>NC_000012.12:120451830-123443533 GCF_000001405.40 Homo sapiens | reverse complement strand
TTACAGTGAGCTGAGATCGCACCATTGCACTCCAGCCTGGGCAACAGAGCGAGACTCCGTCTCAAAAAAAAAGAAAGAAAGTTAGAAGAAACTTTTTTTTTTGAGACAGAGTCTAGCCATGTCGCCCAGGCTGGAGTGCAATGGTGCGATCTCAGCTCACTGTAACCTCCGCCTCCCAAGTTCAAGCGATTCTCCTGCCCCAGCCTCCTGAGTAGCTGGGATTATAAGCGCACTGGCCACCACACCCAGCTAATTTTTTGTGTCTTTAGTAGAGACGGGGTTTCACCATGTTGGCCCAGCTGGTCTCAAACTCCTGACCTCATGATCCACCCGCCTCGGCCTCCCGACGTGCTGGGATTACAGGCATGAGCCACTGTGCCCAGCTGAAACTCACTTTTAATTCTTCCTGATGGCATTGTTCTAGGAAGGCTAATTCTACTCAACAGAATTGAGCATTATGTACATATAAAATCAACCTGTTTAAAATATACAGTTCAGTGGTTTTTAGTATATTCAGAGTTGTGCAACCATCACCACAATCTAATTTTAGTACATTGTGATCCCCCCGCAAAAGAAACCCCATACACAGAGGTAGTCACTTCCCATTTTTCCCAGCCCTAGAATGAGGCTAGACTGGGGACGAATCTACTCTGTCTCTATGGATTTACCTATTCTGGACATTACATGTAAATAGAATCATACACTGTGCGGCCTTTTGTGTCTGGCTTCTTTCACTCAGCATGATGTTTTCGAGGTTCATCCTTGGTGTAGCGTATGTCAGTGCTTCATTGCTTTCTCCCCAGCACTTTATTGAGACGTAATTTACCTAAAGGAAATGCACAGATAAGTGAATGGTTCCACAGCTTTTTGTTATTTATTTATAATTTGTTTGTTTGTTTGTTTGTTTATTTTTGAGATGGAGTCTCGCTCTGGCCCAGGCTGGAGTGCAGTGGCGCGATCTCGGCTCACTGCAAGCTCCGCCTCCCGGGTTCACGCCATTCTCCTGTCTCAGCCTCCTGAATAGCTGGGACTACAGGCGCCCGCCGCCACGCCCGGCTAATTTTTTGTGTTTTTAGCGGAGACGGGGTTTCACCGTGTTAGCCAGGATGGTCTCGATCTCCTGACCTTGTGATCCGCCCGCCTCGGCCTCCCAAAGTGCTGGGATTACAGGTGTGAGCCACTGCGCCCTGCTATTTGTTTAGAGATAGTCTCGCTTTGTCACCCAGGCTGGAGTGCGGTGGCTCCATCACAGCTCACTGCACCCCCAGCCTCCTGGGCTCAAGCAATTCTCCCACCTTGGCCTCAAATGGATGGAACCACCAGTGCACACCAACACACCCGCCTAATTGTTTAATTATTTATACAGACAAGATCTCACTATGTTGCCCAAGCTGGTCTTGAACTCCTGGGCTGAAACGATCCTCCCACCTCAACTTCCCAAAATGCTGGGATTACAGGCGGGAGCTACCCTGCCCAACCTCAACTTTTTACCTTCGTGTATACTCACGTGACCTCCACCAAGAGCAAGATACAGCACATTTTTCGAGCTTCAGTACAGCTGAACACTGGAGGTTCCTGGAGGGCACTGCCCCAGGGAGGGCGTGGGAGCTCTGCCCCCTCCCCCCATTCTTCACTTTCATCTGTATCCTCTGAAACATCCTTTATCATAAACTGGTGAGCATATGATGCCTCAGAAGTCTCATATTTCAAATCTTCTTTGGATTGCAAATTGCTTGAGCGTTCGTGGACTAAATCCTGGGCGAATACACGGAGTTCCTCGAGCAGGCTTACCAATGCAGACTATAGCACTGGTTGGGTCTTTGATTTGTCTGAAAAGTTAGGGCAGTCAGAAGCGCAGCTGGGAAGAGGGAGTTTCATGTTGAGTTTAGAAGCACATGACTGAAAGTCAGAAGACAAACTCACCGAAGCTATGAGAGACACCTATGAAACCATAGAAGCCATCTGTGGACTCATGTCTAGGTTATTCAAGATAAACTGTTTAATCAAATTCATACCTCTTTATTTTATGTATTTATGTATTTATTTTATTTATTTTATTTTTTTTCGAGACTGAGTCTTGCTCTGTCACCCAGGCTAGAGTGCAGTGGCACGATCTTGGCTCACTGCAACCTCCCCCTTCCAGGTTCAAGTGATTCTTGCACCTCAGCTTCCCAAGTAACTGGGATTACAGGTGCCTAGCACAATGCCCCACTAATTTTTGTATTTTTGGTAAAGACAGAATTTCACCATGTTGGCCAGGCTGGTCTCAAACTCCTGGCCTCAAGCAATCCACCCACCTCGGCCTCCCAAAGTGCTGGGATTACAGGCATGAGCCACTACACCCAGCTTTATTTTACTTATTTATTTATTTAAATTTTTTTTTCTTGAGACTGAGTCTTGCTCTGTTGCTCAGACTACAGTGCAGTGGCATGATCACAGGTCACTGCAGCCTGGAACTCTTGGGCTCAAGTGATTCTCCCGCCCCAGCTTCCCAAGTAGCTGGGACCACAGGTACGCACCATCACACCAAGATAATTTTGTTTTTGTTTGTTTGTTTTTGTTTTTTTGTAGAGATGGGATCTCACTTTGTTGCCTAGGCTGGTCTGGAACTCCTGGCCTCAAATAATCATCAGGCGTAAGCCTCCCAATGTGCTGTGGGATTACAGGCATGAGCCACCAGGCCCCTCAAAATTAACATCTCTTGACCGGGCACAGTGGCTCACGTGCAGCCAATCTCCAGAACTTTCTGATCTTGCAAAACTGAAACTCTATCCCCATTAAACGACAACTCTCCATTCTCCATCACCAGGTTGGCCAGGCTGGTCTCGAACTCCTGACCTCAAGTGATCTGCCCACCTCCATCTCCCAAAGTGTTGGGATTACAGGCGTGAGCCACGGCACCTGGCTCCATTTTTACTTTTTGTAGAGATTGTTCTCACTGTATTGCCCAGACTGTTCTCCAACTCCTGGCCACTGTGATGGCCCTTAGATGCACTTTGAGTTAATTTTTTGTATATGGTGAACTCCATTGGTTGAAAAGACTGTCCTTGCCCCATTGAATGGTCTTGGCTCCCTTATTGAAAATCATTTGCCAATATATGCAACAATTTATTTACGAGCTATTTTATTTTTCATTCTTTGTTATGGCTGAATACTATTCTATTGGATGGGCATACCCTCTTTTATGTATGGCAGGCCTAATATTTCATCTCAGTATTTAACCACTAGATGTTGTCACTCTGTGATTTGTGGACTTCTAGGCCCTTGCCCAGGAGCTTCGTTTTGATTATTACAACATTCCTGGCGGGGCACAGTGGCTTATTCCTGTAATCCTCGCACTTTGGGAGGCCAAAGTGGGAGGATTACTTGAGGCCAGGATTTTGAGACCAGCCAGGGCGACAGAACGAGGCCTTGTCTCTTAAAAAAAAAAAAGAAAGAAAGGCAGGGTGCGGTGGCTCATGCCTGTAATCCCAGCACTTTGGGAGGCCAAGGCAGGCGGATCACGGGGTCAGGAGATCGAGACCATCCTGGCTAACATGGTGAAACCCTGTCTCTACTAAAACATACAAAAAATTAGCCGGGCGTGGTGGCGGGCGCCTGTAGTCCCAGCTACTTCGGAGGCTGAGGCAGGAGAATGGCATGAACCCGGGAGGCGGAGCTTGCAGTGAGCCGAGATTGCACCACTGCACTCCAGCCTGGGCAACAGAGCAAGACTCTGTCTCAAAAAAAAAAAAAAAAAAAAAAAAATTAGCCAGGTATGGTGGCAAGCACCTGTAGGCCCAGCTACTCAGGAGGCTGAGGTGGGAGGATCACTTAAGCCCAGGAGTTCAAGGCTGCAGTGAGCTGTGATCATGCCACTGCACTCCAGCTGGGGTGACAGAGCAAAGCCTCATCTCTTAAGAAAAAATAGGCTGGGCTCATGCCTGTAATCCCAGCACTTTGGGAGGGAGAGGCGGGCAGATCACCTGAGGTCAGGAGTTGGAGACCATCCTGGCCAACAGGGTGAAACCCTGTCTCTACTAAAAATACAAAACTTAGCTGGGTGTGGTGGTGGGCGCCTATAATCCCAGCTACTTGCAAGGCTGAGGCAGGAGAATCGCTTGAACCCAGGAGGCAGAGGTTGCAATGAGCAGAGATCATGCCACTGCACTCCAGCCTGGGCTACAAGAGCAAAACTCCATCTCAAAAAAAAAAAAAAAGAAGAAGAAGAAAGGCTAAGCATGGTGGCTCATGCCTGTAATCCCAGCACTTTGGGAGGCTGAGGCAGGTGGATCATCCTGAGGTCAGGAGTTGGAGACCAGCCTGGGCAACATGGTAAAATCCCGTCTCTACTAAAAATACAAAAAATTAGCCATGCATGGTGGCGCGTGCCTGTAATCCCAGCTACTCGGGGTGGGGCTGCTGAGGCAGGAGAATCGCTTGAACCTGGAAGGCAGAGGTTGCAGTGAGCCGAGATCGTGTCACTGCACTCCAACCTAGGCAACAGAGTGAGGCTTTTTTATTTATTTTATTTTTTTATTATTTATTATTTATTTATTTATTTATTTTTATTTATTTTTTTTGAGACCGAGTCTTGCTCTGTTGCCCAGGCTGGAGTGCAGTGGCGCGATCTCGGCTCACTGCAAGCTCTGTCCCCGGGTTCACGCCATTCTCCTGCCTCAGCCTCCCGAGTAGCTGGGACTACAGGCGCCCGCCACTACACCCGGCTAATTTTTTTTGTATTTTTAGTAGAGACAGGGTTTCACCGTGTTAGCCAGGATGGTCTCGGTCTCCTGACCTCGTGATCCGCCCATCTCGGCCTGACTTTTTTATTTTATAAAAGTAAAATAGGCCAGGCAGGGTGGCTTACGCCCGTAATCCTAGCACTTTGGGAGGCCCAGGTGGGAGGATTGCCCGAGCTCAGGAGTTCGCGACCAGCCTGGGCAGCACAGTGAAACCCCATCTCTACTAAAATACAAAAAATTAGCCAGGCGGGGCGGCATGCGCCTGTGGTCCCAGCTACTGGGGAGGCTGAGGTAGAAGAATTGCTTTAACCAGGGAGGCGGAGGTTGCGGTGAGCCGAGATCATGCCACTGAGCTCCAGCCTGGGCAACAGAGCAAGATTCTGTCTCTAAATAAATAAATAAACAAATAAATAAAATAAAATAAAATAAAATAAAAAGAAACGACCCTCTGAAAATAGTGTGTTTTGTTAATTTGCTTTGCTTTTGTTGGTTGGTTTAATCTATGTACATTCTCCATTGAGATTCTAGTACCTCAGTGTGGAGAAAATGGATACACCTATCACAAGGAAAGCTGCCAATACATTCCTGGGAAAGACAAGCCCCGTTGCTGAGCTTTCTGCCTGAGACTATCACAAACCTCCAGTGAAACCTAAAATAACTTGAGATTTGTTGTGCCTTTTTTTTTGAGACATGATCTTACTCTGTCACCATGGTCCCACTCTGTCACAGGCACCACTCTGTGGTGAGATCTTGGCTCACTGCAGCCTCAACATCCCGGGCTCAAGTGGTCCTCCCACCTCAGCCTCCCGAGTACCTGCCACTACAGGCATGAACCACTGTGTCCAGCTACTTTTGTTTACTTTTTGTAGAGACAGGGTCTCACTATGATGCCCAAGCTAGTCTCAAATTCCTGGGCTCAAGCAATCCTCCTGCGTCAGCCTCCTGAAGTGTTGAGATTAAGGCATGAGCCACAGCGAATGACTCAAGTTTCTACGCCACTCTGCTAATATTCTCAGTAATATGGATTCCGCATATGTGTCGAATGCTTTGTGATTTTCAGACAGGGGTTTCTCTCTTGTTAATTACTCCTCCTTCTCTCACCCAAGTAGCAAGGTGTCTCCAACACCAGCAATTCCTCCCTAGCGCTGTGGAAGAAAGAATGAAGGGGCCGGGCGCGGTGGCTCACGCCTGTAATCCCAGCACTTTGGGAGGCCGAGGCAGGTGGATCACGAGGTCAGGAGATCGAGACCATCCTGGCGAACATGGTGAAACCCCGTCTCTACTAAAAATACAAAAAAATTAGCCGGGCGTGGTGGCGCGTGCCTGTAGTCCCAGCTACTCGGGAGGCTGAGGCAGGAGAATGGCGTGAACCTGGGAGGCGGAGCTTGCAGCAAGCCGAGATCGCGCCACTGCACTCCAGCCTGGGCGACACAGGGAGACTCCGTCTCAAAAAAAAAAAGAAAGAAAGAAAGAAAGAAAGAATGAAGGATTGCAGTCACGTATGTGAGTGCTTCCTAAGTGCTTGAGGTGTCGCACACATGATCTCATAAGCTCATGTTCCTCGCAGCAACCCTGCCACCTGGGTCCCGCTATTGTCCCCATTTTACAGAGGAGGAGACTGAGGCTCGGAGACGTTAAGTAACTTGCCAAGGTGACAGCGCTGGTTACGTGGAGGAGCCGAGGACCCAGCGAAGTGAGCAGGGCAGACATTCTCCATTTTATTGAGAGTCACAGCGAAGTCGGACGCCCCAGGCCCTAGTGACAATTTGCCTGGGAGTTTTCCAGATCCTCAAGCCTCGGGGACTCTGTCGCGCTGCCCCCAGCAGCTGCTTTCTGTTTGGCCGCAGGCTCCAGAAAACACCCTCAAAGAGACACCCGGATCTTCCATCACCTACGATGCAAATTCTACGGCTGGAAAGCACGAGGGTGGAAAGGAAAAAGTTGCGTTCTTTTTACCCCGCTCTGGATTGCACGGTGGAAACTCCGTCTCCACGGAAACGCACCTCCTGGCAGCGGTCGCCAGGGGCGGGGCTCAGGGCGGCTCCTCCCCGGGGCTGCAACTGTTCCCAGGCTGGGGCGATTGCCGTCACCCCTGAACTTCCCCGTTCCTCTTCTCGGCTGCCTCCTTTTCCGTTGTCCCTTCGCGCCCCAAACCACATCCTGGAGCGCACTCTCCAGCGTGGCTGGCAGCGGGGACGGTGCGCCGGGGCGCAGGCCCAAGAGTCGCGTGCGCGGCCCCTTGCACCATCCCCCCGGGCCCACCCCCGGGCCGCGCTGATTGGGCAGGTAGGGACTCTGCCCAGCGGAAAGTTTTGGGTGCCGGGAGGAAGTCTAACCTTTGGGAGACTCCAAGACAGCAGCTCCGAGGTCGGCGGGGGTCTGGGTGGCCATGGAGGAGCCCCCTGTGCGAGAAGAGGAAGAGGAGGAGGGAGAGGAGGACGAGGAGAGGGACGAGGTTGGGCCCGAGGGGGCGCTGGGCAAGAGCCCCTTCCAGCTGACCGCCGAGGACGTGTATGACATCTCCTACCTGTTGGGCCGCGAGCTTATGGCCCTGGGCAGCGACCCCCGGGTGACGCAGCTGCAGTTCAAAGTCGTCCGCGTCCTGGAGATGCTGGAGGCGCTGGTGAATGAGGGCAGCCTGGCGCTGGAGGAGCTGAAGATGGAGAGGGACCACCTCAGGAAGGAGGTGGAGGGGCTGCGGAGACAGAGCCCTCCGGCCAGCGGGGAGGTGAGTGTGGGAGCGAGGGTTCCGGGCCCACGGCGCCTGCGGGGCGTAGGAGGGCACCTACTGGCAGGGAGACGCCTTCCTTTTCTTTTCTCTTCTCTTTTCTCTTTTTTCTTTTTTTAAGAGATGGGATCTCGCTGTGTTGCCCAGGCTGGTCTCAAACTCCTGGCTCCAAGTGATCCCCCAGCCTCAGCCTCCTAGAGTGCTGGGTTTACAGGTGTGAGCCACCCTGCCTGGCCAGAATCTGTATTTCTAACGAGTTCGCAGTTAATGCTGATGCTATTGGCCCAGGGTCCACAGTTTGAGAACCTTTGACCTAGAGCAAGAAACACTTTTTTTTTCTTTTGACACAGGGTCCTGCTCTATCTCCCAGGCTAGAGTGCAGTGGTGCAAACACGGCTCACTACAGCCTTGGCCTCCTAGGCTCAAGCAATTCTCCTGCCTTGCCCTTCCAAGTAGCTGGGAGTACAGGCATGTGCCACCATGCCTGGCTAACTTTTTTGATGTTTTGTAGAGATGGGGGTCTCACCGTTACCCAGGCTGGTCTCAAACTCCTAAGCTCAAGGAATCCTCCCACCTTGGCCTCCCAAAGTGCTGGGCTTGTGGATGTGAGCCACCACACTTGGACAAGAAACACATTTTACCTAAAGAGAAATTAGTGCATATGACCACAAAAAGACATAGACAAGAAGATTCAGAGCAGCTTTAGTCTCAGCTGCCAAACTGGAAACACTCTAAATGCAACCCAATTGAGTTTTGAAATTGTGATATATGGAATACTATGCAACAGAGAAAAAGAACGGGGTGCTGATACACACAGCAGTGTGAATGAATCTCACAGATGTAACATTGAGAGAAAGAAGCCAGGCACTAAAGAGAAACTACTGTAGATTTTTTTTTTTTTTGAGTCAGAATCTTGCTCTGTTGCTCAGACTGTAGTGCAGTGGCGTGACCTCGACTCACTGCAACCTCCACCTCCTGGATTCAAGCGATTCTCCTGCCTCAGCCTCCTGAGCAGCTGGGATTGCAAGCGTGTGCCACCACGCGTGGCTATTTTTTTTTTTTCTTTTTTGGTAGAGACGGGGTTTCACCATGTTGGCCAGGCTGGTCTCAAACTCCTGGCCTCAAGTGACCCACCCACCTCAGCCTTCCAAAGTGCTGGGATTACAGGCCTGAGCCACAGCACCCAGCCCTACTGTACATTTAAATAAAATTCATGAACAGGCAAAATAATTTATAGTTATAGAAGGCAAACTGGTGGTGGGGGGAAAAGAAGGGAAATTGATAGAGAGCTAGAAGTGTCCCATATCTTAATCAGGGTATGGATATAGGGATCTACACATATGTTAAAAATCATCTGGCTGGGTGCTGTGACTCACGCCTGTAATCCCAGCACTTTGGGAGGCCAAGGCGGGCAGATCACAAGGTCAGGAATTTGAGACCAGCCTGGCCAACATGGTGAAACTCTATCTCTACTAAAACTACAGAAAAAAATTAGCCGGGCGTGGTGGCGGGTGCCTGTAATCCCAGCTACTCGGGAGGCTGAGGCCGGAGAATTGCTTGAAACCGGAAGGCAGAGGTTGCAGTGAGCCGAGATCGCGCCACTGCACTCCAGGTTGGGTGACAGAGCGAGATTTTGTCTCAAAAAAAAAAAAAAAGTCTTTTTTGCGGGGACAGCTTTCTCTGTCATCCAGGCTGGAATACCATGGTGTGATCACAGCTCACTGAGGCCTCAAACTCCTGGGCTCAAGCAGTCCTCCCACTTCAGCCTCTCCAGTAGCTAGGACTACAGGCACACACCAACCACCTGGCTAATTTTTGTATTTTTGTAGAGATGGGGGTCTCACCATGTTGCCCAGGCTGGTCTCGAACTCCTGGGCTTAAGTGATACGCCCACCTCAGCCTCCCAAAGTGCTGGGATTACAGGCCTGAGCCACCATGCCCAGCCTAGTTTTTAAAATTCTTGTCGAAACTCATTAATTTTATGACCTACTAGCAGGTCTCCAGCCACAGTTAAAAAAGAAAAACAAAAAAGCTGCTGTAAGTGGACGATGTCTTTTTTAATCCTCAGACTATTATTGTTTTACAAAACTGAGGCACAGAACAGTTAAGTAATTTACCTAAGGACTTCACGGCAAGTTAAGAGGTGAAGTCAGGATCTTAATTCAGAGATGCTAGTCCTAAATACTCCATCCTAAAATACAGACATTTGACCTTACTTGTACTAACATTTGATGAGTGACTGCAGTGACTGATGCTAGGCTCTGGGGCTATGGAGATAACGTAGACAAGGTCCCTGCCCTCAAGAAGCTCACATCTAGTGGGAGAGGTCAGACACACAGTCCTAGAACCAGAATACAAGTATACAAACCAGGCCAGGCGCGGTGGCTCACACCTGTAATCCCAACACTTTGGGAGGTCGAGGCAGGCAGATCGCTTGAGGCCAGGAGTTTGGGACCAGCCTGGGCAAACTGGTGAAACCCTGTCTCTACTAAAAATACAAAATTAGCTGGACCTGCTGGCACACGCTTGTAATCCAGCTACTCGGAGGCTGAGGCACAAGAATCACTTGAACCCGGGTGGCAGAGGTTGCAGTGAGCCAAGATCGTGCCACTGCACTCCAGCTGGGGCAACAGAGCAAGACTGTCTCAAAAACAAACAAACAAACACCAAGTATACAAACCAAGGCTGGGCGCAGTGGCTCACGCCTGTAATCCCAACACTTTGGGAGGCCAAGGCAGGTGGATCAGGAAGTCAAGAGATTGAGACCATCCTGGCCAACATACCCCGTGTCTACTAAAAATACAAAAATTAGCTGGGCACGGTGGCACGTGCCTGTAGTCCCAGCTACTCGGGAGGCTAAGGCAAGAGAATTGCTTGAACCCGGGAGGCAGAGGTTGCATTGAGCTGAGATCACGCTGCTGCATTCTAGCCTGGCAACAGAGCGAGACGACTTCGTCTCAAAAAAAAAAAAAAAAAAGTATACAAACCAAGAAGTAAGCCAGGAAAGAACAGGAACAGAGTCACTGAAATTCACATGGAAGTATGAAGTTTCCCTGTAGCTTCCCTGGTAACTTTCTTCTTCTTCTTCTTCTTCTTAATTATTATTATTATTTGCCTCATACCTTCTCTGACCCCTGGTAATTTATTTCACCTATTCCTAAGTGATAGTGACAATTGTATTTCTAGATAATATTCTACTTTAGTGTCTGTCAAGTGACATGGTTAAGTGTGATGACTTGTAGCCTGGCTTTTGAGAGTCAAGGAAAGTTAACTGACTTGCGGGGGATTGCTCAGCCACATTCTGTGTTATTTTTGCCTCCCTCTCCGGGCACAAGGATATGGAGGAAGTCCCCATTATGAGCCGAGAACAGCGTGGTGTGCACAGGGGCTGGGTAGTTTCCCATATGGGGCAAAGTGGACAAGTTTCATCAGGCGGCAGATGAGATGGCATATTTTCTTCTCAAACCGCAGCCTTAAGAACAGGGATAGGGAAAATGCATGAATTAAGAAAATGAACGTTTAGTGCCACTAGACAGTTTACAAAAATATGCCTTGTTTTTTTTCTTTGTATGTTTTGAGACAGGGTCTCACTTTGTCACCCAGGCTGGCGTGCAGTGGTTTGAACACTGCTCACTGCAGTTTCAGCCTCCCTGGGCTCAGGTGATCCTCCCACCTCAGCCTCCCTAGTAGCTGAGACTATAAGCATGTGCTACTATGGCCACCTAATTTTTGTGTTTTTTCTAGAGATGAGGTTTCCCATGTTGTCCAGGCTGGTCTCAAACTCCTGGGCTCAAACGATCCACCCGCTCTAGCCTCCCAGAGTTCTGGGGTTACAGGCGTGAGCCACTATTCCTGACCCCTTTTTGGTTTTTTAAATTGTAGTAAAGCTGGGCGTGGTGGCTTATGCCTGTAATCCCAGCACTTTGGGAGGCCGAGGTGGGCGCAGGTCACCTGAGGTCAGAGTTCAAGACCAGCCTGGCCAACATGGTGAAACCCTGTTTCTACTAAAAATACAAAAAATTAGCTGGGCTTGGTGGCAGGCGCCTGTAATCCCAGCTACTAGGGAGGCTGAGGCAGAAGAATTGCTTAAACCTGGGAGACAGAGGTTGCAGTGAGCTGAGATCATGCCACCGCACTCCAGCCTGGGCAACAGAGCAAGACTCTGTCTCAAAAGAAAAAAATAAAATAAAATAAAATAAATTGTAGTAAAATACAGTAACATAAAATTTACCATCTTAAATTTTTTTTTTTTTTTTGAGATGGAGTTTCGCTCTGTCGCCCAGGCTGGAGTGCAGTGGTGGGACCTCAGCTCACTGCAAGCTCCGTCTCCCAGGTTCACACCGTTCTCCTGCCTCAGCCTCCTGAGTAGCTGGGACTACAGGCGCCTGCCACCACGCCTGGCTAACTTTTTTGTATTTTTTTAGTAGAGACGGGGTTTCACCGCGTTAGCCAGGATGGTCTCTGTCTCCTGACCTGGTGATCCGCCCGCCTCGGCCTCCCAAAGTGCTGGGATAACAGGCGTGAGCCACCGTGCCCGGCCCATCTTAACTATTTTTAAGTGTACAGTTCAGCTGCATGTCCATTCACGCTGTTGTGCAGCCATCACCACCATCCGTCTCCAGAACTCTCTTCATCTTGCAAAACTGAAACTCTGACCTGTTAAGTAACAACGTCTCCTTCCCCTCCCCCGGCCCCCCAGTAACTACTTTTCTACTTTCTGTCCCTCTGAATCTACCTATTGTAGGTTGTTCATATCGTGAAATCATATATTTGTCTTAAGTGCCTGGCTTATTTCACTCAGCACAATGTCCTCAAGATTGATTCATGTTGTGGCACATGTCAGAATTTCCTTGCCTTTGAAGGCCGAATAATATTCTGTTGGAGGCATATACTATACTTTCTTTATCTATTCATTTGTTCATGGACACTTGGGTTACTGCTACTACCCCTTGGCTGCTGTAAATAGAGCTGCTGTGGTGAGAGGCTGAGGCAGGCGGATCACATGAAGCCAGGAGTTGAAGACCAGCCTGGACAACATGGCGAAACTCCATCTCTACTGAAAATACAAAATTAGCCAGGCGTAGGCCGGGCGCGGTGGCTCACGCCTGTAATCCCAGCACTTTGGGAGGCCGAGGCAGGCAGATCACCAGAGGTCAGGAGTTTGAGACCAGCTTGGCCAACAAGGCAAAACCCCATCTCTAATAAAAATACAAAAATTAGCCGGGCGTGATGGCGGGCGCCTGTAATCCCAGTGACCCAGGCAGGAGAATCGCTTGAACCTGGGAGCCCGAAGTTGCAGGGAGCCAAGATTGTGCCATGGCACTCCAGCCTGGGCAACAGAGACTCCTTCTAAAAATATAATAATAATAATAATAATTTAATTATATAGAGTTGCTTGCAAAGGTTGCGTCTTTTCTTCCAGGTGAACCTGGGCCCAAACAAAATGGTGGTTGACCTGACAGATCCCAACCGACCCCGCTTCACTCTGCAGGAGCTAAGGGATGTGCTGCAGGAACGCAACAAACTCAAGTCGCAGCTCCTGGTGGTGCAGGAAGAGCTGCAGTGCTACAAGAGGTGGGCTCCACTGCCTGGAGGGTCCTGCACCCAGACCTGGCCCAGAATTCCTTGCTAGGTTACATATTTGTTTTTGTTTTGTTTTGTTTTTGTTTTTTTGAGACAGAGTCTCGCTCTGTCGCCCAGGCTGGAGTGCAGTGGCGCGATCTCGGCTCACTGCAACCTCTGCCTCCCGGGTTCACGCCATTCTCCTGCCTCAGCCTCCCGAGTAGCTGGGACTACAGGCGCCCGCCACCGTGCCTGGCTAATTTTTTGTATTTTTAGTAGAAACGGAGTTTCACCGTGTTAGGCAGAATGGTCTCGATCTCCTGACCTCCTGATCTGCCCACCTTGGCCTCCCAAAGTGCCGGGATTACAGGCATGAGCCACCAAGCCTGGCTTTTTTTTTTTTTTTTTTTTTTTTTTTTTGAGGGTCTCACCCTGTCGCCCAGTGGTGCGATCTTGGCTCACTGCAACCTCTGTCTCATGGGTTCAAGCGATTCTCCCACCTTAGCCACCCAAGTAGCTGAGACCACAGGTGCATGCCACCATGCCCAGCTAATTTTCTTATTTTTTGTAGAGACAGGGTCTCGCCATGTTGCCCAGGTTAGTGTCAAACTCTTGGGCTCAAGTGATCCACCTGCCTCAGCCTCCCCAAAGTGCTGGGATTACAGGTGTGAGCCACCACACCTGGCCATTGGAAAGTTTTGATCAAGAGAATGACAAGAGGCCAGTCTCCATTAAAAATACAAAAATTAGCTGGGCATGGTGGCTCATGCCTATAGTCCCAGCTACTCGGGAGGCTGAGGCAGGAGAATCACTTGAACCTAGGAGGCAGAAGTTGCAATGAGCCGAGATCACGCCTCTGCACTCCAGCCTAGGTGACAGAGCAAGACTGTGTCTCAAAAAAAAAACGAAACAAAACAAAATAAAAACGACTGGGGATGGTGGCACGTCTGTAATCCCAGCACCTTGGGAGGCCGAGGCGGGCAGATCACGAGGTCAGGAGTTCGAGACCAGCCTGGCCAACATGGTGAAACCCCATCTCTACTAAAAAATACAAAAATTAGCCAGGTGTGGTGGCGGGCGCCTGTAATCCCAGCTACCTGGGAGGCTGAGGCAGGAGAATCACTTGAAACCAGAAGGCGGAGGTTGCAGTGAGCCGAGATCGTGCCACTGCACTGCAGCCTGGGCGAAAGAGCAAAACTCTTTCTCAAAAACAAAACGAAACAAAAACAAAAACAAAAAGTCCTGGTGCAGTGTTACATCCCAGCACTTAGGGAGCCTGAAGCGGGAGGATCACTTGAGCCCAGGGATTCAAGGCCAGCCTGGGCAACATAGCAAGACCCTGTCTCTAAAAAGAAATTAAAAAAAAATAAGGAAAGTTAAAAAAGACTGCAGTGGTACCATATACAAAATAGATTGTAGGACAAGCAAGAGAGGCTATAAAAAAGCTGTTGCCATAATCACGTTGAGACTCGTAGCTATTTCCATTTGTGCTATTTCCCAAAATGTTTTCCTTTACTTAGGTATTTTTTGAAAAGGGGGCTCTGTAGTCAAATAATTCTGGGAAACACTGAGTTAAACGAAGCATGTTTTCTTATAGGTAGAGGAAGGAAAAACCAGGGCAATAAAAATGTCGTGTTGGCTAGTATTTATTGATACTCGCCATGTGCCAGGCACTCTGTCTGCTAAATGTATCCCAAGCATCATTTCAATTAGTGCTCACAGCAAGACTGTGAGTAGCAGTGATGTTATCACTATGCTGAGCTGAGGACCAGAGTGGTGGGCACCTGCTTAAGCAGTGGTGGCAACAGTGGTGATGTGACCTCAGACAGTGTGACATCAGAGACTGTGCTTGTAATTAGCACGCCGCATTTAGATCACGAAAGCTTGGAATTAAGGACATACCCTGATCAAAAATGAAACAAAGCCCAAGTGATATGATTCTTTAAATGCCTTAAATGTAGCATCTTTCAGAGAGCAGCAATACAGCAGAAGCGTTGTAAGAACCCACATTTATTGTCTCCCTTTTGCTGAGGTTGGAACCGTGTTCATGGAAAGACCTTTGTCTCATTTAGTAAGTAATTCAGGGCCGGGCGCGGTGGCTCACGCCTGTAATCCCAGCACTTTGGGAGGCCGAGGTGGGTGGATCACAAGGTCAGGAGATCGAGACCAGCCTGGCTAACACGGTGAAACCCCGTCTCTAATAAAAATACAAAAAATTAGCCAGGCGTGGTGGCGGGCGCCTGTAGTCCCAGCTACTTGGGAGGCTGAGGCAGGAGAATGGTGTGAACCTGGGAGGTGGAGCTTGCAGCGAGCCGACATCTCGCCACTGCACTCCAGCCTGGGCGGAAGAGCGAGACTCCATCTCAGAAAAAAAATAGAATAAAATAAGTAGTTCAGGCACAGGTAGTTAAAAAGAGAAACTGCCAAGCTGCTGGTGTCGTGAGCAGCTTGTTAGTGGGCAAAACCACACACTTTCTTTCTAGTTTTGAATTCTCAGAGAACAAGAGACGCACACTTTCCATCTGGCTCAGGCCAAGAGAGGCAGGATTCTGCTTCGTCTCTAGTGTTATATATTGTGGAGAAGCCAGCATGCCAGCTGAGATGTTCTCATAGCAACTGCATCCATTTGAAGGTCCAAACTCACACAGATAATATACTGATAATAAATTGATTACAGCTGGTTGAGGTGGCTCACACCTGTAATCCCAGCACTTTGGGAGGCCGAGGCAGGCAGATTGCCTGAGGTCAGGAGTTTGAGATCAGCCTGGGCAACATGGTGAAACTCCGTCTCTATTAAAAATATAAAAATTATTAGCCAGGCGTGGTGACTCATACCTGTAGTCCCAGCTGTTCAGGAGGCTGAGGCAGGAGAATTGCTTGTACCCAGGAGGCGCAGGTTGCAGTGAGCTGAGATGTGTCACTGCACTCCAGCCTGGGTGACAGAGCGAGACTGTATCTCAAAAAAAAAAAAGTATAATTCCAGGGAAATATGGTAGGTTGCTTCCAAAGAGAGCCACAGCAGTATTTCCCACCCTGCATACCTTTTGCAATGAAACTTTGCCACTCCTTTCATCAAGAGGTGGATTCTGTTTTCCCTCTCTTTGCATGTAGGCTGGCTCTGTGACTTGCTTTGACTGTGAGAACAGGGTGGAAGTGACGCTGTTAGGCCTCTGGGGTTAAGTTGGTAAGAGGCCTTTCTTCTGTTTCTGTGCTCTTAGAATGCTTCCTTGAGACCAGCATTCTGTGAGGAAGCTCAAGGGGAAGTCCCATGGAGAGGTCATGTGAAGGAGAACCAGGGCGCACCTGCTGACAGCCCCAGCTGTGCACAGCCCTCCGCCAATGGCCCACTGAACGCAGCCAAGTGAGAAGCTCAGGCTAGCAGGTGGACCACAGAGCCAACCATAAGAAGCCAGGCACAGCAGTGTGCACCTATAGTCTCAGTGCCTGTAGTCTCAGCTACTTGGGAGGCTGAGGCAGGAGGATCCCACGAGACTAGGAATTTGAGGCTTCAGTGGGCAGTGATTGCACCCGTGAATAGCAACTGCACTCCAGCCTGGGCAACACAGTGAGATCTGATCTAAAAAAAAAAAAAAAGAAAGCCAATTATAAGAAAGAGTCGGCTGGCCGCGGTGGCTCACGCCTGTAATCCCAGCACTTTGGGAGGCCGAGGTGGGCAGATCACGAGGTCAGGAGATCGAGACCATCCTGGCTAACACAGTGAAACCCCGTCTCTACTAAAAATATAAAAAAATTAGCCAGACGAGGTGGCGGGCACCTGTAGTCCCAGCTACTCGGGAGGCTGAGGCAGGAGGATGGCGTGAGCCCCGGGGGGCAGAGCCTGCAGTGAGCCGAGATCGCGCCACTGCACTCCAGCCTGGGCGACAGCGAGACTCCATCTCAAAAAAAGAAAAAAAAGAAAGAAAGAAAGAGTCATCATTGGAGATCATGTCACCACTGTTTTTAGTCACCAAGTTTAATTTATGTAATAATAGATCATGGAAAAATGGAAATTTTAGATGATGCTTCTTGTTAAATCATTATTATAATAAGTATCTATAATAAAATATCAGCTGGGCAGGTGGCTCACACCTGTAATCCCAACACTTTGGGAGGACAACGTGGGTGGATCACCTGAGGTCAGGAGTTCAATCAACACCAGCCTGGCCAACATGGCAAAACTCCGTCAATACTAAAAATACAAAAATTAGCCGGGTGTGGTGGTACACACCTGTAATCCCAGCTACTGAAAAGGCTGAGGCACAAGAATCACTTGAACCCAGGAGGCGGAGGTTGCAATGAGCAGAGATTTTGCCACTGCACTCCAGCCTGGGTGATAGAGTGAGACTCTGTCTCAAAAATAAAATAAAATTAGAATATAAATAATATAATATTTTGTAATTACAAAAATTTAGGCCGGGTTTGGTGGCTCATGCCTGTAATCCCAACACTTTGGGAGTTTGGGACAGGAGGAACACTTGAGCCTAGGAGTTCAAGATGAGCCTGGGCAATGGATCAAGACCCTGTCTCAAAAAAATTTTTTTTAATTATTGATAACAATATTAAGAAATGGCTGAGCACAGTGGCTCACGCCTGTAATCCCAGCACTTTGGGAGGCCGAGGCAGGCAGATTGCCTGAGGTCAGGAGTTCGAGACCAGTCTGGCCAACATGGTGAAATCTCATCTCTACTAAATATACAAAAAAATTAGCCAGGCATGGTGGCGTGCACCTGTAATCCCAGCTACTCTGGAGGCTGGGGCAGGGGAATTGCTTGAACCAGGGAGGTGGAGGTTGCAGTGAGCCAAGATCGCACCACTGTACTCCAGCCTGGGCGACAGCAAGACTCTGTCTCAAAAAAAAAAAAAAAGTAGATATTAAGAGCCCACTCTTTGCAAAACTCTTTTATGAAGAAGGAGGGAGAAGTATGAATCCTGCCCTTTCACACTCACACTGAAAGAGGTATCTTTGTCAGCTCAAGGTGCTGTGAAATACATGGTGAGCCACTGAGCCTGGCCAGGAATTTTTATTAAAGACACACAATTCGGCCAGGCACGATGGCTCACACCTGTAATCCCAGCATTTTGGGAGGCTGAGGCAGGCAGATCACTTGACGTCAGGAGTTCAAAACCAGCGTGGCCAACATGGTGAAACCCCGTCTCTACTGAAAATACAAAAAAATTAGCCAAGTGTGGTGGTGGGCACCTGTAATCCCAGCTACTCGGGAGGCTGAGGCAGGAGAATCGCTTGAACCTGGGAAACGGAGGTTGCAGCAAGTTGAGATTGCACCATTGCACTCCAGCCTGGGCAACAATAGTGAAACTCCATCTCAAAAAAAAAATAATAATAAGGCCGGGCGCAGTGGCTTATGCCTGTACAGCACTTTGGGAGGCAGAGGCGGGCGGATCACGAGGTCAGGAGATTGATACCATCCTGGCTAACACAGTGAAATCCTATCTCTACTAAAAATACAAAAAATTAGCCGGGCGTGGTGGCGGACGCCTGTAGTCCCAGCTACTTGAGAGGCTGAGGCAGGAGAATGGCGTGAACCCGGGAGGCGGAGCTTGCAGTGAGCCAAGGTAGCGCCACCACTCCAGCCTGGGTGACAGAGCTAGACTCTGTCTCAAAAAAATAAATAAATGAAAATTTTTAAAAATAAAATAAATAAAAAAATTAAAACACACAATTCAGTCCACAGCAAGGGGACAACACCATGGGGGTAAATTTACCAGTGGGCACTGCAACAAAACGCTTAAGTGGATGTAATGAGTTGTACTGTGCCGTAATTGAAATGTTTCATTTTGGTCAGTCTTCTTATGGTTGCAAGTGACAGAAGTCCGATTTAAACTAGCTTAAACACAAAAGGAAATTTTTTGGTAACATAATTGGGAAGGGGCTGGGTGTGGTGGCTCATGCCTGTAATCCCAACACTTTGGGAGGCCAAGGCGGGTGGATCACCTGAGGTCGGGAGTTTGAGACCAGCCTGACCAACATGGAGAAACCCTGTCTCTGCTAAAAATACAAAATTAGCCAGGCGTGGTGGTGCACACCTGTAATCCCAGCTACTTGGGAGGCTGAGGCAGGAGAATCATTTGAACCCGGGAGGCAGAGGCTACGGTGAGCCGAGATCGTGCCACTGCACTCCAGTCTGGGCGACAGAGCAAGACTCTGTCTCAAAAAAAAAAAAAAAAAATCTAACTCTTATCAACATCTGACTTACAATTTATACTTTTATTTTACTTATTTCTTTATTGACTGTTTCCTTCTCCTACTGGAATATAAATTACGTGAGAGAATATATTTTGTCTATTTTGTTCAGAGACAAAACAGTTCAGAGACAAAATATTTATTAACCACAGTAGGTAGCTTAATAAATATTTGTTGAATGTTAAGCACTATGTATCATCTTAGATAATCTCTCAATCCTTTGAGGTAGGTACTATTATTAGACTCATTTTATAGGTTAGGAAACCAAGGCTTAAGTTAGAGAATTTATACACAATCATATTCCTAGAAAACTGAGAAGCTTGAAGCAGTAGCCAATGCAATTAGGTAAGAGAAAGAAACAAGAGGGTCAGGCACGGTGGCTCACACCTGTAATCCCAGCACTTTGGGAGGCTGAGGCGGGCAGATCACTGGGTCAGGAGATTGAGACCATCCTGGCTAACACAGTGAAACCCTGTCTCTACTAAAAATACAAAAAATGAGCCGGGTGTGGTGGCGGGCGCCTATAGTCCCAGCTACTCGGGGGGCTGAGGCAAGAGAATGGCGGGAACCTGGGAGGCGGAGCTTGCAGTGAGCCGAGATCGCGCCACTGCACTCCAGCCTGGGCAACAGAGCGAGAATCCGTCTCAAAAAAAAAAAAGAAACGAGGCATCACATTGGAAAGGTACAGGGAAGATTCTAATTTTAAACAGAATTTCTCTGACTCTAGTGCTTTCAACCGTAATATTACCATAATCATCATCATCATCATTAAGACCCTTTATTTTCAGAGCTGCACAGATAAGAGGTCTGTAATAAAAGCCAGGCTCAGTGGTTCATGCCTGTAATCCCAGCACTTTGGGAGTCTGAGGCAGATGGATCACTTGAGGTCAAGAGTTTGAGACCAGCCTGGGCAACACGGTGAAGCCCATCTCTACTAAAAATACAAAAATTAGCCGAGCATGGTGGCAGGCGCCTGTAGTCCTAGCTATTCAGGAGGCAGAGGCAGGAGAATCACTTGAACCCGGGAGGCGGAGGTTGCAGTGAGCTGAGATGGCGCCACTGCACTCTAGCCTGGGCAACAGAGAAAGACTCCAACTCAAAAAAAAAAAAAAAACGATCTGTAATAAAATAATCCATTTATTTTTTGTCCCGTTTCCCAGTGGCCTGATTCCACCAAGAGAAGGCCCAGGAGGAAGAAGAGAAAAAGATGCTGTGGTTACTAGTGCCAAAAATGCTGGCAGGAACAAGGAGGAGAAGACAATCATAAAAAAGCTGTAAGTGTCACCTTGCTGCCCCCCGGTCCCGCCAAATAATAACTCAAGGAAGTAGTCGGGGGCAAGAAGAGGCTGACCAGCTGCCCAGGGCAGGGAGGGCCTCTACTCTCCCGGTTGTGGTGCTGCAGCCCATGGGAAAACTCAATGCCAGTGTATTATAATGATATCTGCCAGGCAGTAGCCTAGGCACTTGGCATATATTAATTCATCGAATCATCACAGTGACCCTGCAAGGTAGATACTATTTTACAGATGGAGAAATAGCTACTGAGAGGTAAGGTAACTTGCCCAAGGTCTCACAGAGGGTAAATAGTGAAGTCAGGAACCCAAGGAAGTCTGGCTTCTACACTCCACTGCCTCCCTGTGATGTTTGACCAGGCTGGGTGCAATGGCTCACACCTGTAATCTCAACAGTGATTACAGGAGGCTGAGGCAAGAGATTCATTTGAAGCCAGGAGTTTGAGACTAGCCTGGGCAACAAAGTGAGACCCCATGTCAATGAAAAAACATCGTTTTGTTTTTTGTTTTGAGACAAAGTCTCACTCTGTCGCCTAGGCTGGAGTGCAGTGGTGCAATCTCGGATCACTGCAACCTCTGCCTCCCAGGTTCAAGCAGTTCTCCTGCCTCAGCCTACTGAGTAGCTGGGATTACAGGCATGCGCCACCATGCCTGGCTAATTTTTGTATTTTTGGTAGAGATGGGGTTTCACCATGTTGGACAGGCTGGTCTTGAACTCCTCGTGACCAACCTGCCTCAGCCTCCCAAAGTGCTGGGATTACAGGCATGAGCCACTGCGCCTGGCCAATTTTTTTTTTTTTAATTAGCTGGTATCATTTGTCGGCCTTTTAGCTGAGATCAAGTGAAATTAGCTGGGCGTGGTGGCCTGCACCTGTGGTCCCAGCTACTCAGGAGGATGAGACTGGAGGATTACTTAAGCCCAGGAGTTCAAGGCTGCAGTAAACTATTATCACTATTATCACGCTACTGCACTCCAGCCTGGGTAACAGAGCGTGACCCTATCTCAAAAAAAAAAAAAAAGAGAGAGAAAGAAAGAAAACAAAAATGATAATAGCGATGACCAGGCACGGTGGCTTACTCCTGTAATCCCAGCACTTTGGGAGGCTGAGGCGGGCAGATCACCTGAGGTCAGGAGTTCGAGACCAGCCTGGCCAACATGGCAAAACCTCGTCTCTACTAAAAATCCAAAAATTAGCCGGGCGTGATGGCAGATGCCTGTAATCCCACCTATTCGGGAGGCTGAGGCAGGAGAATCGCTTGAGCCCGGGAGGTGGAGGTTGCAGTGAGCCGAGATTGTGCCACTGCACTCTAGCCTGGGCAACAGAGCGAGACTCAAAAAAAAAAAAAAAAAAAAGGAATAACCCAGGCCTTCTTTCTCAGGGACAGGACCTTGAGGAGCTTGGAAGGGAGCAGGGGCAGAGGGCAAGGGGCAGGAGCACAGGGGAGAATACCTCTGGCCCAGCAGGAAAAAACCAAAGGAAGAGGCAGTCAGGCATGTAGCTTCCAGAGAGCAAAGTCATGGTTCTTCCTCTGGGGGCAGTGGTTCATGTGAGCTCAGTATGGTGGGCAGGGAAATAGCAGTTTTCTTCCCAATATTACTCAGAGGCTGTTGGGTTTAATTTGATGAGATGAAGTAGGACTGGGGAAAGGGAAAGATAATTCCCCATACCTTAAGATTCGCCATAGCTAAGCCAGATGCAGTGGCTTACACCTGTAATCCCAGTACTTCCGAGGTGGGTGGATCATTTGAGGTCATGAGTTCGAGACCAGCCTGGCCAACATGGTGAAACCCTGACTCTATTAAAAAATACAAAAATGAGCTGGGTGGTAGTGGCGTTCGCCTTAATCTCAGCTACTCAGGAAGCTGAAGCAGGAGAATCACTTGAGCTTGGGAGGCGGAGGTTGAGGTGAGCCGAGATGGTGCCACTGCACTCCAGTCTGAGCAACAGAGTGAGACCCTGTCTCAAAAAAAAAAAAAAAAAGATTTAACATAGCTCCCACTTAGTGAGCATTTGCTATGTGCCAGACACTGAGCTGAGTAAACATCTACTCAGGAGATCTGTTTTACAGACGGGCAAACTGAGAGTCAGAGAGGATCAATGACCTGCAAAGGTTACACAGCGGGTCAGTGGTGGTGGAACTCAGACCTGAAGCCGCATCTATTTACCTCCTAAGTGCATTCGCCCCTAATCTTGGGCTACATGGAATCTACGGCAGGGAAAACACCTTTCCAGAATGTTTCCTGCTGCACATGGTGATGCTCAGGAAATGGAATCAAGAGTCAAACTCGACCGGGCGCAGTGGCTGACGCCTGTAAACCCAGCACTTCGGGAGGCTGAGGTGGGAGGATCACCTGAGGTCAGGAGTTCGAGACCAGCCTAG
Organism: Homo sapiens; assembly: GCF_000001405.40. NCBI lineage: Eukaryota > Metazoa > Chordata > Mammalia > Primates > Hominidae > Homo > Homo sapiens. The sequence continues at coordinate 123,420,643 of NC_000012.12, read as the reverse complement.
CCAACATGGTGAAGCCCCGTCTCTACTAAAAATACAAAAATTAGCCGGGCATGGTGGCGGGTGCCTGTAATCCCAGCTACTCGGGAGGCTGAGGCAGGAGAATCGCCTGAGCCCAGGAGGCAGAGGTTGCAGTGAACTGAGATTGCACCACTGCACTCCAGCCTGGGCAACAAAACGAGACTCTGTCTCAAAAAAAATAAAAATAGGCCGGGCACAGTGGCTTACGCCTGTAATCCCAAGACTTTGGGAGGCCGAGGTGGGCGGATCACCAAGCCAAGAGATCAAGATCATCCTGGCCAACATGGTGAAACCCCGTCTCTGCCAGGCGCAGTGGCTCAGGCCTGTAATCCCAGCACTTTGGGAGGCCGAGGCGGGAGGATCACGAGGTCAGGAGATCGAGACCATCCTGGCTAACATGGTGAAACCACGTCTCTACTAAAAATACAAAAAAATTAGCCAGGCATGGTGGCAGGCTCCTTTAATCCCAGCTACTCAGGAGGCTGAGGCAGGAGAATGGCATGAACCCAGGAGGCGGATGTTGCAGTGAGCCAAGATCACACCACTGCACTCCAGCCTGGGCAACAGAGCAAGACTCTGTCTCAAAAAAAAAAAAAAAAAAAAGAAACCCCGTCTCTACTAAAAATACAAAAATTAGCTGGGTGTGGTGGCGTGTACCTATAGTCCCAGCTACTTGGGAGGCTGAGGCAGGAGAATCGCTTTAACCTGGGAGGCTGAGGCAGGAGAATCGCTTTAACCTGGGAGGCAGAGGTTGCAGTGAGCCAAGATCGCACCACTGCACTCCAGCCTGGGCGACAGAATGAGACTGTGTCTGAAAAAAAATAAATAGATAAAAATAAAAATTAAATAAATAAAAATACAAAATTAGCCATGGCCTCTGTAATTTCAGCTACTCGGGAGGCTGAAGTAGAATAATCACTTGAACCTGGGAGGAGGATATTGCAGTGAGCTGAGATCACACCCCTGCACTCCAGCCTGGGCAATAGAGCAAGACTCCATCTCAAAAAAAAAAAAAAAAAGAAAAAAGGGAGTCAATATCCTCTTGATAACCAGAATAGAACTGGAGCAACAGGCAGTTTCAGCCTGGCTGTGGGAAATGCCCAAGGACCTCTCCCTGTCCCACGTGGGACCATTCCTCTTGAATGAGCCGTGTCCCAGCATTGGAACATGCTATGCACTTTCCTCTGAATACTTCCCTCATGTCTGTGCACCAGGGTTGATCCCATAGTTCTTCGGATGCTGCCTCTTATACTAAGAGTGAGGTGCTTGTGTAAAATTCAGATTCTCAGAAATCAAGTCAGTAGGCCGGGCGCAGTAGCTCACACCTGTAATCCCAGCACTTTGGGAGGCCGAGGCGGGCAGATCACAAGGTCAGGATATGGAGACCATCCTGGCTGACCATCCTGGCTAACATGGTGAAACCCCATCTCCACTAAAAATACAAAAAATTAGCCGGGCATGGTAGTGGGCGCCTGTATTCCCAGCTACTCGGGAGGCTGAGGCAGGAGAATGGCGTGAACCCAGCAGGCAGAGCTTGCAGTGAGCCGAGATCGTGCCACTGCACTCCAGCCTGAGTGACAGAGCGAGACTCCGTCTCAAAAAAAAAAAAAGCCGGGCGCAGTGGGTCACACCTATAATCTCAGCACTTTTGGAGGCTGAGGCGGGCAGATCACAAGGTCAGAAGATTGAGACCATCCTGGCCAACATGGTGAAACCCCAAGCCTGTAGTCCCAGCTACTCAAGAGGCTGAGGCAAGAGAATTGCTTGAACCCGGGAGGCAGAGGTTGTAGTGAGCTGAGATTGCGCCACTGCACTCCAGCCTAGCAACAGAGCAAGACTCTGTCTCAAAAAAAAAAAAAAAAAAAAAAAGAAAGAAAAAGAAAAAGAAATCAAGTCAGTGGTTCTTGGATGAAGCTCAGAAATCTGGATTTTTTTCAAAAGTTCCTTGGACCACACTGATATGTGCCCTCTTAGTTGCCAGGTGTCAGGACAGTAGGCTGCAGCTTTCCTGTACTCCATTCATTCAACAAATATTTACTGAGGGTCTGCCATGTGCCAGGCACTGTTGTAGGTGCTGAAGATACAGCAGTGAACAGAACCTAAAGTCTCTGGCTCGTGGACCTTACATTCTAGTAGAGGGAGTCAGAGAGTGAACAGGTAAAGAAATATATTAACAGGACAATTTCAGATAGCTATATGTGCTATGATCACAAATAAGGGGACAGAACGGGAGAGAGAGGACTACTTTAGATTTGGGTTATCTTTTATCACAGCAGTGGGAAAAAAAACACAAGAAAATCGAGTTGGGAAGTCCTGGAAGGCTTCTGTGAGGAGGTGACATTCAAACTGATCACTGAAGTACATTAAAGACCGGAAGGAAGAGCATTCCAGGACAGGAGCAGTGGCTCATGCCTGTAATCCCAGCACTTTGGGAGGCCAAGGCCAGAGGATCGCTTGAGCCCAAGAGTTTGAGACTAGCCTGGGCAACATAGAGAGCTTTTTTGTAGAGACCTCATCTCTACAAAAAAGAATAAAATTAGCCGGGTATGTGCCTGTAGTTCCAGCTACTTGGGAGGATCTCTTGAGCACAAGAGGTCCAGGCTACAGTAGGCCATGGTCACACCACTACACTCCAGCCTGGATGACAGAGCAAGATCCCGTCTCCCACCAAAACAAAAGAGCATTCCTGGTAGACGGGACAGTAAGTGTAAGAGCTTCAGGCTACAGAAATTCCCAGAACAGGCCAGGCACAGTGGCTCACGCCTGTAATCCCAGCACTTTGGGAGGCCAAGGCGGGCAGATCACCTGAGGCCCAGAGTTCGAGACGAACCTGGCCAACATGGAGAAACCCCATCTCTACTAAAAATACAAAATTAGCTGGGCGTGGTGGCGCATGCCTGTAATCCCAGCTACTCAGGAGGCTGAGGCAGGAGAATTGCTTGAACTCTGGTAGGCGGAGGTTGCCGTGAGCCGAGATCGTGCCATTGCACTTGAGCCTGGGCAACCACAGTGAAACTCTGTCTCAAAAAAAAAAAGAAATTTTCAGAACAGAAGACCATGGTGACTGGAACAGGGAAGAGAATGGAGGTGGGATTGGAGAGGTGGGAGGGGCTGGGTCACCCAGGGCCACGTGGATTCTTTCTGGTGCTGACTGTGGGTTTTATTCTAGGTACGTTGGGAAGAGACATTGGATGGTTTTAAGCTGGAGAGTAACATGACCGTATTTATGTACAAAAAGCTCACTCTGGTTGCCTTGTGGAGAAGGGTTGGGAGACAGGGTCAAAGTAAGGCCAATGGGGGTGTTTCTTTTTTCCTTTTTTTTTTTTTGAGATGGGGTCTCACTCTGTCACCCAGGCTGGTGTGCGGTAGCTTGATCTCAGCTCACTGCAACCTCCGCCTCCCAGTTTCAAGCGATCCTCCCACCTCAGCCTCCCGAGTAGCTGGGACCACAGGTGTTCACCATCATGCCCAGCTAATTTTTGTATTTTTGGTAAAGATGGGGTTTCTCCACGTTTCTCAGGCTGGTCTGGAACTCCTGAGCTCAAGCAATCCGCCCGCCTCAGCCTCCCAATGTGCTAGGATTACGGGTGTAAGCCACTGCACCCAGCCTAATGGAAGTGTTTCTTCCACAAGGAAGGGTCTTCTGAGGTAAGATAATGAAAGAGCACCTCCACCCAGGTGTCCGAAGTGAAGGTGTTCATTTAGGACTTTCATTGGCTGTCTTGTTGCAAATCAGGCTTCCAGAAGGCATAAACTACTGGTTTCTTTCAGCGTCCTTCTACGGGAGCTTAGGACACCTAATTGGAGTTTGAGCCTAATAGAGCAAAAGTGAAATGTGTGTTCTGTGCATGAGCTAGCCTGAGGACATGTGGCTAGTGGCTAATGAGCGTGAGGCCACCCTTTCAGGGTCAGATAAACTTAATGAGCTACTAGAATCAATGAGTGAATGAATGAACGAATGAATGTGTTTTTTTGTTTTTGTTTTTGAGACGGAGTCTCAATCTGTCACCCAGGCTGGAGTGCAGTGGCACCATCTTGGCTCACTGCAAGCTCCGCCTCCCGGGTTTATGCCATTCTCCTGCCTCAGCCTCCCGAGGCAGCTGGGACTACAGGCGCCCGCCACCACACCCGGCTAATTTTTTGTATTTTTAGTAGAGACGGGGTTTCACCGTGTGAGCCAGGATGGTCTCGATCTCCTGACCTCATGATCTGCCTGCCTCCGTCTCCCAAAGTGCTGGGATTACAGGCATGAGCCACCGCACCCGGGTTTTTTGGGGTTTTTTTGCTTTTTCTTTTTCTTTTGAGATAGTGTCTTGCTCTGTCGCCCAGGCTGGAGTGCAGTGGCGCAATCTCGGCTCACTGCAACCTCTGCGTCCCGGGTTCAAGCGATTCTCCTGCCTCAGCTTCCTGAGTAGCTGGGATTACAGGTGTATGCCACCACGCCTGGTTAATTTTTTTTTTTTTTTAGAGATGGGGTCTCACTATGCTGCCCAGGCATGTCTGAGACTCCTGGGATCAAGTGATCCTCATCCTCTTGCCTCAGCTTCCCAAAATCATAGGATTACAGGCGTGAGCCACAATGCCTGGCCTGGACATATTTTTGAGTCAACAGCTGCAAGAGCTACTTAGAAATTTTACGGGGGTTGCTGTGCCCCTTGCTTTGTTCCTTCTGCTTACCCTGAACCCTCTCTCTCTCCACACCAGGTTCTTTTTTCGATCGGGGAAACAGACCTAGATCCAAGGCCACAAGTAAGGCTATGGCTCTGATTCTAGAAGACAACCTTCCAAGATGCCTGGCAAAACCACCTCCCTGTGCCACACAGACACACTAGGCCTGTGTATTTATTTCCCCTTCAAAGCAGACTGAGGAGGGAGGAGACGAGGTTCTCTTGGCATCACTTTCTCCCTGGCTGCAGAACTAGACACCCTTGAAGATTTGGCCTGGGCCAGTGAGACTGAAATCAAGAAAAACAGAAGGGATGTGCAGGGTGGGGGGGTCCACTTCCTGCTCCCATGTCAACCCCCAGGGCCTCCAGCGTGCAGACGCGTGTCCTACTCATCTGCTCCCACGGATGACCCTGGTCTTCAATGGTTAGCAGAAGGGAGAAAAGAAAGCAGGAAAATGTGCTATTGAGATTCCAGTGGTGACTTCACTGATATTTAGTGAATATTTGATTTAGCCAACATGCCTTTCTTTATGTGATTTTGTATTAAAGTAAAATGATTTTTATACTTTCTATAGCTTATCTAGAGTGGTCTCTTAGTTACGATGGTACACATGGTATATGTGTGTATATGTCATATATCTACATTTCATTGTATAATGAATCAATTGCATTCATTCAGTCTAAGCGATGCACGATTATCTGGTGTCACTATGAAGGGAAAGATTGCTGCAAACTAAAATGTTAAGAAGCTATCGATTTTAGGACTCATCCTGATTTCAGAGGTGTTAAGATGTGAACAAAATGCATTTAGGAATCAATGAAACAGAGAGCGGGTGTCTGCACTTCGCAAAGGAACTAATGAGGCTGCCGCAACCATTCCGTGAGCCTGTCTTCTTAGTAAATAACAGTGGCTTACTCAATGTGTTTCGCCTGCTCTGTGGATTATCTCATTTGTTCCTCATAACCTGGGGAGATGGGGACCGGTACCGGTGCACCAGTTTATAGATTTTTTTTTTTTTTTTTTTTGAGACGGAGTCTCTCGCTCTGTCGCACAGTCTGGAGTGCAGTGGCACGATCTCGGCTCACTACAAGCTCTGCTGCCTACGTTCACGCCATTCTCTTGCCTCAGCCTCCTGAGTAGCTGGGACTACAGGCACTTGCCACCACACTCGTCTAATTTTTTTGTATTTTTAGTAGAGACAGGGTTTCGCCGTGTTAGCCAGGATGGTCTCGATCTCCTGACCTCGTGATCCACCCGCCTCAGCCTCCCAAAGTGCTGGTGAGAGGTGACAGCGTGCTGGCAGTCCTCACAGCCCTCGCTCGCTCTCGGCGCCTCCTCTGCCTGGGCTCCCACTTTGGCGGCACTTGAGGAGCCCTTCAGCCCACCGCTGCACTGTGGGAGCCCCTTTCTGGGCTGGCCAAGGCCGGAGCCCGCTCCCTCAGCTTGCAGGGAGGTGTGGAGGGAGAGGCGCGAGCGGGAACCGGGGCTGCGCGGGGCGCTTGCGGGCCAGCTGGAGTTCCGGGTGGGCGTGGGCTTGGTGGGCCCCGCACTCGGAGCAGCTGGCGGGCCCTGCCGGCTCCGGGCAATGAGGGGCTTAGCACCCGGGCCAGCGGCTGCTGAGGGTGTGCTGGGTCCCCCAGCAGTGCCAGCCCACCGGCGCTGCGCTCGATTTCTCGCCGGGCCTTAGCTGCCTTCCCGTGGGGCAGGGCTCGGGACCTGCAGCCCGCCATGCCTGAGCCTCCCACCCCCTCCGTGGGCTCCTGTGCGGCCCAAGCCTCCTCCACGAGCCCCACCCCCTGCTCCATGGTGTCCAGTCCCATCAACGACCCAAGGGTTGAGGAGTGCAGGCACAGGGCACGGGACTGGCAGGCAGCTCCATCTGCAGCCCCGGTGCGGGATCCACTGGGTGAAGCCAGCTGGGCTCCTGAGTCTGCTGGGGACGTGGAGAACCTTTGTGTCTAGCTCAGGGATTGTAAATACACCAATCGGCACTCTGTATCTAGCTCAAGGTTTGTGAACACACCAATCAGCACCCTGTGTCTAGCTCAGGGTTTGTGAATGCACCAATCGACATTCTGTATCTAGCTACTCTGGTGGGGCCTTGGAGAACCTTTGTGTCCACACTCTGTATCTAGCTAATCTGGTGGGGACGTGGAGAACCTTTGTGTCTAGATCAGGGATTGTAAACGCACCAATCAGCGCCCTGTCAAAACAGACCACTTGGCTCTACCAATCAGCAGGATGTGGGTGGGGCCAGATAAGAGAATAAAAGCAGGCTGCCCCAGGCAGCAGTGGCAACCCGCTCGGGTTCCTTTCCGCATTGTGGAAGCTTTGTTCTTTTGTTCTTTGCAATAAATCTTACTACTGCTTACTCTTTGGGTCCACACTGCTTTTATGAGCTGTAATACTCACCCCGAAGGTCTGCAGCTTCACTCCTGAAGCTAGGGAGACCAGGAGCCCACCAGGAGGAACGAGCAACTCCAGACGCGCCGCCTTAAGAGCTGTAACACTCACCACGAAGGTCTGCAGCTTCACTCCTGAGCCAGCGAGATCACGAACCCACCAGAAGGAAGAAACTCCGAACACATCTGAACATCAGAAGGAACAAACTCTGGACACGCCACCTTTAAGAACTGTAACACTCACCGCGAGGGTCCGCGGCTTCATTCTTGAAGTCAGTGAGACCAAGAACCCACCAATTCCGGACACACTGGGATTACAGGCGTGAGCCACCGCACCCGGCTTTTTTTTGGGGGGTGGTGGGGACGGAGTCTTGCTCTATCGCCCAGGCTGGAGTGCAGTGGCACCATCTGGGTTCACTGCAATCTCTGCCTCCCAGATTCAAGCGATGCTCCTGCCTCAGCCTCCCGACTAGCTGGGACTATAGGTATATGCCACCACACTGGGTTAATTTTTGTATTTTTGTAGAGACGGGGTTTCACCATATTGGCCAGGCTGGTCTCGAACTCCTGACCTCATGATCCGCCCTCCTCGGCCTCCCAAAGTGCTGGGATTACAGGCGTGAGTCACCGTGCCCGGCCAGTTTATAGGTTTAGAAACTGAAACTCTGGCTGTGGAGCTAGGAAGCAGCTTGCCCAGGAGGCAAATGCAGGCCTGATTCCAAGGCCCGGGCGCGGAGCTGCCAAGCTTTATGGGTCCAGAGTCACTGGCAAGTCCTAATAATAGTAATAATTTACTGTATGCCTCGCCTGCATCATTCTAAGTACCTTTCCGATGCTGTCTCACATACTTTTGTGGGATGGGTATCACTATTGTCCTTGGGGTCCTCCCAAGGAGGTTAAGGCATAATGGGTGAAAAGTCTTGTCTAAGGTCCTCAGCTAGAAAGTGGTAGAAGCAGGACTTGAGCCCAGATACAAAGTCCACACACAGGCTTCAACCACTCTGCCTTCCAGGAAGAGCTGGTAGTGTTTAAGAGTCTAGTCCAGAACACTGTCTCAACAGCATCATTAGATCAGGGCTCCTAATCCCTAGAACCCTGTGTAACACTGCAACCCTGGCCAGGCATAGTGGTTCAAGCCTGTAATTCCAGCACTTTTGGAGGCCAAGGTGAGAGGATTGCTTGAGCCCAGGAGTTCGAGACCAGCCTAGGCAACATAGTAAGAACCTATCTTTACAAAAAACAAAAAATTAGCCAGGCATGGTGGTGAGCACCTGTAGTCCCAGCTCCTGGGGAGGCTGAGGCGGGAAGATTAATTGAGCCCGGGAGTTTGAGGCTGCAGTGAGCTATGATCACACCACTACACTCCAGCCTGGGTGACAGAGTGAGACCCTGTCTCCAAATATATAAATGCTCCCCTGCCTCCCTGTGGGGATAGATAGGGTAAGAGAACCCACTCAGAAAGAAAGGTTAAGATGGCCTGGGTGGCTGTGGTACCCCAGGAGACTAAAAAAAGTTACGGTGAGAAATGCTTGGACTGCAACTCTTGGTAAAATCTGATGCTGGCAGGTGGGCATTTTGGAAAATAAGTCCTTGGGGTGATTCTCCTAGAGATGGGCCTAGCTTGACAACAGGTAACAGAGCTGTGACGTCAGCTGAGCTCTGGCGGTTCTCACACTGCAGGATTCCAACTACAAACCTAGACCGGGGAGGAACAGGCTCAGAAGTAGGTTTTCGCCGGGTGCAGTGGCTCATGCTTGTAATCCTAGCACTTTGGGAGGCCGAGGTGGGTGGATCACAAGGTCAGGAGTTCGAGACCAGCCTGGCCAAGAAGGTGAAACCCTGTCTCTACTAAAAATACAAAAATTAGCTATTCAGGAGGCCAAGGCAGGGGAATTGCTTGAACCTGGATGGCAGAGGTTGCAGTGAGCTGAGTTCATGCCACTGCACTCCAGCCTGGGCGACAGAATGAGACTCCGTCTCAAAAAAAAAAAAAAAAAAAAAAAGGTTTTCAAGCCAAGTCTCAGAAGGCACAGGAGGTGGTTGCTGTAGCAATCATCTTTTATTTTATTTATTTGAGACAGAGTCTCGCTCTGTCGCCCAGGCCGGAGTGCAGTGGCAGGATCTCAGCTCCTGACCTCATAATCCGCCTGCCTCGCCCTCCCAAAGTGGTGGGATTACAGGGATTACCGTGCCTGGCCAGCAGTCATCTTTTACAATGAACAAATAGGGCTGGGCGCGGTGGCTCACATCTGTAATCCTAGCACTTTGGGAGATGGGCAGATCACGAGGTCAGGAGACCAGCCTGGCCAACATGGTGAAACCTCGTCTCTACTAAAAATACAAAAATTAGCTGGGTGTGGTGATGCACGCCTGTAATCCTAGCTACTCAGGAGGTTGAGGCAGGAGAATCGCTTGAACCCGGGAGGTGGAGGTTTCAGTGAGCTGAGATTGCACCACTGCACTCCAGCCTGGGCGACAGACAGACCAAGACTCCATCTCAAAAAAAAAATAAATAAATAAATAAAAATAAGTCAGGCACAGTGGCTCACGCATGCCTGTAATCACAGCCCTGTGGGAGGGTGAGGCATGAGGATCGCTTGAGGCCAGGGGTTTGAGACTAGCTTGGGCAACATAGTGAGACCCTATCTCTACAAAAAGTAAAATGAACAAATAAATATAGCAACTACATATCAGAACTTGGAGGCACTTATTAGCTATTAGTCCTGAGTACTTGTAAACACTGAATAGAAGCTAGCCAAATTTTTAATTCTAATAATAGCTAATACTGATTACTGAAGGCTATGTGCAAGGCACTGTTCCAAGTGTTGTTTTTTTTTTTTTTGTATTAACTCATTAAATCCTCACAATCACCCTGTACAAGTATTATTACTGTCTCCATGTTACAGGGAGGGAAACTGACGCACAAGGAGACTACGTACCTGCCCAAGTTACACAGCAGTGGATTGGAAGCAGAGGTTCTGTTCCAGCAGCCACATGTCCCCTCCAAGGTGAAGCTATAATACTGATGCCTGAATCTTTGGGGGAGGAGGCAAGTCAAGTGGGCAGAGATTATCCCTATTTGAGACAAGTTTCAGAGAGGGGAAGTGACTTGACCAATGTCACACGGCTGACAAACACTTAAAACTGATGCTGGAACTGGATCTTTTGCATCTAAGCCAAGGGCTCTACTCACTGTTCCAATCTACCACCAGTGCCCAAGCATGGAGGGGACAGGGATCTGGGCTGGTAATAGGGACTTCCAGCCCAAGACAGGTGCAGTGATGATTCAGAGCCTCCTGAGAATCATCAAGTCTAGTAAATTATAAGTCGCAATGACAATTACATCAGCTAAAGTTTATGATGCTTACTATGTGCCATTGTTCTAAGGCTCAAAATGCATTAACTTTTAAGCTGGGCGTGGTGGCTCATGCCTATAATCCCAGCATTTTGGGAGGCCGAGGCGGGTGGATCATTAAGGTCAGGAGTTTGAGACCAGCCTGGCCAACACGGTGAAACCCTGTCTCTACTGTGGCCGGGTGCAGTGGCTCACGCCTGTAATCCTAGCAGTTTGGGAGGCCAAGGCGGGCAGATCACTTGAGGTCAGGAGTTCGAAACCAGCCTGGTCAACATGGTGAAAGACCGTCTCTACTAAAAATACAAAAAAATTAGCTGGGTGTGGTGGCTGGCGCCTGTAATCCCAGCTACTTGGGAGGCTGAGGCAGAATTGCTTGAACCTGGGAGGTAGAGGTTGCAGTGAGCCCAGATCATGCCACTGCACTCCCACCTGGGCAACAGAGTGAAATTCCATCTCAAAAAAAAAAAAAAAAAAAAAAAAAAAAAAGGCCAGGTGTGGTGGTGCATGCCTGTAATCCCAGCTATTCAGGTAGCCAAGGTACGAGAATTGCTTGAACCAAGGAGGTGGAGGTTGGAGGTTGCAGTGAGCTGAGACTGCCCCACTGAACTCCAGCCTAGGTAACAGAGACTGTCTCAAAAAAAAAAAAAAAAGCATTAACTTTTAATCTTCACATACCCTATGGTCCCCAGTATACAGATGAGGAAACGAAAGAGCTCAGAGTTCTGGGAAACACGCTCAAAATCACGTCAGTAAGCTTTTCTGGTTCCCCAGGAGGATGCTTACCAAAGCTTAGACATGCTGGTGTGACACAGTCAAATTGTAAAAACAGAAAGACACACACGTGGCCTTGCCTGGCAATAAATATTTTAATTTGTTTCATTTTTATGATGACAAATAATTTTCAAGTTTATTTCCTTGTTTAAATACAAAGCTAAACCACAAACAGGTATAATCAAGACATTGTGTCTCACATTTACACTCCCATCGGATCCTCTTCCAATTTGCTGACCACTGACCAGGCTAGCGGGGGGTGGGAGGGAAGACTTTCTTAGGTAGCACCGTCGTGAGGCCCGAGGTGGGGTTGGGGGGGAATCAAAGACGAGGACAGCCTCTCATACCTGTCTCCATTCACATTTACCTGGGACCAGGGTGGGCAGGAGACACCAGGTCATGGCTCCTGAGCCCCGGCCCCCTGGACTGAAGGGACAGTGTGTGAGAATCAGTTCTGTGAAGGGCGGGAGGAAGCAGTCACCTATTCCTCCTGCCTTCACAGTTAAGGTGAAAACCTTAGCCCTATCCTTGATTCCTGGGGGCTGCCGGGCCCTGTGTGCTCCCCTGCACACCTGGGTGCCTTTCTGAGGCTGGCAGCAGCGGCCGGGGTCAGGGGTCCTGGGCTCCTAGGCTCACACCTCAGCTCACAGTTGCGTCCTTGCAGGAGGACACTGGGTGTCTGACAAACACAAGGCCTCGACAGCAGGTCTGGAACTTTCAACCCCAGCAGGATGAGGGGGAATGGGGGTGGATGTCAGGTAAGTAATTTCTGGTCCCACTACAAAACTTTATTTTTGATTAGAGTACCATTCTCAATCTCTTCTACAAAAAGCAAAAAAAAGCAAAAAAAAAAAAAAAAAAAAGCAGCCACTTCACTCACTTCAAGACCTATATACATGTAAAGTTGTTTTCTGTGGTTTTTTTTATTTTTAATTTTTTTAAATTTTTATTATTATTTTTTAAAATAAATTCAGTGTTCACATTTCTATAAAGAATTAACCCAGTTTCAGGAAACCCTGCCCCAGCAGGGCAGGTAAGCAACCCTCTCCCTGCCCACATCTAGTTTGATTTCACGCCCTGATGCTTCAAGGTGCCCAGAAAAGCGGCAGCTTGTGGAAGAGGAAATCTATGCCCGGCCCGTGCTTGGGGCCCGGGGCTCAGTAAGCTTTCGAGAAAGCAGAGGGGAAGACTAGCTTACTGCAAAAACCTTTTTAAAAAATATTCATACACTTCAGTGAGCGCCTGTTGAGACGTTAGGGGAACAAGAGCTTGGAAACATCCCGTCCAGGCCATTGGGAGGCAGCGTCTTCCTCACACCCCGTCCCTGGATGTCGGGGGTGCAGGGGGAAGGTCCCGGCTCTTCCACTGGAGAAAGGAGACTCACCTGGCTTCCTAGTTCATGTTTGACTATTTCCTCTAAAACCTGTGCTGAGTCTTTGACTGCATGCACGGGAAGCACAAACGTTCGGCTTGTATGCAAAAAAAGTACAAAAACAACTAGAATATAAAAGTTTTGGTAATATAAGGCCATCTGTTCAAGTCCACCTTGGAAACCTGTAACAGATATTTAAATACTACAGTGAAAAGGCATCTTAATATACTTTTTAAAAACATCTGAAGTAATCCGCTAAGATTAAGTGTGTAAAAAAAAAATTCAATTCCCTTTGAGGGCACTTTGTCCTTTGAAGAAGGGAAAGTGGGGCGGGGAGGGCACGGGGCCCACCGGTTAATGCTTCAGCCACGGGTGGGCTTCAATGGAAGCCTTGCTGCGGTCCCCATAGTCATACAGGAGCTCCTCCCCAGCCGCGATGTCTCGGGAGGCGATGAGGATGAGGTGAGGTACGCCGTCGATGTCGTGCAGTTTGGTTTGGCAGTTCCCACATTTGCTGTGATTGATCAGTCTTCCTAGGCGATTTGTCTCTCTAGTTGCATCCACGCTGGAGGGGAAGGAGGGCCAGAGAGGATTAAATGGATAAAGAGGCTTTTCAACCTGAAGAGAGTCACACTTGTGCTCAGCTCTGGTGGGATGCTGATTTAAAGCCATGTGTTTTGAAAAGATTCAATTCATAAAGCTATTTTCTTTTTCCTTTTTAGAGGGGGTCTCGCTCCGTAACCCAGGCTGGAGTGCAGTGGCACGATCACGGCTCACTGCAGCCTCCACCTCCCGGGCTCAAGTCATCCTCCTACCTCAGCCTCCCGAGTAGCTTTGACCACAGGTACATGCCACCACATCAGGCTAATTTTTAATTGTTTCTGTAGAGACAAGATCTCCCTATATTGCTCAGGCTGGTCTCCAACCCCTGGGCTCAAGTGATCCTCTGGCCTTGGCCTCCTGAGTTTTTGAGATTACAAGCACGAGCCACCAGGTCTGGCTCAATTTGCAAAGCTTTTTTTTTTTTTTTTTTTTTTTTGAGAGGGAGTCTCGTCGCTCTGTCGCCCAGGCTGGAGTGCAGTGGCACGATCTCAGCTCACTGCAACCTCTGCCTCCCGGGGTAAGGCAATTCTGCCTCAGCCTCCTGAGTCACTGGGATTAGAAGCGTGTGCCACCATGCCAGGCTAATTTTTTTGTATTTTTAGTAGAGATGGGGTTTTGCCATGTTGGTCTGGAGCTCCTGACCTTCATGATCCATCCACCTCGGCCACCCAAAGTGCTGGGATCACAGGCATGAGCTACCACGCCTGGCCCACAAAGCTATTTTTGAGAGCCTGCACAGGCCCTGGGTGGGGGGATGGGGTAGGACCCAAAGGGCTCTTTATGGAGGCACAGGAGGAAATGGTAGAGTTTCACAAAATAAATGGATTAAAAAAATCAACCCCGCCAGGCGCGGTGGCTCACGCCTGTAATCCCAGCACTTTCGGAGGCTGAGGCGGGTGGATTACCTGAGGTCAGGATTTCAAAACCAGCCTGGCCACCATGGTGAAACGCTGTCTGTGCTAAAAATACAAAATTAGCTGGGCGTGGTGGCGCATGCCTGTAATCCCAGTTACTTGGGAGGCTGAGGCAGGAGAATTGCTTAAACTTCGGAAGTGGAAGTTGCAGTGAGCCAAGATCGTGCCACTGCACTCCTGCCTGGACAACAAGAGTGAAACTCCATCTCAAAAAAATAAAATAAAATAAAAAATAAAAAATTCAACTCCACTGGTCCTAGCCAGGCAAGATCAATTAGTGATTTCCAGAGCTGCTCTGGCCAAATGCCCTGAAGGAGAGCCAGGTGAGCTGCTTAACAGGTTTTCATGTGACTAGCCCACTTCTCCCCTTGGATGAGATAACATCCAGGACAGCTCCAATTCCAAAGATTAAAAATGGGAAGCTGGGGCCACAGTGGCTCATGCCTGTAATCCCAGCACTTTGGGAGGCCAAGGTGGGCAGGTCACAAGGTTAGGAGATTGAGACCATCCTGGCTAACACAGTGAAACTCCATCTCTACTAAAAATACAAAAAATTAGCCAGGCATGGTGGCATGTGTGTGTAGTCCCAGCTACTCAGGAGGCTGAGGCAGGAGAATCGCTTGAACCTGGGAGGTGGAGGTTGCAGTAAGCCAAGATTGCACCACTGCACTCCAGCCTGGGTGACAGAACGAGACTCCGTCTCAAAAGAAAAAAAAAAAGGGAAGCTGGGGCCAGGCGCAGTGGCTCACATCTGTAATCCCAGAACTTTGGGAGGCTAAGGCAGGCAGACCATATGAGGTCAGACCAGCCTGGCCAACATAATGAAACCCTGTCTCTACTAAAAAAATATATAAGAATTAGCTGGGCGTGGTGACGCACACCTGTAATCCCAGTTACGTGGGAGGCTGAGACAGAATACCTTGAACCCGGGAGGTGGAGGTTGCAGTGAGCCAAGATTGTGCCACTGCACTCCAGCTTGGGCGACAGATCGAGATTCAAAAAAAAAAAAAAAAAAAAAAAAAAGGAAGCAGGCGATAATTGCATCACAGCTTTGAAAAAAGGCAACAACAGCCCGAGCGCAGTGGCTCACACCTGTAATCCTAGCACTTTGGAAGGCCAAGGCGGGTGGATCGTCTGAGGTCAGGAGTTCAAGACCAGCTTGGCCAATGTGGCAAAACTCCACCTCTACTAAAAATACAGAAAAAAAAAATTAGCTGGGCTACTCTGGAGGCTGAGGGAGGAGAATTCTTTGAGCCTGAGAGGAGGTTGCAATGAGCCGAGATCACACCACTGCACTCCAGCCTGGGCAACAGAGCAAGACTCCATCTCAAAAAATAAAAAAAAAAAAGTCAACAACAACAAAACCAAAAGACTGGCCACCAAACAGAATCAGGAGTTCCTGGCCCTTTGGCCTCTCCTCACTGCCCAGAGGACAGAAAAGCCACTCTAAGCAACAGTGGACTCACCAGTAGGTTTTGCTCAGATACTGAAAATAGTACATGTAGCAGCCCGTGGAAGGGTCCTGTGCGTACAGAGCCTCCCGTTTCTTGGCGTCGGTGATCTCGATGAGGTCCCCGTGGTATTCCACCACAAAGTCACCCCGGGAGAACTGCTTGGTGGCAATCACACCCCTGCCTTTGCCATCGATGAGGTCAATCTGTCAGGTGATAAGAGAGGGTGTTGGTTCATAATAGCAATGGATGCCACTGTGCACAGCAGGTCTCCGGGGAGCTGGGGCTTACCCCAGTCTTTAACAGCTGTACTGAGCCATGTCATAAAATTCACTCACTTTACATGTACAGGCTGATGGGTTTTATGAAGTGTATACAGCTGTGCAACCGTCACTACAGGCCAGCTCTAGAACGTTCCCTCACTCCACAAACGTGGTTCCTTGGTGCTCATCTGCAAAGCAGTTACATCAGAGCTCGTGAGAGATCTGCTAGGTGGAGACTGCCCCATTTTGTAGATGAGGAAACTGAGGCTTAAAGAGGCACAACCACGTGTCTGAGGCCACACAGCTAGACAGTGACACAGCTCAAATCCACACACCTGGTTTCTCTGTCTAGGGGCTATGCGCTATGCCTTCCTAGGCAAACAGCAGGCCCAGTGTTCTGGGTCTCTACCTCATTCCACGATTTCTCTCCTGTGTCTCCTCACTCTATTCTACATGGAGTTGAATGGGGTTGCTGGAGGGGCCCAGGACTTAAGCCGGAATCCCCCTAGGTGGTGGGTGGAAGTGGAAGCTTTCTGAACCCGGAGCCCTAGTCTAGGCCCATCTGAACCCCACTGTAGAGAGTACTTCTCCTCTCGCCCAAACTGAGTGTGGTTGAAATACAGTAAGAGAAAAGCACATTTCTTGGGCATTGTCATTATCTAGGAAAACAGTTTAAAAATGTATTAGTTTCTCCTTTTAAAAGTTTCCCTGGGCATCAGCTACATATTGTATAATCCGATTTATATGAAGTGCCCAGAAGAGCAACTCCACTGAGACAGAAAGCAGCTGAGTGGCTGCCAGGGGCTGGGCAGGGGAGAGGTGGGGATGGTGGGCAGTGGTAAGTAATGGGTAAGGGTTTCCATTTGGGAGGATGAAAAAATTCTGAAATTAGACAGGGATAATGGTTGCATTGCATTGTGAATGTACAAAAAGCCACTGAATTGTTTAACCACAATTTCTAAGAAAAGCTTCCCCTGGATAACATTTATATACAAAGCCCATTTATGTTTCCTTCATAAGACATTTCCTTAACAACTTTTGGTATTTGGCTCTTTGACAACCTAATAGAGTCTGCCTGGTCACCATGGCCATTAGAGGGTGAAAGCCACATGGTGGCCACTCTCAGCCACGGGACCAGGGAAGGTGAGCTCTTCCAGCTTTAGCTATGATGCAGCAAGCACAGCAGCCCCTTACCTTCATTCCTTCTTCCTTCCCACTTTCAATCAATTCATCTATTCTTTTCCTTTCTTCAGACTGGGCAGAGAGAAAGAAAAACAGCATCAGTATCTTCTCCTAGGCCCATCGTGCGTAGCTTGATGGTCTTGAGCCCTGATTGCCCAGGCCATGCCCACCGGGCCACAATCGGCCTCATTTGGCATCACTGGGGATGATGGGTCCCCAGTGATGGCAAAGCCCCCAAGTATCCCTCCTTTTCTCATCACCCATCTGTTGTGGAAGATCTGTCACCTGGGGTTCAACTGGATCAGGAGGGAAACAGTGGGGACCCAAGAACAGAATGGGGCTCGTAGATATGTTCTGTTGCCCATGCAGCACGTTAAAAAATGTCCAACTTGCCCACACCTGAAAATCAGGCCTCTGACTTCACAGAAAATCAGGTACAGTGGGCCAGGCGCGGTGGCTCACGCCTGTAATCGCAACACTTCGGGAGGCCGAGGCGGGCGGATCGTAAGGTCACGAGTTCGAGACCAGCCTGGCAAATAGGTAAAACCCTGTCTCTATTAAAGATACAAAAATTAGCCAGGTGTGGTAGGAGCCTGTAGTCCCAGCTACTCGGGAGGCTGAGGCAGGAGAATCGCTTGAACCTGGGAGGTGGAGGTTGCAGTGAGCCAAGATTGTGCTACTGCACTCCAGCCTGGGCGACACAGCAAGACTCCACCTTAAAAAGAAAAAAGAAAATCGGGTACAGCAGATCAGAGGCTGTGCCCTTTGGATGGGACACACGCAGTCCACATGGCTCTGGTCTGATGGCTCATACTTCTGTTTGGGATCGCTGAGATTCACCTGTATGGAGGCCACCACGATGGATGAGAAGAGGGCCTCCAATCCCGAGGGTCAATACAGACCTGAACAGAGAACTGGGAGGGGGCACCCCTGGATCCACCTCTCCTCTAAGGCCACCCCTCCTGCACCTACCTCCATCCCTAACCCTGGGTTCTACTGCTCTGCCACTGCACAGATACTACAGAGCAAAAGGGAACCAAATGAAGACAGATCGGAAGCTCCAAACCAGTGTGGCTCACCCCAAACCAGCATGTCTTGACGGCATAGACTTTCACCAAACCAGATGGCACGTGTCAGGAGCCTGACACCAACTGCTGAGCTCAGCCCATTCCCCCTACACAGAGGCCCAAACCAGCTTGCAGCTTTTCCAGGCACTCAATCCACACCTGCAATGTGCCAGGCGCTGCAGTCTGTGCTGGGAACAATGGTGAATGAGTAACCTCAAGGACAGTCCCAAATCCTGCCACCTCCTCTCCATCTCCATTCCCACTGCGGCCCTGCAGCCCAGCCACGGCCCCGGCCCCGCTCCGGCCCCCTTGCTAGTCACCAGGCTTTCACTCTGACCCCAGGGAACACTCAGTTCTCCACAAGGTAGCCAGAGGGGTCTTTTAAAATGTAAATGAGGCCAGGGGCAGTGGCTCTCTCCTGTAATCCCAACACTTCAGGAAAGCCAGGAGGAAGGATCGCTTAAGGACAGGAGTTAGAGACCAGCCTAAGCAACAGATCCAGACCCTGTCCCTACAAAAAATAAATAAGCTAGGTGTGGTGGCGTACACCTTTGGTCCCAGCTACTCTAGAGGCTGAGGAAGGAGGAGGATTGCTGGAGCCCAGGAGGTTGAGGCTGCAGTGAGTCATGACTGTGACACTGCACTCCTGCCTGGGCAACAGAGTGAGACCCTGTCTTAAAAAAAAACAGAAAACATGACCAGGCATGGTGGCTCACGTCTGTCATCCCAGCACTTTGGGAGGCTGAGGTGGGTGGATCACTTGAGGTTACGAGTTTGAGACCAGCCTGGCCAACATGGCGAAACCCCGTCTCTACTAAAAACACAAAAATTAGCTGGGCGTGGTGGCACACACCTGTAATCCCGGCTACTCAGGAGGCTGAGGCAGGAGAATCGCTTGAACCCAGGAGGTGGAGTTTGCAGTAGGCCAAGATCGCACCACTGCACTCCAGCCTGGGAGACAGAGCAAGACTCCATCTCAAAAAGAAACAAAAAACAAAAAAAAACCTTCCCATAAACTTATTTAATAGTAATATACCTAACAAAACCTCACATATCAATATTAACCTTAAACATAAATGGACTAAAATGTTCCACTTAAAAGATATGAAAGATAAGGGTCAAGAAGGTTAAAAAAAAAAGAAAGATATACACCTGTTATCCCAGCACTTTGGGAGGCCGAGGCGGGCGGATCACGAAGTCAGGAGATCGAGACCATCCTGGCTAACATGGTGAAACCCCATCTCTACTAAAAATACAAAAAATTAGCCGGGCATGGTGGTGGGCACCTGTAGTCCCAGCTACTCGGGAGGCTGAGGCAGGAGAATGGTGTGAGCCCGGGAGGCGGAGCTTGCAGTGAGCCAAGATCGCGCCACTGCACTCCAGCCTTGGCAACAGAGCAAGACTCCATCTCAAAAAAAAAAAAAAAAAAAAAAGAAAGATATATATTGGTGGAATAGATTTAAAAAAAACAACAACAAAACTTGGTCAGGTACAGTGGCTCATGCCTGTAATCCCAGCAGTTTGGGAGGCCAAGGCAGGTGGATCACCTGAGGTCAGGAGTTCGAGACCAGCCTGGCCAACATGACGAAACCCTGTCTCTACTAAAAATACAAAAATCAGCCGGGCATAGTGGTGCACACTTGTAATCCAAGCTACTTGGGAGTCTCAGGCCAGGAGGCGGAGGTTAGTAAGCCATAATCATGCCACTGTACTCCAGCCTGGGCAACAGAGTGAGACCTTGTCTCAAAACAAAAAACAAAAAACAAAAAAAAAACTTCAACCAACAGTAATATACCAATGTTGGTTGTTACTTAGCTGTGACAAATTCACCAGAGTAACTTAAGTGAGAGAAGATGGGTAAGGAGTCTGGGGAACTCTCTGTATTATCTTTGCAACTTTTCTATAAAATTAAAATTATTGGCCAGGCGCGGTGGCTCACATCTGTAATCCTAGCACTTTGGGAGGCCAAGGTGGGCGGATCACAAGGTCAGGAGTTTGAGGCCAGCCTGACCAACATGGTGAAACTCTGTCTCTACTAAAAACACAAAAATTAGCTGGGCGTGGTGGCAAGCGCCTATAATCCCAGCTACTTGGGAGGTTGAGGCAGGAGAATTGCTTGAACCTGGGAGGTGGAGGTTGCAGTGAGCCGAGATCGCACACCTGCACTCCAGCGCGGGCTACAGAGTGAGACTCTGTCTCAAAAAAAAAAAAATTGCAAAATAAAAACATTTTAAAAACTTTTTGGCTGGGCACGGTGGCTCACGCCTGTAATCCCAGCACTTTGGGAGGCCGAGGCGGGCGGATCACAAGGTCAGGAGATCGAGACCATCCTGGCTAACACGGTGAAACCCCGTCTCTACTAAAAACACCAAAAATTAGCCGGGCGTGGTGGCAGGCGCCTGTAGTCCCAGCTACTTGGGAGGCCTTTTTAATTATTTTTTAAGATGGGGTCTCACGGCCGGGCTCAGTGGCTCACGCCTGTAATCCCAGCACTTTGGGAGGCCGAGGCAAGTGGATCATGAGGTCAGGCATTTTGAGACCAGCCTGGCCAACGCAGTGAAACCCTGTCTCTACTAAAAATACAAAATCAGCTGGGCATGGTGGTGGGCGCCTGTAATCCCAGGTACTCAGGAGACTGAGGCAGGAGAATCACTTGAACCCGGGAGGTGGAGGCTGCAGTGAGCCAAGATCGCGCCATTGCACTCCAGCCTAGGTGACAGTGTGAGACTCTGTCTCGAAAAAAACAAAACAACAAAAAACCCACAAAAGATGGGGTCTCACAATGTTGCCCAGGTTGGTACTGAACTTCTGTTCTCAAGTAATCCTCCCACCTCAGCCTCCCAAGTAGCTGGTGTCTTTTTTGTTGTTAATTACTCCCCATTGGAAAACAAGCCCTACGGGCTGGTCTAGTTTACTGTGGAATCTCCTGGTCTAGAACAGTGCACACAGCAGGCCCTCAAAGCAACACCACCACCATCACACACATAACCACCTTGCTGTGTGACCCATTCATTGCAAGTGTGCAGAGAGTGCTGAGAAGTACGGGGGCCCATGTAAACGGGAGTGATCATGGAAAGACCGGGGTAGTGGAATGGGGGTTTTTCTGCTGGGACCAAACACGGCAGGTAGGAGATGCGCAGAGGGAAGCTGGGACCAGGCCAGATGCCCCGGCACAAAGCCAGGGAGGCTGAGTCTCCCAAAGGCCTGGAATTTGGGGCCTGCAAACAACCAGCCCTGGGTTTTCTAAAGGGACTTCTGGCAGGAACCCACAAATGGGCCTAGAAGGAGATGGAGTGGGAGGGATACAAGGTTGGAACTAGGGCAGTTGAGAAGCGCCTGTGACCAGGAAGGAGGGGACCTTCCCAAGCGGAATCAGCAGGCTGCTTGCACATCTGGCCCTGGGGCCGAGCTGGGCATGAGGAAGCCCAGCCATTGCCAAGAGGCATGGTCCCTGCCCCGCTGCTGGCTGCCACCCCACCCACAGCCAGGCTGGCCGGCCAAGGGGCCCCTGCAGTGAAGCACTTGGTGGATAGGGCATCTCTCCAAGGCCCACCTTGTGTCCAAATCCAGCAGCCCTGATCCCACCCTGTTGCCCAGGACCCACGCCCTGGCGCTAGGCCCGCCCTGGCTGCTGTCTTCAGCCTCAGTGGAGGTATATAAGAGGCTCTGAATTGCAGTTTCACCCCAGACCATCTGGCCAACAACAGGCTGTATTATGCCCCACCCTCCTGGATCCACAGCCTGGGCCCAGCATGGCAGTCAAGTCAGGACTGACCCCACCCTTCAGATGAGCCCCAGCTGTCCCGTTCTTGGGCTTTATCTGTGCAGTCAGAAAATATTCCACCCTGACCAGCTCTAGCCACGTCATCCCGGCCAGCTATGGCCTCCCTGCCCTGGCCAGCAACAGCTTGCATGGCTGCACTCAGCAGAGCCAACACAAACAGTGGGGGGCAAAGCACGGCTCCCGGTCCAGGAACAGGGCGAGCTTTCTTGTGTTTGCAGACTGTGCTTTAGGGAAGCAAGTGTGTTCTTCCCTTCTGCTCATCTGCTGCAAGATTTAGCAGACCTGCATCCTGTCCCATCGCAGCCTTCACTCTGCCCAGCACAAACTCTTGCTTCTTATTAACAAGGCCAACTCGGCTCCCCCCACCCTAAAGTCCACAGCAGCCCTTGGTGGACGCTCAGCAGAGGCCCTGTGTGTGGGCACACCGCAGCTCCAACCCTGGCTGGGAGGTGTCTGGGATTCTGTGGTCTGGCACCACCTCACCATCTGCAGTGCTGTCTTTTTTTTTTTTTGAGACGGAGTCTTGCTCAGCCACCCAAGATGGAGTGCGGTGGCGCGATCTCGGCTCACTGCAACTACCGTCTCCTGGGTTCAAGTGATTCTCCCATCTCAGCCTCCCAAGTAGCTGGGATTACAGGCACCTGCCATCATGCCTGGCTAATTTTTGTATTTTAGTAGAGACAAGGTTTCACCATGTTGGCCAGGCTGGTCTCGAACTCCTGACCTCAGATGATCCGCTCACCTGGGCCTCCCAAAGTGCTAGGATTACAGGTGTGAGCCACTGCACCTGGCCCAGTGCTGTCTTTAAGAGTGACCTAGCAGGCCGAGCACGGTGGCTCACGTCTGTAATCCCAGCACTTTGGGAGGCTGAGGTGGGCGGATCACCCGAGGTCGAGAGTTCGAGACCAGCCTGACCAACATGGACAAATCCAATCTCCACTAAAAAAAAAAAATACAAAATTAGCTGGGCGTGGTGGCGAATGCCTGTAGTCCCAGCTACTCAGGAGGCTGAGACAGGAGAATCACTTGAACCCAAGAGATGGAGGTTGCGGTGAGTCGAGATCACGCCATTGCACTCCAGCCTGGGCAACAAGAGCAAAACTCCATCTCAAAAAAAAAAAAAAAAAAAAGTGACCTAGCACAGCCTCCCACTGCTGACAAATGTTTTAAACAGCTCATTCTTGGCTGAAAGACATTGCCTTTTTCAGGCAATAAAACCAAAGCTGCTCTCTGTGGGGAAGAAAATGGACCTTTTTAAAAATTTTTTTTAAATGAAGCTTCATCAATTAAAAGAAAAAGAGAAAGAATACTAGACCACTGTGTATCTGCGCATTTAACATCAAGAACGCTGAAGGAGTCCGCATGAGGGCTGAAATGCTGAAACTGCCAAAGCCGGGGTCCCCACCTCTCTGTGTAGGATGCAATCCTGAGCACCTCTCCCAACCCGGTGGTCACTGTGGGGGTGAGGGAGAGCAGAGGGGCAGCCCCAGGTGTCCCTGAGGGGGAAGAGCAGAGGGACCTGCCATGCCCTGCGTTTCCTTCACAGAAAGGCAATAACCACACCTCACTGCAGCAAATATTGACTGCCTGCCGCATAGCTCAACCCTCTGCAAACATGGCAGCGGAGGCCCGCATAGGCCAGCTGGCCTTCCAGCCGGTGCTGCTCACTGGTCTGCAGGCTCCTAGTATGGCAGCAGCGTGGGAAAGAGCAGACGGGAGTGACAACACTGAGGAAGCAGAGGTGGCGATAGTAACAGTTAGCTGGCACTTACTGAGTGCCAAGCATGGTTCTAAGGGTTCCTCTTGCATGACCACATTTATTGAATGCTCACCACAGCTCTAGCAGGTACTACATTATTGTACCATTTTACAGACTGGAGAGCCAAGGCATGGACAGGGTAAGTGACTGGCCCAAGGCTACGCAACCAGCAAGTGGCCCCAAGCCACTGCTGTTTAACACCCTGGGCCACAACATGGAAACTTCCAGAAAACAGACAAGAAAAGCCTCTGAAAGAACAGGCAGCCTTTCCCACAGTCCCAGGCTCCCAATGGCTCTGCCAACAAGTCCTGGAAAATCCACCTTCAGAGTCACACCTGGCTTTCCCTGCCACATGCTACAAGTCACAAGGTTCCTTCACACAAGTGTCTTAACCAAGCCCTGCAGTGACCCCAGCAGAAAGGCAGGACAAGCTTTGTGAGGATCCCCGATAGATCCAGGAGAAAACCAAGTCCAGAGGGGCCAAGAGACTTGCTCCAAGATGACGAAAACAAGGCTGAGGACACACACATACGCACACGCCAAGCACTGCTTGGTGGGCCACCCTGCCCCTCCACAAACTGGAATTTAAAGCACGTGACTACCTGCAGCTCGGCTTTGCTCTTCCTGGAGCTCCTTCGGACAGGGTAGAAATCCGTAAGTTTGCGATTCTGTTGCGTTTTTCCTTGAGCTCTGGGTAAGAGGGGAAGAGGAGAAAATAAATATCAGGACTGAAAACCTGGAGGCACACAGCTCCTTAGAAGGCACACACCGAGGAGGCACACAGCTCCTTGGAGATGATGTCACTTAAACACCTTTGTCCACTGGAGCCTGCAGGTCACTCAGTCACCTGCCCATGAGGGCCTCAGAGGAGTTTCAAAGACGGGCTGCTGGCTGGGCGCAGTGCCTCATGCCTGTAATGCCAACACTCTGGGAGGCTGAGGCGGGAGGATCACTTGAGCCCAGGAGTTCAAGACCAACTCAGGCAACACAGCAAAACCCCGTCTCTAAAAAAAGGAAAGAAATTAGCCAGGCATGGTGGTGCACACCTATGGTCCCAACTACTCGGGAGGCTGAAGTAGGAGGATCACTTGGTCCTGAGAGGTTGAGGCTGCAGTGAGCTACTGCACTCCAGCCTGGATGACAGAATAAGACCCTGTCTCAAAAAACACAACAGTCGGGCATGGTGGTTCACGCCTGTAATCCCAGGACTTTGGGAGGCTGAGGCAGGCAGATCACGAGGTCAGGAGTTTGAGACCAGCCTGACCAACATGGTGAAACCCTGTCTCTAATAAAAATACAAAAATAAGCGGGACATGGTGGCATGCACCTGTAATCCCAGTTACTCAGGAGGCTGAGGCAGGGGAATCGCTTGAACCCAGGAGGTGGTGTTTGCAGTGAGCCGAGATCGCACTATTGCACTCCAGCCTGGGCAACAAGAGACTCTGTCTCAAAAAAAAAAAAAAAAAAACACAAAACACCAATCACCAAAAAAGACAAACAAAAAAAATAAATTTAAAAAACAAAGGCTGCTTATGCTGGGGTGGGTAAGGAGGGGAGGAAGGAGAGGCTCTTGAACTCTGGACCCATGCCAGATCCAGAAACTGACAAACAGTGGCATCCCTGCTGATGACTCGGGGCATCTGAGTCTTTGACATGAGAGAGGCTGAGAGGTGGCCACTGAACCCCCATGGGCACCTGAGCAGGCTTCCCTGGCATCAGAGGAACCAAACTGCTCCACGTTAGGAAGAGGACTGAATGGGGCACTTACTTTTTTCGGGGGGCCTGTTTGCCCTTGATGGGCTTTTTCAGGGCTTGCTTGGCGATGGCTGCATTGGTGGAATCACAAGATGAGGGTGGAGTTTTTGGAGGTTCTGCTGCTTCAGATTTTTGGTTTGGAAAAGGTACCAGGGGACCTTTCCTGGCGTCTTTGATCTTCTGTTCCTCGGACTTCATGGCGCTCCGTACTGCGTTCCCAGCATTTCTTTTCTCTGCAGGCGGAGGTGGGGGAAAGACGGGTTTATTCTGTACTGTCTCTCAATTTCCAGACGACCAGCTGCATTCTAAGACAAGCTTTGAGAAGACAGGATCCTGGGTTTGTCAGGCAGGAGTGCCCTTGGCCTGTTAAGCCCCGTGTCCGCTATGGGCTATGACAGGGGGAGTGCCTAGCTCCAGCTCGATTTTTTGACCAAGACACTGGGCAGAGGTTTTAGGCTTTTGCATCTTGACGTGGGAGATAGAGAGCCTGTGAGGGAGAGGCACCAGAGACGGAGACGCTGGCAGGGTGCTTGATCAATAGCTTTCAGGAATCAGGTTGCAGACTCAGATCAAAAGCTCCATTCCTGAAGGCTGGGACAGCATTAGGGGACAGGAGTAAGGTGACAAAGCAGAAACTCTTCCCCAAGAGCTGCCTGGCACCCTTCATTTCAGACTCCGAAGAAAAAGAAGGTCCCCTTCTAGTGGGGTTGAAGCCCCAGGTTCACAGCAGTTCTCAGCATGGTGCCCCAGCAGACTGGCCTGGGTATCGGGAGACACACTGCAATGATCTGTCACTTAAAACACTTGTGGAGTGACAGTGTTGGAAAACTGCTTACCTTTTTAAAAAATGTTTTACTTTTAAATAACTAAGTAAATAGGCTGGACACAGTGGCTCCTGCCTGTAATCCCAGCACTTTGGGAAGCCGAGGCTGGCGGATCACCTGAGGTCGGGAGTTCAAGACCAGCCTGGCCAACATGGTAAACCCCATCTCTACTAAAAATACAAAAATTAGCCAAGTGTACTGGCGGACACTTGTAATCCCAGCTACTCAGGAGGCTGAGGCAGGAGAACTGCTTGAACCTGGGAGGCGGAGGTTGCAGTGAGCTAAGATCATGCCATTGCACTCCAACCTGGGCGAAAGAGTGAGACTCTGTCTCAAAAAAAAAAAAAAAAAGAAAAAAAAATTAAGTAAATAGTACGCTGCTCACAGATATAAAATGGTGCAGCCACTTTAGAAACAGTTTGACATTTTCCCAAAAAGTTAAACACAGAGTTACCATATGACCCAGCAATTTCACTCCTAGGCATCTATTCCAGAGAATTAAAAACATATGTCCCCAAAAAAATCTATGCAGGAACGTAACAGTTTATTTGTAATAGCCAAAAAGTGGAAACAACCCAAATGTCCATCAACAGATGAATAAACAAAATGTGGCCTATCCACAAAAGGGAGTATTATCCAGCCATAAAAAGGAATGAAGGGCTGGGCAGGGTGGCTCCCCTGAGGTCAAGAGTTCGAGACCAGCCTGGCCAAGATGGTAAAACCCCATCTCTACTAAAAATATAAAAACATTAGCCAGGCGTGGTGGTGTGCGCCTATAATCCCAGCTATTTGGGAGGCTGAGGCAGGAGAATAGCTTGAACCTGGGAGGCAGAGGTTGCAGTGAGCCAAGATTGCACCATTGTACTCCAGCCTGGGTGAGAGAGAGAGACTCCTTCTCAAAAATAAAAAAAAGGAATGAAGCACTGATACTTATTACACCGCGGATGAACCTTGAAGACATGATGCTCAGTGAAAGAAGCCAGACACAAAAGGCTATGTATTTTGTGATTCCATCCATATGAAATGTCCAAAACAGGCAAATCCACAGAGACAGAAAGTACTTTAATGGTTACCTTGGACTAGAGGGATGGGGAATCGAAGGTGACGCCTAATGGGTACCTTTCTGGGGTGATGGAAACGTTCTGGAATTAGACTGTGGTAATGGTTGCGCAACCCTGTGAATATACTAAAAACCACCGACTCATACGCTTTAACATGAACGTTATGATATATTAACTATATCTAGATAAACAAAACAGAAAAATAAATAAATACATTAGGCCGGGCACAGTGACTTCACCTGTAATCCCAGCACTTTGGGAGGCCAAGGCGGGTGGGCCACCTGAGGTCAGGAGTTCAAGACCAGCCTGGCCAACATGGTGAAACCCCATCTCTACTGAAAATACAAAAAATTAGCCGAGCGTGGTGGCGGGCACCTGTAATCTCAGCTACTTGGGAGGTTGAGGCAGGATAATTGCTTGAACCCGGGAGATGGAGGTTGCAGTGAGCCGAGATTGCACCACTGCACTCCAGACTGCAAGACAGAGCGAGACTGTGTCTCAAAAAAAACAAACAAAAACCATTAAAACCATCCAGATCTTTCTTCCTCCTCTACACACCTTCCTGGGTGAAATCAGAGAGAATTAAAGCCAGGACATCAGGCCCAGGAGTGTGTGGTGCCCGTGAACATTATCTATCACTCAGTCTGTATCACAGCAGAATCACGGACCACAGCCTGGACCTTGGGGTCTCCAAAGTCCAGCTGACCTAAATTCTTTTTATTTTTATATTAGAGATGGGGTTTCTCTCTGTTCCCCAGGTTGGAGTGCAGTGGCATGATCATAGCTCACTGCAGCTTTAAACTCCTGGGTGCTAGGGATCCTCCTGCCTTAGCCTCCCAAGCAGCTGGGACTACAGATGCATGCCACCATGCCAGGCTAATTTTTTTTGTTTTCATTGTTGTAGAGATGAGGCCTCACTATGTTGCCCAGGCTGGTCTCAAACTCCTGGGCTCAAGCAATCCTCCTGCCTTGGCCTACCAAAGTGCTGGAATTACAAACCCGAGCCACCATGCCCGGACTCTGACCCAAAATTCTAATCATGGCCATTTAGTAAAACCATGAGCCAAATATACTAGCTTGTATACCAGGCCACCATTTGGTACAATGTATAGACTGCCCTATTTTAAAGGACTAGAGTCCGGGCAACTACCATTTATAGACAGCGCCTCTCCCCAACCCTATGGGCAGGAATTCTAAGTGCCACAGGTCCAGGGATGAGCTGGCAGTCCAGGGGTGAAGAGCTGGCACATGGAGTCCACCACAAAGCCCTTTGGCATCCACGCTGCAACCACCCTTCAAAACAGTCCTGTGTGTGTGAGGTCAGACTCCTCTCTCCCCATTTACAGATGAGAGAACAGAGGCTCAGAAGAGAGCAGCAACCTATCTAAGCCTCCTTCTTTCAGGTGGCAAACTTAAGATTGGAACCCAAGTCATCTGAAGATCAAATAAAACAATATTGCCCTGTGTACCAGGGGAGATCAAGCACAGGGTGGGCTCCTGTCCCCAGTTCAGGGCTTGCCCAGCCCTGGTTCTCAGATCCGGCCCCAGAGGTCATGCCAAATCGTCATTTATGACACTTTCTGTTAGCGAACACAAGGCTTCCTTGTATGGAGCTGCTGGCAGCCAGAGGCTCTGCTTCTTTCAGACAAGTTTTAATTAGAAGAGAGCATGGTGAATTGGGGAAAGCTGACACTCCCCACTGCAGCTTTGAAAGGGAA
Source organism: Homo sapiens (assembly GCF_000001405.40). NCBI lineage: Eukaryota > Metazoa > Chordata > Mammalia > Primates > Hominidae > Homo > Homo sapiens. The sequence continues at coordinate 123,391,676 of NC_000012.12, read as the reverse complement.
TATTTGGATTAGAGCAAGATGTCTAAGAGGTTTCAGTTTGTTTTGCAAGACCAGACCGTTTTCATTAACCCTGTATTTTCGGGTTTAACATTTTAACTCCAAATCTCATTGCATAGGATGCTGCTTCAGAAACTAACACCAAATGCTTGATTGGCAGGAAACTTTAGAAATGGGGTCAAGGCAGCTAGGCGCGGTGGCTCATGCCTGTAATCCCATCATTTTGGGAGGCCAAGGCAGGTGGATCACCTGAGGTCAGGAGTTTGAGACCAGTCTAGCCAACACGGTGAAATCCCGTCTCTACCAAAAATACAAAAATTAGCTGGGCGTGGTGGCGGCCGCTTGTAATCCCAGCTACTCAGGAGGCTGCAGCAGAAGAATCGCTTGAGCCCAGGAGGCGGAGGTTGCAGTGAGCTGAGATCGTGCCATTGCACTTCAGCCTGAGGGACGAGAGCGGAAATCCGTCTCAAAAAAAGAAAAAGAAATGGGGTCAAGGCCAGCTCATAAAAGGGAAGGAAGTCAGTTCCCTACATGAACACATTAGTTAGGTCTGCAATTGCCTGGTCTGTACAACCTGAATTCATGACTTCTGCACTTTCAGCACTTGTGAGCCTCTCTAATTGTGGGTCAGGTATGTTATTTTTGCAACTAAGCAAGACAATCAAGCTTGAAGGATATGCTAACTCTTGTGAAAGCAGGGAAAACCTGTCAAACCAACAGGGCACACACCCTGGGACAAGCCATTCTTTCAGCAGCAAGACAGAACATGGCTCAAACCTCTCGAATCTGAGACTGAAAAGGTTGGATAAATACATATGTGCATTCTTGCAGAGGACAGAGGCTTCTGCAACCCGACCAGCTGGGATCAGAACGAGGCCATTTCAAAAGCTTACCTTCTCGTTTCCTGTAGATTCCGGCTAATGGTTTCCCCTGGCATTTGACTTCGTGATGTGTAACTGAGTTCTCTTCCTGAAGGGGGAAACGCATTCCAGAGCATTTGTTCGGGCTCATGTAGGAATAGATCTTTGACTGCCCGGTAAATACGTTCTCCTAAAAAGACAAAAGCATATTCTGAAAGAGGCTTGAAGAAGAAGATCCTAGAGCATTCACGAGGAGGAGGAATACAAAAGATGAAAATCAGACAACACCGTTTTTCAAAAACTGGGCTACCAGGGGATGCCAGCCCCCATTGTCTCAGGAGAGCACTGGCAGGTTTAGAATCCCAGGTCCAGTGAAACGTTTCCTAAACGCGCTGGTCTCTAAATCACTAAGGGGACAGCTGGCCAGCAGGAGAGTCGGCTGCAACCCAAGGTCTATATAGGAAGAAGACAGCCTACCCGCAACAGGGAGGTCAAAAGGACCTGGGCATGTGAAGAGCTAGGCTATCTTTAGGAGTTCACTGCCCTGGCAGGAGCCGCAGGGACTCAGCACAGAAACACGCCCCGGGGAACCTGATTAACCACTTGGTGCTGAGGGCGGCTGGAGGGCCTGTCAGCACAGCCAGAGCCCCATGAGCGCCGGAGCCTGACCCCTCTCAAATCACTGCAGCCCCGCAGCCTCCAGGGCTGCGACGGGAGGACTTCTCTCAGGGTGACTGGGGAATCTGGGAAGAGCAGGAGCCACAGCCAGCGCATTCGGGGCGGCCACTTTGTCGCAAGCCGCACCTGGGCGTCAGTAAGAGAGTGGACGGGGCGGTGGGGCGGTTCAGGTCACTGCGGGCGCCTCTGGGCGTGGGGCCCCTCCTCTGAGTAAGTACAGACGGAGGAGGGCGTCCCCAGAAGCAACGCCGGGCCCTCGCCGCCTCGGGGACCATTCAACACCGAGGCGGTGAGACCCGTGACCTCTCCGAGGGGCCCGCGCAGGCCCCGCACAGCCTGGGACCGCGGCCACCTCCGGGGAAGTAGGGTCTTGGGCTGCGGAGACGCCACGAAGGCGCAGTCAAACTTTTCCGAGGTCAAACACCGCCAGGCTCATGGCGGAGCCGTGTGGGCGCCACTCCCAGCCAGGCGGCAGCAAAGGAAGCGGCCCGGCCGGGCGCCCCGGGCGGGTACCCGGGGTCGCCCATGTGCTCGCGGCCCCGGCCCGGCGGGCGCGCCGCAGGGGTGCGGGGAGGGTGCCTGCTTACCCCGTCGGTGCGGGGCCTCCCCGGGCCCCTCCGCTCCACCATCTCCGGGCCCGGGGCCGTCGCTGCCACCGCCGCCGCCGCCGCCGCCGCCTCCACCGCGCGGGGCTTGGACATCTTCCTGCCTGGAGAAGGGGACCCGGGGGAAGCGGGGGAGGGGGCGCTCAGGGCGCGGCGGGGCGGGGAGCGGGGCCGCCCGGGCCGGGCGCCGCGACGGCGCCTCCCGCCGCAGCCATATTTCGAGGCCCCGGCTCTGGTGAGCCGCCCGCGCAGCCGGGAGGGCCGGGCCGGAGCCCGCGTCGCCCTCCCGCCGCCCGGCCCGGCCAGGCCCCGCGCGCCGCCCGCCCCCCGCGCGGCCGGGCCCGACACACCCACCTGCAGCCCGGCCAGGCCCATGGCGGCGCGCCCCGCGCCCTCGCCGCCGCCACCAGCGCCGCCGCGGCGCCCCGGGGAAGGGCCGGCGGCGCCCCACGGCGCCCCCTTCCCCCATGGCCGGCGAGGCAGGGCCCGGCACCCGCGCACCGCGGCAGCCCCGGGCCGCCCGGGGCGAGGCACGAAGGGAAGGAGGCGCAGGCGGCGCGTCCTCCGCAGCCCTCCCGCCCGCTCGCAGCCGCCCACCGTCCGGCGCCCGGCCCGGGGAGGGGGCTGGTAGGGGCGGCGCCGCCAGGCCGCTCCGGAGGGCGGGCGGGCGGGCGCGGCGAATCCCGGCTCGGGCGCGCCCCCTCTCGCGCGGCCTCAGCCACTCGCGGAGGAAGGGGTGGGAAACACCGTCATGACAGCCCAGGCTCCCGCCCGCCCTCCCGCCAGCCCGCCCGGCTCCTTTTTCCGCTGGCTCTGCGGATATTTTGGGAACCCGGTCTGTGCCAGACGAAATCAGCAGCGGTGAACGCGCCAGGCCAGGCCCTCGGGTGTGCCCGGCGCTGTGCCCACCGAGAGTTTCACAGGCATTGAATCCTCCCCGCACGCCCACGGGGGCAGGTCCTGTCGGCATCCCAGCTTACAATGGTGACACTGTGACTCAAGGGATGTGCAGGGGTTTGTCCCGGGCCACAGAACTAGGAAGTGATGGGGCCAGGTGTCAAACCCAGAAGGGCTGTACTTGACCGGTAGGAAGCCCTGGGGAGACAGAGCCAGGGGTTATAATGATCGGTTTCCTGGGCGAGTCTCTTGCCGTTATCTCACTGAAACCTCACAGCAGCCCTGCAAAGGTAGACACCATTATTATCTCTTTTCAACAGATGGAGAAAGTGAGGAGCTTGGCCAAGTTCTCAGAACTAGATGGGTTTTCAGCCCCAGCCAACTGACCCCAGGGCCTTGCCCTCCCAGCCACTACCCTTCCTGGTTACAGATGAGGAAATGGAGTTTGGGAGAAGCAAATGGTCTTGCAGAAGGGTTTAACATGTCACCTTGTTCTCCTATCCCGCCGTGAGAAAATGCCCCCATAGGCAGACGAGGTTCCCGTCACTCTGGTGGCTGTTTCAGCATAGCTCACTGCCCTGCACCACTACTCTGTGGCCATTAAGGCTTGAGGGCCCACAGCCAGATTCACTGTATTTGTGCAAAGTCATAGATGCAAACAAGACACTTCAAGGCATCCAGCTCCTGCAGCCTGGCCCATGGCCTGGGAGTCAGGGGCTGGACTTATTTCCCTGCATCTGCCCAGAGGTGTTTTGTGACCATCGCCAAGTCACTTCCCCAGTCTGGGCCTCAGTGTCCTCATGGGTAAAAACCAAGAACCTTGAATTCCATAATCCACCAGAGCACCTTCCAACATCCACAGATAAGCAAATGGCTGTTTGTAGCCATCCTCCCACCTAGCCTCCCTCGACTCCCATTGGAACGGATAAGACTGAGTAGGATTAGGTGGTGACAGGTCACTGCTCAGACAATCCCTCCCAAATCAGCTCATGCTTTAGCATCCTTCAAGGCAGGGTCTCCAGCCCAACCACTAACTCCAGTGGGCTAGGTACTCTGCCTATGCCCTCTGCAGAGCCTACTACAGTTGAATATCCAAAAGATTACCCAGAGGGTGAAAGAGGATTCGAAAGTGACACTCTGATAACCAGGTTGAGCCATTTGAAAGCGTCTTCTATTTCTGCAAGGCAGAGAAGTTTTGCAGCTTAACTGCCATGAGAATCATGGTTTTGGAGCAGGAAGCACCCACATAGATCATCTTATCCATTTCACATTCTAGTATACCGAGCCACACCCCACGCCCCACTCATGGTCATAGCTTTCTCTGCATTTGAGCCCCCAATTGCAGGGGACACATTACAAGTCTAGCACCTATTCCTCTCAATTCTGCAGCTCCAGTACCTAGAAGATGTAAATACAGATCATTCAATGTAAGTTTCAAAACAGTCCTTTCTCCGCAAGTTTATACGTATATAACAAATACACCAGCTGGGCGCAGTGGCTCACACCTGTAATCCCAGCACCTTGGGAGGCAGAGGAGGGCAAATCACCTGAAATCAGGAGTTTGAGACCAGCCTGGCCAACATGGCGAAACCCCGTCTCTACTAAAAATACAAAAATTAGCTTGGCGTGGTTGCGCATGCCTGTAATCCCAGCTACTTGGGAGGCTGAGGCAGGAGAGTCACTTGAACCCAGGGGGGTGGAGTTTGCAGTGAGCCAAGATTGTGCCACTGCACTCTATCCTGGGTGACAGAGTGAGACTCTGTCTCCCAAAAAAAAAGAAAAGTCTGTATTTTTGGAGACCCCCCCACCAGGTGCTAAGGGATAATGAACTGAAGATGGCAAAATGAGGAGGGCAACCAACCAAGAGACCATTCAACAATGGCAGTAGAAATAGTGAAAGGTAGGTGGACTGACCCCTGAGACTAATATATTGGGGTTGTAAATATTTGCATGATTATAAAACTTCAAAATGAGTGAGGTGTTGCCTGGCATCTGACCAGTTTGTTTCTGTGACCCAGCAGGGCTCTCAAAGTGAATTGCAAGTTCAAAGCCCAATTTTCTAGAAGAAAAAGACTGTTCATTTGAAGTGCTGTAAATGATTTGGTATTTACAATTCTAAATATTGGCCAGGCGTGGTGGCTTTTGCCTGTAATCCCAGCACTCTGGGAGGCCGAGGTGGGCAGATAACCTGAGGTCAGGAGTTCAAGACTAGCCTGGCCAACATGGCGAAACCCCGTCTCTACTAAAAATACAAAAATTAGCTGGGTGTGGTGACAGGTGCCTGTAATCCCAGCTACTTGGGAAGCTGAGGCACAAGAATCACTTGAACACAGGAGAGGGAGGGTGAAGCGGGCTGAAATCACTCCACTGTACTCCAGCCTGGGTGACAGAGAGAGACTCTGTCTCAAAAAAAAAAAAAAAAAAAAAAATCTAAATCTAAATATCCAATTTAATAGCTTGCAAGGGCAGTAAAGCCTAAGAAACAGGTAACTACTAATTTGGGGGTCAAGTGAGACAGTGAGAATCAATAACTAATAATTACATAGGTGATTTGTAAGCTGCCATGGGAGGAGCTGACAAACATTATCTTCGCTTTGGGTAAGTAAGGGAGGTTGGGTGGCACAAGCAAAGACCCAGCCAAGCTAGAGTCTGGACAGCAAGTTTGGACTTCACGCTTCCTCTTCCAAAAAATGAGAATAACAATTTGTAAAGATCAATTGAGTTAATAAAGTGCCTGGCCCTCAGTGGTAATTATTATTATTTTGTTATTGTTCTTGTTTGTTTTTTTGAGATGGAGTCTTGCTCTGTTGCCCATGCTGGAGTGCGGTGACGTAATCTCGGCTCACTGCAAGCTCCACCTCCCAGGTTCAGGCAATTCTCCCTGCCTCAGCCTCCCAAGTAGCTGGGATTACAGGCATGCGCTGCCATGCCCGGCTAATTTTGTATTTTTAGTAGAGACGGGATTTCTCCATGTTGGTCAGACTGGTCTCGAACTCCCGACCTCAGGTGATCTGCCCGCCTTGGCCTCCCAAAGTGCTAGGATTACAGGTGTGAGCCACCATGCCTGGCCATAATTATTATTTAGTCATATTTTAAGTATTTCAATGATAGATGGTTAGTTTTCTTCATATATTAATTAATGCACTACTTTTAAAACAAGTAGTTTAAATGATTTTGCTGTGATGAGAAAAATGAACCCAGGAAGCATAGTTTTATTAAAATTTGTCAGATAAATTAGTCAGATAATGTTAAATATACTTTTAGATGCTTAACACTTTTCAAAGGAAAAATATTAGTATTAATTTTCTCCAAGAGTTGAGTGATGAAGCTCTTTAACCTGAAGTTTACTATGCCTCATTTTTTCATCAGGCTCTGGGTAAGTCTTATCCCAAAAGAACCTCTAGGGATGCTAGGAGAATAGATGATGCAACTGACTTCAGGGCCTGAAAACAAAGGGACCCAATAGATATTTACTGAATGAATCATTATTTTATTCATTATTATTGCTATAGGGAGCATACTGCACTAAAGCAAATTCCTACTAACACTTGAAGCCTTGAAATTTTGAGAAAAATATAATACCAAAACTTTTTTTTTTTTTTAATACTAATTCTACTCAACTTTCACGCTCAAGTTTTTGGCCCTTTGGCGTGAAGGAGACGCAGTGGCTGGAAATGACCAAGCGGTTGGAGATCTCTTTGCCGCATACCTGGGAGGCACTGTCCTGACAGCCAACTAAGTATGCAGAGGACTTCAGACAGGGCATCGCCTCCCAGGGCTGTACAAGCCCACCCAAGCCATCTACCGGGGGGCGAAGTCCTGACCAGATGCGGGGCGAACGACCGCGCCCGCGAGATGCCAGGAACCCGTTTTACCCCAAAGTGGGCCAGCGGGGCCCGGCCTTCGCTCCAGCGGCGCAGAGCTGACTCAGGACGTGGGGAGGGAGGAAAGGCGCCTGCTGCGGTGTCCACCCTGACGCGCACCCCAATATGCAGGTTATCGATCTGCGCCTTCGCCTCGGGATCACCTCCTTTCCCAAAGAGAGAGGGCCCCAAAGTGGGCGAAGCCTCACTCCTGCCCCCGCCCCACTTCTATCAATAACACCTATTCCCTGGAGGTGCCCTGCGCTTTAGTTTCCAAAGAGCTCTGACATATGGATCTGCTGCCGTGGAGAGGCAGGCCCGCAGGTGTTCACTTCATAGAAGGGAAACAGAAGCACGGCAGTGGGAAGGGTTTCTGGGGGCATCTGGAGCCGCAAGGGGGGGCCGGCGGGTTCCGCAGCAGCACCCCCTCTCCCCCCACGCGGGTCCCCAAGCTTGCCCCGAGCCACCCGAGGAGGACGCCTCCCCGCAGCCGCTGCCTCCACCCCGGCAACCCCTCCAGCACGACCCCCGACCCAGCCGCTCCGGTGCCGGCCACTTGGGCAAATACCTCTAGCCATGGCTCCACTCTGTCACCGCCTGGGATCTCCCGGGAAACCCAGCTTTCGAAAAAAGTTGCAACAACTCAGCCAACTGCTCCGCCGGGCTCCAGCTGCTCGCCCCGATTGGCGCCGCCTCCCGCCTCTCCGCAGGCTGCCCGTAGTGATAGGCCAACTCGGAGAAAGGCCCCGCCCTTCTCCCGCCTCTTCGGCGGCGGGGCGTGTCCAGCCGCCGCAATAACTGCAAACGCTTTCCCGACAGGTCCCGGCGGAGGAGGTGGGAGGGGTGTTTAAATTTGACCGTCGCCAGACGTTGAATGGCTGCGATGGAAGACACCCGAGCTGCCATTGGGAGGCCCCAGATTCCTCCCCCTCCCGCTGCTGAAGCTCCGCCTCCGGAGCGTGAGTAGCCCGGCTGGAGCCCTGGGCTCCGAGCCGACCGGATCTGGGACTTCCGGTTCTCTGTGGGCTTGACCGGAACCCGACCTTTGACCCCTCGATCTTCCCTTAAGAGCTGGGAAACCTGAGTCTCCCAGCAGTTTAGCAACTCCAGCACACCGACCTCTCCAGCAGTTTGATCCATTCATTCTCAGGTTTGAAAGGTTTTGGCCGGGCGCGGTGGCTCATGCCTGTAATCCCAGCACTTTGGGAGGCTGAGGCGGGCGGATCACCTGAGGTCCGTGGTTCGAGACCAGCCTGACCAATATAGAGAAACCCAGTCTCTACTAAAAATACAAAATTAGCCGGGCGTGGTATCGCATGCATGTAATCCCAGCTACTCGGGAGGCTGAGGCCGGAGAATAGCATGTAATCCCAGCTACTCGGGAGGCAGAGGTTACGGTGAGCCGAGATCGCGCCATTGCACTCCAGCCTGGGCAACAAGAGCGAAACACTGTCTCAAAAAAAAAAAAAAAAAAAAAGGTTTATTGAATATTCCAGTATTCAAAACCCGGCCGGGCGCGGTGGCTCACGCCTGTAATCTCAGCACTTTGGGAGGCCGAGGCGGGTGGATTACGAGGTCAGGAGATCGAGACCATCCTGGCTAACACGGTGAAACCCCGTCTCTACTAAAAATACAAAAAAAATGAGCCGGGCGTGGTGGCGGGCGCCTGTAGTCCCAGCTACCTGGGAGGCCGAGGCAGGACAATGGCGTGAACCCGGGAGACAGAGCTTGCAGTGAGCCGAGATCACGCCGCTGCACTCCAGCCTGGGCGACAGAACGAGACTCCGTCTCAAAAAAAGAAAAAAAAAAAAACCCACAGACACAACTCCTACCAACTAACTGGGTCAGTAGGGAAGGTCCTTCCAGGACCGCAAAGATCCTAATGCTTCACACCCACCCATTTTACAGATGGGGCAATAGAGGAAGCGGGTCACTTACGCGCTGCCCAAGGTCACCCAGCAATGTAATTGCAGGGCCTGGGTCAGTCTCTCCACTGTTCAAACACTAAATGGCTACCTTATCCCGAGGGAAGCAAGTATTCGCTGTTCCCCTCTGAGAGAGGGGGCTCAGTCAGTATGTTCCCAGAGAATCAGGTGTCCTGGAGTGTCTGCTTTGGACTCAGGGAAGGCGTCCAGTTACTACTGCTCTTCCCTGGGGCCCCTCCCAGGGGTGTGGGACGAGGTCACTAATCCATCCTGTCTCTTTGGTAATTGAAAAGGTTTTGGAGACCCAACCATTGCCCAAAGACTCTTCCAAAGCACCAGGAAAATAGGAAAGGAAAATAAAATGATATATGTGAAAGCACTGGGAAAGGTAGAAAAGGACACTTTTGTCACAAAGTCACTGTGTCACTTGGCACATCAGTTCAGCTCTCTGGCCTTCCATTTCCCTACCTGTCAAATGAAGGAGCTGGTGCCGTAATCTCCAACATGCCTTACAGCTTCCATAAATATGTGGAAGTGTGGCAGTGTGCAGTGGCTCTCACCTGTAATCCCAGCACTCTGGGAGGCCGAGGCAGGTGGATCACGAGGTCAGGAATTCAAGACCAGCCTGACCAACATGGTGAAAACCCCGTTTCTACTAAAAATACAAAAATTAGCCAGGCGTGGTGGTGCGTGCCTGTAATCTCACTACTCAGGAGGCTGAGGCGGAGAAGTGCTTGAACCCGGGAGGCAGAGGTTGCAGTGAGCCAAGATCGTCCCACTGCAATCCAGCCTGGGCACCAGAGCGAGACTCTGTCTCAAAACAAACAAACAAACAAACAAAAAATATATATAGAGAGAGAGGTGTTTGCTTTCTCCAAAATTGATTATTTCAACATTTATTGAGCTCTATGCCTGCCGCTGTTTTGGATCCCCCAAGGATCCGAAGGGAAAGTAGACACAGCTCCTTCCCTGCATTCTTTTAGGGAAGAAACAAGGCATTATTTAAAAGATAATTTTAAGGCTGGGTGTGGTGACTCACACCTGTAATCCCAGCACTTTGGGAGGCTGAGGTGGGCGGATCACCAGGTCAGAAGATCGAGACCATCCTGGCTAACACGGTGAAACCCCATCTCTACTAAAAATACAAAAAAAAAAAAATTAGCCGGGCGTGGTGGCAGGCACCTGGAGTCCCAGCTACTCGGGAGGCTGAGGCAGAGCTTGCAGTGAGCCGAGATCACGCCACTGCACTCCAGCCTAGGCGACAAAGAGAGACTCCATCTCAAAAAAAAAAAAAGAGAAAAAAGAAAAAAAAGATCATTTTGTTTATTTATTTTTATTTTTCTTGAGACGGAGTCTCTCTCTGTCTCCCTAGGCTGGAGTGCAGTGGTTTGATCTCGGCTCACTGCAACATCTGCCTCCTGGGCTCAAGCAATTCTCCTGCCTCAGCATTCTGAGTAGCTGGAATTATAGGCGCCCACTACCATGGCTGGCTAATTTTTGTATTTTTAGTAGAGATGGGGTTTCACCATGTTGGCCAGGCTGGATTCGAACTCCTAACCTCAATTGATATGACGGCCTCAGCCTCCCAAAGTGCTGGGATTACAGGCGTGACCCACTGCGCTCAGCCCAATTTTTGTATTTTTAATAGAGATAGTGTTTCTCCATGTTGGCCAGTCTGGTCTCAAACTCCTGGCATCATGTGATCCAGCTGCCTCAGCCTTCCAAAGTGCTAGGATTACAGGCATGAGCCCACCACCCCTAGCCTAAAAGATTATTTTTATTTTATTTATTTTTTAAGACAGGGTCGCATTCTGTCATCCAGGCTAGAGTGCAGGGGCACGTTCTCGACTCACTGCAACCTCCACCTCCTGGGCTCAAGCAATTCTCCTGCCTCAGCCTCCCAAGTAGTTGGGATTACAAGAGTGTGCCATCATGCCCACCTATTTTTTTTTTTTTGAGACGGAGTCTCGCTCTGTCACCCAGGCTGGAGTGCAATGGCGTGATCTCGGCTCACTGCAACCTCTGCCTCCTAGGTTCAAGCAATTCTCCTGCCTCAGCCTCCCGAGTAGCTGGGATTATAGGCATGCGCCAAAACACCCAGCTATTTCTTTTTTGTATTTTTAGTAGAGACGGGGTTCCACCATGCTCCCCAGGCTAGTCTTGAACTCCTGGCCTCAAGTGATCCACCCGCCTCAGCCTCCCAAAGCGCTTGCCTTACAGGCGTGAGCCACCGCGCCCGGGCATATTTTTGTATTTTTGGTAGAGAAGGGGTTTCACCACGTTGGCCAGGCTGGTCTTGAATTCCTGACCTCAAATGATCTACCTGCCTTGGCCTCCCGAAGTGTTGGGACTACAGGCGTGAGCCACACGCCCATCCAAAAGATTATTTAATTTAATTAATTTATTTATTTTATTTATTTATTTTTTGAGACAGAGTTTCACTCTTGTTGCCCAGGCTGGAGTGCAATGGCACAATCTCGGCTCACCGCAACCTCCACCTCCCAGGTTCAAGCGATTCTCCTGCCTCAACCTCCCGAGTAGCTGGGATTACAGGCATGCGCCACGATACCCAGCTAATTTTGTATTTTTAGTAGAGACAAGGGTTTCTCCATGTTGGTCAGGCTGGTCTCAAACTCCTGACCTCAGGTGATGATCAGTCCACCTCGGCCTCCCAAAGTGCTGGGATTACAGGGGTGAGCCACCGCACCCGGCCTATTTATTTTTTGAGACAGAGTCTTGCTCTATCGCCCAAGCTGGAGTGAAGTGGCAGGATCTTGGCTCACCACAACCTCCGCCTCCCGGGTTCAAGCGATTCTCCTGCCTCAGCCTCCCAGATAGCTGGGATTACAGGCACCCGCCACCACACCCAGCTAATTTTTGTATTTTTAGTAGAGGTGGGGTTTTGCCATGTTGGCCAGGCTGGTCTCAAACTCCTGACCTCAAGTGATCTGCCCACCTTGGCCTTCCAAATTGCTAGGACTACAGGCATGAGCCACTGCTCCCAGCCCAAAAGATCATTATAAATAGTGATTAATGCTATAAGGAAAAAAGGCAGGCCAGGCCTGGTGGCTTATGCTTGTAATCCCAGCACTTTGGGAGTCCGTGGCAGGTGTATCGCTTGATCTCATAAGTTTGAGATCAGCCTGGGTAATATCCACATTTCTACCCTGTTCTGTGATACAGAGCAGCAAACCATAATTCCCCGTTCTCAGTTAATGTTAGGTTCTTCCAATGAGAGCAGATAGAAGCAGTCTGGGAGGCAGGAGGAAGAGAGGGGACTTGTTCTTGCCTGTTTGCTTACTATTCCTAGCATGTTCCCCTCAGTAATAACACTGCCTCTGGCAGTAGTATTTGGTTCAGTCTCCAGGTTCTTTGTACACTCCCAGAGACAGCCTCCTTGTGCTCCCGCGGAGGCACCAACAGCAGACCCCTCCTCAGAGTTTTGAGTCCCAACTACACAGGGCTCTGGGAGGCCCAGCACCAATCTGGTTGTGCCTCTTTCTTTTTTTCTTTCTGTCTTTTTTTTTGAGACAGAGTCTCGCTCTGTCACCCCAGTGGCACAATCTCAGCTCACTGCAACCTCTGCCTTCTGGGTTCAAACGATTCTCCTGCCTCAGCCTCCCACATAGCTGGAATTGCCGGCATGCACCACCACATCAGGCTAATTTTTTGTATTTTTAGTAGAGACAGGGTTTTGCCATGTTGGCCAGGCTGGTCTCGAACTCCTGACCTCAAGTGATCCGCCCACCTCTGCCTCTGAAAGTGCTGGGATTACAGGCATGAATCACAGCGCCTGGCTATGTGCCTCTTTCTTAGAGGGGTGAGAACGAGCTCTCCGGGGCTCTTCCTCCGATTTTGCTAGCTGTGCTAACCCCAACTTGTTTTTATTTTTATCTCCAGCTTTGGAGGTGGTAGCTGCTTCCTCTAGTTGTTATTTACATTGCCTCGGTGTTCCCTTTCTGCCTTCTCAGTCCTCTGTCACCCGTTTAATGAATTTCCTATTTTAACCTCTCTGTTTTCCTAACTGGATGCTGACTTACAGAAGGGCACTAGTAAGACTTATATTTTTACTCCAGTCCAATGGAAAGCCACTAAATGGTTTTAAGCAAAGGGTAGATTCATAGATTGTAAATCTGAATACTAATTTATTGCAAAGAGTACATAAATTATAATTATCGACACTGGGCGTGGTGGCTCATGCCTGTAACCCCAGCACTTTGGGAGGCCCAGGCAGGAATATGACTTGAGGTTGGGAGTTCGAGACCAGCCTGGCCAACATGGCGAAACCCAGTCTCTACGAAAAATACAAAAAAACTACAGGTGGCACACACCTGTAATCCCAGCTACTTGGGATGCTGAGGCAGGAAAATCGCTTGAACCTGGGAGGCAGAGGTTGCAGTGAGCCAAGATTACACCACTGCACCCCAGCCTGAGCGACAAAGTGAGAATAAAAAAAAAATATATGGCCAGGCACGGTGGCTGACGCCTATAATCCTAGCACTTTGGGAGACAGAGGCAGGTGGATCACCTGAGGTCAGGAGTTCGAGACCAGCCTGACCAATACGGAGAAACCTTGTCTCTACTAAAAATACAAAATTAGCCAGGCGTGGTGGCGCATGCATGTGATCTCAGCTACTCGGGAGGCTGAGGCAGGAGAATTGCTTGAACCCGGGAGGTGGAGGTTGTGGTGAGGTGAGATTGTGCCATTGCACTCCAGCCTGGGCAACAAGAGTGAAACTCCGTCTCAAATTAAAAAAAATATATATATATATATATATGAGATAGAGGATGTGCAAATATATATAAATATATGTTACTATCTTCATTTTTTCTTTCTTTTTTTTTTTTTTTGAGATGAAGTCTCACTCTGTCACCGGGCTGGAGTGCAATGGCGCGATCTTGGCTCACACTGCAACCTCTATCTCTTGGGTTCAAGTGATTCTCCTGCCTCGGCCTCCCCAGTGGCTGAGATGATAGCTGCACACCACCATGCCCAGCTAATTTTTGTATTTTTAGTAGAGATGGGGATTCACCATGTTGGCCAGGATGATCTGAATCTCTTGATCTCGTGATCTGCCCGCCTCGGCCTCCCAAAGTGTTGGGATTAACAGGCGTCAGGCACTGTGCCCGCCTCTTTTTTTTTTTTTTTTCTTAATAGAGACCAGGTTTCAGTACGTTGCCCAGGTTGGTCTTGAACTCCTGGCTTCAAGTGCTTCTCCAACCTCCTTTAGGCCTGAGCCAACATGCCTGGCCTAAAAGTACCTTTCTCTATATACACACATATATTAATATGTATAATGTATGTACAATATGCCAGGTGCTATGCCTCACGCCTGTAATTCCAGCACTTTGGGAGGCCGAGGTGGGCGTATCACCTGAGGTCAGGAGTTCGAGACCAGCCTGGCCAACATGGTGAAACCCTGTCTCTACTAAAAATACAAAAATTAGGGCCGGGCACGGTGGCTCACACCTGTAATCTCAGCACTTTGGGAGGACAAGGCGGGTGGATCACCTTAGATCAGGAGTTCGAGATCACCCTGGTAAACATGGTGAAACACTGTCTCTACCAAAAATCCAAAAAATTGGCCGGGCTCATGCCTGTAATCCCAGCACTTTGGGAGGCCAAGGTGGGCGGATCACGAGGTCAGGAGTTCGAGACCATCCTGGCTAACATGGTGAAACCCCGTCTCTATTAAAAATACAAAAAATTAGCCCAGCGTGGTGGTGGGCACCTGTAGTCCCAGCTACTCGGGAGGCTGAGCCAGGAGAATGGCGTGAACCCAGGAGGCAGAGCTTGCAGTAAGCCGAGATCGCACCACTGCACTCCAGCCTGGGTGACAGAGTGAAGACTCCATCTCAAAACAAAACAAAACAAAACAAAAAACAATTAGATGTGGTGGCACACACTTGCAATTCCAGCTACACAGGAGGCTGAGGCAGGATGATCACTTGAACCCCAGTGAGCTGAGATCATGCCACGGCACTTCAGCCTGGGTGACAAGAGTGTGAGACTCCATCTCAAAAAAAAAAAAAAAAAAGACAGGGTCACGCCATGTTGCTTATCTTGAACTCTTGGGTTCAAGCCGACTCCCACCTCGGCCTCTCAAAGTACTACAATTACAGGTGTAAGCTACTGCATTCAACCCCAAATAGCTTTTATGCACAATCAGGCTTTTTGCTTCTCTGTCAAATGGATATAGCTACTTTTCTCCTCACATTTTCTCTTAAAGGAAAGGCATTATCAAACTAGTTGTACAATATATTGGGAATTCCTTACAGTTTTAAAAATTATCAGGCCAGGGCCAGGCCTGTGGCTCACGCCTGTAATCCCAGCACTTTGGGAGGCCGAGGCGGGCAGATCACCTGAAGTCTGGAGTTCAAGACCAGCCTGAACAACATGGAGAAACCCCGTCTCTACTACAAATACAAAATTAGCCAGGTCTGGTGGTGCATGCCTGTAATCACAGCTACTCGGGAGGCTGAGGCAGGAGAATTGCTTGAACCTGGGTGGCAGAGGTTGCAACAAGCCGAGATCACGCCATTGCACTCTAGCCTGGGCAACAAGAGCAACACTCTGTCTCAAAAAAAACAAAAACAAAAACAAAAACAAAAGTCAGGGCACAGTGGCTCGTGCCTGTAATCCCAGCACTTTGGGAGACCAAGGCAGGTGGATCACGAGGTCAGGAGATCGAGACAATCCTGGCTAACATGGTGAAATCCCATCTCTACTAAAAAAATACAAAAAAATAGGCCGGGCGTGGTGGCTCACACCTGTAATCCCAGCACTTTGGGAGGCCAAGGTGGGCAGATCACCTGAGGTCAGGAGTTCGAAACCAGCCTGACCATCATGGAGAAACCCTGTCTCTACTAAAAATATCAGCTATTTGGGAGGCTGAGGCAGGAGAATCACTTGAACCCGGGAAGAGGAAGTTGGGGTGAGCCGAGATCTGGCCGACCCTCCAGTCTGGGCAACAAGAGTGAAACTCCATCTCAAAAAAAAAAATTATTTTATGGCCAAGTGCAGTGGCTCATGCTTGTAATCCCACCACTTTGAGAGGCCAAGACAGGTGGATTGTTTGAGGTCAGGAGTTTGAGACCAGCCTGGCCAACATGGCCAAACCCCGTCTCTACTAAAAATACAAAAATTCGCCGAGCGTGGTGGCATGCACCTGTAGTCCCAGCTACTTGCGGGGCTGACACAGGAGAATCGCTTGAACCCGGGAGGCGGAGGTTGCAGTGAACCGAGATCATGCCACTTCACTCCAGCCTGGGCAACAGAGCGAGACTCTGTCTCAAAATAAATACAAATAAATAAAAATAAAAATTATCATTTTATTATAAAATCACATGGAAAATGTATTTATTGATGAGCACGGGCAGTTTGTTTTTGTTTTTTGTTTGTTTTTAAGACAGGGTCTTGCAATGTTACCCAGGCTGTGGTGCAGTGGTGCCATCACAGGTCACTGCAGCCTCAACCTCCCAAGCTCAAGTGATCCTCCCACCTCAGCCTCCCGAGTGGCTGGGGTGATAGGCGTACACCACCATATCTGGCTATTTTTTGCAATTTTTGTAGAGACAGGGTCTTGCCATGTTGCCCAAGCTGGTCTCGAACTCTTGGTCTCAAATGATCTGCCCGCCTCCACCTCGCAGCATTCTGGGATTACAGGTGTGAGCCATGGCACCCGGCCCAGAATGTGATTTTTCTTAATTTTTTCCTGTGTAGGCTTTCTTTCTTTTTTTAATCTTAAATTGGTGAGTTTGAAGGAATGAATGAATATCATCATTTTGGTTCTGGGAGATGTTCTTAATAGATGTATGATTTGCTGGTTACCATAACAAAGTACTGCAAACTAAGTGGCTTAAGCCACAGAAATGTATTGTCATACAGTTCTGGGGGGCAGAAGTTCAAAATCAAGGTGTTGGCGGGTTGGTTCCTCCAAATGCTATGAGCAGTGGTCCCTCGCATGCCTCTCCCGTAGCTTTTGGCGGTGAGCAGACAATCGGACATTCCTTGGCTCGTAGAAGGTAGAAGTATCACCCAGATCTGCGCCTGCATCTTCACATAGTGTTCTCCCTCTACAACACTGTTACGTTGGATTAAGGCCAATGACCTCATTTTAACTTGATTAGATCTGTAAGAACATCTCCAAATAAGGTCGCATTCTGAGGTACTGGGGGTTAGGATATGACTTCAACATACGAAATTGTGGGGGACATAATGCAACCCACAGCAAGAGTGTTATTAAAAAATAATTTAGGTGTTTTTTTTTTTTGAGACAGAGTGTTGCTCTTGTTGCCCAGGCTGGAGTGCAATGGTGCGATTTCCGCTCACCGCAACTTCTGCCTCCTGGGTTCAAGTGATTCTCCTGCCTCAGCCTCCTGAGTAGCTGGGATTACAGGCATGTGCCACCACGCCCAGCTAATTCTGTATTTTTAGTAGAGACGGGGTTTCTCCATGTTGGTCAGGCTGGTCTTGAACTCCGGACCTCAGGTGATCCACCCGCCTCGGCCTCCCAAACTGCTGTCATTACAGGCATGAGCCACCGCGCCTGGCCTAATTTAGGTATTTTAAGGCCAGGTGTGGTGGCTCATACCTGTAATACCAGTGCTTTGGGAAGCTAAAGGGGGAGGATCACTTGAGGCCGGGAATTCAAGATCAGCCTGGGTGACACAGCGAGACCTTGTCTCCATAAAAAAAGTTACAAATTTGGACAGGCACAGTGAGTCATGCCTGTAATCCCAACGTTTTGGGAGGCCAAGGTGGGCGGATCACTTCAGGTCAGAAGCTTGAGACCAGACTGGTCAACATGGCAAAACCCTGTCTCTACTAAAAATACAAAAATTAGCCGGGTGTGGTGGCATACGCCTGTAATTTCAGCTACTCGGGACACTGAGGCAGGAGAATCGCCTGAACCTGGGAGGCAGAGGTTGAAGTGAGCCGAGATCGCACCACTGCACTCCAGGCTGGGTGGCGGAGTGAGATGCTGTCTAAAAAAAAAAAAAAAAATTAGCCTGGCATGGCTGGCAGGCACCTGTAATCCCAGATACTCAGGAGGCTGAAGCAGGAGAATCACTTGAGGCCAGGAGGTGCAGTGTGCTGAGATCATGCCACTGCACTCCAGACTGGGTGACAGAGTGAGACTCAGTCTAAGAAAGAAAAAAAAATTTACAAATTAGCCCAGTAGTCCCAGTTACTCAGGAGGCTGAGGTTGAAATGATTGCTTGAGCCCCTGAGTTCGAGGCTGCAGTGAGCCATGATCTCACCACTTCTTCCAGCCTGGGTGACAGAGCAAGACCCTGTCTCAAAAAACAAAACAAAGTGTTTAGATATTTTAAATGTGATTTTTTAAGGGAAAGTTTACAAACATTAACAGCAATGTTTCCATTATAAAAACATAAAAATCGTCCATGGGTTTTGTTTTTTTGTTTGTTTGTTTGTTTTTTTGAGACAGAGTCTCACTCTGTTGCCTGGTGGCATGATCTCGGCTCATTGCAACCTCTGCCTCCCAGGTTCAAGCGATTTTGTGATCCCAGCTACTCTTGCCTCAGCCACCCGAGTAGCTGGGATCACATGTGCATGCCACCATGCCTGGTTAATATTTGTATTTTTAGTACATACAGACGGGGTTTCACCATGTTGGCCAGGATGGTCTCTAACTTTTTTTTTTGAGGCAGGGTCTCGAGTAGTTGGGACTACAGGTGCTATGATCGCGCCACTGTGCTCCAGTTCAGCCTGGGCAACAGACAACAGACAGTGGGAAAGCCTACTTTCTTGGGACAATTTGAGTTAATATCAGTCCATACTCAAAAAAGGTAGATAATTGGGGCCGATAAAAACTTGTAAAGCTTAATTTAAATTTATAATTGAAACTTTCAACATTGTAATTTAGTTAGTATCTGTATTGTTCCGGATTGTTTTGGATTGCATACAAGGGAAACTCAACTCAATCTGATTCAAGAAAATAAGGGAAGGTATTGACTTTTAATTTATTTATTATTATTATTATTTTAGTATTTATTGATCATTCTTGGGTGTTTCTCAGAGAGGGGGATGTGGCAGGGTCATAGGATAATAATGGAGAAAAGGTCAGCAGATAAACACGTGAACAAAGGTCTCTGGTTTTCCTAGGCAGAGGTCCCTGCGGCCTTCGGCCTTCAGCAGTGTTTGTGTCCCTGGGTACTTGAGATTAGGGAGTGGTGATGACTCTTAAGGAGCATGCTGCCTTCAAGCATCTGTTTAAACAAAGCACATCTTGCACCGCCCTTAATCCATTTAACCCTGAGTTGACACAGCACATGTTTCAGAGAGCACGGGGTTGGGGTTAAGGTTATAAATTAACAGCATCCCAAGGCAGAAGAATTTTTCTTAGTACAGAACAAAATGGTGTCTCCTATGTCAACTTCTTTCTACACAGACACAGTAACAATCTGATCTCTCTTTCTTTTCCCCACATTTCCCCCTTTTCTTTTCGACAAAACCGCCATCGATATCATGGCCCATTCTCAATGGTCGCTGACTCGTCGGAGCTGTTGGGTACACTTCCCAGATGGGGCGGCCTGGCAGAGGCGCTCCTCACTTCCCAGACGGGGTGGCGGCCGGGCAGAGGCACCCCCCGCCTCCCAGACGGGGCGGCGGCCGGGCAGAGGCGCCCCTCGCTTCCCAGACAGGGTGGCCGGGCAGAGGGGCTCCCCACATCCCAGACGATGGTCGGCCGGGCAGAGACGCTCCCCACTTCCCAGACGGGGTGGCGGCCGGGCAGAGGCTGTAATCTTAGCACTTTGGGAGGCCAAGGCAGGCGGCTGGAAGGTGGAGGTTGTGGCGAGCCGAGATCACGCCACTGCACTCCAGCCTGGGCAACAGTGAGCATTGAGTGAGCGAGACTCCGTCTGCAATCCCAACACCCCGGGAGGCTGAGGCGGGCAGACCACTCGAGGTCAGGAGCTGGAGACCGGGCCGGTCAACAGGGCGAAACCCCGTCTCCTCCAAAAATACAAAAACCAGTCAGGCGTGGCAGCGCACGCCCGCAATCTCAGGCACTCGGCAGGCCAAGGCAGGAGAACCACGGGAGCCCGGGGCAGGGAGGCTGCAGCGAGCCGAGACCACGGCAGTACAGTCCAGCCTCGGCAACAGAGGGAGACTGAAGAAAGAAGGGAGAGGGAGGGGGAGGGGGAGGGGGAGAGAGGGAGCTATTTATTATTTCTTCAAGACAGGATTTCACTGTCACCCAGGCTGGAGTTCATGCAGTGGCACAAAGATGGTTCACTGCAGCATCGACTTCCTGGGCTCAGGGGATTCTGTGCCTCAGCCTCTTGAGTACCTGGGACCATACATGTGTGCCACCATGCCCAGCTAATTTTCTTGATTTTATCTTTGTAGAGATGGGGTCTCACTATGTTGCACAGGCTGGTCTTAAATTCCTGGCCTCAAGGAATCCTCCTGCCTTGGCCTCCCGAAGTGTTGGGATTACCAGCGTGAGTCACCACACTCAGCCCCTGGTCTGTTTTTTTTTTTTTTGAGACTGAGTCTCCCTCTGTCACCCAGGCTGGAGTGCAGTGGCACAATCTCAGCTCACTGCAACTTCTGCCTCCAGGGTTCAAGCGATTCTCCTGCCTCAGCCTCCCGAGTAGCTGGGATTACAGGCGCCTGCCACCATGCCCAGCTAATTTTTTTGTGTGGGTTTTTAGTAGAGACGGGTTTTTACCATGTTGGCCAGGTTGGTCTCGAACTCCTAGCCCCAGGTGATCCACCTGCCTTGGCCTCCCAAAGTGGTGGGATTACAGGAGTGAGCCACCGTGCCTCGCCTGTATTGACTCTCTCTCTTTTTTTTTTGAGACCGAGTCTCCCTCTGTAGCCCAGGCTGGAGTGCAGTGGCACGATCTCGGCTCACGGCAGCTTCCACTTCCTGGGTTCAAGTGATTCCCCTGCCTCACCCTCCCGAGTAGCTGGGATTACAGGTGCCCACCACCACGCCCAGCTAATTTTTTTTTTTTTTCAGATGGAGTCTCACTCTGTCACCCAGGCTGGAGTGCAGTGGCGTGATCAAGGTTCACTGCAACCTCCACCCCGCCGGGTTCAAGGGATTCTCCTGCCTCAGCCTCCTGAGTAGCTGGGATTACAGGTGCTTGCCATCGTGCCTGGCTAATTTTTGTATTTTTAGTAGAGACGGGGTTTCACCATCTTGGCCAGGCTGGTCTTGAACTTCTGACCTCGTGATCCACCCGCCTCAGTCTCACAAAGTGCTGGGATTAAAGGCGTGAGCCACTGCGCCCGGCCAATTTTTTGTATTTTTAGTAGAGACAGGGTTTCACCATGTTGGCCAGGCTGGTGTTGAATTCCTGACCTCAGGTGATCCACCCACCTCGGCCTCCCAAAGTGCTGGGATTACAGGTGTGAGCCACTGCGCCCAGCCCAGCCTGTATTGACTCTTGTTTTTTCTTTTTATTTTTGTATTGACTCTTTTTTTTTTTTTTTTACTATACTTTAAGTTCTAGGGTACATGTGCACAACATGCAGGTTTGTTACATAGGTATACATGCTCCATGTTGGTGTGCTGCACCCATTAACTCGTCATTTACATTAGGTATATCTCCTAATGCTATCCCTCCCCTCCCCCTTCCCCCCTGTATTGACTCTTATATCAAAAAAGTTAAGGCTGAGCACAGTGGTTCCCACCTGTAATCCCAGCACTTTCAGAGGCCAGAGTAGTAGGATCACTTGAGCCCAGGAGTTAGAGACCAGCCTGGGCAACATGGTGAGACCTTGTCTCTATAAAAAGAAAACCAGGGCCAGGCGCGGTGGCTCACACCTGTAATCCTAGCACTTTGGGAGGTCGAGGTGGGTGGATCACCTGAGGTCAGGAGTTTGAGACCTCCTGCCTGACCAACAAGGTGAAACCCCGTCTCTACTAAAAATACAAAAATTAGCCAGGCATGATGGCAGGTGCCTGTAGTCCCAGCTACTTGGGAGGCTGAGACAGAGAATTGCTTAAATCCAGGAGGCAGATGTTGCAGTGAGCTGAGTTCATGCCACTGCACTTCAGTCTGAGCAATGGAGTGAGACTCCGTCTGAAAAAAAAAAAAAAAAAAGAAAACTGAAAAACCAAAAAAGCTCAGGGTTAGAAATCGCTTCAGGTTTGACAGGGTCCCAGGACTCAGCAGATGTCATCAGAATCCAGTCCCTCCCCACCCCACCTACTCCTTTGCCCTGCTGTTTTCTGGGTTGATCTCATTATCAGCGTGGCCTCCTGCCCCACAGGGCCTCTGCCCCAACTTCCCAACACTGTCTTAGCAACATCAGAGGCAAGAGAGTATCTTTTTCCTGATATTTTCAATGCAAAGTATTAGAACTGCGACTCACTGGCCCGGCACCAAATCGGATCACTATGGCTGTGGATCCAGTATTCTAATCAGCTAGACCTGGCTTGCACACTCAATCTGGAGTGATGTGCATGAGACATGGTTAGTGCTCTCCAAACCACATGGACTTTGAGAGAGGGAGATAAAACTAAGATGCGGCTCTCTGAAGAAAGAACCATAGATTCTGGGCAGTCAAAAACAACTGTCTACCACAGTGTTTGCCATCTTGAATAATCCAATAGATGCTTCAGCCACACACTGGTGCTCTCTGCTGCATTAGACATCGCTGGTGCTAGTGTCTCTGAATTAGAGGGTGACCTTTATGGGGGCTCTGATTGCTCCTGGTGTCTCAGGGAAGGATTTGGTGTGATGAGGCTAATTCAGCGAGTGTGTGGAAAACTGCAAACTGGGTATAGTTGATGCTATTGCATAGAAGTGCAGCTGCCAGGGTGAAGAAGTGTTGCTGGGATGACTACTCCCTTGCATCCATGATATAATCTCTCCTTGATTCTGCTTTGACCTCTCTGATTGACCTTTCTCATGCTCACTGGGTGCTCACTTTCTTTCTTTCTTTTTTTTTTTTTGAGGAGTCTCGCTCTGTCACCAGGCTGGAGTGCAGTGGTTCGATCTTGGCTCACTGCAACCTCCACCTCCTGAGTTGAAGTGATTCTCCTACCTCAGCCTCCTGAGTAGCTGGGATTACAGGCACACACCACCACACCCAGCTAATTTTTGTATTTTTAGTAGAGACGGGATTTCACCATGTTGGACAGGATGGTCTCGATCTCTTGACCTCGTGATCCTGCCATCTTGGCCTCCCAAAGTGCTGGGATACAGGCGTGAGCCACTGTGCCCGGCCTGGTGCTCATTTCTTTTTTGTTGTTGTTGCTGAGACAGAGTCTTGCTCTGTTGCCCAGGCTGGAGTGCAATGGCACCATCTCCACTCACT
This sequence comes from Homo sapiens, assembly GCF_000001405.40. Taxonomy (NCBI): domain Eukaryota; kingdom Metazoa; phylum Chordata; class Mammalia; order Primates; family Hominidae; genus Homo; species Homo sapiens. The sequence continues at coordinate 123,368,546 of NC_000012.12, read as the reverse complement.
GTAATTTCCGCCACCTGTGTTCAAGTGATTCTCCTGCCTCAACCTCCTGAGTAGCTGGGATTACAGGTGTGCACCACCACACCCGGCTAATTTTTTGTATTTTTAGTAGAGACAGGGTTTCACCTTGTTGGCCAGGCTGGTCTCAAACTCCTGACCTCATGATCCACCCACCTTGGCCTCCGAAAGTGCTGGGATTACAGACGTGAGCCACCACACCTGGCCTGGTGCTCACTTCTTAGACACAGAACCTCAGCTCTGCCCCTGGCTCTCCTCTCTGCATTCTCTCCTAGTTGTATTTTTTTTTTTTTTTTTGAGATGAAGTCTCACTCTGTCGCCCAGGCTGGAGTGCAGTGGCATGATCTCGGCTCACTGCAACCTCCACCTCCTGGGTTCAAGCGATTCTCCTGCCTTAGCTTCCCAAGTAGCTCAGATTACAGGTGCCTACCACCACATCCGGCTAATTTTTGTATTTTCAGTAGAGATGGGGTTTCACCATGTTGGCAAGGCTGGTCTTGAACTCCTGACCTCAGGTTATCCACCCACCTTTGCCTCCCAAAGTGCCTGGATCACATGTGTGAACCACCGTGTCCAGCCTCTCCTAGTATAGTTTTATCCCGTCTCACATTAATCCCCATCTGGATCCCCAAGCTGTAGGATTCAATTGCTTCCTAAGTATCTCCAATAGGATGTCCCAAAGGTCCCTCACCCTCAAAATTCCTTATGATTTACTTTGGTAGCGTCCAATGAACAACACTTCCCACTAGTCATACCCTTGTGTTGCCTTTCCTGAGCTGAATTTGGCTGCCTTGTTAACCAATAGAATGTGGTGGAAACATCACTGTCAGTTGCAAGCCTAAGAATTTTTTTTTTTTTCCAGACAGAGTTTTGCCAAGCGCAGTGACTCATGCCTGTAATACCAGGACTTTGGGAGGCTGAGGCGGGCGGATCACCTGAGGTCAGGAGTTTGAGACCAGCCTGGCCAATATGGTGAAACCTCCTCTCTACTAAAAATACAAAAATCAGCTGGGTGTGGTGGCACACACCTGTAGTCCCGGCTACTCGGGAGGCTGAGACAGGAGAATTGCTTGAACCTGGGAAGCAGAGGCTGCAGTGAGCCGAGATCGCACCGCTGCACTCCAGCCTGGGTGAGATAAAGCAAGACCCCGTCTCAATAAATAAATAAATAAATAAATAAATAAATAAATAAATAAGGCCCGACGCAGTGGCTCACGCATGTAATCCCAGCACTTTGGGAGGCTGAGGCGGGCATATCACCTGAGGTCAGGAGTTCGAGACCAGCCTGGCTAACATGGTGAAACGCCGTTTCTACTAAAAATACAAAAAATTAGCCGGGCGTGGTGGTGGGCACCTGTAATCCCAGCTACTCAGGAGGCTGAGGCAGGAGAATCACTTGAACCCAGGAGGCGGAGGTTGCAGTGAGCTGAGATCCCGCCATTGCAACAAACTAGCTTGGGCAACAAGAGTGAAACTATGTCTCAAAAAAAAAAAAAATTAAAAAAATAGTTTCGCTTTGTTACCCAGGCTGGTGCAGTGGCACGATTATAGCTCACTGTAGCCTCAAACTTCTGGGCAATCAAGTGATTCTCCTACCTTAGCCTCCTGAGTAGCTGGGACTATATATCACACTTGGCTAATTAAAAGTTTTTTGTTGGGCCGGGCGCGGTGGCTCACGCCTGTAATCCCAGCACTTTGGGAGGCCGAGATGGGTGGATCACGAGGTCAGGAGATCGAGACCACGGTGAAACCCCGTCTCCACTAAAAATACAAAAAAAAAAAAAAAAAAGTCCTAGCTACTCGGGAGGCTGAGGCAGGACAATGGCGTGAACCCAGGAGGCAGAGGTTGCAGTGAGCCGAGATCGCGCTACTGCACTCCAGCCTGGGCGACCGACAGAGCGAGACCCCGTCTCAAAAAGAAAAATGTTTTTTTGTCGAGATGAGGTTGCACTTTGTTACCCAAGTCTGGTCTCAAACTCCTGGCTGAGATCCCCGTTTCAGCCTCCCAAAGTGTTGGGATTACAGGCGTGAGCCACCACACCTGGCCTGTGCCTAAGGTTTTTTTTGTTTTTTGTTTTTGAGTCGGATTCTCGCTCTGTCGCCCAGGCTGCAGTGCAATGGCACGATCTCGGCTCACTGCAACCTCCGTCTCTTGAGTTCAAGCGATTCTCCTGCCTCAGCCTCCAGAGTAGCTGGGATTACAGGTGCCCGCCACCAAGCCCCAGCTAAATTTTGTATTTTTAGCAGAGATGGGGTTTCACCATGTTGGCCAGGCTGGTCTCGAACTCCTGACCTCAGGTGGTCCGCCCACCTCGGCCTCCCGAAGTGCTGGGATTACAGGCGTGAGCCACTGCGCCCGGCCTAAAATATTTTTTATTTTTGTCTTTATAGGTTTTTTTTCTATGTGTGTGAGAGGATTAAATGAAATAATGTAATTAGTAAAGCGATTAGTTAGCACTTTAAAAATATTTATAAATGTATACATAGATATATAATACATATCTATGTGTACAAACACTGAAGTTTCCTATTCTTTCTGTGCCTACTTTTTCCTTTCTTTCCCCGAATACTTTGTCTCTGGAAGAGTTCACACTGTAACCTCCAACTGTTCCAGCTACTTGGTTTGCTTTCAGCACTAGGCTTGTAGGATGCGCAGCCAGTAGGGGGCAAGAATCACCCAGGCGTGCTTATTACCCAAGCAACGGAGTCAAACAGCACTTTCAGAATGACTTTACAAAAGGGTTACCAACAAGGTAATATGTTTATTGTGTTAGGTCGCTTAATAATAACGAAAAGATGAAAACAAGGAAGTGAGAAGCGGTAGGGACAGCCCTACTCTTCAGTATTCATTAAGTGGGAGCCCCGGTGTGTCGGGCTTGCGTATGAGCGTGAAGACAGACGTGGGATGGCTGAGCTCACACGCCTTAGGCTCTGATTCTAGCCGTGGTCGCGCCGAGGGCTCCGGGTTACTTGCGGTTTCACTGCCAATAAAGTGCTTTGAGCGAGCCTAACAAGCAATGAATATGTAAACATTTTGTTTCTAGGACTAACTAGGTAATGAAGAGATCTTCCAAGTGACAGAAACGCTGCTAGGTAACTTCCTGGGCCGTAGCTCCCCACCCTAACAGGTTCTGAAAATAGCTCCAGGCCCTTCCTAACCGGAGTTTGAAAGCAGGCGCGGGGCGCATGCGCGCGGCCCTCCGGCCGACCTCCCGATAGCCCTGGCACGCGGACCTTCTTCCCGACAGGCCGCGGGGAAAAAAGGGCGGGGAAACGGAATTACCGCGAGCTCTCCGTGAGCGCCGGCGGAAACAGTAGTCACGTGACTCTCCTAGGTGGCCTTCGCCTTCCCCCTCCCCCTTCGCGGAAACCCGGCCCCCTCACCCCTCGCCCACCCCAGAGCCGCGGTAATGGACCGTTTGGGTTCCGGAATTCTCTTGGATCCAACAACTGGTACCGGGCCGAGGATAGCCGGCGGAGTCCGTTTTTGGCGGCGAAGACTGGGGGGTGGTCAAGATGGGGGGGAAATCATCTTCCTTCACCTAGGAGGGAGGCGGGGCGGAGAGGGGCGCAGAGAGGCGGGTGGGGGAGGAGGGAGGAAGTCACGTGAGGGCGCTGCGTGCGCGCGGCGCCTCATCCGTTGCCCCTCCCCCGCCCCTCCCGGCGGGGCGGGGGGGCTGGGGGAGGGGCGTCAAGATGGCGGCGGGGAGGTAGGCAGAGCAGGACGCCGCTGCTGCCGCCGCCACCGCCGCCTCCGCTCCAGTCGCCTCTGGTCCTTCAAACTCACACCTCCCGGGAGGAGCTGTGCTGGCGCCGGGTCCCGCGGGGAAAGTAAGTCCTTCCCTTGGCCCTTTTCTCCTTCCACACTCCCCCTCCCGGACAGCCTCCCACTCCCACCCTCGGGGGGCCGTGCGGGGCCAGGCTGGGGGGACAGCCACCTCGCCCCGGCTTGGGGCCTCCCTCGCCGCTTGCCGCTCCTCGCGGCCGCGCGCTCCGGGGCCCTCGGGGGCATGTTCCCGACGGCGGCTCCGTTGTACTCGCTTCCTCTGTTCGTCAGCGCCGGGCCCCGCTGTCGCCGCTCGTGGGGCTTTCGGGCTCCGGGAGCCCCGCTGTCCCGGGCCGGAGGCACCCCTCTTGGACCGCGGGGCAGGGTCTGTGCACGCCGGCTCCGCTGGGTTCGCCCCTTTGGCTTCCGCCTCACAACCCGGGGGCTGCGGGTCCGGGACCCGCGGGGAAAGTAAGGACCGGATCCTTCCCAAGTCCTCTTTCGTGCCCCAGCATTGCTCCCGGCTCTGGGCGAGGGAGGGAGGCAGGCGACGCGGTCGTCCTTCCTAAATCTGAACCCCACAGCGCGGTCTCGTACATGCCCCGCTCTTGGGGCGGTGGGGAAGCCGCGGGGGACACGTGCAGGCTCCCTTCACGCCTCTCCAGGCGACTCGCTTAGTTCTGCCTCGGCGGGCGAGCTCACCTCCCAGACCCTAAGAATTACCCATGGAGGGGAACGGCAGTTGGGGATTTGCTTACTTTGAGAGCGTTTGGCATAACGAGCATCCAGAGTTCCCCAAAGCAGTGGATACCGGTGGTTTCCCAGAAGTGGTTTGGGGTCGGTTTAACCGCTGAGGAGATTTGGATGTTCCTAAACCCTTCTGATTGTTTCTTTCCTGACCCTGGCATCCAGCTCCTCCCCTTCCCACCCCTGCTTTGTGCTTCTGTTTGGTTAATGTTTGCGGACCACTAACTTGATCCTCGCACAGAGAAGCTCTTTTTATGTGCGTGCTCGGTTTACTGTGGGAGGCTTTTGTTTTGGGGAGTCGCTGGTTGAGAAACGTGGGAAAAGAACGGGCCAGAAAATGAGAGACAAATAAAGCAACGTTTTTATCCATTGAATTGCGCAGCCAATTGTAAGTGCACCCGGAAGTTTGTACTGAACACGTGTTGAGGGAAGGTTATAAACTGGTCCCCTTTGACCTTTGAAAGTTGGCTATTATCATTTTATGTTGAGTTAAATGTTTCATATATTCTAGACAGCCAGAATTAGGGATGGAATATGGTTTCTAAAGAGTCATCCAGAAGGGTGCAGAGAACTGTCATCCGGAGTGCCCTAGCAGGAATTGACTTAACACTTTCAGATAATTCTGCGAGCTGACAGTACAGAGGGATTCTATTTTCCACCATATTTTCTAGCAATCAGAATTGATTTTCATAAGCGTAGGGAAAGCTATCATCGTTGCACAGAAGATAGCAGAATTTCCTACTGGTGACTTGAGTGGGACATTAATTTTGCAAGCAAGGGAACATTTTCTCTCATCTTTTAAAGAAGTTGTTTCCAAAATTTTTCCGATGGGAGACGACTTTACTTTTTTTCTCTGGCTTCTGCTTTTTATCTTCCATTCCAACTTATTCCATATAATTGCGTTTGGAATATTTATGCTATTTTTAAATTTTTGAGACAGGGTCCCACTCTGTTGCTCAAGCTGAAGTGCAGTGACGTGGTCATAGCTCACTGCAGCTTGAACTCCTGGGCTCAAGCGATCGTCCCACTTCAGCCTCCGGAGTAGCTGGGACTACAGATGTGCACCACTACAGCAGCTAATTTTTTTTTTTTTAATTTTTTTGTTGAGAGGCGGGGGTCTCACCATGTTGGGAGGCAGCTACTGGCCTCAAGCAATCTTCTGGCCTCCGCTTCCCGAAGTGGTGGGATTACAGGCATGAGCCATTGTGCCTGGCCCCTTCAGAATCTTTTTTTTTTTTTTTTTTTTTTTTGAGGCGGAGTCTTGCTGTGTTGCCCAGGCTGGAGTGTAGTGGTATGAACTCGGCTCACTGCAACCTCTGCCTTCAGGGTTCAAACAATTCTCCTGCCTCAGTCTCCCTAGTAGCTGGGATTGCAGGCATGTGCCACCACACCTGGCTAATTTTTTTTTATGTAGTTGGCAGAAAGGGGTTTCACCATGTCGGCCAGGCTGGTCTCACACTAGTGACCTCAAGTGATCCACTCACCTCTGTCTCCCGGAGTGCTGGAATTACAGCCGTGAGCCACCGCCCTTGGCCCCCCCGTCAGAATCCTTTTTTTTTTTTTTTTTTTTTTTTTTTTTTTTTGAGACGGAGTCTCGCTCAGTGGCCCAGGCTGGAGTGCAGTGGCACGATCTCTGCTCACTGCAAGCTCCGCCTCCCGGGTTCACGCCATTCTCCTGCCTCAGCCTCCCAAGTAGCTGGGATTACAGGTGCCCGCTGCCACGCCCGGCTAATTTTTTGTACTTTTAGTAGAGACGGGGTTTCACCATGTTAGCCAGGATAGTCTCGATCTCCTGACCTCGTGATCCGCTTGCCTCGGCCTCCCAAAGTGCTGGGATTGCAGGCGTGAGCCACCACGCCCAACAGAATCTTTTTTTTTTGAGGTGGAGTCTCGCTCTCTCGCCCAGGCTGGAGTGCGGTGTCATAACCTTGGCTCACTGCATTCCTCTGCCTCCTGGGTTAAAACGGTTATTCTGCCTCAGCCTCCCAAATAGCTGGGACTACAGGCGCGTGCCACCATGCCCGGCTAATTTTCGTATTTTTAGTAGACACGGGGTTTCACCATATTGGCCAGGCTGGTCTCAAACTCCTGACCTGGTGATCCGCCTGCCTCGGCCTCCCAAAGTGCTGGGATTACAGGCGTGAGCCACCGCGCCTGGCCTCAGAATCTTAAATAAATCTTCACTTTAGTTGCTGAAGGGGAGACACTGAGTTAGTGGCCTACTATTCATTCATTCATTCATTGAATGCGGTTATATGTCAGGCAATTTTGTATTTTTTTTTTTTTTTTAGACTGTCTTGCTCTGTCACCAGGCTGGAGTGCAGTGGGGTGATCTGAGCTCACTGCAACCTCCCGCTCCTTGGTTCAAGTGATTCTCCTGCCTCAGCCTCCTGAGTAGCTGGGATTACAGGTACACGCCACCACGCCCAGCTAATTTTTGTACTTTTATTTATTTATTTAAATATTTTTTGAGATGGAGTTTTGCTCTTGTTGCCCAGGCTGGAGTGCAATGGCGCGATCTCGGCCCACTGCAACCTCCCCCTCCCGGGTTCAAGTCATTTTCCTGCCTCAGCCTCCCGAGTAGCTGGGATTACAAGCATGAGCCACCACGTCTGGTTAACTTTGTATTTTTAGTAGAGACGGGGTTTCTGCATGTTGATCAGGCTGTTCTTGAACTCCCGACCTGAGATGATCCACCCACCTCCGCCTCCCAAAGTACTGGGATTACAGGCGTGAGCCACCATGCCCAGCCTTCTTTCTATTTTTTATTTTTTTGAGACGGAGTCTCACTTTGTTGCCCAGGCTGGAGTGCAGTGGTGTGATCTCTGCTCACTGCAACCTCCACCTCCCAGGTTCAAGCAATTCTCCTGCCTTAGCCTCCCAAGTAGCTGGGATTACAGGCATGTGCCACCACGCCCAGCTAATTTTTGTATTTTTAGCAGAGACGAGGTTTTACCATTTTGACCAGGATTGTTTCAATCTCTTGATCTCGTGATCCGCCTGCCTCGGCCTTCCAAAGTGCTGGGATTATAGGCGTGAGCCACTGTGCCCGGCCAATTTTTGCATTTTTAATAGGGATGGGGCTTCACCATGTTGGCCAGGATGGTCTCGATCTCCTGACCTCGTGATCTGCCTGCCTTGGCGTCCCAAAATGCTGGGATTACACGTGTGAGCCACTGTGCCCAACCTGTAGGTTTTAAGTGCCTTACTGAAAGTACTGTTGAAAAAGGGGCAGCATGCAGATTCATTTTATGCTTTAAAAAGTGGTTTGTCTCGGCCAAGCTTGGTGGTGCACGCCTGTAATCCCAGCACTTTGAGGGGGCCGAGGCTGGTGGATCACGAGGTGAGGAGATCCATACCATCCTGGCTAACACGATGAAACCCCTGTCTACTAAAAATACAAAAAATTAGCTGGGCGTGGTGATCCGCACCTATAATCCCAGCTACTCTGGAGGCTTAGGCAGGAGAATCGCTTGAACCTGGGAGGCAGAGGTTGCAGTGAGCCGAGATTGCGCCACTGCACTCCAGCTTTGGCGACACAGCGAGACTCTGTCTCAAAAGAAAAAAGTGGTTTCCCTCAGAGTTTAGCTACAGATATGTTTAGGCATTTCTTAGCATCTAAATTGAGCTTCGATTTGTGACTTGCCACCTGTGAAGATGGAGAACACTCAGGGCTAGTCCTACTGAGTAACCTCACATTCCATGAGGCTCTGTGGGTTCCCATGCTTTGCCTTTCTAAAGTTGGTGTAAAGATACATTTTTTTTTTTTTTTGAGATGGTGTTTCACTCTTGTCACCGAGGCTGGAGTGCAATGGTGCAACCTTGGCTCACCTGCAAGCTCCGCCTCCCAGATTCAAGCGATTCTCCTGCCTCAGCCTCCCAAGTAGCTGGGATTAACAGGCGCCCACCACCATACCTGGCTAATTTTTTTGTGTGTTTTTAGTAGATACAGGGTTTCATCACGTTGGCCAGGCTGGTCTCGAACTCCTGACCTCAGGTGACCAACCGGCTTGGCCTCCCAAACTGCTGGGATTACAGGCTTGAGCTACCATGCCTGGCCAAAGATAATTTTTAAGAGTAATTACTTTAGCATTAAATACCAATTAATAACTATCTAAAATGATGTAATCCTAAAGTTTTTGCAGTTGTCTTTGTTTTTATATGCTGATTGACAGATGCAATTTGTTGTGGCTTGAACTCACCAAGTGTTAAGACAACCTTAGGGATACCACTGAAATTTCCTTAAGTGGAAAGGATGGGCTCTTAAAGATCAGGAATTCTCTTTTATGAATAAGATATGGTATGAAACCTATCAAATTAACTTATTTATTGGGAGGCAATATATAGATCAGAGTCATGCTTTTCAAATATTTTTATTGCATCCCACAGTAAGAAATGCGGTTTACATTGTGACCTAGTATACATATACCCATACAACTATATATATATCTTTTTTTTTTTTTTGAGACGGAGTCTCCCTCTGTTGCCCAGTCTGGAGTGCACGAGTGCGATCTTGGCAACCTCCACCTCCTGGGTTCAAGTGATTCTCCCACCTCAGCATCTCAAGTAACTGGGATTACAAGTGTGTGCCACCACGCCCAGCTACCTTTTTTGTGTATTTAGTAGAGACATATATGTATATGTTGGCCAGTGTATATGTTGGCCAGGCTGGTCTCGAACTCCTGGCTTCAAGTGATCTCATCTTGGCCTCCCAAAGTGCTGGGATTACAGGAGTGAGCCACCGCACTCAGCCTATACTGAGCTATTTTAAAATGCTGATACAGTAGGCTGGGTGCGGTGGCTCACTCCTGTAATCCCAGCACTTTGGGAGGCTGAGGCGGGCTGATCACGAGGTCGGGAGATGGAGACCATCCTGGCTAGCACGGTGAAACCCTGTCTGTACTAAAAATACAAAAAAATTAGCTGAGTATGGTGGTGGGCGCCTATAATCCCAGCTACTGGGGAGGCTGAGGCAGGAGAATCACTTGAACCCGGGAGGCAGAGCTTCCAGTGAGCCAAGATCTCGCCTCTGCCCTCCATCCTGGGTGACAGAGCAAGAGTCCATCTCAAAACAAAACAAAACCTGATACACCAAATTGATTTGACACCCTGCTAATGTGTTGTCATCAGTAGTTTGAAAAGTACTGGAACAGGGTTGGGAGTACAGGATCTTGGAGTGATGTGGTGTCAGACCTTCTGAATTTGTAATTCTATTCCAAGCTCCCTTTGTTGTATTTCATTTTTCTTCTTCTTTTTTTTTTTTTTTTTTTTTTTTTGAGACGGAGTCTTGCTGTGTTGCCCTGGCTGGAGTGCAGTGGCGCGATCTTGGCTCACTGCAAGCTCTGCCTCCTGGGTTCACGCCATTCTCCTGCCTCAGCCTCCTGAGTAGCTGGGACTACAGGCGCCTGCCACCGCGCCCGGCTAATTTTTTTCGTATTTTTAGTAGAGACGGGGTTTCACTGTGGTCTCTATCTCCTGACCTCATGATCCACCTGCCTCGGCCTCCCAAAGTGCTGGGATTATAGGCATGAGCCACCGCGCCTGGCCCGTATTTCATTTTTCTAAGCCTTGGTTTATAAATTGTGACAAAGGGATAATGGGTAGCATTTGATACTCATGGGTTATCTTGAAGGTTAAAAGAAAAAAACACACCCATATATGGGTTGAGCATCCCTAATCTGAAGATTCAAAATCTGAAATGTTCAAAATCTGAAACTTTCAGCACTGACATGATGCCACAAGTGGGAAATTCCACTCTTGACCTCACGTGAGTGATCACAGTCCAAAATGCAGTCAAAACTTTGTTTCATGCACATTTTAAGGTACTGTATAAAACTATCTTCAGGCTATGTGTATCTGGTGTATATGAAACATAAGTGTATTTTGTGTTTAGACTTGGGTCCAGTCTCTAAGATATCTCATTATGTATGTACAGGTATTCCAAAATCCAAAAAACCCTGAGTCACTTCTGGTTCCAAGTTTCAGATACGGGAAACTCAGCCTGTAGTGAGAATCAAGACAATTGACCATCTGAATTTGACTAGTGATAATCAAGAAAGTTGTTTAATTCCCCCCAACTCAATTATTTGTGTATTGCTTTTGTAAAGGACTTTTGTGGCTTTGTATATAATTTGCACATTCCTTTGTAAATATCTTCTTCCTACAGGTTTTGCAGTGGGGGTTACTTTACCAAGCAAGGTCCTATGAAGGGTAGGTGTTGAAAAGTACAGATTGCATTCTTTGTTGTTGTTGTTTTGTTTGTTTCTGAGATGGAGTCTCCTCTTTCGCCAGGTTGGAGTGCAGTGGCACGACCTCGGCTCACTGTAACCTCCACTTTCCGGGTTCAAGCTATTCTCCTGTCTCAGCCTCCCGAGTAGCTGGGACTACAGGCACCCGCCACCAGGCACCCGCCACCATGCCCAGCTAATTTTTGTATTTTTCGTAGAGATGGGGTTTCATCATGTTGGCCAGGATGGTCTCAATCTCTTGACCTTGTGATCCGCCTGCCTCAGCCTACCAAAGTGCTAGAATTACAGGCGTGAGCCACCATGCCTGACTGTTTGTTGTTTTGAGACGGAGTCCCACTCTGTCGCCCAGGCTGGAGTGCAGTGGTGCAGTCTCGGCTCACTGCAACCTTCACCCCCTGGGTTCCGGTGTTCTCCTGTCTCAGCCTCTGGAGTAGCTGGGATTACAGGCACGCCACCATGCCCGGCTAATTTTTGTGTTTTTAGTAGAGATGGTGTTTCACTATGTTGACCAGGCTGGTCAGGTCTCGAACTCCTGACCTCAAGTGATCTGCCTGCCTCGGCCTCCCAGAGTGCTGGAATTACAGGCATGAGCCACCATGCTCAGCCCAGATTACATTCTTTTAGATAAAGGAAATTCTTGTAAACTAACTTCTTTGTAACTGCTGTTTCTTTCTCCTGATGTTCTTAAGTGTCTACTGCACACAGTAGACACTTAATATTTGTTGATGAACTGTATCTCTAACTGGATCATTATCTTAAAATTCTTAAACTAAATGTCAGTCATATCACAGCTGCATAAAAGCACAGATAAAGCTGAATCTCGAATCAGACATGCTTAGCACTCTAAGGAGAAAAAAATCCTTTTTGTTATTAGCTAAGGTGAAGATATTTGCTAAGTGATAGTATCCGTGCACATTTAAAAATGTCCACCAGTTTATTCTAAATTTAGTAACTGATTGGTCAAGTTGGATGTGTAGCAGTAACACTTTAAGATAAAAAGGGACTAGTATTTTATATAATTGATATGTGCAGGGCACGGTGGCTCACGCCTGTAATCCCAACACTGTGGGAGGCCGAGGCGGATGGATCAATTGAGGTCAGGAGTTTGAGAACAGCCTTGCCAACATGGTAAAACCCCGTGTCTACTAAAAATACAAAAAAATTAGCTGGGTGTGGGGGCACGCGCCTGTAATACCAGCTACTCTGGAGTCTGAGGCAGGAGAATCGCTTGAACCCAGGGGGGCGGATTCAAGGTTGCAGTGAGCTGAGATCGTGCCATTGCACTCCAGCTTGGGTGACAGAACAAGACTCCATCGCAAAAGAACAAACAAACCCAAAGACTAGTATGAAAGTTAATTATTTAATGGATTGCTAACAAAGTTTGTATTCTGGGGAATAAAGTGCTGAATCAGTGATATGGGAGTAAACATCTTTTTTGGATGAAATACTAACATATATATAAATGATAGTAGCTAGCTAGTAGCTAACATTTACTCCAGGTAGTATCACATTTACTTCACACAGTAATCCTATGAAGGAAGTTCTATTTGTATTATTTTAAGATGAGGAAACTGAGTCAGAGAAGTTCTCACTTGACCATATCATACTACTAGTGGGCAATGCAGCCAGTATTTGAACCTAGGTATTTTGTCCGACTCCATGATCTCCTCAGCCACTGTGGTGTGCTACTGCTATTGTGGACATGTCCCTGGTGTCTGCTCAGAGCTGTAGAGATTGGTTTTAGGTCTCAGCAAGAGGAACCTTGTCCCCCTTGGTAACTTTCTGTGTTGGTATTCTGAATGGGAACTATATCCTTCCATTCTTCTGGTTGGCTATTGTTTCTCAGTATTCTCTTCCTGCCAAAACTAGCTCTTAGTTTTTCTCTACTGCTGTGTCTTTGTGTCTTACTTATCATAGAAGTTTTCATAGGCGTACTGTTTTGAAATAGGTCATGTTTTCAAATGCTTTCGTTTATTTTTCATTTTTTTGGGACAGGGTCTCACTCTGTCACCCAGCCTGGAATGCAGTGCCATGAACATGCCTCACTGCAGCTTCGACCTGCTAGGCTCAAGGGATCCTCCTGCCTCAGCCTTCCAAGTAGCTGGGACCACAGGTGCATGTCACTGCACCCAGCTAATTTTTTGAGGTTTGTTTTTATTTTTTGTTGGAGATGGAGTCTCGGTCTGTCGCCCAGGCTGGAGTGCAGTGCTGCGATCTTGGCTCACTGCAACCTCCGCCTCCCGGGTTCACGCGATTCTCCTGCCTCAGCCTCCTGAGAAGCTGGGATTACAGGCGCCCGCCACCACACCTGGCTATTCTTTGTATTTTTAGAGGAGACGGTTTCACCACGTTGGCCAGGATGGTCTCAAACTTGTGACCTCAGGGGAGCCACCGTGCCCAGCGTTTTTTTATTTTTATTATTTTTTATTTTATTGTTAAGAAACAGGGTCTCAGCTGGGCATGGTGGCTTATGCCTGCAATCCCAGCACTTTGGGAGGCCCAGGCGGGCGGATCACGAGGTCAGTAGATCGAGACCATCCTGGCCAACATGATGAAACCCTGTCTCTACTAAAAATACAAAAATTAGCTGGGTGTGGTGGCACGGGCCTGTAGTTTCAGCCACCTGGGAGGCTGAGGCAGGAGAATTGCTTGAACTTGGGAGGTGGAGGGTGCAGTGAGCTGAGATCGCGCCACTGCACTCCAGCCTGGGCGACAGAGCAAGACTCTGCCTCAAAAAAAAAGAAAAAGAAACAGGGTCTCCCTTTGTTGCCCAGGCTGGTTTCAAACTTCTGGACTGAAGTGATCCTCCTTCCTTAGCCTCCCAAAATGCTGGGATTATAGGTGTGAGTCACCGCACCCAGCTTTCAAATGTATTTATGATAAAAATTGAACTCTTTTTTTTGTCCATTGTTTGAGAGAGAGACCTTCCGTGGTTAGTAACTTGGGTTTGTCAGACTGCTCCATGGTAAATGTCATCTGAGGTCTATGAATTCCTTTGTAGACACACTAACACAGTTCTCTTGTACCTAACAGTATTTAGCATTTATATGGTGCTTTGTGACTTAAAAGTGAAAATGTTTTTCCTCCTATGAACAGGTCTTATTTGTAAAATGAGGAGGAGATTGGCTAATACAAGTTTTTAAGGGCTCTCTCAGTTTGAGCACCAAAATTCTGTGAGTCTATAATAGTTTCTGAATAGAAATATAATTACATACTAAGGGTTTTGCCTAATGGAGTTAGAGAATGGGATAGATGTTCTCTCTCTGTCCCCTTTCCCTCCTTCACCCTGCAAAAAAAGAACAAATAGAGAATTTGTGCCCGTTTGGCTGAGAAATGATCCCTAGTATTCCATTTATGTATAAGATATATATTAGGATTAAAATCTCTTTCATTAGTAGCTTGTAAAAGACAGTGTCTTTTACAGACGTTGTTATTCCCAGGTCATTCATCAGATTAGAGGGTCTTAAATTGTTACTTATTTTAATTGAACAGTAAAAATTGTCCATATGGTGTATAACATGTTTTGGTATATACAAGTATACATTGTGGAATGGCTAAGTCAAATTGTGATTCCTATGAGTGAGTTCTAAGCTGGTCACCGATAATGTTATTTATAACCGTTGCTCTCTTTCTTACATGAACATCAAAAAGTTTCTCAGTAAAATTTTTTTGTACTTAAATGCTCATTGTTAGGAAAACATTTCAGAAAGCTCTCATGAACTGAATAATAGTTTGCAGTGAATATGCATTTCATTGATTAATGGCATCTCTACACTTTTGAATATTATTAGATAGGGCTTGGTGTATAGCTCATGGACTGATGGATCCTGTGGCCTGCAGGGGCTCTGTGGTCTGTAGTTTTGGAAGTCACTGGATTAAAACAATGTACTTCTGTTTCAAATGTAAATAAATCATTTCCAGTATTTATTTTAAAGAGATGACATTTTGATAGTCTCCAGAGTTCTATTAATCTGGGTCAAGATTATCTGTAGCCAGTGGGCCAAGACCCTATTTTAGTCTTAACGAAGTATTTTATGGATTGAAAATGTTAAAAGCATTGATTTAGAGCTCTAGGTACTTGTTCGTATTATGCAGTAGGATAATTTGTAAAAGTATGGTCAAATGTGTCTATATTAGAAAAATTAGTTAACTTGGTCTTTTTTTTGAATCAAAAGTCATCAGGCAAACAACTTTATTTGAAATCTATATTGGGACATTTCTCCTGTTAACTCTGTCATTCATTTCCTTCATGTTATTTATATCTTGCTGTCTAATACTTTATTCCCCCTCCAATTTTAATCTCAATCTGGCGTTTATTTTGAAATAAAATAATGAAACATCGTAGTTTACCAACATCAACTTTATCTACTCATTGGAAAGAAAACTTCGTGGATTTTGGGAGTTTGAACTATCTAGTTTCTAATCTTCTACCACTTCCTGCGTGAGTGAACTTCGGTAGATGATTTAAGTTTTCTGACCCTCAGTTTCAGCTCTTAAATTATATTACCTATCTCACTCAGGGTTGTTTTGGGCTTGAGTATGGTAATGTTTATGAAGAATTTAACACGGTGCTAGGCTTGTTTCCTTCCTTCCTCACTCCCTGCCCAAAATGGTTTTCTTCCTCAGGTTGCTTTTCCTTTTTCTGGAAAATTATGGAGAAATCTCCTTTGGGAGGCTGGGCGCGGTGGTGCACGCCTCTAATCCTAGCACTTTGGGAAGCCGAGGCGGACGGATTGCCTGAGCCCAGGAGTTTGAGACCAGCCTGGGCAATACGGTGAAACCCCATCTCTACTAAAATACAAAAAATTAGCTGGGCATGGTGGCGGGCGGCTGTAGTCCCAGCTACTCGGGAGGCTGAGGCAGGAGAATTTCTTGAACCTGGAAGGCGGAGGTTGCGGTGAGCCGAGATCGCGCCACTGCACTCCAGCCTGGGTGACAGAGCTAGACTCCGTCTCCAAAAAATCTCCTTTGGGGTGTCTGTTTTTCCTCCCACTCTTCTACACAGTGGTCTGCCCTCTTTCATTCTGGGTATCTGGTTTTCACCTTAGACTCACTCATGTTTCCATTAGAACATCTGTCTAAATGATACACAAACGTAGGTGACATAGACGCAGTAGAGGATTTCTTTGTTAAATGCTTTCATCTGAAACAGTTCTTACATGCTAGAAGTCATGCTCAGGCCGGGCACAGTGGCTCACGGCCTGTAATCCCAGCACTTTGGGAGGCCAAGGTGGGTGGTTCACCTGAGGTCAGGAGTTCGAGACCAGCCTGGCCAACATTGTGAAACCCTGTCTCTACTAAATACAAAAATTAACCAGGTGTGTTGGTGGGCGCTACTTGGGAGGGTGAGGCAGGAGCATCAGCCCGGGAGGCAGTGGTTGCAGTGAGCCGAGACCGCGCCATTGTACTCCACCTTGGGCAACAAGAGCGAAACTGCGTAGTCATGCTGATCGTACTCTTGGCTAATGCCATTTTTGTAGGACATCATGAAACACTGACACTTAATTTTATCACAGTCTGAGAACAAATGGACTAGCTGAAAATTAGTATATTTATGTAACATGAAATTAGTTTTCTGAGAAGAGTACAGATTTTTCATAAGTATGTTTGTATATGTAAATTGGTTATTTCAGGGAAATTAATGAGAAAAGTTAAAATTTAGAAAGCTCTTTTTCCCCCCTATAAAATGGGTAAAAATCCATGGCAGCAGAATAGTTTGGCCCCTGAGATTATAGTTGGAAAAACTTCCAAACTAAAATCTGTCTACTTGCTTTAAATTGGCTTTAGCCCCCCACCCCGGCAAACTCCATAGAACTCATCCTTTAGGTCTTCTGGGCTCGGTGTTTATTTTTTATTTTCTCTTGGCCTGACTCTAACCATTCATCAGCTCATACTTTTTCTCTGACGTGCTTCATATTCTCGCTTCCATTCTGAGTTTGTATTTAAGCTAAATGTGATGGATTTAGCTCCCTAAGTATCTTGGATTCCATTTCCCCTTCTTTCTCTCTGCCCCATGCAGTTATAATACATCTCTCTCCTGGTCAGCTATGTCAGTTTCCCAAGATGTCATTCTGCTCCTGGTCTTCTGCTCCCTCTTAGTTTGTTTCCACATTGCTGTTGAGTAATCCTTCTATTTTTTTCTATCTTTACTGAGTTGAGTTGGGGGTCTTACTCTGTAACCCAGGCTGGAGTGCAGTTGTGCAATCACAGCTCCCTGCAGTCTCCAACTCCTGGGCTTAAGCCATCCTCCCAAGTAGCTGGGACTACAGGCGTGCACCACCACACTTGGCTAATTAAAAAAATTTTTTTGTAGATACGGGGTCTCTAGGCAGGTCTTGAACTGCTGGCCTCAAGCTAACCTCTTGCACCTCCACTTTGGTGCTGGGATTACAGACTTGAGCCACAGTGCCCAGACTTGTAATCTTTCTAAATCACAAATCTGCCGTGTCAGGTAGTCCTCAATCGGAAAACTTGTTAGTAATCCCTGTTTCCCACAAGAGCAAGTGAACTCTCCAGCATGGTGTACAGGGCTGTAGGTGATACCTTCACCTCTTGCCGTTTCCTGCCTGAGCCCCATACTTCTGTTCTGAGCTTCCATACCCTTGTTGAATTAACTCCAGAGGTTTTCTTTTTCTTTTTTTTTTTTTTTGAGATGGAGTCTCGCTCTGTCACCCAGGCTGGAGTGCAGTGGCACAATCTTGGCTCACTGCAACCTCCACCTCTTGGTTCAAGTGGTTTTTCCTGCCTCAGCCTCCAGAGAAGCTGGGATTACAGGCACCCGCCACCACATGTGGCTAATTTTTGTATTTTTAGTAGAGGCAAGGTTTCACCATTTTGGCCGGGCTGGTCTCAAACTTCTGAACTTAGGTGATCCACCTGGCTTTGCTTCCTGGCGTGCTGGGATTACAGGCATCTGGCCTCCAGCCATAGTTTTTAAAGTGTGTCAAATTCTTTCATACCTCTATGTTTTGAATGCATAGTCGAGAGGATCCTTGTCCACCTGATGATTCCCTGATGCTCTGCTGCATTGTCATCTTTATAACATCTCTGCTTCCACAAAGTTCATTATTTCCTTCTCTGTTCCCGTAGCCTTTTGTAGATGCATACTTGTGCTATGATTTATGTACTTCTCTATCCTTTCTATTTTAGAGTGAGCTTGGGATCCAAGACTATTTCTCTTTTATCCTCTTTGTCTGAGACATGGCAGGTTCTTCATTAATACTGAATGAATGGGTCTAATAGAGATTGTTGGATTGTTTATATTTAGAGGGGAGTTAATATTTGTCACTTTTTGTTTTTTATGTTAATATTTAATATTTCCCTTTAAAGATGGTGGAGCCAGGGCAAGATTTACTGCTTGCTGCTTTGAGTGAGAGTGGAATTAGTCCGAATGACCTCTTTGATATTGATGGTGGAGATGCAGGGCTTGCAACTCCAATGCCTACCCCGTCAGTTCAGCAGGTAAGAGTTTTCCAAAGCCTCTCTTTCTTAGTGATTTCCGCTTACAGTATTTTTTTTTAAGATAGTCTCACTCTGTGGCCCAGGCTGGGGTGCAGTGGTGCAGTCATGGCTTACTGAAGCCTCAACCTCCCAGGCTCAAACCATCCTTCTGCCTCAGCCCCCCAAGTAGCTGGGACTATAGGCACGTGCCACCACATCCCGCTAATTTTTTGTCTTTTTTGTAGAGACAGGGTTTGCCATGTTGCCCAGGCTGGTCTTGAACTCCTGAGCTCAAGCGATTGCCAACCTCGGCCTCCCAGAGTGTTGGGATTACAGGTGCGAGCCAAGCTTGGCCCAATTTTAAATATACATGTGAAGCCTTAATTTTAAATACATGTGTTAATTTTTTTTTTTTTCTGAGACGGAGTCTTGCTCTGTCACCCAGGCTGGAGTGCAGTGGCGCAATCTCAGCTCACTGCAACCTCTGCCTCCTGGGTTCACAATTCTCTTGCCTCAGCCTCCTGAGTAGTTGGGATTACAGGCATGGGCCACGACGCCTGGCTAATTTTTATATTTTTAGTAGAGATGGGGTTTCACCATGTTGTTCAGGCTGGTCTCGAACTCCTGACCTTGTGATCTGCCTGCCTCAGCCTCCCAAAGTGCTGGGGTTATAGGCGTGAGCCACTGTGCCCGGCCAAATGTTATTTTTATGTTGAGTATTCATTTTGATTTATGAGGCAGAAAATAATAATGAAAACCAAAACATTATTTTCTGCTTTGATGTTATTATAAACGTATAGATAGTGTAAGAGATGTTTAGTGTTCTTGTGGGAGTATCTTTAATTTCCTTAATAGTTGTTTAATTATTTAGGGATATTCTTCTGTGATTTCATTATATACATTCTCTGAAAGCAAAAACGTAAGATTCTGGCTGGGCATAGTGTCTCATGCCAGTAATCCCAGCACTTAGGGAGGCTGAGGCTGAAGGATTGCTTGAGCCCAGGAGTTTGAGACCAGCCTGGGCAACGTAGCAAGACCTTGTCTCTACAAAAAGTTAAATAAAATTAGGTGGCCGTGGTTGTGTGCACTTGATGTCCCAGCTACCCAGGAGGCTGAGGTGGGAGGATCGCTTGAGCTCAGGAGTTTGAGGCTGTTGTGAATTGTTATCGTGCCACTGCACTTTAGCCTGGGTGACAGAGCAAGACCTTGTTTCTGAAAAATAAAAAAATAGACTGGTCCGAGTGCAGTGTTGTTTACAGGTAATTGATCACAGCCAGTTACAGATTTCTTTGTTTCTCCTCTACTCCGACTGCTTCACCTGACTAGCCTTAAAAAAAAAAAAAAAAAGACTAAAAAAAATTTTTTTTTCTTGAGACAGAGTCTCACTCTGTCACCCAGGCTGGAGTGCAGTGGCACGATCTTGGCTCACTGCAACCTCCACCTCTCAGGTTCAAGCAGTTCTCCCACCTCAGCCTCCCGAGTAGCTGGGATTACAGGGGGCCGCCGCCAAGCCCAGCTAATGTTTTTATTTATTTAGTTATTTGTTTTATTTATTTGTTTTTTTTGAGACCGAGTCTCGCTCTGTCACCCAGTCCAGAGTGCAGTGGTGCAATCTCCACTCACTGCAACCTCCGCCTCCCAGGTTCACGCCATTCTCCTGCCTCAGCTTCCCAAGTAGCTGGGACTACAGGCGCCCACCACCACACTCGGTGAATTTTTTGTATTTTTAGTAGAGACAGGGTTTCACCACATTAGCCAGGATGGTCTCGATCTCCTGACCTTGTGATCCTCCTGCCTTGGCCTCCCAAAGTGCTGGGATTACAGGCGTGAGCCACTGCGCCTGGCCAAGCCCAGCTAATTTTTTGTGTTTTAGTAGAGATGGGGTTTCACCATGTTGGACAGGCTGGTCTCAAACTCCTGACCTCATGATCCGCCCACCTCGGCCTCCCAAAGTGCTGGGATTACAGGCATGAGCCACCACTCCCGGCCTACAAAAATGTTTTAAAAAAGGAATTGTTAGTACCGTTTTGTGGAGATCTTGTGCTTGCAAAGATTATTACATTATAAATCTGCTGTTAGTGATTTAACGTCAGTTTGAATGTTAAACTTGATATTTTTTAATAAATGCAAACCTTGTCCTTGAAACAGAATTTACTGCTGTCCTTTTATTTTTTGTCTGATGTTGTTTTCTCTCCAGTCAGTGCCACTTAGTGCATTAGAACTAGGTTTGGAGACCGAAGCAGCAGTTCCTGTTAAACAAGAACCAGAGACTGTACCTACTCCAGCACTATTAAATGTGAGGGTAAGAATGATTTAGATTCGTCGTTACTTCTAAAATAGTTTAGAAGTGTAGTGAGAAAACATGGCCGGGTGTGGTGATTCGCACCTGTAGTCTCAGCACTTTGAGAGGCTGAGGTAGGAGGATTGCTTGAGCCGAGGAATTCAAGACCAGCTTGAGCAAAATGGCAGGACCCCATCTCTATAAAAGAAGAAATGGGCTGGGCACAGTGGCTCATGCCTGTAATCCTGGCACTTTGGGAGGCCAAGGTGGGTGGATCACTTGAGGTCAGGAGTTCAAGACCAGCCTGGCCAACATGGTGAAACTCCATCTCTATCTCTACTAAAAATACAAAAATTAGCTTGGTGTGGTGGTGCACGCCTATAGTCATAGCTACTTGGGAGGCTGAGGCAGGAGAATCTCTTGAACCCAGGAAGTGGAGGAGGTTGCAGTGAGCAGAGACCAAGCCACTGCACTCCAGCCTGGGCGACAGAGTGAGACTTCATCTCAAAAAACATAAAAAAAGAGGCCAGGCACAGTGGCTCACGCCTGTAATCCCAACACTTTTGGAGGCCAGGGAGGGTGGATCACGAGGTCAGGAGATCGAGACCATCCTGGTTAACATGGTGAAACCCCGTCTCTACTAAAAATACAAAAAATTAGCCGGGTGTGGTGGCGGGCGCCTGTAGTCCCAGCTACTCGGGAGGCTGAGGCAGGAGAATGGCATGTACCCGGGAGGTAGAACTTGCAGTGAGCCGAGATGGGACCGCTGCACTCCAGCCTGGGTGACAGAGCGAGACTCTGTCTCAACAACAACAACAACAAAAAAGCATAATTAATAAAAAATAAAAAACTTTTTAGTGTGAAATAGTTTTCTCTCTCTAGTTCTGCTTTTTGCCGCTTTCCCAATATCCTACCCTTACCTCCTACTTTGCGACACATTTCTTTCATTCTTGTTTCTTTTTTTTTTTTTTTGAGACGGAGACTCGCTTTGTCGCCCAGGCTGGAGTGCAGTGGCACCATCTCGGCTCGCTGCAACCTCTGCCTCCTGGGTTCAAGCAATTCTTCTGCCTTAACCTTCCAAGCAGCTGGGACTATAGGCGCCCACCACCATGCCTGGCTAATTTTTGTATCTTTAGTAGAGACAGGGTTTTACCATGTTGGCCATGCTAGTCTTGAGCTCCTGACCTCAGGTAATGTGCCCATCTCAGCGTCCCAAAGTGCTGGGATTACAGATGTGAGCCACCGCTCCCAGCCCCACAAAGATATTTTTAAAAACAGATTTGTACGTGAAGATATATAACACGGTCATTGATGACAAGTCAAAATATTGAAAAAAGTTGTAAATAGTAGACTTTATTATTTTTATTCTTTTATTTTTTATTTTTTGAGATGGAGTCTCGCTCTGTCGCCCAGGTTGGAGTGCAGTGGCGCGATCTCGGCGCACTGCAACCTCCGCCTCCTGTGTTCAGGCCATTCTCCTGCCTCAGCCTCCCGAGTAGCTGGGACTATAGGCATCCGCCACCACGCCCGGCTAATTTTTTGTATTTTTAGTAGAGACGGGGTTTCACCGTGTTAGCCAGGATGGTCTCGATCTCCTGACCTCGTGATCCGCCCGCCTCAGCCTCCCAAAGTGCTGGGATTACAAGTGTGAGCCACCGCGCCCGGCCAATAGTAGACTCTTTATTAAAGACTCATTATTAAAGGAGTAGTGGAGAAATAGCAAATAGTGTTGAGGAGGAAAAAAGTGAAAATGTCATCAATCAAGGCATTAGAAACTTTCTGTTACTAGTCTTTTGGGGAGATTGGGGTGGGAGGGGTCTTGCTATTTTGCCAAGGCTGGTCTTAAAATCAAGTGAACCTCCTGTGTCACCCTCCCAATTAGCTGGAAATGCAGGTGCACACCACTGTGCCTGGCTTAGTCCTGTTATTTTCGGTTTGTGTGGGATAGTTCCATTTTATGCTTGCCATCCCTGACAGTTATAGAAAGGGTTATATTACAACTATACCTTCTTTTCGTCAAAGTTGTCCGTTTAACTTGGTAATTTGTAGCTAATCAAATCAGAAATGAAGTACTAATATTTAGGCAAGGCTGGGCACAGTGGCTCACGCCTGTAGTCCCAGCACTTTGGGAGGCTGAGGTGGGAGAATGGCATGAGCCCAGGAGTTTGAGACCAACCTGAGCAACATAGGGAGACTCTTATCTCTAAAAAAAATTTGCCGGGCATGGTGGTGTGCACCTGTAGTCCCAGCTACTTCAGAGGTTGAGGTACAAGAATCACTTGAGCCCAGTTGGGCAAGGCTGCAGTGAGCTATGATCGCACTTCAGCCTGCATGACAGAATGAGACTGCTTCAAAGAAAAAAAAAAAGCAATAATAAAAGTGCATTTTAGATTTTTAGTTGTCCTTCCAGGTTTGTGGATATAAGCTTCATTAGAGAATGAAGCATTTTTCAGTGGTGTGTTTTTTGTTTTCTATCTAGCAGCAGCCTCCATCTACTACAACATTTGTGCTGAATCAAATAAATCATCTTCCACCCTTGGGATCTACAATTGTAATGACTAAAACACCACCTGTAACAACCAACAGGCAAACCATCACTTTAACTAAGTTTATCCAGACTACTGCAAGCACACGCCCGTCAGTCTCAGCACCAACAGTACGAAATGCCATGACCTCTGCACCTTCAAAAGACCAAGTTCAGCTTAAAGATCTACTGAAAAATAATAGTCTTAATGAACTGATGAAACTAAAGCCACCTGCTAATATTGCTCAGCCAGTAGCAACAGCAGCTAGTAAGTCTGTTTTCAATAGTATCAACTTTCTCTCTCTGGTAAGCTATGTCAGCATGTTTTTTTAAACGATTTGCTTGGGTTTTTAAAGAACTGGCCATAAAAGGGTGTTATATGCATTATTTTGCGTACTTACAGTCTTTAACACAATTCAAGGGAAGCAAAAGTTTAGATGCCTTGGGTAGGTTGTTTAGCTTTGAAATGTGATTTCTAGGATCATCAGGTAGCTACGTTAGCAACATGAAATCTTACCAGTTTTATATATTATAGGTAGTCAGTTAACATTTTTCTTAATCCTTTACAAATCCTTTACAAATAGCTGTTTACTTGTGACTCATCTGTGGATCTTGTTTGAAAGCAGAATCTGATTCTCAGTAGAGCCCACAATTCTACATTTCTTTTTTCTTTTTTTGAGACGGATTTTCAGTCTGTCACCCAGACTGGAGTGCAGTGGTGCGATCTCTGCTCACTGCAGCTTCCGTCTCCTGGATTCAAGTGATTCTCCTGCCTCAGCCTCCCGAGTAGCTGGAATTAGAGGTGCTTGCCACCACACCTAGCTAATTTTTGTATTTTTAATAGAGACGGGGTTTCACTGTGTTGGCCAGGCTGGTCTCGAACTCCTGAGCTCAGGCAGTCTGCCCACCTTAGCCTCCCAAAGTGTTGTTGGGATTACAGGCGTGAGTACCATGCCCGGCCTGCTTGTGTTTTTATGAAATAGAGGGCTAAGAGCATTCTAAAAGAATGGGCGATAAGTGTTTATAGGAAGATGTAGAACTTTGTCTTAAGTGACAGATGTCATTAAAATTTTCAGATCATCTGGTTTTTATGTTTGGGTCCATACCACTGTGTCCTTGTGGCTGTAGTTTTTTGTCTTTTGGTTTTCGTTTTTTGGTTCTCCTCTCAAGGTCATTGTCCTGAACTGACTGCAACCTGGCAGTGAGATGCAAGTTGGGAAATCATTTTAGCTGTCTTAGGACTGATACCATTTTCTGCCGTGGAGTGCAGCACTGTGACCCTGACCTGGCTGAGGTGCAGGGCAGTTTCTGGAATCACTCGCAAGGGACTTGGGGATGGTCGACAGTTGGTGGAAGATGCTTCTCGTTACGGTCTTTGGATTTAATGAGGAAGCCTGCTTCTTATATGAGTGGCTTTCTGAGCATTGTACTCCTCACATCAGCATATGCCATCATAACTTAAAGGAGTGGATGTATGCCATTGTGAGGGAAGAATTTAGAGAACACAACAGAAAACGGGATAGATTTGGAGCTGACTGAACAAGATATCTAGTACAGTAAATTCTCCCACATTTAAGGTAGTGATTTTTAAAAGACAAATGCAGACATTTATCAGGCTGCACAGCAAGACTATCCATGTATGGAAGCCTGAGAAACTGTCAAGCTAGGTCAGGACTAAGAAACAAAGATGGGCCGGACGCGGTGGCTCATGCCTGTAATCCCAGCACGTTTGGAGCCCAAGGTGGGTGGATCACGAGGTCAGGAGTTCAAGACCAGCCTGGCCAAGATGGTGAAACTCCACCTCTACTAAAAATATGAAAATTAGCTGGGCATGATGATGGGCACCTGTAATTCCAGCTACTTGGGAGGCTGAGGCAGGGAATTGCTTGAACCCAGGAGGCAGAGGTTGCAGTCAGCTGAGATGGCGCCACTGCACTCCAGCCTGGGCGACAGAGCAAGACTCCATCTCAAAAAAAAAAAAAAAAAAAGATGGTAAGTGAATGCTGAAGACAAGCAAAGTTTTTTGTTGTAGGAGATGGTCCTCTTTTTACTGAAGGGGAAAAACATTGAAAATATGAAACTGCAGAAAGCAAGGTGTTGCATGTTCTACTTCTTATCTGTGTGGTTGTTGCCCCTTTGGGTTCTAACCTGTCACAATTTCTCTGGTCTTAAAACTAGGAGCTGATCACTGGCTCTTTCACAGTTAAAATAAACAAACCATGCCCCCAAATATCATCTCTGTTCTAGTTTCCTTGTTTAGTTAATACTTTATTTTTATTTTTTATTTTTTTGTGAGACGAAGTCTCATTCCATCGCCCAGGCTGGAGTGCAATGGCGCGACCTCGGCTTCCTGCAACCCCTGCCACTTGAATTCAAGTGATTCTCCTGCTTCAGCCTCCCAAATAGCTGGGATTACAGGCATGAGCCACCAAGCCTGGCTATTTTTAGTAGAGACAGGGTTTCACCATGTTGGCCATGCTGATCTTGAACTCCTGACCTCAAGTGATCAGCCCACCTCGGCCTCCCAAAGTTCTGGGATTACAGGCGTGAGCACCTGGCCTGTTAATACTTTAATTAGTTGTACTCGTTTTGGAGTCTAAGTGATAGTCCTCCCAAATACTCTTCATCTTTTGCTAGAATAGATGAAATGCTGATCAGCTCTCCTGATGTTAGCACTCTCTTCCCTAAAGGCAGTGATTTCCGCACCTCTATCTCAAGAATTCCAGGTACTGTGAGGACTTCAGGGATTCTTGGAGGCTGAAGGCTGGTTCCAGGGGTTCTGGACTGGATACCTCCCACCCCTATTCAGTCAAGTAGCTCTGCTGATTGATAAGTGGATTCTGAGATTTTATTGCTATATTTAAAAGAGTTTGAAAACCAGTGGTATAGAAGAAAGTGTTCATTGTTTAGATCTTTACTCTGGGAGCAGGAGGAAGTAAGGAGTTCCCAAATTGATTTTTCTTCTTCTAGAAATAATTATTTTGCCTTGAAAATTAGTAAGTACCACCAGATCACATGAAATTGATTCTGTTTGGGTGATAACCCCAGGTTTTGGGTTTTTTTGTTTTTTTTCTTTTTTGAGAGTCTTGATCTGTCGCCCAGGCTGGAGTGCAGTGGCGCGATCTCGGCTCATTGCAGGCTCTGCCTCCTGTTTTCATGCCATTCTCCTGCCTCAGCCTCCCTAGTAGCTGGGACTACAGGCGCCCGCCACCACGCCCAGCTAATTTTTTTTTGTATTTTTTTAAATTTTAATTAATTAATTAATTAATTTTTTTGAGACAGAGTTTTACTCTTGTTGCCCAGGCTGGAGTTCAATGATGCAATCTCAGCTCACTGCAGCCTCCGCCTCCCGGGTTCAAGCAGTTCTCTGCCTCAGCCTCCCAAGTAGCTGGGATTATGAGCATGCGCCACCATGCCCGGCTAATTTTGTATTTTTAGTAGAGACTGGGCCTCCTCGGCCTCCCAAAGTGCTGGGATTACAGGCGTGAGCCACTGCGCCGGCCTTGTTTATTTTTAATGAGTCAAATGAAGTGTCTCAAAGTAATGCTGGCTTTTGGGTATCTTTCTGATAAATAATTTTCAAGCTTCCCTTGCACACGTTCCTTTTGAGTTGTTTTCTAAAGTTAATTCTTTACTTCCATAAAGACACATGGGTTTACATGTTTTCATGCCTGTGCTTAATTTAAATTAGTAATAGAGGCCAGGTGCGGTGGCTCACGCCTGTAATCCCAGCACTTTGGGATGCCAAAGTGGGCAGATCACCTGAGGTTGGGAGTTCAAGACCAGCCTGACCAACATGGAGAAACTCCGTTTTTACTTAAAAAAAAAATTACAAAATTAGGCAGGCATGGTGGCGCATTCCTGTAATCCCAGCTACTTGGGGGTCTGAGGCAGGAGAATCGCTTGAACTCGGGAGGAGGAGGTTGCAGTCAGCTGAGATTGCGCCAACGCACTCCATCCTGGGCAACAAGAGTGAAACTCCAAAAATAAATAAATAAAAATAAATTAGTTATAGGCAGATTGACATTCTTTGGTTTTTGAAATATGTAAACTTCTGGGTTTTTTATTTTTATTTTTTTAGACAAAGTCTTGTTCTGTCACCCAGGCTGAAGTGCAGTGGTGCAATCTCGGCTCATTTCAACCTCCACCTCCCAGGTTCAAGCAATTCTCTGCCTCAGTCTCCCGAGTAGCTGGGATTACAGGTGCCCGCCACCACGCCCAGCTTGTTTCTGTATTTTTAGTAGAGATGCGGTTTCACAATCTTGGCCAGGCTGGTCTTGAACTCCTGACCTTGTAATTCACCCGCCTTGGTGTCCCAAAAATGCTGGGATTACAGGTGTGAGCCACCGCAGCAGCCTTAAACTTCTGGATTTTTAAATAATGGGAAAATAAGTTCAGAATTTTCTTCTAAATGTAATTTGACTTTTTCCTCCTCAGCTGATGTAAGCAATGGTACAGTAAAGAAAGAGTCTTCTAATAAAGAAGGAGCTAGAATGTGGATAAACGACATGAAGATGAGGAGTTTTTCCCCAACCATGGTGAGTTTCAAATAACTGTGTCTTTATTTTTGTGTAGTATGAGAGTGTACTCAACTAAAAGTGTTCTATATGGAACAACCCTCAGAAAGCTGTTTTTGGGTTGGGAAGAAGCTATACAGGCGTGGGAACTAATGGATATGCTTAAACCTCGCTGGAGTAATATAGATACTAACCAGGGTGGTTAAAACTTGCAGATTGATGGAGTGTGGCACTAACATGCAGTACTGATATCTTACTGTTAAAAATCTCATCTGAGCAGAAAAAAAGACAATGTGGGGTTAACGAAAAGTATTTGATAACTGTGTTCATTTTAGGACCGAACTTGAATAGAAAGCTCATAATGCATTGACAGATCATATAATGATCTGGTTATGAGTGATTCTTTTTTTTTTTTTTTTTTTTTTTTGAGACAGAGTCTTACTCTTATCGCCCAGGCTGGAGTGCAGTGGTGCTATCTTGGCTCACTGTAACCTCCACCTCCCAGGTTCAAGTGATTCTCCCACCTCAGCCTCTCAAGTAGCTGGGATTACAGGCATGTGCCACCATGCTTGGCTAATTTTTGTATTTTTAGTAGAAATGGGGTTTCACCATGTTGGCCAGGATGGTCTCGAACTCCTGACCTCAGGTAATCTGCCCGCCTCAGCCTCCGAAAGTGCTGAGATTACAGGCGTGAGCCACTGCACCCGGCCTGGTTAGAATTCTTAACATTTTGAAAATGCTGTATGCTTTGGATCAATTGATTCCATACATTTATTTAATAAATTCTCCATGTATAACATTGTTAATATGTAGTAGGTTTCTACAAGAAGTATATTTATTACATGATTCTACCTTCAGTAAGCAAAATTTGACAACCATCTGGATTAAGTAGTAATAATGAAAAGTACATCAAATGGTATGCAATGTGCTACTCACAATAAAGGTTAGGAATTTGGAGGAAGAGGTGACCTTCCTGAACTCTAGTGGCCTGGTGGACTTTATGGAGAGGGAATAATGGAGCTTGGGTTTTGAGTATGACGAGACTTTGAGGTGGGATATTAGGAAGGGAGCTAAAGGATTAATGGGCACAGAGGGGAGGTAGTGAGTATGTGCTTCGGTGAAAATAAGCCAGGAAGCTTAGCTTGTAGAAAGAAGTGGGAATAGTAGGTCTGGGCTCCATGGAGGGTCCTGAATTGAGGTTTTTATTGTTGTTGTTGTTTTTGAGATGGAGTCTTGCTCTGTTGACCAGGCTGGAGTGTAGTGGTGCAATCTTGGCTCACTGCAATCTCCGCCTCCCAGGTTCGAGCGATTCTTCTGCCTCAGCTTCCTGAGTAGGTGGGATTACAGGTGCCCACCACCAGCCCTGGCTAATTTTTGTGTTTTTAGTAGAGACGGGGTTTTACCACATTGGCCAGGCTGGTCTCGAATACCTGACCTCAAGTGATCCCTCCAGCTCGGCCTCCCAAAGTGCTGGGAGGCCAAGGTGCCCTGTGCTGAATTGAGTTTGAAGGACTTTGGACTTAGTCTAGCACCATTGAGCCAGTAGACATGGAGGGACCTGTTAGTGATTCAGGAGAAGTTGGGGTGCAGACTGAGTAAAGGGGTAGGGAAGACAGATTCGGGATGAGTAGGAGTAGGCAAAAGAGAGAGGTTGGAAAGTTGGTTAACCTAAGGGGGAAGTAAGAAGGGGTACTAGAGACCTTGCAGAGGGGATTGAAAAACGGAGAGGGGAAAGGAAAAAAAGAGATGACTGTACATAACGATACCAAAAGAATTTTGGGACTTGGTTCTAGAATATGGAATTGGAGACAGTGCAGCAAACTGTAGCTGAGGTTTTGAATGGGAACCAGGAGAACAATAGTGCTACTGGCGGTACCCAGTTTACTTAGTGATTGTCTACCAACAGCACTTGGAAGGTGATTTTTGGAAACTAAGAATGCATATTTCTTCAAGAAATGTTTTATGTGGTTCTCACATTTCCATTTCAGTCCATTATATACCAAAAGTTTTTTATTGGCTTAGCAGTTAAGTAACATCTCAGAGAGACTGCAAACTGATAGCCCATCAACCAAACTAGTCGGGGAGGGGGGGGGGGGCGTGTGTGTGTGTGTGTGTCGGGGTGTGTGTGTGTGTGTGTTTAGACGGTGTCTTGCTGTCACCCAGGCTGGAGGGCAGTGGTGCAATCTCAGCTCACTGCAACTTCTGCCTCCCAGGTTCAAGTGATTCTTCTGCCTCAGCCTCCTGAGCAGCTGGGATTACAGGCGCCCCCCACCACCACCACCACACCCAGATAATTTTTGTTTCTTTTATTTTGTTTATTTATTTTGAGATGGAGTCTCGCTCTGTCACAGGCTGGAGTGCATTGGTGCAGTCTTGGCTCACTGCAACCTCCCCTTCCCGGGCTCAAGCAATTCTCTTCCTCAGCCTCCCAAGTAGCTGGGATTACAGGCGCCCGCCACTACGCCCTGCTAATTTTCTTTTGTATTTTTTAATAGAGATGGGGTTTCACTACCTTGGCCAGGCTGGTCTTGAACTCCTGACCTCGTGATTCACCCGCCTCGGCCTCCCAAAGTGCTGGGATTTCAGGCGTGAGCCACTGTGCCTGGCCTGTATTTTTTAGTAGAGACGGGGTTTTGCCATGTTGGCCAGGCTGGTCTTGAACTCCTGACCTCAGGTGATCCGCCCACCCCTGCTTGCCCAAGTGCTGGGATTACAGGCGTGAGCCACCATGCCTGGCTGACAAATGTATTTTGTTTGGCCTTCATGGTATTTTGAAGAATTTTGAATTTGTTTGCTGACATATACAAATCCTGATTTCCCGGTTATTTTGAAAAATGGGAGTACCTGACAACCCCAGGCCCACGTTCCCCATCTAGGAAGATTTGCCCAGCGTTGTGTAGTGAACATCTACATGGTATGTTGGGCAAACATTTCCCAGGTACCGTGGTCTCCCTCACCCGAGTTATCTCTTTGA
This sequence comes from Homo sapiens, assembly GCF_000001405.40. Taxonomy (NCBI): domain Eukaryota; kingdom Metazoa; phylum Chordata; class Mammalia; order Primates; family Hominidae; genus Homo; species Homo sapiens. Next base: position 123,338,034 of record NC_000012.12, on the reverse strand, counting down.
CCTAAATTTGATGTCAGTTGCTATCTCACATGCACCTGGCTTCAAGGTATTACTTGTTTGTTCCCTGGATATAGTGGTCCTTCAGTATTACCAACTTATCCTTCAGTTATTCAATTATCATCAATTTTATGATGATTTTAAAAAACTATAGGTAGGAGAATAAAGGATGGAGGGAGAAAGGAGGCTGCTTATCTTAACATAGAATACATTTTTATTTTATAAGCGAGGACAGGGTTAGACGGTGGGGGTGGAGAGGACCCAGAATTTAGGTAATTTGCCTAAATTAAAAAACAGACTACACAATTAAATAACAGCAGAATTGGGATTCAAATCTATTCATTTGGCCAGTCCTGTTTTGTCTCGAATTTCCGAAATTGAGTTTTATTTTAGCATAATTTCTGAGAACATTCCAAGTTTTTAGATTTTATCTAAAGACTCCATAGGTTAATGTTGATTGGATGGTTATGTCCCACTTCTTTTCCTTTTCACGTTTGTTATCTATTTGCAACCATATTCTGCTCTAGATTCTGAGGTAAATGAAAAAAGAGCCTGTCCTTCACTTTTAATGCTGTCTCGATCTTGCCTTAATTTGCCTTAACCTGTAGGTTTTTGTTGTCCTCTTCCCTTGGCATACTGAGTTTCACAACAGTTTCTTTATATTCTTCCCTGAACAAGTGCATGCTAATAAACAGTTGCCTAATGATTGTACTGGTAGTGAAAAGTGGCTTATTCCGGATCTTCCTTTATTCCTTTAAGATCCTGTAGAGGAAGAAAAGGGAAGCATAACCGTGGTGACCATTCACTTGGTTTGCCGAGGACAGTCTGGGTTTACTTCTGTTTTCTCAGTGTAATCCTCAATAGCTCCCCAACTCAAATGTGCCAGGGTTTGGAAAATAAATTATATGGCCATCTTATATATGATCACGATTGCATCTGTGGAGACACAGAAGTCTGAAGTAAATTTTTCTGTTCTTCATAAGGGCCTCTAAAATAAACTCCAGTCTTCTGGGGTTTTGGTTTTAGGATATGCGGGAAAGCAGGCAAATAGAAGTGAACTGAGAAGAAGGTGGAATGTGAGACTGAGAGGCCTTGCTTGTGGTGATGCAGGGTCCTTTGGGGCCAATCCACCTTTGCTAGGGTTCACTCCAGTTTTGCACTAGGAAGAGCCAGACACACTGCTTGCTCTTTCTCCTGGAACTAGAATGAAGGCGAAGTCTGAGTGCAGAGAGAGTTCTGGGCATCAAGGAGGGGTGATAGGCAGTATTGAAGGGGAAAGTAGCTTGACACGATGGTGGCCGGAAGGACGTGGAGTCTTGTGACCCATTTGTGGGTAAGAGACAGAGTAGGACCTCATTGTCTGTGCTCATTATTGGAGAAGCAGGAAAGCCACGAAGTGTGGCCCAGATTTTAGGGAGTATTGAGGTGGCGCGTCATGTTTCCATGATGGAAATTTGTAGGTGTTCCTACAAGAGAGTTTTTCTGTGTGTTGGCTGGGCGTCTGGTCCCTGGATTTGGGATTGATTGTGCTCTTTCTGTGTTGCAGAAGGTTCCTGTTGTAAAAGAAGATGATGAACCAGAGGAAGAAGATGAAGAAGAAATGGGTCATGCAGAAACCTATGCAGAATACATGCCAATAAAATGTATGTCTTCGGGATTTGTCAGATATTTACATCAAAGTTTTCCTGTGGTTTCTTTGGTTCTTTTTGTTTTGTTTTTTTCCATATAAATTTAGAATCTTGCTTTAGGTCAAAGTCTTTTAAAACCAAAACTAAAGAAGCTTGGATTTTATTTTAATTTTGTTCATAGGAGTAGTGATTATAAAAATCAAAGGTAATTGTAAAGATATATAAAGCTAAGATATTTAATACAACTTGTCTAAAATTGTAAAAACATTGAAATTATAAAAATAATTGTGCTATTTGAATTCCATAGTTTTTGTTTCTCCCTTTTGTATAACATGGTTCTTTTTTTAGCAGCCACTGTATGAAGTCGAAAATTAGGTTTTTAATATTTGCATAAAATTTTCACTTTTTCATTACAGGAAACAAATCTATGTCTAGAATTTGTCTTTCATGTAGTCTTGGTTTCTATAAAAAACCACTAATAATACCATTTGAATTGAACTACAATTCTCTTTTTATCAACTACTGATAGACTCAAGATTCCATCCTTTTCTGCTCACCTACAATGAATTTTAGAAGTCCTATCTGAAATTCTGTTTTTCTTATTCCAATAATCATTTTGCAAAAGGATTGAAAGAGTTTATGGCCCTTTAAACCAGAGGACAGCAAACTAAATCTGGACCACTCGCTTTTTTATAGTAAATAAGGTTTTATTGGAACATAGACATGTTTATTGGTTTACTTATTATCTATGGCTGCGTTGACACTACAGCAGCAATGTTAAGTAGTTGTACAAGAGACAGGATGGCCTAAAACGGCAAAATCATTCTCTGACCCTTTACAGAAAAAGCTTCCAGATCATTATTTTAATGTATTCATGTTGTACATTTTGGGGACTTGGTTGTTAAATTTTATAGCCAAGTTGTCTTTCGAATACTTTTCAAAGTAAAATATGTTCTTTTTAAGACGGGGTCTGGCTCTTTACTCAGTCTGGAGTGCAGTGGCATGCTCTTGCCTCACTGCAACCTCCACCTCCCAGGATCCCTCCTGGATTCTAGCAATTCTCGTGCTTCAGCCTCTTGAGTAGCTAGGATTACAGGTGTGCACCATCATGCCTGGCTGATTTTTGTATTTTTAGTAGAGATGGGGTTTCACCGTGTTGGCCAGGCTGGTCTCGAATGCCTGACCTCAGGAGATCCACCCACCTTGGCCTCCCAGCTGCTGAGATTACAGGCGTGAGCCACCATGCCCAGCCAGGCAGTGGCGCAATCTTAGCTCACTGCAGCCTTAGCCTACAAGGCTCAAGCAATCCTCCTGTCTCAGACTCCTGAATAGCTCGGACCACAGGTCCCACCACCATGCCCAGCTAATTTTTGGATTTTAATTGTAGAGATGAGGGTCTCACTATATTGCCAAGGCTGGTCTTGAACTCTTGGCCTCAAATGATACTCCTGCTTTGGCCTCCCAAAGTGCTGAGATTACAAGCATGAACCTTCATGCCTAGCCTCAAAATAAAATTGTATTGCAAACTTTTGTTTTACTGAATGAATGCTTGAAGTAACTGAACTCCTTAATCTGGCATTATGTTCTGTTACTACTAGAGAACCTGCTGTTATGAACCAAGTGGTGTTTTTTTAGATCTTTTTTTTATCAGCAAATCTCTATTTTATTTTATTTATTATTTAATTTTATTTATTTATTTTTTGAGACAGAGTCTCACTGCATCACTCAGGCTGGAGTGCAGTGGCACAGTCTCGGCTCCCTGCAACCTCCGTCTCCTGGGTTCAAGCAATTCTCGTTCCTCAGCCTCCTGAGTAGCTGGAATTACAGGCGCGTGCCAACATGCCCAGCTAATTTTTGTATTTTTAGTAGAGACAGGGATTTGCTGTGTTGGCCAGGCTGGTCTTGAACGCCTGACCTCAAGTGATCCCTCCACCTTGGCCCCCCAAAGTGCTGGGATTACAGGCGTGAGCCACCCACCTGGCCCAAATCTCTGTTTTAACCATATGTAGTTGATAAATCATTTTAGTCAAATATAGATAGTACTTTGTCATCAGTTACTTTTTATGGAAGCTCAGAGTGAATACTTTTTAATTATTTTTCTATGTTATAAGAAAAACATTGAAATATCTTATAATGAAACTGGAAATGTTATTACTTAGAATAATTAAAATAAAATGTTTTTACATTTTTGTTTAGTAAAAATTGGCCTACGTCATCCAGATGCTGTAGTGGAAACCAGCTCTTTATCCAGTGTTACTCCTCCTGATGTTTGGTACAAAACATCCATTTCTGAGGAAACCATTGATAATGGCTGGTTATCAGCATTGCAGCTTGAGGCAATTACATATGCAGCCCAGGTAAGCAATAATATTTCATAATACAATAATTATTTTATCCTATTCTATATAACAGAGTTGTTTCAATCTAAAGGTAACTTTTCCTTGTATGAAAACCTTGTAAATGTAATATTTATGAAAGTTTAATGTGTTGGAAAATTAAATTTTAGAAGTGTAGCAGAGATACAGATAGTGCATTTCCAGTGGAAATGGCAAATGTTATAACTTGCTTGGAATTTACTGGGAATATTTATTAAAATTAAAAATATGTATATCGACCAGGCACAGTGGCTCATGTCTGCAATCCCAACAGTTTGGGAGGCTGAGGTGGGTGGATTGCTTGAGCCCAGGAGTTCGCGACCAGTCTGGGTAACATGGTGAAACATCATGTCTACGAAAAATACAAAAAATTAGCTGAGTGTAGTGGCACGCACCTGTAGTCCCAGTTTCTCGGGAAGCTGAGGTAGGGGAATCACCTCAGCCCAGGAAGTCGAGGCTGCAATAAGCTGTGATCTTGTCACTCCACCCTGGGTGATGGGAACGAGACCCTGTCTCAAAAAAAAAAAATTATATATATGTATATGTGTGTGTATATATACCCATTCCTAGGAGTGTGTTCCCTGGAACTGTTAGATAAGAACATATGCAGAATGATATTTGTTGTACCTTTTGTCCCTCCAGCTGGAAAAGATTTGAGCATCCACATTATTGGGGGGTAATTGCATAAACTGTGATATTATTGGACAGTGGGGTGTTGTGTGGGCTTTTAAAATGATGTGAGGTAGAGTTAAGCAGTTGTCTTGAAATGATTTCAGTCATATTCCATATCTGTAAAATAAGTAATGACCAAAATAGCCATTTATCCTCCATATTTTGTGTGATATAAAACTTTTAATTTGGCTGGGCATGGTGGCTCACGCCTGTAATCCCAGCACTTTTTTTTTTTTTTTGAGATGGAGTCTCACTGTGTCGTCCAGGCTGGAGTGCAATGGTGCGATCTTGGCTCACTGGAACCTCCGCCTCCCAGGTTCATGCCATTCTTCTGCCTCAGCCTCCCGAGTAGCTGGGACTACAGGCACCCACCGCCACGCCCGGCTAATTTTTTCTGTTTTTAGTGGAGATGGGGTTTTACCGTGTTAGCCAGGATGGTCTCGATCTCCTGACCTCATGATCCACCCATCTCGGCCTCCCAAAGTGCTGGGATTACAGGTGTGAGCCACCGTGCCCGGCCCAATCCCAGTACTTTGGGAGGCTGAGGCAGGCGGGTCACCCTGAGGTCAGGAGTTAGAGACCAGCCTGGCCAACGTGGTGAAACCCTGTCTCTACCAAAAATACAAAAATTAGCCAGGCATGGTGGTACACACCTCTAGTGCCATCTACTTGGGAAGCTAAGTCAGGAGAATCACTTGAACCCAGGAGGTGGAGGTTGCAGTGAGCTGAGATTGTGCCACTGCACTCCAGCCTGGACGACAGAGTGAGACTCTGTCTGAAAAAAACTAAAAAACCACTGGCCGGGCACTTTGGGAGGCTGAAGCTGGCGGATCACCTGAGGTTGGGAGTTCGAGACCAGCCTGGCCAACATGGTGAAACCCTGTCTCTACTAAAAATACAAAAACTAGCTGTGCGTGGTGGCACATGCCTGTAATCCTAGCTACTCGGGAGGCTGAGGCAGGAGAATCACTTGAACTCAGGAGGCGGAGGTTGCGGTGAGCCGAGATTGTGCCATTGCACTCTAGCCTGGGCAACAAGAGCAAAACTGTCTCAAAAACAAAACAAAACAAAAACAAACAAAAACCTGTTTGATTCTGCAGGTGTTGATAAGGGGTATGGCGGGCTCCTCACTAATTTGTTAACTTTCATTACCTGGTGCATGGAAGAGTAGCAGGAGATAATATACAGTAAATATGTAGAAAGTATTCACATTGAGCTGGGCGCGGTGACTCGTGCCTGTAATCTCAGCACTTTGGGAGGCCAAGGCGGGTGCATCATGAGGTCAGGAGATCGAGACCATCCTGGTCAACGTGGTGAAACCCTGTCTACTAAAAATACAAAAAATTAGCTGGGCGTGGTGGTGCATACCTGTAATCCCAGCTACTCGGGAGGCTGAAGCAGGAGAATAGCTTGAACAGGAATTCAGAGGTTGCAGTGAGCCGAGATTGTGCCACTGCACTTCAGCCTGGCAACAGAGCGAGACCCCGTTTCAAAAAAAGAAAAAAAAGAAAGTATCCACATTAAAGCCAAAACTATAAAATTTGGCTGGGTGCAGTGCCTCACACCTGTAATCCCAGCACTTTGGGAGGCTGAGGCGGGCGGATCACGAGGTCAGGAGATCGAGATCATCCTGGCTAACATGGTGAAACCCGTTTCTACTAAAAATAGAAAAAATTAGCCAGGCGTGGTGGCGGGCGCCTGTAGTCCCACCTACTCAGGAGGCTGAGGAAGGAGAATGGTGTGAACCCGGGAGGCAGAGATTGCAGTGAGCCAAGATCGCGCCACTGCACTCCAACCTGGGCGACAGAGCGAGACTCCGTCTCAAAAAAAAATCCAAAACTCTATGAAATTTATGTAAAAATAAAGTCACAAAATACATATACAAAACAAAAAACATAACATATTCCTACTCCTAAAACAGTGTATGAAAGATTGATCACCAAAATATCTGAAGGATTATATTAATTACCAGCCTTTTGTTTTTCAGCAACATGAAACTTTCCTACCTAATGGAGATCGTGCTGGCTTCTTAATAGGTGATGGTGCCGGTGTAGGAAAAGGAAGGACGATAGCAGGAATCATCTATGAAAATTATTTGTTGAGTAGAAAACGAGCATTGTGGTAAGTGTTTAAAAACTGGCTGTGGGCCAGGCGCAGCGGATCACGAGGTTAGGAGATCGAGACCATCCTGGCTAACACAGTGAAACTCCGTCTCTACTAAAAGTACAAAAAATCAGCCGGTCGTCATGGTGGGTTCCTGTAGTCCCAGCTACTCAGGAGGCTGAGGCAGGAGAATGGCGTGAACCCTGGAGGCATAGCTTGCAGTGAGCCGACATTGTTCCTCTGCACTCCAGCCTGGGTGACAGAGTGCGACTCCGTCTCAATGGAAGGTTTTGTTAGTAATTACTTTAGCATGTGGGGATGGGATCCGCCTTCCCCATCTAGACAGGATCTTTGTCACCCAGGCTGGAGTGCTGTGGCATATTCATGGCTCACTGCAGCCTCTACCTCAGGGGCTCAAGCAGTTCTGCCTCAGCCTCTTGAGTAGCTGGGACTACAGGCATGCACTACCATGCTTGGCTAATTTTTTGTAGATACGGGCTCTTCTTGTGTTGCTCAGGCTGGTCTCGAACTCCTGGGCTCAAGCAGTCCTCCTGCCTTAGGCTCCCAAAGTGCTAGGATTATGGGTGTGAGCCACTGCACTCAGTGGGATGGTGTTTTAATGAGTAAGTGTATTTTCTTTTTCTTTTTTTTTTTTTTTTTAAGTGTCAAGACCTGGCTTTATTAATTTTATTCCTGAATTCTAGAATGATATAATTTGTATTTAATTTGTGCTTTTTAATATTTTGGCAGGTTTAGTGTTTCAAATGACTTAAAGTATGATGCTGAAAGAGATTTAAGGGATATTGGAGCAAAAAACATTTTGGTTCATTCGTTAAATAAGGTATGAAATCTTTTTATTCAGTTGGTCATTCAATAAATATTGACTCATCTGTGAGATGACAATAATAATAGCTATGTATATAAGGGGACACTTTTTGGAAAACTTTGATGTTACTCCACAGAAAGCATAGTGAGTGCTAGCCACTATTGTTGGTTTGTGGATTCCTATATGCTAAACACTGACAGGCAGTAGCCACTCATCACATGTGGCTATTGAACAGTGTAAGTGACCAGTCCAAATTGAGATGTGCTCTCAAGTGTACAGTGCACACCAGTTGATTCTCTCAATTTTCAGTGTTATTTTTATCTTTCTTTTATAGTTTATATGCCATAAGGGTGCAGTTTAGACAGGTGGCATACCTTGCACTATAGGTCACCAAATCATATGCGATGTAGATAGTTATGGCTTGGGCAGACTGGTTTCAGTATTTGTACAGCTAATGGACTTGAGTTACTCATACCTCTGCTCACATGAAAACAATTCTGTAAGCTGAAAGACAATGTGTGCCAGTGTGTTTTAGAATGTTAAGGTTCAGTTAGCAAATCTTTATTGACTTACTATGCATGCACCAATTGTTGGTGCTATAAGGTTAAAATAGACTGATAGGGTTCCTGGAAGGGCCTCCCTAGTAGCCCTTTGAAAATAAGTAACTGCACCTCTACTTCCCATGTGAGTCCTAAGTTGAATTCAGTGTTGCCCTAAACAGTGGCTTGTTAGGGTGGGTTTTACTGGGTGGATTTGTAGCTATAAAGTACTGTGTCTTGAATGACTGTATACAATTCAGAACTAAAAGGATGTAAGTGGCATCTAGAATTTTTTTTTTAAATTTCAGAGTAGTATTAGAAAGGCACATTAACAATTACTCATAATTCTTATGTATCAGAAATTAATCACAGTGTTTTGCATATAGTAAGTGCACAATAAATGTTTGTAAATTGTGACTTTTTATTCTTATAGGGAAGTTTGTCTGGTTTTTAATGTTTTTTTTTGTGATGATAAAAGTTTTTAAGACTTTGAAAACTGGATTTAAAAAAAAAAAAAAAAGATCTCAGCTCTGTTGCCCAGGCTGAAGTGCAGTGGCACAATCTCGGCTCACTGCAACCTCCATCTCCCAGGCTCAAGCAGTTCTCCCACCTCAGCCCCTGTGGTAGCTGGGACTGCAGACACGCACCACGATGCCTGGCTAATTTTTGTATTTTTTGTAGGGATGGGGTTTCACTATGTTGGCCAGGCTGGTCTTGGAACTCCTGAGCTCAAGCGATCCACCCACCTTGACCTCCCAAAGTGTTGGGATTACAGGTGTGAGCCACTGTGTCCTACCAAAAACTGGATTTTTGTACTATAAAGTTGTGTGTTTGTGTTGTGTACATTTATACAAATAAATTTGCGTCTCTGTACTTTTATGTTTTCTGAAGCCTGTCATGGGCCTAACAAGAGTTCCTGCTTGTGAATGTTTAGTTGGGATGAATGTTGCAGAGAGAAAGGTATACTAATTAACTAAATTCTTTTCTTTTCTTTTTTAGTTTAAATACGGAAAAATTTCTTCCAAACATAATGGGAGTGTGAAAAAGGGTGTTATTTTTGCTACTTACTCTTCACTTATTGGTGAAAGCCAGTCTGGCGGCAAGTATAAAACTAGGTTAAAACAACTTCTGCATTGGTGCGGTGATGACTTCGATGGAGTGGTATCCTTTATGGCAAATATTTTTCTATTTTTTAACGACAAGAAAATTATAAAAGGGTAGACCTTTGGGAAACAGGAATCTTGAGATTAAACGAGTTGCTGGAGTGAAAACTTTAATGATTACCTAGAGTCCAAAGGGATTGGAAAGTTGATTCGGTTTTTTACCTGTCAGATAGGAGACCAATGTTTAATCTCCTGGTTTAGAAAAATGTTAATAGATATGAGGAATACTGAATACTGTATTCCCCTTTTGAGGATTAACATTGCATATTTACATAGCAGAATACCCGAGAAGACTAAGTGAAAGAAAACTGTTAGAACTTAGTGGTCCCAAACTTGTTCACAGTATATCTTTTAACTGTCCTGCATGAGGAACATCACTTTTTGAAATGCTGATTAAGTTGGTTACCAATCATGCTTCTACTTTTACAAGTTACCAGATAACAACTTCTTGCTGCAGTGGGTTCTTTTCTCTGTTTTAATTTAGAGGCAAATTGCTGGTTTAAATTCCAAATTCAGTGAATGTCTTTGAGGCTAGAGAGGGAGGAGGATGTAACTGGGGAAAGGCCCATAGGACTTCCTTTGTATTTGCAGTCATGAAATAGGCAATCAGAAGGCCTCAGGGAAATAAAAGTTAACTCTTCTTGAAAGACTGGAGATTCTTACTTAATACTAATGTGATACATTCCTTAACTCATTCCATTTAGATAGTGTTTGATGAGTGTCATAAAGCCAAAAACTTATGTCCTGTTGGTTCTTCAAAGCCAACCAAGACAGGCTTAGCAGTTTTAGAGCTTCAGAACAAATTGCCAAAAGCCAGAGTTGTTTATGCTAGTGCAACTGGTGAGTATTTATTTATTTAAAAATATATATTGTAGGTTATTTTTTCAACTATAATATATTTCATTTGTGGGATTTTCAGGTGCTTCTGAACCACGCAACATGGCCTATATGAACCGTCTTGGCATATGGGGTGAGGGTACTCCATTTAGAGAATTCAGTGATTTTATTCAAGCAGTAGAACGGAGGTAATGCAGTTTACGGTATATACTCTTCTCAGTAGCAATCTAAGAAGTGTGTTATTCCTAAAGCCCATTCTCTGTATGTTAAAATTCTACTGTATTGGTAATTACTGTATGTTTTAATTTTATTCAGAGGAGTTGGTGCCATGGAAATAGTTGCTATGGATATGAAGCTTAGAGGAATGTACATTGCTCGACAACTGAGCTTTACTGGAGTGACCTTCAAAATTGAGGAAGTTCTTCTTTCTCAGAGCTACGTTAAAATGTATAACAAAGCTGTCAAGCTGGTGAGGAATTTTTCTTAATTCCTAGTGTTTATTTAATGTATCTGATAATGTTTCTGTTAGTTTTGGCGATTGCGATGCCTCCTGCCCATGGGAATGTATTTCTACTATAAAACAACAGATGAAGCCAGGCACGGTGTCTCATGCCTCAGCACTTTGGGAGGCTGAGGCGAGCAGGTCACCTGAGGTCAAGAGTTCAAGACCAGCCTGGCCTACATGTTGAAACCTCATCTCTACTAAAAATACGAAAAAAAATTAGCTGGGCATGGTGGTGTGCGCCTGTAGTGCCAGCTACTTGGGGAGGCTGAGGCAGGAGAATCGCTTGAACCCAGGAGGCGGAGGTTGCTGTGAGCCAAGATGGTGCCAGTGCACTCCAGCTTGGGTAACAGAGGGATACTCCATCGCAAAACAAAAACAAAAACAAAAAACAAAAACAAACAGATGAGTTACCAGATGATAGGCTGTTTAACCAATGTGTTTTTTTTTGTTTTTGTTTTTAATTGAAGCAGGGTCTTACTCTGTCACCCAGACTGGAGTACAGTGGTGTGATCTTGGCTTACTGCAACCTCTACCTCCCAGGTTCAAGGAGTCCTCCAGACTCTGCCTCCTGAGTATCAGGGACTGCAGGCGCATGTCAATGTGCCTGGCTGATTTTTGTATTTTTTGGTAGAGATGAGGTTTTACAGTGTTGCCCAGCCTGATCTGGAACTCCTGGGCTCAAGCAATCCACCTGCCTCAGCCTCCCAAAGTGCTGGGATTACAGGCATCAGCCACTGCGCCTGGCCTAACCAATGTTCTTATATTTCAGATTGTCCATGTTTTCATTTTGTTAAGGTAATTCATAAGTTATAGCCATTTATTTCAGTTGCATAGTTCTTAAAATCACATTATTTTCTAAAATGACTGCATTAGGTAATAAGAAACTTGAGACAACTGTGTGAGTATCCTGAGAAATAGATTCCCAAGTTACTAAAGATGATTTATTAAATTAATATTAAATGGTCTTGCACTTAACATTGTTTTGATTTAATTGGTATTTTTAAATAACTAGACTCAAAGATGAAGTGTCTGAAATGTTGATTATGTATCTTCAGTGGGTCATCGCCAGAGAGCGGTTTCAGCAAGCTGCAGATCTGATTGATGCTGAGCAACGAATGAAGAAGTCCATGTGGGGTCAGTTCTGGTCTGCTCACCAGAGGTTCTTCAAATACTTATGCATAGCATCCAAAGTTAAAAGGGTTGTGCAACTAGCTCGAGAGGAAATCAAGAATGGAAAAGTAAGTAGAAGAACTCATTAAGAGATTGTTTGGGGGTTATGTTGTTTAGTCTTTGTGGGTGCTGAGGTTTTCTGCTTGTAAAATCTGGTTTTCCTAAAGGATAGTAAAACTTCTAAAAAATACATTTCTTAAAATTATAAAAGCAATGCCTGCTTAGAGAATTTAGAGAGTTCAGAAAAGTATAACAAAGTAAACATCACTATAATTGGTCATCCATAGCTGGTAGCACTGGTAACATATGGATGTGTATTGCGTTAAGGTTTTTTCTTTTCGGTGAATATTTATCTACTTAAAGCATAAGATACTATAAACTGTACAAGGGCAGGGGCTTCACTCATGCTTACTACTGTCTGTAATCCTATCTCCTGCCTAAATTTTTGACAAATAACCTGTCTCAAATATGTAGAAGAAATAAGTAAAACAAATTTGTGTTTTATAATAATGAGGACATTCTTGTTTGAAATCTTTGTTTAGCTAAATGTTTAAAATATGTCTTGGTAAGAAGCCACAAACATTATTATTCATAATTAACATGTTTTCTTTTTTCTCCAGTGTGTTGTAATTGGTCTGCAGTCTACAGGAGAAGCTAGAACATTAGAAGCTTTGGAAGAGGGCGGGGGAGAATTGAATGATTTTGTTTCAACTGCCAAGTAATGTTTTTGTTCTTTTAATGTTTTTGTTTCTTTTTGAGTTCTTCCTTACCTTAGTTCCAATGTGGGCATTTCCTGGAGACAAAACTTTTGTTTCACCTGCATCATCTTTAAGTTTTCTTGATCTGAGTTTTCTGCTTTTCTGTAACAGTGTATCTATTGGAAAACAATAACAGAAATCTCATAATCCTAAAATGTTAAGCATTTTGCTAATATTACACAGAGTATGTGAACTAACAGAAGGGCTAGACTTTGTTTATCTTGTACATCTTGGAAATCTGTGACAGCTTGGCTTAGATTCAGTTTTAGTGTACTGTATTTGAAATTACCGTTATCCACAGGAACAGTAACTATAGTTTGTCCTAATATAACGAAGTCTACTTTATAAGTTGGCTGAGCATGGTGGCTCACAGCTGTAATCTCAGCACTTTGGGAGGCCAACATGGGCACATCACTTGAGGTCAGTAGTTTGAGACCAGCCTGGCCAAAATGGTGAAACCCCATCTCAACTAAAAATAAAAAAAATTAGTTGGGCATGGTGGCACACGTCCTGTAGTCCCACCTACCTGGGAGGCTGAGGCAGGAGAATCCATTGAACCCGTGAGGTGGAGGTTGCAGTGAGCCAAGATCGCACCACTCCACTCCACTCCCCTCTGGGCGGCAGAGTGAGACCCTGTCTCAAAAAAAAATAAAATAAAATAAAGTCTACTTTAAAAGTTGAAAATAAGCATGAGATCTTCAGAAATAGATTTTAAAATGTTTTAGGCATTGTTTTTAGTTTGCCTAACCTCCACATTCAAACTCTGGTAGTAAACTGAGCAAAATAAACTTGCTGCTCTACTATTTTGTGCCTCGGGATGCATTCAGATGCTCCTTTCAAAAGCAATACATGGGGCTCACGCCTGTAATCCAGGCACTTTGGGAGGCTGAGTCTGGTGGATCACGAGAGCTCAGGAGTTTGAGACCAGCCTGGCCAACACGGTGAAACCTCGTCTCTACTAAAAATACAAAAACTAGCCAGGCGTGGTGGCGGGCACCTGTAATCCCAGCTACTGGAGAGGCTGAGGCAGGAGAATTGCTTGAACCCAGGCGGCGGAGGTTGCAGTGAGCTGAGATGGCACCATTGCACTCCAGCCTGGGTGACAGAGAGACTCGGTCTCAAAAAAAAAAAAAAAAAGAAAAAAGCAAGACATACACCTGCTAATCTATATTTTTCTGTACATAATTGCCTAGAACTACCGTGTCCAGAATGGCAGCCGCTTGTCACATGTGGCTATTGAGCAGTTGAAATGACTGGTCCATATTGAGATGTTATTATATGTGTACTGAGCCAGGTTTCAAAGACTCCTTAAGAGAAAATAACATAAAACATATGTGTTGACATGGTATATTGAGTTAAAATGTATTATTAAAATTAGTTCCACCAGTTTTATTTATTTTTTACTTTTTTAATTTAAGCTACCAGAAAATACAATAATTGTGTATGTGGTTTGGCTTGCATTCTTATTATTTAGTTGGACAGCTTTGGGCTAGAAAATTAAAATTTATTTGAGCTCGTTTATCAGTATTTTGTAAAACTGAACAAAGTATATTTCAATATATTTAATAATACTTTACATATAATTATTTTGTCAACTGAAGCAGTAATTGTCACTGTTTCTCTCCTACAGAGGTGTGTTGCAGTCACTCATTGAAAAACATTTTCCTGCTCCAGACAGGAAAAAACTTTATAGTTTACTAGGAATCGATTTGACAGCTCCAAGTAACAACAGTTCGCCAAGAGATAGTCCTTGTAAAGAAAATAAAATAAAGAAGCGGAAAGGTGAGCACTTTAAAAAAGAAAAAATAGGCCAGGTGCGGTGGCTCACACCTGTAATCCCAGCACTTTGGGAGGCTGAGGTGGGCAGATCACGAGGTCAGGAGATCGAGACCATCCTGGCTAACACGGTGAAACCCCATCTCTACTGAAAATACAAAAAATTAGCCGGGCATCGTGGTGGGCACCTATAGTCCCAGCTACTCGGGAGGCTGAGGCAGGAGAATGTCGTGAACCCAGGAGGCAGAGCTTGCAGTGAGCCGAGATAGCGCTGCTGCACTCCAGCCTGGATGACAGAGCGAGACTCTGTCTCAAAAAAGAAAAAGAAAAAAGAAAATAGTTGACGTTGAAAATACTGTTGAAATTAAAACATAAGCATTTTAAAGTGGCTATATTTTGGGAATGAACTGCCTTCCATGAATTCACAAATGGTTCCAAATTTTCACTGTCACTTGTACAATTTTGAATGCACAAGTTATCCCCGTTTTAAATTAGGAATTGAGCAATTCACTGGTGGTTGGCAGTGTGTTAAGCACTTGGCTATATACATTCTACCATATAACCTGGCAGAGGTCCATACGAAATTAGGTCTTATTTTTCCAATTTTATAGACAGAGATCATTGAAGCACAGAAAGATTTAAAGATTAAAGAGTTTTCCTAGTTTCACAGAGATAGTTAATGATGCATGGGAACTAAAACCTGTGTCTTTGTATTGTCAGACCTGTTCTTTAATATATAGACAGCTGGGTGTTTCAGTAGTTTTCTTTAAAAGAGCCTTTTCTTTTTTTTTCTTTTTTTTTTTTGAGACAGGGTCTCCGTCTCCGTCACCCAGGCTGGAGTGCAGTGGTACCATCTTGGCTCACTGCAACCTCTGCCTCCTGGGTTCAAGGAGCTGGGATTACAGGCATGCACCACCACGCCCTGCTAATTTTTGTATTTTTAGTAGAGATGGGGTTTCACCATGTTGGCCAGGCTGGTCTCAAACTCCTGAGCTTAAGCAATGCACCCACCTAGGCCTCCCAAAGTGCTGGGATTACAGGTGTGAGCCATCTCGCCCAGCCCTGTTTTGGTTTTAGAAGTTGACTTCTCGCCGGGCACAGTGGCTCACGCCTGTAATCCCAGCTTTTTGGGAGTTGAAACAGGCGGATCACCTGAGGTCAGGAGTTCGAGACCAGCCTGGCCAACATGGCGAAACCCCTTCTCTACTAAAAATTAAAAACTTAGCCAGGACTGGCGGCAGGGGCGCCTTATAATCCCAGCTATAAGGGAGGCTGAGGCATTAGAATCACTTGAACTCGGGAGGCAGAGGTTGCAGTGAGCCAAGATTATGCCACTGCACTTTAGCCTGGGAGACAGAGTAGACACTGTCTGGGGAAAAAAAAAAAATATCTGGTCATGGTTGCATGTGCCTGTAGTCCCAGGTACTTGGGAGGCTGAGGTGGGAGGATCACATGAGCCAGGGAAGTCGAGGCTGCAGTGAGCTATGATTGTGCCACTGCACTCCAGCCTGGGCAACAGTGAGGCCCTGTCTCCAAAAATAAAAAGGTTTTATAAATTGATTTTCTATTGATTTTCTAAGTATTCCATGTCTATAAACCTGTAATTATTAGGCCTCTTCTCAAATCTGATACACAGTCAAATTGTGACTATGCCAGAGGTTCTGCTTTTACTCTGTTGTCCTGAATATGTTTTGAAACTTGTGCACTTGAAGGCAGTCTTGACTTAGTACTTTTGTATCCAATTTCTTCTTCAGAATAAATGTTTATAACCTTATTTTTTATGGGAGTCCAAAAGGTTAGTGCTGGTTTGTGAATTCTGTTTGTTTTTTGACTTAACCTAAATACTTTTCCTCTGCACTTTTCATTTGAATTAATTCATGAACTAAATGTGATGTACTGGATCTTAAGAAACATTGAATTTGGGCTGACTCTCTTGTTTGTGGCGGAGGGTAGGTGAAGAAATAACTCGAGAAGCCAAAAAAGCACGAAAAGTAGGTGGCCTTACTGGTAGCAGTTCTGACGACAGTGGAAGTGAATCTGATGCCTCTGATAATGAAGAAAGTGACTATGAGAGCTCTAAAAACATGAGTTCTGGAGATGATGACGATTTCAACCCATTTTTAGATGAGTCTAATGAGGATGATGAAAATGGTAAGTTCAGTATATTAAATATACACGAAAGCATATAATATTTCAGTATATTTGAAAATGGGATATGAAACCTTTTCTTCTGTACAGTACAAATGATCACACAGATTATAATCTTTGCTTGGTGGAAAGCTCCAGGCTTATCTACCTTCTGGAAGTTTGAGCCTCATATATGTGAGAAGATAACCTCAATTTTGTGCAGTTATTTTTAACTTGAAAACATGGATTTGTACCCCATGGTGTATGGATGAACCAATGTAGGTGGTGATAAGTTATCAGTTAACAATATAAAAAATTTCATCCAGGCGCGGTGGCTCATGCCTGTAATCCCAGCAATTTGGGAGGCTAAGGTGGGTGGATCACCTGAGGCTGGGAGTTCGAGATCAGCCTGACCAACGTGGAAAAACCCCATCTCTACTAAAAATACAAAATTAGCCAGGTGTGGTGGCACATACCTGTAATCCCAGCTACTCAGGAGGCTGAGGCAGGAGAATCGCTTGAACCCAGGAGGTGGAGATTGCAGTAAGCTGAGATTGCGCCATTGCACTCCAGCCTGGGCTACAACAGCGAAACATTGTCTCAAAAAAATAAAATTTCAAAGGTTGTTTCCTTTGAAGATTCTGTACTTGTTTTAACAAATGATTTGACATGTATCTTTCCTTAACACTCAGATCCCTGGTTAATTAGAAAAGACCACAAGAAAAACAAAGAGAAAAAAAAGAAGAAAAGTATAGATCCAGATTCTATTCAAAGTGCCTTATTAGCATCAGGTCTTGGATCAAAACGACCTAGTTTTTCATCTACACCAGTTATCTCACCTGCTCCTAACAGTACACCAGGTATCCATACAGAAACTTCCTTTTTGAAATACTGTTTTAAACAAAAATATTTAAACTTTGTACTAACTTTTAGCAAATGTTCTTTATCTAGCTAACAGTAACACCAACAGTAACAGTAGCCTTATAACAAGTCAGGATGCTGTGGAAAGGGCTCAGCAGATGAAGAAAGACCTGCTTGATAAGCTAGAAAAATTAGCTGAAGACCTCCCCCCTAATACCCTGGATGAACTTATCGATGAACTTGGTGGCCCTGAGAACGTTGCTGAGGTAAATAGGCCTGTATCTCTTGGTGACATTTTTGCCATTTGAACCCCTGTAAAATGAGTTGTATTTTGACTGTCTTCACATAATAATCTAAATTTCTTAGATCATAGAATTCTTGTTCTACTTTAGTTGCCATCCTACATCCAATGAACTGCTGCCTGCAGTATCTGAGTGTCTGTCCCAAGCCACTGGTCCTAGTTACTGCACTTATCACGCATCTTTTGTGATCGTGGCCATGTGTCAAGGTTTTTCCAGGGACTCTGTTGCAGTGTTCTGTATCCTTCAGTGTGTGGTGCAGCACAGCCTGTGCTCTTATCTCCCAAGTGTCTTCAAGGAAAGAGGCACTGAGTCCATCCACCGCAGTCAGATACCTTCATTGTAATGACATTGTTTGGCTTCTCAGATGACTGGCCGCAAGGGACGGGTTGTGAGCAATGATGATGGAAGCATATCTTATGAGTCAAGATCTGAACTTGATGTGCCTGTGGAAATACTAAACATCACAGAAAAACAACGATTTATGGATGGAGATAAGGTATGTTTTACTGAGATGCTTCTCAGTGAAAAGAACAATGCCTGTATATTTAGATTAAGCTTTAGAAGAGTCTTTTTCCTTTTAATATAAGTCATGTCCATTGAGTATTGTCATTCTGTATTTTTTAGTAATTGTACATACTGAATATTGTACGTGTTTTTATTATTTTATCATTGAATATAGTAAGTATTGGCTGGGTGCAGTGGCTCAGGCCTGTAATTCCAGCACTTTGGGAGGCCAAGGTGGGCAGATCACTTGAGCTCTGGAGTTTGAGACCAGCCTGGGCAGCATGGTGAAACCCCGTCTCTACTGAAAATACAAAAATTTAGCTGGGTGTGGTAGTGCATGCCTGTAGTCCCAGCTGCTCAGAAGGCAGAGGTGGGAGGATAGCTTAACCCTGGGCTATGCAGGTTGCAGTGAGCCGAGATCGCACCACTACACTCCAGCCTGTGCAACAGAGCTATTACACAAATTTTTTTAGTAATTGCCTTTACTCACTGAATATTTTGCATGTTTTTATTATTTTATCATTGAATATAATAAGTATTGTGTGTAATGCATAGAATCAGATATGGCTCTTGAGTGCTTTGGAGGCTTTTGAAATATTTAATCATGATATAAAAATACTGTGTTTTCTCCAGGCGTGGTGGCTCACGCCTGTAATCCCAGCACTTTGGGAGGCCGAGATGGGCAGATCATGAGGTCAGGAGTTCAAGACCAGGCTGGCAAACATGGTGGTGAAACCCCATCTCTACTAAAAATACAAAAATTGGTCGGGTGTGGTGGCATGTGCCTGTAGTCCCAGCTACTCAGGAGGCTGAGGGAGGAGAATAGCTGGAACCTGGGAGGCAGGGGTTGCAGTGAGCCAAGACTGCACCATTGCATTTCCACCTGGGCAGCAGAGTGAGACTGTCTCAAAAAAAAAAAAAAAACGTTCCCTTAGTTCATCTTGGTGTTGTGACATCTAATGTCATTCCGATTTTGAGACTAAAATATTTATGTGTGTCCATATTACTAGTAATTTTGGTTTCACTGTTTATTTTATTGCTATGTCATGTTATATTAAGACGATTTACTGTAAATGGCTTACAGATTACATTCCCATATCCAACCATTGTAGAGATTTTGGGTGCCTCCAGAGACTCTTTTTTTTTTTTTTTTTGAGACAGAGTCTTACTCTGTTGCCCAGGCTGGAGTGCAGTGCAGTGGCATGATCTCAACTCACTGCTACCTTCACCTCCTGGGTCCAAGTGATTCTTGTGCCTCAGCCTCCCGAGTAGCTGGGACTACAGGCACGCGCCACCACGCCTGGCTAATTTTTGTATTTTTTGATAGAGACAGGTTTCACCATATTGACCTGGCTGGTCTTGAACTCCATGCCTCAAGTGGTGTACCCACCTCTGCCTCCCAAAATGCTGGGATTATAGGCGTGAGCTACTGTGCTGGCCCAGAGACTCTTTCTGTAGACTTTGTTTGAGAAGGACCGTCACTTTGTCCCCCAGGCTGGATCTCAGCTCACTGCCACCTCCACCTCCCGGGTTCAAGCAGTTCTCTGCCTCAGCCTCCTGAGTAGCTGGGAATATAGGCACACACCACCACACCTGGCTAATTTTTGAATTTTTAGTAGAGACAAGGTTTCGTCATGTTTGCCAGGCTGGTCTTGAACTCCTGACCTCAAATGATCCGTCTGCCTCGGCCTCTCAAAGTACTAGGATTACAAGAGTTTGAGACCAGCCTGGGCAACATAATGGGACCCTGCCCTGTACAGGGAAAATAGTCACATGATGGCACATGCCCACAGTCCCAGCTACTGAGGAGGCTGAGGTGAAAGGATCACTTGAGCTTGAGAGGTGAAAACTGTAGAGAGCTATGATTGCACCACTGCACTCCAGCTTGTGTGACAGAGTGAGACCCTGTCTCAAAAAATATATATATACAAAAAGATAATGTTACGTATTTTCAAGATTGTAGGTACAGGTATTAGTTATTTTATATAATTGCTTCATGAATCTAGGCCCATATGCATTAGGAATTACATTAGTTGGAATTAGTTTTGGTTGTTAAATAACAGAAAATACAAAGTCTGTTAAGTGTTGACTTCAATAAGATAGATTATTTCTCTCATGGACACATTTGGGTAGGTGGAGCAGGGCTTGTATGCCCTCTTGAAGTCCAGGCATCTTCCGTGTTGTTCATTAAATTATGTGGGCCTCCATTTCCAAGTTACCTTTGTATTCCAAGATACCTGTTCCAGACTCTTGTCAGTACCTCTACATTTTACCTAACAGAGAGGAGACAAGGGGATGAGAAGGGCATGTCGCCTACTTTTAAGGACATTTCCTGTGCATCATACATTTTACCTACACCTTGCTGGCTGGAGAATGTTCACACTTAGCCGTAAGGGAGACTGGGAAATAAAACTGGAAGTCTTCATTATTGAGAAAGAAGGAGAGAATAGGCAGTCTGCTGAAGGACTTCATTTAAGGCACTGGCCTGCTTGTTCTTATGCAAAAGTGACTTTATTTTTCTTATATTTGACACAGAATATTGCTATCATCTCAGAAGCTGCCAGCTCGGGTATTTCATTACAAGCAGATAGGAGAGCTAAAAATCAAAGGCGAAGAGTTCATATGACTTTAGAATTACCTTGGAGCGCTGATAGAGCAATTCAACAGTTCGGTAAGTTCCTACAAACTGGATTTCACTTAATGGATAGCTAGGAATCATTGGGGTAAATTTGCGCATACCAAAACCTAGGTTTAGGCCGGGCACAGAGGCTCACGCCTGTAATTCCAACATTTCGGGAGGCCACTGTGGGAGGATAACTTGAGTCCGGGAGTTTGAGACCAGCCTGGTCAACGCAGTGAGACCCTTTCTCCACCAAAAGAAAAGAAAAACAGCTGAGAGCAGTGGCTCGTGCCTGTAATCCCAGCACTTTGGGAGGCTGAGGTGGGTGCATCACTTGAGGTAATAGTTTGAGACCAGCCTGGTCAACATGGTGAAACCCAGCCTCTACTAAAAATACAAAAATTAACTGGGTGTGTTGGCACACACCTGTAATCCCAGCTACTTAGGGTGCTGAGACGGGAGAATTGCTTGAACCTGGGAGGCGCAGGCTGCAGTGAGCTGAGATCACGCTATTGCACTCCAGCCTGGGCAACATAGGGAGATTCCATCTCAAAAAAAAAAAAAAAAAGAAGAAGAAAAGAAAAACTTGCTGGGTGTGGTGGCGTGTGCCTGTAGTCCCAGCTACTCAGGAGGCTGAGGTAGGAGGATTACTTGAGTCCAGGAGTTCAAGGTTGCAGTGAGATATGATTTCACCACTGCACTCCAGCCTGGGTGACAGAGCGTGACCTTGTCTCAAAAAACAAAAACAGGCTGGGCGCAGCGGCTCACGCCTGTAATCCCAGCACTTTGGCAGGCTGAGGTGGGTGGATCACCTGAGGTCGGGAGTTCAAGACCAGGATGACCAACATGGAGAAACCCTGTCTGTACTAAAAATACAAAATTAGCCGGGCGTGGTGGTGCATGCCTGTAATCCTGGCTACTCAGGAGGCAGAGGTAGGAGAATCGCTTGAACCCGGGAGGCGGAGGTTGCAGTGAGCCAAGATCACACCATTGCACTCTACCTTTGGCAACAAGAGCGAAACTCTAACAACAACAAAAAAATCCTGTTTAATGTCTTATATCTTATCTCGAAATCTCAGATCTTGCATTTAAGGAGTGTTATATATATACTTTATAGTATATGATGCATTGTGGATTCATTTTTTGCTTGTTTACAAGTTGTAAAAAATATATATGTGGTGGGAATTTGTGGGGTTCCAAGAACAGGGTTCCTCAAGGAGTGTCCTTATAAAACTTAAGGATGTATTAGGTCCATATCAGAGAAGCTGCTACTTCTATATGTGTTTCCAACCTCAGTAGCTTCACCAAAGGCCCATAGCTCCTCCCTCCATCTTCATGTTCTTGTGACCAATGATTTGAAAAACAATTTTGGGAAAATCCAGAGTAATTGTGCATCAGTAACATGTGGTTAAGCAAAATTGGGGTAGCAATGCTAATACTTCTGTCATTGAGCAGTTTTATGTGTGTTATGGTAATTTTACATTATCTGTAATTTTTATTGTTTAGTGGTTTCCCAATACCAGTTTAGTGTTAAATGCTAGGAATACATCTCAGAATATTCTCTGTCCAGCGAACACAATCAATGATCTTTAAAACAAAATTTCGTTGCAGGACGTACTCATAGATCAAACCAAGTTACTGCTCCTGAGTATGTCTTTCTGATATCTGAACTGGCAGGAGAACAAAGATTTGCATCTATTGTTGCTAAAAGACTTGAGAGTTTGGTGAGTTTTGGAGTTGTGTGGCTGTGTGTAAATGATGATCTATTGTACCTGTTTTCTGGTAAAAGGTTACCTGTGCCTTGATTGAAATTTTTGTTTTTAACAGGGGGCACTTACACATGGTGATAGAAGGGCAACAGAATCTAGAGATCTGAGCAGGTTCAACTTTGATAATAAGGTACATTTCAATTTTCAGTATCTCTGAAAACTTGTGATAGTGTATGGTGTCTTTCGGGAACACAAAAGGAAAGTAGTTACTGTCTAAAACAAAACTGCCTCTCCTATGCATTTGCTTTAAAATCATGGCTTCCTATAAGACAGAATTTCACATGTATGTTAGATCGCATGTTAAGTATCAGTACAGCAATGTAGTTGTCTTTATTCCTTTTGGAAAACAAGAATAAATGAGACTGAATTAACTGTGAGTTCTCAGAAGCAAAGGAAGTTAATTTTTCTCATGTTTTTTATGTGTAGAGACATGAACTAGGCAGTATAAAATATATATAAAGGCCAGGCGCTGTGGCTCATGTCTGTAATCCCAGCACTTTGGGAGGCCAAGGCAGGTGGATCACTTGAGGTCAGGAGTTCGAGACCAGCCTGGCCAACGTGGTGCAACCACATCTGTACTAAAAAAAAAAAAAAAATACAAAAATTAGGCCGGGATCAGTTGCTCACACCTATAATCCCAGAATATAGGAGGCCAAGGCAGGTGGGTCACCTGAGGTCAGGAATTCGAGACCAGCCTGACCAACATAGTGAAATCCCATCTCTACAAAAATTAGATGGGCGTGGTGGCATGCATCTGTAGTCCCAGCTACTTGGAAGGCGGAGGTTGCAGTGAGCCGAGATCATGCCACTGCACTCCAGCCTGGGCAATAGGGCAAGACTCTGTCTCAAAAAATTATACAAAAATTAGTTGGGCGTGGCTGGGCACAGTGGCTCACGCCTGTAATCCAGCACTTTGGGAGACCGAGGTGGGTGGATCACGAGGTCATGAGATCGAGACCATCCTGGCCAACATGGTGAAACCCTGTCTCTACTAAAAATAGAAAAATTAGCTGGGCGTGGTGGTGTGCGCCTGTAGTCCTAGCTACTTGGGAGGCTGAGGCAGGAAAATCACTTCAACCTGGGATGCAGAGGTTGCAGTGAGCCGAGTTTACACCACTGCACTCCAGCCTGTCAACAGAGCAAGACTCCGTCTCAAAGAAAAAAAAAATTTAGTTGGGCATGGTGGCGGGCACCTATAATCCCAGCTACTTGGGAGGCTGAGGCAGGAGAACCGCTTGAACCCAGGAGGCGGAGGTTTCAGTGAGTAGAGATCGTGCCATTACATTCCAGCCTGGGCGATGAGCAAAACTCTGTCTCCAAAAAAAGAAAAAATAAATAAATACATATAAAGATAATTGAGAATTGCTTTTTTGAATCTTTGGTACAATAAGTTTGTGGGTTTTTTGGGGTTTTGTTGAGAGGGAGTTTTTTGCTCTTGTCGCCCAGGCTGGAGCACAATGACGCCATCTCGGCTCACTACAACCTCCGCCTCCTAGGTTCAAGCAATTCTCCTGCCTCAGCCTTCCAAGTAGCTGGGATTACAGGTGTCTGCCACCACACCCAGCTAATTTTTTGTAGTAGAGATGGGGTTTCACCATGTTGGTCAGGTTGGTCTTGAACTCCCAACCTCGGGTGATCCACCCACCTCGACCTCCCAAAGTGCTGGGATTACAGGCATGAGCCACCGCACCCAGCCAGTAGTTTTTATAGTATTTAGGTGGTCATGTGATTGAAGAGTATCCAAATGCTGAAACTGGTTAAAGGTTTTGATTTTTTTTTGCAGTATGGAAGAAATGCTTTAGAAATTGTCATGAAATCCATTGTAAACTTGGATTCTCCTATGGTATCACCACCTCCAGACTATCCTGGAGAATTTTTTAAAGGTAACTTCTACAAATATTCATAACAATGACAATGATTATTGACAAAGATGTACTCAAACCTGTTGTAATGTTTGCTGTTATATTAGTTTTTTTCTTTGGACATAAATTGTATAAAACTTTGAAATTAATGGTTACTAGGACACATAATTATCTTGTATTAAACAGATTTATTAAAGCAAATTTTATTCAAATGAAAGTGCTCTTACTGTTGATATGGTGAAAGCATGTTTGTCTAATAAGAGATTTAATAGAGGAAAGTTGTTTTAGTACATTGAGTAAAATCACTTTGCCAAATAGCCTTTTTTAAAAATTATTTATTTATTTATTTATTTTATTTTTTTTAAGACCGAGTCTTTTTTAAAAATTATTTATTTATTTATTTATTTATTTATTTATTTATTTATTTATTTATTTATTTTAAGACCGAGTCTTGCTCTGTCGCCAGGCTGGAGTGCAGTGGCATGATCTCGGCTCACTGCAACCTCTGCCAACAGGTTCAAGCCATTCTCCTGCCTCAGCCTCCTGAGTAGCTGAGATTACAGGCACATGCCACCACACCCAGCTAATTTTTGTATTTTTAGTAGACACGGCGTTGCACCATGTTGGCCAGGATGGTCTCGATCTCCTGACTTCATGATCTGCCCGCTTTAGCCTCCCAAAGTGCTGGAATTAACAGGCATGAGCTACCGTGCCCAGCCCCAAATAGCTTTTAAAATTCAATTTAATTTTAAAGTTGAAAAAGTACCTAGGTAAATAATCTGTGAGGATTGATTGGTTGGGGTGGGAGGTTTGGATGAAACAAAATTGGCCATGAATTCACAGTTGTTTAAACTGGGTGATGGATACATGTGGCTCATAGCTTAGCCTTTTTTCTTTCGTGTATTTGGAAATGTCCTTTTTTTTTTTTTCGAGACGGGGTCTCGTGCTGTCACCTGGGCTGGAGTGCAATGGTGTGATCTTGGCTCAGTGCAACCTCCGCCACCAGGTTCAAAGGGTTCTCCTCCCTGAACCTCCCGAGTAGCTGGGATTACAGGTGCCCGCCACCATACCTGGCTAATTTTTGTGTTTTCAATAGAGATGGGGTTTCGCCATGTTGACCAGGCTGGTCTTGAAATCCTGGCCGCATGTGATCCTCCCACCTCAACCTCCCATAGTGCTGGGATTACAGATGTGAGCCAAGGCACCCAGATGGAGTTAGCATTTTTCACTAGGAAGTCCTTTTGGTAGATTAGCACATACTGATATGTGTTGTTAACAGTTCATATTGACATACCAGTTAGAGGTGTTCATCATTACTCTCGGCTTTCAACAAAAGCAGTAAAGTCTTAACCCTACACCTTCACTCCTTTTGACATCAGGAGTGTCAGAAACAACTCCCTGGTCTGGGCACAGTGGCTCATGCCCGTAATCCCAGCACTTTGGGAGGCTGAGGTGTGAGGATTGCTTGAGCCTAGGAGGTGGAGGCTGTAGTGAGCTGTGATGGCACCACTGCATTCCAGACTGGTGAGAGAGACCCTGTCTCAGAAAAAAAAAAAAAAGATTCCTTGATTTACTTCTAACTTCTTAAAATTACAGGTTATGGCTAGGCGCAGTGGCTCACACCTGTAATTTCAGCACTTTGGGAGGCCAAGGCAGGTGGATCATTTAAGCTCAGGAGATCAAGACCAGCCTGGGCAACATGGAGAAACCCCCTCTCTAAAAAAATTACAAAAAAAAATTAGCCAGGCACGGTGGTGCACGCCTGTAGTTCCAGCTGCTCGGGAAGCTGAGGTGGGAGGATCCCTTGAGCCTGGGAGGCGGAGGTTGCAGTGAACCAAGATGATGCCATTGCACTCCAGCCTGGGCAACGTAGTCAGACTCTGTCGCAAAAATATATATATATATATATATATATATATAGATAGATAGATAGATAGATAGATAGATAGGTTACTTGTTTATTATAAGTAATGACAGTAATCTTGCAGCTGGGCGCAGTGGCTCACACCTGTAATCTCAGCACTTTGGGAGGCCGAGCCGGGTGGATCTCCGGAGGTTAGGAGTTTGAGACCAGCCTGGCCAACATGGCGAAACCCCGACTCTACTAAAAATATGAAACTTAGCCTGTAGTCCCAGCTACTCAGGAGACTGAGGCAGGAGAATTGCTTGAACCCGTGAGGCAGAGGTTGCAGTGAGCTGAGATCGCGCACTGCGCTCCAGCCTGGGTGACAGAGTGAGACTCCGTCTCAAAAAAAAAGAAAAGAATCTTAACATGTATAATGAAGAGAGTTAATACAGTCCCCTTAACCCTCCTTCCATTCTCACCTTCTTAGGTCACAGATGACAGAGTGAACAAGGGCAGTTCTCTCCACATTTTCTCCATGTTTATATAAATATCAAGGTGTTTTTTTAAAATGGCATGATACTACTTACAACATACTTTTCTCACTTAGTGGTACATTGTAGACATCCCTTGTAATTTATGAGTCAGAATTGATCCTGTTCTTACAGATGTTCGACAAGGACTGATAGGCGTTGGCCTGATAAATGTAGAAGATCGCTCGGGAATTCTTACTCTCGATAAAGGTACTACTATTAGCTTTGTGTGGGCATATAACTGTTGCTATAGTATTAAAGTCCATTATGATATATGCTTTTGAGCTGAAGGGGAAGCTTCATGTTCTTAAAACATTCTGGGTGGTTTTGGCTGCTGTGGGGTATGTGTAAAAGATCCATGCATAGAGAAGCAGTTTTCAGCACTGGCTGCTGATATGATCAGCTCTCAAGCTTTTAAAAATTACTGAAGTCTGCTGGGCACGGTGGCTCACGCCTGTAATCCCAGCACCTTGGGAGGCTGAGGTGGGTAGATCACAAGGTCAGGAGTTTGCAACCAGCCTGGCCAATATGATGAAACCCCATCTCTACTAAAAATACAAAAATTAGCCGGGCCTGGTGGCGGGTGCCTGTAGTCCCAGCTACTCGGGAGGCTAAGGCAAGAGAATTACTTGAACCCGCGAGGCAGAGGTTGCAGTGAGCCGAGATTGCACCACTGCACTCCAACTTCGGCGACAATAGAGCAAGACTCCGTCTAAAAAAATAAAAAAAAATTGGTCGGGCGCGGTGGCTCACGCCTGTAATCCCATCACTTTGGGAGGCTGAGGCAGGCGTATCACAAGGTCAGGAGTCCAAGACCATCATGGCCAAGATGGTGGAACCCTGTCTCTACTAAAAATACAAAAATTATCCAGGCATAGTGGCGGGCGCCTGTAATCCCAGCTACTCAGGAGGCTGAGGCAGGAGAACTGCTTGAATCTGGCAGGGGGAGGTTGCAGTGAGCCAAGATTGCATGACTGCACTCCAGCCTGGGCAACAGCAGAGCAAGACTCCGTCTCAAGAAACAAAACAAAACGAAAAATTACTGAAGTCGGGTGGAGCTCAGACATCGGTAGTTTTCCAAAGCTCCCAGACATTCTAATAGTGCCACTACAGTTGAGAATTCAGTGTTGGAGAACTAACTTTCTTATGTACTGAATTGTGTTCATACTTTCCATAAGTGAGGCTGAAGATGCAAAAATTCAATTTGACAAACCTCTTTTGAGCGTGTCCTGCAGTGGTGCTAATTGCTAGAGAGAGAAATGGGCAGATTACAGCCTTGTTGTGAGGACAGTGTAAGAGTTAAGAAGGAAGACTTTTAGAAGAGAAAGTGGGACTTGAACTAAGCCTAGATGAATAAAAAATTTTTAATTATCATTTGCATGAAAACGTTTATCTTTTGTCATTACAGATTATAACAACATAGGAAAATTCTTAAATAGAATTTTAGGCATGGAGGTGCATCAGCAGAATGCGTTATTTCAGTATTTTGCGGACACACTTACTGCAGTTGTTCAAAATGCCAAAAAAAATGGAAGATATGATATGGGAATCTTAGGTAAGTAGGGAAAATTTCCCCCCCACAATGTCCCCAGGGAAAATGTGGAGTGGAGAAATTCTTTAAACGTGTGTACCTGATAAAAATGTTCTTTTTACATTTACATGTTTCTTTTTCTTGTTCAAGATCTTGGTTCTGGAGATGAAAAAGTGCGGAAAAGTGATGTTAAAAAGTTTCTGACTCCAGGATATTCAACCTCTGGCCACGTAGAATTATACACAGTAAGTTTAGAAAATGTTGTGAAGTATCGTCTTCCCATGAGATGCATTTACAGAAATGAGTTTAAATTTCGTTGTTTCTCTTACAGATTAGTGTAGAGAGGGGAATGTCATGGGAGGAAGCTACCAAGATTTGGGCTGAGCTGACAGGACCAGACGATGGCTTTTACTTGTCATTGCAAGTACGACTTTTCCTTTAAATTCTATTCAGATATATAATACTTTTTAATGGCCAGCATTGTAATTGTCTCTTCACTTTGTACCTGTTTCCCAGTTGTGTTTAGCTTTGTCTATTTTGGTAATTTATCATTGTAATTGTGTGTTTGTCCATTTGTGTTATGTTTTTACTTAATGCATTTTAAAGGATGTTATTAGGTGTGGGTTTAGAATTGTTACATTTTCTTCTTTTTTTTTCTTTCTGAGACAGAGTTTCGCTCTTTGTTGCCCAGGCTGGAGTGCAATGGCACGATCTCAGCTCACCTCATCCTCTGCCTCCCGAGTAGCTGAGATTACAAGCATGTGCCACTAGGCCTGGCTGACATGTATTTTTAGTAGAGACGGGGTTTCTTCACTTTGGTCAGGCTGTTCTCAAACTCCCGACCTCAGGTGACCTGCCTGCCTCGGCCTTCCAAAGTGCTGGGATTAGAGGCGTGAGCCACTGTGCCCAGCCTAATTTTTTTATTTTTAGTAGAGGTGAAGTTTCACCATGTTGGCCAGGCTGGTCTCGAACTCCTGACCTCAGGTGATCTGCCTGCCTTGTCCTCCCAAAGGAATTATAGATGTGAGCCACCACACCTGGCTGAATTAACTTTTTTTTGAGATTGAGTCTTGCTGTGTTACCCAGGCTGGAGTGCAGTGGTGCGATCTCGGCTCACTGCAAGCTCCACCTCCCGGGTTCATGCCATTCTCTTTGCCTCAGCCTCCCGAGAGTAGCAGGGACTACAGGCGCCTGCCACCACGCCTGGCTAATTTTTTTTGTATTTTTAGTAGAGACAGGGTTTCACCGTGTTAGCCAAGATGGTCTCGATCTCCTGACCTCGTGATCTGCCCGCCTTGGCCTCCCAAAGTGCTGGGATTACAG
Source organism: Homo sapiens (assembly GCF_000001405.40). NCBI lineage: Eukaryota > Metazoa > Chordata > Mammalia > Primates > Hominidae > Homo > Homo sapiens. The sequence goes on along the minus strand of NC_000012.12, from coordinate 123,308,410 downwards.
GCTTGAGCCACTGCACCTGGCCAACATTTTCTTAAATTAAGCATTTTTCATAAGACAGAGACTTACTTTAGTCTTAATAATGCTTTATATCTTTAAGACTCATTTTTCAGTTAGTAAAATAGCTACATTCTTTCAGTTATGATTTGTCTCTGTGGACAGAACTAAGGGGTGTGTGTGCGCACACATCTATACATGTATGTGTAGATACTCAACAGTATGTAGATATTCAGCAGTATCTTGAGTTTCATATTTACTTACTCAGATCCAAGACAACAGAAATTTTATTTCGCCAGTTCTCTAAGATATTTGGGGTTGTGTTGTTTCGTTTTGTTTTGTTTTTTGAGGCAGTTTCAATCTGTCGCCCAGGCTGGAGTGCAGTGGCACGATCTTGGCTTACTGCAACCTCCGCCTCCCAGGTTCAAGCGATTCTCCTGCCACAGCCTCCCGAGTAGCTGGGACTACAGGCACGCACCACCACGCCTGGCTAAATTTCTTATTTTTAGTAGAGACAGGGTTTCACTGTGTTAGCCAGGATGGCCTCGATCTCCTGACCTCAGGTGATCCGCCTGCCTTGGCCTCCCAAAGTGCTGGGATTACAGGCATGAGCCACCGCGCCTGGCATGTGGCTAATTTTTTAATTTTTCTTTTGTAGAGATGGTGTCTCACTATGTTGACCAGGCTGGTTTGAAACTCTTGGCCTCAAGTGATCCTCCCACCTCTGCCTCCCAAAGTGCTGGGATTACAGGTGTGAACCACGCTGCCTGGCCCCTTCGTTCTTTTTTACAAGGCTGAGTAATATTTCATTGGTTGTATATAACATATTTTGCTTTCTGTTTACAAATATTTATGGAGTGACTGCAAGTAAGACCTGGTTCTTGCTCATATGAAGTACCTACATGTATGATGATGGCACAGGCAGGATGAAGTCATAAATGATCTAGGGCAGGAGTTGCTAAACTTTTTCTATGAAGGTCTGATATGTATGGTTTTGTAGGCCATATGTGGTCTATATTGCATGTCCTCTGTGTTTTCCTTCCTTCCTTTCTCTTTTTTTTCCCACCTTCCTTCATTCCTTCTTAATCTTACTTCAGTTTAGGAGTGCCAAGCTAGATTTATTCCACAGGCCTAAGCTGCTGATCCTTGACCTAGAGAAAAGCTCTCAAAGGATCTGGCTCCTAGTTGAGTTGGGGTTTTTTGGTTTGGTTTTGTTTTTTGTAATGGGATCTCGCTCGCTCTGTCACCCAGGCTGATAAGCAGTGGCGTGCGTGATCATGGCTCACTGCAGCTTCAACCTCCTGGGCTCAGACAATCCTCCCACCTCAGCCTCTTAAGTAGCTGGGACCACAGGTACACTCCACCACATTTGGCTTTTTTTTTTTTTTTTTTTTTTAATGCAGTTGATGTCTCACTGTGTTGTCCAGGCTGGTCTCAAACTCCTAGGCTTAAATGATCCTCCCACCTCGGCCTCCCAAAGTGCTGGATTACAGTTGTGAGCTACTGTGCCTTGCTGGTTTTGGGGTTTTTGAAATACTGATTGAACTGTAGGTTGATTTGCATGTCATTATAAGAAACAGTACAGATAAACATCTTGCATACTTTTATCAGTTACCCCAGTGGTAATATTTTTTAAAACTGTAGTGTAATATCACAACCAAGATGTTGATATTGGTAGAATTCAAGTATTTTACTCGGCTATCCCCCATAGATGCAATTTTGATTGGTCCACATAAGGTGTTGGTTATTTTCAGGACAGTCTCGAACTCCTCCTGGGCTTGATCCATCCTCTCACCTTGTCCACCTGAATAGCTGGGATTACAGGCATGCACCACTGCACCTGGCTCTTGGTTATTATTTTTAAATTGAAATTATTGCCAGAATATCACCGTTGGTAGATTGTGATGAAAGTCCTGATCCCCAGCTTCTCTTAGGTTGAAGGATGTGATAATACTGGTCCTTCATTCTCTGTGTGGCAACAGGTGGCTGGGCGTGAGGAGTGGTGGTCCTAGAGACCTCATTCCTGGTCTTCGTTTGCCTTTGAACCTCCACTGCATTAGGCCACCATACTTTTCAGTGTGTGTAGCCTGTGCTGCCATTGGGAAAACAATGTCAGAATCACTTTCCACTGTTCTGTGATGATGTATAATTAACCTGACACTGTCAAGACAGAGCCCATTGTTAAGTGTCTTAAACACTATCCTCTAAGTATAGGTTTGGATATTTCCTGTCAGCTGATAAATAATTTTAAATATAATCTTCACCTTAACCATTGTTTTATGACTTTACAGTAATTATATAAACAATGTTTCAATTCGTTGGAAAAAGTAAGAGACCAAGGGTCTTTAATATCCATGAAGAGGAAAGTAAAATATTGTGTTTTTCATTATAAGAATGAATATAAAAAGTTAATAGCCCCGCAAACAATGATTTATTGTGTAGAGGGCTGGGAAAATGGTTTTACTTTGAAACTTTTCTTTTTCCTTCCGTTTTGCTCCAGAAATGATTGTTTAGAAGCTGTTCAGTCTTTATAAAGAAGAAATGAATTTTCCAGTTGTTTTTCCTTGAGTTAAATGGAGTTTTAAGAGTAACTCCTTCCTCTTAAAGTTTTTCTCATAAATCCAACTTTAAAAAGTTAAAAATAGGCCAGGCGTGGTGGCTCACGTCTGTAATCCTAGCACTTTGGGAGGCCGGGGCGGGTGGATCACCTGAGGTCAGGAGTTTGAGACCAGCCTGGCCAACATGGAGAAACCCCATCTCTACTAAAAATACAAAATTAGCCAGGCATGGTGGTGAGTACCTGTAGTCCCAGCTACTCGGGAGGCTGAGGCAGGAGAATCGCCTTGAACCTGGGAGGCGGAGCTTGCAGTGAGCCGAGATCGCGCCCTTGTGCTCCAGGCTGGTGACAGAGCAAGACTGTCTCAAAAACAAAAAAAAAAGTTAAAAATACATACCTAAATTCCAACATTTCTCTAATGCTTCCCTTTCTTCCATTTTTACCTCCATATGTGTGGACAATTTGTTCAACATTTTTGCTTTCTGCTGCCATAGCAGCTTTGATGTTTACAGAACACTTTATCATGTGATCTCTCACTTTGCCCTTCAAAACCCTGTGACATCGGGAAAGGCAGTACTGACGGAGTAGACAAGTGCAGAGGACTGGGGCCATCCAAGGCCTTATCTTGGAGGGGCTTGAATTCTATTGTTAACTTGAAAGGAGAGTAACATTTCTTTTTCCATTTTACTGAGAAATGTTTAAAAACATACAGCAGAGCTTAAAGAATTTTCTCTGAAGACCCCTAATGCCTACTGCCTGGATTCCACTGTTAACATTTTATTACACTTGGTTTTTCTTACCTCTCTGAGGCTGCTTGACTGGGATTCCAGGTACAGGAAATAAAAGAAGCAAAATGATCTGTGTTGGACATTTGTGCATTAAAGCTAATTCCACGTAGTTTTCTGAAGATAACTTTGGTCTTTAACCTTCATCTTTAGCCAGAATTAAGGTCCAATAACTGCCTCTTGGGTGTGACTGTGTTAGTCTTTTAAACAAGCATTTTCGGTCCTTTTTGAAGTTACCGTGTACTTACTTAGTGTTATAGTCTCAAATGATTATGTTTGCTGACGTGATGGTACAGAAACATGTCTTAAAGTGTGTATTATAAAATCTTTATATTTTGTCATTTTCTTTAAACAGATAAGGAACAACAAGAAAACTGCCATCTTAGTTAAAGAAGTGAATCCTAAAAAGAAACTTTTCTTAGTTTATCGACCAAATACTGGGAAGCAGCTCAAATTAGAAATTTATGCTGATCTAAAAAAGAAATATAAGAAGGTATTTTTTCATTTGTACATTATATTATATAGGAATACTTACTTTGGGCCAGGCAATGTGGCTCACACCTGTAATCTCAGCACTTTGGGAGGCCGAGGTGGGCAGATCACCTGAGGTCAGGAGTTCGAGACCAGCCTGACCAACATGGAGAAACCCCGTCTCTACTAAAAATGCAAAATATTATCCCAGGATGGTGATGCATACCTGTAATTCCAGCCACTTGGGAGGCCGAGGTAGGAGAATCACTTGAACCCGGGAGGCGGAGGTTGCAGTGAGCCAAGATCACGCTATTGCTCTCCAGCCCGGGCAACAAGCGCGAAACTTCGTCTCAAAAAAAAGAATACTTACTTTAGCTGGGCACAGTGGCTCACGCCTGTAATCTTAGTACTTTGGGAGGCCAAGGCGGTTGGATCACCTGAGGTCAGGAGTTTGAGACCAGCCTGGCCCATATGGCGAAACCTCATCTCTACTAAAGATAGAAAAGATAGCCAGGCGTAGTGTTGCATGCCTGTAATCCCAGTTACTCAGGAGGCTGAGGCAGGAGAATCACTTTAACCTGTGAAGTGGAGGAGGCTTGCAGTAAGCCGAGATTGCACCACTGCACTCCAGCCAGGGAGACAGAGCAAGACTCCGTCTCAAAAAAAAAAAAAAAAAAAAAAGAATACTTATTTTATAATATATTGAAATTGTTTAAGATAGCTTTTCTAGGTATGAAATTATATTTTCTTTTTCTTTCTTTCTTTTTTTTTAAATGAGGTCTCACTGTGTTGCAGAGGCTGAGCTGGTCTGGAACTCATGGGCTCAAGTGATTGTCCACTTCTGCCTCCCAAAGTGCTAGAATTAACAGGTGTCAGCCACCGCACCCAGCCTGGTTTAAGGAAAGTGTCAACTTTTGTTATGCTAATATCACAGTCTTAATGTTACCAGCCTTAAGAAACTTCTAAGGTTCTGTTACCCAGGCTGGGAGTGTAGTGGCGCGATCTTGGCTCACTGTAACCTCCGCCTCCCGGGTTCAAGTGATTCTCATGCCTCAGCTTCCCAAGTAGCTGGGATTATAGGCATGTGCCACACACCTGGCTAGTTTTTTTTTGTATGTTTAGTAGAGACGGAATTTCACCATGTTAGCCAGGCTGGTCTTGAACTCCTGGCCTTAAGTGATCCACCCGCCTCAGCCTCCCAAAGTGCTGGGATTATAGGCATGAGCCACCGTGCCCAGCCTAAAATGATTATTTGAAACAGCTTATCTCTTCAGTAAAGGAAGCTTCCAGTGCTAATCACAAAAGTTAGAATGTTTAAAGCCCTTCTCACTACCTCTTAGTTTTATTGTGAGGATGCCTCTATGTTTATATTTTGCAATGATTTATAGAAAATGTTAAGCGACCACTTTTCCTAACATTTACTATTAGGTTTTATTTTATTAATATTACCTTATATTATTATTTGTAGCCATTCTGATTTGAAAACAATTATAGTTAAGTAGTTATTTGAAAAATGTATTACATAAGAGGAACCAGCATGACAGAGCTTTTCAAATGGCGTTCAGATTCAGTTAATAGCAAGGGTTAGGCTTTTTGTGTAGAGATTATTTTAAATTGGCTACCTCTAGAATTACAGACCAGACTAGGTAACCAGTTTATTTAAAGCAATACTGTTTTCAATGAAATTCTTCTCATTTTTACAGGTCGTCTCAGATGATGCCCTGATGCACTGGTTAGATCAGTATAATTCATCTGCAGATACTTGTACTCATGCTTATTGGTTAGTATTTTCGTGTTTCCTACCAAATTTTCCAAAATTTAATTGAGATTTAAATACACCTTCACTCTTTATCAGTATGTCCTCATGAATTAACTAACAGATTAAGTATTGTCAGGCGTGGTGTGTTCCATCAGGAATATTTACTGGACAGTTGTAGACTAGAAACTGTTTAGTTTATGTACCTCCTTACTCTTCACTGATGCTTTCTTATTTCCAGCCAACTGTTGTCTGGCAGCATGACCTTAACAGTTATCCTTCATATTAGAACTTGCTTTTTCACGGCTGGGTGTGGTGGCTCACGCCTGTAATCCCAGCACTTTGGGAGGCTGAGGTGGGCGGATCACCTGAGGTCAGGAGTTCAAGACCATCCTGGCCAACATGGTGAAACCCCATCTCTACTAAAAATACAAAACAATTAGCCGGTGTGATGGCAGGCACCTGTAATCCCAGCTACTTGGGAGGCTGAGGCAGGAGAATCGCTTGAACCCGGAAGGTGGAAGTTGCAGTGAGTCAAAATTGCGCCATTGCACTCCAGCCTGGGGGACAGAGCGAGACTCCATTAAAAAAAAAAAACAAAAAAAAAAACAATAAGGCCAGGTGTGGTGGCTTACGCCTGTAATCCCAGCACTTTGGGAGGCCAAGGCAGGTGGATAATCTAAGGTCGGGAGTTCGAGACCAGCCTGACCAACATGGAGAAACCCTCTCTACTAAAAAAAAAATTAGCTGGGTGTGGTGGCGCATGCCTGTAATCTCAGCTATTCAGGAGGCCGAGGCAGAATTGTTTGAACCCGGGAGGCGGAGGTTGTGGTGAGCCGAGATTGCACCACTGCACTCCAGCCTGGGCAACAAGAGCAAAAACTGTCTCTTAAAAAAAAAAACAAACCACTTTTTCGCCCTCCTTCTGTCACTCTCCCTTCATGTTTTTTTGTTTGGTTGGTTATTTTAAAGAGACAGTCTCCCTATATCACCTAGGCTGGAGTACAGTGCAGCAATCATAGCTCACTGCAGCCTCAAACTCCTCCCATCTCAGCCTCCTGAGTAGCTGGGCTCTTTTCTTTCTTCCTCTCTTTTTTAAAAAAGCTTTACTGGTGTCCCAGATCTAGGGAATGTCTAAGAAACCAGGGAGATTCCCAAAGTTAATAGCACAGCACATGCAAACTTTTGTTGTTGAGTCTTGGAGCTCTTCCTGCTGTGCCCCCTCACCCCTTGGCTTACAGTGTTCACTTTGTGACCTCGTATACTCTTATACTCTGCAAATCATAGTTTTCTTCTCATTGTTCTCTCCCTCATTAAGTAGTTAATGCTCTTACAGTATCTGGCCCACTTCATGAAAAGGAATATGAGATGTAAATGAATTTTAGCTTGAGGGGCTTTTTGTTTGTTTTGATTGTTTGGGCTGTTCTGCAGGTAGATAAGTTGGCTTTGATGTGAGTAGTGCTTTTGGTTTTCATTATGAGAGTAAATTAGTGCCACTGAAAATTAGAAAAAATCTGTAAGATAAAATGTTTTAAAAGGTAGGCTGGCTAGGCACCATTGGCTTGCTGGTAGTACCAGCACTTTGAGAGGTCGAGATGGATCACATGAGTCCAGGAATTCAAGACCAGCCTGGCCAACATGGTGAAACCACGTCTCTACTAAAAATAAAAAAATTAGCAGGGCATGGTGGCAGACGCCTGTAATCCCAGCTACTTGGGAGGCTGAGGCATGAGAATCGCTTGAGCCTGTGAGGCAAAAGTTGCGGTGAGCTGAGATCGTGGCACTGCACCCCTGTCTGGATGACAGCAAGACGTGGTCTAAAAAAAAAAGTTTTAAAAGTTAACCTACTAACTTGGGTTTTTTTTTTGTTTTTTTTTGTTTTTTTTTTGAGATGGTGTCCTTGCTCTGTCACCCAGGCTGGAGTGCAGTGGCACGATCTCAGCTCACTGCAACCTCCATCTCCCAGGTTCAAGCAGTTCTCCTGCCTCAGCCTCCCGAGTAGCTAGGACTACAGTGCCTGCCACCATGCGCAGCTAATTTTTGTATTTTTAGTAGAGACAGGGTTTTACCATGTTGGCCAAGCTGGTCTCGAACTCCTGACTTTGTGATCTGCCCACCACGGCCTCCCAAAGTGCTGGGATTACAGGCATAAGCCACCGCGCCTTGCCCCTACAAACATTTCTTTTTTTTGAGATGGAGTCTCGCTCTGTCACCCAGGCTGGAGTGCAGTGGTGTGATCTCGGCTCACTGCAAGCTCCACCTCCCAGGTTCACGGCATTCTTCTGCCTCAGCCTCCTGAGTAGCTGGGACTACAGGCACCCGCCAACCACGCCCGGCTAATTTTTTGTATTTTTAGTAGAGACGGGGTTTCACCGTGTTAGCCATGATGGTCTTGATCTCCTGACCTCGTGATCCGCCTGCCTCTGCCTCCCAGAGTGCTGGGATTACAGGCTTGAGCCACTGCGCCTGGCCTAAACATTTTCTAAAACATTTCCTCTGGGGACAGTGCAGTGGCTCCTAGCACTTTGGGAGATCAAGATGAGAGGATTGCTTGAGGCCGGGAGTTTGAGACCAACCTCCTCAACACAGCAAGACTCCATCTCTACAAAAAATTAACTTAAAAAACAACAAACATTTGCTTTGAGTTATAGCAAGAAAAGTGTCCTATATACCTACATTTAACACTGTATTAGATTCGTCTTGAGTTAGTACTAACCAGAAGGGCATCTTTATTGATGAATATTCTGAAGATAATTTTAACCAGAAAACATTGATGGTATTTCTCCTTTTTCTCATTTCTTCTTAAATTTACATGTAGCCTCTCGCTCCCCTCCCACCCCTTTCCATCTCTCTAGATTGCTGAGTCCTTCCCACTAATGTGATTTAGAACCAGTGTATCAGTAGTTTCATAATATAGAAATAACTGGCAGGATCTTCCCCCCTCCTTCTTTTCTTTTCACAGGTATTGCTTGTTTTTTCATGGCAGGATCTCTCAGGATCTTTTTTCTTTTTTAAACAGAGGGCTTGAGTGCAATGGCACCATCTTGGCTCACTGCACCTTCTGCCTCCCAGGTTCAAGCGATTCTCGTGCCTCAACCACCTGAGTAGCTGGGATTACAGGCATGCGCCAACACACTTGGCTTTTTTGTTTTTTTTTTTTTTTTTTGAAGACAGAGTCTTGCTGTGTCGCCCATGCCAGAGTGTAGTGGCCTGATCTTGGCTCACTGCAAGCTCCGCCTCTGAGGTTTACGCCATTCTTCTGCCTCAGCCTCCCGAGTAGCTGGGACTACAGGTGCCCGCCACCACACCCTGCAAATTTTTTGTATTTTTAGTAGAGACGGGGTTTCACCATGTTAGCCAGGATGCTCTGGATCTCCTGACCTCATGATCTGCCTGCTTCGGCCTCCCAAAGTGCTGAGATTACAGGCGTGAGCCATCGTGCCCAGCCAGTTTTTTGTTTTGTTTTGTTTCGTTTTTTTTGAGACAGAGTCTCACTCTGTTGCCCAGGCTGGAGTGCAGTGGCACGATCTCGGCTCACTGCAAGCTCCGCCTCCTGGGTTCACGCCATTCTCCTGCCTCAGCTTCCCGAGTAGCTGGGACTACAGGTGCCTGCCACCACTCCTGGCTAATTTTTTGTATTTTTAATAGAGACAGGGTTTCACCGTGTTAGCCAGGATGGTCTCAGTCTCCTGACTTTGTGATCAGCCGGCCTTGTCCTCCCAAAGTGCTGGGATTACAGGCGTGAGCCACCGCACCCAGCCCATACCTGGCTAATTTTTGTATTTTCAGTAGAAATGAGGTTTCTCCACGTTGGCCAGGCTGATCTCAAACTCCTGGTCTCAAGCTGTCTGCATGCCTCAGCCTCCCAAAGTGCTGGGGTTACAGGCATGAGCCACCATACCTAATTATTTTAAACTTTTTGTAGAGATAGAGCCTCGCCATGTTGCACAGGCTGGTCTCAAACTCCTGAACTCGAACAATACTCCCTCCTCAGCCTCCCAAAGAGCTGTGATTACAGGCATGAGCCACCCTGCCCGGCTAGCAAGATCATTTTATAAAGTAGCAATATTGCAGTAAAATAATGGATATTAAAATGACTAAAATGCTTCAACAGATAGCAAACACAATAAATTCAACCCTTTTTATTGGGAGGCAGGCCCCTGAAAAAATCGTGGTTTTAAAAATCAGCCTGATACCTTAAATTGGAAATGCTAACCCAATGGGCCAACAGAATTATAATCTAAGAAATAGTAAAGGCAAATACTGCTGAAACATTGTTTATTTGAAATTTGAGGCCAAGAGCGGTGGCTCACGCCTGTAATCCCGGCCCTTTGGGAAGCCAAGGGTGGATCACCTGAGGTCAGGAGTTTAAGACCAGCCTGCCCAACATGGCAAAACACCGTCTCTACTAAAAATACAAAACAACAACAACAACAAAAAAAAGTCCCAGTTACTCGGGAGGCTGAGGCAGGAGAATCACTTGACCCTGGGAGGCAGAGGTTGCAATGAGCCGAGATCGCACCACTGCGCTCCAGTCTGGGCAACAAGAGCAAAACTCCATCTCAACAAAAAAAAAAGAAAAGAAAAGAAATTTGAGTTGACCTTGTAAATCTTTTAGAAACGTGTCTGTGTGCATATATAGACACTCATATGTATTTCTTTCCCATTTTTCTTAGGCGCGGCAATTGCAAAAAAGCAAGCTTGGGGCTAGTTTGTGAAATAGGTCTTCGTTGCCGTACATATTATGTATTATGTGGTTCAGTGCTGAGTGTCTGGACAAAAGTTGAGGGTGTTCTAGCATCTGTCAGTGGCACAAACGTGAAGATGCAGATCGTGCGGCTAAGAACGGAAGATGGGCAACGGATTGTAGGTGAGTCTAATTTTTGTTTTGGTTTGAGTTGCAGGAAAAAATCGGATCCGACTTTTTTCTCATTGCTAATATCTTAGCTTTATTCCACATGCATCTAACATCTCTTCCAGTAGTGGGTATGGGACCCGTTTTATATTTCTTACAAGGTTGAACAGAAGTTAAGCCTTCAAACAGACATTGTTGGTTCTGGTTGAAGTTATGATGTGGTCATCTCTTTGATGCTGCTCTCAGCTGCTCTTGCTCTCCTTCTCTACTCTTGGTGGCTGTGCAGGCTCCCTGGTGTGTAGACAGTTCAGCCTCTTGCCCAGGAGTTCTCCATTGAGCTAACTTAAGACTCTGGAATTCAAAAGCCACTGTGCACAGAGAATGGCTTGGTGTCCTGCAGGGAGCAAGGGTAGACTAGGCCAGCTATTCTCACCGTGTGCTCAACTACAGGTGTCCAGGAAGCAGGGCAGCAACTGGACTCTGTTTGCTTATCTTGGTTTCGCTTACAGCAGCCTTCCTCTACCACGGATTGCATATCGGGAGTTCATGGGCCAAAGTCAGTCTATGGAATTTTTTTTTTTTTTTTTTTTTTGGACACCAGTATTTTGGGATGTTGTAGGTTTTCATTTGAATTAATGAATTTTTTTTTTTTTTTTTTTTTTTGAGACTGAGTCTCACTGTGTCGCCCAGGCTGGAGTGCAGTGGCGTGCTCCCGGCTCACTGCAACCTCCGCCTCCCGAGTAGCTGGGATTACAGGCATGCACCACCACACCTGGCTAATTTTTATATTTTTTTAGTGGAGATGGGTTTTCACCATGTTGGCCAGGCTAGTCTCAAACTCCTGACCTCAAGTGATCCGCCCACCTCAGCTTCCCAAAGTGCTGGGATTATAGGCGTGAGCCACCGAGCCCAGCCTCATTTGAATTAATTGCCAACATTTAAAAATCAAGAGGTTTCATATAAAAGTCTAGATTTCCAGTTTCAAAAGCAGCCCATCAGCTGGGCATGGTAGTTCACCTTGTAATCCCAGCATTTTGGGAGGCTGAGGCAGGAGGATTGCTGGAGTCCAGGAGTTTGAGACCAGCCTAGGCAACACAGTGAGACCTTGTCTCTATTTAAAAAAAAAACAAATAGGGCCGGGCACGGTGGCTCACACCTATAATCCCAGCACTTTGGGAGGCCGAGGCAGGTGGATCATGAAGTCAAGAGATCGAGATCATCCTGGCCAACATCGTGAAACCCTGTCTCTACTAAAAATACAAAAATTAACCAGGCGTGGTGGCAGGTGCCTGTAGTCTCAGCTACTTGGGAGGCTGAGGCAGGAGAATCACTTCAACCCGGGAGGCGGAGGTTGCAATGAGCCAAGATTGTGCCACTGCACTCCAGCCTGGCGACAGAGCAATACTCCATCTCAGAAAAAAAAAACAAAAAAAAAAACACATATATATATGCATGCAATTTATCTGGAACATTGAGCCTTCAATCCTACATGCAGGACTTAAAGTTCCCTTAACCAGCACCCAGAGAGTATCCTTTCCAGTTTGCTAGTATCTGCTCTTCTAAGTTAACCTGTTTCGGTTAGCATTTGAATTTGCAACTTCTGTTCTGTAGTCTTTTGGTGCATTAAAAGATAATACATAGAATAATAGATATTCTTAACCTCCTGTTAAAAAGAGAATAATAGATATTCTTGACTTCCTATTCCTCCAACAAGATAGCATTACACTAAACACATGCATATGCTTGGGTATTTGTGGGAAATGCTGTGGAAGAATCAGACTACATCTCAATGGCCATTTCATTTATTAGGTAGTCGTTTAATTTTTGTGTGAACTTCTTGTCCATTACGCTTAATATTATGCCTCATTTGGAATCTGCTGTGAAGCTGTACAGTGTGGTTTCTTCTGGACACAACTTGATAAATTCTTGTTACTAATTACAGGTTTGATCATTCCGGCAAATTGTGTGTCTCCTCTTGTAAATCTCCTATCAACTTCAGACCAGTCTCAACAGCTTGCGGTCCAACAGAAACAGCTATGGCAACAGCATCACCCTCAGAGCATCACCAACTTGAGCAACGCATGAAGAACAGACAGGTTTCAACATGGATGGATCTGAAATGCTGTTGAAGCATATCATTTGCATAAAAATCAGGGACAGTTTCCAAAGAATTATATATTTTTTTCAGTTGTGCTCTCTAGTTAGTTTTTTTGGGAGTAAGGACAAACCTGGAATAGATAGCAAAACTGAAAATCAGCAGTGCTGATGGTGGTACATATGTCTTTCCTTTAGCTTCTCCCCTGATAATTCCCATCTGCTTTTACTTCGGGTGAGCAGAGGGGGATGTGTGTGTGCGTGTGTGTCAGTCTGTTTGTGAGTGTGTTAAAGGCTACAGACCACAGTTGGTTTAAAATGCTTGGAACTTCCCAAACTGGCTTTACTTTATGTTTATACAGTGCTCAGGGTTAACGCAGTACATCCATGCCATTGCTGTGGGAGGTATCCCCGGATGCATGTGTTTTGAGTCTATAAATATAGAAAATATATATTGGTTTCTTTTTCCAACTTAATAGGTTTATTAAAGCATGAAATGAAAGGTTGCATATCATGCATTCAGGTTATTTTCTAATTTTTGTTCTGACAGTGCATGTCTTTGGAAGCATGCTGAAACAAGATTAACACAGGAGTCGAGTAACAGAGAGAAACATTTGTTAGATGTACAGCATTGGTTATTGCATTTTTATAGTGTTTATACCTGGGTATTGCTTCAAACCCTGCAGACCCCTCCTTCCCCTTCTCCCTGCCCTGGGTTTCTGGTCAAGGTAATGAATACATACATTTTTCTGTGATAAAACTCTTAAAAGTTAATTTTAATGTATTAATAGTATTCCTAATGTGTGCTGCAGAAATGGCTATGAGCCTCTTAAATTTACATTTGCAACTTAAAGGTAGTTTTAGAAGGAAGTACAAATTGGCTTTCATCTTGCAAACAATCGTTTTTTACTTCATTATCTTAATTTGCTTTGTCACTCATAAAAAGGAAACCATACCTGAGTTGTAGACAATGAGGAAACACTTGAGGCTTCTGCTGTGTGTTCTTTTGTTATTGTTGTTATTGTTGTTACTCAGTAACTTGAATATTGTTTAATGTGTTGTAAGACGTAGAGTTTATCTCAAGCTGTTAAAAATGGTAATGTACAAATGTGAATAGACACTTATCTATATAATATGGGTAAGTTTTGTTTCGCCTATAATAGATGTTTATAAAAACAAGTGAGGGGACAGTTGGTCTTTTTATCTTTTCTTTCTTTTTCTTTCTTTTCTTTTTTTCTTTTTTTTTTTTTTTTTTTTTTTTTTTGCTTCCACAGGTTGCACTATTGAAAAATCGAGATTGTATAAACCTGGTAAAAAGCTGCAAGATGCCAAAATCTTGTAGATGTCAAATAAAAAGTTATTATACTAACAAGAAGTGGACTCTTGTTTAGGCCCTCACTGGTGACCTTCAGAAGTAGTCTGTGACGGGGACTCAGCAGAATTTGTGTGTTGTCTCAGCATTCCAGGTAGCCTTATAGTTTGGCTTAAAACTTATCCCTAAAATGTAAGATGGCATTGAGGGAAAGGGTATAATGATAGTACTTCTGAATGTTTTTTAAGTTGAATTGTTTGTAAACTTCTTGCAGAATTGGGTGAGATGTGTGTTAAAACTGACAAACCTGGCTGAAAGCTTAGGGCGTTCATCCTCTTGTGTCTCCTTTAGCCTGAGTTTGGTTATGTCAAGCTTACCGTAAGTTTTCTTAGGATTTATTTATTCTTGGTGCCTAAAAGAATAAATTGAAAGTACTTTCTGTTCTTTGGCACATTTTGCCCAGCGGATGCAACTTCTATCCTCAGTCCAGTTCATATATCTCAGGCAGTGATCCATTTTGTATCAGCCAGTTTCCCTTGTTAGGGCCGCTAGACCCGGCTGGCAGCCAAGAGCAGCACTCTCCCCACCTTCAGCAGAACTTCTCAGCTCATGTGTGTGTTTTTAAAAGCAGTAGGCAGCTTCCATCAGCAATGGAAGTGTCCCCCACTCCAGTGGTGGAGGTGCAGTCGCTGGACCTGAGGAAGTGGGGAAGCATTACAAACCCTCCTGCAGTAAGAATGGCAGAGTTGGGAAGGATCTTCTCTCGCAGGCTGTTGGCCCAACTCCTCTTTTCTGTGTATGAGGGCATCTTAGTTTTTTATGGCGTTTTCAAAGCAGCATATGAGGATTCTTAGCATGCAGCTAAGTGACAACCCCCATGGCCTATGATGTAATGTTTGCTCTGGACTAGCCATCTTGATAAATAGGAGTGTATGTATCTTAGGTTCTTTGTAGAACAGCTATTTTTTTTTCTCATTAAAAAGGCCTCTGAAAGCCCTCTCAAAATGGACCTCACAAAGGCAACCAGTGTGAATGGATGGGAGCTGGGGTGCTGCATGCCCAGGCTGGTCATGGTGTGTGCAGCACCCAGAGAGTTGCACCCACCCCTTCTTCAGGTGGACATCCGACCTTTACACTGTGGTCTTGCAAAAATCAGCGAGTTAGTTTGGCCGCCCTGTGAAGCTTCAGCATTCAAGGTCCTCTTCTGTTAAAACCCAACTCGTAGCCGGGCGTGGTGGCTCACTCCTATAATCCCAGCACTTCGGGAGGCCAAGGCAGGTGCATCACTTGAGGCCAGGAGTTCGAGACCAGCCTGGTCCACATGGCAAAACCCCATCTGTACCAAAAAATACAAAAAATTTGCCGCTGACTTCTGTAAAATAGGTCCATTCATTGCAGGATCTAAATGCCACACCTGAATTCAGAGGCCTTGTTTAATTAACCCCATGTCCACTTTGCCTCTGCAATGCCTTTTTCTTTTTAGCAATATGGCTCTGAGCACAAAGATTTGGTTGGAAATCATGTTCGTGTTTTCAGAGTTTACAGCGTCAAT
This sequence comes from Homo sapiens, assembly GCF_000001405.40. Lineage (NCBI taxonomy): Eukaryota > Metazoa > Chordata > Mammalia > Primates > Hominidae > Homo > Homo sapiens. Next base: position 123,293,034 of record NC_000012.12, on the reverse strand, counting down.
TGTACTGAAAACCACTTCCAGAGTCTAAAGCAGCTCAGATGTTATCTCTGGGGGAATTAGTGTTCCCCTCATTTAGCAACCTCCATACCACAAGGTCTCTGTCTGTAGTTACTGGGATTATCCAGATACACTATCAATGATACAAATTCATAGGAGTATTAATGCATTTCTTTAAACACAACTTGATTAAGAAGCAAATATGTTAAGCAGTTTTCTTTTTCTGCTGCTAAATTACAGTTAGACACTTCAGTATCTTCTCTTTACATGTGTATATAAATTAGTAAGAACCTGCATCCAAAGCAATGTAGTGTGTGTATGTATCTATATATATTTATTCTAACTCAGCACTTCAGAAGCCTTTTTGAGTTACAACAATATTTTAGTTTGCCTCATCTGTAGAGGTAAAATTTCTATATTACCAAGCTCCAGAGGAATATGATATTTTACAGGCACAATTTTCTGGCTGTAGTCCCTGGGGCATTCATTTGCTGGCCTCCATGGGATGCTGTTAGAACAATTGTTAGCCGGCAAGAGAAGAAAGGCTACCAGGACAGCATTTATAATTGTAGAATGGGAGCCTTCTTCCCTCTCCCCTCCACTTTCATTTTAGCATGAGATAAAAAAATAGATTGGAAATGATTGTTGCATCTCACTTCATGGAAGTAGGGGCAGAAGTTCCCTCTGGATCCTTTTCTTGACAAGCAGTCAAGAGGAAGGTCCCCATACACATGTACCTGTGTGATACTTGGTAGTTTCTAAGAATGGTGCTACATAAGCGTTGCTGTTAGGCTGGGATCCTATTAATGAACGTTTGATTAGTTCAGGCCTCCCAATGGCAAAGGCAGACACCGTGGAGATGGACATTTACTGACTCCCCTTCTGTGTGGCTTCGGTCTCCCTGGCTAACACCACACCTGTGCGTACTGCGCTCGGCCCACTTTGCTGCAGAAACGTAGCAAGCGTTTCATGTCAGGGCTACAGCTGAGAGCAAAAACTGCAAAAAAAAAAAAAAATGTCTCATTGAATGCCAGTTGTCTGATACAAATGCAGTGTCTTTTAAGTGACAGAAACACACCTAAATACCTGCAACTCAAGCTCGCTAGCATTTTTTTTTTGAGTACTTGAGATAAAATCCAAAACCCACCCTCTAATTTTGTGCTGTATTTATATATATGTACATAAATGTATATATAGAGAAATGTTGAGTTCTTCTGGATTCTGAATGTAAATAATTCTTGTAAATTGGGACTCTGCCCACCTGTTTCTCCCTTTTCCCTCTTCCCTTCAGCTCTATTTATTCTTTTCTTGACTTTCCCATATGGGGCATCTTATGACTTTTTTTTTTTTTTTTTTTTAAGAAAAGTATGGAAAACTTTTCATTTAGAAAAGTATTTGTTCCTGTATTTTAGAATTCAGTTTTGCATCTTTGCTGTAGAATTCCTGTTTTGTGTTAATGTTTTTTACTATGTCTTATTGTGTTGTGTGCAATGCATTGTACTGGGGGGATGCACTTGAGTGCCATTTCTGATACTGTCATTGTATGACTGCTGATGCTCGTTTATGTTGTTCTTTGGAAGCTATAGTGAGCCTGATGTTTTCACATTTTAAAAAATGCTTCCTGAGACTTCTTTAAGCTCCTCTAACTTCTTCAGTGCATTTGGGATCAAACTTAGCTCTTAGATCAGCAAACCTGACTTGCTTCTACTTTTGCAATTTTTCAGGCCTTACCATATTTCTTATCTCTGTCTTCCCACCTGATAGGAAAATCTTGCAGATTTGAAACAGTGGTTTCTGGCCTGCTGCTGCAGCAAATTCCCTATGTTTATTTAAGAAGTCGGGCCTATGCTTTTAACCTACAAATGATGAGTAATTTACTTGCAATGAACACAGGTAGCCTGCTGCTGTTTATAACCTGTTGAGGATATTTATAGCAGGCAGGAGGCAGGCCTAGTGTGTTATTGACAGGTGACTTTAGAGAATGTACATTGGCCGGGTGCGGTGGCTCACGCCTGTAATCCCAGCACTTTGGGAGGCCGAGGCGGGCGGATCATGAGGTCAGGAGATTGAGACCATCTCCTGGCTAACACGGTGAAACCCCGTCTCTACTAAAAATACAAAAAAAAAAAAAACTTAGCCAGGCGTGGTGGCGGGTGCCTGTAGTCCCAGCTACTCAGGAGGCTGAGGCAGGAGAATGGCATGAACCTGGGAGGCAGAGCTTGCAGTGAGCCCAGATCGCGCCACTGCACTCCAGCCTGGGCAACAGACCGAGACTCCGTCTCGAAAAAAAAAAAAGAGAGAGAATGTACATTAAGGAACAATTGTCCTCCAAAAGAGAGCCAAGCAACTGCTCTGGAGCCTCCTAGGCTGACTCTGCTGGAGGGTGAGACAAGCAGATTCCCATTGCAGCACTGGTCCCTGGGGTACCCTGAACGGCTGTGCTCTCCACCCTTGTATCGGTGAGTGGATCTTGTCTACATCAGCCGTAAGCCTAGAAGCAGAGCGGGATCGAGGCGTTTTTAATAATTCGAGTTGGGAAGACCCGGATGGTTCATCAAAATGATGGTGTTGAGCACCCGGGAGGCAGACATTGGGTATTTGTTCACAATTTTGCACCTGTAAGAAAATGTTCCTTTATAACTTTCAAGGATTGCCGTGAGCGTCTTTGGGGCCTTTTCATTCATGTACAAGTTTCATTCATTACTATTCAACTTGGTAGACTTGGTGAAAAATGTAAAAGCATTCTGTATTTGGATCAGTCTTGGGAACTAAATTTGTCGTGAATTGGGGCCTGTCACAGATTGCCTCCAGTGTGCATCCTCCACGCAGACCCTCCTTGCTCAGTCTCCCTCTGGCGCCCATGGGGAAGCCGTGCTGTGGTTGGCAGTGCGGCCATCTGGGCTGCCGCAACGTGGCAGGGCACCGTCCAGCAAGACTGCCCCTTAGTGCAGGGCTAAGCAAGGAAAAGAAGAAGCCCAAAAAGGCGGGTTCTTTTTGATACTTGTAATTCAGGCGTCCTCCAGAGTGAAGGCCACTCTGCAGGCCCCTGGTGAGAACCTGTCTGGCTTTTCCACTGCGGGCCCCTAACCAGTACCCTGCCCTTGTGGCCCATTTGTGCCTGGGCAGATGTTTCTGGCCAGCAGACACTGAAGGCCTTTTTGCTGTGACAGTATTTATGGCACTGAAGAGGATAAAGAAGCTTGAGCCCTCTTTCTGACTCCCACTTTATGGGGCAGAGAGAGCTTTTTTTCTACATAGCACATTGCAGTCTCACCGCTATCAGAAAAATATCCTGTTCATGGTTTATACTGAATTTGCAAACTACTGATATGATTTTTCAATAACCACTTGTATCTTCCATCATCCATGAGAGGTGGGAAGAGGTACACTGTATCTCTGCAATAAAACTTTGGCCAGGTTCTACCTCCTCTGAGCAAAGGATACTTTTCTATGTAGGTGTAGATGGTTCTCCTTTACTAATCTGACATGGTGCATCTGGAGACAACATCTGATGGGATCCAAAGACAACTTGAAACAAAGGTGGATGTCAGCTCTTGGTGTGTTTTCATTTGGTTCTCTTTTTTAAATCTCCCTTTTGTTATCGCTCCTGTTGTAGCGTGTCCATCAGTGTGTGAAGGGTGCGCCCTGTTCCAATGATACTGCATTGCTGCATCCAGCCTTTCGTGGGAGCACGGTACCAAGCGTCCGGAATTGATTATCCCAATCATTTTTGATATGTAACTGAAAAATTTGGTCTCATGCAATAAAAATGTACTGGCTGCATTTTAGCAAGGTTTATTTACTCTTGCAAGTAAAAACGATCAACCGTGAAGCGTAACAAATTCTGTATTTAGTTTTTTTTTCTGTTGTGGTGGTTTTTGTTTTGTTTTTTGTTTTTGTAAGATTCTAAATAAATTAAATACGAGTCACGGGTTGTGCTTTCTTTGCGCGCTGTCTTCGCAGATCTCATGAACATCTTCATAGTGTCTTTATAAAATGTAAGTGCTGTCACCGTGCCTTTGCAGATGGCACAGGCACTGAGTCAGGGAGCCAGCCAGGGTGGGGCGGTGCCCAGCCCAGGTGCAGTGTGTGGGCCCGGAGTGGGCTGCTGTCTTGGACTGCTGCGGAAGGCGGTGGGAGGGAGAAAGGGCTGGGATGCGAGTGGGAATCTGAGCAGCGTTTAGTGCATGGCTTGTCTGGGAGTTTCTCTGTGATTATTTCAAATACTTGGGAGAAGGATGTTCAAATTTTAGCTTGAAATGCGTAAGGGTATTCGATCAAATTTGTAAATAGCATTAATGTTTAGGGGGGATTTAACCTCCTGAATATATGAGATAATTGAGCATTAATTGAGGAACAAGTCAAAAGGAAGTGTTTTAACTAAAATTTGATTCAGTATTTTTGAGTTTGAAAATTGAAAGAAACAGGTTTTTAAATGTATAACCTTAATAAATTGTGCATTGGCCAGGCACGGTGGCTTACACCTGTAATCCCAGCACTTTGGGAGGTCGAGGCGGGCGGATCACCTGAGGTCAGGAGTTCAAGACCAGCCTGGTCATCGTGGTGAACCCTCGTCTCTACTAAAAATACAAAAAGCTGGCGAGCTGGCGGACACCTGTAATCCTAGCTACTTCGGAGGCTGAGGCAGGAGAATCACTTGAACCTGGGAGGCAGAGGTGGCAGTGAGCCGAGTTCGTGCCATTGTACTCCGGCCTGGGCAACAATAGCAAAACTCTGTCTCAAAAAATAAAAAATAAATTGGGTATTTATATGTTTTTTGTTTTTTTTTTTGTTTTGTTTTGTTTTGTTTTTTTGAGACAGAGTCTCACTCCGTCGCCCAGGCTGGAGTGCAGTGGCGTTATCTCGGCTCACTGCAACCTGTCTCCCGAGTTCAAGGGATTCTCCTGCCTCCGCCTCCCAAGTATCTGGGATTACAGGCGCCCGCCACCATGCCCAGCTAATTTTTGTGTTTTTATTAGAGGTTGGGTTTCGCCATGTTGGCCAGGCTGATCTCGAACTCTTGGCCTCAAGTGATCCACCTACCTTGGCCACCCAAAGTGCTGGGATTACATGTGTGAGCACCCTGCTGAGTATTAATTTGAGTAAGAAATAATGGCCGAAGGCCGGGCATGGTGGTTTAGGCATTTAATTCCAGCACTTTGGGAGGCCGAGGCGGGCAGATCATGAGGTCAGGAGATCGAGACCATCCTGTCTAATACAGTGAAACCCCGTCTCTACTAAAAATACAAAAAATTAGCTGGGCGTGGTGGTGGAAGCCTGTAGTCCCAGCTACTTGGGAGGCTGAGGCAGGAGAATGACGTGAACCCGGGAGGCAGAGCTTGCAGTGAGCCAAGATCGCGCCACTGCACTCCAGCCTGGAGGACAGCCAGACTCCATCTCAAAAAAAAAAAAAAAAAAAGAATGGCTGCTTGTAGTGGCTCATGCCTGTAATCCCAACACTTTGGGAGGCCAAGGCGGGTGGATCACTTGAGGCCAGGAGTTTGAGACCAGCCTGGCCAACATGGCAAAACCCTGCTTCTACAAAAATAAAATTAGCTGGGCATGGTGCCACGTGCCTGTAGTCCCAGCTACTTGGGAGGCTGAGGGGCAGGAGGATTGCCTGAGCTGGGGAGGTGGAGGCTGCAGTGAGCCATGATTGCTCCACTGCACTCCAATCTGGGTGACAGAGTAAGACCCAGTCTTAGAGGGTAAAAGATGAAAGCAAACTTTGGATCGTGCCTCCGCCAGCCCCCTTGTGTTTTTCTGTTAGAATTCCAGGCTGCTTTGACCTTCCTTCCCTTGGGGTTTTGCTCTCCCTCAGTCTTGTTTTTGCTTCACCTTGGGTTGGCCTGGGCCCTGTTGACATTTGAGCCAAGTCATTCTTTGCAGTGGAGGTATCCTGGGCACTGTCGGATGTTGAACAGCATCACTGGCCTCCACCCACAGATGCCAGGAGCACACATCATCCCCACATTTTTAACAACCCAAAATCTCTCCAGACGTTGGCAAATGTCTCCTGGGGGGCAAAATCAATCCTGGTTGAGAATCACTGCTCTAGGCAAATTAGTCATAGAGGAGAAAGCTGGTTGTGTGTGTGTGTGTATACATGTGCATGTGTGCTTTTTACATATGAACAAAGGGCACCACCCCCGAGATACAGAAGATACAAATGTTAACTGGCTGGGCGTTTGGAGTATGTACAATACAATTTCCATAAGTATGAATATTTATCAGCTAGTCATTTGAGAGCATGATGTAAAGAAGCCATCTGTGGAGGCCTTTATGAGAGAGAAGAGGCTAAAAGAAATGTGCCGAATGCTTATTTTTAGAGTCCGATTCTCAGTAAGTTGGCTCCATCCTCTAACGCTGCCCACTCTGGGTGGTAAGTGCCTTACTGGGTTGAGAGGGGCAAGGGCCACACTATTGGGTCTGAATCATCTTTTTTTTTTTTTTTTTTTTTTTGAGATGGAGTTTCACTCTTGTCACCCAGGCTGGAGTGCAGTGGCGCCATCTCGGCTCACTGCAACCTCCACGTCCCGGGTTCAAGCGATTTTCCTGCCTCAGCCTTCCGAGTACCTGGGATTACAGGTTCCTGCCACCATGCCCGGCTCATTTTTTGTATTTTTAGTAGAGACGGGCTTTCACCATGTTGGGCAGGCTGGTCTTGAACTCCTGACCTCAGGTGATCCGCCTGCCTCGGCCTCCCAAAGTGTTGGGATTACAGGCGTGAGCCACTGTCCCTGGCCATCATCATCTTTCAGTAAAGAAATATCACTGTGGCCAGGCACAGTGGCTCACACCTGTAAGCCCAGCACTTTGGTAGGCTGAGGTGGGAGGATCAACATGAGGTCAGGAGTTCAAGACCAGCCTGGCCAACATGGCAAAACCCTGTCTCTACTAAAAATACAAAAACTAGCTGGGCTTGGTGGCGGGCACCTACTGTAATCCCAGGTACTCAGGGGGCTGAGGCAGGAGAATCACTTGAACCGGGGAGGCGGAGGTTGCAGTGAGCTGAGATCACGCCACTACACTCCAGCCTGGGCGACAAAGCCAGACTCCATCTCAAAAAAATAAAAAAAAACAAAACTGAGTATCATGCAAAGGTAGGATAGCTAGGTGCCTGTTAAATTAGTCTGAATACTTCATGTAACTTTTTTTTTCTCTTTTTGAGACAGAGTCTCGCTCTGTATTTTTAGTAAAGATGGGATTTCACCATGTTGGCAAGGTTGGTCTCGAACTCCTGACCTCGTGATCCACCCACCTCGGCCTCCCGAAGTGCTGGGATTATAGGCGTGAGCCACTGCGCCTGGCCCAAACCATATTAATTGTAGGAAATTCAACAGCATGAACCTGTAAGTCGTGTTTTGTGAAGATACCTAAACTGGTGGTAGGAACAAGAGGCCCTACAGTCTCTTCCACCTCTACTCCTGGATACAGGTAAATTATACAAAGCTCTCAATTCCTGCATTGATGCTGGATTTCTGTTTAGCTTTCTGTTCCCACAGTTTCTGCTTTTTGTGTGTATCTTATTTGGAGGTACCTTTATGAAGATAGGTTTATTGTGTCCTCAAATGTCCCATTTTTTTTCCCTGCCTATGGGGAAATAGGCTTAAGAAACAAATTTGTGGCCAGGCGCAGTGGCTCATGCCTGTAATCCCAACACTGGAAGACTGAGGCGGGCTGATCACTTGAGGTCAGGAGTTCGGGACCAGCCTGGCCAACATGGTGAAACCCTGTCTCTACTAAAAATGCAAAAATTAGCCGGGCGTGGTGGTGGGTGCCTGTAAGTCCCAGCTACTCGGGAGGCTGAGACAGGAGAATCCCTTGAGCCCTTTAATCCCAGCTACTCGGGAGGCTGAGGCAGGAGAATCACTTGAGCCCGGGAGGCGGAGGTTGCGGTGAGCCGAGATCGCGCCATTGCACAGCAGCCTGGGCAATAAAGTGAAACTCCATCTCAAAGAAAAAAAAAAAAGAAAGAAACTTGTGTGGACTAAAAGAGGAATTGGCCAACTATGGTCCATGGGTCAAGTCCAGCCTGCCACCTGTTTTTCACTGGCCTCATAAGCTGAGAATGGTTTTGAGAACATTTTTAAATGGTTGGAAAAAATAAAAAGAATATTTTCTAACATGTGAGAAGTATGTGAAATTCAAATTTCAGTGTCCATAAATAAAGTTTTATTGGAACACAGCCATGCCCATTCTCTTATGTATTGTCTCTGGCAGTGTGAGAGCTGCGACAGCACCGTTGCATAGTTACAGAGTCTATATGGCCTACAAAGCCTGAAGCATTAATATTTGCTATCCAACCCTTTATATAAAAGGCTTGCCAGCTCCTGGTCTAAAAACAAGAATAATGGGCCGGGCACGGTGGCTCACGCCTGTAATCCTAGCATTTTGGGAGGGCAAGGCAGGTAGATTGCCTGAGCTCAGGAGTTCAAGACCAGCCTGGGCAACACGGTGAAACCCCATCTCTATTAAAATACAAAAAAATTGGCTGGGCATGGCGGCATGTGCCTGTAATCCCAGCTACTCGGGAGGCTGAGGCAGAAGAATGGGTTGAACCTGGGAGGTGGAGATTGCAGTGAGCCGAGATCATGCCACTGCACTCCAGCCTAGGAGACAGAGCAAGACTTTATCTCAAAAAAAAAAACAAAACAAACAAAAAAAAACAAGAATAGGCCGGGCGCGGTGGCTCACGCCTGTAATCCCAGCACTTTGGAAGGCCGAGGTGGGCGGATCACGAGGTCAGGAGATCAAGACCATCCTGGCTAACACGATGAAACCCTGTCTCTACTGAAAAAATACAAAAATTAGCTGGTGGTGGCACATGCCTGTAATCCCAGCTACTTGGGAGGCTGAGGCAGGAGAATGGCGTGAACCCGGGAGGCGGAGCTCACAGTGAGCCTCGCAAGATTGCGCCACTGCACTCCAGCCTGAGTGACAAAGCGAGACTCCATCTCAAAAAAAAAAAAAAAAAACAAGAATAATGGCAGAAACAAAACTGAAAATTAGGACTGGAAGTGGTGGTTCCCGCCTGTAATCCCAGCACTGTGGGAGGGCAAGGTGGGTGGATTGCTTGAGACCAGGAGTTTGAGACCAGCCTGGGCAACATAGGAAGACCCCATCTCTACAAAAAATAAAAATTAACGGGGCATGGTGGCTTATACCTGTGGTCCCAGCTACTCGGGAGGCTGAGGTGGGAGGATTTTGTGAGCTCGGGAGGTCAAAAAAATAAAAAATAAGTAAATTTGGGAGTAGACCCCTGGTCATAGCCCAAACTGATAGAAGGAATTGTTGTATGTCCCCAGCGCACAAACCATCCTGGAATCAGCAACTGCGATGTCTTAGTCATGATACTTCACCCACCTATTTGTTAGGTTGTGAAATGATGGGTCTGGCCGCCTACGTGACTAGTTTCTTACATCAGTGGTCTTCAAGCCTTTTTGGTCACATACTCCAGATTCAAAAGATTTCTAGGCAGGGTACAGTGGCTCACGCCTGTAATCTCAGAACTTTGGGAGGCCTAGGTGGGAAGATCTCGAGCCCAGGAGTTCAAGACCAGCCTGGGCAACAGGGCAAGACCCCATCCCTACAAAAAATACAAACATTAGTTGGGCGTGGTGGGGCACCCCTGTAGCCCTAGCTACTTGGGAGGCGGGGGTGGGAGGATTTCTTGAGCCCGGGAGGCGGAGGCTGCAGTGAGCCAAGACAGTGCCACTACACTCCAGCCTGGGTGACAGAGCGAAGGACACTGCCTGGAAAAAAAAAAAAAAGTTTCCAGTGCATACCTCCACCTCCAGCACTGCTTATTAATTGACTTGTAAGCTATAGCAGCTGCTGTCCTGATACGTACGCTGTATGTCCCATATAAATAGAAGCTCTAATATTCCCTCCTGTGGGTCACCATTCTCATTACCTGGGGTAGGCACAGTCCTCGTTGGAGCTGATTGCTTCAGAATGTTTTTCAGTGTTGGAATCAGTTCCAGAATAATGTAAGGGCTTTCTCTATGGCCATATTTCCCTGAACGTCCTTGGTCTCAGCTGATCTTGGAAACTAAGCAGTGCGAGGCTTGGTTAGTACTTGGATGGCAGACCACCTCGGGATACTAGGTGCCATAGGCTAGACCTAAATCTTACAATACTGGGGGGAAAAAAAGATATTTTCAAAAAAATAAAGGTTGACCTGGTACGGTAGCTCACGGCTGTAACCCCAGCACTTTGGGAGGCCGAGGCAGGCCGAACACTTGAGGTGAGGAGTTTGAGACCAACTGGCCAACATGGTGAAACCCGTCTCTACTAAAACTACAAAAAAAAAAAAGCCAGGTATGGTGGTGGGCAGCTTTAATCCCAGCTACTCGGGAGGCTGAGGCAGGAGAATCGCTTGAACCCAGGAGGCAGAGGTTGCTGTGAGCTGAGATCGTGCCATTGCACTCCAGCCTGGGCGACAAAGCAAGTCTCCATCTCAAAAAAATAAATAATAAAAATAAAAACATCCTTTCTAGGCTGGTTTTTCGTTTGTTTGTTTGACATGGGGGTCTCATGTGTTGCCCAGGCTGGAGTGCCGTGGCGTGACCTTGGCTAACTGCAACCTCCACCTCCCAGGTTCAAGCGATCCTCCTGCCTCACTCTCTCAAGTAGCTGTGATTACAGGAATGTGCCACCAGGCTCGGCTACTTTTTGTATTTTTGGTAGAGATGAGGTTTCGCTACGTTGCTCAGGCTGGCCTCAAACTCCTGACCTCAAGTGATTTGTGCGCCTTGGCCTCCCAAAGTGCTGAGATTATAGGTGTGAGTCACCGTGCCTGGCCAAGTGCTGGTGTTTTTTGTTAGAGAAAATGGCGTGCGTGTTACCTGTCTTCTTAGGATGTGAAGTGTTGAGAGAATCCTTAGTGATCCATCCTATCAAACCTCCCTGATCTTACAGATGAAACTAAGGCCTGGGGATGTCAAGCGAGTTCTTTGAGGCCTAGAGAAGGGTTTACGGCAGATGTGGAGCTAAAGCTTGTGTCTCCTGATGTTCTTCATACTACACTAATTCCCTGGGCTTTCCTTCTCTCTCCATTTACCTGCTTGCTCCCTGGTAAGCCACTCTGTGAAATATCCATTAAACCAGTAAAGAAACACTCTAAGGCCAGGCACAATGGCTCATGTCCCAGCACTTTGGGAGGCAGAGGCCGGAGGATTGCTTGAGCCCAGGAGTGCAAGACCAGTCTGGGCAACATGGTGAAATCTCACCTCTACTAAAAATACAAAAAGGCCAGGTGCAGTGGCTCACACCTGCAATCCCAGCACTTTGGGAAGCTGAGGCAGGCAGATCACTTGAGGTCAGGAGTTCAAGACCAGCCTGACCAACATGGAGAAACCCTGTCTCTATTAAAAATAAAAAAATTATCTGGGCATGGTGGCACGCACCTGAAGTCCCAGCTACTTGGGAGGCTGAGGCAGGAGAATCGCTTGAACCCGGGAGGCAGAGGTTGCACTAAGCCGAGATCGCCCCACTGCACTCCATCCTGGCGACAGAGCAAGACTCCATCTCAAAAATAAATAAATAAATAAAAATAAAGAAATTACATTGAAAACTATAGAACATTGTTGAAGTTAAAAAAATTAAATAAGACCTAAAATATGGAAGGAGATCCTGTGTTCATGGATTGGAAGACAATATTGCAATTAAAATAGCAATACTCCCAAAATAGATATACAGATTTAATACAAGCTCATCAAAATTCCTATTGTCTTTTTTTTTCTTTTTTCTTTTTTTTTTTTTTTCAGAAAGGGACAAGCTGATCCTAAAACTCATATGGAAATAAATGAAAGTAACCCAAAATAGCCAAAAGCAGTCTTGAAAAAGAAGAACAAAGTTGGAAGACTCATACTTCCCGATTTCAAAACTTACTATAACGCTACAGAAATCAAGGCAGTGTGGTATGGGAATAGGGATAAACAAGGTGAACAGTGGAATAGAATTAAGAGCCTGGAAATAAACCTTCACACTCATCATCAATTGATTTCCAACAATGGCATCAAGACAATTCTGTGAAGGAAAGGAATAGTTATTTATTTATTTGTTTATAATTATTATTTTTTTGAGATGGAGTCTTGCTCTGTCACCCAGGCTGGAGTGCAGTCGCACGATCTCGGCTCACTGCAAGCTCGGTCTCCCGGGTTCACGCCATTCTCCTGCCTCAGCCTCCCGAGCAGCTGGGACTGCAGGCACCCGCCACCACGCCCGGCTAATTTTTTTTTTTTTTTTTTTTTTGTATTTTTAATAGAGACGGGGTTTCACCGTGTTAGCCAGGATGGTCTTGATCTCCTGACCTCGTGATCCGCCCGCCTCGGCCTCCCAAAGTGCTGGGATTACAGGTGTGAGCCACCGTGCCCAGCCGGAAAGGAATAGTTTTTTCAACAAAATGTGCTGAGAGAAGTTCAAGACCAGCCTGGCTAAGATGGTGAAACCCTGTCTCTACTAAAAATACAAAAAAATTAGCCGGGCGTGGTGGCGGGCACCTGTAATCCCAGCTACTCGGGAGGCCGAGGGAGAGAATTGCTTGAACCCAGGAGGCAGAGGTTGCAGTGAGCCGAGATCACGCCACTGCACTCCAGTCTGGGTGACAGAGTGAGACTCCATCTCGAAAAAAAAAAAAAAGTGCTGATATGCACATGTAAAGAATGAATTTGGATCCATCTCACACCATATACAAAAAATAACTAAAAATGCTTTAGGAGGCTGAGGCAGGTGAATCACCTGAGGTCAGGAGTTCAAGACCAGCCTGGCCAACATTGTGAAACCCCATCTCTACAAAAATACAAAAATTAGCCGGGCACGATTGCGGGTGCCTGTAATCCCAGCTACTTGGGAGGCTGAGGTGGGAGAATCACTTGAACCCAGAAGGCAGAGGTTGCAGTGAGCCAAGATCATGCCATTGCACTCCAACCTGGGCAACAGGGCAAGACTCGTTTTAAAAACAGAAATAGAGACCGGGCGTGGTGGCTCATGCCTGTAATCCCAGCACTTTGGGCAGCCAAGGCGGCGGATCACAAGGTCAGGAGATGGAGACCATCCTGGCCAACACGGTGAAACCCTGTCTCTACTAAAAAAAAATACAAAAAATTAGCCGGGCGTGGTGGCGGGCGCCTGTAGTCCCAGCTACTCAGGAGGCTGAGGCAGGAGAATGGCGTGAACTTGGGAGGCAGAGCTTGCAGTGAGCCGAGATCGCGCCACTGCACTCCAGCCTGGGTGACAGAGTGAGACTCTGTCTCAAAAAAAAAAAAAAAAGAAAACAAAACTAGGGGCCTGGCGCAGTGGCTCATGCCTGTAATCCCAGCACTTTGGGAGGCTGGGGCGGGCAGATCACCCAAGGTCGGGAGTTCGAGACCAGCCTGACCAACATGGAGAAATGCCATCTCTACTAAAAATACAAAATTAACCGGGCATGGTGGCACGTGCCTGTAAATCCCAGCTTCTAGGGAGGCTGAGGCAGGAGAATTGCTTGAACCTGGGAGGCAGAGGTTGCGGTGAGCTGCGATCCCACCATTGCACTCCAGCCTGGTCAACAAGAGCGAAACTCCATCTCAAAAACAAAACAAAACAAAAAACAAACACCTAGGCCAGGCGTGGTGGCTCACACCTGTAATACAGCACTTTGGGAGGCTGAGGCGGGCAGATCACAAGGTCAGGAGATCAAAACCATCCTGGCTAACATGGTGAAACCTCGTCTCTACTAAAAATTCAAAAAATTCGCCGAGCGTGGTGGCACGTGCCTGTAGTCCCAGCTACTCGTGAGGCTGAGGCAGGAGAATGGCTTGAACCCTGGAGGTGGAGGTTGCAGTGAGCCAAGATCACACCACTGCACTCCAGCCTGGGCAACAGAGAGATACTCCATCTAAAAAACAAAACAAAACAAAACAAAACAAAACAAAACTCTTCAAATAAAATGGGTGAGGCTGGGTGGGTGGCTCACACCTGTAATCCCAGCATTTTGGGAGCCCGAGGCAGGGGATCACCTGAGGTCAGGAGTTCGAGACCAGCCTGACCAACATGGTGAAACCCCACCCCTACTAAAAATACAAAAATTAGCCAGGTGTGGTGGCGCATGCCTGTAATCCCAGCTACTCGGGAGGCTGAGGCAGGAGAATCACTTCAACCTGGGAGGTGGGGATTGCCATGAGCCGAGATCGTACCACTGCACTCTAGCCTGGGTGACAGAGTGAGACTTGGTCTCAAAAAAAAAAGAGTTCAAGACCAGCCCCCTGTTCCTTAAAAAAAAAAAAAAAAAATTCTGGAGTAATACATTTGTTCAAAAGAAATTTAAAAAAATACAAAAATTAGCCAGTTGTGGTAGCCTATGCCTGTAGTCCAAGCTATTTGAGAGGCTGATGCAGGAGGATTGCTTGAGCCCAAGAGTTCGAGGTTGCAGGGAGCTAGGATCATGTCATTGCACTCCAGCCTGGGTGACAGAGACTCTGTCTCTTAAAAAAAAAAAAAAAAAAAAAAGTGCAGTTTCACTATGGAAAGCAGTTTGGCAGTTCCTCAAAAAGTGAAACAGAGTTATCATTTGACCCACCAACTCCATTTCTGAGTATAAAACCAAAGGAACTGAAAACATGTTCTCACAAAAGCTTGTACACAAATGATGACAGCAGCACTCTTCGTCATAGCCATCATAGCCAAAAAGTACAAATAACTCAAATGTCAATCAACTGATTAATGGATAAACAAAATGGGGTACATTCATACCATGGAATATTCAGCCCTGAAGAGGAAGGAAGTGCTGGAATGCCACCTGCTACAACATGGATGAACCTTGAAACATTATTTATGGCAAGTGGAAGAAGCCAGACACAAAAGGCCACATAGCGTACCATTCTATTTACAGGAAATGTCCTGAATAGGAAATCCAACTAAATTAGTAGTTGCCTAAAGCTGGAGAGAATGAGGAATGAGAAGTGACTACTACCGGGTATGAAGTTTCTTTTTATTTTATTTAATTAATTTTTTTTTTTTTTTGAGACAGGGTCTTGCTCCATCACCCAGGCTGGAGTGCAGTGGCAGGATCTTGGCTCACTGCAACCTCTGCCTCCCAGGTTCAAGCGATTCTCCTGCCTCAGCCTCCCAAGTAACTGGGATTACAGGCACCTGGAATCATGCCCAACTAATTTTTGTGTTTTTAGTAGAGGCTGAGGAGGGTGGATCACTAGGTCAGGAGTTTGAAACCAGCCTGACCAACATGGTGAAACCCTATCTCTACTAAAAATATAAAAATTAGCCGGGCATGGTGGCGGGCTCCTGTAGTCCAGCTACTCGGGAGGCTGAGGCAGGACAATCTCTCGAACCCAGGAGGCGGAGTTTGCAGTGACGCGAAATTGCACCACTGCACTCCAGCCTGGGTGACAGAGCAAGACTTCGTCTCAAATAAATAAATAAATAGGCCAGGCACAGTGGCTCACACCTGTAATCTCAACACTTTGGGAGGCCAAGGCAGGCAGATCGTTTGAGGCGAGGAGTTTGAGACCAGCCTGGCCAATATGGTGAAACCCCATTTCTACTAAAAATACAAAAATTATCTGTGCATGGTGGCGGGCGCCTATAATCCCAGCTACTCAGGAAACTGAGGGATGAGAGTCACTTCAACCCAGAAGGCAAGTGCAGTGAGCTGAGATCATGCCACTGCACTCCAGCCTGGGCGATAGAGCGAAACTCCCTCTAAAAAACAAACATAAATAAATAAATAAATAAAATAAAATAAAAAATAAATAGGCCAGGCGCAGTGGCTCACACCTGTAATCCCAGCACTTTAGGAGGCCGAGGAGTGCGGATCACAAGGTCAGGAGATCGAGAGCATCCTGGCTAACACAGTGAAACCCCGTCTCTACTAAAAATACAAAAAAAATTAGCTGGGTGTGGTGGCGGGCACCTGTAGTCCCAGCTACTCAGGAGGCTGAGGCAGGAGAATGGCGTGAACCTGGGAGGCAGAGCTTACAGTGAGCTGAGATCCTGCCACTGCACTCCAGCCTGGGCGACAGATTGAGACTTTGTCTCTAAATAAATGAATAAATAAATAAATATCAAATGGGGTGGGCCGGGAGCAGTGGCTCACCCCTGTAATCCCAGCATGTTGGGAGGCCAAGGCGGGCGGATCACCTGAGGTCAGGAGTTCGAGACCAGCCTGGCTAACATGGCGAAACCCCATCTCTACCCAAAATAACAAAATTAGCGGAGCGTGGTGGCGGGTGCTTGTAATCCCAGCTACTGGGGAGGCTGAGGAGAATCGCTTGAACCTGGGAGGTGGAGGTTGCAGTGAGACAGGATTGTGCCATTGTACTCCAGCCTGGGCAACAAGAGCGAGACTCCATCTCAAAAATATAAAAATAAAAATAAATAATAAAATAAAACAGGGTGATAATGTTCTAGAATTAGGCCAGGCGCGGTGGCTTACGCCTGTGATCCCAGCACTTTGGGAGGCCGAGTCGGGCGGATCACGAGGTCAGGAGATCAAGACCATCCTGGCTAACATGGTGAAACCCTGCCTCTATAAAAAATACAAAAACAAAAAAAATTAGTTGAGCGTGGTGGCGGGCGCCTGTAGTCCCAGCTACTCAGGAGGCTGAGGCAGGAGAATGGCGTGAACCCAGGAGGCAGAGCTTGCAGTGAGCCGAGATCGCACCACTGCACTCCAGCCTGGGCGACAGAGCAAGACTCCAGCCTGGGAGACACAGTAAGACTCTGTCTCAAAAAAAAAAAAAAAAAAATGTTCTAGAATTAGATAGTGGTGATAGTTGCACAACTGCAAATATGCTAAAAATCACTGAATTATATACTTTTTTGGGGGGTGAGGGGACAGCGTCTCACTATCACCCAGGCTGGAGTGCAATGCCGTGATCTTGGCTCACTGCAGCCTCAACCTCCCCGAGGTTAGGGTGATCCTCCTACCTCAGCCTCCTAAGTAGCTGGGACTACAGGTTAGCCTCCGCTCTCGGCTAATGTCTGTATTTTTAGTAGAGATGTGGTCTTGTTATGTTTCCTAGGCTGGTCTCAAACTCCTGGGCTGAAGAGATCCGCCTTCCTCAACCTCACAAAGTGCTGGGATTACAGGCGCGCACCACCACGGCCCGGCTTTCTTTTTTTGTTTGTTTTTGTATTTTAGTAGAGACGGGGTTTCACCATGTTGGCCAGGATGGTCTTGATCTCCTGACCTTGTGATCCGCCCACCTCGGCCTCCCAAAGTGTTGGGATTACAGGCGTGAGCCACCGCGCCTGGCCGAGTTGTATACTTTTTTTTTTTTTTTTTGAGACGGAGTCTCGCTCTGTCGCCCAGGCTGGAGTGCAGTGGCGCCATCTTGGCTCATTGCAAGCTCCGCCTCCCGGGTTCATGCCGTTCTCCTGCCTCAGCCTCCCGAGTAGCTGGGACTACAGGCGCCCGCCACCACGCCCGGCTAATTTTTTCTATTTTTACTAGAGACGGGGTTTCACTGTGTTAGCCAGGATGGTCTCGATCTCCTGACCTCGTGATCTGCCTGCCTCGGCCTCCCAAAGTGCTGGGATAACAGGCGTGAGCCACCGCGCCCGGCCTCTTAAGTTGCATACTTTTAAAGGATGAATTTTATGCTAAGTGAATAATATCTCGATTAGAATAAAAAACGAAAAGATTTTTTTCTTTTCTTTCTTTTTTCTTTTGAGACACAGTTTTGCTCTATCGCCCAGGCTGGAGCAATGGTGCCATTGTGGGTCAGTGAAACCTCCGCTTTCTGGGCTCCAGTGATCCTTCCACCTCAGCACCCCAGCACCCCAGCCCCTCAGCCCCTCAGCCCCTCAGCCCCTCAGCACCTCAGCACCTCAGCACCTCAGCCCCTCAGCCCCTCAGCACCCCAGCCCCTCAGCACCTCAGCCCCTCAGCACCCCAGCCCCTCAGCACCTCAGCCCCTCAGCACCCCAGCCCCTCAGCACCCCAGCCCCTCAGCACCTCAGCCCCTCAGCACCCCAGCCCCTCAGCCCCTCAGCACCTCAGCCCCTCAGCACCTCAGCCCCTCAGCCCCTCAGCACCTCAGCCTCCAGAGTAGCTGGGACCACGGGCGCGTGTCACTATGCCCCAGCTAATTTTTGTATTTTTAGTAGAGATGGGTTCCTTCTTTCTTTCTTTCTTTCTTTCTTTCCTTTCTTTCTTTCTTTTTCTTTCTTTCTTTCTTTCTTTCTCTTTCTTTCTTTCTTTCTTTCTTTCTTTCTTTCTTTCTTTCTTTCTTTCTTTCTTCTTTTTCTTTCTTTCTTTCCTTCCTTCCTTCCTTCCTTCTTTCTTTTTCTTTCTCTTTCTTTCTCTCTCTCTCTTTCTCTCTTTCTTTCTTTCTTATTTTGAAACGGAGTCTCGCTCTGTCGCCCAGGCTGGAGTGCAGTGGCGCGATCTAGTCTCACTGCAAGCTCCGCCTCCCGGGTTCACGCCATTCTCCTGCCTCAGCCTCCCGAGTAGCTGGGACTACAGGCGCCCGCCACCTTGCCGGGCTAATTTTTTTGTATTTTTAGTAGAGACGGGGTTTCACCGTGTTAGTCAGGATGGTCTCGATCTCCTGACCTCGTGATCCGCCTGCCTCGGCCTCCCAAAGTGCTGGGATTACAGGTGTGAGCCACCGGGCCTGGCGACATGGGTTCTTTCTATGCTGCCCATGCTGGTCTTGAACCCCTGGGCTCAATTGATCTGCCTGCCTTGGTCTTCCATAGTGCTGGGATTACAGAAGTGAGCCATCGTGCCCAGCTGAAACTTTTTTTTTTTCTTTGTGACGGAGTCTCACCGTCACCCGGGTTTGAGTGCAGTGGCTCGATCTTGGCTCACTGCAACCTCCGCCTCGTCGGTTCAAGCAATTCTGCCTCAGCCTCTCGAGTAGCTGGGACTACAGGCACGCACCACCACGCCCGCCTACTTTTTGTAATTTTAGTTAAGATGGGGTTTCACTATGTTGGCCAAGCTAGTCTGGATCTCCTGACCTCAGGTGATCCGCCTGCCTCGCCCTCCCAAAGTGCTGGGATTACAGGCGTGAGCTGAAATTTTTTTTTTCTGAGGTGGAATCTTGCTCTGTCACCCAGGCTGGAGTGCAAGTGGCAGGATCTTGGCTCACTGCAACCTCCTCCCGGTTTCAAGCAATTCTCCTGTCTCAGCCTCCCGAGTAGCTGGGATTACAGGCGCCTGCCACCACGCCCCGCTAATTTTTTCTATTTTTAGTAGAGACGGGTTTTTGCCATGTTGGCCAGGCTAGTCTCGATCTCCCGACCTCGTGATCTGCCCGCCTCGGCCTCCCAAAGTGTTGGGGTTACAGGCGTTAGCCACTGTGCTCGGCCAACAGTTTTAAAATGATGCCATGGACTTAGAGCGAGGAGTGGGGACAATGGAAAAAATACAACGCTATTGGCTGACGCCTGTTATCCCAGTGCTTTGAGATGGAGGTGGAGGCGGGAGGATCACTTGAGCCCAATAGTTCAAGACTACAGTGAGCTACGATCAAGCCACTGCACTCCAGCCTGGGTGACAGAGGGAGACCCCGGTTCTTAAATAACAATATGGAAATAGATCGGTTCAGAGCACTCATAGAAAGGACCGGGCCTGCCACTGAGATCTGGATTCTTGCCCCGAAGAAATGGAGGCCTAGTCAAACAGCCAGTGGGTGGGGGAGTCAGAGTCAGTACCCGGTGTGTCCGTCGCAGGAGCCCTCCGCTAGTAGCTGCAGCCCTGCACTGTTCAATACGGTGACCCCTAGCTATGGTGGCTACTGAGCGCTGAAACGTGGCTAGTCTGAATTAAAATGCGTTGTAAGTATAAAACACACACTGGATTGCGAAGACTTCGTATGATAAGAGAATGTAAAGTGTCTTATTAATAATTCCTTTCAATTCATTATATAGTGAAATCACGCTGTTCTGGAGCTATTGTATTAAATAAAACATGTTAAAATCAATTTCACCAGTGTTTTTTGACTTTCTCAAATGTGACTACTGAAAAATTGAAAATTAGCTATGTGGCTGGCATTCTATTTCCATTGGACTGCGCTGCTCTAAAGGACTGGGCGCCCGGGACCAGCCACATGGGTGGCATTAATTTATTCATGGAATAAGGTTTCACTGAGCATTCTTCGCTAGTGCTGGCCTACAGCTGATCTCAAGGATGGGGGTTAAGCTGGGGAGGGGGTGTCGTCGCCTGCGCCTTTGGTCCTAAAGGAAGAAGCAGGCCTGGGTGGGCATCCCTAGGTGGGTGCCTTTGTCATCAGATCCGGAGATGATGCTTGCACGCCTGTGTCTAATTAAATCTGCAAACCATGACGATTAAAAACAACAGAAAAGGGTGGGCATCTTATGTATTTTAACGAGCTTTACTACTTCGGCAGAACTCCAAGATTAAAAAAAAAAAAAACCCCAAAAAACCCCACAACCTTCAGGTTATTCATCTAATCCAAATCCAAAATACACTGGATGGTTACATTTCAATCGGATCCAAGGATGGGCTGGGGGTGGGGTCGAAGGAGGATCTAAAATTGTCCCGTAAACTCCAGGGGGTAGAAACTTTGCCAAGTTCAATTCTTGTATCCTCAGCGCTTGGAACAGTGAGTGGCGCATAGTAGGTGCTTCCCTTAAATACTGGAGTGAGTCTACGCACGAAATTGTGCGATTCAGGGATGAGTTTTCCGGGGAGGGGGGTGAGGGGTGGAGAAGGCCTCTAAGCTTTTGTCAGTCTCAAAGGAGTCTTGGATCCCCAAAGGGTTAAAAACCACTTCATACAGACAGAGACATGAAATTTATTTGAAATCAATGTCAAGCATCGGTTATTCTAATCCTGGGGCTTGGCCAGACCTGGGCGTCTGGAATGATCTACGTGCTTAAATACACCACTCGCCACCATTTTCTCCAGGTAATTTTCCATCCCTGCCCCCACCATCAAGGGGAAGAAAGTGCTCTTCGGATTCCGGTTCGCCCTGGCCTCCCGCAGCCGCCGCGGGACCGGCCCCCAGCACACCCCCGGGGCGCCGGGCGCGGGGCAGCCGCCCGGACGCGCGCGGGCCTCAGGCGCCGCCGGGACCCCAGCCCCCCAAACTTTGGCAAGTTGCGGGCGCCGAGCGCACCCGGAGGCGCGGGGCGCGGCCGCAGGCGGAGCCGCCCCCTGACGCCGGGCCGCCCCCTCCCGGCCCCGGCCGCCCCGCCGGCTCCGCGGAAAGTTTGCGGCCGCCCCTGCGCCGCACCCGGGGCCTGGGTGAGACTGCGGCGGCGGCAGGGCGCGGACGGCCATATTTGCCGGCGCGGCCCGAGCCGCCGACAACAAAAAGTGCGCGGGCGCTCGGCGGGCGCTCGGACGGGCGCGGGGCTGCAGCGCTACCGCCCGGCCTCGCCGCCGCCGCCGCCGCCCTCGCGGCCTGGCCCCGCCGCGCCCGGCGCGCCCGCCGCCCGGGGGGATGTCTTACAAACCGAACTTGGCCGCGCACATGCCCGCCGCCGCCCTCAACGCCGGTGAGTGAGCCGCGTGCGACGCGCCCCAAGCGCCGCCAAGTTGGGGGTCCGCGCGCCCGGCCCCGGCCCGGGGATGCCCGGGGCGCCCGCGGAGGCCGGGGGCGGGGGGCTCAGGGTCCCGGCCCGGGGCAGCGCTGCCGCCGCCATGATTCCCGAGCCCGCGCCGCGAAAGTTCTCTGGTGCGCCCCGCACGCCGAGGGCCTCGGCTGGGGGTGCGGGGCGGGCGGCCCGGGGTGACCCCCGCGCCGGCGGCTGCGGATCGCAGGGAGCGCGGCGGGCGAGGGCGAGGGCGGGGGAGGCTTGTTCTCGGCTCCTTTTTCCTCCGGCTTCTGGGCGGCTCGGCGAGGGCCCCTGCCGGCGGGAGTCGGGAGCGGCCCGGGCCGCGCCGGGAGCGGGGCGCGGGGCCCCGCCGCCCTGGGGAGCGGGGTCGTGAAGCAGCCCGGGCGGGGGGCGCTGCGGGCAGGGCCAGGACCCGCGCGGGCGGGCGCGGATGGAGGGCTGCGGGGCTGCGGGGCTGCGGGGCTGCCGGGCTGCCGGGGGCCCTGAGGTCGCGGGGCCGCCGGGACTGGGACCAGGATGGGGTCGCCGGCGGGCAGCGTACTCGGAGGCCCGGGGGCCTCGGCCGGGAGCGTGGGAGCAGGGGCTACCCCATGCGGTCACGCGGGGACCCCCGTAAGGTGAGCGCGGAGTGAACGAAGTTGGCGCAGCTCTGGGGCTGCTGGGGCCCGCGCGCGGGCGTGGGGGCAGTGGGTCACGTGGACGCCCCATCTGGGAGCCCCCAAGGGCTGGCCCTGGAAGGCCCTCGATGCAGAAGCCGGGAGGGGCTCCCCTCAAGCTTCCTGGGGCTGCGGCCGCAGCCGGGCGCTCCCAGGAAACTCCTCCAGAAGTTGTCAGGCAGCTTCGGGCTGAGCCCAGGGGACCGAGGGAGCCATGGGGAGTGGGCACAACATTGAGGGATTCGTAGGTGCCGGGCTTTGTGACCTCACTGGGGCCCTTCTTCTCTGACACTTGGTCGGAAACAGACTTCCCAAAAGGCGGTTGTGTTGCGGGGCGGGATGGGGGGAAGGACTCGACGGGGAGAGGAGTGGCCCCGTTGGTCACCGGTGCCACGCTGGCTCTCCTGCTCGAGTTTTGGGCCTTGTTTGCAAACGTTGACCTCGTAACCCCCCAAATCGGAAGTGGGACCCATAAAAACGATACCTAAAAAAAATCTTGGACACTGAGGTGTAGGGGCAGGAAAGGGTTAAGCGTCAGGGTGCGGAGGGAGAGTTGAATTGCTCACTTGTGGGCTCGGAGTCCCAAAGAGCAAACAGCCACTGTTTTTTTCTCAAACATTCTCACCTCCTCTGGGGTCCGCAGACCTTACAAAGACGGGCTTTGTTGCCAGGTAGGACTGCCAGCAGCCTTCTTCCTCTGGCCTGTGGGGAGGGCAGGGGCTGGTGTTGCCAGCCTGGGCAAGGCTGAGCTCAGGCTTACCCTGGTGTCATTGGGGCCGGGGCCCTAAACTGGGACCCTCGGGGTTTGGGGTCACAGGGACAGCGGCACTCACGGGGACCCCTGAAGTCCTGTTCTGGGCTGGCTGGACCTGTACTCAGCTTTTCTTCTTTGTCCTGTGGAGAATTCCAGGAGTGCCGAGATCCCCAGATCTGGGCTTTTTGGTGCCCCTCCCAACCCCCCACGGGCCCCTTTGCAGAACCCCAGCTCCCCTCCTGCCATTTGCATCCAAGATGGACTCTCCGCTGCCGCCGCTGCTCCTCCGGCTTCCTTGTCATCATCCCTCACGCCCTGCAGCCCTGCCTCCTGTTCACGGGTTGCCAAGCCGCGGCCTGGCCGGTGGTGGCAGTGGCGGAGTTAGACAAAGCCCCCGCCTCCCCCGCCCCAGAGCCCCCCAGGCGCCCCAAGTGGCGGGAAGGCCGCCAGCTCCCCAGGCCCCGCGCTCTTTGTCTGGCGTGGGGGTGGGGAGCCGCGCCTGGCCCCAGGAGCTTCCTGGCCTCTGCCAACCCCTCGCTCCTGCACACTGCGCTCATTGTCTGAGATGCGCCGAGACGGCCTTCGCTGACGTGGTCCCTGTGTCCTGGTCCCTGTGTCTGCAGGAAGGAGTGACCAGGAGTGGAACTCGGAGCCCTTCCGCCATCTCTCTCCAGGACTAGACACCCCCCCGCCCCCGAACAAGGGAGTGGCCTGGACAGAGCACTGGGGTCACCGAGCTATTGCTCCTCGTCCCCCAGCCAAAATGGGACGATTTCTCCTTCCTCCTCCCTCTCAGCCCTGCAAAACCTAACCCCAGTATCATCAAATAGTAGGAACTGGAGCCCATAGACCTTCTCTTGGGAAGCACTGCCTCTAACAAATGGAGAAACTGAGGACTGGAGGGCGGGGAGCCTGTCTGAGGTCACACAGCCAGGAGTGGCACAGCTGGGGCTGGCACGAAGTCCAGTGGGGAGGACAGAAAAGGGGAGGTGAGGAGCAGTGGGCAGAGCAGTTGGGGAAGAGGACGGGGGCACACCGAGGGAATGCGAGGGTGCGTGGGAAGTGGCCAGCACCCCTCCTGCCAGGGCGCTGGGATCTTGCAAACGCCTGGGGTGCTGTGCGCGATGCTACCCCCAGCGACTGGCCCTGGAGCCAGAGAGGTGTAGTGACCAGGATCAGAACCCAGGTCTGTGCCGGCAGAGCCTGTGTTCGCCATGCCATGCTTGCTGCCACATCAGAAGCTCAGGAAACTGGGGTTTGGCTGATGTAGTTAGGGGGCTCTGGGGGACATCACCCTGCCCAATTCCTGCAGTGGCCATGGACGTGCCAGATATCGTGGGCGTTGTGCGTCCCCCTCCCAAGCAACCCGCCCCTATAGCGCACGTGTCTCATCATCCGCATGTGTCTCATCATCCCCACGTGGGAGGCGTGGAAACTGAGGCTCGGAGTGGCACGGTGCTCTGCCCAGTTCAGGATCCAAGTCCACGTTTGCAGTTCCAGCCCAAGCTGGAGCATAACCCTGGGCTGCAGTGGCAGCATCCAGGGCTGGCCTGAGACTCAGGAGACAGCTCGGAACGGTCCCCGTTCTCGGAGAGAGGGGCAGGTGCCGGGGTAGCTGGCTCCCTGCTTTGGTCTCCTCTATGCTGTGTGCCCTGGGGCCACCCCTTCAGGTCCATTTCTCTAAATCGAGGGGCCTGGAGCCAGGGTTCTCCAGTGCTCCTCCCGGCTCCCCCAGCTTGAGGCCCTGAACTTCCTTCCTCCTCTGCCCCTCCCCTCACCCACACCAAGCGAGCAGCTGGTGGGTTTGGCCAGCCTGGCACCAGCTGTCTGTCCCCGAGGCCAAGTCTGCGGCGCCCACTGTGTGTGTGAGAGAGAGACCGTGTGGCTCTGGGGGCGGCAGGCGGGCAGCTGCCGAGGAGGACTAGGTAAATTCTCCATGGTTACCGCTGTTTGTCATTCTGCAGGATATCCTTTACCCGCTAATGGCCACTGGGACGCCATTGCGGGGCCGCGTGCTCCTAGCCACGGACTCCCCTGCCAGATCCAGGAGGCTGCGTTCTGGGCTGGGCCCTGCTTGGTCACTGACTGCAGCTCTGGACAGGCCCCAATGTTGCATCCCATATGTGGGGCCTCAACCCTCCTGTCTTGGGATACAGAGCCCTTGGGGCATAGACTGCTAAGAGTCTGGTCCCCTCTTTGGGGAGGGGGAGACAGGCACAGAGGGGTTGAGGGGCTTTATCTGGGGCACACAGAGGCCATGGTGTTCTCTAGATTTCTGATTTGATGTCCAGCGTGCCTGTCTCCAGCCAGGGTTGGGTCTCAAATACTCCAAGGCCTTCCTGTCTTCCCTGTCATTGAGCACAGCAGAGATTTGAGCGCATAGAAGCAAAAAGGCTTGGAAGCTCAGCCTGGTTTCGACCAGCCTATGTGGCGCTGTGGTGTGATGTGGCCTCTAGGTTCTCAGCCTCTGGGGACCAGGACACAGGGAGAGGGGATGGGCAGAGTTCAGGCCAGGAGTGGCAATAATTTTATCTTTGGGAGCAGCCCTGCTGCTTGGAAGGTTCTGGTTGGATGGGATGGAGCTCTGTGAGGACCAGCGGCTGCTGCAGAGCTGGGGATGGTCAGGTGCCTTGTAGCTACATTTCATTATCCATCTTATATGCTGGTCAAACCGGAGGTGGAGAGCAGGGTTCTCCATCCTGCTACAGTTGGTGGTGTGGGTCCTGGGCAAGGGCTGTTGCAGGACCCGGAGTCCTTGCCTTGGTACAACTGGCTGAGCTGACTCCTGGCCTCTCTCTCCCCACCCCACAGCTGGGAGTGTCCACTCGCCTTCCACCAGCATGGCAACGTCTTCACAGTACCGCCAGCTGCTCAGTGACTACGGGCCACCGTCCCTAGGCTACACCCAGGTATGTCAATGGGGGTGATGGCATGGTGGGAGGGCCAGGGGGAGACATGCTTCCCACCATCAGAGGAGAGAAGTTGGTGGAAGAGACGAAGGAGCAGAAAGGATGGGACGGAGCTTTCTCAGCCCAAGGCCCTGGCTGCGCTCCTGCTCAGAACACATCAGAGTGGAGGGCACTGGGGACTGTGCTTCGCGGGGACGTGTGAGGTGGAGGGGACAGGAGAGCACCAGGAAGGGGCAGCAGCCCAAGCTGTGCTGAGGCTCCCACCCCACGCGTTCCTCCAGTGGGCCTCCTCACTCCTCTTTCTTGGGCAAGTGAGGCCTGACCTTGATGCTGGCTCTCCAAGCTGGGACAGAAGATAGGGTCAGTTCCCACTTGCTCTCCACGGGCGCGGGCCCAGCAGAGAGGAGGTGGCCCTGTCTTGAGAGCCCAGCTGCCTTTTGTCGAGGGCCAGTATTTGAGAGTGTGGCCTGGGCGAGGCCGCTCCCTGGTTCCACCACTTTCCAGACTGTGACCCCCCACTTGGTAACTGCCCAAGACCCGGGCTCCTCATCAGCCCAAGGGTGATCCTAGTACCCCCAGCCCAGGCTGGCGAACAGCAGGAATGGGGCCGCCACCATCTCAGCTGCACCCTACATCTCCAAGGGATGAGCCGCCCCGGGGAAGGTCCCAGCGGGAAGATGCTCTCCCTGGCTGGGCCCCAGCACCAGTGTTCTGAGGTCGCTATGGAGCCTGTTCCTCGCCAAGTGGGCGGCTCCCCGGCCATGCCCCACCAGGCTGCCCTGCCCCAGGAGGAGAAGCAGGTGTGGGCCTGTGAGCGGGACCGGCTGAAGAAGCGGTGGCTGTGGGAGGCCAGGCAGAGGGGCAGCCGGGAGTTGGCAGTGCCACGTTCTGGCCATGCGACGGCGGCGCCAGGACAGGCGGGAGGCCCGTGAGGCCTGGAGGCAGTGCCGTGGGGAGGCAGAGCAGCCGGAGCAGGACGAGGACAGGACAGAGCGCGAGGCCAGGGGACAGAGGCGGTGGTGGAGGAGGGGGGAGGCAAGGACCTCGCCCAGGGAGCTGGCGTGTCTATGGGAGGAGGTGGCCAAGGGGAGGTAGCCTGGGCTTGTGGGCTTGCGGGCTTGTGGGCTTGCCGGAAGCCCAGCCTCGCTGATCCGGGTGCTTGCTGTGGGGCTCCCAGTGGTGGTGGGAGGAAAGGTTTTCTGGGGGTTGGGCCCTGTTGGTGGGAGGATGAGAGAAGGGAATGCATTCCAGGCTCTGGCTGGGCCATGGCGGATCGCTGTGGTCCTGGTGGCCCAGGTGTGGCCTCTTGTCTCCCCACTGGCTTGGAGGCTTGGCACCTGGGATGTGCCCTCCCATCCATCTGCATCCTGGGAAATGCTGTTTGGACTCTTTTGTGCCAAAATGAGCTGTTTCCCCTGTTTTGTTCATTGGAGATAATAAAGTTGCTTCCTGGAGACGACTGGGTGGCCTCCCTGAGTGTGTGAGGATAGGAGGGTGAGGACCATCTCCCTAACTTGTAGTTGTCCCCTAGAATGGGACGTGCCTTGGCCCAGCTGAGGTGGCTGCCCCAGAAGTCTGAGGCTGGGCTGCGTTCCCTATCCTGACCGGCCCGGGGCCCTCTCCACCCACCTGCCTGTGGCCTTGGGGTCAGGCTGCTGAACCCTTTTTTTTTTTTTTCCCCCGAGATGGAGTCTCGCTCTGTTGCCCAGGCTGGAGTGCAGTGGAGTGATCTTGGCTCACTGCAACTTCCACCTCCTGGGTCCAAGCAGTTCTCCTGCCTCAGCCTCCTGAGTAACTGGGACTACAGGCACGCACCACCACGCCCGGCTGATTTTGCTGAACCCATTTCTTTCTGATTCTAGGGAACTGGGAACAGCCAGGTGCCCCAAAGCAAATACGCGGAGCTGCTGGCCATCATTGAAGAGCTGGGGAAGGAGATCAGACCCACGTACGCAGGGAGCAAGAGTGCCATGGAGAGGCTGAAGCGCGGTAAGCCCGGCCCCGCTGCCCTGTCGGTGACCACAGTGCTAGACCTTTAACTCTGGAAAGACTTTTGGGGAAAATGTGGGAAGGTGGGCTAGGGATGAGGCTCACTCATGGGAGCTCCTGTCTTGTTACAGAGTTGCCGTCTGTGGTGGAGGCCTCAGGCAGGCGATGGGTCTGGTAGCGAGGGGCCTGGGGGGCTGGATGTCTTCAGAGGGGTCTTCTGGGAAGGGCAGCCCAGGCAGGGAGCCCTTCTTACCCTGTGTGCTGCCAGGGGGTCTGCTGGCTTTCAAGGGTGTGTTCGAAGTGCCCCCTGCCCCCGACCCTGCCTGGTCTGCTCCTGTGGGCCGACACTGGTCCTAGGGAAGCCAAGCTCAGGGTTCATCGGTGCCTGCACTGCCCTCTGCTGTCACCTCTTTGGAGGGAGACCCAAGGAAGTGTGTGGGTCTGTGCTAGGGTCTGGGGAGGGAGGCTGAGAGCACTTTGTTCTTTAATGGTTGGAGAGGGAGGGCAGGCAGGAGATGACAGAGCACAAGGGACTCGTGTTAAGGTGTGACTGTCCGTCTGATTTCGAAAGGACGTTAAATAGGTTGCTACCTTCTGAAATAAAAGGGGAGTGGAGGTAGGACAGGATTTCTATTTTAGAAGGCGACAGTGCAGCAGAGCCATAGCCCATGAACGCATTCAAGATGAGGGGAGACTTGGGGCTCTTTTTTTTTTTTTTTTTTTTTTTTTTTTTGGGAGACGGAGTTTTACTCTTGTTGCCCAGGCTGGAGTGCAGTGGTGCAATCTCGGCTCACCGCAACCTCCGCCTCCTGGGTTCAAGCGATTCTCCTGCCTCAGCCTCCCAAGTAGCTGGGATTACAGGCATGTGCCACCACACCTGTCTAATTTTTTGTATTTTTAGTAGAGACAGGGTTTCTCCAAGTTGGTCAGCCTGGTCTTGAACTCCCAACCTCAGGTGATCCACCTGCCTTGGCCTCCCAAAGTGCTGGCATTACAGGCGTGAGCCACCACGCCCGGCCTGGGACTTGGGGTTCTTAAAAAGGCTGGAGAAGCAACCTGGGAGAGGAACATTCTTTTTTTTTTTTTTGAGATGGAGTCTAGCTCTGTCACCTGGGCTGGAGTGCAGTGGCACGATCTCGGCCCACTGCAACCTCCGCCTCCCGGGTTCAAACAATTTTCCTGCCTCAAGCCTCCCGAGTAGTTGGGACTACAGGCGTGCGCCACTATACCCAGCTAATTTTTGTATTTTTAGTAGAGACCAGGTTTCGCCATGTTGGTTGGCCAGGATGGTTTCGATTTCTTGACCTTGTGATCCTCCCGCCTTGGCCTCCCAAAGTGCTGGGATTACAGGCGTTGAGCCACCGTGCCCGGCCTGGGAGAGGAACTTTCTTTGGTTGTAAATCTGTAGCATAAATGGGGGCTGTAGTTGAAGTTATGCCCCAGTGACACGAGGGCCAGTTGAGGACAGGCTGCTGCCAGGAGCGGGGTTGCTCTGGAGTTTATGAAACCTTTGTGAAGAGGTTGACGGGTCTCAAAGCTAGGTTGGGACTACCAGGGTTAGAGGATGTGATTGAAGAGGGCCTGGGGGAAGGGATGCAGAGCCCAACCCTGGTCTCGCCTGGAGAGTTGGGTGGTCCCAGGGCTGCTCTCCGGTAGCTGGGGTGCTGCTTACCTGAATGGAAATTCCTGGGAAGATGCTGGGTCCCAGAGTCCAACAGGTAATTTGCAGTCACCCAGAAAAGGCACTGGTTCAAGTCAGCAAATGCGTACAAACTGCCAGTCTTTTAGTAACAAGGAAGACCTAGTGCTACCCCTTGGCCAACAGCCAAGCCCAAGCTTACCAAGCTCATGTCACAGCAGGGTGAAAACACGTCATAGAGGGGTCAGGGAGTTAGGAGCTAGGAGCATTGTAGGTAGGTTGGCAACTACAGCCCAAGAGCCAGGAGCCAAGAATAGTGGTTTTTTTTTGTTTTTTTTTTTTTTTTGAGACAGAGTCTCGCTCTATCACCCAGGCTGGAGTGCAGTGGCGCGATCTCGGCTCACTGCAACCTCCGCCTCCCGGGTTCAAGCAGTTCTGCCTCAGCCTCCCGAGTAGCTGGGATTATAGGCGCCCACCACCACGCCCATCTAATTTTTGTATTTTTAGTAGAGATGGGGTTGTACCATGTTGGCCAGGCTGGTCTCAAACTCCTGACCTCAAGTGGGCAACCCGCCCCGGCCTCCGAAAGTGCTGGGATTACAGGTGTGAGCCACCGCGACAGGCATGGTTCTTAATGGTTGAAAAAAAAAATGATTTTGGGACGTGTGAAAGTTATCTGAAATTCAGACTTAAGTGTTCATAAATAAAGGTTTGTGGGTCCAGGTGTGATGGTGCATGCCTGTAATCCAGCAGTTTGGGAGGCTAAAGCCAGGAGCAACATAGTGAAACTCCCATCTCTACAAATAATGATAAAACAGCCAGGCATGGTGGTGCGTGCCTATAGTCCCAGCTTCTCCGGAGGCTGAGGTGGGAGGATCACCTGATCCTGGCAGGTTGAGGCTGCAGTGAGCTGTGATCGTGCCACTGCACTCCAGCCTGGGTGACAGGGCAAGATGCTGTCTCAAAAAAAATTTGAGTGAAGTAGTTGTGTCAGAGACTGTAGCCTGCAAAGCTCAAAATATTTGCTGTCTGGTCCTCACAGAAAACATTCTCCAAGGCTCTGAGTTAGTTTCTAAGATTTGTGAGGTGATGATGTGGGATGTCATTCCCAGTGGCCTCTGGGAGTCATGTATTAGAAGGAATAGAATCCTTAGTGTCTATTAAAAGATCATATTTCATGAAGTTCAGTAGAGGCAGAAAGAAAAAAAAGGTAAGCACCAAACCACAGAGACAAAAGACTGGGGAAGATTCATCGGGCAGAAGGTAGCTGCAGTCTTGTGGGGTTGTCCCCGTGGACCCAGGGTCCCGCGTGGGTAGTAGTCAGTTCTCTGCGCCCTCACGTGTGCAGCTGAAGCCATTCTCTTGCTTACTTACGCCGGTCAAGCCCTGTCTAGAATTCAGACTGAAGAAGCCAGAGAAAAATCTCCATAGTGGGTCAAGCAAAAGAATTTGGGTGGAGACATGTCTTTCATCCAACAGTGTCGTGGAAGGACAGCTTGCTGGTGCACCTTGAATGCAGGAAAAAATGTTTAGAGAGACAGGAAGAGTTGTGGTGAGGAGGGAAGGGCTTTAGAGAGGGATGGGATTGTTAGCGTCCTTCAGGGTTGCTTGGTTATAGGTTTCCCTGGTTCTCTTTATGTCTGAGGGTTTTGTGGACAGGCTGTGGAAGGATGGATCCTCTTGCTGTTTCAGAATGGGCTTTGCTGGCTGGTCCTGTGCACTTGCTGACCTCAGGTCTCTGCCTCTGTTTCAGGCATCATTCACGCTAGAGGACTGGTTCGGGAGTGCTTGGCAGAAACGGAACGGAATGCCAGATCCTAGCTGCCTTGTTGGTTTTGAAGGATTTCCATCTTTTTACAAGATGAGAAGTTACAGTTCATCTCCCCTGTTCAGATGAAACCCTTGTTTTCAAAATGGTTACAGTTTCGTTTTTCCTCCCATGGTTCACTTGGCTCTGAACCTACAGTCTCAAAGATTGAGAAAAGATTTTGCAGTTAATTAGGATTTGCATTTTAAGTAGTTAGGAACTGCCCAGGTTTTTTTTGTTTTTTAAGCATTGATTTAAAAGATGCACGGAAAGTTATCTTACAGCAAACTGTAGTTTGCCTCCAAGACACCATTGTCTCCCTTTAATCTTCTCTTTTGTATACATTTGTTACCCATGGTGTTCTTTGTTCCTTTTCATAAGCTAATACCACTGTAGGGATTTTGTTTTGAACGCATATTGACAGCACGCTTTACTTAGTAGCCGGTTCCCATTTGCCATACAATGTAGGTTCTGCTTAATGTAACTTCTTTTTTGCTTAAGCATTTGCATGACTATTAGTGCTTCAAAGTCAATTTTTAAAAATGCACAAGTTATAAATACAGAAGAAAGAGCAACCCACCAAACCTAACAAGGACCCCCGAACACTTTCATACTAAGACTGTAAGTAGATCTCAGTTCTGCGTTTATTGTAAGTTGATAAAAACATCTGGAAGAAAATGACTAAAACTGTTTGCATCTTTGTATGTATTTATTACTTGATGTAATAAAGCTTATTTTCATTAACAATTTGTATTAAAATGTGGGTTCCTTGAATTCTTACGTGCTGTTTTATTTTTTTGAGACAGGGTCTTGTTTTGCCACCCAGGCTGGAGTGCAGTAATATAATCTTGGCTCACCGCAGCCTCAACCTCCTGGGCTCAAGCAATCCTCCCATCTCAGCCTCCCTAGTGGCTGGAACTACAGGTGTGTGCCACTATGCCTGAATAATTTTTAAAAGACTTTTTGTATTGAATGAATGGGTGTGTGATGGAAAAAAAATTTTTTTTGCAGAGATGAGGTCTCACTATGTTGCCTAGGCTGGATCCTGGGCTCAAGTGATCCTTCCACCTTAGCCTCTCAAAGTACTGGGATTATAGGTGTGAGCTACCACGCCTGGTGTAAAGAAGTGCTATTTTAAATAATCTCTCATGAAAGTGTTTGAAATGCTTGTTCCCCGGTGCCGTGAAGAAATAGCACTTGAACATAAATTTAATTTACTCAGCAAGGCCATTTTTACTTCCCGCAGAAAGGGTACATTCGCCAGCAGTTTTGCCACGAGAGTACACCGAACAAAGAGACAGGGTCATTTGTAACCTGATGCGTCCACCCTACTGCTGTGTCCGGTTTCCATTGGCTGGAACGGGACCTCATATTCTGTATTTGTCCTGATTGGGAAGCAACTTAAAACTTTTTAAAAGAGGCGAAGGCAGAAGAGAACAAAGGAAGGAGAAAGTAACTTGTGGAATGGTGAGAAAGGTAAACACTTTTAAATAAGGAAGAGGAACAGGCTATGACCTAATGCTTGCTCCGACCAGTGTAAGCATGCCAGGACAAATATTTAGGCTAAATTGTGGGAGCTAAGAACATAAAGTACATTGATTTCTTTACCACGGCTAGCAGATAATTAGGAATGTTAGCACAGGTCTTTGAATAAATTTTGCTTCGAAGAGAAGTTACCGTTTATTCCAAATTAAATGGGGAGGAAAGTCTTTGGAGAGGAACCTCTACTTTACCTTTTACAAGAGGTAGGAGATGCCTGTTCAAACTGTATTTTCCCATCTGACACGGAAACATTTTGGTGATATCATTAGCACAGTTGGCTGGGGAAAGAATGTGTTTGCTAAGTCAGAGGTAGGGATAAAGTGAAGTTGCATTATGGGTGTATTTTAAGTGCAGCAAACTTAAGTGTATGCTAGGAAAAAAAAATAGCAGCAGCAGTTTTTAAAAAAAAAATTTTTTTTTTTTTAGATGGAATCTCCCTCTGTTGCCTAGGCTAGAGTGCAGTGGCTTGATGTTGGTTCACTGCAATCTCTGCCTCCCAGGTTCAAGCGATTTTCCCAGCTTAGCCTCCCGAGTAGCTGGATTACAGGAGCGTGCCACCACACCCAGCTAATTTTTGTATTTTTAGTAGAGATGGGATTTTACCATGTTGGTCAGGCTGGTCTCCAACTTCTGACCTCAGGTGACCCAGCCGCCTTGGCCTCCCAAAGTGCTGGGTTTACAGGCGTGAGCCACCACGCCCGGCCAGAAGCAGTATTATTGAGTTGGCCTGTTACCCCATGGTTAGGCCATTCTCAGTTCGTAGGTGCTTATCCTGTGGGCTTTTGGTGGGTGCTACAGGAATCTTTTTCATAAAGTACGGCTCCTAACTTCAAGCTACTTCATATGGTGCTCACTGGAAGAATTATCTGCTCTGGTGCCAGGGAAAAAATGGGCTGCACTGGATGTGTTGAGAGTCCACGTGGTGGTCTCTGACAGTGCCTCCCAAAGGGATTTTAATTCTTACTCTATACCTTAGGCCCTAAATACCTGCAATGAGAATTTGCTTTGCTGAGCAGTAGACAAAGACAAATGAGAGAGACTTGTCTTTCTTTGATGCAGGCATGAGGCGAATTCTCAGCCATGACAAGGCTGAAGGCCAGCAGGAACAGGCTCTAGCGAAATGGGTGCTGTGTCCCCTTCCTGCATGTGGCAGAAAGTTGCAAAGGTATGAGAGAGGAGACAAACGGAAACCATTCTCCCTTATCTCCAGCTCCAAATTTCCCCTCCCACTCTTACTGGTTTCTTAGGTGTTGTTCTAGAGCCTTTATTTTCTACAGGGCGTTTGGGCTGGGGAAGGGTCCTGTACACTCGCAACAGGAGGTGTAGAATGAGCCCTGCATTGAATGTGTAAGCATCCAAAGCTGTCACTGAGGTGAGAAGAGCCTTCATTGGCAGCCTCAAAGAGAAAGGTGTGCTTGGATGTATGCACTGGACATGCCACCTAGGCCTACTGGACATGCCGCCTAGGCCTGCTGGACAGACTGCACAACTGAGGCCCTGCAACTGGCAATCTCCCAATGGCTTTCTCACCTCTCAGCATTTTTCCCTATTTGTTTTCTACGTGGACTCCAGAAGAGTTCTAACAAGCCAAGCTATAAAGCATGGCTTTAAAAGAAAAACAACTGTAAGGTAAAATCCAGCTTAAGTGACGTAAATTTACAAGCAAATCAGATTCTGGAACCTCACCTTTACAAATCTTGCAAATCAACGTGCAGGGAATGTGTTTGTTTCTACATCAGAGGCACAACTGGGCATCATACAGCCTAGAAGCTAATAGAGCACATGGACAAGGAACAGAGCCTTTAGCTCTTCCAACCCTCTTATTTTCTCTCTTTTTTTTTTTTTTTTTAGACAGTCTTGCTCTGTTGCTCACGCTGGAGTGCAATGGCGCAATCTTGGCTCACTGCAACCTCGCCTCCCAGATTCAAGCAATTCTCTTGCCTCAGCCTCCCAAGTAGCTGGGATTACAAGCGTGTGCTGCCACGCCTGGCTAATTTTTGTATTTTTAGTAGAGATGGGGTTTCACCATGTTGGTCAGGCTGGTCTCAAACTCCTGACTTCCATGATCCGCCTGCCCCAGCCTCCCAAAGTGCTGGGATTACAGGCGTGAGCCACCATGCCCGGCCCTTGTTTTCTCTTACTGTCTTGAGCTGACATGGGGATAACTGACTTTTAAGTGTCACTGGGCAGCAGCTTCCCAGCAGATGGCAAGTTGCCAAGAAATGCTATTAATGTTTGACTCCATTCTCCAGTTCTCCATAAAAATTGACTTTACTAATTACAAAAAAAATTTTATTATTACAAAACATACAATCTCACAAAGGTACAATTTGAAATACGGGGACACCCTTCTAACTACCACCCAGGTGAAGAAACAGAACTTTGTCAGGCACCCCAGAACCCCTCCAAGTGCCTCATCACAATGACAACTCCTTCCCTCTAGAAGTAGCCATTATTCTTGTATAGTACTGACTGTGTTTCTTTATGGTTTTATCTTATTTTTTAGAGACAGGGTCTTGTTCTGTCACACAAGAACAAGTGGACAGGTGGAGTGCAGTGGTGTTCATAGCTCACTGCAATCTTGAGCTCCTGGGCTCAGGTGATCTTCCTGTCTTAGCCTCCCAAGGTGCTGGGATTATAGGCGTGTGTCATTGCACTTGAACTAGTTTTATTTTTTTTTTGAGATGGGGTCTCGCTCTGTCACCCAGGTGTTGCCCAGGCTTGAGTGCAGTGGCGCGATCTCAGCTCACTGCAACCTCCGCCTCCCAGGTTCACGCAATTCTCCTGCCTCGGCCTCCCGAGTAGCTGGGATTACAGGTGCCCGCCACCATGCCTGGCTAATTTTTTGTATTTTTAGTAGAGACGGGGTTTCACCATGTTGGCCAGGCTGGTCTCAAACTCCTGACCTCAAGTGATCCGCCCGCCTCGGCCTCCCAAAGTGCTGGGATTACAGATGTGAGGCACCGTCCACCGTGCCCAGCCGAGTTTTATTCTTGAATCGTGCATGTCTCTGTTCACTACAGTTTAGTGCACCATTTAAATAAATTTGTTGTCTTTTAAGTTCATCAAAAATATTTCTTTTGAAGCACTATAATAATGCTGGTGATGGAACTCGCCACCATTATTCCCTGGGAGCTTCTGGCAGATTCTGTCAGTTGGAATCTCTAATTCTTTTCTCAGTGGACCTTTTTACTTGACTCCCACAGTTCTTTAAGTAGCTTCTTTTTTTCCAGGGTTTCCTTTGCTCTTTTTTTCCTTTCTTGTTTTTTCTTCGCCGCTTCTCGTTTTTCTTTGTGAACAGGACTGTTTTCACCATTGTAGAAAACATCTACTTTCTCTTGTAGGATTTTCCGAGCTAGCTTTCTGTTCTGATCAACTGATCTTGTCTGATGGCACTGTAAGAGATAATATTTTATAATGTGAAAACCACAGGATGTTAAAAATGGACAGGACCTCAGAAGTCATTAAATTCAACCTGTTCGCTTTTTTATTTACTATTTATTTATTTATTGAGACAGAGTTTCGTTCTTGTCATCCAGGCTAGAGTGCAATGGTGTGATCTTGGCTCACTGCAACCTCCGCCTCCTGGGTCCAAGTGATTCTCCTGCCTCAGCCTCCCAAGTAGCTGGGATTATAGGCGCACGCCACCATACCCAGTTAATTTTTGTATTTTTAGTAGAGATGGGGTTTCACCATGTTGGCCAGGCTGGTCAGGACAACCTGTTCGCTTTATAGAGAGGGACAAACCTGGATGGCAAAGCCCCTTATCAGGAGTCCCCATGAGTCAGTGACAGTGAAGACCAGCCCCTTTCCTGCCTCTGCCCTGTGTCCCATACCCTTGCTGTATTATGTGGCTTTCAGTGTGATTGTTTTAATCATTAGGAGTGCTATTTTGTTTAGAAGCAACAGTGGCCTTCAAATAACTTAAAGTCGCAAAATAATTATGAAAGTATCAACTGATGTATCTAGCTTGTGGCCAGTTAACAACCACTTTGTGTGCACCATTCATAAGCATAAAGTTCTGTCTGAAGGAAGAAAATAGCATCTTTATTATTAGTCAGCCATAACTCATTCACTGTGTAATGCCTCAGTTATTATAGGGTGAGTGCCTTGCAAAGCTGTTTGATAAAAGATAAATCTTAAGCCAGGCATAGTGGCTCACACCTATAATCCCAATGCTTTGGGGGCTGAAACGGGAGGATCACTTGAGGGCTGGAGTTTGAGACCAGCGTGGGCAACATAGCAAGACCCCCCATCTGTACCAAAAATGTAAAGATTGGATGGCCGGACGTGGTGGCTCATGCCTGTAATCCTAGCACTTTGGAGGCCAAGATGGGTGGATCACTTGAGGTCAGGAGTTTGAAACCAGCCTGGCCAACATGGTGAAACCTTGTCTCTAGTAAAAATACAAAAAAATTAGCTGGGCGTGGTGATGGGCACCTGTAATCCCAGCTACTCGGGAGGCTGAGGCAGGAGAATTGCTTGAACCCAGGAGGCGGACGTTGCAGTGAGCTGAGATTGCGCCACTGCACTCCAGCCTGGGCAATAGAGCAAGACTGTCTCAAAAAACAAAACGAAACAAAAAACACTGAGTGTGGTGGGGCATGCCTGCAGTCCCAGCTACTCGGGAGGCCGAGGCGGGAGGATTGCTTGAGCCCAGGTGTTTGAGGCTATACTGAGCCATGATTGCACCACTGCACTCCAACCTGGCTGACAAAACAAGACCCTGTCTCTTAAAAAAAAAAAAATTCTATGAAATTAGGGTTAAAGAATAATTCTGAAAGCAAGTTTGGATTGAGTTATGTCAAATAGGTTAAACAAAAATTAACTCTCAGGTTTCAGAATTTTGTTACTCATGAATGACACTTTTCAAGGGGGAAAAGAAATGATTGAGGTTTTACATGATATGCTTGTGGCTCAGAAACCCAGCAGTGAAGTGCAGCTGTTAGGAACATGGACTTGGGGTATGGTGTGAACTGACTACTGAGTGGCAGGACCTTGGGCAGGTCACTTAGCCTCTCTATGTCCCAGATTCCACACCTGTACTGTGATGGAAATCATGAACATGGGGTTTTGGGGACTGCAGAGTTAATGCTGCTTCGAACAGTTCCTCCCACACGTTTCCATGACCTGTAAGTATCTGCTGCCAGTATCGTTATATATGAAACACCTGCCTTGGCTATCTCTCTTCTGTGCTGCTTCCAGGACTCTCTCGTGATCCCTGAGGCAGATGGACTGGGAGCCCCTCTGACCAACCTTCTTTTTTTTTTTTTTAAGAGGGAATCTTGTCTGTTGCCCAGGCTGGTATGCAGTAGCATGATCTCGGCTCACTGCAATGTCTGCCTCCAGGGTTCAAGCGATTCTCCTGCCTTAGCCTCCGAGTAACTGGGATTACAGGCACGCGCCACCACACCCGGCTAATTTTTGTATTTTCAGTAGAGATGGGGTTTTGCCATGTTGACCAGACTGGTCTCGAACTCCTGACCTCAGGTGATCCACCCACCTCGGCCTCCCAAAGTGCTGGGATTACAGGCATGAGCCACTGTGCCTGGCCCGAGACTTGTTTTTTTATGTAAAAAGGAAGACTCCTATAGGCAGCTGTGCACAGCATTTTTTCTTCTGAGGTTGGAAAATGCCTGGCCTCCATGATCCTCCATGATCTCGCCCTCAGTCCTCTCTGTCCAGAAGAGGAGGTATCACCGACATTTACCAAAGGGGACAGAGAGGCGTGGAGGATGTGGCCACCCTAATGTTAACCAGCCATGACAGTTAAGGGCTGGGACTGCCAGCAGACAACCCATGCCTGCTTGCCGCCTCCTCAGGGACTTGGATCCCATAGCAATGCTGGGGATCTCGGCAGCCTTCCTGCAGTGGGAACGGATTTGAAAGAACCATGCTGCCCGGGCGCCTGCCTTTATCAGCCACTGCTTAGCTTTGTCAAGACGTTGCTTCCGGGGCAGCAGCCAAGCACCAGTGCTGTCTGCCAAATTCAAGGATGGCAGCCATACCCTGGCTCCAAAAGATCCTGGAAACAGGCTTCCCAGGCTGTTGTAGGAGGTTCTGCCTTAGGGAGGAATGGCTCAGGGATGGGACGAGATCTGCGGTGCTCTCTACTGCCTGGCTGGTAGAGGGTGGCCCAAGCCAGAAAAATAATGCACTTCGGCTGATCCCATTCACACTTGGGAGAAATCTCTGGAGGCTGTGGAACCCTTGGGCGGGGCCTCTCCCCTCAGCGGCCTTCTGTGATCTACCTTTACAACGATGCCTGAGGGGATGTGCTTCAGCACCACGCAGTTGCTGGTTTTGTTGGTTGCCTGGCCCCCTGGACCGTGTCCTTTCACAAACTGCTCTTCGAGTTCATTCTCATCCAAGGAAAGCAGTGCAGGGTAGTCCTTCTTGCCTGCCATCTGGACCGGAGTGACAGCTATTCCTGGGGATAACAACGTCAGCTTCTCCCAAAGCCGGAGTCCCCATGGCGCCGGGCATATTCGGGTCAGTGGTGTAGGAAAATGAAATAAACCCACGGTGCTCATAAGGAACGTGGCTCTGCTGGCTGAGGACCTGGGTTAGATGAATAAGGAGAGCTTTCAGTAAGAGGCATCTGCCCTCAAGATTATGCTTCAGATTCAAAGACAGCTTTTTATAAAGCAATTCAAATGATGACCCATCTGTTACCGAGGGAATTTAGGAAATGAGTAGAGACACATTATTCAGCAAGACGCCCCTCTCCTCAGCCTTGCACTGTCTGCCATGTTACCAGGACATGCCCTGCCAGCTAATACATATTTTCTTGCAATAGACCAAAAATATCTTCCAAGCACCCGGGGGTGCTGTTTTCTCAGAAAGGAGAGGTTTTGAGTGTGAAATTCAGGCCGGGCATGGTGGCTCACACCTGTAATCCAAGCACTTTGGGAGGCCGAGGCAGGTGGATCACAAGGTCAGGAGTTCAAGACCAGCCTGGCCAAGATGATGAAACTATCTCTACTAAAAATACAAAAATTAGCCGGGCTTGGTGGTGGGTGCCTGTAATCCCAGCTACTCGGGAGGCTGAGGCAGAGCCACTGCACTCCAGCCTGGACAACAGAGCGAGACAGTGTCTCAAAAAAAAAAAAAAAAAAAAAAAAAAAAAAAAAAAAATTCAAAGGAACGGACTGTAATTTGATACAGGTAAATAGTGCATCAAGCAAAAATTAGGATCTGGGTCAAGTGCCAGTATTTAAATGTTTGAGAATCTCTGAAATCAAAATGTAAAGATGACAGTATGAGAGTCTATTTTATTTTTTGAGACGGAATCTCGCTCTGTCGCCCAGGCTGGAGTGCGATGGCGCGATCTTGGCTCACTGCAACCTCCGCCTCCCAGGTTCAAGTGATTCTCCTGCCTCAGCCTCCTGAGTAGCTGGGATTACAGGCGTGTGCCACCACACCCGGCTAATTTTTGTATTTTTAGTAGAGGCGGGGATTCACCATGTTGGCCAGGCTGGTCTCGAATTCCTGACCTCAGGTGATCTGCCCACCTCGGCCTCCCAAAGTGCTGGGATTACAAGTGTGAGCCACCCCCCACCCCCACCCAGGGCTGAGTAGTCTATTTTATAGCTGAGCTTAAACAGTCTGACATAGTAAACATCACTATCAATCAATGTCATGATTGTTGTTTTTTGTTTCCAGTTTCATGGATTTGAATGTGAACATCTGTTCCCTGGACGCACTGCCAACAACGTGGTCCAACTGGTACTCATCGTTGGAACTACCAAGTCAACTAATTTTTTTTTTTTTTTTGAGACAGAGTCCCACTCTGTCGCCCAGGCTGGACTGCAGTGGCGCGATCACAGCTCACTGCAGCCTTGACTTCCCCAGGGTCAGGCGATTCTGTCACCTCAGGCTCCCTAGTAGGTGAAGACTACAGGCAGACACCACCACATCTGAGTAATTACTTTTTGTAGAGATGGGGTTTCGCCATATTGCCCAGGCTGGTCTTGAACTCCCTAAGGTCAAGTAATCCACCTGCTTCAGCCTCCCAAAGTTCTGGGATTACAGGCGTGAGCCACTGCATCCAGCCAGTCAACTTTTAATAAGGTCCTTGTTAGGTACAGTAAGGGACATGAGATGAAAAAGAGCTGGACTGTCTTCTTGGAGCTTACAGGTTAGTTAGAGAAGATATTAAAAGACAGATGAGATGGGCCTAGACTCTCTGCCTACATCTTTCTCCAGTGCTGGATGCTCCCTGCCCTTGAACATCAGACTCCACGTTCTTCAGTTTTGGGACTCAGACTGGCTCTCCTTGCTCCTCAGCTCTAGACAGCCTATTTTGGGACCTTGTGATCATAATTTATTTGCATGGGAGCTCCTGGGATCATAGCAGACAGGAGGCAGGACTAGATTGTAGCTTCAGACAGAGCAGCATGCAGAGGCTTGCATTGTGAATTTTAGCTCTAGATCAACTGCAAGAACAAACCAGCAATCCTGAGAGGACCCACAGACCCTCTGAAGGAAGCGGATTGCTCCTGCAGGGCCCGGGAGACCCCCAAATACTGTGAGTGCCCCAACTGTGGAAGTGGGAAAGGGAGATCCTCCTCTCCCGAACACACACCCCCCCACTGGAGAGGCTGAAGGTCTGTTTGCAGGAGAAATTTCCAACTTTACCTGGAGCTAAGTCAGACTCAGCAGAGCGAACTACAGGGGTAGAGGAAGCAGCAGAAAGGCCGTGGGAGCTCGCTGGGTCCCCAGAAGGCCCATTCCTGCCTGGCACCACAGGGATCCATCGGGAGGGTGGCCAGAGGAGCAAGGGATAAAACTCCACAGGGAGAAGAATTCTCTAGTCGAACTTCGTAACAATTTAAACAGGGTGAGAAGCCTCCTGGCCAGAACTTGGGCAACTGCACGAATCCAGCATGCAGACTTCACAGGTGGGGGAAGAACTACAGCCCTTTTCTTTCGCTGCTGGGAGGGGCACAGCCTTGGGGCAAATTTTCAAGCCAGTCTCACCCTCTGCCTGGAAACAGACTCGGGGCAGTTGTGGGGGAACACGGTGGGAGTAAGACCGGCCCTTGGGTTTGTGTGGGAGCTGGGTGAGGCCTGTGACTGCCAGCTTTCCCCCACTTCCCTGACAACCTGCATGACTCAGCAGAGGCAGCCATAACTCTCCTAGGTACACGACTCCAGTGACCTGGGAATCTCACCCACATTCCCTACAGCAGCCGCAGCAAGACCCGCCCAAGGAGAGTCTGAGCTCAGACACGCCTAGCTCCACCCCCACCTGATGGTCCTTCCCTATGCACCCTGGCAGGAAGACAAAGGGCAAATAAATCTTGGGAGTTCTAGGGCCCCGCCCACTGCTGGTTCCTCCCCATATTACCACAGCT
Source organism: Homo sapiens (assembly GCF_000001405.40). Classification (NCBI taxonomy): domain Eukaryota; kingdom Metazoa; phylum Chordata; class Mammalia; order Primates; family Hominidae; genus Homo; species Homo sapiens. Next base: position 123,250,848 of record NC_000012.12, on the reverse strand, counting down.
GATGCTTTCTGGAAAGGACCACCTCCTGGCAGGAGGCCAACCAGCAAAAAAAATAGACCATTAACCCACCAAAGCTCCATTGTACCCTCTGCCACCTCCACCGAACAGGCACTGGTAGCCATGGCTGAGAGACCCATAGATGGTTCACATCACAGGACTCTGCAGATAACCTCCAGTACCAGCCTGGAACTGGGAAGATTCGCTGGGTGGCTAGACCCAGAAGAGAGACAACAATCACTGCAAGTTTGGCTCATAGGAAGCCACATCCATAGGAAAAGGGGCAGAGTACTACATGAAGAGAACACCCCATGGGACAAAAGAATCTGAACAGCCTTCAGCCCTAGACCTTCCCTCTGACAGAGCCTACCCAAATGAACAAACCCTGGTAATATGACAAAACAAGACGCTTCAACACCCCCCAAAAAACATACTAGTTCACTGGCAATGGATCCAAACCAAGAAGAAATACCTGATTTACCTGAAAAAGAATTCAGGAGGTTAGTTATTAATCAGGGAAGGACCAGAGAAAGGTGAAGCCCAATGTAAGGAAATCCAAAAAATGATACAAGAAGTGAAGGGAGAAATCACTCAGGGAAATAGATAGCTTAAAGAAAAAACAATAAAAAATTCAGGAAACTTTGGACACATTTTTAGAAATGCAAAATGCTCTGGAAAGTCTCAGCAATAGAATTCAACAAGTAGAATAAAGAAATTCAGAGCTCGAAGACAAGGTCTTCAAATTAACCCAATCCAACAAAGACAAAAAAGAATAAGAAAATATGAACAAAGCCTCCAAGAAGTCTGGGATTGTGTTAAACGACCAAACCTAAGAATAATTGGTGTTCCTGAGGAAGAAGAGAAATCTAAAAGCTTGGAAAACATATTTGGGGGAATAATCGAGGAAAACTTCCCCGGCCTTGCTAGAGACCTAGACATCCAAATACGAGAAGCACAAAGAACACCTGAGAAATCCATTGCAAAAAGATCTTCATCTAGGCATATTGTCATCAGGTTATCCAAATGAGAGGTGACAATGTGCTAGTAGCCCTCACTCGCTCTCGGCGCCTCCTTGGCCTCGGCATCCACTCTGGCTGTGCTTGAGGAGCCCTTCAGCCCGCCGCTGCACTGTGGAAGCCCCTCTCTGGACTGGCCAAGGCCAAAGCGGGCTCCCTCCGCTTGTGGGGAGGTGTGGAGGGAGAGCTCGCGGGCCAGTGAGGGCTTGGCGGGCCCCGACCTAGGAGTGGCCGGCTGGTGCCGCCGGCCCCAGGCAGTGAGGGGCTTAGCACCCCGGCCAGCAGCTGTGGAGGGTGTGCCGGGTCCCCCAGCACTGCCAGCTCACCCGGGCTGTGCTTGAATTCTCGCTGGGCCTCAGCTGCCTCCCCGTGGAGCAGGGCGTGGGACTTGCAACCCGCCATGCCTGAGTCCCCCCCTCCCCCTGCCCTGCTCCCTCATGGCCAGAGCCTCCCGGACGGGCGCCGCCCCCTGCTCTGCAACCAGTCCCATTGACCGCCCAAGGGCTGAGGAGTGCGGGGGCATGGTGTGGGACTAGCAGGCAGCTCCACCCACGGCCCCAGCATGGGATCCAGTAGGCAAAGCTAGCTGGACTCCTGAGTCGGGTGGGGACTTGGAGAACTTTTATGTCTAGCTAAAGGTTTATAAATACACCAGTCAGCACTTTGTGTCTAGCTCAAGGTTTGTAAATACACCAATCAGCACCCTGTGTCTAGCTCAAGGTTTGTAAATGCACCAATCAGTGCTCTATGTCTAGCTAATCTAGTGGGGACTTGGAGAACTTTTGTGTCTAGCTAAAGGATTGTAAATGCACCAATCAGCACTCTGTGTCTAGCTGAAGGTTTGTAAACACATCAATCAGTGCTGTGTCTAGCTAAATCTAGGGACTTGGAGAACTTTTGTGTCTAGCTAAAGGATTGTAAATGCACCAGTCAGCACTCTGTGTCTAGCTCAAGGTTTATAAACGCACCAATCAGCACCCTGTCAAAACAGACCAATCAGCTGTCTGTAAAATGGGCCAATCAGCTCTCTGTAAAATGGACCAATCAGCAGGATGTGGGTGGGGTCAGATAAGGGAATAAACGCAGGCTGCCTGAGCCAGCAGTGCAACCCGTTCGGGTCACCTTCCACACTGTGGAAGCTTTGTTCTTTTGGTCTTTGTGGTAAATGTTACTGCTGCTCACTCCTTGGGTCTGTGCTGCCTTTAAGAGCTGCAACACTCACTGCGAAGGTCTGCAGGTTCACTCCTGAAGTCAGCGAGACCACAAACCCACCAGAAGGAAGAAACTCTGGATGCATCTGAACATCTGAAGGAACAAACTCTGGACACACCATCTTTAAGAGCTGTAATACTCACCATGAGGGTCCGTGGCTTCATTCTTGAAGTCAGCAAGACCAAGAACCCACCAATTCCGGACAAAGTTAAAATGAAAGAAAGAATTTTAAGAGTCTGTGAGACAGAAGCACCAGGTAACCTATAAAGGAAAACCTATCAGATTAACAGCAGATTTCTCAGGAGAAACACTACAAGCTAGAAGGGATTGGGGTCCTATGTTCAGCCTCCTCAAACAAAACAATTATCAGCCAAGAATTTTGTATCCAGCAAAACTAAGTATCACATATGAAGAAAAGATAGTTGTTTTCAGACAAACAAATGCTGAGAGAATTCACCATTACCAAGCCACTGCTACAAAAACTGCTAAAAGGAGCTCTAAATCTTGAAACAAATCCTGGAAACACATCAAAACAGAACCTCTTTAAAGCATAAATCACACAGGACCTATAAAACAAAAATACAAGTTAAAAAGCAAAACCAAAAAACCCCTAAAGTACACAGGCAACAAAGAGCACAATGAATGCAATGGTACCTCACATTTCTTTCTTTTTTTTTTTGAGACAGAGTCTCACTCTGTTGCCCAGGCTGGAGTGCAGTGACATGATAATGGCTCACTGCAAGCTCCGCCTCCCAGGTTCATGCCATTCTCCTGCCTCAGCCTCCCAAGTAGCTGGGACTATAGGTGCCCGCTACCACGCCCGGCTAATTTTTTGTATTTTTAGTAGAGATGAGGTCTCACTGTGTTAGCCAGGATGGTCTTGATCTCCTGACCTCATGATCCGCCCACCTTGGCCTCCCAAAGTGCTGGGATTACAGGCATGAGCCACCGTGCCCAGCTGGTACCTCATTTCAATACTAACATTGAATGTGAATGGCCTAAATGCTCCACTTAAAAGATACAGAACTGCAGAATGGATAAGAACTCATCAACCATCTGCTGCCCTCAGGAGACTCACCTAACACATAAAGACTCACGTAAACTTAAAGGGGTGGAAAAAGGCATGTCATGCAAATGACACCATAAACAAGCAGGGGTAGCTATTCTTGTATCAGACAAAAACTTTAAAGCAACAGCAGTTAAAAGAGACAAAGAGGGACATTATATAATGGTAATAAGGCCTTGTCACAGGATAATATCACAATCCTAAACATATATGAACCTAACACTGGAGCTTCCAAATTTATAAAACAATTACTAACAGACCTAAGAAATGAGATAGACAGCAGCACAATAATAGTGGGGGACTTCAGTACTCCACTGACAGCACTAGACAGGTCATCAAAACGAAAAGTCAACAAAGAATGGATTTAAACTATACCTTGGAACAAATGGACTTAACAGATATATATAGAACATTTCATCCAACAACTGCAGAATATACATTCTATTCAACAGTACATGGAACTTTCTCCAAGAGAGATCATATGACAGGCCATAAAATGAGCCTCAATAAATTTAAGAAAATTGAAATTAGGCGTGAGCGGTGGCTCACGCCTGTAATCCCAGCACTTTGGGAGGCCGAGGCAGGTGGATCACAAGGTCGGGAGATTGAGACCATCCTGGCTAACACAGTAAAACCCTGTCTCTACTAAAAATACAAAAATTAGCCGGGCGTGGTGGTGTGTGCCTGTAGTCCCAGCTCCTGGGGAGGCTGAGGCAGGAGAATGGCGTGAACCCGGGAGGTGGAGCTTGCAGTGAGCCAAGATTGCTCCACTGCACTCCAGCCTGGGCGACAGAGCGAGATTCCATCTCAAAAAAAAAAAAAAAAAAAAAAAAAAAAAAAAAAAAAAATTGAAATTATATCAAGCACTCTCTCAGACCACAGTGGAATAAAACTGGAAATCAACTCCAAAAGGAACCTTCAAAACCATACAAATAAATTAGCTGGGTGTAGTGCCAGGTGCCTGTAATCCCAGCTACTTGGGAGACTGAGGCAGGAGAATTGCTTGAACCTGGGAGGCGGAGGTTGCAGTGAGCCGAGATTGTGCCATTTGCACTCCAGCCTGGGCACAAGAACAAAACTCCGTTTCAAAACAAACAAAACACCAAAAAAACCCCACAAACAAAAAATGCAAATACATGCAAATTAAATAACCTGCTCCTGAATGAGCAGTGGGTCAAAAACAAAATCAAGATGGAAATTAAAAAATTCTTCAAACTGAGGCTGGGTGCAGTGGCTCAGCACTTTGGGAGGCCGAGGAGTGTGGATCACCTGAGATTGGGAGTTCAAGACCAGCCTAACCATGGTGAAACCCCGTCTCTACTGAAAATACAAAATTAGCCGGGCGTGGTGGCGCATGCCTGTAATCCAGCTACTCGGGAGGCTGAGGCAGGAGAACCGCTTGAACCTGGGAGGCGGAGGTTGCAGTGAGCTGAGATCGCCCCACTGCACTCCAGCCTGGGTGACAGAGCGAGACTGTCTCACAACAAAACAAAACCAGCAAAAAAAAATCTATGACAAACCCACAGCCAACATAATACTCAATGGGGAAAAGTTGAAACTGTTCCCCCTGAGAATTGGAACAAGACAAGAATTCCTACTCTCACCACTTCTCTTCAACACAGTATGGAAGTCCTAGCTAGAGCAATCATACAAGATAACGAAATAAAGGGCATCCACATCCATAAAGAGGAAGTCAAGCTGTCACTGTTTGCTAATGATGTGATCGTTTACCTTGAAAACCCTAAGGACTCCTCCAGAAAGCTCCTAGAACTGATAAAAGAATTCACAAAGTTTCTGGATACAAGATTAACATACACAAATCAGTAGCTTTTCTATACACCAACAGCGACCAAGTGGAGAATCAAATCAAGAACTCAACCCCCTTTACAATAGCTGCAAAAACGAACAACAACAACAACAAAAAACAAAAACAAAACTTAGGAATATACCTAACACAGGAGTCGAAAGACCTCTACAAGGAAAACTACAAAACTGCTGAAAGGAATCATAGATGACACAAACAAATGGAAACACATCCCATGCTCATGGATGGGTAGAATCAATATTGTGAAAATGACCATACTGCCAAAAGCAATCTACAAATTCCACACAATCCCCATCAAAATACCACCACCATCATTCTTCACGGAATTAGAAAAAAAAATCTAAAATTCATACGGAACCAAAATAGAGCCCACATAGCCAAAGCAAGACTAAGCAAAAAGTACAAATCTGGAGGCATCATATTACCTGATTTCAAACTATACTATAAGGCCATAGTCACCAAAACAGCGTGGTACTGGTATAAAAATAGGCACGTAGGGCCAGGCGTGGTGGCTCACGCCTGTAATCCCAGCACTTTGGGAGGCCGAGGAGGGTGGATCACGAGGTCAGGAGATCGAGACCATGGTGAAACCCCGTCTCTACCAAAAATACAAAAAATTAGCCGGGCGCAGTGGTGGGCGCATGTAATCCCAGCTACTCGGGAGGCTGAGGCAGGAGAACTGCTTGAATTCCAGGAGGTGGAGGTTGCAGTGAGCTGAGATGGTGCAGCTTGCCTGCACTCTTGCCTGGGTGACAAGAGTAAGACTCTGTCTAAAAAAAAAAAAAAAAAAAAAAAAAAAAAATGCCGGGTGCGGTGGCTCATACCTGTAATCCCAGCACTTTGGGAGGCTGAGGCGGGCAGATCACAAGGTCAGGAGTTCGAGACCAGCCTGACCAACATGGTGAAACCCCATCTCTACTAAAAATACAAAAATTAGCCAGGTGTGTTGGCACGCACCTGTAATCCCAGCTACTTGGGAGGCTGAGGCAGGAGAATCGCTTGAACCCATGAGGCGGAGGTTGCAGTGAGCCAAAATCACACCATTGCACTCCAGCCTGGGTGACAGAGCGAGACTCTGTCTCAAAAAAGAAAAGATCACAGAAAAAAGTATTCTAGAAAGGGCTTTGTTGATTCCTTTCAAGGCTTGAGGCTGATTTGTAGTAAAATCTCTGTCACCCAGGAGGATTACGGGAACTGCAAAAGTACCACTTGGTTAGAGCATCTTTATTGAAGATTACTTAGTAGATTATGTAGTAGGCACTAAATACAGATGTGCTGCTTTTTTTTTGTTTTTTGTTTTGAGATGGAGTTTCGCTCTTGCTGCCCAGGCTGGAGTGCGATGGCGCGATCTTGGCTCGCTGCAACCTCTGCCTCCTGGGTTCAAGTGATTCTCCTGCCTCGGCCTCCTGAGTAGCTGAGACTACAGGCATGTGCTACCACGCCCGGCTAATTTTGTATTTTTAGTAGAGACAGGGTTTCTCCATGTTGGTCAGGCTGGTCTTGAACTCCTGACCTGAGGTGATCCACCAGCCTCAGCCTCCCAAAGTGCTGGGATCACAGGAGTGAGCCACACCGCGCCCGGCCTGTGCTGCTCTTATTAAGCAACTGCCTCATATGAGGCTCTAAATAGCTTCTTTTAGTGTTTGAAACCTCATAAACTGTAGTCATGGCAACTGGTGTCTGATCTAGGTGGGAGCCAGCTTCTAAGGTAACTGGACATCCAGCAGATCACTCCACAGCTTTGCTCCCAGCCTGTCCACCTCACCCTCGGTCAACTTCCCCTGAGCCTGCTGCTGTCTCTTGAGCCCACTGTGAGATCCAGATAGATACCCACTGAGGAGGAAGCAGGATGGAGACATGGGATCAGGCGTTGCTTTCTTGTAAATATGTGCATTTCCTGTTACTTTACATGTAAGCTTCTAGGTTAGTAACCAGTACAGTGATACTGAGATGACACTGGTCACCTTTAGAGTGACAATATGATATCCTTCATCTCTACTTCTGCTATTTCTTTTTTATTTTTTATTTTGAGACGGAGTCTTGCTTTGTCGCCAGGGTGGAGTACAGTGGCGCGATCTCGGCTCCCTGCAACCTCCGCCTCCTGGGTTCAAGTGATTCTCCTGCCTCAGCCTCCCGAGTAGCTGGGACTACAGGCACGTGCCACCACACCTAGCTAATTTTTGTATTTTTTTTTTTTTTTTTTGAGACGGAGTCTCGCTCTGTCGCCCAGGCTGGAGCGCAGTGGTGTGATCTTGGCTCACTGCAAGCTCCGCCTCCCGGGTTCACGCCATTCTCCTGCCTCAGCCTCCCAAGTAGCTGGGACTACAGGCATCTGCCACCACGTCCGGCTAATTTTTTGTATTTTTAGTAGAGACGGGGTTTTGCCATGTTAGCCAGGCTGTTCTCGATTTCCTGACCTCGTGATCCGCCCGCCTCGGCCTCCCAAAGTGCTGGGATTACAGGCGTGAGCCATTGCGCCCAGCCAAAAAAAAAAAAATTGTTTTAAAAGATGGTATTGGCAAGATGCTCCATGACTGTGAAGGGATATACTTTGAAATGGAGTGTGCCAAGGAAAGTGGTGCTTTAAAAACTGGTTTTGTTTAATGTGTATGAAATGTGTATAAAATCAAATACCTTAGAAAAAGATAAATGATAAACCCAGGCACTTTCTCTGAACTCTCTCTAAGAATCACCTTACCTACGAAAGATTGAGTAGACTAAGTCAATGTCCAAAACTTATCTTTCCTTATTCCTGTTTTCAATCCACAAAACAAAATTCATTTGTGTATCAGGCAGCCTGTAGTCCCGGATTCAATTCATTATGGAACATGAGCCCCGCACTTCTGAGTTTCTCATCCGCTAGCTGGTAAATGTGACCAGGCAGGACAGCGCTGGCACAAACCAGTGCAGGGAAAAAGAGAGGAAGTGATTCCAAGGCAAGGCGAGACTCCCAGACAAAGGATGGAGATGAGAGTGCTTTTATCAGCTGCTTTGTCACCAGTCCACTGTTTGAATCTCTACCTTTCTGTCCTAGTTCAGAGCTGCCAGACACACTGGAAGGTCTCCCACCCAGCTGGAGTTCAAGAAGGTCTCCGGTGTTCAGTTACTGGCTGCTTTGTTTAACAGTTAATTCCAACAGCCAATCAGACAATTCTAGACACTTTTAGTATCTCCTGGAGCTTTGGCCCTACTCCAATGACTGCTAAAAATGACAAACACACCCATGGTTCCACTTCCCCAAAGGCCAAAAAAATACGAATTGGATTTCAGTGTTTGTGATACAGAGTAATCCAAAGTCTTTAGGGAACAATAAAAGCAGCTCAAATTATAGCTCATTGTGACATGAAAAAAGAGAAAAAGAAAAATGGTACAGAGAAGTGCTAGTAAGAGGAAACCAGCAGTCATGACAGCTCTGCCCCAGTTCCCTTCTTCAAACGTGAGCTTCGGCGTAGGGCTGGCGCTCTACCCTGACTCCCTAGGCTCTACTTTTCCTTTGATGATGGCTTCTGCACTAAATGGCTGATCGCAGTTAAGGTGAAAGCTCCTGTCATTGCTTCAGTCCCTTCCAACTTGGTTAAGTTCAGAGATAACAGGTCTAAGGAATTTACAAAAGGGAACATTAATTTGTGCAAGAATATTTAAAACATCTATTGAGTATCAGGCATGGGCTTCAGAGAGCCTAAAGAGTCTGTAGCATAAAAGAGAAATGAAGACAAGCACAAACAGGATACATGTGATAGCTGAGGATGGATAACATACTATAGAGCAGTGGTTCTCAAACTTTCTATGCCCCTCATCCTCCTGGAGAGCTTGCTGTCAGGATTTGAAACCTATGTGCTACTGAGTGGCGTTCTTCATGACTGGATCTGGTCAGCACACCCCTCCTCCAGCTTCCAAATTCAACTCAAACCAAGACAGACTATCTGCAGGGATGGCATGTTCAACTCTGCAACAAGGCCTGTGGCCGGAGCAAACAAGATAATAGCCTACAGTCCCAGCTACTTGGGAGGCTGAGGTGGGAGGATTGCTTGAGCCCAGAAGCTGTCTCCAGCCTGTGCAACATAGGGAGACCTCATCTCTAAAAAACAAAATAGGCTGGGCATGGTGGTTCGTGCCTGTAATCCCAGCACTTTGGGAGGCTGAAGTAGGTGGATCACCTGAGGTCAGGAATTCGAGACCATCCTGGCCAACATGGTGAAACCCCGTCTCTACTAAAAATACAAAAAATTAGCTGGGGGTGGTAGTGGGCACCTGTAGTCCCAGCTACTTGGGAGGACTGAGGCAGGAGAATTGCTTGAACCCGGGAGGCAGAGGTTGTAGTGAGCCGAGATCACGCCATTGCGCTCCAGCCTGGGCGAAGACTGAAGGAGCGAGACTCTGTCTCAAAAAACAACAACAACAAAAAACAGTAAAATAAAAAATACAATAAAAAATAAAATAATGCTGGGTGTGATGGCTCACACCTGAAATCCCAGCATATTGGGAGGCTGAGGTGGGAGGAGCCCATGAAGCTGGGAGTTCATGATCAGCTTGGGCAACATAGTGAGACTCCATCTCTTTTATTAAAAAAAAAACAAAAACAAAAAAAAAACAACCCCAAATAAAAGCCTAGATGTAGGAGGTGATGCTGTGTCATCAACAGCTCTCACTTTGGAGAGAAGTAAAGAGGATGGTAATGCCTTTCATTTCGTGTCTCTGAAAAGGTTAAAGGATATTTGAGGCTGGGTGTGGTGGCTCACACCTGTAATCCTAGCACTTTGGGAGGCTAAGGTGGGCAGATTACCTGAGGTCAGGAGTTCAAGACCAGTCTGGCCAACATGGTGAAATCCCATCTCTACTAAAAATACAAAAAATTAGCTGGGTGCAGTGGTGTGCTGAGGCTGAGGCAGGAGAATCGCTTCAACTCGGGAGTCGGAGGTTGTGGTGAGCCAAGATCACGCCACTGCACTCCAGCCTGGGGTACAGAGTGAGACTTTTTCTCAAAAAAAAAAAAAAAAAAAAAAAAGGTCAATAAAATAAAGGATATTTAATCTATTTTCAGGAAAGCATGAGATGTCAATCTCTGGACCTGCCTTCTGGACGCCATTTATCTAAAATTCACTGTTTGTTTTTTTTTTTTGAAAGGTAAAGCACTAGTTTACCTTAGCTACAACTTTCATGGTATATAAACCTTGCAGAAACTTCATTAAAACTAACTGAAGGAACAGGTGCGGAGACTAACTGAAACAGTGTGCTTTACGAAGATTGTTAAAGTACTCACCAGCCAGTCTCCCCATGCAAACTTTAATGTGCATACAAATCACCTGGGAGTCTTGTGACTTGTGATGCTGGTTCACTAGGTCTGGGGCGAGGCCTGAGGCTCTGCATTTCTTCTTCTTTTTTTTTTAGACGGAGTCTCCGTCACCCTGACTGCTCACTGCAACCTCCGCCTCCCGGGTTCTAGCAATTCTCCTGCCTCAGCATCCCAAGTAGCTGGGATTACAGGTGCCCACCACCACGTCCAGCTTTTTTTTTTTTTTTTTTGTATTTTTAATAGAGATGGGGTTTCACCGTGTTGGTCAGGGTGGTCTCGAACTCCTGACCTCAGATGATCCACAAGCCTCAGCCTCTCAAAGTGCTGGGATTACAGGCGTGAGCCACCTTGCCCGGCGAGGCTCTGCATTTCTAACCAGCTCACAGATGAGGCTGTTGCTGCTGGTCCAGGCCCCACACCCCATGGCAAGGCTAAGTGCTTTAAACAAGGATGCTGCTAGTATTCTGGCACATAGGACTGTTCATTGCTTGATGAGATCCCTGGGATCATGATGGCAATGGTGAAGGCTGAGAAGGTGTAAAGGAGTGTGATGGGAGGGCAAGGAAATCGTCCCAAGAAAAGAATTAAACAAATACTGATTTGAGCTAGCAGAGATGGTGACATGGAAACAAGGAGATTGGGAAACTGGGTCATCTGGGGGAAAAAAAAATAAAAAATGTCACCTCTGTTGTGTTAATGTTCTAGAACAGTGGTGTCCAATAGAAACTAACGCTACTGGGCTGGGCGCGGTAGCTCACGCCTGTAATCCCAGCACTTTGGGAGGCCAAGGCGGGCAGATCATGAGGTCAGGAGATCGAGACCATCCTGGCTAACACGGTGAAACCCCGTCTCTACTAAAAATACAAAAAATTAGCTGGGCATGGTTGCACGTAGCTGTAGTCCCAGCTACTTGGGAGGCTGAGGCAGGAGAATCGCTTGAACCTGGGAGGTGGAGATTGCGGTGAGCCGAGATTGCGCCATTGCACTCTAGCCTGGCAACAGAGTGAAACTCTGTCTCAAAAAAACAAACAAAAAAACAAAACTAATGCTACCCACATGTGAAATTCTAAATTTTCTAGTAGTTACATTAGAAATAATAAATGATGAAATGTATATTTAACCCAATATATCAAAACTATTATTTCCACACGTGATCAACGTTTTATTATTTTGAGACCAGTCTGGCTCCATCACCCAGGCTGGAGTATAGTGGCGCCATCTCAGCTCACTGCAATCTCTGCCTTCCAGGCTCTAGCCATCCTCTCACCGCAGCCTCCTGAGTAGTTGGAACTACAGGCATGTACCAGCATGCCTGGCTAATTTTTGGATTTTTTGTAGAGACGGGGTTTCACCATGTTGCTGTGGCTGGTCTGGAACTCAAACTCAAGCGATCTGCCTTCCTCAGCCTTCCAAAGTGCTGGGATTACAGGTGTGAGCCACTGCACCCAGCCAATATTTTAAAATTGAGATATTCTTTTTTCCCCCTAAATATGAAGGCTTCAAATTCTAGGTTATGGTCATACTTACAGAACATCTCAGTTTGGGCCACATGTGCTGGTGGCTACTTTATGGGACAATGTAGCTCTAGAATCTTGCTACCCAAAGTGTGGTCCACATAGTGGCAAAAGCACCACGTGGAGGATGGTTAGGAATGAAGATTTCAGGCCCTGCTCTGACCTACCAAATGAGAACCTGCAGCCTAACAAGATCCTCAGGTGATGCAGAGGCACATAAAATTTGACAAGCATTGTTCCAGAACACAGGAATCAGCAAGTTCTTCTGATTGCTAGGACAGACACTTTTAAAAGCTTTTCTTTTTCTTTTCTAAAAAAGTAGAGATGGGGTTTCATCATGTTGCCCAGTCTGGTCTCAAACTCCTGAGCTCAAGCAATCTGCCTGCCTCGGTCTCAAAAAGTGCTGGGATTACAGTCATGAGCCACCATGCCCAGCATGTTTCTTATTTATATGACATTTAAGAAACTGAGACAAGAATTCAGGAGGGCTGATTACCTGCTTATTCCGTCTTGTCTCTTCCTTAAGAAGGAGATGAAACCATAGGTCTCAAAACAATGACCTAATAAACAGTTAAGGGCCAAACAACATTGAGCTTAAACAGACCAACGTGCAATGTTGCTGCTTTGAAAAGACAAAACGGCCAGCAGGTGGTGCCAGAAGCTAAGTGAGGGGAAAATGATTTTCTGACAAATGCTTAATAATAATAATTCATGTTTCAAAAATGTGTTTTGGGGCTGGGTGTGGTGGCTCATGACTGTAATCCTAGCACTTTGGGAGGCTGAGGGTGGATTGCCTGAGCTCAGGAGTTCCAGACCAGCCTGGGCAACATGGTGAAACCCCCTCTGTACTAAAATACAAAAAATTAGCCAGATGTGGTGGTGTGCACCTGTAGTCCCGGCTACTCGGGAGGCTGCAGCAGAATAATGGATTCAACCTGGCAGGCAGAGGTTGCAGTGGGCTGAGGTCACACCACTGCACTCCACCCTGGGTGACAGAGTGAGACTCCGTCTCAAAAAAAAAAAAAGTGTTTTGGTGCTGTCTGTAAAATGGTAGTTAAAAAGAAAGTAGCATTTCCCTGTCTTTCACATCCTCCTGTTAGCTCATCCTCCTGCTGTAGGTATCTGAAATCCTTAAGGGCTGAAACCTCTCAAATGGAACCAGTGAGTATTGCTGGTAAGGCTTGAAACAGACCATGCCATTTCCTAGACTTGGGGTTTTACGCTGAAGATAAAGCACCCTTCACTCACAGTAAGTGTTTGCAGATAGTTATTTCTCAAACAAGGAAAGCATAATAGATTGAGCAGGAAATGCAGAGCTGTAGTCTTTGATTTTGGCGGACGGGAGGAAAAAGAGACTACTCTAGGTCTGGTCTAAATTTAACAGGCTTAATGCTTGAATGCTTAATGCTGCAGAATTCAAGAGATAGCTAATGAAGTAAAGAGGAAAACATTCACTTCACACAATCCCAACATCTCGTTCATTTTTATTTTATTTTTGAGCCGGAGTTTCGCTTGTCACCCAGGCTAGAGTGCAATGGCGTGATCTTGGCTCACTGCAACCTCTGCCTCCCAGGTTCAAGTGATTCTCCTGTCTCAGCCTCCTGAGTATCTGGGACTACAGGCACCTGCCATCATGCCCGGCTAATTTTGTATTTTTAGTAGAGGCGGGGGTTTCTCCTGACATCAGGTGATGCGCCTGCCTTGGCCTCCCGTAGTCCTGGGATTACAGGCGTGAGCCACAGTGCCTGGCCCCGTTTATTTTTTTTTAAGCAGAAAACTTTGAATCCACAGAATTACACCTGTGCTATTTGTGTGTATCATATTTCTTCTATTTTTTTTTTTAGCCGGAGTCTCACTCTGTCACCCAGCCTGGACTGCAGTGGCGCAATCTCAGCTCACTGCAACCTCCGCCTTCCAGATTCAAGCAATTCTCCTGCCTCAGCCTCCCAAGTAGCTGGGACTACAGGCGCATGCCGCCACGCTTGGCTAATTTTTTGTATTTTTAGTAGAGATGGGGATTCACCGTGTTTCTCAGGCTGGTGTTGAACTCCTGACCTCAGGCGATCCGCCCGCCTCGGCCTCTCAAAGTGCTGAGAGGTGTGAGCCACCGCGCCCGGCCCCATATTTGTTCTATTTATGGCATCTAACGGGAACTTTATAATTTATCAACTACACTATTAAAACAGAAACACATTAAAAAAGCAGGAATAACAACACTGTATATTTTCTTCCAAAAGTCTCAAAGCCTATATTTCTATTAACGATGCCTTGTGTTTGTTTAGGACTTAAACATATACAAACCAAAGCAGTTTCTTCTTCTTTTTTTTTTTTTTGAGACAGGGTCTCCCTCTGTCACCCAAGTGGAGTGCAGTGGCATAAAAATGGCTCAGTGCAGCCTTGACCTCCTGGGCTCAAGCAAGCTTCTTTGCCTCAGCCTCCCCAGTAGCTGGGGCCACAGGTGTGTACCACCATACCTGGCTAGTTTTTAATTTTTTGTAGAGATGGGGTCTTGCCATGTTGCCCAGGCAGGTCTCGAACTCATGGGCTCAAGCAATCCTCCTGCCTCAGCCTCCCAAAGTGATGGGATTACAGGCGTGAGCCACCACGTGCAGCTGCAAAGCACTTTCAAATACATTATTGTATTTAATACAAATAAAGAAAATAAGAGATGCACACTTCCTGATTATCTCAGTAAGACCTATCTTGGAAACCATTAGGTTTTCAATTTTTGAAACTAAATTATCCTTTCTACACCTTGTTTCATTACCTTTCATATCTCCAGATCTTTTTCCAGTTTCTTAGGCAATGTTAGCTCCTTTTCCTTAACTTTTTCTGTTTTAAGTTTTTATTTATTTATTTTTTTGAGACGAGTCTCACTCTGTTGCCCAGGCTGGAGTGCAGTGGCACCATCTTGGCTCACTACAACCTTTGCCTCCCGGGTTCCAGCGATTCTCCTGCTTCAGCCTCCCAAGTAGCTGGGATTATAGGCACCAGCCACCACGCCCAGCTAATTTTTGTATTCTTAGCCCAGATGGGGTTTCACCATGTTGGCCAGGCTGGTCTCGAACTCCTGACCTCAAGCGATCCGCTTGCCTCGGCCTCCCGAAGTGCTGGGAGTACAGGCATGAGCCACCACGCCCGGCCAACTTTCTCTTTTTAAAAAGACTAGTCAAGTACAGTAGAGAAGGGGGAAAGAGTAGAACAAGAAGTTTGATCTGTGACTGTGAACAATTAATTAAGATAACTCACTACCAGGCCGAGCGCGGTGGCTCACGCCTGTAATCCCA
This sequence comes from Homo sapiens, assembly GCF_000001405.40. Taxonomy (NCBI): domain Eukaryota; kingdom Metazoa; phylum Chordata; class Mammalia; order Primates; family Hominidae; genus Homo; species Homo sapiens. The sequence continues at coordinate 123,235,638 of NC_000012.12, read as the reverse complement.
GCACCGTGGGAGGCCGAGGCAGGTGGATCATGAGGTCAGGAGATCGAGACCAACCTGGCTAACACGGTGAAACCCCATCTCTACTAAAAATACAAAAAAAAAAAAAATTAGCTGGGCCTGGTGGCAGGCACCTGTAGTCTCAGCTACTAGGGAGGCTAAGGCAGGAGAATGGCGTGAACCTGGGGGGCGGAGCTTGCAGTGAGCTGAGCTCTGTCACACACACACACACAAAACTCACTACGTTTGGACCAGCCTGACTTTCTGTATTTGACGACTCCTCTCATTTTTTCTTTTGTCCCAAAAAGGCCTTCCTGCCAAGGATTGCGAGCTCTGTGGCCAACAGACCTGCGTTCAATGTCTCAATGCCACAATTTACTTACTGGGTAACTTTGGCTCTAATTCCTCATCTGTAGAATGGAGATACTACTACCTAGAGTGCGAACAAAATCATACATGTTGCCATAAATGTAAAGTACTTAGTGGTCACTAAATGGGAGCATGTCAGATCTCTCAACTACAAGGCTGAGGAACTTTGGAATGACACACCACATACACTGTTGTCTTATGACACAAACCCAGTCTGGGAACTGATTATTTCATCGGCCTTTGTTTTAGAGCTTAGGGTGAAAAGGCATCTACAACAGTGGCTTGTAAATTATTTTACTTGGTATGGTCCAATTTAAGAAGTACTTGATAAGCCATGACATTACTGAAAACATGTTATTTGGTGGGATCATAATTCTGGTCTGTGAAATCAGGTACTAAGGAGATCACTGTGATGCCAAAAATATAGCCTGACTTCCCAGCAGGTTCACACTGAAAGATAAAACCATCTTCAATGAAGTAAGTCCTGGTTTAAACATAAAATATCTTTTGGAATTATGTAATATAATTTAAAAAATCATGAAAGATAGGATAACATCAAATTTACCCTTTGAAAATTGCCAGGCGTGGTGGCTCATGCCTGTAATCCCAGCACTTTGGGTGGCCGAGGCAGGAGGATGACCTGAGGTCAGGAATTCGAGACCAGCCTGGCCAATATGGCAAAACCCCGTCTCTACTAAAAATACAAAAAATTAGCCGGATGTGGTGGCGGGCACCGGTATTCCCGGCTACTCGGGAGGCTGAAGCAGAAGAATCACTTGAACCCGGGAGGCAGAGGTTAAAGTGAGCCGAGATCGCGCCACTGCCCTCCAGCCTGGGTGACAGAGAGAGACCTTGTCCCCCCTACCCCCCTCCCCCACAAAAATAAAAAAAGTAAAAAAAAATTGGTAGGTATACTTAGGAAGCTCCAATGAGATGTAACGCCTCCTGGCAGATCTGTTATTCCAAGGGCAGATCCATTTCCTGGGTTGTGGAGGCCTAAGTGATAGTGCCAGGGAAGTCCCTTTACTGTGAGCCAGAACTCCTGGAGGTAAATCGAGTAGCTGGAAAGACCTTAAAGGTTAACTATGCTGAAGAATGTGGCCTGCACAGTGCGCATGAAATGGGCTGGGGTCCCACGGGGAGGAGAGCGAGTTCCCTTTGGTCCTTCAAAAGTAGGGCTGGGTGGCTTGCGCCTGTGATCCCAGCACTTTGGGAGGCCGAGGAAGGAGGATCGCTTGAGGCCAGGAGTTCGAGATCAGCTTGGGCAACACAGTGAGACCCCCCCACCCCACGTCTATTAAAAAAAAAACGAGTATCTCCGCAAAAGCCTAGCAAGGGCAGTGCTGACCTCTACTACGTGCCAGGCCTGAAACAGCACCTGATGCGTGCTCACAGCTCCATTCCGCTCAGTTTTGTACATGAGGATCCTTCCGTTTCGCCTTGGGCCTCCGTGGAACCGTTATCTCCAGGACGGTAGTCTCTCCTCTCCCCTGCCCTGAGTGCCTGAACAGCCCCAGGGCCGACCCACAGCACCTAGCGTAAACCAGGTCCCGAGAAAACTGAGCTCGGGTGTCACGGCCGGCCCCACCCCACCGCCAGCGCGGCCTCAGGTAAACTGGCTGCGCCACTCGGGGTCGCAAGTCGGGAAAAACCCAGGCGTCCCGGCTCGCAGTCCTCTCTCCGGAGCCTTTGACAGTCGTCGGCAGCCGTAGGGTTACCTGGCTTCTCCGCAGATGCTTACCTGGTCTCAGGACCCGACTCGTGCCCTCAACGTTCTAGGGATATCCAAATCACCTCAGCGGAGGATTCGCAATCGCGATCCCTGATCTGCGCACGCGCCGTACTCCGATCGCGGTTTCTCTTATCTACCAGAGGCTCATGTTTACTCACTGCGCATGCGAGAAACTGAAGCTTCTTTCCCTCGTGGCAGCGGCTGGCTCCCAGAGAGCCAATCAGAGAAGAGAGTTTCACAGCAATCCCGCCCCCTTGTCACTCCCCCGGGGTTGGATGTCTCTCTTTGGTTGGAGCTGCGCGAGGGGGAACGGCGAGGTGGACGCGCGCGCCATGCGAGGCTGTCTCCGCCTCCTTCCGGGCAGCCAATCACTGGAGAGACGCCGGGCGCGCGCGCGCTCCCTCGGGTAACGGTCGCGAGAGGCCGCTTGCATGACCCTGACATCGGCAGCGGGAGCGGCGGCCAGGTAAGCGGCCACCAGCCTGCAGGGAGCTGTAGGCCGCTGGGGACAGGAGACGAGACTTAGGAGACACTGTCTTAGCGGCCCCTTGAGTGTGGTGATGGGCTGGGGTGTGGGGTGACGGCTGCCGATTGGCCTGACCCCCTCGGAGCCCTTCGGCGTGTGGGAGCTCTGCCCGGCCGCGGTGCGCCTTTTCTAGACTCGGCGCCCTTGAGTGACACTCGCGCGGCCCAATCGCAGATCGCTCTTCCTGAGGGGCGGGGGGTTTGTGGGGTTTTTTTAATTTTTCCCCCCATTTTTTGCCAAGGTGCCCCGGTTTCCTTTTGGAATCGCGGTTGTAGTTGCAGGAGCGGTGGCTTTTCTCCGTCCTCCCTGCTTTCCGTAGCTTAGGCGACTGCATAGATTCTCCCTCTCCTTCCCACTTTGACCCGATAGCCGCCACCAGCCATTGCGGGCTGACTGTGAGCTCAGAATGTCGGGATCTGGCCTCATCCCCATCTGAAATCTCTTCCTCTCCCCCAAGCCTCCCGTCAAGGCGGAGCGCCCAGTTAACTTTCATGTTTCATAACCATCAATCGTTCCTTTTCCCCAGCTCCCTTTTTTTGCTAGGGGGTAGGGACACCAAAAGCGTCATATCTTGTTGCTGGGAAATATAAAAGCTCTGCTCTTATATTCATTCTGTATCAAGTTAAAAAAATTTTTTTTTGCATTGTATTTGTGGGTGTTTAAGGATTTTTCCCTCTTACTTCCCTGCCCTCCCCCCAGCACCTCCACCCCAAATGGAGAAGCATCTTTGAATTTCTAGTGGTTTTCCATCTGGATCTGCATCCGGATCCGGATTACCTTAGCAGGGGAAATAATAGATGGGGTTGCAGGTTCATCTCCCTGGAGAGCTTGTGTTTTCCTGGTGTAATAGCATGGTGATTGGAATCCAGGTATTTCTGTTGCCAGTTGGAAGGGGCAGTCCTTGACTGTTTCAATGCCCCATTTGTCGTGGGTGATGGGCTGAGCCACTGGGGAAAAGTCCATTTAGTTAGGTCCGGTTACCCTTTGCATTCACTCCTGTCCCTGAAGGAAATGGTCCCTGTTTTTGTGTAATGCTTTATAAAAGCAGGCCCTAGAAAGTGGGAATCTAGCAGAAGCGGAATACTAGATAATATTCCTGTTGCACTCTCTAAGCTTTTCAGTTTGTAAGCAGCTGAAGTTTTCTTTCTTTCTCCTTTTTCCTCTTGCTCCCTTGCTCTTTTATAAGTGCATGAATTCCCCAGGAAGGAGGCATCTTGTTTGACCTGTTACAGCCAATTTGCCATGGTATATATCCAGCTTCACTGAAATTTTAGTTGGCCTGGCAAATAATTTTTTTATTTTTATTTTTATTTTTTAAGAGATGGGGTCTTGGTCTGTTGCCCAAGCTGGAGTGCAGTGGCAGGATCATAGCTCACTGCAGTCTTGAACTCCTGGGCTGAAGTGATCCTCCCACCTCAGCCTCCAGAGTAGCTGGGACATGCTCCCAGTAGCTGCAGGCAGGCTCCAGTGTGCCCAGTGGTTTATTTTCTAAGAATAGCTGCACAGAGACAAAAGACCATATATATAGTTCAAAATGTACTTCCAGACAATGGGGAAGCTATGGTTGTTAACAGTTTAATTGGCTCTTTTTAATACAAATTAAATATTAAGTAGTTCAGTTCTTCTTGTCTCTGTATAAGTCAACAAACATATATACTTGGTAGAATTTATTAAACAAATGAACAAGGCATGCAAGTATTCCAATTGTTACATAATAGAATTATATCTAGAACTTTCATTGTAAAGCCTGGCAAAATGGTTTGCGCTATAATCCCAGCTGCTCGGGAGGCTGAGCACTTGAGGCCAGGAGTTGTAGACCAGCCTGGGCAACATAGCAAGATGCTGTCTCTAAAAAAAAGAACCTTGATTATTAAACATATAAAAATCTGAAATATTACCTGAAAAAGGTGATGCTACTTTTGCAAATAATCCTTAATGTAGATTTTTAATTGAGATACATAATTCACATACCATAAAATTCAGTCTTTTACAAGTGTACAATTCAGTGGTTTTTAGTTCACAAGGTTGTGCAGCCATCACCACTATCTAATTCCAGAATTTTTTATCACCCCAAAAAGAAACTCCATACCAGCTGCACTCACTCACATTCTCTCCTTCCCCAGCTCCTGGCAGCCATTTGTCTATGAATTTGCCCATTCAAGATATTTCATATCAATGAAATCATATAGTCTGTGGTCTTTTGTGACTGGCTTTTTTTACTTAGCATAGTATCTTCAGTGTTCATGTATGTTGTAGCATGTGTCTTTTTATGGCTGAATCCTATCCTGTTCTATGAATATGCTTCATTCGTTTATCCATTTATCCATTGATGGACATTTGGGTGGTTTCTACATTTTGATTATTATGAATACTGTTGCTATCCTTAATGGAGATCTGTATGAAAGCAGTTAAGGTTTCCAAAGTTATGTAAAAACAGTTGCTAGCTTTGGTGGCTTTTTATAGTAGTATTTTTTTCCCCCATTCATTTTCAGACTCTCTTGGAAGTTTAGGATATTTCACAGTTCTGAATGTTAGCCACTGAAAATGCCAGTAGATGATGAAGCCTCTGAAGATGACACGGATTCATTTTTCTCAAACAGCCCAAGAACCTTTATTTTCCAATAAGAGAATATAACAATTTCTGTACACTATGGAAGAGTTTGACTTGGTGAAAACCTTACACAAAACTTCATCTTCTGTAGGATCTGATGAAAATTCTCTTCATTCTCTTGGACTGAACTTAAATACTGATAGGTAAGAATGGGATTTAAAAAAAATGTACCAAATCAGAATAACCTTATTTGCATACGTTTATCAACTTATCCAAATAGTGTCATAGTTACTGATTTGAATTATTATTATTTTTTAACCTATCATCAAGAATGTTCAGGGAGGCTGGGCGCGGTGGCTCATGCCTGTAATCCCAGCACCTTGGTAGGCTGAGGCGGGTGGATCACCTGAGGCCAGGAGTTGGAGACCAGCCTGGCTAACATGGTGAAGCCTCGTCTCTACTAAAAATACAAAAATTAGCCAGGTGTGGTGGCACGCGCCTGTAGTCCCAGCTACTCAGGAGGCTGAGGCAGGAGAATTGCTGGAACCTGGGAGGCAGAGGTTGCAATGAGCCAAGATTGCGCCACTGCACTCCAGCCTGGGCGACAGAGCGACACTCTGTCTCAAAAAAAAAAAAAAAAAATGTTCGGGGACAGATGTTTAAGTCAGGAATAGGTTTGGTCTTTTCATGTTTCTCATTTCTCTCAGAGATATGTACTTTTGCATGGAAAGCATTCTGAAAAAGAACTTGTTTTGCTTGTTTTACTTTCCTTTATACTTTTTTGTTTGTTTTTGGTAAATTACAAGCATATCTTTAACATTTAGTTGCCTAAATATTATTTCTACATTTTTAAATGATTGGGACAATTGATGTTTTATGTTGCAGAAATACTTCACCAATGTGGGAAGTAGCAGTTAAAGTTGAGTATTAGGAAGTTAAGACAATAACAGACTCTAAGTAGACAAAATAGTGGACTAAATAGATGTTATCAAAGTGTGTTTTATGCATTTTATTAATTTTTTAAAATGCATTTTATTTTTAAGCTATCCTGTGATTGGTTTTTTATTTTTTAATGGTCTTAACACAGATCATGGTTTGTTTTTCATCAGAGCCTGTTTACTTTCAATTTGCACATAGTCTGACAAGCTTGGTTATTGGGTTTCTAAATTTATAGTAGTGTAGAAACAGCAAAGAGGCAAGGACTGTAAGAGAGGAGAGCATCTATAAAGAGCGGGTACAAGGAAGGAAAACAGCGGTTTTGGGGCCTTACTGGTAAAGGGGCAAGGAGCTTTAAACACGGTAGGTCTTGAAGAAATTGTGTATTATAAATAAATACATTACTTTAAAAGTTGTTAATTCTCTGCCCTTTTCAGGAGGAATTTAAGGCAGCTTACATGGGTATATAAAACAATGGGGGTGGGGAGTTGTAAAAAACAAAGGAATATGTGAAATAAAACGAGAAAAGGAAATTTTAAAAGGCACAGGAAATGGTCCTACAGTAATCTGTATGCACTTGCAGAAAGTTGGCCACGCATTTTGGTTCTTGTATTACTTGGTGGTCCCTTTAAAGTACACTTCTAGAAGATATTCCTGTTAGAACAGTGTTTGATTTGGCTGGAGGAAGCTAACTGTGCCTTGCTAGTGAAAATTAGGCAATTAAACTTGTCTTCCTTTTCATTGTGACTGGCAGTTAAATTGGCCACATTTAAACTTGATTATTACAGCTATGTAAAATCCTTTACTGATAACATATATTCTTTCCTTTGAATTTTTTTTTTTGACGGAGTCTTGCTCTGTCACTAGGCTGGGGTGCAGTGGTGCCATCTCAGCTCATTGCGATCTCCGTGTCCTGGGTTCAAGGGATTCCCCTGCCTCAGCCTCCTGATTGGCTGGGACTACAGGCACGCACTACCACACCCGGCTAATTTTTTGTATTTTAGTAGAGATGGTGTTTCACCATGTTGGCCAGGACAGTCTTGATCTCCTGACCTGGTGATCCGCCCGCCTTGGCCTCCCAAAGTGCTGGGATTACAGGCGTGAGCCACTGCGCCTGGCCTCCTTTGAATTTTTAGTAATATTTTCACTGGTCCTAACTATTATTTTATTGTTATTTTTATTTATTTTTTTAAACAAATTATTTGTGAAAGAAAGCAGGATATCAAGCAGTAAATAAATTAAAATGATCTTTTGGTGACTAGATTTTAAGTACATTTTAATGTCCTGAAATATATTGTGTGTTTATAAAACAAATCCGAAATAACTTACCTGAAGTTTGGAAAAGCAGTACTCCTGGAAAAACTCAGTGCTGTTTTACACACTGAGTAGGCTAAATAAGTCCTGAATATTTGCTGCTGATTTGCTTGGCACAACTTTTATGCAGAGATAGTGCAGAGATAAGCATCAGCTTATCGTACCAAATTAAGGGTGTCCAGTGAACAAGATTTGACTGTCATTTGGGGCAGTGGGGAAAGAATCCCCACTGCACAATGAAGGGCTGTTCTGAAAGTTGGGGGAAATAATCCTCTGGAATAGCTGAGATCAGAGAAGCTGGAAATTAATCTTATTGTTTAGCACAGACTTTTTCTATTTTCTGCCGATCCTTTGGAGTGTTCTCTCACTTCTGGAGAAGGTCTTCTTGTTGTGTTCTTAAAAAGAGTACAGTGCGGTCTTTTTACTGGCCGTTTCCTTTTGTGGAGCAACTTGTGATCAGATTTTGAACAAATGAGGTGCCATTAGAAGGATTAAATGTCAGTGGTTTTGTACTGCTCTGCTAAATCTTGAACTGCTGAATTATTCAACACTTTGATAGAATGAAGAAAACCATTTGAATTATTTATGTTTCAACAGAAGTAGTCCCCACCTTAGTACAAATGGGGTATCCTCTTTCTCAGGGAAGACCAGACCATCTGTAATTCAAGGTACAGTTGAAGTCCTAACTTCTTTAATGCAAGAGCTACAAAACAGTGGAAAGACTGATTCGGAACTTTGGAAAAACTGTGAGGTATCTAATTTTGTTTTATTTTTGGAATTTTAAAATAATTATGTTAAAACATACCTCTACTAAACTCTAAATTATTAGAAATTTATGTCCTGAAGAGCATGACACTTTTAAGTTAATGCTAAAGTGGTCAAGTATATTAATTTGGGAATGATATTGAATGAATGGGAAAAAGGTGATCAAAAGTATTTTTTAACAATATATTACTGATTAGACATACTAATTTGTATATTAAATATGAACTAAAACATTGTCTTGGTTCAGAGACCTGAGAATCCCAAAATTATTAAAATTGTTACTAATTGTAATGTTGTCAGTAACTTATATGGAATTGTCATCATTTTGAAAAACCTAAATCCACTTTGAAATATTTTCAATGTTCTAATTATAAATTGAAGCTTCTATTTAGTACCTTACCATATTCAGCTGTGATACATTGCATTATATTGTTTTCAGATCAGTGGTTCTTTCTTTGGTTCATAGGTTAAATTGTGATATAAAAATGTAACAGTTAAAAGAATACTTACATGGCCGAGCACAGTGGCTCACGCCTGTAATCCCAGCACTTTAGGCGGCCAAGGTGGGAGGTTTGGTTGAGGCCAGGAGTTTGAGACTAGCCTGGGCAAGATAGCGAGACCCTGTCTCTACAAATATAAATACATAAATAAATTAGCTGGTCATGGTGGCACGGTGTCTGTAGTCCTAGCTACTTGGGAGGCTGATGTGGGAGGATCACTTCAACCCAGGAAGTCAGGGTTGCAGTGAGCTATGATCACAGCACTACACTCCAGCCTGGGTGACAGACTGAGACCCTGTCTCTCTCTATATATAAAAAAAGAGAACCTGTAATCCCAGCACTTGAGGCAGAGGTGGATAGCTTGTGCCCAGAGTTTGTGACCTGCTTGGGCAACATAGCAAGACCCCCTCAGTAAAAAAAAAAAAAAGTATATATAAATTTTATTTCATAGGATAATGCTCAAGATAGACTTTCCTAAGGCTGGATTTGATAGTTTTTTATAGAAATGTTTAAACCATTATTAATTCTTAGAAAGCACTAGATCTTGTTTTAAACGTTAATTGTACTTTTAGAAGCATAATTTGTGTTATTTTTCAGAATGTAGAGTAAGCGAAATGAAAGATTACCTGGTTTAAGAATTCGATAGCAGCAACTGCTAAGTGTAATTATTTATATCCATTATCCATAATTATTGAAATTATAAAAAAGTATTATTATATGCTTAAAAAATTGAGTTTTCAGTTTTTATACTTTATGCTTGTTTGCATATAATAATCAGTATGCACTAACGTGAAAGACCTTTAAAAATGCCCATGCAAATGCAATTAAAAATGGAATGTTTTATTAAGTATATTAAATGCTTCCCTTAATGTATCTACTCATAAGCTTTTTGTTTATTTGTTTGTTTGTTTTTGAGACAGAGTCTTGCTCTGTTGCCCAGGCTGGAGTGCTATGGTGCGATCTCGGCTCACTGCCACCACTGCCTCCCAGGTTCAAGTGATTCTCCTGCCTCAGTCTCCCGAGTAGCTGAGATCACAGGCGAGCGCCACCATGCCCAGCTAATTCTTGTATTTTTAGTAGAGAAGGGGTTTAGCCATGTTGGCCAGGCTGGTCTCGAACTCCTGACCTCAGGTAATCTGCCTGATTTGGCTTCCCAAAGTGCTGGGATTACAGGCATGAGCCACCGTGGCTAGCCCTTATTAGCTTTTGATAACTGAATTAACATGCTTTAGGACAAAGGAGGCATTGCCACAATGTATTTTAACTTCTGGAAAATTTGTGTTTAACTAGAAATTGTTACTTTTGATAATTAGAAATCAACCTTTTTTTTTTGACATTAGCATCTTAAGTCAGAATCAGAATATATTCCCTGCCCCACCTCTCCTCTCCCCTCCCTCCCACCCCCTCCCTCCCTCCCTTCCTTTCTTCCTTCCTTCCTTTTCTTTGTTTCTTTTTCTCCTCTTTCATTCTCTCTCTTTTCTTTCTTTCTTTTTTTTTTTTTTTTTGAAATAGGGTCTCATTCTGTCATCCAGGCTGGAGTACAGTGGCACAATCTCTGTTCACTGTACCTTCAACCTCTTGGGCTCAAGCCATCCTCCCACCTCAGCTTCCCAAGTAGCTGGGACTACAGGTGCACACCACCATGCCCAGCTAATTTTTGCATTTTTTGTTGAGACAAGGTTTTGCTATGTTGCCCAGGTTAGTCTTGAACTCATGAACTCAAATGATCCACCCACCTTGGCCTCCCAAACTGCTAGAATTACAGGCATGAGCCGCTGTGCCCAGCCTCTGAGCTCTGTTTTTATAACAGCTTTCAAAATAACATCAATTTATATTATCCTGAAATGAAATTCATAGGTAATATAACCTACCTTTACCCGCTTTAAAAAATCAATATACTATCCTAAATGTGACATAAAGGAGAAATAAAAAATTTACAGTAAAATAACATGTATTTGGATATATCCATGTCAGGCACATGTTCATTAGAAGACATAATGAAGTAGTCATGTTTACCTGTATGTACTCACTGTGAATTCAGCAGCTGAACACAGATCAATATAGCTATGGTGTGTTGATGATCCAGGTATTGTGTACAGCACCTCCACTGGTGACATGCTTTTCTGAAAGGGTGACCAACTTCTCATGAGATTTTGAAACTTAAGTTTGTTTTGATGTTATGAATACTGTGCGAAATATTTATTGTTTTATAACATAAAATGGACACAGGACAATTCTTCATCATGGGGGACTGCCCTATGATCCGCATGCCTGGACCCTGCCCACTAAATGCCAGTGATGTCCCCCCAGCTTTGTCATGACCGTGACCTCACAGATTTCCAACATGGAGTTCCTTCCCCATTGAGATCACTGCATCATATTTAAATTTAAAACTTAGGCCTGTAATCCCAGCACTTTGGGAGACCGAGGCGGGTGGATCACTTGAGGTCAGGAGTTCGAGAACAGCCTGGCCAACATGGTGAAACCATGTCTCTACTAAAAAATATGAAAATTCGGCTGGGTGCAGTGGCTCACGCCTGTAATCCCAGCACTTTGGGAGGCCGAGGCAGGCGGATCATGAGGTCAGGAGATTGAGACCATCCTGGCTAACATGGTGAAACCCCGTCTCCACTAAAAATACAAAAAAATTAGCCGGGTGTGGTGGCGGGTGCCTGTAGTCCCAGCTACTTGGGGGCTGAGGCAGGAGAATGGCGTGAACCCAGGAGGCAGAGCTTGCAGTGAGCCGAGATCATGCCACTGCACTCCAGTCTGGGCGACAGAGCAAGACTCTGTCTCCAAAAAAAAAAAAAAAAAAAAATGTGTATATATATATATATAAATTAGCAATTAGCCGAACATGGTGACACATGTCTGTAATCTCAGCTACTTGGGAGGCTGAGGCATGAGAATTGCTTGAACACGGGAGGCGGAGGTTGCAGTGAGCCCAGATCATGCCACTGCACTCCAGCCTGGGTGAGAGAACGAGAGACTCCGTCTCAAAAAAAAAAATAAATAAATAAATAAAACTTAATCCTTTTAGCCATCTATGAGATATTATTATTCCCATTTTATAAAGTAGGAAACTGAGGTACAAATTAATTTGTCCAGGACCCCACGAGTTTTTAGTGGAGAGCTTGGAGTTAGAGTGGGGCAGGGGTAGGAGACAGAGTTCACAAAGTGAACATTTAAGAGACTTTCTGATGTGGCAAATACTATGAAGGAAATAAATAGGATGACAAGAAAGAAAGGAACTGTTAGGATGGTTTGAGAAGATGACAATTAGGCTGAAATTGCAGGGTGGGAAGACAGCAGTCATGGTGAGAGCTGTGCAAGAGCTCGCGAGGTGATGGGCACATCAGGTGCTCAGCTGTGAGGTGGGAGACAATTTTGGCATGCTCACGAACAGAGGATGCCCGTGAGGCAGGTGCGTAGTCAGCAAAGGACAGAGGGCTGGGATGAAGTGGAGAGGTGCGTAGGAGACAGACAGTGCAGAGCCGTCTAAGGAGAGCTTAGGAGTGGAAAGATGCTGAAAGGCTTTACGCAGGCAGTTAGTTTTCATAGCCACTTCCTGATGTTGTATATTGCTGCATGTGGTCTGTGGCTGAAAGTTTCCCAGCCTTGAGGCTGAACGTAGCCTTCTGTAGAACTCCCTGCTCTCTTGGTGTGGCGCGCCAGCATACTCTAGCTATGAGAGTGCTGATGGCTCTTGGGATTTGGGATGGATCATGACCTAAAAAGGGCTCTTTTACACTGGAGGAATTGTTCTGTGAAATGTTAAGTCAAAAAATTATTTTTAACTAAAATATTTTATAATTTAATAGACCAGGTGGTTACAGCTATTCAATTTGGTGGAAAAACAATGCCAAGAACAGATAGTTGCCCAGCAGGAGCAGTTCCACAACCAAATTCAAGTAAGTTACCATTTACATTGATTCCTTTTTTTATATACATATACATACGTACATATACACACACACACACACACATATATATATACACACACACATATATAGAAATGGAGTCTCACTCTTGTTGCCCAGGTTGGAGTGCAGTGGCTTGATCTCAGCTCACTACAACCTCTGCCTCCTGGGTTCAAGCCATTCTTCTACCTCAGCCTCCCGAGTAGCTGAGATTACAGGCACCTGCCAACACGCCCAGCTAATTTTGGTATTTTTAGTAGAGACGGGTTTTGCCATGTTCACTAGGCTGGTCTCAAACTCCTGACCTCAGGTGATCCACCCACCTCGGCCTCCTGCCCAGCCCTTTTTTACTTTTATTTTCATTTATTTTTTTTTGAGATGGAGTCTCACTCTGTTGCCCAGGCTGGAGTGCAATGGCACGGTCTTGGCTCACTGCAAACTCCGCCTCCCAGGTTCAAGCAATTCTCCTGCTCCAGCCTCCTGAGTAGCTGGGAATACAGGTGTGTGCCACCATACCTGGCTAATTTTTGTATTTTTAGTACCAACCATGTTGGCCAGGCTGGTCTGGGACTCCTGACCTCTTGATCTGCCCGCCTTGGCCTCCCAAAGTGCTGGGATTACAGGCGTGAGCCACCACACCCAGCATCCTTTTTTATATTTGTAAGAAAAAACAATACGTTATATCAATTTTTTTTTTTTTTTTTGAGACAAGGTCTCACTCTGTCACCCAGGCTGGCGTGCAGTGACATGATTTTAGCTGACTGCAACCTCTGCCTCCTGGGTTCAAGAAATTCTCCTGCCTCAGACTCCTGAGTAGCTGGAATTACAGATGCGCACCACCGTGTCTGGCTAATTTTTAGTAGAGTCAGAGTTTCACCGTGTTGGCCAAGCTGGTCTTGAGCTCCTGACCTTGTGATCTGCCCACCTCGGCCTCCCAAAGTGCTGGGATTACAGGCGTGAGCCACTGTGCCTGGCCACCAGCCTCAATTTTGTTTATAAACTAAAGATAAAGTATCACATTATCTTTAGAATAATATCTCATCATATTTTGAAACATGATATTCTTGTAACAGTCATAAAAATATGATGTTTAATATACTTTCTTACCCAAATCTATAACTTTTTATTTCCAGCATATACAGGAGGAGATAAAAAATTTAGTCAAATTACAGACTAGTAGTGCTTCCTTAGCTTCCTGTGAAGGAAATTCTTCAAACAAACAAGTATCTTCGGAAAGTCAAATGGGTTTTTTTTCTCTAAGCAGTGAGAGAAATGAATCTGTTATCCATTATCCTGAATCCACAGAACCTGAAATACAGCAAGAAATGTCCACGTCACAACCAGACTGCAATGTGGATAGTTGCTCAGTAAGCAGTGGATATGGCACCTTTTGTATCTCAGAATTAAATCTGTACAAATCTAAAGACCCTAAGGAGTTCATGGAGCACATAGATGTTCCCAAAGGACAGTATGTAGCACCTGCGGTGCCGGCTGAGTCACTTGTAGATGGTGTGAAAAATGAGAATTTTTATATACAGACTCCTGAAGAGTGTCATGTGTCTTTAAAGGAAGATGTATCCATTTCTCCTGGTGAATTTGAACATAATTTTCTTGGTGAAAATAAGGTTTCTGAAGTATACAGTGGGAAAACAAATAGGTAAGTAGAATTTCTATCATTTGAAGGGAGTTTATTACATTTAGAATCTAGTGTTCCTTTTAATGCACTATAATAGAATGAGATGTATTTGAACATTTATCAGTTCATTGCCTGTAGAAAATTGAAATAAACAAAGCACACTATATTCTAATGACACTGACTTTCTTCCCATCTGTAATGTTATAAGACTACTAAACTCTTAAGGTCGGAAGCTTTGCCAGAAAATAGAAAAGATATTTTTAGCAGACAGGACTGTATCAATAGTGGAAGTTTGTCATACATGTTCATGTAATTTGAACAATTTTTTTTCGTTTTTTGAGACGGAGTCTCGCTCTGTCACCCAGGCTGGAGTGCAGTGGCGCAATCTCGGCTCACTGCAAGCTCCGCCTCCCGGGTTCACGCCATTCTTCTGCCTCAGTCTCCTGAGTAGCTGGGACTACAGGCACCCGCCACCACGCCAGGCTAATTTTTTGTATTTTTAGTAGAGACGGGGTTACACTGTGTTAGCCAGGATGGTCTCGATCTCCTGACCTTGTGATCTGCCCGCCTCTGCCTCCCAAAGTGCTGGGATTACAGGTGTGAGCCACCTCGCCCAGCCACAATTTTTTTTTCTTAAAGGTGGGGGTCTTGCTTTGTTGCCCAAGCTGGTGTGCCGTGGTGCAATCATAGCTCACTGTAGCCTAAAATTCCTGGGCTCAAGTGATCCTCCTGAGTAGCTAGGACTATGAGCGCGTGCTATGTTACCATGTCCAGCTGAAACCAAAAATTATATACAGGGTTACCCAATTTTATGTTTTGTTTTTTTTGATATGGAGTCTTGCTCTTGTCTCCCAGGCTGGAGTGCAGTGGCGCAATCTCAGCTCACTGCAACCTTTGCCTCCCTGGTTCAAGTGATACTCCTGCCTTAAGTCTCCTGAGTAGCTGGGACTACAGGTGTGGGCCACCACACCCGGCTAATTTTTGTATTTTCAGTAGAGACAGAGTTCCGCTGTGTTGGCCAGGCTGGTCTCTCTCCTGACCTCAGGTGACGTGCCCACCTCAGCCTCCCAAAGTGCTGGGATTATGGTGTGAGCCACCGTGCCTGGCCCCAATTTTATGTTTTTTATTTTCTTTTTTCTAGTCTGTATGTTGCTGAATGTTTTTGTTTGTTTCTTTTGTTCTGTTTTTATTTATTTTTTGAGATGGAGTCTCGCTCTGTCACTCAGGCTGGAGTGCAGTGGTGCGATCGCAGCTCACTGCAACCTCTACCTCCCAGGTTCATATGATTCTCCTGCCTCAGCCTCCTGAGTAGCTGGGACTACAGGCATGTACCGCCACGTCCGGCTAATTTTTGTATTTTTAGTAGAGACGGGGTTTCGCCGTGTTGGCCAGGCTGGTCTTGAACTCCTGAGAGTTTAGTAGTCTTACAACATATGCCCACCTTGGCCTCCCGAAGTGCTGGGATTACAGGCGTGAACCACTGCACCCAGCCTGAATGTTTTTTATGTATAAGAAGAATTTTTATAAATTTAGTGACATTTCATGACAAAGGAGGCTTTTTATTAAACTGTGACTGAATGTTTGTAAAACAAGTAATCCTTAAAAATTTCATAATTTATCCCAAGTTTTTAGTTTCATGTCCCTGAATTGTGTCATCTAAAGCAACACAAATCTTATGTATGTTCAAGTATAATGATTGATTTATGCCAACAAATACACTCTCATTGTAGAGATACATTTAGCACTTGGAAGGGCAAATGTGGTGGTTTTTGTTCTAGTCTATGGCTACAGACTTTTTGTATTATTAGTCACTGTTAGTCTTTTTTTTTTTTTTTTTTTTGAGACAGAGTCTCGCTCTGTTGCCCAGGCTGGAGTGCAGTGGCGCAATCTCGGCTCACTGCAAGCTCTGCCTCCCGGGTTCACGCCATTCTCCTGCCTCAGCCTCCTGAGTAGCTTTTAGTAGAGACGGGGTTTCACCATGTTAGCCAGGATGGTCTCGATCTCCTGACCTTGTGATCCACCCGCCTCAGCCTCCCAAAGTGCTGGGATTACAGGCGTGAGCCACTGCGCCAGGCCTGTCACTGTTAGTCTTTTTGTTTACTTTGCCTTTGATAATAAGAAATTGAAAAAAGTAATGTAGGTGAATTAATAAAAATTCATTGTCTTACCGCTAGTAGAAAAAACAACTGGCTGGGCGCAGTGGCTCACACTTGTAATCCCAGCATTTTGAGAGGCTGAGACAGGTGGATCACTTGAGCCCAGGAGTTCGAGATCAGCCTGAGCAACATGGCAAGACCCTGGCTCTACAAAAAAAATAGAAAAATTAGCTGGGTGTGGTGGTGGCCACCTGTGGTCCCATCTACTAGGGAGGCTGAGGTGGGAGGATCACCTGAGCTGAGGAAGGTCAGACTGCAGTGAGCTGTCATTGCACCACTGCCGCTGCATTCTAGCCTGGGTGACAGAGAGGGTCTCTAAAAAACAAACAAACAAACAAACAAAAACCACACACACAACAACTGAAAGCAACTGGTGGTTAGCTTTATATGTGAAGTACAGTATCTAAAGAAATAATTTTGGAACCCAGTGTGGTGGCTCATGCCTGTAATCCCAGCACTTTGGGAGGCTGAGGTGGGCAGAGGTCAGGAGTTTGAGACCAGTCTGGCCAACATGGTGAAACCCCATCTCTAGTAAAAATACAAAAATTAGCTGGGCGAGGTAGTGCGTCTGTAATCCCAGCTATTCAGGAGACTGAGGCACGAGAATTGCTTGAACCTAGGAGATGGAGGTTGCAGTGAACTGAGATTGCGCCACCGTACTCCAGCCTGGGCGACACAGCAAGACTCTGTCTCAAAACAAAAAAAAAAAGTAATTTTGGTTTTCTCTTCTTAAATAGTAATGCTATAACATCATGGGCACAAAAACTGAAGCAGAACCAACCAAAGAGAGCACATGTAGAAGATGGAGGTTCAAGATCTAAACAAGGAAATGAGCAAAGTAAGAAGACACCAATTGAGAAAGTAGGTGACTAGTCACTTTCCCTGCGGGCTCCAGTACTGATGATTATGTGGGTTTAGTACACGCTCATGAACAAAACTCTTGTGCCCTTTCTTTTGTATTGTTAATTTGTTCATTTATACATTTTTTTTGTTGTTGTTTTTTTGAGACGGAGTTTCGCTCTTATGGCCCAGACTGGAGTGCAATGACGTGATCTCGGCTCACTTCAACTTCTGCCTCCCAGGTTCAAGCGATTCTCCTGTCTCATCCTCCCAAGCACCTGTGGTGGTACAGGTGGTACATGGTGGTACAGTCGTGTGCCACCATGCCTGGCCAATTTTTTTTTTTTTTTTTGAGATGGAGTCTCGCTCTGTCACCCAGGCTGGAGTGCAGTGGCACAATCTTGGCTCACTGCAAGCTCCGCCTCCCGGGTTCACGCCATTCTCCTGCCTCAGCTTCCCAAGTAGCTGGGACTACAGGCACCCGCCACCACGCCCGGCTAATTTTTTGTATTTTTAGTAGAGACAGGGTTTCACCATGTTGGCCAGGCTGCTCTCGAACTCCTGACCTCAGGTGATCCACCCACCTTGGCCTCCCAAAGTGCAGGGATTATAGGCATGAGCCACCACGCTCGGCCCATTTATGCATCTTTCTTTTGGTGTTTCAGAGGATTAGAAATAATGATTTGCTGTAAGTGTTTCTTCTTTAGTAGGCTAGAAATCAAAGCTAATAAAGGATAAAATATTATGAAAATGAATCATTTGCAGAGGTCCTATTTCTCTTTGTACTGCAAATGTTTACATTTAGCCAGAGAGTAATCCATTTAATTGTTTAAAATAAACTTTCAAATAATTTATATTATTATTAAATTGTAAGAAGTAATACTGTAATCTTAAAGTTGAGGCTGGGCCAAGTGGCTCATGCTTGTAATCCCAGCACTTTGGGAGGCCGGGGTGGGCAGATCACGAGGTCAAGAGATCGAGACCATCCTGGTCAACATGGTGAAACCCCGTCTCTAACTAAAAATACAAAACTTAGCCGGGTGTGGTAGCATGCGCCTGTAGTCCCAGCTACTCGGGAGGCTGAGGCAGGAGAATCACTTGAACTGGGGAGACAGAGGTTGCAGTGAGCCAAGATCACGCCATTGCACTCCGGCCTGGCAAAAGAGCGAGATTCCGTCTAAAAAAAAAAAAGGTTGAAATTTGAACAGTTCTGAATTATAATCCAAATTGTGAGAGATTAAATGTTGAAATTCTGTATGGCCCTTTTGCTAAGCTAGCAGCTACTTTAATTAAAAGATTATAGATATTGAGTAAGGTTTTTTAAAAAATTATTTAAATTTGAGTTTCAGATAATTAAGATTTTAAACATTTCTTTTATTTATTTATTTATTTATTTATTTATTTTTTTGACATGGAGTCTTGCTCTGTTGCCCAGGCTGGGTTGCAGTGACATAATCTCAGCTCACTGCAATCTCTGTCTCCTGGGTTCAAGCGATTCTCCTGCCTCGGCCTCTCGATTAGCTGGGACTATAGGCGCGTGCCACCACGCCTGGCTTATTTTTGTATTTTTAGTAGAGATGGGGTCTCGCCATGTTGGTTAGGCTGGCCAGACCTCAAGTGATCCAACCACCTCAGCCTCCCAAAGTGCCGGGATTATAGACGTGAGCCACTGTTCCTGGCCCAAAGAAATTTTTTTAAAATATATTTTTGTAGAGACAGGGTCTCATTATGTTGCCCAGGCTGGTCTCAAACTCCTGGCTTCAAGTGATCCTCTTGCCTTGGCCTCCCCAAATGCTGAGATTACAAGCATGAGCCACTGTGCCTGGCCAGATAATTTTTAATATGCCTGTATAGCCCTTATTGCTCTAAATTTGTCACAGAATAGCATTGTTTAGTATAACACATTGAAATGGCAAAATCAGGTCCCTCTACACACCCAATACCTTTAGAAACTGGCCATGTCTTATCCTGAACATGGTCTTTTTGTCATCCTATGAAAAAGATCCATTAAAGAGGTCATAAGAAGATTGTCCTACAGCCTTCATAAGGCATTATTTATTCCTCTTTCAATAAATTTTATTTCTTCAATTTAGGCTTCCTGATATCACCATTCTTTGTACTTTTTCAGATTTATATTGAAGAGGAGGGAAGTGAAGGTAAATGAAGCTCTATGAACCACAAAAGCGTCTGTGGTCTAGGAAAGCCCTTTAGTACTGTGTTGCTAGTTTTATTCTAGAAAAGCCGTTTAGTACTATATTGGTAGCTCTAGAAAAGCCATTCAATACACCCCCACCACCACGCCCGGCTAATTTTTTGTATTTTTAGTAGAGACGGGGTTTCACCGTGTTAGCCAGGATAATCCCAATCTCCTGACCTCGTGATCTGCCCGCCTTGGCCTCCCAAAGTGCTGGGATTATAGGCGTGAGCCACCGCGCCCGGCCTTCTCTTGGTCTTAAGTAGTGAGACAAATTGAAACAGGTGGAATTTCTTCCTTGATGAGAAAGAAAATAAGTGGTGCCTTATAAGGCTCATGTGTTAATTCCCCATCTTCGTAGGTAGTGTTATTTCAGTGTGCTTTTACTTTGGCAATGGGTTCATGGATGGTTACATACTCTTTACAGGAATTAAAAGTTTCATGAGGGACCTGATAAGAAAAATTCTGATAGAAATATTCTCATCACATATCTCTGGAAACACATTTCTTGCGACAGTGTCAGAGATGTGAGGATTGATTTGTTCAGAATTTTTACTAGAATTGATAAGTAAGCAGGGACTACTAACCAATTGTTTGTATATAGGAAGTAGTCTACTACTTAAGGCTCATATTATTGATTTATGGTTTTTAGAGTTAATCTGATTTATTGTAATTATGATAAAAATGAATTGTTAGAGCTTTTACATTAATTTTTATACTAAATGACTTTAATTCTAGGCACTTCAAATTTGTTTTGGAAGTAAATGGCAAATTATAAATACATTTTAGGTCTGAACTCACGAAATAATACCTGCCCCCATTTTTCTCCTTCCAGCTCCACAGAGAACCGAAATAAACTTTTGTAAATTACACAGGCAAAAAAAAAAAATCTGCAACAGTGAATTCCTATCAGTTAGCATTCTTGTAACCATGGGGAAATCAGGCTTTCTTCTTTTTTTTTGAGACAGAGTCTTGCTCTGTTGCCCAGGCTAGAGTGCAGTGGCACGATCTCGGCTTACTGCAACCTCTGCCTCCCAGGTTCAAGTGATTCTCCTGCGTCAGCCTGCCGAGTAGCTGGGATTATAGGCACCCGCCACTGCGCCCGGCTAATTTTTGTATTTTTAGTAGAGACGGGGTTTCATCATCTTGACCAGGCTGTTTTCGAACTTTTGAGCTCGTGATCCACCCGCCTCGGCCTCCCAAAGTGCTGGGATCATAGGCGTGAGCTATCACGCCTGGCCAGGCTTTCTTCTTTGAACCCTCTGAAGGTTTCTCCCCACCTGGTTTGAGGCCTGGCTCTCATTTCTTGGGTCAGCAGATTGTGCCTAATGACTTTTAGCTGTCAATCAATAGTTTTCTTTCTTGTAGTCTGATTTTGCTGCTGCTACACATCCTCGTGCTTTTTACCTCAGTAAACCAGATGAAACTCCAAATGCTTGGATGTCTGATTCAGGAACAGGTATGATACTTACATTTTTATTTTTTTTAACCTAAACTACATACACTCAGAGGAAGGTACTTAGATTTTTAGAGCATTATTTTTAAAAAACAACTTGCCTACATTTCTCCATATGGGATGATACTGTATAGTAGTATGGTTTTGTAAATGTGTTATGTGTTGTGATGTTCTCTGGTAGCAGCCTTACCTTTGTTTGTTTTGTTTTTTGAGACAGGGTCTCACTCTGTCACCCAGGCTGGGGTGCAGTGGTGCGATCACAGCTCACTGCAGCCTCAGCCTCCTGGGCTCAAGTGATCCTCCCACCTCAGCTTCCCAAGAATAGCTGGGACAACAGGCGGTGTCACCATGCCCAGCTTTTGTATTTTTTTGTAGAGACAGGGTTTCGCCATGTTGCCTCAGCTGGTTTTGAACTCCTGGGTGCAAGCAATCCACCAGCCTCGGTTTCTCAAAGTGCTGGGATTACAGGCTTCAGCCACCATGTCCAGCCACCTTTCTTTCTTATCTTAATTTATGTTACAAGATCTGTAAAGAGAATAAAGAAGTACTTTTGCAGTTGTTTTGAACAGCTGTAAAAATCATCAACCTTTTTCGGGTAGTCCAAAATGAATTAAATTCAAACCCTCTGAGCCATCCTTTACACTCCATGGTGAGCTTATTCCAATCTTAATGGCCTTATATACAGACTTTTTTTTTTTTCCATATCCCACATCCAATTCATCAGGATGAATTAGCTTTGCCTTACAAATCTTTCTAGAATCGCACCACTTCTTACAACCTCCACAGCTTCTAGCCTAAGAGTGTTCTCTCATCTGTCACCTGGGTTGCTACTGTCTTCCTAACCAGCCTCCCCACTTCCACTCTTGCACACTTCAGTCTGTTCTCAACATAGTAGACAAAGTGATCCTCTGAAAAGTTAAGTCACATCATGTGACTCCTCCTCTCCAAACCCTGTTGTTCACAGAGTCCTTACAGGGGCCCACAGTGCCTAACAACCTAGCCCTGTTACCTCTTTGACCTCACTTTATACTGAATTGTTCCTCGAATTACAATGGGGTTATGTCCTGATAAACCCACCATAAATTGAAAATATCATAAGTTGAAAATGGGCTGGGCACAGTGGCTCATGCCTATAATCCCAGCACTTTGAGAGTCCAAGGTATGAGGATCGCTTGAGGCCATGAGTTTGAGACCAACTTGAGCAACAAGTTGAGACCCCATCTCTACAAAAGAGTCAAAAAATTAGCCAGGGATGGTGATGCGCCTGTAGTGCTAGCTACTTGGAAAGCTGAAATGGGAAGATTGCTTGAGTCTGGGAGGTCAAGGCTGCAGTGAGCCATGATCACACCACTGCACTCCAGCCTGGGCAATACCAAGACTTTGTCTCAAGAAAAAAAAAAATTGAAAATGCATTTAGTACACCTAGCTTATTAAACATCATAGCTTAGCCTAGTGTACATTAAATGTGCTCAGAACACTTACATTAGCCCACAGTTGGGCAAAATTATCTAACACAAAGTATTTTATAATAAAGTATTGACTATTTCATATACTTTATTGAACACTGAGAGTGAAAAACAGAATGGTCAGCCAGGCGCGGTGGCTCATGCTTGTAATCCCAGCACTTTGGGAGGCCAGGTCGGGCGGATCACGAGGTCAGGCGATCGAGACTATCCTGGCTAATACAGTGAAACCCCGTCTCTACTAAAAATACAAAAAATTAGCTGGGCTTGGTGGCGGCCGCCTGTAATCCCAGCTGCTCAAGAGGCTGAGGCAGGAGAATGGCGTGAACCCAGGAGGCAGAGCTTGCAGTGAGCCGAGATTGTGCCACTGCACTCCAGCCTGGGCAACAGAGCCAGACTCTGTCTCAAAAAAAAAAAAAAGAATAACAGAATGGTCATATGGGTACTCAAAGTATGGTTTCTACTGACTGCATATCGCTTTTGCACCATGATAAAGTAAAAAAAAAAAAAAAAAAAAGTCGACCATTGTAGGCTGGGGATTGTACTCTGTCCTTTTTTTTTTTTTTTTTTTTGAGACAGAGTTTTGCTCTTGTTGCCCAGGCTGGAGTGCGATGGTGTGATCTCGGCTTACTGTAACCTCCGCTTGCCAGATTCAAGTGATTTTTCTGCCTCAGCCTTCAGCTTCCCAAACTGGGATTACAGGCATGCACTACCACGCCCAGCTAATTTTGTATTTTTAGTAGAGATAGAGTTTTTCCATGTTGGTCAGGCTGGTCTTCAACTCCTGACCTCAGGTGATCTGCCCACCTCAGGTGATCTGCCCGCCTCAGCCTCCCAAAGTGCTGGGATTACAGGCGTGAGTCATTGCGCCTGGCTGTGCTCTGTCCGTTTCTTTGATGAGAAGGGAGATTGTCTGCTCAAATGTCCCAGATAGGTTTTAGGACTTTTGCATTGGCTGTTTTCCATACTTGAAATGTTCTTTTCCCTGTATGAGGGAGCTCCCTCATACATGGCTAAAATGGCTGATGCCCTCTTAATTATCCTCTCAGTAGCCAACCCTGTTTACCTGATTCAAAAATAGTGCCTGCCCATCGCACCCCCCACTACATATCCCCTTTATCCTATTTTAAAATCTCATCAGAGTGCTTACCACCTATATACTGCATGATTTACTTACTTTTCATGTCTCACTCCTCCTGCCTCCCCAGCCTGGCACTATAGGTACTCAATAAACATTTGAATTATTTACATTGATTCTGTATGTCTATACTACTCACAAAGAAATTGTCAGCTGGGCGTGGTGGCTCACACCTGTGATCCCAGCACTTTGGGAAGCCAAGGTGCGCAGATCACCTGACCCCAGGAGGTTGAGACCAGCCTGGGCAACATAGCAAAACTTCGTCTCTACACAAAATACAAAAATTAGCTGGGTGCGGTGGTGTTGAGTTTATAGTCCCAGCTACTTGGGAGGCTGAAAGGGAATGATGGCTTGAGCTCGGGAGGTCAGGGCTGTAGTGAGCTGTGATTGCACCACTGTACTCCAGACTGGGTGACAGATGGAGGCCCTGTCTCAGAAAAAAAAAAAAAAAAAAAAAAAAAGAAATTGTCTATTTTAAAATATATTTTAAGGCTGGACCTGGTAGCTCACAACTGTAATCCTAGCACTTTGGGAGGCCGAGGAGGGTGGATTGCTTGAGCTCTGGAGTTTGAGACCAGCCTGGGTAACATGGCCAAACCCTGTCTCTACTAAAAGTACCAAAAAAATTAGCAGGGCTTGGTGGTGTGTGCCTGTAGTCCCAGCTTCTTGTGGGGCTAAGACAGGAGGATGTCTTGAACCTGGAAGGTTGAGACTCCAGTGAGCTGGGCTGGGCGCAGTGGCCCATGCCTATAATCCCAGCACTTTGGGAGGCCGGGGCGGGAGGATCACTTGAGATCAGGAGTTTGAGACCAGCCTGGCCAACATGGTGAAGCCCCATCTCTACTAAAAATACAAAAATTAGTCTGGGCACGGTGGCTCACACCTGTTTTCCCAGCACTTTGGGAGGCCGAGGCAGGCAGATCACTTGAGGTCAGGAGTTCGAGACCAGTCTAGCCAAAATGGCAAAACCCTGTCTCTACTAAAAATACAAAAATTAGCAGGGCGTGATGGTGCATTCCTGTAACCTCAGCTACTCAGGAGGCTGAGGCAGGAGAATCACTTGAACCTGGGAGGCGGAGGTTGCAGTGAGCCGAGCTCGTGCCATTGCACTCCAGCCTGGGCAACAGAGTGAGACTCTGTCTCAAAAAAAAAAAAAAAAAAAAAAAAAGAAAAAACAAACCAAAAATTAGCTGGTTATGGTGGCGCATGCCTGTAATTCCAGCTACTCAGGAGGCTGAGGCAGGAGAATTGCTTGAACTCGGGAGGCGGAGGTTGCAATGAGCCGAGATCACTCCACTGCATTCCATCTTGGGCAACAGAGCGAGACTCTGTCTCAAAAAAAGAGACCACAGTGGACTGAGATGGCACCACTGCACTCCTGGGTGACAAAGTGAGACCCTGTCTCAAAAAATAAAAAAATTTATTTTATTATTATTATTTTAATTTTTTTTTGAGACTCTGTCACTCACTCTATCACTCAGGCTGGAGTGCAGTGGCACCATCTCAGCTCACTACAACCTCTGTCTCCTGGGTTCAAGCGATTCTCATGCCTCAGCCTCCCAAGTAGCTGGTATTACAGTGTGTGCCACCACACCTGGCTGATTTTTGGATTTTTAGTAGAGATGGGGCTTCACCACGTTGGCCAGGCTGGTCTCAAACTCCTGACGTTAGGTAATCCTCCTGCCTCAGCTTCCCAAAGGGCTGGGATTACAGGCGTGAGCTACCATGCCTGGCCAAAAATATGTATTTTAAATTGTACCAACTCATCTTGACTTTTTATATTTCAGTTTTAAACATTTGCATCCAGTTAGGACTCTTACATAATAAGGAATTTAGATAACTTTTTTCCATCAAAATTCAAATTACTTTAACCCAAAATTAATTTCTTCCCATATTTAATTTCCTTTAGGTAGAAATGTTATTCTAGAAAGCATTTTTGTTTTTTTCTCACTCTTTTCTATTCTGTGTGTTTGTGCACATCAGGATTGACTTACTGGAAACTAGAGGAAAAGGATATGCACCACTCTTTGCCTGAAACTTTAGAGAAGACGTTCATATCATTGTCTTCCACAGATGTGTCACCAAACCAGGTAATTTAAAAACACACGGTGGCCGGGCGCGGTGGCTTACGCCTGTAATCCCAGCGCTTTGGGAGGCCGAGGTGGGCGGATCATGAGGTCAGGAGATCAAGACCATCCTGGCTAACACGGTGAAACCCCGTCTCTACTAAAAATACAAAAAATTAGCTGGGCGTGGTGGCGGGCGCCTGTAGTCCCAGCTACTCGGGAGGCTGAGGCAAGAGAATGGTGTGAACTCAGGAGGCAGAGCTTATAGTGAGGGGAGATTGCGCCACTGCACTCCAGCCTGGGTGACAGAGCAAGACTCCATCTCAAAAAAAAAAAAAAAAACAACAAAACAAAACACACACACCGTGGACTGGGCGTGGTGGCCTGTAATCCTGTAATCTCGGCACTTTGGGAAGCTGAAGTGGGCAGACCATCTGAGGTAAGGAGTTCGAGACCAGCCTGGCTAACATGGTGAAACCCCGTTTCTACTAAAAATACAAAAAAATTAACCAGACTTGGTGGCGTGTGCCTGTTCATCCCAGCTATTTGGGAGGCTGAGGCAGGAGAATCACTTGAACCTGGGAGGTGGAGGTTGCACTGAACCGAGATTGTGCCATTGCACTCCAGCTTGGGCAACGAGAGTGCAACTCCATCTCAAAGAAAAAAAAAACTGTGTGTGTTTGTGTTTTACAATTGTTGCTAAGTACTCCAGTATAAATTTTATTTTTCAACTTCTAAAATACTGGAAAAAGCATGGGCTTTAGAATCATACTCACTTGTTTTCAAATTCAGTCTGTCATTTTTGCCTTATGTAATCTTAGCAATGCTTCTTAAAAGTGGAATTAAAGGCTGGGTGCTGTGGCTCAAGCCTGTAATCCCAGCACTTTGGTAGGCCAAGGTGGGCAGATCACCTGAGGTTGGGAGTTCAAGACCAGCCTGGCCAACATGGTAAAACCCCATCTCTACTAAAAACCCAAAAATTAGCTGGGCGTGGTGGCATGCACTTGTAATCCCAGCTGCTCAGGTGGCTGAGGCAGGAGAATCACTTGAACCCAGGAGGTGGAGATTGCAGTGAGCCAAGATGGTGCCACTGCACTCCAGCCTGGGTGACAGAGCGAGACTCCGCCTCAGCAAAAACAACAACAGAAAAAAGTGGAATTAAAAATTCCACTTTTAAAAAATTCTGGCTGGCTTGAGCTGGGCATCATAGTTTACACCTGTAATCCTTGTACTTTGGGAGGCTGAGGTGAGAGGATCACTTGAGCCCGGGAGGTCACACCATTGCACTCTAGCCTGTGTGACAGAGTGAGACCCTGTCTCAAAAAGGGAAAAAAAAAATGCTGGTTAGTGTTTTGTGAAATTAAATGGATTGTGCCTACTATTTCATATGTAGTAGGTCCTCAGCTATTAATTTCTTCCCCTTTTCCCAGAATTGGTGTTGATTTTTCATTTGTTACACCTCCATTCATTTTCATTTGTTATGCGATCCATTTCCACCATAGTTATGAGCAACTTAATTTGCTGTATTCTTTTTTTTTTTTTTTTTGAGACAGTTTCACTCTGTCGCCAGGTTGGAGTGCAGTGGTGCGATCTTGGCTCACTGCAACCTCTGCCTCCCGGGTTCAAGTGATTATCCTGCCTCAGCCTCCCGAGTAGCTGGGTCTACAGGCACATGCCACCACGCCCAGCTAATTTTTGTATTTTTAGTAGAGACGGGGTTTCACCATGTTGGTCAGGATGGTCTCGATCTCTTGACCTCGTGATTTGCTTGCCTTGGCCTCCCAAGTGCTGGAATTACAGGCATGCACCACTGCGCCCGGCCAATTTGCTGGATTTTCTTTGAGTAAGAAAGGTACATTTAAAAAAAAAATTTTTTTTTTTTTTTTTTTTTGAGACGGAGTCTCAGTCTGTCACTTAGGCTGGAGTGCAGTGGTTCCAGGTTCAAGTGATTCTCCTGCCTCAGCCTCCTGAGTAGCTGGGATTATGGGCATGCGCCACCATGCCTGGCTAATTTTTGTATTTTTAGTAGAGAGGGAGTTTCGTGATGTTGGCCAGGCTGGTGATCCACCCACATCAGCCTCCCAGAGTGCTGGGAATACAGGCGTGAGCCACTGCGCTGGCCCATTTTTTTTAAATTTAAGAGCAAAGAAATAAAACTATTCAGTAAATGTACATCAATGTACCTATTTCACCTCTGTATTTTTTTTTTTCTTTTTTTTTTTTCTTTGAGGCGGAGTCTCGCTCTGTTGCCCAGGCTGGAGTGCAGTGGCGTGATCTCAGCTCACTGCAATCTCTGCCTCCCAGGTTCAAATGATTCTCCCACCTCAACCTTCCAAGTAGCTGGGATTACAGGCACCTGCCATCATGCCCAGCTATGTTTTGTATTTGTGTAGAGACAGGGTTTCACCATGTTGGCCAGGCTGCTCTCGAACTCCTGACCTCAGGTGATCCGCCCGCCTTGGCCTCCCAAAGTGCTGGAATTACAGGCATGAGCTAGTGCACCCGGCCTTCATTTCTGTATTTTGATCAGGTAATGAAAGAGTACCTGGGGAAAAGGAGAGATACTATTAAAGTAACCAAGAGACATAAAAATGAATGACATATACAGACAGACAGATGGGGCAATGTACTTGTAAGCATCAGAGTCTCAGTGACGGAAACCAATGTTCCGTACTTCATGAAAGGAACAAAAAGACACAGGTCAACACAGAGAAATGAAGTATGAGGGGGGTAAGATTGTAGGGGGCAAGGCAGGCTTAGTAGGCTTTGCAATTGCAGGGCTCACAGTGTTATCTGATCTTGAACATCAGTAAGTGGATACTGCATTTTGTTGACTCTACGGTATTGTCAACTTTAAGGTTTCCCATTTCATGTTCTACCAAGAAAAATTTATAAATTAGACTGATACAATGCTTTTTTTTTTTTTTTTTTTTAACCACTTTAGAATTTATATTTTATTCTTATGGAAAGAGTCTTTAGACTTAAACATAGGTTTTATTATGTATCAGTAACTTTTTTTTTTTTTTATTAGAGAGAGGATTTTTGCTGTGTTGCCTAGGCTGGTCTCAAACTCCTGGGCTCAAGTGATTCCCCTGCTTTGGTCTCCCACAGTGCTGGGATTACAGCTGTGAGTCACTGTGCCTGGCCTATTATATAACTTTTTTTTTGAGACGGAGTCTTGCTCTGTTGCCAGGCTGGAGTGCAGTGGTGTGATCTCGGCTCACTGCAACCTCCATCTCCTGGGTTCAAGCGATTCTCCTGCTTCAGCCTCCTGAGTAGCTAGGACTACAGGCATGCACTACCATACCCAGCTAATTTTTTTGTGTTTTTAGTAGAGACGAGGTTCCACCATGTTGGCCAAGATGGTCTCGATCTCCTGACCTTGTGACCCACCTGCCTCAGCCTCCCAAAGTGCTGGGATTACAGGTGTGAGCCACTGTGCCTGGCTTATTATATAACTCTTATGCATACTTTAAAAAGGAAAACATAAGTGAAATAAAAGTGGCTAAAATTCTTTCCTTCTCAGAGTGTTATACTCTTCTCTTCTCATCTCTTCTCTTCTCTTCTCCTCTCCTCTCCTCTCTTCTCTTCTCCTCTTCCTCTCTTTCTCTCTTTCTTTCTTCACGGTCTCACTCTGTTGCCGAGGCTGGAGTATAGCAGCTTCATCATAGATAACTGCAGACTCAACCTCCTGGGCTCAGGCGATCCTCTTGCCTCAGCCTCCTGAGTAGCTGGGACTACAGTCATGTGCAACCACACCTGGCTCATTTTTTTTTTGTTTGTTTGTTTTTAGTAGAGGCAAGGTCTCTCTATGTTGCCCAAGCTGGTCTCTCAAACTCCTGGACTCAAGCAATCCTCCTGCCTCAGCCTCCCAAAGTGCTGGGATTACAAATGTGAACCACTATGCCTGGCCATTTCTCTCTCTTCACCTTGGTGTTAGTTTCTGTGTTTTCCCACGTTATCTTCCTCTAGCCCACCAAGAGCATCAGCGATTCTGCATTTCTTTAAAAAGAATAGAAAGGCCTTTCTGCTTTTTACCTGTCTTAGTAGCATGTAGGACTAGCCCGCTTTGGACTCCCATGTGGAGTATGTTGCTAAACGTGTCTGATTCACCGTTCTCTTAAATATTGGTCCTCAGGAGCTTCATTGTAGTGTGTAGGTTTGTCTTCCAAGCTGCTGATACCTATTTGGCCAATTTTGAGCTCATGAGCAGGGAATGACAGTCTGTCACAACCACAACTTGGCCCAAAGCAATAGCAATTATAAAATGCCATTAATTACAAGAGGCATCCCTACTTTAGAGATGTTAACATGACAAGAACATAAAAGTGGTGAAAAGTGGTACTTTTCTATTCCCATGAGCTTTGAGTAGAATAACCCCAACTATTCCCCCAGACCACCAGGCTGTGGCCATAGCTGGAGTAATGCTACTCTTCACAGGCTTCAGGTCTTGAAAAGGCTTCTTTAGGTTATTGGCATGTAAAGAATGAATTCTACAGCAGGATTATGGGAATTGTGGTACTTTTTTTTTTTTGAGGCAGAGTCTCGCTCTGTTTCACAGGCTGGAATGCAGTGGTGCGATCTCAGCTCACTGCATCCTCCGCCTCCTGGGTTCAAGCAGTTCTCCTGCTTCAGCCTCCCAAGTAGCTGGGATTACAGGCACGCACCACCACACCCGGCTAATTTTTGTGTTTTTAGTAGAGATGGGGTTTCACCATATTGGCCAGGCCGGTGTCGAACTTCTGACCTCAAGTGATCCACCCGCCTTGGCCTCCCAAAGTGTTGGGATTACAGGCGTGAGCCACCACAGTATATTTTAAAGGTTTAGATTTAACAAATTAATGCCTTTAATGCACACACTCACAAGGTTTTAAAAATACATATTCATGGTGCTCTGCAGCCTACGTAGGGTCTAGAAATGGGACACAAATTTAAAGCTACATGATTAATGTGTTCTTTCAGTGTTTTCAGTGTATCTATTGTTGAATCTGTAATCTCATTTGTGACAGTGTTCACAGTTTAAATTTGAGGCCCAAGGTTAATTGGTTCTCCTCTCACACCCTATAATACGTCCCACCTTGAAATAATTTAAGCCCAAAGTTTTAGTGTTTAGAGCCTAGACCTCTCTGCAACATTTTTAGTGTAGTGAGGTCCTGATTTCAATTTTTCGAAATTAGGGTCCTATCTTCTGTTTTTTGAGACAGAGTTTTGCTCTGTCGCCCAGGCTAGAGTGAAGGAGTACAGTGGCATGATCCCAACTCACTGCAACCTCTGCCTCCTGGGTTCAAGTGATCGTCCCACTTCAGTCTCCTGCGTTGCTGGGATTACAGGCCTGCGCCACCACTCCCAGCTAATTTTTGTATTTTTAGTAGAGACAGGGTTTCACCATATTAGCCAGGCTGGTCTCGAACTCCCGACCTCAGGCGATCCGCCTGCCTTGGCCTCCCAAAGCGCTGGGATTACAGGTGTAAGCCACCGTGTCCAGCCTAGGGTCATATCTTCTTATTTTACTAATGAATAAAGGGACTTATTTTCACTTGATCTTAGCCAAAAGGCTGAGAAGTGATGGGTGGGGGGGACTTATTTTCATTGGGTCACTTTGTGACACCTAGTTTTGTTTGGCCAACTCTTTTAACAAACATGATTGTAACTACATAGATAAGGAACTCCAGCTCTTGGTGCTTTTTCTTCAGCCATATGAAATTAATTTGGCCGAAAGTTTTCTCATCCTTCTATCATTCATTCTGAAGTATCTTGTTTTCTTTTTTTTTTTTTTTGAGACGGAGTTTCGCTCTTGTTGCGCAGGCTAAAGTGCAATGGCGCAATCTCGGCTCACCACAACCTCCGCCTTCCAGGTTCAAGCGATTCTCCTGCCTCAGCTTCCCTTGTAGCTGGGATTACAGGCATGCGCCACCATGCCTGGCTAATTTTGTATTTTTAGTAGAGACAGGGTTTCTCCATGTTGGCTAGGCTGGTCTCAAACTCTCGACTTCAAGTGATCACTCACCTTGGCCTCCCGAAGTGCTGGGATTATAGGCATGAGCCACTGCGCCTAGCCTATGAAGTATTTTCTTACCTCAAAACTTGGCTATTGGCTAGGCGTGGTGGCTCATGCCTGTAATCCCAGCACTTTGGGAAGCTAAGGTGGGAGGATTGCTTGAGCTCAGGAGTTTGAGACTAGCCTGGGCAACATGGTGAGACCCTGTCTCTACAAAAAAAAATAGAAAAATTAGCTGGGCGTGGTCTTGCACTCGTGTAGTCCCAGCAACTTGGGAGGTTGAGGCAGGAAGATCACTTTAGCCTGGGAGATTGAGGCTGCAGTGAACCATGATCACACCACTGCACTCCAGCCTGGGCAACAGGGTGAGACCTTGTCTCAAAGAAACCCAGAAAACTTGGTTCTTATTTTGAGTGGGAGAACTACTAAGAATTTCATTATTTGGAAGTATTCATAGGCTGCTAAATAATTAATGTTCACATTATCCCCTTAGTGTCCTAAATTGTTAGGAGATCCAAACATCTTTCCATTCTGAGGTAGACTCATCATACTAGGTAATGACTTCCAAGCTTGTATTACAAATCTGACAGTCTACATTTTCAATTTGCTTAAAGTCTTTCAAAAATCTTTTTATGGTGCTTATTTTGATATCATTAATTTGTTTCATTATTGATAACACCATTTAATTTTGTTTCGTATCTTTAAGTCTAATACTAGTAATGAGATGAAGCTACCGTCACTGAAGGATATTTATTATAAAAAACAAAGGGAAAACAAGCAGTTACCTGAGAGGAATCTCACTTCTGCTTCCAACCCAAATCATCCACCAGAGGTAAAGTTGTCCACATTCTGCCGAGTGAACGTGAACAATGCTTCCTGACTCTAACTTTTACCTCAAGCTTCATTTTCCCTAGGAGATCTAAAGCCTACTCACTTCAAAACAAGCAAAACAAAGCCGAGTTCTGAGGGTAAGACTTCGTTGTTGTCTGGTTTCCAGGTCCTGACTCTAGATCCTACGTTACACATGAAGCCAAAGCAGCAGATTTCAGGGATTCAACCTCACGGCCTTCCGAATGCCCTTGATGACAGAATATCCTTTTCCCCGGACTCTGTTCTAGAGCCTAGTATGTCTAGTCCCTCTGACATAGACTCATTTTCACAAGCAAGTAATGTCACTTCTCAGTTACCTGGATTTCCAAAATATCCCTCACACACAAAAGCTTCTCCGGTGGACTCTTGGAAAAATCAGACATTCCAAAACGAAAGTAGGACCAGTTCCACGTTTCCGTCAGTATATACCATTACTAGTAATGATATCTCGGTCAACACTGTAGATGAAGAAAACACTGTCATGGTTGCTTCGGCCTCAGTCAGTCAGTCCCAGCTTCCAGGTACAGCCAACAGTGTCCCAGAATGCATTTCATTGACTTCCTTGGAAGATCCTGTGATATTGTCTAAGTATGTATTTCAGTGAATGGCTTGTAATGTTAATAGATTTTCTGTGATATCTGATTGAAAATGATCTTTATTGAACTTCAGTATTGCATAAAGTCTTAGAGATTTAGCATTTTTAAGATGGAGCATATAAAAACTTTTTCACTTGATTGTTAACTTTTTGTGTATTAATCTATATATTTTGTAGTATGCAAAGGAAATATGCTATATTTTTGCCCATGAGAATCATTGTGTTCTTGGTTTCTCTTGTGGGATGGAGACTGAAGATAGCTTTCCTAATATATATTTTTTATTCTCACTGAATAAGGATTAGGCAGAATCTGAAGGAAAAGCATGCTCGACACATAGCAGATCTTCGAGCTTATTATGAATCAGAAATAAATAGTTTGAAACAGAAGCTGGAGGCAAAAGAAATCTCTGGAGTTGAAGATTGGAAGATAACCAATCAAATTCTTGTAGACAGGTAAAATTTATAATTTAGCTGTGAAGTTTTCTCCACCTTGGATGTATTATTTTCACAGAAGTATAATGTGAGAAAACACTTTGAAAATACTTTGGATCTGAAATTTTAACAGTCATGTTTGCCTAAGTATTTTTGAAGCTAAACCCCCCTCTTATAATACACTAATAACTGACGTGGAGCCATTTGTTTCACATGGGCAAAATACTGAAACAGTTGAGCGAATTTTGTATATGCAGAGTAATGTCATTGATGGGAGGAGCAGTACTATGGACTTTCTAATAAGTCTATGGCTTATGTCCTGTGGCAGTTCTTCACCTTTTTAATAGGCCCATTCCAAAAAAACCCACAAAGATATGCAGGGGAGAATGGCCTTATATTCAGGATAGCTTCATACCTATTTTAGAATCACTTAGAAAATCTGATGCTTTCACTACTAGTATTAGTAGTAGAGTCCTTGCAACATACTTTACCATTAAACGGGACTTGATCAGGCATGGTGGCTCACGTCTGTAACCCAGCACTTTGGGAGGCTGTGGCAGGCAGATCTCTTGAGCTCAGGAGTTCAAGACCAGCCTGGGCAACATAGTGGAACCCTGTCTCTACAAAAAATTAAAACGTTAGTTGGGCATGGTGGCGTGTACCTGTGGTCCCACTTACTGGGGAGGCTGAGGTGAGAGGATTGCTTGAGCTCAGGAGGTCGAGGCTGCAGTGAACTAAGGTTGTACCACTGCACTCCAGCCTGGGTGACAGAGCGACACCCTGTCTCTAAATAAATAAATAGGACTTAAATAGATTGAAAATCGATGCAGGTCTAGCTGATAGCAAGGCATTCTCTAAGGAGAAAAGACAAAGCTCACTTCAAAGAGCTTAGGAGGGAACTAAAATCTTCCGTCTGGTTAACAGTTTAACTTTCAAAAAAACAAAACAAAACAGTTTAACTTTCAAAGTTATGGGAAAACTAGCCTTTATACTGTAAGTAGTTTTGGTTGCTGTGGTAGTTAACATGGCTGTCTTATTGAATGTTTCTACAGCTTTCATTTTGCATTTAGTAGTGTGGGGGTACAATGGTAGGGAAAAGTAATTTGAAAAAGAGCCAAACCAAAAGAAAAGAGACAGGTTTAGGTTTTTTACGACACAAACAGTAGATAGCAGGTTATGGGAAGTTGGTTTTTTTATTATTGTTTTTGTTTAGAAGGCAAAGATGAGGCTGAGTGTGGTGGCTCACACCTGTAATCCCAGCAGTTTGGGAGGCCGAGGCAGGCAGATCACTAGAGGTTAGGAGTTCAAGACCAGCCTAGACAACATATTGAAACTCTGTCTCTACTAAATATACAAAAAGCAGCTGGATGTGGTGGTGCGCACCTGTAGTCCCAGATACTCGGGAGGCTGAGGCAGGAGAATCACTTGAACCCGAGAGGCAGAGGTTACAGTGAGCCGAAATTGTGTCACTGCACTCCTGCACTCCAGCCTGGGCGACAGAGTGAGACTCAGTTTCAAAAAAAAAAAAAAAAATGCAAAGATGACTGTAGTTACTTCCTGTAGGAAAACAAGTATGAAAGAAGCCCGCCAGTGAACTTTTGAAGATTAAAAACAGTCCTAAAGAAGGTACCTAGAATAAATTATAGCCAGTCAAAACATTTTTATGACTAGAAGATGTTTGAGCGTGTAGGGCAATGAGCAAATATAGGTGGAGCAAATTGGAAGCCAGGGTTTTAAGTAAATGGCTGTATTATAGCAGTTAATAACAGTGGCAGGCTTGGTTACTGGAGTAGATGTAATCACTGTGTAAAATGAATAGCAGTACATTATTTTCTCCTCTTCCCAAAAAAGATTTGATCTGGCTTATGGTTAAAAAAAAAAAAAGCTGTGTTACAGAGGACAGTAGAAACAAAATACGTGGCAGTCATTTAGAACTGGAGAAATGATTTCCCCCAAGATAAAAAACCATTGTTATCAGTGTATACACTGGTTTTTTCCAAACTTAAAATTGCAAATTGGAGAATCCCCCTGGTGTTACAAATGGAGCCATTAGCCAGCTGTGATATCAGATTACTATGTCACGGATTTAGAACTTGGGACAGTGATCCTCTGGCACATTAGAATCCATAGTACTGAAAAAAGTCAAATACAATTAACACACACTTGATTATTTGAGTGATTTTTTTTCAAGAATAGTCTCATCAGTATTTCATGTCTGTGCCGCATTAATGCACAGTGGTTAGGATCATGAACTAGGAGTGCCCAGCTTATGTTCCCAGTGTGACTGCTTACAATCTGTGTGACTTTCAGTGAGGAACTGAACTGTCTTTGTTTTCTCAACTGTAAAATGGGATCAATGATAATCTTTTTTTCTTTCTTTCTTTTTTTTTTTTTTTGAGATGGAGTCTCTGTCGCCTAGGCTGGAGTACAGTGGTGCTGTCTCGGCTCACTGCAAGCTCCGCCTCCCAGGTTCATGCCATTCTCCTGCCTCAGCCTCCCGAGTAGCTGGGACTACAGGCGCCCGCCACCATGCCCGGCTAATTTTTTGTATTTTAGTAGAGACGGGGTTTCACCGTATTATCCAGGATGGTTTAGCCAGGATGGTCTCGATCTCCTGACCTTGTGATCCACCGGCCTCGGCCTCTCAAAGTGCTGGGATTACAGGCGTGAGCCACCATGCCTGGCTGGGACCAATGATAGTCTTAATGGACAGAATTGTGAGGATAAACGAAACGTGCTTAAAGACCTGGTGTATAGTCAGTGCTAAATAAATAAAGCTTTTATTATTCATACTATGTTAAACACCGAGTCAAGATGGTAACTGAATTCTTCTATGTATTTTGTTATTTTGAGGATCTGTGATAATTAACTTTACAAAGGAAGTTAATTATAAGAATAGTTATATTCGTGCTAAATTCGAAATAGTACAGAAGGTCATAATATGAAAAGTAAATTGGATCGCATGAGTCCAGGAGTTTGAGACCAGCCTGGGCAACAAAGTGAGATCCCATCTCTACAAAAAATCAAATTAGCTGTGTGTGGTGGTGCATACTCAGGAGGTTGAGGCAGGAGGGTTGCTTGATCCCAGAAGGTTAAGTCTGCAGTGAACCGTGATTGCACCACTGTACTTCAACCTGGGTTATGGAGTGAGATCCTGTCTCAAAAAAAGAAAGAAAAAAGTAAATCTCCCTACCCCAACCTCTAGTCCCAAATCCCAAATCCAAATTTAATTTTTTGCATTTTTCCAGAAATCATAATGCATATATATAGATACAGATTTTTTTCAAGCTAAGATCAAGCTATTTTATGCATGTCTTTTTTTTATATCTTTTAAAAAAATTATTTTAGGCTTTTTTTTTTTTTTTTTTTTTTTTTGAGACAGGTTCTCACTCTGTCACTCAGGCTGGAGTGCAGTGTTGTGATCTCAGCCCGCTGCAACCTCAGCCTCCCAGGTTCAAGCCACCCTCCCACCTCAGCCTCCTGAGTAGCTGGGACTACAGGCACATGCCACCATGCCCAGCTAATTTTTGTATTTTTAGTAGAGATAGGGTTTCACCATGTTGGCCAGGCTGATCTTGAACTCCTGGCCTCAAGTGATCTGCCTGCCTCAGCCTCCCAAAGTGTTAGTATTACAGGTGTGAGCCACTGTGCCTGGCCAATTTTAGCCTTTTCTCTACATACTATATTATTAGATTCATTGGGCTATATTCTATTAAAATGGCATCCTGAGTCTTAGTTAACACTGGAGAATTTGTCTTATGTTATATATTAGAGAATTGGTTAGATTTATGTAATACTTTTAAGGGTAATAATTTTATCTTCTAATTGAAGCTAAATTTATGGTTTTTAGATGTGGCCAATTAGATAGTGCTTTGCATGAAGCTACTAGTCGCGTGAGAACACTTGAAAATAAGAATAACTTACTGGAAATTGAAGTGGTAAGTACTCTTTTTTTGGTGGGTGTTCTGGTGAGACAAATGAATTATTTCGTGATAACATCAGTTATGTTTCTTGTCTTTTTAAGGAAGGCTTATGAAGTTTATATTTTTAGTGCTGTTGGCTTCATATAATGCTATAAACTTTACCCTTTTTTTTTTTTTTGAGACGGAGTCTCGCTCTGTTGCCCAGGCTGGAGTGCAGTGGCGCGGTCTTGGCTCACTGCAAGCTCCGCCTCCCGGGTTCACGCCATTCTCCTGCCTCAGCCTCCTGAGTAGCTGGGACTACAGGCGCCCTCCACCACGCCCAGCTAATTTTTTGTATTTTTTAGTAGAGACGGGGTTTCACCGTGTTAGCCAGGATGGTCTCGATCTCCTGACCTTGTGATCCTCCTGCCTCGGCCTCCCAAAGTGCTGGGATTACAGGCGTGAGCCACTGCACCCTTTTTTTTTTTTTTTCTTTTTTTTGAGATGGAGTCTCGCTCTGTCGCCCAGGCTGTAGTGCAGTTGCGCGATCTCAGCTCACTGCAACCTTCGCCTCCCAGGTTCAGGCGATTCTCCTGCCTCAGCCTCCCTAGTAGCTGGGACTACAGGTGCATGCCACCGTGCCCAGCTAATTTTTGTGTTTTTACTAGAGATGGGGTTTCACCATGGGGGTCAGGCTGGTTTGTAATGCCTGACCTCGTGATCCACCCACCTCGGCCTCCCAGAGTGCCGGGATTACAGGTGTGAGCCACCGCACCTGGCCTAAACTTTACCCTTTTAAAACTTACCTTTTGGCCAGGTGTGGTGGCTCATGTCAGTAATCCTAGCACTTTGGGAGGCTGAGGTGGGAGAGTTGCTTGAGCCCAGGAGTTCGAGACCAGCCTGGGTAACATACAGAGACCTCTGTCTCTACAAATTAGCTGGGCATGGTGGTGCACAGCTGTGGTCCCAGCTACTCGGGAGACTGAGGCAGGAGGATGACTTGATCCCAGGAAGTTGAGGCTGCAGGGATCATGATTGCGCCACAGCACTGTAGCCTGGGCAAGAGAGCATGACCCTGTCTCAAAAAAAAATTTTTTTTTAATTTTTTGCAATATAATTTGCATACCATAAAACTTACCCTTTTAAAGTGTACAATTCCATGAATTTTAGTATATTTAGAGTTGGGCAACCACCACCACAATCAATTTTAGGACATTTTCCTCAAAAAAAAAAAAAAAAAAAAAAAAAAAACCCACACCCCTTAACCGTCACCCCCCACATTCTGTCCTTCCACACCCTGGCAACCACTACTCAGTTTTCTTTCTCTGTGCATTTGCCTTTTCTGAACATTGATATAAATGAAATCCTAGACTGTGTGGCCTTTCGTGTCTGGCTTCTTCACTTAGTATAATATTTTCAAGGTTTATCCATGTTGTAACATATCAGTATTCATTCCTGTTTATGGCTGAATATATTTCATTCTGTGAATAATACCACATTTTTGTTTACATTCATCAGGTAATGTTTATATACTTTCTGGCTATTTAAATTATATTGCTATGAATGTTTGTCTACAAGATTTTATGTGCCACGTAAGTTTTTAGTTTCCTTGGGTATATAACTAAAAGTGCATAAACTTTTTATGCTAAAATTACTTTTTTCCCCACGCATTACCAAATTTTATTTTTTTACAGGTAACTTTTTTTCTTTCTGAACAAAGACCTTTGTTATGTCATTCCCAATCTTTTGGTATAAGGCAATCTTTTTAAGGGTCAAAAGTTTCTCAAAGTCTGTGTTTACAAGTTTTATTTTTAATATCTATTAGACGATAAAATGCATGATAGCTATCATAGAGTAGTGTGTATATGTATGAGATACATATGGCCTTATGAACAAAATTTTGGTGGAAACTGTCTATTTTGTTTTTTTGTTGAGATGGAGTCTCGCCCTTGTTGCCCAGGCTGGAGTGCAATGGTGCGATCTTGGCTCACTGCAACCTCCATCTCCCTGGTTCAAGGGATTCTCCTGCCTCAGCCTCCTGAATAGCTGGGATTACAGGTGCCCACCACCAAGCCCGGCTAATTTTTGTATTTTTAGTAGAGATGGGATTTCACTATGTTGGCCAGGCTGGTCTCGAACTCCTGACCTCAGGTGATCTGCCCGCTTCGGCCTCCCAAAGTGCTGGGGTTACTGGCACCCAGCGTATTTTGTTTTATATGTTGTTTTCATCTTTGCCTTTTTTTTTTTTGAGACAGGGTCTCACTCCATCGCCCAGGCTAGAGTGCTGTGGAGCCGTCATGGCTTACTGCAGTCTCAACCTCTTGGGCTGAAGTGCTCCTCCCATCTCAGCCTCCTGAGTAGTTGAGACTATAGGCACACACCACCACACCCAGCTGATTTTTAAAATTTTTTGTTGAGACACGCTATGTCGCCCAGGCTGGTCTTAAACTCCTGGGCTCTAGCAGTCCTCCCAAAGTGCTGGGATTTCCGCTGTGAGCCACAGTGCCTGGCCTGTTTGCTTTTTTAGTTCCTCTCCTCCTAAGCTTCATGACATTCGGGACTATTATCTTTTTTGTTAATCTTACATTTCTAGCACCCTAGTGCCTAGCACCTAGTGGGTATTCCAGAAATGATTGTTGAGTGAATATTAACATATCAGATGGGTTTTTAATTTCCTGTATTTTCTTTTTTTTTTTTGAGACAGAGTCTCACTCTGTCACCAGGGCTGGAGTGCAGTGGCATGATCTCGGCTCGTTGCCACCTCCGCCTCCTGGGTTCAAGTGATTCTCCTGCCTCAGCCTCCTGAGTAGCTGGGATTACAGGCGCCTGCCATTAAGCCCAGCTAATTTTTTGTATTTTTAGTAGAGACGGGGTTTCACCATGTTGGCCAGGCTGCTCTTGAACTCCTGACCTCGTGATTCACCTGCCTCGGCCTCCCAAAGTGCTGGGATTACAGGCGTGAGCTACTGTGCCTGGCCAACTGAATTTCCTGTATTTTCATAGTGAGAGGGTATGAAATGTTTTTCTCCTCCCTAAATGTTGATGTTGGGCAACAAAGTCCAGCTATACTTTCAAATAATTTCCCTAATAGCAGTGGTTATTTTTTCCTTATTAAAGTGAACTGTAGGAGCTATTAGGTGAGTCCTAGAGTCATAGTGCCACAGATGATAGTTTCCTGTATACCTTATGATAATGTCAGGGGCTGGTATTCCAGTAGAACTATTCTTTCTGGACTCTCCATCCCAGAATACAACAAAATAGATTTGTTCATTTCCATTTCTATGTTTTGTTCATTTTTTAATGCCCACAATTTATTAGCTATTATTAAGGCATCTTTTTTTTTCATTTAAAATAAATTTTGGGCTGGGCGTGGTAGCTCATGCCTGTAATCCCAGCACTTTGGGAGGCCGAGGCCTGTGGATTACTTGAGGTCAGGAGTTTGAGACCAGCCTGGCCAACATAGTGAAACCCTGTCTCTACTAAAAATACAAAAAATTAGCCAGGGGTGATGGTGGGCGCCTGTAATCGCAGCTCTCGGGAGGCTGAGGCAGGAGAATTGCTTGAACCTGGGAGGCAGAGGTTGCAGTAGGCCAAGATTGCGCCATTGTACTCCAGCTTGGGCAACAGAGCGAGACTCCATCTCAAAAAAAAAAAAAAATTATGTTTGTCTTTGTTTTATAGAATGATTTGAGAGAACGCTTCAGTGCAGCCAGCAGTGCTTCCAAAATTTTGCAGGAACGAATTGAAGAAATGAGAACAAGCAGTAAAGAAAAAGACAATACCATCATTCGACTAAAATCTAGACTGCAAGATTTAGAAGAAGCATTTGAGAATGCTTACAAACTCTCAGATGATAAAGAAGCTCAACTAAAACAAGAGAACAAAATGTTTCAAGATGTAAGTAGCGAATAATAGTAACTTAATGACGTGATTGGCTAAAAGTAATTTAGGTATTATACTCTTACAAGTGATTATGACTTTCTAGGCTTATTTTATTATTTATTGATTTATTTTGAGACAGAGTCTCACTCTGACACCCAGGCTGGAGTGCAGTGGCAGGAGCTCAACTCACTGCAGCCTCCACCTCCCGGGCTCAAGAGATCTTCTCGCCTCAGCCTCCCAAGTAGCTGGAATTACAGGAGCCCACCACTGCGCCCGGCTAATTTTTGTATTGTTAGTAAAGACAGGGTTTCCCCATGTTGGCCTGGCTGGTCTCGAACTCCTGACCTCAGGTGATCCGCCCGCCTCAGCCTCCCAAAGTCCTGGGATTACAGGTATCAGCCACTATGTCCGGCCTTTATTTTAGTTTTACATAACTTTGCAGCAACTGTGAATATGTACCTTCCTGATGGAGTCAATTGGGTCTTGCTTTGCAGCACGAAGTCAGATACTTAGAACGATGGCATCACTCCCATATCTTTTCTGTTTCTAGCAGGTCAACTTAAAAAAAAAAAAAAAACTGTGTCTGCATCAGGTCAACTTTCAAGCTATCTTAACATTTGTGTGTCTGGCAGGATAAAATGCTATGAACAGATTTAGAGCAAGTTTGATTAAATTTTTTCACTTTGATATAATTTCACTTAAAATTTGGATTTGTATAACATTGAAACCAGATTAGGTTTCAGGTTGCTTATTTTTTTCTAAATTTTTCTTTCTTTTTGTTCTTAGAAACAGGGTCTCGCCATGTTGCCCAGGCTGGCCTCAAGCTCTTGGGCTCAAGCATTCTCCTTTCAGCCTTCTGAGTAGCTGGGTCTACACGTGTGTGCCACTGCACCTGGCTTCTAAATTTTTCTTAACATCGTTTTTCAGGATATTACAATACATGAGTAATCTGAAAGTATTTAGGCTGTTGAAATTTTCTGATTGCTTTAGATTTGCATCTCATGAAAAACAGCAGTCTTCCCTACCTACCTTTTAGTATCCTACCCTAGAGGCTGTTACTTTCAGCTCTTTTAGCTATTTCTTCTAGCATTTTCCTCCATGTTTACAAATAATATTCTTATATTGCACTCTCATTTTTTTTTCCATCTATTTCAGACATACTGACTTTCTCCCATGCAGGGTCACAGTGTGGCTTTCTTACACCATTTGCTGCAACACAGACACTTCTCCTGCTCCTTCCCATGTGGTTCGTGTGTGTGTGTGTGTGTGTGTGTGTGTGTGTGTGTGTGTGTATATATATATATTTTTTTTTTTTTTTTTTTTTTTTTTGAAAGACAATCCCTCTCTGTCGCCCAGGCTGGAGTGCAGTGGCGTGATTTTGGCTCACTACAAACTCTGCCTCCCAGGTTCAAGCAATTCTCCTGCCTCAGCCTCCTGAGTAGCTGGGAGTACAGGCGCGTGCCACCAGCTAATTTTTGTATTTTTAGTAGAGATGTGATTTCACCATGCTGGCCAGGCTGGTCTCGATTTCTTGACCTCTTGATCCGCCCACCTGAGTGCGGGATTACAGGCCTGAAGCAGTATTTTTTTCTTTTAGTAATTTGTAAAATAATGGTGTGATATATAATCAATGGTGTCTTAAAATGGAAATTATACATCATTTATTACAGCTGTATAAATATTGTTCACAGTTAAGCTATGGTGGTATACTGTAATTACATATTACATTTCCTTTTCTCTCTGTTTTTTTTTTTTTTTTTTTTTTTTTTTTTGAGACGGTGTCTCACTCTGTTGCCCAGGCTGGAGTGCAGTGGTGCGATCACAGCTTACTGAAGCCTCAACCTCCGCGGGCTCAGGTGATTCTTCCACCTTGGCTTCCAAAGTTGCTAGGACCATAGGCACATGCCACTATGCCCTGACAATTATTTAACTTTTTTTTTTTTTTTTGAGATGGAGTCTTGCTTGGTTGCCCACGCTGGAGTGCAGTGGCATGATCTTGACTCACTGCAACCTCTGCCTCCCGGGTTCAAGTGATGCTTCTGCCTCAGCCTCCTGAGTAGCTGGGATTACAGGTGCACGCCACCACACTTGGCTAATTTTTGTATCATTGGTAGAGACAGGGTTTCGCCATGTTGCCCAGGCTGGTCTCAAACTCCTGGGCTCAAGCGTTCCTCCTGCCTCAGCCTCTCAAAGTGCAGGGATTACAGGGATTACAGGCATGTGCCACTGCACCCAGCCTTTTTCTCATTAAGCTTTTACCTCCTAGTTTTAGCTTCCATTGAGGAGTCTTGCCTGAAAGAAGCATGTACTGTGGTGTGTTTTTCTAATTCTGTATTCCTTCTGCATTTGACTGAAAGGAGCTTCCCTCTTTCCTTGACTTATTTATT
Organism: Homo sapiens; assembly: GCF_000001405.40. Classification (NCBI taxonomy): domain Eukaryota; kingdom Metazoa; phylum Chordata; class Mammalia; order Primates; family Hominidae; genus Homo; species Homo sapiens. The sequence continues at coordinate 123,192,013 of NC_000012.12, read as the reverse complement.
ATTTGCCTTTAGAGACAGGTCCTTGCCCTGTTGCCCAGCCTGGAGTAAGCAATCCTTCTGCCTTAGCCTCCTGAGTAGCTAGGATACTACTACTAAAGTGCATGTCCTTTCTTTGTTATATCAGTAAAGAAGATTGATGGATTCTTATTTTACTCAGTGGATTGCGGTTCTTTACCATGATTATTTTGATACTCATGGTGTCCCAAGTTTGGCCAGTGGGAGACATGTCAGACTGGTCCCGTGTCCTTTTGACTTGCTTTTGTCATTCTTTGAGCATGTCCATATTTCCTGGCACAGCACTATGTTCCAGGCTCATCTTGTACTTTTCCAAGCTCCAGTCCTAGAATCAGTCTCATTTTTTCTGTTGAGTTCTGGTTCCTTTTCATGGAAAATGGTATTCAGACATTAAGATCTGGTGCTAGGCTGAGTGTGATGGCTCATGCCTGTGATCCCAGCACTTTGGGCAGCCGAGGCGGGCAGATCACCTGAGGTCAGCAGTTCGAGACCAGCCTGGCCAACACGGTAAAACCCTTGCCTCTATTAAAAATAAAAAACATTAGCTAGGCGTGGTGATGCACGCCTGTAGTCCAAGCTACTCAGGGTGCTGAGGCAGGAGAATCACTTGAACTGGTACTGAGTATGTTCATTGCTACTGGGATGTCATTGTTTCTTTTTCTTTTTCTTTATTTTTGGAGACGAAGTTTCATTCTTGTTGCCCAGGCTGGAGTGCAATGGTGCAATCTCAGCTCACCACAACCTCCGCCTCTCAGGTTCAAGTGATTCTCCTGCCTCAGCCTCTTGAGTAGCTGGGATTTCAGGCATGTGCCACCATGCCCGGCTAATTTTGTATTTTTGATAGAGATGGGGTTTCTCCATGTTGGTCAGGCTGGTCTCGAACTCCCGACCTCAAGTGATCCACCTGCCTCAGCCTCCCAAAGTGCTGAGATGACAGGCATGAGCCACCGCGCCTGGCCTGGGATGTTATTGTTTCTAATTATTCACAAACCCACCACAGTTATGTTTGAGCAGCAATCAAGCAGCAAAGGATAGCTAGAATGTGTTGTTTTTAGCTGAAATTGTATTAATGTAGACAGTGATACACTGACTTTGCATTTATCATATACAACATTTCAAGCATACAGAAAAGTATAGAGAGTAATATAACAAATACCGTTCTAGCCTTCTCTAGATAGAGTGAAACACTGTCTTCTATTCCTCTCTTCCCCACCCTAGAGGTACTCACTTTGTTAAATGTGCTCTGTTATCCTCATGCAGTTCTTTTTGCTTTTACTACATATGCCTGTGTTTGTAAACAATATTTAGTAATGTTTTATGTGTTCTTAAGCAATGTATGAATTGTATTGCATTGCATATATCCTGCTGCAACCTGGTTTTTCCCTTTCAACATTGTTTCTGAGATTTGCCATGTTGACACATTCAGCTTTTATTGATTCATTTTAATTTAAACATTTACATTTGAAATATCTTAGGTACATAAAAAGATATAGAGAATAATATAATGTACATATGAATCCACCACCTATTTTAAGAAATAAAATACTCCGGCCGGGTGTGGTGGCTTGCACCTGTAATCCCAGTACTTTGGGAGGCCAAGGCAGGTGGATCAGAGTCAGGAGATCAAGACCATCCTGGCTAACACGTTGAAACCCCGTCTCTACTAAAAATACAAAAAATTAGTTGGGCGTGGTGGTGGGCGCCTGTAGTCCCAGCTACTCGGGAGGCTGAGGCAGGAGAATGGTGTAAACCCAGGAGGCGGAGCTTTCAGTGAGCTGAGGTAGCGCCACTGCACTCCAGCCTGGGCGACAGAGCGAGACTCCATCTCAAAAAAAAAAAAAAGAGAAATAAAATACTACAAAATGCAGTTGACATCCCCTGTGCACCCTTTTCTGATCACTTCTGTCTTCCTGGGAGTAACTGATCTAAATTGTGTGAATATCATTACCTTGTCTTTGTATGGTCACATGTGTATGTATGTATCCTTAGTGTTACTTCTTTGGCGTATCTTGAAACTTTTATAAATACTATCAATACTTATTTTTGTTTTTGTTTTTTTTTTTGAGATGGAGTCTCGCTCCATTGCCCAGGCTGGAGTGCAGTGGCACCATCTCGGCTCACTGCAAGCTCCGCCTCCCGGGTTTGTGCCATTCTCCTGCCTCAGCCTCCCTAGTAGCTGGGACTACAGGTGCCCGCCACCACACCTGGCTGATTTTTTTGGTATTTTTAGTAGAGACGGGGTTTCACCGTGTTAGCCAGGATGGTCTCGATCTCCTGACCTCGTGATCCGCCCGCCTCGGCCTCCCAAAGTGCTGGGATTACAGGGGTGAGCCACCGTGCCCGGCCTTAATACTGTCTTTAATGTTATGCAACTTTTTTCACTTGTGAGATTCACCTAACTGGATACATGTAGTAGTAGCACAACTTCATTTCTGTTTATTCCTGTGTCGTCCATCATGTGGCTCTTCCATAGTATATTTATCCACTTTCCTTTTGCCAGTTTGTCATTGCTGTTAGGAGCAATGCTACTATGAACATTTCTTCTATGTGGCTCCTTATGCCAATGTGTGCAAGCGCCTCTAGGGTATTGTTCTAGCTGCCATAGCTCCAAAACTCATAACCTCAAATCTTGACATATTCTGTTCGTGGACTCTGTTGTTCAGGAGCTTGCACTGGGCCCAGCAGGGACAGCCTGTCTGCTCTGCAGTGTCTAGGACCTCAGCTCAAAACTTAAGGACTGGGAGCTGGAATCTTCTGAAGGGCATGTTCCATCATGAATGGTGGCTGTCAGCTAAGGCCACAGTTCCTCTCTATGTGGTTAGGTTGGGTTTCTTTGCAACATGATGGCTTACTACTAAGGACAAGAGTCCTGAAAGAGCATCCCAACAGCTACATTTACATTGCCTTTTATGACCTTGCCTTGGAAACTGTACAGCATCACTTGTACCACATTCTATTTTTTTGAGACAGAGTCTTGCTCTGTCATTCAAGCTGGAGTGTAGTGGCATGATTATAGCTTACTGGAGCCTTGAAGTTCTGGGCTCAAGTGATCTTCCTGCCTCAGCCCTCTGAGTAGCTAGGACTATAGGCATACGCCACCACACCTGGCTAATTATTTATTTTTATGTTTACTCTTTATTTTATTTTTTTGAGAAGGAGTTTTGCTTTTGTTGCCCAGGCAGGAGTGCAGTGGCGCTATCTCGGCTCACTGCAACCTCTGCCTCCCAGGTTCAAGCGATTCCCCTGCCTTAGCCTACCATGTAGCTGGGAGTACAGGTGTGCACCACCATGCCTGGCTAATTTTTTGTATTTTAGTAGAGATGGGTTTTCACAGTTTTTGCCAGGGTGGTCTCGATCTCCTGACCTCAGGTGATCCGCCCACCTCAGCCTCCCAAAGTGCTGGGATTACAGGCGTGAGCCACCGTGCCTGGCCTCTATTCTATTTTTTAAACAATTCCAAAGTCCTGCATAGGTTCAAGGGGAGGGAAAATGGATACCATCTCTTAATGGAACACAGCAAGGTTCTGCAAGAGCTTATGGGTCTGGAAATATTGCTGTGGCTGTTACTGGGAAATATAGCCTGTTATAATAGTCTCTTTCTCTGAATGCAGTGGTTGGGACATAGAATATGAGCTTTGTTATCTTTTTTAGATATTGCTAAATTGCTCTCTGAAATGGTTGTACCAGTTTATTTTCCTGCCAGTAGTGTATGATAATTCTTATTTTTCTAGATTATTTCCAGTGCTTGGTATTGTCAAGCCTTTTAATTTTTCAAGTGTGATTAAGAGGAAATGGTTATACGTATTGCATCCATCTTCTTTTGGTATTTTTATGGGATACAAGTTTTGGGTGTTTTTTGTTTGTTTGTTTTTGAGATGGAGTCTTGCTCTTGTTGTACAGGCTGGAGTGCAATGGCGCAATCTTGGTTCACTGCAACCTCTGCCTCCCGGCTTCAAGCAATCTCTTGCCTCAACCTCCTGAATAGCTGGGATTACAGGCACCCACCACCATGCCTCACTAATTCTTTTTGTATTTTTACTAGAGACAGTTTCACCATGTTGGCCAGGCTGGTCTTGAACTCCTGAACTCAGGTGATTCACCCGCCTCAGTCTACCAAAGTGTTGGGATTACAGGTGCGAGCCACGGCGCCCAGCCCAGAATTACCTCTTACGTAATATATGGTATGAGTAGGAATTGAACTTGATCCTCCCTGCCTCCAATGATTAACCAGTTGTCCCAGAATCATTTTTAAATAGATTTTCCTTCCCTTACTGACTTCTGTTGTACATTTTATTTCCTTCTCGTGTAAATCTCCTTTGAGGCTCTGAGCTGTTCCATTGGTCTGTCTCTGAATTGGAACCACATCATGTAAATTATTAGTATTTTATAACAAGTGTTGATTTTTGGTGCCATTTCCTTATCTCGTTTTTTTGCTCTTGTAAAAATTATTTTGCCTATTTCTTGGCTTTGTTTTGTTTCATACAAATATTACTGTCAGCATGCCACTCTGCTTTCGATTGGAATTGCACTGAATTTACAGATTTATTTGGAGACAGCTGAGACTTGAAATATTGATTCTTCCCATACATGAACGTGGTTTAAATCTCAAGTATTTTTCTTTTTTAAAAATTAAGGCCTTTTACATCCTTTGTTCATTTTTTTCTCGAGGTATATCATATTCTAGTATTTATGTATTTCTAAATAATGTACTGATATTGTTCGTTCGTTCTTTTTTTTTGAGACAGAGTTTCGCTTTTATTGCCCAAGCTGGAGTGCAATGGCGCAATCTTGGCTACTGCGGCCTCTGCCTCCTGGGTTCAAGTGATTCTCCTACCTCAGCCTACCAAGTAGCTGGGATTATAGGCGAGCACCACAACACCCGGCTAGTTTTTTGTATTTTTGGTAGAAACAGGGTTTCACCATGTTAGCCATGGCTGGTCTCGGACTCCTGACCTCAGGTGATCTGCCCGCCTCAGCCTCCCAAGGTGCTGGGATTACAGGCGAGAGCCACTGCGCCTGGCCTCTTTCTTTCCTTTTTGAGATGGAATCTTGTTCTGTCGCCCAGGCTGGAGTGCAGTGGCATGATCTTGGCTCACTGCAACCTCCACTTCCTGGGTTCAAACAATTCTCTTGCCTCAGCCTCCTGAGTAGCTGGGGTTACAGGCGCGTGCCACCATGCCTAGCTAATTTTTGCATTTTTAGTAGAGATGAGATTTCACCATATTGGCCAGGCTGACCTCGAAATCCTGACCTCAAGTGATCCACTTGCCTCAGCCTCATGAAAGGCTGGGATTACAGGAATGAGCCCCTGTGGCTGGCTCGATATTGTTATTTCTTAAATTTTACATATTATCTATAATTGTGGTGGGTGAAGATCTAGGTCCTAGCTGAAGATGAAGATCTAGATCCTAACTGTGATTCTGGGTGTATGTTTTCTTCAGATTTGAAGGCTTTGTTTTATTGCCTATGACATGATCAATTCTTTTCCTTTCTCTCCCCTCCCATGGCTTTCAAAGTTTCAAGCCTGCAGAAAAATTGTAAGAATGATACAATGAAAACCCTTGTATATTCTTTACCTAGATTTACCAGTTGTGAGTATCTTACAGCATTGCTTTGTCTTCATAGAGATATAAACTTTTTTCTTTTGCTGAACTATATTTGAGAGTAAATTAGACACTATGATAATTTACCCTTAAATACCTCAATAGGTATCTCTGAAGAACAGAGATATTCTCCTGTGTAATCTCTTTTTTTTTTTTTTTTTTTTTTTTGAGACGGAGTTTTGCTCTTATTGCCCAGGCTGGAGTGCAATGGCACGATCTCAGCTCACCACAACCTCCGCCTCCCGGGTTCAAGCAATGCTCCCGCCTCAGCCTCCCAAGTAGCTGAGATTACAGGCGCACACCACCCCATGCCCAGCTAATTTTTGTATTTTTAGTAGAAACGGGGTTTCACCATGTTGGTCAGGCTGGTCTCGAACTCCTGACCTCGTGATCCACCCGCCTCGGCCTCCCAAAGTGCTAAGGATTACAGGCTTGAGCCACCATGCCCGGCCTCTCCTGTGTAATCTCAATGTACTTTTCATCCTCAGGAAATTTAACATTGATATAATACTAATATGTAAATACATTCTGTCTATATTCAAATGTTGCCAGTTGTCTAAATAATATCCTTTATAGATGTATTGTTTTTTGCTTTTTAATCCAGAATCCAATCAAGGATCACACATTGCATTTATTGTTATCATTTCTTTGAGACAGGATCTCACTCTGTCACCCAGGCTGGAGTACAGTAGGCATATTCATAGCTCACTGCAGCCTCAACCTCCAGGGCTCAAGTGATCCTCTTACCTCAGCCTCTCCGACTGCTGAGACTACAGACACTACAGGCTATCACACCTGGCTAATTTTATTTTTTTGTAGAGATGCGGTCTCACTATGTTGCTCTTGCTGGTCTCCAACTCCTGAGCTCAAGCGATACTCCCACACTGGCCTCCCAAAGTGCTGGGATTACAGGCATGAGCCAATGTGCCTGGCCCACATTGCATTTAGTAATCATGTTTCTCATTCCTTTCTAATGTGGTTCTTTTTTTCTCTTTCTGGAAGTTTTTTAGGATCATCTTTTTATCCTTGGTATGCCGAAATTTTGTAACAATATTTTTTTTTTTTTTAGTTTCTAACAACTCTTTTTCTGATTGATCATTTTTAATAGCTTTCTATTCCTGTTTTGAATCTAATGTTGTTATTTCTTTGAGAATATTATGGCTTCCATTGGACTGTTTCTGTAGTTTTCATTATTCTGAGTTAAGCTTTTGTTTTCATTTGAAGTATCTTTCATATTTAATGTCTTTTTCCAAGTGTTGGTTCTTTTGCAGGCTCACATTTAAGAGGCACTAGGCTGGGTGTGGTGGCTCACGCCTATAATCTCAGTGCTTTGGGAGGCTGAGACGGGTGGATCACTTGAGGCCAGGAATTTGAGACCAGCCTGGCCAACATGGTGAAACCCTGTCTCTACTAAAACTACAAAAATTAGCTGGGTGTGATGGTGCACATCTATAATCCCAGCTACTCGGGAGGCAGAAGCATGAGAATTGCTTGAACCCAAGAAGTGGAGATTGCAGTGAGTTGAGATCACACCACTGCACACCAGCCTGGGTGACAGAGTGAGACTCTGTCTCAAAAGATAAAAATTAAATTAAATAGGCCGGGCACGGTGGCTCATGCCTGTAATCCCAGCACTTTGGGAGGCCGAGGCGGGTAGATCACAAGGTCAGGAGATGGAGACCGTCCTTGCTAACATGGTGAAACCCCGTCTCTACTAAAAATACAAAAAAATTAGCTGGGCGTGGTAGCGGATGCCTGTAGTCCCAGCTACTCAGGGGACTGAGGCAGGAGAATGGCGTGAACCCGGGAGGCGGAGCTTGCAGTGAGTAGAGATCACGCTACTGCACTCCAGCCTGGGCGACAGAGCAAGACTCCATCTCAAGAAAAAAAAAAAAAATTAAATTAAAGCGAAGCAGTATAAAAAGCTATTGAAAGACTCTTAAGTGTATGGATGGGACTTAGTTCCTGGTAGCCTTCATTTTCAGGCGATTGTAGAGTCATGCACCAGCCATTTTGTTAGGGGACCTCCAGATGTGAATGTTTAGAAGGTTTTTTTTCTGGGGTTGTTCAGTTTTCGTAAAGACAGGTCTTACAGTCTCTTGCCTGGGACCTATCAGTCAGATTCTGGCAGTGGAGGAGGGGGAGGTCACCTTTTTTCAAAAGAAAATTATTTGTTAATATATTTATTTTAGAGACAGGTCTCACCTTGTCACCGAGACTGGAGTGCAGTGGTGTGATCATAGCTCACTGCATCTTCAAACCCCTGGGCTCGAGGAATCTTCCTGCCTCAGCCTCCCCAGTAGCTGGGACTACAGGCACATGCCACCAGACCTGGCTAATTTTTAAATTTTTTGTAGAGATGGGGTCTTGCTATATTGCGCAGGCTGGTCTCCAACTCCTGGGCTCAAGTAATCTTCCTCGGCCTCTCAAAGTGCTATGATTATAGGTGTGACCTGCCCTGGGTGTTTTTGAAGTCTTTTACTTTGTCATTTTCTCTTTATCCTCTGCCTCCCACTCCACTATTATCCTTGGATTTCCAAAGTTCCATTTTTCTCCCCATTCATTTTCTCCTGCTGTCCTGCCACCTGGCTGAACAGTCTACTGCTGTATGGGATGTGTCCTGGGCTCTGATTACTTAAGGAATTTCAACCAGTTTTCTGTGGTCAGCCCTGTGCCTCAACCCTGTCCATCTCTAAACCTGGGTTTCAAGGTGGGCATCTCTCACAGTTATGCTGACATCAGCCTGCTTTTCATCAGCATTTCTGGATTCAGGCACTTGGGGTTGTATCCACTTCCACCCTGCTAAGGCACTTTTTTCCTTTTTCTTTTTTTTTTTTTTTTTTTTTTTGAGACAGAGTCTTGCTCTGTCACCTTGGCTGGGGTGCAGTGGCACCATCTCGGTTCACTGCAACCTCTGCCTTCCAAGTTCAAGCAATTTTCCTGCCTCAGCCTCCTGAGTAGCTGGGACTACAGGCACGTGCCACCACACCTGACTAATTTTTGTATTTTTAGTAGAGACGGGGTTTCGCTATGTTAGCCAGGCTGGTCTTGAACTCCTGACCTCAGATGATCCACCTGCCTCGGCCTCCCAAAGTGCTGAGATTACAGGTGTGAGCTACCACGCCCGGCCAGCACTTTGTTTCTTTTCAATTTTCTAAGACTTTATTGAAATCTCTCACCTGTTACTGTCACCTCGTTTGTTTTCTCTTTAATTTCTTCATTGTTAGTTTAGTGGACTCTGAGGGTGAAGAGAAGAAAATTCTGTTATTAATTTGTCATCTTTAACCAGAAATCTCACATATGTGTTCTTATATTTATTTATTTTTATTTTTTAAAATATTTTTGGTAGAGACGGAGTTTTACCATATTGGCCAGGCTGGTCTTGAACTCCTGACCTCAAGTGATCCACCTGCCTCAGCCTCCCAAAGTGCTGGGATTACAGGCGTCAGCTACCACGCCCGGCCTCTTATTTATTTATTTTTGAGACAAGATGTCACTCTGTCACCCAGGCTGGAGTGCGGTGGTGCCCTCTCAGCTCACTACAACCTACGCCTCCTGGGTTCAAGCAGTTCTCCCACCTCAGCCACCCAAGTAGGCAGGATTACAGGCACGCGCCACCACACCCAGCTAATTTTTTTGTATTTTTAGTAGAGACAAGGTTTCGCTATGTTGGCCAGGCTGGTCTCGAACTCCTGACCTCAAGTGATCCACCCACCTTGGCCTCCCACAGTGCTGGGATTACAGGCATGAGCCACCATGCCCAGCCTCACATATATATATTTTTAAATAAAGACTTTGGCATTGTGCTTTTACTAGGTAGAACTAATTTAGCAAAAAGTAATATACAATAGGCCAGGCGTGGTGGCTCAAGCCTGTAATCCCAGCACTTTGGCAGGCCAAGGCATGTGGATCACTTGAGGTCAGGAGTTTGAGACAAGCCTGGCCAACATGATGAGACGCCATCTAATACAAAAATTAGCTGAGCATGGTGGCATACGCCTGTAATCCCAGCTACTTGGGAAGCTGAGGTGGGAGAATTGCTTGAACCCAGGAGGCAAAGTTTGCAGTGAGCTGAGAACACGCCACTGCACTTCAACCTAGGTGATGGAGCAAGACTCCATCAAAAAAAAAAAACAAAAAAAAAAACACAAAAAAAACACCGGGCATGATGGCTCACGCCTGTAATCCTAGCACTTTGGGAGGCTGAGGCGGGCGGATCATGAGGTCAAGAGATCAAGACCATCCTGGCCAACATGGTGAAACCCCGTCTTTACTAAAAATACAAAAATTAGCCGGGCATGGTGGCGTGCGCCTGTAGTCCCAGCTACTCGGGAGGCTGAGGCAGGAGAATTGCTTGAACCCGGGAGGCAGAGGTTGCAGTGAGCCACTGTACTCCAGCCTGGCGACAGAGCGACTCCATCTAAAGAAAAAAAAAAAAAGTAATAGTTCCAAAAAGAGCAATGCAAATTTTAGTCTTTTAAAATACTTACATGGTATTGATATTTTATTTTGAGACAGGGTCTCGCTCTGTGGCCCAGGCTAGAGTGCAGTGGTGCAATCTCACTGCAAGCCTCACTACAAGCTCACTGCAGTCTCAACCTCCCAGGCTCAAGTGAGCCTCCTGAGTCTGTAAGCATATATCCCCATGTTCAGCTATTTTTTTTTAAGACGGGGTCTCTCTTTGTCCCCCAGGTTAGAGTACAGTGGCACGATCATAGCACACTGTAGCCTTGAACTCTTGAGCTTTCAGGCTCAAGCAATACTTCCACCTCAGCCTCCCAAAGTGCTAGGATTACAGGCGTGAGCCACCGAGCCCAGCTTTTGTTTTTTTTTTGTTTTTGTTTTTGTTTTTGAAGAGACGAGGTCTCGCTCTGTTCCCTAGGTTGGTCTCCAGCTCCTAGCCTCAAGTGATCCTCTGTCCTCAGCCTCCCAAAGTGTTGAGATTATGGGTGTGAGCCACCGCATCCAGCTTTATTTTGAAATAATATCAAATGTACAGAAACCATTCCAGAAATTGAGAATTGTCCCATTCCCTTTACATTGAATCACCAGTTCTCTATTGACCTTTCTCTTTCATGACATTGGCATTTTTGAAGGCTATAGGCAGTTATTTTGTAGACTGTACCTCAGTTGATAGAATAACGTTTAATTTTGTGGTATAATTTTTTTTTGTTTTTCCTTGTAGCTTTTAGGAGAGTATGAGTCCCTTGGAAAAGAACACAGGAGAGTAAAGGTAAGGGGTAATGGTTCATGTTCTAGATTTCATGCAGAGGCAGAAACATTGGATTGGGAATCAAGGGATCTGACTCTTCTCCTCCTTGCACCCCTTCCTGAACCTCCGTAGCTGTTGAACTGGAACCTTGCTTATCCTGTTTCAGTATCCTTATTTTCAAATACCTGCCCCATTTAACTCACAAGTTTGTTAGATTCATTAATCTGACAAATATTTATTGAATGGCTATTGCATTTGAAATGAAATTGTTCAAAAGAGTATAAGGTACCATACAGATGCAAATTATTATTTAATACTGTTTGTTTTGTGACACCCAGGTTGGAGTGCAGTGGTGTGATCTCGGCTCACCACAACCTCTGCCTCCTGGGTTCAAGCGATTCTTCTGCCTTAGCCTCCTGAGTAGCTGGGATTACAGGTGTGCGCCACCATGCCCAGCTAATTTTTATATTTTTAGTAGAGACAGGATTTCACCATGTTGGCCAGGCTGGTCTCCAGTTCCTGACCTCAAGTGGTCCACCTGTGTCAGCCTCCCTGAGTGCTGGGATTATGGGCATGAGCCACTGCACCCAGCCATTTAATACTGATTAAATATCAAGCTTTGATTTTCACTGCATTAGCTTTTGGTAGGGTTGAGTTTATCAATTATGTTTGAATTCTTTTTGAAAGCTCTGTTTGGAGACTACATATTTGCATTCAGTAAAACCCTTCGACGATGGTGTAAGTGGGGCCCAAGTATTTCTGTTGCATAGAATGGAGGGTTGTGGTTATTGAAGCTCAGCAAAAAGGCCTGCATAGCTTGGCTGCCAAAGCATTCTGAGGGTTCGGGAGCAGATCCCATGATATCTAAATCTCATTGAAAATATTTGTTTTACCATCCTTCTGAGGTTTTAGTCAAGTTATTTTAACACTGATTTGTTTCTAATTAAGCAAAGTATAAAGGGCTGTATCTGTTACCCAGGGGACTTACACAGAGGGACTTGTGTAGGCCGGTGCTTTGCTCTCATTTGTTTTCCTTGAACTGTTGGTCCTGGCTGTATGGTTGATGCCATACTTGCTGAGTATGGTTTGTAGCTAGTTGGTTTAGCCTTAGATTCATTTTCTTTTATGCATTTTAAAATAATTCATGTGAATATTTGTCTTCAGTTATCTGAATTTCTCCTTTATTTCCATAGGATGCATTAAATACAACTGAGAACAAATTGCTTGATGCATATACTCAGATTTCTGATTTGAAAAGGTAAAATGTATTAACTTACTAATGTACACATACCTCAATTGTTCTTTTATGTGTCTGTATTGAACATGATGAGAAGGAAGTTTTTCTTGAGGATTTTTAAGCAGTTTGAGAACTAGTTTTGTCTTAATTTTCCCTTGACATGGAAATAGGTTTCATTTTAGCCAAACAAGATTTCTTCTCTCTCTCTCTCTTTTTTTTTTTTTTTTTTTAAAGAGACAGGGTCTCACTATGTTGCCTAGATTGGCTGTGAATTCCTGGGCTCAAGCAGTCTTCCTGCCTTGGCTTCCTGAATAGTTGGGACTACAGGCACTCATCATCATGCCTGGCTGATTTTTTGTTGTTGTTGTTGTTGATACAGAGTCTTACTCTGTCACGCAGGCTGGAGTGCAGTGGCACAATCTTGGCTCACTGCAACCTCCTCCTCTTGGGTTCAAGCAATTCTCCTGCCTCAGCCTCCCGAGTAGCTGGGACTACAGGAGTGTACCACCACACCCAGCTAATTTTTTGTATTTTTGATAGAGACAGGGTTTCGCCATGTTGGCCAGACTGGTCTTGAACTCCTGACCTCAAGTGATCCGCCTGCCTCGGCTTGCCAAGGTGCTGGGATTCAGGCATAAGCCACGGAGCCCGGCAAGCCTGGCTGATTTTTAAAAACTTTTTTTAGAAGTAAGATCTTGCTGTGTTGCCCTGACTGGTCTCAGATCTCTCGACCTCAAGTGATCCTCTCGTCTCATCCACAAAAAGTGCTGGGATTACAGGCATGCGCTACTGCACCTGGCTTCAAACAACATGTTTTAAGTAATTAAAATGTACTGATGGTTGTGCCTCAGAGGTGGATATTTTCCCAAACATTATGTATTTTCTCAGCATAGGTTAAAATCCAAATGATATTTAACCACTGGCAAGAACTTTAAGAAGCAGCCTAGTTCACAGAATTATTTTGGTGCTTCAAAAAGAAAACAGCATTAACACCAAAATTATGGTCATCTACTTTCAGAAAGACCGGTTGGAGACTGTATTAATGATCTGATTTGTTTAATTAGGTAGGGACAGAATCGTAAATGGTAGTATCCATTGCAAATGATTAGAAATATCCAAACTGGGCTGGGTGCAGTGGCTCACGCCTATAATCTCAGCACTTTGGGAGGCTGAGGTGGGAAGATTACCTGAGGTCAGGAGTTCAAGACCAGCCTGGCTAACATGGCAAAACCCTGTCTCTACTAAAAATACAAAAATTAGCTGGGCATGGTGGTGCACACCTGTAATCCCTGCTACTCAGGAGGGTGAGGCAGGAGAATCGCTTGAACTCTGGAGACGGAGGTTGCAGTGAGCCAAGATCACGCCACTGCACTCCAGCCTGGGTGACAGAGCAAGACTCTCCCCTCCCCACCAAAAAAATGAAAGATAGAAAAGAGAAATATTTAAACTAGTTCAAGAGCAAATTTTATGTTTGTATTTGGATATAAGTAACGTCCCTTATTTAGACATTTTACTGCAGTCTTAAGGAGTTCTCATAGAGAAGAACAGAAATGCTGTCTAGGTTTCTCATCTGCCACTCTTCTGTGATTCATTCAGTTCTAGTGATAGCTTTCTTATCAGATTGTTATAAAACATCAGTCTTGTTAGGGCTATTATTTCTCAAATCTTCCTTGCATCAAAGTAGGTAAGAATTCGAGTTTGAAAGATAAGATGAAGTCATACACAGAGCTTAAAAGAACAAGCCAGGCATGGCGGTATGCACCAGTACTCCCAGCTGCTTGGGAGACTGAGGCAGGAGCATCTCTTAAGCACAGGGGTTTGAGGCTGCAGCAAGCAATGATCATGCCAGTGCACTCCAGCCTGGGTGACCGAGCGAGACCTCATCTCTTAAAGGGGGGAAAAAAGAACAGCATGAATGCCAGGATATCTTTAAAATAGTCAGTTGGCCAGAGTAGTTATTTCCTGTTGGTAAACTTGAAAATAGGCTTTTATTTTGAACATGGCACAAATCAGATGAAATACCTATAGGTTGTTTGCAATATTTTAGCCTTGGCCTCTTTTTAAAAATTAGAAAGGTTTTTTTTTTTTTTTGAAATTTTTTTGGTAAAAGTTCTGTTTTTGGAAGTTAAGCCTGCTTCCTTGTTTGTGAAAGTGTTACCTATTGTATGCATGGTTATATACATATTAGGATTAAACACATTAGAATGCAGTTTATTTGACAATTTTATGTTTATTTATAAATGTTATGTTTTGATCTGTAGTCAAATTTATATAACTTGCGATATTAAGTCCATTTGTTCCCTTTTTATTCAGTTGTATGGGAAATGTTCCTTTGTAGAGTTTTAATGTATTTGTTTTTCTGTTTTTCTATTTATATTCACTGATTTTTGTTTAGCTTTTATTTTTTTTTTGAGACAAAGTCTTGCTCTGTTGCCCAGGCTGGAGTAAAGTGGTGTGATAACGGCTCACTGCAACCTCCGCCTCCCGGGTTCAAGCCGATTCTCCTGCCTCAGTCTCCCAAGTAGCTGGGATTACAGGCGCATGCCACCACACCTGGCTGATTTTTGTATTTTTAGTAGAGATGGGGGTTTCACCATGCTGGCCAGGCTGGGCTCGAACTCCTGACATCAGATGGTCCACCCACCTCGGCCTCCCAAAGTGCTGGGATTACAGGCGTGAGCCACTGCACCTGGCTTATTTAGCTTTTTAAATAATGGTGATGTTTTACTATGAAAAATGTTTATGGACTTGCAACTCTTTTTTTGTGTGTGACGGAGTCTCACTCTGTCGCCAGGCTGGTGCGATCTCGGCTCACTGCAATATCCACCTCCCTGGTTCAAGTGATTCTCCTGCCTCAGCCCCCCGAGTAGCTGGGACTACAGGTGTACACCGCCATGCCCAGCTAATTTTTGTATTTTTAGTAGAGACAGGGTTTCACCATATTGACCAGGATGTTCTCCATCTCTTGACCTTGTGATCCACCTGCCTCCGCCTCCCAAAGTGCTGGGATTACAGGGGTGAGCCACCATTCCCGGCCATGGACTTGCAACTCTTTTACCACCCATTTTTTAGGAGGGTCTGTTAAATAAACTGTGGTTGAGCTATATTTTACATTTGTTGAAATGTACTTAATTTATCTTTATTGCTTTTGAATTAGAATGATTTCAAAACTTGAAGCTCAGGTCAAGCAAGTAGAACATGAAAATATGTTAAGCCTTCGTCATAATTCTAGAATTCACGTGAGACCCTCGCGTGCCAAGTAAGTTATTTCATTTACTCTCTATAAAGCTAGAAATAGGTGCATGCTTTTATTAAGACGAGAAACTCATCTGTCTAAATCATAAGAAAGTCCGGGTTAAATGTCATTACAGAACTTAAATGTGTTAGATTAATTACTGAACATTGTAAACCCTCTTATGCAGAGGCATTTGCTAAAATGAGGAAATATCTTAGGATCAAATTGGGATCCTTGGAATGTATTTTGTTCTTTGCCCAGCTGTGTGACCTTAGGCAAGTCACTTACCTTTTTTGGAATTCATTTTTCTTATCTGTAAAAATAAGGACAAGGGGCTAGAACATCTCAAAAGGTCTTTTAGCCCTAAAATTTCAGACATTTTATTCCTATGTTAATGGAAGGAACTATGAAGATGGATCTTCATTAGGTTGTATGGGTTTTCTTTCTAGTTTTTTTAGTTCTTTCAGAATTAGCTTGGCTATAATCTCAACATTGTCTTGGTGATACCCTTACAGAATACATTATTTTTATATTAGATCTGAATTTTATTATGATTTGGGTGTAAATAAAGAATATTAATAAGTAAATAATAACTTTATAATGACATTTATTAGAAAAATGATTTTAAATTGTAATTTGTGACCCAAGTTGTAATTGTCAAATGAGGAGCTTTTTCTAGGGCCGGGCACAGTGGTTCACGTCTGTAATTCCAGAATTTTGGAAAGCCAAGGTGGGAGGATCGCTAGAGTCCAGGAGTTCGAGACCAGTCTGGGCAACATGGCGAGAGCCCATCTCTATAAAATAAAATAAATTGTAAGAGAAGATTTTTCTAGGTCTTTGTTAATTAATCTTAGTAGAACATAGGAAATTCTTTTTTTTTTTTTTTTTTTAAAGAAAAGATGTAAGTAACAAATTGAACATTTGAGAGAGATAAAAGAGAGAGCTTCGGGTTGGGGACCAGGGAAGGCCTTTCTTTAGAGGAGGCTCATAAGCAGAGGAGTCACCTGTGCATAGAATTGCTGGAGCAGGAGGTGTGGGGTGAGGGATGGGAGGGTGGGCAGGGTGGGGTGTCTGGGAGGTGGTCCATGCAGAGAAATTGCCTTGGTAAGTCCTCAGGTAGGAAAGAGCTTAGCATATTTGAAGAGCCTAAGGGAGGTTAGTGTGGCCTGAATATTTCCAGCAAGAGGCAAAGTTGCCCTAGATGAAATCAGAGATTGACCATTTATAGCTTTCTAAGCCGTGATCAAGAGTTGGATCTTGGCTGGGCGCCGTGGCTCACGCCTGTAATCCCAGCAGTTTGGGAGGCCGAGGCGGGCGGATCACAAGGTCAGGAGATCGAGACCATCCTGGCTAACACGATGAAACCCTGTCTCTACTAAAAAATACAAAAAAAATTAGCCGGGCGCGGTGGCTGGCGCCTGTAGTCCCAGCTACTCCGGAGGCTGAGGCAGGAGAATGGTGTGAACCCGGGAGGCGGAGCTTGCAGTGAGTCGAGATTGCGCCACTGCACTCCAGCCTGGGAGACAGAGCAAGACTCCGTCTCAGAAAAAAAAAAAAAAGTTAGATCTTGCCCTAAGTCCATTGGGAAGCCTTTGAAGGTTTTTATGTGGTAAAATGATGTTATCTAATTTTTATTAATGTACCTGCCATGAGAAGATGGAGAAGGAAAGAATGGAAGCAGGAGACTAGTTAGTCTGGTGCAGTGCTAGGAGAGAGGTGGTGTTAGCTAGGTGGTGGTCACAGAAATAGACAATAGAGACTCTTCGGGAGAGATTCTAGAGGTAGGATCTATAGGATATGGTTGTGAATTGGATGGCAAGGTAAGAAAGGGAGGTGTTGGAATAATTCCTTGGTTTCTCTCTCAAACAACTAAAGGTACCTAGTTCATGTGTTGAACTTAGGGAAGAGATCAGAATTTCCATCTTGAATATTTTTGTTTGAGATTCATATCGATTCTAAGTGGAAATCAAATAGGCAATTATAAATGAGTTTGGAGCTCAAAAATAAGGTTTTAGGATGGTATGATAAATTTTGGAGTCATGCCGGGTGCGGTGGCTCACGCCTGTAATCCCAGCACTTTGGGAGGCCGAGATGGGCGGATCACGAGGTCAGGAGATCGAGACCATCCTGGCTAACATGGTGAAACCCCATCTCTACTAAAAATACAAAAAATTAGCCGGGTGTGGTGGCGGGCGCCTGTAGTCCCAGCTACTCAGGAGACTGAGGCAGGAGAATGGCGTGAACCCGGGAGGCGGAGCTTGCAGGGAGCCAAGATCGCGCCACTGCATTCCAGCCTGGGCAACTGAGCAAGACTCCGTCTCAAAAAAAAAAAAAAATTGGAGTCGTCTCTTTCTAGATGGTGCGTAAAGTTGTAGAATGGATGTAAACTGAGTGTGTTTAGTGAGAAGTAGGCCTGGGGCAAGAACTCTGACACTGGTGTTGGATAGAGAGAGCTGGCAAAGGAACCCGAGAAAGCGCTGCCAAAAAGCTAGAGGAAAACAAGCAGCCACCGGTATTGAGTGCAAAACCCAACTTGTGTTTCCCTGTGCTCTCACACCAGCACAACAAAAATAGACTCAGAAGACTTTTGTGACCCAGAATGTGTGACATTTCTCCTCACCAGCAAGCGAGCAATCAGTTCTTCATGGGACCTAGCTGGGTGGCCTCCCATTCATCTCTGATACTATCTACCCAGAGATAGGGTCAGATCCCATAAGCTGAGGGCTCAGTCCCCAAGACTTCCCATTTCAGACACCATTTGCAAGTCCAGGCCTCCAAAACGTCTAACCAACTGGCTTCAAGTTGAGGTTCCCACAGCCCTCTCTTTGGGTTTGATTAATTTGCCAGAGTGGCTTATAGAACTCAGAGAATCATGTTTACCAACTTATTACAGATGATATTTTAAAGGATACAAATAAACAACCAGTTGAAGAGATACAGAGTAAGGTCTGGAAGGATCTCCAGCACAGGAGTTTCTTTCCCAGTAGAGCTGGGGTGTGATGCCCCCTCAGTGCGTGGATGAGCTCTTGTTCAGCTCTCCAGAAGCTCTGGAGCCCTGTCCTTTTGGGCATTTTATGGAGGTTTCATTGGACAGGCCTGATTGAAGCTTGGACGACTGTGTTGAAATGTGATTGGACAGAAAGGATGTGATCTAAACCCAGCAAGGCCTTTCTGTTCAGATCCTTCTTGGCCTCTTTGTGCAGCATTCCTTCCCCCAGAGGATGAGGCAGGACCCTCTCTGATTCGAACAAGAGTCTTATGACCCATAATCAGATTAGAGTCCTACCCTGGTAAGGTAAAAGGAAGACAGGAGAAGGTTAGAGATTCTGTTGACTGCAACAAGGGATATGAAAGTTATGAGCCAGGAATTGTGAATGAAAACTGATGTATAATATATGTCATAATCTCACATTGCTGCTTGAGAGATCAAGGTGAAGACTGCAAGGTCTTTGCAAGCTGGAGGCTAATGCTTAGTGAACAGTCTGGATAGAGTGATAACAGTAGAAGCCCATTCAGAGGGTACTCGAGTGAATGCAGGCTGGGCGTGGTGGCTCACGCCTTTAATCCCAGCACTTTGGGAGGCCAAGGCAGGTGGATCACTTGAGGTCAGGAGTTTGAGACCAGCCTGGCCAACATGGCGAAACTCCATCTCTACTAAAAATACAAAAATAAGCCAGGCATAGTGGTGCAGGCCTGTAATCCCAGCTACTCGGGAGGCTGAGGAATCACTTCAACCTGGGAGGCGGAGGTTGCAGTGAGCCAAGATCGCACCACTGCACTCCAGCCTGGGTGACAGAGCACCGCTCTGTCTCAAAAAAAAAAAAAAAAAAAAAAAAAAAAGTGAATGAAAACCTGAAAGTCTAACAGCTGGAATATGGAAAATACTGTCATACACTCAAGCATGACACTGCATCATGACAATGCAGGTGGCAGAGACCGAGTTGGCAGACCCCAGCCTGTGGGGCCACATGTGGCATGAACTACCTGTTTTTGTGAGGCCCCTGAGTAAAGAATGGTTTCTACATTCTTACATGTTTGGGAAAAAAGAATATTTCATGACACATGAAAATTGTATGACGGACTGGGCGTGGTGGCCCACACCTGTAATCCCAGCACTTTGGGAGGCCAAGGCAGGTGGATCACCTGAGGTCAGGAGTTCGAGACCAGCCTGGCCAACATGGCAAAACCCCATCTCTATTAAAAATACAAAAATTAGCTGGGTATGGTGGCATGTGCCTGTAGTCCCAGTTACTCAGGAGGCTGAGGCAGGAGAATCGCTTGAACCTGGAAGGCGGAGGTTCCAGTGAGCCAAGATTACACCACTGCATTCCAGCCTGGGTGAGAAAGTGAGACTCTGTCTCAAAAAAAAAAAAAGAAAGAAAATTGTATAACATTCAAATTTTAGTGTCCACAAATACAATTTTCATGGAATACAAGCTTATTCACTTACATAGCATCTACGGCAGCTTTTGTGCAACAGCAAAGTGGAGTAGTTGCAACAGACACTGGCCCATAAAACCTCAAGTGTTTACTCTCTGGCCCTTTACAGAGAGAATTTGCTGATCCTCAGCTAGACGGTCAACGTGGATTAATCTTAAGGACATAATATGGAACAACAAAAAACTAGTTGCAGAAGAAATAGGATACTATTTATATTGACTTTAGCATGTGAAGCAATTTTGTATTTCTTATGGGTTCATGCAAACATAGTAAACGTATGAAAACGTGCATGGGAATGCTGAACACAAATTTAGTATAAATGGTTGCTTTTGGGAGGGAACGAATGAGATTGGAGAGGTGCACAGGGGCTTTAGTTGTCTTTATAGTGTTCTACTCTTAATTTAAAGAATATATAACCAAGATTTATAAAGCTGGATGGTTGGCATGAATATTACCTGTATGTCTATGTGTGCTTGAGATATATATATAATATATGTTTTTTGTTTGTTTGTTTGTTTGTTTTGAGATGGAGTCTCGCTGTGTCACCCAGGCTGGAGTGCAGTGGCACAATCTCGGCTCACTGTAACCTCTGCTTCCCATGTTCAAGCGATTCTCCTGCCTCAGCTTCCCAAGTAGCTGGGATTACAGGTGCCCACTACCATGCCTGGTTAATTTTTGTATTTTTAGTAGAGATGGGGTTTTGCCATGTCAGCCAAGCTGGTCTCAAACTCCTGACCTCAAGTGATCCGCCCACCTCAGCCTCCCAAAGTGCTGGGATTATAGGCGTGAGCCACAGTTCCTGGCTGATATTTTATTTTAGAGACAAAGTCTCGCTCTGTCACCCAGGCTGGAGTGCAATGGCACAATCTTGGCTCACTGCAACCTTCGCCTCCCAAGTTCAACGATTCTCCCACCTCAGCCTCCCGAGTAGCTGGTACTACAGGCACGTGCCACCATGCCTGCTAATTTGTTGTATTTTTAGTAGAGACGGGGTTTTACCTTGTTGGCCAGGCTGGTCTCGAACTCCTGACCTCAAGTGATCCGCCCGCCTCAGCTTCCCAAAGTGCTGGGATTACAGGCGTGAGCCACTGTACCTGGCCCCGGCTGATATTTTGTATTTTTAAAGTGAACAGGAACGAATAAAGGAAAAGTATCCAGAAGATGAAAGAACTCTTACAAATCAATAAGAAAAAGATAACTTTCTCAACAAAAAATGGTAAAAGAATATAACAAGCAGCGCACAGATCCCTGATGGCTAATAAAAATGAGAACATGTTAATTGTCATGAAAATGCACATTAAAACAATAAGATACAATTCACACCATCGGACAGGTTATATTTAAAATTGAAACACTTTAACGTTTGGCAAAGATATGGAGAGACAGGAACTCTCAAAGTAATGATTGACAGTTGATACAGCTTGTCTGGAGAGTGATTTGGCAACAGTCAGAGAGGTTGAAGATGTGCACCAAATCCCACAGTTGCATGTTAAGATGTTTGCCTTAGAGGAATTTTCACACGTGTTAATTTTAGCATTGTCGAAAGGCTGCATATTAAAAACCATATTTCCACTGCCGGGAGAAAGGACAAATATATTCATACTATGGGTAAATGATAAAAATGAATAGAGCTTATATGTACTAACACAGATAAATTTCAAACATAATATTGAACAGAGAAAGCATTAAAGGCCAGGTGTGGTGGCTCACGTCTATAATTTCAGCATTTTGGGAGGCCAAGGTGGGGAAATTGCTTGAGCCCAGGAGTTTGAGACCAGCCTGGGCAACATGGCAAAACCCTGTCTCTACAAAAAATATAAAAAGTTAGCGGCTAGACACAGTGGCTCACGCCTATAATCCCAGCACTTTGGTAGGCTGAGGCAGGTGGATCATGAGGTCAAGAGTTTGAGACCAGCCTTACCAACATGGTGAAACCCCGTCTCTACTAAAAATACAAAAAAATTAGCCAGATGTGGTGGCACGCAGCTGTCATCCCAGCTACTCACAGGGCTGAGGCAGGAGAATGGTTTGAACCTGAGAGGCGGAGGTTGCAGTGAGCCGACATCGAGCCACTGTACTCCAGCCTGGGTGACAGAGCGAGACTCTGTCTTAAAAAAAAAAAAGCTGGGTGTGGTGGTTGGTGGTACGCGCCTGTAGTCCCAGCTGCTCGGGAGGCTGAGGTGGGAGAATCACTTGAGCCTGAGGGGTCGAGGCTGTACTGAGCCATGATCATGCCACTGCACTTTAGCCTGGGGGACAGGGTAAAACCCTGTCTCAAAAAAAAAAAAAGACATTTAAAAATGTGTATTAATACATTATGCCTTCTGTGTAATTAAATATATAAAAATTGGTCTTATAATTAAAAACAAATTTTGCAAGATCGGGCTGGGCACGTGGCTCACACCTGTAATCCCAGCACTTTGGGAGGCCAAGGTGGGCAGATCACTTAAGGTTAGGAGTTTGGCCAACATGGTGAAACCCCGTCACTTCTAAAAATACAAAAATTAGCTGGGCACAGTGGTGGGCCCCTGTAATCCCAGCAACTGTGGAGGCTGAGGCAGGAGAATTGCTTGAACCTGGTAGGCAGAGGTTGCAGTGAGCTGAGATCACGCCACTGCACTCCAGCCTGGGTGACAGAGGAAAACTCCATCTCAAGAAAAAAAAAAATTGGCAAGATCTTAGCATTTATTAAAACTGAGAATGGGTGAGTAGATGCTTGTTATAGTATTCTTTGTAATTTTCCAAGAATGTTTGAAGATTTTTTTTTTTTTTTAAGACGGAGTCTCGCTCTGTTGCCCAGGCTGAAGTGCAGTGGTGCAATCTCGGCTCACTGCAAACTCCGCCTCCTGGGCTTATGCCATTCTCCTGCCTAAGCCTCCTGAGTAGCTGGGACTACAGGTGCCCGTCACCACACCTGGCTAATTTTTATTTTGCATTTTTAGTAGAGACGGGGTTTCACCATGTTAGCCAGGGTGGTCTCGAGCTCCTGACCTCGTTATCTGCCCGCCTTGGCCTCTCAAAGTGCTAGGATTATAGGCATGAGCCACTGAGCCTGGCCCTGAAATAGTTCTTAATTTAAAAACTGGGCCGGGCGCAGTGGCTCACGCCTGTAATCCCAGCACTTTGGGAGGCCAAGGTGGGTGGATCACGAGGTCAGCAGATCAAGACCATCCTGGCTAATAACATGGTGAAACCCCATCCCTACTAAAAACACAAAAAATTAGCCGGGCGTGGTGGTGGGCGCCTGTAGTCCCAGCTACTCGGGAGTCTGAAGCAGTAGAATGGTGTGAACCCAAGAGGCAGAGCTTGCCGTGAGCCGAGATCGCGCCACTGCACTCCAGCCTGGGCGACAGAGTGAGACTCTGTCTCAAAAAAAAAAAAACTGAGGGAAAGAGTGACTGGAGTTGAAGTGAATGTAGATAGAAGAGGCAGCCTCTAAAATGTTTGGTTGTGAAAGGGGACAGAGAGAAAACAAGAGTTGTTTCATGGTTTCTGGTGTTTCTTTGAATTTGACTCAAAAGTTTCACCTGTCAACGAAGGTGGGATGGGAGGTTTGAGGAGGGTGGAAAGGGTGTGAGATAGTCATGTTTGGAGAACTGAAGCTTGCTGGTTACAGAAAGTCATGTTGCCGGCCGGGTGCGTTGGCGCACACCTGTAATCCCAGCACTTTGGGAGGCTGAGGTGGGCGGATCATGAGGTCAGGAGATCGAGACCATCCTGGCTAACACGGTGAAACCCCGTCTCTACTAAAAATACAAAAAAATTAGCCGGGCGTGGTGGCAGGCGCCTGTAGTCCCAGCTACTTGGGAGGCTGAGGCAGGAGAATCGCTTGAACCTGGGAGGCGGAGCTTGCAGTGAGCCGAGATCACGCCACCGTACTCCAGCCTGGGTGACAGAGCGAGACTCCGTCTCAAAAAAAAAAAAAAAAAAGAAAGTCATGTTGCCAGGCGGTCAGGCGGTTTGGGGTGTCCGCTTGAGGTGGTGATGAGTCTGCCCAGCTGGTGGCTTTTTTCCAGCAAAGCTCAGTGGTAGGAGTTGAGACCTGAAGCGCGGCCTTTGTAGTCAGCCAGTCCTCAGATTTTGCTGCCAGTCAGGTGTGGTGAAAGGTGAGAGAGAAAGTATCGTGAGTGTGGACTTCAGGGTAGATCAAGAGGACCTAGTCAGACTAGGAGGGGTTGATAAATGGAAAATGGAGAGGCCAAGGATCGTAGGTCACGTTGCTGAAGCTTGAGGGCGGGAGGCAGAATAGGGGCACAGTCTTTGGAGTATTGGTTTCTTAAGGGGAGTGTGTTCTCTGGTTTTGACAAAAGCCAGCAAGTACCCTCTGAGGTGGCTGGCTGAGGAGTAGAGGGTCACCTCACTGGAGAGAGTGGTCAGGAAGTTGCCTAGTGTGAGAACAGGCATAGGTGTGGAGAAAACAAGGCAGGCTCTAAAGTCTGGGGAATGACTGGGGGTTAACATGATGGTGGGAACCTCAGATGAGCTGGGGGAGCAATGTCTAGAATTGCGCTGTTCAGTACAGTCCTGCCAACAGCCACTATTACTATTTAAATCAATCATGTCAACCTAAAATCAGTGACAGAGACTGACTCTCCAAAGAAATTTATTTGGAAATGTTGGGGGTTTGCAAGCTGGAGTACGCATGCTGTGGTGAACCATAAGCATGTCCAAAGGGGTTGGGACACAGGAAACTTTAAAAGACAAAGGGCAGTCCACAGTCCACTAAGCTATTTTAAAACAAAGACCACTGGTTACAGGAGCATGTTGCAGGCATTAGCATTAGCTCAGTGGTGGAGACATCCCTTGTTAGGGATGTTTCCTTGTACAAGCAGCTTATTATCTGGAATACTGTCGTTCTGAGGAATTCAGAATAGTTCCCATAATCAGCATCTGTGTGAGAGGCTGCTCCTTTGTGCCTCCCAGCTCCATTTTTTGGGAGTTTGACATTAGTGACTCCATTTTGATACTGAAAACTTTCATTATTAAAATTAACGTTTTATAATTGGTTCTTCAGTCTCAGCAGCCACATTTCAGGTGTTCAGTAGTGACACCTGACTTGTGACTGCTGCATTGGACAGTGCAGATAGCATTTCTGGTTTTGCAGAAGATTCTGTTGGACAGTGCTGGTCTGAAGGGAACAAGAAGGGCAGCCCTGCTTCCTTCAGCACTTTACCCTCAGCTACAGTAGGGGCACAGAGTGTAAAGGGTGTGAAATGCCTGAGAGACAGTGAGGGGAATGTTCAGAGCCGCAAGTACCTGAATCTTGACTGAGATTCAGAAGTAACAGAAACCTAGAACAACAGTTAAGTTGAATCATAAAACTGTAAAATAAATTGTATCCAAAATATAGATTGTTACATGTGATTTTTAAATTAGTGTACAAATGTGTAAATACTGTTTGAGAGCAGATTGTTTTATATGCACATGCAGTCTGAAATGAAGTGCAGACCTTTATAATGCCTGACCGTTTTCATTCTAATAGCACACTAGCAACTTCAGACGTCAGCAGGCGGAAATGGCTGATTCCAGGTGCAGAGTATTCCATCTTTACTGGCCAGCCTCTGGACACCCAGGACAGTAACGTGGATAACCAGCTGGAGGAAACCTGTAGCCTAGGGTGAGATAACTTTGCTAAAGATTCTATTTAGGGATGTTATGTTTTCTTAGAGATTTCAATTGCTTTTAAAAGTTTGGGAAGCCCTCTCTTTGGTTCTTTAATGTCTTAATTTTGAGAACCTGACTTTTATTTTACTTTGAAAGGCTACTACTTTTAGAATATTTTACTTCCATGAGCTCTGCCAAGCTTCCCCACCTGTGCTCAGTGGCACAGTATGGGTTTGTGATTAGGATAGGATGTCGATCCTCAGGCCAGGTGTGGTGGCTCACGCCTGTAATCCCAACACTTTGGGAGGCCAACGTGGAGGATCGCTTGAGCCTAGGAGTTCGAGACCAGCTTGGGCAGCATGACAAAATCCCACCTCTACAAAAAATAAATATATTAGCCGGGCATGGTGACATGCGCCTGTAGTTTTAGCTACTTGGGAGGCTGAGGTGGGAGGATTACTTGAGCCTGGGGAGCTCAAGGCTACAGTGAGCTATGATTGTGCCACTGCACTCCAGCCTGGGTGACAGAGTGAGACCTTGTCTAAAAACAAACAAAAGATGTAGATCCTCTCCCACTTCAGATGGCTCTGGCCAGCCCGAGCCCCGAGCCTGCGTGAGCAGCCTCAGCCGCTTACTCCAGGGTGCTGTGCAGATGCTGTTCCTCTAAGTGTAGGACTAGAAGGATGGGAAAGCACTGTATGCAGGTTTAATTTATTTGCATTGCAAAGCATGCTCATTGTGGAGTATAATTGTCAACTCTGTTATTCCCCTAACAACCCCAGTAAAGTGTGTGTTTTAGCTTGGACTGTTATAACAAATTACCGTAGACTGGGTGGCATAAACAACACACATTTCTTTCTCTACCTCTGGAGGCTGGAAGTGCAAGATCAGGGTGCTGAGTGTTTGGTGAGGGCCCTCTTCCTGGTTATGTCCTCACATGGCCTTTCCTTGGTGTGTGTGCACAGAGAGAGCGCTCCTGCCTCTTTCCCTTTTTCATAAGGGCATTAATCCCATCTTGGAGGCTTCACCCTCATGACCTCATCCAACCCTAATTACCTCGTAAAGACCCCACCTCCACACACCATCACATTGAAGATTAGGGCTTCAACATGTATGTTTGGTGTGGGGGCGGGGGGCAAGATACAGACATTTAGTCCATAGCACTGTATGTCTTAAAATTATTGTTTAAGGCACCGTTCACCTCTGGAAAAGGATTCTTCACCTGGAAGTTCATCAACAAGCTTGTTGATAAAAAAGCAAAGAGAGACTTCAGACACGCCGATCATGAGAGCTTTAAAAGAACTTGATGAGGGAAAAATATTTAAAAATTGGGGGACACAGACAGAGAAAGAGGACACCTCAAATAGTGAGTATTTCCTTGTTTGAGATAGATGGATATAGATATCTTTTCCCCATTTATATTACCTTCGTTAAAATTAAAATATTTAGGTAATGAAATTAAAAGTTTTAGCTCTGTAAACTTGCTATTTTACTGCTACTTCAGCCCCGTTTCATAGAGAATTGAATGTCCTAGTTAATAATTTATCACAGTTCTGGCATAACATGTACCTTTTGTACAAAGCCAGTTGAATCTTACATTCCGATTATGAAAAAGGCTTACATGGCATTCTTTTTTTTTTTTTTTTTTTTTTGAGACAGTGAGACAGAGTCTCACTCTTTTGCCCAGGCTGGAGTGCAGTGCGTAATCTCAGCTCACTGCAAACTCCATCTCCAGGGTTCAAGCTATCATCCTGCCTCAGCCTCTCAAGTACCTAGAATTACAGGTGCCCTCCAGCACCCCCGGCTAATTTTAATATTTTTAACAGAGACGGAGTTTCACCATGTTGGCCAGGTTGGTCTCGAACTCCTGGCTTCAAGTGGTCCACCCGCCTTGTCCTCCACAACACAACACAAAGTGTAAACACAAAGTGTTGTGATTACAGGCGTGAACCACTGCTCCTGGCCTTACATGGCATTCCTAAGGATATTTGAAAAATTCCTGTCAGTCCATCTTACTTGCACACATCAGAAGGCTGTGATAGGCATTTGGTATTCATGAAGTGAGATATAACATTTCCTCTTCTTTCTTGGTTACTGAGCATCTGTAGATAAGGCAAGTAGTGTCTTTAATACTGTGTTTTTTCACAGGTCCAGGTCACCAATACATTTCTCTCCTTTTCCACTATGCTTGCTTTCTCAGACCCCTTAGTCATCCTGCCAGCGTCTTTGCGGTTACATCTCCCAAGCAGTGTCTCTTAGTAAATAAATTAGTAACCTGCTTTCTAAAAATAACCCTCTTGAAAATCACCTTGAATGCCGATTGTAAACAGGGAGCCAGAATGAATTCATTATAAACTCCCATATTTTTCTTCATCAAGCATTTTTTATCATTATAATGTGGTGCATTTGCAAATAGTCACTATAACCTAGCTGGTGAGAATAAATGCTTTGAGCAGAACCTAAGCTGTGGGGCTTGGTGTGTAACCATGTGTAACCACCTGTTAATAAAGGTGGATAACTGAAGCGTAGGCTTGTTTTGATTTGTTTTTTGTTTTGCTTTTTTTTGGTCTGCTGTAGTAAATCCTCGGCAAACTGAAACTTCAGTTAATGCAAGTCGTTCTCCAGAAAAGTGTGCCCAACAGAGACAAAAGAGACTTAATTCGGCCTCACAGAGATCATCATCTTTACCACCTTCAAATCGTAAATCAAGTACTCCAAGTAAGAGTTAGATGTGTACATCTCTTGGGTTCAAAAGCGTGATCTCTGAGTCAAATCTATTTGTGCCCGCTGCTTGCCTGTTTCTGGTTTCTCTTGTATCCTCAGCACCTAGTAGAGTACTCTGAGCAGAGGACCCCTAAATAAGATCTTGTTCATAAATAAAATTGTCTGATCACATAGATACTACAAATGTAAATGAAGAAATCTGTTTATTAAAGTGAGATTTTTTATTGTGTCCAGTAAATTGTTTACAACTAATACTAATAATTTATTGTGTCCACTAAATTGTTTGCAACTAATACTTAAAAATGCCAGCTATCCAAACATTAATTCAATCAAATTAATCCAAGCTAGTCTCAAATATACTTCTTATGTATTTGATCTCAAGTACTTAGCATTAGTCACCATTTTTCTTTAGCCAATAACAGGTTGGTTTTAAAGTTGAAGCATTGAATTCCTGTCCTGAATTTCCGTTTTCACACCAGCTGAGGAGATTCTTATTATTGTGTTATAGGAATGTTCAGTAGTGTACTGCTGTTTCCATCTTATTTCCAGTCGACTTCTAAAATCCTGAAAAACCAGTTTTGAGTCAGAGTGCTGAAAGTACTGTCTGATATACTACAGTGTTACAGTGGTTACCTCTAGGTGTTAGGATTATGAGTGATTTTATTTTTTTGTACACTCTTATTTCTCTCTCAAAGTTTTACGTTGAAATTATATTCCTTTCAAAATTAGAAAAAAAATACTGAATAAGAAACTGTTATGCTGATACATATAGAAGGAAAAGAATATTTCCTCTTCATTTTCTTCTATAGCAAAAAGAGAGATTATGCTAACACCAGTGACTGTGGCTTATAGTCCAAAGCGATCCCCTAAAGAAAACTTGTCCCCAGGATTTAGTCATCTGCTTAGCAAAAATGAGAGCAGTCCAATTCGGTAAGTTCTCTAAAATTGTAGAATAAAGTTTACTATATTAGTGATTTTTTTCTAAATGTTGACTTATGTCTCTAGCTATCACTAATTTTTCAGTTACCAGTGGGAACTCTGTGAATTTCATTTAAATCATAAGTGAATGTCATACTACAACTAAAGTACTGCAGTACAATGAACACAGTTTTTAACTATGTAAACTTGCTACTACTAGATTTTAAATTATCACCTCAGCACCCCTGTCAGCTTTTGTATGTAGAATGATAGTTCTTTGTTTTCCTGAAAAGGTTTATGATACGGGAAAACTTTTGGGCCATTTGTACAGGAAAGTGGGCTTTACTGGTATGGCCCTGGCACCAAATGCATGTTTACCTGTGCTGCTGAGAATCTGTCCCCTCCGAAGTGTGGGCAGCTGTGTGTGCTATTAGCGGGGAGGGATGTTGCTTCTTGGTTCCAGACCCAACTCTGTCAGGCTCTTGCGGAGATGAGTTAAGCACATTGAACCTCAGTTTCCTCTTCTATAAAACGGGGATAATAATAACTACCCTGCTTATTTCATAAGGTTTTTATAAATATCAAATGAGATAATGTATGGGTAAGTGTTTTAAGTCTTTAGTTTGTAAATACAATTTTGTTAGAAAATAGAAATAAATTTCAGTTTTAGACAATTACATAACCAGCTTTCTTTTAAGAAAATACATAAATATGTGAGTTAGCTGGATGCCAGCTCATCTTTGTAGTGGAGATAGGGAAAATCAGTTAACATTTTTTTTCTCACAAGTAACTTGCTTCATTCAATAGATTTGATATACTTTTGGATGATTTAGATACTGTTCCTGTGTCTACATTACAACGTACCAATCCAAGAAAGCAACTCCAGTTTCTTCCTCTAGATGACTCGGAAGGTATCTTTTCCTAAAAAATATTAGTTATGGTTTTAATCATTCATTTTTTGAGATTCTGGTATCTCTCAGTGTTCTAAATATTATAATATCTTGCACTTAAATATTTTCCCACTCAAGGGCGTCTGAAACTAAGCACTCATGATGCTACGTGTTGTTATGTCAATGTTGTTATCCTCATTGAAAAGTTGGGAAACTGAGGTACAGGGAATGTTGATGTTTAATTACCAGGGCCACACTGCTCAGTTATTCTCTTTACTTTTATTCTCTATATGCAGCTTAGGCTTTGGGTAACTTTTTTTTTCTCATTTATATTCTAAATTTGGAATAAAGCTATAAGACAATGTATGTGAAATCACTTGGGTAGGCCCTCAAAACATTAACTGTTTAGTGTTGGTGTATGTCCACTAAATGTGATGTATTATTTAGTTTTTAAGCTTTTTTTTTTTTTTTTGCTTTAAGTTTACTTAAAGTTCATTTATGTTTACATGAAGTTTGCTTAAGTTCATTAAGGGAAGTTGCAAAGATTGTCAAACAGAGGGCAAAGCTTTCAGAATTCTTTGGAGAAAAAAGCACTGAGTAAATAAGATTGATTATTGTATCTCTTTTCATTACTTTTTTGGGCCACATAGCAGCTATATCCAGAAAGTGAAATTGGGCAACATATTTAATATATATGCAACCTACACGAAAAATTGATAAGAAATATAAGCAATTTCTCTCCTCTCTGACAGAAAAAACTTATTCTGAGAAAGCCACCGATAACCATGTTAATCATAGCTCTTGCCCTGAACCGGTGCCAAATGGAGTGAAGAAAGTATCTGTGAGAACAGCCTGGGAGAAGAATAAATCAGTTAGCTACGAACAGTGTAAGCCGGTTTCAGTCACTCCACAGGGGAATGATTTTGAATATACAGCAAAAATTCGGACCCTAGCTGAAACAGAACGATTTTTTGATGAACTTACAAAAGAAAAGGACCAGGTAAAAACAAACAAATATTTTTAAAAATTGTTTTCTGAACTTAATGCTTATGTCTAAGGAGAAGGGAATTATTGAGTCAAACCTGTCTCAGGAAATTACAATGGGATAACATACCAGAGCTGTGCTAGCAACGGATTTGAGCCATGTGGTCGTTACTAATTGACAGAGGGAAATTAAGTTGAGATGAAATGGACAAGGAAATACTAAGCCAAAACCTTTTCTTTCCATTCTGTGTGATAAACCTCCCTGCCAGTAATTTAAACATATTTTTTTCGTGTGTTAACAGATTGAGGCAGCACTAAGCAGGATGCCTTCTCCTGGAGGACGAATCACTTTACAGACAAGATTAAATCAGGTGAAATGTCTTAGCTTGAATCTGCTTTAGAGGCTTGATGCCAGTCAGTGTTCCAGTTATCTAAGAGGGGTTTAAAAAATCATGGCACAGTGAAAATTAGACACACTGAAGCAGCAGTCAAAACTTTTAGCTTTTACGGGAAGTGTTTGATTATAGCAATTTTATAACTGCAAGCTAGCTTTCAGGAATAAAAATTGATTTTACCTTTAGACTTAGAGAAGAAGGTGTTCATGCCCTTGTATTTTCAAGAAACTAACTTGAGAGCAAATGGCAATATGCTTTTCAACAGATTTTACACTAAGTTAGTGCTCACAGATTGCCTCTCTTTTTGTTTGATTTCTCCCTCCTCAAATCTGTAATTTATTTCTGAACTCCTTTCCATTAGCAAGCAGATAAAATGGTTACACTTTGGAAACTGAATAGCTGTAGAGGTTCAAAAAGTGAGCCGTAGGCCGGGCGCAGGGGCTCACGCCTATAATCCCAGCACTTTGGGAGGCTGAGGCTGGTGTATCACCTGAGGTCAGGAGTTCCAGCCACTGTGCCCAGCCCCCAACTTCTTTTTTTCTGACTTTGTCTTTTTGTTCTGATAAATATTAGTCAATAATTTATAGGCTGGGCGTGGTGGCTCATGCCGGTAATCCCAGCACTTTGGGAGGCTGATGCAGGCGGGTCACCTGAGGTCAGGAGTTCGAGACCAGCCTGGCCCACATGGTGAAACCCCGTCTCTACTAAAGTACAAAAATTAGCCGGGCATGGTGTGGGGGTGGGCGCCTGTAATTCCAGCTACTCGGGAGGCTGAGGCAGGAGAATTGCTCGAACCTGGAAGGTGGAGGTTGCAGTGAGCCAAGATGGTGCCACTGCACTCCAGCCTGGGTAATAGAGCAAGACTCAGTCTTAAAAAAAAAAAAAAATAAACTTTCAATTGAACTTTTCATGTTATGAAATATCTTTCTATAACATCCTTTTAAATTAACGTACAATATTCCATCAGCAGTAACGTATTTAACCAAGAATGTTTTAGTAGAAATTTGGGTTGCTTCTAATTTTGGATATCATAAATAAGGCTGCAATAAAGTTCTTAAACATATCTCTTTGCACGTGTAAGTATTGCCTTAGGAGTCATTCCCAGAAATAAAAATGCTAGGTCCAAAGAAATGCAAATTTCTAAGGATTTGGATATATGTCAAGTTGTAACCCAGGATGTTTGAGACAATTTCTACTCCTACCTGCCGTGTATGAAGATAAGCTCTTCCCCATCCTGAAACCTGTATGTTTGGGAAAACAACAACAACAAAAAAAACAAAAAAAAACCTGCCATGGCCAGGCGCAATGGCTTATGCCTGTAATCCCAGCACTTTGGGAGGCCGAGGTGGGCGGATCACGAGGTCAGGAGTTCAAGACCAGCCTGGCCAACATGGCAAAACCCCATCTCTACTAAAAATACAAAAAATTAGCCAGGCGTGGTAGTGCACGCCTGCAGTCCTAGCTACTCGGGAGGCTGAGGCATGAGAATCGCTTGAACCTGGGTGGTGGAGGTTGCATTGAGCTGAGATCGTGCCACTGCACTCGGCCTGGGTGACAGAGCAAGACTCCGTCTCTGAAAAAGAATAATAAAAAAAAATACCTGCCAATGTGATCATTTTTTAAAAGGTGTGGGGTTGTCTTGGCTAATCTTTTATTTATCTAGTTTGGAGACGGAGTCTCGCTGTGTCACCAGGCTGGAGCGCAGTGACGCAATCTCGGCTCACTGCAGCCTCCAACTCCCTGGTTCAACTGATTCTCCTGCCTCAGCCTCCTGAGTAGCTGGGATTACAGGCACATGGGCCCGGCCTAATTCAAAGATATTTTGAGGCCGAGAACAGTGGCTCATGCCTGTAATCTCAGCACTTTGGGAGGCCAAGGTGGGCAGATCACTTGAGGTCAGGAGTTTGAGGCCGGCCTGGCCGATGTGGTGAAACCCTGTCTCTACTAAAAATACAAAAAAATTAGCCGGTTGTGGTGGTGTGCCTGCAATCTCAGCTACTTGGAGGCTGAGGCAGGAGGTTCACTTGAACCCAAGAGTTGGAGGTTGCAGTGAGCTGAGATTGCACCACTGCACTCCAGTCAGGGCAACAGAGTGAGACTGTGTCTCAAAAAAAAAAAAATTGAGATAGAGTTTGATTCTCTTCTTAGGTTTCTCTTTTAATTTTTTTGAGACAGGGTCTCATTCTGTCACTCAGGCTGGAGTGCATTGGCACAATCATAGCTCACTGTAGTCTTGACCTCTGAGGCCTCAGCCCCTTGAGTAAGCTAGGACTACAGGCATGCACCACCACACCTGGCTAATTTTTAAAATTTTTTTGTAGAGGCAGGGCCTTGCAGTGTTGCCCAGGGTGGTCTCGAACTCCTGGCCACAAGTGATTCTCCCACCTTGGTCTCCCAAAGTGCTGGGATTACAGGTGTAAGCCATCATGCTTGGCCTTATTTTTCTTTTAAAAATGATACACGGCTGGGTGCAGTGGTTCACGCCTGTAATCCCAGCACTTTGGGAGGCTGAGGTGGGCAGATCAGATCACCTGCAGTCAGGAGTTCAAGACCAGCTTGGCCAATATGGCGAAACCCTGTCTCTACTAAAAATATGAAAATGAGCCGGGCATGGTGGTGGGCACCTGTAATCCCAGCTACTTTTGAGGCTGAGGGAGGAGAATCGCTTGAACCTGGGAGGCAGAGGTTGCAGTGAGCTGAGATTGTGCCACTGCACTCCAGTCTGGGCAACAGAGCGAGACTCCGTCTCCCCCAACCAAAAAAAAAAAAATAAAATAAAAGTGGTATGCATATATATGTATGCAGAAAAAACAGGAAAGAGGAACAGTTTTTTTTTCTTTTTTGCTTATTTGTCTTCTAAATTTTCTATATTCTAAGTGTTCTATAATCCTTTTATAATTAAAGAAAAAAATTTTAAGTTTTATTTCAGGACACCATTGGAATTAATACTGAATAAATTAACTAAAATGAGGCTGGGTATAGTGGCTTATGCCTATAATCCCAGCACTTTGGGAGGCCGAGGTGGGTGGATCACTTGAGGCCAGGAGTTCGAGACCAGCCTGGGTGACATAGTGAGATCTTGTCTCTGCAAAAAAAAAAATGTTTAAAATCAGCCAGGTGTGGTGGTGCCTGCCTGTAGTTTCAGATACTCGAGAGGCTAAGGTGGAAGGATTGCTTGAGTCCAGGAGTTTGAGGCTGCAGTAAGCTATGATCATGCCATTGCAGTTCAGCTTTGGGTGACAGAGCAAGACCCTGTCTCAACAAAAACACAGAAGTATGTATAATGATATATAGTCCAGGTATTATTTAACAGTAATATTGTTTATTTTAAAATAGCAATTGTTAATTCATTGTGAAATCTATTTTTTTTTTTAAGAAAAGTATCCTTCAGTGTTTTTTTTTTTTCCTTTTTAACTTAGAAATTTTGGTGAGAAGAAAGTTATTTGATCTATGTATGTGTGGGATGCAGCACTGATCAAATGTGTCCATTTCTTCTGGTGAAATGTGTGAAGCACCTCCTAGGCTCCTCTTGTACTGTTCTCACTTCAGCAGAGCCAAAGAATTATCCTCTTCCAGTTGGTTGTATTGCTATTACTAGAATTTCCATATACTCAATGTGTCAAACATATTGAGAATATTTTAAAGTACAGCAGTTATTTGGAATAGTTGAAAAGCTAATTCATATTGTCCAGTTTAAAAGAAATCATAAGATGTTTCGTGTAGAAAGCAAAATAATTGTAATTTTAGTGTTTATACTTGCTCTTTTGCTAAAAGAAAGGTCAGTTTGGTGGTGATTATAGAACTTGGTATAGAATTCTAATTAAACTTTTCCCATTGTTTTCACCTAGGAAGCCTTGGAAGATCGTTTGGAAAGGATTAATCGAGAACTGGGTTCAGTTCGCATGACGCTAAAGAAATTCCATGTTTTGCGCACCTCTGCAAATCTTTGAGATTTGTAGCCATTAAATTTTGAGACATTTTTGTTTGCACTAATGTATAATTATGCAGTCAGAAAAGGCAAACTATTTTGTACTGTTTATAAGCCTTCAAACAGTAGTTTTACAATCATGCTATTCTTACACTTGCTATTTTATACTTCAAATGGCCACATATTTTCAAGATATTTTTGTTATGCTCAGGAATCTCTTGTATATTTTACTATTTAAAAAGCATTATTTTTAAATAGTATCTGTCTCCAATTTATATCAAGAATAAGGAAATATAAACAGAGGAAGCAGCTTGTTTCTAAACAAATAGTGTTATCCTTTTACAATTAACTGCACATCAATTTTATAGACTTGTTCTACATTGTAAATACAATTCAGTTTTTAAAAAATAAAGCTTAATAGCTTCCATAATGATAGACTAGTACATGCTGAATACATAAACAATTACAGTGTACCTTGGATTTCAGTTGTGTTGAGGTTTTTAAAAAATGATAATGCAATTCGTATTTGAAACGTGTCTTAGAGTGAATATCAGAATAGTAATAATGGACTCTTGGAAAGCTTTGAAAACTACATGAATATAACTCATTTTCTTTAAACTTTATTGTCTGTAAGAGAAAAAAGAGAGATTGTAATTCTCTAATTTTATCTTTTCTAAAAAAGTTAAACAATTGGAGAGCCCTCTCTGGAGGGCTCTCAGAGTAGCTCTCTGCCCATTGTTCTGAATTAACTTGTGTCCCACCCTGGACAATAAATGGACAGATAAACCCTTTGAAATACAAGCCACCACCCCGTGAGGGATTAAGAGGGCAGCCTGGTTTTCTTAGTGTGCATGGCTTCAGCTGTCCGTCATAGTTGTCATCTGGATATGTTCACCCCTTTCCACTCCTTCACCCTGGCCAAAAGGAAAATATTTCCACTGTAGGTGCTGTAAGAACACTAGACTTTAGATCATCACAATCTACTGTATTTGTTAATGGACAGGGAGTGTGTCCGGATGGAGCCTGGTGCCTTCCCCTCGGCCTTGCAGAGGGCTCCAGCCCACTGCCTCTGTGGTAGCCGCTGGCTCTCAGAAGTAGCACGTGGGCAGGAGTCTCTCCTCTGATCCAGGAGCATTGGCAGGTTTGTGTTGGGACTGCTGGTTAAGTTGGAGCTGTGTAACTACTTAGTTTTTGGTAGCCAATCAGAACGCAGTGCCCCACATATTCCAGCTCGGTACATGTTGATAAACAGACTCATCCAAACTTTCAAAATGGATTCGTACTAAACATGCTCAGGTTTTAAATTTTGGTTTGCTTTTGAGCTTTTCCTCTTTATGTGGCTCTTAATAATAAGTAGTTAGAATGAACCAAGCCATCCCAGTTATTCCAAGCAGGCTCTCAAATGACCTTTGAGCACCCTTCACCTGGCTGGTCCCCAGGCCAGGGGTCCACAGCCCTGCTCCCTTCTCAGCAAGGAGGGTGGCCTGTCTGACAGTGCAGTTGAACCTTTGCTCCCTACTCTGCAACTTTTGAAGACTTCAGGCTAATCAAAATTACTTATAATTAGAATCAAGTGCCTTTATTCTTGTTTTTTATTTTTATTTTATTTTATTTATTTATTTTTTTAGATGGAGTTTTGCCCTTGTTGCCCAGGCTGGAGTGCAATGGCATGATCTCAGCTCACTGCAACCTCTGCCTCCCGGGTTCAAGCGATTCTCCTGCCTCAGCCTGCTGGGTAGCTGGGATTACAGGCATCTGCCACCACGCCCGGCTAATTTTGTGTGTGTGTATATGTCTATGTGTGTGTGTGTATGTATATATCTTTTTTTTTTTTTTAGTAGAGATGGTGTTTCACCATATTGGCCAGGCTGGTCTCAAACTCCTGAACTCATGTGATCCGCCTGCCTTGGCCCCTCAAAGTGCTGGGATTACAGGCATGAGCCACCACACCCGGCCTATTCTTGGTATTCTTTATTCTTGGTTTTCTAGCCTTTAGAAAAAAAAAATCTAGTCTTGGTAAAGAAAATGTTCATTTTAATCAAGCTCCAGTACAGCTTGTGTCAAGACCTAGTAAGACCACCTTTAATGTGTTCCTGGATATGACATTAAAAACTAACTTGAAAATTGTTAGGATATTTCCTTGTTCCCTACTTTTATTGTAAAATCTACTACATTCTTAAGAATTAAAAAATGCCATTTCAGAAGAGATGATAGTTTTATCTTGCCAAGGAATTATCTTCTTAGTAGCCTATATTGGCTTATTCCAAAAAAGGCGTTAACCTCCATCAAAACATCTTCTGCGCCTCTCTCTCAGCATATGCTTTGATATTTGAAGTGTGTAATAGATTGGAGCTATCAGTCACTTATTTCTAAAAAATGTATTCTTTTTTCTTCATAGCTGTGAAGAGGGATACCAAGGAAAGTTCTTTCTGCTGTCTTTCTCTTCGGTAATGCTTATCTTATGAACACTCAACTGAAAAAACACTCCACCTAAAAGCAGGAAAGATGGCAATTCTAAATAGCAGCTATTATCCCCGGGTATAAACTATTTTTGTTGTTGGCTTGGGGCTTTGCTGCAGGTATTAATAGTTTAAAAAGAAAAAAAAAAAAAAAACCCTAAGCAAATCTGCCACCTCTGGGAAGTGCCTTTTAAAATGCAAATAGAAAGTGAACTCTCCCCTGATGCCTGGATCTGCCCCCTTCCTTTCCCTTGCTAAGCCTCTGTTTGCAGGAGCTACTCCTGAGGTATGGAAATGGTCTTTGCAACTGAAGGACTTTTCCAACTGAAGCAACAGATGTAGCTAAAGTGGCCGTGCTAGGGTTGTGCAGAGCTGGGCTCAGGGGACAAGAAAGGAGAGACTTGGAGCCAGAGAGACCTGGGTCACATCCTGGCACAGGCCTGCCTTTCTCAGCTATAAGATGAAATAAGAAAACTCCTTTCATTAAGGGAGATTTTGTAAAGTGCCTGGTGCTTAGTAAGTGCTCAAGAAATATTATATTTCAGATTCATTGAGTTAAGTAGGTTTTTGAGGTAGCATCCTTTTTTTTTTTTTTTTTTTTTTTTGAGATGGAGTCTCTAGTTCTGTTGCCCAGGCTGGAGTGCAGTGGTGTGATACTGGCTCACTGCAACCTGTCTCCTGGGTTCAAGCTATTCTCCTGCCTCAGCCTCCCGTGTAGGTGGGATTACAGGTGCATACCACGCCTGGTTAATTTTTGTATTTTCGGTAGAGACGGGGTTCTCACCATGTTGGCCATCCTGGTCTTGAACTTCTGACCCCAAATGATCTGCCTGCCTTGGCCTCCCATAGTGTTGGGATTACAGGCGTGAGCCACTGCGCCCAGCCTTGAGGTAGCATACTTTCTGAAATAAAAAAGTAGATTATGTCCGAAGCAGTTGACCTAAAAACTGCCTTGGACTGACATTTGTTAGGTGGTCTAAGATGTTCTCTTCACGCTTTGCAAAAAAATGAGCTTTTTTGGAGTTTAAATTAAGCATCCCTCTGGTGTGTTTGGTTTTTTAGCCACCAAAAATTTAACAAATTTGATAACCTGTCACGTGTAAGTTCAGAAAGCACTTTGGTCTTAATTGGTGACTTGGGGGTTATTTGGTATAAATATAGGTTGTTTTTCTAAAAATTATTGCCAGTATCCTCCAAATAATTGCCCCTTCAAATGTTTCATCTAAAGGTGACAGCTTGTGGGCAGAACCATGCACAGGAAGTGCCTGCCAGTGGGTGTTAGGAGATGTAGGTGGAGTCTGTGATAGCCAACCAAAAGCTATCCCCTTCTCGCCCAGAAAAGCCACGTGCTTTGCTGGACGCTACTTGAAATCTGAACTCTGCACCTACATATGTAGTAAAATTAGACACTTTTGTCACTTTAATTTTTAGATTATCTCAAGTTTTCACTAGATTTCAATGTGCCACTTGTGCTATGAGTCTTTAAGAAGCTTTAAAAAATAAATGCACACCTGTAGCCTTTTACCATTCAGACAGGTAGATTATATTTACCTGTCATGAGGGACCATGTATGGTTGACAGTTGCAGGTTTGATTAAATCCACTATATTGCACAAATTTTGCTGGAAATAATTTCCTGCCCTGCCAAGAGCTCTATGGTAGTTTGATAATAAACTACTACCCCAGTATTCTTAGGAACTGTGTTACTAAGTCTTTTCTGCCTGATTTGTACTTTATTTCCATAGACCCCTCAGATATGTGAGGAATCAAGCCATAAATGTGCATTTGCTGGACATTATGTACCATGTCATCTCTATGACTACAGATTTCAAGGATAATTTTTACATCTAACAATTTCACTGTAACAGTGACCGATAATGTGAGAAATGTGCTTTTTACAGTGCTGCTGGTGGGTAGACAAGTGCTTGCTGCAGTTGTTTCTGAATCTAGCCAGATGCTGGAGTCGTGAAGCTGTAAGCTCCGCGGGAGCAGGGACCATCTCTCTTTCTTGCACTACAGGCACTCAATAAATACTTGTGGCTGTGAACTGGCGTGTGGCCTTTGTGTGTTTATTTCTGCTAGCTGGCTGCAGGAGCGGGTTGTTGGTGATTTTAAGTCCCAGGCATAGAGAAGTCCTTGAGTTATGGGTTAAGGGGCGTCCATCCAGGAGCACAGTTCCCGTTGGGACTCTGTGGGCTCCGCAGATCTTTCTGGATGGATCCTAGGGCACCTCTTGGTGGAGGGAAGGAGCTGAAGCGTTCTAGGTGATGGTGGTACGCCTTGGTCCTCCTCTGCGTGGTCATGGTCAGGGGCACCTGGAGGCGAGTCGGGAACGATGGCCTTCCTGGCCCGTTCAGTTGGGTTCTGCCGTGACCCCAGGAGGTGAGCAGCTGTCAGGGGCTCGGCCTCCCCGGCTTCATCTGGAGTCATCTAGGCCGCCTTAATTTTAGCTTGTCCTCTCTCCTCCAGGGGAGCACCGCCGTCTCCTCAGCCTTATAAGGTGACAAGTAGGGATGGGTCACACATCACTAAGTTTTAGGTGTGCTCTCTTTAGTTCCATGACTTCAGATTTTGCCAAACAAGTCCACCCTGGCTCAACCTAACAAACACCTCATGTTTTTAAGGAATGTCACCAGGCGCTCCCCCACCGGGGGCTCTTCCCATTGGAGAGCCCTGTCGTGCCAGATCATCCGGATTAAACTGTTCGTGATCCTCTTCCAGCTACTCCCTGAGGTGGGGACCGGGACGGCTGCGCTCCCGGCTCTGCCGTTCCCTGGGCCGCGGCCCGGGCGTCCTGAGGGGAGAGCGCGGACCCACCGTGTGGCGAGCACCGCGCCCGGGGCTGGGCTTCGGTGAGCTGCCCGCTGCGCTCTGCCCTCCCTGGTTTACCATTTCGCTCCTAAGAAACTTCATTTTTTAAAATGAGGCTGTTTTAAGAGTCACAGTGGCCGCAAGTCGGCCGGTTCCCGCCCCCGAGTGCGCTCGGCTGCTGCGGACGGTGGGCGAGGAGCCCGGGGCGGGGATCCGCGCCGCCGCCCCCGAGTCCAGTCCCGGGCCCTGAGGACACGGGCGAGCCGGGGAGGAGCGGGGTCGCCGCGGCAGGTCTGAGGAACCAGGCGGGCTGCCCGAGTCGGAGAGGTTTCTTCCGGCGGAGGCGGCGGGGCCGGGCCGAGACTCCGCAGGGACGCGCCCCCGCCGCCGCCGCCGCCGCTCCCCCGCGCGGCCTGAGGAGGCGCCGCCGCCACTGAGGGAATGCGAGCCCGGCCCGGCGCGCGCGGGCAGCAGCGGCCGCTGGGGTGCGCGGGGCACCGCGGCGCCGCGGCGTAGAGCTGTCCAGCCGGCCCCGGCCGCCCGCCCGGCGCTTCCTTCTCAGCTCGCGGCCGCCTCAGCGAGAGCCGCCCGCCAGCACGTGCGCCGCCGCCGCCCGCCTGCGACGCTCGGGAGCAATGCCCGCCGGGGCTCTGCCGCTCGCCCGGGGCCAGCAGGCGGCGGGGGCGCGCGGGGCGCAGCCGGCCGGGCCGGGGCCGCGGGGCGGGCGCTCCCCGTGAGGCGGCGTGAGGTGGCGGCGGCCCAGCCGGGGCCCCGAAGAGGACAGAGCCCGCGGCCGCGCCGAGCGGGGTGAGTGCGTCCGGGCGGCCGCTCCGCAGGCCCGCGGTGAGTCCCGCAGTGCCGGGCGCTGGCCGGGGACCTGGGGATCTGGGCGGCGGCTCCCAGAGAGGCCCCGGCCCGCCCGCCCGCCGAGCCTCCAGCCCGCCGGGGGCTGGAGGAGGGAGCGGAGACCCGGGCAGGGAGGAGGG
Organism: Homo sapiens; assembly: GCF_000001405.40. NCBI lineage: Eukaryota > Metazoa > Chordata > Mammalia > Primates > Hominidae > Homo > Homo sapiens. The sequence goes on along the minus strand of NC_000012.12, from coordinate 123,150,573 downwards.
TGTGGCGTACGGGAGCCCCGCTCGGGAGACCGCCCGAGCCTGGCCTCAGTGAGTCGCCGGCCCTGGATCCGTGCCCGAAACGCTGATTTCCGAATTTCCGTCGGTCGCGACCGCGTGGGGGACCCCCGCCAGGGACAAGTGTCATAGCGGTCGGGGGGCAGGCGTGGGCAGTGCCGGTGCCAGGGCGAGGAAGGGGCTATCGGGAGGAAGCGGAGGTGAGCCCCCGGCCCGCCTTCTCTGCTTCCCGCCTCCAGCTGAACGTCCCCAGGCCCGGGCCGTGGCCTCTGCTTGTCGGGGGCCCAGGGTTGGGGTGTGGCCCGTCTCCATCCTCAGTGCCCCCTTCGTGTGGTAATGGGGTGCCGGCTCTGTCTTCTTCCCACCCCGAATCCTTTCTTATCCGTGGCAGGGCTGATCGGGGGGCCTTGGGGAGAGGGAAAGTTCAGTGTCCCCCGCCCCAGTGTGCACTGCCTCCCCGCAAGAAATCCCAAACGGCCACTCCAGGTGAACATAGTGCGCGCGGTGCAAATGTCATTTCAAGGCAAGTCCTCCAGGCTTGTCCCCTTTCCACCGACTTGCTCCTGCAGAGACATCCTGCACTCCTCTCCCTCCCACTGAAGTGTGGGCTGGGTGCCTCTCCAAACACCCCGGCCTACCTGCCTCCCCCACCCAGAGTCGGGATTCTTCAAAGGAGACCTCACTGGAACATCTGTCTTTGTCCACAACCAGCTCTCTCCCCGGCCTCCACCTGGGAGTGACCAGAGCTGCTAGGATAGACCCCCCACTTCTGGAGGGAAGGCAGTAAGTGCTCCCCTTCATCTGAATCTCCCCTAACATCCATCCCCCAGACTCCTCTCTGCTCTGAACTCCCACTGCCTGCTATCTGTATCTCCTGTGTAACTCTTATCACCGTCTGCCTTATTTTATAGTTACTTTTCCATCTGCCTTATCTCCCCTGCTGGACGGTGAGCTCCCGGGCTGGAGTTGATTCATCTCTGGTCTCCTGCCCTGGTCAGTACCCTGCGTGGAGTCAGTGTCTCCGTGGAGCAGAAGGCCCCTCCAACGCTTGCCTCTGGGACCATAGCTTGTCTGATTCCTGGACTGTTGCTGTTAAATTACTTTCCTTCCATGAAGGGACTGTATTCTGTGGTTGGAATGGACTTCCAGCCCTCTCCCACTGCAGAGAGAAACACAATGAGTTAGGAAGGGCTGTTTTTCTTGTAAGGAGTGGCTTGCCAAGTGAACAGGACAGTACATCCTCTGCCCTGAAGATGGCCAGGCAAAGACTCCAGATTCTCTGGGTAGTGAGTGTTGAATGGGCCATTCTCTCTCCTGGTCTTCCCCAGCTGCTCAGGCGTGGGAGGCAGCAGGGGAGAGAAGTGGACTGCGGGAGTCGAGAGACTGGGGTTCCAGGCCTGGCTTTTCCCATAACTTGCTACAGGAGCTTAACTAAGTCACTTGGTTTCTCTTGGTTTTGGTTGCACCTTATGGAATCTGAAAGAATTCCTCTGCGTATCTAAGGCCCCCTGGGATCTGGGTCCTGTCTACCTTTTCTGCCTCCTCTCCTACCATTTCATTCATACCCTAAGCTGCAGTCCTCTCAGGCTACCTAGAGGCTTTCAAAGGCATGGTGCTCCCATGCCCTCCCTCTCCCCAGGTGCCTTCAACTCTTCACTGGTTGAGACCCAGTCTTGGCCTTCGCAGGTGGAATTGGTCCCTCTTCTGATTTTCGAACCACCCTAGTCTGATTTGCTTGCCACACAGAATGGCCCTTATCTGTTTACACGTGCCCCCCACTAGACTGTGAGCTCCTGGGCGGTTAGTGCTGTATCACGTTTCTCTGCATCCCCAATGCTTTGCTGCACAGTAAGGTACTTAGGAAAATAGTGAGAGGGTTGGCCTAGATCACCACTGAGAGCCCTTCTTGTCCAGAGTTGATTGCTTATACATTCTCTGTTATGGGGACCCGTTGCCTTCCTCCGTGTCTAGAGGCCTGTTTTAACACCAAGCAGATAGATGCTCTCCTAACCAGCCCATCTAGTTAAAGTCTTTCCAACTTGGTCTTCGAGAAGACCAGTCATAGAGGATGTGCAGTTATCTGTAGAGATTAGCAGAGGAAACGTCTGGTACTTTGAGATCACTGCCTTGCTGTTTTTGGAAAAAATGCCAGGGCCGTGTGCTCTTTAATGTAAGCGTAGTGGTATTGCTCCAGTGTCTTTGGCCATGGGCAGGAGGAGCCACTGCTTATGACCGCAGAGTCAATCCAAAATGAGCCATTGTACGCCAGTTCTCAACTTCGCTTAGATGAGATCAATCCCTTTGCAGATAGTCACCCTGAAAGCTGCTTAACAGGACTCCCTGCCTCCAAACACAGATGCGGCTAAGTGGTCTTTGCACAGCTTCTCTGTAGGTCATTTGGTTGATGTTTATTAAGCTTTTACTGGTACCCTGGAATGTTATCAAATAGAGCCATGGCAAATCCTCATCTGGTTTACTCTAAAACCATAATCTGAGGCATTTTCCCCTTTCTAAAGGCTTCTTACAGTGACCCATATTAAAATTTTCTTTTAGAATTTAGGGCCAGGCAAACTTTGCCTTCCCGCAGGAAACTAGGTTGCTTTCTCCTTTGATAATGAAAAGGAAAGTGGGGAAGGAAAACACGTTTTGTTTGTATACTATGCACCATGCAGTGTGCTTGGGCCTCCCTGACACACTGTGCAGGGTAGGTTGTATTCTTCCCCTTTTTCCCAGAGAAAGAAGTTAAGACACACAGAGAGGTCAACTAACTTGCCCAAGTTTCCCTGGATTTGCACTCAGTTCTGCTTCTTTGCCACACTATGTGTGGCTCTTTCTATACCACACTGTCTTTCCAACTGATTATGTTTCTCCTCTTCTCCTTGGCTTCCAGGCTGCTCAGCACACAATGTGATATTCTGTCTAGCAACTATATTACCCTCAACATCAGCATATTTATTGCTGCTTTCCTGAACTGTCTCTTTTTCTGTGTGTGTGTTTATGTATAAATCTCTCTATATATATTCTTTATAAAGTCATCACAAAAGGCTTCTGGAAAACTGTATGGATAAGTGAATTAAATATAGTAAGTAACATTGCTAGCTGGGCGTGGTGGTGTGCGCCTGTAGCTGAGATGGGAGGATCCCTTTAGCCTAGGAGTTTCAGGCTGCAGTGAGTTATGATTGTGCCACTGCACTCCAGCCTGGGCAGCAGAGTGAGAAAAGAAAAAATAAATAAAAATAAAAAGGTAACATTGTACCTAACACACTAACTCACAGTGTGGTTAGGGAGATGAGTCCATGGGGAACAAAGGGTATGTGTGATAAGAGTTGTTGAAGGTAGAGTTCAGAGGAGGAGATGCCCTTTCTGGGTAAGGCAGTCAGGGTTGACTTCCTGAAAGAAGTGGGACTTGAAGGGGGCTTGAAGAATGGGTAGTTTTGATAGTCCACAGCAACTGTAAAGGTGTGTAGGACTTAGAGTCTAAAATCTCTGGTCATCACAATGGCCCTGCAGAACAGGTCTTCTGGTGGGAAAGGAGAGAATTGGTCCAGATATTAAAGTGGGGAACCTGGTGATGCCTTTTTCAAATCCTCTGTATCTTTGATGGAGGGTCCCAGAAGACTGGAGCTGGGAGGGCCTGCACCCTGTTGAGGATGAGAGGCAGAGGCTGGCAGAATAGAAGTGATTTGCACAAGACCTCTCTTCTAGCCTGGAACCCAAGTCCCTGATTACCGGTTTAATGCTCTTTTTTAAAAGTGACAGCCCTGTACATGGGTCCTTGTTTCCTGTGAAATGAGTATGGAGCATTGACCTCCTCACGCCCAACCTAGCAACACCAGGACAAACCTCTGCTAAACATTTATGGTCAAAGACACGACGAGTGCTGTTAGGAGGGGCAGGCTGGCATTTGCTTACTCTTTTTTTTTTTTAAACTTTTATTGTATTTTTTAAAAATTATTATTATTTTTAGATGGAATTTCGCTCTTGTTGCCCAGGCTGCAGTGCAATGATGTGATCTTGGCTCACTGCAACCTCTGCCTCCCAGATTCAAGCGATTCTCCTGCCTCAGCCTCCTGGGTAGCTGGGATTACAGGCGCCCACCACCACACCGGGCTAATTTTTGTATTTTTAGTAGAGATGGGTTTTGCCATGTTGGCCAGGCTGGTCTCGAACTCCTGACCTCCAGTGATCCGCCCACCTTGGCCTCCCAAAGTGCTGGTATTACAGACATGAGCCACCACGCCCAGCTGTTAACTTTTAAGTTCAGGGGTACAAGCACAGGTTTGTTGTGTCGGTAGACTTGTGTCATGAGGGCTTGTTATACAGATCATTTCATCACTCAGGTACTAAACCTAGTACCCATTAGTTATTTTTCCTGATCCTCTCCCTCCTCCCACCCTCCACCCTCCAATAAGTCCCAGTGTGTGTTACCCCCCTCTATGTGTCCGTGTGTTCTCACCTTTAGCTCCCACTTATAAGTAAGAACTTGTGGTGTTTGGTTTTCTGTTCTTTCATTAGTTTGCTAAGAATAATGGCCTCCAGTTTCATCCATGTTCCTGCAAAGGACATGATCTCATTCTTTTTTATGACTGTATAGTATTCTATACTATGTGTATATATACCACATTTTCTTTTCCAGTCTACCATTGATGGGGCATTTAGGTTGATTCCATGTCTTTGCTATTGTGAATAGTGCTGCAATGAACATACGTGTGCCTGTATCTTTATGATAGAACGATATTTTTAGTAGAGACGACGTCTTGCTATGTTGCCCAGACTGGTCTGGAACTCCCAGGTTCAAGCAGTCCTCTTGAGGTGTGAGCCATTGTGGCTGGCCAAATTACTTATATTAACAACTGCCCTTGCTAGAGGACACAAAGGAGATTAACCAACAGGCAGGTTTCCGGTAACAGACAAATCAAAAACCCAAGACAACCTTGGAGAGAGAGCATGGAAAAATCAGTTTCACACTCTCCTTGTTGAAGTTCCCCATTCTTCATAAAGCTTTTCCTTGAGTGCCATTGCCTCTGAAGTCCCTTATCTCTATTGTGGAAAGGGGTCTTATTAAGACCTGGCTAGTCAGAAAGATCAGAGGTCATGATCAGGGACGTCAGCGGGAGTCATGGGTCCAGGGAAAAGGCAGAGTGTTATCAGAGCAGCAGCAGGACCCAAGAGACCTCAAGGCTGATTCCAGCCTTGGAGCAGAAGCTGACAGCTCAAACTCCCTATTGGGTGTGGACATGCCAACCTGCAGCCTTAGGAGCACATGAATGTAGGGTGGAATAGCTCTGTCTGAGGAAAGTATATCCTGACTATGCATACATGTATGCATAGTTATTTGATTCATATTGTTGGCCATAGTTAGGTTCTTCTTTTTTTATTTTTTGTGACAGGGTCTCTCTCTGTCTCCCAGGCTGGAGTGCAGTGGTGCAATCATTGCTCACTGCAGCTTCAAACTCCTGGGCCCAATGATCCTCCTGCCTCAGCCTCCTGAGTAGCTGGGACTACAGACTTGTGCACCACGCTGGCTAACATAGTTATGTTCTATAAAGTCCCTCTTCAAACACTGAGTTAGTGAACACTGAACCACTGCTCCTAGGGAAAACACAGGGTTAGGCTCCTTTGAGCCTGCGGGGACAATATTTTCTTTAACCAATCCATATGTAATCTTATTTTATATATGTTTCTGTTAAAAGAGATCGGGCATGGTGGCTCATGCCTATAATCCCAGCACTTTGGGAGGCCGAGGCGGGTGGATTACCTGAGGTCAGGAGTTCGAGACCAGACTGGCCAACATGGTGAAACCCTGTGTCTACTAAAAATACAAAAATTGGCTGGGCACAGTGGCTCATGCCTGTAATCCTAGCACTTTGGGAGGCCGAGGTGGGCAGATAATGAGGTCAAGAGATCGAGACCATCCTGGCCAACATGGTGAAACCCCATCTCTACTAAAAATACAAAAATTAGCTGGGTTTGGTGGTGTCCATCTGTAATCCCAGCTACTCAGGAGGCTAAGGCAGGAGAATTGCTTGAACCCAGGAGGTGGAGGTTGCAGTGAGCCGAGATCGTGCCCCTGCACTCTGGCCTGGCGACAGAGTGAGACTCTGTCTCAAAACAACAACAAAAAAGACACCCTATTTAATATGTATCATTGATTCATTAACATTAAACTCCTGGCCATCAACACTGTGACTCATGTCTGAATGAAGCTTCTCTAACACAAGAGATTTTCTCTGCACATCATAATCATCTTGCACCCAAGAACTAGACTGCACCTCAGCACTGTGATTGGGGGCCATTCCAAACAGCAAAATCACCAACACAAAGCACACAAGTGCCAAAAATGTGGCACTGCACAGACCACAAAAAGGACACGTGTTTCCATTAGGAGAGCTGAGATGGGAAGATAGAGGATGTCCCCTCGTTCAACCTCAGCAGGGAATGTGCCATCAGGCAACTCAAATTTTTTGCCAATTTGCACAAATTTGAAAATGAATTTGAAAGCACCATGAGCATTGATTTTGGGGTTACAGATAAATTTTAGTGACTAGGGTAATTCACAAATATGGAATCCATGGATAGTGAGGATCTGCCACCTTTGGCATCATGTCAGCCCCCACGGTGTATCCAGCCTAGCTCAGGGCACCTCACAATGCTGATGGTACTTAATGGATGAAGACTGGAGCTGCGGGATGAGGCTGTGGGCAGATTCTTGTGTTTGCTTGTCTTAGGTGCTACAGAAAGACAAGCTGTCCTCCCTCAGCCCTGCTGTAGCTTCTTCTAGAAGGGCTGCTGCCAGCAGAATGGTGCCCATCTCTCTCTGCTCAAGTCTACAGGTAGGAGGGACCCTGTACTTTCATGCAGTGGGTTCTGGCGGCAGCCCTGCAATAGACTTGGCCTTTCTTAGGAGCTGAGACCAATCCTTCTCCCAAAGGAATAATCCTCTTACGGAGGTGTTTCAGGCCAAGATGGGGGGTTCCTGGGGCCCCCATGCCTCAAATTGTGGCCTTCTTATGCCTGGGCTCTCTCAGAGGAAGCTTTCCCAAGTCTTTTGCCTGTTGTGTGCCCTCTTAAGAGTTCGTACGTACGTCATACGGATTATTACTGTTTCTCCTCTGCAGAGCTGTTTATTTCCCCTTTTGAGAGGTGGCTCCTGGGGAGGGCCTGAATTTTCTCTTTTGGCAGCTGGGGGGCTTCCCTTCCAAGTCTGACTCACAGGCTGTGCTGTGGAGCAGGGCTGTGCACTTTGCTTCTGTTGTCCTCCTGGGATTAGAATCAGGCCCTTGGGCTTCCCAGCCCCCTAGGGAGGGCTCACTGGGCACCAGTGTCCTGCATGAGGTGGTGAGCCAGTGGGAGAGCTTGTTATGGGTGCTGCTGGCTCCACCCTCTGCTGTCTCTCTAGACAGCCCCTTGGAGGGAGGGATCGAGGGAGGGGGGAGGGGGATAGGGATGGGTGTGTCAGGGTAGAAATAGGTGGCTATTCCCAGCTTTCATCAGTGGCGTGAGGTTGTCTGAGAGGCAGGGCTTCCCCACAGGTGTGGATGCGTGCTTAACACTGGCTTGGCGACGGTGCTCTGGAGAACAGGAGGACATTCTTCCTCTCACACTGAAGGGCCCATTTAAGTGCTTTCCTTGGTACTTTATAACAGTTGACTTTTCACTTGCTTTTTTTTTTTTTTCATAAGAGGGAGAAAAACTCAACATTTTTTGCAATTAGAATTTTTCCCATGTGGGTAATCACACTGGAAAAAAGCATTTAAATCCTTTGAAAACCACACATAAGTGAGGCTCACGGAGCAGGGGGAACATTCAATCAGCAGGGGTGGCCAGACGTGGAGGCACTTCAGCGGGTTATCGTGTAAGGAAACAATTATTTTACATTTATTTTGGGTTTGCTTGTTGCAGCATATTTCAATTAGTTCATCAGTGTTGTGCATCTGACAGGCCAAACGTTTATTGTGGTTGAACCATCTGGGAGGTGGGAGGCCTGCAGCCTTCCCCATGGCAGTCAGGAACTACTAGTTTAAAGGAAATTTGTTTGATGTGTTTAAGAACCCAACACTAAAACACCATTAATAACAAAATCCTCAAGAATTCTGAAAGCACTCTCACCTATTTCGCCATCAGTTGGGCATGCATCACTCGAGACTTCATTCTTCCCCTAAGCGGGACATTTTCCAATACGCTGAAGCAAAGTTTTGAAGTGGCTTACTTAATTGGTCCAGAGCACGATTTGTATTAACCCAGCAAGGAAAATAGCTCACTAATTTATATTTGAGTGTGAAATAGCTTATGCATTTGCTGCTGGGAGTAGCAAGGGATGCATTTAGCGGATTCTTGCCATTAGTATGCAGCTGAGCTCCTGTCCTGTACTGTGATAGAGAGTATTAGTTTGACTTCAGTTCCCAGCCTTGGGTGACTCACCAGAGCATTGTGAGTTCACGGTAGTGACTGCTGACCGGTGCAATTTGTCGTGCACTCTTTGAATACCAAGATTTTATAGTACCTGATTTCACCCATTTTTCATTTTACTTCAATTATTCCTCCCCACCACACCCCCACTAAAAGTTCTCTTTCCTGAGGAATGTTCTGTCTGACTTTCCAGCAGGGGGGATAAAGGAATTTAGAATCAAACAAATAGGAGAGCCAGAAGGAGCACTGGAAAAAACCGAGTCCAAGGGTTTGACCTTTCCACAAAGGGGAATGACTTTCCATTTCCCTGAAACCCTGAGATCACAGGGCTGGGTGTGGGGTGTTGGCAGTGGAGCGGGATTAAGACTCAAGGACACAGCTAGTGAGCTGGAGGCCGGCTCATAAAATCTGGGACGTGCAGCTCACTCAGGTTTGTCTTGGTGGCCTGGGAGCTGCAGGACTGGTGCTTGCAGGGTTCAGGCCAGTGGCTCCTATACCATACCCAGCCTCGTCGACTCTGTGTTATGGGCTTTTCTGGTGCTTAAGATTCCTGCTCCAGGAGACGGCTGCTCTTCCCTCTCCAGGAGACGGCTGCTCTTCTTTCTCCAGGGAAGCCTCCAAACCAGAGGCATCCCTGGCGTATCCCAGCTGCTTCTCAGGCTGGGGGGATCTTAGCTATTTGTGTTTGAGTTGCTGGTGCCAGGCCCAGTGGCATGGTAGTGATCCAGCGTCTGTGGATTGTTCTTGCAGAGGCAGTGGCTGGAGGTGCAGAGGGGAGGGGCCTTTCCCGCTTACCCACCTTTTGTCTAAGACACCGCAGTGCATGGCATACTTCTGCCCATTGTGCTTCACAGGACTCTCACAAATGTTGCTGTGCCCATTTTACAGGTGAGGAAACTGAGGCTCAGAGAAGTCATGGTATGGCCCTCAGTGCTTTCATTTTTTGTGTCTCACAGATGGGGACCCTAAGACTCAGAGATGTCATGACTTAGGCCTCACCACACAGGGAGTTAACTGCTGGCTGGACTCTAGACCTGATCCCTCATGTTCATGCTTGTGTTTGGTCATGTTCTGTTACACAGCCTGTGCTGTTGTTTTAAAAAATCCATCAGTATTTCCTGATCTAGTTGAGTCTAAGCAGTACAAAGTACCTTTCAATTTGGGTTTGTATGGGGTTTTTTTTTTTCCCTTTTCTTTTTTCCAAGAGGAAAACAGAATTCCTCTTCTGTTTGTTCTGTAGCTTTTCCTTTTCAAAGAGGCCAAAGGGATGCATGGACTTAGAGCAGATTCACCAAGACAGGATTACATGCTCTGGGATCACATCTGTCTATGTGACTTTGAGGCCAAATTTGGACCTACTTGTGAAGTTGTCCAGCCATGCACCTGTAGGCTGGAGGTTAGAGAGCAGGAGTGGGGTCTAGCTAGGCCTCTGGGGTGTGGTCCTGGGGGGTTTAGGAGTCTTACTTGAGAGTCAGTGCCTTTTTCTCCCTTTAAGGGAGAACAACGTTCAGACTGGCTGGGTGACAGCTGGTCAAGCAGATCCCTGTTTATGGCCTCCTTTCTGTTAGGGGGTGGGGCAGGGGATTTTTTTAAAAAGAGCACAGTTCCTAGCGGCTTGTCCTGGAGGAGGGGCCTCGCTCACCTCCAGCCAGAGCCAGCTTAGTCTCCATCTTTCCCTGAGCCTGCTCATTTTTGCTCTTTTCCTTGTTCTCTGACTCATTAAAGAAGGAGCAGGGGCCCAGAGCTGACCTCATGAATAGGGCAACAGGAAGCCAGGTTGGGGAGGAGGAGGCTGGAACTGGTGGCTGTGTCCTCTGGGGGTGCCCACTTTCCTTGCTGTCTCTGGGCTGTTCTGGGCTGAAGGAGCAGAAGGGCCTGTGGCCACTGGGCTAAGAGGATTAAGAGGTGATGCAGGTGGTCCCAGTGTGGGAACCTCTGACTCAGGTCCCCTTAGCAGGAGTTATAGGGCCTGCGTTCCCCGGGGGCCTAAGGGGGCATGTTCAGAGCAGCTGAACCTGGTTCTTGATCTAGATAGAGACACATCCCTTGAACTTCTCAGACCATCTAGAGTCAGACCTGCGTTGCTGTCCTCTTGATTTAGCTCCCAGGACCTGGGTGTCCCAGCCAGCCTGTGGGGTGCCAGGGGACACTGAGTTATCCCTTTTTAGGTTTCCTCAGGTTGCCTAACTTGGTTCTAAATTTGAAAGAGGGATTTAATTAAATCTCTGGATGAAAGAAAACTTGGGGGAGGTGGTCTGTGGGGAAGGGGTGATAATAAGTCATACCTGGAAAAGTAGAAGTGGACTACTTGGCCTCTGGGATGGACAGGGATTCCCCAGAAAGCAAACAATGAGGTCTCAGGGCTGGGCCTCCCTTCTCTCCAGGTGGTGGATTGCCAGTTTATTCCTACTCTCACTATAGTCTTGCCTAGGTGCTTAGAATAACCCAGAAAGATTCTAAGCTTCTGGCCATGTTAAGGCCTCAGATGCAGAGAGAAAATGCAGTAGATTCCAGCAGATGTGGTGTGTGGGAGAGGACAGGAAGGGTCTCTGGAAGCCCAGTGGAAAAAGAGAGGCACCAGGTGAGGCTTTGGACAGAGCAGGAAAGAAGGCAGAGATGTGCAGTTGTCTGTTGTTTTTTTTTTTTTTTGAGAGGTAATCTCTCATTGTCGCCCAGGCTGGAGTGCAGTGGCACGATCTCGCCTCATTGCAAGCTCCGCCTCCCGGGTTCATGCCATTCTTCTGCCTCAGCCTCCTGAGTAGCTGGGACTACAGGCGCCCGCCACCACACCCAGCTAATTTTTTTGTGTTTTTAGTAGAGACAGGGTTTCACTGTGTTAGCCAGGATGGTCTCCATCTCCTGACCTTGTGATCCGCCTGCCTCGGCCTCCCAAAGTGCTGGGATTACAGGTGTGAGCCACCGTGCCTGGCCAACGATTGTCTGTTTTTAAAAACTGAGGTGAATTTACACATGATATGAAATTAACCATTTTAATTATTTATTTATTTATTTTTGAGACAGGATCTCACTCTCTCCCAGGTTGGGGTGCAGTAGCACAATCGTAGCTCACTGCAACCTCAACCTCCTGGGCTCAAGGGATCCTCCTGCCTCAGCCTCCCAAGTAGCTGGGACTACAGGCGTGCATCACAGTGCCTGGCTAATTGCCTAATTTTTTGTAGAGACAGGGTCTTGCTATGTTGCCCAGGCTGGTCTTGAACTCCTGGCTTCAAGTGATCCTCCTGCCTGGGCCTCTCAAAGTGCTGGGATTACAGGTGTGAATCACTGTGCCCAGCCTGTAAAATTAAAATTTAATTTTATAAAATTGAAAGGATTTTTAAAGTATATAATTCAGTGTTATATAGTATATTCACAGCAGTGTGCACTCACTGGCTCTATCGAATTCCAGAACACTTTCATCACTCCAGAAGGAGACCCTACACCCATTGGCAGTCACTCCCCATTCTTCCCTCTCCCAGCCCCCTGGCAACAACTCATCTACTTTCTGTTTCTATTGATTTACCTGTTCTGAACATTTCATATTTATATTAAATGGAATCATATAATGTATGGCCTTTTGTGTCTGGTTTCTTTCACATAACATAGTGTTTTCAAGGTTCAACCATGTTGTATCATGGATCAGTACTTCATTCCTTTTTTTGTGGTAAAATATACATAATATAACATTTACCATTTTAAACATTTTTATTTTTGAAACAGGGTCTCTCTCTGTTGCTTGTGCAGTGACACCAACACAGCTTACTGCAGCCTCGAACTCCTGGGCTCAAGTGATCCTCTTGCCTCAGCCTCCCGAGTAGCTGGGACTACAGGCACGCACCACCATGTCTGGATAATTTTTGTATTTTTTTGCAGAGATGGGGTTTTGCCATGTTGCCCAGGCTGGTCTTGAACTCCTGAGCTCAAGCGATCCACCCACCTCAGCCTCCCAAAGTGTTGGGATTACAGGCGTGAACCATTGCACCGGCCGTCTTTTCTTTTTAAGACTGACTAATGGTTCATTGTAGGCATACACCACATTTTCTTTCTTCATTCATCCATTGATAGACGTTTAGATGTTTCTGGGCTAGTGAAATTTTGACTTTGGTTTGCCTCTGGATGAGGAACAACAAAAGACAACTGAACTAGGAGGGTTTAGGGACCCAGAGACATCAGTTGTCCCATTTCCAAGGTAAGTGACCACTGACAGTTGCATCTTTCTTTTGTTTTGCTTTCTTCTTCTTCTTCTTTTTTTTTTTTTTTGAGACAGAATCTCGCTCTGTCACCCAGGCTGGAGTACAGTGGTGTGATCTTGGCTCACTGCAGCCTCCATCTCCCGGGTTCAAGTGATTCTCCTGCCTCAGCCTCCTGAGTAGCTGGCACTACAGACACGCACCACCACGTCCCGCTAATTTTTGTATTTTTAGTAGAGATGGGGTTTCACTTTGTTGGCCAGGCTGGTCTTAAACTCCTGGCCTCAAGTGATCCGCCTGTCTCGGCCTCCCAAAGTGCTGGGATGATAGGTGTGAGCTACTGCACCCAGCCACGAGAGCACCTTTCTGTGCCTTGGTTCCAATACCCACCTGGTAACAGTAGCAGTGGTCCCTCAAGGCTGCTGTGTGGATTCAGAGAGACTGGCTGGGAGGGTGGCTTTATGAGCTGTCAAGTACACTCATGAGCTGCTGTTGTCCTGGTCAGGCACAGAGCAGGTATTCATCAGTCATGAGTATGAGGGTTGGTAGGGCACAGCCTTCTTCTGCCCACCTCGGCCTTCCATGATCTGGAAGGAGCCAGAGGGGCTCACCTGTGATTCTATCTGCCAGAGGGCCCCCTTTCCTGAAGAGGTTCTGGGGCCAGCTCCAGGAAAAGGTGGCAGGTATGTGTCCTGGCTCTTGGTGGCCTTCAGAATGTGTGCTGACTCCTAACAGATAGTGGTAGGGAAGGCACGAGACACATAGCCTCCTGTAGTTCTGTCCCCTTGGTCCGCCTCTTTGGTGCTCCAGGAAATGAATCCAGGAGGATGACATGGGCAGCCGCCTGGGTGGCTGGCTCAGAGCGGAAAGTCAGTCTGGCATTCACGAAGTCACACTTGCCCTCATTAGGCTAATTAACTTTCGATGTGGAAGTGCTCCATGAGCAAGTGACTTAGGAAATCCATTATCAGGCCAGGGTCAATTTTGTGTGCTGTGGTGCCTATGACGCTGTTCTGTACATTTCCATATTCACCAATTAAGGGGGCTTAATTATTATTATTATTTTTTTTGAGACGGAGTCTCGCTCTATCTGGCCAGAGTGCAGTGGCACAATCTCGGCTCACTGCAATCCCTGCCTCCTGAGTTCAAGCGATTCTTCTGCCTCAGCCTCCTGAATAGCTGGGACTACAGGCGCCTGCCACCATGCCTGGCTAATTTTTTGTATTTTTAGTAGAGACGGGGTTTCACTGCATTAGCCAGGATGGTGTCAATCTCCTGACCTCGTGATCCACCCACCTCAGCCTCCCAAAATGCTGGGATTACAGGTGTGAGCCACCATGCCTGGCCAAGTGCTTAATTATTAACTTAGGGCTGGGTGACTAAGGAGGAGTTGCATTCAACATGCTTTGAGAATTTTAAGGCCATTTGTGAATTAGCTGTAATATGGTAAATAATCATACTCTTAATCTTGTGAGCTGTGTTCTAGATTACATGGAAGATAAGCTGAGGCCGAGGGGTTGATTTATTGAAGGCCACAGGGATTGAGACTGAGGGGGAGTCAGAAAGAACAAGAAGGAGGCCCTTTTCTTTAACACCAAGTTAAATTTCTATTTTTTGTTATTTTTTCTGGTTTTGATAAATGAGTTTAATTTTTTTTTTTTGAGACAGAGTCTCGCTCTGTTGCCCAGGCTGGAGTGCAGTGGTGCGATCTCGGCTCACTGCAAGCTCTGCCTCCTGGGTTCACGCCGTTCTCCTGCCTTAACCTCCCAAGTAGCTGGGACTACAGGTAACTGCCACCACACCTGGCTAATTTTTTGTATTTTTAGTAGAGACAGGGTTTCACCAAGTTAGCCAGGATCTTCTTGATCTCCTGACCTCGTGATCCACCTGCCTCAGCCTCCCAAAAGTGCTGGGATTACAGGGGTGAGCCACTGCGCCTGGCCAAAAAAATTTTAAGTAATGTATGTTCATGGGAAATTAACAAAGATAAATTAAAAAACCAAATAATTAAAAAATGTCCATCAACTGATGAATGGGTAAAGAAAATGTGGTATATACATTCAACAAAATATTATTCAGCCATGAAAAAGAAGGAAATCCCAAAATGGGTAGGGTGGCACGGGCTTGCAGTTGCAGCTACTTGGGAGGATCACTTGAGCTCAGGAGTTTGGGGCTATGGTGTGCTATGATCTCGCCTGTTAATAGCTACTGCACTCCAGCCTGGGCAGCGTAGCGAGACGCCGTCTCTAAAAAACCAAACAAAAAGGGAAATCCTGCCACGTGGAATAACATGGATGAACGTTTAGGACATTATGTTACATGAAATAGAACAGTCACAGAAACGCAAATACTGCATGATCTCACTTATACAAGGTACCTAGAGTAGTCAAATTCATAGACTCAGAGAGTGGAATGGTGGTTGCCAGGTCTGAGGGGAGGAAGCAATGGGGAGTTAGTAATCTACAGGCATAATGTTTTAGTCAAGTGAGATGAATAAGCTCTAGAGATCTGCTATACAACATTGTACTTATAGTCAACAATAACATATTTTACACTTAAGTTTTGTTAAGGGGGGGGGTCATATGTTACTATGGTTATCACAGTAAAATTTTTAAAACGTCAAATGGTTTAAAAATATTTAAAATGAAAGTACATTATTCCTAGCTATAAACATGTTTTATTTTTGCTTTTTTAAAAAAATGGAACCTGAACCTACCTATAGGCTGCAGGTTTGTTCCTGCCACCGGGAAGGATCCCACCTTCACCCTGGACGTCTTTGCTTGACTTCTGCCTTTGTGGTCTCCTAGACTGGGTGTGGCCACATTTAATTCAGCATGTGTAAAGTGCTGGCTGGTGTGGGGCGTTTCCAGCTGACACAGAGTGGGCACTGCGAAAGGCTGCTTTCCATGAGAATGTCTGTCCACATGGTTAGGTTCCCAGGCTAGCCCACCAACAAAACATGATCTATCGTGCAGCTGAATTTCTGAGCTTTCTCCTGCTAGGCCCACCAGCTACAGCACCTGTGCTTGTTGGGGAACTTACTGAATATCAGAGCCTCACTTCATCCCACAACAACCCTCTGTAGTCAGCTCTGTTGTACAGATGAGAAAACTGAGTCCCGCAGAGGCCTTATTTCCTCAAGGTCCCATGGCTAACAGATTCAAATTTAGGCCACCTGGCCCTGAGCTTTATGTTAAAGTGCTGCTTTTGACAGTTCACCACACAACGGGCCTATTTTGGAGTTAAATAGGCTTTTGGAGTTAAGTAGGCTCAAAAGCCTACTTAACCTTGGAATCTAAGCATTTTGTAAAACCTTTTTTTTTTCCCTTGTAAGTGGGAAAACCTGTCCTGGGCGCACCCAAGAAGGAACACTTCATGTTTTCAAGGCTTGAGAGGAGCCTCCCTGCAGCCTGGTTTGAAGGAGGCATTTGTGTGTGCAAGAACGGTTGTGCCTGGAGGGCTTCCTGGCACTGACTCATGCGAAGCCCATTTGTCCAGGACCCTGTGGGTGACACCGCCGCAGACTCTTGCAGGAGGTGTGGAGTGGTGGTTTCCATCACATCACCAATGTCCTGGGTGTGCTCTTACCTGGTCATATGGCTCAGGGGTGGTCACCGGGCTTGGCAGACCCCAGCACTTTGGGAGGCCAAGGTGGGCAGATCGCAAGGTCAGAAGATCGCGACCATCTTGGCTAACATGGTAAAACCCTGTCTCTACTAAAAATACAAAAAATTAGGTGGGCGTGGTGGCACGCGTCTGTAGTCCCAGCTACTTGGGAGACTGAGGCAGGAGAATAGCTTGAACCAGAGGCGGAGGTTGCAGTGAGCCAAGATCACGCCTCTGCACTCCAGCCTGGGCAACAGAGCGAGACTCGATCTAAAAAAAAAATGGATAAAGTAGCTCCTGGTTGGAGATATTCCTTATATTGTTGAAATCTTTGCCTATCCCTCAGTCTCTATGTTTTTCAGAGTAATGAGGCTGGGGCCGGATGCGGTGGCTCACGCCTGTAATCTCAGCACTTGGGAGGCCAAGGTGGGCGTATCACCTGAGGTCAGGAGTTCAAGATTAGTCTGGCCAACATGGATCTGGGGACATAGAGATTTGAGCAAACTTTTTCGTGTACAGTGAGGGAGGAGCGTGTGTGTGTCTGTGTGTGTGTGTGTGTGTGTGTTCATTAATAATTGTGATGCTAAGATTGCCTTCGGTAGTTCATCTGGATATTTTTTCCACATTCCTCATGTTTCTACTTTTTCCTGTATTTTGGATTCTCCATTTGAAGGCAGGGAAAGAGGAGGAGGTTGAAGGGAAAAGTATTCTAGTCCTTTCCAAACATTATCATGGAAGATTTATCAAGGGAGATCGAAACAGTCTCTTCTTCCCACCACCTACTATCATCCCACAGAGTTTAAGAAAATACTCAAATTCTCTCTCTTCCATTGGCATCAGATTCACAGCCCTGCCTGTGGTGGGAAGTGACTTTGGTGCATTGGCTTCATTCCCACAGTGGACATAATTGAGGCTCTGAGTGATCAATGTATTTGTTCAGGGTCACACAGCCAGCAGACACCAGAGCTGGAACTAGAATTGGATTTTCCTGACTCTACAGCCAGCATTCTTCTTTCTGCTGCTCTGTACACAATGGCAGGAATGAAGTAGGCAGATGGCAGGGATTTGCCATGGAGCCATATCTGGGGCTCTTATGGGACTTGCCTCTTCCCTGCCTCTAAAATTTCAGGTTTGGCAAGTATTGGTGAGGATGTGGAGAAATTGAAACCCTCGTGTGTTACTGGTGGGAATGTCAAATGGTTGCAGCTGCTGTGGAAGACAATTTGGTGGTTCCTCAAGTGGTTAAACACAAAATTCCCATATGACATAGTAGTTCCACACCTAGTTCTAGGTCTATACCCAAGAGACTTGAAAGCAGGGACTTGAACAGATACTTGTAGCTTAATGTTCATAGTAGTGCTGTTCTCAGCGGCCAAAAGGTGGAAACAACTCAAGTGTCCAGCAGTTGATGAGTGGATAAACAGAACGTGGTCTGTTCATATGCCATACTGTTTGGTTCCATCAAACAATATGTGTCAGCATTCCATTCCTCTTTATGGCCAAATAATATTTGCCAAGTATTGAATGAACCATGGATGAACCTTGAAAACATTTTAAATGAAAGAAGTCAGACACAAAAGGACAATATTGTATGATTCTACTTATATGAGGTACCTAGAATAGGCAAATACACAGATACAGAAAGTAGAATAGTGTTTATCAGGGGTTGGGGAGGGGAGATGGGGAATGAGTGTTTAGTGAGTACAAAGCTTCTGGTTGGGATAATGAAAATGCTCTGGAAGTGGATAGTGGTGGTGGTTGTACAACATTGTGGATGTCCTTGATGCCACTAAATTTTACACTTATAAATTGTCAAAATGGTAAAAAAAAAAAAAGGGAAAGAAAAGAACAAAAGAATGACAACAAACAAAAATTTCAGGCTTGTAGGGCTGTTCATGAATACTGCTGAGAACCTCCAGTGGCTCTCGGGGCTGGACCACACCTGGCCCTGTGTTTATGGAGCCCTGGCTTTCCCAGACACTGGGAGAGGCGACCCCACACCTGTGGCCCAGCTGAGAGCTCCTTGCTCAGCAGTGTACCCGCCATGCTCTTGGGGGAGTGGAGGTGGGTGTTCCTGGCAGTTAACGGCCATGTCTGGTCACTGCGTATGAATGACATCTGTCTCTGCAACGCTTGTGCACCTGACGTTGGGCATGTCCTTATATGGCTCTCGCTTGCTCTCAGTGAGTGGAAAGATAAATACCTTTTCAAAGAGCAGATGCCAACTGCCTGCGGTCCCTGGCATCCACAGCTGCAGAGCGAGTGGGAGACAGTTCTGTCGAGAGGCAGGTGCTTCAGTCCTGGGGGAATCGGGCACTGGGTGTGCTGAGAACCCAACAGGCCTCATGCAGACAGCCTGAATGTGGAGCAGGGTTCTGCCACGGACATGTTGTGGGATCCTGAGCAGGTCACATGCTTTCTCAGAGCTTCTCTTTCCTTCCTGCCTCTGGTTGGTCCTGAGGTTTAAAGGAGAATGTATGTGAAAGGGCCTAGCACAGTTCCTGGCACCTCCCAGAGCTTGACAGGCACTTGGATTCATCCTTGTGTCTGGCACATGTGATGATCCCTTCCAGTAAGCAGTCACAGTTGGCTGGGGGCTGCTTCTTCCATCAGGACCTAGCACAGACACAGGCTAGGAGCTGCTCTGGAAGGGCAGTGGAAGGTGTGGCTGGCTGGCAGGGTGAGGTTCTGTGACTGGGGCAAGAGTAAGGGTGATGTCCTGGAGGGATTCCAGATGGAACCAGACTCTCCCTCTGCCTCCTGGAGCCTCTGCTCCTAGGGCAAGCATGCAGGGGCTTGTGCACTACCATATCTCTGTGTTAATTCCCTAGGGCTGCCATAACAACCCACCACAACTGGATGGCTTAAAACAATGAAAATGTATTCTCTAACAGTACTGGAAGCCACACATCCAAATTTTGGGTTTCGGCAGTTTGGTTGCTTCTAGAGACCGCAACGAGTATCTGTTCCCGGCCTCCCTCCTAGCTGCTGGTGGTTGCAGGCCATTCTTGGCATTCCTTGACTTGAAGACACATAATTCCAACCTCTGCCTAAGTTGTCACATGGTTGTCTCCCTCTGTGTCTATCTGCCTCTGTGACTTTTCTCTTATAAGGACACCAGTCATTGGATTTAGGGCTCACTCTACTCCAGTGCAACCTCACCTTAACTAATGACATCTGCAGTGACCCTATTTCCAAGTAAAGTCACATTCTGAGTTTCTGACAAGGATATGAGTTTTGGGAGGACATTCTTCAACCCATATAATCTCCATATTTGTTGAATGAATGAATGAATGTGAAAGCCATCCTCACATGTCTGCTCAGGTGTATTGATGTAGAATAGAAGGTGGGGATGTCTCTGGTGCCCTAGGCATGTGAGGGTGGGGTGGGGGACAGCACCAGGATCATCCCCTTTTCCTGTCCAAGCCTCTCCTATTTCTGGCCTCTACACCCTAAGCTTAGCACCCTGGCCACCTCCTGACTCAGCCAGTTTTTCAGGTAGAAGCAATTACATTTATTACAGGGAAGGCTGTTCTCACCTTCCTTTCTGCCCAGCATCTCAAAACTCTTTTTTTTTGAGATGGAGTCTCGCTCTGTCACCCAGGCTGGAGTGCAGTGGTGCGATCTCGCCTCATTGCAAGCTCCGCCTCCTGGGTTCACGCCATTCTCCTGCCTCAGCCTCCTAAGTAACTGGGACTACAGGCGCCCGCCACCACGCCCGGCTAATTTTTTGTATTTTTAGTAGAGATGGGGTTTCACCATGTTAGCCAGGATGGTCTTGATCTCCTGACCTCGTGATCCGCCCGCCTCGGCCTCCCAAAGTGCTGGGATTACAGGCGTGATTGCCGGGCCAATCAAAGCTTTCTTTTGTTTCTCTTCCCCTTCCCCTTGGAGCCAAGAAGGACACAAGGATGGCTCGGTGGCCTTGGGCAAATGACCCTGCCCCCAACCTTAGCTTCTGTTTGCAAATGAAGGAGGCAGAGCTGGGTGTTTCCAAAGGTCTTTTGCATCTATAATTATCTCTACTGTTTTACTGCTGAGATAATTGTGGGCCAGGAAAGTGTGCCCTTCCGTCCCACACAAGGCAGGACTGAAATCCATAGGCCCTCATTTCCAGCCTGTCCCCAAATGCTCTGTGCCATCTCCTGGAAGCCCTCTGGGATTAGCATGATTCATATGTGGTTCCCTGGGGTCCTCACTGTGCCCTGTGTGTGACACATTAATTCACAAGTACTACTGGCCTGGGCGACTTATCGAGACCCCATCTCTGCAGAAAATTTTAAAAATTAGCTGGGTATGGTGGTGTGTACCTGTAGTCCCAGCACTTGGGAGGCCAAGGCGGGAGGATCACTTGAGCCCAGGAGTTTGTGGCTGCAGTGAGCTATGATCGTACCACTGCACTCCAGCTTGGGCAACAGAGCAAGACCTCATCTCAAAAAAAAAAAAACGCAAAACAAAATTCACAAGTACTAGCCTGCCATTCAGATGGTATGCAGGAGTGTGCATGTTCATGTGTGTGTGTTGTTTTCCCCGTGTTCCTCTCCCCTCTGTTTCCTCTGTAGGCAAGAACTCTATGCATTTTTCTGTGTCTCTGTGTTCCCCCAGTACAAGTACCCAGCACAGGACTCATTATGCTGGGTTGTGGGCCAGCCTCAGAAACATAAATATTAGGAGATCTACTAAAAGAAAAAAGAGAAAAATATACAAATAAAACAACTACTGTGCTTTCAGTTGATGCCAGAAAAGCATTTGATAAAGTTCACTATCCATTTAATTTTTTTTTTTTCTTGAGACGGAGTCTCTCTGTTGCCCAGGCTGGAGTGCAGTGGCGCAATCTCGGCTCACTGCAAGCTCCGCCTCCCGGGTTCACGCCATTCTTCTGCCTCAGCCTCCTGAGTAGCTGAGACTACAGGCACCCGCCACCATGCCCAGCTAATTTTTTTTGTATTTTTAGTAGAGATGGGGTTTCACCGTGTTAGCCAGGATGGTCTCGATCTCCTGACCTCGTGATCCGCCCGCCTCGGCCTCCCAAAGTGCTGGGATTACAGGCGTGAGCCACCACGCCCGGCCTATCCATTTAATTTTTTTAGAGACAGGACTCCCATGTTGCCCAGGCTGGCCTTGAACTCCTGGGCTTAAGGGATTCCCCTGCCTCAGCCTGCCGAGTAGTTGGGACTACAAGTGTGCGCCACCATGCCTAGCCTCATTACTCCTTTTTTTGAGATTGAGTTTCGCTTTTGTTGCCCAGGCTGGAGTGCAATGGCAGTGATCTTGGTTCACTGCAATCTCTGCCTCCCGGGTTCAAGCAATTCTTCTGCCTCAGCCTCCTGAGTAGCTGTAATTACAGGTGCCCACCACCACACCTGGCTAATTTTTGTATTTTTAGTAAAGACGGGATTTCGCCATGTTGGCCAGACTAATCTTGAACTCCTGACCTCAGGTGATACGCCCTCTTGGCCTCCCAAGTGCTGAGATTACAGGCGTGAGCCCACTGGCCCCAGCCTCATTAATCTTAAAAACGTAGAGACTGAGGGATAGGCAAATATTTCAACATGATAAAGAATATCTCCCATCGGTAGCTACTTTATCTTTTTTTTTTTTTTTTGATATCGAGTCTCACTGTATTGCCCAGGCTGGAGTGCAGTGGCGCGATCTTTGCTCACTGCAACCTCTGTCTCTGGGTTCAAATGATTCTCCTGCCTCAGTCTCCCGAGTAGCTGGGATTACAGACGTGTGCCACTATGGCCAGCTAATTTTTTGTATTTTTAGTAGAGGCGGGGTTTCAACATGTTAGCCAAGATGGTCTCGATCTTCTGACCTTGTGATTTGCCCCCCTCAGCCTCCCAAAGTGCTGAGATTACAGGCATGAGCCACTGCGCCTGCCCCCCCACCTTTTTTTTTTTTTTTTTTTAACTTGAGACGGGGTCTTGCTCTGTCACCCAGGCTGGAGTGCAGTGGCGTGATTTAGCTCACTGCAACCTCCACCTCCTGTGCTCAAGTGATTCTCCCACCTCAGCCTCCTAAGTAGCTGGGACTACAGGTGTGAGCCCGCTTTTTTTTTTTTTTTTTTTTTTTTTTTTTTTTTTTTTTTTGTAGAGATGGGGTTTCGCCATGTTTACTAGGCTGGTCTTGAATGCCTGAGCTTAAGTGATCCCCCTCGGCCTCCCAAAGTGGTAGGATTATAGGCATGAGCAACCGCACTCAGATACTTTATCCTTAATAGTCAAATGCTCTAGTAGCATTTTCCAAAGTATGTTTGAGGAACACAGAATGCTCCTGGGTATTGCATCAAAAAAGCATTCCAGGGCCAAATAACATCTAGGAAGCACTGTTGCTCTAAGACACATTCCTTTTAATGTCTGTTGCAAGACAAGCATGCCTTCTCTCTCTTTAGTACTGTTCTTTATTCTAGATTCAAGCCAATGCAACAGGCTAGGAAAAAGAGGCAGGCTGGGCGCGGTGGCTCATGCCTGTAATCCCAGCACTTTGGGAGGCCAAGGCGGGCGGATCACGAGGTCAGGAGATTGATACCATCCTGGCTAACGCGGTGAAACCCCGTCTCTACTAAAAATACAAAAAATTAGCCAGGCGTGGTGGCGGGCGCCTGTAGTCCCAGCTACTTGGGAGGCTGAGGCAGGAGAATGGCGTGAACCCGGGAGGCAGAGGTTGCCGTGAGCCGAGATCACGCCACTGCACTCCAGCCTGGGCGACAGAGCGAGACTCCGTCTCAAAAAAAAAAAAAAAAAGAAAGAAAAAGAGGCAGGGCATAACTCTCAGATAGGAGGTTGCAAAATGAATGTTTTGAGTGGATACAGCCGTTGTCTTAGGTTTTCAAAGTAGACAAACTCAAAATTAATTAGAATAAGACAGTATGGCAGCCTGTTGCAAAATAAGTAGGCAAACACCATTGTTTTTCTATGCGTCAGTGGAAACCATTGTTGAATTTGATGGGTAGGAGCACCTCTAACACCTGTTTGCTTGGGCATCAACACGCCAGTGACCTTATTTTCTGGTTAGAAACAAGAGTAACACCCGGACAGTTCAGGCAGCTGCCAGCACCTCCTGGGTCCCCTGCGACCTGGACTCCCAGGAAATGGAGGGCAGCGGTGTAAGTGGCGTGATGCAGGGTGTTCAGCATCTCTCAGTGGGGTTATTCTGAGGACTCTTCCAGAATGTTTTGAACACATTTGTGCACCATTAAGTCGTTGTCACAGAGCCTGGAAGTCCATTATTTCAAGCTCAACTCATCCTGGATGATGGATGTGACTTGAGGAGGGATGAACCATTCGTGCATTCTCCAAGGGCAGGGCTCTCAGAAATTCCCTGTAGCTTTGTGGTCCCTTGCCCTGGCATCCCCTAGACCACCATGCTGAGGGCAGTGTTTGGACGAGACCCCAGTGAACAGAGCCTGGTTGTTGGAAGTAAATCTTTTGCTCCTGCTGGAAACCAGAGAACAGACACTGCTTCATCACTGCTGTCATTCATGCAAGCTTCATCACATTTTCCCAGTCATTATCCTGATCTTTCTCAAAGGCAATTCTTGCCTCTCTTTCAATCAACAGAGAACCCTAGAGATAATTCAGTCTTTGAGGGATTGCTGAGTCATTCAGCTGACTGGGGCTACCATGATGAAGCTGAAGTTCCAATGTCATGAATCAGGCTGTTCTCGGAGGCCACGGAAGGGGTGGATGGATGTGTGTCTGCCAGCTGTCCCACAGGCTGAACCCATCATGCTGGCCATACTTCCTAAGTCATCCTCCCTCCTCCCTAGTTCTTTTTCTTTACTCACTCAGTGTGGTTTTGCTACTTTTAATTTTCTGCCTTATTTTAACCATAGTGGTTTGCATGACCACCAGAGGGGTCAGTGTGCAGTTCTCCTAGGACTAAAGCCCTCCAGCTTTGTGACAGCTTTTCGCCTGAAGCTTGGTGGTCTGATCTGCAAGTTGGCCCTCTTCTAAATGGTGGGAGTTGTAGTCAGCTTGCTTGCCAGACTGGATTGTGGAGAATAGTAGGGCAAGAGTGAGAGGTTAATAGGGCAAGAATTCCCAAGCTTACCCAAGGATATGCATCAATCCCTGCAGAACCCTTAGCAGTTATATTCAACTCACTGAAGGGTCTGCTTGGTTTTTAGATCTTCTTTCTGATTCTTTAGGGATATGAGGGTCACAGGATTAAAAGGTAGAGCCTAGGCTGGGCATGGTGGCTCAAGCCTGTAATCCCAGCACTTTGGGAGGCCGAGGCAGGCGGATCACAAGGTCAGAAGATTGAGACCATCCTGGCTAACACAGTGAAACCCTGTCTCTACTAAAAATACAAAAAATTAGCTGGGCGTGGTGGCGGGTGCCTGTAGTCCCAGCTACTCCGGAGGCTGAGACAGGAGAATGGCGTGAACCTGAGAGGCGGAGCTTGCAGTGAGCCGAGATCACGCCACTGCGCTCCAGCCTGGGTGACAGTGCGAGACTCCATCTCAAAAAAAAAAAAAAAAAAAAAAACCCTAATTTTTTTTTTTTTTTTTGAGACAGAGTCTCGCTCTGTCGCCCAGGCTGGAGTACAGTGGAGTAATCTCGGCTCACTGCAACCTCGGCCTCTGGGGTTCAAGCGATTCTCCTGCCTCAGCCTCCTGAGAGCTGGGATTACAGGTGCCTGCCACCACGCCCAGCTAATTTTTGTATTTTTAATAGAGACGGGGTTTCACCTTGTTGGTCAGGCTGGTCTCAAACTCCTGACCTCGTGATCCGCCCCCCTCGGCCTCCCAAAGTGCTGGGATTACAGGCGTGAGCCACAGCGCCTGGCCTGTACCATGCATTTTCTTTGCGTTCTGCTATTCCAAAAGAAATATTAAATATTGGCATTTTAAAACATAAAATAATTAGAATTGAAATTTTAAAAACTCTTGTTAAATCTGTAGCATCAACTTAAATGAACCATCAGTGGTGTGCATCATCCTTTGATATGACTGAGTCTGCTTTTTGTATCCAGATATCAATTATTTATTTGTTTTTGCTTCTACCTAACTTCTTCCTTCTCTAACAATTCAAGACTCACAATTTTCTAGGATTCAAAGAACATTGTTTTTTGAGTGCTTTAGAATCATTTACTCATTCATTCTTTCACTTACTAAAAAACATTTAACATTTGGGAGGTTGAGGTGGGCAGATTGCTTGAGCCCAGGAGTTTGAGACCAACCTGGGCAACATGGCAAGACCTCATCTCTACAAAAAAAATACAAAAATTAGCTGGGCATGGTGACACATGCCTGTAGTCCCAGCTACTTGGGAGGCTGAGGCAGGAGGATCAAGGGAGCCCAAGAGATCAAGGCTGCAGTGAGCTGTGATGTCACCGCTGCACTCCATCTGGACTACAGAGCGAGACTCTGTCTCAAAATAAAAAAAATTTTTTTAACGAAACATTGAAAAGGCTATGCATGATAGTGCACCAGACATTAGCAAGATTCTAAAGATA
The DNA here is from genome assembly GCF_000001405.40 of Homo sapiens. NCBI lineage: Eukaryota > Metazoa > Chordata > Mammalia > Primates > Hominidae > Homo > Homo sapiens. The sequence continues at coordinate 123,124,894 of NC_000012.12, read as the reverse complement.
AATTAGATACATTCCTTATGGAACTTACAAACTCATAGATTACAGTTCAGTAATAAAATATAAAGATCATATATATTTTAAATATTATTTGGGTAAGTAAGTAATGCATTATACTTGGTACCGAAGTGAAAAGCAGCTACAGGCAAACATAAGACTTCTTGCCGGGTTGGGGGATGGGGGAGGGATAGCATTAGGAGATATACCTAATGTAAATGACGAGTTAATGGGTGTAGCACACCAACATGGCACATGTATACATATGTAACAAACCTGCACGTTGTGCATATACCCTAGAACTTAAAGTATAATAATAATAATAAAAAAGACTTCTTGCCACCCCTGTCTTCAATATCTTAGTTTTCCTTCCCAGAGACAGTGATGGTTGCTAGTTTTGTGTGTGTGTCCTCTTTCAGAGAGATTCTCTGTATATATTAATGTATATTACTTTTTAATTTTTTTTTTTGAGATGGAGTCTCGCTCTGTTGCCCAGGTTGGAGTGCAGTGGTGTGATCTTGGCTCACTGCAGCTTCCGTCTCATGGGTTCAAGTGATTCTCCTGCCTCAGTCTCCCAAGTAGCTGGAATTACAGGTGCACACCACCATGCCTGGCTAATATTTTGTATTTTTATTTTATTTTTTGAGACGGAGTCTCACTCTGTCGCCCAGGCTGGACTGCAGTGGCACAATCTCGGGCTCACTGCAACCTCCGCCTCCTGGGTCCAAGCGATTCTCCTGCCTCAGCCTCCCGAGTAGCTGGGGTTACAGGCATCTGCCACCACGCCAGGCTAATTTTTTTGTATTTTTAGTAGAGATAGGGTTTCACCGTGTTAGCCAGGGTGGTCTCGATCTCCTAACCTCATGATCTGCCCGCGTCGGCCTCCCAAAGTGGTGGGATTACAGGTGTGAGCCACTGTGCCTGGCCACTTTTTAAATTTTAAATTTTAATTTTTTTTTTTTTTTGAGGCAGAATCTTGCTCTGTTGCCCAGGGTAGAGTGCGGTGGTGCGATCTCCACTCACTACAACCTCTGCCTCCTGGGTTCAGGCGATTCTTGTGCCTCAGCCTCCCAAGTAGCTGCGATTACAGGAATGTCCCCCTACACCTGGCTAATTTTTGTATTTTTTAGTAGAGCCGGGGTTTTGTCATGTTGGCTAGACTGATCTCCAACTCCTGGCCTCAATTGATCCACCTGTCTCAGCCTCCCAAAGTGTGGGGATTATAGGCATGAGCCAATGCTCCCGGCCTAAAAATTTAATTTAATTTAATTTTTTTTTGTTTTTTTTGAGAGAGAGAGGGTTTGCTCTGTTACCCAGGCTAGAGAGCAGTGGTGTGATCATAGCTCACTGCAGCCTCAAACTCCTGGGCTCAAGCAGTCCTCCTGCCTCAGCCTCTTGAGTAGCTGGGACTAGAGGCACGTGCAACTGCACCTGGCTAATTTTTTTATTTTTGTAGACATGGAGTCTTGCTATGTTGGCTAGGCTGGTCTCAAACTCCTGGCTTCAAGCAGTCCTCTCACCTCGGCCTCCTAGAGTGTTGGGATTATAGGTGTGATCAACCTTGCCTGGCCTATATTACTTAAAAACAAAGCTAAACACAAATGGCTGCCTATTGTTGTGCATCTGCTTTTTTGACTTCACAATACATAAATCCTGCAGATGGTTCTCTGTTGGCTCATGTAGAGTTGTTCAGTTCTTGTAATGGTGGGCTTAGTATTCTGCTCATGGGTGGACCATCATGTGTTAAACCAGGTCCCTGTTGATGGGGTTTTAGATTGTAAGAGCAGAAGATGGGAAGCAAACAGTGCTGTAGCAGGCATCTCAATAAGTAGGTTTTCATGCAAATATACTCTCATGTCTGTAGAATAAATTTCCAGAAGTAGAATTGCTGGGTCAAGGAGTGTTTTTCTTTTATTTTTGTTAGCAATTGCTAAATTGCTCTCCATAAAGGTAGTACCAATTTACACTCCCACTTACAATGTGTGAGTGCGAGGCAGTGGTTTTCAACCTCAAAACCCCAGGCAAGGAAGAGCTTTTAAGTAAAATAAAAATCTGGAGAAAACTCCTTCTGTGTGAGAGCCTTTTCTACCGCAAAGGGCAGGCTGTAGGGTAGTTCCTGGCATAGCCAGTTAAGACTGTTCATTCCCATTAGCTGCCAGCTTGCACACGACTGAGGGGCTCTTGGGTTTTTGGATTCCTGTAGTCAGGTTGTGGTCTGGAAGATATGTTCCTGGTAAAGGGTGGGGGCAGCAGCTACCTTGCCCCTTCTCTGTCAGCTTGTTTACCACCGAGTATCTGAGAAACACCAGAAGCTAACCTTCAGGGAGGTTATGTTTTTGGGGGAGCTCAGATGTGACCAGGAGGCCTATCAACAGGCTTGCGACTTGGATTTCCCAGATCTGTAAGTTGACGTCATTTCTTTCTTTCTTCTTTTTTTTGGAGACGGAGCCTTGTTCTGTCACCCAGGTTGGAGTGCAATGACACGATCTTGGCTCACTGCAACCTCCGCCTCCCAGGTTCAAGCGATTCTCCTGCCTCAGCCTCCTGAGTAGCTGGGACTACAGGCGTGTGTCACCACGCCCGGCTAATTTTTGTATTTTAGTAGGGACGGGGTTTCACCATGTTGGCCAGGCTGGTCTCGAACTCCCGACCTCAGACGATCTGCCTGCCTTAGCCTCCTAAAGTGCTGGGATTACAGGCATGAGCCACCGCACCAGGCCAATTGACATCATTTCTAAAGAGATTCCCCAGGGAGCTGGGGGCAGGAGGAATGGAGAGTTAGTATTTGATAGGTACAGAGTTCAGTTTGGGAAGATGAAGAAGTTCTGGAGGTAGATGGCAGTGATGATTGTGCACTTAAAAATGGTTGACGTGTTAGATGGGCATGGCGGTGTGTGCCTGTAGTCCCAACTATAATACTTGTGAGGCTGAGGTGGGAGGATCACTTGAGCCTGGGAGGCAGACGTTGCAGTGAGCCAAGATCATGCCACTGTACTCCAGCCTGGGTGACAGAGCGAAACCCTGTTTCAAAAACAAACAAACAAAAGGTTGACATGGGCTGGGCATGGTAGTCCAAGCCTGTAATCTCAGGGACTCAAGAGGCAGAGGCGGGAGGATTGCTTGAGGCCAGGAGTTAGAGACCACCCTGGACAACATAGACCTTTCCTCTACTAAAAAAAAATTATGTTAAAGTCAGATGTAGTGGTGCGTGCCTGTAGTCCCACCTACTCAGGAGGCTGAGGCAGGAGGTTTGTTTGAGCCAGGAATTCAAGGTTGCAATGAGCTGTAATCATGCCCCTGCACTCCAGCCTGGATGACAGAGTGAGACCCTGTCTCAAAAAACAAATAAAATAAAATAAAAATAAAAAAGTTATTATGGTAATTGTTATGTTATGCGTATTTAACCACAAACACAAAAAAAGGTATAATTCACTGTAGCTATCATCTCATGAACAAAAGGAACACTAAGAAGTAGGAAAGATCTAAGAATAAAGAAACTAAGTGGAGCTTTTTGATTTTTGTTTGTTTGTTTTGACACACGGTCTTGTTCTGTTGCCCAGGCTGGAGGGCATGATCATGTCCTACTGCAGCCTCAAACTCCTGAGTTCAAGAGATCCTTCTATCTCGGCCTCGTAAAGTGTTGGGATCGCAGGTGTGTGCCACCATACCCCACCAAACTGGAGCTCTTTGAACAGCTTGGCCCATTAGCCATGTTCTCATTTCTCCTTGAACCGGTGAGAGCTTGGCCAGGCCTGGCGCTGACCTGCTCACTGGGGTTTGGGAGTCAGCAGAGAGGCCTCTGAGGGCTGGAGCCAGAGTCAGCTCCCCAGAGAAGGAGCCTGGGCTGGGCCTGCAGCAGCTGTGTGTTCTGAGAAGATTCTATTCTCTAACTTGGGAGACCTGGGGCTGTCTCATTTCTCTGTGTTTAAACAAGAAGTGTGTCTCTGGCCTGCTGCCGGATGTTTTGGAGGCTGGTTCAAGTGAAGCACCCAGTGATCTGGGTGTGGTCTTCGTTATGCTTTTCCATTTTCCCCAGGGGCTCAGATAACTTTTGCAAAAAGAGCAGGTGAGCAGAGCAGATGTTTGTTTAGAATGACATGGTGGCTCAGAGTAGGTGCTCAGAGAGGTTGTCCCTGCTGGGGCTGTGGTGTCTGACCAGCAGGGAGGAGCTTTGCAGAGGTATTGTGTGGCCTCTGCACAGCCATCCTGCCCTAAGGTGCTAGGTGTTGTACCAGCAAAGGTCATCATCCCAGACTGTAATTACTCTCAGGAAACATGTGCCACTACATCTCAGTGCCTTTAGAGGATGTGGATGTGAGCTCACTCTCACTGGCCAGGGTGTGACTGACAGTGAATTAGCTTTATGCCACATCTGGCTGAGGGCTCTGACTCTTCCATGATCCACTCTCCATATGAGAGGTCTGTGGTCATCACTCTACTTGCAGAGAGAAAGGCACTAGTCCTATAGAAGACCAAGGAACTCCTATGGCACTCTTGACAAGGAGGCTGCTGCCCTGGGCCAGTGCCTCCCAGCCAACCTGTGACTATTAGACCAGAATGCTGCTTAGACACCTGTTGTCTTACCCCTCCTTTCACAGCCAAAACACAGATTCCAGGAGGTGAGGGGCCGTCGAAGCTCACAGCCAGTTGGAGTCAAAACTGGCTCTTGAACCCAGTCCGTGAACTCAGGTCCTGAATGCTCTGGTTGGGGCATTTTAAATCTTAGAGGGTGTTAGTTATAAGGTGACCTTAAATCTGCGGGTTCATATTTGACAAAACCAAAGCCAGGCCTTTGCTGCAGGTGTGCCCTCAGAAAGCCCTTGTCGGCTATGCAGCAAAACCCCGGCAGGCCATACAGGCACCTGTGATGAGTTTCCCTTTGACTCACTGGTTGTCAAGTAGGTAACACGACTTCACCATACTCACAGGGCAGTATGGTTGCTGAGCTGACACAGCCTCCTCACGTGGGTGGCAAGCGTATGCTTCCCATTAAGAAAATTGCTACTTTTGAACGGGCTCCCAACAGAACTTTTTCTTGCTTACTAAAATTAAGAAAATAATAATAAAACAAGCCACTCAACACCCCAAACTCAAAAAAAAAAAAAGAAAGAAAAGAAAAAGAAGAAATATTTAGCATTGACCCAGAAAAAAAGCCTCTGTATTCAGCCTGATATTAGTACTCATGGAGCCACATGGATGGAACGAAGAAATTTTCATTTAGGTGTGATTAAGATCACATCCTCAGCCAGGCGCGGTGGCTCACGCCTGTAATCCCAGCACTTTGGGAGGCCGAGGCGGGCGGATCACGAGGTCAGGAGATCAAGACCATCCTGGCCAACACGGTGAAACCCTGTCTCTACTAAAAAATACAAAAAATTAGCCAGGCGTGGTGGCGGGTGCCTGTAGTCCCAGCTATTTGGGAGGCTGAGGCAGGAGAATGTTGTGAAGCTGGGAGGCGGAGCTTGCAGTGAGCCAAGATGGTTCCACTGCACTCCAGCCTGGGTGACAGAGCAAGACTCTGTCTCAAAAAAAAAAAAAAAAAAAATCACCATCCTCTATGCTTCTAGATAGAGCACAGCCTTTAGTTGTGCTACCTAATCCTTGTCCCTACCTCCCGAGCATGACAAAGCTTAGGCAGAAGCTGCTTCAAACACAAATGAACTGTGCTGAATTTTCCTCTGAGCATTCTCAGCAGTCCCAGGAGATCATTGGAGAAATCCCCCAGGTGGCCACAGAATCAGAGCTGTCTTGCTGCGTTAAGTCTTGTTGGATCACTTGAGTCCTGAAGAGGCCCTTGGTAAAGGGAATAGTTAGGCTATTGTCATCAACGCTGAGCCCAGATACATCTGGGAGTGGGAGCTGGAGATCTCTGCCCCTGACCTGCAGGTGACTAAAGCTGACAGTGGACACAGGCCACACGGACACAGCCGAGTGACACTGTTTCACGTCCCTGCAGCCTGGCCTCCATCAGCACTAAGGCACAGTATTTGCGGAAGGGCCATGTGTTCGACAATACTTACCATGTCCAGTAGCCAGATGGTCTAAACAACCCATCAGTGGTATGGTATGTAAATATTTTCCATCATTATCATGGTGCTGCCGTGTTGACATTAACGAGGATGAAGAATTACTCTGAGGAGCTCTCCGTTAAGAGCCAGTCAGGCCGCAGGCGGGGCTGCAAAGCTGTCCGTACACCCTGGAGGCTGACAGCTTTCCAGGCTAGCTTGGTTTCCTCTTGCTTCCTCCTCCCAGGCACAAATTCCCTCACACACTGGCCCCGTGGACATTCCCCTCAGAACTCTTCCCAAGCACAATGTCTGTTTCTCATCATGAACTAATGTTTTCCACTATTGGGAAGAGCTTTGTGACCCAGCATATTTCCCTCTTTGCTTTGCCTACCAGGAAGCACACAGCTAAGATTTTACTCATTTGCTTTTAGATTGTTCTCAATTTAGAGCCTTGATAGAGATTTTCTCCCTCCTGTTTGGTTGCTTTCTTTCTTTGCTCATCTCATGTTTGGTGGGAAAATGTGGTGAGCCTATGTTGTAAGGTTTTTGGAAGCAGGCAGTATGGATAGAGCTTGAGCAGGTTCCCATCATGATCGCAGAGTACAGAACTGGTCTGTATCCAATCTCCCTGAACTGTCACCTAGACTGGTAGTTCTAAGAAGGCTAAGATTAGACCTCAGCCTAATTCTCCTGTGTATCTCCTACATATCTGACAATTAGTATCAATTTGGTGAATGTATTAGTTAAGTAATGCTAACTGCTAGACAATTCTCTAGTCTCAGTGGCTTATCACAATAAAGGCTTATCCCCACTCTTGTCTTAGTTGAATTGCATGCTCTGTGAGTGGCCTCCATGTGGTGAATTGGGGACCCAGGATCCTTTCACACTGTGGCTCTCCCATCCCTTGGGGCTCCCCTGGAGTTCTCCAGTGAATCTGTGCAGTCAGCTGGCTGGTAAGCAGAGAAAGAGGGAGCATAGGAGATTGCATGGGGCATTCTGGGGGCCAGGCTTTGAAGTGGTGGACCTCCCCTACTCATATAACTAGTCCCGTAGCCTCACCTAGAGTCCAGGGGGCTAAACATATGATTTAGGGAGAGGAAATTGGACCATGCCAGAGTCTGTCATAGTGAGATATTGAACAATGAATGAACAAATCCATGAAGGGCACAGAGAGCAGAGCAGGGCTCCAGGGGCACACGTCTGAGGAGCCCAGTGAGCACTTCTGTCTGCCTTGCAAACCTAGATGCAAGTCATTGGACTTGATGCAGGGCTTTGGATTACAGGTCAGTATTCCCTTCTGTCCAAATCATAGGATTGTAGAATGTTGGAGCTGAACTGAGAACCCTTTCAGAGGTCATGAAGCCCAGCCTCCTCACTCTACAGATGGGGAAACAGAGGCCCAGTGAGCCGAGCTGACTTACCCAGAGTCAGCAGCCAGAACTCTGGTCTCAATCCCATGCCAATGATCACTTCACTGCACTCAGGGAATCCCATCCATATCTCTGTCCACAGTGTGCAAACCCCTGCTCTGCACAGATAGAGAGTCGTGTAATTAAGTGACAGCTTGAGTTGATCATCTGATGGCCAGCTTACTCCGTAGGATCACTGGAGAAATTCCCCAGCCTCACGACCGCTGTTTGAAACTCAGCACCGGCTTCATTTCAGCATTCACTCCATTGGGATATTGGGAGTGGAAGACTACTCTCTTCCTAAGACTCATTTAAGCACTAACGTCTCTCAGCAACTCTCATATGTGAGGATACAAAAGGTCTTCATGAGTCTTATGATGGAAGTAGAACTTCCTGCAAACCCGCTAGAGAGCTTGGCCACCATCAGTTACCTATTGCTGCTTAACAGAGTACGTCCAAACATAGTGATGCAAAATGCCATTTTATTTATTTGCTCACAGTGTGGCAATTTGGGCAGGGCCCAGTGGTAAGGTTAGCTCATCCCTGTGCCACTGGTGTCAGCTGGAACAACTTGACTACTTGGGGTGGGGGACCCATTGACAAGGTGGCTGGCTGCACTCCTGTGGCTGGTGAGATGGTACTGGTGCTTGGCTGTATCTGCTAGGGCTGCTGGCTGGAACATCCGTTCCCCTCCTCATCACCCGTTGGGCAAGGTACAAGTGGTTGGCTTCTTACCTGGCTTCAGCTTCCCTAGAGTTCAAATGCAGAAGCATCCAGGCTGCCACCACCACTTCATTCTCCTCACTCCTCTCCTGCTTTTTTTTTTTTTTTTTTTTGAAACAAGGTCTTGCCCTGTCACCAGGCTAGAGTGCAGTGACATAATCATGGCTTACTGCAGCCTCAACCTCCTGGGCTCAAGCAATTCTCCTGCTTCGGCCTCCTGAGTAGCTGAGACGCAGGAATGTGCCACTGCTCCTGGCTAATTTTTGTATTTTTTGTAGAGATGGGGTTTCTCTATGTTGCCCAGGCTGGTCTTGGACTCCTGGCCTCAAGTGATCCTCTTACCTTGGCCTCCTGAAGCACTGGGACTACACATGTGAACCACCACTCCTGGCCAGAATGTCTGTCTTTTTTAAGGCTAACATTCCATCATGTAGATAGACTACATTTTGTTTATCTGTTCATCTGTTTGTGGATGCCTGGGTTGTGCCCACCTTTTGGCTATTGTGAAGATTGCTGCTGTGAACATTGGTGCAGAAATACCTGTTTGCATCCTGCTTTCAATTCTTAGCCAGGCCTCCCTAAGCTTAGAGATACAAACCTGGCACAGTGTTACTTCCATCCCATACTGTTGGCTAAAACAGGCCACAAGGCCAGGCTAGATTAAAAGGGAGGGGACTCCACGAGGGCATGGCTCATTGAAGGCCACCAAAGTAACAGTCCCCGGCAACCACCCTGGGAAAAGATCTTTGCAGACCCATTCACATAAACCCTTCCAAAGCCTGGCTGTGCTCCTGGATGCCTCTGGAATATCCAGGTTCCCATGGCCCAAGCAAGGTCCTACTGGAGCCACTCAAACCAGAACCCAACTGTTCCCTCCCTTGGAGAAGGCTGCACGCTTGTGCTGTGTTTTGTATTGCTGATGGTGGTGCCTCCTATTACATAATCTGTTATTCTGTGCTGCACAAGGCCCTGGTTACTTGTCAAAAGTTTCTAAAAGCCAGCTGTATCAGCTCCAGGCAACTGGGGGTGCTGCCTCTCCCTCATAGTATTAGTCACTCTGTACTTAGCTAAATTTAACTTTTTATCATCCAAATGATATTTTTGTGGGCTTGGGATTTTACATAATGCTACCAACTGCTGCAGGCTAAGAATTTCTCCTCTTTGTTATGCGTGTGTGTATGTGTGTGTGTGTGCATGTGTGTGTGTGCGTGTGTGTGTGCGGGCGCGTATTGGGTTTTTTCCCTCCATCAACTTCTGCATGGTTCAGCAAGGCTTGTTCAGTTTCTCTTCCCCTGCTCTGCTTTCCCAGGTCTGGGTTTTGTTCTTTGGGCTCTGCTTTTGCCACTTGCCAGCAGAGAGAAAAATCGCTCCTAACAGTCTTTTAATGGCCCTGCAAATGCTTCCACCTTCACTGGAGGTCTCTCCACTTTGAACGTCTCTGAGGGTTTCCCTGCTGCCTCCAATAATCTGGGCTTCTGAAAGAGAAGCTCAGCTCCAGAGTACAGTGTTTGTTGAAGAAGATGGAAGGGAGGGGGAGTAGGGTCATAAAATAAGAAATCCAGCCAGCCAGCCTGCCCAAGGCATGGGGTCCATGATGCCAGCTCCTCCTCTTGGCCTGTGGGAGGGTGGGTAATGGTGGAGGGTTCAGAGCTGTTCTTGGGAGAATACAGGGAGGTGGGCGGGTGAGAGGATGGAGACCCAGCCTCAGAAGGGCCTGGAGCAGCATGCAGGGAGCTGGAGACACATCTCAGCCACCTGACTTTCCCTGAGTCCCCACTGCTCAGAGGCTGTAGCACGCCTGGCCCTCATGCAGGGATCTCGGGTCTACACCGTAACTGTGCCTGGGAGGTGCCTTCCTTCATTTTCCGGAGGAGGAAGCTGAAGATCAGCTCAGTGAGGTGAAGCAGCGGTAGTAATCACAGCGGCAGCAAAACACTGAGCACTTACTGTGTGCCAGGCATGGTGCTAAGCACTTGCTTTCTTTAGCTCATCGACTCTTCAGCCATTCTATGAATTAGGTACCAGTATCCACTTTCTTTTTTAGATAGGGAAACCAAGTCCCAGAGAGGTTAAGCAGCTTGCTTGAGTGAGGCCTCATAGCTGGGAAATGGAGGACCACATTTCAGAACCTACCTACCTCCAGGACTCCTCTTGCCACCCAGTTCCGTGGCCTCTTCTAGGCTACATGGCTTTCCAAGGGGCACACTGGGACAAAGGGGAGAAATGGCACTTGGACTGTGCTCATTTCCTGGCGTTACTGGGCTGATTCCAGCCTGATTCCGGCCTGATCTAGTTGCCAGGTTCCTCCCATGCAAGCTGTCTTTAAAATAAAGCAGGGTGTATATGTATAGGCGGTCTCTGGGAGGATTCGCCAGAAACTGGAATTTGCCTTTGGGCAGGGAACTGGGTGCTGGGGAACAGGGACAAGAGAGAAACTTACTCTCACCCTCTAACCATTTTATCCTTTTGAGTTTTGAAGGTTTTCAAAATACAGATGCATTACTTGTCTTAAATTAAGTGATGTTATCTTATTAAAAAATTAGGAATAACTAGGTGTATACCCAAAAGAATTGAAAATAAATGTTCACACAAAAATTTGTACAGCGATGTTCACAGTAGCATTTATTCACAATAGCCAAAAGGTGGAACCAACCCAAATGTCCATCGATGGATGAATGGATAAACAAGATGTAGTGTATATAATGGAATATTACTCCATCATAACAAGAAATGAAATACCGACACAAATGCTATAACATTGGTGAACCTCAGAAACATTATGCTAAGTGAAGGATGTCAGACACAAAAGGATACATATTATATGATTCCATTTATGTGAAGTATCTAGAATAGGCAAACCCATAGAGGCAGAAAGATTAGTGGTTGCCAGGGGCAGGGAGGAGGGGAGGATGGGAAGTGACTGCTTATGTGTACAAGTTTTCTTTTTGGGGTGATGAAAATGTTCTGGTATCAGATAGTGGTGATGGTTGTACAACATTGTAAGTAGACTAATAACCGTAGACCTATATACTTTGAAAGGGTGGGGGGGTTTGTTGGGTTTATAGATGGTCTTGCTGTGTCACTCAGGCTGGAGTGCAGTGGTGTGATCACAGTTCACTGCGGCCTTGATCTCTCAGACTCAGGTTACCCTCCCAACTCAGCCTCCTGAGTAGCTGGGATTACAGGCATGTGCCACTACACCCAGCTAATTTATGAATTTTTGTAAAGATGGGGGGTCTCACTATGTTGCCCAGGCTTGTCTTGAACTCCTGAGCTCAAATGATCCTCTGCCTTGGTCTCTCTAAGTGCTGGGATTACAAGCATGAGCCATGGCACTTGGCTAAAAGGGCGGGTTTTATGGTGTGTGAATTATATCTAAATTGAAAAAAATTAGGAACCATGCCTCCAGATGGAGTCAAAGGCCATGCATGGTCTGTTGTCAGCACTCTGGACAGTTTGCCGTGGTTCCACCTACCATACGTATGGGTCTCTCTCTACCCATTCCTTAGCCACCTGCCTCACAGTCGCCATGTCAACGGAGGCTGGAGACAGCAGTGTTTAACTTCGGCAGCACTACCCACTCATTTGGAACTTACACTTTCCACAAGGGCCAGCCTGAGACGTGTGGACGTCTGGGCAGGCTAGTAGCTGGCACCCCATCAAACTGGTATTCTTTAAGTGTTTGTTTGACATTTATTTAGTGGGGATGAGGAGAGACTGATATTCTATTAATAGGAATCATATAGAGAAACAGATTCACTTGCTAATTCACTTTCTTGGACTGAAACAGAGTCAGGGATCTGAAAATTTTTTAGGAAAGCAATTCTGACTTCTGTTGTTCTTGTCCCCTAAGGTATCTTTTTGTTTTGTTTTTCTTTCCCCTGCAGTTTTCCAAATCATTCAAGCAGTATATTGAAGATTTAGGCTGGGTGCAGTGGCTCACGCCTGTAATCCCTGCACTTTGGGAGGCTGAGGTGGGCGGATCACGAGGTCAGGAGATAAAGACCATCCTGGCTAACATGGTGAAACCCCGTCTCTACTAAAAATACAAAAAAATTAGCCAGGCGTGGTGGCAGTCGCCGTAGTCCCAGCTACTCAGGAGGCTGAGGCAGGAGAATGGTGTGAACCCGGGAGGCGGAGCTTGCAGTGAGCCGAGATAGCACCACTGCACTCCAGCCTGGGTGACAGAGCAAGACTCCATCTCAAAAAAAAAAAAAAAAAAGTATATTGAAGATTTGGATTTAAAACTTAAAGGAATGAAATGACATTTGTTCCTGGGAAACAGCAACACGATGTATTATTTGGTCTTGGATGCCCTGCTCCCCTCCAGGACTGTGACTACGTGTGTATGGAACGTACATTACATGCAACAAACCCCAGCAAGGAATTGTGTTTTATTGTGACTTTCCATGTCCCCTTAGGGCAGTGGACAGATTCACTGTTTACCATTTATGTGAGGGGTCACTGGAGGAAAACTGAGTTAGCCAGCAGCACATTTTAATTTCTTTCCAGGGATGTTTTGAGCCCCCTGCCCCTAGAGGTCTGTTCCCCAAGTAGCTGCCTACTGGGTTGGCTCCTTAGCCTGACCCTGCATTCACTTTTTTCACTTTTAATACTTTTAGTCAGAAACATAATTCCCTGCAGTGCCTCTCTTTGCGTTCTGAGAGTGCTTTTTTCTCATAGCCCCTGTGGATCTAATTCTGTGGGGTGTGAGTCACCACTGCCCTTCTCACCCGCCGAGAAGCATTGTGGTGGGCTGGAGCGGGGCTGGTCTACCAAATCTGGCTCGCCATTGATGGGTGCGTTACCATGGCAAACCCTCAACCCTCTCAACAGCTTTCCTCACCTCGAACATGGGGAGACTTCAGAGTTGCTGGCCTCAACTGTGGCCTACGGTGGCATGTAGAGGCAAGGCTGGAAGGCCAGCTTGCTCATGGTCACTGGGAGGGCTGGGACCTGCATCCACTCTGCTGTGGGTGCCTGGGCTGTTTCATCTGTTCCGGGGGTTGAGTGTGTATGTGGGTGTGTACATGCAGCCGTGGAGACAAGGGGCTGGGGCAGGACAGCGATGGAGCCTCAGTCCCACAGAGGAGCCTGCACGGGGGTGGGCATGCAGGACGCGGTGGCGGTGGCGGGGTTGGAAGAGCCGCCCGCTCCCTGCAGCCACACCTCCCACTGCTGTGTATTGCTAGCTATCTTCACACCTCCCCAATTCCACTCTCCCTCCTCTGTCTGGCCGTTCACTTGGCAGTTGATAACTTTGCCATCCCCAGCCACCATTCCATTTCCCTTTGTTAGGGCTGTGCTTGCCCCTAGCGGGCATGGACTGGTGTCTGAGGAGACCCCCACCATGCCTGTCCTCAGCTCCTAAAGCAGGGTTGCCCTGGAATTGGGCATCAGTTCCTGAAACACTCCCAGCTTCCATAGCCAGCAGATAAGCAGCCTCTCTGTCATGGTCATTGGAGAGCCCTGTAGGCTGCTACCTGCTCTCTGGGCCCAGGGTCAGGAGGCTTGTATGTGTGTCAGGCAAACAAGAATGTGTGTTGAGCTGCGAGGTGGGCTACCCGGCTTGTCTGTGGTCCCTGTAGGAGCCCTGGGTTGGGTAGTGGCTTCAGTGGTACCTGTGAAGACTTTGTCATCTCTGAGGCTGTTGGACCTGCGACTCTTTGGAAATCCATTTCTCCACCTTTTTCATTTTGTTTTGAATGCTTGTCTCTGGCCTCTGGGTAGTCAGATCACACTCTGCCCAGCTGGAGGGGCTTGCTGGAAGGCTGGAAGCCATTTGCATCACCCCACAATATGACCATGCCCCTGTCCCGGCATCAGGACGCCATCCTCTCGGACTGTGTCTCCCACTCTTCTTCCTGCATTACCTCATTTTCCAGCCTCCTCTCTGCGGTCTGAAGTCCTCCAATCCCAGTGGGGTTCATGAGTGAAAAATCAAGGTTTGAGACAGAGCTCCAGGGGCCTTTGAAAATAGGATGGCTTATGGTGTGTGCTGGTGGTCTCAGTTCCCACTCCCTGAGCAGTTTTCCTAAGTAGAAGGGGTGCCGGGCAATGTTGGGGTGTATCTGTCACCAATTCTGAGTTAGACACTTGCTTCCTGAATCGTCCTGGGCTGGGTCCCTTTGTAAAATGGAGACACCTTTAGTCAGATGTCCCCTGTTCAATCCTCTTGGTCCATCGGCATTGTGGGTCTCCCAGTTGGATTGGTGTGGAGTGATCAGAGTCCAGGTGTCTCACCTCCTCTCCCATTGTGCTTCTCCCTGCAGGATGCTGGCACGTGTGTCCTGGTCCTCAACAACCTTCTGTGAGCCTAGGGACCCATTTCTCCTCCTTTGACAGGGACATCAGTGGAGCCTTCTCAGACCCACAGGTAAGGCCGTCCACCTGTGCAGTAGCACCCTACTTCCCAGAGCTGAGGCCCTGCAGGCCACCCTGGCCTTTGGAGTTTGAGGGTACGGAGACTTTATTGCTGTTTCCCTTTTCCCCTAAAAACCGGACTATTGTTGGGCGCAGTGGCTCACACCTGTAATCCCAGCACTTTGGGAGGCTAAGGCAGGAGGATCACTGGAGGCCAGGATTTCAAGACAGCCTCGGCAACATAGTGAGACTGCATATCTCTGAAAAAAAAAATTAACTGGGTGAGGTGCCACATGCCTATAGTCCCAGCTACTGGGGAGGCTGATGTAGGACGATCACTTGAGCCCAGGAGTTCGAGGCTGCAGTAAGCCATGGTCGCACTACTTCACTCCAGCCTGAGTAACACAGTGAGACCCCGTCTCTTAAAAAGACACTATAAACCTGACTTTATCTGATTAATGTGGGGTAGATTGTATTTATTGATTACGCTTTTGCAAATATTGACTTCTTTTCACTAAATACGAAAGACCGATGTTCTGCCTCTGGTAGCTTTCGATTCCAAATAGGATAAAAACTGCTTGGGTCAGCCTTTGAGGCCCCAACGGCTGCTATTCTCCTGTTTATAGAGCACCCCAGAGTGGCTCTTTTCTGTTTGCTCTTGAGGCTTAGCCTGGCCTGCTCTACCCTTAGTACATGGAAGAGGACAGGCAGGAGTTATGCTTCTTCTGTGCCTTGGCTGGGAAGCTCAGGCTCTGGCTACTCGCTGGCTTTGGCAGAGAGCAGAGGCTGGGCTGCTGCCTTGCTCAGCTGCCCGCAAGTCATGGTCAGTGGCCCAGAAACAAGCATGAGTGTGGTTTTTAATGCACCATCCCTCTGGATGTACAGTGAGAAGCCAAGGCTGAGTGGAGGGTGGGCCTGAGCCTCTGTCTTGAGTCTCAGGGAGTGCCAGGTCTAGAGATTGAATGGCCCAGGGAGTAGCAGTCTCTCCCCTCCCACCCCCAGCTGGCAGCAGGAGCCCCTGGCCTCCCAAGCTTCTTTCCATTTCGTATTTCTTTGTCTCAGGCACAATCCCTGGCCTTGGCCCCATTTTCCATGCCAAGGCCTTTGTTGGGTGGAACAGGAGGTAAAGTGATTTTTCCTTCTTTTTTTCCTAAATGTTGATGAACCCTTCTCCTGTTCACTCATTGGCTAGTTTCAGCTTTGGAGGCACGGAGGATGGATGTTCCATCAAGGGAAGCTAGCAAAGCTGAGGTGAGGATGCTGGTGGGGGTAGGTTTAATGTACCCAGCCCCTGCTGCATGGGGCTAAGTCCCACAGTAACCATGAGCAGTGCCTGTTAGGGTCCCTTTTTACACAGGAAGCCGAGGCTCAGAGATGGCAGATATCAGCTCCAGGTTGCACAGCTAGTCAGTGGTGGGATTGGGATTGGACCCCGAGTCTAGACCTGGAAGCACATGGCATGGTTTTTCAAATTTGGCCTGTGACTCACAGGGCCCTTGGTTCAGCCCAGGCTCAACTGTTACTTGCTGTCTGATCTCGGGTAAGTCCCTTCCCTTCTCCGGGTGCCCTCATCCTTGCTGGGAAGATAGGGCACGTTGTGATGGGGCCTCTTAAGTTGCCTCTGTGGCTCCGTAGTTCCAGGCTGGCACCGTGGACTGTTATCTTCTCTAATTGCTCATTCTTTTCAGTTGCTGTGAAAAGGCCTCCAAGTGCTAAGAAGAGAGAGTGCTATGTTGTATTTTTTGTTTTTCTGTTTTGTTTTAATTCACTTTCCAAGGTGTCCCAGCTACTGGGAGTGGATGTAGGGGAGGGCACATAGTAACACTCAGCCCTGACTTGCAGCTTCTCCAGGGGTCACTCGGGTTCTGCGGGGTTGGGGCCTCGTGGTTGTCCTGTTGCCAAAGGTCTTGGCTGCCAAGTCGAGGCAGGGCCCGGTGAGAGCTCTTCTGCCCTGCATGGCCTGAGCACTGACATTGCTCTGAGGGACGCTGCTTCAACACAGCCTTGGTCTCCTGTCTCCTTTCTTACAGGAAGGAGGTTCTATTCCTTCTTAACAACTGCATTCCAGAGTGCAGTGGCTTTGCAGAGACCATGGCCTTGCAGCTCACCTCATCCGAAGGTCTTCACTTAGACCTAAAATGTCTTCAGGAATTGTTCTGCTCCACTCATTTGTCCATAAAGTATTTATTGTTACTTAGTTTGCACCAGGGACCATTCCAGTTGCCAGAGACGCCACTGTGAACAAAACAGACAGGCATCCCTGCCCGCGTCTAGTTTATATGCTGGTACATTCTCTGCGCTTTGCTTATGCAGTTCCAGCATCCTGAAATTCCCTCTTCCCACCTCTACCTGTCAGGTTCCTGTTTCACCTTCCAAGCCCATTTCAAACAGCTCCTTTCCTCTAAATTTCTTTGCAAGGCCTGGGTCCGCATTAGCCTCTCCTTCCTCCCTCTGTGCTGTCACGGCATACTGCTTGGACCTCAGAATTCTTGGCATCATTTTCCCTGAAATATTTCAGTAAGTGTCTGTGTCTGCTGTTGACCTGGGAACCTTGTAATGTGGGAGACTTGCCTTTGGGTGCCATCCTTTCCCCCCAGATCCTGGACTAGAGAGCTGGTACCACCTGCTTTTCCCAAAACCCTCCCCTAGAAAATGGCAGGCCCCATGTGAGGATGATTAGGGTTGCCCCCTCCATGCCTCTGCACCCTGCTTGGGAGTTTGTGGCATAGTGACCACCGGGCCCTGGTAGCGAGAGTCATGGGGTGGAGGGAGGCCACACTCCCTGGGGTTCGCTAAGAACGAGATCTTTCCTTCTCCTCTCTCCTCCACAAGGGACTGAGGAAGGAAAGGGCTCAAGGACCAGGGTTTATTTTTAGAAAAGCTCCTTGCTGTGGAGGAATCCAGAGCCCTTCCTTCCAGAAGGTGGGGGTGGCAGGTGGTGGGTGGGGTAGCTGGGGTTGTGTCTCCTACTGCCTGGCTGTCTTTCACAGTAGGGGTCTGCCTTAAAGAGGAGGGTCCCAGCCAAGGAGAATATTTGCCCTTAGCCCTCACAGTTGAAGATGTTTGCCATTCGGCATTGGTGAGCAGAGCTTCTGGCATTGCCATGAGCTTCAGTGTCCCTTGGGCAAGAGCTCAGCGGGGAGGGTCCTGGGCCCAGGCAGTGGCTTCCTTCCGGACTCCCCGTGGCTCAGGCAGGGAGGGGCACTTCCTGCCATTGTCTCTGTGACAGGCCTCAAAAGGTCACTGTCTCCTGAGGAGAAAGAGAGCTCATGACATGGGCAGGGCCTCAGACCACAGCAGCAATGACACAGACTTTCCAGGGCACGTCCCCACCTCCCCATGCTGTACCCCCATCCCCACCTCCAGCCCCTTGGATGAAGTCCCATCCCAGGTGAAGAAGGGACTTATCTCCATCCGTAGCAGCAGCAGAGCCCTACCTGCAGCGAGGGCCTTGCTTCCTAGTCCCTCCTCTCAGGCAGCCCTAGTCCCACATGGGAATGCAGGCCTGTCCGTCCCTGTGAGGTTTAGGTCTGTGATAAGTCTCGCATGTTAGAAGGCTGCCCAGAGAGCCCAGAGCATGGGGAGGTTATGGAGAGGAAGTAGAGGGCTGAGTGCCCTCATGCCCTGGAGCAAAGATGCTGCCCTGAAGTCCACAGAGAGCTCCTCCTCAGCTCCTTTGCTGTCCCCACAGAGCTTGGTAGAGATCTGGGCACAATCTGATGACCCATGTCATGCCCTGGCCAGTTCTGTCACCTGTGCCCCTCCTGACTGCTCCCATCTACATTTTGTTTATTGATATGGTTCTTTGACACACACCTGACGCTGCTCAGTACGCAGGGCTTTAGCCAGAAATTGCTGGCTCTTCTCAGTCTCCTCTTCTTCCTGTTCCCCGGAGCTCTGGGGACTGACCCCTGCATTTGCCTTGTTTGCTCTGATGCAGCATGTCTTCCTGAGAATGTACTTTCTTTTCTTCCTGTTTTTTTTTTTAAAGGAATTATTTACTTATTTTAGAGATGGAGTCTTGCTCTGCCACCCAGGCTGGAGTGCAGTGGTGTGATCATGGCTCACTGCAGCCTTGAATTCCTGGGCTTAAGCAGTCCTCCCACCTCAGCCTCCTGAGTAGCTGGGACTACAGGTGCACACCACCACACCTGGCCCAGAATGTATTTTACTTTCAACAAGGTGGCAGAAGCCTGCATTCCTCTGGCTTGTGTCGAATTGTGCTTCAGAAGGATGTCTTCTGGCTGCCGTGTTGAGAGCAGGCTATCTGGGGTGAAGAGAAGAAGCAGGGGGCCTGTGGCAAGACGATTGTTTCTGGGCGATGCTTTTGGTCACTTGTTGAGGTTTGCGCAGGCATACCATGCTTGCAGGGGGATGGGCATGGGTCTGTTTCACTTGTGCTCTTCAGGACAGGCAGGGCCAGGAAGGAAGCTGGCCTGGCCTACCTGAGGGCATGTGAGGCCGGGTGCCCTGCTGTCTTGGTCAGTGGTGGTCTGGGGCTGGGGGTTTCTCTACATCTCTGCCTGCAGGTTCTCAGCATGGGAAACTCTTTCTCACCACCTTTCTTTTCCTTCTTCCTCTCGTTTCTGCCTTCCCTTGGCTCTAGTACAGAGCCCCTGTCTTCGGTTCATTTCCAGTACTTCTCCATGGTGGGTATCCAGTGCACTCACATTGATGACCTCATCCCACCTGCAGGGAGGCAGCTGGAGGCATGACGGCTCAGCACTCCAGGTGCCTGGAGGCATTCCCGTATGCGCTGAGCCCTCATGCCTCCCGGTAACCAGGTGTCGTCAGCAGGAGCTTTCTGGATCTGTGTCCCCTGTGTCACTTCCTTTCTTTGTTTCTTCACACACTTCCTGAGATGTGAACCCTGCCTGGGACAATCGCTTTTGTTCCTGGAGACAGTGTACAGAGCTTGGAATTCTCTGAGGGGTTCCTGAGATGGCGCCATTCAAGCCAGGGGGTTGAATAGCTTGACTCTTCATTTCAGCAGCACGATTGACCCCTCAGTGGATCAGCAGCGATTCATTCCACACGTATTTAGTGAGTACCTACTATTCTAGGAGCTGGGCATAAAGACGTGATAAAATGTTAAAAACTTCTGGCCCTCCTGGGGCTTGTATTCTAGTGGGGGTAGACACTCGATAGAAAATAGTCAGTAAAACCTGTAAGCACATCAGATGGTGATCAGAGTTGCAGAAGCAGGGGAAAGGAAGGCCTCCCAAGTTGGGGACATTTAGGCGAAGACCTGAAGGAGGTGAGGAGTGAGCCAGGATGGTAGCTCAGGGAGAAAGGCCCTGAGGCAGGAGCTTGTCCAGGATGTTCAGGAAACTGGAGTGAGTGAATGAGGGGAAGAGAAGCAGGGGAGGAGGTCAGAGAATATTGAGGGCCCCGTTAGATCAGGGCTTTGCAGGCTGTATCAGGACTTTGGCCCTGACTCTGAGTGACCTGAAGCTTCGGAAATGTTTGAGCAGTAGAGGGTCAGGATCCGAATTGTGCTTTAAAAGGATGGTTTCTGGCTATGGTGATGAGAGCAGGCTGGATGGGAGGAAGGGAGGAAGCTGGGTGATTGTGGGGAAACAATTGCAATAGGGAGTTTCATGTGTGTCCGTGTGAAGAGACCACCAAACAGGCTTTGTGTGAGCAATAAAGCTTTTAATCACCTGGGTGCAGGCGGGCTGAATCAGAAAAGAGAGTCAGCGAAGGGAGATAGGGGTGGGGCTGTTTTATAAGATTTGGGTAGGTAAAGGAAAATTACAGTCAAAGGGGGTTTGTTCTCTGGCGGGCAGGAGTGGGGGTCGCAAGGTGCTCAGTGGGGGAGCTTTTTGAGCCAGGATGAGCCAGGAAAAGGACTTTCACAAGGTAATGTCATCACTTAAGGCAAGGACCGGCCATTTTCACTTCTTTTGTGGTGGAATGTCATCAGTTAAGGCAAGGACCGGCCATTTATACTTCTTTTGTGGTGGAATGTCATCAGTTAAGGCGGGGCAGGGCATATTCACTTCTTTTGTGATTCTTCAGTTACTTCAGGCCGTCTGGGCGTATAGGTGCAAGTCACAGGGGATGCGATGGCTTGGCTCGGGCTCAGAGGCCTGACAGGGAGAGGCAGCGGGTGTGTGGGGGCTGCGAGCCTGTTGGGCCCCAGATGTGTTCTAAAGGTAGAGCCAGGCCAGGCATGGTGGCCCACGCCTGTAATCCCAGCACTTTGGGAGGCCAACACGGGCAGATCACCTGAGGTCGGGAGTTCGAGACCAGGCTTCAGCCTGATTAACATGGAGATACCCTGTCTCTACTAAAAATACAAAGATTACCCAGATGTGGTGGTGCATGCCTGTAGTCCCAGCTACTTGGGAGGCTGAGGCAGGAGAATTGCTTGAACCCGGAGGTTCAACCCGGAGGCGGAGGTTGCGGTTAGCCAAGATCACGCCACTGCACTCCAGCCTGCGCAACAAGAGTGAAACTCCATCTCAAAATAAATAAATAAATAAATAAATAAATAAAATAACAAAATAAATAAAGGTAGAGCCTAGAGGAATTCTGAGGCATTGGGTGCCTCTTGCTTAAAAGAAGGTTCTTGTGGACTTGGAGAGATGCAAGAAGTCATCTAGGCCAACCTTTACACCTAACCCACTGGAAAACTGAGGCCTAAGAAAAGAAGTGACTTGTCCAAAGTCCCATGGCAAGCTGGCTAGTTGCAGAGCCAAAATTTGGGCTTCTGGAATGCAGGTCCAGTGTTTTTACAGCTGAAACAATGAATGGTCCCAGTGAGGTTGAGGGCCAAGGGAAGAAGGGCTGGCCCCAGGGTCCCAGAGCCAAGCCACAGGGTCCTGACAGCACCCACAGAGGCCAAGCCCAGCCTCCGCTGGCCAGCAGGAGCCTGAGACTTTGTGAGCTGAGGATTCTTGGCACTCTGGGCCTTCAGCAGCTCTCTCTGGACCAGCATTTTCACCTTAGCTGGGCTGCAGTCTTGACGATGTCAGGCCTTGGGCAGATCAAAGTCAGTGCTCCTGTGCATTATTCACTTGGCTCATGCTGAGCCTCCATGGAGTGTCAGGCCCGAACAAATAAGAGAGTCTTGCTGTCAAGGAGCTAACAGTTCAAGGGAGACAGACGAGCAAACCCAGGGAGCCTGTATCATCAGGGTCATAGGTTCATGTTAGAGGCATATGCAGGGAAATGGCCAAGATCAGGGATCATCACTGTAAGGACAGTCACTAAAACAACTTCTCCTGCCACCAGATGCCCCAGGGAACACAAACCAGAGGCCTTGTGTCTACCAAGGTGGTTTGTTTAAACCCATGATTCAGTTAGCCTGGTGTGGTGGTATGTACCTGTAGTCCCAGCTACTCAGGAGGCTGAGGTGGGAGGATTGCTTTAGGCCAGGAGGTCAAGGCTGCAGTGAGCTATGATTACACCATTGCACTCCAGCCTGGGCGACTGAGTGAGACCTGTCTCTAAATAAACAAATTCATGATTCAGTCCCTTGGAATACAACGGGCAAGGAAGGTTGGTGGGGGCTGAGATCTGACAGCCCTACAGGTAACTGTGTCACCAAGAACAGGTTTCCCTTAAACCTCCAGGACCCATACACTTAGGTTGATCACTGTGGGGTGTCCTCTCATTGCATCGAGTGACTTCCATGTGCTTCTCTGTGAAGAAAGCTGGTATTTTTCTTTTTTAGTGTGCAAGGCTGCTCTAATGACAAGCTTTAAGGTTTCCTGTGGCTAGTGGGATTCAGAATGAGACCTGTGAAGTTCCCAGCTCAGCATGGGAAGAATCAGTTGTCGTCTTTACACTCCTCAGTATGAGGGCTGCCTGTGGGGGATGGGAGGAAAAGATGTTGCTTTTGCTGTCTTGGGAGGAGCTGAATCTATAGGCCAAAGGGGAGGGAAATCCAGTTTGCTTTTTCTTTCAGTTTTTTAACTTCATCGTCCCCATCACAGTAAATGTATTGTTGAGGAATGACAACTTGGAAATTACTTCCATTGATTGGTGTATGGGCTGCCCCAGGAGACCATTCTCAACTGCCCTTTGCTCTGGTGGGCATGTCCTTGCAGAAGGCCACTTCTTAGTGTTTTCTTCTGAGGCTGGACGAGGATGCGGAGACAGTAAGGAAGCTGGAGGCAAGCTCTCTGCCCTTAAGTAGCTCAGGGCAGCATCTTCCCCCACAGCACATGTTGTTCAGCACTTTCCTTCCTCTCCCCAGCCTTCTCCCTCCTGCTCTGGGATGCAGCACTCTAACACACCTTGCTGGGGACTTCCTTGCATTTCTGTGGCAATTCTCAGGTGTAGGCAGAGTTCTGTGACAACTGAGGTTGAGTGCTGTGTCTAGGTTGTGCCTACAAATTAGTGGTGGGCACTATTATTTTTAAGAATTTGTTTTTTAGAGACAAGATCACTCTGTCACCCAGGCTGGAGTACGGTGGTACAATCTTAGCTCACTGCAGTCTCGAACTTGCATGTCACAGACGCACACCACACCCAGCTAATTTTTTAATTTTATGTAGAGATGGGATCTCGCTATGTTGCCTGGGCTGGTCTCAAACTCCTTTCCTCAAGTGATCCTCCCATCTTGGCCTCTCAAAGTGCTGGAATTACAGGCATGAGCCACCATGCCGGACTGGTGGTGGGTTTTAGAACTCACTCCACCACCCCCAAGAAAAGGGAACTTGATGGTTTGTCCCCATGGAGCTTGCACTACAGCTTTCTAGGGGGCTGGTTCCCAGATGGGAGGAGTGGCCTTAAGTAGGCCACTTAACACATGACGAACATTTACTAAGTACCGTCTGTGTGCCTGAGCTGCACTATGTGCTGGACGTAAAAATAAATAAGGTTTGTGCTTTGAGGGGCTTGGGAAGGAGAACCATTTCTTCATTATCCCTCCAGTGCCTGAAATTTTACTATTGGTCCCTTATTCCTTTTAGTCAAGCATTGCCGTCTTTCTAGTTTTCATTCAAATGATAAATACTCTTGGGAAACATGTTGCATTCACTCTTTGATACTTCGCTGTGGATATGTTTATTAATAGAAACAAGAAGCAGGGCAAGTTGATGACAGTGAGAGAGGAGTGGGGAGGTGGCATCTCGGCAGGAGGGACCTTGTCCTGCATCACAGGTTGGCCCAGGGTCAGCCCATGCTATGTCCCACTGCAAGGGGATATTTGAGGTCATAAGTGTGTGTTTTTGAAGCATTAAAGCATCTCCCCAAAATGGCCTAGGTTTGAAAAAACTTTGACCAAAGGAAAGAAAACAAATAAGAAAACCAGTACAGAGTGCCTGTGCACTGTGTCAGGCACTTATTAGGTGCTCAATAAAGAATGTTCCTTCCCTAAAACAAATAGGAGTGGCTCCTGGCACTTGCAGCTGCCTGGGAAAGGTGGCCATGCACCTGGCTGGCAGAGCTCTCTGATCAATGTCAGTGTGGGGTATGTGTGGGGAATGGGGCACGTGGAATGATCAGTTCCTTCGTATGTGAAGTCAGGAAAGGCTTCTGGAACCAGGGAGTTATAGACGTTATATGGAGTTATAGAAACACAGTGGAAGGGGTGGCGTTAGATACTGTTCCTGCCTCAGGTGAGTCTGACTGGGTCTCAGTCTTTTCTCATAGAGAAGAAGAATGGCTAATGCCTTTTCCGGACATTTCATATGAATGGAGTCATAAGATGATATGGTCTTTTGCGTCTGTGTCTGGCTTCTTTCACTCAGCATCATGTTTTCATGGTTCATCCGTGCTGTACCATATGTCAGTGCTGCATGATTTTTTTTTTTTTTTGGAGACGGAGTCTTGCTCTGTTGCCCAGCCTGGAGTGCAGTGGTGCAATCTCAGCTCACTACAACTTCCGCCTACCAGGCTCAAGTGATTCTGCTGCCTTAGCCTCCTGAGTAGCTGGGATTATAGACGTCCACTACCACGTCCAATTAATTTTTGTATTTTTAGTAGAGACGGGGTTTCACCATGTTGGTCAGGCTGGTCTCGATCTCCTGACCTCAGGTGATCCACCCGCCTTGGCCTCCCAAAGTGCTGGGATTACAGGCATGAGCCACCATGCCCAGCTTGTGTACAAGTTTTTATTGAACATGTTTCATTTCTCTTGTGCACATGCCTACAAGTGGAATTGCTGGGTCATATGGTAACTCTGTGTTCAGCATATTTGAGGAATTGCCAGACTGTTTTCCAGAGAGGCTGCAGCATTTTACGTTGCACATTGTTTTATCTGCATGGAGAATTGTATAGTGTGGTTAATGCAGGTTCCAGAACCTAACTGCCTGGGACACCTTGGGCAAGTCCCCTCAACTCACTGCACCTCAGTTTCTTCTTCTGTGAAATGCAGACCTTATTAGTCCTTACTGCATATGGTCATGTGGAAGAAAGGAGTAGGTGTCTGCGGAGTAGGCTGTGCGCGTGTCACCTGCAATTCTTACTTCCCCCGGGCATGGATGCCTGCACACCTGGGTGCTCTGTTAGTGGTGTTTTCTGTGGATGTAGAGCTGTCCTTACAGGGCACTGCCTCTTTCAGTGCTTTCTAGTCTTCTGATTGCCCCTGGGAATAGGCCTCCCAGGCTGTCAGTGCCTGGCACATCTGTGCATCTCTCTCCTCAGCTGGAGGGGCTTCCTAAGGATAGTGCGCCAGCTGTGGGATCTGAGAGGCTGTAGGTGGGACTTGGAACAGTGCCAGCATGGATAGGCATCTGAACCCAGGCACACAGTGGGACCTGGAGCCAGGCATCCAGGAGCCAGGAGCTGTTTGGGTCATTAAAAAAACAGTAGCACAGAGAAGGTTAACCCAGCCCTTAGCTACATGCCTAGTTTTCCTCTGCACTGGGCTCCTGCTCTATGATCGGCCATGTGGAAGGAGATGATGTTCAGACCAGGAGCTTGTGGGAAGTCTGCCAGTGCTGCAGGTAGGGCCCAGAGCCCCCAGGGCTTCGTCAGCCCACAGGCACAAAGGTGGGCCTCCTCCCTCTCTGTAGAGGAGTATCCCACTTGTCCCGCCAGTCAAGCCCTGGCAGAACAGTAGCTTCCCAATCTTGCTGTGCTGGGTGTTCTCCGAGGAACATAGGGAGGCAGATTCAGAGAGCCAGACTTGCCTTTGCCCTCATCTCCAAAGGGAGTCCTGGTATGAGGTTTCATTCTTTAAAAAAAAAGATATATATTTTTTTTTTCAGCAAAATCGACAGTTCTGGGTGAGCGTGAAGGAGGGAATCAGTTGCCTCCCTTATCTGGCAGGTGCTTGCTGTGCCCACTGAATCAGAGATCCAGTGAGGAAGGGGAACTCAGCCCCTGGGATGGGGGTATAGACACATGTTAGAATGCATAGCACATGCACAGAAGGGAGGCACAGAGTGCAGCTAGAGCAGAGAGAAGGCAGCAGCTGACATCTGATGGAGAAGATTTCATACAAGAGGGAGCATTTCAAATGGGCTTTGAAGGATATGGAGGAGTTTATCAGGAGTAAAGGGGGAAAGGCAGACGGACCAGAATGAGCCTTCAGTACTCAAAGTGCATGGTATCTTTGGGGAGTGCTGAGAAGTTTCAGGTTCTTGAAGTACAGAGACAAAGGCTGGCAGGATGGAGATTGGGCTGGGAAGGAAGCCGGCCCCTGAGCTCAGCTCTCAGGAGTGGACACTTGGGAGCCCGTGGGATTCGGGGGACTCACTCGCCAACCTTGTGGCTGTCTCTGTGGCATCTGTTTGTTTGCTTCTAATTAGGAGGCGCTTCCTCTTCTCCATTTGCATATTAGCTGACTGCAGCCTTGAACTCCTGGGCTCAAGCAATCCTCCTGCCTATGCCTCTGGAGTAGCTGGGACTATAGATGCAGGCCACCATGCCTGGCTAATTAAAAAAAATTGTTCTCTTTTTGTAGAGACAGAGTCTTACTATGTTGCCCAGCCTGGTCTTGAACTCCTGAACTCATGTGATCCTCCCACAGTTTCCCAAAGTGCTGGGATTACAGGTTTGAGCCACTGTGCCTGGCCTGCACATGTTTCTTATCTCGTACTGCTGCCCTCCTATGATAGGGCTCTGGCTGGTGGTCCCTGACACCCTCCATCCTGCCTAGATGTCTAGCTCCCCGTCCTGGTCCTGACTTACATCTGGCACCTTCTTCCTCCTCCCATGAGCCCCAACCCATTCCAGGCCTCTTTAGGACCCAAATCCTTGTTCCCTTGAGAGCATCTCCCAGAGCCTGTGGGCCAGCGCTCATCCCAGAGGACAGAAATGGGAAATGGGCCCATGATTCCGTTGTACAGGTGCAAGAAGCCAGGCAGGAGAGCATCTCCCTGCAACCTGGGTGCTGGGGGTGACCTGCTTTCTGTGAGGCTGTGCTGCTGCCTTTGATTCTTCTCTCTTTCTCTGGACTGTCTGCTCTGATTAGCACACTGACGTCAGGAATCTCTGTCACCTTTGGTCTCCCTGTGGCCTGGCGGCTGTGATGTATCATTTTCGACATGTCCCCTGCATCACTACAGAGGGCCAAGGCCAGCAGAGAAAGGAGGATTATGTTGTTCCCATCTGGCTGCAGCCGCTTTCCGAGCTCTGTCCAGCTGTTCCTCATACCCACTGCCAAGTGGCAGATGTAGGGGCGAGGTCAGCCCAGGAGCTGGGGACCTGCCCGTCATCTTCACGTGAATGTCTTCAAGGCTATTTCTGGCCTTGCCATTATCCCAGCGGCTTTGGGCGATAAATATAGGCACAGATTGAAAAACCCCAGTGGAAGGCAGACAGGCAGGCAAGGAAGGCAGGCAGGCAGGCAAGTGAGGCAGGCTGCACTGGAGAGCGTGCGGACAGGCTGCTTGGCTATAAATAAGTCTGCTGGAACCCCTCCCCATCCATGCCATCACTGCTGAGCATGTGCGTGCCTTAAGAAAGACAATCTCCCTTCCTGACTCCCAGCCACAGCTCACTTGTGCCTGTGGGGTCGAGGGTAGAGGAGCGAGGGAGGGTCTGCCAAGGAGAGGAAAGGAGGTGCTGGCCTCTTGAGGACTGTGCAGAAAAGTGGGCTGCTGAAAGTCTTTCCCCCTTAGCACTTTGCAATCACTAATAAAAGGGAGATGGCAGGCCGGGCGCGGTGGCTCATGCCTGTAATCCCAGCACTTTGGGAGGCCAAGGCAGGTGGATCACCTGAGGTCAGGAGTTCGAGACCAGCCTGGCCAACATGGCAAAACCCCGTCTCTACTAAAAGTACAAAAATTAGCTGGGCGTGGTGGTGGGCGCCTGTAATCCCAGCTACTCAGGAGGCTGAGGCAGGAGAATCACTTGAACCCAGGAGGAAGAGGTTGCAGCAAGCCAAGATCGTGCCACTGCACTCAAACCTGGGCGACAAGAGCGAGACTCCATACCAAAAAAATAAATTAAAAATAAATAAATAAATAAATAATAATAAAAATAAAGAGAGATGGCAGGGTGGCCCCACTCTGGGGAGTCCTGGGGACAGCTGTGTTGCACTAAGCACAGTGGCACCAGTCCAGCATCCTTTAGTTCCTCTAGCTTCCCTGGGCCTCGTTTTTGCTGCAGAGGGGCCGGGGAGACCTGCTGGGCCTGGAGGATTCTATGGCCAGCCTGCCATCCTGCTGGGTGGCTCCTGACTTCCACAAGCCACCTTCCTGTGTCTTTTTTCTGCTTCTGCCCTGCCTGGATCCCTCCTCTTGACAAGAGTACAGCTTTGTCTTCTGGTTCCAGGTCCTCACTGCTCAGCCCAGGCTGGCTGGTGTTGGGACCCTTGTTTAGGCTAGTGGTGCAGGGGGAGGGATTCCAGATGCCCCCGGGCCTGTGGCTGTCTCCTTCCCTGTTCCTCTCTGCTCCTTCCTCACACCTTCCTCCCTCTTTCTTCCTTCTCCATGTCCTTTTGGGTTCTCTCTCATTCCTCGCCCCCCTCCCCATCTTCCCACTGCCTCTTCCTAGCTAGAAGCAGATTCTGGCATTGGGTGAGGAACAGAACGCATGCCCAAGACACACTTTTCATGGAAAAGGATTGAAGTCGGTAAGCTGGCAAGAATCCCAGGAACTCACCGTGAATAAAATATGGTTGCTGTGCAGTCACCAATCATGGGAAGTGGCTTCCCGCGAGCCCATTCCTCTTCTGTGGCCTCATTTAACCAGGGCCAAGAGCTGGGGCATGCAAGCAGGGCATGTGTTAATATTGCGTAAATAAATGGTGCCTGGGTGTGCTTGCTGGCTACAGATGGAGATTGAGCTGCCATCACATGGGAGCGGGGCTAGTCCCTCAAAGGAGGGGTCTGTCCCCCTGTCCCAATTCCCAATGTATTCCTGGTGCTTTAGGGCTTCAGGGGACAAGCCACGGGGCCACTTTGGCTCCCTGAGCAGGCGACATGTGTATGGATCCATCATTCAGCCCTGAGTGTGGGCTCTGAGCTACAGGGCTGCAGAAGTGAATCAATTCCAGCCCCCACTCTCAAGGAGCTCTCAGGCCATCACAGGCATCAGTCATGGGCGGTGATGATCCTTACGAT
Source organism: Homo sapiens (assembly GCF_000001405.40). Taxonomy (NCBI): domain Eukaryota; kingdom Metazoa; phylum Chordata; class Mammalia; order Primates; family Hominidae; genus Homo; species Homo sapiens. The sequence goes on along the minus strand of NC_000012.12, from coordinate 123,095,929 downwards.
AGTGCCAAGCCTTGTGGAAGTGGGGTTGGGGGGGTCTGCCACTGGGGCGTGGAGCCCATGAAGGGAGCCTCAGGTGCTGACGCTTGGTTTAGATCCTGTGGGGTGCTGAGTTCACACGACACAGGAGGCAGGGTTGCGTGTAAACAAGGGAGAGTCTTCCTGGTAGAGGGAACCGCCTTCACAATGGCCCCGAGGCAGGAGGAGCCCCATGGGCTCCTGTCTGTGAGAGTCTGGCTGGGGCTGAGCTGCAGGGAGGACCAGGTTGGGGGCCTCGTGCCCTAGTTAAGGAGCTTAGATGTCGCCTTGAAACCCAAGGGGAGCGTTGAGGGCCTTTACTCAGAGAAGTGACACACTCCGATGTGTGTATTGGAAGACACTTCGTCTCACTTCATCTGGGTGACAGGTCGGAGGCGGGGGGAGGAGGGGGCAGGCTGGTGGCAACATCACGACATCTTGCTTTGTTGAGTACCTGAAAGATCTTTGCGCTTTAACAGAGCCTGTAAAATCGAGATGTACACATGTGGGTGCACGCCCAAGAAATGATTGTTTCTAAAGATGGCAGCGCAGAGCAATCGTCAGCAGGGGCTGCCAAGCGGGATCTGTGCCCAGCACAGGGCCATCGGTTCTGATTTGCTTAGCTCTCCCTGTCACCACAGGGGCGACTGTCCAGCAAGCTTGGCTACTGCCAAAAGCCAGGGTCTGGAGCAGAGATAACCGACTCCCCAGGGGAGCAGCCCATTCCCCTGGGCCCCCTCACCACGTTCCAAGCCCTGAATCAGCCTGCTGTGCAAGGATGGTGGAGTGGAGAGTCTTGGATCCCCAGCAGCCACCCTAATGTGGACGCACTGCCGTGCTGTGAGCCCCAGTGCCCCGAAAAAGAAGTGACCAAAGAAAAAGTGTTGTATGAGGGAAGGATAAACATGCTTGCTTCAGTGCGCCACGAAGCCCAGAAGTTAATCTGATCATATAAATATTTTCACGTGTCTGTGGTTCTGCGAGGGTGTACTGATAAATAGAGTGAAGAAAGGAGAGGTTGTGTGGCTGCAGTCTTGCCCTGGGGGTAGATGTGATGTTTGTTCCCAACTATGAGTCAGACGTGGGGTCAGAGCCAGGAGGTCGGTCAGTCCAAGGCCTTCGATTCTTAGATGGGAACCTGGCCTTCCCTGCCCTCGGCCCCACCTGGGAGCTGCTTCTAGGAGGTGGAGGGACCCCACCCCACTGCCTGTGCTTGGTTTCGGAGAAGGCTGTCTGGGCCTTTGATGCATCTGTGCAGATGGAGGACGGTAATTTATGGTCCTGTGGGGGAGGAGAAGAGTTTCTCCAATTACCAGCTTCCCAAGTTCCTGGCTTTATGGCCAGAGTTGGAGGCAGCTATTTGGGTAACGTCCCCAGAGGACTAAGTCCGCTTTCCTGGGGCAGAGCAGATGATGGAGACTTCCATGGCATTGTGGGTGAGCCTGATGCGCCGGAGGACAAGCCTGGCAGGAAGCACAGGATCACAGGCCTTGGCTGGGCTCCGCTTCAGCCTGCTGGGTGAAGACATGGGGCCTTTCCGAGGTCAGCCGGAGTCACCTCCCAGGAGCCTGCCTGAGCTCTCTGAGAGCCTTGGACTGGCTTCCTGGTGTTCTGGGATCCCCTGCACCACTTGAGTTCCATTCCTCTGGCTGGCAGACCTGTCACCTTGGTCAGCCCCTTTTAAGTCTACAGCCAGCCCTGTACTGGTGAGGCTCAAATAAGACAAGTATTCCTGAAATGTGTCACCTGGCTCTGTTGGCCAAGCCAGCAGTGCCACAAGAGAAGCAGCTGCCATGGCCCAGTGACACCTGGAGTGTTTGACGATGCTTTGTGTCCATGTGGCCCCTAACCAGGCCTTTCTCACAGCCACATAGCATCCCCAGGCCTGCTGCACTGGGCCAGCCGCAGCCTCCGAGCCCAGCCTGAGGGGCCTCTCACTGGGATCCCCAGCTTTGTCCCTGAGATGAGGGGGCTGATCCTAAGAGTGTGGGTGGGGATGCCTCTGCCCAGGGGGTTCTGGTGGTGTTGGGCTCTGGCCCAGGCCTCCTGGCTCTGTGTCCTTCCATAGACTCCAGGTTCCTCACAGTCATTCACAAACCAACTGAATGTTGGTGTCTTGTGGCTTCTGGTCTCAGGGTTGGAGGTATTAAAGCCATGGAAGAGCAGTCTCTCCTGGGCTGCAACAGCCTGTCTTCTGTGGCCTCTAGCTCCATCCTCAGAGTTTGGGATAGGGGCTGAATCTTTTGCTTGTTCTCCCTCCCAGGGCTGGCCCCCAGAGTCAGTACTTCAGGTTGAGGGGAGTGGGAGGTTGGCTCTGGAGGGGCTGCCGAGTGGCAGGAGGAAGGGGCTCAGGAGCAGGGGGTGGCTCCACTGCAGCGGCCAGACTCTGTTGATTACAGATGATTATTTCAAGGTGTGTGTGTGTGTGCGCGTGTGTGTGTGTGCGTGTGTGTATTTTTAAATAACAGCTCTATTGAGATATAGTTCACATACCATACAATTCACCCATTGAAAGTGTACAATTCAATGGTTTCTAGTATGTTCACAGAGTTGTATAATGAACACCACAGTTAATTTTAGAACATTTTCTTCTATTCTCTTACAATGTGTAAAAATAAATAAAGGTTTTTTTAAAAAAACATTTTCATCACACCAAAAATGAGCTCCTCGATGGATGTTATCCCTCATTTGTCCCCAAACCCCCAGCCCCTGGCAACCACTAATCTACTTTCTATCTCTGGATTTGCCTATCATGGACATTTCTTATGAACGGAGTGACACACCATGTGGCATTTTGTGTCTGGTTTCTTCCACTGAGCATCATGATTTCAAGTTCATGTAGGAGCATGCATCTGAGCTTCATTCCTTCTCATGGTGCAATCATCTTCCACTGTGTGTATAAGACCACATTTTGTCAATCCACACATCCATGGATCACAAGTGCATTTTTAAAGGGTGCTTTTACATCTCAAACACAGTTCTCAGTTGGCGAGGGGGTCAGAGGACAATACAGAAGTGACTGTAAGCGGCATAAACTGTAGCTTCCCAGAGGGGCTCCAGGGGCTCGGGGGAGAGGTCGAGGTAGGGAGGCAATGTCCTTCCTTTGAGCAGCCACTGAGAGGGAGAAGGAGTTGCAGAGATCAGGAAGGAGAGGATTTATTTCCAGTTTTCTGGCAGTTTTTCCTCACTCTTTCGGAGACCTAGGATGGGTTAGGAGAGGGCATGGCAAAGGCAGAGGTGGCTCTGCTAGAGGAGGCCGCAGGTCCGCAGGCCGAACCTGGGGAGCCAGCCATGTCTGGCCTGAGGCCCTGCTTTGAGGAGAAGATAAAGCCTTGAGGAGCCTTTTGGGCCGATCTGGGAACCCAGCAAGACTAGATTAGCCTGACTGATGACAGACCTGGGATGAGGATGAGGGCAGTTAAGTATTTGTTTAATCTTGCTTTGTCTTTTCAAACAGCGATTTAGTAATCCTGTTTGAGGCTGCAGTGTGGCAATGCTTTCCAGAGGATGGAGTCCTTTTTGTTTGTTTTGAAAAAATAGAGATAAGGTTTCACTATGTTGCCTAGGCTGGTCTCATACTCGGCCTCAAGCCATCCTCCTGCCTGGGCCTCCCAAAGTGTTGGGATTACAGGCGTGAGCCATGGTGCCAGACTGGAGTCCTTTTATTAAAATTAACTGCCCTGCTCAGCTTTCTGCTGGGCCACCCCAGAGCCAATCCTTGGTTCTTGGGCCCAAGGCTGGACCCAGGGGTTGCAGGAAACAGTCTGTAGCATCCAAGTGGGGCCTGTCGTACCCACTCCAGTGTGTAGGTGCAGAACGCTCTTTGGGGGATTTCTCTGCTGGGCCACCTTACTCCAGGGATCCCTCAGTTTTCAAAACAAAGCAAGAGGGCAAGGAAGAATGGAGAAACAGCTCAGTGTTGACTCTCTTCCCCCTGGTGAGTGCTGTGCTGGGGCCTCTGTGCACATCATACCACTTCCCCCTTGAATCAGCCCCACAAGGCAGGGTGAGAGATGAGGACTCAGGGTGCAAGGAGGTCTCACAGCTTGGAAATGGATCAGGACAGCTCTGATTCTCCAAGGCCAAGGTCTTCTCTATATCATGAGGCAGCCCAAAAATGTGTTTCTACACATATTCTGTGTAGAAACTCAGGCCAGGCTCCTATATGCTCTGGGTGACAGCGGGAAGGTGCTTTCCAGTGTGTATCAGTGTGGCCCATCTGGGAGTCATAATGTCATTGCCTCTTCCAAAATATCAGCAAAGCTGACCCTAGTGCTTGTAGTGCTCAAATGCACCTCTCTGCCTTTGTGCCATAGGGAAATGGATTTGGTCCTGGGGGTGGTGATACCAACTTCTGTCTCAATTCCATGACCCTCACTCAGCACCCCCACCCCAGGCCTGTGCAGAGGAGGAATAACCGTCCTTGAGAACCATCCAGCCCTAGGTGGAGAAATTAGATTTATGGACTTAATCAGTTCTTCTTCCCTGTCAGTGGTGGTGAGAATGAAATGGGGGAAATTGATAAGCCTCAGTCATGTTTTCCTGCGAGACAAGGCAGCTTTGGTAGCTGGTGGGACTGACGCCTTCTTCACCTGTGTCCTCTGCCTCTGAGTGACTATAAATTGCGAACCCCATGAGGTGGCACCTGCAGCCACAGATCGCTTAGGCACCTTGCACAGGGGGCCACCTAATGAACTGGCTGCAGGACGGCAATCCTGCTGTGAAGCCAGGCACCTCGGGAGGGGCAAGGTGGCAGAACCGAGAGAGCAGATGCTCCTTGCTGTTTCTGTAAGGCCACCAGTGGCTGGGTGGCCTGGCCCTGGTAGCAAGGTGGTAACCGTGTGAGTGGCTGAATCCTGCACCACTTTTCCTGAGCCTCCTTCCTCCTGGATTCCTGCAACTATATTCTCACTACATGGCTCACCACCAATTCGTTCTCTCTGCCCCAAGGAGGCTGGACAAGAGGCTCAGGTCAGTGCGGGTACGCAGGAACCTATGTCTGTAAAATGAAAATGCCTGCCTTCAAGGGCTGTCTTGAGGTTGAAAGGAGATGGTCTACATCAAGGGTTAGGAAGACCACAATGTGGCTGTGCCGGCCACCTCCAGGCTGGCTTCAGTCTCCCATCCCCATAGTCATACCCCTGTGAAGTCCCTTCCCATACTGAATCGGGCTACCTGTGTATCTTATAGGGTGTTGGAAATGACAGATTGTGAATTCCAAGGCCCCATAAAAGACAGCGTGGGCTGGGCGTGGTGGCTCACGCCTGTAATCCCAGCACTTTGGGAGGCCGAGCCAAGTGGATCACTTGAGGTCAGGAGTTCTAGACCAGCCTGGCCAGCATGGTGAAAACCTATCTCTACTAAAAATACAAAAAAAAAAAAAAATTTAGCCAGGTGTGTTGGCACCTGTGCCTGTAGTCCCAGATACTTGGGAGGCTGAGCCAGGAGAATCACTTGAACCTGAGAGGTGGAGGTTTCAGTGAGCCGAGATTGTGCCACTGCACTCCAGCTGGGTGGCAGAGACTCTGTCTCTAAACAAAGAAAATGTGGTTTCTGCTGTCCTTTCTCTTGGATCACTTTCTCTGGGAAACCAGCCACCATCTTGTGAGGACACTCAAGCTCTCTGGAAAGGTTCAGAAATGTGGTGAGGAAGTGAGACAGACCTCTTGCCAAAAACCATGTACTAACTTATCAGTCACGTACATGAGTTGACTTAGAAATGACTCTATCAGCCTCAGCCAAACCTTCAGATGACTGCAGCCCTGGTCAACATCTTGACTGTGACCCCATGGAAGACCCTGAAACACTCAGCCAAGCCACTCTCAGCTTCCTGATCCACAGAAGCAGCATGAAATAATAAATTTTTCTTGTTTTAAACTAAGTTTTGGGTTAATTTGTTATACAGCTGTAGATAACTCCAAGAATAATACTCCATAAATGTTGATTTCCTTTCTGCGGCTCCACTGAGTCATCTTTGTTCATGGGCAAAGCTCACTGTCTCTCTACTGGCTGCAAAAGATGTCCATTTGTTGGCTCTGACTCATGCTTGTGGTCTTGTTGGCTCACAGCAAGGCCTTTTCACAGAGGATGGTGGTTTGTCACACTCAGAATCCAGGTCTTACCTGCTTTCCTGCTCCATGGAATTTTGACCTGAGTTTGAAGGCTGATAGGGGATTGATGGATGAGGGAGAAAGACACAGTCAGTTCTTAGAGCAGTAGCTAATCCAGGGGTTTCTCTGGCTTTGTTTGCATGAGTAGTGATAGTTGGGGATGAAGCATGGGTATTCGAGATCTTTTTTGTGTGAGTATGGGAGGAAAAATTCTGTTCTCTTCCTCCTCCATCTTTATTCATCTTTGTCTTCCCTCGGATCAGCTTTAAAGACCCCTGAGACTCTAGGACTTGGTTTGCTTTTTTCTCACCACTGGGATCCATCTCCCACTAGTAGGAAGAAGGATCTAAGTAGTTGAGCTGCATAAAGGGGAAGTAAACAGCCAGACAAATGTTACATTTTAGAGCCTTGAGTGACCCAGAGCTTTCTATCAGCTTCATTGGGTGCAGGGAGGGTAGCGATTTCTGGCTGCTGTCACCTCCTTGCTCATATCAGGAAGCGCTAATTTTGAGGCAAAGTTCAGTGCCCTCTGGCTCACCTAGGGCCCCTGTTGCCTAATTTCACGAGGCCAAGAGTTTGAGGGTGGGTTCGGGGCTGCGCAGCCTGGATGCCTTGGTTTGCATGCCTACAGCAGCTGTGCCCGAAAGCTTTTTTTAGAGTAAATATGTAGCTTTTGCTAGGCTTTTTGTGTGCCTTGTTCATTCCTCTATCATTTTTTGTATACCTGCTATGGTGTCAGGCACTGGGGATACAAATTAGCCGGGGACTCGGACATGTAAGCAAGTAAGCCCAACAGCAGCTAACATTTATGCAGTGCTCACTGTGTGCTTGGATGTCCAGAGTGATAGAGCAGGTTTAGTAAGGGGGACAGAGGGCTGAGACCAGAGGCAAGGTGGAGAAGGGCATTTCTGGAGGCAGCAACATGAGTGCAAAGGAGACATACACAAGGTTCCCTGGGGGATTCCAAGTTGTTGCTGTCGTGGCTTCAAATCTTACTTTAGGGCCTACTCAGATGGCATCTTGTTCATGAAGATGTGCCTGTTTTTTGTTTTATTTGTCCCTCTCCCCCCAACAAAGAGTAAACTTTTTTTCTGAACTTCTCGAAAGTTTGCTAACATCAGCTATAAAACTCTCTGGGCCTGGGGATATTTTGCGGGGAGCAGGGAAGATCTTTGATTATCATTTTAACTTATTTCTGTTCATTTATTCAAGCTTTTTCTTCTTTCACCAATTCTCAAAAGCCCCACACCACCCTCCTGCCACCCCCACACCCCTCCACTTCCAGTCGCTACCTTCCACCCATCATTCTCACTTCTAAAGCCATCAACAGAGGTTTTGAACACCACTCATGTGCCAGGTGTTGTTCTAAGCACAGATTCATCAGTGAGCCAAATGAAATTCCTTCCTAAAATATGCTCTTTGGTGGTGCTAAATGCCAGGAAGAAAAGTAAGCAAGGGGAGGGAAGAGAGAGGTGTGGGGTGGCGGGGGGCGGGAGCTTGGATAGGATGGTCAGAAAGGACCTCTTTGTAGAAACTTAAATAAATTTAGAAAGCAAGTCATGTAATATCTGGGAAAGAGGAAATAGCAGGTGCAAAGACCCTGAGGTTGAAGTGTCCTGGCAAGTTTGAGGCAAGCAAGGAAGGCAGGGTGGTTGGAACAGAACAAGAGAAGAAACGTGGTAGGAAATGATGGAGAGTCAGGGGCACGACCTTGGAGGACTTGCAGGTCATGGTAAAGACGCTGGACTCGACACGAAGTGTGAACAGAGTTCTTGGAGGATTCTGAGGTAGAGAGTAGCATAATCTCATTTGTGTTTTTATTTTAACATGCTCACTTGGGCCACCTTGTAGAGGCTGGAGTGAAAAGGAGGGAGACTAGTTAGAAATTCTGTATTGCTGGCTGGGCGTGGTAGCTCCCGGCACTGTGGGAGGCCAAGGCCAGAGGATTGCTTGAGTCTAGCAGTTTGAGCCCAGCCTAGGCAACATAGCGAGACCCTGTCTCTGCAAAAAATTTTAAAATTGCCCAGGGATGGTGGTGCACACTTGTAATCCCAACTACTTGGGAGGCTGAGGTGGGAGGATTGCCTGAGCCCAGGAGTTTGAGGCTCCAGTGAGCTGTGATTGTGCCATTGCACTCCAGCCTGGGTGACAGAGCGAGACCCTGTCTCTAAAAAAAAAAGAAAAAAAAGAAATTCTGTATTGCAGCAGCCTAAGAGAGTCATTAGTTAAGAGATTTGTAGTAGGCATTTTTTAGAAAGTTGCATTGAGGGCTAGGTACGGTGGCTCATGCCTATAATCCCAGCACTTTGGGAGGCCAAGGTGGGTAGATCATTTGAGGTCAGGAGCCTGGCCAACATAGCGAAACCCCGTCTCTACTAAAAAAATTAGCCGGGCGGTAGTGGCATGCGCCTGTAATCCCAGCTACTCGGGAGGCTGAGGCAGGAGAATTGCTTGAGCCTGGGAGGTGGAGGTTGCCAGTGAGTCGAGATCGCGCCACTGCACTCCAGCAGTCTGGGCGACAGAGTGAGACGCTGTTTCAAAAAAAAAAAGAAAAGAAAAGAAAAAAGAAGGTTTCATTGAGGGAAATTCATTCCCTTTGAGAGGGAGTTGGAAGCAGCTTGCCCTTCAACAGGGTACACAGAGTCTCCCATAAGTGTGCAGGGCCCGCTATTTCTAGTCCCTGGAAGGATTTGGGTCTCTAGTTGTCTCCAGGCTCTCTGAGGGTCTGAGGAATGCCTCGTAAGCCAGAACATGGAGATACTTCTTCCCTTTAGTGCCCTAGCCTTGGTTCTGAAGGAGTTAATTGCACCCTTGGGTGCTAATCACAGTGGCTGGGCTGAGCAGAACTGAGTACCAAGGTCTTGGGCCTGAGAAGAACCAGGCCAGTCCAACCATTCTGTGGGCTTCCCTGAGGGACCTGCTCTGAGACCTTTCCCTAGGACTTCCAGAGGCTCATGTCCGGAAGTCAGAGCTGTGCAAGCCGGCTGTAGGTCTGCCTCTGCACGCCAGAGACTCTTCTCAGAGCCTCCTTCCACACTTCCCTTGAGATACCCTATGGAACAGTGGTGGCCAGCTCAGGCTTGGAGCCAGATGACTAGAATTTGAATCGGGGCTCCACTACCTCTTGGCTGTATGTCCTGGGGCAAGTCACTAACCTCTCTGTGCTTCAGTTTCCTCATATGCAACATGGGGACAAAAAGATTCAATCAGTTAATTCACATGCTGAGAAGAGTAGTTGTGGTTGTGGTCTGGCCCGACTGGCCCCTTCCCCTGTCTTCAGGATCGCTGACCCACACCTCCTGGCCAGCATTAAGGGATTAATGTTGTACTTCCATTATAATCCATGTATCATTACCATTTACCGACCTTTGACCATGTCCCAGCCATATGCTAAACACTTACTATACATCATCTCATTGTAGTCCTCAGAAAAGCCCAAGAGACAAACACTGTCTTCACCCCCATTTTGTAGAAGAGAAAACCGAGGTTTAGAGGGTTGAAGGAACTAGCCAAGGCCCCCAAGCTGGTAAATGATGGAGCCAGGACCTGATGCCCCCTGCAAGCTGCTTTTCTGTAGCCAGGGAGCAGGAAGGTGCTGGCATGTCATAGTGTTGGGGCCCTGGCTTTCCTGTTCTTGCTCACGGCTACCTTGCCTGGCTCCAGCAACCTTCCCGGTATTTTTCTAACTGTAGATGGTCAGAGAGGACCTCCCTGTGAAAACCTAAATAAACGTAGGAAGCAGGTTACGGAATATCGGGAAGTGCATTTCAGGAAAAGGGTGCAGTGAATGCCGAGACCAGGAGGTGCCTTCCAGGGAGGTGTCCACAGAGACTTCTCAGCCCCTGCCTGCCCTGTGGCATCTGGCTGGCCGCCAGGGAGACAGGGCATCCTGGCTTAGTCATGCTGGCTCACACAAAGAGCCCTTCTCTGAAGGTCCCTGGTGTTCATACATGACAAGACAGGCCCTGTGAGCCTCTGCGCTGTGCTTTAAGCATTGAGTCTGTCTGGGGGCAGTTTGCAGAGGGTCCCACCATTGTCCCTGTGGAGTTATTGGCCATCCTGTATCTTCAAGTTGCATTTTGGAGAGTGGGCTTTTTTCTCCTTGTATTTTTTTTTATTGTGGTAAAATATACATAACATAAAATTTTCTGTGTTAACCACTTTTATGCGTATAGTTCATTGGCATAAGTACATTTAGAATGTGTGTAACCATCACCCCTATCCATTTCCAGAATTTTTTTTATCATCCCAAACAGAAACTGCACCCATTAACTAACAACTCCCAACCCTTTTCCTCACCCCCAGTAGCCTCTGCCGTACTCTTTGTCTCTATGGATTTGCGTCTTCTAGATGTTTCATAGGAACAGAGTCTTGCAATATGTGGCCTTTTGTGTCTGGCTTCTTTTGCTCAGCATCATGTTTTTGAGGTTTGTCTGTGTTGTAGGGGGTGGGCTTTTTGAAGCAAAGGGGATGTCAGCACTGTGTGCTGACCCTATACCAGGTGCTGCCAGGGAGCAAAAGAGGAAGAGAAGCCCAGGTCCTGCCCAGGAGCCCCCATCTGGGTCACGCAGATGGCGCTAGCTCACACCTACTTAGTTACTCCTCAGCTCCTGGATCTACCTGTTTGCATCTCTCCAGACAGGTGCCCCTCGAAATCAAGGACTCAGTTCCACATGTAGCACTCTACGGTGCATGCCACAACTCTAGGTTCATCTCAGGGCCTGATTTCTGTGCTTGGGCACCTGACATCTCTCAGCCTTGTCTCTCCCATCTGTGGAATGGATCTGGTTCTCTATTAAGAGCCATACTTGGCCCGATTAAGCTGGCTTCCCAGAGTCAGCTCAGAGCTGACCCTTGATGGGGGAGGGGGGTGTGTGGGATGGTGCTTCTTAGATTATGACTTTTTTATTTATTAAAAATTAATTCAGGGACTTTGATGTATCAGACTTTAAAAGGAGTTGACAGGTCACATGGTCTCTGAAAGCACAGGGCTGGTAATCCATTTAAGAAAACATTTTCTTCTTCTTTTTAATTTAATGGAGGAAATCATTAGCTGGGAAATTGGTAGAACTGATTTATTCTTGTTTTGGGGAAGGGGAGTGGAAGAGAAAATCTGCTTTAATTGCTGCTGGTGCTAGAAATATCTCAGCAAAATATTCCCATCAGCTGGGCCTGGCATGAGAGGAGGTAGTAGGCTAAGCGTTCGTCTCTTCACCCATGCTCTGGGGGCAGCGGAGGGGCTCTTTCTGGCCCCAGGTGGGTGGCCACGATGTCAGCAGTGGCAAATGTTCAAAGTTGCAGCCTTGGCTCCCTGGTGCTCCAGTTCCTCCCAAGCCTGAATGCACGGTGTGGTTCTGGTCGGGGGCTGGGTCCCAGAGAGCTCATGCTCAAGCCTTATTCCCAGGGAAACAGGACCAGGACCCCCGTCTGGGAAAAAGGACTACGTGCCTCTGGGGCTTCATCTGGTTCCAAGGGGAGGCAACTGGGTTCACCCTAAAAATAACCGAAGATGCAAACAGCTTCAGCATGCAAATGTTTTTCATATCTGTGGGCCAGATAATTTAAAGGTACAGCTGTTTTTCCACTGTCCCAATCTGTTTGTTTTTCCTGAAGCAGGGAGGAGGCCTGGGGTGAGCTGAGCCCTTCTGGGGTCACCATCGTCCAGCATCTCTGGCTGAGGTCTGCCTGGGTGCCCAGCTGCTGCCCTCTCTTTAGATGCCACCTTCCCGGGGTCACCCCAACCCTGTGACTCTCAGCAGGCCCTCAAGGGTCCCTGTCATGGAGCAGGAGCTGCCAGCAGGCCTGGCCTGAGTGCAGTCACCCCAGCAGGCTTGCTGAGGTTGGGGAGGTGGTCCACCTGATTTCAATTCACCAAGCTTGTTAAGCTCAGAAAAATGGGTGAAGGAGTTTTCAGAGAGAGGGAGGCTATAAATAGCCTGGCAGGACGAGGAAGTGAGAGGTTAGTGATTGTCAAGGTTGTACCCCAGCTCCTGGCCAGCTGCCACATCTCCAGGTCTCCCGAATGCCCCCAGGCTGCTGCCCCTCCACGATGTGCTGGCTTCAGGCTCTGTTGGCCAAATTCTGGTGTTCCAGGACCTTCCTGGCCTCCATGCCTCTTCCTGGTGGCTGCTGCCTTGTGAGGCTCCAGGGCACATTGTCACCTCCATGGCTGGGGACTCTCATCTACCCATGTCATAATCCTCCCATAGACATGTTACATCTGGGGGAAAGACTCGAAGCAGTTAGCCATCTGGGAGAAGCCTACCATCAAGTGGGGCGTCCTGCCACGCTGAGCACCGCTACCTCTCAGGGATGGTAGGCCTGTGGCTTCAGTTCCAAAGCCGTAGGGTGGGACCAGGAGTTAGTCTACAGTGGGGGTGAGGGACATAACTCCAGGCCAGGCACAGACATTTGAGGCATTGACCTATACAGGGTCTTCATTCATCCATCCATCCATTGGTTCATCCGTTTGTATATTTAGAAATTCTATTCAGTGCCTGCTGCGTGCCAGTGCTCTTCCAGCCCGAGGATACAGCCAACCAACATCCCTGCCCTCGTAGAGACTCCATTCTAGTAGGAGAGACAGAGAGTTAAAAACTTTTTTGTTTTTTTTTAGAGATGGGGTCTCACTATGTTGCCCAAGGGGGCTGGGCTCAAACTCCTGGGTCAAACAATCCTCCCACCACAGCCTCCTGTAGCTGGGACTACAAGCGTATGCTACTGTACTGTGCCTGGGCAGGCAATATTTTAAAAAGAACATGCTACGACACATGGATGAACCCATAAGACATGCTCAGTGAAAGAAGCCAGACACAGAAGGACAAATACTGTATGATTCCACTTACCATGATTATATGATGAGGTCCCTAGAGTTGTCAAATGCACAGCGACAGACAGTAGAACAGTGAGTGCTGGGGCTGGTGAAGAGGGAATGGGGAGTTATTGTTTAATGTGTAGAGTTCAGCTGGGGAAGGTGAATTGGTTCTGGAGAAGGATGGTGGGGATGTTGCACAACAATGTGAATGTGCCTAATGCCATAGAACTGTGTGCACTTGGGAGTGGCTAAGATGGGTCAGGCACGGTGGCCACGCCTGCAATCCCAGCACTTTGGGAGGCCAAGGCGGGCGGATCAGTTGAGGTCAGGAGTTTGAGACCAGCCTGACCAACATGGTGAAACCCCGTCTTACTAAAAATATAAAAATTAGCCGGGCATGGTGGTGGGCGCCTGTATTCCCAGCTATTTGGAGGCTGAGGCATGAGAATCGCTTGAACCGGGAGGCAGAGGTTGCAGTGAGCTGAAATCGTGCCACTGCACTCCAGCCTGGGCAAGACTCTGTCTCAAAAAAATGAAAATAAAGAAATGGCTAAGATGGTAAATTTTATGTTACATGTACAATTTTTAAAATAAAAAGGAAAGAAGAAAGAAAAGTAAGTCGGGTACTAGATAACGATCAACGCTCTGAAGAAAATTAGAAAGGGTCAGAGGAATGCCAGGGTTAGAGTCAGGGCCAAGTTTTACATCAGGGTGTCAAGGAAGGCCTTAGTGAGAAGGGGCCCTTGAGCAGAGGGGAGGGAGAGTGGCAAGTACAGATGCCCCAAGGCAGGAACTTGCCCACGGCCTTGCCAGGGCGGAGAGGTGGCAGGGCAGAGCCTGCAGGCCCTCACTCTGAGTGGGTGGAGAGAGGCCATTCAGGGCTTTGAGCATGTCCTGGTCCTTCTGGCCAGTCTGTTGAGGGAGCCAGGAGAAGGCTTTGCAGGGTGGGGGTACAGGCCCATCCTCAGCTACAGCTCCCACCTCTGCATGACTCCTACCTGTTTGTGGGCTCAGCACAACAGGAGTTAATGATGCTTTACTTAGTGGTTGAGTTTAAATTTTTCCTGTTTTTCTGGAGTCTCCACTACCCCTCCTTTCCCAGCTTTGGTGGGTTCAGGTGGGTCTGGGACAGGAGAGGGGTGGCTTGCTCAGTCTTCAGTCCCTGCTGTCTGGGCTTTGAAGCCACACAGCTGCCAAGAAGCAGACAGACTTTTGCCTACCCGGCAAGAGTGCACAGTGCCCCCTTCCCCTGGGTCTGCTCCCGAGACACCTCTCAGGAGGCTCCTGCAGGGCCAGCTTGGTGGGGTCGGGACCCTGGGCTTCAGACCCCGCCCTGTTGGAGAAGTTACCTCCCTTTCTGAGTCTGGATTTTTGCATCTGCGAAGTGAGAGGGCTGGGTGGCAGTCAGGTCTGGATTCTCATCCTGACGCTCCCTGCCAGAGGAGCCTGAGAAAGCAGCTTCGTGGCTATGTGAAACTCCCTGAGTGCCCAGCTCCACAGCCCAGCCGAGAACCAAGGCCCTCTGCATTTCCCCTCAGGGGTCTCTGCCACCACATTAAGGAGTGGGGGGGGACCTATTCCAATTTTACAGCCCCTGCCCAGACATTCCAGGGATAACCGCAGGAGTTGCTAGGGGAAACAGCAGTTGAGGGGTTCTAGAACAGGGCAGAGGAGAGGCCTGCAGTTCCAGACCCACGTCATTATGGAGTCTATGGTGCCCACTCCCCAGTTGGTATCTATGCTGTTCCCTGAGAGCCCCACCATCCACCTTCTCTCCTTTTAGAGGTGCCTCTGGAGCTAGGCTGTGGACAGAGCCTGCTCCCCTGCCCAGACACTGTGGGGTAAGTAGGAGAGGAGGGGTTGAGGGAAGAGACCAGGAGCTAGGCCTGGGCCTGGACCATGCGTCCTTTTACACTTGTCATCTCCTCAGGCCTTAGAACTGACCACCAGTCTAGTGTGACTATTTAAGTTCAATTATAAATTAAAGTGAAATAAAATGGAAAAGTTCTATTTCCCACTCCCATTCATCACATTTCAAGTGCTTAGTAGCCACCTGGGGCCAGTGGCAGGTCACGGCAGCTGCACTGGATAGTGCAGGTGTGTAACATGTTCATCACTGGGGAAAGTTCTATTGGGTGGCGCCAGCATCATCTCTAGAGCAAACCCATGGGGTAGAGATTGTTGCCCCATTCACAGCTGAAGAAGCTGAAGCTCAGAGAGGGGTGATGACTGGCTAGTCACGTAGTCAGTGAGTGCCAGTGGTCCTGGCACCGGGTTTCATTTGATCTCAAAGCATGGGTGTGGGGTTGGCACATGCATGTGTCTCCCTGCCCAGCTGACTGCTTACCTGGGATGGGTTGGAGGAGGCTGGAGGCCCACTTGTGGGCTACACACAGGCTTTTAGGATCTCTGCCTTGGGCCCCAGGGCCAGCTGGAGCCTCCCTTACTTGGTCACCCATGGGGAGCATTGCTTTAGTGGAAAGGCAGGGTGAGATGAGCACTCAGTTTGGGGCCTCTGGGCCTGCAACTTTGGGAACAAATCCCTTAGGAGGGGCTCTGGAATATTTCACTGGGCTCTGAAGACTTCATTTTAAAAGTGAGAAGCTGAGCACAGTGGCATGACCCTGGCCTGTATTTCCAGATACTCAGGAGGCTGAGGTGGGAGAATCACTTGAATCCAGGAGGTCGAGGCTGCAGTAAGCTATAATCACACCACTGCACTCCAGCCTGGGCAACAGAGTGAGACCCTGTGTCTTAAAAAAAAAATGTGACAACAATAGCCAAAAGGTGGAAACAGCTCACATGTCCATTGGCTGATGGATAATGCATAAGCAGAATGTGGTCCATCCATGTACTGGGATATGATTCAATCATAAAAGAGAATGAAGGACTGACACACGCCACAACATGGATGGACCTCGAAAACAGGATACCGAGTGAAAGAAGCCAGACACAGAAGGCCATGTAGTTTATGAGTCCATTTATATGAAATGTCCAGAATAGGCAAATCCATAGAGACAGACAGAGAGTAGATTGGTTGTTGACAGGGGCTGGGGGAGAGGGGACTGGAGAGAGACTGCTAATGGGTCTCCTTTTGGGATGCTGAAACTCTGGAACTAGATAGAGGTGGTGGTTGCACAACATTGTGAATATACTCAATGCCACTGAAGTGAACACTTTAAAATGGTTAAAATGGTAAATTTTGTGTTATATGTATTTTACTGCAATAAAAAAAGTGAGAAGAAGCGGTAGAATCTAGATGGTGAATATATGGATGTTCATTATAAAATGTTTTCAACTTTGCCATATGCTTGAACACTTTCATCATAAAACAGTGAGAGAGAGGCCGGGCACGGTGGCTCATGCCTGTAATCTCAGCACTTTGGGAGGCCGAGATGGGTGGATCACCTGAGGTCAGGAGTTCAAGACCAGCCTGGCCAACATGGCGAAACCTTGTCTCTACTAAAAATACAAAAATTAGCTGGGTGTGGTGGTGGGCGCCTATAATCCCAGCTACTTGGGCTGAGGCAGGAGAATTGTTTTGAGCCCAGGAGGTGGAGGTTGCAGTGAGCTGTGATCATACCACTGCACTCCAGCCTGACTCTGTCTCAAAAAAAAAAAAAAAAAAAAAAAAAAAAAAGAAAAGAAAAAAGAAAAAGAAGTGAAATAAAACACTGAGGGAGAAAGCGATGGGATTGGGCTGTGCCCCAACTTAGATGTCTCTGTGTCAGGGCAGCTGGGCCTGGTAGGCTCTGGTGCCGGATGCAGACCTGCTGTAGTTTTAGTCCTGAGGAGTCTACCAAGTGAGCAGGGAGAGATAGGAGGCTGGAGGATGCTGCTACTGTGCTCCCAGCCCTAAGGAGACCGCAGCTCCTGAGATGGGCCCAGGACAGCACTAGTGCCTGCCCTGAGCCTTCCCCAAGTCCTGCCACGTCTGAGTGCCTGGGAGTGCCAGTTGGTAGAACGTGGTATCATCTCTGTCTGTAATAAGGAGATAGAAGCTCAAGGAAGTGACCAGACTTGCCCCTGGTCATGTGATCTCCAAGAAGAGAGACTGCGACCCCACTGAGGTCTCGTGGCTTTCTTCCCAGCCCCATTTCGCTGCTCCCAGTATGAGTGGGGCCAGGTGGCTGAAGCCAGTATCGAAGCTGGGACGTGGGCAGCTGCAGCAGTGAGGCTGGCACAGGCGTGATGGGAGATGCCACCCAGCGTGGGGAGCCTGGGAGTCCCCATCCACCTGCCAGTGTGTCCAGGAGAGCCCCCTCCCCCTGCTGTGCCCAGCAGCCTCCCTTCTCCTCTGCTTCCCACATGGGTGGCACTGGGCCATCGGAGCCCTTCCATAGGTGGGTATCCCCTTATCCCTGAGGGTGGGAAGATGTGACTCAGGATTTGGCAACAGATTTTTAGAAACAGGGAGGCCGGGCAGGTGGAAATCCACAACGCCTCCCCTAACACAAGGTATCACCTAAGCCCGGGGAGAGGGTCACTTTAGTCTCTGGGGTCCCGACTTCAGGCTCTGGCTGGGCATCGTGGCGTGAGACGGAGGGCCCAGGCTCTTGGGGCAGCGGAGCACCACGAGCCAGGCGAGAAAGCCCCCATCTCCTCCCTTTTCCTTGGCATGGTGGTGGCCACCAGCTGCTGCTTTTGCCCACCGGTCTGGCCGGTACCCCTCCCCGCCTGGCCACCTGGACCCTGAGGCCTGGTATGGGGGAGGCTGCAGCAGCAGAACTGTGGGATTGGCTCTCTGCTGATGCCTTCCCTCTGGCATATGGCTCCTCCGCCCGCCTTGGGCTCTGCCAGCGGCTCCCCTTTCTCCATGGCAACTCAGCTCAGTGGTCCCAGTGGAGGAGAGAAAATCAATTCTCCCTCCTTCCCGCCCTCCCTCTCCGCTCCCCACCCCTTCCTCTCCGGCCTGCCTTTCTCCCTTCCTCCGGCATCCCTGCCCAGTCTCCCAGCTCCTCCGTCCACCCATCCTGGGGACACGCGTGCTCCTCAGTGTCCTCTGTCTCCAGGCATGGGCTGCTGGGAGAGCTGCGTGCTGGGGGCGGCCCCCTGAGGCCGGCAGCATGGGGAGCTCAGCGGACCTCTGCAGGGATGGGAGGCTGCTGCGCGACCCCAGCCTGGCTCCTGTGGTGCACACCTCCTGGCTCTGATACTTTGTCCCCCCACCCCTTCCCTCACATTGGCTTCCTAAAAGGTAATTTTCTGCTCCTTCTGAAACATGTCACAGCCTCAGGATGGGTTTATTAGCAAGGAAGGCTCTGTCTGGTCACGCGGGCTGCTTGCTTTCTCTCCGAAGAGCTGGGATGGAGGGAGAGAGAGAGGGAGAGGCCTCACCTGGCATGCTCAGAACTCAGAGGGGGCACAGCAGAGTTTGGGTGCGTGGAGTTCTCCTCTAGGGAGTCTGTGAGTAGCTCGACTCCTGCCTCCTGGTGCTTGGGTAGGTACAGCACTCCATTGTACTTCCATTTTCCACTGTGATTGCCACGGGGCATAGAAAATCTGCTTTCCTGGACTGTGGTTGGACCAAGGAAAGGGGAGGAAATTCAGAGGCATGCACGTGCGCCCTAGATGGGGCAGGGCTCTGGAGTGGTGATTGTTGGCCACACGTTGGCTGTCTCTCTGACCAATCCTTCATTATCTGAAAATGAGAGTTCAGTGAGGAAATGTTTTGTCCCTCTCCACCCCTGATAACAAGGGGTGTCCCTCCCCACCCCGATATCCCCCATAACCAAGATTTCCAAGAAGGTGGTGTAGGGAGGATCGTCTGCTGGCTGGCTTCAGGCAGAGCGGCCCTGCCAGTGTGTCTGTCTGGATAGCACCATCTGTTTGGGACAGCCCCTCGGCACAGTTTGGTCAGGCAGGATTTCAAGCCTGCTGCCCAGTGGGTCAACATTCTGCATCATTTCTTCCCCATCCCCAGTAGATGCATTCAGAATGACTCTTAAGTGGCTTTCCCAGAGGGAATCTGTGAGGCTAACCCCTCAGCAGCGCAGCCCGGGGAGACACACTCCGACCCATGCCCGGCACAGGCAGCTCCCACCGTGACCTCTGCTTCCTGTGCAGCAGGCAATGGAAAAAAGAACCCCTGGTTGTCAACAAGAACAGCTCCCGTGTTGATGGAAAGTGAGGGCCAAAGAAACCGGATTTAGCACCCAGTTCTTAGAAGTTATGGGTTTGAATGGTGTCTGAGAGTAACCCCTCTCTGATCTTTAAATAGGAAGTGTTACACCAAGTAGCCCTGTCTGACTCACCAGGGAGCTTCAGAGTTCAGGTACCAGGGAACCCATAGTCAACTCTGAAAGAGGCACTCAACTTGGAGGGCTGACTGCAGAGAAGTCTAGATGTTCCAGTATGTGTCTGTGTCTCAGGGTGCAGTGGGGATTGAGGGTGGGACCAGAATTGGCTCACAAAGTGAATAGTTGAATATAGGACTTCAGCCTCATGAGCACCTGATTGGATTCTGTTTTTTGTTTCAGCATTCTCTCTGTCAGATTGTTTTAATAACAGCATCAGAGCCTTGAAGGTGGCCTGAGACAGGACTCCCTGTGTGGTTCTGTGGTTGGGCATCTTTAAACTATGTTTATCTCCCCAAAGCCCTGTTTCTTTAAAACTGCCTTTGAGCCCCCCAGAGACCCTCAATTCTTGGTGCTTCTCTTTGAGCAATCAGATGGGTTACAACTGGGCAGGATGAGAGGAATGCTTTTGTGTCTGCACAGGTCTGTGCTGTTTCTTCCTCTGCTTTGGGGCTGGAGAATCACCCAGACCCTCCTGGCATCTGGGCGGTGTGCAGGCTTCTTAACAACATTACGGGCATCTGGATTCTGGTTGGTTGCTGGGAATTCTGATGGGTTTACGAGTTATGTGATGGGCGGGGAGGCCATGTGCTAGTTTTGTTTAGTTTGGTTTTGGTTTGCTAGTGAGCGGAAAATCTGATGTGACACCTTAAAGGCCAGCCCACAAGTGGCAGCACCTGATCGTCATCTCTGCTCTCAGCCTCTATGGGAGGCACCCGGCCCTGCCGTTGCTGCTGGGCTTCCTCTGCCCTGAGGGCTTTCGTGTGAGCTCAGGGCAATGCAAGTGTGTGTTCAGTTACCAAGCCCAAAAGTCAAAAGAACAGCCAGAGCCAAGCTGGCTTTTGAGGAGAGAGGCCGGCTCCTCCAGCCTGGCTGCATTTGCCTGAGGTAGATCGTGAGTGCTCTGCCCCAGCCTCTCCGCCCTCCTGTGTCCTTTCTCAGCGGCTGCTCTAAAGTATAACTTCACGTAGTGGTGACTTAACTTGAAAGGAGCCGCAGGGGGCGTGAGAGCAGCTTGGAGAGGTGGGAGCCTGGGCCGCCGATGGCTCCAGCCTGTGAAAGTGTGGAAAGCTCGTTCCAGGAAAATTGGAATAATCACCTCATTGGCTGGCTTTCAGGCGGTGAGTGGTTCTTTCTTTAATTTGACAGGAGCGCTGGGATTCAGGGAAGGGCGTGGTGGGAAGCCCTGTGGTTCAGACAGACCCCACGAAGCCAGTGAAGCTCCCAGGAGAAAGTCTGATTTATTTTTCCCTGGCCTGGCTTGCAGCATGGTGGAATCCACCACCCAGGCTGTGCTGGGCAGGACAGGCCGCTCTGATGCGGGTCAGAGATTCTGGGACTCAGAACATCTGCCTTGGCCCCCGCCCAGCCCGTGCCTAGCTTTGAAAAAGTCTGTTGGTGGTGTTGCATGATGACTTAAACTGCAGGAAGAGAGAAGCTCATGAACATTAAACTCTCCCCCAGTCTCTCTTGTGAGTTTCCTGAACACACACGTACTTATACATGCACATACACGCCTTTGCCCACAAGTGCACATATGCTTGCAGATACACACACACAGCCTCCCCACATGCACACTCACACAAATACATGTGCACATGCCATGCAGGCATGCACATGCAACTCACAAGCTCACACCCACATGCACGCACACACAAATATGTTTTCCCTGCCTGCTAGCAGGGGTGTACCTACCATTTGGCATTCTTCTCATGCTAACATGATCCCATGTAAACGGTTCCCAGGATTGTTAAGATCAGACAGCTGTCCTTTTTATGCATTGCTTTACAGCTCAGTGTCTCACCTGAGTGAGACAACTGTCCCTGTCCACTTCTGGAAAGAGCTGCCTCTGTTCCCTCTTTTCCTCCCTGGTGCTCTGTTGCATGGTCTGGTGTATTACAGGGATTGGCATGTTTGTGTCTGCAGGGGAGCCTCTGGGTGCTGGCTTTCTGTCCAGGGCTTCTGAGGGCCGCCAGCCCAAAGGGAAGGGATTCATCAGAGACTGATAAGCTTAGGGTGTACTGAGCTGTGAGGCCATATGTGTGTGTTTGTGTGTGTGTGTGGGTGGGTGGGTGTATGTGTAGGCATGTGTGTGTCTATGTGAGGTGTGTGATGTGTTTGCATATGCGTGTGTGGTGTGCTCATGTGGGGGGTGTATATGTGAGTGTGTGTTGTGTGCATATGGACATGTGTGTATTTATATGTGCATGTGTGGTATGTTGTGTGTGTGAGGTGTGTGTGCATGTGTGTGGCATGTATATGTGCCTGTGTGTGCCTATGGGGTATGTGAGAGTGTGTGCAGTGAATGTGAGTGTGGCATTTGTATTTGGGCATCTTTAACTTTGCATTCTGCTTCTCCCATTTTCTGCTTCAATTCCCAGAGCAGGGCTCAGCAAACTCCTTAACCTATGTCTGCACTGGGATCTTAAATCCACTTCACAGACACTTTCCCAAGTCTCATCTGATTTAACAGTTTGCAGCCACCCTAGAAGTACTTGGCGTTGCTCCCATTTTACAGATAAGTAGACCGAGTCTCGGAGGGTTGAGTAGCCTGCCTGTGAAGGCAGAACCAGAACTTGGATCCTTGGCTCTTTCACTCCTTCGCTCCCTCCCTCCCTCTGCCTCACTCATTAGTTATACATGCAACCTGCTCTGCACCGGGCATGGCTGCTGGGCTCTTGGCCTGAAGACTATATTCAGCCCTTGTCCTTCAGCGGGTGCTCAGTATGGGAGGAGGCCAAGGAGGTTGGGTGAGGAGAGCTGGGGGGTGCTCACTCTCCCTGCACTCCACGGCCACCCACCTTAGTTGTCTGAGAAGAGAAAAGGAAGGAATTAGAGAGAGGAAGGAGCAGGCAGCCTGGGGATGAGCTGGAGGAGAGCCCCCTGCATCTGCCCTACCACTCACTTGCCCCAGGGCTTCCACCCAGAGTACGAGGCCACTCTACACTGTGGAAAATCCGGGTCACTCTGATCCTGATCCACTGTTATTCTGCTATAGGAGCAGAGTGGCTCCCTTTCTTTTAAAAATTGCTACATCATGTATCATCAGAAAGACAGTCTGCATCGTGGGGTCTATGTGTTTTAGGCTGAGGATTTCAGCATTGGTGGCTCAGGGTAGTAGGAGCAGCACTGCACATGAGGAGATATGTGCCTCAGTTTCTTCATCTGTAACATAGAGATAACACTGTCTACTTCATGTGTCTCACCACAGAGAACAGGTGTGATGTGCTAGGAGATGAACCACCTGTGTAGGCGGTGGCGAATGGTAGGCTGTTGTTAGAGACAAGGCATTCCCATAACTTACTCTTCAATGGGTCAGGAGTGTTTATGCCCAGAGATGCACACAGAGAGCAGGAGGGACACAGATGCAAGGCAGATGGAACAAAAGGGAAGCAATTGCTGCTTTTGGGTAGTGTAGAGGGGAGTTCTTATGTTAGTTTTGCAATTTTTCCGTAGCTTAGAGACTATATGAAAATGAAATATGGAAGAAAAAAGGCTCATCCATTTAAGAGCTCTTCCTAAGAGGTTGAAAGTATACCGATGTAACAAATAGCAGAGGGTTTGTACCTTAACGACCCATGAGAAGCCAAGTGAATAAAACGGAAGCTCCATCCTCATGGAAGCTGGAGACAGCTGGCCATCCCTGAAGGGGATAGGGAGCTCTGGGGAGGGGGGCAGGCGATGGAATCACACCAGCCAAACTCTCAAGAGGCAGGGCTCTCCCTAAACACCAGGCCTCGGAAGTCAGGCTCCTTCCCTGATCCCTGTTGGGGCTCCGGATTCTGGCTTGGATGACTTCCCCAGGGCCCTTGCCTGGTGGCCACAGCCTCTTCTTCCAGAGCTCCAGGTGAGGGAAAGTTGTATCTTATGATGGTTTCCTGACTGGGTGCTGGTTTTATTTGGTCCAACGTTCAGTTGCAGGTTTACCCAGTAGGTCAGCTTTGTGGCCCTCTCTGCTGCCTTCGGCATCCTGAAAGCCCCTTTCAGATGAATGTTTAACCTCAAAACCTTGAGCAGCTGTTGACAGGGAGCACTAGGCCTGGAGTCTGAGAGTCTGGGGTCCCAGCTCTGCCCCAGTGGATCTCTCTGAGACCTGACTGTCTCCCTGACAAAGCCAAGTTTGGTGGGAATGAATGAATGAGGGACTTGAACATGCTCTGTCACTCTGCAAATGGTAGGTGTGTCTTGGGAGAAGACAGGAGAGGGACAATTGCCAGCCTTAACTTGCTGTCTACTTTGTGCCTCACTTTCCCCACCTTGTTGCCATAGTGAGAGGAATTTTCCTCATCAAGTCCCCATCACCTTTCTCTAAGCAAGACTATGCTCAGGGGCTGGAGGGCAGGGGAGAATGCAAGTTAGAAGACCTTGTCCCTGTCCCCTGTCTACCATCAGCCTGATTATAAGATCTTGGAGAATTCCTTTGACCTCTCGGAGCCTCAGTTTCCTGGTGTGCACAGCAGAGTTAGCGATGGATGCCCTCAGGAGAATGGGAAGGACAAATGGATGGTGTGTGCCCAGCACTTTGTTTCATGCCAGCGTCCTCACTTTTCCTGTCACCCTGTGCCCTTGTAAAGCACTTCACAGCTTTCTAGGCGTGGGCACACCATTATCACAGCCTGTGGCTGTGAACAGGCTTTGTCAAGCCTGTGCAGACAGAGAATGGGGAATGGGTAAATTTAAAACACTCCTTCCGCCTGACTTCATTTGCCTGCTGGGCCTGTGCTAATTGCATGGCTGAAGTCCCCTTTCCAGGACTCTAGATTCCTGAGATGGAAAGGATCGGGACTGGGCTGCTCTAGGACCTTCCTAAGCTGGTAGAAGAGCAAAACTTGGTAGTCATATAGGCTCGGGTTTTGAGTCCTGGCTGTGTGACCCACAGAAGCTGCTTAATCCCATTGCACCTCAGTTTCCTATTGTGTGGAATGGGAGTGATGGTCCCCCCATGGGCGTTGTGTGAGAATTCAAGATTCTGTGCTTCTTGCCTGCCTCGTCGCAGGAGCGTGTGAAGCGGATGATCGTCTTGTGGGGCTCTCCTCCAGTGTCAGATTGCTCTGTACCAGAGGCTGTCCTAGGATCAGGGCCAGGCCAACCGCTGCTTTTCATGCTCCCAAATGTTTGGAGAGCCAGTGCGGTGTCTTAGCCAGCAGAGCTTTCTGTCAGGAGGTGTGATCATCGAGCCGTTTGTACCCTGCCAGCCACCTGAACCCAGAGCCACTCCCTGGACTGAGCTTGCCCTCAGGGGAAGGTGGGCAGCAGAGTTATCCAGCCTGCGGGTCTCTCTCTGGCTGTCCTCCACCCTAGGAAGCACAACACGTGGTCAGCAGTGTGGCTTATGGGGAGCACAGGGAAAAGATGAGCAGCTCCATATTTCATGGCTGAAACTTGGATATGGCTGCAGTGCCAAGGAGGGGCCTCCCCTGGACCCAGAAAGAGCAGGGGCTGGAAGTTATGCTTGAGACACCAGCTGGCAGCTTCAACTTAGAGAAGAGCCGGCATGCCTGTCCCCCTCTGCTGCCTGCAGCCCTCTGCCCACCCTACTCAAGAGTTCAGCCTGTTGCTCCCTCCCAAGCAACAGTGGACACTCGAGGATCCCAGGTCGGACCTGCTAGATGGGGACACTGAGCCAGGCAGACCCAGGGCAGCTTTCCTGAGTTCCTTGGAATCACACTGAGCTGGGCCAGCTGGATAGGCTCCTGGAGGCAGAACGGAGTTCAACTCCCTCTCTCTGCTGGCCTCCTTCCCTGCATCCCCCTGTTTGCAGCTAGGAAGGGCTGACCTGGTGACTCGGTGACATCCCTTCCATGTGGCCCCAACATGAGTCACACGTCACGGCATTCTCTGAGTTGGGCAGATGCGCGAAGGGGCATGTTGATGTGGGGCCCTTAGGGCTGCCCCCACAACTAGCCTGGTCTGAAGAACCGGTTGGTCCTGTGGGGTTATTTAGAAGGCATGGGGGGCAGGCCTAAGCTCCCCAGCTCCTCCTTGGAAGAGGCCTGGCCTGTGTAAGCTGTTACTGCCTGGCTTGAGGAAGTGGCACACCGAGGAGCATCCTGTCTCATAGGGAGCCCATCCCATGGGCAGCTCTGCTCCTCAGGGCAGCCAGTGGAGCTGGGAGGGGGGACATCGCCTGCTTCCCAGACTCAGCGTGTGTCATGTTCCTCTGGGCTGCCCGGCCTGGGTGTTCTAGGAGGCCTCTGTCCAGAGGAGCAGACCTTCCCTGATGCCCACACCAACATGAATGCCTGCCATGAGGCCCTGAGGGTGCTGATGACAGCAGCTGTGACAGCGGTGCCATTGCCCACACGGTCCTGGGGCCCTTGGATACGGTCCAGCTCAAACCCCTTCACTATAGCTGGGACACTAAGGCCCACACAGGCCAGGGACCTGCTTCAGCTCCCAGGCCCTTGTTACCACCACTTGATGTGATCTTCTGTTTGCAGTCTGATAGCTTTCAGGGCCCAGTCCCTGCTCCCCACAGTGGACATGGGCTTAGGGCATGATTTAAGCCCCAAGAGCAGTGAAGAGAGCTGGGCTAGGGGCCAGGGCATGGCGACCTCTTGCCCCAGGCTCAAGGCTAGTAGAACCTCTGGACTCGTCTGTCCCTGGGCTGTATCTTATCAGCAGACTCTCCTGGCTGGGTCTTGCCAACCTGGGGACTCTTAGCTCCTTGCCAGTCACTCAGTGAGCCCCTGCTTGTCATATGAGCACCGGGTGCAGAGCCCCACTGCTGGGCAGCTTCCTGAGTGCATTGCATCTGGCTTTTCACTGTCACCTTGGGAAACGGTCAGGGCAGATGACCAGAATCTGTTCCAGGAAGGGGCCTGGAAGTTGGGTCACCTGCCCAAGGTCAGACAACTGTTCTGGGACAGAGTTTGGAATTAAAATCTTTTATCTAACAAATATTTGCTGGGTACCTACCTTTATTAAGCAACTGCTGTGGCCGAGCCCTGGGGACACAACTTTGAACAAGGCTCGGGCCCTGAGCTCCAAGGCAAACATGTGGCTACAGTGCAGTCTGATAAATGCCAAAAGGAAAGTGGGCGCAAGGTGCCCGGGGTGCTGACTCGGCCCACGGGGCTTGGGAAGGCTTCCAGGGGGCCTGGAAGGCGAGGAAGCTTCACCTGGGGGAAGGGCTCTTTGAGCACAGAGGACTCTGGCCATCTGATTCCAGGCCTATAGGGACCCCAGCAAGCCCAGGAGAGGTGTGGACTCTGGCCTTTTCTTTGCTGCGTGGCCTGCAGCAATCCCTGTCCTGTCTCCAGTCTCTCCATCTGTCTGCAGGGGAGATTGTACCAGGCCCCGTGTTTCATTCTCTGGAGGGCTTCCTGATAACCTCAGGAGATGTGTTTAAAACGCAGGTTCTGAGGCCTCTCACACAGAGGTTCTGATTTAGCAGGTCTGGGAGCAGCGCATAGGAATCTGCATTTTTTTCCTTTTTTTTTTTTTTAGAGAGTAGGTCTTACTCTGTTGTCCAGGCTGGAGTGCAGTGGTGCAATCATAGCTCACTGCAGCCTCCTGGGCTCAAGTCATCCTCCTGCCTCAGTCCCCTGAGTAGCTGGTTCTACAGGCACAATCCACCACTTCTGGCTAATTTTTAATTTTTTTGTATAGATGGGGTCTCACCATATTGCCCAGGCTAGTCTCAAACTCCTGGTCTCAAGCAATCCTCCCACCTCAGCTTTCCAAAGTGCTGGGATTAAGGGTGTGAGCCACTGTACCTGGCCCTGGAATCTACATTTTAAACAAGCTCACTGGGTGTTTCTAAAGCAGCTCATCCCTGTACTTCAGTTTGAGAAAAGCTGGACTTAACCATCTTGGCTCTGACATTATCAATCCTACAGTTGTCCTGACCATGTCCCTTGAAGTGGGCAGAGCCTATGGTGTTGGGGTGGTGGAGGTGCCTGGGGTTCGTAAGTGCTGGAGCTCTCTGAGATTCCAAACTCTGCAGAATCTCAGAGAAACCCTTGGTCATAGTCCTAAAGCTTCCAAAAGTCTTGGCCAACTCCCTCAGCTCCCCATTATGGGAGGGTCTCCAAAAGTGGAGACAGGTAGGGGATGCTGAGCCCCTTGGGGTTAGGGGGCTGTTAAGTATTTCTCAGATCTCGCTTCAAGCATTTCTGATTAGAAAGACCTGCAGTCCCTGCGTTAGTTCTTAAGGCTGTCTGCTTAGGGCTGGTGTGCCCAAGGATTATTTTTATTTATTTATTTATTTATTTATTTATTTATTTATTTATTTATTATTTTTTGGAGATGGAGTCTCGCTCTGTCGCCCAGGCTGGAGTGCAGTGGGGCAATCTTGGCTCACTGCAAGCTCCGCCTCCCAGGTTCACGCCATTCTCCTGCCTCAGCCTCCCAAGTAGCCACCTCACCCGGCTAATTTTTTGTATTTTTAGTAGAGACGGGGTTTCACCGTGTTAGCCAGGATGTTCTCGATCTCCTGACTTTGTGATCCGCCCACCTTGGCCTCCCAAAGTGCTGGGATTACAGGCGTGAGCCACCGTGCCCGGCCGTGCCCGTGGATTTTTAGCAAAGCTGAGCTGGCCTGACCTGACATGGGGGCCTAGAAAAAGCTGTTCAGGTACCATGTGGGGAGGTGGAGAAAGTGGGGAGGCTGGGCAGGGGGAGGCCAGTGCACTTTGGGCCACATGACTACTTCCCCTCAAGTGTCTTAAGAGCCTGGATGCAGACGGGTTTCTCACCGTTGGCTCCTCGCATGCCCTGAGCTAATTGGGCTGCAGCCCTGCTAACAGCCTGGTGACAGGCTGCCTCAGTCCTGCCCAGATGCTAGTGTCACCCTTCCAGCCAAGAGACCCATTGGCTGTTCTCCTGCAGGGTGCCCGGAGCAGGAGACACTAGCTGACCTATATGTGGTCAGCTCAGAGTGTGTCCTGTTTCCCAATGCCACAAACCCAATGTACTAGTTTCCTGGGGCTGCCGTCACAAATGACCACAAACTGCATGGCCTAAACAGCAGAAATTTATTCTCTCACAGTTCTGGAGGCCAGAAGTCTCAGATCAAGCTGTCAGCAGGACCACACTCCCTCTGAAAGCTCCAAGGAGAATCCTTCCTTGCCTCTTGCAGCTTCTGGTGGCCCCAAGTGTTCCTTGGCTTGTGGCTGCATCACTGCAGTCTCTGCCTCTGCCTTCACATGGCCTTCTCCTGTGTCTCCTGTGTCCTCTCCTCTTCTTCTTTTGCGTGTGTGTGTGTGTGTGTGTGTGTGTGTGTGTGTGTGTGTGTGTGATGGAGTTTCACCCTTGTCTCCCAGGCTGGAGTGCAGTGGCACAATCTTGGCTCACTGCAACCTCTGCCTCCTGGGTTCAAGCGATTCTCCTGCCTCAGCCTCCTGAGTAGCTGGGATTACAAGCATGTGCCACCATGTCCAGCTAATTTTTGTATTTTTGGTAGAGACGGGGTTTCACCATGTTGCCCATGCTGGTCTCGAACTCCTGACCTCAGGTGTTCCACCCACCTTGGTTCCCAAAGTGCTGGGATTACAGGCATGAGCCACCATGCATGGCCATGGCTGTAGACTCTCTCCTCTTCTTATAAGAACACCAGTCATTGGGTTTTGAGCCCATCCTCAATCCAGTATGATTTCATCTAGAAATCCTTCACTAATCATATCCACAAATACCCTATTTCCAAATAAGGTCACATTCTGAGGCTCTAGTTAGATGTGAATTTGGGGAGGGGGCTGCACTATTCAACCCCTTGCACCCAGCAGGCAGAATGTCACCAGATAAAGGGCAAACCTACTGCACTGGCCGGGGAGTGTGGCCTGGCAGCGGGTCCCAGGAAACACACCCAGGGCTTTTAGCAGCCTCAGGCCCTGTCATCAGCAAGGGCGACTTTGCCTCCACGAGTAGAATCAGAGAGCCCAGAGCAGCCGAGGGGGTCCAGTAGGCAGCCACTGTGGAGAGGGTGTACTAGTCAGACACGTATTTTAAGGTGTCCTGGAGGAGAAAGGCTGCATGTGGCTCCAAAAAGTCAATCAAGACCCCAGGTTGAGTCCCAGTGGGGCAAACTGTTCAGTATAGGAACTTTCTCTAATAGCAGTACCTTGTAGCCCATCCCAGGGGGTGGTTAAGCCCCTCTCACAGGATGGGCATTGCAGAGAGGAGTCTGTCTGTCTCCCAGCTCTCAGTCTGTGCTTGTCTCAGAGGTTCATGCCCCCACCCCCAACAGCTGTGGGGTGAGGTCACGGACTCACTCCACAAAGGCAGTGGAGATGATGGTGGCATACATAGCCAGACCCCTGCTCTTGCTCCTGGCTGGCTCATGAGTTTGTGGGTTGTGGGGAGTACCCACAATGCTCAGTCTTCAGGGCATCTACAGTGACGGCCCCTCACCCTCTGCCCCTGCCTGCACCAGCCCACTCCGTGTGTTTCCCAGCTTGGTCTTCTCTACCCCTCGTCAGGCCCTCCCCTTGCTCGATCTTGACACTTGGCCTCCTTCCTGGCCAGGCTGTCTGCCTGCATCCAGCCCTGGCTCCCTGAGCTCCTCTCGGATACATCACTGGGCACATGGTGGAGTGGCCATTTCAACACATGGCACCTGCAAGAGCTTTCATCTCCTTCCCCTGGCCCATCGCAGATGAGACACACTGACACCTCAGCTGTGAAGGTGACATTTGTCTACACACACGCACACAAACGCATACAGGGCTGGATACAACAAGGGACAAGGCTTAGGCCTGCTGCAGACCTTGGGTGAGTCTCTGCCCCACGTCTCCAGCAGTTAATGAAAGACAATCTTGCTCTGGGAAGCACTTCCTGCATCTGACTTCTAGAAGTCTCTGCTGTCCAGGATGACAGAGGGTGCCCCTGAATGCAGGAAGTGCTGAGTGTTGCCAGTACCAGTGCCCCTGTGGCTGCCTGACCACCATCCATTCCTTCCCATCCTCCTGCTGTGAGAGAACCAACAGACCACCTTGGGGATGATGTCCCCTAAGGCTCCCAGGCCAGCCCAGGGTGCCTGTTGGGGAGCTGCCTCCTCATCCTCACACCCACAGGCTTTACATACAATTAATCATTTAAAATGAACAGCCCTTCTGAGCTTGCTGGCCTCCTGCAAGTCTCACACCAACTTGCCAAAATCCTTTCCCTTTTCTGGGCCCCTTGCTTTTACCTGTCAAAAAGACATAATCTGCTGGGACAAGGTGTGTCAGCTGCTCCCACAGAGCCTGGTGCCTTGGAAATGCCCCATAAATGGTTGTTCCTGTCTTGCATCCTCCTGCCTCTCCTGCCAGCCCCGTTGGTTCCCCATTGACTCCGTCTCCAGTGTCTGCTGTGCACCTGCTCTGGGCAGAGCCCTGTGCGCTGTCCCTGGCACCAGGTGGCTCTCATGCTGCCCCTGCAAAGCAGCAGCTAGAGATGAGCTGAGTCCTGCTGCCTGCCCCATGACAGTGACTGGAGGGCTATGGGGGAACCCTGGATGCCATCGGGGACCTCTTCACCCTTTCTTCTGGTTTTTTGGATGCTCTCGGAAAGCCTTCTGGGTGGCCCCTTGAGCTTGACCTCACAGACCGATGAGGCAGCTGCTCCAGGCTCAGCACTGCAGTTGCACAAGGATGGACAGGGCCTTGTGCAGCCGTCCAGGGGCCTCCAGCGGCTGTGGGTGGCAAGTGCCTGCAGAATGGGGGCTGTAGCTCAGCTGTCCCAATGGGAGACTCTGAGCAAGGCTCTGAAGGGTGAGCAGGGCATGGCAGGCCCAGGCTGAGGACATCTCAGGTGCCCAGTGCCTCACTGTCACCTCATTTAATCCCACTCAACCCTCCAAGGTGGGTGGTGGTCCACAAATGGGTACACTGAGGCCTGGAGCAGGTAAAGGACTTGCTCAAAGACAAGGCTTGAATGTGAACGTGGTCTGGCCCCAGAGCTAGTCACTCCCTGTGTCCTGCTGCATCTGATTCATTGTGTTGTTTGTTTCCCACTAGCTTTTTTTTGCAGGGTGAGGGTGATGTGCTTACCCCCACAACCTTCCCTGATTTTCTCCTGTTCCTGCTGTTGTATTTGGGGCTGTTCAGTGCCTCCTCACTTCCCACCCTGTTGACACAGGGGTGTTGCTGGGCTCGTTTTGTTTTTGACCCAGTCAGCCTGGCAGGGAAGTGGCGGGCTGTGCGCAGAGCTTCCCGAAATAGCCCCAGGCTCCCCGCCAAAGATAGAGGAGCCAGACTGTGCGCGATGGGCTTGGGCCAGTTGAAAGATGTCTTGGTTCCCTACTCCCCTCAGCTCCCCTGCCCTGTGCCACCCCCAGCCCAGGTCTTGATGCTCCTGCACATACCTGTGCCCCGTGGTGGCTGAGAGCCTCCTGTGGGCTGCAGGCCTTGGGGTGCTGGTTGGGATCGGTTTGGTGTCACCCTGGGCCCAGAATGAGGAGTTCTCATCCCTTCCCTGCTACTGACTTGCCCGATGACCTTGACCAAGTCCCTGTCGCTCTCTTGGTTTCCATTTTCCAATTTGGAGTGGGGAGAGTGCGTCTGTCTGCCTGCTGGCAGCGTTGCTGGGAGGGTCGAAACAGTGAGCAACGGCCCCAACCCTGGGAAGGCTGGCAATAATGCATAGTGACAAAATGATATCAATGATTTGTTTCCCCTAGTCCTGACTGTTTTGAGTGTGGGGACACAGTTCTTTAGCAGGGCTGATCCCCAGCATCACCATCACCATCACCATCATCATTATAGTAATAATAGCGGCTGCTGCTGTTGCTTGGGTGTTGTGTGCTGGGTGCTTTACATTGATTGTCTGTTAATTTATTCCCCTTACTACCCTATGAGGTGTGTGTGGTATTGGACTAGGTCCACATACCTATAAAATGAAGGTCCACATACCTTCACCTATAAAATGAAGAACTGAGGCTCAGAGAGTTTAAGTAACTTCCTTAAGACCAAGTGAGGGGTGGAGCTGTGTGATCAGAGCACCATTCTGATGTCAAAGCCTGAGTTCTGCCTGCAATGCTGTGACCCCTCCTCCAGGGGTCCCTGCTCTAGGCTTTTCCTTCCAGACCTGGAGCCTGGTCTCGTGGGGGCTGCTCTTGGCAGCCAGAGCATCCAGTAGGTCTCATCTGCATTCTGACCAGAGAGCCCTGGTGTAGGACAGAGACCCACAAGGGGCTCTGCCTCCAAAGAGAGCCCTGGGGGAGAGGGAGACGCTTCTGGGACTGAAGGGGCCACTTATTTTAGCCCCCTCTTTTAAATATTATGCATTTAAGCAACGTCACAGAACAGAGTCAGCAAGCACTTCCTAAGCACCAGCTGTGTGCCAAGCCCTGGGGGCTCCTGTGTGCCTCTCACCAAGCCCAAGAGGCCTGTTTCACTCAGACTTTGCAGGTGAAGAAATGCAGCCCAGCCAGGGGCGCAGGCCACCTGCCCAAGGCCACCTATCTAAGGCCACCGGCTGGGCAGTGGCAGTGCTGGTACCAGAGCCAGGTCTGCCTGGCATACCTGCCCCTTCTCCACACTGCAGAGATGAGGAAGCTCTCAACCACCAAGCCCTGCCGTGTTCCTCATTCCTGCCTACCCTTGCTTGCCCAGTCACAGGCCTGGAAACACAGGCCTTGCCCTGAGCAGGGGTCAGCGGGCCCTGGGGCAACACAGGTTCCGTCAGCAGAGCTGGGCTCTGCGTCCTTGTGGACCTATGTGCCCGCAGGCCTGTGTTATGAATATATTTATAGGCATTGCTGTTTGTGTGTGTGTGCACATTTGCTTTCGTGTGTGACTCATCTCTTTGGACTGTGTTCCCCAAGGTCACAGGGCCTGGTGAGTTTTAGAGGCAGAGCACATGTCACCCCTCATCTGTCCTGCATTGGTAGTGGGGTGAAGCAGGGGTGATATGCAGTTGGTTCACACAGATATGTGGTGAAAACATTGATGTGCAGATCCACAATTCCTTATCCTCAATTCCAAAATCCAGCACACTGAAAACCAGACACTTTTTTGTAACTCATTTGGCAGCAAAATTTTTCCTGAACTGAGGTGAGGCTATTTATAGTCCAAGTGAGGCTATTTATAGTCTTTATGTATTCTATATTCATGTCTTTCACTGCAGAGAGTTCAATGTATTTGTTTATTGGATGCTGCTGAGATATGCAGCTTTACCTGTCTAAAGTTCAGGATATTCTGAAATCCTAGATACATCTAGCCCCAAGAGCAAGAGTGCTGTACTTTTTTTTGCTGGTAAATAGCCTCTGCCCCTGCCCCGTCCCCCTTATTGTCCCTTCCCTGGGATTTCTGGAGCTAAGTGGGCAATGCTGTCCACAGGCACCTCCAGGATTCCCCCAGCCCCACAGCCAGCAGCAGTGCCCAGGGGTTAGATATTTTTAGTATTCCTGTGGGTGACAGAACACATCTTGGTTGCCAGGCATAGTGTTCTACCCCCTCACTGGACGTATTACCACCTCCCTTTACAGATGAGTAAACCAAGGCTCAGTTGCAAGTATCAGATCTAAGGACGGAGAGATGAGAAGTGCAGGCGCTGGACCCCAAACTTTCCCTTCCACCTGGCTGCCTGTCTGGGAGGGAGTCTGGGGACTCAGGAACCTGTCTCCCTGGATTTGTTGAAATGGGAAGCAGCAAGCATCAGGGTCCCAGGTGCACCGGAGGGGAGCAGACAGATGCAAGCCAGGCTGCTCTACTTGGCAGGGAGAAGGAGGAGGAGGAGCAGGGGCCCCTCAGTTGCTGCAGGGCCTCCCTAGGAACTTACCGCCTACCTCTACACCGTAGTTCCTGCTTCTCAGAGTCCCTTTGTTAGAACACCTGTGCCTTCCTCCGCACCCAACTCCATCTCTTCCCAGCAGCCAGCCCTCATAGCTGCTCCGGCTCTTGGGTCTTTCCTCCAGAACTCTCTGAAGCCACTGGCACATAGGGAGATGGCATAACTTTGTCCAAACTCTGTCGGCAGCTGTTCTTGGGGACCCTGCTAGCAGCCACCTTCTCCTACAACCTTCAGAAGCTCCCTTGGATGCAGGAGCTTTGTCAGGGCCTGAAAGCCCCAGGCTTCCCCCTTTTTCTGACTCCCCAGTGTACAAGTTCTTTCCCATTTCCTGTGAGACGCATCATCTTGTGATGACCAATGACTCCCACCATCCACCACATTGACCCTGGCTCAGAAGCCTTTGGTCTGAGAAGCTTCTTGCCCACTGGGACGCCTCCTATCCACCCTGCCCAAGCCATGCCTGACGTGCCATAGTGCAGTGAGAGGGCCTACTCTTGGACAGTGGAGAGATCTGGGACAGGGTTATGGCTGTAGTGGTTAACCATCCTTGGATTGTAGGCACGTCAGCAGACCTCTCCAGAGCTTGTTTCCTGTTTCCTCATCTGCAGAGTGGGCTTAGGGTTGGCTGCCCTCACAGAGCTGTTGATGAGGATTGGCCTTAGGGCAGGCATCCTGCATAGACCGTGCCTTGTCATGAGCCCTGTTACCCTTCCCCCATTCCACTAGCAGGGTCTTTCTTCCTGTATACCCATTAAGGGGTCAGAAAGTTTCCCAGAGCTGCCGTGAGTGTAAAGAAGTCAACTGTGACCCGTTGTGAAGACCTTTGGGTTTAGAGGCAGAGGCTCTGGGCTCTAGTCCCACCCCTGCCCTATGTAGATGATGGATGGATGCATGGGTGGATGGATGCATGGGTGGATGAATGCATGGGTGGATGGATCAGTGGATGCATGCATGAGTGAATGGCGCGGTAGCTACATGGGTAGATGGATAGGTGGATGCATGGGTGAAGGGATGCATGGGTAGATGCGAGTAGGGATGCATAGGTGGAAGGATGAGTAGATCAACTGTCTGCCCTTTTCTGGGCCTTAATTTTTCCATCTACCCAATGATAGGGTTGGATTGCAAGTTCTTCAGTTTCTGAGGTTTGTGACCCCACCTATGTCAACCTGGCACCCTTAAGGACTGCTGCCCCCTTAGGTGGTGACCTATAAGGAGGACCGTGCCTATACCCAGGGACCCTGGAACCCTCTCTGAGCTCCACCTTCCACCCTGCCTTGGGCCTTCCCAGCTCTGACTTGGTACCCTCCTTGCAGCCTCTGCGCTCCTCATCCCTTTCCAATAGGAGTGCAGTTTTCTTCTGGCTCTTTTGTTGACAGAATCGCTTGTTTATTTGTGGTGGGAGAGTCTGTATATCCTGTGTGCAGTCACTTCCCTCCAGGCCACTCTGCATTCATGCAGGATGAGCTGCTGAGTGAGCATTGGGTGGAAGTGTCAGGCGCTGGGGGCTTGGCAGAGGGACTGTCACAGGGTCAGGGTGGCTTTACTGCCAAGGTGGCTCTTGAGTTAGGTCAGGAGCTAGGTCAACTTAGTAGGTCAGAATTTCCCGGTGGAGGTGGAGACCCAGGTGATGGCACCCAGACGGGCTGGGTCCTCACGGGTGAGGGTGTCAGTTCACCAGCCTGTGCAAAGACTTCCAGTGCCAAGGCAAGGAGCTCAGGGTGCTTTGGTGAATGAAGGTGAATTCTTGAAGGGTTTTAACCAGGAGGTGACCCAGTCAAGTTCCTTCTCCTGCAGTATGCTGGAGCATCTTTGGTTAAAAATAAAAAAATAAAGGTCAACATGGAAAACTCACCCTCGATTTGTGCTCTGAGCCCTTGGGGCCTGGGGGTTGATAAAAAGAGCCAGGATGCTAGCTTGCAGAAAAGGGAGCGCTGCCAGGA
The DNA here is from genome assembly GCF_000001405.40 of Homo sapiens. Taxonomy (NCBI): domain Eukaryota; kingdom Metazoa; phylum Chordata; class Mammalia; order Primates; family Hominidae; genus Homo; species Homo sapiens. Next base: position 123,060,042 of record NC_000012.12, on the reverse strand, counting down.
CTTGGAGAAAAAAAGGAAACTGATACTTGGAGTTCTGCCTGACCTTTCTTTCCTCGTTTCTTTTTAGGTGAAATTCAGTAAGCTTAAACATGTTAAAAGTGCACAATTCGGTGGCATATAGTATGCATACAAGATTGTGCAGCCACCACCTTTATCTAGTTCTAAAACATTTCCATCACCCTGAAAGGAACCCCTGTCCCTTTTAAGCAGTCACTTCCCATTCCTCCCTCCCCACAGCTCCTGGCCACCATCTGTCTGCATCCTAGCTCTATGGATTTGTCTATTCCGGATGTTTCATAGCCACAGAATCAGGCATACACCAGACTCTGGGCCCTTTCTTAGGCTCTGCCTTGTCCCTGCTGTGCTACAAGCTCACCATTTATTTCCTGCTCTATGGCCCTCAAGCCAGTCCTGTGTGCAGCCTGGGTGGAGCTCCCAGCTTCCCACTGTCCAAGAGAGAAGCTCAGATGATATGAAAACAAATCAGTCAAGCTTGTTCTGGGGGAGAAGTGGGCCTCCACCCTTCTGGGGGCATTAGTGGGTGTGTATGGCCAGGTGCTAAAGGGCCAGAAGGTGGTAAAGCTGGGACAGTACTCCTGACTGCAGAGAGTACAGACCGAACCCTGGAAGTGAAGTCACAGAGCCTTGTGGGCATCTGGCTTCCCAGGCAGTTCCTCCCTGACCTTCTCTGGGCCCTCTGCCCCACATCCGAGACCTTTTACCAAATTCAGGCTATGTAGCTCAGTGCTGCTACGGAAAGGGGCAGGGGCTGAGCCACACAGGAGGTGGCTGGTTGACTCACTGCTCTCCAGATGGCCCTTGGAAGAGCCCCCAGAAAAGGTCCCATGCTTGTGAGCTCCTCCTCTCTGACTGGAAACACATGGGCTCTTCAGCCTGTGATATCCTTGGTTGGCCTTCTCCCTGCCTGGTTCTCTCCCTGCCTAGATGCTGACCTCTGCCCCCACAGCTGTGCCTCTCCTAAGTACTTATGGAGATCTGTAGAGCACCTCGCTGTGGGCTTGGCCCTGAAGATGCAGAAATGAAGCAGATGCGGGTGCTGCCCTGAGCTTCATGGTTTGGGCCCAGACAATGGGAATGGGGTGTGGTGGGAGCTGGGGCTGAGGTGCTCTCAATGCACCTGGGCACTCAGCTTTGCCCAGAGTAGTCTCGGAGGGCTTCTCAGAGTGAGTGCTGTGTAAGCTGATTCTTAATAGACACTTCGAGAATTTTCCAGGTGGACCCCGTGGGAAAGGGCTTTTTCCACAAAAGAACCAGCAGGGGTTGAGCACTTGAGCAAATGCCTCAGGCAACAGTTACCAGCTTCTACAGCGCTTGGGGCCTTGAGCAAATGCCTCAGGCAACAGTTACCAGCTTCTGCAGTGCTTGGGGCCGAGGTGTAAGAGGCAGGTGCTGCTCTTGAGGGCTTTGGAGCTGAGGACCGCAAACAGGGAACAACAAGAATGACAGCAGGGAACAGCAGGTGAATGGTGGAGTGAGAGAGGCCCTGGAGAGGCTGTGGGTGGGGCATGATGGCTTCCAGTGACATTCTGGGGAGCTGGCAAACATGGTTGCATCTGCATTGGGAAGATGTCCTCTAATGGTTTCTAGAAGGAGGATTTCAGAGGAACCAAACTGGAAACATAGAGGCCAATTAGAAGGCTGTCTCTGACACCCAGGGAGTGCTGGTGAGGGCCAGAATCAAAAGGGATGGAGGCAGAAGGCAAATTAGAGGGAGACATAGCAGGTGTTCTTCCCATGGCTCAGCCATGGGTGACTTGGAATTCTTGGGGAGGGGACCCCATGGTGGCATTGGAGACGGAGACCTGGTATACACCCTGACCACCTCCCTGGCAGCCCTACAACCTTGGCTGAATTGTCTGATCTCACCTGGCCTTGGTTTATCCTTCCGACAAAATGCCCAAAAAGAAGAAGTGAAGAACGTGGGTTCGTAAGTACTTTGAAGAGTAAAAGGTCAGGGGATGAAGGCATAGTTTGTTTTTTGCTGCCTAGTGGCCCAGAGAGGAGGTAGCACCTGTCAGGTGTACAGGAGGGGTCCCTGGGACTTGGGGCCCAGCTGGCACGGAGGGTCACATTCCAACCTCTGGATCCCTTGGATCTGCAAAAGGGTTCCAGTTCCCCTCTCCAACTCTGAGAGCAGCTGCACCTGATTCCCCCAGGGCCTTAGCTGTACCTCCTCCTCTGTGGTTAATAATTCAGGACAAGCCAGATGGCTCTGCTTTCCCCCTCCTTCTTTCCCATAGCCTCCTAGGGCTTGTTCCTCAACTAGGGGTGGGCGTCGCGGTGGGGAGCCCAGGAGGCTCAGCCGCTTGTAACTCAGATGAACCGTCACCACCAGAGCCTACAGCCTCTATGTGCCCTGGGGCTTCAGGTTCTGGCCGGGCGCCCCAGCTTTGGTGTCCATAGGCCCATTGCCTGGGGAAGTGGAGAGAGCACTTAGAAACCACAGGTCCTGCCTCCCGCCCAGCTCTGATTTCAGATGCGGTCTTGTCTACGGCACTTTGTAAATACTTGTAGGGTGAGGAGACCAATGGTACCATTTGCACCCTCAGAGACATTCTTTCCTTAGTTCTTCTGAATGTTCCTGTTAGGAAGAAGTTCTTTTTGTTTGTTTTTGAATTTAAATTTTTTTTTTTTTTTTTTTGAGATAGAGTTTTGCTCTTGTTGCCCAGGCTGGAGTGCAATGGTGTGATCTCGGCTCACCGCAACTTCTGCCTCCCGGGTTCAAGCGATTCTCCTGCCTCAGCCTCCCGAGTAGTTGGGATTACAGGCATGTGCCACCATGCCTAGCTAATTTTGTATTTTTAGTAGAGACGGGGTTTCTCCGTGTTGGTCAGGCTGGTCTTGAACTCCCAACCTCAGGTGATCCACCCGCCTCGGCCTCTCAAAGTGCTGGGATTGCAGGCGTGAACCACCACGCCTGGCCTGAATTTAGATTTTTAACCTGAAGTTGCCCTGAAGATATGCTCCCCGGTTAGGAAGGAATTCTCACACACACTCAGACGCGCTTTTCTCTTTCACATTTGGGATCCGAGGCTTCTGAGTACTCTGACTTGTCCAAGGCTGAGCAGCAGATCGGTGGCCTCTACTCCCAGTTCACACCTGCTTGGTTCCCATTCAAGGCCAGGGGCTAGACCTCAGTGAACTGCCACCTCCTGGGTCTGCAAAGTCCTGCAGGGACCTGCAGGTTGTCCCCATTCTCTGTGATTCTTAGCACCCATCTTGATAGGATCTTGGGCACAGGACCCCTGATTGGGCTGGGTATGGAGAGAGCCAGGCCCTGAGGCTATCCCAGCCCCTGGCCTGGGGCATCCCGGGAGAGGACAGGGACAGTGTCCAGTGTCACCCAGTGCAGGGAGAGACTTTCTTTGTCAACCCAGGAGGGCTTGTTAGAAGAAGAGGGCCGGGCAGCTCAGCTCTTTCCCTCTTCGTGTCCGGCAGCAGGAGGCCACTCCTGGGTCTGGGCCTCCTGGAGTTGGCAAGAGCTGCTGACTGAGAACCTGACCCAGGCCCATGAAGGCAGTGTCCAAGGTGAGCCAGCACAGTGGCCGTCCACATACCTGTATGCTAAGGTGAAGCCACCGCAGTGAGAAGCTGGTGCAGAACATTTTGGGGCAGCTCTAAATAGAAAAGGATTTTGTCTCCCGGGCAACGTGGACATGAGACATAAGCCTACACGCCTCCATGTAGGCTCCCAGACTGCCTGAAAGCTCCGGCTAAGTTCTCCAGAGCGCTCAGGTGATAGCTCTTCTTCTCAGACGAGTACTCTGAGGCCACTGTCATGCCAGACATGTAAGTGGCCAAGCTTGGCCTGACGCTGCAGTCACTTTCCACTGACCTGCAGCTGTGACTCATCACCACTGCCTTGACCTCAGGGCCAGAGCCTGGAACTCAAGCTGCAGGGCTCCTAAGAGTGAACTCAAGGAAGCCCAACTGGGCTTGGGACTGGGCAGTGTTCTAGGATCCAGGTGGAGCAGAGGTGAGATTAACACCACAGGAAAGAACCCCAGGGAGAGGCAGAGGCAGGACATTGGCTGGTGGAGTATGAACACATCATAAAAAGGTGCCACTCTATTTCTTTTCGTCGTGCTTTCACTAACATCTTGCAAGTGTGTGTGTGTGTGTGTGTGTGTCTTCAAACTATGATATTAGTATATTGGGGATGCTTTTATGGAGGGGGCTTGTGGGGAGTCACCGTTCCCTCTGCCCTGTTTGCTTCTGCTGGGGAAGGGAGCAAGATGTGGGTGGCTTAAGAGAGCCTGGCAAGAAGAAGAATTCTCACCCAGAATCTGTTGAAAGGATCTGGTTTTGAAGCTGAATGGAAGATCCCATAGCCTGAGCTACCCTCACAGTGGTCCAGAAACATGTGAATCTGAGCCAAGTCTACTGATGTGTGATTAATTTACAAATAGGCGTGCAGAGCAGAACGGTGTGTACACAGGAGCCTGCTGTTCCTACAAAGCTGCATCAAGATGTCACTGAGTTGGGTTTTATTTTAGTTCCAAGTATTGTATCTGTTTAGCACCCAGCCAGCTTGGTGCCGTGTGCACGCTGGGCAGGCTGAGCTGGTGGCGTATACTGCTTCCTTAGACGGGAGAAGCCTTTGAGGTAGTTCCAGGCCCCACGTGCTGGGCCCAGAGCAACTCCTCAGATTCACAGAAAGAGCTCATATTTCATGGGTGGTCATTTGGCAGAAAGAGTCTGCACATGATGAAAGGGTGGCACGTTGGGAACACTGGACTTTATGTCGAGCTGCATCTGCCCTTTTCTCCAACCAGCTGCAGCGTCTTTCTCCTGACCAGATTCACACCACGTCTTCTGTGGACTCAGAGGACAGACTTCGAGACTTCAGAACCATCATACAAAGAGAAAACACCTTAACTTATTTGGAGTTTTCAACCATTTTTTGACCTTGGAGTAAAGTAAAATGTACCTTTTCTTTTCTTTTCTTTTCTTTTTTTTGAGACTGAGTTTTGCTCTCTCGCCCAGGCTGGAGTGCTGTGGTGTGATCTCAGCCCACTTCAGCCTCTGCTCCCGGATTCAAGTGATTCTCCTGCCTCAGCCTCCTGAATAGCTGGAACTACAAGCGTATCCCACCATGCCGGGCTAATTTTTGTATTTTTAGTAGAGATGGGTTTTCACTGTGTTGTCTAGGCTGATCTTAAACTCCTGACCTCAGGTGATCCTGTCGCCTTGGCCTCCCAAAGTGCTGGGATTACAGGCATGAGCCACCATACCTCAGCATAAATGTATCTTTCTGCCCTTCAGGAGGAAAGGGTTTGCTCAGCAAGTGAATAACATGCAGAAGGTCAAAGCAAGATGTATCATCCTACTCTTAGTCAGGACCTTTCTGAGTGCAACAGAAATCCAGTTTGAACTCAGGCAAAAAGGAGACCTAATTGGAATGTTCATGTTCACCATCCGTGGAAGGACAGCAACTGCTGGAGCCCAGGATTCTCTTGGACTGCATGGAAGAGGACACAGCTGCCGACAGCTTCCCTGCCTTTGCCACCAGTAAAGGATTGACCCACATTCTCTCTTTGACCCCAAGTTTAAAAAAGAAAATCCCTGGGAAGTGTAAGCAGGAGTGAGATCATGGCTGCAGATTGAGGACATGCTCCAAATCCCTAAATCTGATAGAACAAATATTATTAAAAACCCATATCCATGCAGGCAAACAAATGCCTTTAGGGGCTAAGAAATCATGCAGAATCCTGAAAAGGTGTAGTGAAAATGGGATTCAACTGAAAAAGGAAACAATAGCCAAGATTGTACCCAGGAGGTAGAAAGGTTTCTAGGTGTGGATCGCTCGAGCCCAAGAGTGTGAGGCTGCAGTGAGCTATGACTGCGCCATACACTCCAGTCTGGGTGACAGAGTGTAAGACCCTGTCCCTAGGATAAAAATAAAAATAAAAAATTATAAATAAATAAATTGATGATATAGCAAGTGAAAAATGACAGATATGGAGTGAATAATGTAGAGTTTTAAAAATCCAGGATAGGTGTTTTATTATACACACAAACCTACATAAGTGATAAAATTATATGGAACTTAATACATGCACACACTGCACACACAAATAAATACAAGTAAAACTGGCAAATCTGACTGAAGTCTATAGAGTGTATCAATGTCAATATCCTGATAGTAATATTGTAGTTTTGTAAGATGTCACTGCCTGTAATCCCAGCACTTTGGGAGGCTGAGGCGGGCAGATCACCTGAGGTCAGGAGCTCGAGACCAACCTGACCAATATGCAGAAACCCCATCTCTACTAAAAAATACAAAATTAGCCGGGCGTGGTGGCACATGCCTGTAATCCTAGCTACTCAGGAGGCCGAGGCAGGAGAATCACTTGAACCCAGGAGGTGGAGGTTTTGGTGAGCCGAGATCACGCCATTGCACTCCAGGCTGGGCAACAAGGGCAAAACTCCGTCTCAAAAAAAAAAAAAAAAAAAAAAGATGTCACCATTGGGGGACACTGGACAAAGTATACAAGGGATCTCTTTGTGTTATTGCTTACAGCCACATGTGAATTTACAATTATCAATAAAAATTTCAATAGAAAAATCTCTTGAGAGTAACAGATTAGTTACAAAAATCTAAATAACTGTTAGTTTAAATGGGGATGTCAAAATGAAAATTTTAAGCGACTGTGTTTGAACTAAACGGCAGTAAGAACACTGGATGTAAAAACCTATGGGATGAAGCCAAATCAGTACTCAAAGGAAAATATATAGCCCTAAATTAATTTATTCAGAGACAAGTCAAGTTAAAAATTATTGAACCCAGCTTTCAATTCAAGAAGCTAGAAAAATAAATTCAGAGGGTTTAAAAAGGGCCAGGCAAGGTGGCTTACACCTGTAATCCCAGCACTTTGGGAGGCTGAGGTAGGAGGATTCCTTGAGGCCAGGAGTTGGAGACCAGCCCTTGCAACATAGGGAGACCCTGTCTCTACAAAAAATAAAAAATTAGCCAGGTGTGGTGTGGTGGTGCACACCTGTAGTCCTAGCTACTTGGGAGGCTGAAGGGGGAGGGTTGCTTGAATTCAGGAGGTTGAGGCTGCTGTGAGCTGTGATGGTGACATTGTACCCCAGCTGGGGTGCAGAGTTAAAAAATAAATAATATAAAAATAAATGTTACAACTCTTTTACAAGGAACCCTGTTACCAAAATCAAAGGAGAACTCAGTAACTCAACAAAACTACAGGCTGGTTTCACTTAAAAAAAAAAAAAAAAACTTAAATAAAATATTAGCAAATTTCATTCAACTGAATATATTATTACAGCATGACCAAATAGGATTTATTCCAAGAATGGAAGGGAGATTCAAGAGTAGAAAAGAATTTTCATCTAATTTATTATATTGGCTGTTTTAAAATTTTATTTTATTTTGTTATTGATTGAGACAAGGCTCTTGCTCTGTCGCTGTAGCTGGAGTGCAGTTGTGTGATCATGGCTCATGTAGCCTTGATATCCTGGGTTCAAATGAGCTTCCAACCTCAGCTTCCCAAGTAGCTAGGATTACAGGCTTGCGCCACCATGCCCAGCTAATTTTTTAAATTTTCTGTAGAGATGAGGTCTCCCTGTGTTGCTCAGGCTGATCTTAAACTCCTGACCTCAAGAAATCCACCAGCCTTACTGACACCTTCATTTCAGACTTCTGGCCTCCAGAACTGTAAGAGAATAAATTTATTTTGTTTAAAGCCACACTCAGTTTGTGGCACTTTGTGATGGTTGCCCTAGGAAACAAACAAACCCGCTGTCTATTCCGGGGTAAGAATAGAATGGAAAAACTAGGCCAGGCACCATGGCTCACACTGTAATTCCAGCACTTTGGGAGGTCGAGGCAGGCAGATCATCTGAGGTCAGGAGTTCAAGACCAGCCTGGCCAACATGGTGAAACCGGGTCTCTACTAAAAATACAAAAAAAAAAAAAAAAAAAAACAATAAAATTAACCGGGCATGGTGGTATGTGCCTGTAATCTCAACTACCCGGGAGGCTGAGGCAGGAGACTTGCTTGAATCCAGGAGGCAGAGGTTGCAATGAGCCGAGATGGCGCCACGGCACTCCAGCATGGGCAACAGAGTGAGACTGTCTCAAAAAAAAAAAAAGAATAGAATGGAAAAACGAGAAAGATGAACTTACATGACCTGCTGGTTCCCACTAACCTCTACCTGAGAATTTAGAGTGATCGCAGATGGGTGTTAACTCAGGCATTTGCTGGAGCAAATATAGCCCTCTCTGGAAAAACAGACCCTCATCCTAAGCCTCAAAAGAATTTCTACAAATATCTTCCACAGAAAGTGAGCAGTTCTTAGTCAAAAATAACTGAGTAGAAGAAGAGATAAAGCACTAAGAGCCAGAGCCAGCACGAACAATTTACAGCAGAAACAGACTCTGGAGACTTCAGATGCTGCAATATTTAAGCATAGCCAATAAAATAACTGTTCAGTGCATTTAAATAAATAAAAGGCAAAGTTGAGAATATGTGCAGAGAATTAAAAGCTCTAAAGAATGATGAAGCAGATTTGAACAACGAAACAGAACTTTAAGTCAAACGTGGAGAAATCCAGAATACAACACTGGAAGAAAAGGAAGCTGCAGAGAGAATAAGACACATACGTGGAGAAAGTCTAACATTTATCTAATTAGAGAGCCAGAAAGAGGAGAGAAATAGAACAAAGTCTACGTAAGTGGGATTCAGCCCTTAAAAGGTGGCTAATACTTCTCTCTAGTCCTGGGCTTAGTGCTTGATTTCAGCCCAGCCAGTCAAGTGGCTCACGAAATAGATGCCAAACCCTTTGCCTTGACTCCTCCCCAACCTTGGTCATTTCCTCCTGCAAGAGGGGTATCAATGAGAAGTTTCTGAGAACTGAGAGGCCTAGGACAAGGTGTCAGCGAGGGGTGGGCCTTGAGGATATTGAAGACATTGCGCAAAATCATGCAAGGTCCTTTCCCTGCACTTCCTAACTCAAGGGAGTGTCATTCATATTGTAGTACATGAGAATGGCATCGCTTGGAGTTGGACAGTGCATAGCCTGTGCAACTGAATGCAGCAACCCAGCTATCTCTGATGCCTTTTCTGCCCAAGTTATGTGCCCATGGGGCTTTCCAAATTTGACCAGTGGTTTTTTTCCTTTGTGTTTCGTTTCTTCCCTGTTTCCCTCCCTGGAGAAGGATGAGATCTGTCATCGGCTGGAGGATTTTATGGCATGATGAAGGGAAGCTAATAGCTCTGTAAAGAAGAGCCAGTTACCTGGGAAACTTTCCAGGCATGTTGTGTTTCTGGCAGCCCTGGGAGGCTGGACTGTAAAGGCCACACCGCTCACAATGCTGTGGAGCAAGGCCTGGGTGAAGTTGTACAGACACGTGAATGTGCCTGTCCTCACATCCCCTAAGGACACTGGCTGGGCCTTTCGTTGTCCTCTAGGTCCTCTGGCTCTGCCTGCTTGCTCCCTTCTGAGTTAAGCATTTGGACCTGGTTATTGGTGACCTAAGACGCCTGGGTTTCCTGCTCACCTAAGAGTACAGTAGATCAGTCCTGGGTCACAGCCCAGGAGATACAGAGTCTGGTACCATTCTGCCCTGACTCACTGTATGGCCTTGTCAAATGACTCAGTCCCTCTGGGCTTTTGTGTTCCCATCTTGCCCTGACTGCTTCTGAGCATTGAGTTTCCAGCGAGATTGTTGTGGCAGAGTGTTTATAAACTGAGCTGCACTGAGTGTGTCTGAGAGGAGGTGGTAGTTATACTAAGGGCATTTGGGCTGCCTGGCATTGCCATATCTCATTCAGGGCCCAGCTTGTCTCTCCCAAACCTGCCCATCAGAAAGGGCTGAGATGACTTCAGATACCCCCACCCCCAGCCCACACCATGGGCAGCAACATCCAGTTGTCCTGTTTGACGTTTATGCCCTGCACATGCTCTTGAGGAGGGCAAGTCTGGCTCCATGAAAAGTCTGAGTCACAGACGCTGTCAAGAAACAGGGACATGGCAGGGAGCGTGCACTATTCTTGGAGAATCTTAGCTGCGCTAAGGAACAGCTAACAGAGCAGTTTGTAATTAGCACTTTGGCTGCTTGGCGGCAGCGTTATCTGCCTGCAGAGGGTTTTTTTGTGAACATTTGCCAATTACCCTTCTTGAGTACCTACTAAGTGCCAGGCCCTGGCTGCCTAGCACCTGCTGTGAATGGAGAGACAAATGAAAGGTGTTATCTTTTTCTCTTTTGTGCAGGCACCATTCTAGGATTATCTACTGGGATTATGGCAACAAATAAGACAGACAAGTTCCCTGCCCTCCTGTCACCTGTGCTGGGATGGAGGGAGGCAGTCTTCAAGTACACAAATCAGATCATTGCAAAGTGTGGCAATGGGACTGAACTGGGCAGGAGAGGAAATCTACACTGTAGAAGGGACAGGGAGGGCATGGCATTTGTGCCCAGACCTGGTTGATGCCAGGGAGTGAGGGAGCAGCTGTTCCCTGGCCTGGGGAATGGGTGCTTCCTGGGCATGGCAGCAGCTGGAATGGAGAGCTAACATAGTGATTTCCTAGCAAAGCAAGCAGCCATGTGGCTGGAGAGTGGCGATGGAGGAGCTATGGCTCACGAGCAGGCAGACAGGGCACACGGGATCTCACAGACCTGGAAGCTGGAAGTAAACTGAGTTGAGGGATGCACAAAGTTCTGCGGGCAACAGACAGGATCGGGAGGAGACAAGGCAGGGTGAAGGGCGTCCTAGGCATGGAACCCTCCTGGACAAGCACGCTTGGGAGCTGCTGTCAGGTCCCTCTGGTTATGGAACCCTCAGGCAGCACCTGGCTTCTCCACTGTGGCTCCTGTCAGAGCTTTTGTAGGAGGGGTGTGTGTGTGTGTGTGTGTGTGTGTGTTTTAGAGACAGGGTCTTGCTCTGTCACCCAGGCTGGAGTGCAGTGGCACAATCATAGCTCGGTGTAGCCTCAAACTCCTGGGCTCAAGAGATCCTCCAGCCTCAGCCTTCTGAGTAGCTGGGACTACAGGTACATGCCACCATGCTGGGCTAGTTTTATTATTTTTTGTAGAAATGGGGTCTCACTATGTTGCCCAGGCTGGTCTCAAACTCCTGGTCTCCAGTGATCCTCCTGTCTCAGCCTCCCAAAATGCTGGGATTATATGCATGAGCCACTGTGCCTGGCCCCATGTTGACCATTTTTAAGCATACAGTTCTGTGACATTAAGGACATTCACACTGTTATATAACCATAACCACCATCCATCTCCAGGACTTTTTCATCTTCCCAAACTAAAACTCTGTCCTCATTAAACACTAACTACCCAGCCGGGCGCGGTGGCTCACGCCTGTAATCCCAGCACTTTGGGAGGCCGAGGCGGGTGGATCATGAGGTCAGGAGATCGAGACCATCCTGGCTAACAAGGTGAAACCCCGTCTCTACTAAAAATACAAAAAATTAGCCGGGCGCGGTGGCGGGCGCCTGTAGTCCCAGCTACTCGGGAGGCTGAGGCAGGAGAATGACGTGAACCGGGGAAGCAGAGCTTGCAGTGAGCCGAGATTGCGCCACTGCAGTCCGCAGTCCGGCCTGGGCGACAGAGCGAGACTCCGTCTCAAAAAAAAAAAACAAAAAAAAAACACTAACTACCCATTCTCCTTTCCCCAAGTCCCTAGCACCCACCATTCTACTTTCTGTCTCTATGAATTTGACTACTTTAGGGACTTCCTGTAAGTGGAATCATGCAGTATTTTTCCTTTTGTGTCTGGTTTATTTCACTTTGCTTAATGTCTTCAGAGTTCATCCATGTTGTAGCATGTGTCAGAATGTCCTTCTTTTTTGAGGCTGAATAATATTTCCCATCAGGTTCCCCCCACCCTTTTTTTCTCATTAGGTTTTGATGACTCATGTGATGTCTGTCTGTCTCTTTTTTTTTTTTTTTGAGATGGAGTCTCACTCTGTTGCCCAGGCTGGAGTACAGTTGTGCAATCTCGGCTCACTGCAACCTCCACCTCCCAGGTTCAAGTGATTGTCCTGCCTCAGCCTCTTGGGTAGCTGGGACTACAAGTGTGCACCACAATGCCTGGCTAATTTTTGTATTTTTAGTAGATACGGGGTTTCACCATGTTGGCCAGGATGGTCTCGATCTTCTGACCTCATGATCTGCCTGCTTCAACCTCCCAAAGTACTGGGATTACAGGCGTGAGCCATTGCACCTGGCCAATTCTGTCTCTTTTTGAGGCTAAATAGTGTTTCCCCTCAGGTTCCCCCCACCCTTTTTTTCTCATTAGGTTTTGATAACTCATGTGATGCCTGTCTCCCCTGGAGCCTGGAGGCTCCCTGAGGCCTGTCTTGGTCCCCTGTATCCTTAGCACCCATCATAGAACCTGGACCCTAAGAGGTGCTTAATGAACATTTGTTAGGTGCATGGAGTTCAGAGTGACTAGAATTCTTACTGAAAGAGGGGGTTGGCATTGGGATGACAATATTAAAGACTTTATTTGCCAGACTGTGGAGCTTTGGCTTCTAGGCAAATGTTTCTGTTGATCTAAGCCACCTAGGGGACTTGTTAAAAATTCTTATTCCCAGGTCTTTCCCTTGGCAATGCAGCTGATTTGGGCTGGAACCAAGACGCCTGTATTTTGAAAGAGATACCAACCTTTATTTCCTAGATCATTTAAGAACATTAGAATAAAAACAAGTAACCACTCTGATAAAGTTTAAGTGGGGCTTTCCCTCAGCCAGAAGGTTTGTACTTCCTACAAAATATTCTGAAAGAAAAAAACAGAAATTGTTTCTCTAAATCATGCATCTTTATTAAAAAGCATTAAAGCAGCTGTTAGCTTGTGTTGTATCCAGAGTCAGGTGCAGCCACCTTTCACGCATCAATACATAGCTTTAGCCTGGAATATACCGCTTAAATTTTGGGGGCTTTCATTTCTTCCAAAAATGGGAGCATTGTTACCTTTTCCACCTTGGGAGATCATTCTGAAGAAGCAAGAATAAAAAGGCTAAAAGAATTTGTAAGTCATAAAATGCTATTATCAATGCTAGGGGTGCATATGTATATAAATTGATTTAAGTATAGAAGATGATGGTTCAATTCTTAAGCTATTTACTATCCTGGCTGTACAGTAAGATACACTTGACTCCATCACTTACTGAGTAATAGGGGCAAGGTACCATAATGACACAAAGCCCTGGGTCTCCTTAGTTATAAAAACGGGGCTAATAGCCTTGCAGCACAATATTATTCAGTCATAAAAAGCAATGAAGTTCTCGCAATGCTACAACATGAACCTCAAAAACATGATGCCAAGTGAAAAAGCCCAGACACAGAAAGCACATATTGTATGACTCCACCAATAGGAAATGTCCAGAATAGGCAAATCCATCAAAACAGAAAGCAGCTTAGTGGGTGCCAGGGGCTGGGGCAACGGGAAGTGACTGCTTAATGAGCTTAATGAGAAATGGGCTTTCTTTTTGGGTGAGGAAAATGTTCTGGAATTAGATAGGGGTGATGGTTGCACAACTCTGTGAGTATACTAAAAACCACTTTAAAGTGGTGAATTACATGGCATGTGAGTTATATCACAATAAAATACTTAAATAAGTGGGGACAATACATCTAACTCGGGGGAGTTGTGAGGATTAAGTCACTTACAATGTATTAATAGGGCCCAAGTGTGTAAAACCATGGGCCAGATTTATAAACCAAGTAGCAAGAAGAAGAGTCTGGTTGCCAAGTGTGCCTGCCAGAGGGTGGGGGCTGTTGGGATGTGGGGTCTGATGAGACCCTGGCACCATTTTCAGGAGGGGGCCATTCACACTGGGAATACCTTCAGGAAAGGCAGGACTGGGCAGACTGTGTATTTTCTCCTACACCCTCCTCCTCACAGGATGCATGAAGGATGAGGGGCCAGGGTCGGGGTGGGGACTAAGTCTCTGACTGTTAGCTGCCCTGGCATCTGTGTCTTTAAGGAGTTGACTGTTGTAATGTGGCAAGTTTGGGAAACCCTGTCTTAGGCGACACAGAGAGCTGTGGGCAATTTCTCTGAGCTAAAGGGCTGTGACACCCTCGCTGGGACACCCAGGGACGGCTGGGTCTGTACCCCACTCAGCCATAGCTATTGCAGAAGGAGTCACGGGGGCTCAGAGTGGTGGGCTGGTGCGCCTTTGGTACCATGAGTAGGGTGGGCTTAAGGAGACAGGACTAGGGACACTGGCTACTGACACTGGCTACTGAGACTCCAGCATGGCGTTTGTGCCTCTCTGGACTTGAGGTTAGCCCCACAGCGCTCCTTGCAGGCTGCACAATACCAGCTGTTGTTTTGGAGCAACAAAAATTCATAATTTGCAGCTGATAACTAACAGGCACCCGAGTAAGTTGGCTGACAGCCTCAGTGCTGGAATCTTGCACATGGTGGGCTCCAAGTGGAAGTTTATTGGGAGGTATGTTGGCCAAGTAAAGAGGAGAACCTTGTCCAGGGAAAAACTCAGTCCCAGCGTTGTGCCCACCTGCTCACAAGCCATGGGGAGGCATCTGCAGCCAACATTCAATCCATTTGTGTTAAATGCAGGAATTAAGGAAAGACTGAATTTGATGAGAATTGTCTGCCGACTTAGCCACATGGAGGTCATTTGTGACCTTGACCAATATGGTCTCAGTGGAGTGGGGGTGGTCAAAGTGGGTTGGAAAGAGATCAGGAGGTGAGACAATGGAAACAGCAAGTATAGCTAAGCTTGAGGAGGATTTGCTATAAAGGGGATCAAAGAAGCGGGATGGTGCCAAGGAGGTAGAGTTGAGGGGGGCTGTGGCATGTTGTTTTGTTTTGGTTTTGCAGATATATGGGAGCTATAACTTGCATGTTTGAATGCTGATGGTGAATGAGGAGGTCCATTAGGGAGACAAGAGAGGGGAGCATTTCGGGAGAAGGTCCCTGAATGACAAGAGGGCATGGGCCCCAGTGACAGAGAGTTGGCCTTCAGTAGGAGCAGAGCCGTCCATGCATTGCAACAGCAGCTAGTGGATTGGTGCAATGGGTTGGTCCATTTGATGATGGGAATTTGAGGAAACAAAGAAGACTGGAGCCAGGCATGGTACACATGCCTGTGGTCCCAGCTACTTAAGGAGGCTGAGGCAGGAAGATCGCTTGAGCCCAGGAGTTGGAGGCTGCAGTGAGCTAAGATCACGCCACTGTGTTCTATCTAGCCTGGGTAAAGAGTGAGACTCCATCTCCAAAAAAATTAATGATAAAAAAGTAACGAAGACTCAAGATGGAGAGAAGGTATAAAATCAGGAGTGGGAAATAGTGAAGGAACTGAATCACTGAAGTAGGACTGCAGGAGCTGTGCCCTCCTGGAGTGTCCTGTCAGAGTTTTGAAGGCTGGCCCAGAGGAGTAAGCACTCAGGGGCCTTTGTATTCTCATTATGTATCTACTCTGTCATCACAAGGGCTTATCACCAGTTCAGGAGTAACCCAGGTGAAAATCTCAGCAGTGCCTCTTATCAACTCTGGTGTCTTGGATGGTTCCGGAAAGCTCTGATTTCCCTGGAGAATTGATTGAGCTGAGTTTTGCTTTGGGACAGGGCCTGCAGCACAGCCAGCTCTCTGCCAACAGGCTCTCAGCCTCTAAGCATCTCAGGGGGCCCTCCCTTCTGCATGCCCCAGAAGCTGAGACCTTTCACCCCTAAAGGACTGGCCATTTCTAAGGCCAGTGGCCTCCTGAAAAGCCCTGGCACTTCTTATGTAGGAGGATGGTCTGGGTGCTGCTGCTGAAATGGTGGTGGCCTCAGGGAGGTGACCAGGAGTGAGAAAGGAAGGCCCCTGAGCAAACCCCAGCCTACGATTTTGTAGCCACAGCTTAGACCCTAACTGCTGGGGCCAAGGTCCCCTCTGGGCTTGTTTCTGTTGTCACATCTAAGCCTCCCGTGGCATTTTGTTTAAGGGCCCAGTCTTATTTCAGCCATACTCAGTGTTAAATTAGGGGAGCACCAACCCTGGAGGCCAGTGTGGTGGTGGTAGTAGCTCTGTGACCAGCAGGGTCCCTAGAGGACCAGGGTAGGAGGTGAGTTCCAAATAATTCTCCTTCATGCCATGCTTATCATCTTGGAGGCTCTGAGTTTCAAGCTTATTTCCTCACATGCACATTTGTGCCCGTTTCCACCCAACTGAGGTTGCCATGCTGATAGCCACAGCCAGGGAGGAGGAGTCATAAAAACAGGGCCCCCTTGCCTTGCCGCAGTCCTTGAGCAGGATGCGCCCTCTCGGAGCCTGCTCTGTGGTCTGTACCACTGCTTCCCTGGGTCTGTTGTTTGGGTTGAGGCATTACATAGCGATGCCTCATAACTTAACTCTAACATCCCACTCCTGCTCCTGGAGCTGCAGAGCACTGCAAGCCCCACGGTGCCCCCAGGTGGCCGCTGTGCTGTGGGATCTGGTGACCAACTCCTGCAGTGGCTTGGCAGTTGCCCCAGCTTGGCACTCCAGGTGTACAATGGTGAGATTTATGACTTTCTGTGGGATTTGGGGTAACTGCCGCAGTGCCCAGGGCTTTAAAGCTCTCTGGGACCCCCTCTTCACTGCCCAGGCCAGCGTTAGAGGAAGGAGTCAGGTCCTGCTTAAAGGTGTCAAGGAATCTGTGGGGGGTGGGGGTAGGAGCTGTGTCCTCCTGCTCAAAGTCTCCTTGGTCCTTGCCCTTCCAGCCTGGCCACCCCTGCCTCATGAACCTGAAGCTCTTTCTGTGTCACTTTTCTCCTCTAATGCCTGGGAGTTTGTGGCTGGGTGGAGGGAGAAGCTGGGAGTCAGGGTCCTGGTTCCCAACCCAGCTCTCTGCCTGCTTCCTGAGCCTTAGTCTCCTCATTTGTAAGGGGAGGGTTGGCCTGCAGCAGGGTCCTCTGCTTGTTTCTTAGCCCAGAAATCCTTTCTTCAAAAGAAATCTCTGCTGGAAGCCCAGTGTCTAACACATAAAGGTGGAACTACTCTGGGGCAGGGATTGGACGATTCTGTGGGTCTGTGACCTCTCCTGCTTTCAGCTCCAGGACACAGAGAGGCAGCTGATCAGTGCTAACCTCATAACACACACCTTCAGAGCAGCCACACACTCCTGCAACCCCAGCCCAGGCATAAGGGGATGGTTGCTGGACAAAGAACAGCCCCTTATCCGTCTGTGCTGCCTCCCATTCATCCAGAGCTTTGGGTCCCTGGATACACATAGATGGTTAGGGGAGGCCTGGGGAGCCTTGTCTGGCTGCATCTGGAGAGGAAGTACTTTTACCATTGCCTGCTTCAGCTCCTGATTGGGAACCAGTAGGTTTGGGAAGCAGAGAGCAGAAGGAAGCTCTCTTAGAGCAAGAGGAGAGGGACTCAAGGGAGGCAGAAGGAGGTTATGGATACCCACAGTCCTGAGTCCCAGGCCCCCAGACCTGCCGGTGGCTCCCTCGCTTCCCACTACTGCAAAAACCGGGGCTCCCGCTGGCTTGGCTTGGAGTAGCTTCCAGACTTAGTAACCAGAATGCAGCTGAACTGCGTTGGGATGGATTCCATCCCCCCTTAACTTTGCACAGCCTCACTAAATTCCATCTGTGACGTCAGACCCCTGCTAATCATGGAAAAACAGATTAAGTTCTATAAACACAATTCTCGTGCTTCCCCTCCCAGTCAGGGTGTCTCATGGCCTCCGCTTAAAGGAGCTGTCCACGTCGCCTCGTCCTGGGCCAAACCCCAGTAATCCACTTTAAGTCTTCATCACATGCCTCCAGCCTGGCCACCCCTGCCTCATGAATCTGAAGCTCTTTCTGTGTCACTTTTCTCCTCTACTCCCTGGGAGGTTCAGGAAGATCTTTGGGCTCCAGCCTGGGAGGCCCAGCTGGTGCTCTGTGTCTTGGTGGGAAGCCATGCCCTTGATTCTTTGGGTGACATCCCTCACAGCTCTTCTTGGTCGTCTGCCTGTGCCTGGAACCCTGGTCTGGATGCATCCTGCACCTCGCGCCTTGCCCACGGCTGGTCTCTTGCTCCATGGCCTCCCTGAGTGGCCCCACTCTGACACGGTCTGGCCAGGTGTTTACTCAAAGACATCAGTGAACATGGGGCTGGGGGTTCTTTCTAGGGTCGTGAATGCCAGGGTCTGGAACCTGAAGACTTTTCTAAGGCCAGGGCCCAGGTGCCACATTTGAAGCCCAGGGAAGGGTCCCTGTCATCCCTGGAGCAGAGCCATGTGGGCTGTGCATGTGGGCGACCACCCAGACCCCTTGCCTGGCCTTCCTCCCTGAAGGGCCTCTGGAGACCTGTATGTGTTTTTTTTTCTCTGTCTGTGCCAGGCCCCAAAAGATGCCCTGCAGACAGCAGTAAAACATAATTCTGTCTAACCCGTCACGACTCCGGCAGAGACGAGATGAAATGTGTGTCTGTCTCGCTAGCACCCAGGCAGCCGGACTGGGTGTAATGAAATTGTCTGAGTGAGGAGGGTTCAGCTTCGGGCCAAGGGGGCTCCAGGGAGAGGCAGACACACAAGTCACACTGCTCTGATACGGGAGGGTCTGCCATGCTCCCTGGCCTCAGCTCAACCAGGGAGAAAGTGAGGAGGACCCTATCTCACCCCAGTAGGTCCGTGCCTGGCTGTAAGGCCAACCAGCACCACAGCAGGGCTGCTCCTCCTTCAGGCCTAGGTTTATTGTCTGCACCTGGGGGTAGGCAGCCCTACCAGGAAGCCCACAGGCCCTATATCTCAGGGACCCGCCTTCCAGACCCTGCTAGGGACAGCAGTGCCACCTTGTTGTTCACTCTTGCTAGTTGAACACTGGTTGGAACAGGGCTGAGCACTTCATGTGCATCACCTCATTTAATCTACAGACACCCCAGCTGGGCAGGGGTGGTTCTTACCCCCAGAAGACAAAATGAAAGATCAAAGGATTAAGCAATTTGCCCACTGTCACAGCTAACAGGTGGCAGAAGGTCTAGCTGATTGTTTTATTTTAATCACAACACTACCAGCCCTTCTCTGTCTGTTTACACACACACCACTCAAATGCTACAGCTGCTGCCTTCTGAAACATCAGGTAATAAAGTGCAGGTAAAAGTTGCCCACAAATTCCATCCATCTGATGGAACCCTCTCCAGCATTCAGTCAACGTTTATTCCACACTCTTCATACAAACAGACATGTACAGAGTAGTAATAATCTTTTTTTAAAAAAGTATCATGTTCTACATGAATTTTTAAAGTAAAAATTAAATTTAATCTTTTTTAAAAAAAGTATCATGTTCTACGTGATCTTTTTTTAAAAAAGTATCATGTTCTACATGATCTTTTTTTAAAAAAGTATCGTGTTCTACATGATCTTTTTTTAAAAAAGTATCATGTTCTACATGAGTTTTTAAGGTAAAAATTAAATTTAATGTTATTTGAATTTAACCAGACAAATGTATCAATTTTCATGTATCTCAAGTGAAATGGGAGTTGCTAAACTGAGGAAAAAGATTTCTTTATTGTAAGTGATAATAGTCCTAAAAGGTTAAAGGTGAGAGAAAAGCTTTTGAAAATAGCTTGATTGAAGTATAATAACATACCATACATATACTCATTTAAAGTATACGATTAAATGGTTTTGGTATATTATTGATTTTTTTAAATTGTGGTAAGTATATATATAACATAAACTTTGCTATTTTAACAGTTTTTAAGTGTACTATTTCATCACAGTAAGTATATTCACAATGTTGAGCAACCATCACCACTACCACTTCCAAAGCTTTTTTATCACCCAAATAGAAACTCTGTAACTATTAAACAACTACTCCCATTTCCTCCAACCCCAGCCCCTGGTGACCTCTAATCTATTTTCTGAGAGAAAAACTTTTAAAAGGTTAAAGTCATTAATTTTTTTTTAATAATAAACTTTATTTATTTTTTGAGATAGGGTCTCGCTCTGTTGCCCAGGCTGGAGTGCAGTGGCACGATCTTGGCTCACTGCAACCTCCACCTCCCGGGCTCAAGGGATCCTCCCACCTCAGCCTCCCGAGTAGCTGGCACTACAGGCACTCCACCACACCTGGCTAACTTTTGTATTTTTTGTAGAGATGGGGTTTCACCACGTTGCTCAGGCTGGTCTCAAACTCCTGACCTCAAGTGATCTGCCTACTTTGGCCTCCCAAAGTACTGGGATTAAGGCGTGAGCCACCTAAACTTTATTTTTTTTAAGAGCTGTTTTAGATTCACAGCAAAATTGAGTGGCAAGTACGGAGTTCCCATATGCCCCTTCCCCCACTCTCAGCATCACACATCAATGTGCCCTGTTTGTTACAATGAATGAGCCTGCAGTGACATGGCATCGCCCTAAGTCCGTAGATTACACAAGGGCTCACTCTTGATGTTGTACTTTCTGTGGGTTTGGACAAATGTATGAGGACATGCATCCGCCATTGTAGTATCCCACAGAGTACTTTTACTGCCCTAAAAATCCTCCATTCTCTGCCTGTTCATCTCTCACTAATTTTTCTACCTACTTAATGAACCAACTTCTATGCTATGGAAGTTGAGGAAACGATATTTCTACCTTTGTTCTTCTCCAAATTTGTCTTAGTTGTATTATCATTTGTGTACAGTGTTGAGGTTTTGATAGTCAGTTCAATCACATAATTGCCATGATTTCAAAATATCAATGCCGTGTTCATCAGGATTTCTCCATTTATTACCTCATTTTGACTTATCTTTTTGGTTAGTTGGATTTCAACATCAGATAATTTTTTCTTTTTTTTTGAATTTTATGTATTTATTTATTTTTGAGACAGGGCCTTGCTCTGTGATTCAGGCTGGAGTGCAGTAGCGCAAACATGGCTCACTGCAGCCTTGACCTCCTGTGCTCAAGCCATCCTCTCACCTCATCTCCCCAGGATGCAGCCCGGCCGTGCCAGGGGTGCATGGTGGGAGGCCACTCGATGGAGCCCCATGTTCCTGCCCTGGGGCCTTTGCTCACGCTGTTCCTTCTTACTGGATTGAGTCCTTCTCACACCTACCCTCAGCTCTGCCCTTAGCCTCCCCAAGTGTCTGGATTACAGGTGTCTGCCGCCTTGCCCAGCTAATTTTTTTTAAGTGTATGATTTTTTGAAGAGACAGTATCTCACTGTATTGCCCAGGCTGGTCTTGAACTCCTGGGCTCAGGTAATCCTCCTGCCTTGGTTTCCCAAAGTGCTAGGATTATAGGTGTGAGCCACCGTGCCCGGCCAGGTAATTATTTTTTAGATGACTTTAAGGATGTCTAAGCCCCTAAACTCATGCTTCAGAGAGCCCCACCTCATCTCCCCAAGATGCAGCCTGGCCATGCCAGGGGCACATGGTGGGAAGCCACTCAATGGAGCCCCACGTTCCTGCCCTGGGGCCTTTGCTCACGCTGTTCCTTCTTACTGGATTGAGTACTTCTCACACCCGCCCTCAGCTCTGCCGAGCAGAATCCCATGGATCTCAGAGAGCCTGGCTCCGCCTTCCATGAAGCCTTTCCTGAGACCCCTCTGGACTGAGCAACTTATCTTGTTTTCATGACACTCATGGTAACTCCAGAAGTCAGATAGTATTATCCCCATTTTATATATGGAGAGACCGAGGCTCAGCAGATACAGGGGCTTTTCCAGGAGGTCACACAGCTGGTAAAGGCATTGTGAGGCTTTGCAGTCAGATCCCAGAGTGAGCTCCAAACTGTCACCTCCCGTCACATTCTGTGTCACTCTTAGAGTTCTGAGTCCTCTCTCCTATTAGTCACCCGTGCATTTAACTGTAAGATATAGAACGATTTATTTGTTTTTTCCTTCTTCCTATCCATGTATGTACCTACTTACTTACCTCTACAGCTCTTTAGTTCCTTGTGGGCAGAAACACGGTTGCTTTTCCCTAAGCCAGCCTTGATGGAATTGCATCCTGAGCACTTGCACTTTCTGATGCTCTTCCACCATGTGGCTGCTGCCCTTGCACGGTCCTAAGCTTTGCCCCACTCCACCCAGGTGCCAGGAGCCTCCAAGGGGCCTCTGGGCCCTCCAGGTGTGTGTTCCCTCTCTGTCTCTGTCCCTCTGCCTGCACGCAAAAATATCCCAGCGGAGCTGTGGACAGCACCTGTGCAATTAACAGCTCACCTGACAGCTTGTCCGTGGGGGAACATCATTAGGTATCTGTTCCAGACATGTGCTCACAGAGCCTTTGAAATCAGAGACCCAAGCCAGTGTCTGGGTGCTGGCTCAGGCTGCGAGATTTCACCCCTGGTTGTTATTTGAGGTGATGGAGACATTTAAGGAACATTATGAATCTGGCTCAGGGGGTCCTACCTTGCTAGTGCCTGGTGAGCCTGGAATCTGAGAGGATTGAGAAAGGACTGATTTGCATGGGGATGAGCAGGGCAGGTCATGTACGCTGGAGGGGTTAAGACTCCCAAAGGGCAGAATGCTTAGACTCGTAAGGTTTCTGAAGAACATTTAGAGTCTGTGTCTGACCATGTTATTTAGATGACTAAATGAGACTTGCCCACTCTGGGTCACTGCATTTGCCCCACAGTAAAGGAGCCCACCTGAGGCCCCACAGAGGCGGAGTGGGTGCTGCACGTCACACAGGTGTACTGCTTCACACCAAGCACCTGCTGTGCCTTCCTAGTTGGGCGATGCTGGGGCTTCAATGAAGAACCACGTGAAGAAGCTTCAGAAACAACCCCCATTGAACTTCAATTTTCCCTTCCCGTCTCCAACCCTAATTTCCTCCAACTTCCCTCAAACATAAAGCTCTCTCTCCTTTATGTATGTAAGTTTCTCAGATCAGGTGCCTGTGCTACCCTCCCAGCCAGCTGGAAGTCCATCCAGGTGTCAGACTTGGGTCCCTTGCTACTTCGGCCCAGCCAGCTCTTGTTTCACACCTCACAGGATAAGGTGCAGCCTGGGGACTGTAGGGCCATTGCTTCTCTCTCCTGTGTCCTCAGCTTCCAGCCAGGTGTGAGAATAGACATGTGGGCCTAGGCGGAGCTGAGTCTGGGAGTATGGGGAAGAACTCCACAGGGCCTCAGGCCCTAAACTTGCAGGTCCCATGGGCTGTTAGCTAGACCCATTGACCTTGAAGAAGGTCAGCAATGGTCTTTTTTCACTTGAGCACAGCCTCTGGGGAGCTTTGGGGTTGATCAGGGATCAGAAAGGCTGGTGGACAGGTCGCAGGAGAGGGGAAGCCCCTCCTAGCAAGAGTCCTTATGGATATAGCAGGGCCTGGGGCCACCCCAAGGAGGGGAACAGGGCAAGGAAACTTCCCAGAGAGAGGGGAGCTAGAGGGGATTTCTGTGTCCAGGTGATGCTGCTCAGCAGCACCATGGGGAGTCTGGGTCAGAGACCTCCAAGGGGCAGTTGGGGTCTGGGATCCAGGGTTATCTTATCTACAGCCAGCAGATGTTGGGTGCAGTTTCTGGGGTATATAAAGTATCTAGGCTCTAATCGGCTAAAAAAGAGCTTCACTTGGACTATATTTAAAGCAACTGGATGTGAGAATTGGGTTCTTTTTTAATAGAGAGGAGGGTCTTGCTATGTTTCCCAGGCTGGTCTTGAGCTTGCTTGACCTCAAGCAGTCCACCTGCCTTGGCATCCCATAATGCCAGGATGGATGTGAGAATTTGAATGGGCTTCGGGCTGACGTTCCTACCTGCTGTGAACTAAACAACTGGGAGCCGCTGTTTTAGGCTAGCACAAGGGATGGAGCCCCTTTATCAGACCTTTCCTCTCTCTGTCTTTCTCCCTAAGTGGCTTATTTAAGAACTTCTTTTAACCCTGTCTACTGGTATTCCTGAGAGTTCTGATAAATGTTTTTCTCAACCTTGTTAGCTACCCAGTAATGCTTTAGCACCTGGGTGATACTCCAATGCCCGATAGAGAGCCGTGCCCTGGGGAAGTTGCCTGACTGGCCAGGCCCTTGCTTTTATCACTTAGCAGGAGTCCTGCCCATGGTCACTGTGAATCCTCCCTGGCTGCTGTCCTTGGAGTAGTCTTGCTAAAATACTACCGTTAGCCGGGTGTGGGTGGCGTGCATCTGTAGTCCCAGCTACTCTGGAGGCTGAGGCAGAAGGATAGCTTGAGCCCAGGAGATCAAGGCTGCAGTGAGCTGGGATTGCACCACTGCACTCTAGCCTGGGTGCAGAGTGAGACCTTGTCTCTAAACAATAAATAAATGTAAAATTTATTTATCATCCATCCTGAAAACCTTCACTTGGCTTCATGTTAACAGCATGTGACCTTTGGAGGTGACCAAATGATATTTATGGCAAAGCTTCAGCCATCTGGGGCTTGGGTTTTAAGGGGTGATTTCATTTTCCGGATAACTGAGTATGCGCCTCTTCCAAGCACCAAGTTTTTGTTTTTTTTTTTGAGACGGAGTTTCACTCTTGTCCCCCAGGCTGGAGTGCAATGGCGCGATCTCAGCTCACTGCAACCTCCGCCTCCTGGGTTCAAGCGATTCTCCTGCCTCAGCCTCCCAAGTAGTTGGGACCACAGGCTCCTGCCACCACCTGCGGCTAATTTTTGTGTTTTTAGTAGAGACGGGGTTTCACCATGTTGGCCAGTCTGGTCTTGAACGCCGAACCTCAAGTGATCTGCCTACCTTGGCCTCCCAAAGTGCTGGGATTACAAGTGTGAGCCACTGTGCCCGGCCCAGTTAAAAAAAAATGTGATTGCTTAGGGACAAATCTTCATCAAATATATTCTTTGTCACTTAAATAGAGGTGGCTATGAGCACACTCTCTGCTTATCTTGTCTCATCTACTTCCCAGACATAGCCCAATGGAAGGAATAAAATAGATGCCAATAAATGTTTCTTATTGGATTGAACTGAAACCAAACGTTAAATCACTCAGAGTCTCCCCCTTGGGATGTAGTGATGTCATCTGCCCCTAATGGCATGGCTCAGACTGCTGACTTGTGAATGTCTCATGTCTGTGCTGCTTAGTTTTATTTGATCTGCCTGCTTTTCCATGACCAGCTATCATTACTCACTGTGTCAGTACCGGGGAAATAGATGCTGTACCTTGTTAGGATTGTGAGTAAAACAAGAGCACGGTGTTCTTACCCTGGCCCTTGTTTATGGAGTGACAATTCTTTACTTCCCCGTGGCTGTTTGTTGATCAGAGAGCTTACACATAGCCTCTCACTTGTCCTTTTGGTAGCTGTTAGCAAACAAGAAAAATAAAGGTTGGAAAGGAGAGAACCTGCTCAAAGTTGCACCGTTGGATCATGCCTGATCAGAGGCCACAATTCCAGCCTCAGGTGTAGACCGGGCCTTTCCTCTGTGCTATGGTATTCACCAGCCTTTGCAGAAAGTGACTGTTCTGTTCTGTCCTCTCTGTCTCCCAGGGGTCCTTGGTGAATTTTGTCATGGTTATTTAAGGAACCTTGCCTAGAAGTCCCAACTTGCAGTTCCCCATCGACGGGAAGGCTTGGACTCCAAGATGATTATAAAGGAATATCGGATTCCTCTGCCAATGACCGTGGAGGAGTACCGCATCGCCCAGCTGTACATGATACAGGTGGGTCGTGGGGCAAGGGTGGGTCATGGGGTGAGGGTGGGTCGCGCCAGCGCACAGACACCACATGTGGGTTAGGTGGAGTTGTGGCCTTCACAGTGCAGTGCCTGCCCCAGAACTTCCTGGTAAGTGTGAATTGTGCTGGACCCCTGGCCTCTAGGCACGATGCCAGGCGCACAGAGCACACCATGGGCGCACGGCATCAGATTGCTTTCCGGCACTGTGTCCCGCCGCCTACAACGCGAACACTTGCCCTTGCGTTCAGCACCATTATCTCCCTGGCCCAGACGTTATCCCTATGTTTTCCTATGTTTCAGTTTGCCTGGGCTGCCATCAGTAAATACCACAAACTGGGGGCGTAGAGGAACACACTTCCTCACAGTTCTGGGGGCCGGAAGTCCCAGATCAAGGCCTGGCAAGTGCGGTTTCTGGTGAGGGCCCTCTTCCTGGCTTGCACATGGGCGCCTTCTCCCTGTTTCCTAACATGGCAGAGAGTGAGCAGGCTCTGGTGTCTTCTCTTTTTCTTTTTCTCCTCTGTTTTTTATTTGTGTAAATGTATAGGATACAACTGTAATTTTGTTGCATGCACAGATTGGAAAATGGTGCTTGTAGGGTATCTATCACTCAAATACCCTGTACTCATTAAGTAATCCCTCATCTTCCACCCTTCCTTATCTTCTAAGGACACCAGTCCCATTGTGAGGGCCCCACCCATATGATCTCATCTAGCCCTGATTACCACCCAAAGGCCCCATCTCCAAATACCATCACACTGGGGGTCAGGCCTTTTAGGGGGACAGAGACATTCAGTCCATAACACCCCATTCTACAGACAGGAAGGCGTATGAGGCCCAGAGATGTTAAATGCCTTGCCAAGGAGCACAGGGCCTGTCTCCTAGCTCCCAGCTCCATGCTTTCCTCACCACCCTGACTGCTTGCAAAAAAGCAGTGTCAGACATGTGGCTCACTTACAGACGCACACAGGAGTTTGAGGATGACAGGCTCCTTTGACGAGCCAGAGACTCTTGCTTAGGAGACACCTCCAGTCTCCCTACTCAGTGCCTGATCAACCTGGAACACAAGACCTGGCTGCCTCTGGCTGACCCCAGATGGGACCACTGCTCCCACTTGCTGCAGTCCTGGCTGCAGTCCTTTCTATGTAGAGGTTCCATCCCAGCTCTCCTGCTGGCCTTCTGTCCACCCTCAGTGCCTGGCATGGCCTAGCCCGGCAGCTTCCCTCCAGGCTGAGGGTCTTCGGGCTTCCCACACTGATTATGAACCTGCTGTCAGCCTGGCTCTGGCTCCTCTGGGCATATCAGTGCCTCCAGTCCCTGTGACCCAGTGGGGCTTGCCCTCCTCCAGCTTCTTGCTGTACAACCCCTTAATTACAGCATCAGACTGAGTCGTTGGTGTGGGGGAAAGGCTTCAGCAGGGCCTCCACCTCCCATCACTGGCTTCGCCTATTGGGCTCCCACCTTCCACCCAGGTCAGGGGAGGTAGCTGTGAGCTCGCAGCAGAGCCTGCAGCCCCAGCTGCCTTCTGGGAGGAGCTTGAGGAAGCTGCAAGGGTTTGTCCAGGCTCCCCTATGTGGGAGCCTTGGCTGGGAAAAGAACGGAAGGTGAACCCAGCCTCTCCGGGGGGCTGTTTGCTCTGAGCTGCTTCAGAAGGACCACTCAATTCCCTCTTGAACCACTTACCCGATAATTATTTCTAGAGAGTGGAGAGAGAGGAAGCAGCTTAAATCAGCCCCCCATCTCTGAGCACTCTGGAAATAGCTCAGCGTGTTCAAGGACCAGGCTGATCTGCCAGTGCTGCTGTTGTCTTACTGCTTCTCAATTCCCACCCAAGCCAGGGTGAACCCAGACCACAGGAGCCCCTCAGCTCCACCTGGCCTCCCGGTGGCTGTCAAGATCGGGAGGACTGACCTCCAGCCCCCAGGAGATCCCAAAGCTGTTCTGGAGCATAGAATCACCTCTGGGCTCCTCAAAACACCTGTCACTCCAGGTTTTTGTTTGTTTGTTTGTTTGTTTGTTTGTTTTTGAGATGGAGTCTTGCTCTGTCGCCAGGCTGGAGTGCAGCATCGTGATCTCGGCTCACTGCAACCTCCACCTCCTGGGTTCAAGCGATTCTCATGCCTCAGCCTCCGGAGTAGCTGGGATTACAGGCACGCGCCACCACACCCAACTAATTTTCGTATTTTTAGTAGAGACAGGGTTTCACCATGTTGGCCAGGACAGTCTCAGTCTCCTGACCTTGTGATCCACTCACCTTGGCCTCCCAAAGTGCTGGGATTACAGGCGTGAGCCACGATGCCCAGCCACTTCAGGGTTTTTTTGAACACCTATCCTTATGCCTCGAATGAATGTAACTGTTAAGCATCATATAGTTCCCTGTTAGACGCTCAGACCTTCCTGCAGCTGTGCAGCCAGGCCCCGTCCATCTAGCCGACACATGCAGTGTCTTTTGAGAAGCTCCATTGATTAGGATTGTGGCAGGATGGAAACATCTCCCGCCTTGCAGATCGTGAGCATCAGCACTCTCAGGGCCCTTCGTGAGAGCTTGTTGGACAGATGGGCATCCTCCCCAGCTAGGCAGAGACACTGTGGCCTCTAAGGGCTAGCTGGAGTCATTGCTGCTCCTCTGAGCTTCCAGAGCCTTTCCCTGTGCACCTTCTGGGTGAGCAAGCATGTGTGCACACGTCTGCTTTCCTGTTAAAAAAGAAAGGTGAAAGAAACCAGGTATTGCCGGGAGAGGTGCTTCTGTGACAGGCACTAGCATGCTTGGAGGGGAGATTGGGGGCAAGGCTGTTGGTGTTCCTGCTCAGGCTGGCTGGCTGGGCAGCTCTCCTCTGGGCAGGCCTTGAGGCTGGGGGTGTCGGATAGACAGCTTGGTGATGGGCAGGGGGTCTGCTGCACATCACAGGTGCTAGTGCCCTGCACCTGTGTCCTCTGTGTTCTTGGTGTGTGCTGTCTCCGGCCTGAGGACTAATTGCTGTGTTTGAGGTGCTTCAGCCCTCATGTAGTTACCAGGAAGCCATAGGTTCCTGCTAGAGCTACTGACTGGGAAGTTTCCCATGCACTTAAGGCCCCTGCTGGCCAGCCCTGCCCCAGCTGGGTCTTAGACAGGCGGATGCATCGCTGGGTTCTGGCCTCCACAGCCCCCAGTCCGAGCTCCAACAAAATGAGCTCCAAGATATTGCCAGGCCCATAGGTCGTGTGCCCTCTGAGGGGCAAAACGCTGGCCTGCCTACTGTCTGCATGGACGGGGCTCAGGCTATCAGGTCTCTATAGCATTTGGAAGAAATTCTTTTGGGACTAGGGGCTTTGGGCTTACTTGATTGGTTGTTGTCTTGTTTTGCTTTTATTGAGGTGAAATTCACAAAACATTAACAACCATTTTTAAGTGAACAATTCAGTGGCATTTAGTATACTCACAATGTTGTGCAACCACCAACTTTAGTTCCAAAACACTTTCATCACCCCAGAAAGAAACCCCATATCCATTAAACAGTCACTCCTCACTCCCCCTCCCCACCCCCTGACAATCACTAATGTACTACCTGTCTCCCTGGGTTTGCCTGTTCTGGACATTTCATGTGCATGGCATCACTCACAGTGTTGCTCTTTGTGTCTGGCTTCTTTCACTCAGTGTCATGTTGTTGGGATTCATCCATGTCATAGCATGTGTCAGTGCCTCATTACGTTTTATGGCTGAATCATATTCCACTGTATGAACAGACCACATTTTGCTTATCCATTCATCCATTGATGGACATTTGGGTTGACATTAGCATACAAATATCTGTTTTCTTTTTTTTTTTTTTGAGATGGAGTCTCGCTCTGTCGCCCAGGGTGGAGTGCAGTGGCGTCATCTCAGCTCACTGCAAGCTCCGCCTCCCGGGTTCACGCCATTCTCCTGCCTCAGCCTCCCGAGTAGCTGGGTCTACAGGCGCGTGCCACCACCCCTGGCTAATTTTTTGTATTTTTAGTAGAGACGGGGTTTCACCATGTTAGCCAGGATGGTCTCGAGCTCCTGACCTCGTGATCCGCCCGCCTCAGCTTCCCAAAGTGCTGGGATTACAGGCGTGAGCCACCGCGCCCGGCCTACAAGTATCTATTTTCAATTCTTCCGGGTCTACACCTAGGAAGGGAATTTCTGGGTCACATGGTGACGCTATGCTTGATGTCTGCAGGAACCACCAGACTGTTTTCCACAGTGGCTGCACCATTTTACATTCCTACTGGGAATGTATGAAGTTTCCAGTTTCTCCACATCCTCACCAGCACTTACTGTCCTCTTTTTAAATAAATGCTACCCTAGTGAGTATGTTTTGAAACAGAAGAGTCCCCAGGTTATCTCAAGGGTCCTTCTGCCCATCTTTCAGACCAGCCAGCATGCTGTGTCCTTCTCGGAGGCTTTTCTGATCTCCATGGGCAGCATGAGTGATTTCTTTCCCTGAATCCTCGCAGTTTCCTGTCAGTCCCACACCTGGGCACCTAGTGCCTTCCACCTCTTTGTGGGTGTCTGTCTGCTTCCTGCTGGACAGTGAGTGTCTCAGGGCAGGGTTTAGGTCTGTGGGTCTGTTTTCCCAGTTTCTGGCTCATATCCTCTTTAGTGCACATGGGCTGCTCCTCCCTCCCTCACCCATGGCTCTAGTGCACACACACACACACACACACACACACACAGACACATATGTGTGTCCACACACAACATATGTACATGCAAGCACAGCCACCTATGCATACAGGTATGTACACAAATACATGCAGACACATGCACAGACCTATACAGACACATGCATGCACACACAACATGCACACATATGTGCACATGTGTACATGCATCTCCACAGACACACACACACACACACATACACCACAAGACCCAAGGGGGTAGTGCTCCTCTTGGTTGCTTTTTCTGTTTTTTTGAGATGAAGTCTCACTCTGTTCCCCAGGCTGAAGTGCAGTGGTGTAATCTCAGCTCACTGCAACCTTTGCCTCTCGGGTTTAAGCGATTCCTCTGCCTCAGTCTCCCCAGTAGCTGGGATTACAGGTGCCCGCCTCCATGCCTGGCTAATTTTTGTATTTTTAGTAGAGATGGGCTTTCGCCATGTTGGCCAGGCTGGTCTTGAACTCCTGACCTCAGGTGATCCACCCACAGTCTCCCAAAGTGCTGGGATTACAGGCATGAGCCACCATGCACAGCCAGTTTCTTTATCTGTAACCTAAGCTAGGCTCTCAGAGAGCATAGTTTCCCATTTTACATATGGGGAAATTGAGGTCCACAGGGCCAGGGTTGGAGCTCAGATCTCCGGGCTCCTAGGTGGCCTCTTTGGGACCCCTAGTAGGCCAAGGGAGGCTGCTGCCAATCTCAGAGGTGAGGGCACCCTGGCAGGCGGAGAGGACCAGGAGGTGCCAGTGTCTAGATTGGGGAGGAGGCAGCATTGGGAGGGATCTCCCCTCTCAACCCCAGCCTGTGCTGTGGCTCCCAGGCCTGAGGGCAGAGCAGGTGGGCAGGAGGGGAGAGGTTCAGGCCACCCCGACTTGGAGACCCAAGGCACTACCTGTGCCCTTCCTGTCACCAAGACCCCTACTGTCAGCCCAATTTCCATCTTGAGAGCTCTTGCCCCTCCTGCAGGGCTGGTGTGAATGCCCCTCTTCCAGGCAGCTTCCTCTGACCCTCTGGGTCCTGAGGGCACTCATTCTTCCCAGCCCCACCTGCCCGTCTGTGCCCGCTCTAGCCTTTTTCTAACCTGCGGTTCCTGGGGTTCTTGTCACTGTGGGGTGATGGACTCAAAAGTGTGAACGTACGTCAGAATCACCAGCTGCTCCTTTACATGTGTACAGCTTATTGTATGTCAGTCATACCTCAGTAACATTGCTAAAAAGTAAGTTAAAGTCACCTGACTTTCCTGTGCACTTCCTGTGCCAAGGGCTGAGTTGCAGAGGGGGATGAAAGTCCTTCCCGTTCTCTGGGAAGATAGATTTCACATACGTTTCAGCACAGGCTCAAGGGCACAGTCTGCACTGGCCTCCCAAGATGGATAGGCCTTCAAGAAGACTGCTGTGTTTTTGTGGAAAGAATAATAAGAAGACCTTAGTTCATCATTTCCCACTTCTGCCACTTGCCAGCCAGTGGCAGCTAGGAATAGGCCTTCCTCTCTGCAAGCTGCCCCGCTGGAAGGTTGTGAAAAAGATGGGCTGGGCTCGCGCGTCAAAGTACCTGGCACCCTGCTGGAGCAGCACTCAATATACACCGTGTTAAAGGTGAGAAAACAAAATCGTCTGCCTGGCTGGGAGAGGGCCATCCGTCCGAGGTGTTCAGCGAATGTGTGCCGCCGAGGGAGTGGCCGGAGGTGGCCTGGCCAGGACCCTGGGAGCGGCTGCTTTCAGGGGTTTCTTGGTCTTGATCTTTCTTTGCATCCTCCCCCAACTCCTTCGTTAGCCCCTGGGGAGCCAGGCCTGTCTCTGCTGTCCAACTGCCGCTGTCTCTGAAAACAGTACCGCAGCACTGTTTAGGGGAATGGTAGGCAGGGACGAGGGGGTGGCTGCTCATGTGGCAGAGATCAGAGTGATTCGAGAAGAGCTTGCTCCTAAGTGGCATGACTGAGTAGCTGTGCCAGGAGGGGCCTGCCCCCCTTGGACGCCATCACTGGTGGGGAGCCAGAGGTCAGCTTGGGGAGGACTGGCTGCCCTTGGTGATGCCAGCTTTGAAGTTCCTGGTGACAGTTGGAACTAGAATCCATTCTTCATTTGACCAATCTTTACCTAGCATCTATTTCAGGAAACACCAAAGTGCTATACAGGGGGTCCCGTCTGGCTCCCAGTGGCTCTGCCACTGACTGCAGCCCTCACACCCCTCCACAGCCGACTGAATCAGTGTCCAGCAAATGATCAGAACCTGCTTTAATCCTCACGATAACCTGCACAGTTGGTGGTACTCATCCCCATTCATCCCCATCCCCAGATGACAGCTCGAGGCTCAGAGATATCAAGGAACTTGCCCAAGGGTGCATAGCTGGCCTAATGATACCAGTCTGCCCAGAGATGTGGTGGGCTGCCTTTTTCACATTGCTTTTAGTGGAGCACTTTGAGGTCTCCTAGTTCACCCCTTCTCTGAAGTTCCAGCTGTTGGAGGTTACATGCTCTCCACCCTGTCTGACTCTGAAGCCAGTGCTCTCCCTTTCACAGCTCTGCCTTCCAGTGCTCAGATACTCAGAGCTACACATAGCACAGGGTCACCTATGGGTGGCAAGGCCAGGGGTACTGGAGTCAGCATGAAGAGTCACCATACACTGGGGAA
Organism: Homo sapiens; assembly: GCF_000001405.40. Lineage (NCBI taxonomy): Eukaryota > Metazoa > Chordata > Mammalia > Primates > Hominidae > Homo > Homo sapiens. The sequence continues at coordinate 123,027,210 of NC_000012.12, read as the reverse complement.
AGTGCTGGTGACTGAAGATGTATGTGGCCAAGGGCTGGGTGGGAGGTGGTGAGGACTCCACCTGCCCCACCGAGAGATGAGGGACAGGTGGGGGGCCATCAGTGTAGTGTGCTTGTTTCTCCAGCAGGCAGGCTGAAGCTCACTCACAGGAGGCCATTGTGGGCACTCACCCCACTGGTGACCAGTGTCCCCCCCAGAATCTGCATCCACCTGCAGTCTCAGAATGTGGCCTTATTTTGAAATAGGGCCTCTGAAGGTGTAATTTGTTAAGGATCTTGAAATGAGATCATTCTGGATTTAGAGAGGTCCCTGAATGAATGACTAGTGTCCCTATAAGAAAAGGAAAGGACCAAGACACAGGAAAGATGAAGCAGAGATTGGAGAGATACAGCATGGGCCAAGGAGCACTGGGAGCCAGCAGCAGCTGGAAGAGGCAGGAGGCATCCTCCCTAGACCGCACAGGATGCTACTGGGTGAGCCTGCTGTCCTGGAAAAGGCGTGAAGTCTGCCTGAGTGGGCAGGGGCTTCTGCGCAGCCACCCAGCAAGGCCAAGGTGGAAGGGACCCTCCTGGCCCCTGTCCTGGCTCCACCCTCAGCTGCTGGCAGGTGGGTCACCAGGCCTCTGCCCAAAGAAACTCCTGCAGGCAGCTCTGGACCCCCTGTCTTACACACCTTCTCACTGAGCCTGCCAGCATCCCAGGTATCTTATTTCCTGGCGCTGCCATAACAAAGAACCACAAACTGCATAGCTTGAAACAATAGACATTTATTCTTTCACAGTTCTGGAGGCCAGAAACCAGAGAGGCAGGTGTCCGCAGGGCTGCACTTCCTCCAAAGGTTCTACGGGTAGACCCTTCCTTGTCTCTTCCAGCTTCTGGTGGCTCCAAGCATACCTTAGTTTGTGGCCACGTCACTCCATTTACATCGGCAAAGACCCTATTTCCAAATAAGGTCACATTCCAAGGGCCTGGTGGGGACATTCCACCCATTACGCCAGGGCATGGACAGATAGGTAGTCCTGTCTCCACTTAGAGTTTGGAAATTGACACCAAAGAGAAGTGACTTGTCCAGGAGGAGAGGGAGCTGGTCACAGAGTTGGGACTAGAATTCATTTATTTGTTCAATAAGAATTTACGGAGCACCTATCTTATGCTGAGGTCTTTTCCTTGAGCCACCTTGGTGCTTTGGGCTGAGCAGGCTCTGGAATGACACAGGTCTGAATTCAAGGCCTGGCTCTGCCATTTAGTAACTGTGTGACCTTGGACAAGTTTGTGCCTCTCATAGCCTCGATCGTCTCATCTGTGACTTGGGGGTAATAGTGCTAATACACCTTTCCTAAGGGGATGTTGCAGTAACTAAAGGAGAATGTACATGCAAAGCACTTAGCATAGCCACAAATAAATGATGCTACTGGAAGAGGTGGGAGCTTAGAGCATCCAGGAAGAGCTTGCTGTTTTCACTACAAATCTGGTCCACATAGGCCGAGTGCGGTGGCTCACACCTGTAATCCCAGCACTTTGGGAGGCCGAGGCAGGCAGATCACCTGAGGTTGGGAGTTCGAGACCAGCCTGATGGACATGGTGAAACCCCATCTCTAGTAAAAATACAAAATTAGCCAGGTGTGGTGGCTCATGCCTGTAATCCCAGCTACTCAGGAGGCTGAGGCAGGGAATCGCTTGAACCCGGGAGGCAGAGGATGCGGTGAGCCAAGATCACACCATTGCACCCCAGCCTGGGCAAGAAGAGCGAAACTTTGTCTCAAAAAAAAAAAAAAAAAAATCTGGTCCACATTCCAGGAGCTCTTTTAAAGAGGGAGAGATGACACATGCCTGCCCTGACCTCACCTATGGCCTCACCCAGAGTCTTGTCTGTTTTTTGTTTTGGAAGGGGACTCAATCGCTCTGGGCCATGGAGATATAGCACATTTTTTGTGCCTTAGAGAGGCCTGTGGCTGTGTATGCATGTGCATCTGTGTGCCTAGGTGTATGCACGCACACATACACACCTGCTGTTCAGGAAGCTGACCGAGGATGCCCTTGGCTAGCCCATCATGTCACCATGGAAACAGATGCTCGGCTTAAAGTCGCCACTGCCTCAAACATGAGGTTTCCTGCATAAGCAGAAAACTGAGCTTTTGGACACGGGGAGGGACATTCATGGCAGAGAGATGCTTAGAGGTGACCCATGTCTCTCTCACAGTGCCAGCGAGGCCCCTTCCTGCTTGCCACATTTGATTTTTTTGATCTTAGTACAAAAGGCAGGATTGGTTTCTGTTTGTTTTGTTTTATAACAGCTTTATTGAGATATAAGTCACACACCACATGACTCATCCATTTAAAGTGCACAGTTCGGTGGTTTTTAGCCTATTCAGAGTTGTACAACCGTCACCAGAATCAATTTTAGAACATTTCTATTACCCCAAAAAAGAAATCACTATTTTCACCCCAGCCCCAGGCAACCAATAATGTGCTTTCTGTCTCTATAGATTCCACTATTCTGGGTATTTTATATAAATGGAATCATACAATATGTGTCCTTTTGTGTCTGGCTTCTTTCACTCAGCATAATATTTCCAGGGTTCATCCCTCTTGTATCATGTGCCAGTGCTCCGTTACTTTTTATGGCCAAATAATATTCCATTCCATGGTAGACCACAGTTTGTTTCCCCATTCATCTGTTGGTGGACATTTGGGTTGTTTCCACTTTTTGGCTACAGTGAATAATGCTGCCATAAATATTCATGTATAAGTTTTTATGTGGACATATGTTTTCCTTTTCTTGGATATTTACCTAGAGTGGAATTGCTGGGTCATATGGTAACTCTATGTTTAACTTTTTGAGGAACCGCCAAACTGTTTGCCACAGCAGCTGCACCATTTTACGTTCCCACCATCAATGTACGAGGGTTCCATTGCTCCACACCCTGAACAACACTTGCTGCTGTGTGTCTTTTTAACCGCCCCAGTGAGTGTGAAGTGGTATCTCATTATGGTTTTGATTTGCATTTCCCTAATGACAAATGATGTTGAGCATCTTTTCATTTGCTCGTTGACCATTTGTATAATCTTTTTGTAGAAATGTCTGTTCAAGTTCTTTGCCTTTATTATTCTTACTATTTTTTTAGAGATGGGGTCTTGCTATGTCGCTCAGGCTGACCTTGAACTCCTGGGCTCCAGCCATCCTGCCAACTTCACCTCTGGAGTAGCTAGGTCTACAGGTGTACAGCACCATGCCCAGCTCCTTTGCCAGTTTTTGAATGGGGTTGTTGTTTCTCTGTTGTTGCATTGGAGGAGTTCTGTATATATTTTGGATATAAGTTACTATAAGATATATTGTATATAAAAATTCTCTCCCATTTTGTACGTTGTTTTTTCACTTTCTTTTTAGTGTCCTTTGAAGCATAAAAGTTGTTAATTTTGATGAGGTCCAGTTTATCTGTCTTTTCTTTTGTTGCTTGTGCTTTTGGTGTCATGGCTCCAAAACGATTGCCAGTTCAAGTTCATAGGACTTATGCCTATGTTTTCTCTTAAGAGTTTTATAGTTTGAGCCCTTACATTTAGGAGAACGTGTTTTTAATGAGCTGTTGGCAGCAGCCAGTGAGAAGGTGGCGTCCTCTGGGGAGTCTGTGGACTTGTGCATTGCCCAGGAGTCCCACCAGAATCCCTTCTGCCTCGCCAGCTACCTCTAACCCTCCAGCTTGTGGCCCAAACATGTTGCTTCCAGTCCCTGGCCCTCAGTTTCCCCATGTATACCACAAGTAGGTCATCTTGAGGATGTCTTTGTAAGTGTCCTCCTGGTTCCATTTTTTGCCTTCTCTAGAGATGGCTCTGGTCACGTGCACCTTCTGCTCCACCCAGAAGAGCCCTGAATCCATGGGCCTTGGCTCCTGCATGCACACACACGCCACATGTGTGTGCACGCATGCACGCCTGCGCACTGACATTCTGAGTGGCAGCTTCAGTGAGCCCCTCACAGGGAGCACAGCCCTCAGTTCCCTGCGCCATACACCAAGTCCAGGAGACACATTTCTACCCTGGGGTCAGGCTCTTTGGCAGCAAGGGCCACTCCTAGCTGTCCCCTCCCTCCAGTGAGCTGGCCCCAGCCCAGCCTGTGCTTCGAACTGCCTACCTCATTCAGCTGTGCAATAAATTCCATGTCAGGGCTAATGGGCAGGAGAAGCTGCTGGCCCAGCCAGGAGACAGAGTCATGCCCCTGTGGCAGGGAGCTGGGAGAACAAGCAGAGCACAGCCCGCCTTGCTTGGTCCCAGCGGGGCTCTGGGGAGGGAGGTTTGGGTGGAGGGCCCTGGGGGAAGAGGCAGGGCACATCAGATCCCTGAGTGTAGATGTGGCATCTGGCCGGTGCCCCTCCTTCAGGAACAGACCTCCCCTTCCCCTCAATTCCTGCCAGACCAGCTACCCACCATGCCTGGTGCCTATTAGGTAGGGGTTGGGGGTTCTGATGCACATGCAGGTTTCTGCAGTTTAATGCAATCTGTGGCTGCTTCTCTGTCTCTGCACTACCACAGTCACTCATGGCCTGGGAGACTTGGCTCCAGTACTCTGTGCCTCAGTTTCTTACTTGTGGAGTGGGGAGCATGATCCCACAACATCTCAGGGCTCTGAAGTGCAGAGAACAGGTGGGTGCAAAGGCAAGTTGTAAACTGAGACAGGGTCAGGAGATCTCCTGCTTGGGGCTCTCATTCATGCTCTTTGCCTCCCTTGGTAGCCTCTTTTTCCAGGAAGCCCTCTCTCCCTGCCTGCATTGGCTCCTGATAATGACAGTTGAGCAGTTGTGGCCGCTATCTGAGTCTCAGCCCTAGTGTGCACGAGGAGCGCTGGTGTCTGATGCTCTGTGGGTCTTCCGAGCGGTCTTGGTGCCTATAGCTATGAAAAGGGCCTTCCTCCGCAGCCGCATCCTGATCAGAGGCACAGCTGAGACCCAGCTGCACTCCTCTGCCCTGTCCTTTTAGCCCAAGTGCTGACATCAATGGCTGATCCAGGACCAGAAAAAGGCTGAGCGGAGAGCCGTGCTGCCTGGCCCCTCCTCACCGCCCTTCCCCGCACCTCTTGGCTGTACCGGGAGCCTCTGAGCACCGGAAATGAAGGGTTTTCCAGGCCTGGCTCTTCACTCCATCCTTCAGGGGAACTTTGAAGCCATGGAGACATCTGGCTTTGGAGCCATGGCGATTCCCCTGCCACTCTCCTTGCTGGGATAAAGCCAGGGCGTGGCATCCTGGGATGATGTTCCCTGCTGCTGAGTGTGCACACAACCTGAGCTCATCCTGTGTACGTCAGCTACACATGCTCGCATCTAATTTTCTCAACAACCTAGCCAGTACTATTGCTTCTCCTCCTCTTACAGATGGGGAGATGATGACATATAGAGGTTAACTTATCAGAGACCACACAGAAAGAAAGAAAAAGAGGAGGGTTTGTACCCAGACATTTGAACCACAGAAACTATGCTCTAAGCCCGCATGTTCTGCCACCTCCCTGAGAGGGAGCCCCTCTTGGACCCTGATAGCTGAAGGTAAACTCCATGCCCCACATCCTCAGGGAAGGGCAGCTTGCTGTTCAAGGGGAATGGTCTTCACCTGACACCGCAGTGGGGCTTGATTTAGAAACTGTGATTCCCAGGCTGAGCACAGAGGCTTACTCCTGTAATCCCAGCATTTTGAGAGACCAAGGCACTCTACAAAAAAATAAAAAACTAGCTGGGTGTGGTGGGGTGCACGCCTGTAGTCCCAGCTACTCTAGAGTCTGAGGCAGAAGGATTGCTTGAGCTTGGGGGGTCAAGGCTGCAGTGAGCCATGATCATGCCATTGTACTTCAGCCTGGGGGACAGATTGAGACCCTATCTCATAAATAAATAAATAAACTGAAATTCTCAGCAGGTGGGTCCTCAGTAAACAGGGCTGGGGCCCCTGTGGCCCACATGGTAAAGATGTGGCTCCCTTTTGCCTGGACCTTGTGGCCTCTACCCAGTTTGAGCACAGGACATGTTTGGGCACAGGGTAAGGAGCAGATCTCAGCCCATGGGCAGGGTGGGTGGCTGCGCAGGGGCATGGGGCCTCTATCCCACCATGGTGGGCAGGAAAAGGCTGAGTCACTGGTCTGTAGTGTACCAAGTGTACCTGGGCTCACTAATCACTTTCTTTTTTTTTTTTTTTTTTTTTTTTTTGAGATGGAATTTCGCTCTTGTCGCCTAGGCTGTAGTGCAATGGCATGATCTCAGCTCACTGCAACCTCTGCCTCCTAGGTTCAAAGATTCTCCTGCCTCAGCCTTCCAAGTAGCTGGGATTAGTGGCACCCACCACCACGCCTGGCTATTTTTTTTTATTATTGTTTTTAGTAGAGACAGGGTTTTGCCATGTTGGCCAGGCTAGTCTCGAACTCCTGACCTCAGGTGATCTGCCTGCCTCAGCCTCCCAAAGTGCTGGGATTACAGGCATGAACCACTGTGCCTCGCCCACTGACCACTTTCAACTGCAGCCCGGCCTCTCCCTTCTCTCCTTTGCCCTCAGCTACCAAGATTTCATGTTCATAAAGCCGCTAAGTACCTGGCCTACCTGCTGAGCACAGAGGCATCTCCTGCTGCTCCCGGAGCTGGGGGCCTCACCTCCTATCTAAACCCAGGAAAGAACACCCCTGTGGGCAGCTGCCCATGCCAGGGGATCTCCCATTCTCTATACATGTACCAGGACGTTCTTCCTGGGACCCAGATTAGATTGTGCTCCTCTCCTGCTTAAACCCTTTCCTTCCCTTAGCATCAAAACTGTGCTCCTTTTATGGCCGGGCACAGTGGCTCACTCCTGTAATCCCAGCACTTTGGGAGGCGGAGGCGGGCAGATCACTTGAGGTCAGGAGTGTGAGACCAGCCTGGTCAACATGGTGAAACCCCATCTCTACTAAAAATACAAAAATTAGCTGGGTGTGGTGGCGCGTGACTATAATCCCAGCTATTCGGGAGGCTGAGGTGGGAGAATCACTTGAACCTGGGAGGCGGAGGTTGCAGTGAGCCGAGATCATGCCATAGCACTCCAGCCTGGGTGACAGAGCCAGACTCTGTCTCATCTGTCTCAAAACAAATAAACAAACAAAAATAAAAAAATAAAAAAACTTTTGTGATATGGCTTCTGCCTAGCTCCCAGGCCCTTCCCTGCCACTTCCTGCCTCGCAGGCTACACCCAGGCAACTGAGTCCACACGCTTCCAGGGCTCCCTCTAGACACAGACCTTCAGCTCTGTCACCTGCCTCCCTACCCAGCATATCTGTCCTGTCCACCCCTGCCTGGTGAGTGCCTCCCCACCTCCCAGCTCCCCTGCAGGTCACTTTCCCTGACCCCCCTGAGGCTGAGTGAAGGCCTCCCCTCATGTCTTCTAATCACATGATAGTTGTTCTCTTTGGGGTAGGTCTTCCACGTACTCCAAGTCTGGAGCAGGGATGATTCTTCCCAAAGCAGACCAGCCTGGACAATGACATCTCTTTCTTCTACTTTCTGTGAACTCCTCTGGGTGAGGGCTGCACAGGCCCTCCACTGGGTGGGGGATTTTGCTATTTGGGGTTATTTCAGCTTTAACTATTTGGCTGATGGGGCTTGCGGCTTTCCTGGAGGGAGAGAGGAGCGCTTGCTCATTCTCAGAGACCCTGCTGCCTGGCAAGAGTCAGCTCATAGTGGTGTGCTGGAGCTGTGTCAGGGAGATGGCTGAGTGGCAGGGCCCTCATCGGCCTGGTGTTCTAAAGGTGGGGTGCTCTGAGCAGCCTGCAGACTTTTCTTTCCCAGTTTCATTCCTAATTCTTTTTCACTTTTTATTCAAGTGTTGTATATATACAGAAAAGTTTATGATTCATAAGTGTCTACCCTGATGGTCTTGCAAAAAGTGAATATGCCTGTGTAACCAGCACCAGGCCAAGCAACAGAACATTCTTCAGCAAACCCCTCAGGCCCCCTTGACCCACGGGATTTTGAAATAACTTGACAGCTACTTGAGCTATAATTCATACACCATATAATTCACCCACTTAAAGTGTACAGTTCAAAGGTTCTCGGTATATTCACAGAGTTGTGCAACCATCACCACTACCTAATTCCAGAGCACTTTCATCACCTCAAAAGAAACTTGTACCAGCCAGGCACGGTGGCTCATTCCTGTAATCCCAGCACTTTGGGAGGCCGAGGCAGGTGGATCACTTGGGGTCAAGAGTTTGAGATCAGCCTGGCCAACATGGCAAAACTCTTTCTCTACTAATAATATAAAAATTAGCCAAGCTTGGTGGCACACGCCTGTAATCCCAGCTACTTGGTCAGCTGAGGCAGGAGAATCACTTGAGCCTGGGAGGCAGAGGTTGCAGTGAGCTGAGATCTCGCCACTGCACTCCAGCCTGGGAGACAGAGTGAGACTCTGTCTCAAAAAAAAAAAAAAAAAAAGGAAAGGAAAGGAAAAAAAGAAAAGAAAAGAAAAAGAAAAAGGAACCTGTACCAGCCTGTAATGCCAAAGCTCTGGGTGGTTGAGACAGGAGAATTACTTGAGGCCAAGAGTTTGAGACAAGCCTGGGCAACATAGTGAGACTCCATTCTCTACAAAAGAAAATTTTTTAATTAGTTGAGCATGTCTGGGCGTAGTGGCTCATGCCTGTAATCCCAGAACTTTGGGAGGCCGAGGCAGGCGGATCACTTGGGGTCAGGAGTTTGAGACCCCAAACTCCTGGCCAACATGGCAAAACGCTGTCTTTACTAATAATACAAAAATTAGTCAGGCATGGTGGTGCACACCTGTAATCCCAGCTGCTTGGGAAGCTGAGGCAGGAGAATCGGTTGAACCTGGGAGGCGAAGGTTGCAATGAGCCTAGATCGTGCCACTGCACTCCAACCTGTGTGACAGAATGAGACTCTGTCTCAAAAAAAAAAAAAAAAAAAGAAAAGAAAAAAGAAAAGAAATTAAAAATTATTAAATTATTAAATTATTTTAAAAAATTAACCAGATGTGGTGGAATGGTCCTGTAGTCTCAGCTACTCAGGTGGTTGAGGTGAGAGGATCACTAGAGCCCAAGAGTTAGAGGTTACAACAAGCTGTGATCATGCCAGTGCCCTCCAGCCTGGGTGACAAAGCAAGAGGAAAGAGAGAAAGAGAAAGAGAGAGAGAGAGAGAGAGAAAAGAGGGAGGGAGGGAGGGAGGAAGGAAGGAAGGAAGGAAGGAAGGAAGGAAGGAAGGAAGGAAGGAAGGAAAAGTGAGAGAAAGGGAAGAAAGAAAAGAAAATGAAGGAAAGGAAAGGAGGGAGGGAGGAAGGGATGGATGGAGGGAGGGAGGGCCCTGCGCCCATTAGCATCACTCTTCATTTCCCCCATGTTCCCCAGCAGCAGGCCACCACTAATTCACTTTCTGTCTCTATATATTTTCCTTTTCTGTACTTTCCATGTAAATGGAATCACAGGATATGTGGTCCTTTGTGTCTGGCTTGTTTCACTTAATAGAATCTTTTCAAGGTTCATCCATGTTGTGGTATGTAGCATTACTTCATTCCTCTTTGTGACTGAATAATATTCTATTATTGTATGGATAGACCACATTTTATTCATTCATCTGTTGATGGACACTTGAGTTGTTTACAGCTTTTGACTAGTGTGAATAATACTGCAATGAACATTGGTGTACAGGTTTTTCTGTGAATACATGGCAGCAGCTGGTAGGGCTGGAGTCATCTGAAGGCTTGGTGTACAAGTATCTGTTCAAGTCTCTGTTTTCAGTTATTTTGGGTGCATACCCAGAAGTGGAATTGCTGGTCATATGGTAATGCTATGTTTAACTTTTTGAGAAAGTGCTAAACTTTTTTTTTTTTTTTTGAGATGGAGTCTCACTGTCACCCAGGCTAGAGTGCAGTGGCACAATCTCGGCTCACTGTGACCTCTGCCTCCTGGGTTCAAGCAATCTCCTGCCTCAGCCTCCCAAATAGCTGGGATTACAGGCATGCGCCACCACACACGACTAATTTTTGTATTTTTTTAGTAGAGACGGTGTTTCACCATGTTGGCCAGACTGGTGTCGAACTCCCGACTTCAAGTGATCCACCTGCCTCAGCCTCCCAAAGTGCTGGGATTACAGGAGTGAGCCACCATGCCTGCCCTGCTAAACTATTATCTTTTCTTTTTTTTTCTTTTTTTTTTTTTGAGATGGAGTCTCACTCTGTCGCCCAGGCTGGAGTGCAGTGGCACAATCTCGGCTTATTGCAACCTCCGCCTCCCAGGTTCAAGCGATTCTACTGCCTCAGCCTCCTGAGTAGCTGGGACTACAGGCACACACCACCATGCCCGGCTAATTTTTGTATTTTTTTAGTAGAGACAGGGTTTCACCATGCTGGCCAGGCTGGTCTCAAACTCCTGACTTCATGATCCAGCCACCTCAGCCTCCCAAAGTGCTAGGCTTACAGGCGTGAGCCACCGCACCTGGCCTACTAAACTATTTTCAACAGTTTTACATTCCCACCATTTTATATTCCCACCAATAGGGTTCCAGTTTCTCCACATGCCAACCAGCATTGATTCTTTTTTCTAGGTTTTTTTGAATACTAACCACCTTAATGGGTGTGAGGTGCTATCTCATTGTGTTTTTTGTTTTTTTGTTTGTTTTTGAGACGGAGTCTTAGGCCGAGGCGAGCGGATCATGAGGTCAAGAGATCAAGACCATCCTGGCCAACATGGTAAAACCCCATCTCTACTAAAAATACAAAAAATTAGCTGGATGTGGTGGTGGGCACCTATAGTCCCAGCTATTTGGGAGGCTGAGGCAGGAGAACCACTTGAACCCAGGAGGCGGAGATTGCAGTGAGCCAAGATCATGCCACTGCACTCCAGCCTGGTGACAGAGCGAGATTTCATATCAAAAAAAAAAAGACAGAATCTTGCTCTGTCACCCAGGCTGGACTGCAGTGGCGCGATCTTGGCTCACTGCAACCTCTGCCTCCTGGGTTCAAGCAATTCTCCTACCTCAGCCTCCCGAGTAGCTGGGATTACAGGAGTGTGCCACCACGCCCAGCTACTTTTTGTATTTTCAGTAGAGACGGAGTTTTACCATGTTGGCCAGGCTGGTCTCTAACTCCTGGCCTCAAGTGATCTGCCTGCCTCGGCCTCCCAAATGGCTGGGATTACAGGCATAAGCCACCACACTTGGCCCTCATTGTGGTTTTGATTTGCACTTTCCTAATGAATAGTGATGTTGAACATCTTTTCATTGCTTATTGGCCATTCGTATATCTTCTTTGGAGAAATGGCTATTCAAGTCCTTTGCTCATGTTTGAATTGTGTTGTTTTGTTGTTGAGTTTAGGAGTTCTTTATATATTCTGGATACAAGTCCCTTATCAGATACATGGTATGCAAATGTCTTCTCCCATTTGGTGGGTTGTCTTTTTCTCTCTTCATAGTGCTCTTTGATACACTAAGGTTTTTAATTTCAGTTAAGTCCAGTTCATCTATTTTTTCTTTTGTTGCTTGTGCTTTTGGTGTCATATTTAAGAAAGCATTGCCAAATCCAAGGTCATAAAGATGACCTTGTTTGCCCCAGTTTTCTTCTGTTTTATCATTTTGTGATTTTATTTCTTTTTTTAAACTACCATTTCTCAAGCATCTTATAGTTTTATAGTTTTAGTTCTTATTTGTAAATCTTGGATTCATTTCGAGTTTTTGTATCTGCTGTGAGATAGGGTCCAGCTTCATTCTTTTACATGTTGTTATTCAATTGTCCCAGCACCATTTTTTAAAGACTATTATTTCCACATTGGATGGTCTTGGCACCCTTCTCAAAAATTAATTGATCATAGATATATGGTTTATTTCTAGACTCTCAATTATATTCTGTCTGTCTGTCTGTTGATCTATTTGTCTATCCTATCCAGTGCTACACTTTTTTGATTACTGTAGTTTTGTAGTAAGGTTTGATATAGGGAAGTGTGAGTCCTCCAGCTTGGTTTTGTTTTGTTTTCAAGATTGTTTTGGCTCTTCCGGGTCTCCTGTAATTCCATATGAATTTTAGGATCAGCTGTTCCATTTCTACAAATAAAGCTGCTGGGATTTTGATAAAGATCGCATTATATCTGTAGGTTGTTTGGGGCAGTGTCGCCATCTTAACAATATTAAATCTTCCAATCCATCAACACGGGATGTCTTTCCATTTATTTAGAACTTTAATTTCTTTCAGCAACATTTTGTAGTTTTAAGTGCACAGGTCTTTCACCTCTTTGGTTAAATATATTCCTAGGTATTTATTCTTTCAGAGGCTATTATAAATGGAATTGTTTCTTAATTTTCTTTGACATTGTTCATTTCTATGTGTCATTTTGTATTCTGCAACTTTGTTGAATTTATTTATTAGGTCTAACAGGCTTTGGTGGAGATTGTTTAGCATTTTCCATATATAAGATTATGGCATCAGGAAATCGAAATAGTTTTACTTCTATCTTTCCAATTTGGATGCCTCTTATTCTTTTTGTTTGTTTTGTTTTGTTTTGTTTGTTTTTTGAGACAGAGTCTCACTTTGTCACCAAGGCTGGAGTGCAGAGGCGTGATCTCAGCTCACTGCAACCTCTGCCTCCCGGGTTCAAGCGATTCTCCTGTTTCAGCCTTTGAGTACCTGGGGCTACAGGCATGTGCCACATGCCTGGCTAATTTTTCTATTTTTAGTAGAGACAAGGTTTCACCATGTTGCCCAGGCTGGTCTCAAACTCCTGACCTCAAGTGATCTGCCCACCTCAGCCTCCTGAAGTGCTGGGATTATAGGCGTGACCCAATGTGCCCAGTTGCCTCTTATTATTTCCTTTTCTTGTCTAATTGCTTTAGCTAGAACTTATAGCACAATATTGAGGAAAAGCAAATAAGTGGGCATCCTTGTCTTGTTCCTGATCTTGGGAACGCTTTTAGTCCTGGGACAGGTGGGAGTCAGAATATAGGACTTGTGTGTGCAGCACTAGGTCTGGGAGAGGGAGTCTGTGGCCCCTTCAGCCTCTTGCACAAGCCCTGGCATATAGATTTGGGGGCCTGGAAGTGACACAGGAGGAGCCAGCCTCGTTGACCAAAGCCCCTCCTCCCTTTCCACACCCCTGGGCCCAGTCTCCTGTGCCCCTTCCCTCCTGAAGAGTGCTCTGGCCCCACACACATTGCAGGTGCTTTTGTCCCCACAGAAGAAGAGCCGTAACGAGACATATGGCGAAGGCAGCGGCGTGGAGATCCTGGAGAACCGGCCGTACACAGATGGCCCAGGCGGCTCTGGGCAGTACACACACAAGGTGTATCATGTGGGCATGCACATTCCCAGCTGGTTCCGCTCCATCCTGCCCAAGGCAGCCCTGCGGGTGGTGGAGGAGTCTTGGAATGCCTACCCCTACACCCGAACCAGGTGCGCCTGCTTTGGCCTCCATGTGCCTCCCACCTCCACATGCCATCTGGCGGGAAGCAATCTTGTGGCATAGATCCAGGGGATGGGATCAGCCTTCAAGCAGGTTCAACAACCCATAACCCCAGGGAACCCAGGCTTTGTTCCATACAGGTGCCCCGAAGGTCACCTAGGGCAGGCACAGGCAAGAGAGGGAAGGATATACCCCTAGATGCCTCCTGACTGCCTACGTGTGGAGGCCATGAAGGCGTGAGTCAAGCGAGGGCTGTTGGAGACTCCTTTGCCATTCCAGAAGATGCAGGGAATGTAAACCCACTTCAGGCTCCCTAAGAAGGCTGAGACAGCCTTCTGGAAAGAAACTGAGGGTAGAACAGATGACCCAGAAGTCCCTTCCAACTCTGAGACCTTCAGCTGCTGTGACAGTGTTGTCCCACATCCCATGCTGAGCAGGGCTGTCCTTGGGATTCCCTGGCAGAGGGTTCTTCACTCTGTGCCCTGCAGTGTGTAGCTTATCACTGCTGAGTTGAATAGATGGGAGCTGGTCCCACAAGCTGTCTACTGCTGAGCAGGTGGGGTCCCCACAAATCTCCTGGGGCTCCCTTCCCCACGCTGGTGGGCACCTGGAGCTTGCTGAGGGATCCACGGAGCTTTTTCCTCTTCCCAGTAGTACTTTCCCCTCTAAGCTCATCTCCAGCCTAGAGAGAGGCTATTCCCCCATTGTCAGAGCTGGCTTCTTGGGAACTAGAGGTGGCATGCCCCATGGAGCACCCCAGCTTCCTCCTGCTTGGCAGTATGCTGCCATAGCTGTGCCCGTGTTCCTGCCATGCTGTGGACATTGGACATGGGGCTTCTAGAAGCCACTGAGGATACACTGTCTTCTGCTCCCCCTAAATCCTTCCCTGCCCCCATCCTGGCTGTTCTTGGGACAAAGTGGCGATCCAAGAGGTGGACAGGGCAGGCAAGTCTCGGCTACCCTCCACCCTCCTTCCATGCCCGCTCACCAGCTCCACTCCTACCCAGTGGGTCAACAGGCCCTGGCCAGGACACTGGGCCTCTCCAAGGACAGGTCCTGATGAGTGCTTTCCTTTCCGCACAGGTTCACCTGTCCTTTCGTGGAGAAATTCTCCATCGACATTGAAACCTTTTATAAAACTGATGCTGGAGAAAACCCCGACGTGTTCAACCTCTCTCCTGTGGAAAAGAACCAGCTGACAATCGGTAACCAGGAAGGGCAGAGCCCCACAGGGCTGTACTCTGGGTTTCCTACCCACAGGTCCCTCTTGTCCTGCCCCTTTTCCCCACACCTGGTAGACTCCAGACCTGGCCCTGTCCTGGGCAGGCAGGTCAGAGTTGGAGCAAGCATGGGGCCCATGGGGGAGGCAGGGCAGGCCTTCTCAGCCCCATTCTCCTGATATATACACCAAGTCCAAGTGCCTTTTCCACCCAGAGCTGCTTCCCTCCATCCCTTTGCGGGATCCCTACTCCCCAGAAGTACATATGGGCTCGGGCATCCATCTCTAGCTGACAGCCATGCACAAGTGCCCCCGGCACATAATGGGGTCTATGTCCTCTTGATGGTGGGTGCCCTACCCACTACCTCCAGATGACAGTGACATGTAGGGGATGGGCCCCATTTGTTAAATCTTCATTTTCAAGAGAAGCCAGTGATAAGGATGTTCATGAGAAATCTCCCAATACTAAATGTTAGCAACCAATTAAAAATCTTTGTAAATAAATGTATGCCAGTGAAACAAAACACATATGTGGGCCAGTGCAGCTCAGCAGCCACCCTCCTGCAGCCTCTGGGTACAAGGCCCAAGTCACTGTGGAGGCATCTCAGGCAGGGCATGCGGGTTGGGGGTGGGTGTCCATGGCCCAGGAGCTGCTCCAGGCCCAACCCCCCCACCTCTGCTGGGATTTCCTGGGTCTGCGAAACAAAGCGTCATAGCATGAGTGGCTTGCACAACACACAGTTATTCTCTCGGGGCTCTGGAGGCCAGAAGTCTGAGATCACAGCATGGTGGGTTCTTCCCCCTGGGGAAGACTCTGTTCAGGCCCCTTCAGTGTCTGCTTGCCGGCAGTCCTTGGTGCTCCTTGACTTGTAGAAGCATCCCTCCAATCTCTGCCTCGTTCGTCACATGGTCACTCCCCTCTGTGTCTGTCTACCTCTTTGTCTCCTCTTCTTATAAAAACACCAGTCATACTGGGTTAGGACCCACCTTAATGGCCTTACTTTTAACTTGATTACCTCTTTGAAAACCTTATCTCTAGATAAGATCACATTCTGAGGCACTGTGTTCAGTACGTCAGCGTAGGAATTGGGGTTGGGGTGTACATAGCTCTTCCCATAGCAGGCAGCCCTGACACTGCCAGAGCTCTGCAGGCTCCCTCTGAGGCCAGCTGCCATGGGTCCTAAGTCTCTGTGACATTTCCCATGCAGGGTCTTTGCCGGCTCACATGGGCAGGGCATATGGTCTGCTCCAGGAAGAGTGCTCATCCCTCCTGGCATTCTGTGGTCCTCAGACTTGCTCCTGACCCTGCTGATTTTGGTGGAGCTGATGTCTGTGTCTGCAGTCTGCAGCCTGGATACAGAGGGGCCCACACATTGGAGAAAATGAGGCAGCCAAGGGCCTGGCTAGAGCAGAACCGACCGCAAAAAAGGGTTCTGTGAGCCACAAACCCTTTACTGGGGCTCTTTCTCACCCAGTGAGTGCCCCAGTCCTGCCCAACACACATGTGCCTCGGGAGTGAGCACACAGGAGGGCTCTGAGATGCTGCTGTGGAGGGGAAGCCTGTGATCATAAGTGGCCTGGCCTACGTCCTGCCCAGAGCCATCACCCATCTTCTTGTCACCCTCACCAGGTCCTGTCAGCCCCTAAGCCTGTTTTCTGCACTCCTACCTCTGTGGCATCTGCCCCTGCTCTCAGGCCTAGCCTGGAGCAAGCTTGGCCAGACACCCCCTGTAGGCCTCTTCAGACATCTCTTCCGGTCTCTGTCCAGGAAGGCTTTTCCAACAGGCCAGCCTGCCTGCATCCCTCTCAGCCTCAGATCTATACCTGGGTCCACTTGGCTCTCAGGGAACTGTCCGGTCTCCTAGCTTGGAGAGAAGTGGCCGGCATGTCCAGGGCATCCCCATTGCTCTGTGACTGCTGCCATCCTTCTCCTCACGCAGACACCCTGGTGGTTCCTTCCCCAGAACCCCCCACCTCTTGTTCAAGGGCCGGTGCTGCTGGGACATTCTTGACCTCTTGATTCCACCCCTCTGGCTGAAACACCGTCTTTGTGGGAAGCTTTTCCTAGCCTTCTCTTCTGTTCCTCCCACCCTGTATTCTTCATGGAAATTCATCTCCCCAGTGTTTCCTCATTGCCTTATTTATCTGCTTTGCCAAGAGGTAGGGTGCACTCAGAACATGGGTTTTGCTGAAATGACTTGAAAAGGCAACAAGGGGCCAGGCTCGTTGGCTCATACCTGTAATCTCAGCACTTTGAGAGGCTGAGGTGGGAGGAGTGCTTGAGCCTGGGCAACATAGCAAGACCCTTATCTGAATGAATGAATGCACCAAGGAAACTGCAGGCCCCACTGTCAGGGATTTTGAGGTCAGAGCTGCCCAGAACATGATCCTCACTCCCAGGGTCCCTCTGGCAGGGCAAGGCCCAGAGTCCTGGGAGGATTTGGGGGTGGAGGAACATGGAGAGATGTGGGTGGGGGTTGAGGTCAGGGCAGAAGTGGCCACTCTAAGGGTTTACCCACAGACTTCATCGACATTGTCAAAGACCCTGTGCCCCACAACGAGTATAAGACAGAAGAGGACCCCAAGCTGTTCCAGTCAACCAAGACCCAGCGGGGGCCCCTGTCCGAGAACTGGATCGAGGAGTACAAGAAGCAGGTCTTCCCCATCATGTGCGCATACAAGCTCTGCAAGGTGGAGTTCCGCTACTGGGGCATGCAGTCCAAGATCGAGAGGTTCATCCACGACACCGGTGAGCACACCCATGCCAGGTGGGCAGTGGCTGGGCTACCCAACCCCTCTGTCTCCTGTCACCTGCCTGTCTGCCTCCTCTCTTTGCATGTCTGCCTGGGAGTCTGCGTTTCTGTTTTGTTCTGGGAAGGTGACACCAAAGCCCATGTCCAGCTTCCCCACTACCCGCCAGCCATGGGTTATCTTGAACATCCATGAATACTTACTGAGCATCTGCAGAGACAAGCAGTGTGTGTTGTTGGATGAAGAAGCCCTAGGCACTGCCCCCAGACATTCCTGACCTAGTTCGCATTTGATAAAGAGTAGCCCACACTCCACAGGTCTGAGTAGCCCCTGGGGACAGGTTCCCTGCTGCTCATCTGGGCCTCTGGGCTCCCAGGCCTTTGTTTCCTCTACTCAAGGAGGCCCAGAACCCAGGGCCACAGCTCAGCCTCCCTCACTGGGCTGGAAGCTCCCAGGAGCAGGGTGTCTCAGACATCATAGTGGCCTTCACACCCACACCAGCCTAGCCAGAGTAGGTGCCCATGGAACAGGTAGACAGCAGATGGCCTGGGGGTCCTGGTGCAGTGAGTGCCATTTCCTCACCTAGAGCCCTAAACCCCCCTCTGCCGAGGTCATAGCATGATGTCATTCCAAGAGCTGGTTCCGGTCCCTGAGGCCCATGACCCAAAAGGCACCCCAGCCAGACACCTTGTGATGCCATGAGCAAGGGTGACTTTATTTAAGATTGAACAGAGCCACACTGTTGACAGTACATATCACGCTTGTCACGTAAGCTTACGATAACCCATGAGGGTAGGCATTGTCACTCCACTTATGCAGGAGGAAGCAGAGACCCAACACTGGGGCTGAACTAGATCTGCCTCCCATCCCAGCCACCCTTGTCCTGAATTAACATCCTCCTGTTCTTAGCATCAGTAAGGGAGGTGTCTCACTAGACAGCCATGTTCAGTGTTGGGGCTGTGACCCCAAGGGAAGGGTGGATGTGTACCCGAAAGGATTGGGGTCCAAGGACGCGGTCTTCCACTTGGAGAAGCGAAGACGTGGACAGGGCCTCGATGGGTGTGTTGGTGTCACCACCTCCATCCCCAGGGCAGAACACTCAGACACATTGTCCACCATTCTTTTTCCAGAAGGGCTGCTGCGGTGTCAATCAGCAGCTGGGAGAGGTGGCAGGAAGAGAAGGAAGCTGTCCCATCCATTGAGAGGGATGCATTCCCACAATCCATCTCTCTAACCCCATGGGAGCTTAGATTGGCCCAAACCTGCCTCTCTCCATTACCCAGGGCTCACAGACTGGGACCTGCAACCCCAGTGCTGAAGCCTCAAAATGGGAATGGTGGTTCTCACTTCCCAGGCAATATGAGGAGTGGAGGAGCATGTGGGCAGGACTGGGAGGGGCTCCCCTATCCTGGGCAGGGCGTCCCCTACCGCCCTTCTCGACCTCCAGGAACCTGAACACATCAGCGCTGGTGACTCGTCCCACCCTCTCCTCAAGGCTTCTCTAGGTTCAGCCCTGCACAGGACACCCAGCAGACCTACTAAGGCTGCAGCTCCTGGCACTCTGGCTCTGTGGGTCTGCTTGGCTCTCCCTAGCCCTACCCAGCAGCTGAGATCCTGGCCAAGCTGCAGAGACTCCCCAGCTCCCTGAAAGTCAGTTCTCCCCTCAGAAAGCAGGAGCTTGTGGCTGGTGGGAAGAAAGAAGACAACTTTAGAGTCCAGGCCTGACTCACACGTAGTGGCTCTGTGGTCTCTCAGCCTCACTGAGCTTTGCTTTTCTCTTCTGTAAAATGGGTGTAATGACACCGATCCTATCGGACTGTTGTGGGCCGAGACCGTGGGTTCAGAACTGAAGATGGGGTGTGGCACATAGGTGGAGCTTGATGACAACTGTGAGTACTAGTCCTATAATATCACGGGGATGATCTCGTGAACTCATGTGAGCTACGCTGGGCTTCTTGGGGGCCTTGAGGAGGCAACTCCTGGGGGTTGGGACAGCTCTCAGCTGTCCTCATTACTGCCTGGCCCCAGATGTAGTGCATGTCCCAGCCCTTCCGGTCACCCCAGGAGGAGGCATTTCCCTATATAGGGTAGAGCAAGGGATGCGGCCCTTCCTGGCAGCCCTGTGAGGCCAGCAGACAGTCCCAGAAAAGGTAACCAAGGCTCTTCAGTGTGCCACATCTGAGGCCACCCCTGGGGCTTGGGCAGGGGACACAGGACTCCATCCCACAGAGAGGTCTTTAAGAATGGATGGGATTTAGAAAGGAAGGCTGAGCAAAGCCAGGGGTGGGAAGTGAGGAGGCAGGAAAAGAGGGTACACAGGAGACCAGCCTGGGAGCCTGGCGTGGCCCAACTGCTTGCAAACCCGCTCAGCATGCTCTAGGGGAGGCGGGGGTACATGCCCTGAGATTGCTTCTCCCAGGTTTGTCCCCTGGAGAAATCCCCATGCCTGTTCTGGAATGTTCATTCAGAGCACCAGGTTTATGAAAGCAAAATGGAGAAACAATGTAAATTAGCCAAAGGCCCATTGGCAGGAAAAGGAATCAATGAAATGTGGCATTTCACACACACACGGATGCCACACAATCCCAGCTTGATGAGCCAAAGCCCCCACGCGTGCATCCATGGACAAAACTCACCCAGAGAAGCAAGTGGCAGAAAAATACAGCGTGACACATAGATGCGGAATTCAGCAACAGCCATACCAGCCTGATACAGTGTGCAGGAAAACACATCTGTGTGCTGAGACCAGAAGGCAAAACGCATGACAAGCAAAATTCGGGGCCAACTGTCAGGGGCCAGGCGAGTGGAGGGCTCCCTGTCGCCGGCGATGGTGTGTTTCTTCGCTGGGGCTGTGGATGTGGATGTCTCATTGCTTTTTAATGTTTTTTAAACAGCTTTATTGAGGCATAATTTTAGATTCCATATGATTCACTCATTGTAAGATAACAGTTTGGTAAGTTTTAGTATATTCACAGCTGGGCACAACTTCAGAGCATTCATCACCCCAGAAGGTCCTTTGTTCCCATTTCACTGTCATCCCCATCCCACCCTGGCCCAAGGCAACCCCCAGTCTGCTTTTAGTCTTTATCATTCTATTATTATTATTATTATTATTATTATTATTATTACTATTTTGAGACAGGGTCTTACTCTGTCACCCAGGCTGGAGTGCAGTGGCATGATCATGGCTCGCTGCAGCCTTAAACTCCTGGGCTCAAGCGATCCCCCCACCTCCACCTCACAAGTAGCTGGGACCACAGACACACACCACCACGCCTGGCTAATTTTTTTTTTTTTTGTCTTTTCTGGTAGAGATGGGGGATCTCCCTGTGTTGCCCAGGCTGGTCTGAAGCTCCTGGCCTCAAGCCATCCTCTCACCTCAGCCTCCCAAAGTGCTAGGATTACAGATGTGAGCTACCATGCCTGGCCCTTTAATTGTTTTTTATACTTTAAAAGGTATATATTCTTTACTTTATTCTACATCTTAATTTATATGTATAATATATTCTTATATATCTCACGTGCATAATATATTCTACTAAAAGCTTTTTTTAAAAAAACAAAAGAAAAGGAGAACCAACCCAGTTTGAACTTGAACTTGATTTTCCGTGGGAAATTTAACAGGAAAAATATAGCAGACACTGAGACACGAGACTCTCAGGAAGTCCTATTCTACCTCCCCTGTGCAGGAATCTCCCAGAAAATTAACTGTGGCTTCTTATTTATTTATCGATTTAGAGACAGGGTCCCACTCTGTTACCCAGGCTGGAGTGCAGTGGCACAATCATAGCTCACTGCAGGCTTAAACCCCTGGGCTCAAGTGATCCTCCCACCTCGGCCTCTAGAGTAGCTGGGACTACAAGCGCACACCAGCATGCTCAGCTAATTTTTTTTTTTAATTTTTTTTTTTTTTATAGAGACAGGGTCTTGTTTCGTTGCCCAGGCTGATCTCAAACCCTTGGACTCAAGCTGTCCTCCCACCTAATCCTCCCAAAGTGTTGGGATTACAGGCATGAGCCACTGCGCCCTTCCAACTGTGGCTTCTGACCGGACACATTGCTTTGGGAGGCCCCTCCACTCTAATTATAGAACCACTATGAGCTTGTGAGACTATCTGTGAGCCAGTCCCCTTATTTTACAAATGGGGAAACTGAGGCACAGACAGGCAGTGACTTTAGTTTGACCTGCAACATGGGTACAGCCTCCCAAAGCCCCTGCCTGGGCCCCACACTTCCGTGCAGGCTCCTGCGCTGACCTCCCTCCCCTCGTCTCTCCCTCTCTGATCCCCATGGGGCACAGGACTACGGAGGGTGATGGTGCGGGCTCACCGGCAGGCCTGGTGCTGGCAGGACGAGTGGTATGGGCTGAGCATGGAGAACATCCGGGAGCTGGAGAAGGAGGCACAGCTCATGCTTTCCCGTAAGATGGCCCAGTTCAATGAGGATGGTGAGGAGGCCACTGAGCTCGTCAAGCACGAAGCCGTCTCGGACCAGACCTCTGGGGAGCCCCCGGAGCCCAGCAGCAGCAATGGGGAGCCCCTAGTGGGGCGCGGCCTCAAGAAACAGTGGTCCACATCCTCCAAGTCGTCTCGGTCGTCCAAGCGGGGAGGTAAGGCCCTGCGCCACCTGCCACCCACACTCAAGGTCCCTCCCCTCAAGGCAGCCCCACACACTGCTGGATCACTGCACCTCCTCAGAGTTCTTTCCCATGGACATTGAGGCACCAAGCCCAGAGGGAGTCAGAGCCCTGGGCTAGTCCTCGCACACAGGGAAGCCTGGGCCCTGCCCCAGTGGGCTCCCCAACACTTCCCCTCCATGCCCAGGGAAGACAGTGCTACCCATAGGAGCAGTGGAGGTGGCTGGGCTCCTGCAGCGCGGTGGAGGGGCCACCCCTCCTGATGGGGACCCTAGGAGACTTCAGACCCTGAGATTAAGGATCAACCCAGGCACCCTGGGTGGAGCCAGCTTCTCCAGCAGGCAGGCCTGGCTCACTCATCTCCCGCCTGGGCCCTGCTGTGGCCAAATTTCAGGAGTTTGCTCTTGGTCAGACTCAGGTCAGAGGCCCAGGAGTGGACCCAGGCCTGTCTTACCCCACGTCCTGGGCTTATGTCTGTCATGCTCTTCCCCACCCATGCTCCCCGGGACATGACTGCCTTGTGCCAGGCGGACAGGAGATGAGCCTAGGCCGCTCCCCACTCATTTACACACTTCATTCTCTTCGGAACCTTCCTGGCTCCTGTGGCAGCCTCTGTGATGCCTGTCAGGCCTGTGGGTGGCCCTCCCTGCCTCCTGCCGGCTCAGGGCAGCCTCTGGGCCCTTCCTCTCCAGTTGGCGGTCAATCTGGGGTTTTGCCTTCCAGCGAGTCCTTCCCGCCACAGCATCTCAGAGTGGAGGATGCAGAGTATTGCCAGGGACTCGGATGAGAGCTCAGATGATGAGTTCTTCGATGCGCACGGTAGGCAGGCAGCGCTCTGCAGTCCTTGGGGCCTTCCTGGGCGAGGTGGGGAGGGGTCTGAAAGGGCTTAGGGTGTGGGTGTGGACTGATGCGGGTGTTGCCTGTTACTATTCTATATCCAGTCCCTATACCTGCACTGTCCCAGGTGGACAGCCTGGTGTTTGGGGCAGTGCACAGAGGATGAGATGAGGTCATCTTGTTCCCTTGAGTCTGGGGTCTCAGAACCCGATATCAGGATGTGCTGTGGGCCTGGCAGATGGGGACTGCGCTCTTGAAACCCCAAATAAGGATACACCATCAGACTAGGGCTTTATTCCGTATGTGAATTTATTTCCATGGAAGCATAACTTCTTTTAATTTTCTAATTTTTTGTACTTACCTTATTTCTTCTTGATTAAATTAATACCACATCTAATGCAGGCACTTTAGAAAATGCAATAAGCAGAAAACATGTGAAGTGCCCATTTTCCCACTAGTCCCAAAATAAGCGCATGACCATACAGCAGATGCACCACCTGTGCCAGGAAGAGGCATGCATACAGCGCTCGCCTGCTTGGTGCCCCAGCCATTCCTCTCCAGGAAGCTGGAGGGGCCAGCAGGTGTAGGGGTTGGGGGCTTGGGTCCCTCTGCAAGCCAGTGGCTGAGCCAGCCCAAAGTTCACACAGCAGCTCAGAGGCTCAGAAAGGGATGGGGGCGAGCCCATAGGCACTCAGCAGACACAGGCAGCACCAGATCTCATGTCACCACTGTGGCTTGGAGGGGCACAGGAACCACATAAGGTGGCATTTTGGTTAACTGGCCAGCTGCCCTCAAGGGAAGGAACCTGGGGAGTCAGTGTCCAGGCAGAAGAAAGGTGCCTGGTTTGGCCCTGGGACTGGAGGACCTGGAATGGTGGCTGGGGACTCCCGAGCTGGCCTCTGCACCAGGAGCCTTGCCCAGGACGGAGGAGGGGCCTCTTGGCGTCCCACCCCTCCCAGGTGGCTCTCTGACCCTGATGAGAGGACAATACGTATTTCACATAGAAAAAGCTGTAAAAAAGACAGCAAAGCAGGAAGTGCCAGGACAGCGGTGTCCTGGGGAAATGGGCCCAGGAGCCCATCCAGGACTGGAGGGGGGCCGGCAAGTGCCAGAGCCAGACAGTAGCCATGAGCCTGGTGGTCCTGGGCAGAAGTTCTCAGAGGAGCAGGAGGAGGAGTCTTGGAGGCGGTGTTCATAGCAGCACTTCTTATGAAGCTGTGCTTTTGTGGAGGGACAGGGAGAGGCCTGTTAGAGGATATGAAATTATATCTAGATAGGAGGAATGAGTTCTAGTTCTGTGACACTGCTGGATGACTAGAGTTAACAGTAATGTATTAGGCCAGGCACAGTGGCTCACACCTGTAATCCCAGCACTTTGGGAGGCTGAGGCAGGTGGATTGCTGGAGCCCAGGAGTTTGAGACCAGCCTGGGCAACATGGCGAAACCCTGTCAATACCAAAAATAAAAAAATTTTTTTAAACCACAGTAATATATAGTTTCAAATCACTGGAAGGTGGAAATTGAACATTCCCAACAGAAAGAAATGATAAATATTTGACATGATGGATATGCTAATTACCCTAATCTGATCACCATGCACTGGTGTATTGAAACATCACTGTGTACCCCATGAATATGTACAATTATGATTATTTGTCAATTTGACAAAACAGGAACTGGGTACGGTGGCTCACGCCTGTTATCCCAACACTTTGGGATCGCTTAAGCCCAGGAGCTCAAGACCAACTAGGGTAACATAGTGAAACCTCGTCTCTACAAAAATAAAAATAAAAAAATTAGCCAAGTGTCGTGGCGCATGCCTGTAGTTCCAGCTACTCGGGAGGCTGAGATGGGAGGATCACTTGAGCCCAGGAGGTCAAGGCTGCAGTAAGCTATGACTGTGCCACTACACTCCAGCCTGGGCGTCAAAGCAAGACCCTATCTCAAAAAAATAAAATATATAAGAAATTTTAAAAATGGTGAAGATGGAATAAAGTAAATGTAGCATTTTTTATTTTTATTTATTATTTATTTATTTTTGAGACGGAGTCTCACTCTGTTGCCCAGGCTGAACTGCAGTGGTGCAATCTCAGCTCACTGCAATCTCTGCCTCCCAGATTCAAGTGATTCTCATGCCTCAGCCTCCCGAGTAGCTGGGACTACAGGCACATGCCACCATGCCTGCCTAATTTTTGTATTTTTAGTAGACGGGGTTTTGCCACGTTGGCCAGGCTGGTCTTGAATTCCTGACCTCAGGTGATCCACCTGACTCAGCCTTCCAAAGTGTTGGGATTACAGACGTGAACCACCACCCCTGGCCTAAATGTAGCTTTTTTTTTTTTTTGAGACAAGAGTTTTGCTCTGTCGCCCAGTCTGGAGTGCAACGGCACCATCTCAGCTCGCTGCAACCTCCGCCACCCAGGTTCAAGTAATTCGCCTGCCTCAGCCTCCCGAGTAGCTGAGACTACAGGCGCACACCACCACGCCTGACTAATTTTTGTATTTTTAGTAGAGACGGGATTTCACCATGTTGGTCAGGCTGGTCTTGAACTCCTGACCTCAAGCAGTCCACCCACCTCAGCCTCCCAGAGTGCTGGGATTACAGGCATGAGCCACCATGCCTGGTCAATATAGCATTTTTAAAAAAACAGTCAGGAACATCAGCTGATGAGTGGACAAACAAAACGGGTGTGTCCATGCAATGGACTATGGTTCAGCCATAAAACGGAATGAAGCATCTGACACACACTACAACATAGAGGAGCCCCAGAAACCCTATGCTGAGTGCAAGAAGCCAGACACAAGACCACATGGTGTATGGTTCCATTTATAGGAAATGTCCATAATAGACAAATCTGTAGAGACAGAAAATTGATTGGTGGTGGCCAGGGGCCAAGGAAGGCAAGACTGAGGACCCACTGCTCCCGGGTATGAGGCTCCCATTTAGGGAGGTGAGATGTTCTGGAATTAGATAGTGGTGATGGTTGCAGGGCACTGTGAATATACTAAATGCCACTTTATAAATGGTGACTTTTCTTATGTGAATGTTACCACTATTTTTTGTAATGGTCAGGAAGATGCCCAAGGTGTGGGGCTGTGTGGCCGTCCTGTTGAGGAACGGTCAGAGCAGAGCCGTACACAGGGGCGTCCCCACCTCGGGAAGCCAGGCTTCCCCAGCGTTCCCAGTCCCACCTGAGTTTCCCTCTCTCCTCTCCAGAGGACCTGTCCGACACAGAGGAAATGTTCCCCAAGGACATCACCAAGTGGAGCTCCAATGACCTCATGGACAAGATCGAGAGCCCAGAGCCGGAAGACACACAAGGTCAGCAGGTCTGGGGGTGCTGCAGAGCCTGGGGAGGGCGGTTGCAGGGCTTCAGCCCCCTCCTTTCTGACCAGCTTCTGCACAGTGCTGGGCATACATGTGAGTTGGGGACCCCCAAGCTCCCCTCGTCACAGTTGCAGCCTCTGTCCGGTCGGCCAGGTTGGGCTGCCCCTCAGCTCACAGCACGGCTTCTGTGTCTTTGCAGATGGTCTGTACCGCCAGGGTGCCCCTGAGTTCAGGGTGGCCTCCAGTGTGGAGCAGCTGAACATCATAGAGGTGGGTGCCCGGGTGTCAGAGGGACAGGGGCATGGCCGCCAAGGGAGGGGCAGGGTGCAGAGGAATAGTCTGAGGGGTTACAGAGGTGGAACTCTGGGCCTGGCAGCCTCACCTCCACGCCTGCCTGGGTACTGTCTGGGGAGAGGCCTGGGCCTCCTTTTTTGCTGCCCTGCTAGGAAGGCGCCTGTCGCCCTCTGTCTCTGAGGTCCCCGAGAACCAGGGACTACAGACAACCCCTGAGAAAGCCTTATCCAAGCTCCACCCATGGGAAAGTAAAATGAGAAACTTGTAAATTCCAGATCAAAAATAAGATCTTCACCTTGTGCCCAGCCTGTCTGCTGTCCCTGAAGATAAAAAGACGAAAAGGGAGGAAGCGACAGTCGTCTAGGCAGAAGTGATGTGGCCGTGGCCGACAAGATGGCCCCGCGGGAGGCAGGCGGAGCTCAGTGTGTCCAATAAAACTGTCTTGGTAGAGCGCCTGTATCCGCTTCGGGGGTTCTCTGTGGGAGTTCATGCCCCATCCTCCTCCACCTGCGGGCCGTCAGAGCTGTTTGCACTGGGACAGGAGCCAGGGCTGAGCTGGGCTGTCCCACCATCACCTGCGGTCACCGCACTGCTCTGGCCTCAAGCTACCTAAGGTGGAGGCAGCACCACTTCTGTGGGGAACTCGGGCCCCCGGGGAATCTAGGCGGGGAGGAGGAGGGACATCCACACAGCCTCCCCCTCCTGTGGTTTTCTGCTTTGCGGTCTGATGCCGAGGTCAGCTTTCTAGAAAGGGTCATGGAATAAGGGGAGTTGATTTCCAATTGCTGCTTAATGTCTAGATAAGCAAACGGATCCCTTTCCCCACCTGCAGCACACACAGCTCTGACGCCCCCCCAGGGGAGGGGCAGAAGGGGCCTGGGGCTCTGGATCTGCCTTGGGGTGTGTGTTCAGAACCCAGCACTGATTCTGGGGTACCGCCATCCAAAGCCAAATCCATTTGCTTGCAAGAACCCCCAAACCGGAGCCCCTGCTCCTTGCCTTGTGGAGACACTAGTAGGGGGATGCCTCTACAGCTGCAGGGGGCTCAGCCCCAACTAGAGCCCAGGGCAGGCCAGGTGTCCCCTTGGAGAAAGCAGGCTGAGTGTAGGGAGGCTGTGTTCCAGGGGCCTCTGGGGGTCCCTGGATCATCTCCAGGGCTGAGCCCAGTCAGACAGGCCTATGCAGGATTCTCTCAGCCCCCAGTGCCAAGCCCTTCTCATCCCCTGGTGACAAAGTACCGCTGGATGTCACCTCCCTGTCGTGAAGGCTGCGTAAGACATTTCTTCCATAAGCCCTTCGCCTCACTGGACTGGAAAAAAGCCCTTGTCAAAGCCCAACAGGGCTCATGTTGTTCCCTCCTGCCATGTGTTCTGGGCAGCTGGTGGCCCCCTCTGCCCTGGGCTGAGTGTGTTTGTGTCCAGGCCAACCAGTGGTGGCTAATCCCCATGTGAAGACAAGTGTCAGTCCTGCCCTGGCCCCTGGGAAGAAGAGAGAAGCCCTTGGCTCCTCCTGGGGTGAGGGCAGCCCAGCCTTCCTCCTCCAGCTCAGCAGCACCCACCAGGCTTCTTGCTGCTCAGTGGCTCCTGGCCCAGCCCATCCATTCCCTTGCCCTTCCTGGTGCCCACTTTTTTTTTTTTTTTTTGGAGACAGGGTCTCACTCTGTGACCCAGTTTGCAGTGCAGTGGCACGATCTTGGCTCACTGCAACCTCTGCCTCCTGGGTACAAACGATTTTCCTGCCTCAGCCTCCCGAGTAGCTGGGATTACAGATGTGCACAACCATGCCTGGCTAATTTTTGTATTTTTGGTAGAGACGGTTTTGCTATGTTGGCCAGGCTGGTCTCAAACTCCTGGCCTCAAGTGATCTGCCTGCCTCGGCCTCCCAAAGTGCTGGGATTACAGGCTCGAGCCACTGCGCCCAGCCACCTGGTGGCCTGTTAAGTCCTGGATCCAGCCCCTGCCCTCCCCACCCACCCAGCCTCTGTGTTGGCACCTGGTTCCTGGTGCTACCCCTACCCCCTGGCCAGTTCAGGGCCAGCTGTCCCCACCACAAGCCCTCTAGATGGCTTTGGCTCCTTGGTCTGTCTCCTCGGGTTCTTGGAGGCAGGACTCTCCCTTCAGCTCCCTTCCCTGCCCCCACACCCCAGACATCATATGGACACAGCAAGTACTCATCAGTGGCCCCTCTCAGGCCCTGGCCCTGCTGCTATCCTCTGGTCACATACCAGAAGCTTGGGGCAGGGGAGGGTGACCTCTGGGGACAGGGCCACAGCCTGGCCTGGCAGGAGAGTGCTGAGTAGTGGCAGAGGCTTCAGATTCTGATCCAGCCTGGCACCGACACGCTATGTGATATTGGCCCAGTCCCCCAGCCTGGAGCAGTTCGCAGCCCCTACACAAGTGTGCAGGTCTAGGGTCTCACCTTGACCTCACAGGCAGGCCTGGCCTGGCAGGAAGGTGGGGTCATTACCTCTTGAAATCTGATCGACCTCCTCTCTAAGGTGCTGGGGCTCCGTCCCCACCAGGACACCTCTCCTTTTGGAGACCCTGGTCTTAGAGAGAGGCCAGGAATGGCAGGGCCTTAGGGTGGGGGCCTGGGGAGAATGACTTGGGGGAGAGCTTGGAGCTGCAGGCAGAGTAGCTGGGGTTGCCGCCCACTCAGGCTGTGGATGCCCTGACCCCAGCCATTCTCAGGTGACCTCTGTAACTTTGAGCTGGTGGTGGCCCTGTCTGCTCAGGCCAAGACAGACACACACAGGGCAGGCAGCCCCCAAGGCCAAGACAGGCTGAACCTCTCTGCCTCCCGCTAAAGCTGGAAGCCCCAGAAGCCACTGCCCGGGCTCCCTGAAGGAAGCAGAGCTCATGCTCTCAAAGGAATGGACTCCCTCCCTCCATGTCCTCTGTGCCCCTGGTGAGGGTGGCAGACAGGAGCAGGGCTGCAGGAGGAGGAGTGGACAGGCCCACCTCCCTGCCTCCTCCTGCAGGCTCCAGTCCCTGCAAGAGTCCCAGGGGAGGGGTTGAGGCAGCCAAACCCCAGGCTCCAGGCATGAGTAACCAAAACTGGGGTTCTCAGAGGGAGCAGTTGGGCTGCGTGCAAGAGGCACACCCCCAACAAGGGTGACAGAGGGGCCTCAGCAAGGAGCTGGGTTCCCTGGGGAGCTGACACTGTCCCCCAACCCATGCAGGACGAGGTTAGCCAGCCGCTGGCTGCACCGCCCTCCAAGATCCACGTGCTGCTACTGGTGCTGCACGGAGGCACCATCCTGGACACAGGCGCCGGGGACCCCAGCTCCAAGAAGGGCGATGCTAACACCATCGCCAACGTGTTCGACACCGTCATGCGCGTGCACTACCCCAGCGCCCTGGGCCGCCTTGCCATCCGCCTGGTGCCCTGCCCGCCCGTCTGCTCTGACGCCTTTGCCCTGGTCTCCAAGTGAGTGGCATCTGCCCTTGATTGCAGCCTCCGGCAGTGCACTGTCCTCCTCCTACCCCTGGGCCTCAGGTGGCTCCCCAGTTTCAGGACTCCTGCCCCGATGTCCAGACCCACCGGCCAGCCCCTTCTACCTGGAGGTGCCCAAACGTATACACGCAGGCTAAGCCTCGAGTCCCAGGAGGCCTGGGCCCATGGCTGAGCCTTCGTTTCCAAACGTGTAATGTGGGGATATTGGCCTGCCTCTGAGACATGGGGTCTTACCCACCCTGGTCCCCCAAGCCTATCCAGGCCCTGGCCGGGAAGGGTCCTCACTAGCGTATGCTGAGTCCATGGCTGAGACTCAGGTCAGGGGAGAGGGGCCCTTTGGGCTGAGCTGGAGCCGCCTGCCCTCTCTTGACTGGCCCCTCTCCCCAGCCTCAGCCCCTACAGCCATGACGAAGGCTGTCTGTCCAGCAGTCAGGACCACATTCCCCTGGCTGCCCTCCCCCTGCTGGCCACCTCCTCCCCCCAGTACCAGGAGGCAGTTGCCACAGTGATTCAGCGAGCCAACCTTGCCTATGGGGACTTCATCAAGTCCCAGGAGGGCATGACCTTCAATGGGCAGGTGAGTCCCGGGGAAGTTGGGGAGGGGAGGAGGATGGAAGACCCTGTAGGGCGGGCTGGCCTCAGGGGGAAGGTGACGGCCTCCCCAGCCTATAGTCCAGCGAGCGGGTGAATGGCTCAGGCCTCTGGCCCCTCTCTCCCAAGGTCTGCCTGATTGGGGACTGCGTCGGGGGCATCCTGGCATTTGATGCCCTGTGCTACAGTAACCAGCCGGTGTCTGAGAGTCAGAGCAGCAGCCGCCGGGGCAGCGTGGTCAGCATGCAGGTACCCAAGTGGGGGCCCAGACAGTCCCCAAGGCCTGAAGCCTCCTGCACGCCCCCAGGGTGGCTGCCCTGCCTGTTCCTGCACCTGGCCCCAGGCTGTGTCCACCAAGCAGAATGCTGGCAGCACTTCCTGAGTCCATCTGGCTTGGACTCTACCCAGTTAAGCTCTGTTCATTCAACAAACATTTTCCAAGCCCCTGACCCCCAACCCTGCTGCCAGAGCTCACCTCCAGGACAGGGGCTGTGGAGGGGTTGGGGGTGCAGGGGAGCTGAGGAAGCCCAGCACATTCTGGCCAAAGAGTCAAGGAAAGTGCCTGGGCCCTGAAAGAGCTGTAGCAGTTTTTCTCACAATCTCTTTCCCCTCACCCTTCCAAAAAAGGATGGGAAGGGCAAAGGTTGGCAGCATAGGTGCCCAGAGGCGGCAGGGCAGGTACATGGGGGCAGGGGAGCAGCTGCTATGTGGCCAAGCCTAGGAATGCGTGTGGTTTCATGAGCCTGAACCAGGGTCTGCACTGCGGGCAGTGGGGTCTGGTTCCTAGGAGGTGGGATGGGCGACCCCTCTCTGCTTCCCTGCCTCTGCTGCATAGTGGAAAACGGCCTGTAGACCAATGAGGTCCAGGGTGGCTGGTGGGTGGGAGGACAGAAGGGAATGGGGCCCTCCCCTCTGGTTTGGCAAGAGGCCGGCTGGACAGTGGCCGCTTGGCCTGGGGTTAGGAGGGAGGAGGCAGCTTCCAGGACACTGGAGAAGGGGTCAGGCCAGCGGCCACCTGGCAGTGAGCCTCCACGGGGCCGTTCCAGGACAATGACCTGCTGTCCCCGGGCATCCTGATGAATGCAGCACACTGCTGCGGTGGTGGCGGTGGCGGCGGTGGCGGTGGTGGCAGCAGTGGTGGTGGTGGCAGTAGTGGTGGCTCCAGCCTGGAGAGCAGTCGGCACCTGAGCCGAAGCAACGTCGACATCCCCCGCAGCAACGGCACTGAGGACCCCAAAAGGCAACTGCCCCGCAAGAGGAGCGACTCATCCACCTACGAGCTGGATACCATCCAGCAGCACCAGGCCTTCCTGTCCAGGTGGGCAGGGCTGGGGGGCTGGGGCTTGCCTCTGGGTGTGGGAAGAGGCTCCAAGAGGGAGGAACATCCCCTGTGATGGCCAACAGGAGACCCGGGCTGTCTGCCTGAGGTTCCCCCAGCCTGAGACCTGGAATCCCAGTCTGGGCCCAGGAGAAAGTGGCTTACTGGATGCCTTGTCTCATATACACCAAGGGCCATCTTGGGCCTGAGGGAGCAACTTGTCTTGAGGGTGAGGGTGGGGAATGGCAGAGTTGGGGGCAGAATGGACCAGGGGCAGGTGGTCCAGCTCAGGGCTGTCCTGAAGCCAGTGGGCCCCCGAGAGAGGTTGGGACCTGCTGCCACCAGCAGTGTCGTGGCAGATGATGGCAGCTGCACCCACATGACAGCTAAGTCTTATTTGGGTCTGCAGCCTCCATGCCAGCGTGCTGAGGACTGAGCCCTGCTCACGCCATTCCAGCAGCTCCACCATGCTGGATGGCACAGGTGCCCTGGGCAGGTTTGACTTTGAGATCACCGACCTCTTCCTCTTCGGGTGCCCGCTGGGGCTGGTCCTGGCCTTGAGGAAGACTGTCATCCCAGCCCTGGATGGTGAGAGCCCAGCAGGGGCAGGATGGGGGGTACATGCACTGGGTGCGGGGGCGGGGGTCTCAGTGGACCCCTGTGATGAGATCATGGCCACGTCCCAGGCCTGTTTCTGCCCTCCTTCCTGTCTTCCCCACCAAGGGCCCCTTGCTATCCTCTGCTCCTGCTTCAGCAGCTCAGTCACTGGCCGTCCGTGACACCTGCTGTTTCATTTCATCTCCGGGGTGCCTGTGGATGCTGAGGGTCAACCCCTAGATGGGCAAGCTGAGGTCCAGGGAGAGAAGGCACCACCCCAGAGTCAGATGGAGACAGACCCAGCCTCCCAGGTCCAAGGTCCTCCCATAGGGAGAGATGCAGAGGCCAGGCATCCCCAAAGCCTCCTGGGTATAGTGGGCTCCCAGCCCTGGAGGGGCCACAGCTGTGCGTCTCTGTCTACCCAGGGCAGGCAGGCCAGCGGCTGGGCGTCATTGGAGCAGCAGTCCCTGCCCTGTGCCCTGGGATCAGCCTGCAAAGCTCCAGGAGCCACACAATCCTGAGAGTAGCAACACATGTTACACTCCCAGATGACAGAGGGGGAAACTGAGGCTCAGAGAGGTTTAGATGCTTGCCAAGTGCAGGTTAAAAATGCAGAGCTGGCCGGGCGCGGTGGCTCACGCCTGTAATCCAGCACTTTGGGAGGCCGAGGCGGGCGGATCAGCTGAGGTCAGGAGTTTGAGACCAGCCTGACCAACATGGAGAAACCCCGTCTCTACTAAAATTACAAAATTAGCCAGGTGTGGCAGCACATGCCTGTAATCCCAGCTACTCGGGAGCCTGAGGCAGGAGAATCGCCTGAACACGGGAGGGCGGAGGTTGCGGTGAGCCAAGATTGTGCCATTGCACTCCAGCCTGGGCAACAAAAGCGAAACTCAGTCTCAAAAAAAAAGAAAAAAAAAAATGCAGACCTCTGGACTCAGCACCCAAGTGCCTTCCCCTTCCATAAACTGGCGACTTCAGCACTGCCAGGAAGAGAAATGGGTAGCTTTAAGGGGACCCCAACAACCAAGGCAGCCCCATGGAGGGCATCCCTGTGCCCCAGCCACTGCAGGCTCTGAACAGCCCCACAGAGTCCCACACAGGTGCATGGAGACTTAGGGACAGTACCGTTGTGGTCCCATTATGTGTCATTGTGAAAAACCAGAACCAACTTAAATGTCCGTCTATGTGGAGGGGCTGGTTAAATAAATTCTGGCACAACCACACAGTGGAGTACCCGCCTCCACTGAAAAAGAGCAAGGAGAAACTAGACGTGCTGACATGAAAGACGCCAACATTTTTTGTGTTAAATGGGAGGAAAAGGCAAAGTTCAGAAGGCATAGCATATGTTCTGGTTTATGTCCCTCTAAAAGTGAGATACAGCACTAATAATTAACACAACCTTGCATTCACGTGATCTCCTTAACTCCATGACGTGGTTGGAACTGCTGCCCCATTTGACAGAAGGGGAAACATTTTCCGATACAGGCAGGGCAGGGCTGCCCTAGCCAGCACTCGGTGGTGCTCCCGCAAGATGAGCTGGAGCTTCGGGGGGATCTGGGGTGGAAGGGGTTTCCACCATGTGCCCTTCATCATATGCTCTTCTGTACTGCAAACCACCTTTTACCACAATCATTATAACTTTTGCAATGAAAAAAAATTAGAGGTCAGGCGTGGTGGCTCACGCCTGTAATCCCAGCACTTTGGGAGGCCCAGGTGGGAGGATCACTTGAGTCCAGGAGTTTGAGACCAGCCTGGATAACATAGTAAGACCCCATCTCTACAAAAAATAAAATAAAAAAGCCAGGTGTGGTGGTGCACACCTGTGGTCCCAGCTACTCAGGAGGCTGAGGGGGTAGGATCACTTGAGCCCAGGAGACGGAGGCTACAGTGAACCAAGATCGCACCACTGCCCTCCAGCCTGGGTGACAGAGCAAGACCCTGTCTCAAACAAACAAAAAAGTGACAATGACCCAAACAGGTCCCAAATTGATAGAGACACACCCCCCATCTTATCCCTAACTTTCAGCAGACAACCCAGTGCCCAGTTCCCAAATTTCCCACCCCCACCACTGCTCCTCAGGGCCAGCCCCAGCTCTGCAGCCAACACCCCCACCCCCAGTTTTCCAGCTGCGGCCGGCCTGCCAGCAAGTCTACAACCTCTTCCACCCCGCGGACCCGTCAGCTTCACGCCTGGAGCCGCTGCTGGAACGGCGCTTTCACGCCCTGCCGCCTTTCAGCGTCCCCCGCTACCAACGCTACCCGCTGGGGGATGGCTGCTCCACGCTGCTGGGTGAGAGGCACATTCCGCCCCACTCCTCTGGGGGAAGGTGGGGTAAGCGTGGCTCCCTGGCTCCTAGGTCCTCCATGCTACGTGGTTCTTCCCCAGGTGAGAGGGACAGCTTGTGCTGAATGCCTCTTGGAGGTGGACAGCTGTTGGGGGTGGGGGGTGGGGGTGGTGCATCCCTCCGCACTGATCCCTGTGAGGCACAAATGATAGTTCCCACCTTTCAGAGGACACAGGTCAGGGCCTTGTTCCAGGGTCCCCGGAGCAGGGAAAGGGCAGAACAAGACCAGACTCCCCTCTCCACAGCTGAGCCTCCATCCCAACAGAGACAGAGCTAAGGACCCAGCAGGGACCCTCACTTAGTAGGGGGCCTGGGTCGGCTGGGTCCCATCATGGCAGGCGGCTGGCCCCGAGATAGGGTGCAGGAGATGCGTTGGGGCAGGGGAGGTCCAGGTAGGCTTGGCCCGACCCCTGCCCCAGCGTGTGTCCCAGCGTCTTGTCACGTCCTGGTCCTCGAGGAGCCCTGAGTCTCTGTGTCAGAGCGTGTCTGGATGGCCCATGCAAGTGTCTGTTCTTGTCCTCTGTTCTCTCCCCGTCTGCCTCCAGTCGAGACCGTGCAGAGAAACCCTGAGCTGGTCCTGGAGGGCGGCCCCCTGGCCCCTCTCCCCCACGGGGACGGCTTCCTGGAAACCAGTATGCCTGTTCCCGCGCCCACCTGGCAAGACGGGCCCCGCCCGGGCTGTGCCGAGTGTGTGTACCCTCCCCTGCTCGTGGTGACGTCTGCTTCGTTGGTTGACCTGGTCCTCAGGGACACCCCCCAATCCATGCCCTCCTTGGCCACTCACAGTTCGTGGGACCTGGGTGGTGAGGAACAGAGACTTGGGCAGGACGGCTCTGGGGAGCTGATGTCGGTGCTTCCTCCCTGCATATTGTGGGCCAGAGGCAGGGCAGAGCCAAAGCAAAGGGGCGCAGCAGCTCAGAGACAGCAGAGGCCGTCTCAGGGCCACACAGCAAGTCAGCGACAGTTCCAGGGCTCTGCCAGAAGCAGACTGAGGCCTTGAGCCAGCCGGGCCCACCCCTCACCTGGGGAAGCTTCTGGTCCCAGCGAGGGGTTGGATTCCCCAAGGCCCACTCCTTCGCTTTCTGAGGTCACCCAGGCACCTCCTGTACCCCGTCCAGGTGTGGCTTGTCTGGCTGAGCCCCATCCTCCCTGTTCTGTCCTGTCTTCAGCCTGCGCCTGGGTGAGCCTGGCTTGAGCCCCCAGCACCTGCCTTTGTCCCCAAACGCCCATCAGGGGCTGCTGGCTGTGGCCTGTGTGAGGGATGCTCAGGGCTTGCCTCTCTCTGTGCTCTGCATGTGCAGGGCATCCCCAGGAAGCCACCCATGGCACCTGTTGTCAGCGCCCTGCAAACCTGGGTGGAGCCGCTGCTTCTGCTGTGGGCTGTGGGTCAGGTCAGGCCAGGGTGAGCTCTGGAGGCCCTGGAGCCACTGGGGTGCTGGAGACAAGCTGAGGGGTGTGTGTGGGGCAGGAGGGTGACTGAGGTTGAGCCCAGCTGCCACGCCTCCCTGCCCTGTGTCTGTGTCCATTCGTCAGTCCACCCTGCCCCAGCCCTCCTCCTCACCTGCTAAAGCTCTGGGCCCCTTCCTCTCACGGCCCTGAGCAGGTGGCTCTGGCACAGCTGCTGCCCAGCCTCCAGTCTAGGTGCACACTGGACCCTGGCACACTGGCTTCCCCACTGCTCCGGGGCTGGGCAGGGCCTCTCTTACCTGGCCTCTGGTCCCTGTCCACCTGCAGCGGATGTGCTCCAGACCCACAATGCAGCCTTCCAAGAGCATGGCGCCCCCTCCTCGCCGGGCACTGCCCCTGCCAGTCGTGGCTTCCGCCGAGCCAGTGAGATCAGCATCGCCAGCCAGGTGTCAGGCATGGCTGAGAGCTACACGGCATCCAGCATCGCCCAGAGTGAGTATACCAGGCCCCTCACCCTCCTCACTCAGCCAGGGCCATTGTGCCCACAGGGGACAGCTGCTGGCCATGTCTAGGAGCATTTCTAGCTGATGAAGCTAGGGAGGGCTGCTGCTGGCACCTGGTGGGTAGAGGGAGGGAGGCTGCTGGGCACCTGCAGTGCCCGGGCCAGCCCCACAGCAGAGACCGGTCAAGTCCAAAGACTCTGCAGTGTCTAGGCTGAGAAGCTTCGCCTTCTCAGGAGGATTCTGGAAGAAGGCGCATTAGTAAGGGCCCCGCCTTCCTCATGCTTAGCTCCTGCATGAAGCCTCTTGGTGCTTGAAGCACAGCCCGGGTTCCCTTCTCAGTCCCCGCCAGGGGCTGCGCCCCGTGCTGGGCCAGGGATTCTCGCAGCTGTGGTCAGGGTGGCCATGCAGGAGCTGAGGCTGGGGTGGGGGTTGCTGGCAGTTGTGTTCATCCGTGAGGAGGGCCAATGGGCTCGCCCTTGATAGCTCCAGGCCTGGCACTGTCCCAGTGTCCTGCCTGGCCCCTGGTAGACGTGGCAGTGCGGTCATCCCCGCGTGGCTGAGCCATCCATTGCTCTTGCTTCTCAGAGGCCCCCGATGCGCTCAGCCATACCCCCAGCGTCAGGCGTCTGTCCCTGCTCGCCCTGCCCGCCCCCAGCCCCACCACCCCTGGCCCCCACCCTCCAGCCAGGAAGGCAAGCCCTGGCCTGGAGAGGGCCCCTGGCCTCCCTGAGCTGGACATTGGAGAAGGTACCACCCCACACACTTTCCCCTCACTGGGGGTCACTCTGCTGCTGAGCACCCCTCACTGCCAGGCTCTGCCCACCTAGACCCCCGCTTCGGCCTAACAGGGAGCTGGGGGCTGGGCTGGGAGGACTTGGCCATCTAGGGAGGAGGTGGGAGCTGGTGGCATTGTCTGGTGGGGTGGGGGACCAGGGACCCCACGGAGCTGGAGTGAGGCCAGATGAGGACCAAGGAAGCTCCGGGGAAAGCTGTGGGCAGAACCTAGGGAAGCCTGGACCTGTAAACCAGGCCCTGCTGCTGGGCCTCTCCTGCGGACAGCCCAGGGGGCACTTTACAAGCTTGTCTTGTTCAGGAAGGTTGTCCTCGCCCAGCCCCTAGTGGCAGAGCCAGATGCACCCAGGACCATCCATCTGGAGGCCCAGGCTTCCCCGCCCACACTGCTGTGTCTCAGGGCTCGTAGGGTGGCCCAGGTGCGAGAAGGGCAGCACCCTTGCCCTGGGGATCAGGAATTGTAACCCCATCTCTGTGCCGCCTTTCCCAGCCTTGAGGCCTGGGGGAAGATAGGAGAACAGGAATGGCCCAGAGAGGGCAGAGATGGGGTTGCCACGGGGCAGAGGGTCACCAGAGTCAGGAAGGGACCACAGACAGCTGGTACCATCCCACAGATGGCGACTGGTCCTCCCACGCAACCGCAGGAGCCCCTCAGCAGGGCTGGCACTCACCACTGTCCTGGGTCTGCGTGCTTTTGCCTGCGCTCCCTCCCGCTTGCCTCACTCACCCAGCCTGGGAGAAGACTCACTTTTGGCTATAGCTGGTGGGGGGACTGTGCTGGGCTGAGCAGGCCAGAGGGGCCGGGTGACCCTTCGGGGTCCCTGTCTGGGGCTATACAGCCCCAGCCCAGTCACGGCCCCTCCTGGCAGTCGCTGCAAAGTGGTGGGGCCAGAAGCGGATCGACTACGCCCTGTACTGCCCTGACGCCCTCACGGCCTTCCCCACGGTGGCTCTGCCTCACCTCTTCCACGCCAGCTACTGGGAGTCAACAGACGTGGTCTCCTTTCTGCTGAGACAGGTACCCGGGGCCTGGGACCTCCCAGGAGGGCCCTGAGTGACAACACCCATGACAGGGCCACATTTCACAGACGAGGGGACAGTGGGGACTCCTCTCCAACCCCATCAGATCACAGAGCAAGCAAGATGAGGGCACCTTTATGCTCGGGTGTATTCAGGCTTTTCAGGACATTGGGATGGAGGGAACATATCTGCACATTCGTCAGGTGAACGAACAGGGGTCTGAGGGCTACTGGGCAGACAGTAGTGAGTTGAAGAACACCCCCTACAACCCACAGGCTCCTCTTGCTCCCGGGTACTGGGCCTCCTCCTCCCAGGGCAGGAAGCCCCCGGGTGGCATCTGCCCCACAGCCTGCACTGTCCCCTCTTCCCAGGTCATGAGGCATGACAACTCCAGCATCTTGGAGCTGGATGGCAAGGAAGTGTCGGTGTTCACCCCCTCAAAGCCAAGGGAGAAGTGGCAGCGCAAGCGGACCCACGTGAAGCTGCGGGTGAGGGTCCCCCGGGCGCCCAGGCCCCCACGATGTCACCCTGTCACCAGCCTCCGTGTCCAGATGAGGAAACTGAGTTGCAGGGAAGCCTGCAGTCTTATGTACCTTCCCAGGCCATGAGGTTGGAGCTGTCAGCCCACTTCACAGACAGGGAAGGCAGCAAGGCTTCCTAGTTTCTCCAAAGCCACGTCATCGTGTCTGATCCAGACTCAGACATGGGCTGCGCAGCTCACAGCTCAAGCCTGCCCCTCAGGCCCACAGAGCTTGAGCAGAACACAGGGACCCGGGGTGCCCTCCGACCCCCTGACCTGGGCTTGCCACTCCCTCCACAGAACGTGACGGCCAACCACCGGATCAATGATGCCCTTGCCAATGAGGACGGCCCCCAGGTTCTGACGGGCAGGTTCATGTATGGGCCCCTGGACATGGTCACCCTGACTGGGGAGAAGGTAAGGACACGGCGGGTAGGGGTAACATGGAGGGACTTTGGGGAGCTCCCTGCTGCCCTCTGGCCGGGGTGCAGGGGGTGGAGAGGCCAGACACAGCCAGCCCGTGACCAGCCTGCTGGGCCCAGGTGGATGTGCACATCATGACCCAGCCGCCCTCAGGCGAGTGGCTCTACCTGGATACGCTGGTGACCAACAACAGTGGGCGTGTCTCCTACACCATCCCTGAGTCGCACCGCCTGGGCGTGGGTGTCTACCCTATCAAGATGGTGGTCAGGTATATGCCTGCACTGGGAGGGCGGGATAGGCAGGGCGAGGCTCTGGGTGGTTCTGATGAGCACCCCCACCACCTGCCAGGGGAGACCACACGTTTGCCGACAGCTACATCACCGTGCTGCCCAAGGGCACAGAGTTCGTGGTCTTCAGCATCGACGGTTCCTTTGCCGCTAGCGTGTCCATCATGGGCAGCGACCCCAAGGTGCGGGCCGGGGCCGTGGACGTGGTGCGGTGAGTGGCCCAGAGGGGCACAAAGGGGCTGTAGCAAGGTGGGTGGGCTCAGGGGCTCCCACCAGCCAGGTGGAGGAGGACAGCGGAGCCTCTGTGGGGGACGCCTGGCTCGGGCACTGGGCCTTAAGGACCTCAGTTCAGAGCCCAGCACCCCCAATTATTAGCCGTGTCACCTTGGGCAAGCGATGTCACTTCTCAATGTCGGCTTTCAATTCCCGCATCTGGAAGGTGAGGCTGGTAAGCCAGGGACACAGCAGCAGGGGCATCTGCCGCCCAGTGCGGGCACCCAAGGGCCT
Source organism: Homo sapiens (assembly GCF_000001405.40). NCBI lineage: Eukaryota > Metazoa > Chordata > Mammalia > Primates > Hominidae > Homo > Homo sapiens. Next base: position 122,986,984 of record NC_000012.12, on the reverse strand, counting down.
GCTGCAGCACGTCATTGTCAACCATTGTCGTCGTTACTGTCTGAGCTCAATCAGAGATGTGCTTTCCAATGGCCCAAGTGGGCCCTGGCTGGGCAGGAGACAGGGAGGCCCAGGAGGGAGGAAGGGGTGACCATGAGACGACACCTCACCCCCAGGCACTGGCAGGACCTGGGCTACCTCATCATCTACGTGACGGGCCGGCCCGACATGCAGAAGCAGCGGGTGGTGGCGTGGCTGGCCCAGCACAACTTCCCCCATGGCGTGGTGTCCTTCTGTGACGGCCTGGTGCATGACCCGCTGCGGCACAAGGCCAACTTCCTGAAGCTGCTCATCTCCGAGGTGGGGCCCGGGAGGATGGGGCAGGGCAGGGGTGGGGGCAGAGGGACCATGGTGCCTGTGCCCATGCCAGTCTCCCCACAGCTGCACCTGCGCGTGCACGCGGCCTATGGCTCCACCAAGGACGTGGCGGTGTACAGCGCCATTAGCCTGTCCCCCATGCAGATCTACATCGTGGGCCGGCCCACCAAGAAGCTGCAGCAGCAGTGCCAGGTGAGTGGGCGCATTGTGGGGGCGGGTGCAGGCGGGCAGCTCGGGGAGCCCCAGCCTGTGACAGCCGTCCTCACTGACCCCGCAGTTCATCACGGATGGCTACGCGGCCCACCTGGCGCAGCTGAAGTACAGCCACCGGGCGCGGCCCGCTCGCAACACGGCCACCCGCATGGCGCTGCGCAAGGGCAGCTTCGGCCTGCCCGGCCAGGGCGACTTTCTGCGCTCCCGGAACCACCTGCTTCGCACCATCTCGGCCCAGCCCAGCGGGCCCAGCCACCGGCACGAGCGGACACAGAGCCAGGCGGATGGCGAGCAGCGGGGCCAGCGCAGCATGAGTGTGGCGGCCGGCTGCTGGGGCCGCGCCATGACTGGCCGCCTGGAGCCGGGGGCAGCCGCGGGCCCCAAGTAGGGCACCGTGAGTGCAGCGCGGGGTCTCCATGGTGCTAGGCCAGGGTGGCCAGCCCCGCCAGGAGGCCTGGCCTGGGCACACGCACTGACGTGGGCCTGGGAGATTGTCCCAGGGCCTTGTGGAGGACACGGGCCGCACCACACAGTGCTCCCTGCCCTGCCTCACGTCCTCGGGCCTGACGGGTCCGGCTTGTCATGGAAGCTGGCAGGGACCACCAGCCCCAGGATGGCAGAGGGACCAGAACCTCCCACTCAGACTGGCCCGGGAGGTTCTCCCAGACATTTTGCCCTGTGTGGATCTCCAAGTGTCCTGGTGCCAGGTGTGGGCCCAGGCGCAGCCTGCCACCTCCCCATCCACTGGCCACCCTCACTCCCAGGTCCCCTCCCATTTGGTAGCAGCTCCAACAGGGGTCCAGCCTGCATCTTGTTAACTCGAGTTTCTCAACTGTTCAACCTCACTGGTTTTGCACTGATTTTTGAGAGCGGAGACCCATTACCACCTCCTATGGCTACAGCCCCGTTGACATGCATGAAACTCAGTACCTGCTGACCCAGGACCTACAACCACACTGAAGGCTCCAGTGCGGCAGAGCCTCGTGCAAGCAGGAGAGAAAGGCTGTATCTTAATTTCTGCACCCCGGACCCTGCCCACCTGTCTGCCTGCCCCGCCTGGAGCCCAGGCCAGTGTTGTTTCCAGCCTCAGGCCACGGGCTGGACGGGCCTGGCCGCCTCTTCCGCTCCCTGCCATCAGTCAAGGCCGCCCGCCCACGTTTCTACGCCTTTCTACTTCTCAATCTGATTTCTATGAGGTTTTTTTAAACGAGCAATCCTTGGCTGCTTCCTTTTCTTAACTCTTTCAGTACTGAGAGCAGCCCCTCCACACTGAAAACACCCAGCACTGTGACGGAGTCCAGCCTGGTTCTGGGTCCCGTGGGCCCTGCTCCTGCCCACTTAGCGAGGCATGGGCTCCTTGCCTCACCTGGCCCCGGCAATCCCACTGAATTTCTACTCTGGGGTGGGTGGGGCACACACTTCGGTTTTTTTAATGCCAATTCCGTTTTCATGCCGAATCTAAGAAGCCACAACTTGCTTTGTCAGCTTCAGGGCAGGCAGCCATGACTTCATTTCTCGCCTGAACAAGGACCATGCTGTCCTGCACGCTGGGTCTGACCGTCTGCCCTCTCTCCCCAGCACCAAGCGTGACCTTGGCTGTGGCGCTCAACGGCCAGCTCCGGCGGCCCCTCTGCTGCTCCTCGGCTTTCCCGGAAGTGGGAGAGCCTGCCTGGCCTCGGCCTTTGTCCAGCGACCAGGCTCTGTCCCCGAGAAGCTACGGCCGACCTGGGTCTGGTGTTGGGACGCATGGACCGGGCTGGGGAGGTGCACAGAGTGATGTTAACTTTTTCCCGTGTGTAGATATGTACAGCCAAAGGGTCGTGTAAATGTTCTGCAAAAGTGGGTCTATACAGAGTGAAAGCTATTTATTTTGTGCAGAGAAAAAAGTCTGGAGGGATGGAACCTTCAGGGTTTATTCATATTTAAGATGTAGCTTTTTGTTGTTTCAGGCATTATGTATAAAGCAACGATTATTTTATGGACCAAGTTTTCATGTAACTGTTGCAGTGAAAGTGCAATATCTGACCCCCCTGCTCCCAGCAGGAAGTTGCTTGGCCCGACAATCACAGCCCCTGTCAGGGGCCCTGTGGCCAGTGCCTCCTCCTCTCTTGGCCCCACCTTATCCTGTCTTGCCTGCTGCCTGGGAGACCAGCCATCCAGAGAAGCACCTGGAAGAGTCTCGGGCCCTCCTGCAATAAAGGCCGGGAGGCCCTGTGGGCAGTGGGCTCAGCCTCTCCCCAGGGGGGCAGCTCCCCCACGGCTCCTCACTCCCCGCCTGCCTGCCCAGCCGCCAGCCATGCCAAGGACAACAGCAATAGTCCCCTGGGGCTCTCCCAGCGGCCCTCAGCCATAGATGGCAAGGTGGGCAGCCTGCCCCCCCATGGGAAGTCTCTTCTGTATCCAGGTCTGCTTTCCACCTCCCTTCAGATTCCTTTTGGCACATTCTCCTCTTGAGGAAGTACCAGTCTTTCTGAAACTAAGAGAGGGAGGGCAGCGTCCTTTAAAAATACCAAAAATGTTTACAGAGTTGGGTGCTGAGCTGCAGGGCTCAGGCCTGACCAGTCATAACCAAAGGGTGAGGCAGGCCTTGCTGACTGCCACCCCCCAGGCCTGTTAGAATAGAAGCCTTAGTCCCACTCCCACCACACCCCCACGCCCCACCACCTGCCTTCTCTTTGATTTCTAAAGAGGGATTCAGCAGAGACCCCCCACCCCTCCCTGGCTCGGTCTGAGTCCCACTGCCCACCCCATCACAGCCTTCACGTCTCAGCCCCTCCCGTCTGGTCTGTCCGTGTGCCGTCTGTTTCTCTGGGCCATGTGTGAGCAGTGTCCCCATCTCCCCATCCGTCCCTGCTGTCCCCGCATCATTGGGCCTGAGTGTGCTCTGTATACAACGTCATGTCTGTTACACCAATTAAAGAAGCGGGAAGGCTTCCTTCTGGATCTCTTTACTGCAGTGGCGACCGTGGGGCATGGTGGGATGGGGGCATGGAACAGTAATGCTAGTGACACTCACAGTGACGCCAACACGTGAGTGCGGGGCTGACTCTAGGCCTAGCCTGCTTCTAGCTCCTTCCTGGGATGGAACTCAGTTTGCCCTCACAGACCTCAGTGAAACGGGTGCTGTGAGCCTCCCTGCCTCAGAGTGGAAGACACAGCTGGGCAGTGAGAGCCAGACCTGCCACACAGGCCACCCAGCCCCAGCACCTGGCTCTGCACTGCTGCGATCTGTGGAATGAACATGGCAGGGGAAGCCGACTCTCTCCATGCCTGAGTGCATGGCATTTCAGAGCCAGCTCTCTGGGTTTGGGGTTCAGCTGGCATGAGGTCTGGTCCAGGCAGGCTGACCTGAAGAGGAAGGCACAGGCGCTGGTGTGGCCTGTGCTCACGACCACCAGAGGACACCCCAGCTTTGCCCAAAAGCTCCCGGAGCCCTTGTTTTTCCCTGGCAGTCATGTAGCACCCTTCCCTCCCACTCAGCACAAAAAGCCACAGAACAGAGAAAGTCTATCCAGGGGGCCTTTAATAGCTGAGAAGTGCTGCTCTTTCAGATGGGGGTGCCAAGCAGGCCGGTGACCCCAACCTCCACCCCCTGCCCCTGAGAAGAGACTGGGCTGGGCCAGAGACCAATCCACGGGGGAAAGGCCACCAGCACCCATCAGGCTTCCCACTGGCACCCTGAAACCTGCCCAGGCTGGGCCGCCAGCGTCGTCCACAGGCCTTGGCCAGCGGGGGCCCTCAGGGAAGCAACCCAGCTCGCATCTGGAAGGCCAGGCAGTCCCCTCGGGTGGCTTGCTGGGGAAGAAAGCACACAGGAGGAGGGGTACATCACAAACAGAGCTGGGGGCGGATGGCAGGCAGAGGGGCCACACCCACCTTGTTGATCTCTCTGTGTCGTTCTTTGGTTACGATTTCCTCTAGGACCTCGCCATCTCCCTTAATAAGCCTGGGGGTGGGAGGGTCTCCGTTCAGCAAGGAATAGGCAGGTCCCCTAATGCCAGAGGAGCAGAACCACAAGCAGCCGGCAGAGGGGTCCCAGGGCTCCCACCCCGCAGCCTTGAGTGGACAGACCCTGGGGCCTCACCCACTCTCCCTGATGAAGGCAGTGGAGCTGGGCTCTGCCTTGCCAGCCTCAGCCCGGCCAACAACAGCCCTTTCAAGAGCCTCCTCCAGGCCCTTCCAGCCCCTGCAACTACTTACTCCAAGTGACCGTATTTTTGCCCACATTTGGCCTTTTTCAGGCACCAGGAACCCCGCCCGGCCCCACTCCTCCCGAGAGCACACATCTTCAGCCAACACTCCCAGATCCTGTGGTGTAAGTCAGGCCGAAAGCTCCCCACCTGGTGCGCCCCGTCTCAGGGTCCACCACCTTGCGGATGATGCTCTGCCGGGCATCCCACTCCTCCTTGGTCATGGGCTTCATGGCCTGGATTCGGGACTTCTGCTCATCCGTCAGGACTGGAAGGGAAGACGGAGGTGGTGGCCAGGCCTTGGGAAGCGACCTTCTCCCTCTCAGGTGCTGGGCAGCACAGTACCTGGGCCATCCTCTTCCTCCCCAGCTGATCGGTGCCACTGGTCCAGCGAGGGGCCCGGCAGAGCCTCCACCTGCTGTGCTTCCGCCTTCTCCTTGCCCTTCTTCTTCAGCTTCTTCCTCTTCTTCTTCTTCTTCCTCCTCTTGTCCTTGTACTTCCCCCGCTTCTTCCGGCCATCACTGGAGGAAGAGGAGGAGGACGAGGAGGAAGAAGAGGAGCTAGAAGAACTGGAAGAAGAGGAGGAGGAGCTGGATCTTGTTCTCCTCCGGGCCTTCTGCTTGCTTCTCTCTGTGATGCAGGGAGAAGGTGAGGCTGGAAGGCCAGGAGGGGAAGAGGTAAACCTTCGTCCCCTGCTCTGGCCTGGGGCAGGCACAGACCGGCTACAGGGTGAGCGCTTCCTGAGGGGCTTTCCAGAACAGAGATGGAGCTTCCCAGAGGAGCCCCTTCCTGGCTCCTGCGGCGCCTGGCCCTCACATCTCAGGCCCGGCTGCACAGAGGCATGACTGAGCGTCCCCGACCACTGCTCGCCCGACTTCCCCGGGTAGTAACTGCGCCTCCTCTCCCCGATGCCTGTGGTCCTCACCCTCCGCCCCAGGGGCCGTGCTGGCCTTGCGACCTTGGGATGTGGAGGCCGAGCAGTTCCTCGAGGTGTCTTTCCTGCTCTTCTTCTTTCTCTTTTCCGACCCCCGTCCCCGGGACCGGCTGCGACTCCTCGAGCGCTTGCGGGAGCCGACGTGAGCCATGGCGCCGCGGGCTGGCGACGAAGAAGACGCGCTTGAGCCGAAGCCCCCAAGGCCGGCCGCGGGCGGGCTCCAAGGGTGGCTCTAGCGGGGCCGGGGCCTGGCGACGCCCAGTACCCGTCACCGTCCCGGGAAAATGAGCGACCCTCACCCACCCCCAGCGCTGGGGACCCCGGTTTTCTCCGCCGACTCCAGTCCCCGCAGCGGTGCCTGTTAAGGGCCCGCCCCGTGCCCGGAGGCCCCACGCCTGCGCACCCGGCTCCAAACCCCTGGGAACTGGCCGCCGTCCGCCGCGAGTGGCGTCTGGGGCGCTTTCCCGCGCTCTCCTACCCTCCAGCCCCGCGCCCTTCGCGGCCTCGCCGCCTCAAGGGGGCCCCCGGGGCTGCTCCGTTCCCACCTCGACCGCCCTGCGGGCCGGACAGCCCGCCCCGCGCCTTCTCGAGAGGAAGCGGCGGCGAGGAGGCTTCCGGCCGGGGCGCTGCGCGGGAGGCTGGCCGGCTGGGAAGCGCGGCGCCGCTGCCTTTCGTTCTGACGCCCCAGGTTCCGTCCCGGGCGCGCCCACCTCCCGCAGAGGCAAGCAGGGGCGCCGGCCCTCGAGCTCCGCAGCCCCTCACGCCTGTGTCTGCCGAAGCTGCGCCCACTTCCAAGGCTGCCCTCTCGGCGCACGCCCGCAGCACCCACGCCCCCGGTGCCCTGGGAAGAAGGCGACCCTCGCGCGCGCCGCCCTCCTCCCCGGCTGGTCCTGCCCTCTCCATACGACTGCGAGCTCCAGACTGAGGCGCCCTGGTCTTTCCGACGCGCCCACCCAGTGACTCAGAGGTCGCAAACTCGTGTCCGTAGGGGCCAGAAAGATCTTGGCAGTGAGCGCGGGCATGGACCCCAGGCCCATCCGGAAGGAAGCCAGGATTCTGCTCCAGCTGATACGTGCAACGTGGCATGGGGCTGGTGCCCCACCTTCCCAGGGAGACCAAACTCAAGACTGCAATATGGAAGCCCCCTGAGTTTCAAATGTGTAACCCAAAGCGTGGCTGTGCGCTTCATCCAATCTCGGGCCCCCAAGTTGCAACTCTTCCACAATGACAGCCGCAAACACAAAGGGATCTTGCAAAGCACTTTATATACGTCAGCGCATTTGACTCCCAAAACAGCTCTAGGAGGTAGGTGCTAAATGAGGAAACGAAGGCACCAAAAGGTGAAGGCTCACCTAAAGCCACACAGCTGGAAGTGGCAGAAGCAGAATGGGAACCCGGGCAGCCTGGTTCCTGGCCCTGCCATTCACCCCTCTGCCATCTAGAAGATGCTACTGGTGGCCCACCCGAGTCCACTGGGGGGTGATGCCTGCTGCTGAGGGTTCACATCTGTGCTCTCTGGAGGCTTCCCTTGGCTACTGGAAGGCACCCTGCCCTGGAGATAAGTGTCTGGGAAGTTATTCACTCCTCTCTGGCCCCCTCATCCAGGAGCCAGTAACCGGTGGTGTGGGCACACTGTGGTACTGTGGGCTCTGCCTGGAGCTCTCCGTGGGGCCAGCTGAGGCTGGACGTCCTCTGAAGCCACTTCCTTGCCCAGCTGCTCCCTCCCCTCCCCTGCTTCCCTGACTCCCTCGCTGAAGCCCCATTCCAGACCCTGCTTCTGACAAACCTGAACTAAGGCAGCATCTTTGCCCATAGAATGACCCAGAAGCTGGCACACCGTTGAGCCAAGAAGTGCAGTAGGCTGCGGGGATTTTATTTCTGCCCCCAGACCAAGGCAACGGAGCCCTCACCTGCCTGCCACCCCCACACTGGGCCCAAGCAAGCTCAGGTGAGCGCACATACATCCACCGTGGCGGGCTCCTCTCGGGTGAAGCCATCACCGAAGCCCTCATCGTCCACCAGGTCGGGCTCACGGCAGCACATGGGACAGAGGCTGTTGCGCACAGCAGAGGCTCGGAGCCAGACGACAAGGTTCCAACGCTCACCAGTGCCCAAGGGCCGGGCTCCATGCAGCTGGCCGCCACGGTGGAGGACACCCTGGCCCACCACGTGCTCCACCTCCAGGGGCTCCGTCAGGGCTGTGGGTGCCTGCAGATGGCACGACTCAGGCCTGGGCACTCACAGCTGCCCCAGGCCCTGCCGCATGGGTCACACACTCACCTGGAAGAGGCCCCCAAAATACAGGGCGCCCCCTGTGAAGACCTTGCCCAAGGCCACATTGAGGGTGAGCTCGGCATTATCATAGTGGCAGCCCAGCTCCAGGTCCTGGCCCGGTGCGTATTTGACCACAAAGGCCCGGTGGCTGTCGAGCCGGCCCCCGCCACAGTCAGGGTACAGCAGGGCCATCAGCGGCTGCAGGAAGCGCTCCCGCAGTGGTGTCATCAGCGGCTCGTCCAGCCCGAGCTCGTGCAGCAGCACCTGGGAGGGGATTCCTGGGGTCAGCAAGGAAACTAGAGGGCTGCAACCCTGGGCTTCCACTCCACGGTGATCCCACTGTGACCTTCTTTCGCAGCCCGGGCAGGCAGCCCATCTGCAGAACCTCTGACACTGCCTCCTGACCCCAGCCACCCCCTCCTCTGCCACCGGCCAGGCCTCACCCACCCCGTAGTTGTTCATGGTGTTGGGCCTCCCCTTAGGCATGTCCGATTGCTCGAAGTGCTCCAGCTCTTCCAGCAGGGCCTGGCAGAAGGGCGCTGTGAAAACAGGCACCCGGTAGATGCGCTTCTCCTCTGTGGAAGGAGGGATGGTCTGTTGGCCTGAATGTGGCCGTGGGCCGGCCAGGCCTGGGCTTCAGTCTTCCTGTTTCATCACCTGTGCCATGGAGATGAGGCCTTTGCTTTTCAGGGCTATTGTGATGACTTAAGGAAGTAACATGAGGAGCAGGGGAGGCCGATTCCCATGCCCCCCACTTATGCCCGGAACCTTTCCCCAGACTCTACAAGTGTCCACAGGGCTGGCCCTGGGAGCTCACATATGGGTCCTGAGGCCCAGAGAGGGGAAGGAAGTAGCCCAGGGACACCCAGCAGGCCAGTGACAGCCAAGTCGGGATCACAGAGCCAACTTCAGGCTCTCTCTGCACCTCCTTTCATCTGATGAGCCACCGAAGTCTGTACCCCAACTCAGAAGTGGCTCTGGGAGCCTCTGTCCCCCAGCAGGAAGGCCAGAAGGGGCTGTTCTTTCTTGCTGGGCCCTGAGGGGGAAGAAACCAGGCTGAGAATGGAAACCTAAACATTTCTTGGCGGACGCACCAATGCCCAGGGGTGCAGGGCTAGTGTGCCCACGATGGGGCCACCTCGCAGCCTAGGCCCTGCCCCAGCCAACAGCCTCAGCACTATCTCAGCTGCCGGGGAGTGGAAGGCAATGAGGAGAGCACCCCCAGGCTGGGAGGAGGGGGATTCATTCCACCCATGACTCCCAACAAAGCACAGGCTCCATGAGGGGAAACTTGTATCTGCCTCCCACAGGAGCCCCTAGCCCAGGCTATCAGTGCCAATAAGAATAGGAAACACTTTCCAAACACTACGTGCGGGCCCTGTGACAGGCACTCTATGCAGATTAACTCACTTGATCGTCGCAGTGCCTTAAGAGAGGGGGTTACTGTTGCTCCCATTTTACAGATGAGGAAACTGAATCAGAGGTTAAACAACACGCAAACCTCCCTTGCCCAGCATTTCCTGCTGGGTTTAGCCAATAAGTGAGCCCAGCAAGAAATCCGAAGAGAAGTGGGGCATTTTTTGCCCTACTTGGAGTTTGGCATGGCCGCAGGCCTCCGCCCAGAGCCACAACTCCAGGTGGTAACTGCTCCCTCCTGTTGCCAGCCCTGGGGGGCCGGGCTTTGCCATTCCTTACTGGTCCCTTTATCCTGCCCATACCTGTCTCAATGGTCCCTTTAAGATCTTGGATCAGCCCTGTTTGAGTGTGCCAGCTGTCCCACACATGACACAAATATCCACTATTTGCTGGATGAGGGCACGAAGGAAGGGTGAAGGAAAGAATGAAGATACCAGGCTCATGGCAGGTATTGAATGAATGAATGCGGATGTCCTGCTCCTGGCAGGTTGGTCCCACTGACCCTTCCAGCTCCTGCTGGTTTGGTTTTTGGAGGCAGAGATGGTGGCTGGAGGGACCCCAGCATCCCACACCCAGGTTTCCCAGGCTGCCATTCCCTGGTCCTGCCAGGTCTCAGGGCCAGGACCTCACCCGATACTGTCTCCAGCCGCTGGAGAAGGCCCTTGAGGTCTGCGTCTGGGGACACGCTGTACTCAGTCACGGCCAGGAACTCGGGGGCCAGAGCTGCATCCTGGGAGCAAAACACACCAGCTGTGGGGCAGGCAGCACCCCCAGCCCTGGATGCTACCTCCTCTTTCCAGTACCGGCCTTCAAGCACTCTGGCTGGCTGGTACCTGCAGTGAGTCGTAGACCTCAGGCCGTGCCGGGTGGTAGGAACTCGCGATGAGGGCTTTCCTAGCTGCTGACTCCTGCCCCAGCCGCTGCCGCCGCTCCACCTCCTGCTCAAGCTGGGGTGGCACAGGGTTGTTACCAGGTGGGGCCTCCCATCCTCCTGAGGCCACTGTACAGATGAAGAAACTGAAGCCCAGAACGCCAGACAGGGCCCAGGCTGGAAGCCAAGTCTAGCCTACACTCCTGAATCTATCTGGGTCAACTGCAAGTTCCAGACTGTTAGCTGAAAGGGACTTCTAGAAGGGGACCCATCCTGTTTCAGGCTGCCCCAACCTGAGCCTAGCTGGGATGAGAACCCCTAGATGTACCTCAACCATCTGGGCCCACACAGGGACAGGAGACAGTCATGGCCAAGTCCTGTGTTCCAGAGGTTGCTGAGGACTCTCCTGGGAAGCTTCCCACCACTGACTCCAGGGGAAGGAGGAGGAGGGAGTGGGGCAGCAGCCCTGGCAGCAGCCTGCGGGGTATATGGTAAGGTGTGAGGAGCCCAGGGGCCTGGAAGCTGTGGCTGGGATCACATCTGCTCCTGCTGTAAAAGCTTGGGCAAGGGATCCCTCTTTAAGCCTCAGCTTCTCAATCCAAAATGAGAGTGGTGCTTGTGCTTATCTCACAGAGCTGTTAAGAACGGCATGACTAGGCAACTTAGCAACTTAGCATTTCCCCTTCTCTCTCCTGGTGCCAAGACTCAGGTGTGGAGGGATGAGTGGGGGGCAGGAAGGAGGAAAGTGAGGGCCTAAGTGACCCTTCAGGGATCAGGGACTGAGGCTAGGCTCAAGCTGTGTCCTCAAGCTGCGGACACAAATCTAACGAGGAGGAGCTGTGCAGGGGCAGGGGACTGGTACCTCTGCTAACAGCTGCTGGAAGTCCTTGGCGCTAACACAGCCTCGGCTGCGCAGGATCTGGGAGCAGAAAGAACACTGAGCATGACTGTATGACCTGAGGAAATCCCTTCACTCTCTAAGCCTCAGTTTCCCCTGCTTAAAATGGGGAGAGGAGCCCCGACCTCAAAGGATCATGGAGAGAATGAACTGCGGAACCCTGTCAAGCTCAGGACAGGGCTCCGGGCTGGTGTTGCTGTGAGGCGGCAAGCTGAGCCCGGCCCTGTCCTAAGCACCCTACATGCTTGTTCATTCCTTCCTCACAATCTCACAGGGAGATACTATTACCCCTTTACGGTGAGAAAACCGAGGCAGAGAGAGGCCGTCATTCTTGTATTTGAAGATACGGTGCGCGGCGTGCGCAAAGCAAACGACCCTGGGGACGAACTTCCCTCCTCCACTACCCCTCTCTGCCCACTGCTCCGTAGGGACGACAGCGGCCACTCACCGGGCCGTAGTCCCGGCGCAGCTGCTGCTCGCCTCGGAAGCGCACGTGCAGCCCATAGCGCGCCACGTACAAGTTATCGGTGCAGAAGCAGGCGCAGCGGCAGAAGTGCCGCGGAGCCCCCACCGTCGCCATAGTGAAGCACCCACAGCCCTACCAGCTTCCGTAGAGAGACTTCGGGCACGCCCCCAACCGCGGGAGGCGCGGAACCAGCGGCCAAGGGGCCGCTCTAAGTTCCCAAGGGCGGAAAAGGACGAAGACGCACCTCGCCAGGAAACGGTCTGCGGAGAAAGATGCTCCTGGGCCGGGTTGGGACCGGCGGCCTCCTCGTTCCGCCTCCCAGTTTTCCCACTACGAGGCAGGGACTAATGGCTCCACTTTACAGACAGCTGAACTGGGTCGTGCCTTCACAGGACGGGGAGAGGAAGGGACTCGGAGCCCCAAGGCCTTTGACTTAAACGCCGACCCACCCCCCGCCGTCTGCCCGGAGCTCGTGGAGAACCAGCCGAGCTGAGGACAGTTTAAAGAGCTCGGAGGTCCGACTAGTTCCCGCTGGTGCTTCAATCATCCAGCCCTGTACGTTTCAGTTTGGATTTAGCATCTACCCCGGGTCCCTGCCTGGCGCTTCCGGTCCCTCCGCCACAGTCTGTTGGATTACCTCAGATTGCCCCAGTGAGTGTCTCCACCAAAACGCTCCGTCTCGCATTACTTCCGGTGGCGTTCCCAATGGACGCGGGAGGGCGGGGTCAGGTGTGGGAGGGCGACGGGGCGTGGTCTCACCGCAGCCAACAAATGACAACTCTTGCAGACCGAGCCTCTTCTCTCCCCGGACCTTTGCTCAGGAATCTACCAGCATTAAACCTTTGAGCTAGGTACTATTATATCACCGTCTTACAGATGAGGAAACTGAGACCCAGAGAGGCACAGGGACCCGCCGCAGGTCACACATCCAGTAAGGGGCAAATATGGCGTTTGAACCCTACAGAGTTCCCCAGTTAACCACCACAGGGCTTCTGGGAGTGGTGGAAGTATGTGGGATTTGGGGTTTTCTCGTGCAGAGCTGCCCGGCCCGAGAAGGTGTTTAACGTTTTACAGTCGTCTTGATTGCCCAGTGATAGTGAGAGGCCCTGCTATCTAGGAAAGGATCCATTTCCCCAGATCAATGTTCATTACCCGCCTAACTGCCCTTTTTCCCCAGGAGGCCCAGGGCAGGTCGGCTCCCCAGCCACCCACCAGGCAGGCCTGGCACATGCAGCACCCCACCCCACCCTCACCCCCTCTCCGTTTGCAGCAGTTTGCAAGATGAGTGTGTTGTACCTATCAGTTTATTTATTTGTTTATTTACTTTTTGAGATAGAGTTTCACCCAGGCTGGAGTGCAGTGGCGCGATCTCCGCTCACTGCAACCTCTGCCTCCCGGATTCAAGCAGTTTTCCTGCCTCAGCCTCCCGAATAGCTGGGATTATCGGCAGGCGCCACCACGCCCAGCTAATTTTTTTGTTTTTTGTTTGTTTGTTTGTTTGTTTTGAGACGGAGTCTTGCTCTGTCGCCCAGGCTGGAGTGCAGTGGCACGATCTCGGCTCACTGTAAGCTCTGCCTCCCGGGTTCACGCCATTCTCCTGGCTCAGCCTCCCGAGTAGCTGGGACTACAGGCGCCCGCCACCACACCCGGCTAATTTTTTATGTTTTTAGTAGAGACGGGGTTTCACCGTGTTAGCCAGGATGGTCTTGATCTCCTGACCTCGTGGTCCCCCTGCCTCGGCCTCCCAAAGTTTTTGTTTTTTTTTTTTTTTTTTTTTTTTTTTTTTTCTTTTTTTGAGACGGAGTCTCGCTCTGTCGCCCAGGCCGGACTGCGGACTGCAGTGGCGCAATCTCGGCTCACTGCAAGCTCCGCTTCCCGGGTTCACGCCATTCTCCTGCCTCAGCCTCCCGAGTAGCTGGGACTACAGGCGCCCGCCACCGCGCCCGGCTAATTTTTTGTATTTTTAGTAGAGACGGGGTTTCACCTTGTTAGCCAGGATGGTCTCGATCTCCTGACCTCATGATCCACCCGCCTCGGCCTCCCAAAGTGCTGGGATTACAGGCGTGAGCCACCGCGCCCGGCCTTGTATTTTTAGTAGAAACGGGATTTCGCCATGTTGGCCAGGCTGGTCTAGAACTGAGACCACTGCGCCTGGCCTGCTTATCAGTTTAGATTGGCCCTCTCCATGGACCCTCTCCTCCTTCCAGACACTCTGGGCTCAGTCACCGAAGGGAGCAGCAGCAAGAAGAATATTTACCAGCAAGTACTGAATCAACATGTGCTGCCAGCCAGCGCTGACATGTATCTTTGTTGACTGCTTAAGGTATTATTACCCCCATTTTACAGATAAGGAAAGTGAGGTGGGTACAGGAATCTGTCTAGAGTCATAAACCTAGTGAGTAGCAGACCAGAATTAGAACGCTCCAGAATTAGAGTATCTTGATTCCAGAGTCGTATGTATATGTGTATGTGAATATATGTATATGAATGTGCAATCATATGTATATGTCTGTATATGTGTATATTTACACATACTTTAAAAATTGACATAGAGGCCAGGTGTGGTGGCTCACGCCTGTAATCCTAGCACTTTGGGAGGCTGAGGCCAGCGGATTACCTGAGGTCAGGAGTTCGAGACCAGCCTGGGCAACATGGTGAAACCCCGTCTCTACTAAAAATATAACAAAATTATCCAGGCGTGGTAGCACACGCCTGTAATCCCAGCTACTCGGGAGGCTGAGGCATGAGAATCACTTGAACCCAGGAGGCGGAGGCTGCAGTGAGCCGAGATTGCGCCACTGCACTCCAGCCTGGGCGACAGAGTGAGACTCTGTCTCAGAAAACAAAAACAAAAAAGTCAACATAGAGCACTGGACAAACCCATGTAACCAGCACCCAGATCCCAATCAGAACATTCCAGCCCCCGTAGAAGCGCCCCTGTTATTTTTCTCGACTGCTTTCTATTCCCTTGAGTGAACATTCCACAAGTCATTGACCCATTCTACAGCTGACAGACATTTACGCTGTTTCCAGTTTAAAGACATTACGAATGAGGCCAGGCGCCATGGCTTACGCCTGTAATCCTAGCACTTTGGGAGGCCAAGGCGGGTGGATCACGAGGTCAAGAGATCCAGACCATCCTGGCTACAAAAAATTAGCCGGGCGCGGTGGCTGGCGTCTGTAGTCCCAGCTGCTCGGGAGGCTGAGGCAGGAGAATGGCGTAAACCTGGGAAGCGGAGCTTGCAGTGAGCCAAGATTGCACCACTGCACTCCAGCCTGCGTGACAGAGTGAGACTCTGTCTCAACAAAAAAAAAAAAAAAAAAAAAAGACATTATGAATGAAGCTGCTATGAACATTCTTTTTATTATGATAACATCTACATAACGAAATTTACCATTTTAACCACTTTTAATAGATTTCCTTTTTTTTAAGATCAGTTTTAGGCTCACAGCAAAATTGAGTAGCAAGTATAGCCACAGCACACACAGCCTCCCCCACCATCACCATCCCACACGAGCCAGTACATTTGTTATGGTCAGTGAACCCACACTGACACCTCATTATCATCCAAAGCTGGCAGTTTACATTAGGATTCATATATTCTATAGTTTTTGGCTGGGCGCAGTGGCTCACACCTGTAATCCCAGCACTTTGGGAGGTCGAGGTGGGCAGATCGCTTGAACTCAGGAGTTCGAGACCAGCCTGGTCAACATGGCAAAATCCCGTCTCTATGAAAAATACGAAAATTAGCTGGTTGTGGTGGCACACCTATGATCCCAGCTACTCAGGAGGCTGAGGTGGGAGAATCACTTGAACCTGGGAAGCAGAGGTTGCATGGGCAGAGGTCATGCTGCTGAACCCCAGCCTGGGTGACAGAATGAGACCCTGTCTCAAAAAAATCATTAAAAATTAAATAAACATATTCTATAGTTTTTTTGTTGTTTTTGTTTGTTTTTGATTTTTTTTTTTTTTTTTTTTGAGATGGAGTCTCACTCTGTCGCCCAGGCTGGACTGCAGTGGCATGATCTCAGCTCACTGCATCTTCCACCTCCTGGGTTCAAGCGATTTTCCTGCCTCAGCCTCCTGAGTAGCTGGGATTACAGGGGTGTGCCACCACACTTGGCTAATTTTTTTTTATATTTTTGGTAGAGACAGGGTTTCACCATATTGGCCAGGCTGGTCTCGAACTCCTGACCTCAGGTGATCCACCCGCCTTGGCCTCCCAAAGTGCTGGGATTACAGGCCTATAGTTTTTGACAAATGTATGTGGCATGCATCTACCATTACAGTATCATATGGAGTAGTTTCACTGCCCTAAAAATCCTCTGTGCCCTGCCTACTCACCCCTTCCTTCTCACTAACCCTTGGCAAACACTGATCTTTGTACTGTCTCCACCGTTTTGCCTTTTCCAGAATGTCATATGGTAGGAATCATACAGTAGGGAGCTTTTTCAGATTGCTTCCTTCTCTTAGGAATGTGCATTGAAGGTTCCTCCGTGCCTTTTCATGGCTTGATAGCTCATTTCATTTTAGCACTGAATAATATTCTGTTGTCTGGGTGTACCACAGTGCATCCATTCACCTGCTGAACGACATCATAGTTGCTTCCAAGTTTAGGCAATTACGAATAAAGCTTTATTTTATTTTATTTTTGTTTATGTTTTAGTCGATAAATCATTTTACATGCTCATGGGGTATGTAGTGATGTTTCAATACATATAATGCATAGTGATCAGATCAGGGTCATGAGCATATATATCATCTCAAACATCTATCATTTCTTCGTGTTGGAAACATTCAATAGAATAAAGCTTCCAGGCTGGGTGTGGTGGCTCACACCTGTAATCCCAGCACTTTGGGAGGCCGAGGCAGGTGGATCACCTGAGGTCAGGAGTTCTAGACCAGCCTGGCCAATATGGTGAAACTTCATCTCTACCAAAAATACAAAAATTAGCCAGGCGTGGTGGCATGCGCCTGTAATCCCAGCTACTTGGGAGGCTGAGGCAGGAGAGTCACTGGAGCCTAGGAGGTGGGGGTTGCAGTGAGCCGAGATCACACCACTGCCCTGCAGCCTGGGTGACAGAGCAAGAGTTCATCTCAAATAAATAAATAAATAAATTAGCCGGGCATGGTGGCAGGCTTCTGTAATCCCAGCTGATCGGGAGGCTGAGGCAGGAGAATCACTTGACCCCGGGAGGCGGAGGTTGCAGTGAGCTGAGTTCATGCCATTGCACTCCAGCCTGGGAGACAGAGTGAGACTCCATCTCGAAAGTAATAATGATAAAGCTTCTATAAACATCTGTGGACAGGTGTTTCTGTAGACGTAAATTTTTACTTCCTCTGGGTAAATATCACAGAGTGTGATTGCCTGATCATGTAGTAAGAGCATAGTTAGTTTTATAAAAAAACCTGCCGAACTGCCTTCCTCCCTAGCTGGACTGTTTTGCATTCCCAGCAGCAATGAATGAGAGTCCCTGTTGTTCCTCATCGCTGACAGCATTTGGTGTTGTCAGTGTTCCAGATCTCAGCTATTCTAGTGTGTGTGTATTGATATCACATTGCTGTTTTAATTTGCATTTCCTTTATGGCATATGGCATGGAGTGTTTTTTCTTTCTCTTTTTTTTTTTTTTTGAGACAGGGTCTCTGTCGCCCAGGCTGGAGTTCAGTGGTATGGACACAGCTCATTGCAGCCTCAACATCCCAGGTTCAAGCAATCCTCCCACCTCAGCCTCCTGAGTAGCTGGGACTACAGGCATGTGCCACCACACCCAGCTAATTTTTTAAATTGTTTGTAGCAACTGGGTCCCACTGTGTTGCCCGGGCTGGGTTCAAGTGATCCTGCCACCTTGGCCTCCCAAAGTGCTGGGATTACAGGCATAAGCCACATTGCCTGGACTTCCTTTTGTAATAATAGCTTTATTGAGATACACTGTACATACCATACAATTCACCAAATTAAAGTTTACAATTCAAGAGTTTTTAGTATATTCACAGAGTTGTGCAACCATCACTACAATCAACTTTTAGAACATTCCTCACCCAAAAAGACACCGTATCCATTAGCAGTCACTCACACAATGGTTCTTAGTCCAAGTTTACCAGAGCCAGTCTCTGTGACTAGGCTGGGGATGCAAATGGGACCACTCAAGCCAGTTGGCTGCCACATGGCAGCCGGGGGGGGGGGGGGGGTGGAAAGGATGCTGGGAAGGCAGTGACTGGTGGCCCACTCACCTGTGCCTCACCTGTTTCACCCTCCCCTTGTCACAAGGCTGACAGCCTCCTGCAGTGCACCTGACATTGCAGCTTACCTTCCCCGCCTCACCAAGCTCTCATTCTAAGATTGTTTCAAGTGCAAGGAGAGTGGGCCAGATATGTGAAAGGGACGCAGTGGCCAGGATTTGAGAAGCCCATCCTTGGCAGAGGTGACAAGCTATGCAAAGGTACAGAGAGGCCGGGTGCGGTGGCTGATGCTTGTAATCCCAGCACCGTGGGAGGCCAAGGTGGGTGGATCACCTGAAGTCAGGAGTTTGAGACCAGCCTGGCCAACATGGCAAAACCCCATCTCTACTAAAAGTACAAAAGTCAGCCGGGCGTGTTGGTACATGCTTGCAATCCCAACTACTCGGGAGGCTGTGGTGGGAAGAATGCTTGAACCCAGGAGGTGGAGGCTGCAGTGAGCCTGGGTGTCAGAGCAAGACTCCATCTCAAAAAAAAAAAAAAAAAAAAAGGTACAGAGGAATGAGAGACTGGAGAGCTTGCAAACTTGATCGCTGGAAAGCAACATCCATGTGAAGAAATAGCATGTGATGAGGCCGAATTGTTTCTGTCCGTTTCACATTTCTGACAGCTCCTGTTGATTTTTGCTATACTATGCTAGTAGTTACATAAAGGTTCAGTCATCCCATCTCTCCTAAAAATAATCCTTGTTCTCCTTTACTGAAAGTTTATCACATGCCAGGGGCTGCCCTCACTGGCCTTGTCACATTTTACCTTTACCTGATGCAGTCGATATCTTTATTACCCCATTTCTCTGATGAGAAAACAGGCTCAGATAGGCAAAGTCACCTCTTTAAGGTCACACAGCATAAATGACAGAGCCCAGCTCTGAGTGACTCCTGCTTTTTGGACAGTCCATCCAAGATATCGTCTTCAAGTACAATTAGATATTTGCCTTTGTTTTTGCACCAATAGTAACATGGTTCAACTTTATTCTCTCCTTGGTTTTTACTCAATACATTTAGGAGGTCATTCCATACCTTTATATAACTCTATGTCTTCTATTTTTTTTTTTCTGGCTACAGAGTATTCTGTTGAACAGGTGTTCTCTAATTATTTGGCCAGTTCCCTATGGAAGGGTATTTAGGTTATTTCCAGACTTTTGCTACTGTAGTAACTACCTTTAAGCTAGTACCTTAGCTCCCTTGCACAAGTCTATCTGTAGAGGAAATTCCTTCTGGGTTAAAAAAAAACATAGTGTTGTAAGTTCTGAACAAATTCCCCTCTAAAGAAGCTGTCCCACCAAGTAGCAGAGGACATTTCCAATTCAGAGAGTGCTCCAAAAAGCCTCTGTTCAGGGCTGGGCACACATGGCTCACGACTCTAATCCCAGCAGTTTGGAAGGCCAAGGAGGGCAGATCACTTGAGGTCAGGAGTTTGAGACCAGCCTGGCCAACATGGCTAAACCCCATCTCTACTAAAAATACAAAAATTAGCCAGGCGTGGTAGCGGACACCTGTAATCCCATCTACCTGGGAAGCTGAGGCAGGAGAATCACTTGAAGCTGGGAAGCAGAGGCTGCAGTGAGCTGAGAACTCGCCACTGCACTCCATCCTGGAGTCTCTGTCTCAGGAAAAAACAAAGCCTCTGATCAGAGGATCCAGGGATGTGGGCAGTTCTAGCCCCACCTGCTGCCCCTCTGGGCCGTAAGTCCACTCCCCCACCCACTTCCCACGGTTCAGGCCACATGGACCCTTTTCTGGTCCTCAAGTGGCCAAGTTGGTTCCCACCTCAGAGCCTTTGAACTTGCAGGCCTTAGCGTAGGATGTTCCTCCCTCCCCGTGGCTCACGCCTTCTCACCTTTCACTTACACAATTTTATTTATTTTACTGCATCCAGTACCTGAATGGCCTTATGCACTTACTTGCTGATGTTCTGTCCCCTTCACGCCATGAAGGCTGGGAGTTTTCTGTCTTTTCACACACAGCTGTGTTCCCAGCACCTGGCAGTCACTGAGGACATATCGCTGCCTCCCCTCTCCAATGCCCCGAATCCCTGATCTTGCACCAATTTTCTCCGTAAAATGTATTCCCTTCCAATATATCTCATTTGCTTATATGTGTTGTCTGACACCCTCACTAGAATGTCAGCTCCAGAAGGGCAAGGATCTTGTTTTGTTAATTGTTTAATTTCAAATGCTTAAAAGGGCATATGGCACGCCGTAGGCACTGGATAAATATCTGTTGGGTGAACGAATGAAAGAATAAGTGAATGAATGAGGACCATAACCCACCCTCCTGGACTGGCTGGCTGTCCCTCCAGGGAAAAAGGCCAGTTAAAAAGCTGGCCTCCTTCAGGTGAAACCATTTCCGTCCCCTCAGGATGGGCCCGTGGCTCCAGGTGGAGGCCAGCACGCAGTGTGGAGGGCCTGGTTGGCCAGATGTGGGAGGAGTTTGCCACAGGTGAGCAGGTGGCCAGCTGTGGCCCCGCCCCCAGGAGGCCCGTCCCCACCCGGAGGCTTCGCCAGCCCCCTCCTCGGGGGCCCCGCCCCGTCCAGGAAAGCCCGCCCACTCCTCCTGAGGCCCCGCCCCTCCCGGGAGGCTCCGCCGGTCCCTGCCCCAGGATCCCCGCCCCCTCCGTCACTGAGGCCCCGCCCCGTCCATCAGCCTGTCTCAACGCACGCCAGTCTCAGCTCCGACCTTGCAGCGGCGCAGCGCGGGTGGGAGGCGGGGAGGAGCAGCGGGAAGAGCGGAGCGAGGACCGCGTCCGGCGCAGTCTTCAATGAGCAGCGCGGAAACTGCACCCCAGACCCGAGCCTGCTGCGCGCCCCCTCCCAGAGCTCACCTGGTGCCAGGTAACAGGTAAGGGCAAGGCACCCTAGACCCCTGGTTTTGGGACCTTTCCAGGCCAGGGTGCCAGGCCAGGCACGCGTTGGGGGGCGTCTGGGCACCCCTGCCTCGGTGGGAATAGGCATCTCGGTTGAAGGTGGGAGCCTCCCTGGAGCCCTCCCGGAGCCCGCAGCCGCAGCTCCCAGCCCCCATCCCTGCAGCATCCTTTCCGCGCCCGTAGGGCGAATGTTGCCATTTTTTTTAACCCCCAAGGCGCCGCTGCCTCTTGGAAAATGTGGGAGGTGTTGGAGGATCCTGGGATGGCTGTCGTTCCCCCAGGACGGGGCTGGCGCGCCTTCTGAGGGCTCCCACTGTCCATGTCAGGGCTTCCCAGGGATCCTGAGCACCAGGGCTTTGGCAGAAGCCTGGGGGATCTGGCCTGTTCCTGCTGACCTGGGCAAAGCCCTTTTCTCAGTCTCCTCAGCAGGCCAGTGGGCTGCCGCTGCTCCCCGCCATCCACGCTGGCAGTGAGGCCTGTAGGTTCCCAGGGGAGCCTCTTTTATTTCTGGGCCTCTGGAAAAAAAAAAAAAGCCTCCTCCCCCGGCCTGACATTAACTGAGACAGCTTTAAGCTGGGCTGACAGGATCCCCGCCTCTGCCCATTCCCCTTTTCCGGATAGTGCAGGGCCGGGTGACAAGAGGAGGCTTGGAGGGAGGGCACCTCGCGCCTCTCTGCCTCTCCTAGAGCTGAGAGCACCTGAGACAGCTTCTCAAGTCCCAGAGTGAGGCTGGGCCCCACGTGGGCTGCCAGAGGCTCAGCAGGGATGAAATCAGGATGGACCCACGCAGACCCAGCCCGCTCCTGCCCCAGAGCCAGGGACCCCCACAGTCAGGCCCTCCCACCCAGCAGGCCTCTGTCAGTCAGTGCTTTGCTGCGCAGCGAATGGAATGGGCTTATCTGGGTCTGGGCCCACACCGGGGTAAAAAGCTCACCATGTCAGGGGTGAACCGAGGCCACTGGGCCACCCAAGTTCTTTGGCCCCTTTTCTTGCAATCCCTGAATAGCCTGGACAGGGGACCCCCGAGTCTCCATCCTGGAGACCCTGGATGCGGGTCTCCATCCTGCCTTCGTCCTTTTTCTGCGTGTCACTTAACCTCTTCTGTCTCCCCAGCTGTAAAACGAAGCTGATGACCACAGGGTCCTCCCAGGGAAGTGGGGAGGCCTGGCTGCTTTGGGAGGTGCCAGGCACATAGTAGGGCCCGGTGAAGGGTCTCTGTTGCAGTGTCATAATAACTTTTATCTATTGTCTCCTGGCCTTCTCTGCAAAGGGTCTCTGTTGCAGCGTCATAATAACTGCTATCTATCGTCTTCTGGCCTTCTCTGCAGCTGATGCCTAGAGATACCCCAACCAATGTCTCCTACCCTGGGAAGAAAAGCCTTTGACAAGACCCCTGGTGGGGACAAGGCCACTTGCTTATCCTGTGCCATTCTTTAGTGCACGGAGTCAGGGCGAGCCACCCCTGTCTTCCTGGGCCTTGTCCGGTTCTGGGTGGGGCCTATTCTGGCCACCACCTTGTCCTTGTCCCTCAGGCCAAGCAGGTCACCCATGTGCTCACAATTTGCCCTCCAGCTCCACCTGGCCGAGCCCAGCGCATCCTCTGAGTCAGGCAGTTGGAGAGCGGTGACAGGCCTCTAAGCAGCCTTGGCTGGTGGTCACGCTTCTGCCCAGTAGCTTTAAAAATAACGGAGTAACTGTCCCCACCGAGGACTGTAACCCGACCCGGGGCTGGAGTCCACTCTGCTAGGAGTCTGTGGTAGAAGGACTAGTGCTTGGGGGCAGGGACCCAGGTGCTAGCACTGCTCTGCCCCAGCCTGGTGGATGACCTGAGACAAGCCTCACCCCCTCCCTCTGTGGGCCTCAGTTTCCCCATCTGCAAAATGTGGCTTTGGTAGTCTGCGATATGAGTGTTTGAAATTTTGTTTATTCTGATGAAGATAAATAGGCTTCTGGAGGCGGGGGGCATGACTGGTACCCTGGGCTGTTGGGGGATGGGGAAGGAATTCCCCCAGAGGCTGGGAGTCAGGTTGGGAGAGTCAGCCAAGCCCCTGGGCTGCTGTCCAGGTTTTGAGTCTCTTGCGGATCTGCCTCCTGTTCCACTTCTGAGCCCGAGCCCCTTTCTGGGGACTGAGGGACCCCATGTGCCCACCACGAGGAGAGCAGCAGCTGAGGCGGCTGGCAGCACCTGGTGCAGCCGGCAGTGGCTTGGCTGGGAGGCCTGGAATGGCACCAGGCCAGGAGCTTCCCTCCCTGGGCTCTGACTGGAGCTCACCCACTCGCTCGCTCCCCACGGCCTCTGCATTGCAGCAGACAGGAGCCTGCGTGGGCAGCACAGGCAGGGCTGGGGAGGGAGCCAGGACCTGGGCTGAGGGTGTCCGACCATCCTACCCACTTCCCCTTGCCCTTGACCCTGCTTGGCCCTGACCGTCTTTGGAGGGGCAGCTGCTGACTAAGCAACTGTCATCTCTGCGATGGGCTTCGGTGTGCCTGGAGGTGTGGGGGTGAAAGCAGGGCCCAGGCTTGGAGGTTGTTATATCCCCCCACTCCATTCCCCCTCTGCATCTCAGACCCCTTCTCAGCATTAGTAGGGGTTGTGCCTACCTCCTGGAGAGGCTGTTTTGAAGGGTTGGAGCTATGGAGTTGAGAGTACAGATTTTGGAACTGGACGGCCAGGGTTCACATCCCAGCTTGTGACCCAACTCTGTGGGTCACCTAGCTCTGTGACCCAGGGCAGGTCACTTAATCTCTCTGTTCCTCAGTTTTCCTAACTGTAAAATGGGGATAATGATAGGACCTACTTCATAGGGCTCTGGTGAGTGCTGACGCATGTAAGTGCCTGGAGCCAATGTCAGCTGGCACCAGCTGCTGTCATTGCCAGCAATTAGCCTCAGCAGTCTTATCACCTCTGCCACACGGCCCAGCCCTCTGCTGGGGACCCTTTTCCTTAGATGAACACTTCCCGGTAGCATTTTCCTTCACTCTGTCACCCAGGCTGGAGTGCAGTGGCGCAATCTCGGCTCACCGCAACCTCCACCTCCCAGTTTCAAGTGATTCTTCTGCCTCAGCCTCCTGAGTTGCTGGGGTTACAGGCGTGCACCACCATGCTCGGCTAATTTTTGTATTTTTAGTAGAGACGGGATTTCGCCATGTTGCCCAGGCTGGAATCGAACTCGTGAGCTCAAGCTGTTGCCCATCTTGGCCTCCCAAGAGGCCCAGATGGGATTACAGGTGTGAGCCACCATGCCTGGCCCCTGGTAGCATTTTCTATATTGAATGTTATCTTAGTTTAGGGGTGAAGAACACAGATTCTGGGCTCAGACACCTATGAATCCACATCCCAGCTCTGCTATTCAGAAGCTGTGTAATCTTGGGCAAATTCTTCACTTCTCTGGGCCTCAGTTTCTCCATCTGTTAAGTGGAAGGGATGACAGTGCACATCTCACAAAGTTGCTGTGAGGATTAAATAGGTGGGGCCACCTGGATTTGAAGCACATGGTGCAGGGCAGGGCTCACAGGAAGTGCAGTGTTACATCCCTGTCTGCTTGTAGTTATTAGACAACTGCTTTGTGCCAGGCATGCAGTAGACAGGTGGAGAGGCAGATGCTGGGGTCCTACACTCACTGACTGCCTCAAGTCATCCTGGCTTGGGCCCTTGTTGGCTGAATGTCTGGATCAGGTGGTTTTGTCTCTCTGTGCCTCAGTTTCCCTAACTGTAAACGGGAATATGGAAACCCTGGCCTCGTGGGACTGTGTGAGGTTCCAGTCATGCCACAGTGTGAGCGGTTTGGGCACCTGGGCGCCAGAGCTTCGGGGAGAGGATCTCTCTCAGGATGGCCCCTTCCCAGCCACGACAGTCATCCCCGCTGTCACCCAGCGCCTCACCCCTCCTCTTGGGGGATCTAGAGCCCAGCCCATTTTGCAGATATGACAACAAAAGGCCCACGGGAGGAAGGACTGGAGCTGAGACAGGAGGTAGCACCCAGGGACACACCCCAGCCCGGTCCTAACCCTACCGTGGACAAGCCCCACTCACAAACTCAGGCCTCCAGGCCCACTTCCCGGGTGTCCCTGCGGCTCTGGGGGAGTCCTGAGGGACCCAGTGCCGGGAGATGCCTTGGATAAAGCAGACATCAAGATTCAGAAAACCAAAGGGGCCTAGGGCTGGGCACGAGGGCCAACCTGGGCAGGAGGAAAAGATTCTGGAAACTTCCAAGCAGATGCCAAGGTTTCTGGATTGCTGTGTGGCCTGCAAGCCACCCCCACAGCTGTCAAGTTCCCTCTTAGACCAAAATAGTTTATTTGGGGTTGCAGAGATAGAAGGCCTGACGTGGGAGGAGAAAAGTGGACAAACATTTATTAAGCACACACTGTATATGGTTGATTACAATCAGCAGCAATTATGCACCAGGCACTCTGCCCAGAACTGACACATTGAACCTCACACTCACATTTTGCAAATGAGGAAACAGGTTCAGAGAAATGAGTAGTGGTAGTAAAGACAGCGGCTGTTTATTAAACTCTGCTTATCTCAGCTTCGTCCTCACTATGGATGCAAAATCCTCCAGATACTCCCCACCCTCTCTGATCTCATGGGGCCTTGCTGCCTTCCCAAGGGGCACTCCTGCCTTGGGGCTCTGGCACTGTTTCACCTGTGCCAAGTGCTTTTCCCCAGATAGCCACTTGGCAGACTTCCATAACTCTTTCAAGTCTTGCTCAAGTGTTACCTACCCAGCGAGGTCTTCTCTGGCCCCCTATTTAAAATTGATCTCTGGCCCCGCACAGTGGCTCACGCTTTTGATCCCAGACTTTGGGTTACTGAGGCATGTGGATCACTTGAGGTCAGGAGTTTGAGAACAGCCTGGCCAACATGGTGAAACCCCGTCTCTACTAAAAAAAATACAAAAAGTTAGCTGGTCATGGTGGTGGGGTACCTGTAGTCCCAGCTACTTGGGGGGCTGAGGCAGGAGAATCGCTTGAACCAGGGAGACGGAGGTTGCGGTGAGCCGGGATCGCACCACTGTACTCCAGCCTGGGCGACAGAGCAAGACTCTGTCTCAAATAAATAAATAAATAAAATAAAATTGATCTCTGTCTTCCCCCACCCCTATCCTATTCACCCTCACCCCATCCTATTTACCCCCCTCTTTTTTCCACCACAACCCTTATCTCTTTTTTTAATTAAAAAAAATTTTTTTTTTTAGAGATAGGATCTTGCTGTCACCAGGGCTGGAGTGTAGTGGCATGATCATAGCTCACTGTGGCCTCGAACTCCCAGGCTGAAGAAGCGATCCTCCCATCTTGGCCTCCCAAGTAGCTTGGACTACAGGAGCATGCTACCACACTCAGTTAATGTTTGTTTGTTTGTTTGTTTGTTTGCTTTTTAAAGACAGGGTCTCACCCTGTTGCCCAGGCTGCTCTCCAACTCCTGGCCTCAAGGGATCCTCCAACCTTGGCCTCACAAGACACACATTATTTCCTTATTATCTTTTTTTTTTTTTTTTGAGATGGAGTCTCGCTCTGTCACCCAGCTAAATTTTGTATTTTTAGTAGAGATGGGGGTTTCACCATGTTGGCCAGGCTGGTCTTCAACTCCTGACCTCAGGTGATCCACCTACCTCGGCCTCCCAAAGTGCTGGGATTACAGGCGTGAGCCCATTTCCTTATTATCTGTCTCCTGCATGAGTATGTCATCTCCAGGAGAGCAGGGATCTTTGTTCTTTTTGTTCATGACAAAGAACAAAGAACAGCACCTGGCCGCAGTGGGCACTCAGTAAGTATCCCTTGAATGAGTGGAATCTTAGTACCCGGGAAGTTGATATTGCCATTTTACAGATGAGAAAACTAAGGCTCAGAGATGTCAAGTGACTTTCTCAAGGTCACACAGCCAGCGAGTGGCAAACCTGAACCCCTTGTGCTGATGTTTGCTGTTGTCCCTACAGGCCTGGCCTCGCCCTGTGGATGATGATGGCCTTGCCCCCGTGAGCTACAACCTGGCCTTCAGCACCCGCCCACCTCCAACCAGCAGGATGCGGCTGTGGAAGGCGGTGGTGGTGACTTTGGCCTTCATGAGTGTGGACATCTGCGTGACCACGGCCATCTATGTCTTCAGCCACCTGGACCGCAGCCTCCTGGAGGACATCCGCCACTTCAACATCTTTGACTCGGTGCTGGATCTCTGGGCAGCCTGCCTGTACCGCAGCTGCCTGCTGCTGGGAGCCACCATTGGTGTGGCCAAGAACAGTGCGCTGGGGCCCCGGCGGCTGCGGGCCTCGTGGCTGGTCATCACCCTCGTGTGCCTCTTCGTGGGCATCTATGCCATGGTGAAGCTGCTGCTCTTCTCAGAGGTGCGCAGGCCCATCCGGGACCCCTGGTTTTGGGCCCTGTTCGTGTGGACGTACATTTCACTCGGCGCATCCTTCCTGCTCTGGTGGCTGCTGTCCACCGTGCGGCCAGGCACCCAGGCCCTGGAGCCAGGGGCGGCCACCGAGGCTGAGGGCTTCCCTGGGAGCGGCCGGCCACCGCCCGAGCAGGCGTCTGGGGCCACGCTGCAGAAGCTGCTCTCCTACACCAAGCCCGACGTGGCCTTCCTCGTGGCCGCCTCCTTCTTCCTCATCGTGGCAGCTCTGGGTAAGTAAGGACCTCGGGGACATGTGGCCACCAGAACATCAAATTAGGTGGATATGACTGCCTTAGATTTTAAAAGATTTTACTTACGTGGTTCAGACATCAAATTGATATGAAAAGGAAAAGAGGCCAGGCATAGTGGCTCATATCTATAATCCCAGCACTTTGGGAGGCTGAGGTAGGAAGATCACTTGAGCCCAGGAGTTGAAAACCAGCCTGGGCAACATAGCGAGAACCCATTTCTATTTTATTTATTTATTTATTTATTGTATTTATTTATTTTTTCGAAACATAGTATTGCTCTGTCACCTAGGCTAGAGTGCAGTGGCACAATCTCAGGTCACTGCAACCTCTGCCTCCCAGCTTCAAGTGATTCTCCTGCCTCAGCCTCTCAAGTAGCTGGGACTACAGGCATATGCCACCACACCCAACTAATTTTTGTATTTTTAGTAGAAACAGGTTTTCGCCATGTTGGCCAGGCTGGTCTTGAACTCCTGACCTCAGGTGATCCACTGGCCTCGGCCTCCCAAAGTGCTGGGATTACAGGCGTGAGCCACGGTGCCTGCCCCATTTCTATTTTATGTAATTTAAAACGAAAAAATAGGCCAGGCGCGGTGGCTCACGCCTGTAATCCCAGCACTTTGGGAGGCCAAGGTGGGAAGATTGCCTGAGCCCAGGAGTTCAAGACCAGCCTGGGCAATATGACAAGACCCCATCTCAATTTAAAAAAGGAAAAAGTAAAAGACAAGAGAAGAAAAAGGAAACTATGAGTTCCACTCCTGTTTTTTTCTTTTTTTAGACAGGGTCTCACTCTGTTGCCCAGGCTGTAGTGCAGTGGCATGATCACAGCTTACGGCAGCTTCAACCTCCCAGGCTCAAGTAATCCCCCCACCTCAGTCTTCCAAATAGCTGGGACTACAGGGGCGTGCACCACACCCAGCTAATTAAAAAAAGAAAAATTTGTAAAGATAGGATCTCACTATGTTGTCCAGGCTGATCTCGAACTCCTGGGCTCAAGTGATCCTCCCACCTTGGCCTCTCAAAGCACTGGGATTACAGGCGCAAGCCACAATGCCTGGCTGTGTTTCACTTCTAATTCTACCCTGATCATTCTGCCCAGGGCTAACTGCAGGAAAAGGACCCAGAAACTCCCAGGTGGCCAGGAAAGCATTCTTTCTTACTCAATTCTTGTGCATGTTCCCAGCTTTTCCTTATGCAGCTACAAGCACATCAAAAGAACATGCATCACTCCCCCACCTCTCACCCACATTGTTTTATGTTTTGCTCTTTTCACTTAACAATATGTTCTGGAATTTTTCCAACCAGTACCTCATTGTTTTATTTGGCTTCATAATATTCCATTGTGCGGCTATACCATAGATTATTTAGTTGGTCTCCCATCATTTGACTCTTGGGTTATTTTGAGCCTTTTCCTCTTAACATGAATTTTTTTTTTTTTTTTTTTTTTGAGATGGAGTCTTGCTCTGTCACCCAGGCTGGAATGCAGTGGTGCGATCTTGGCTCACCGCAACCTCCATCTCCTGGGTTCAAGCGATTCTCCTGCCTCAGCCACCCAAGCAGCTGGGATTACAGGCGCCTGCCACCACGTCTGGCTAATTTTTGTATTTTTAGTAGAGACAGGGTTTCACCATGTTGGCCAGGCTAGTCTCAAACTCCTGAGTTCAAGCGATCTGCCTGCCTTGGCCTCCCAAGGTGCTGGGATTACAGGCATGAGCCACTGCGCCCGACCTGCACGTCAATAATTCTGTTCATACACATTTCATATGAATGTGGATGGATCTGTAGAATAAATTCCTGGAGCTGGGATCATCAGAGAATAGACTAGAAAACATCAGAGTGGGCAGGCATGGTGGCTCATGCCTGTAATCCCAGCGCTTTGGGAGGCCGAGGCAGGCAGATAACGAAAAAAAAAAAAAACTCTCAGCAGTTTGAGACCAAAAAAAAAAAAAAAAGATATTAATATTTTAGTTGTGTGTGCCTACGTGCAGGTGTGGCCTGGTTTGTGACATGAAATGTATTTGTGCCTGTGAGTCTGGTCCAAACAGTTTGAAGGCACCACTCAGCAACATGGGTGGGAAGGTGGCACTGCATGGTTGGAGCTCACAGGTTCTGGGGGCAACGAGGCCTGGGCACAAATCCCTGTCCTGCTCCCTACCCAGCCGAGTGGCCCTGCGTAAGTTCTCCAGCCTTTCTGAGCCTCACTTCCCTCCTCTGTGCAACAAGGATTGTTGGAGTCCTTATTTCCTGACATTTTAGATGCTGAAAAGAACGGGAGAGCTGGGTGCAGTGGCTCATGTCTAATCCCAGCACTTTGGGAGACCAAGGCTACAGGATCACTTGAGCCCAGGAGTTTGAGACCACTCTGGGCAACACAGCAGGACCCTGTCTCTAAAAGAAATGTTTTTTTAATTAGCTGGGCATGGTGGTACTTGCCTATAGTCCCAGCTACTCAGGAGGCTAAGGTGGGAGGATCCCTTGAGCTCAGGAGCTTGAGTTATAGTGAGCCATGATGACGCCACTGCCCTCCAGCCCGGGCAACAGAGCAAGACCTGTCTCTACCAAAGAAAAAAAAAAAAATAGGAGAAGGACTAAGTACAGAGCTTGGCTTGTCATGGTAAGTGCTCAGGGTTGTTAGCTATTATGAGTTTTAAAAATTTTAAGCTGGGCGCGGTGGCTCATGCCTGTAATCCCAACACTTTGGGAGGCCGAGGTGGGCAGATCACTTGAGGTCAGGAGTTTGAGACGAGCCTGGCCAACATGGTGAAACCCCGTCTCTGCTAAAAGATATATAAATATTAGCCGGGCACAGTGGCTCATGCCTATAATCCCAGCACTTTGGGAGGCCGAGGCAAGTGGATCACCTGAGGTCAGGAGTTCGAGACCAGCCTGGCAACATGGTGAAACCCCATGTCTACTAAAAATATAAAACTTAGCCAGATGTGCTGGCATACGCCTGTAATTCCAGCTATTTGGGA
This sequence comes from Homo sapiens, assembly GCF_000001405.40. Taxonomy (NCBI): domain Eukaryota; kingdom Metazoa; phylum Chordata; class Mammalia; order Primates; family Hominidae; genus Homo; species Homo sapiens. The sequence continues at coordinate 122,956,641 of NC_000012.12, read as the reverse complement.
GGCTGAGGCAGGAGAATTGCTTGAACCTGGGAGGCAGAGGTTGCAGTGAGCCAAGCTCACACAACTGCACTCCAGCCTGAGTGACAAAGTGAGACTCCATCTCAAAAAACATAAATAATAAAATAGTAAAATAAAAATGTTAACTGACAGAGACAGAGCCTAGAGAGGTGACAATGCAATAACAATGCCAGAATGTTCTGAGAGAGGACAGGCAAACCCAGAGCTGGCCCTGACTCTGCAGCCCTGTACTCCTACGATCTACCTCTGCCCTCTCAGTCCCATCTCCTCAACATCTGTGTGAGGTTAGGCAAGTTATTTAACCCCTCTAAGTCTTAGCCTCCTCTTCTGTGACATGGGCATAGTAGTACCCCTCCAATGGGGTTGGAAAGGTCAGTGAATCCACATGGGTGAGACACCTTGGACAGCTCCTGGCACATAGACACCTCCCAGTAATACTAGCAGGTGTGAGGACTGGGATGACCCCTTCCCATTAAACCAGGCAGTTTCTCCTGGCTCATGCTGGGCGGCCCAAAAGTCCCCTCCTTAGGAAGCCACCTTAGATTCTGCCAACTGTGGTAACTTTGTCTGCACCTCAGTTATAGCTTTTATGACATAAAAATCATATGTTCAGGCTGGGTACGGTGGCTCACACCTATAATCCCAGAACTCTGGGGAGCTGAGGCCTGCAGATCACCTGAGGTTAGGAGTTCGAGACTAGCCTGGACAATATGGCAAAACCCCGTCTCTACTAAAACTACAAAAATTAGCTGGGCATGGTGGCAGCCGCCTGTAATCCCAGCTACTCAGAAGGCTGATGCAGGAGGATATCTTGAACCCAGGAGGTGGAGGCTGCAGTTAGCTGGGATTGTGCCACAGCACTCCAGCCTAGGCAACAAAGTGAGACTCCGTCTCAAAAAAAAAAAAAACAAAAAAACAAAAACCCAAAAAACTATGCATTTATGCTGGGCACAGTGGCTCATGCCTACAATGCCAGTACTTTGGGAGTCTGAGGCAGGAGGATCACTTGAGGCCAGGAGTTCAAGACCAGTCTGGCCAACATAGCAAGACCCTGTTATGTATGCATTCACCCTCCTGCCTCCCCTCCCAGGTCCTGAGCCCCTCAGGGGCAGGGGCCAGGTCTGACTCACCCTGGATCCCAGTAGCTGGCACAGAGATGGGCTCACTGAATGAATAAATGAACAAAAGTATGAATGACTGTCATGCCTGTGCAGACAGATGGTGCCCCATGCCATGACCTTGTTTACCCGACCTGCTGGGGCCCTGCCGTCAGCTGCTGTGTGGTCGGGGAATGCAGACATCCTTAAATACTGCTGAGCAGATTTTCCCGGCTTGCAGGATTGCATCAAGAGTCAGGGCGCAGACTCGAGGCTCAGGCTCCCGACTTCACTGATAACTTTAGGCAAGTTATTAACCTGGCCAACGCTCACTTGACCATTCTGAAGTGAGGGCTTTCTTGGGGTACTGTGAGAAAGAAGTGAGAGGAAGCTTGGTGCCTAGCACAAGTAAATACTTAATCAGTGTTAGGGCCAGGTGCAATGCCATGTACCTGTGACCGCAGCTACTTGGGTGGCCAAGGAGGGAGGGTTGCTTTGGCTTAGGAGTTTGAGACCAACCTGGGCAACATAGCGAGACCCCATCTCAAAAAAGACAATTAGGTACTGTGATTATTAATAATTATTTTTCAATCAACAAGCATTCAGCAGTGCCCAGCTTTTCTGTACCCTCAGAATCTTAAAACAAACAAACAAAAACAAAAAACAAAAAACCACCCATTGGGAAATGTTAGTTTTAGGGTTGAGTATCTCTTATTAAATTAAGGTTCTTTAGAGGCCAAGTGCAGCAGCTCACACCTATAATCCCAGCACTTTGGAAGGCTGAGGTGGGCAGATCACTTGAGGTCAGGAGTTCAAGACTAGCTTGGCCAACATGGTGAAACTCCGTCTCTACTAAAAATACAAAAATCAGCCGGGCGTGGTGGCACACGCCTGTAATCCCAGCTGCTCAGAAGGCTGAGGCAGGAGAATTGCTTGAACCTGGGAGGTGGAGGTTGCAGTGAGCTGATATCGTGCCACTGCACTCCAGCCTGGGTGACGGAATGAGACTCTGTCTCAAAAAATAAAAAATAGGCCGGGCACGGTGGCTCACACCTGTAATCTCAGCAAGGGGGGGCAGATCACCTGAGGTCAGGAGTTCGAGACCAGCCTGACCAACATGGAGAAACCCCGTCTCTACTAAAAATACAAAATTAGCTAGGTGTGGTGGCGCATGCCTGTAATCCCAGCTACTCGGGAGGCTGAGGCAGGAGAATCGCTTGAACCCAGGAGGCAGAGGTTGCTGTGAGTGGAGATCGCACCATTGCATCGCAGCCTGGGCAACAAGAGTGAAACTCCGTCTCAAAAAAAATAAAAAAAATACATAAAAAACAAATGGAGTCCTTTTTTTTTTTTTTGAGGCAGGGCCTCCCTCTGTCACCCAGGCTGGATGGAGTACAGTGGAGTGATCACAGCGACTTCAGCCTTGACCTCTCCAGCTCAAGTGATCCTCCCACCTCGGCCTCCCAAAGTGCTGGGATTGCAGGTGTGAGCTACCTTCTGTAGCCTAAGATTCTTTAATATGGATTTCATGGCAAACCAAATGTATAAACTTGGGCAAGTGACTTAATCTCTCTGAGCCTCAGTTTCCTCTTTTGTGTAAAGAATACATTTCCACAAATGGAAGGAATAATTGTACCAAACCTATAGGATTACTGGGTGGCCTTTGAGACTTAAGAAGGTAGGGGAGCAGATATCTGGGGTAAGTGGCTGGGTGTGGTGGCTCACACCTGTAATCCCAGCATTTTGGAAGGCCGAGGCGGGCAGATCACTTGAGGTCAAGAGTTCAAGACCAGCCTGGGCAACATGGTGAAACCCTGTCTCTAATAAAAATATAAAATTTAGGCCAGGTGCGATGGCTCATGCCTGTAATCCCAGCACTTTGGGAGGCCAAGGCAGGTGGATCACGAGGTCAGGAGTTCAAGATCAGCCAGGCCAACATGGTGAAACCCCATCTCTACTAAAAATACAAAAATTAGCCAGGTGCAATGGCAGGTGTCTGTAATCCCAGCTACTCGGGAGGCTGAGGCAGGACAATCACTTGAACCCAGGTGGCAGAGGTTACAGCGAGCTGAAATCGTGCCAATACACTCCAGCCTGGGCGACGGAGTGCGACTCCATCTCAAAATATATATATACATATATAAAATTTAGCCGGGTGTGATGGCGGTCACCTGTAATCTCAGCTACTTGGGAGGCTGAGGCATGAGAATCACTTGAACCCAGGAAGTGGAGGTTGCAGTGAGCTGAGATCATGCCACTGCACTCCAGCCTGGGTAACAGACTGAGACTCCATCTCAAAAAAAAAAAAAAATGTATGTGGTAAGAGCACTCCAGGCAGAAGGACTAGCCCATGCAAAGGTCCTGAGGCAGGAAGGTGCCCAGTTGTTCAAGAGCAGACACCAGTTAGCTGGAGCAGAGGGAGTGAGATGGGGCGGGGAGAAGACAAAGGTCTCTGCTAGCGGCTCAATCATGCAGGTCCTTGTGGGCTATTGTAAAGACTTTGGCTTTTACCATCTCACTGGATGAGAAGGGGGATTTGGACTGTTTTGAGCCAAGGAGCAACAAGATCTGAAGTTAGTTCCAACAGGATCCTGCCTTCTACTGTGTGGACAGGCTGATGTGAGCAAAGTTGAGAGCAGGCTACTGAGATAGTCCCAGTGAGGTTAATGACTTGGACCAGGGTTGGGGCAGTAGAGGCAGTGAAAGTGGTCAGGTTCTGGAAATGGTCTGAGTATTTGCTGGTGCATTGGAGAGTTTCACGTAATTCTTGTGCAGATTCAGCAAGAGAGTTTGCCGGCATGCTTTGCACAGCCCCTGGTACCCAGTAAGGCGATTATTAGCATTGGTGCTTGCTGGAATCAGATATTCCAGAATATTCTGTCACAGCTCATCGTTGCCCTCTTCTTTTCTGTGGGTAAACTGAGGCAGAAACTCAGGCTGGGTGGAACTCTGCAGCCTCAGCTGGAGACCTCGTCTGGCCAAGGACTGTGGGGACACAGGCCCTCTAGGCTGCCACCTCATGGTCCCAGCAGAGGGCACCAGAACTGCACAGAAAGTCTCACTACCCAAGTGTCTGAGCCAGGCCAGACTGTGCTAGCCAGACCTGCCCGGGGTTCATTCACTGACCTTTATTGAGCACCTACTGTATGCCCAGCCCCAAACCTGGCTCTGCTCATGGAAAGAACTTCAGTGGAAACAGGTCCTGGGATGAACAAGGGCCTGGCCTGGCCTGGTGATGCCACTATTTCCTTAAGAGGAGAGTGGACATTCCGGATTATTGTCGGGGGAGTCTCATTTCTGCTGCTGTAACAAAATACCACAGACTGGGTCATTTAGAAACCATAGAAACTGATTTCGTACTGTTCTAGAGGCTGGGAAGTCCCAGATCAAGGTGCCAGCAGGTTTGGTGTCGTGAGGGCCACTCTCTGCTTCCAAGATGGTCCCTCCTTGCTGTGTCCTCTGGAGGGGAAGACTGCTGTGTCCTCACGCTGCAGAAGGTGGAAGGGCGAGAGATGGCAAACCAGGCTTACAAGCCCTTTGAAAAGGGCCCTCATCCCATCCTGGAGAGCTCTGCCCTATCACATTGGCGATTATGTTTCAATATGTAAATTTTGGGAGATGCATTCAGACCACAGGAGGAAGGGAAAAGAAAGAGCCCCCAGGTTGAAAGCCAGTTTAGGTTTGAGTCCCAGCCTTTCCCCTTGCTGTGTGACCTGGAGTAAATTCCTCAGCCTCTGTGAGTCTCCCATTCCACCCCAGGATTGTTGTGAAAACACAGTAAGGCAAGCGGGTAAGAAAGCACCCAGCAAGGTGTCAAGTGCCCCACCAGGAGGGGTGGGGTGGCAATTTCCAGCATTGCTTGGAACCAGAATAGCAACGTCTTCTGAGGTTCCAGAATTTGGACTCTGAACCCATTGAGAAGAATGAAATCAACTTTGGCGTCAATCAGCCACTGATTGCCATGTGGCCTGGACGAGTCATCTCATTCAACTTCACTTTCAGCCGGACGCTGTGACTCAGGCCTGTAACCCCAGCACTTTGGGAAGCTGAGGTGGGTGGATCGCTTGAGCCCAGGAGTTAGAGACCAGCCTGGGCAACCTAGCGAAACCTCGTCTCTACAAAAAAATACAAAAAATTAGCTAGGCCTGGTGGCGTGTGCCTGTAGTCCCGGCTACTCAGGAGTCTGAGGTGGGAAGATCCACTGAGCCCAGGAGGTTGAGGCTGCACTCCAGCCTGGGCGACAGGAGTGAAACCCTGTCTCAAAAAGTTAAAAAAAAAAAAAAAAAGGAAAATATTTTAGAAAAAGAAAAACAAATTAATTTTTCTCATTTGTAAAATGGGGGTGATTCCAGGGCCTGCTCCAAAGGGAATGAAACAAAGTTCAGGAGCGGTGGCTCATACCTATAATCCCAGTACTTTGGGAGGCCAAGGTAGGAGGATTGCTTCAACCCAGGAGGTTGAGACCAGCTTGGGCCACATAGTGAGACCCCTGTCTCTACAAAAAAAAAAAAAAAAAAATTAGCCTGGCATGGTGGCACATGCCTGTATTCCCTACTCAGGAGGCTGAGACAGGAGGATCACCTGAGCCCAGGAGTTTGATGCTGCAGTGAGCTATGATTACACCACTGCACTCCAGCCCGGGGGACACAGCGAGACCCTGTCTCAAAAAACAAGAGAATGAAGCATCCTGCAGGAGCCCTGGCTCGATGCCTGGTAGCCACTATAAATAAAGAAGAACCAGCAGGCTGTGTGGATGCAAGGCCCAGTGCTCCCCTGTTCTCTGAGGAGGGGGGCATTAAGCACCCTGGGGCCCCACGATGGGCAGCAAGAGTTTGCCGAGGGAGGAAAGCCCACCGGTGGAGTGGGCAGAGGGGTTGGTGTGTGGACTTCTGGAGCCTCAGGAGGAAGGGTGCGGGTTCCCCTGGCTGCAGACGTCCCTGAGGCTGCCCTGCCTCCCCCAGGAGAGACCTTCCTGCCCTACTACACGGGCCGCGCCATTGATGGCATCGTCATCCAGAAAAGCATGGATCAGTTCAGCACGGCTGTCGTCATCGTGTGCCTGCTGGCCATTGGCAGGTAGCTGGCTCAACCCCCACGCCCTGCCCCGCACACCCCGACCTGCACCAGGGAGGGAAGGGAGGGCCTGTTCCTAAGGAAGACAGGGGCCAGGGAGGCCCTGGAAATGCCCCTGGTGGGCCTGTCCCTCAGCTGGTCACCCTGGGAACCGGCTTCCACACTGTCTTAGAGCACCCTAGAACCACACCCTCTGGTCCCTGAAAAGGGCTTCAGTCCTCAGGGTTCCCTGCTCACCCTCCCTGGCTGTTTTCCAAGTAGGAATCTGGTCCCAAACAGAACCGGCTTTGTCTGAGCTGTTCTGGAAGGAAGAGGGTCTGGCTGGCACATTTGGGTCTCTTGTCCCACAACTGTCCCCTTTGCCCTCACCTTGAGGGGGGCTCCCACTGGGAATGAGGGGGACCCCGCAGGGATGCCAGCCCTGGAGTGGGGCTGCGGTGGGGCTCCCAGGCCTGCCGGCAGCGGGAGGGGGCAGCCGGGTGTGGTCACTGGTCTGGAAGGACATCGTGCTATAATATCTCTTATCTGCAATTAGCTCATTTGCCGCAGGTATTCGGGGCGGCATTTTTACCCTCATATTTGCCAGACTGAACATTCGCCTTCGAAACTGTCTCTTCCGCTCACTGGTGTCCCAGGAGACAAGCTTCTTTGATGAGAACCGCACAGGTTGGTCCTTCCAGTGCCCTAGGTGTCCTGGGGGCTGGGCCCCACCCCTGTGGGCTTGCCTGGCACTGAGGAATGAAATGGGCGTGTGGGTGGTCTCAGCCCTCTGTCTTCTCCTCCTGCTGTTAGTTCAGGCTGGGAACACCCTGGGCTTGGCCTGTGTCCTGGGAGCTGGCTTGCTCACTGAGGTTTTGGTGTGGGCTGCGGCCTCTGTGGGGCCCAGGCCAGGCCACCCGAGGTCCCTGCAGGAGCCAAGGCCTTGCTTTCCATTGCCCCATGGAAACCACCAGGTCCAGGACTACCCACGCCTGTGGCCGACAGAGACCCTGCTCCCATGGGGGTCAGCAGGTGAGGGCCAGGGGCCACAACGGGGAAGACGATAGAATATCCACCAAGATCCAAGCTCTGAGAGACACCGGCCTGGGTCGAAGCCCTGGTTCCTCCACTCACGAACTTCACCTCTCTGATCCTCTGTTTTCTTGTCTGTAAAATGGGAACACGGATAGTAGCCACCCCATGGGGTCCTTACACAGCTCTTAGCACAATGTCCAACTTAGGTAAGAAGTGTCTGCGCTTTCCTGCCCGCCACCAGCCAGGTTGTTATTTCCCTAGAAGGGAAGAGGAGTTACCCCCTCTGCCAGTGACAGGGAGGAGACATGGGTTTGAAGTCTGGCTCAGTCACGGACAGGCTGTGTGACTCTACGGGGGCCTTCCTGTTCTGAGCCCCAGCCTCCTCCGCTGTACAGCGGGATGTCATGAAGCTTAAGCAAGATGCTGATGACTGGGATTGGCTCAGAGTAGCCCTCGAGGGGTATCTGCTCTTCTCCCCCACCCCCCAACCCCGCCCACAGGTAGGGAGGCCCGGCTTCCCAGTGTCTGTCTCAGAGGCCCCTTAGCATCCCCCACCGCCACCCCCAAGGCCCGGGTTGCTGTGGTGAGAGCTGAGCCGCGTGTGTTCCAGGGGACCTCATCTCCCGCCTGACCTCGGACACCACCATGGTCAGCGACCTGGTCTCCCAGAACATCAATGTCTTCCTGCGGAACACAGTCAAGGTCACGGGCGTGGTGGTCTTCATGTTCAGCCTCTCATGGCAGCTCTCCTTGGTCACCTTCATGGGCTTCCCCATCATCATGATGGTGTCCAACATCTACGGCAAGTACTACAAGGTAGGCCTGCCCTGTCTCTGCTGGGGACTGTGCACCCTGGCAGCCCCCAAACATCCCCTTAGGAGGGGCTCAGGGGGCCACTAAGGGCTAGTGAAGGACAGGTCTTGAGGCTGTGTTTGCATTCATTCATTCATTTCTTCGCTCATTCAATAAATAATTATTGACCACCTGCTATGTCCCAGGCACTGGGATACATCAGTGAAAAAGACAAGGCCCCTGCCTTCCTGGAACTTGTATCTAGTGTCAGAGACAGATACTAGGTACCAACAGCATAAAGAATGAGAATCCACAATACAGTAAAAGATGGTCAGTGCTAAGGAGAAACATGAAGTGAGCAGAGGGATTGGGAGCATTGGGTGTAGCTGCAATTTTAAATTGGATTTACTGGCTGGGCCCGGTGGCTCATGCCTGTAATCCCAGAACTTTGGGAGGCACAGGCAGGAGGACCACTTGAGCCTAGGAGTTCGAGACAAGATTGGACAATATAGCAAGACCCCATCTCTACAAAAAAAAATTTTTTTTAGTTAGCTGGGCTTGGTGGCGCATGCCTGTGGTCCCAGCTACCTGGGATGCTGAGGTGGAGGATCGCCTGAGCCCAGGAGGTCGAGGCTGTAGTGAGCAATGATCGTGCCACTATACTCTAGCCTGGGTGACACAGCAAGACCCTGTCTCTAAAATGAATGAATAAATACAAGTTAAATAGGTCTTGCTGAGAAGGGGACATCTGAATAAGGGTCTGAAGGAGGCGGGCATCTTGGGAGGTATGTGCTGAGCAGAGGGCACAGCCAGTGAAAAGGCCCTGGGTTGGAACGTGCCTGGTGTGTATGTGGGGGTGGTGCGGGCCCGCTGTGATGCCATCGCGGGCCCGCTGTGATGCCATCATGGGCAGGCTGCTGTCCCCTCTGGCCACCCCACGGCACTGCTTCTGCTTCCGAGCTAGGGCCGTGAGCCAGGTTTGACCTCACCCTCCTCCTGCTTCCTGAATGGGCGGGTGCCCCCGAGCCCTAAGGGACAGACAGGCTGGGTTCAGACAGGCAGGGCTGTGACCCTGTGACAGGTACAGGCAACCCCCTCACAGTCACCCAGGCCCACGTGGGGTACTTCTAGAGCAGGGGCTTGGATGCATGACGGCCTCCAGGTGGTGCCGGGTAAGTCATTGTCGCAGCTCCATTGGAGCCTTTGGTGTTGGTGACCTGAGACCAGGGTAGCAAAGGAAGCCATCTCCCACCCAGCCCCCGGTGAGGCCACTCCCCACAGTCTTCTCCAGCCACACAGGTAGGACCTCTTCCCGAAGTTCCTGGTCACGAGCCTCCCCACCGTCCTCACTGAGATGAGAAAGTAAATCTATTCTTTAGAGTCTGAGCCATTTCTGGCACGCTGCTCCCCACCCCTTGCTTCCGGCCTTCCCACCAGCCCCTGGGATGGAGCAAGAAACCCTGGAGCTCCCCCTCAGCCCCCACCTCTGTGTGCACTGCAGGCCCTGCCTTTTAGTTCAGCTAAGGGAGGCCTCAGGAAGGCTCTGTTTGGGTTTTCCACCCCATGCCTGAATGTGTTGTGTGTAGCCAGCGAGTCATCTCCACAAACCACACACACCGCCCATGGCCAAACATGACTCAGGCACCCTGCATGCTTCCTGCGGCTGGGGCGTGACACATGGTCATGGGACATGCCAGTGCATGCTCCTGTCCTGGACTCTCAGGCAGCCTTCCTGGCTGGCTTGAGAATCAGCATAGTGACTCCTGCAAAGTGTGAACAGCTCCACCCAGGGGCCTCTTCCAGGACTCTGGTGAACAGCAGCCTGATGGCCGCACACTTGGGACCACTTTTCAGCTCTGCCTGTGGTGACATGCACATGGTGTGGGCAGATTTCACAACCCATGGCCCCTGCCACCATGTAGAACTTGGCTGGGAGTTCTGGAATCTCTTTATCAACCCTCAGGCTCTAACATAATTTATGTTGATGATGTAAATGGTGCCCCTTTAATAGTTGGTGTTTCTTAAATAGTGTACAACCTGAACAACCGTCCAAGGCATCCCCTGCTCTTCCAGCACAGGGTCAGGTGTTGAGGCCCCTTTTCTGAAAGGATTACCAAAAACTGTCCAGTCATGAATAGCCTCTTTTGAATACTGGGGATGACTTAACGATCAGCACCGTGCCCTATCCTTCAGGAGCTGAAACCATTGCCCCAAGAGCCTCTCTGGAGTTGACTACCTGAGTGTGTCAAATTGAGCCAGAAGGGGATGGGGGAGAAAGGGCTAGATCTTGTCTTTTTGTCCTAGGAACCTCTTGCATATAGCTGGTGCCAGCGAAGGGTGGAAAAACCCAGAGAGGCCTGGGGGCTCCAGTACATAGTGAGGCTGTTTTGGGGTCTTCTCCTTCTTGTCCCCCTCCTGTCCATAGAGGCTCTCCAAAGAGGTCCAGAATGCCCTGGCCAGAGCGAGCAACACGGCGGAGGAGACCATCAGTGCCATGAAGACTGTCCGGAGCTTCGCCAATGAGGAGGAGGAGGCAGAGGTGTACCTGCGGAAGCTGCAGCAGGTGTACAAGCTGAACAGGAAGGAGGCAGCTGCCTACATGTACTACGTCTGGGGCAGCGGGGTACGTGCCCCTGGCCAGGCAGCTCTGGCTGTGGAGGGATGGGATGCAAAGATGGGGGAAGCCCTCGATCTAGGACATCAGTCCTGCATGTTGGTGTCAAGCTGGTGGAGAATCTGTCTGTCTTTCTTTTTTTTTTTTTTTTTTTTTGAGACAGAGCCTCACTCTGTCACCCAGGCTGGAGTGCAGTGGCACCATCTCAGCTCACTGCAACCTCCGCCTCCTGGGTTCAAGCGATTCTCCTGCCTCAGCCTCCTGCATAGCTGGGACCACAGGCGCCCGCCACCATGCCTGGCTAATTTTTGTATTTTTGGTAGAGACGGGGTTTCACTATCTTGGCCAGGCTGGTCTCGAACTCCTGAGCTCAGGTGATCCACCCGCATCAGCCTCCCAAAGTGCTGGGATTACAGGCGTGAGCCACCGCGCCCTGCTGAGAATCTTTCCCAGAAGCAAGGCTGCCCCTCTCCCAGTCACCTGACGTGGGGTGGCAGGGTGGGAGCTTTCTTTTCCCAGCTGGGGAAACATCCTTGCTGAGGTGGGGAGTCAGCAGGTCCCTAGGCCACTTTCGGGCAGGTCTCATGTCACAGCCACACACACTCCCGACAGTGTCTGGCACACTCCCGGGAGTGCGTCACAGCCTCTCCTTGGAGGATGGGGAGCACTTGGATCATGTCACTGCTACACTGGACACACATGGGAGGTGGGCAGGTCAGGGCATAGCTGCGGAGGAATGAGGAGGGTTTGGAGTGAGAGGGAGGAGGGAGCTGGTGGTCTACAGGGGAGCCAGGGGAAAGAGGATATCTGGGACTTCCTGGTGCTGCCACCTCCCAAAAGTATCAGCCAAGGAGGAGAGGAGGGGCTAAGGTCCAGCTCAGCTAGCTGAGCCTCTTAGCAATCCGTCTGCTGGCAGGGGGTGCCTTTGCAGCTTCCACCAAGGCACGGTGGTCCAGACAGCAGCCTAGTTCTGGCTGGGCATGAGGAGGACAGATGGAGTCCCTGACTAGGGTGTGGGCTGCCATGGGTACTCAGACTCCACTCCCTTCCCAGATGCCCCCCAGGCACAGGAGGAAGGCATGGGCGCTCCCATCACAGCCCCTTCTTCACGGAACCCCACTGGGGGAGGAGACAGAGAGCTCACTGTGTGACCTTAGCCAGGGCACTTGCCCTCTCTGAGTCATGCTCTTCCCCATGAGGAGGACGAATAGTTCCCAGGTGGCCAAGCTGAGGAGCCTGGGGGTGGCATGTGTGTGCCAGGACCTCACAAAGAAAGCCTTGTTCTGTGGCCAAGCCCACAGCCTGCTCCAGCTGGAGGCCTCTGTAGGGAAATGCTCGGGGCAGGGGAAGGCATGAGTGACAAGCCTTGGAAGACACCCCTGCCAACGGCCGGCATTTCAGTTTGTGGCTGGGTCTGCCCTCACCTCCCCCTGCAGCCTGGGATGGGTCAGGGAATGGGGATGGTGGGGGATCTAAGGTCCCCTCGACCCACATCCCCTCTCCCTCTGCCCCAGCTCACACTGCTGGTGGTCCAGGTCAGCATCCTCTACTACGGGGGCCACCTTGTCATCTCAGGCCAGATGACCAGCGGCAACCTCATCGCCTTCATCATCTACGAGTTTGTCCTGGGAGATTGTATGGAGGTGAGAGGCCAGTGTGTCCGGGGATCCAGAGAGAAGGGAGGAGTTTGGGGAAGAGGGATCTTAACAGGGTGGGGGCGGGGCTCCAGGGACTCTGACAATGTGGTATTTCTCTCTAAGGTAAGTAGGGGAGACAGCATGATCATATCAAGAATGATAATACTAGGCAGGGCGTGGTGGCTCACGCCTATAATCCCAGAACTTTGGGAGGCGGAGGCGGGTGGATCACTTGAGGTCAGGAGTTCGAGACCAGCCTGGCCAACATGGTGAAACCCCATCTCTACTGAAAACACAAAAATTAGCCAAGCGTGTTGGTGGGTACCTGTAATCCCAGCTACTTGAGAGGAGAATTGCTTGAACCCTGGAGGCAGAGGTTGCAGTGAGCTGAGATCGCACCACTGTACTCCAGCCTGGGTGACAGAGCGAGACTCCGTCTTGATAAATAAATAGGCAAGCCGAGTATGGTGGCATGTGCCTGTAATCCCAGGTCCTCAGGAGGCTGAGGCTAGAGAATCGCTTGAGCCTGGGAGGTCAAGGCCGCAGTGAGCCGTGATCACGCCACTGCACTCCAGGCTGGACGACAGAGAGAGACCGTGTCTCAAAAAGAAAGAAAGGGCCAGGTGCGGTGGCTCACACCTCAGGAGGCCGAGGCAGGAGAATCGCTTGAACCCGGGAGGCAGAGGTTACAGTGAGCCAAGATCGCGCCACTGCACTCCAGCCTGGGCAACCAAAGCGAAACTCCATCTCAAAAAAAAAAGAAAGAAAGAATGATAATACTACCAACAAGTGACAGCAACACCCTTTAGGGACAGAGGTGATTTCAGAAAATGGTCTTAACAGCTCTGTGAGAAATTGAAGTGATGAAAAGAAAACTGAACCTGAGCGGTGGAGTGACTCGTCCATCACATTTGCTCGGGAACGGGGCTCAGGGCCAGCCGGGCCTGACTTCCTCCCAGCCTACTTCCAGCGTAGTGCCTCGGAAATGCAAGGGTGTTTTAGATTGTCTTGATTTTGGTTTCCGCACAAGCAGATCCTGAGACAGAATTGGCGTGCAACGGATTTGTTTGGGAGGTGATCTCAGGAAACGGGGGTGGGAGTGGAAAGTGAGACGTGGAAGGAAGGAAGTCAGCAGAGTGAGTTGTGGAGCCAGTTACCAGTGTGGGCAACTGAGGTGGGATCCTTCTAGCGGACAGGGTAGGACACCAGCACCAGAGTCATCCCATCTGAGGGCCAGGGAGCTGGGGTGTTTACACCCAAGCTGCCATCAGCCATTGCTCAAGGTCAGCCTGGAGTGAGGGTGTTAATTCTCTTGTCTGCCTCGCTCCCACAAAAAAGCCCGCAGCCCGCAGGCAGTAAGAGATTGGGCCTTTGTGTGCTGCGCTGACAAAGGCTCAAGGATGTTGGTGGGGTGTTCCTAGCATCTGCTACTCAGGCCATTGCATCTGCTGGAGAATCACACCTGCCATATTATTTGACTCAGCAGTAAATCTGCCCCTAGGAATCCATGCTTCAAGAGTACTCACAGCAGTGGGCGAAGATGTATGTCCAGAGATGTTCAGTGCAGTGTTGTTTATTTATTATCATTACTATTTGAGACAGTCTCACATTGTCACCCAGGCTGGGGTGCAGTGGTGCTTTCATGACTCACTGCAGCCTTGACCTCCTGGACTCAAGTGATCTTCCCACCTTAGCCACTTGAGTAGCTGGGGTTACAGTCACATGCCACCACACCCAGCTAATGTTTTTCTTTTTAGGTTTTTTTTTTTTTTTTTTTTGAGATGGAGTCTTGCTCTGTCGCCCAGGCTGGAGTACAGTGGTGCAATCTTGGCTCACCGCAACCCCTGCCTCCCGGGTTCAAGCTATTCTCCTGCCTCATCCTCCCCAGTAGCTGGGACTACAGGCATGCACCACCATGCCCAGCTAATTTTTGTACTTTTAGTACAAAATTTAGTACAAAATTGTATTTTCAGTAGAAATGGGGTTGCACCATGTTGGCCAGGCTGATCTCGAACTTCTGACCTCAAATGATCCGCCTGCCTCCGCCTCCCAAAGTGCTGGGATTACAGGTGTGAGCCACTGTGCCCGGCCAGCTCTGGGGTTTTAGGTGTTTACTACCGGCTGTTGCTGTTGTCTTCACAGTAACAGGACACAGATGCCGATATCACCCCCTTATCACCAATGAGGACATTCAGCACCTAAGAGCCTGAACTCAGGAGACAGATGGGCCTGGATTCAAATCCTGGCTCTGCCACTTCTAGGCTCTGTGACCTGGGCCAAGTTACTTGAGCCCTCTGTGCCTGAGATTCCTCATCAGTAAAAAAGGAGATAATGTTAGAACCTACCTCCTAACATACAGAGCATGCTTGGCCGGACGCAGTGGCCCACACCTGTAATCCCAGCACTTTGGGAGGCTGAGGCAGGCGGATTCCTTGAGCTCAGAAGTTCGAGACCAGCCTGGGCAACATGGTGCAACCCCATTTCTACTGAAAATACAAAAAATTAACTGGGCTTAGTAGTGGCTCATGCCTGTGGTCCCAGCTACTCAGGAGTCTGAGGTTGGAGAATTGCTTGAACCCGGGAGGCAGAAGTTGCAGTGAGCAAGATCACACCACTGCACTCCAGCCTGGGTAACAGAGTGAGACCCTCCTCTCAAAAAAAATAAATAGAGAATACTTAAGAAAATGGGCCGTTATTATGATTTACATTCATATTCTATGTATTTTTACCCAAGGAGAATATATTTATTTATAGTACACATTAAGACCCATTTTGAAAATTGAAATCAAGCCATGTCTGGTGACTCATGCCTGTAATCCCAGCACTTTGGGAGGGTGAGGTGGGCGGATCACTTAAGGTCAGGAGTTTGAGACCAGCCTGGCCAGTGTGGTGAAACCCTGTCTCTACTAAAAATACAAATATTATCTGGGCGTGGTGGCGAGTACCTGTAATCCCAGCTACTCTGGAGGCTGAGGCAGGAGAATCACTTGACTTGGGAGGCGGAGGGTGCAGTGAGCCAAGATTGCACCAATGCACTCCAGCCTGGGCGACAGAGGGAGACTCCATCTTAAAAAAAAAAAAAAAAAGCTATGCTATCGCAATTGAAAGATCAAGGCTGGATTCCCACTGTGCCACACCCCTGCCGGTTCCTTCGCTTCCATCTGCTCCTGTGGGGATGATGGCACCCACTCAGCTGGATGGCCGGTAGAGTGCTAGTGATGCTGCTGTCCTCAGCTCCCCTTACTGTCGTTATCTAATGCACCAGTGGGTGGTCAGGTGGCCTCCTGCATCTCCCCGCCAGAACTCCTTGCTTTCCCTATACCTGCCTCCTCTCTAGTAGCAGGGGTGGGTCCCAGGAGTCGGGTATCGGTGGGACAGGAACGCGTGTCTCCTCTCCCCAGTCCGTGGGCTCCGTCTACAGTGGCCTGATGCAGGGAGTGGGGGCTGCTGAGAAGGTGTTCGAGTTCATCGACCGGCAGCCGACCATGGTGCACGATGGCAGCTTGGCCCCCGACCACCTGGAGGGCCGGGTGGACTTTGAGAATGTGACCTTCACCTACCGCACTCGGCCCCACACCCAGGTCCTGCAGGTGAGGGCGCGGCTTGAGGCCTGCCAGAATCAGCCTTTCCGTCACCCCATTTCTGGTGCACCTCCTATACACCAGGCTGTGGCAGGGCAGCTGGGAATATGTCAGGCAAGATCATTGCCCTCCAGGAGTTTTGGGCTCCAGTTGGGGAAGACAGATACTTAACAGAATGATTCCCGATAATAAGTGCTAGAAAGAAAATAGATCAGGGTGCTGTGGTAGGGATGGTCCATGGGAATGGTGGTAACAGTCAAGAAGGGGTTCTTGGAGGAGGTGACATTTGAGGTGAGACCTCACCAGGGGCCTCCCTGCAGAGAGAACATTCCAGACAGAGGAAACAGCAAATCTCAAGGTGCTTCCAAGTCCTAGTGTCTTAGAAAGAACGTTTAGGGGCCAGCAGTGCCCAAGCGAGGGAGAGGCACATGGGGTGGGCTGGGAAGGGCACCCACCTGTGTCCAAGGTCAGGGCATCCAGTCCTGGGACCTGAGCCGATAACCCCGCACTGTGCCTGTGTGTTCTTTGCAGAATGTCTCCTTCAGCCTGTCCCCCGGCAAGGTGACGGCCCTGGTGGGGCCCTCGGGCAGTGGGAAGAGCTCCTGTGTCAACATCCTGGAGAACTTCTACCCCCTGGAGGGGGGCCGGGTGCTGCTGGACGGCAAGCCCATCAGCGCCTACGACCACAAGTACTTGCACCGTGTGGTATGTGCACGGGCCTGGGCCACACTTCTCCGCCCTTTCTGCATCTAACCGTCTTTCTTGTGAGCTGTAACAGGTGCGGAAGAGGGCACTAGAGATAAATGGACAGTTCAAAGAATTATCACCAATTACAATGCCCTCCTAGAGAAACAGAACATTCTTGTCCAGACGTGGTGGCTCACACCTGTAATCCCAGCATTTTGGGAAGCTGAGGCTGGAGGATCCCTTGAGGCCAGCCTGGACAACATAGTGAGACTCCGTCTCTATTAAAAAAGAAAAAAAGGGCAGATGTGATGGCCCACACCTGTAATCCCAGCACTTTGGGAGGCCAAGGCAGGTGGACTGCTTGAGCTCAGGAGTTCAAGACCAGCATGGCCAACATGGCGAAACCCCATCTCTACTAAAAATACAAAAATTAGCCGGGTGTGGTGGCACATGCCTGTAATCTCAGCTCCTCAGGAGGCTGAGGCACGAGAATCACTTGAACCCGGGAGGTAGAGGTTGCAGTGAGCCGAGACTGGGCCACTGCACTGCAGCCTGGGCAACAGAATAAGACTCTGTCTCATGAAAAAAAAGAAATAGAACATTCTGGCACTCCAGAAGCCTCCTACCCCCCGCCATGTGTCCCTTCTCTTTCCCCAAGAAGTAATGTGTTGACTTTTAGAGTCTTCATGCTCTTGCTTTTCATTGGTTCTGCCATCTCTGTGTGCACCCCTGAGCTCTGTGCTGCCTGCTCGGAACTTCATCTGGGTAGAATCGTGATTGGTGTGTGGATTAGTTTGTGTCTTGTGTCTCCCACTCGACATTGTGAGTCATCCAGGTTGAGGCTGGGGACAGAGTTCATTCATTTTCATTGCTGGGTGGTAACCCACTATACATATGTTTATCACAATTATTTATGCATTCTGGGTATTTGGGTTGTTTCCCTTTATTTTTGTTTTTTGAGATGAGTCTTGCTCTGTTGCCCAAGCTGGAGTGCAGTGGTGAGATCTCAGCTCACTGCAGCCTCCGCCTCCCGGGTTCAAGCTATTCTCCTATCTCAGCCCCCCTAGTAGCTGGGATTACAGGAGTGCGTCACCATGCCTGACTAATTTTTGTATTTTTAGTACAGACAGGGTTTCACCGTGTTGCCCAGGCTGGTCTCGAACCCTTGACCTCAGGTGATCAGCCTGCCTTGGCCTCCCAAAGTGTTGGGTTTATAGGCGTGAGCCACCGTGCCTCGCTGGGTTGTTTCCCTTTATATTTTATTTTATTTATTTGTTTATTTTTATTTTTATTTTTTTTTGGAGACAGAGTCTCGCTCTGTCGCCCAGGCTGGAGTGCAGTGGCACGATCTCGGCTCATTGCAAGCTCCACCTCCCGGGTTCACGCCATTCTCCTGCCTCAGTCTCCTGAGTAGCTGGGACTACAGGTGCACACCACAACGCCTGGCTAATTTTTTGTATTTTTAGTAGAGACGGCATTTCACCATGTTAGCCAGGATGGTCTCGATCTCCTGACCTCGTGATCCACCCGCCTCGGCCTCCCAAAGTGCTGGGATTACAGGCATGAGCCACTGCACCTGGCCTATTTTTATTTTTTTGAGAAAGGGTCTCCCTCTGTTGCCCAGGCTGGAGTGCAGTGGCACAGTCACAACTTACTGCAGCCTCAGAGTCCTGTGCTCAAGTCATCCTCCCACCTCAGCCTCCCAAGTAGCTGGGACTGCAGGCACATGCCATTATGCCCAGCTAATTTTATTTTTTTGTAGAAATGTGGTCTCACCATGTTGCCCAGGCTGATCTCAAACACCTGGCCTCAAGTGATCCTCCTGCCTCAGCCTCCCAAAGTGCTGGGATGACAGGTGTGAGCCTCTGCCCCCGGCCTGTTTTTCAGTTTTGTTTTGTTTTGTTTTGTTTTACCATTACCAAAAATACCAGTGTGGGATGTGGACAATTTTGTCTATGTTTTCTGTTGTACATGAGTACGTTCTCCCAAGGTATAATCCTAAGAGTAGAAAGCTTGGTGATAGTGGATGTACATCCCCAACTGCCGTAGTTTCTGTCACAACAGCTATCCCCAGGTGGTTATACCAATTTACATTTTACAATTTACATTCTACTAGCAGTGAAGGAGAGTTTCAGCTGTTCCACATTTAGGTCATCTCCAGTACTCAAAATAGGCTATTCATGACTGGACAGTTTTTAGTAATCCTTTCAGGAAAGGAACCATAACACCTGTCCCTGTGCTGGCCTAAGAGCAGGGATGCCCTGGATGGTTGCTCAGGTTGTGCACTGTCCAAGAAATATAAACTATTAAGGGAGCACCGTTTACATCATCAACATAAATTATGTGAAAGCCTGAGTGTTGGCACAGAGATTCCAGAACTCCTAGCCAAGTTCGAGATGGTGGTGAGGGCCATGGGTTGTGAAATCTGCCCACACCATGTGCATGTAACCAGAGGTAGATTGTTGTGAAATGGTGCCAAGTGGGAGGCCACCAGGCTGCTGCTCACCAAAGTTTTAGAAGAGCCCCCTGGGCAGAGCCGTTCACACTTTGCAGTAGGTACCACGCTTCGATTCTCAGACACCTAACATTGTCAGTCCTGAATTTTTGCTAACTGGTGAGAATGTAGTGGTAGCTTATTGTGGTCTTTTGTGTTTTCCTGATGACTGAAGATATTAAACACCTTTTCATATATTGGCCATTTGGTTTTCCTTCATGAATAGCCTCTCTTAATTATTTATTTATGTACTTTTTCTTTTCTTTTTTTTTTTTTAAGATGGAGTCTCGCTCTGTCGCACAGGCTAGAGTGCTGTGGCATGATCTCGGCTCACTGCAACTTCTTCCTCCTGGGTTCAAGCGATTCTCCTGCCTCAGCTTCCCAAGTAGCTGGGACTACAGGCACATACCACCACACCCGGCTAATTTTTTGTAGTTTTAGTAGAGACAAGGTTTCACCATGTTGGCCAGGCTGGTCTCGAACTCCTGACCTCAAGTGATCCACCCGCCTTGGCCTCCCAAAATGCTGGGAGTGAGCCATGGCGCCTGGACTATTTATGTACTTTTTGTTTGAGATAGGATCTCACTCTGTCACCCAGGCTGGAATGTGGTGGTGTGATCATGGTTCACTGCAGCCACGACCTCCTGGGCTCAAGCAATCCTCCCACATCAGCCTCCTGAGGGACTATAGGTGCACACCACCACATCTGGTCAATTTTTTTTTTTTTTTTGAGATGGAGTTTTGCTCTTGTTGCCCAGGCTGGAGTACAATGGCACGATCTCAGCTCACCACATCCTCCGCCTCGAGGGGTCAAGTGATTCTCCTGCCTCATCCTCTTGAGTAGCTGGGATTACAGGCATGCACCACCACACCCAGCTAATTTTTTATTTTTAGTAGAGACAGAGTTTCTCCATGTTGGTCAGGCTGGTCTCAAACTCTTGACCTCAGGTGATCCGCCCACCTCGGCCTCCCAAAGTGCTAGGATTACAGGCATGAGCCACCGTGTACACCTGGCCAATTTTTAATTATTTTGTAGAGACGGGTTCTCACTGTGTTGCTCAGGCTGATCTCAAACTCCTGGGCTCAAGCCATCCTCCCACCTTAGCCTCCCAAACTGTTGGTGTTACAGGTGTGAACCACCATGGCTGGCCTCTATTTTTAAATTTAAAATGTTAATTTCTATAAACATAAAACAATAAAATGCTACAAGCTAATCATATTCTCATAGTTGTAATGAATCTTGTAACTAAGACATGAATGTTCCCCTCCACCTTACCTTTTGAATTCCACCACATGGAGGTAGCCAGTGTTAACAGTTTAGTAAATATCCTTTTCAATGTGTTTCCTATCTTTATAGAAATATATCAATATATGAAGGTACACGTTTATAATTTTTTTAAACAAAAATAGAATCATGCTGTGTATATGTATCTATTACAATTCAGTTTTAAGGATGCACTGTCACTATTTAACCAATCCCCATTTATGGACACCTAGATTGTTTCCATTTTAATTTAATTAATTAACTAATTAACTTTTGCTACTTATGGTGTTGCAATGATATCTTCCATACTATATATTTTTTTCATTTTGTAGATATGGGGTCTTTCTGTGTTGCCCAGGCTGGTCTTGAACTCCTAGACTAAAGCCATTCTCCTGCCTCTGCCTCCCTAAGTGCTGGGATTACAGGCATGAGCCACCAGGCCTGGCCATACTATTATTTTTGTAGGCCCAGATTCCTGAAACTGGAATCTAGAGATGATAGCTCCTTTAAATTGTTCTCTTAGAAGGGAGGGGACCACCGCCAGGGCAGTCTGTGTGACCTGGAGCCCTGCTGTGGCCTCTTGCTTCCTGAGATGAGCAGACTCATTCACAGCAACATTCTATATTCTATCCCTCTTTCTTTTTTTCAGGACAGGGATGGCCAGTGAGCTTTCTCTTAGAGGTCAGGGAACTTGGCTTATCCCAGAGCAGCAAATGTAGCAGGCCCCAGTTTGCTGATTAGGGGAGGCTGAGGGCTTGTGGGTACAGGCGGGAGTCACTGTTGGGGAAGAAGAGAGGCAGCTCAGTGCAGTCACTGGGCCCTGATCAGGTTTCAGGCCTGAGACTGCTGGTGTCTCCAGGCCCCAGGCAGCAAGGCTGCTGGGGACAGCTGGATGAACACATTCCTGGCCTCTCATGCTCCATGCTCCCTCCTCCCCAGATCTCCCTGGTGAGCCAGGAGCCCGTGCTGTTCGCCCGCTCCATCACGGATAACATCTCCTACGGCCTGCCCACTGTGCCTTTCGAGATGGTGGTGGAGGCCGCACAGAAGGCCAATGCCCACGGCTTCATCATGGAACTCCAGGACGGCTACAGCACAGGTGTGGAGCTGGGGGTGGCCCCTCTCCTGGGCCCACAGGGTCACCCTCAGGGACATAACCCTCTGAGTTAAGCACTGCCCCCTGCCACCTGCTCTTTTTTTTGTAGAGATGGGGTCCCGCTACGTTACCCTGGCCAGACTCGAACCTCCTGCGCTCAAGCAATCTTCCTGCAATCCCCAAAGTGCTGGGATTACAGGCATGAGCCACTGTGCTGTGACTCAGCAAAATATTTATTAAGTAAATTATTATAGAAGCCCATACACTGGAATATTATGCTGCTGGGAAAAAGAGGAAGTAGAAGAAGGGGGAGGAGGTGGAGGCGGAGGAGGAGGTGGAGGCAGAGGAGGAGGCAGCTCTCCATATAGCAGTATGGAAAGGTCACTGAGATAGGATGCTGAGTGAGAAGAGCCAGGTGCAGAGCATAAGGAGCTGGGTTTTTTTTTTCCTATTAAAGGACTGGGGAGATAAAAATAACATGTTCATATTTGCATAAAGAAACTAGACAAGGACATGTAAGCAACTAATGAAAGACGTTTTGGTGGGAGCAGGAGGGAACTGAAGAAAGAACTTAAACTTTTCATTATTTAGAGTTTTATATATTTTTAGTTTTTTTAGTTTTTTTTTTTTTTTTGAGGCAGGGGCTTGCTCTGTCACCCAGGTGGGAGTGCAGTGGCGTGATCACGGCTCACTGCAGCCTCAACCTCTTGGGCTCAAGCCATCCTTCCACCCCACTTTTTATTTTTGTTGTAGAGACGGGGTCTTGCTATGTTTCCCAGGCTGGTCTCAAATTCCTGGGCTCATGCAATCCTCCTGCCTCCCAAAGTGCTGGGATTACAGGCATGAGCCATTGTATCCAGCCTGTATTTTTAGATTTTTGAACCACACGAATAGCCCCTTTTCAATAATTAAATATATACAATGTATAGGGGGGTTGGGGAGATGTTGATCAAAAGATAAAAATTTTCCCTTAGGAATAAGGTCAAGAGACCTGTTGACTATAGTTTTTTGTTTGTTTGTGTTTTAATTGAGACAGTCTCACTCTGTCGCCCAGGCTGGAGTAGAGTGGAGTAATCTTGCCTCACTGCAACCTCCGTCTCCCAGGTTCAAGCGATTCTCCTGCCTCAGCCTCCTGAGTAGCTGGGATTACAAGTGCCCACCACCACACCTTGCTAATTTTTTTTTGTATTGTTAGTAGAGACGGGGTTTCACTATTTTGGCCAGGCTGGTCTTGAACTCCTGACCTCAGGTGATCTGCCTGCCTTGGCTTCCCAAAGTGGTGGGATTTCAGGTGTGAGCCACTGTGTCTGGCCAGCTATATTTAGTAACAGTGTACTGTGTACTTGAAAATAGCTAAGAGAGTAGATTTTAAGTGTTCTCTCTTTAAAAAAGTGATAAATATGTGAGATAATGTATATGTTAACTGGCTTGATTTAGCTATTCCACAGTGTATATGTATTTCAGAGCATCACGTTGTACACCATTAAATACAAACTATTTTTACTTGTCAATTTAAAAGAATTTTTAAATTAAAATATACTAAATACACTAATTTTTAAAAAAATTACCTCGATATGAACTTAAGTAGTTCTAGTAATTAATTGATATAATAAATATATATTATTTTAGAATAGTGTTTTGAAATTCAGTAGAGGTGGTGGTTGTGCAACATTGTGAATGCACTAAATGCCACTGGATTATTCACTTTTTTTTTTTTTCTTGAGATGGAGTCTCGCTCTGTCGCCCAGGCTGGAGTGCAGTGGCGCGATCTCGGCTCACGGCAACCTCTTCCTCCCGGGTTCAAGTGATTCTCTTGCCTCGGCCTCCCGAGTAGCTGGGATTACAGGCATGTGCCACCATACCCGGCTAATTTTGTGTATTTTTAGTAGAGACAGGGTTTCACCATATTAGCCAGGATGGTCTCAATCTCCTGACCTTGTGACCCGCCCACCTTGGTTGGCCTCCCAAAGTGCTGGGAGCCACCGTGCTCAGCCCGGATTATTCACTTTACAATGGTTATGTTTATGTTATGTCAGTTTCATCTCAATGAAAGAAAAATGAAATAATAAAGAACTGGTGGCGTGGCCAGGTGCAGTGGCTCACGTCTGTAATCCCAGCACTTTGGAGGCCAAGGCAAGAGGATCGCTTGAGGCCAGGGGTTTGAGAACAGCTTGGGCAATGTAGTGAGACCCCACCTCTACAGAAAAATATTTTAAGTTAGCCAGGTGTGGTGGCATGCACCTGTAGTCTCAGTTACTCAGAAGGCTGAGGCTGGAGGATTGCTTGAACCCAGAAGTTTGAGGCTACAGTAAGCAGTGATTGTACTACTGCACTCTAGCGTGGGTGAGAGAGTGAGACCCTGTCTCTAAAATAATAATAATTGATTGACTCAATTTCCTATTGATGGACATTTGAGTCTATTTGTTTTATTTTTTGCAATAACAGCGCTGTGGGTCACAGGTGACCTGTGTCTATATTGTTGTGCATGGGAGGAAGTCGGTCCATGGGGAAAATTGGTCCAGGTGGGCTTGCGGGGCCACAGGCCACACATCTGTGGTGAATACACACAACCTTTGCACTGCACAGACTCATAGACCCAGGGTTATTGCTGCAGCTCTTCAAGCCATGGGGCTCGCTCCAACTCCCCTTCTCCAGGAGGACGGGTGAGGGCCTGTCTCCCTGCAGCCTCACCTGCACTGTGTGCTATCAGATGTTTGGGTTTCTGCCAAATGAATGAGTGAAAATTGGTAACTTGCTATCAATTTGCATGTAGGCTTAATCTGCATGCCCCTTATGAGTTGGGTGGGGGGAACATCATTTCATGAGCTTTCAAGTTGTGGGTTCCAGCCCGCCCTTTCCACAGCTGCAGGGCAGGGCCTCTCACTCTTCCCCGGTGCTGCCCGGCCTCACCCATTGCTAAATTGTCTCTGTGCCTCCACCATACAGAGACAGGGGAGAAGGGCGCCCAGCTGTCAGGTGGCCAGAAGCAGCGGGTGGCCATGGCCCGGGCTCTGGTGCGGAACCCCCCAGTCCTCATCCTGGATGAAGCCACCAGCGCTTTGGATGCCGAGAGCGAGTATCTGGTGAGTCACAGGGTGGTGGGCAATGCGGGGGCAGGAGCGGCTCCAGGTGGCCAGAGCCCCCATCGCCCAGCAGATGGATGCTGAGAAGAGACGGGCCCCAGGAGCTCTCCCAGACTATCAGCCTCCTGGGCTGGTGAATTCCTGGTGTTGAGAGTGGGGAGCCAGGAGCCACTCTGGACCCAGCCTCCAGGCTCCAGGCAGAGCTGTATGGTGTGGGGCAAGAGAAGGCATCAGAATGGGGAGACCTGGGTCATGAGTGGTGGCTTACACCTGTAATCCCAGCACTTTGGGAGGCCGAAGCAGGTGGATCACCTGAGGTCAGGAGTTGCAGACCAGCCTGGCCAACATGGTGAAACCCCATCTCTACTAGAAATACAAAAACTAGCCAGGTGTGGTAGCACATGCCTATAATCCCAGCTACTTGGGAGGCTGAGGCAGGAGAATTGCTTGAACCTGGGAAGTGGAGGTTGCAGTCAGCCGAGATTGTGCCACTGCACTCCAGCCTGGGCGACAGAGCCAGACTCCATCTGGCTCAAACAAACAGACAAAACAAAACAAAATAAAATAGGCCCAGTATGATGGCTCATGCCTATAATCCCAGCACTTTGGGAGGCCAAGGCAGGTGGATCACTTGAGGTCCGGAGTTCGAGACAAGCCTGGTCAATACAGTGAAACCCTGTCTCTACTAAAAATACAAAAATTAGCTGGGCATGGTGGTGCATGCCTGTAACCCCAGCTACTCGGGAGGCTGAGGCAGGAGACTCACTTGAACCCGGGAGATGGAGGTTGCAGTGAGCTGAGATTGTGCCACTGCACTCTAGCCTGGGCGACAGAGTGAGACTCCATCTACAAAAAAAAAAAAAAAAAGGCTGGGCGCAGTGGTTTATGCCTATAATCCCAGCACTTTGGGAGGCCGAGGCGGGTGGATCACCTGAGGTCAGGAGTTCAAGACCAGCCGGGCCAACATGGTGAAATTCCATCTCTACTAAAAATACAAAAGTCCGCCAGGTATGGTGGCAGGTGCCTGTAATCCTAGCTACTTGGGAGGCTGAGGCAGGAGAATAGCATGAACCTGGGAAGCAGAGGTTGCAATGAGCCGAGATTGCACCACTGCACTCCAGCCTTGGCAACAGAGTGAGACTCCATCTGAAAAAACAAACAAACAAACAAAAACAAAAAACAGAATGGGGATACCTGGATTAGCAGCTCCGTCCTACAGTTTATAACTGTGTGACCTCAAGCTAGTGCTTCCCCTCTGAGTCGCATTCTCACTGGTCAGGTGGGCCCAGTCATGTATTTGCAGATGGCTAGCAACCTCAGTCTATGCGCGGATTGATTCATTTGTTACACAGAGAGTTACTGAGCTCTTCTCAGGCACCAGGCACCAGGCACCATTCTGGGGTTATCGTGGGCTAACTAGACAAAGACCCTTGTCCCCATGGTGTTTCCATTCCAGTGGGGAAGGCAGATAAGAAACAAGGAAGGCCAGGCGCGGTGGCTCACACCTGTAATCCCAGCACTTTGGGAGGCCGAGGCCAGGCGGATCACAAAGTCAGGTGTTCGAGACCAGTCTGGCCAACATGGTGAAACCCTGTCTCTACTAAAAATACAAAAATTAGCTGGGTATGGTGGCGGGCACCTGTAATCCCCTAGCTACTTGGGAAGCTGAGGCGTGAGACTCGATTGAACCCACGAGGCAGAGGTTGCAGTGAGCTGAGATCGCACCACCGCACTCCAGCCTGGGTGACAGCAAGACTTAAAAAAAAAAAAAAAAAAAAAGGAGGGGGAAGGGAAGGACCAGAAGACTGGAGGGCCAGGGTAGAGCTGATCCCCCATTCACCAGGTGCCTCATTGTGTCTGGCCCTGAGCTGTCTCCCTTTAAGAAAAACCCAGGAAGCTGGCCATCGTTTGTGAACTGAGCCTCAGAGAGGTTAAGCATCAGCCCATAGGCCGTGGCATGAAGCACGGTTGCGGGTGGGGCGTCCGTGCCATGCAAGCCAGGCCCCCACTGTCCCCGCAGATCCAGCAGGCCATCCATGGCAACCTGCAGAAGCACACGGTACTCATCATCGCGCACCGGCTGAGCACCGTGGAGCACGCGCACCTCATTGTGGTGCTGGACAAGGGCCGCGTAGTGCAGCAGGGCACCCACCAGCAGCTGCTGGCCCAGGGCGGCCTCTACGCCAAGCTGGTGCAGCGGCAGATGCTGGGGCTTCAGCCCGCCGCAGACTTCACAGCTGGCCACAACGAGCCTGTAGCCAACGGCAGTCACAAGGCCTGATGGGGGGCCCCTGCTTCTCCCGGTGGGGCAGAGGACCCGGTGCCTGCCTGGCAGATGTGCCCACGGAGGCCCCCAGCTGCCCTCCGAGCCCAGGCCTGCAGCACTGAAAGACGACCTGCCATGTCCCATGGATCACCGCTTCCTGCATCTTGCCCCTGGTCCCTGCCCCATTCCCAGGGCACTCCTTACCCCTGCTGCCCTGAGCCAACGCCTTCACGGACCTCCCTAGCCTCCTAAGCAAAGGTAGAGCTGCCTTTTTAAACCTAGGTCTTACCAGGGTTTTTACTGTTTGGTTTGAGGCACCCCAGTCAACTCCTAGATTTCAAAAACCTTTTTCTAATTGGGAGTAATGGCGGGCACTTTCACCAAGATGTTCTAGAAACTTCTGAGCCAGGAGTGAATGGCCCTTCCTTAGTAGCCTGGGGGATGTCCAGAGACTAGGCCTCTCCCCTTTACCCCTCCAGAGAAGGGGCTTCCCTGTCCCGGAGGGAGACACGGGGAACGGGATTTTCCGTCTCTCCCTCTTGCCAGCTCTGTGAGTCTGGCCAGGGCGGGTAGGGAGCGTGGAGGGCATCTGTCTGCCATCGCCCGCTGCCAATCTAAGCCAGTCTCACTGTGAACCACACGAAACCTCAACTGGGGGAGTGAGGGGCTGGCCAGGTCTGGAGGGGCCTCAGGGGTGCCCCCAGCCCGGCACCCAGCGCTTTCGCCCCTCGTCCACCCACCCCTGGCTGGCAGCCTCCCTCCCCACACCCGCCCCTGTGCTCTGCTGTCTGGAGGCCACGTGGATGTTCATGAGATGCATTCTCTTCTGTCTTTGGTGGATGGGATGGTGGCAAAGCCCAGGATCTGGCTTTGCCAGAGGTTGCAACATGTTGAGAGAACCCGGTCAATAAAGTGTACTACCTCTTACCCCTAACCTCTGACTTCTACTTGGGCCAACTGCCTCATCGCCCAGTTAGGTTTTTCCACCAGACCACGGCTCTCCTCTCAGCCCTCTCTGGTGGAGTTGCAGAGAGACTTTGGGTGGTCCAGGGCCTCCCCCTGTGTCTGGGAGCCCCATCTGCACTCCTCCCATCCCAGGGTCTCTGGTGTAGACATTCCTGTCTGCCTGTCTCCACGGGGATTGCGCAGGGGGATAGAGACGTTGCCTTGAAATCCCAGGGGCCTCTGTGCTTCCCGGGACAGCTGAACTGAGGCCCAACAAATGCCACCTGTTCTTTTCCATCGGGGCCCAGGCACCCGACACCCACCCCAATCCATGCAGTAAAGAAATATTACCCAGGAGGACAGCTCAATCAGCAGGGAGGTTTGGGCCCGGACACAGGAAGACCCCTGCGGTGGTTATTCTTACTTGCTGAATTGTGAAGAACTCTGGGGTCCCAGGAGGAGGGCTCTGTGCCAACTGGTAGAGTAGTATTTCAATTTTTTTTTTTTTTTTTGAGACAGAGCCTTGCTCTGTCACCCAGATTGGAGTGCAGTGGCACAATCTTGGCTTACTACAACCTCCACCTCCCGAGTTCAAGCGATTCTCCTGCCTCAGCCTCCTGAGTAACTGGGACTACAGGCACCCACCACCACACCCGGCTCATTTTTGTATTTTTAGTAAAGATGGGTTTCACTGTGTTGGCCAGGCTGGTCTCAAACTCCTAACCTCAGATGGCCTGCCCACCTTGGCCTCCCTAAGTGCTGGGATTATAGGCGTGAGCCACCGCGCCTGGCCAGCCTTGTCTTTCTCTTATAAAAGCACTTGTCATTGGATTTAGAGGCCACCTAGATAATCCGGGCTGATCTCATCTAGCGGTCCTTTGCATCTGCAAAGACCCTTTTTTCCAAATACGGTCACTTCACAGGTTCAGGGGTTTGACAAGGGAAGCTTTTGGGGGCCACCACTCAGCCTGCTACAGAGGGGAACTTGCAACCTTGGTTGAAGTTAACCTCAGGACTTCCTTTTTGATTTTAGGAAGCAGAGGGGGTTAAGTTTTCAGAGACTTAGCATATCTTCAGATGTTTCCAGAGAAGTTGGAAATTCCAATTTTCATGTGAGATCAGCTGTTTTTTATGTATTGGCTCAAATTATTTTGACAAAACCGAGGACCAACAAGCACATGTGTAGAGGTGGTCTCCAGCCTGTGCATCTCTAGTTTGTAGCGTCAGTGTTGGACATTCCTGTTCTGCAAAGTCCCTCGCAAGGGGCTTCCTGGCCCCAGCCCAGCCCCGTTCCAGTCTAAGCTCCTCTCCCATCTGCCTGTCTCTTCTCATCCCTGCACTTTCAGGCTGAGAATTCCAGATTCTTCTCCCTCTCCTATGGAGTTAGCTCCAGTGCCTTGATTTGTAAACCCACACCCAAAAGTGCGCCATAGGCAGACAAAAGAACCTTCCAGAGACCGAATTACCTTCTTTTTAGGAGGTACATAGGAGTTTTAAAAAAGTAATGTTTAGGCCAGATGCAGTGGCTCATGCCTGTAATCCCAGCACTTTGGGAGGCCAAGGTGGGTGGATCACGAGGTCAGGAGTTCAAGACCAGCCTGGCCAACATGGTAAAACCCTGTCTCTACTAAAAATACAAAAATTAGCCGGGCGTGTTGGCACACGCCTGTAGTCCCAGCTACTCGGGAGGCTGAGGCAGGAGAATTGCTTGAATCCGGGAGGCAGAGGTTTCAGTGAGCCGAGATCACGTCACTGCACTCCAGCCTGGGTGACAGAGCGAGACTGTCTCAAAAAAAAAAAAAGTTTAATTTTGAAATAATTTTAGATTTACAGAAAAGTCACAAAACAATACAGAAAGTTCCCTTATGCCCCACCCCTCACAGTTTCTCTTCTCTTAAAATCCCACAGTACTGGGGTACATTTGTCACAATTAGGAAACCAACATAGCATGTCACTATCAGTGAAACTGCAAGCTGTATTTGTGTGTCACTAGTTTTCTTACTAATGTCCTCTTTCTGTTCCAGTGTCCCACATTACATTTAAGATAGGAGTGTTTTTGTTTGTTTGTTTGTTTGTTTTTAGAGACAGGTTCTTGCTCTATTGCCCAGACTGGAGTGCAGAGGTGCTATCACAGCTCACTGTAGCCTCAACCTTCTGGGCTCAAGTGATCCTCCCACCTCAGCCTTCAGAGTAGCTGGGGCTACAGGTGCACATCGCCATGCCCAGCTAATTTTTTCTTTTGCTTTTTTTTTTTTTGTAGAGACAGGCCTTGCTTTGTTGAACAGGCTGGTCTCAAACCCCTGGCCTCAATCAATCCTCCCACCTTGGCCTCCCAAAGTGTTGAGCTTATAGGCATGAGCCACCACGCCCAGCTAGAGATATAATGTTTTCTTTTGTTTGTTTTATTTTGGCAGGGTTTTTTGTTTTAGTTTTTGAGACAGGATCTCTCTCTGTCATCCAGGCTGGAGTGCAGTGGCACAATCTTAGCTCGCTGCAACCTCTGCCTCCCTGGTTCAAGCGATTCTCCTGCCTCAGTCTTTTGAGTAGCTGGGACTACAGGCGCCTGCCACCACACCCAGCTAATTTTTTTGTGTTTTTAGTAGAGACAGTGTTTCACCATGTTGGCCAGGCTGGTCTTGAACTCCTGGCTTCAAGTAATCCACCTGCCTCGGCCTCCCAAAGTGCTGAGATTAGAGGTGTGAGCCACTGCGCCCAGCCTAATGTTTTTAAAATTGTTTTTATTGCAGCAACATGCAGACAATATAAAACTTATCATTAGTGACATCTAGTACACTTATGATGTTGTGTAACCATCATCATTATCTAATTCCAGGACATTTTCATCACCCTAACAGAAAACCCTATACCCATTAACAGTCACTCCCCAATTCTTCCTCCACACAGCCCCTGGCCGCCAGCATTCTAAAATCTGGCTCTGCAGATTGGCCCCTCTGGCCTTTTCATGTACATGGAACCCTATACTACGTGGCCTTTCGTGTCTGGCTTCTCTCATCATGTGTACAAGGTCCAACCATGTTGTGGCATGAATCAGCACTTTATTCCTTTTCATGGCTGAATGATATCCTATTGTATGGCTATGCCACATTTTGTTTATCCATTCATCTGTTGATAGATATTTGGGCTGTTTCCACCTTTGGGCTATTGTGAATAGTACTGCTATTAGTGCTGCTAATAGTGGGAACATTCATGTTTTGTTGTTGTTGTTGTTGTTTGAGACGGAGTCTCGCTCTGTCGCCCAGGTTGGAGTGCGGTGATGCAATCTCGGCTCACTGCAAGCTCCGCCTCCCGGGTTCATGCCATTCTCCTGCCTCAGCCGCCCGAGTAGCTGCGACTAGAGGCGCCCACCGCCACACCCAGGTAATTTTTTGCGTTTTTAGTAGAGACGGGGTTTCACCGCGTTAGCCAGAATGGTCTCAATCTCTTGACCTCGTGATCCACCCATCTCGGCCTCCCAAAGTGCTAGGATTACAGGCATGAGCCACCGCGCCCGGCCCAACATTCATGTTTTTTTTGTGGGAGTTTGCTTTCGCCTCTCTTGGGTAGATGCCTGGGAGTGGAATTGCTGGGTCCCATGAGAACTCTGTGCTCAACGTTTTGAGGAACTGCCAGACTGTCTTCCACAGCGGCTGCACCATTTTGCATTCCCACCAGCAATCCATGAGGGTTGCAATTTCCCCACATCCTCACCAACACTTGTTATTTTCTGGTTTTGTTTTTGTTTTTAATTATCACCATCCAGGGCCGGGAACAGTGGCTCACATCTGTAATCCCAGCACTTTGGGAGGCTGAGGCAGGCAGATCGCTTGAGCCCACGAGTTCAAGACCAGCCTGGGCAACGTGGTGAAACCTCATCTCTACTAAAAAATCCAAAAACTGCTAGCCGGGCATGGTGGCACACACCTGTGGTCTCAGCTGTTCATGAGGCTGAAGTGGGAGGATTGCTTGAACTCGGAAGGTGGAGGTTGTGGTGAGCTGGTATCATGCCACTGCACTCCAGCCTGGGTGACAGAGTGAGACTCTGTCTCAAAAACAAACAATATAAAATTGTCACCATCCTGGTGGGTGTGGAGAGTTATGACTTTTAAAGCTGACTTTTTTCTGTTACAATTAATTTAGCAAATGTCACTGTCCTCCTTCTGTCCCACACAGTGTGCTGGGTAAACCAGGAGAAAGTAATTGCAGTCGAGGGCTTTGGGAACAGCACAGTTGGCCAGAGAGACAGATGAGGAAAACAAGCAGGGATG
Organism: Homo sapiens; assembly: GCF_000001405.40. Classification (NCBI taxonomy): domain Eukaryota; kingdom Metazoa; phylum Chordata; class Mammalia; order Primates; family Hominidae; genus Homo; species Homo sapiens. The sequence continues at coordinate 122,924,715 of NC_000012.12, read as the reverse complement.
AGAGAGAATGAAGAGGAGCACGGCACCCCAGGGCTGGCTTAGTCCTGGCGCCAGGACTTAGTTTACTCTGTCATTGTTTCTTTCCCACATTAGAGTTTGTCTTCATCACTGCTGTATTCCCCAGTGCCTAGAACAGTGGCTGACACATAGTATGTGCTCAGTAAACAGCCATTAAAGAAATGTTTGAGCTGAGCATAGAGGCCCATGTCTGTAATTCCAGCTACTCGGGAGGCTTAGGTGGGAGGATCACTTGAGTCCACGAGTTTGAGGCTGCCATGGGCTATGATCGTGCCACTGCACTGCAGCCTGGGCAACAGAGCATGACCCTGTCTCTACAAAATTTGAAAAAGAAAGGAATGATTGAACTCTTCGATATGCCGTAACATAGTGTGAAAACAATGAACACAGTCCAATCACCTCATTTAACAGACAGGGAAACTGAGGCCCAGAGAAAAGAAATGACTGCAGGGTTATAAATGTATTTAGCAGAATGGCCAAGGCTGGAACCCAGGTCCCCACACTCCCTGCTGCTGCCTTCGTCTGGAGAGTGTATTTCAGTTTCCAACTTGCCAGGGCTAAAGACGACCCCAATCCCAGGAAGATGGCAGACTCAGCCCAAGTCAATGCCTGAGGCAGCTGCTGAGCCATGAGAGGTCTCTGAAGTGACTTGGGGTCCTAGGAGCCCACAGGGACCCTGGTGATGACTTCAGGGTGAAGATGTGCACAAAGCACCTTGCGAGGCAGAGCCCCTTCCCCATGCCCCCTGCTATCTGCTGCAGCTCCCCTGTCGACTGGACTGGTCTGTGTCAACCTCACTCTGTGTCGGCAGGTTCAAAAGCCACACCTGAGAAAACGGAAACAGCACAGAGGAGGGTTAAGCCCGATGGCCCTGGCTCTTCAGGGTTTTGTTCCAGAACTTTTGGGGTCATAAATTTCTTGGGAAATTTGATGAAAATTCTAGGAACTCTCCTCAGAAAAATACCCATGCACATAAAGCATTGTATGCAACTTGTGGGAAACGTGTGGTATTTTACAATTCCTCTGTCAGGGGGCCCTGAGTTAAGGACCGTTGCTCCACTGGGATTAACAATTAAGAATTAAAAATTAGCCAATGTAAGTATCAGTGTGGCTGGGCGCCCTGGCTCATGTCTGTAATCCCAGCACTTTGGGAGGCCAAGGCGGGCGGATCACGAGGTCAGGAGATGGAGACCATCCTGGCTAACACAGTGAAACCCCGTCTCTACTAAAAATACAAAAAAAAATTAGCCGGGCGTGGTGGCGGGTGCCTGTAGTCCCAGCTACTCGGGAGGCTGAGCAGGAGAATGGCGTGAACCCGGGAGGCGGAGCTTGCAGTGCGTGGAGGTCGCGCCACTGCACTCCAGCCTGGGCGACAGAGCGAGACTCCGTCTCAAAAAAAATAAATAAATAAATAAGAAGTACTGGTGTAAGGCAGGACACAGTGGTGCACGCCTGTAGTTTCAGCTCCTCAGGAGCCTGAAACGGGAGGATTGCTTGAGCCTGGGAGGTTGAGGCAGCAGTGAGCCATGATGGCGCCACTGCACTCCAGCCTGGGCGACAGAGTGAGACCCTGTCTTAAGAAAAAAAATGCCGAGCACTGTGGCTCACAACTGTAGTCCCAGTACTTTGGGAGGCTGAGGCAGGTGGATCACTTGAGTCTAGGAGTTCAAGACCAGCCTGGGCAACATAGTGAGACCCCATCTCTACTAAAAACTTTAAAAAAAAGAAGAAGAAAAATTAGCCAGGTGTAGTGGCGTGTGCCTATAGTCTCAGCTACTCCGAAGGCTGGGATGGGAAAATCGCTTAAGCCCAGGAATTCAAGGCTGCAGTGAGCCCATAATTGTGCCACTGCACTCCAGCCCGGGTGATAGAGCGAGACCTTCTCTCTAAACAATAAAATAATAATAATAATAGATTGGAAGGCTACACAACCAATTCATGTTGGAGTTTGTCTGGGTATTGAAGACAAAAGCATGAAGATATGCAATACCTTACTTCTTTAAGAATAAAAATAGACTTGGCTGGGTGCAGTGGCTCACACCTGTAATCCCAGCACTTTGGGAGGCCAAGGTGAGCGGAACACTTGAGGCCAGGAGTTCGAGACCATCTTGGCCAGCATGGCAAAACCCATCTCTACTAAAAATACAAAAATTAGCCGGGCGTGGTGGCACATGCCTGTAGTCCCAGCTACTCGGGAAGCTGAGGCAGGAGAATCACTTGAACCCGGGAGGCGGAGGTTGCAATGAGCTAAGATCGTGCCACTGCACTCCAGCCTGGGCAACAGAGTGAGACTCCATCTCAAAACAATGAAGTCCATATTTCTAAAAAATAAAAATAAAAAAATTAAAAAGACTCAAAGCAAAGAGAGGAAATCGTTAGCAATGGCTAGTCCTGAGCGGTGGGTACCATGTGTTTGTTATATTGTTCTATGTACATTTCTGAATACTAGAATTTTCTTCAGGGGTAGGAGAGGGAACACTGTAAACAAACTAAACAAACCCTGGCATGATAAGTGCTGCTGTGGCCCAGGAAGACTTCCTGGGAGAAATGGAAAGCAGCTGTTCTGACTTCTGTTGACTGAAAATAGCAGTCGTTAAGCCACCCAACAGCAAGCCAGTGCATCCGGCTGAGAACCTGGCCCAGACCTGAGCGGCCGGCCGGGCGTCTCCACCTCCTCCCTCCCTAGCCGCCTCTATTCAATGAGCCCAGCCTGAAACAGGGGCCTGGCATTCTAGACAGTTCCACAGAGAAGAAACTCTGGAACCCAGCACTGACACAGCCATTGCTGCTGACCATTTGTTTCTGGCCCCAGGTAAGGAAGCTGTTATTTCAAATAATAATACGGACAATTTTTTAAATTTTTTTTTTGGCAGAGGGAGCTCAGAAGGAGGTTAATTCTTTAATGTTTGCTTTTTGTTTTGTTTTGAGACAGAGTCTCTGTCTCCCAGGGTAGAGTGCAGTGGCGCGATCTCCGCTCACTGCAAACCCCGCCTCCCATATTCAAGCGATTCTCCTGCCTCAGCCTCCCGAGTAGCTGGGATTACAGGCATGTGCCACCACACCCAGCTGATTTTTGTATTTTTAATAGAGATGGAGTTTCATCATGTTGGCCAGGCTGGTCTCGAACTCCTGACATCAGGTGATCCACCTGCCTCGCTCTCCCAAAGTGCTGGGATTACAGACGTGAGCCACTGTCCTCGGCCAATGTTTGCTTTTTAAATTGTGGTAAAATACACATAACATAACATTAACCATTGCATTTATTTATTATTGTTATTTTTTAGAGACAGGGTCTTGCTCTGTTGCCTAGCCTGGAGTGCAGTGGTGCCATCATAGCTCACTTCAGCCTTGAACTTCTGGGCTCAACTGATCCTTCTGCCTCAGGCTCCTAAATAGCTGGGACTACAGCCTGTGCCACCATGCCTGGCTAATTTTTAGATTTTCTGTAGAGACAGAGTTGTGGTTATGTTGCCTAGGCTGGTCTTACATTCCTAGTTTCAAGCGATCCTTCTGCCTCGGCCTCCCAAAGTGCTGGGATTACAGGTGTGCCCCATCACGCCCAGCCAACCATTTTAAATTGCATGATCCAGAGGCATTAAGCAGACTCCCAATGTTTCCTTTGACATTTAGCAAGCATATTTATTATCTTCTTAGATCTGAATGACCAGCCTGCAGATATCAGAACCGAGATGGATTGATGATGATGACAATGATAACCATTCAGGTATAAAACATTTTCAGTGCAGCAAACACGAGTCTATGCGCTTTATGTGATTTTTTTTTTAAGACAGGGGTCTCACTCTGTTGCCCAGGCTGGAGTGCAGTGGTACGATCTCACCTCACTGCAACATCTGCCTCCCAGACTCCAGTGAGCCTCCCACCTCACCCTCCCAAGTAGCTGGGACTACAGGCATGTGCCACCATGCCTGGCAAAATTTTTTTTTTTTGTATTTTTTGTAGAAACGGGGTTTCACCATGTCACCCAGGCTGGTCTCAAAGTCCTGACCTCAAGTGATCCTCCCACCTTGGCCTCCCAAAGTACTGGGATTACAGGTGTGAGCCACTATGCCTGGCCCACTTTATGTGACTTTAACGCTTTTAATCCTCACAACAAGTCTATGAAGCAGCTACTACGGTTAATGCAGTTTTTTCAAAAAAGAAAAATGAGGTTAAGTAACCTGCAAAAATTAAGTGGCACAGCACTGGGAACTGAACACAGGCAGCCCGAACCCTGACCAGAGCCCTGAACCTTTTCCCTAGACTGGGGACAGGTTTATAGGCTTATCTAATCTCCACCCAAATTATTTTCCACCTTTGCCTTTTTTTTTTTTTTTTCCTTTGCAGTTGTCACTAAGGGCTGCTTGTTGCACCTCAGGAGCTGGGGATAGTGAAGGAGATACCTGTGCTGAGTCACTAACAGGAAAGGGCTGAGAAAGAAGCATCGCCAATGGTTTCTCTTTCCTGGTTTTTATTCTTTCCTCAGAGAGGAGGAAGTTGACCATTTAAACAGGTGAGTTGGCTGGGCGTGGTGGCTCATGCCTGTAATCCCAGCACTTTGGGAGGCCGAGGCAGGCGGACCACTTGAGGTCAGGAGTTGGAGACCAGCCTGGCCAACATGGTGAAAACTCATCTCTACTAAAAACACAAAAATTAGCCAGGTGTGGTGGGGAGGCTGAGGCAGGAGAATCACTTGAACCCGGGAGGCAGAGGTGGCAGTGAGCCGAGATTGTGCCTCTGAACTCCAGCCTGGACGACAGAGTGAGACTCCATCTAAAATAAATAAATAAATAAATAAATAAATAAATAAATAAATAAACAAACAAACAGATGAGTCACCCAGGGGGAGGTCCTAACAGCGACCTAAGGTGACAGTGACAGTGCCTCACATTATTACAGCTCTTTACCTTTGACTACCTGAGATCAGTCATTCAGTAAGCATTTATTGAGAACCTCCGTCTACCAGAAACTGTGCTAGGTTGTGGGTCACAGTGGAGACTAAGAGGTCCGAGATCACCTACATCCTACTGGGTAATAAACTCCAGATGGTGAAAAGATGGCAGCAGACAAGAGAGTGACTTGGGAGAGGAGCACTGTTTGAGCTGGGGTGGTCTGGGGAGGTGATATGGGAGCTGAGCCCTGAATGACAAGGAGGTACCAGCTTTGGGTATCTAGAGGAAAGAATGATCCCAACCACAGTCTGGCACTTCCTCAAAAAGCTCAACATGGACCTGGGCACAGTGGCTCACAGTTGTAATCCCAGCACTTTGGGAGGCTGAGGCGGGAGGATTGCTTGAAGCCAGGAGTTTGAGAACAGCCTGGGCAACATAGTGGGACCCCATCCCTACAAAAATTTAAAAATCAGCCAGGCGTGGTAGTGCATACCGGTCGTCCCAGCTACTTGTGTGGCTGAGGCAGGAGGATCCTTTGAGCTCAAGGAGGTTGAGGCTGCAACGAACCATGGTGGTGCCACTGCACTCCAGCCTGGATGACAGAGTGAGACCTCGTCTCTAAAAATAATAAAATAAAGCCAAAAAGTGCAAACAATCCAATGTATGAATGGATAAACAAACTGCAAACCGTGGTATGCACATACTGTGGGATATGATTCAGCTGTAGAAAGGAATGAAGTGCTGGTACATGCTATAACATAGATGGTCCTTAGAAGCATTATGCAAATGAAAGATGCCAGGCAGGGAAGGTCACCTATGGTATGATTCTTTTTACATGATATATTCAGAAGAAGCAAATCTATAGGGATAGAAAGCAGATTAGAGGTTACCAGGGCATGGGGAGGGAGGAATGGGGAGTGACTGCTTGCTGGATACAAGATGTTTTTTACAGGGTGATGAGAAAGTTTGGAAGCTGGAGAGACCTGGTGTTTGCACAATATTGTGAATACATTTAATACCAATGCATTTGTACACTTTAAAATGGGTAAGTGGCCAGGTGCAATGGCTCATGCCTGTAATCCCAGCACTTTAGGAGGCCGAAGTGGGAGGATCGCTTGAGCCCAGGAGTTCGAGACCAGCCTGGGCAACATAGGGAGACCCCATCTCTACAAAAAATAAAATATTAGTCGTGCGTGGTGGCCTGTGCCTATAGTCCCAGTTACTTCACAGACTGAGGGGGGATGATTGCTGGGCCCAGGAGTTTGAGGCTGGAGTGAGCCATGATTGTACCACTGCACTTCAGCCTGGGTGACAGATTGAGACTCTGTCTCAAAAATAAAAAAGAAAAAAAGGTTAAGTGCATGTCATGTGAATTTCACCTCATCAAGGAAAAAAAAAAAAGATAAGTAGGGGAGGAGATGGATCCCACAAAGGATTGTGAAGTACAGAGACCTCCAGACAGCAAGAGGTGGGACATCTGCCAAGCAGGACACGGCCAGGGGACAGAGTGGGGGGCACCCAAGGGAGGAAGGAGGAGGGGACAGGAAGGCGAGGGCTCCTGGGGCCATGGCGAGGTAGTTGACTTTTATTTCATGAAAACTGGGGGCATTGAAGGGTTCTGATCAGGGCGTGACCTGATTGATCCTTGGGCTCAGTGTGGAGAAGGTACTGGACGAGGACCCAGAGAAGTGGCTCCCCCAACACCCCGGGCAGCCAGGCCTGGGCTCACCCCACTCTGTAGATAAGGAAATGCTGCCTGCAGAGGCTGCAGCCACGGTCTCATCGCCAAACCTTCTGCAACCCTTATTCAGCATGTCCTGCTGTTATTTATAGCTGAAGGAACCTTGCGAGTGGAGGGTGCATGGAGAAATGCTTCAAGGAATTTTCTGCTCTGCATACAGCAACAAGCAGTGGCCAGCAAGGGCCCCGGGGCAGCAGCACAGGCCCACACAGACATGCAATAGAGGTCCTTTACCTCCCCTGGACCCAGGTCCATGCTGGGCACGCCCTGGCTGGGAAGAACTAATTCAGGGCAGTTACACAAGCGCTGCCCGAGGCCCTGTGTTGACAAGGCCTGGTCAGCTGCCAGATAAATTCCTTACCTCTGGTCCTTAATGATCTGGCTTTTCTGGACAATCCATGGCCTAAAGAAAGGGAAGATTCTTTTCAAACTGGAGCCTGGCTGGAGGCCATGAGACCGTAGTGGTGACTGATGTGTGCTGGCTCTGGCTGAGGACAGGCTTCTCCAGAACAGGAAGATGGCTGCTTTGGGGACATCTGGATTGGACATCCTTCATGCCCCACTGCCACCAGGCAGTCTCCCCTGATTTCTCACTACCATAGCTGGTCTCCTCCATCTTCATTTATTTGGCCTGTGTGGGCTTTTCTAGCATGTTGTTTGCTCTTCAAACACTCTAGGAATTTCTTAAAGGCTGGTACCTGTGTCCTCATGTAGCAGGTGTGCTCCCTGCTCACAGTAGGTGCTTTTCTTTTCTCTCTCTCTCTCTTTTTTTTTTTTTTTTTTTTTTTTTTTTTTGAGACAGGGTCTTGTTCTGTCGCCCAGGCTGGAGTGCAGTGGTGCAATCTCGGCTCACTGCAACTTCTGCCTCCTGGGTTCAAGCAATTCTCATGCCTTAGCCACACAAATAGCTGGGATTACAGGCATATGTCACCCTGCCCAGCTAATTTTTGTATTTTCAGTAGAGATGGGGTTTCACCATGTTGGTCAGGCTGGTCTCGAACTCCTGACCTCAAATGATCCACCTGCCTCGGCTTCCCAAAGTGCTGGGATTACAGGCGTGAGTCACCGTGCCTGGCCTGATGGTTCCTTTCTGACTCATCTCAGACTCATCATGGTGGAAATGAAGCCTTGAGATTTTCTCCCAAACTTGTTTTCCTCTTAGTCTGAGTTAATGGCACCGTATGCTGGTTGCTTAAATTGAAAAATCTCAGTGTCGTACCTGACTCCTCCCTTTCCCCGTGACCTGTCGGAGCGTCGGCTGGACTTCCTGTGTTGGAGTCTATTTCCCGATCCCTTTGCCCCACCCGAATCCAAGCTACCTTAGCACCTGCAGGGCTGCCCGGCTCTCCTTATTCATTCTGCACACGGCAGCCTTCTTTTTTTTTTTTTTTTTTTTAACATCGACTTTATTCGACTTTATTTTTTAGAACAGTTTCACAGAAAAATTGTGAAAATAGTACAGAGAATTCTCATATACCCCTCAGCCATTTTCCCTTGCTATTAGCATCTGATGTTAGTGTGCTGCATTTGTCACAATTAATGAACCAATATTAATGCATTGTTATTCACAGAAGTCTATACTTTATTCAATTTTCTTAGTTTTTCCCCAACGCCCTTTTCTGTTCCAGGATCCTGAAACTGCCTTTACCAAATTATGACAGTTAAAAAAAAAAAAAATCTGGCTGGGCGTGGTGACTCACGCCTGTAATCCCAGCACTTTGGGAGGCCGAGGCAGGCAGATCGCGAGGGCAGGAGATCAAGACCATCCTGGCTAACACGGTGAAATCCCGTCTCTACTAAAAAAACAAAAAATTTGCTGGGCATGGTGGTGGGCGCCTGTAGTCCATGCTACTCGGGAGGCTGAGGAAGGAGAATGGCGTGAACCCGGGAGGTGGAGCTTGCAGTGAGCCGAGATCACGCCACTGCACTCCAGCCTGGGCGACAGAGCAAGACTCCGTCTCAAAAAAAAAAAAAAAATCTGACATAGCTGACTCCACCTTGCCTCTAACCTCCAAGCTGTCCTTGTTCATTCCTGAGCATAGGCCAAGCTAACTTTGGGAGGAATTTAGTTTATAGTTTAATCTTAAGGATGAAAATAGCCCTTCCCAAAACAATCCTTTCCTTGCTCGGAGATCAAAACTGCCCTTGTAAAACTAACAAATTAGCCACAAGGGTAGAAATCATGACTCAGAGCCAGGCACCGTGGCTCATGCCTGTAATCCCAGCACTTTGGGAGGCTGAGGCAGGTGGATCACTTGAGGTTGGGAGTTTGAGACCAACCTGGCCAATATGGTGAAACCACGTCTCTACTAAAAATACAAAAATTAGCCAGGTGTGGCGGTGTGCACCTGTAATCCCAGTTACTCGGGAGGCTGAGACACAAGAATCACTTGAACCCAGGAGGTGGAGGTTGCAGTGAGGGGAGATCGTGTCAGTGCACTCCAGCCTGGGCGACAGAGCGAGACCCTGTATATATAAAAAAAAAGAAATTAGGGTTCAGGAATTGTGTAGCCAGAAGTCACAAGATTCATAACCTCCCCAATTGCTCCTAGAGATAACATCACTATCATCAAGCCTAAGATTGGTGTTCGAGATGTTTCTTTTTAATCAGTGTTGACCAGGTTGGTCTCGAACGTGTAGCCTCGCCTCCCCAAGTGCCAGGGCAACCGGCCTGAGCCACGACAGCTCCCTCGAGGTGTTTCTTAGACCCTACATTCTGATGGACCAATTGGCGCCACCCAGACTGGTAAACTGGCTCAACTGGTCTTGTGATCCCACCCAGGAGCTGAGGATGACAAGAAGACAGCTTCAACCTCCTGTGATTTCATTCCTGACCCAACCAATCAGCATTCCCGGTTCCTTAGTCCTCTACCCACTATATTATACTTAAAAAAACCCTGGTCTCCAAATTTTTGGGGAGACTGATTTGAATAGTAAACTCCCATCTTCTGCTTGATTGGTAGTGTGTTTACTAAACATTTTCTCTATGGCAATACCACTGTCTTGGTAAATCAGCTCTGTCTGAGCAAGGGGCAAGAAAACTCCGTCGCGTAATTACAATCCCACATTACATTACATTACATTACATTACATTACATTTATTTATTTATTTTTGAGACATGGTCTCATTCTGTCACCCAGGCTAAAGTGCAGTGGCACCATCTCAGCTCACTGCAACCTCCACCTCTCAGGTTCAAGCGATTCTCCTGCCTCAGCCTCCCAAGTAGCCAGGATTACAGGTGCACGCCACCACGCCCGGCTAACTTTTGTATTTTTGGTAGAGACGGGGTTTCACTGTGTTGGCCAGGCTGGTCTTGAACTCCTGGCCTCAGGTGATCCACCCGCCTCGGCCTCCCAGAGTGCTGGGCTGACAGGCGTGAGCCCCCGCGCCCGGCCCCACATTATATTTAGTAGTCATGTCTCCTTAGTTTCCTCCTGGCTGTGACAGTTTCTCTGACACTTTTTGTTTTGATGACTTTGACTGTTTTGAGCAGCACTGGTCAGGGATTTCGTAGGTTGTCCCCTGCTAGGATTTGTTTGATATTTTTCTCATGATTAGACATGGCGATGGGTTTTAGGGAGGATGCCATTTTCATCAAATCCTATCAAACGCACACACAATCATTATGACCTGTCACTGTTGATGTTGACCTTGATCACCGCTGAGGTCATTCATGTTGATCAGGTTTCTCTACTGTGAAGTCACTCTTCCCACTTTCCAGACTGTGTCCCTTGCTTTTTTTTTTTTTTTAGGCAGAGTCTCATTCTATTGCCAAGGCTGAAGTGCAATGGCTGATGCTGGCTCACTGCAACCTCTGCCTCCTGGGTTCAAGTGATTCTCCTGCCTCAGCCTCCCGAGTAGCTGGGACTACAGGCATGCACCACTAGACCTAGCTATTTATGTATTTTTAGTAGAGACAGGGTTTCACCATGTTGGCCAGGCTGGTCTCAAACTCCTGACCTCAGGTGATCTGCCCGCCTCGGCCTCCCAAAGCTGGGATTACAGGCATTAGCCACTGCGTCTGGCCACACTGACCTTCTTTCTTTACGTCAAACATGCCAACCTTGTCCCCACCTCTGGGCCTGTGCATAACTCTTCCCTCTGCCTGGAACCCCCTTCCCTAATATTCTCATGGCCAGCTCCCTGTCATCATCCAGGTCTCTCTCTACCCAAATATGTCTCCGCTCCTGGGAAATCCTGGGAAATCCTGAACCCCTTAGGAGTGTTCACCATATTGGTTTTTTTTGAGACAGAGCCTTGCTCTGTCCCCTAGGCTGGACTGCAGTGGTCCATCTCGGCTCACTGCAACTTCTGCCTCCCGGGTTCAAGGGATTCTCCTGCCTCAGCCTCTGGAGTGTCTGGGACTACAGACACCCACCACTATGTCTGGATAATTTTTGTATTTTCAGTAGAGATGGGGTTTTACCATGTTCGCCAGACTGATCTCAAACTCCTGGGCTCACATGATCCTCCTGCCTCGGCCTCCCAAAGTGCTGTGATTACAGGTGTAAGCCACCATGCCCAGTCCACTCGTGTCTTCTAAACTCCACCTTTGTGACTGCTCCTTGGTAATTTGGCATCAACCATGGCAGGAGTTTTTACACTACAGGAAGTGGTAAGTACTACAAATTAATACTCTTTCCCAGGTACTCTTTTGTACTTTTTTATTTATTTTAATTTTTTAAATCTTATAATAGAGACAGGTCTTGCTATGTTGGGCAGGCTGGTCTCAAACTTCTGACTTCAAGTGATCCACCCGCCTCACCCTCCCAAAGTGCTGGGATTACAGGCATGAGCCACCACACCCAGCCCAGATTCTTTTTCTTCCCCCAGGAAAAAAAAAAAAGCCTTCTTCGGCCAGGCGCGGTGGCTCATGCCTGTTATCCCAGCACTTTGGGAGGCTGAGGCGGGCGGATTACCTGAGGTCAGGAGTTCGAGACCAGCCTGGCCAACATGGTGAAACCCCGTCTCTACTAAAAATACAAAAACTAGCCATGGGTGGTGGCACACACCTGTAATCCCAGCTACTCGGGAGGCTGAGGCAGGAGAATTGCTTGAACCTGGGAGGCGGAGATTGCAGAGAGCCGAGATCATGCCACTGCACTCCAGCCTGGCCGACAGAGCAAGACTCTGTCTCAAAAAAAAAAAAAAAAAAAAAAAGGCCTTCTGATTACTTCATTTTCTGAATCCCCCTGGAATAAGCCATTCTCATTCACGGTGTTGGTGAACTTCCTATGACCCCTCTCAAGTTGGTTGCTGGACTAGGTGCTTTTTGAGCCTTGGTTCTGCCTCTGTTTTACATAGAACATGCGCAAGTCACTTAACCTTGTTATGTACAAAATATCTATATCATGAATATACTGAGAGAAATAAAGGTGAAAGCATTCATGAAAATAAATACCTGGAAAGTACCTTTTCCCAAGTATTTCCAGGTAGCTGATTGCTAAACATTTATTTGGATAACCATTGAGGGATATCGCTGACCCCAAACTCAGGGGACAGTAAAGAAGTTTTCCTTGAGGCCGGGCGTGGTGGCTCATGCCTGTAATCCCAGCACTTTGGGAGGCCGAGGTGGGTGGATCACCTGAGGTTGGGAGTTTGAGAACAGCCTGACCAACATGGGAGAAACCCCATCTCTACTAAAAATACAAAATTAGCTGGATGTGGTGCCGCATGCCTGTAATCCCAGCTATTCGGGAGGCTGAGGCAGGAGAATCGCTTGAACCCAGGAGCTGGAGGTTGCGGTGAGCCAAGATCACGCCATTGCACTCCAGCCTGGGCAACAAGAGCGAAACTCTGTTTCAAAAAAAAAAAGAAGAAGAAGAAGAAGTTTTCCTTGACGCCGCACAAACCAGAAAAAGGAAAAGCAAGAGGGAGAATAAATAATTCCTGAAAGATTGTTGCCACCGGCCTGCCTGCCCGTGGATACAAATCAGCTGGAGGCACAGGGAACTGAAGCTGGGAACTCGATCTGAGGTCACCCTGATTGGCGGTGCCCAAGAGTGCGGCAGAAGCAGGTGCACATCTTCTCCAGAGGAGAGCTCCTTCCTTCTAGGCCTCAGAGAATTCCCCACAAATAACTTTTCCAGGGCAATAACCAACACACATGGTCCATAGGGAAACAAGACCATGTGAACAGGAACCAGAAGAAACAGGCAGCAGAAGCAGACTCACACAGACCTCAGACGCTGAAATTATCCAACACAGATTCTAAAACAGTTATGCTCAACGGTTTAAAAAAGTAATCATCGGGGCTGGTGCAGAGGTTCATGCCTGTAATCCCAGTGCTTTAGGAGGCCGAGGCAGAAGGACTGCTTGAGGCCAGGAGTTCAAGAACAGCCGGGGCAACATGGCAAGACCCTCATACTACAAAAGATTTTTTTAAAAAATTAACTGGAGGAGAATGGCGTGAACCCGGGAGGCGGAGCTTGCAGTGAGCCGAGATCGCGCCACTGCACTCCAGCCTGGGCGACAGAGCAAGACTCCGTCTCAAAAAAAAAAAAAAAAAATTAACTGGGCATGGTGGCATGTACCTGCAGTCCCAGTTACTCAGGAGGCTGTGGCAGGAGGATCCATTGAGCCCAAGATTTCCAGGGTACAGTGGCTATATGATTGTACCACTGCACTCCAGCCTGGTGACAGAGAGGCCCTGTCTCTAGAAAACAACAGCAACAAAATCATCAAGCTTGAAAACATTTACAAGGAATATAAGGCTATAAAAAATAACAGATTTCTTTTTTTTTTTTTTTGAGAGAAAGTCTAGTTCTGTTCCCCAGGCTGGAGTGCAGTGGCTCGATCTCAGCTCACTGCAACCTCCGCCTCCTGGGTTCAAGTGATTCTCCTGCCTCAGCCTCCCGAGTAGCTGGGATTACAGGCACGCACCACCATGCCTGGTTAATTTTTTTTGTATTTTAGTAGAGACAGGGTTTCACCATGTTGGCCAGGCTTGTCTCGAACTCCTGGGCTCAAGCGATCAGCCCTCCTCGGCCTCCCAAAGTGCTGGGATTACAGGTGTGAGTCACTGTGCCTCGCCATAACATATTCCAAAAAGAACAAAATAGAACTTTTAGAAACTTAAAAAATAAATAAGGAATAATCTCAATTATTGTATGTGACAGAAGATTGTTCATGGTGGAAGAATTAGTGAGATAACAGAAGTTATGGCTGGGCAGTGGCTCACGCCTGTAATCCCACCACTTTGGGAGGCCAAGGAGGGCCGATCACTTGAGCCCAGGAGTTCGAGACAAGCCTGGCCAACACGGTGAAACCCCATCTCTACTAAAATATAACAACAACAACAACAACAAAATTAGCCAGGCGTGGTGGTGTATGCCTGTGGTCCCAGCTACTCGGAGGCTGAGGCAGGAGAATCGCTTGAACCTGGGAGGTAAAGGTTGCAGTGAGCCGAGATGGCACCACTGCACTCCAGCCTGGGTGACAGAACGAGACCCTGTCTCAAAAAAAAAAAAAAACAAAAGTTATCCAGAATGTAACACAGAGAGACAAAAAGAAAATACCAAAGGGAGAAGAAGAGAGTTGGAAGGTTCTTTGAGAAATGTTGTCATACATTTGTTTGGAGTTGCAGACAGAGAGGCAAGAGAGAATGGCATGAGAACTCTCTGAATCGCTAATGGCTGAGAATGGTCCAGAACCGACGAAAAACAACCTGCAGGTTTGAGGAGGCCAATATTTGCTGAATGAATGAATGAATAAGTGGGGGGAGATGCCTTGATCAACGTGCCTGCCACCTCCCTTCCCCTCACATGGGGGCTGCCATGGTCCGAGAGCCCGTTCCTCGCCCTCCCAGGCTCTACACAGTGGGAGCCCATCCATGCCATTGAAAACCCATCTGCCTGCTGCCAGCCCTTCCTGCCAGATGTCCTTCACCCACTGTTCAGCCTTTGTTGTCTTGCCCCCGCCTCCCTAGTTATCTGCGTGGCTTAAAATAGACAGGCCAGGGGAGGAATGTTGCCCAGCTACTCAGTGGCAACAAGCCTGCGACCTCAGACAGTTTCCAAAATGTGCCCCTCAGGGAAGAGGAATATGTCAACCTGGTTAGCGGTCTTCTCTCCTGGAACAAAAGGAAACATTTCAAATTCAGAAAAACAATCCAAACACCCTTCCAACTGAGAGGGCAGGAGGGAAGAGGGTTAGAAAGGGCGCCTGGTGTTTTCGTTTCATCTGTTGAGCCCCAACCAGGCTTCAGGGCAACCACACACCACTAACTGGCTGCCAAGGCCTGGCTTACCAAGGCGGCATGATCTTCCATATGCATGTTTTTCTGTCAATATAAAGCCTTGTTTTTGTAGTGGAGTGGAGATAGGAATTAGTCCCATTTTTCAGATGGGAAAGTTGAGGTCCCAGAAGCAAAGTACTGTCGTTTGCTCCTCCTCTTAATGACCACAACCCAAGTTATTTGGACTAGGTCGTTTTCTTCTTGTTTTTTGAGACAGGGTCTTGCTCTGTCATCCAGGCTGGAGTGCAGTTGTGCAATCTTGTCTCACTGCAAACTCCACTTCCCAGGCTCAAGTGATCCTCCCATCTCAGCCTCCTGAGTAGCTGGGATTACAGGCACAAGCCACCATGCCTGGCTAAATTTTTTTGTATTTGTAGTAGAGATGGAGTCTCATCACATTACCCAGGCTGAAACAATTGGATTTTATTCTCGTAATAAAATCCAATTGTGGCACTATAAGGAAAACAGCTGTATATGATCTGGTTTTATTACCTGAAATTATCTTGGTTATATAACTTGTTTACTTGATTGGCATCTATTTGCTCTTTAGAGGAATATAAACTTCATGGGTGCAAAGGTGTTGCCTGTTTGGTTCACTGCTGTATTCTCAGCGTTTACAGCTCTAAGCGATCTGCCTACCTTGGCCTCCCAAAGTGCTGGGATTACAGTTGTGAGCCATCATGCCCAGCTCTAGGTAGTTTCTTCTCGTTAAAACTGCATATCAGGCCAGGCGCAGTGACTCACACCTGTAATCTCAGCACTTTGGGAGACCAAGGCGAGGCAGGAGGATTGCTTGAGTTTATAGTGAGCTATGACGGTGCCACTGCTCTCCAGCCTGGGCAACACAGCCAGACCCTGTCTCTAAAAAAAGAAAAAAAAACTGTACATCATCACCTACCACCATGAATCAAGTTCCTTTTGTAAGCCTGGGCAACATAACAAGACCCCATTTCTACAAAAAAATTTTAAATATTAGACAGGTGTGGTGGCACGTTCCTGGGGTTTCAGCTAATTGGGAGGCTGAGGTGGGAGAGTTGCTTCAGCCCAGGAAGATGAGGCTGCAGTGAGCTGTGATCTCACCACTGCACTCCAGCCTGGGCGACAGTGTGAGACCCTGTCTCAGAAAAAAAAAAAAGTTCCTATTTACACAAATTGTGCTCTCAAATTCTGTAGAGAAGACTGTCTGGTTTTCCTGACCCTCAAGTTTACAGTTAATTGGCAGAGACAGGTCAAATGCAGGTGGCAAAGGTTTCAGGCAGCTTATAAAAAAGAATACAAACAAGCAGATGTCGATAGATAGCACATGATGGTTCAATGGCGGGGGAGTGGCACCATTATCACAAGCAATGCTGGCCTTCCACGACCCCTTCCCCATGAACAGCCAGAGGGGCCTTTAAAAAAAATGGCTTTGGCCGGGCGCGGTGGCTCACGCCTGTAGTCCCAGCACTTTGGGAGGCCGAGGCGGGTGGATCATGAGGTCAGGAGATCGAGACCATCCTGGCTAACACGGTGAAACCCCGTCTCTACTAAAAATACAAAAAATTAGCCAGGCGCGGTGGCGGGCGCCTGTAGTCCCAGCTACTGGGGAGGCTGAGGCAGGAGAATGGCGTGAACCCGGGAAGCGGAGCTTGCAGTGAGCCGAGATTGCGCCACTGCAGTCCGCAGTCCGGCCTGGGCGACAGAGCGAGACTCCGTCTCAAAAAAAAAAAAAAAAAAAAAAATGGCTTTATTGAGATACAGAGGGACCTGAAATTGTGAATTGTCATTTCCCTGCTTAAAACTCTTCATTGGGCCGGGCGCAGTGGCTCACGCCTGTAATCCCAGCACTTTGGGAGGCTGAGGCGGGCGGATCATGAGGTCAAGAGATTGAAACCATCCTGGCCAAAATGGTGAAACCCTGTCTCTACTTAAAAAAAAAAAAAAAAAAAAAAATACAGGCCGGGCGCAGGGGCTCATGCCTATAATCCCAGCACTTTGGGAGGCCGAGGCAGGCAGATCATGAGGTCAGGAGTTCGAGACCAGCCTGGCCAATATGGTGAAACCTTGTCTCTACTAAAAATACAAAAAATTAGCCGGGCATGGTGGCTCATGCCTCTAATCCCAGCTACTCGGGAGGCTGAGGCAGGAGACTCAGTTGAACCCAGGAGGTGGAGGTTGCAGTGAGTGGAGATTGCGCCACTGCACTCCAGCCTGGGCGACAGTGTGAGGCTCCGTCTCAAAACAAACAAACACACAAACACAAAAATTAACTGGGCATGGTGGCACGTGCCTGTAGTCCCAGCTCCTCGGGAGGCTGGGGCAGGAGAATCACTTGAACCCAGGAGGCAGAGATTGTAGTGAGCCAAGATTGCGCCATTGTACTCCAGCCTGGGCACAGAGCCAGACTCCGTCTCAAAAACAAACAAACAAACAAAAAAAGACAAAAAAAAAAAAAACCTCTCCATTGGCTGGGTGCCGTGACTCACGCCTGTAATCCCAGCACTTGGGAGGCCGAAGCAGGAGGATCACCTGGCCAACATGGCGAAACCCCGTCTCTACTAAAAATACAAAAATTAGCCGGGCATGGTGGTGGGCACCTGTAATCCCAGCTACTCAAGAGACTGAGGCAGGAGAATCGCTTGAACCCAGGAGGCGGAGGTTGCAGTGACCTGAGGTTGTGCCATTGCACTCCAGCCTGGGCCACAGAGTGAGACTCCGTCCCAAAAAACAAAACAAACAAAACCCCAGAAAACCCCTCTCCATTGTTTCCTACTGTTCTCATAATAAAATCCACTTGTGTCACTATAATAAAAAAGGCTGTATATGATCTGGTTGTGTTATTACCTGAAATTATCCTAGTTACATAACTAGTTTATGTGATTGGCATCTGTTTTCTCCTTATTGGAATGTAAACTTCATGGGGGTGAAGGTGTTGCTTGTTTGGTTCACTGCTGTATTCTCAGTGTTTAGAACAGTGAGTAGGTTATAGTAGATGCTCAATAAATGTATGAAATGATGAATAAATGAAAGCATGCAGGTGAGATTTTTTGAAAGAGGGAGGCTTAAATGATGATATGGAGCTGACATAGTATTTCTCAGGGTATGTATTTTTTTTTTTTTTTTTAGGATGGAGTCTTGCTCTGTTGCCCAGGCTGGAGTGCAGTGGCATGATCTCGGCTCACTGCAAGCTCTGCCTCCTGGGTTCACACCATTCTCCTGCCTCAGCCTCCCGAGTAGCTGGGACTACAGGCACCCGCCACCACGCCCGGCTAATTTTTTGTATTTTTAGTAGAGACAGGGTTTCACCATGTTAGCCAGGATGGTCTCAATCTCCTGATCTCATGATCCACCCACCTAGGCCTCCCAAAGTGCTGGGATTACAGGCGTGAGCCACCACGGCTGGCTGAGTATGTATTCTTTTTTTTTTTTTTTTTTTTTTTTTTTTGAGATAGAGTCTCGCCGTGTCGCCCAGGCTGGAGTGCTATGGCTCAATCTCGGCTCCCTGCAAGCTCCGCCTCCCGGGTTCACGACATTCTCCTGCCTCAGCCTCCCGAGTAGCTGGGACTACAGGCACCCGCCACCACGCCCGGCTAATTTTTATATTTTTAGTAGAGACGGGGTTTCATCGTGCTAGCCAGGATGGTCTCGATCTCCTGACCTTGTGATCCGCCTGCCTCAGCCTCCCAAAGTGCTGGGATTACAGGCATGAGCCACCGCGCCCGGTCCCAAGTATGTATTCTTTAATGGTGAAAAATGCTGTATCACTTTATGTGATCCTTGAAACACTGTAGACATACATATTATTAATCCCCATTTTATAGATAAGGAAATTGAGGCAGGCATGTTAGAGGATTTGCACAAGTCCTTGTGGGCACTTTATTTTATTTATTTATTTATTTTTTGAGACAGAGTCTACCTTTGTCGCTCAGGCTGGAATGCAGTGGCATGAACTTGGCTCACTGCAACCTCTGCCTCCCCGGTTCAAGCGATTCTCCTGCCTCAGCCTCCCAAGTAACTGGGATTACAGGCATCTGCCACCATGCCTGGCTAATTTTTGTATATATATATTTTATATTATACTTTAAGTTCTGGGGTACATGTGCAGAACGTGCAGGTTTGTTACATAGGTATACACGTGTCATGGTGGTTTGCTGCACCCATCAACCCATCATCTACATTAGATATTTCTCCTAACGCTATCCCTCCCTTAGCCCCCAACCCCCTGACAGGCCCTGGTGTGTGATGTTCCCCTCTTGGTGTCCATGTGTTCTCATTGTTCAACTCCCATTTATGAGTGAGAACATGCGGTGTTTGGTTTTCTGTTCTTGTGTTAGTTTGCTGAGAATGATGGTTTCCAGCTTCATCCATGTCCCTGTAAAGGACATGAACTCATCCTTTTTTATGGCTGCATAGTATTCCATGGCATAATTTTTGTATTTTTAGTATAGACGAAGTTTCACTGTGTTGGCCAGGCTGGTCTTGAACTCCTGACCTTGTGATCTGCCCGCCTAGGCCTCCCAAACCTGAGCCACCATGCCCGGTCCCTCATGGGCACTTTAAAAATACAGCAGAGGCTGGGCATGGTTGCTCATGCCTGTGATCCCAGCACTTTGGGAGGCCAAGGTGGGTGGATCACCTGAGGTCAGGAGTTTGAGACAAGCCTGGCCAACATGGTGAAACCCTGTCTCTACTAAAAATACAAAATTAGGCCTGGTGCAGTGGCTCACACCTGTAATCCTAGCACTTTGGGAGGCTGAGGAGGGCAGACTGCTGGAGCTCAGGAGTTCAAGACCAGCCTGGGCAACACAGTGAAAACCCTGTCTCTACTAAAATACAAAAGAAATTAGCCGGGCATGGCAGAGTGTGCCTGTAGTCCTAGTTACTCGGGAGGATGAGGCAGGAGAATTGCTTAAACCCAGGAGGCGGAGGTTGCAGTAAGCCGAGATTGCGCCACTGCACTCCAGCCTGAGTGACAGAGCAAGACTCTGTCTCTAGTTAAAAAAAAAAAAAAAAAAATAGCTGGGTGTGGTGGCACATGCCTGTAATCCCAGCTACTTGGGAGGCAGAGGCAGGAGAATCGCTTGAACCTGGGAGGTGGAAGTTGCAGTGAGCCGAGATCGAGTCACACTACACTCTAGCCTGGGCAACGAGAGCGAAAACTCCATCTCAAAAAAACAAAAAAACAAAAACAAAACAAACACACACACACACACACACACACACACACACACACACACAGGAGCAGGGGCCAGGTGCGGTGGCTCACGCCTGTAATACCAGCACTTTGGGAGGCTGAGGAGGGCAGATCACTTGAGGTCAGGAGTTTGAGACCAGCCTGGCCAACATGGCGAAACCTGTCTCTACTAAAAATACAAAAATTAGCTGGGTATGGTGGTGCATACCTGTAATCCCAGCTACTCAGGAGGCTGAGGCAGGAGAATTGCTTGAACCCAAGAGGTGGAGGTTGCAGTGACCCAAGATCTGCCACTGCACTCCAGCCTGGGTGACAGACAAGACTCTGTCTCAAAAATAAATAAATAAATAATAACGGTTAGAATGATAAACTTTATGTATATTGTACCACAATAAGAAGTAATTTTTTAAAAGTGGTAGCTGAACTAGTTTTACGTGTATTAATAGAGATGGATTTCAAAACAGAGACAGAAGCATGTTGCAGAATAGGATGCCATATTTTTTAACAAAAATACTACCCAAAACAACACTAAATAAATCTGTTGTGCATTCATATGTATATATGTTAAAGAATAAAAATGGTCTGGAAAAATTCACACCAAGGAGTGTTAACAGTGGTCGCCCATGGGGAGAAAGGATGAACAGTTGGTGGCCAAGGAGAACTTAGTTTCTTTGTCCTAATTTATTTATTTGTAAAGGATGATGGCGTGGAAGACTAAATAATAATTCCCCAATTACACCCACATCCTCATGCCCTGCCAGCGTTGTTTTGTGTGGTACAAGGTCTTTGCAGGTCTGATTAAGCGAAGGGCCTTGCGGTGGGGAGTGGCGCCTGGGCTATCCAGGTGAGTCCAATGTCATCACAAAAGGCTTCCTAAGAGGGAGGCAGGAGCGTCAGGGTCAGAGGAGGCAATCTGAAAACAGGCAGAGATTGACCGAGGCCCCTAGAAGCTGGGAGAAAAGCAAGGGAGCTGATTCTCCCCTCTGAGTTTCCAGAAAGAACCAGGGCTGCCAACATCTTGACTTTAGGACTTCGTGATTTTGGACTTCTGACCTGCAGAACTGTAAGAGAAGAAATGAGTGTTGCTTAAGCCACTAAGTTAGTGGTTGTTTGTCACAGCATAGGAAATGAATACAGGATTCATAGCTTCCCTGTACAGTTAAACATTATGCAGTTATATAAATAGAAAGGCTTGGGAGGAGGGAGTAGATTTCGAGTGCATCAGATAAGGCACCCCCCTCTTGAAAGAAGAGCGTAAACTAGGTGGGTTTCTGTAGCACTGACGTTGAGGGCAACAGGTCCAGGAGGTGAAGAGGTGGGGGTGACTGAGGTGGGAGCTGACATAAGATCATTAGCATATGCAGAATCACCTCGAGAAGGACCGCAAGGTAAGAGCAGAATAAACTGGTATCTTCACACATTTTCTGCCTAAGACGAGACATGCAAAATTTCACAGTGATTAGAATGTTCCAGATTTAGTGCCTGGATTAACACCTTCTGCTGAGAAGAATCTTCACTTGAAAAAAAAAGAAGAAAACACCCTGCATGGAATTCAAAGGAAAAAAAAAAAAAAACACCAACGTTATTTTCAGCACTACTAGGGGAAAGGTAAATTCAGGCAACACCTGTTGAATAGGTTTCAAGAGTTTTTGGAACCAGCTATGGGTCAGCTAATGTCGCTAAGGAGTTATATTGATTTGTCCTTAGCTATATGATTGCAAAGTGACACGTTCCATATAAGTAGAGTGTGATCTCTCTTGCTTTAAAAAAAAAAAGTAAGTGGGTAGGAGGGTGGATATGAATATAGTTGCTTGAATAAGCACTGAAAAAACTTCTGGAAGGAAACACAAGTTGTTAATGGTTTTTGTTTGACCCCCTTATCTACTATTTGAATTTTATTTTATGCCATTTTATTATTATTTTTGAGACAGGGTCTCGCTCTGTCACCCAGGCTGGAGAGCAGTGGCACGATCATATCTCACTGCAGCCTCCAAATCCTGGGCTCAAGCAATCCTCCTGACTCAGCCTCCTAAGTAGCTGGGACTACAGGCATGTGCCACCATACCCAGGTAATTTTTTTTTTTTCGAGACAGGGTCTCCCTTTGTTGCCCAGGCTGGAGTACAGTGGCACGATCACTGCTCACTGCAGCCTCGACTTCCTGGGCTCAGGTGATCCTCCCATCTAGTCTCCCAAGTGCTGGAATTACAGGCATGCATCACCACGCCCGGCTAATTTTTGTATTTTTAGTAGAGACAGGATTTCACCATGTTAGCCAGGCTGTTCTCGATCTCCTGACCTCATGATCCACCCGCCTCGGCCTCCCAAAGTGCTGGGATTACAGGCGTGAGCCACCACGCCCAGCCCGTACATGTTTATCTTTTTAAAAATTCTAGAACCGAAACAAAACTGATCACTGTGGCTACCTCTGGGACATGGGTTCAATAGGGTTTGTTGTTAACTTTTCAGCTTACACACTTCTCACAGTTTAGACAGTTTTTACAGTAAACAAACGTTATTTTTAAGTATTTGGATGTTAATTTGTATATTTTATTATAAATAGTTCAAATTTATCAAAAGGAATAGATAATAATATAAGCCCATGACTCAGTTAAGAAATTCAAGGTGCAAATTACTTTTGTAACTAAAGAAGCAAGCAAACAAAAACCTATAAAGGTTTCCTAAAAAAAAACAAAACAAAACAAAACAAAAAACCACCTTGAGAGGGTTTCAGTTTCTAGTTTCTCTCTAGAGAATTTGCAAACCCAATGCCTGGAAATCCTGTCTTTGTACTTTTACCTATGTGTAAACCAACTCAAGTGTTATAACCACTTAGACGTAAGGTTTTTCAACATTGTCAGGGTTCGAGGTGAATGTTAGAGCTGAGTTAATTTCTTAGTGGATGAACCTAATCTTCTTGAAACTGTCAGGCTTATCGCAATGCATATAAGCAGAGAACAGGCTGTTGCCTCTGTGGTTTATCTGCGGTGTCAAGGCAAATCAGGCAAAAAATGCTGCAGGGCCACTTTCTGAAGGCTATTTTAATGAGGAAAGCAAGGTTCTGGGACTTGAAAACAGTTGGGGTCCTCTCTAGGGGTGACCAGAGAAATCATTCATAAGGGAAGCAAAAGCTAAGTGGTCTTGCCAGGCGCGGTGGCTCACGCCTGTAATCCCAGCACTTTGGGAGGCCGAGGCGGGCGGATCACGAGGTCAGGAGATCGAGACCATCCTGGCTAACACAGTGAAACCCCATCTCTACTTAAAATACAAAAAATTAGCCGAGCGAGGTGGCGGGCGCCTGTAGTCCCAGCTACTCGGGAGGCTGAGGCAGGAGAATGGTGTGAACCCCAGGGGGCGGAGCCTGCAGTGAGCCAAGATTGTGCCACTCACTCCAGCCTGGGCGACAGTGAGACTCCGTCTCAAAAAAAAAAAAAAAAGTTAAGTGGTCTTGCAGTTGTTCTCCCTGGCTGGGTTGATCAACACAAGAGGTAAAAATAGCTTTATCACCTCTTTTTAAATATGAAATAATGATGCAAAACAGAAGCATTTTTGTTGAGAGATAAAAAAAAAGAGCAAGATTAAGACCCCCATCTTCCTTTAAGTAAATAGTAAGAAAAGTGAATTTTCAGTAACACTCCAGCAGGGAGTTTAGTGAAAATCAGGCTGTGAAAATCTGCCCTGCTCTGTTTCATGGCATATCACCCAATACATTTTTATTTATTGTGGGTTGGTGCAGCACGTAAGTTTGGGTTTGCAGGATTTTATTATTTTTGTTGGTGACCATTTTGGTTTTGCCAGTGATATTTAATAAACTCTTTTTTGTTTTTCTTGAGGTTGTGAGCAGCTACATTTACATTAGTTATATTCGTTTTCTTCCTTTTAGTTAAAAAAAAAAATACAAAAATCCTTGGCCGGGTGTAGTGGCTCACTCCTGTAATCTCAGCACTTTGGGAGGCCAAGGTGGGTGGATCACCTGAGATCAGGAGTTCGAGACCAGCCTGGCCAACATGTTGAAACCCCGTCTCTACTAAAAATATAAAAACTAGCTGGGTGTGGTGGCATGTGCCTGTAATCCCAGCTACTCAGGAGGCTGAGGCATGAGAATCACTTGATCCTGGGAGGCGGAGGTTGCAGTGAGCTGAGATCATGCCACTGAACTCCAGCCTGGGCGGCAGAGCGAAACTCTGTCTCAAAAAAACAAAAACAAAACCAAAAAAAACTTCAATCCACAAGCATTGTTGTAACCTTAAAAAAAAAATCACTAACTTCTCCACTAACAACTTAAATACTTTGTTACCCTCGAGTCTTTGTCCTATAGAAATATAGCTTGTTCATTATAATCAGTCTGTATACACATTATACATGTGATATATATACACAGACACACACACATACAGAGAATGAGAGAGAGAGACAGAGAAAGAGACAGGGTCTTAATCTCTTGCCCAGGCTGGAGTGCAGTGGTGCGACCACAGCTCACTGCCGCCTCAACCTCCTGGGCCTCACCAATCCTCCCACCTCAGCCTCCCAAGTAGCTGGGACCACAGGCATGCGTCACCGTGCCGGGCTATTTTTTTTTAATTTTATATTTGTAGAGACAGAGTCTCCCTCTGATGCCCAGGATGGCCTTGAACTCCTGTACTCAAGGGATCCTCCCACCCCAGGCTTCCAAAGTGCTGGAATTACAGGTGTGAGCCACCATGCCCAGCCTACATTTATATTTTGCCTTTGTACCTTAACTCATGTTGCTTTTTCCACGTAGCTTCATAGTCTTTGCGTATCTTATTTTAATGGCTGAAAATATACCATTGATCAGATTTACTACAATTTACTTAACCATTCCCATAGTGTTGGACATTTAAGTTCTCATAATGTCATTTATTCACCCTCCCCTCCTATGACCATTCTATAGACCTCCGTCTTCCAGGCTGAAGTGACTCTCCTGCCTCAGCCTCCCAAGTAGCTGGGACTACAGGCATATGCCACCACACCTGGCTAATTCTTGTATTTTCGGTAGAGATGGGGTTTCATTACGTTGGCCAGGCTGGTCTCGAACTCCTGACCTCAAGCGATCCACCCGCCTTGGCCTACCAAAGTGCTGGGATTACAGGTGTGAGACACCAGGCCTGGCCCCCTACCTTTATAACACACCAAAATAACATCAACCCTAAATATAATTTTAAAAATACTATTCTATATTTGTATATCTTCTCTTGCTCTCCAAAGCAGAGACTGTATCTAAAACGATTTCTTTTTTCTGGATGACTAGTATGTAGGTCATTTTGGACATGTAGGTATTAGTACATGACAGTGACATGGTGGTGACATCAGGCTGTGAGTCCCCAGAGAAGCATGGCTGTTCCACCTGACACCTGGGGGAATAATTCCTCTAGTGCGCACACATAGTTTTGTAGCTATGTGTGCTATGCTATGGACACCTTCTTATTAATACATTTTTTCCCAGCGTCTCAAACTGGAAATTATTTCTGGATAAATCTACCAATGGGAGAGAAAGAATTCTAATCCCAAGGCTAGAAGATTTTTAGGTTCAACTATGCAAAGGTTGTGTGTGTGTGTGTGTGTGTGTGTGTGTGTGTGTGTGTGTGTGTTTTAAGTATGCTTGCCAAACAATTCCCAATATTGTGTAACAGGAGACTCATTGCTCAGACGGCAACAATGCTCCCATTGAGAGTGAAGCTCTGGCACATGCATACATTGCCCTTGATTCACCAGAGCAAACTCTTAGTTAACCCACAAGCATTACAAGCAGATGTAGGTGCATAAAGAAACCCAAATATCAGCCAACCGATAAAAGGAAAAAGACATGCAAATCCATCCATGCATTAAATTGACAGGTTTGACACTGATGCAAGGAAGCTTTGACATTTTCTTTTCTTCTCTCAATCCCCTTTAAGAATGACAAGAAGTTTTTAGAGCAGCAGAAAACAAGATGATTTTGTGGTTTGCTCTGTTTAACAAAGGAAGTGGTGTATGACTCCAATAGGTTGGTGGCAGATAGCAAGTATGAGAATAGTTATAAAAGGACTGGGCAAGGGTGGCAAGTGAGCCGTGTTTAAACTTAGTACGTTTAGAGGTCACTGTATATAGGTATGCCATTCTGAAGCCAGTTTTGTTCCTGGGGTATGTTCTTGGTTAAATCACATCATCCCTCTAGATTCTGGAGAGCTCTGACCCCTACCTTATTCTCACCTTCTGTGGGGACTATGAGAAATTCCTGGACATCTTAAGCCTCATAGAGAGGATTTCCTGGAAATAGAGCTACTATTCTCAATTTGACAGGTCTATTCTTCTCCTGGAGGGAGAAGGAAAAAAGAAACGCCAGCTTCCTACATCTCCTTCCCACTTGTGTCCTTTCCTCCTTAGAGCCATCTTTCTTCACCAAGTATAACAAGTTAGAAGGAAGAAAATTACCGAGTGTCCTTTTGAGCTCAATAAAACCTTTAGCTTGGCCGGGTACGGTGGCTCATGCCTGTAATCCCAGCACTTTGGGAGGCCAAGGTGGGCGGATCACGAGGTCAGAAGATCAAGACCATCCTGGCTAACACGGTGAAACCCCGTCACTACTAAAAATACAAAAAATTAGCTGGGTGGGGTGGCGAGTGCCTGTAGTCCCAGCTACTCGGGAGGCTGAGGCAGGAGAATAGCGTGAACCTGGGAGGCAGAGCTTGCAGTGAGCTGAGATTACACCACTGCACTCCAGCCTGGGCGACAGAGCAAGGTTCCGTCTCAAAAAAAAAAAAAAACAAAACAAAACAAACAAAAAAAAACCTTTAGCTTACGGATTATATGAAACATTTCTTTTGGCCGGGCGGGGTGGCTCAGGTCTGCAATCCCAGCACTTTGGGAGGCTGAGGTGGGCGGATCACTTGAGGTCAGGAGTTCGAGACCAACCTGGCCAACATGGTGAAACCCCATTTCGACTAAAAACACAAAAATTAGCTTGGCGTGATGGCGCATGCCTGTAGTCCCAGCTACTTGGAAGGCTGAGGCAGGAGAATCGCTTGAACCCAGGAGGCGGAGATTGAGGTGAGCTGAGATCGCACCACTGCACTCCAGCCTGGACGACAGAGCAAGACTCTGTCTCAAAAAATAAAAAAAGCAATAGTTCCTCTAACTTTCATCATTTTTCTGCAAACACGAGCCCTTAGTACAACGGGCTGGAAGGAGAGAAGAGGTTGGCAGAGCCCAGCCTAACGTATGGATGGAGAACACAGACCTTATGTTTTACCCATGGAGTTGCAGAAGAATCAGCTTTATACACAAAGCCCCTAAGTCTGCCGATAAGCATTTGCTGAATGCCTCGACTGTGTTCAGAGCTGAGTTATGAGACGAGGTCAGTGTGTTATGATGCCAGCGTGGTGGACGCCAGACTGGGAGCCAGGAGACCTGCCAATTACTTGATTTTCAGAAACAAAGCAAAAGCCCAAAAAATTTCCCCTTCTCAGGGCTTCAGTTCCCTTATGTGTAAAATTAGGGGGCTGTCATGGTTAACCTCAGCCTTAGGTTTCTTCTAACTAGAACTGTGACAGATTCCAAAGTAGGATAATGAGTTCCCAGGCTCCTGGATCTTAAGAGGCTTCCCGGTAGCTGAGAGACTGAGAGCGACTGCACCCTAAATCGTGTTGTTTCTGAAAGAGCACAGGTTGGCCCACCTGGATGTCTGGGCACCTTCCTCTGAGGTGATGCAAAGGGGCCACTCAATGGGTCCTTGCTCAAAATGCTCCAGCCTTACTGGCCTTCTTCCCATTCCTGAATGCACCAAGTTAGTCCTGTCCCAGGGCCTTTGCACGTGCTGGTTTTGCTGCCTTGAGCTTCCTACAGGAATGGTGGCTGGTTCCTCCCTTCTCATCCTTCACATTTCCTTAGACGCCACCTTCTCCGAAAGTGCCATCTCTTACTACCCTAAAGGTCTTTTTATTTTCTTATTTCAGTGTCCATTCCCTTATTTGTGATCGCCTAATTATTTTACTTATTTCTTGTTTTGTTTGCGTCCTCTTTCATTCTGTTAGCTCCATGTAAGCAGGGGTCCGTTTTGCTTTATTCAGAACTGTATACTCAATGCCCAGTACAGAGTAGGTCTCAAAACATATTTGTTAAATGAATGACGTGGCAGCTCCACAATTCCAAGTAACCAATGACACCTAAAGTTGTTTCCCCATGAAGTCTCTGTCTTTTGGGTTCCGTGCATCGGGCTGGGCTCACAGGCTGCGGGAACTTCCTTCCCACTGCCTGTTTTCCTTGGATCGCGGTATCTCTCTTCCTGGAGGAAAAAGGCTCTTATGACCTCATGGCGCGCTCTCCCGAGCCGCAGTGACGTCATTAATGCGCTCACGCGTCACAGCCCAATCATAGGGCCCTTCCCCTCCCTTTAGAAGTCCCGACTGTCCCTGACACATTCCACTCCAAGCGAGCCGCGACACTTACGTCACGTCCGCCCGCCCGCGCGGTGATGACGTCACGACCCAGGGCTGGCGTCACGTGTCCCCCCCGCGGGGGGCGGCCCTTGAGGGCGGCGCTTCCGGTCGGCGGAGCCTGGTGGCCGCAGCGGCGGTGGCGACGACGGCCGAGACGTGGGGATGGCGGGCGCCGGGAGCGAAGCCCGGTTCGCCGGGCTGTCGCTGGTGCAGCTCAACGAGCTGCTGGAGGACGAGGGCCAGCTGACGGAGATGGTGCAGAAGATGGAGGAGGTGAGCCGAGCTGGGCTTAAGGCGGCGGCTGTGAGGCCTCGAGCGGGGTTCGCTCCTCGAACGGTGGCCGGAGGCGGAGGCGACCGCGGCGCCTCCGGTCGTGTTGAGGGGACTGGGCTAGAAATGGGGGCGCTTGGGGCGGGGTGCGGGAGCCAGGGAACCGCGACTGGTGCTTAGGCAGGAATAGGGGGCCTGAGAGGGGGTTTGAGGCACTGAGGGGACCGAGACTAGGGCGGAGGCGGGAAAAAGGGTCCTGAGACGGGGCTTGGGGAGCCGATTGGGGGTCCTGAGACAAGGTTTTGTGGGGCTGAGGACTTAAGGCTGGGTCTGAAGACTTAAGGCTGGGTCTGAAGTGGAGATTAGGGAGCCTGGAATGGGAATTTGGGGATTAGAGTGCTATCGTTGGGTCTAGGCGGAAGAGGACGGAACTGGGGGGATCTGAGATTGGTTTGGTCGGAGGAGCGGGGAGAGTAATAAGGGCTGAGTCGGAGGCGAGGATTAGGGGTGACTGAGGGGGACCAAGAGCTAGATCTGGTAGAGGTTGGGGGGTTTCCTTTGAGAGGAAAGGTTGGGGACAACCAGGGGGACTGAGGCAGCTATAGGGGATCAGAGTAGGTTTTGGGGGACTGAGTGGACTATCCAAATAGGACTCTTAGGAGAGGATTGAGGGTTCCAAGATGGGTTCGGGAGGCTGAGGGTCTGTAGCTGAGTCTATGAGGTGGTTCTGAGGCTCTTTAAGGGTTGGGCGAGGGTCCCCAGCCCAGGGTTTGGAGGCAGGAGTCCATGGTCATACCATAGCCAGGGTAAGGTTTGAAGGTTCCATGTATCTAAGGGGTCCCAATAATGCCCCTGGAGTCTGACTTCTTTTGAAGTGGCCCCAGCAGAGTTACGGGAGTTCGTGGATGGGCCTAAGGGTGGCGACAGGATACGTTTTTCTGTAAGGGTTGCCCCCTCCACCGAGGAAGGGAAGGTGGGAAATTTAGTGTGGCTGGCTTTGTACCACTGCGTCCCACGTGTCTGGGACTAAGGAAGGTTCCTGGAGCAGTTTCAGGAAGAAGTTAAAATGGGGGTTTGGGGCTGGCTGCCAACCCTCACCTCTGAGAGTCAAGCCTTGCCCAGCCCCTGGAAGGCATGTGCCAGCTCCTGTTTCTGGTTATCTTCCTTCACACCTTGAGGTGTGGTTTGCTCTCGGGTAACTGACTTCATCCTTGCAGATTTGCAGTGTGTGCTCCCTTTCTCTCAACCCATTTGGACTCATTCTCGGAAAGTCTGATCTTTTGGGTCTGGTTCTCCTCCAGGCAGGTGGGCCCAGGCTAATCCCAGCTCTTCCTGGCCCACCTACCACTCCTTTATGTCTCTGAAGTCTGAGCCTTCCCACGCCTACAGTGCTGAGCCTCTCACCCAGGAGCCCGTGTGGGGGCTTTTGGCTTTCTTTCCGAAGAGGGATTGTTCAGCACCAAGCCAGCCCCCTTAAAAGAGAGCTTGTATGGAGGTTGCACATTCAAAATCCCTGGAAAACCCTCAACAGATCATTGTCCGGAGCTACAGAGAGGCCACTGTAGTAAGATGGTATCAGTCTTTCCATTAATACACCCCTTGTATTCATGGGCTTTGTAACTTGACACATAATAACGTTGCTCCAAGATGCAGTGTACCCCGTTTATGGTCTCCATGTGGCACCTTCCATTTTGGAGAATAATAAGTGATAAAATCCATCCTTCTTAGCTGAATGAGTTTCATGTCTCCAAAGAAAAAATCTTTGCTTAGTTTCTCTGCTTTTCAGTTGCTGGGAGACCTTTTGTTGATTGTCAGCAGGGTTTTTCTGGTTTAATAATAAAATGATAGGTATATTTTTCTAATGTGTAACACTGCCTACAAGTTATTTTGGTATATGTGACTATTCTGTTGCAGTAAGAACTGAGTACTGTAGCTTTGTTGGTGGAACATTAATAGAAATAAACTGCCTTTAGTGGAGGGAAGCTTGTGGAAAGAATCAAGTTCATTCTGTTCACTTGGAGGCTGTTAGGGACAACCTCACCTGTTTCCTCTACCTCAGAACCTGAAGATTATTTTTTAAAGAGAAAGGTAAATTCATCTGGCAGGATTTTTTTTTTTTTTTTTTTTTTTTGAGTAAAAGTGACCTTCATACCTGAATACCCAAGAGAAGTATTGAGGCCTGAGCGACTCCACTTGATAAGCCTGCATAGTTCACATTAAATTACTCAGCAGTAGTTTGCTTTTCTGGGTGTAGTGCTTTTAAAACAAGGAAACAACTTGAAAACCAAAATACCTTAGCTCACCTAGCG
Organism: Homo sapiens; assembly: GCF_000001405.40. Taxonomy (NCBI): domain Eukaryota; kingdom Metazoa; phylum Chordata; class Mammalia; order Primates; family Hominidae; genus Homo; species Homo sapiens. The sequence goes on along the minus strand of NC_000012.12, from coordinate 122,893,645 downwards.
AGGATCACTGTCAATCCTGTCGTCCTGGTCATGTGTGGTGTGCCTTTCTCGGAATGGGTGTAATGTGAACCGAAATTTTTGGTCATGGTAGTTTCACTCATCTGGTAATGCTATGCATTGGCTTATGTTGGGGGTAATTGTGAGACACAATAGAAGAAAATATTTTATGAACTGTTGACCAAATGGAACATTTGTGATGGCGTGTTAAAGAACATTCTGGTTTTGGAATCACACACTCCAGACTGGACTTGGCCGCTTCCCAGCTGTGTGATTGCAGGCAAGTCACTTCACCTGCCTGAGTATCTGTTGGAAAAGGATAATATGACAGTAATACCTATTTCATAGAGTGAGGATCAGGTGAGATGATGCCTATTAGTACTTAACACAGCCCATCAGTAGGGCTCAATAAAAAGTAATTGCAATAATTAATCACTTATATTAATAGTTCTCTTTTTGAAAGATGACTGACAATCATTAATACCAGATCATCCTGAAAGTTACTAGGATCCCATTTCAAGAATGTTGAGTAAATTATGATTTGCAATTAGCCTAAAAAACATTTACCTTTTCCTTTTTTTTTTTTTTTGAGAAAGGATCTTGCTCTGTTGCCCAGCTGGAGTGCAGTAGTACAATCTCAGCGCACTGCAACCTCTGCCTCCTGGGTTCAAGTGATTCTCGTGCCTTAGCCTCCTGCGTAGCAGGGCTCACAGGTGTGCGCCATCACACCCAGCTAATTTTTGTATTTTTAGTAGAGACGGAGTTTCAGCATGTTGGCCAGGCTGGTTTTGAACTCCTAACCTCAGGTGATCTGCCTGCCTCAGCCTCCCATAGTGCTAGAATTAAAGGCGTGAGCCACCGCACCCCGCTGCCACCGGCTAATTTTTTATTTTTGTTTTTTTGTAGAGATGGGGTCTTGCTATGTTGCCTCTTGAATTCCTGGCCCTAAACCATCTTCCTGCCTTGATTTCCCAAAGTGCTGGGATTACAGGCATGGGCCACCACGCCCAGCCAAACATTGATCTTTCTGTGGTCAAAATGATTATGTATTTGAGTAGGTATAGGGTGAAATGGTAAATATAACAGGCCTTTCCCAGCATAGAATTTCTTAACCTGAACCAAAGGATTTCTTTTTTTTTTTTTTTAATTGGCAGAAGGAAGTGTTTTAAATTGTAGAGTAAGGCTTCTTTAAGCCTGAGGGGATATTTTGTGGAGGCTGGAAAATGTGGCTAGGTTTTGAAGGCATTCACTGTTAGGTTTAAGTGCAGCTGTTCATTATGCGTCACTTACATTGTTTTAATTGTGGCGTGTGAGTTTCAGTGCAGTTTAAGTAGTGAACATGATTTCGGAGCTACGGTCCTCATTTTCTGGGCCTGTGTGTCAGTTTCTCTCTTCCTGTTCCTCCTGTTCATTATGCAATTCCCTAAATGTAGTATATCCTTCATGATCTTATTCTCTTGTCTGTGCTGCAGGCTAATGTTTCATATGCATGTATTTTATTTTTATTTAAAGTTATTTTTACATGGCAGTGGAATGTGCCTTCATCTGTCAACATTAACCCCATTGGACTTGCAGGGCACTCCCTTAAAAGGAACTGTCGCTTAGGGGATTAGGCAACTAAACCGGACCTCTTGAATTACTTCACTGTGCTTTCTGAGGAAATGCTGATTGGTTACTGCTAAAGATTCCACTAACAATTCAAATTGGGGATCTTTGTTCCCATGGCATGAAAATGCCCATGCCCGCATGCAAAAATGCTGAGGGTCTGAAAGACAGGTTGTTTTGTGGAAAGTAAAGAGCTCTGGTCTGGAAGAAGCTGTTTCCCTAAGGCGTGTTCGGGTGTGATTTGTGTGGGGGGCTGAAAGCTACTGCATGAATCATAATGGCTCATTGAAATGTATTGACCTTGCTTTAAATCCAGGGACCGGCTCCCAAACACACTCTGAATGCTGGTGAGACTGTTTTAGAAGCTAAGATTTGCACTCTTGAGTATAATACTACTGGAGTTTGTTTTTATCCATGTTTTATAATCATTATGTACGTGTAAAGGCTTCAACTTTTACGTTTAAATCTTTTCCATGGACCTTTTACATGAGTAAAAAATTACTGTGCCTAGGAATATGTACTGAAATTCAGTTGTATGTCATTTTATCCTTAAGTGAGGCATCAAGATTTCATGGAAAGCACGGAGCTGAGTTGTGTGACTTTAAGTGACTTAAACCCTGTGCTTCAGTTTCCTCAACTGTTAAAGGAAGGATAATATGCCTATCTTTTAGAGTACTTGTAAGGCTAAATGTCACAACAGAAATGGTACAGAGGAAGCATTCAGTAGAGGCCAGCTCCCTTTTATTAAGATGCAATTTTCAGAATATGTAGACTGGCTTAGATGAAATTTGATCAATTTATTTAGTTGCTCTTCTGCGTTTGCTAAAAGTGCAGTGGTGGGTGGCATCACACAGTGGTCGGAGTCAGAACTGGCTTTTGATACCAGTAGTTGACCTTTGACAAGTATTTAGTCTTTTTAATTGTAGTTACCTCACTGGAAATTAAGGAGAAAATAACAATAACCTTTTTCATAGCATTGTTGGGTAGATTAAATGAAATAAGTAAGATGCCTAATATGATACTTAGCACAGAGTGAACACTTGGTAAATAGTTATTGTTAGCTAAAAGGCGTAGTTTCCTTGATGCCCAAATGGAAGATTCCATTTCAGTTCCACAGCTCTTGAACACTTCCCTGTGCAGGGCATTGTAAGGGATAGATACACAAGTAGGACATAATTGCTAGATTATAATTTGGGAATAAACTAAATACAGAAATGTCTACAATACAAGAGGGAATAGGGAGTTTGTTAGGGAAGATGAAGGGCTCTAGAGGTAGATGGTGGTGATGGTGGCATAATAATATGAATGTACTCGGTGCCACTGAACTGTCAACTGTTCTCTTAGAAATGATTACGATGGAAAATTTTATGTATATTATACCACAGTTTTTTGAAAAAGAGAATAAGAAAAAGGCCAGGCTGGGTGCAGTGGCTCACACCTGTAATCTTAGCACTTTGGGAGGCCGAGGTGGGAAGATTACTTAAGCCCCGTAGTTTGAGACCAGTCTGGGCAATATGGCGAAACTCCATCTCTACAAAAAATAAATTAGCTGGGCATAGTGGCACACACCTGTAGTCCCAGATATTCAGGAGGCTGAGGTGGGAGGATTGCCTGAGCCTGGGAGGTTGAGGCTGTGGTGAGCCATGATCATGCCACTGCACTTCAGCCTGGGTGACAGAGTGAGGCTGTCTCAAAAAAAAAAAAAAGCCACGTGTGAATTCTAAATGACATTGAAGTTCAGATGAAAAAGCTCTCTGGCTACATTAGGTTTCTGATGCAAGAGACAGACTTTTTTTGTTTTTGTTTTTTAACTTACGTTCCCACAAAACAAAAGAGACAGACTTGGTGGGTAGGTAAACGTTAAGAAAATAAATTATTAAATAGAATAATATCTACCAGAGGGCACAGAGAATAAGGAACTTTGTCTACCTGCTACCCAGCCGAGGAAGTAAACACTGCCAACCGGCGGAACCCCCCGCCTTGTGCTCTGCCCTCAGTGTGCTCTTCCCCATGTCCACTGTTGTGAATTATTTATTTCTCTAAGTAGGCTTTTGATGGACAAAAATGGGGGCTCAGGAGGAAGTGACACAGGCACAGAGGCAGGAAAGCAGGGATGGGTTGTCCGACGAGCGAGTTCTCGTCTACTTTGGCCAGATGGCATGTACTTGTGTGTAGAGAAATGACAAGAAATAGGGCTGGTGAGGGGGAGTGCCAGGGTGTGCGCCCCATGGTGGTTAATTTAGGAGGAAACAAGGAGCTTCGTGATGATTTTGGAGCAGAGAAGCAGTCGGATGAAACTGCTCTTTTTTTTTTTTTTTTTTGAGACCGAGTTTTGCTCTTGTCTCCCAGGCTGGAGTGCAATGGCACAATCTCGGCTCACCGCAACCTCTGCCTCCCGGATTCAAGCGATTCTCCTGCCTCAGCCTCCCAAGTAGCTGGGATTACAGGCACGCGCCACCATGCTCGGCTAATTTTGTATTTTTAGTAGAGATGGGGTTTCTCCATGTTGGTCGGGCTGGTCTAGAACTCCTGACCTCAGGTGATCCGTCCGCCTCGGCCTCCCAAAGTGCTGGGATTACAGGCGTGAGCCACCGCGCCCGGCCTGAAACTGCTCTTTAGGGAGGTTAATCTGTCAGCAAAGCGTGGGCTGGCTTGGCGTGGCAGGACCAGGTTGGCGGCGGAAGTGGAGGTTAGGAAGAAATTAGGATTTGAGCTAGGGCTCTGGGAGAGGTATTCGGACCAGCTGGCCCGACTCCCTTTCTCACTTCCCCTCTCCTGCTGACCTGAAGTGCTTTCCCCACCTCTGTCACAGGCACGTGGTCTCTTAGCTTCTTTGTATACCTCTCCTGTGGCACTTGACACACATTTTGTAAGTCACTTCCCTGTGTCCCCCACTGGCTTGGGGGCTGCATTTTGTCATGTTTGTCTTTTTGTCCTTGGCACCCAGCACAGTGCCTGGCACCCAGGATGTGCCTGGGTAGTGCTGCTGAGTGAGTGGTGATAACCGGGCTTCAAGTGGAAGTGAGTAGGAGACAGGGCTCTGGTGAGCGGGGAGGGGAGGGGCAGTGGGGGTGCAGGAGGGAGGGAGTCATTGAGGCCGGATTAGGCAGAGCATGAGGGATGGGCAGGGCTTTGTCCCGCAGGCAGTTGGAGTGTGGTTCTGGAGCTCAGGGTGAATGCTCTGCTTGGAGACAGAAATTCAAGCCACTCTCCTCCAAGTGCTTGTGGAAATCAAGGAGAATATAAAAGTTTGAAAGGCCACTAGGAGCTATTAGTGGGTTGGGAGAAGGAAAGAGCTGCCATCGAAGGGAGGGGAGAAACGAGAGAAACAAGTTGGATGACCTAACATCCTGTTAGAGACTGGCTGGAAGAGGAACCCAGAAGTAGACTGCACTGTTTGACCCTCACCGGTCGGTCGTATGCAGAGTGGTTGTGTTCTTGAGCTGAGGAATGCCGGCCTTGTTGCCTGTTTGGCTTTGATTACAGTATTTGTAGCAGAATGTTGCTATGGAGATTCATGCCAGGTACGCAGTGGGAGGTGATCTAGAAGACCGTGTGCCAGCCACTCGTAGGTAATCACTGGCGCTCAGAACATGCTGAGACAAGAGTTCTCGTTGGTTTATTTCCTTCCCCAGCTGTGTGAGTTTTCAGATTTCATCATTGGAAATGATGTCTTACCCAATGATACAAAAGCAGAGGAAATGCCTTTGTAGAATTTCTTCCAAGGGAAGAATGAAAGTAGAGAGGTGACTTAGCTTAGCTTTGTTGTCTCTAGAATACGTTACAGTGTGTCAAGGGAAGGCTTTTCAAAGTATTTGTCAAGGGATTGTGAGGAACGTAGTCCATTACTTTGTCAAAGAGTTTATGTGAAAAGTAGATATTTGAATAATTTCTTATATTTCAAGCAGCGTTACAGCTAATGTTTCTTTTAAATCAAACCTTTTATCTCCAAGGTTAACTAATGGCACCTCGAGGTTACATCTGCAGCCCAGTGTCTAGGATAGTAGAGGAACATAGTGCAAATTCATGTTTGTCATCAGAGCTGGGTGTGGTGGCTGACACCTGTAAATCCAGCTACTCCGAAGGCTGAGGTGGGAGGATCTCTTGAGCCCCATGAGTTTGAGACCAGCCTGGGCGACATAGTGAGACCCTGTCTAAAAGAAAAAAAACAAAAGTGGTCTAACATGTTTGCCATCAGACAGTAGTTTTCATTAATGTGAACATGACTGAGGTCAAGAAGTTTATTCATGTACCCAGCCTTTGCGGAGCATCTGTGGTGTGCCACTTGGGGGATGTGAAACCAGTAAACCACATAGTTTTCATCATTTAGGATCATGCAGGTGTACAGGGTACATGTGAAACAGTAGTGAGGCCCACACACTGGTGGGGGGAGATCCAGTAAGCCTTTGGAAGGTGGGGGGTCAGCAGGGAGTGTTTCCTGGAGAAGATGAATGACTCATAAGTTATGATTCAGAGAATGAGTTAAGAGTTAGCCAGGTAATGAGGGAGAAGGGCTCCCAGGCATATGGGAGGAACAAAGGCACTTAGGGAAGAAGCCGGGACAGAGTGTGTGTGCATACAGGAATATTATAAGTATTGCTGGAGGGACCAGGGCAGGGTGTAGTGGGGGCTGAGGCCCAAAAGGCAGTCAGGGACCAGATGGCCTCATATGCCCTGTTAAGGAGCTTGGGCTTGATCCTCTAGGCAGGGAGCCGTTGGAGGATTTAAGCCAGGGAGTGCTGCGGTTGGTCACACTCGCCATTTATGTAGATCGTTTTGGCAGCCAGGGGAAGGATGGATTTGAGGGGGATGAGATTAGAAAGCTGGGATATGAGTTAGGAGGCTGAAAGATGGTTGATAAAAATGATCGTTGGGCAGCCGAGATAACTGACTTCAAGGACATATACTGGACTTATAGCAGAGCCTGTTGAGTCTTGCTTTTGCACACAGTTCAAATAATCACTTAGTCATGTGGTTTATCTGCCAGTGGCAAATGTTAAGACTGTGGGGAAAAACTAGAAGAACCAATAACATCATCAAGAAATAAGTGATAGGAGGCAAAAGTCATAAAAGCCGTACAAAAATTGGAAAGTTGACTGTTGAAGCATCGTGGTTAAGACAGGATTTGGGTTGCTAGGAAACTTTGGGGCAAGTATTTAACCTTCCTAAGTGTCAGTTTCCTCCTCTTTAAAATGGGAGTTAGTAATACCATCCTTATTGAGTTATTCTGAGGATTAAATAAGATGATGCGTATAAACTATTTTACACCATGCCTGGCAAGAAAACCCAGTAAGTGGAAGCTGTTACTGTGAATACATTTTGTGGCCTTTTGATTAGGGTAGTGTTTTCCTTAGATCTCTAATTTTGTGGATGTTAATTGTATTATAATTACATTAAAAAGAGTTCCATGGTAAATCAATTTGGGAATTAAAGAGGGGTTTGTTTTTTTGAGACAGGGTCTCTGTCGCCCAGGCTAGAGCATGGTGGTGTGACCATAGTTCACTGCAGCCTCCATCAAACGAGCCTCCTGAGTAGCTGGGATTACGGGCGCTTGCCACTACGCCTGGCTGACTTTTTTGATTTCTAGTGTAGATGAGGTCTTGCTATGGTTTCCTAGGCTGTTCTCAAACTCCTGAGCTCAAGCAATCCTTCTGCCTTGGCCTCTCGAGTGTTGGGATTGTAGGCGTGAGCCACCACACCGGCCAAGAGAGGTTTTGTTTCTTCTGCTAGAGTGTGGTGAAGCTCCAGAGGGGCAGCCTACACAGTATTTCTCGTTCACACTTGATTGCAACTCTTAGAAAAGCTCACAGGACTGAGTCCTTGGGGGCACACTTTGGCAAATGCTTATTTAGGGGAGAAACATACCCATCTGCTTCCATAGCCCAAGAGTATTGCTCTATCAGAGACAGCACCATAGTCACTTGATATTCATAAGGACAATTCTAGATCATCAAGGAAAGCTACCTTAGTTTCATGTACTCTGTTTAAGAAGGCAGGGAAGTATAATAGTATGTTTTATTTCTGATCCCAACTAATCAAACTTTTAAAAATAATGTTTTACGGCCGGGCGCGGTGGCTCACGCCTGTAATCCCAGCACTTTGGGAGGCCGAGGCGGGCGGATCATGAGGTCAGGAGATCGAGACCATCCTGGCTAACACGGTGAAACCCCGTCTCTACTAAAAATACAAAAAATTAGCCGGGCGTGGTAGCGGGCGCCTGTAGTCCCAGCTACTCGGGAGGCTGAGGCAGGAGAATGGCGTGAACCCGGGAGGCGGAGCTTGCAGTGAGCCGAGATCGCGCCACTGCACTCCAGCCTGGGCGACAGAGCGAGACTCCGTCTCAAAAAAAAAAAAAAAAAAAAATAATAATAATAATGTTTTACATGTTTATTATAGAAAATTTGGAAAACACAACCATAAAGAAGAAAAGTGTAATCACATCATATCACTACCCAGAGATAAACACTGTTAACAAAGCATTTAAGTTTTTTTCCTTTGTTGTTCCCTTTTGGGATGATTTTTTAGAGTTTTTGTAGAGTTTTTGTTTGATTTTAACCTAAAGTTATACTCTGGGTATTTTCTTATTTTTTAAATCAGAATATTCTTACATGACATGATTTTTAACAGCTATGTGATCTTTCATGTGGATATGTCATTTATATAACCATTCCTTTATTGGATATTTAGGCACTTTTTTGCTGTCATAAATTATAATGCAGTTAACATCTTTGAAATCTGTTTAAAACAAATACGTTAAAGTGATCAACATTTAACTTTTTTTTTTTTTAGTAAGTCTTAAGTGTCTAGGCAGTTTTTAGGTAAAATATCTGATCCCCTACATGAAATATGATTATATAGTTTTTTAATTACGAAATTTCAGTGGAGTAATCTCAACAGATTCTCTTTTGACTAATCCCTTTTTTCCCTAACCACAGACTGAAAAAAAAAATTCCATTATTAGAATAGCATTTTCTCATTTAAACGGAATAGAAGATGAGTAATTGGAGTCACGTGAGAGTTAAATTTTATCTGTTGAACCAAATTCCGGGTCAGGTGTTGGAAAGTTCATGTCATGATGTATTTTAAATGTAAAAACAAAATTGTCAAAAGATACAGTCTTAATAAACATAAATCCAGGGTCCACCTGGATAGGCACTTTCTTATTTGCACCTGTGTAAAGACTGGTCCGAAGAATTCTTAGACATGAATTTCCAGAAATTGTAAAAAGGAAATAGAGATGAGGGGGAAAAAACAAACAATAAAACCCGAAGCTCTTCCTAAACAAATGAATGCTTTGGTTGTTGGTCCTGGCCAGAAACTATTAATAAGAAAATCAGAATTTTAGGAATTCTGTCTTCCGTAAGCTGGTTTTTTTTTTGAGATGGGAGGGGAGTAGAAGCTATTAACTGACACCCCTCATGGTCAGGTGGTCATGACTAGGTATCTGGACATTTCTGCTCCTACACTGGAATCTCATACTTACACAGGATCAAATGTGTTCACTCCCAGATCTGTTCATTCTGGTTTTATTACAATAGTTCTATGATTTCATTAAATCCTGGGGCAACTGGATTTTTGCATGAGTGCAAAGAGAAAGTTATTTCTACAAAAACTGTCAACTGAGTGCTTTGGAAAGCATAGATATAAATTGATTCTCTTGAAAGAAAACTTGGTGGTGAATTAGGTCTGGACTAGATAGGGGAAGTGGAAGAATTCCCAAAGGACTCGGACTCTGCCCTGATTGCTTATCCGGTGTCCAGTTCCCACCCCACAGGAAAAGGCGTGGCCTATTGGAAAAAGAACTTCTAGTGGACCCCTTCCCTTAAGAAAAGACCTTTACCTTAAATGAAACATTGACAACAGATTTTTAAAATGCTTAGTGTGTGCTTTAACCAAACTGCTCAGTTACAGGGACCTAACTGGTTCTGATGATGTGGAGTGGAGGGCTCCGCTGTGCATTTCCTGGCCTTTACTGCTGAGATTCTAATTCGGAAGGCCTAGGATAGGGCCAGAGGACAAAGGCAGTTAACTTTGTGATCTGTGTGGGTGTCCCATCTTGTCTTCTGATCCTCACTCCTGCCCTCCTTCCTCCAAGGTCTCCAGTTATTCTGAAGCCAGTTAGGACATTTTATAACATATGCCAGTTATCAGAACCATTGACACCTGTTAGTATATTTCTTTATTACTGACACCATTATCCACATTATAAGTCCAAGAAGAAGGGAGAGCTTGTTTTTCCTCTGAGTATTAGAAAATATGTCTTCTGGCCAGGCACGGTGGCTCACGCCTGTAATCCCCAGCACTTTGGGAGGCCAAGGCAGGCGGATCACGAGGTCAAGAGATCGAGACCATCCTGGCCAACATGGTGAAACCCCATCTCTACTAAAAATACAAAAATTAGCTGGATGTGGTGGTGCACACCTGTAGTCTCAGCTACTTGGGAGGCTGAGGCTGGTTGAACCCAGGAGGCAGAGGTTGCAGTGAGCTGAGATCGTGCCACTGCACTCCAGCCTGGTGACAGAGTGAGACTCTTGTCTCAAAAAAAAGAAAAAAGAAAAGAAAATATGTCTTCTAGGAAAAACCAAACCCTCTCCTGGTAAGTTGTGCCTGCCAGCCCTAGAAACTGTCAAGTGTGTCACTTTCCATCTTACCTAGGAATAGTCCATTTATTTTCGAGCCTAGCTTTTTGTGTTTCTGTGGTTAGCTGCACTCACACGTACCAATTTTTAGATTCACGTCAGCTACATATGGAGGGGATCGTTTGAGTCTAGATCTCACTGTCTGTTCCTTTTCGAGGGAAGCAAGTTTTCTCTCAAGAAGGATTTTGATGTCTCCGATAAAAATAGCTATCTTTATTAATCTAATAGTTGGAAGTTAGAGGTTCTGTGTGTGGAGTGGGTTGTTTGGTGGAACATTCGATAAGCAGCTGGTAAGTTTCCTTCCTGAGTGGGCTGTAGCCTTGGAGATGGTTTCACACAACCCCCAGGATTGTCGTATTTTAGGACTGTTTCATAATGTTCTCCGATTCTTTAACTATATTTCTGTATTTGCAGATCTTTTAATTTTGTCAACATGTTAATAGTCCAACTCCGCAACTGTTAAGTTTGTTTCAGTAAAACTGAAGATTTGAATTAAGCCACATTAATGTGTTTACAGCACATCTAAGGGCCATCGTAGGCTTGGGTTACAGGCTTCACCTGAAGACCTGAATTCAGGTGGAGACTGGTGAAATTAGTTTGTCATTGGGAATATCTTTTTACTGAATGAAGGTGAATTTGGACTTTTAAATAACCTAGCCTTTAATGTAAAGCTCAAACTCAAATTGCATGTTACTTTGGTGAAATTTACCTTGAAATTAGTTGGTGTGATAAATCAAGTATAGTAAAATAAAAAGAGATGCAGTTAACCTAGCTGAATGTATGGCAGCCTTTCTTTATCAAACCTAACCCATAAGCCTGCTGCATTTAAGGTCTTAATGCAATTTGAGAATATTTCTAGTAGTAGAATAGTACAAAAGCTAAGATTTGTTTTATTCCTTTTCTTTGTGTTATAGATAACTTTGAATTTAATTTTATCTGGAGAGGAAAAGGTGAAAATCAAATTTCCCACCAAAAGGAACTAGTATTCCTTTGAGAAGGGCCAGCTAAGCTTGGGGGCAGCAAATGTACAGGATTGGTCTTAGACATATTTTACTGGAGAGCAGGGCAGCAGTGGTGTCCCAGAACAGCCTTTTATCAGAGATAAAAACTTCATTACTTCATAATGATACTCCCAAAAAGCTTATTGGTCATTTTTGGAGTTTGCTCAGGTATGAACTCAGTCTTCCAAAAGTTGGTTTAAAAAGAAAAAAAAAAGAACCAAGCATTTATCCAGCTTTTCCTATATAAACTGTATTTCATGTAGTCAAATAGATGAGGCAAAAAGTTTTTTATAGAAGAAATTGAGCCAACACATGCAGAGGATGATATTAAAGGATTATTGTGAATTTTGCTAAATGTGATTATGGCATTGTAGCTAGGGTTAAAAAGTTCTTACCTGTTAGAAATATAAAATTTTTAAGCATGAATGATGATGCTCGAAGTTTGCTTTAAACTACTTTTAAAAAAAAGCGGGAATATAGATGAAGATTGGCAAATGTTGCTAATTGTCGAACCTAGGAGACGGTTATACATAGTTTCATCATACTCATCTCTCTACCTTTACTTTTTGAAAGTATCTTCTATAAAAGGTTTTTTTAAAAAAGGTATAAATAGGAATGAACCTTAGATGATTGTTGTTATAACATGAAAATAGAGAAATAGTAAACTAGTAAATTTCCATTTGATCCTCTGCTGGAGTGTAGTGGTGTGATTACAGCCCACTGCGGTCTTGCCTTCCCTGGCTCAAGCAAGCCTCCTTCCTCAGCCTCCCAGTAGTTGGGACCACAGGTGCATGCTGCCATGGCTGGCTCATTTTTTATTTTTTGTAGAGATGGGGTCTTACTTTATTGCTCAGGCTGTTCTCCAACCAACTCCTGGGCTTAAACAATCTGCCTGCCTGGGCCTCCCAGAGTGCTGGGTTTACAGCCATGAGCCACCATACCTGGCATAATTTATTTTTAGAGATAGGGTCTCACCATGTTGCCTAGACTGGCCTTGAACTCCTAGGCTCAAGTGATCCTCTTGCTTCAGCCTCCCAAGTAACTGGGGCTACAGGCGTGAGCCACTGCACAGTAGTTAAGATCGCAGCTCTGGAGGGAGTTACTAGCAGTTGTAACTTTGACAGCTCGTTTAACCTTCCTAAGATTGTGTTTCCTGTCTCTTGAGTAAAATGAGGACAAATTTGTCTCACTGTCACAGAGGATAGAATGGAGACAGTGGAACTAAGAGAAGGTGGCACATGCTAGCTATGCTCAACAAATGTCAGCAAATTTTGTTGAAATGTGGAAGATACTGACAAGAGCAAAGTTTTCAGATCAGCACCAGTAACTTGTCTTACTTAAACCGTTAAAATCACATCTGTTTTGATTTTTCCCCTTTTTCTCTTTTGAGCCTTTTATTGGAAGAGCAGATGCAGTCTGTGCGGGTATGCAGTGCTGCAGTACGAAGTGAATGGCACCCCCTGGAGTTGGGCAGTGCACAACGCTCAGTGCCTTACGTAGGAGGATGGGCTTGACTGAGACTCTGAGCCAGACTCCCTGTGATGATGGTGTCTCCCCCGAGCCTGGCACACAGAGGTGCTTCCCAAGTATTTCTTGTATGAATGAACGAACAGATGAATGGGCCAACCACTGTGCTGGAGCATGTCATTGTGGCCCTGATGAGCTGTAGAAATGGAAGCTTGGGATTAGGGTTTTTCTGTGTGTGTGTCGTGTTTGTTTTTTTTTTTTCCTTTCTGTGGAGATCAGTGCCTCACTCCGTTGCCTAGGCTGGTCTTGGTCTCCTGGGCTCAAGCAATCCTCCTGCCTCTACCTTCCTTAGTGCTAGAATGACAGGCGTGAGCTACTGCACCGGTGTGTAAATTACACGTGTAAATATAGTGGCTTCGAGGCTCTCATGACAGTAATGCTACTCTAACATTCTGATATGCTTTCTAAGTGGGAGAGGGCTGATTTCAGTGAAGAGAAGCGTCGCACAAAGCCAGCTTGTGTCTGTGTCTCCGTGTGTGTTTTGTGTCTCATGTTTCACCACAGTTAATGGGTAGCTTCGCTTTCCAGCCATCAGTGTCATCATCTTCATTTTTCCCCCTTTCCATTTCACTGCCAAACTGTTATCACTGCTGGAGTAAAAGCTAGGAATGCAAGTAGTTTCCCAGTTTATAGCTGGTTGTATCAACCCATGACGTTACTGTTTATGAATTTGAACATTCAAAAAGGCTAATCTTCAAAAAAGCTTAGCAGGATTTTCACAATGACTGACAGATAGTGTCCTGAGGCCCCAATTATGAAGATTCTTATGGTTAAAATTGAGCAAGTTTTTTTTGGAGTACATTGGCACGATCTCGGCTCACTGTAGCCTCTGACTCCTGGGTTCAAGTGATTCTCCTGCCTGCCTCAGCCTCCCAAGTAGCTGAGACTACAGGCGCACACCACCATGCCTGGCTAATTTTTGTAGTTTTAGCAGAAACGGGGTTTCACCATGTTGGCCAGGCTGGTCTCCAATGCCTGACCTCAAGTGATCCGCCCGCCTCGGTCTCTCAAAGTGCTGGGATTATAGGCGTGAGCCACCGAGCCCAATCAAGCAAGTATTTAGCTATGTGCCTGTGTTAGCCTGGGTACTGCGCTAGGTTCTGGGCACAGGGGAATGATTAAGACATGGTTCTACTCTTAAGGGGCTTTATGGTCACCATTAAAAGAGTGGATGTGAGCTCAAGTGTCATTTTGTGTCATGGGGTAAACTGTTCTAACTATTTCAGTCAGGCTTCTGGCAAGACATGGCACAGTCAGCATGAGGGATTGGTGAGGAGTTGAATAAAGGGATTCCCCACAAGGAGAGGGCAGCGTGGAGACCCCCAAAGCCTGATGCAGGATTAGCAACAGCCATGCACTTCTCACTTCCAGGCCTGCGGGAGGGGCAGAGGAGAGGGCTGCCTTGGAGGAAGGGAGGGTTGGAGGACCTGGCCCAGCTGCAGCCGCACCTCAGCGAGGCAACCCGGGGAACACTCCCCATCTCCGCTGTCCCTTTTCATCTTCCTCCTACTGTTGATCCTCATTGCTGAATCCAACCAGAACCTGAGGGTGAGTGTCCGGGTGAAGGGTTGGTATAGGTCAGCCAGGTGGCTGCTGGGGCACAGAGCAGGATAGACAGTGGTTTTCAAGAACAGGTGGAAGATTCCAGCACTGTACTAGTCCTGTGGCTGCTGTAACATGACCACAAACTGGGCAGCTTGCAACAACAGAAACTTAATTCTGTCACAGCTCTGGAGGCCAGAAGTCTGAAATCAGGGTACCCTGTTCCCTCTGGAGGCTCTAGGGGAGGACTCTTCTTTGCCGCTTCCAGCTTCTCATGTGTGCTGGCGTCCTGGGCTTGTGACCACATCATGCTGCCCCCGTCTTCACATGGCTTTCACGTCTGCCTCTGTCTTCTCCATGTGTCTCTTAAAAGGACTCTTGTCGGCCGGGCAGGGTGGCTCACGCATGTAATTCTAACACTTTGGGAGGCCAAGGCGGGCAGATCACTTGAGGCCAGGAGTTTGAGACCAGCCTGGCCAACATGGTAAAACCCCGTCTCTACTGAAAACACAAAAATTAGCCAGGTGTGGTGGCATGCGCCTGTAATCCCAGCTACTCAGGAGGCTGAGGCAGGAGAATCTGAGGCAGGAGAATCGCTTGAACCTGGGAGGCGGAGGTTGTAGTGAGCCGAGATTGCCCCACTGCACTCCAACCTGGGTGACAGAGCCAGACTGCCTCAAAAAAAAAAAAAAAAAAAAAAAGGACTCTTGTCATTGGATTAGGGCCACCTAGATGATTAAAGATGATTGTTTCATTTCCAGATACTTCATTACATTTGCAAAGACCTTTTTTCCAATAAATGTAGGTTCTAGAGATTAGGGTGTAGACACATCTTTTTGGGGGAGGGGGGCACACCATTCAGCACACCACAAGCATCCTGTCACTCCCAGGAGACTTACAACACCTTCGTGACACAGCAGTGGACAGGTTTTTTGTTTTGTTTTGTTTTTCTTTCTTTTCTTTTTTTTTTTTTTTTTGAGACGGAGTCTCCCTCTGTCACCAGGCTGGAGTGTAGTGGCACAATCTTGGCTCACTGCAACCTCTGCCTCCCGGGTTCAAGCGATTCTCTTGCCTCAGCCTCCTGAGTAGCTGGGACTACAGGCGGGCACCACCCTGCCCAGCTAATTTTTGTATTTTTAGTAGAGATGGGGTTTCACCATGTTGGCCGGGGTGGTCTTGATCTCTTGACCTCGTGACCCACCTGCCTCGGCCTCCCAAAGTGCTGGGATTACAGGCGTAAGCCACCGCACCCGGTCTAGCAGTGGACAGATTTTATGATTCTGTTTGTCATATTTAGTAGCTGCACTCTCCTAAGGAAAGGAACCTCACCTTCCTGTTCACTTTTCTGTCTCCATTGCCTGTACTTCCAGAGCCAGCCCGTGATGATGCCTGAAAAAATTTTTTTTGATGTATGAATAGATGAACAAACAAGCACAGAAGAATACAGTGTGAATACAGTGAAGCCAGAGGTGTACTCTGCGAATACATGAGACACCCTTGAGTGGAATGGTTTCAGTAGATGGATTGTATGAGGTGTGAATTGTATCTCAATCAAGCGGGGCCTCAGGGAGTGCCCACCACTAAGGGTCTAGCTCTGTGTGGCGTTGGTGGGGCTGGGGAAGGTTTAGAAAAGGTTCCGTTGCTAAGACCTTGGTTAGGGTAGAGTTTGCAGCAGAGATTTGGATAGGAGGGCGTTCCAGGCTGAAGAGCCAGTGTGAGCAGAGTCTTTGTGGGAAGAACATTTTATATTCCTGGACCTAATGCTTGTTTAACAAGATGCTTGCTTGTGGCTGGGCGCAGTGGCTCAAGCCTGTAATCCCAGCACTTTGGGAGGCTGAGGCAAGAGGATCGCTTGAGCTCAGGAGGTCAAGGTTGCAGTGAGCCATGATTGCACCACTGCATGTCAGCCTGCGTGATAGAACAAGACCCTGTCTCAAAAAATAAAAAATGACAATAAAGATTGCTTGTTAAATAAAATGTGATTTATTTACTTTGCATAAATACTATGCCTTCTGAGAATGCTGTAGGTGCGGGCATATTTTGTTTTTATCCTAACGCAGCCCAAATTCCAAGTACACACTGGATTTTGAGCATTTAAAGGACTTCCGGTGCTATTAAGGATTCCCATTTGTTTGTTCAAGTTTGCTAAACGAATTCAGTCATGTCACTTACTTAGTTGTTGTAAGTATTATATTACAGTGTGAAGGGGGTAAAAAGAACTGCTATGAGTATCTTTCCATGAAGAAGATTTAGCTTGGAAATGTGGGCAGATTTGTCTGCCTTTGTGTTTAGGAAGGCACAATTATAATTACAGGTGGAGGAGCTAGACACTGGCCAGCTGGAATCAGAATTTCACATTGTAGAAGTGTCTGGTCTGGAAAGCATCCATGGGAAACCTACACCCTTGACCCAGCATTGGCCACAGAGCTGCAGGCGGTCTCCTGCCTCTGCCTCTGCCCCTGCGTGCCTCTCCTTTGTAGCAGCCGTGGCATATGCAGAGGGGACTGTAGATCTCTTTTCTTTCTTGCTGACTTTATTTTCTACCACACTCCCCCAACCCAAATAAAGAAATAATGACATGTGCATTTGAGATAGTGTGTGTGTTTTTTTTTTTTCTCTTTCTGAGATGGAGTCTTACTCTGTTGCCCAGGCTGAAGTGCAGTGGTACAATCTTAGCTCACTGCAACCTCTGCTTCCCAGGTTCAAGCAACTCTCATGCCTCAGCCTCCCCAGTAGCTGGGATTATAGGCACCCGCCACCACAGCTGGCTAATTTTTTTGTATTTTTAGTAGAGGTGGGGCTTCATCATTTTGGCTAGGCTGGTCTCGAACTCCTGACCTCAAGTGATCCATCCGCCTTGGCCTCCCAAAGTGCTGGGATTACAGGTACGAGCCACCGTGCCCAGCCAGACTGTGTGTTCTGAGAGAGTTACATATATTAATGTAAGCATCCCAAGAGATAAAAAGAGACCTCCACATTTCTGCCTGGATAAGTATATATAAGATACTTTTTTTTAACTTAAAACAGAAAAACCCTTTCTCTACAAAGTTATGCGTGCTTGCTCTAATGAATCAAACACTGTGATAGTTAAAAGTAGAAAGTGGAAAGTAAAAAAATCATACCACTCGGGCTGCTGCTGTTACCCTGGGGTGAGCATGCTTCCAGAGAGTTCTCTGTGCTCATGCACGGATAGGTGGGCAGAAATAAGTTTAGACAAGCCAGGTCCTACTACAAATGCTGTAATCAGGCATCTCATTTTTCTTCACTTATGAGAAGTAATGGAAACTGAAGTGAAACTGAGTAAATTTATAAGAATGTTTCTTTACCACAGAGAGATTATTTCCTGAAAAGACTTTTCTATGGTTAACAAAAAGGATCATGAGAATGATCAAGAGGTTGGCATCACTGTTTTCAATTTCAGGTATCTGTTGGTGCCTACCATGAAACAAAGACAGTGGCAACTTAAGATTTTTTTTTTTTTTTTTTTTTAGTTTGATGGTTCCTAAAATACCTCTCTAAGCATTCTCAGATTTACTGTACAGATTTGGTCACAGACATTGAGGCTGGAATCAGTCGGAGAGGGGTGGAGAGCCGGGTGTATGTGGCCGGAGTGGCTGCCATCTGGGCCTTGCTGAGTGGTGTATGCTGCGCCTGTGGAGGCCTCCCGGGCCTGTCCTGGCCAATTTGCCTTTGCTTTGCAAATGAACAAAGCTGTTGTTTCTCCTCCCCCCTTTTTTTTTCCAACTGTAACAATGAAAAGATTGAGGAAAGAGTTTCTACATTGATTGTAGCATCCAAGGTGTGTTCTGGGGCAGGTTTTGAGTGTTAAAAAGTTTTATCCAATGCTTAAGAAAAGACATTCACCTTCAGCACATGCATCCTGGCCATTGTCCCTACTGCCATTATCCTGCAGGATGCTGTGGGTATTCTCTGGGTGGCCACTTAGAATTTACTGTATTTGTCTGGGTGTGGTGGCTCATGCTTGTAATCCTAGAACTTTGGGAGGCCGAGGCAGGGAGATTACTTGAGGTCAGGAGTTCAAGACCAACCTGGCTAATGTGGCAAAACCTCGTCTCTACTAAAAATACAAAAAAAAAAAAAAAAAAAAAAATTAGCCAGGTGTGGTACACACCTGTAATCCCAGCTACTTGAGAGGCTGAGGCACGGGAATTGCTTGAACCTGGCAGGCGGAGGCTGCAGTGAGCTGAGATCACGCCACTGCATTCCAGTCTCGGTGACAGAGCGAGACTCTGTCTCAATTTAAAAAAAAAGTTATCGTATTTATATGAAAACATCTGAATACCCAAAGGATATTTAAAAAATCACTGCCA
Source organism: Homo sapiens (assembly GCF_000001405.40). NCBI lineage: Eukaryota > Metazoa > Chordata > Mammalia > Primates > Hominidae > Homo > Homo sapiens. The sequence continues at coordinate 122,875,003 of NC_000012.12, read as the reverse complement.
GTTTAACAGTCCTCAGTTGGAGTTTTTTTTTTTTTTTTTTTTTTTTTTTTTTTTTTGAGACGGAGTTTCACTCTTGTTGCCCAGGCTGGAGTGCAGTGGCGCGATCTTGGCTCACTGCAACCTCTGCCTCCCAAGTTCAAGTGATTCTTCTGCCTCAGCCTCCGAGTAGCTGGGATTACAGGCATGTGCCACCATGCCCGGCTAATTTTGTATTTTTCTTAGAGAAGGGGTCTCTCCATGTTGGTCAGGCTGGTCTTGAACTCCTAACCTCAGGTGATCTGCCTGCCTCAGCCTCCCAAAGTGCTGGGATTACAGGTGTGAGCCACCGCACTCGGCCTCAGTTGGAGTTTTATTTGGCCTCTTTTGATGCCTGGTGGCTTATGTGTGTCCTATACAAAACAAATTGCCTTTTTTCCCCAGACCCCAGAAATGTGGACACGTGAGTTGTCTTTATTATAGTCCACGCTTTCCTTGTGTTCTTCTCCTCTAGGACTTTCTAATATATAGGACAAGTGATTTTGACTTGACTTAAACCCTACGGAAATAAGATTTTGTTTGTAGATGCATTTGTATGGTGAAACTGGAGCAAAAGTCTTCAGCTTAGCGGTATGTATCAGCAGGGAGCTTTGAAGGCAGCATCCATGCCTGGCCCCTCCTGAAGAGCTCAACAGGTAGGGGTTGGTCGGGACATTGAGATTTGTAACAGCAGCCTCCCTACTCCCCAGTAAACGGGGATCGTAAGGCACAGCCGAGGCTGAGACTGCTGTGGGGTAGTCTAGGCCGCCTGCTGGAATGTCGGTCGGTGCTGCATTGAGCGCTGTCTTTCAAGTGGTTGCGTGGGAGACCTGCACTTGCTGTGTGCTACCTTGACTGAGGACTTTTGAGGAAATTCTGTTTGACAATTACTTTAAGGTCCAGCGTGACACCCTCCCTCAGACTTAGTCTCTAGTGACTTTCTGATGGGAGCGCCTCTGCTTCATCAAGGATTGGAGGCACTTAGCTCTCAACAAACTTAGGTCGCTTTTTTTCCTCCACAGTTTTGTTACCTCCCTTATTTGCCAGGCTTGGCTTTGAGTGAATCTTGGCTTTTTTGGGGTTGTGGGGGGCTCTCTGATTCATTCAGCAGATCTTCACTGAGTGGCAGATGTGTGCAAAGTGCTTGGGATGCCAAAGACAAGTGTGTCGTCTGTATTTAGTGTTGGGACAGACAGTGATTGAGACAACAGATTTAATCTTCACTGATGACAGTGATGATGCCACGAAAGACATGGGCGCTGACAGAGGGTGGCTGCTGGTGTAGGCAGGATGGTTAGGGACCTCCTTTCTCAGAACTGACCGGGAAGGGATGGTGGGGACCAGGCCATTTGGGGCCTCACAGATCAGGGCTGATGAGTTTGGCTCCATTTATGCTTGACTCAGTTTATTTGAGGGTGGGAGCACTCCTGTTTCTCAGAATTCCCTGTGCCTAACCCCAGGCGTGGCAGATAATACTCGCTCAGTAAATGTTTATTGAACAAATGATTGATTGAGAGTGATGGAACACACAGAACTGTGGGTCTGGGAGCAGGAGCGCGAGGCCTGTCTCTGAATGCAGCCTGGACAATGTGCCCTTCTCCTCATCCGCCAGGTGAGACCAGCAGGAGAAAGCCATCTCAGCAGTGGTTGGTGGTTGTATTTACAGTTAAATTTTATTTTGAGATGCTCATAGTTTCACATGCAGTTGAAAGAATACAGAGAGATCCTGTGTCCCCTTCTCCCAGCTGCCCCCTGGGTAACATCTGGTGAAATTCAACGCACTCTCAGCACCAGGATCGGGGCACTGATACTGCCAGGACACAGAACATCAGGACGGCTCCGTCCCCGTGCAAATCCGTCATGTCGGCCTTTTATAGTCCCACACACACCGCTAATCTGTTCTCTATTTTTGTGATTTTGTATTTCAAGGGTGTTGTGTGCATGGGGTCATGGAGTGAGTGGCCCTTTGGGGTTGGCTGTTTTCCTTCAGTGTGATTCCCTAGAGCGTTCTCAGTCCCGCCAGTCAAGTTTCTTCCTTTTGCTGCTGAGTGGTATTTTGCGGCCTGGCTGGCCTGCAGCTTGTTTAACCATTCACCTGTTAAAAGACACCTGGGCTGCGTCCAGATTTTAGTTGTTACAAATAAATGTTGCTCTCAACAGTCCTGAGCAGGTTTTTGTTGAATATAAGTTTTCATTTCTCTGATATAAATGCCCAAGAGTACAACTTCTGGGTCATAGGGTAGTTACGTATTCAGCTTTATTAAAAAGTGCCTGTTTTCCAGAGTGGCCATACAGTGGTTTTTGTTTGTTCTTTTAAATGACTTAACAATGGAAGGAAAGACGCTTCTGCATGGCCTGGCATAGAAAGCCCATGGAGAGCCGCCCTGTGGGTGGGGAAGCGGGTGACGGGAGCCCCACTGCTTACCAGAAACCCGAGTGAAACTGCGTCTTTCCAGTCCCAAGATTCTCCTTTTTTGCTAAAGGCATCAGAAGAGATGAAAGCATTTCTACCACCCACATTTCGAGGACACTCCTAGCTTTTACTTTAGAGTTGGGAGAGAGGTTTGGTTTTCATTGTCATTTAAATCCTGTTGGGTTTCAGCAGAGCCTGATCTTTAGGGCCCTGGGTGCAGCTGTTGTCTGGAGATGCAGATCACTGTCTGCTGAAAAGAGCCCTCCTGCTGGGGTTAGGGATCTCCTGATTGAGGCATGGATCCAAGGGCTTCTTTCTTTGTTCTCTGATTCCCTGAGGCTCTTCCTTGTGTGTGTGGTGCGTGTGCACTCGTGTGAGCGCACCAGGAACTATGACAGCAATCAACGGGTATGACTGGGGGTGGGGAGCAGAGGCAGCATGGCCAGGAATCTATACTCGAGCTACTAAGAGGAAGGAAGTCGCAGCAAAAATAGCCTGGGTGGGGTGGTAGAAAATATTAAGGGGAAAATGAGATGACTGGGGTGGCGTTGAAGAAGAGCTGCTTAAAGAGAAACAGGGACACACGCTGGGTAAGGAATCGCATGCTGTTGAAACTGACGGTGTGGAAGGAAAGTGAGGTGGCGGCGGCTGGGCTGTGGTAGAGGAAGCCGATCACCAGTGAGTGAAAAGGGAACTAGGGTACCCACGCGTTTGTGTTTTTTATTTAAACTTTGGCTAAGTTTTGCTAGGAGCGTTTTGCCTTTTTTTCTCAGACCTTCTACTCCTGTCGTTCTCCCCTAAGTTCTGGGCATGTGGCTTCTTCTCTACCTACCAGGGTAGCCTGTCATTGCTTTAAAGGACAAAATGAAATCCCTGATGGGCAAAATATGTCCCCCCTCTTCCCCCAGCTTTTGGTCGGCTTTGCTCACCCACCAACAGCTAGGAGCTGGAAGGCTCAGAAGAGCTGGGGTGGGCATGGGAGAGACAGAGGAACCCCGGTGGCTGGAAACACAGTTCCTTCCCAGGGTCTCTTCAGCTTGCTGGTTGGACCTCTTAGCCTGCTTATGAAGCCTGAATTGACATCATGCCAACTGGTCTCCTGCTGATAAGTGATTCCTTAACTTCCTCGGGAGCAGCAGAAACTTGTTTTGAAAAAAATCAGATTCTAAATCTTTACAGCTGTTTACTTCTGCAAGCACAATGGCCGTAGTAAGGAATTCAAGTCACAGCGCAGCCGTGGCAGGGAAGGCTCTGCATGGAGTCACAGGACAAAGCCTGTCCTGGAAACGTGCTGGAAGGAAGTCGGCCTCATTCTTTACGACGGGCAGCAGCTCCAAATGAGAAACCAAGGGGCTTGGCTCTGGGTCAGTAGCATCTGCCTGGCATGCGGTGCCAGCTGTGGAGACCAGTGAGGTGGCAGCAGCTGCACTGGGCTCCTGGGGTGTGCGTGGGGACCTCAGGGGTTTAGGAGCTGATATACTTTTGGTTCTCATCATCTTGTGTGTTCCTTGCAGACACAGAATGTTCAGCTTAACAAAGAAATGACACTTGCCAGCAACCGGAGCCTGGCAGAAGGAAACCTTTTGTACCAGCCCCAGCTGGACACGTTGAAAGCACGCTTGACCCAGAAATACCAGGAACTCCAGGTTCTCTTTGAAGCCTATCAGATAAAGAAGACCAAATTAGGTAACTTTTTAAGGGTGATCATTCGAGAATAAAGAGTTGAGAGAAGGACACATTTTCAAGCTATTGCCCTACCAGGAAAGAAATATTACGGAAAAATTTCAGGTTAAGATAGCGACTCTACTGCAATGAACAAATAGCTTATGTATATTATTTATTTATTTTTAGAGACAGGGTCTTGCTCTGTCAGACTGGAGTGCAGTGGCGCAACCATGGCTCAGCACGACCTCCTGGGCTCAGGTGATCCTCCTGTCTCAGCCTCCTGAGTAGCTGGGACCACAGGTGTGCACTACCCCAAGCAGGCTAGTTTTTCATTTTTTTGCAGAGAGGTTGTCTTGCTATGTTGCCCAGGCTGGTCTTGAACTCAAGCCATCCTCCTGCCTTTGCCTCACAAAGTGCTGCTATTACAGACATGAGCCACTGTATTGGACTAGTTTATGTATGGAATATGGAGGGCCCCCAGACCTGCGGCCTCTCTGCACTTGCGGTTCGAGAGGGCAGGGTGTATAGCAGGACTGCCCCCTCCTCCCAGTGGCCCTGACTGGTGGCGGTGACTGCTGAGGTCAGCCCAGGTCCACACGCACCTCCAGGGTCTGCAGTGTGAAGCAGGTTGCAGAAACGTGGGTACCTCGGGGCAGTTACCAGAAAAGGGGCTGGAGATTAGGAGGAAGCCAGCCAGTTTAGCAGTCACCAGTTTAGAAGAGGAGACTTAACCACTTTTTAAATTCAAGACCCCACCTTCTCTAAACAGCATAGAAAAAGCTTTCTGAATTATGATATTAAACAGATGTCTTATGACGTTTGCCCGTTTGTCTTATGCTGTTTGTTAATGGTAAAAAAAAAAAAAAAAAAAGCATCACTGAAACACTTTATTTTAATGGCATACTTTAATTTGCAGCCATTAGGAGGAGACATCAGAATTAAAGATTGTTGAGCATCCTAAGTGCTTTTGATAGTTATCAAAGGGACATTTAGATAAAGTCAGAGCTGGGGGTGGTGGCACACGCCTATGGTCCTAGCTACTTGGGAGGCTAAGGAAGGAGGATTGCTTGAGCCTTGGAGATTGAAGCTGCAGTGAGCCATGATTGCAGCCCTGTACTCCAGCCTGGGCGACAGAGCGAGACTGTGTCTCTACAAAAGAAGTGAAATAAGCTGGGGGTGGTGGTGCTCGCCTATAGTCCCACCTACTCTGAAGGCTGAGGCCACAGTGAACTGTGATTGCATTACTGTACTCCACCCTGGGTGACAGAGACCCCATCCCTTTAAAGAGTTTGGGTTAAAGATCACCTTCTGCAGTGAGGTTTACAGTGATGTCTGTCACTACTTGCTATCATCTTGTCATTTTCTCCATTAACTTCAGTAAAAATTTACGATCATACACCCAAACCAGAATGACGAAAAGTAAAAAGACTGGCAGTACCAAGTGCTGTGAGGTGCCGTGCATCTTGCTGGTAGGAGTGTCCATGGGTCATCTGGGGCTTGCAGGCTGCACTGCCACAGCCACCTCCTTTTCTCATTTCACCTGGGGAAGGCTGTTGGGTAGCACCTGCTAGAATGAAGAGTGTGTATGCGCTGCACAGCAGCTCTGCTCCTGGGTGTATACCCAACAGAAGTGGATATTAATGTCTCTCAGAAGATAGGTACAAGAATGTTGTATCTTTATTACCTTATAATAAAATTTGGAAACAATAAAAATGTCCGTCTACAGAGTGATGGGCACATAAAGTCTGTTTACACAATGGAACACTACACAGCATTGGAAAGAAACGAACTGATTCACAGACCTGAGCAGGGTCTCAGAGACGCGGTGCTGAGTGCAAGAAGCCAGGAGAGTATGACCTGTACTCTCTGATTCCAGGATGTGGAGTCAAGACCAGGCGGACCTCCTCTGTGGTGGTGGAGGCCAGCGTAGGGGTTATCTGGCGGGTGCAGTGGGCGTGAGGGCGCCCGGTGGAAAGGTTCTGTGTCTGGATCTGGGGGGTGGTGGTTGGCGGTTAAACACGTGGAAATTTGACTTACACACTTGAGATGTGTATACTCGATGTAAGTTACCACTCAAAACATAAAGGAAATACAAAGTGGCATGATGAGAATGTCACTGCCCCATATTTGAAAACAGCTGGTTCTAGAAGCAGCTGGTGACACAGGTTGCTCTGACATGGGATGTTGGCCCCTGGGCACTGGCTTGGTGCACTTGTTCCCCTGTAGGTTTTCAAGCCTTTCACATTCAGCTTCCTGGAAAGGAAGGTGCAATCCTGCCGTGGTTGGCATCATGAAGGGCTTTACCTGGACACCTCTCACTTTTGTCATACCTCTTGCTTTTTTTCCAGACAGACAGTCTAGCAGTGCTTCCTTGGAGACCCTGTTAGCACTTCTTCAGGCAGAAGGGGCCAAGATTGAGGAAGACACTGAGGTAAAGCCCACCAGCCTTGGTGGAATCCTTGGGGCGCTTTGGGCAGTCCGTGGGCCCGCTGCCTCCAGGGACCGTGAGTGCCACACCGCCACGGCCAGGAGTGGTGCCTCCCAGGTGTACGGGCTGTATACCAGCAGGCAGCCTGGCCTGTGTGCTGGGGAAAGTGCCAGGCAGGGGTCCAGGGAGCAGCGGGGTGAGTGAGGGCAGGTCCGAGCGAGGGCCAAGAGAGGGCATGCGTGCCACCCTGTGAACGCCGGCCCCTGGGGCCAGTGGCGGATTACCACGTGCCGTCGTTCAAGGGCCAGCTGGGAGGAGGCTACAGAGCTTCTGGGACACGTCCAGCTGCGCATTAGAGCCTTGAGCCTCGCCAGGCGATAAGGAAATGAGTCAAGGTCGAATGTTGTGCAGTTGTTGCAGGCTGGGGCCGGCAGGGTCTTGCCAAGATAGGGCTGGGCTCGATGAACTCTGAAGCCCTGGGGGCACAGGTGTTTCTGTCTTGCTTACCCACCCAGGGCGAGTCTGTCAGTCAGGGTGCAGCCGGGTGGAAGCAAGGAGGTGTTGGACTCCAGCGGGCTCGAGAGAGGCCTGGGACCCAGGAGTCGGAGCCCTCACCCAAAGGCCAGCTCCTCTGCCTGTCACGCTGGTGGTGGGGTGCGCAGCAGGGCTGTCGTCCTCTCCACCTAGTGGCAGCTCATGCTGAAGCCTGAGCCCATGACCTCTGGGATCTGGAGCAGGAGCGAGGCCCTCTGGGTGGTTACAGGGAGGGGGCAGTGTTGGAAGCAGCTGGGCGTTGCCTCTCCTTGTGCCTAGACCACGAAGGGAGCATCCTCCCCATCTGGCTGTCCCTGTAACCAGGTTTCTGCCTCTTTCAGAACATGGCAGAGAAGTTTCTGGATGGAGAACTTCCTCTGGATTCCTTCATTGATGTCTATCAGAGCAAACGGAAACTGGCCCACATGCGACGGGTGAAAATCGAGAAGCTCCAGGAGATGGTCCTAAAGGGGCAGAGACTCCCACAGGCCCTGGCCCCGCTGCCCCCCAGGCTGCCCGAACTGGCACCTACCGCCCCCCTTCCCTACCCTGCCCCAGAGGCCAGTGGGCCTCCTGCCGTTGCACCTCGGCGCATCCCCCCCCCACCACCCCCGGTGCCTGCGGGACGCTTAGCCACCCCGTTTACTGCGGCCATGAGTTCGGGACAGGCCGTGCCGTACCCAGGATTACAGTGCCCGCCCCTGCCCCCCCGCGTGGGCCTCCCCACTCAGCAAGGATTCTCTTCGCAGTTCGTGTCCCCATATCCGCCACCTCTCCCTCAGAGACCCCCGCCCCGGCTCCCTCCACACCAGCCGGGTTTCATCCTCCAGTGAGCGCCGGCGCGGTCCTTCCCGGGAGACTTCTTCCACCTGGCGTGTTGTGCTCTGCTCACGGGAAGGAGGCTGGAGGTCCGCTCTGTGCCAAGGGCTCTGGGGCCCTGGGCCAGCGTGTCTGTCTGATTTTAGAACTGTAGGTCAGTGGTGAGTAGTAGGAGCCCAGGCTTTGGGCATCAAGGCAGTTGTGTGTGCCGGGTTACAGCCTGACACCTGTGCGTTGCATCGGTTTGCATTATCCGTGTGATTTCTAAGTATCTTAGCGTTGATGAACTCATGTTTGGGAAGAAATAGGCCTCTCCCCCAGTCCCATTTAGAATCGTGGTCCTTCTGTTGCAGCTTTATTTAATGAGCATGGTTCATGATACTTATTTTATTTTCGAAAGACAGTCCTATGTGTCTCACCCACCGGCCACTGCAGCCCTGGTGAGGGCGGGTGGGCGCCGGCCGGCCTGGAAGAGCGCCGTGGCTGGGCCACCACCTGTGGCTGCGTTGTTGCTCACTGAATCTGTTGGGGAGAGGTCACCATAGTCACCGCCTGACCTGGCTGCTGCTCTTGCTTCAGAGCCACAAGCAAAGTTTGCACTGGGCCCACTGCCGAGTCCAGAGGCCGGAGAACGGCCACTGGTGTGGGAGGGGAGCGCACGAGTGGGACTTTGCACAGCAAATTGTGTCCCCAGCTCCTCCTCTCCCGCCTGCCTGGAGCCGGCCCTGAAGGTTTCTATGAAGAAATAATCCCCCAATATTTTTACTACGTGTGTGATTTTCCTGTTTTATATTGAAAAAACTTTTTTGACACTCCCAAGACCATTCAGGGAAATTTTATAAAAAATGCAGATACTGTCTTGAGCAGATCGAAATGCCGATGAAGTGGATGCAATTTCCTTTTGTGCAAGCAGTGCACGGTGCCCCCCCCTCGGGTGTCCGTGCTGTGCCTTAGCTTCCCCAGGTGCCGGGACTCACACCTGCTAGGGGCTGGGCAAGGCCCCGGCTCTGCTTTCTCTGAAGGGCTTGTCCAAGTTCATTGCCCTGTTACAGGTGGTCAAGACGTCCGGCCGCCTTGACCCAGGCTACCCTTAGCCAATATCCTCTGCCCCTGGGTGGCTGGTGGCTGGGCCTCAGGGTGGGCAACGTTAGGGGTTTGGCGAAAGCCCGCCCCATGGGATTGAGGGACGGGGCTGCACTCCAACCGTCTGCACCTGCTCTTCCCCCACCCCTGTGGGACCTCATCTTCACGTGCCATGTGTGCTGAAGGCCCAGGGCCCAGCAGGGGGCAGTGGCACCTGTTGACGGAAAAGGCCGAGGTGCTTACCAGTGGACCTTCTGGCCCGCCCCTCCCCTGTCACTTGTCGGGCATCCAGGGCCCCGACCTGTGCCTAGCCGCCAGGGTGACAGAAGGCAGAACTGAAGCGGGGTCTGGGCCACGGGCCAGGCCACTGCCTTTTGTCCTCAGTGACCGTACATTCCTGCTCTCGGACTTGAACTCTACTGTAACTGTTTTCTTAAAGGAAATGAAGCTGTACAGGACGATTCACTGCCATGCCAGTCAGGCGGGCTTGCCATGTTCTGTGAATCTCGAGTGAGCGGTGCCACCCGCCCCCATACCTCCGCCACCGGCCGCTGTCGGGGATGCCACAGCCTGCCACGGTCGCAGCCAGACGTGAGCTTGGCATTGAAGTTGCAAAGCGGCCCCTGGCCGGGCTCGCCGTCGCTGTCCAGGGCCGTGTCCGGTGCTGTGGCTGTAAAGCTGTAGGACCCTTTTTAATAAATAGAGAATTATTAATAACAGGCCTGTCACTTATTTACTTGGGGATGTGGATGTTCATGATGTCTGGTTCTGAAACATCAGTGATCAAAGTTCCAGCAGGGAAGCTGGCTGGGACGTCTGTTTTTGAAGCTGAAGACAAAATCTCTGCCTGTCCAGGGCCCCTGGCACAGGTGGGGCCTCTTACCCTCTTGGTCACCAGTCTCATAAACAGCAGTCACGTACAGGGCATGTTCTGTGTCTTAAGAGGGTGTCTTCAGGATCACAGCCACTGTGTCCAAGTAGGGGACTGAGGGTGACCTCAGGGCTCAGACTGTGCCTGCTCTCTGTCCGTGAGGTTGCCGCCGTGTGCTGTGTGAATGGTGGTACTTGTTAGGATTTTCTGTGTTGGTTTTTAGTGGGAAAACCAGTGGCTCTGATGTTTTGCTTTGGGGACTTGCCAGCAGGTGTTTCAAGAAGGCAGTTGCCTCTGCCCATTTCAAAGCCCAGTGGGTGCTGTTTCCTTCTCTAGGCCGAGAGGAGGGGACCCTGCAAACCCTGCCTCCTTGCAGAGCTACAGAACTGCCCTGTGCCCGCCGCCCCGGCTGAGCCGTGCGCCTGCAGCTATGTATGTCCGCCGCCCCAGCTGAGCCGTGCGCCTGCAGCTAGGTATGCCCGTCGCCCCGGCTGAGCCGTGTGCCTGCGTCCTCACCACCCCAGCTAAGCTGTGTATCTGGGTCACAATGCCCCTGCAAGGGACTTGAGGAACTGAGATGAGAGCAAGCTCACCTGTTGCTGTCTCCTGTAATAGCTGCCATTCCTGGCACATCATTGTTCTATGAGAATGTACAGGAGAAATTTCTGTGGTTTTTCTGTGAGGAAGAGGGAAGGATTTCCTGAGAAGCCAGTTAGCCTTAAAGAAAAAGTGTGTGATAGTTTCTTTCTTCCCAGTGGCTGCCAGGAAGCTTATAGCCAAATCTGTTGTCCACTCCAGTGAGGATGCTGGACTTCACAGAGTCTTGTGGCTCATGAACCTTGCCTTGTGGGAGCCTCTCCTCCTGCTGTGTGTCCCATTCACAAGGAGGACCAGGGAGAGGCAGTGACAGGTCCAAGAGGGTGGGGGAGCAGGACCAGACCCCAAGCTCCTGCTTTCTAGCCCCACACTTGAGGCAGCCTGTTCAATTAAAGGTTTCGGCCAGGCACAGTGGCCTGGAATCCCAGCACTTTGGGAGGCTGAGGTGGGGGGGGGGGGGGGGGGGGGGCGGATCACTTGAGATCAGGAGTTCGAGACCAGCCTGGCCAACATGGCAAAGCCCCCATCTCTACTAAAAATACAAAAATTAGCCAGGCATGGTGGTGCATGCCTGTAATCCCAGCTGCTCGGGAGGCTGAGGCAGAATTTCTTGAACCCGGGAGGAGGTTGTAGTGAGCCAAGGCACGCCACTGTATTGCCACCTAGGTGACAGCAAGACTCCATCTCAAAAAAAAGTTTGGTCATTGAGGACTCAAGAATGATCAGTTAAGCGTTGTCAATGCCTGTGGATTTTCATTTGTATCTGGTGGAGAATCAGTTCCGTTAGTGTTTCTGAAGCCATCTTGCCTTGTAAACAAACAAGAGCCAGGCACAGGGTCTGTCTTAGCCCTTGTGGTCAGTTTGCAAGGCCCTTTCACCCTAACCACCCGGCACAAGCACCCCGGCTACGCAGCCTTAGCTGAGGCCCCACTTCATCCTCCAGGAGACGTGAGCACAGGTGGAAGGCTTGTCTGAGGCCATACAGGAGCCAGCCAAGGGGCCTTTTCTCTCCCCTGACCCACCCTGTCCTGTTTCTCTATAAATGCCAGTGATCTTGGCAGGGGGTAGGACAGGGTGAGCTCCCCCACCTCAGCCTTCCCTCTGGCATGGTGCTCCTGGGTAAAGTGGGTGCTTGTGAGGCTGCCACACACCCAGGGACTGAACACCTTTCCAGGTTTCCGGTAAGTGCAAAGGCTGTGTGTGGCCATGGCTCAAGTCCAAGCCAGCCGGGAGTCAGGGTCCCCACCTTAGCTTAGCAACTGTCAGTCAGGCATGGTCTCAGACACACTGAGGGGGTCAGCAACTGCTAGGAGCCCCAGGGAAGCTGTGGGCATTGAGGCTGGGAGTGCAAGTGGCCTCTGTGGAGGCAGCTGGCTCTTGGCCTCCTGTGTAAAAGGAGGGCCCTGAGGCCCATAAATCCCCCGAGAGAGAGATGGAAGGCGGACACACACACAGCCAGTGACAGCCCTGCTGAGCTTTTCTGCAGTCCCAAGTACTCTAGCATTAAATGCAGACATGAATAGGTCCCCGCCCCAGCACCTGGCCAGGGCCGACAAGGGAACACGTGTCCCTGGAGGAATGAAGAGCCAGGCACAGCCCCTCCCTCTGGGGCATCAGTGACAACAAACAGTCAAAGTGCATTTTATTGCCAACAGAACACTTCAGGAGGAAATGCTAACACAAAGCCAAGGCGCTGGTGCTGGCTCATTTTTGCTCCTCCTGACCTTGGCCAGTATTTGGTAGCCTTTCCAGAGCACAGGGTGAAAGGCTAAAGGGCTAGGGCTGGGGTGGGGGGAGCAGGAGGGCATGGCAGCTGCTGGCTCTGTCCTCCCAGCCTGGTCCCACCCCTCCTGCCGCTCTCCTTGGGCTCAAGGGACACACATTCGTTCAAATCTGACGGGCAAAGCCAGGGCCTAGCCCACTCTAGCCGCAGGGTCCCCTCCCTGAGGGCCCTGGTCCAGCACCTGGGTTTCTGGGCTTTTTCTGGCTGAGCTGGAGGGCCTAGGGCCAAGCCCACTCTCCGGAGGGCTGGAAACCACCCCTTCAGGTGGGCAGTGGGGCGCGGCCAGAACGGGGGAATGGAAAACAGGAAATGGGGGTGGCTGCAGATTCCAGCTGGAAATGGAAACTCACTCCAGGAGTGAAGGCAGCGCCCGGGCCGCTATGTCTCACCTCACTCCCCAGAAAGCGGCCCCTTCCAGCATCTGACCCCTCCTGGGGGGCTCCCATCACGGAGGCCCGAGGGCCAGGCCTGAGGAGTAATGGGCGACATTCCTCTAGCCCACACAGAGCCTGGTCTGCGGAGACCACGCAGCTGGAGGGCCTGGTAGAATCGGTGCCCCAGAAGGCCACAGACAGGATGCCTGACCCTCGTCCCATCAGCCGGCACGGGCTGTGTGCCTTCCATCCATCCACGACCTTCAGGAGTCCAGAAGGCAGGGAGCCCCACGCTGGCCCGGTTTCCCAGTGTGCTGACTACAAACGTAGGAAGAAGAGCTCTAGCTCGGAATATTAAAAACACTATTTTCTGAAGAGGAATATTAAAAACACTATTTTCTGAAGAGTTGAGGCTCAGGCCTACCGGGTCCTGGCTGCACCCCAAAGTTCCTTCTGCAGATAAATAAGAGACTCACATCCAGAAGCACCACCCACATGGCCCAGGACCCTGCAGGCTCAGTAAGGGCCAGGGGCCTTGAGGACATTGATCCAGACGGTGGGGCGGGAGGCTTGGGCACCAGGTGGAGGGGCAAGGCCTCTCGGTCCTGTCAGGGCAGTTGCAGAGGCCCAGGCCTGTCACCAGCCACCCTGCTGGACCCCTGGGGGGCCTAGTAGTTCACGAGTTGAGCTGGGTAGATGCCATCCTTTTTGTCAAGCTGCAGGGGTTAAAGGTGGGGGGTCAGTGGTCACAGCCAGGCACCTGGGGCCCCACCTCTCCCTTGAGCAAGCTCCTCCCTGCATGTTGTCAGTGGTCCCTGACTTCCCCAGGGACGTGCACCATGTGCCCCTCTAGGGCTGGGGACAGCACCCCCGTCCAGGAACTCCCCCATCCCAGTGCAGACGGCACCTGGTGGTCCTGTCTGGGGGCCACGCTGGGCTTCTGGGCCAGGGGTGGTTTCTTGGTGGTTACACTTCGGGGGGCAGTGCTGGGCCGGATGGCCACCTCCTCTCCAGGGCTGCCTGATGCCCCAGCCAGCACGTAGTGTTGCTTCCGCAACTCCCCCAGCCGCATGCGTTCAGCCTCCAGCGTCTTCTCCAGCTCCAGGACACGCACCTGTAGCCACACGGCCTGCTCAGCCCAGCCCAGCCTCCCCAGGGAGCTCTCTCCTGGGTCCAGGCTTCGCCCGAGGGATGAGCTCAGAGGTCACGGGGCAGCCATGGGCGCCTACCTGGGTCTCCATCTCCTGCTTCTTCAGCTTGATGAGGGACAGGCCGGAGAAATCCATGGTGTCTGTGGCCGGAGGACAAGGGGGTGAACATCTGGGCACCCACCCCCATTCAGCCTCGGGAGCCAGCAGCCCCCGTTGGCATCTGGCACTCACCTCTGTCCTCAATCTGCTCCTGGCCTGACTTGGTGGAGGCCACCACATTGGCAGCCCTCTCATTGACTGTGCGAGAACATTCCTGCAGGCGGCTCAGGTGGGGGCTGTGCTTGTTGGCCTTCACCTGAGGGGCGAGAGGTCAGGGTGGGCCCAGGTCTCCCAGCTCAGGGCAGCAGCAGGCCTGGGCTTGGCAGCCACAGCCCAGGCCAAGCTGGGCCCAGAGCCCAGTGTGCTGCTGTCGGCGTGCAAGCTCACCTTGGAGGCCGCCACCAGCTGGGCCGTGCTGGCTGCGATCTCGTGGGAGCAGACGATGAGCTCCTCATACTTGCCCGTGTGAAGCACCACCTTGTCAGCTGCCTCCCTGCGGGTCAAGGGCCAGTCAGGGCCAGGGTCTCTGACCCCACGGACGGCTGGCACCACTCCACACCCCCTCTACTCCCTGCACCCTGTTGAACCCCAAACTGCTCCAACTGGCAGGAAGCAGCCCCCTGCCCCCCCCCACCCAGGGCAACCTACACCAGCTGTGTGGCTCCCCAGCCCACAGCCTTGGAGGCCGAGATGAGGCCTTCGGTCCAGCGCGAGTTCTTGGCGTAAAATTCCTGCTGCGTGGCTGCCCCCTAGTGGCGACGGGAGAACAGGGCAGGACATGCCAGTCAAGGACACCAAAGGTGGAAAGTGGCCCTCAAGGGCCCTCTCCCCCTCACTCTGGCCATAGGGCGCATCCCTGAGGCCTCCCTGTGGTAGGGGGTGGAGGGTCTCATGCCCAGGGTGGCCTAGGCTGGGGGTCAGGCTCCTTGTGGACTGTGCCCTGCTGCCGCCGGCCCCTCACCCTGCCGCTCTCCACGATCTCCTTCTGCAGGCTAGTGGATGTCGTCACCAGGAGCCGGATAGCCTGCCGAGACCAAGACAGCAATGACTGGTGGCCCTCCAGGTGCAGACCCCCCCGGGTCACAGCCCCTCACCTTCATCAGGTCTGTGCAGGAGTTGAGGATCCTGGGGGAGAGAAGGAGAGACTTAGCTGCCGCTCTGCAGAGCAGCCCACACGACGCCATGGCGGGCCTGGCCACATCAGGGCTCAGCAGGTGGGGAGGGAGTGTCTGCTCTGAGCCAGGCCTTCCTTTCCCGTGAGCAGAACAGTTGGGGGCAGAACCTTAGGGGCCACGGGGAGCCCACCTCGGCTGGGCCTGGGGGGACAGAAGGGGGGCTCACCTCTCGTTCACCTCCAGCTTCACCCCCGAGCTGGCGTGGCGTGCCTGGTTCATCATGTCCTGCACCCAAGAACAGAGCCGTGAGCTGGCTGGGAGGAGGGGACCGTGGTCCTGGGAAAGCCAGGGCTGCCTCCTGCCCTCTCAGCTCTGACCTCACAGGCCCCTGGAAAACGCCATCTGTCCTCTGTCTGGAGGCTGAGAGCAGGAGTGGGTGCAGCCTGTACCCAGCCCAGTTGGGGCCTCCGGCCCCCAAAGCTCCACAGGAATGAGGGGAGTCCCCAGATCCCGTGCTCACCTCAATCCTCCGCACAGCATCTTCAATGGCTGCGGATGTGGCCGCCATCTCCTTGTCGACCACGGCCCCCAGCTCCTCCTGCCGCACATCTAGGCTCTTGGGTTTCAGTTCCTGGTGAGGATGGGAGTCAGACAGGGGTAGCCTCCGTCCCCCCCCGTCCCACGGGCAGCCTGGGAAAGAGGTTGGGGACCACAGGGATCGAGGAGGGTGCATGGTCCCCACCCTGTGTCCTGAGGCTGCAGGCTCCACGCACAAACACCTGTTCAGCCAACCCAGAGGTGGGTGCAGAGGTCAGAGGCAGGCCCAAGCCTCCCAAACCCACACTCAGCTGTGCCTCACCTGGCCCAGCTGAAGGATGCCCTGCAGGGGTGTCCGCACCAGGCTGGCCTGCATGTGCCGCAGAGCCTGCTGGTCCTGCAGCTGCCCCATGAGCTCCAGAGCCCGGGCCCCGCACTCCCTGCAGGTGTCTATGAGGCCTGGGGTGAGAAAGGACCGTGAGTGGAGCCCCCCCCACCGACAGGCTCCATAAGGACCCCCAGGGGAGACAAGCCAGTGAGGTGGACAGAACCTGCCATCCCAGGACCCACTTACGGTCGGCAGGGTCGGTGGGAGCCAGGTGCGAGGTGGCACCGCCATTGATGATGGTATCCGCAGCCAGGTGGGAGAAGCGGGTCAGAGCTGCCACCAGGGCGGAGGCGTCTGTGCGGGTGGGTGGGGCCAAGGTTGGGGGAGGATGACACTGAGACACTAGCACTGGGACCACCGTCGGTGGCCAGCTATCCCAGGAGGAGGAGGAAGAGGAAAGGAGGGCTCGGCAAGACAACGTCCAGGAGGCAGTGGGAACCACACCACAGTGTGTGTGGCCCCGGGCCCTTCAGTGCTCTGCCACCTGCAGACATATGGTGGCCCAGGCCCCAGAGGCAAAAGCCTATTTGTCCACAGGGCAGGGGTGGGTTCCTGGGAAGGAGCAGGCAGGGGGCATCTGCTTGGCTTCCCAGAGAGGTCCCTGCTGTCTGTAAACCTCCCAAAAGGCAAGAGGTGGCCATGGGCGCTGGAACTGGGACACAGCCCCCGCCTCCGCCCTGCCCTGGCTACACTCACCTGCCAAGGAGGTCAGGTACTGGGCGTGGCCCTCCTCCAGGGTGCTCACGGCATCCAAGGCCTCCTGGGCCCTGCTCACCAGGTAGTCTGCAAGCACGAGGAGAACTGAGGCCCCTGCCACCCGCTGCTCAGGGCTGGGGATGGGAAGGAGGCAGGGGAGCGGCTGAGTGTGGCCCCACTGTCTACCTGGGGAGCTGGTACAGCGCAGGTGCAGGGGGTCGTCCAGCTTGCTCACGGCATCCTGCAGGATGCCCGCGGCCTCGGCAGCAGCGCCCCGCAACACTGCGAACTGCTCGTCCAGCAGCCTCTGCCGCAGCCCCTGCTCCTGAGACTCCTGGCAATGGGGGTGAAGAGGACAGGTTAGAGATCCTCCCCAAGGCCAAGGATGTGCCCCAGCCCTGGAATGACCCATGGGCCACCAGTTGGAGCCCAGCTGAGACCCTCACTGGTCAGGGGGGTGGAGATTTCTAGAAAGAGGCTTCCCACACAGTGCACAGCTCAAGAATAAAAAGATAACCCAATTAAAACGTGAGCTCAAGGTCCTAAAAGACATTTCTCCAAAGATACACAAATGGCCAGGTAGCTCATGAAAAGATATGTAGCACCCTTTGCTATCAGGGAAACACAAATCAAGACCGTGAGAAACCACTCCACACCCACTAGGATGGCTAAAATAAAAAGAAGACAATAATAAGCATTGGCAAGGATGTGGAGAAACTGGAACATTCATGCGTTGCTGGTGGGAGTGTAAAATGGTGCAGCCACTTTGGAAAACAGTCTGGTAGTTTCTCAACAGGGTAACAGAGGTGAGACCCAGCAGTTCTACTGTGTTCCACACACATCAGCTATCTATCCAAGATAAGTGATGGCAGATGTTTACACAGAAACTTGTGCTCAAAGGCCCACAGCAGCACTATTTACAACAGCCAGAAAGTTGCAACAAACCCAATGTCCACCAAGTGATGAACAGATAAACACAATGTGGTCTGTCCACACGGCAGAGTACGACTCAGCCATAAAAGGAATGAGGTAATGACACAGGCTATGATGTGGTGACCCTTGACAACGTGATGCTGAGTGAAGAAGCCGGACACAAAAGGATGCATCGTGTATGATCCCCTTTACATGAAATCTCTAGAACAGGCAGATCACGGAGACAGATCGATGGTTGCCAGACGGCAGTGAACTCAGTGGTGCTGCTGCATCTGGGGAGGCCATACCCTCTCTGCCAGCCGGCCCTGCAACTCGCCCTGCTCCTGGGAGCTGCGCTGCTGCTCCCGGCTCAGCGCCGCCTCTGTCTCGCGCACCAGGCTCTGCGCCGCCAGCAGGTCTGCCTCCCGCTGCCGCACAGCTCCACTCAGAGCATCCTTCTCCGCACTCAGCGTGTCCAGCCGTGAGCTCAGCTCCGACTTGCTCTGTGGACAGACATGGACACCAGGCATGTGAACAGAGCTCCCAGGCCCCACCCACCCTGCCCCCACGCTTATAAACTGGGCCCTGGGGGTTAGTGATCACTTCCATTAGACTCAGGGCTCCCTGAGGACCAGCGGTAGGTCCTGTCTCCCATGTAGCCCCTGGGTCTGGGTCAGGGCTGCATCCCAGGATCACCGAGTGGCACCCAGGTGGGGCCTGTTCACGGGAAAGAGGACCTGACTTCCACCCAGGACTGGCCCCAGAACCCCACCTCCAGTCATCAAAGCCAGATGCACCTGCTCTGTGTGGCTCAGGGCCTCCTGCGCGCGGGCCAGCTCTCCGGCCTTGGCCTCCAGCTCCCTCTTGAGCTTCTCCAGCTGGTCGCTCTTCTCCTCTAGCTGGGACAGGACAGCGTGTCACTGGGGCAGTGGGCTGGGGATGCCGGGGCAGGGCCCTGTGCCACAAGGGACATACCTTCAACTCCGACTCCCGCTTCACCTGCTCCACCTGGAAGGCCAGCTGCTCCTTCACCCGCGCCACCTCCTCCTGGCTTTGCTGCGTCACCGTCAGCTGCTTGGCTGTGTCCGCGTTCTGCATGGGCAGGGGAAGGGCTCATGCTCTGCTGCCATCCCCGAGAGGCCCTGCCACCGGCTGGGATGGAGGATGGGCTGCACCTACCTTTCTGAGCAGCTCCGCGTGCACATGGACGAGCTCACTGTGCTTTTCCTTCAGCTTGTTGTAGCGCGCCTCCGTGGCACTGGCCTTCCCTGGGGGCGAGAGGAGGGGCAGTGATGCCCCGTGTGGGGTGGCAGGGGCTGGGGACACACCCTTGGACCCCTGTGGCCAAGGCCCCACGTACTCTCAGCCTCCTCACGCAGGCCCTGGCTCCGCTCGCCCTCCAGCTGGGCAGCCCTCAGCTGGGCCAGCTCGTGGCGGAGCTGCTCATTATCCACCAGGGCCTTCTGCTTCTGCTTCCGCTGCTCCTCCAGCTCACCCTCCAGTGCATTCACCTGGCTCTTCAGCTGCGCGATGTACCGCTGGGCCTGCGGGAGGAGGTGTGACGTGGGGCCCTGCCTGGGCCGTGAGGGGCCCTGGCCCCCACCCATCCCCACCCCGCACCTCCAGCTTGATCTTCTCCAGTTCAGAGCGGAGCATTTCCACCTCTCTCTTCAAGCTCTCAATCTGGAGGTCCCTGGGGACAGAGGTCCTGGGGTTCAAGTTAAGTCAACCAGAACAGTCAACAGACCCAGCACAGGAACCTGTCTCCTCCTCAGTGGCCACTCAGGATTTGGGCACCTCACGGGTTCATGTTCCCCACCTATGGCCTTTCCAGACAGAACTGTCCAGAGCACAGCTCAGCTGAGCCCGTTTCCAACCACCCCCAGCCCAGTCGGCTCCTCCAGCCCTCACCTGTCGTCCTTCACAGACCCATTGGGGGGTCCAAACGTCTGATCGAAGAGGTCAGCCACCACCTGCCACAGCAAAGCATGGTGACCCCACTCACCTGTGCCCTCCAGGCCGGGCAGTGGGCAAAGGGAGGGCTGGCCACCCGACACTCCCGTTGGCCTCATGCTGCAGCTGGAGGACTGGGGGACACGGGCTGGGCAGGGGGCTCACCACTGGCTCCCCCGCGGGGGGCCCTGTGCTGATCTCAATGAGATTCTCCGGCTCCTCATCTTCCGGGGCCTCCTCGGGGATCACCACCACCGGCTTGATGTGCTCAGCCAGGGCTGAGGCCCGCAGGAAGTTAGGGGGTCCCTGCAGGGGCGGCAGGTGGGACCTGCTCAGCTGTCCCCTAAGCAAGCCCTCCTTCCGCCATCTCCATAGCCTGTGTGGGGCCCAGCCAGGTGCCTGGGGTCCTCAAAGGGCCTCGGGGCCCTCTTGGGGGTGGTACCTCGGGCAGCCGGGGGATCTGGATGAGCCGCTTGAAGTACAGCATGTCGGAGGCTCTGCGGAAGAAGTTCCTGAGGCTGCAGAGATGGTGGGAAGTTCGGGTTCAGGAAGGGGCCACGGAGCCTCTCCCCCACCGGCCTCAATCCTGTCCCTGTCCCAGGCAGTACCTGTGAAACTGCTCGTGGAACCGGTCCCTGTGGCCTTGCAGGGTGTCCGCAGGGAGACCTGGAGGGTGGCACAAGTGTAACAGGACTTCTCTGCACACTGCTCAGGGGCTCACCTGCCCTGCCTTGTTCCTCCGTATGCTACAAACTCACAGATCAGAGATCACCTGAGACCGGGCCAGGCCCGCTCTCCCATCGGGATGGGGAGACCTGTGGGAGACGCTGTGGGAGGGCTCAGTTCAGACTGAGCTAGAGAAGGAAACAGCGAATGGAAAGGAAGGCGCTGCGGCCACATCTCACCTAACCCACACCTGGCTTCGGGAGGCACTAGCAAGCCGCTTTCACCAAACACGTTGGTCCCAGGCTGACACTAACACAGTGGTTCTCAAAGTGCGGTCGAGGGACGAGACCCTTTCAAGGGGTTGGTTAGATCAAAACTCTCCTAACACCCCAGACACCTTTTGCCTTTTTGCGCTTGCACCCCCAGGGTGCCTGGCGGGAGATTCCTGGGAGCAGCTGGGGCCTCCGTCTTGGCCGAGCCAGGCATTTAGTCGTAAAAATGAAAACCAAGCCACTCACTAAGTTTTTTGCTTGGTAAAGTAGTGGGTTTTTTTTTTTTTTTTTTCATAAAATATATGTTATTTCTATTAATGGGCAGTGGGTTTATTACTGCCATTTTTAAATGAATAAACCTCTAATTTTTCGATTTTCCTTTTTGACAGTGAATGTCTAAGCCATATAAACACAGCCTTCCGGGCCAGGGGTTGCCCTGGGCCACTCACAAGAGTGTAGCTTGAACAGGAGCTTGACCGTGTAGTGGTAGAGGTGGCTGCAGTCCTGGATGACCTGGATGAGGGGGGCCAGGCGGCACTGGCCTGAGGACATCTGGGATACGGCGATGGCCGTGTTGAGCTGTCGGAAAACTGTGCAAAAGGGGCAGGAGGAAGAACGTGAGCCCTTGGGAGCTGGGCAACCTGTCCAAGGTGGTCCAACTGTGAAGCAGGGCCCTAAGCCAGCTCCCACACACCAGTGTGCCCCCTGCCTCCAAGACGGGAGCCTCATGTGCTGGTGGCTGCCCCAGGTCAAGACCAGATGCTCCCATGAAGGAGGTCAACGGCAACAACAAGGTCAGGGCAAAGGAGCTCCCAGCCCAGCTCAGCAAGGGCTTCCAGAGACCTCCACCTGGGAGCCCAGGACGAGGTGCCCGACTGACAAGGGTGACGGATAGCTCCATGCCCACGGGCCTCAAACCCACGCTGAATGTTAGAGCAGGAAGGAGGCTCACGATGGAGCACCCCAAATGCCTAACTTTACAGATGTGGGAACAGGCAGGGCTTCTGCCAAGTAACACGGCACTAGGGTCACAGCTTGGCTCTGCACACCCCAAGTGACCCTGAAACCTCGCTTGCCCCCAGGGCCCATCTCCCCTGCCCCTGACACCCCCAGGGCCCGTCTCCCCTGCCCCTGACACCCCCAGGGCCCGTCTCCCCTGCCCCTGACACCCCCAGGGCCCGTCTCCCCTGCCCCTGACACCCCCAGGGCCCGTCTCCCCTGCCCCTGACACCCCCAGGGCCCGTCTCCCCTGCCCCTGACACCCCCAGGGCCCGTCTCCCCTGCCCCTGACACCCCCAGGGCCCGTCTCCCCTGCCCCTGACACCCCCAGGGCCCGTCTCCCCTGCCCCTGACACCCCCAGGGCCCGTCTCCCCTGCCCCTGACACCCCCAGGGCCCGTCTCCCCTGCCCCTGACAATCGGGCCTTGTATCAGAACTACCAAGTGGGAGGGACAAAGGACAAACATGAGGCTGCCTCCTCCTTGGCTGGCAGCTTCTCTGGGGCAGAGAGAATGACAAAGAGCAGGCAGCTGGCCAGCACGGGAGAGCGGCCAGACAGCCCCCGCTGCACAGACCTGTGCCCTGGCCCCTCAGGTCCTGCTCCTGCCTTGCCTGTGATGGGACCACTTGCAAATCTCTGCAGTGACAGGAGAGAGCCTGGGGGGGAGGGGCAAGAAGGAAGACACAAAGTGCCGCCCCTTGCCTTTTTAAAAAAGTAATCTCTAATTACATGTCATGCTAAGTATGTTTTCCTTGCAAAAAATTACAGCACACATAAAGTACTGCTTGGATCTTCAACACGTATGTCCATGCTGTTCGGCAATCTGCTTGATTTCACACAGTAGAATGTTTTCTAGATCTTCCCGGCCATCCCAGATTCGACACATCTCTCTTCCCACCACCCTCCGTTCTCTGCTCTGCACAGACAGCGAGACGCAGCCTCTGCTGAGGCATGTTTAGGACGTTTGTGTTTCTTTGCTGTTACAGGTCCTGAGGCAGGGAAGCCCCTGTACCTGTCACCTCTGCAGATCTGGGAATTTCTCCAGCAGATGCTGGTACACCCCATTTGTGCTTCATCAACACACCAGCGTCACCAGGTGGGAAGCGTGCCTGTGAGTGTTCTCCACTTCCCTCGTGGGGCCACTGCCTGCCCACACTGGCCTTCTCCCATGCCAGGGGTAACTGGCTCCTACCTGGTGGGCTCTGTGCTGAGAGGCTCAGGCTCAGCACATCTCTGCCAGGACACAGAGCCTGGTAGCCCTGTCCTGCTGCACAGTTGGGGCCACACCTTTGGACACCTGCCCTCTGCTCTCCATGTCAGATCCTGAGCAGGCTCTTCCCAGGCACAAGGGTCCAACTCTGAGCCCACCTCCCACCCACTGGAACTGAATACCCATCAGGCTCGCCCAGCTGCACTGGCCAGACCTGGGGACTCAGGGAGGCTGCCCAAACTGCCTCTAACTCCCAATTTTCCCTTAAGGAGGCATTTGCTTCTTGCCCTCTTATGGAGAGCACTGAGTCACCCATGAGTTGTTTTGAAGCTGCCACCCAGAACAATCAGTTCTCCAGCCTGGAAGCTGAGCCCTCTGAGATTTCCTGTCCAACAGCGGCCGGGTTCCCTCGCTAGGAAGTCTGACGTGACTCAGAGGCTTTCTAGAGCAGAAAATGGCAGGACGACCCAAACCTTTCTTCCAGCTGGGCTCTGCAGATGGCCCAAGGCTGGGGCAGGAACCTGGCAAGGTGGCTCCTGTGCACACCTCCTCACCCTCCCTGTCTTGGGGCTGATGGAGTGACACTCACTGGATGGAAGAGATGGCTGAACCTGTATCCTGGATGTACCCGCTGGGGCCTGCCATGCTTTGGAGGGGCCAGGAGGCCCCATTACCTATCCCTGGAGGTGCAGGGACCCCAGGAGGGGCAGGGGCATTTCTTTTTCTTTTTTTTTTTTTTAAGACGGAGACTCACTCTGTTGCCCAGGCTGGAGTGTAGCGGCATGATCTCCGCCGCCCAGGTTCAAGTGATTCTCCTGCCTCAGCCTCCCAAGTAGCTGGGAATACAGGCGTGCGCCACCACGCCTGGCTAATTTTTATATTTTTTTAGTAGAGACAGGGTTTCACCATGTTGGCCAGGCTGGTCTTGAACCCCTGACCTCAAGCAATCTGCCTGCCTCGGCCTCCCAAAATGCTGGGATTACAGATGTGAGCCACTGCGGCTGGCCAGGGTCATTTCATAGTGATCAGTTGGTCTGATCACTCATGTCTTCTTTTTTCTTCTCGTCCCATCTCTGGGGACTTAGCAATACACTCAGACCCCCGCATCCCCTCTTTACGGCTCACCTGATTCAGAAAGCTTCAGCTCACAATCCATGTAATCAAACATCTCCACAGTGAGCTGGAAGCTACGCAAGAGAAGTGGGGGAAGAAATGAAAAAGGGTGGGTGGACCCACCCACTCGTCCTGAGACGCCCCCTCCAGTGGGGACGGGGGCACCGCCGACACCATGGCTCTGGTGAGACAGCGTGCCTCTGCCAGGACGACAGTCCTTCAAGTACACCCCACCCTTTTAACTTCACCCTCTGTCCCTGGGAGCGTGAGCATCAACCAACAAAGCCACGGACTCATTCAACCCCACTGCCCCATGCGGACGCCTGGGCGTGAGACGCGGTAGGAAGGAATGGGGAAGCCGAGGGGAACTGGCTATGTAGCCATGCAGAGTGACTCACATGTTGTTGACATCGGTCCCAGCTGCCTTCTCCAGTACCTCATCTGTCACCTCCAGGCCCGCGGGAAACTGGGGATGCTGTGGAGAGAACCCCCACCCAGCGGCCACTGAACCAGGGCCCCCCCACACCTGGCGGCCACCGAACCAGGGCTCCCCCCCACCCAGCGGCCACTGAACCAGGGCCCCCCACACCCAGCGGCCACCGAACCAGGGCCCCCCAACCCAGCGGCCACCGAACCAGGGGGCCCCCCCACCCAGCGGCCACCGAACCAGGGCCCCCCCCACCCAGTGGCCACCGAACCAGGGCCCCCCCCACCCAGCGGCCACCGAACCAGGGCCCCCCCACCCAGCAGCCACCGAACCAGGGGGCCCCCCCACCCAGCGGCCACCGAACCAGGGCCCCCCCCACCCAGCGGCCACCGAACCAGGGCCCCCCCCACCCAGCGGCCACCGAACCAGGGCCCCCCCACCCAGCAGCCACCGAACCAGGGGGCCCCCCAACCCAGCGGCCACCGAACCAGGGCCCCCCCCACCCAGCGGCCACTGAACCAGGGCCCCCCCAACCCAGCGGCCACTGAACCAGGGGGCCCCACGCTGGACCCTGCTCTTGGCAGACCCAGGCTGTGGCCCACATAGGTGGCAGAGGGCAGTGGAGGGGTTGGGAGGAGGGGAGCACCCGGCCAGCACAGCAGAGACTGAGGAAGCCCAGCGCTCATGTCCACAGAAACGCCTGGGGAAGCCCGTGCCCACGTCCACGGAAATGCCTGAAGTGTTCTAGGAGCTTCGTGATGCCCTGGCTTCCCCGTCTCCCCTTTAGTCATAGTTGGGACAAGAAGGTGAATGGAAAGACTCATGGAGAGGACAGATCCCACCCTCGATGTCCCAACATGTGCCATAACGTCACAGTGGGAAAAGCCCACGGGTCCCTCAGCCCCATGACTCCCCCGAGGAAACCACCTTGAGGTGGAAGGAGATCTTGGTCAGCAGCAGCTTGGTGTAGACATTCACCAGCTGTCCGTAGCGGTCATGCAAATGTCCCTGTGTGAAGACAGACAGGGTGAGGGGCCACGGCTCGTGAACACGTCCAAGAGTCCTCAAGGACCTGGGCACGAGAGTGACCCACCACCGGGCACTTCTTCATTCAACAAACGTCTTCTCCTGGCCTCCACCAACCACCCTCTCTGTCTCTAGCTTTTTCCCTTAATCTTCCTCCTTGTCATTCCTGCCAAAGAAACTCTTGTGAGAAGAGAGCTCTTTGTCCAGGGCGGCAGGCCAGTTCTGAGCAGGGACGCTTTATTAAAGTGCTGGTGCTGGCAGGGAGGCACGTCCCGACGGGCGCCTGGACACATCCTCCCTGCTCCCTCCTCCAGCCCCACGGCCCCTGCGGCCGGGCCAGCTGGGCCTGCATCTGCAGGTGGCACCATGGGCAGTGTTTTCCTCGCTTCAAGGGAAGTGAGTCCGGGCAGTGGTTCTGGGTTGGATAACGCCCTGGTCAGGCCTCCCTGTGGGTACCCGGTCCAGGGCCTGCCCTGCTCCTATGTCCCTGCCCAGGCAGACGAGCACCCCACAGTGCTCCAGAGAGAACCAGGCCAAGGCCCTCTGCCCACCAGGGACATCTCTAACTCCTGAGGTCTTGCAGTGCATCCAGATTGCAGGCCCCCCAGGGCTCTCAGGCCTTACTGTGTGTGTGCTCAAAATGCAGACCTCCAGTCCTGATTCTTCAGCAGCAGGTCTGGGGGAGCCCAGGAACCTGCGCCCTGCCACAGGCTCTCTAACCACCGAGGTGCCCGGGCTGTGGTCTTGCCACATTTCCCAACTCGTGAGGACTAAAGGGCCCGGGTGACTTCGACGCTGGAGGGCCCACTGGTTATGCGTGTGGAGCGCCCTGGGCCAGGCCCTCAAAGGCAGGCAGCATCTCCCCGTGCTGCCCCTCCCACTGTCGCCCCTGGGAAAACCCAGCCACCCGCAGGGAACTGCCCACAGGGAGCCACCCTTCGCTCAGCCCCACACGCTCAGGAAAGCCCCGAATGCCAGGCAGGACCTAGAATGGCTGGACCTACCCACAGGTCTCCAATCTCCCGGATGTTGCTGCGGTACCGCTGGCAGTCATGCAGCACCTGCAGCGCAGGGAATACGGGAGTGGGGGAGTGTCCAGGACCGTGTGGCAGGGCCCTGAGACACGCACTCCCCACCCGAGGCGGGAGGAACAGCCCGGAGCTACGGGGACAGGAACAGGGCCAGAGCCCGCATGTCCGCGGGACAGTGCCCCAGCTCCGGGGAGCAGAGGCAGCAGCTGCTACTCACATTGGGGTGCCCGTCTCGAAGGACCTTGTGGAGGACGTGGCAGAACTTCCAGCTGAGAATGGAGCTGCTGGGCAGCGGCAGCCCAATGGCGTAGGACCAGAAGGTGAAAGCCCCCTTCTCGTGGTGTGTGCCCAGAATGATGCCTGCAATGTCAAGGCCAAGTGTGGAAGCAGAGACTGGAGCACGGGGGCTCAGCAAACCCGGCTGAGAGAGGCCAGGGCCGCCGGAAGAGGGCCGGCCCCCAATCACGTGCCCATCAACCCCGGGTCACCAGAGCTCCAGTGTCCAGCCAAGGGGACAGGAGTTAGGGCAAGACAAGGAAATCATTGGGCCCAATGGGGGCGTTTTTGTGATGAGACTGAGATGGGAAGGAGCCAAGCTGCACAGGACCCTCCTCCCCGGGCTCAGTGAGGGAACTTGTGACCCCGGCACAGCTGACCGCAGGCCACCTGCAGCACTACGCTGCTCCCACATCCACACCCAACTCCTGGGTCCAAGAGCCGGCCAAGGATACGCCGGGCGTGCTTCTCCTTCACGGGGGCCTCCTGGGTGTTGATGGCTTTGCTGATGCTGATGGCCTGTGAGGGACAAAGGAGCAGTGTTTAGAGCCCCAGGCAGCCACCCCAGGAGACACCACCCCAAGGGGGAGAAGCACAATACTGAACAGGATTCTGCCTGGGTTCAAGGCCAGTGGAGCGATGGGGGAGACAGGAATCCCCTCAACCTAAGCTTCTGAAGGACTTCCCTGTGCCTGATCGGTGCAGCTGGAACTACAGTGAACACCAAGAGCTCCAGGAGTCAGGGGACAAGGACCAAAGCTGGGCTATGGCTCCGGGAGGCCATCCTGCCCAAAACCTGCACGACTTGACTCTCCTGGCAGATGTGGTGCCCTGAGCCCCAGGTCATGGCCCAGTGTGGTGTCCTCCGGCCCCATCTCCCCTTGGGGAAAAGCAGCTGAGACTGGAGCCCCCGGCTGGGGCCCACCTGGCCTTTGCGGCACCCCATGAAGGGTGCACATCACATTGTCCCCACTCTCCTGGGAGGCATTCCCAGGAAACTTAGGCAAAGCCCAGGGCCTGTGGCCCACTGCCCCATAGGCTGCCCCTCTCCTGGGTGGGGCCTCACCCTGTCAAACTGTGTCAAGCTCCTGCTGCCACCTGCAGCCCAGCCAGGGGCGGAGGAAGGCAGGAGTGGGGTCTGCAGCTGTCACCCGGAGCTGCGCAAGTGGCACCTTCACACTTGACCAAGGCCAGAATCTCAGCATCCCTCCCGCTCCACCTATGGCAGTCTCACCCCTCCCCCCCCGCCCCGGCTACTGCCTCCTTTTCCGAGTAGGCTTCCTGGACGTGACTGTGCTCTCGAGGAGGGCTCACGGCGGTACCATCACTACAACCCGGCCCTGGCTCCGTGGGGCATGGGGTATTTCTCATGCAGGGAACAGGTCTGCTAAACCTCTGTCCCCCACCACCAATGTTTGTGACCTGAGAAGAGCTGTCCAGGCCATGGGCGGGAGGGACAGGGCCTCGACAGATGCAGACACTGAGATGGGACACGCAGCCCCCAGCCTCAGCCAGGGCAGCTGGGCTCCTGAGCCACAGGCTGGCCTAAGCCAGGCAGGCCTTGAAGGGCAGGGAGCCGGCTTGCAGGACAGTGCAGCGCTCCTGCGCCTTCTCCCCAGACACCACTGCACTCTCCCACCCAACACCGGAGCAGAGGACATCCAATTAGGGTCTACTGTGGAATTTCCTCTGTGAGAAAAGCCAGCCCGGGAAGCTGGGGGGCCCTACCTGGTGGGACCTCAGATGGGAGCTAGGGGACTGCGGGGCTGGGCCAGGCAGCCTCTGGGCCGCCCCCGGCCCCTAGCACGATGCTGACCCCCTTTCACACACAGGGCCCATTGTACTGGACCCTCCCAGGCAGGTGTCCTGGGGCTGCCCTGAGCCCTGCTCCCTGTAGTCGGGGAGGAGCTGCGGTCCCATCTCAAGGAACCACGACCTGAGGAAATGCACAGAGGCTCTGGTGGGCCTGATCCTGAGGGCTGCCCAGCCAGTGGCCCCCAGGCCTCAGCTCCTTCCTTGAACAAACTCGTATCCACCAACTGTGAGAAGCCATGGCTGAGAGTGTCATGCCCCCAGAGGCAGAATATTGCTCACGACAGCAGCTATGATGATAAGGATCCTGAGTGCCCAGCCCCAGCCAGGCATGGGCAACTCGCCTCCCAGCAACAGCCCAGGGAAGTGGTGACTAACCCATTTTCCTGGTGAGGAAACTGAGGCACAGAAGGCTTATATACTTGTCTGTACAGCTAATAAGGATAAAGGCAGTGTTCAAAGCCAGGTCTGTCTGATTCCACAACCTGTGTCCTTAGTGACTCTGAACAGCCCCCAGGCAGTTCCTCCCGTGGGGAGGGGCTCCCAGGGCAGGAGGCAGGGGCTGTGACTTTCCCCAGCTCACTGGCAAGCAGCTGTCCTGTCACAAGCCAGGCGTGTCCGTCTCCGGGGTGTGTAACCCCATCCCCAGCTGCCGACACCTGAGCTGCCACCTGGTTCGGAAGATTCCTGGCAAGAAGGGTGGAGGCGAAGTGACTGGTGCAGACCTGGCACCAGAGAGGCTGTAGACACAGAGATGCGGGGGTTTCTCCTGACACTGAGGAAACCCCGGGATGGGGCTGAGATAGGGACCCTAGAAGCAGAGAACACATTCTGGGGGAATGGGCTGCCCTCTCCTCTTTGCGAGGAAAGACACAGTGAGGCCAAGGTGCAGCCACCCGTGTCCCCAGGCCCTAGGCTCCAGATGCCCACTCAGCAGAGCTCCAGCTCCCCGCACCCGGCACCCTCACACCCTCCTGCAGCCGCCCTGTTGAAATCTGCACCTTCTGGATGGATGGTCTCTGAGGGCCGGGCACCCTCAGACAGTGGAGTGTTTCCTTATTTATCACCCTCTCCCCTCACCCAGCAGTCAGCAACACGAGGGGAAGCAGATCGGCCTATAGGTGCTGCTGAACCCCCAGCTCCTCAACAGTGCCTGGCATGCAAATGACTTTCATGGCAGGAGGGAGGCCCCAGGAATGCAGTGTGACGGGGCATGCCTTGGGCACATGGCATGGTCTCCTGTGCGCCTGGGCCTCAGTGCTGCCTGCTCCCCGCGCTGGCGGCAGGGGACAGGATCCGTGGCAGCAGGGCCCTCCCGGGCAGGGTGCCGGCTGGCTCTGGGAACACAGCCCCGTTGTGTCTAGGATGGGCAGATGTGTGCACCAGGCTCAGAGCGCCACACAAGGAGGCACAGTGCTCGCACAGTGGGAGTCTGTGGCTGCTCCGTGGGCCTCGCCTCTGACCAGGCAGTAGCAGCTAAGCCCTGTCCCGGGAGAAGCCCGCCAGGTCCCAGTGATGTCCCACCTACTCCCGTCTGCTGCTGACCCTCCCTTGCGGAAGTGGCTCCAGGGTTCTGAGGGCCGCAGCAGCAGGCACTCGGGCTCACTCTGTGGTGAGACCCACACGGTGTCCTTGACGCAGCTCCGCTCTGAGGCTTACAGTCCCGAGGCAGGTCCAACTGCCAGCAATACTTGGTTCTGGGTCCTGAGGTTCTCAACATGCTGTCCTCACAGCTGCCGAGTGGGGTGAACGTAGTTCTCCCCATTTTGAAGGTGGGGAAACTGCAGCGTGCCATGGGAGGTAGAGGGCTGCCCAGGCCTGTCCCTGGGTTCTCTAGCCTGCATTTGTGCCCCATGTGGCCCCTCGGGCAGAACAACCCCAGCAGCTCTGACACAGGCCAGAGGCTGGCTGGTCAGCTGCCAGAGACACCCCTTCAGGGCAGCGCAGCCTTTGAGGAGTGGAAGGGATTGATTATGGACCTCAGCTCAGGGTGGAAAAACCCAGTGCTAGAGAAAGGAAGATCATAAGGACACATGTGACCGCCCCGGGGTCTGTCCGCTACTCAGCACCCACAGCTCCCATCCAGCTCCCAAGAGGCAGGGGCCTCACACACAGCCTGGCAGGGCAGTTTCCACACAGCTGTGAGTGGCTGTGGGACCAGGGCTCTGCAGGGGATGCAGTGATAATGTGCAGCATGAGAGCATGAGGAGGAGGATGCTGTTCTTCCCACTGCTGGGCACAACAGGGAGGGGTGTCTGGCTGGGTCAGGGGAGGTCTCTGGAGGAAGCAGGA
Organism: Homo sapiens; assembly: GCF_000001405.40. Lineage (NCBI taxonomy): Eukaryota > Metazoa > Chordata > Mammalia > Primates > Hominidae > Homo > Homo sapiens. Next base: position 122,844,445 of record NC_000012.12, on the reverse strand, counting down.
CAGAAGTGATAATGGAGGGGGACCAGGCACAGTGGCGCACGCCTATAATCCCAGCACTTTGGGAGGCTGAGGTGGGAGATCACTTGAGCCCAGGAGTTCAAGGCCAGCCTAGCAAGACCCCATCTCTACCAAAAATAATTTAAAACTTAGCCGGGTGTAGTGGTGCACGGCTGTAGTCCCCTGCTACTTAGAAGGCTGAGAATGGCTTGGGTCCAGGAGTTCCAGGCTGCAGTGAGCCATGATAGCACCACTGCACTGCAGCCTGGGTAACAGAGTGAGAACCTGCCTCTAAAAAGTAAAAATAATAGGCCAGGTGTGGTGGCTCATGCCTGTAATCCCAGCACTTTGGGAGACCGAGGCAGGTGGATCACTTGAGGTCAGGAGTTTGAGACCAGCCTGGCCAACATGGCGAAACTCCCACTAAAAATACAAAAATTAGCCGGGCATGGTGGTGTGTGCCTGTAATCCCAGTTACTCAGGAAGCTGAGGCAGAGAATCGCTTGAACCTGGGAGGCTGCAGTGACCAAGATCATGCCACTGCACTCCAGCCTGGGCAACAGAGCTAAACTCCATCTCAAACAAAACAAAACAATAATAGAGAGTTCCACAGCGCCGTGAGACACCTTGCAGAAGGGAGTTGGAGGGTCCGCAGAGACAGCAGAGAGGGGCAGAAGCAGAGTGAGGTCAGCTCCTGCCTGGTTCCACAGACCCTGCAGCTTTTCGGGTCTCGAAAAATCCTCGGAGTCCACACCCACGCCCCAGGGGCCACCTGCTCACAACTCTCTGAGCCTGCTCTTATCCTGCCCAGTGCTGGCAGCAGGAGGGGCCTGACCTTTAAGGACAGAGAGTGGGGACAAAGCTCAGGGGCACCCAGGGGCCCAGGGGGCAGGTGAGGCTCTGCAGATACACTCAGGATAGCTGGCATCGCCAAGTGTGTAAGAACATACTCTATGCCATAAGGCCAGCAGACAGGTCTCAATAACCTATTAATAAATTCAATTTTATTGAGCTCAGCCTTGTACTGGGCCCCCGAGCAGACAGCATTGTTCCAGTGTTGCCTCATTAATGTTCACAAGGAACCTCGGAGCAGGTGGGCAAGGGAGGACATTGAGGCTGCAGGTTAACCACCTGTCCAAGGTCATAAATAACAAAAAGATGTGGGCCAGACATGGACCAGAGATGGAGATGGAGCCCCTCAGGCCCCTCCCAGGCGGCCCTGGGCTGCATGGCCTTCACAGTTCAGGGTGCGGGCTAGGCCTGGGTGTGGGAGAAGTGTGTCAGCATAGACATCCTTATCGTCCCACCACAGGAGCCCCACTCCCCAAGGGCCTGCTAACATGCCTCCAAATTGCGAGTGGGCTCCGGATCAGGATTTGTTCAAATCTCAAGTTAACGAAGGCCTTGGGGCTGGCAGAGCCAAGGGCCCTTCCCACTACCCCCATCCCTTGGGGCGAGGGCATCTGCCTCTGGGCTGCGGCCTTCAGCTCAGTCCAGTGGCCAGGGGGAGCCCAAGCCCTCAGGATACACCTGCCCTGCTTCCAGGAACAATCAGGCCAGACAGAGCCCGCTGACTCGTGAGCAGCCCAGAGCTGCACTGGTCCCTGGACTGAGACTCATGGGGCACACCCCAGCGAGCATCTCAGTGAGTGCTGCCTCAGAAGAGGGGAGATCAGGGTGAGGCAGGGGACGCTCCCGAGAGGCTGCTGGCCCAGGCCTGATGTGGAGTCCAGATGGAAACAGACCGCAGGAATGGGCACTGTCAGCAAAGCCAGGCAACTGAGCTGGGAGGCTCCAGGCAGCGGCTGCCCCACACGCCAACCCCGCGGCACCCTGTGGCCCAGGAGGCTCCGGAGTTGTCTGTCCACCGATCATACTCTGTCCCCACCTCCAACCCCCGAATACAGGGACATCTTCCTTCCTGCTGTATCTCTAGGCCCAAACCAACATCTGGCTGTCAGCAAATCCCCACTGGGCAAATGGAAGGGTGAACACTCGAAGGACAAGAGCTCTTTCAAAGACAAGTACTGGACGACTTCAGGGCACTGAGTCTCTCCTTCTCCAGCTAATAATTTATCCACTAGAGCTGCAGAGTAAAAGTAATTATAAAACAATTTCTATTTTTAAAATCAACGCTGAAATGAATCAGACGTAAGCCTCCCTGTGCTGTATTATCGTGGCACCTAACAGCAGCACTTGGCAGGGACAAGAACGTTCTTCAAAGAGCTGGGGCACACGGACGGACGCTGGCAGAGCGGTAGGTTATTTTGCTTTAACATTTCCAAAGAGTTGGTTGAAGGACAGAGAGATCTCATTCAAATGCGTCTGTCCCCTCAAAGGCCATTGACAGAGCAAACACAGGGTTTCTGTAGCTGAGGAGGCCGGGATATGGCCACACGCAAAGCAGCGAGGCGGACAGCTGGGTCAGCTCCAGCAGACAGGAAGTCAGGGGCAACTGCTCCGCTCCATTTAACCTGTATCTCCCCTCACTCTCACCCAGGCCTGCTTGGTCCTGGCCACTCCGTCATTTCAGCGTTTAGGAAAGCTCCCGAGGGGAGCATGAGAGCCCAGGTTCCCCAGGACACTGGTTACAATGTTGCCGCCTGACCCACTGCCACCTCCGCCCCAGGCTTTGTGGGTGACACCCAGTAGTAGGAGGACTGTTCCTGCGTCACCCCTCTGCCAGGCTGGCTCTGGAAGTGACAGGCAGCCAGGTCGTGCAGTTTCATTCCCTGGGCCCTGGTGACATCACTCCACAAACCCGTCTGTCCCAAAAGCCAGGAGCCTGAGTCACCTCCAAGCAGATGAACCTACTGCAGTTTGAGGATCATGTTTATTTTAGCCAGAGAAAAAACAATCTCGCCCCAAATAAACTTTTCTCCAGGCCTCAGTCATTCCCTAGAATGGATGGCCATGAGCCTTTCAGACCTCACCAAGAAGACAGCATCAAAGAAGGGAGACCACTGGCCCCTGAGCATCCACTCATCCAGCCACTTACGACGCGGCCCTGCCTGATGACCCCAGGGTAGGTGGCTGGTGCAGGTCTGAGCAGTTGCTCAGGGAACTCGGCAAGGAGATGACACACTCCCACTTCTCAGGCGAGCCTGGTCTACACATGCGCCCACCCCATGTCTGTCTGCTTCCTCCCGCTCTGCTGGGCCAGCCACAGCGTGTCAGGGCAGATGTGGAAGCAGCGCAAATAATGTCATGAGGACTGGGCAGCACAGAGAGGCTTGGGCAGGAGGACGGCAGCGGGTGGCTGCACAGAGGAGGTGATATTCAAGTTAGCATCGCAGATTACCAAGTTGGGCGGGGAGGGGGCGGGTAAGGGCATTGCCAACAGAGCAGCCAAGGCGTCTCAGGTTAGCCGGCTGGGTATCCCTGTCCCTTGGCCAAGCAGGCCTGGACTCCACTCAGAGGCTTTCCACTTTAAGCTGCTGGGATCCAGTGGCCAGCTGGGTTTCATTCGCGAATGACCGGTGCAGCGCTGGCTGGGAGGCTGGCTTCTGGATCAGGTCAGAGAAGGGGCCTCGTCTGCGCCTGTCCCTATTCAGAGGGTGAGCAGTTCTGCCAGGCAAGGCTCCTGCTGGCTTTGTCTGCACCTCCTGAGGCTGTCGTCCCCCAGAATATCCTCCCAACCCTGGAGAGCCTTCATAATGTGGCACCTCTGGGCTCACTCTTCCAGGGAAGGGCTGTCCCCACCTGCCTGAGTCCCCCCAACCTCTGTGCAGATCCACTTTTCTCCCCAACCGCCCCAGCACACAAGGCCTCCGCTTACAGCTAATCTAAGGGCACCGGGCAGAGCTCAACAGGGAGCTTGTTTCTCTCTTTCAGCCCAGCCTGCTCTTCTGAACACAACATAACAGCCAACACTTACACGGCATTCACTACACACCAGGCACTATGAACACCTGTAAATTTCTTCACAACCACTCCAGGAGGTGTGTAGTATTATTGCCCCCATTTTGTAGATAAGGAAACTGAGGCAGAGTGGTGAAGGGACAGAGCCAGGGGCTGAACCTGGAGCTTGCTCTTGACTGCCCTACCATTCCACACGTGGCCACAGTTGGCATCTCTCCACCTCTTAGAGGGTACAAAGATGACTCGGACCTTCCTGGGGCACACCCCAAAGCTACAGGAACAGGCCAAATGGTAAGACAGCAAGCGGCGCTCAGGAATGTGTCATGGGCATCAAAACACATCAGAGACAGGGAGGGGGAGGTCAAGGATGGGTGGCCCCTTCCCACCCCAACCTGGACCAAGAACAGCCTCTGGAATAGCTCTGCCAGGGAGGCAATATGCAGCCCAGGGGTCGGGAAGTCAGCGGCCTGCCGGGCATCACCACGAGGGCATCACCATGTGGGCTGATGGGGTGGAACCGAGCAGAGGATGTCACGGGGCGAGACAGCAGTGCGCATGCCCAGGAACAACGAGCTCAACGCCCATGCCATGCTGCGGGCAAATCACTCCTATACACGTAAATGTTGCCCTTTTCTAAAAGCCACCAGGTGATTCTAACACTTGCATTGTCCGGCACGGTAGCCGCTGGCCGGTGCGGGCTGTGAGTATTGGAAAGGTGGTGAGTCCAGACTGAGATCAGCTGTGAGTGTCCAGTGCATACCTATTTCAAAGATTTAGTAGGAGAAAAAGAATGTAAATTCTCCTATTCATAATTTTTGTGGCAATTACATGTTGAAAGGGCTAGCTTTTGGATATACTGGGTTAAATAAAATATGCTATTACAGTTAATCGCACCTGTTTCTGTTGACTTTTCTAGTAGTTACTAGACAATCTAAAAGTACACACGTGGCTTGCCTCTGGTTCCTCCTGGACAACACTGCTCTACTGTGTGCCGGGGCTGAGAAGCCCTCAGTTGTCAATAAATGTTAATCTTGACAGGATTTTGGTTTCACGGGGGATGCTAAGCATGTATGTCACCAACCTGGAAAATTGGACCTATGAACTGTTTCCACATATTGCTGCCCTAGACAGTCCCTGCCCCACAGGAACCCCTTACACCTGGGTAGTTTCATGTCTACAGTTAATGCTCACCCGCCAGACTTGGCTCACTCAGCAGTGGCCAGAGGCCTTGCAGTGTAGTAAAGGGTTTCTCTCATCCTAACCTGAGAGGAATCTTCTGGGCTTGATCTCCATCCTGTGGGCCTGCAGTGGAAACTGAGGCCCAGTGAAGCAGAAAGGTTCACAGATCAGGAAAAGGCAGGACTCACCATTAGCATTTCCAGTACTCCTAACTGAGTCCTTCTTCATGATATGCTTCAAAGATGCTTTCTTCTCTAGATGTTAAACTTTTCAGCCGAGGAAGGGAAGGGAGAAAGACGGTTGGGCCAAGTATCTGCTGAGGCCCTTCTATGCCCTAGGTGCTCTTTCATGTTTACATACTGGATGTATTAGTTCCTTATGGCTGCCATAACAAATCACACAAACTCGCAGTTCTGGAGGTCGGAAGTCTAAAACAGGTCTCACAGGACTAAAAGCAAAGTGTCAGAAAGGCTGTGTTTCCTCCTGGAGGCTCTAGGGAAGAATCCATTTCCTCGCCTTTTCCAGGCTGTGGAGGATGCCCATACTCCTTGGCTAGTGGCTCCTCCCCAGCAGCAGGCAGTGAGTCTTTCTCACATGGACTCAGTCCGACCTCCTCTCCTGCCTCCCTTGTCCACATTTAAAGACCTTTGTGATTACACTGAGCCCACCTGGTAGCCCAGGAGAATCGCCCCATCTCAAGGACCATCTCAGCTGATGAAAAACTCTAATTCCACCTGCAACGCCTTACTAAGTCATTAACGTAGTCACAGGTTCTAGCTGCCACACGGTCTCTCTCTTACACCTTACAACAGCCCTATACGATAGCTGGAACGATCTGTATGGTTTTTTTTTCAGACAAGGACATAGATTTACAAGTTAAGCAACTTGCCAGGGACACAGGCTAGAGCCTAGGTCTATCTACCTACTAGTGCCTTTATGATACCACACCCTCTTTTTAAATGGTACAGGCAGTGTTCAGGTTCCAAATACAGGCATGCTGTATTTTGTAGTATTCTGTATTCAGAAAACAGCAACAAGACAATAAAAGTTTGTCACCTCCATTTTGAAAAGGATTTTTTTTTTTTTTAACCAAAGGGACTAAAGTCATAGGGAAGAAAAGCATACACTGGTTTTCTGGACATTCCCCTGGGATTATACACACACACCATGCAACAATCACAGGCACCAGCTCCCAGCAGGCACATGATCGCCTCTCTTCACACTCCTGAGCGCTAACCCCACAGATATTTGCAAACAGGGTGTGTCCTGTCAAAAAAGCTCACAGGAAAGCAATTATCTTCCTCCTGACCCAGGAGCCCAGGGGAGGAAAGCGAGGCTGGCAGGCTAGTGAATATTTAAATTCTAAGCCAGCCTAGTGCTCCTGCCACAGCACACAGTGCTGTGGTCAATGCAAGACAAGCAGCGTATTACAAAGGAAGCCAGGTCCCTGGACTGCATGTGCTATTTTCTGTCCCGAAGGAGACATGGAAGTAACAACCTCAGCTCTCCAGGTCCTTTTCCACCACGGGACCTGGCTGGCGGCTCACCTGATTATTTCTGGGAACGATCTAATTAAATATTAACCACGTACAAAACCTCATTCTTACATTCCTCAATAAGTCACTGTGAAGACGAGCAAACCCAGACAATGAACTCAAACTCCAACTTTCCAGAAAATGGGGCCCTAGAATAGGTAAGACCTGTGACATTCACCCATTACAAAGTTATTCATTGTTAGTGGCCCTCTTAGCCTCTGAGAAAAAACCAGAGCAAAACAAAACAAAACAATCCACCTTCGGAGAGGTGCCTGTAATCCCAACATCTCGGGAGGCCGAGGTGAGGCGGGTGGATCGCCTGAGGTCAGGAGTTCGAGACCAGCCTGTCCAACATGGTGAAACACCTTCTCTACTGCAAACACAAAAATTAGCCAGGTGTGGTGGCGCACGCTTGTAGTCCCAGCCACTTGGGAGGCTGAGGCAGGAGAATCACTTGAACCCGGGAGGCGGAGGTTGCAGCGAGCTGAGATCATGCCATTGCACTCCAGCCTGGGCAACGAGAGAGACTCTGTCTTTAAAAAAAAAAAAAAAAAATCCACCTTCTTGTGTATCAAACCAACCACTAAAATGTGTGGTCCTGTATCAGAGATTCTCTCTTTGACACTCAGGAAGGTTGCCCTTGACTTCTTATCATTTAAGAGTAAGATCAATGAAGTTGGTCCTTCACATCCCATCTCCTCCATGTAGCAATCAGACCTCTTTATACGTCCTCAAAGGCACGAGAAAAAACTCAGTGAATAAACAAAGTTTCTGACAACATCCAGATATGTCTGCCAATTCAGGTTTTCTCCCTATGATCTACAAGTTCTTGGCACAATTAATTATGTATTGGTGACTTTAAATTTTTTTAAAATGACGGGCTATCCGGGCTGAACCAGTTGATGGTGATGAAGATCACAAGGCTAAATTGGTAATTTGCAGCCACCTGGGTTCCAGCACTTCGCATTTCTAAAGCCTTGATATCCTCAGGATTTATTATCGCTTTCTGGGTCAATCCCAAGCACAAAGGTTAGAAGGTCTCCCTGCGTTCTCTCTCATTTCAAAACGAAAGCTGTTGTAGAGTGCGTGTGCTAACTAGATGTGAAGGCAACCGCAGAAGTCATAGCTCTCTGCAAGGACAAGTGGGACGGAACTTGCAAATAGCCGCCACAAACGCAAATGTCACCAACCTGCTTTAGACAGGAGTGGGAGGGGTCCTCTGGCTTCCTTTATCTCTAGAGTAAAATTTTTCAGCCATTTCAGTCTTGGTTGACTTATTTTGGCAAATAAACAAGTATGCCCCCCTCCACCGCCCATCCCCCAAGCCTGAGAGCACTTCAAGAGTTTGTAAAATAAAAAGCAACAGGAAACCAGAAACGCAGCAACGTCTGCATCGTGGGTCCCCGGCACAAACACAAGTACAAAACGCACACCCGCGCCCTTATTTCATTTCTAACGCCTTCCCAGGATAGGCATCATCTGGAAGAGTTACAAGCGTGGGAGGCGCAGGAAGGGAGCCCCAGGAAGTTTCTGTCTGTCGGGCGCCGGTATTTAATGAGGGGGTGTGCACCTATTTATACGTGGGCAGCGCTCGGGCAAACAAGTCTGGCGACATACGAGAAGCTTTTCACCCAGCAAATAATAGGAGACTGTGCAGCCCTGGGAAACCGCTCACGAGAGAAGGAAGCTGGGAGTTTAAGGAATTTCCTTTAAGGAAATTGCCCGTGGGGGCATCGGTTTCAGGGGGTAGGAGACGGGGGCAGGAGCCGGCAAGGAGCGGCACGGAAGGTCGGGGACCCCAGTCGGGCCGCGCCGGCCCCGGGAGCACCTGGATCCCCAGCCCCCTCGACCCCCGGCGCGCTGGGCTCGCGCACACCCAACCCCGGCCCCATCTCCGTCCCCCGCCGCCTCAGCTCCGGCGCTCCCGGCCCGCGCACACCCTGACCCCGGCCCCCTCAGCCCCGGCGCCTCTGGGCCCGAGCGCCCGGCGGGAGCGGGGAGCGCGGCTTCCGGTTCACCTGCGCGCCGGTCGGCTCGGGCCGCGGAGGCCGGCGGGGGGCGGCAGCGGAGCTCTCGGAGAGCCCGGGCGGACACAGGCCCTGCCCCCGCGCCGTCCCCCGCCCCTGGCCGGCGCCTCCCGGGCCCCAGCCGTTCGCGCGTGAGGGGTCAGGGACGCCGCTTGCCCGCCCGCCCGCCGCCGCCCGCCGCCCGCCGCCCGCCGCCCGCTCGCCTGGGTCTTGTCGAACTGCTCGCGCTCGGCCTCCAGGCTGTGGCCCGGCCTGCGGCTCAGCACCCGCGCCGGCACGTTCTTGATGCTGTTCATCCTGCCGCCGCCGCCCGCTTTTGTCCGGCTCCGTCCGCGCGACTCACAGCCTCACGGTCCGGCAGCCCCAGCCTAGGCACCGCGAGGCCACCGCGCCGCGCCCGGGCCCGCCCGCCGGGGAGGAGCCCGCCTCGCCCCGCCCCCAACTCCAGGGCACGCCCCTCCCCCGCACACCTCCAAACCCGCCCCCCGCGCCCGCAAACGCCTCGCCCGCCCCCAACTCCAGGGCGCGCCCCTCCACCCGCACACCTCCAACCCCACCCCCCGCGATCTCGGGACACGCGCCTCTCCCCGCACATCCCCAACCCCCCATCCCGCGGCGACCCCGGCACACGCCCCGCCCCCCGCACACCTCCAACCCCCACCTCACTCACAAGGTTGGGGCACAGGCCAAACGCCCCCCCAGCTCCTCCCCACCTCTAATCCCCTCCCTAAACCCGGAGGGGAGGGTAGGGGAAGGGGGAGGGGGAACCCCTCCCTCCTCCTTCCACCCAGGGTAGGGACCCCAGCCAATTCCCTCTCCCCACCCCTCCTCCGAACTCACTAAGTCTTGTCTGCACCAGGGCAAGATCTGGTTAATTGGAGAAAATCTGGCCTCCATGAGTCTGGTCGGTGGCAGCACAGATAGACGCTTTTTTTCCTTTTTGGTCTTAATGTATGTGTCAAAAGGCACACAATGACACTCTCCCCTCTTTGTGCAATTCTGACATAGCTGCAGCTGTTATCCATGCGGGGATGCAGGATGCATTTCCAGAGACGCCGCCGGCTCCGCAACCGGACACCTCGCCAGCTCCAGGGACAATGGGGGCTGAGGCCGGGCGCTGTTAGGCTGGCACAGAAGGCAGGCGGATCTGAACAGCAAAGTACACCGAGGAGATGCCGCCAGGGGTGGCGTGAGGCTTTTTAAAAACATTATTATTGGCTTTCCCTTAAAATTACTGGTCACAAGACTGAAGTAAAAAAATAAATAAAAGCCCAGAGTCCTCTCTAAGCGTAGCTCTCAGATGGGTATTGTGTTTCTGCTGTTTCCCTTTCCTATCGGAATGCAGATGTGGAATCATGCATAAAGGTCCCTTGCTTTTGAAGGGAGAGGCACCGCCTGCCTGTAAGGAGGAAAATGACGCCCACGTAATCCTGACCCTTGTCTCCCTAGTGAGACTGTAACCTGTCTGAGGTCAGAGACCCTTTCCTTTCCTTTCCTTTCCTTTCCTTTCCCTTTCCCTTTCCTTTCCTTCCTCCTTCTTTTCTTTCTTTTCTCTCTTTCTCTCTCTTCTTTCTTTCTCTTTCTTTCTTTCTTTTCTTTTCTTCTCTTTCTTTCTTTTCTTTTTTTTTAACCGAGCTTCACTCTTGTTGCCTAGGCTGGAGTGCAATGGCACAATCTCACCTCACCGCAACCTCCGCCTCCTGGGTTCAAGCAATTCTCCTGCCTCAGCCTCCCAAATAGCTGGAATTACAGGCATGTGCCACCACGCCTGGCTAATTTTGTATTTTTAGTAGAGACAGAGTTTCTCCGTGTTGGTCAGGCTGGTCTCGAACTCCCGACCTCAGGTGATCCGCCCGCCTCGGCCTCCCAAAGTGTTGGGATTACAGGCGTGAGCCACCACACCCCGCCAGGGACCCTTTTCTTTAACTGATTCCTCACCCTCCAGCCCAAGAGCTAGAGCTGACCCCAAAAGATAACATTTGCCAAGACTCTCCTGTCACTGCACCAAAAGGAGAAATTAATCCTGTTTTCTCTAATTCCAATCACTAAAAAGCTTCTTTATCAGAATAACGGTAGAATCACAATAGCTGATATGTACTGAATGCTTATTATTTGGCAGGCACTGGGCTAAACCCTTCATATGTAACTTAGTCAACTTAGTTGATAGCTGTGCTCTAATAAAGACCACAGTAAAGGGGCTTTTTGCGGTACTCCAGCTGTTTCTCACACTCCTTTTTCCACACGGAACAAAAGTGGTTCTCCTGTGACCCTTCACGCATATACAGCATCCCTTTTCAACCAGGCAACAGCCCCTGTAGGTCTAGCACATCTGCCACAGAGACTTCCCATTAGCAACTGGCTTTTTAAATAATCACAGAGCCTATTACTGTGCCGGGCACCAGGCTCAGCATCTGTTAAACAGTATCTCACTTATTCTTCTTTAAAGTTGTTGATGAGGCTCGGCACAGTGGCTCACGCCTGTATTCCGAGCACTTTGGGAGGCTGAGGCAGGTGGATCACTTGAGCTCAGGAGTTCGAAACCATTCTGGGCAACATGGTGAAACCCCATCTCTACCAAAAAATACGAAAAACTTAGCTGGCCGTGATGGCGTGCCTGTAGTCCCAGCTACCCAGGAGGCTGAGGTGGGAGGATCACTTAGGCCTGCAAGGCAGAGGTTGCAGTAAGCTGAGATCATGCCACTGCACTCCAGCCTAGACAACAGAGTGAAACCTTCTCTCAAAATAAATAAATAAAAAATAAAGCATCAACAACTTTATTTTTATTTATTTATTTTTTTTGAGACAGGGTCTGGCTTCGTTACCCAGGCCGGAATGCAGTGGCATAATCATAGCTCACTGCAATTTCTGCCTCCTGGGCTCAAGTGATCCTCCCACCTCAGCCTTCTAAGTAGCTGGAACTGGAGGGATGCACTATCATGCCCAGCTAATTTTTTTTTTTTTTTGAGATGGAGTCTCACTCTGCCACCAGGCTGGAGTGCAGTGGCACGATCTTGGCTCACTGCAACCTCTGCCTCCCGGGTTCAAGCAATTCTCCTGCCTCAGCCTCCCAAGTAGCTGGGACTACAGGCGCCCGCCACCACGCCCAGCTAATTTTTGTATTTTTAGTAGAGACAGAGTTTCACCATGTTGGCCAGGATGGTCTCGATCTCTTGACCTCGTGATCTACCCACCTCGGCTTCCCAAAGTCCTGGGATTACAGGCATGAGCCACTGCGCCTGGCCATGCCCAGCTAATTTTTAAAGTTTTTTTGTAGAGACAGAGTCTTGCTAAGTTGTCCAGGCTGGTCTCAAATTCCCGGGCTCAAGTGAATTCGCCCACCTTGAAAGTACTGGGATTACAGGCCGAAGCCACTGCACCTGGCCTCTTGATGGTATTTTTTACAGACCAACAAACAAGCTCAGGTTCAGAGAGTTTAGCCCAGGTTCACACAACTGGTAAACGCTGCATTCGGGATCCAGACCCAGATGTGCCTGATTTCAAGGCCAGTGCCCGCAACACCCATGCCATTTGGACTACATTTTGTGGTCTATGACTTTCAGTACTATACTACCTCAGGCTTGCTGTTTAGGACCTGAGAGCACTCTCCTAACACATCTCTAAGGGATTGTACTTTATGTGCTTGTAGGTAAGATTTTGAGCTATTAGAGGGCCACCCTGTATTACTCAGTTTTATGTACTCAGTGCCTAGCAGGGCACCTGGCACATAGCAATGTTCAATATGTATGTCAAATGAAGGGCTGAAAGAGTGAGTAAACAAATACCTCATTTGGTATACTTCAACATACAGCTGATCTCACGAAAGAGTATCACTGAGGACATAAGGATACAAACTTCCCCAATCTTTTGTTTGTTTGTTTTTGTTTTTGAGACAGGGTTGCCCTCTGTCACCCAGGCTGGAGTGCAGTGGCATGATCTCAGCTCACAGCAACCTTCGCTTCCTGGGTTCCAGCAATTCTCCTGCCTCAGCCTCCTGAGTAGCTGAGATTACAGGCGTGCGCCACCACAGCCTGGCTAATTTTTGTATTTTTTGTAGAGACAGGGTTTCACCATGTTGGTCAAGCTGGTCTTGAACTCCCAACCTCAGGTGATCCACCTGCCTCGACCTCCCAAAGTGTTGGGATTACAGGCGTGAGCCACTGTGCCTGGCCCAAACTTCCCCACTCTTAATTTTTCTGGTTCATCTCTCTAACATCTTCAGGCAGGAGGCCTGGTCTACTATTGTCCCTGTCACTGACTGGCTTTTTTTTTGGCGGGGGGGATACGGGGTCTTGCTTGCTCTGTTACCCCTGCTGGAGTGCAGTGGCTGGATTATGGCTCATTGCAGCCTCAACCTCCTGGGCTCAAATGATCCTCCCACCTCAGCCTCCAGAATAGCTGGGACCACAGGTGTGCACCACCATGCCTGGCTAATTTTTAAATTTTTTGTAGAGACGGGGGTCTCACCACGTTGCCCAGACTGGTCTTGAACTCCTGGACTCAAGCAATCCTCCCACCTTAGCCTCCCAAAGTGCTGGCATTACAGGCAGGAGCCACTGCTCCCGGCCTGAGATTCTTCATGCCATCAGAATCAGGGTTCTGTTTTGGTGTATCTCGAGGGCTGTTGAATTCCTGCTCACCCCTATTACAAAAGCAAAGCAATTGGAATACAAATAAGACCTCGTTTTAAGGAAAATCCAAGATGCACAGGAGAGTTTACATCATCTGGCCCACTAAAACATGGTATGCTACCACACCCACACTGACTCATCGACTCGTATGCATGATCTGGCCCCAGCCTCTGTCCCTGGCTTCATCTTGCACCATCCTGGCCCATCAGGTCCCAGATGCGTCATGTTCCCTCCCACCTCAGAGCCTTTGCACATGCTGTTCCTACTGCCTGGAATTCTCTTCTGCTTCCCGTTCGCCCTACTTAGCATCCACTTGTCTTTAACTCTTGGCTCAGATGTCACTTCTTTAAGGAAGCATTCTCTTAACACTCCACCCTTCACCTGAGTCCCTATTATAAGCTGTCATCATATCTCAAAGCTTTCTTTTGTAGCACTAACCAGTCTCTTGTGAACTATGTATGGGATTCTTAGATTAGTGTGTTTCTACGACTAGATTGTCTGCTTTGCTCATTGTTGTGTCTCCAGTGGCCAGCAAAGCACCTACTGTGTGCTCAAAATTCTTTGATTTTTTGTTGGGTTTCTTTTTGTTGTTGTTGTGGTTGGGTTTCTTAAGCATGCATCTGGCTGAGAACCCAGACATCATCCTTTAAAGAACTGATTCATGTACACTTTTCATTCAATCAACTTCTCTCAAAGACCATTCTGGGTGTTTTTTGTTTGTTTGTTTGTTTGTTTGAGACAGAGTCTGGCTCTGTTGCCCAGGCTGGAGGCATGGCTCAATCTCAGCACACTGCAACCTCTGCCTCCCAGGTTGAAGTGATTCTTGTGCCTCAGCCTCCTGAGTAGCTGGGATTACAGGCACCCACCACCACGCCCAGCTAATTTTTGTATTTTTAGTAGAGAGGTGTTTCGCCATGTTGGCCAGGCTGGTCTCGAACTCCTGATCTCAAATGATGTGCGAGCTTTGGCCTCTCTAAGTGCTGGGATTACACGCGTGGGCCACTGCACCTGGCCCCATTCTGGTTTTTAAACCTCCTTGTCAGCTGCAGTCTTGATGAATGTGTCTGGTTTCTTATTTTGATCCTGTTCACTCTGTTCTCTATCACACTGGAGGTTGCTAAGATTATTCTGTTGAAGGCCTAGAATAATGAACTTTCCTGCAATGTGTCCTAACAAAATCATCATCAAATGGCTCAAGAGAAACAAAAGTACAACACTGCAAACCCACCACCCCAGCTACAGGTGTCAAACCACACAAAGCCACAGGAGAAAACTCCAGGATCAGTTTGCCAGACCATAACAAGGATTCAGTCTTCAGTCTCCTTCCTGGAAGGTATGGAGCCAACCTTATCCCACACAGCCAAGAAGTTCTAGACGCATTCTCTTGGCACTTTTGGGGTAAAGCTGCTTTTAGTGTTTATGTTTTATCTTAATTCAGAACTTTTTTTCTTTGGGGGTATTTCTATTTCTGTTTTTAAATATCTGTTGGCCGGGCGCGGGGGCTCACACCTGTAACCCCAGCACTTTGGGAGGCTGAGGTGGGCGGATCACCTGAGGTCAGGAGTTCGAGACCAGCCTGGCCAACATGGTGAAACCCCGTCTCTACTAAAAATACAAAAATTAGCCTGGCATGGTGGCAGGTGCCTGTAATCCCAGCTATTCGGGAGGCAGAAGAATCTCTTGAATCTGGGAGATGGAGGTTGCAGTGAGCTGACATCGTGCCACCGCACTTCAGCCTGGGTGACAGAGTGAGACTCCATCTAAAGAAAAAAAAATTAGGCATGGTGGCACGTGCCTGGAGTCCTCGCTAATTGGGAGGCTGAAGCAGGAGAATCACTTGAGCCCAAGAGTTTGAGGCTACAGTGAGCTATGATGATACCACTGCCCTCCAGGCTGGGTGACAGAGTGAGACCCTGTCACTAAAAATAAAATTAAAAAAAAAATCCATTCACAGATTCTAAAAATACCCTTATATCAGTCTTTTCCAATGCTGAGATTACTTCTGGCAGGCAGATTGTAGTATAATTCATTTGCCTCCTCTTCAGATGTGTTGATCTTAAGAATGTTGCTGATAAGACATAAATGCTAAAATCTAGTTTTATCTTGTAACTATTTCAAATACTCTATGAGACTGCCTCTGTGCATCCATTAAAGTATAGAAAAAAAAAGGAGACTGCCTCTCTAACAGAAATTGCTCAAAGCTTAGGTCAGGGGTATCTGCACTCCACGTTCACTGCAGCACTGCTCACAACAGCCAAGATGTGGAAGCAACCTAAATGCCCATCAACAGATGAGTGGATAAAGAAATGTGGTGGCTCACGCCTGTAATCCCAGCACTTTGGGAGGCTGAGTTGGGAGGATCACATTAGGCCAGGAGTTCAACACCAGCCTGGCCAACATGACGAAACCCCGTCTCTACTAAAAAAACAAAAAGTTAGCCAGGAGTGGTGGTGGGCACCTGTAATCCTAGCTTCTCAGGAGACTGAGGCAGGAGAATTGCTTGAACTCGGGAGGTGGAGGTTGCAGTGAGCTGGAATTGAGCCACTGCACTCCAGCCTGGGCAACAGAGTGAGACTCGGTCTCAAAAAAAAAAAAGTAGTATATATATACATAATGGAATACTATTTAGCCATAAAAACAAACGAAATCCTGTCATTTAAATGACTCAGTTTGGGCCAGGTGCAGTGGCTTACATCTGTAATCCCAGCACTTTGGGAGGCCGAGAAGGTGGATCACAAGGTCAGAAGTTCAAGACCAGCCTTGCCAATATGGTGAAACCCCGTCTCTACTAAAAATACAAAATTTAGCTGGGCATGGTGGCGCACACCTGTAGTCCCAGCTACTCGGGAGGCTGAGGCAGGAGAATCACTTGAACCTGAAAGGCGGAGGTTGCAGTGAGCTGAGATCACGCCACTGCACTCCAGCCTGGGCGACAGAGAGAGACTCTGTCTCAAAAAAATAAATAAATAAATAAATAAATAAATAAATAACTTCGGTTGAGCTAGATGCATTGCTAACATTAAATTTCTCATTCTTTTTTTTTTTTTTTTTTTTTTTTTGAGACGGGACCTCACTCTGTCACCCAAGCTGGAGTGCAGTGGTACGATCTTGGCTCATTGCAACCTCCACCTCCTGGGTTCAAGCAATTCTCCTGCCTCAGCCTCCCAAGTAGCTGGGATTACAGGCGCGTGACACCATGCCCAGCTAATTTTTTGTATTTTTAGTAGAGAGGGGGTTTTGTCATGTTGGCCAGGCTGGTCTCGAACCTCTGATCTCAAGTGATCCACCTGCCTTAGGCTCCCAAAGTGCTGGAATTACAGGCATAAGCCGCCACACCCAGCTGAAATTTCTCATTGTTGGATTGCATATGGAACGATAAGCTGGTGGGATACAATAGGTGTCAGGTGTCGTAGGTACTATAATCCTATGAGCTAAAATACATTTAGCCATAAAATAATGTTTAATTGTTATCAAATCCTTTAGTTCCCTGACATGTTCCTATTTAGCATCTATTCAGTGTTGCCTTTTCACTAGGCAAGTTGATGTGCAGTCATGAACATGAAAAGGAGGAGAAAATTTAATATTTTGATTCTTAGATAGGAAGTCACGCTCCCCAAGGGTCATTTTAGGTTTCTACTTGGCAGGCAGCAGCTCAGAAGCAACTATACCTTTCTCCGTTTTGCTCTAGACAGCCCAGCCTGAGGGAGAAAGCACGCATTGATAAAGAACATAACCAAACCTCACCCAACTTCTCTTTTCAGCACCCTAATTAAAAAGGCTAAATGAGGTGGCTCTTCCCCGCTCATGAAAATCATCTCTGAAGTAACACTGAGACCTGTTAACAAAGGGGCATTTATTCAGCACAATAGAACTTTGATATCTGCAATGCTTAAAAAAATACATCCCCATTCCTGAGGAAATTAACTTGCCAGGTTCAGTTTAAAGTGATGAACGTTCCTTCCTTATTTTACTCCTGTAAAATAAAAAGAAACCAAGGAAACATATTTTTTCTTTAATATTAAAAATATCTTTTATGGACTGAAGTTGATCTATTCTTTTAGAGAAGACACAGAGGCATATAGTATAATCTTTAAAAAATTAAATTACTTTACAAGTTAAAATGGAAGTGTTTTAGTCTTTAAGATTTTTAAAAATGCGTCTAAAACTCGATCTTCCAGCAAGCTTTTGTTTGTGTCAGTAGGTGGGACTAATATAGACCCAGAAAGATGGGGCTCTGCTCAGCTTGGGACAGAAGGACCTCGAGCTATTTTCCAGTTACATTTTATATTTTATATCAAAGCACCTTATGTCTATTTACACAGCAAAGTCAAAAGCTAAAACCATGAGAGAATACTGTTTCTCATATATTTTGAGCTGACTCTGATAAGCTATTGTTTAGAATTTAAATGTATGCACAGATTTTTTAAAAATCAGATAGTTAAAACAGCACTTTCTATGCAGGGTTCTTTCTCTATTTGACATTCACATTTTTAAAGAGCTTCTCTAGCATTTAACTGTAGTCCGTATCTTTACAGAGAAGTCTTTTTCATTCTTAGCATAATTCCAACTTTCTATATGTACAATAAGGTCTACTTTCTTACACATGAAAATATTTCTTCAGCACAAAAATGGTTAACTTGAAAATGAAGTGTAGATGTTTAAAAATTAACTTTCTAGTTCTGCTCCCAGCTGGAATTAAGTGCCGTTTATGAAGAACTAGAATCCTCTTTCAGTTTTACGGTTAAGTATTCATTCAGTATTGGTGTCTGCTTTCTGCCTTCCACATAGATGAGAAATCTGCTTTTGGATGAAGAAAACACAACATTAATAAAATACAATCAATTAATATTGGAGAGCATGCTATAAGCTCCTGGCGTCTAAAATATTAACTCTACATCCTGATTTTCATCAACATCAGGACATGCAAAATACTATAAATATGAAAACTCAGCGGAGAGAGGGAGGGGAGAGGAGGAGGGATGGGGGCGGGGACGGCGCTGCTCAGGCTCTCTGCTTCCCCAGTGTCTTTGAAATGCTGATATGCTTACCTTGAAAAGATCCGAAATGCCTGTACGCTTTAGCTTATCAAACTGGGTTCTGAGGAAACCGCATATGAAATGCAGGTTTGATAGAAGTAAACACAAATCCAGAAAGTGCTTACTGGGTCAATACACGTTTTTATGAAGATTTTACTCGATGTAAAACTTTTTTTTTTTTTTTTTTTTGAGACGGAGTTTCGTTCTTGTCGCCCAGGCTGGAGTGCAGTGGCCAAATCTCCACTCATTGCAACCACCGCCTCCCGGGTTCAAGCCATTCTCCTGCATCAGCCTCCCCAGTAGCTGGGATTACAGGCATGCGCCTCCATGCCCGGCTAATTTTTTTTTTTGGTATTTTTAGTAGAGACGGGGTTTCGCCATGTTGGCCAGGATGGTCTCAAACTCCTGACCTCAGGCGATCCGCCCACCTCGGCCTCCCAAAGTGCTGAGATTACAGGTGTGAGCCACCGCGCCCAGCTACCCCATGTAAAACTTTTATAAAACTTTACTCCACATAAAGACTTCTTGGCTAGGCGTGGGGGGCCACGCCTTTAATCCCAGCACTTTGGGAGGCCGAGGCGGGCGGATCACTTAAGCTCAGGAGTTCGAGACCAGCCTGGCCAACGTGGCGAAACCCCGTCTCTACTAAAAATACAAAAAAAAAAAAAATTAGCCGGGCATGGTGGCACATGCCTGTAATCCCAGCTACTTGGGAGGCTGAAGCAGGAGAATCGCTTGAACCCGGGAGGCGGAGGTTGCAGTGAGCTGAGATCGCACCACTGCACTCCAGACTGGGAGACAAGAGCAAAACTCTGTCTCAAAAAAAAAAAAAAAAAAAAATTAGCCAGGTGTGGTGATGCGCACCTGTAATCCCAGCTGCTTGGGAGACTGAGGCAGGAGAATCGCTTGAACCTGGGAGGTGGAGGTTGCAGTGAGCTGAGATTGCACCACTGCACTCCAGCCTGGGCGACAGAGCAAGACTCCAACTCAAAAACAAACAAACAAAAAACTTCTTTCTGGACAGACAGATGAAATGCTAAAACATTAATTTTGATTTTTTTTCAGCTATAATTTTTTTTCTTTTCTTTTTTTTTTTGAGACTGAGTTTCACTCTTGTTGCCCAGGCTGGTGTGCAATGGCACGATCTCGGCTCACTGCAACCTCCGCCTCCTGGGTTCAAGCGATTCTCTTGCCTCAGCCTCCTGAGTAGCTGGGATTACAGGCATGCACCACCAAACCCAGCTAATTTTTTGTATTTTTAGTAGAGACAGGGTTTCACCATGTTGGCCAGGCTGGTCTCAAACTCCCGACCTCAGGTGATCTGCCTGCCTCGGCCTCCCAAAGTGCTGGGATTATAGGCATGAGCCACCATGCCTGGCCCATATACCACATTTTCTTTATCCATTAGTTGATTGATGGGCATCTGCGCTGGTTCCGTATTTTTGCAATTGCGAATTGTGCTGCTATAAACATGTGTGTACAAGTGTCTTTTTCATATACTTTTCCTCCACGTAGATACCCAGTAGTGGGATTATTGGATCAAATCGGAGTTCTACTTTTAGTTCTTTATGGATAACCTCCACACTGTTTTCCATAGGGGTTGTACTAGTTTACATTCCCACCAGCAGTGTAAAAGTGTTCCCTTTTTACCACATCCATGCCAACATCTATTATTTCTTGATTTTTAAATTATGGCCATTCTTGCATGAGTAAGGTGGTACTGCATTGTGGTTTTTCTGTTTGTTTGGTTTTTTGTTTGTTTGTTTAGAGACAGAGTCTCATTATTGTCGCCCGGCTGGAGTGCAATGGTGCAATCTTGGCTAATTGCAACCTCCGCCTCCCAGGTTCCAGAAATTCTCCTACCTCAGCCTCCCGAGTAGCTGGGATTACAGGTGCCCGCCACCATGCTTGGCTAATTTTTGTATTTTTAGTAGAAACGCGGTTTCACCATGTTGGCCAGGCTTGTCTCAAACTCCTGGCCTCAAGTGATCCACCCGCCTTGGCCTCCCAAAGTGCTATGATTATGGGCATGAGCCACTGCGCCCGGCCCGCATTGTGGTTTTGATTTGCATTCCCCTGATAATTAGTGATGTTGAACATCTTTTCATATTAGATTCTGATTTTTAAAGCTGTGTCTATGTATTCACTTCCCTAGATTTAAAATTCTAGGTATTGAGAATAATAACTTTTTTTTTTTGAGACGGAGTCTTGCTCTGTTGCCCAGGCTAGAGTGCAGTGGTGCCATCTTGGCTCACTGCAACTTCTGCCTCCTGGGTTCAAGTGATTCTCCTGCCTCAGCCTCCCAAGTAGCTGGGATTACAGGCGCCCACTACCGCGCCTGGCTAATTTTTGTATTTTTAGTAGTGACAGACCAGGCTGGTCTCGAACTCCTGACCTCGTGATCCAGCCGCCTCAGCCTCCCAAAGTGATGGGATTACACGTGTGAGCCACCACGCCCGGCCTTTTTTTTTTTTTTTTTAAGAGACAAGGTCTCACTGTGTTCCCAGGCTGGAGTGCAGGAGAACTTTTTGATCTGCATTTCTTTGCAAGTAATTGACATTTTACTCTGATTAAATTTAGAAGTATGCATAAATTGGTCGAGCAAAAGAGAAAGTATTACAAGTCAAACAAATGCATGGCCTTGACTCAACGTTATCGATGTTCCCAAGTTACTTATTAAATATTAATTGAGATATAAGGTGAGATAAGCAAAGGTGACTTACTCGTGATCACGATGAATACTGAAGTTGCCTTTTGTTTCCTTCAATAACTGACAAAGGTATTTTTTTGAGCTGACTCTTCTGGGACCTCTGACTTCTAGAAAACAACTCCCAGATTAGTATTCAGGATAGAGAAACTAAAAAATTCTTAAGAAGACTAAACACAAATATAGCAGAAATGCCTTTAAGAGATGTTAGATGAGGCTGGGCGTGGTGGCTCATGCCTATAATCCCAGCACTTTGGGAGGCCAGGGTGGGCGGATCACTTGAGATCAGGAATTCAAGAGCAGCCTGGCCAGTATGGCAAAACCCCATCTCTACCAAAAATACAAAAATGAGCTGGACATCGTGGCGCCCGCCTGTAATTCCAGCTACTTGGGAAGCTGAGGTGGGAGAATTGCTTGAACCCAGGAGGTGGAGGTTGCAGTAAGCCAAGATCACGCCACTGCACTCCAGCCTGGGCGACAGAGTGAGACCCTGTCTCAAAAAAAGAAAAAAGAAAAAAAGACGTTAGATGAAGAGATATCTGCACTCCACTCCATGTTCACTGCAGCCAAGATGCGGAAGCAACATAAGTGCCTGTCAGCAGATGAGTGGATCAGGAAAACGTAGTATATACGCACAATGGAGTAATATTTAGCCATAAAAACAAACAAAATTCTGTAATTTGCAACAGCGTGGATGAACCTGGAGGACATTAGACTGCGTGAAAGAAGCCAGGCACAGAAAGACAAATACTGCCTGATCTCACTTATATTTGAAATCTAAAAAGTGTGGAACTCAATGGTGTGAACCCGGGAGGCGGAGCTTACAGTGAGCCAAGATCGCACCACTGCACTCCAGCCTGGGCGACAGACCGAGACTCCATCTCAAAAAAAAAAAAAAAAATGTGGAACTCATAGAAGCAGAGAGTAGAATAGTGATTACCAGAGGCTTGGGGAGGGAGTGGATGGGGAAAGGGGAGCTATTGGTCAAAGGTACAAAGTTTCAATTAGACAGGAGGAAAAGTTTTAGTGATCTATTGCACAGCACCATGACTATGGTTAATAATAATGTATTGGCCAGGTGCAGTGGCTCACGCCTGTAATCCCAGCACTTTGGGAGGCCGAGGCAGGCGGATCACAAGGTCAAGAGCTCGAGACCATCCTGGCCAACATGGTGAAACCCTGTCTCTACTAAAAAGACGAAAATTAGCTGGGCGTGGTGGCACGCGCCTGTAGTCCCAGCGACTTGGGAGGCTGAAAGGCAGGAGAATCGCTTGAACCTGGGAGGTGGAGGTTGTAGTGAGCCAAGATCACGACACTGCACTCCAGCTTGGTGACAAGAGTGACATTCTGTCTCAAAAAAAAAAAAAAAAAAGATAAATAATGTCGTGTGTGTGTGTGTGTGTGTGTGTGTGTGTTTAAATTTATAGAGACAGGGTCTCCCATTGTTGCCCATTCCTGGCTTCACGTGATCCTCCTGCCTCAGCCTCCCAAAGGGCTAGGATTACAGGTGTGAGCCATTGTGCCCAGCCAATAATAATGTATGATATATTTCAAAATTGTTAAATGAATCGGTTCTAAATCTTTCCACTACAAAGACATGATAAGTATGTGAGGTGATAGATACACAGCTGGTTTAGTCATTCTACTATGTTATATACATATTATAACATTGCACTATACACTGTAAATATATACAATTATTATTTGTCAATTTAAAAAAGACCATAGTGGCTACGCACAGTGGCTCACGCCTGCAATCCCAGCACTTTGGGAGGCTGAGGTGGGAGGATCTCTTGAGCCCAGGAGTTTGAGACCAGCCTAGGCAACACGGGGAGACAAAAAATACACTTAAAAAAAAATTAGCCAGGCATGGTGACAAACACCTGTACTCCCAGATATTCAGGAGGCTGAAGTGGGAGGACCGCTGGAGCCTGGGAGTTTGAGGCAGAAGTGAGCCATGATCGTGCCACTGCACTCTAGCCTGAGCGAGAGAGTGACACCCTGTCTCAGAAAATAATAAATAAATAAGACCTTAGGGAATGAATAAAATATAATGAAGTGACTGCATACAATTGCCATCCATCCATCCAACAAAGGCTTCTTGACTTCCCATTCATGTGTGGGGTCCCCTTTGTCTCTAATCTGGAAGGACTTCTCTGTCTGCTTCACCATGTGTGTTACAGCTAAACGCTGGCCATCAGCTAATGCCCAGATATAACTGGCTCGCTGTCAGTCCTAACACAGGCACCGATCCAGTGAGCCCTCAGTGAGCCGTGTTGAAAACAGTGGTCAGTAGTTAAGCATCGGCAACTCTAAGTGCCTCGTTAGCCTTCTTAGGTGTCTGGGTGGGGAAAAGAGGAAGAAGGGGAGTGGAGAGGTAAGGGGGAGGAATGAAGGGGAGATGATGCCTGGAAAGACCCCAGTGCATTCCGTGGTGACCCCTGGCTTGCAGGTGAGCCCACCTCCTCACCTCCCCCTGCCTGTGTGGCCTGCATTCCAGCCACCCCGGGATCCCTCACAGTTCCTCAGGGGCACCCAAGGGTGCTTCCAGTCCTCTGTGCTTTTACTCATGCTGCTTCCTCTCTATGCAAATTGCCCATGTATTTTACCATCTGATTTTTTTTTTTTTTTTTTTGAGACAGAGTCTTGCTCTGTTGCCCAGGCTGGAGTGCAGTGGCGTGATCTCGGCTCACTGCAACCTCCGCCACCTGGGTTCAAGCGATTCTAGTGCCTCAGCCTCTCGAGTAGCTGGGATTACGGCACGCCACCATGCCCGGGTAATTTTTGTATTTTTAGTAGAGAGGGGGTTTTACCTTGTTGGCTAGGCTGGTCTGGAACTCCTGCCCTCAGGTGATCTGCCTGCCTGGGCCTCCCAAAGTGCTGGGATTACAGGCGTGAACCACCGTGCCTTGCTACCATGCTATGTATTTTCTCTTATTCGTTTAAAAACTTCATTCTGAAAGGGATCTGCAGGCTTTATCAGCCTGCCACGAGAAAGGCCAAGAGCCCCGACAGGTAACACCAACCATCTCAAGCCAGCAATCAGGACGGCCAGGCCCACACAGCAGGCACAAGTCCAAGCTCAGTTTATGGTAGGGTCCGCTCCTCACCCCTACCCTCCAGGCAAGGAGGAAGCCCGCCATGAGGCAATGTGCTCAGCTGTGCGCTTCCCCTTACTCTAACTCCTTTTTTCTCCTTTGTCTATTTTTAAATTATTGGAGTTTTTCTTGAATAGTTTAAAAATCAAAATAATAAAAACAGGTATAAACTGAGAAGTCCCGCTTCTGCCTCATCCCTCATGCCTCCTATTGGTAAAATTTATATCATCTTTCCACTGTGTCTTTGTGCAAATATATATTCTTATTTCCATCCTCTTTCTTTTCTTCTTCTTCTTTTTTTTTTTTTTTTTTTTTTGAGACAGGATCTTGCTGTATCGCTCAGGCTGGAATACAGTTGCTCAATCACAGCTCACTGCAGCCTCAAATTCCTGGGCTCAAGCAATCCTCCTGTCCCAGCCTCCCGAGTGCCTGGGACTACAAGTGTGCACCACCATGCCCCGCTAATGTTTTTAAAAACCTTTTTTTGTAGAGACAGGGCCTAGCTATGTTGCCCAGGCTGGTCTCGAACTCCTGGGCTCAAGCAATCCTCCCACCTTGGCCTCCCAAAGTGGTGGGATTACAGGTGTGAGCCACTGCTCCTGGCCCTCTCCTTATGTATGTGGAATGCCATATGAACCTTCAGTATCTTGCACGTTTCTCACTTAGCAATATATCTGGAAATATTTCCACATACTAGAGCACCTCATTCTGTTCTATGTCTGCTCAGAACTCCACCGTGTGGGTGGACCACAGCTTATTCCCTCGGTTCCCTTTTGCTGGACACTGGGTGGGTGGCCTCCTATCATTTGCTATTGTAAAGCAATGCTGCAAAGAAACACGTGTGCCTATGCCATTTCATACACATGCAGAAGTATCTGTGGGAGAGATTCCCAAAGTGACACTGCATTGTCAAAGCGTCAGTTCTTCAGTGATTTTTAGAAAACATTGCCAATTTCCCCAACAGGAGGACTGAATCATTGCCTGCTCCCTGGCAACGTGGGAGAGTGCCTGTCTCACAGCAAGGCTCTGAATTGCGACCCTTGTCTGTAGCGACAGATGGCAAAGCCCTGGAGAAGCAGACACGCTGCTCAGAACTTTACCCTGCTTCCTTATTGCAGAAATTAAGAATTTTTAAACAAAATTATTTGCTTTTTCGGTACCTAGCTGTACTCAGTACAAAGGCATGGGGGGAGGAGTTTGTAAAGCGTGTTGCCAGGTAAATCCCTGTTATTTAAATTCTGTCTTCCCAATATCTCTAGAATCAGTTAATGCACCAGAAAATGTATGATATCTGGAGCCAACAGTTTTTCCAATTAAATGATTTTCTGATTCTAGCTGTACTTTGTTGACTAAAGAGATTCGGTCATTTTTCCCTTCCTGTAAAATGTAAGGTTGGAATTAGATATCTCTTCTGGATCTTTCTAGCTCAAACACTCTGAAAAAAATATATTTTTTGAGACAGGGTCTTGCTCTGTTGCCCAGGCTGGAGTGCAATGGTGTGATCGTGGTTCACTGTAGCCTCGAACTCCTGGGCTCAAAGTCATGATCCTCCTACCTCAGCCTCCTGAGTAGCTGGAACTATAGGCGTGAGCCACTACACTTGGCTAATTTTTATTTTTTAGCAATGGGGTCTCACTATCTTGCCCAGGCTGGTCTCGAACTCCCAGGCTCAAGCAATCCTCCTGTGTGGTCCTCCCAAAGAGCTAGGATTACAGGTGTGAGTCACTGCACCCAGCTAATTTTATTTTATTTTTCTTAGACAGTGTCCCACTCTATGGCCCAAGCTGGAGTACAGTGGTGTGATCATAGCTCACTGTAGCCTTGACCTCATGCTCAAGCGATCCTCCCCCCTCAACCTCCCAAGTACCCAGGACTACAGTCATG
The DNA here is from genome assembly GCF_000001405.40 of Homo sapiens. Lineage (NCBI taxonomy): Eukaryota > Metazoa > Chordata > Mammalia > Primates > Hominidae > Homo > Homo sapiens. Next base: position 122,818,493 of record NC_000012.12, on the reverse strand, counting down.
GGTCACCACGTCCAGTTAATTTTTTTTTTTTTTTTTTTTTTGAGACAGAGTCTCGCTATGTCACCCAGGCTGGAGTGCAGTGGCACGATCTTGGCTCACTGCAAGCTCCGCCTCATGGGTTTACACCATTCTCCTGCCTCAGCCTTTCAAGTAGCCGGGACTACAGGCGCCCGCCACCACGCCCAGCTAATTTTTTTGTATTTTTAGTGGAGATGGGGTTTCACCGTGTTAGACAGGATGGTCTTGATCTCCTGACCTCATGATCCGCCTGCCTCGGCCTCCCAAAGTGCTGGGATTACAGGCGTGAGCCACCGCGCCTGGCCACATCCAGCTAATTTTTGAATTTTTTGTAGAGACAAAGTCTTGGTATGTTGCCCCAGCAGAACTTGAACTCCTGCCCTCAAGTGATCCTCCCACCTCGGCCTCCCAAAGTGCTGGGATTATAGGTGTGAGCCACTGCACCTGGCCAGCTTTTTCTTTTTTCTGCATGTTCCTGTCAGTTCCATTCAAGGTAGGCCCTGAGACCGCCTGTGGCAGATGCTGGGTGCTGCAGCCAGGGTGCCAAGGTGGAGAAGGGTCCTGAGGCGTTCACAGTGAGCAGGAGTCATGGACGCAGTCACCTGTTGGCTACCTGACGTGCACTCTGATGGAGGCAGATACACACACACACACGCATGCATGCACACACACACATGTGCAGGCACACACACACAGAGCTACACTAGCAGGACAAAAATGAGGGAGTGATTGATTATATCTCAGGAATTTGACATAAAACCCTAACAAAGAGGTTGAGAGAACAACCTGAAGCCACGAGGACAAGGAGGAGACATCTGTTGCTATAATGCTTGTTTGGAAAACGTGAATTTGGGCCAGGCATAGTGGCTCACGCCTGTAATCCCAGCACATTGGGAGGCCAAGTTGGGAGGATCACTTGAGGTCAGGAGTTTGAGACCAGCCTGGCCAACATGGTGAAACTCTGTCTACTAAAAATACAAAAAATTAACCAGGCATGGTGGCTCACACCTGTAATCCCAGCTACTCAGGAGGCTGAGGCAAGAGAATCGCTTGAACCCAGGAAGTGGAGGAAAGAGTGAAACTCCATCTCAAAAATAAAATAAAAATAAAAAAATAGGCCAGGCATGGTGGCTCATGCCTGTAATCCCAGCACTTTGGGAGGCCGAGGCGGGTGGATCACAAGGTCAGGAGATCAAGACCATCCTGGCTAGCATGGTGAAACCCCATCTCTACTAAAAATCCAAAAAAAAAAAAAAATTAGCTAGGCGTGGTGGCGGGTGCCTGTAGTCCCAGCTACTTGGGAGGCTGGGGCAGGAGAATAGTGTGAACCCGGAAGGTGGAGCTTGCAGTGAGCCAAGATCATACCACTGCACTCCAGCCTGGGTGACAGAGCAAGACTCTGTCTCAAAACAATAAATAAATAAATAAATAAAATTTAAAAATAAAAATAAACTGGCATGTAATCTTTATTCCATCAAAGTTCATGGATCCCATGAATTCTAGTCAACAAATTCTGATTAAAATTATCTGTCCAACAAATCCATAGAGACAGAAAGTAGATTGTGGTAACCAGTGGCTGTGGATGTGGGGTCTCCTTTTGGGGTGATTAAAATATTCTAGAATTAGATAGCGGTAGTGGCTGCACGATTTTATTAATATGATTTAAAAAAAACCACCAAATTGTACACTTTAGAAGGGTGAATTGTATGTAAATAATAAAATGTGAATTCTGTCTCTCTTTTTGATATAGGGTCTCACTCTGTCACCCAGGCTGGAATGCAGTGGCAAGATCATGGCTCACCACAGTCTTGACCTCCCAGGATCAAGTGATCCTCCTACCTCAGCCTCCTGAGTTGCTGGAACTACTGGTGCATGGCAGTGTGTCCAGCTAATTAAAAAAAATTTTTTATTTTGTAGAGGTGGGGTTTTTCAATGTTGCCCAGAGTGGTCTCAAACTCCTTGGCTCAAGTGATCCATCTGCTTTGGCCTCCCAAAGTGCTGGGATTACAGGCATTAGCCACCATGGCTGGCCTATATCTCAATTAAAAAAATGTATTTTAAAGAAATAGCTGCCAAAGAATGACTAGAAAAGTCATAAAGGTTCTCCCCAGACACAGGGGAAGAAGCAGCCTCACTGCATACATTTAAAGGGATAGCTAAGCACCAAAATAGTTTTGTCATTAAAAACCTTCCTCTGCCCCAATATAAATGCAACGCTTCACTAATGCCTCAGAGACAGCTTGTGAAGAAGAAATCTTCCTAGGAAACACCAGAGTCCATCACGGTTTCCACTTTGAAAAGTTTATATGGCACACATGGTATACTTTGAAAAATTTCTAGTTTTGGATCCTGTTCTGCTTTAAGGTAATCTCTGCAACTACCTGTTTAGGCTCATGGCAGTGAGCATCTTGATTCTAAAATGATTAATGTTCTAGTTTTGGATCTATTCGCGGCACATAGAAACTGCTCCAGGGAACTCTGAATCTAACAAAATACCAATCTGAAGGACTAAGCAAGAATTGCCATCAGAGAGCATTTCGTGAAATAAGGCAAAGATGTTTGCTCCCCTGCTTCTATTCAACACTCATCTGGAGGTCCTAGCCAGAGCAGTAAGGGAAGAAAATGAAATAAGGCATAAATATTGGAAAAAGGAATAAAACTGTCTCTATTCATGAATGACATGATTGTGTAGAAAATCCTAAGGAATCTACAAAAAAACTACTAGAATAGGCTGGGTGTGGTGGCTCACGTCTGTAATCCCAGCATTTTGGGAGGCTGAGGCGGGCGGATCACAAGGTCAGGAGATGGAGACCATCCTGGCTAACACGGTGAAAGCCCGTCTCTACCAAAAAATGCAAAAAATTAGCCGGGTGTGGTGGCGGGCGCCTGTAGTCCCAGCTACTCGGGAGGCTGAGGCAGGAGAATGGCGTGAACCCGGGAGGCGGAGCTTGCAGTGAGCCGAGATCGCGCCACTGGCACCAAGGCCTGGGCGACAGAGCGAGACTCCGTCTCAAAAAAGAAAAAAAAAAACCTGTTAAGTTGGAAGTAATCAAAATTTTAAATTTCGCTTTTTAAAAGACACTGTTAAGAAAAGCCAGGCCAGGCACAGCGGCTCACGCCTATAATCCCAGCACTTTGGGAGGCTGAGGCAGGAGGATTGCTTGAACCCAAGAGTTTGAGACCAGCCTGGGCAACATTGTGGGACCCTGTTTCTACAAAAAATAAAAACATCAGCTGGGTGTGGTTTCGTGTACGTGTAATCCCAGCTACTCAGGAGGCTGAGGTGGGAAGATCACTTGAGCCTGGGAGTTGGAGGTTCAAGTTGGCCCTGCATTCCAGCCTGGGTGACAGAGCAAGACTGTCTCTAAAAAACAAATAAATAAGCTGAGCATGGTGGCTCATGCTGATAGTCCCAACACTTTGGGAGGCTGAGGCAGGAGGATTACTTGAGGCCGGGAGTTCAAGCAGCCTGGCAAACAGAGTGGGCATGGCAGTGCGTGCCTGTGGTCCCAGCTACTTGGGAGACTGAGGTGGGAGGATTGCTTGAGCCCAGGAATTTGAGGCTGCAGTGAGCTGTGATCACGCCTGCGAATAGCTACTGCACTCCAGCCTGGGCAACAGAGGAAGATGCTGTCTCAAAAATAAATAAATACACAAAATTAAAATTAGGCCGGGCAGGGTGGCTCATGCTTGTAATCCCAACACTTTGGGAGGCCAAGGCAGGTGGATCACTTGAGGTCAGGAGTTCGAGACCAGCCTGGTCAACATGGTGAAACCCCGTCTCTAATAAAAATGCAAAAATTAGTGAGGCATGGTGGCAGGTGCCTGTAATCTCAGCTACTTGGGAGGCTGAAACAGGAGAATTGCTTGAACCCAGGAGGCAGAGAATTGCAGTGAGCTGAGATCGTGCCATTGCACCCCAGCCTGGGCAACAAGAGCAAAACTCAGTCTCAAAAAAAAAAAAAAAAAAATTAAAAGTCCATATCTGTTAGAGAGACATCATGATCATGAAATATTTATGAGTGACATGATATGATGCTGAGCTAAAATGCTTCCAAAGAAAACGTGTATGGATGGGGTAAGATAAAATCGATGGTGGTCAAAGGTGAGTGACCGTGCCATTCTTTCCACTTCAGTGCATATTTGAAATTTTCTTTCTTTCTTTCTCTCTCTCTTTTTTTTTTTTTTTTTTTTTTGAGGTGGAGCTTTGCTCATTGCCAAGGCTGGAGTGCAATGGCACAATCTCGGCTTACCATAACCTCCACCTCCGGGGTTCAAGCAATTCTCCTGTCTCAGCCTCCCGAGTAGCTGGGATTACAGGCATGTGCCACTATGTCCGGCTAATTTTGTATTTTTAGTAGAGACGGGGTTTCTCCATGTTAGTCAGGCTGGTCTTGAACTCCTGACCTCAGGTAATCCACCCGCCTCGGCCTCCCAAAGTGCTGGGATTACAGGCATGAGCCACCACGCCCGGCCTTGAAACTTTCTATAATAAAATTTGGTTTTTTAAAACATTTCCAGCTGGCCGTGGTGGCTCACGCCTGTAATCCTAGCACTTTGGGAGGCCAAGGTGGGTGGATCACTGGAGATCAGGAGTTTGAGACCAGCCTGGCCAACATGGTGAAACCCTGTCTCTACTAAAAATATAAAAATTAGCCGGGCATGGTAGAGTAGGCCTTTAGTCCCAGTTACTTGGGAGGCTGAGGCAGGAGAATCACTTGAACCCGGGAGGTGGAGGTTGCAATGAGCTGAGATCGTGCCACTGCACCTCAGCCTGGGCGACAAGAGCAAAACTCTGTACCCGCCCCCTCCAAGAAAAAAGTCCCCAAGAATTTATCTTCATATGCCCCAGATCATTAGAAAGAGGAAGTTTGGGTCCAGTGACATCTAAGTGTAACTTTTTCCTCCTTAAAACAAGCATGTTCCCTTTCCTCCCTAGAGACACAGAAACTCTCCCTCTAACAGAAAGGCCGCCCTGCCGGTGATATTTGCACACTGGTGTTCAGTGGTGTGTTTGGATGTGACAAATATAGTCAAGAGAAAATGAAACGCATACATTTGTGGCACTGCCAGTGAGATTCTCATGGCTGATGGGCAGCAGTGTGCTCAGCTCCAGGTCCGTCACCATCTGACGAGATTCCGCCAGCAAACGCTGGAGCTTGCTCGTGGGCGAGAAATCATCCTGGGAGGGTAACACAATTGAAGCCTACAGGAAATTAAGAGGCACCTTTAAATGCTTAGGTTTACAAACACAAATGCTAACTACCTAGGAATATTGTTTTCTTTTTTCTTTCTCTTGCTCTGACGCCCAGGCTGAAGTGCAGTGGCACAATCACAGCTGATTGCCTCAAGCTCCTGGGCTCGAGTGATCCTCCTGCCTCAGCCTCCTGAAAAGCTGGGACCATAGGTGTGTGCAACCACACCGAGCAATTTTTTTTTTGGTAGAGGTGGGATCTCACTATGTTGCCCAGGCTGGTCTTGAACTCCTGGCCTCAAGTTACCCTCCTGCCTCGGCCTCCCAAAGTGCTGGGGTTATAGGCGTGAGCCACTACACCCGATCACCTGTGAATATTTCTTTGTCTTTAGGTGTTACAAAGCAAAGCTGGACATCAAATAGTAGAATAAGAATAACTAAATTCATTCCTTTTCTTTCTTTCTTTCTTTCTTTCTTTCTTTCTTTCTTTCTTTCTTTCTTTCTCTCTCTCTCTCTCTCTCTCTCCCTCCCTCTCTCTCTCTTTCTTTTTTTTTTTTTTTGAGACGGAGTCTCGCTCTGTCACCCAGGCTGGAGTGCAGTGGCATCATCTCGGCTCACTTCAAGCTCCACCCACCTCAGCCTCCCAAGTAGCTGGGACTACAGGCACCCACCACCATGCCTGGCTAATTTTTTTTTGTATTTTTTAGTAGAGACGGGGTTTCACCACGTTAGCCAGAATGGTCTCAATCTCCTGACCTCGTGATCTGCCTGCCTCAGCCTCCCAAAGTGCTGGGATTACAAGTGTGAGCCACCGCACCCGGCCTCTTTTTTTTTTTTTTGAGACGGAGTTTTGCTCTTGTTGCCTAGGCTGGAGTGCAATAGTGTAACCTCAGCTCACTGCAACCTCCACCTCCCGGGTTCAAGTGATTCTCCTGCCTCAGCCTCCCGAGTAGATGCGGCTACAGTTGCCCGCCACCACACCTGGCTAATTTTGTATTTTTAGTAGAGACAGGGTTTCACCATGTTGGCCAGGCTGGTCTTGAACTTCTGACCTCCAGTGATCCATCCGCCTCGAACTCCCACAGTGCTAGGATTACAGGCGTGAGCCACTGCACCCAGCCCCCTTTATTTCTTAGAACCTACTCAGTTAAATAATTTGACTTAAACAGAACTTACTACAGCTAATGAAGTAACACCCATGCGATAAAAGAATCCTAGGCATTGGTTAACTCTCCTCAACCAACTTGTCAATGCTGTATTTAGCATGTCAAAATACTTGCAAAATAGGACAACATTAAAGGCTTATAAGCCTTGAAAAATATGTGGGTATGTGCCTTCGTTTATTCCTATTAAATTTCAACTTTGGGATGTGAAGTTTGGCATGAAAATTAGTCACTGCCAATTGCTCTTAAAGGGGCCTAGACTGAATTTTTTTTTTTTTTTTTTTTTTTTTTTTTTTTGCAGATGGAGTCTCACTCTGTTGCCAGGCTGGAGTGCAGTGGCGTGATCTCAGCTCACTGCAACCTCCAACTCCCGGGTTCAAGCAATTCTCCTGCCTTTCAGCCTCCCGAGTAGCTGGGACTACAGGCATGTGCCACCACGCCCAGCTAATTTTTGTATTTTTCGTAGAGACGGGGTTTCACCATGTTGGTCAGGATGGTCTCGATCTCCTGACCTTAGGTGATCCCCCTTCCTTAGCCTCCAAAAGTGCTGCGAGTACAGGCATGAGCCACCACCTGATTTTTTTTTTTTTTTAAGAAAACTTAATTTCAGCCGGGCACGGTGGCTCACGCCTGTAATCCCAGCACTTTGGGAGGCTGAGGCGAGCAGATCACCTGAGGTTGGGAGTTTGAGACCAGCCTGACCAACATGGAGAAACCCCGTCTCTACTAAAAATACAAAATTAGCCGGGCGTGGTGGCACATGCCTGTAATCCCAGCTACTAGGGAGGCTGAGGCAGGAGAATCGCTTGAACCTGGGAGGCGGAGGTTGCGGTGAGCCGAGATCGTGCCATTGCACTCCAGCCTGGGCAACAAGAGTGAAACTCCGTCTGAAAAAAAAAAAAAAAAAAGGAAACTTAATTTCTTTTTATTTATTTATTTATTTTTTATTATTATACTTTAGGTTCTAGGGTACATGTGCATAACGTGCAGGTTTGTTACATATGTATACATGTGCCATGTTGGTGTGCTGCACCCATTAACTCATCATTTACATTAGGTATATCTCTTAATGCTATCCCTCCCCCCTCCCCCCACCCCACAACAGGCCCCAGTGTGTGATGTCCCCCTTCCTGTGTCCAAGTGTTCTCATTGTTCAATTCCCACCTATGAGTGAGAACATGCAGTGTTTGGTTTTTTGTCCTTGTGATAGTTTGCTGAGAATGATGGTTTCCAGCTTCATCCATGTCCCTACAAAGGACACGAACTCATCATTTTTTATGGCTGCATAGTATTCCATGGTGTATATGTGCCACATTTTCTTAATCCAGTCTATCATTTTTGGACATTTGGGTTGGTTCCAGGTCTTTGCTATTGTGAATAGTGCCACAATAAACATACGTGTGCACGTGTCTTTATAGCAGCATGATTTATAATCCTTTGGGTATATACCCAGTAATGGGATGGCTGGGTCAAATGGTATTTCTAGTTCTAGATCCCTGAGTAATCGCCACACTGTCTTCCACAATGGTTGAACTGGTTTACAGTCCCACCAACAGTGTAAAAGTGTTTCTATTTCTCCACATCCTCTCCAGCACCTGCTGTTTCCTGACTTTTTAATGATCGCCATTCTAACTGGTGTGAGATGGTATCTCATTGTGGTTTTGATTTGCATTTCTCTGATGACCAGTGATGATGAGCATTTTTTCATGTGTCTGTTGGCTGCATAAATGTCTTCTTTTGAGAAGTGTCTATTCATATCCTTCGCCCATTTGTTGATGGGGTTGTTTGTTTTTTTCTTGTAAATTTGTTGGAGTTCATTGTAGATTCTGGATATTAGCCTTTTGTCAGATGAATAGATTGCAAAAATTTTCTCCCATTCTGTAGGTTGCCTGTTCACTCTGATGGTAGTTTCTTTTGCTGTGCAGAAGCTCTTTAGTTTAATTAGAACCCATTTGCCGATTTTGGCTTTTGTTGCCATTGCTTTTGGTGTTTTAGACATGAAGTCCTTGCCCATGCCTATGTCCTGAATGGTATTGCCTAGGTTTTCTTCTAGGGTTTTTATGGTTTTAGGTCTAACATTTAAGTCTTTAATCCATCTTGAATTAATTTTTATATAAGGTGTAAGGAAGGGATCCAGTTTCAGCTTTCAGCATATGGCTAGCCAGTTTTCCCAGCACCATTTGTTAAATAGGGAATCCTTTCCCCATTTCTTGTTTTTGTCAGGTTTGTCAAAGATCAGATAGTTGTAGATGTGTGGTATTATTTCTGAGGGCTCTGTTCTGTTCCATTGGTCTATATCTCTGTTTTGGTACCAGTACCATGCTGTTTTGGTTACTGTAGCCTTGTAGTATAGTTTGAAGTCAGGTAGCGTGATGCCTCTAGCTTTGTTCTTTTGGCTTAGGATTGACTTGACAATGCGAGCTCTTTTTTGGTTCTATATGAACTTTAAAGTATTTTTTTCCAATTCTGTGAAGAAAGTCATTGGCACCTCGCCATAGCCAGATGGTGTTTCACCATGTTGACCAGGCTGGTCTTGAACTTCTGACCTCAGGTGATCCACCCGCCTCAGCCTCCCAAAGTGCTGGGATTACAGGCATGAGCCACCACGCCCAGCCTATTATTATTTTTTAAGACAGGGTCTGGCTCTGTCGCCCAGGCTGAAGTGCAATGGCACAATCTCAGCTTGCTGCAGCCTCCGCCTCCCGGGCTCAAGTGATTCTTCCACGTCAACCTCTTGAGTGGCTGGGACCACAGGCACGAGCTACAACACCTGGCTAATTTTTGTATTTTTAGTAGAGATGGGGTTTCACCATGTTGGCCAGGCTGGTCTTCAACTCCTGACCTCAGGTGATCTGCCCACCTCAGCCTCCCAAAGTGCTGGGATTACAGGCATGAGCCACCACGCCCGGCCTGATGGCCTGATAAGTGTTTTGTTCGCATAGTGCAGAGAGGAGGTAAATCTGGAGAAGTAATTAAAGAAGGGATATTCTACACAGACATAAAGAATAGCGTCTCTTTGGGATTGAATAACTGGCTAGAACTTCTCTATCAGTTGAAATCGAAGCTATAAATAGATGGTGGTTTAGCGTGTGAAAAGGTGCACAACATTGTTAGTCATTAGGGGAATGAAAGTTAAAACCACACTGAGATACCTCTTCATACCTATTAGAATGTCTGGAATTTAAAAATTGACCATTGCAAGTATTGACTGGAATCTGGAGCAGCTGGGACCGGAGCATCAGCACCACACTGATGGTGGGAATGTAACTGGTATAACCACTTTGGAAAACATCTTGCAGTTCCTTAAAATGTTAAATATACCCCAGCACTTTGGGAGGCTGAGGCAGGAGGATTGCTTGAGGTAAGGAGTTTGAGACCACCCTGGGCAACATAACAAGACCACATCTCCACAACAAATGTAAAAATGAGCTGGGCATAATGGTTCATGCCTACAGTCCCAGCTAATTGGGAGGCTGCAGTGGGAGGATTACTTGAGCCCAGGAGTTTGAGATTGCAGTAAGCCAGGATGGCATCACTGCACTCCAGCTTGGGCGACAGAGTGAGACCCTGTCTCTAAAAAAAGAAAAAAAAAGGTTAAATATACACCTACCATATGAGCTAGCTAGCATTCCATTCCTAGATAAACGAAAAAAAAATGTGTCTATACAAAGACTTATGATACATGAATATGCAAGCAGCTTTATTTGTATTATCTAGCACACCAGAAACAACCCAAATGTCCACTGACAAATGAATGGCTAAATCACTGTGGTAATAGGTTGGTGCAAAAGTAATTGCGGTTTTTGCCATTACTTTTTTTTTGAGATTGAATCTCGCTCTGTCACCCAGGCTGGAGTCCAGTAGCACGATCTTGGTTCACTGCAACCCCTGCCTCCCGGGTTTAAGCAATTCTTCTGCCTCAGCATCCTGAGTAGCTGGGATTACAGGCACACACCAGCACACCAGGCTCATTTTTGTATTTTTAGTAGACAGGGGATTTCACCATGCTGGCCAGGCTGGTCTCGAACGCCTGACCTCAAGTGATCCGCCTGCCTCGGCCTCCCAAAGTGTTGGGATTACTTTTAATGGCCTACCATTACTTTTAATGACAAAGACCATACTTACTTTTGCATCAACCTAATATATCCACACAATAGGATACTTGTCAGCAACAAAAAGGAATTATTTATATACACAGTCACATAAGTTAATCTCAAAATAATTACACTGAGTGAAAGAAACAAGAGGGACACAAAAGTTTGAATGCATTTATATAAAATTCTAGAAAAGGCAAACTAATCTGGGTTACAGAAGACAGATTAGTGAGTGATTGTCTGGGAATAGGGAGGGACGCACAGGGCAGAGGAAGAATTCCAAAGGGGTTTGGGTGTAATGAATGTGTCACTATTAGTCTGTCACATACAGACTAATGTGTGGTAAATGGGATTTTATTATACAAGAAAATGTCTGGCCAGGTACAGTGCCTTGTGCCTGTAATCCCATTAGTGGGATGAAGATTTCAATTTGCCACCCTGGTATCTTGGTAAATCATAGATGTCAGATGTTTACCTTTTTTTTTTTTTTTTTTTGAGACAGAGTCTCACTCTGTTGCCAGGCTGGAGTGCAATGGTGCAATCTCGGCTCACTGCAAACTCTGCCTCCTGGTTTCAAGCGATTCTCCCGCCTCAGCCTCCCAAGTAGCTGAGATTACAGGCACCCGCCACTACACCTGGCTAATTTTTTTATTTTAGTAGAGATGGGGTTTCACCATGTTGGTCAGGCTGGTCTCGAACTCCTGACCTCAGGTTATCTGCCCACCCCGGCCTTCCAAAGTGCTGGGATTACAGGCGTGAGCCACTGCGCCTGGCGATGTTTTCCTCTTTTATGTTTTTAAAATTTTATTGAAACAAAAAATAGAGGCAGGGTCTTGCTATGTTGCCCATGCTGATCCTGAATTCCTGGGCTTAAGCAATTCTTCCACTTTGGCCCCCAAGAGTGTTGGAATTACAGGCACGAGGCACTGTACCTTGCCACACATTTTCTCATATAATGAAATCCCATTTACCACACATTAGTCTGTATGCATGTCTCTGCAGATAGAGAAATCTGTAAGCAAGCCCACCAACGTGTCACCTGGGTCTCTCTAGACACTGCCAGGGGTTGTGTATTTGGAGGAAGGGGCAGCTGAGACCAAGCAGTTAGGTGATATCTATATTTCTGTATTGTTCTTGTGGTTTGTTTTTCTTTTTCTTTTTTCTTTCTTTTTTTTTTTACAACCAACATATATCAAGTTGCCAAAAAAAAAAAAAATACAATTTTTCTCGAAAGAAAAAAATAGTCCCAGCACGGTGATTCACACTTATAATCCCAGCACACTTTGGGAGGCCAAGGCAAGAAGATCACTTGAGCCCAAGTGTTCAAGACCAGACTGGGCAACAAATTGAGACCCTGTCTCTACAAAAAAATGAGAAAATTAGCTGGGCGTGGTGGCATGTGCCTGTAGTTGCAGCTACTTGGAAGGCTGAGGCAGGAGGATCACTTGAGCCCAGTAGGTTGAGGCTGCAGTGAGCCACGATTGCACCACTGCACTACAGCCTGGGTGACTGAGTATCCTGTCTCAAAGAAACAGAACAAAACACAAAATAATAAAATAAATAAAAGGATTGCCTTAAAAGCATCTTAAAATCCTAGAATTAAAAAAAAAAAAAAAAAAACGGAGGAATAGCCAAAATAAGCAAGCTAACAGTGGTTGCTAGAGAAGCATTAAAAGCTGGTGAGAGGCCTGGCTTGAGTAAGCTGGGGATGTCTAAGCAAAATACGAACCTTTTCATTGAATGCTGGTGCATCTTTGTAGATTAACAAACTCGTAGGTGAGTTCTTTTTATTGGAAGAGGACTCCGTCTCATCTTCTCTCAAGGCAGATTTTGAAGAACCCAAAGAGTGGGAATCTTGGATGGCAATTAGCTCACTAAGAATAAGAAAACCCAACAAAAACAAATATCTTAAAACAATATCATACATAGATCACTCTTATACTCAAAAGTATCTTAAAAGGACAAATAAGTGTTTTTGTTATTGAAGCAGGTCAAGTTTGAGTAGAACATTATAGATTGGAATAGAATATTATAAGTTAATGCATACCTTTTGCAAATAAGAATTAAAATAAGGCTGGGCATGGTAGCTCATGCCTATAATCCCAGCACTTTGGGAGGCTGATCTGGGTGGATCACGAGGTCAGGAGATCAGGACTGTCCTGGCCAACATGGTGAAACCCCATCTCTACTAAAAACACAAAAATTAGCTGGATGTGGCCGGGAGCGGTGGCTCACACCTGTAATCCCAGCACTTTGGGAGGCAGAGGCAGGCGGATCAGGAGGTCAGGAAATCGAGACCATCCTAACACGGTGAAACCCCGTCTCTACTAAAAATACAAAAAATTAGCTAGGTGTGGTGGCGGGTGCCTGTAGTCCCAGCTACTCGGAAGGCTGAGGCAGGAGAATGGCGTGAACCCGGGAGGCAGAGCTTGCAGGGAGCTGAGATCGCGCCACTGCACTCCAGCCTGGGCGACAGAGCAAGACTCCGCCTCAAAAAAAAAAAAAAAAAAAAAAAGAGCTGGGTGTGGTGGCATGTGCCTGTAATCCCAGCTACTCAGGAGGCTGAGGCAGGAGAATTGCTTGAACCCAGGAGGCGGAGGTTGCGGAGAGCCAAGATCGCACCACTGCATTCCAGCCTGGTGACAGAGAGACACTCTGTCTCAAAAAAAAAAAAAAAAAAAGAATTAAGACAAAATTATTAGGTAAAGGTAACTATAGAACAAAGAATGTTCCCCCTAAAAATACAATGAAATGAAAGTTCTAAAGATAGGATCATCTAAAAGGGAGGGAAAAATTAAAACAGACTAATTCTCACAAAAAAAAAAAAAAAAAAAAAAGCCGGCCAGTTGCGGTGACTCATGCCTGTAATCCCCATACTTTGGGAGGCCGAGGAGAGCTGACCACCTGAGGTCAGGAGTTTGAGACCAGCCTGGCCAACATGGTAAAACTCCATCTCTACTAAAAATACAAAAATCAGCCGGGCATGGTGGCGCGCGCCTGTAATCTCAGCTACTCTGGAGGTTGAGGCAGGAGAATCGCTTGAACCCGGGAGGCAGAGGTTGCAGTGAGCCGAGATCGTGCCATTGCACTCCAGGCTGGGCGACAAGAGTGAAACTTCATCTCAAAAAAAAAAAAAAAAAAATGGAACCAAGTGCAGTGACTCGTGCCCGTAGTCTTGGCTACCTGGGAGGCTGAGGTGGGATCACCTGAGCCCAGGAGTTAGAGGCTGCAGTGAGCTATGATTATACCACTGCACTCCAGCCTGGGTGATAGCGAGACCCTATCTCTAAAAAGAGAAAAAAAAAACAACATGGAATAAGGTTATACTTGTGAAAATTTTAGGTTTTCAGTTTGTGAGATTGATTTTTGTTAATGGCTTTATTTATTTATTTATTTTTGTTATTATTGGAGATGGGCCATGCTGTTGCCCAGGATGGCCTTCAACTCCTGAACTCAAGAGATCCTCCTTGCTTTGGCCTCCCAAAGTATTGGGATTACAGGCATGAGCCACCTCACTTGGCCAATGACCTTTTTTTTTGAGACCGAGTCCCATTCTGTTGCCCAGGCTGCAGTGCAGTGGCATAATCTTGGGTCACTGCAACCTCCACCTCCTGGGTTCAAGTGATTCTTGTGCCTCAGCCTCCCGAGTAGCTGGGACTACAGGCGTGTGCCACCACGTCCGGCTCATTTTTGTATTTTTAGTAGAGATAGGGTTTCACCATGTTGGCCAGGTCGGTCTCGACCTCCTGACCTCAGGTGATCCGCCTGAGTTTGACAGCAAAAGCTGTTCTGGAACAGACCAGAGGCACTAGAACTGCTTCCTTCCCTGTAAGCTACAATGAAGTGAGAACAGGCTGCCCCCAGTTTCTCCCTGCACGGGTAAACCTCTGTTTGTCAAATGGAATGCTGGCACAGATGTGAACATTTTAGTTAGATAATAAAGTAGGTACGCAAGTTCTTATAATCTATGGAAAAAGAGAAAAACATAATTATCTTTCTACTTAATCACATATTTGTCATGTGATATCTTGGCATCCGTCTCTGCTGGCAGAACAGGCAATCACTTCAATCATTTTAAGTCGGTGAGGTCAAAAGGGCCTTGAAGGAAACTCTGAATGTAAATCTGAACTTATTTCATACGTTAAATTTAATCCTCTATGCTCTTAAAACTATCTGACATAAGCTTGTCCCTTAATATATGAGTGTCCTTGTTCAGTAGTGAAAAATAGGCATTGTGCCCTGATACTTGCAATTATCCAAAGATCTTTAAAGACCAAATATGAATAGATGACATTTAGCGTGATGACCGACTTTTTAAAATAATTTGCAACTGGCAGAATGACTATCTGCATGACTTTTAAACAATTCAAGTTTCTAAAAGGGCCAAAGGAAATAAATAAACAAAATACAATTAAAGAGCCAAAGGATACTCCAAATAATTAAGCACTAGAAATAAACTTTAATCATAAAGTCCTATAAAAGCCAATGTAATGATTAAAATACGCCTCTCAATATAGAAACTTCATCCTTTCTGTAATTTAAGATTAAAGAGCTATGCTTTATTTTAAAATAGCAGACATTATTATGACGACACTCACACACAAGATTCAGCTATTCCAACAATAAGACAAGCCTGAATAAGGCAGCATATGCCTTATTCTCTTAAATTTTCTTCTCTTAAAAAAACCAATAACTTACCAGCTTGTTAAATACAAGTATCCTCTTTCCTGAATGATTTTCAAAAATTAAGAAAGTCTGGGCAATGTAAAGTCTCAAACAGATATGAAATGAATGAACACAAAGGCAGGCACGGTCGGATATGTAAATATACTAAGTGACCCTGGATAAGAGCTGAGAGATGCTGGATGCGGTGGCTCACACCTGTAATCCCCACAGGTGAAAAGATTGCTTAAGCCCAGGAGTTCGAGACCAGCCTGGGCAATATCGTGTCACCTCATCTCAATTTTTAAAAAAAGAGCCATGACAAATGTTTTTGAAATAGAGTCTCACTTTGTTGCCCAGGCTGGAGTGCAGTGGCACCATCATAGCTCACTGCAGTCTCAAACTCCTGAGTTCAAGTGATCCTCCCACCTCAGCCTCCCAAGTAGCTTGGACTACACGTGTTTGCCACCCATGCCCAGCAAATTAAAAAATTTTTTTTGTAGAGATGGAGCCTCACTATGTTAACCAGGCTAGTCTCAAATTCCTGGACTCAAGTGGTCCTCCTGCCTCAGCCTCCCAAGTACTGGGACTACAGGTGTACACCACCATGCCCAGCTAACTTAAAAACAATTTTTTAAAAATGTGTAGAGGCCAAGTGTGGTGGCTCATGCCTGTAATCACAGCAATTTGGGAGGCCAAGGTGGGTGGACCACTGGAAGTCAGGAGTTCAAGACCAGCCTGGCCAATATGGTGAGACCCCATCTTTACAAAACTTATAAAAATTAGCTGGGCATGGTGGTGTGTGCCTTTAATCCCAGCTACTTGGGAGGCTGAGGCAGGAGAATGGCTTGAACCCAGGAGGCGGAGGTTTCAGTGAGCCAAGACTGCGCCACTGCACTCCAGCCTGGGCGACAAAGCTAGACTCCATCTCCAAAAAAAAAAAAAAAAAAAAGTGTAGAGATAGGGTCTCGTTATATTGCCCATGCTGGTCTCAAACTCCTGGCCTCATGTGACCCTCCTGCCTTGGCCTCCCAAAGTGCTAGAATTACAGGCATGAGCCACCACAATGCACCAAGAGACATTTTTATATGGGGTCTAGGTAATGCCATCTGGACCAGAAATGGTCAGCGTGTCAGTTCAGAATGGCTTCTGGGGTGAGGAATGCTCTAGGGTGGCGTTCCACTCTGTGCAGCGATCCACCCGTTTGCTTTTTAATAAAGCATATCTGCCCAAGTCATAACAACTGGTTTTGTTTTTAAACAAAACCTTTGCCTCAGAAGCCGTCCTCAGTATAAACACATCCCTGGAACCTAATAGAGCCTCTATAATTAAAGACTCAACAGTCCATGCTGTGATGAAAAGAGGGAACCATTGGTCCTAAGGAAGATTTCTGTTAGCAAACATGCCTTTTGGATTAATAGTAGGTATGGCGTGGCTTCCATCACCCTTTGTATTTCCAAATACTGGCATGCATGCTCCGTGGGTGTTTACAGATGTGAACGTTACTCACCTTGCCGGGGAGTCATGTTGTGTGCCACAGATGCTTTCTGAACAGGTGCACCCAGATTTGAGGCGGACAATTCTCTGCATTTTGGAAGGCTTGAAAATACTCATCCACTCCACGTCAGACATGTGGCCTGGGGCTTCAATTATGAAGTTACTCGGGTGGCAGCACTTGGAGTCACACATGCCACTTTCGCCCAGACAGGCTTCATTTTTCTGGCAGCATGAGATTTCGGACCTTTCCATCTGATCTTGACATTCTACATCCAGCTTTTCTGGATGTTTTGAACTTGGACAGTTGGTCAGGCCCAGGTAAACACTGACATCATGCCACTGCTTCTCATCAGATAAAGTGGGTGTTTCTGAGGGTTGTTTTCCTTCGTTCTGAACCCCAGTGCCATGACATTTTGGTGATTTTGTGTGGATCTTGCACAATGTAATTTTGTTTTCGGGTTCAATCTGGGTTTTTCCTCCCAGAGACCAAGGGAGGTTGTGTTTCTCTACTAAGTCTTTGGTGAATATGGATGACAGCGTAATTACACTTTTCTCCCCAAACACAGTATCGATCTGTTGTTTCTTCTCTTTGCATTCATCGCAAGAGCTCTTGTCTGACCTATTTTGCTGAACCAACATGGCTTCAAATTTCTGGTCCTTAAACAGTGACTTCTGATTTTTTTCCCTCTTAATATCGACTTTTGGGTGGTTATTTTCAAGGTCTGATAAACACATGTCTCTGCTATGGTGGCATTAGAAAAAAAATGGAGGTTATAAGATATACTTGATGCTATCATTCTAAACATTTCACCCAAAACTCAGTAGAGCTAAATCCCAATGAGACTCGTTTGTCTGAACCTCAGAGCCCAATTCCAGCCCGACCTTCTCCAGGAATCCTTTCTGACCACAAAGCCCACATTCCCTTTTCCATCCTCCTCTTATTGCACTTACTGTCTACATGAGAAAAAAAGAATACTGCAGAAATGTGACAAAACCTTTTAATAAATCTTCCTTTAAAATTTTTCATGTCACTTGTATTCAGGTATTCTAATCTGCATCATTCTGATATCTTAGGAAATACAACTCTCTCTTTCCATAATGCTATAAACTATTTTATGCTTAAAAAAAATTTTTTTTGAGGCCGGGTGCAGTGGCTCACGCCTGTAATCCCGGTACTTTGGGAGGCTGAGGCGGGTGGATCACCTGAGGTCAGGAGTTCGAGACCCAGCCTGACCAACATGGAGAAACCCCATCTACTAAATATACAAAAATTAGCCGGGCGTGGTGGCGCAGGCCTGTATTCCCAGCTACTTGGGAGGCTGAGGCAAGAGAATTGCTTGAACCTGGGAGGTGGAGGTTGCAGTGAGCTGAGATCGCGCCATTGGCACTCCAGTCTGGGTGACAAGAGTGAAACTCCATCTCAAAAAAAAAAAAAAAATTTTTTTTTTATAGAGACAGGGTCTTGCTATGTTGCCTAGGCTGCTCTTGAACTCCTGGCCTCAAGCAATCCTCCTGCCTTAGCTTCCGAAAGCACTGCAATTACAGGTGTGAGCCATGGCGTCCAGCCTATTTTTAGCTTTTAAGGAATAACCTCAACTCATCTAGTACCTCCTAGAGGCAATGAAGGTCAAAAAGGAGAAAGACAGCCTTCGCAACACGACGAAACCCCATATGTACAAAAAAAAAAAAAAAAAAAAAAAAGTAGCCGGGCATGGTGGCGCATGCCTGTGGGCCCAGCTACTTACTTGGAAGGCTGAGGTGAGAGGATCGCTTGAACCCAGGAGGTGGAGGTTGCAGTGAGCTGAGGTTGCACCACTGCATGCCAGCCTGGGCAACAGAGCAAGACCCCATCTCAAAAAAAGGAAAAAGAAGAAAGAGCCAGTATGTAAGGGGCTTCTGCCTGCAAGAGAGCTCTGAGTTAGTCTGGTGTCTGGTGGCAGCGGCAGCAGCTAGGACCCAGAGCCACAGGCCACAACCCCTCGCAGAGGGCCCCAAAGGAAAGTGAAGCAAGTGCAGCGGAAAGCAGGGCGGCCCCAGCCACACGCCACACGCCTGGGGTGATCCCTGCAGTGCTGCAGCTACTAAGCCCTGCTGCTCTCAACTCCATTCTCCCAGGGAAAGTCGCTGCTGCAACCCAGTCCAGCCTCCATGGTTCCAAACAGCCATGGGGAGCTTCCCTAATCCCTCTCCCTTTCAAAGACTTCTTGTAAAATTTTGGCTTAGAAAAGTAGACTAAGTTGAGCTGTGGTACAGTTATATGCCTGTTAAATTAAACCACACTTTATATGTTTATATTTTAATTTTACCAAAACCAATTTAATTCCCACACTGCTTGTTGTGGGGATGGGAAGATGTTTCCTATTAATAAGGCAAGCAGGAAAATCCAGTTAAGGGCACAGATCACCCTCGGTGGAGTGGGGCTCCTACTCAGTAATCAATGCATTCCTTGGCATTACTTCTTTTGGGCGAGTGCCATGCCCTATATACCTACATGTGCCCAAGTCCTAGCCTAGTGTCCAAACACTGAATGCTGGATGGATGGATGGACGGATGGATGGATGGATGGATGAATGAATGATTCATCTCTGTAGTGTCTATTCTAGCTCAAAGCCTTCTACACAACAGAAGGGAAAATCAGGTTAAATAAATTTACTTCTATCCAGTGGCTAAATCAGGATCATGACTAAAATTCTTAGATTGGGTCTTCCTGCGACTGAGGATTATGACAATCATTATTAGCTCACACACATTTATTGTATTTATTTATTATTTATTTATTTATTTTTCATACGGAGTCTCACTCTGTCACCCAGGCTGAAGTGCAGTGGCGCAATCTCAGCTCACTGCAACCTCTGCCTCCCGGGTTCCAGCAATCCTCCTGCCTCAGCCTGCCGAATAGCTGGGACTACAGGCGCCTGCCACCATGCCTGGCTAATTTTTTTGTATTTTTAGTACAGATGGGGCTTCACCGTGTTAGCCAGGATGGTCTCGATCTCCTGACCTCGTGATCCACCTGCCTCGGCCTCCCAAAGTGCTGGGATTACAGGCATGAGCCACCGCGCCAGGCCTATTTATTTATTTTTTGAGACGGAGTTTGGCTCTTGTCACGCAGGCTGGAGTGCAATGGCGCGATCTCGGCTCACTGCAACCTCCACCTCCGGGGTTCAAGTGATTCTCCTGCCTCAGCCTCCCAAGTAGCTGGGATTACATATACCCGCGAACACGCCCAGCTAATTTTTATATTTTTATTTATTTATTTATTTTGAAACAGAATCTTGCTCTGTTACCAGGCTGGAGTGCAGTGGCGTGATCTCGGCTCACTGCAACCTCCACCTCCCAGGTTCAAGCGATTCTCGTGCCTCAGCCTTGCAAGTAGCTGGGACTACAGGCATGAGCCACTATGCCTGGCTAATGTTTGTATTTTTAGTAGAGATGGGGTTTCACCATGTTGGCCAGGCTGGTCTCGAACTCCTGACCTCAGGTGACCCACCTGCCTTGGCCTCCCAAAGTGCTGGGATTACAGGTGTGAGGCACCGTGCCCGGCCACATTTATTTCCTACCATATGGGGAATAGTAGTCAGTACTGGCCAACAGTAAGTGCGCAGTAAATACTGGCTGATGGAATATAATACAAGATCATATTAATTGCATCTTGCTAAGATTACCTGGAGTCCAGAGCCTTTGATTCCTCCATCTTTGAGTCATACATCTGTATTAATTCCTGAGAATTTTCCACATTGAAATTAAGAAACTGCAGATCACTCTGTTGTTTTACATAAATCTGTCATAGATATTGACAAATCAACATGAAATGTAATAACAAAACTAAACTGAACCAACAATTTGGCACTTTCCCTGAAACAGTTCACAAATCCTAAAACAGGTCAGATAGTTACTAGAGAAATATGCTAAATATGTCTGCTTTTAATTTTCCTTTGTTAGCACTAAGATTTGCTAGGATAGCTGGGCTCCCAGCCTTTGATCACCACAAGCAAGACCTATTTGCTATACTAAACATGATATACAGGCTGGGTGCGCTGGTTCACGCCTGTAATCCCAGCACTTTGGGAGGCTGAGGTGGGCGGGTCATGAGGTCAGGAGTTCGAGACCAGCCTGGCCAACACAGTAAAACCCTGTCTCTACTAAAAATACAAAAAATTGGCTGGGCGTGGTGGTGGGCACATGTAATCCCAGCTACTTGGGAGGCTGAGGCAGGAGGATCGCTTGTAACTAGGAGGTGGAGGTTGCAGTGAGCCGAGATCAGGCCATTGCACCCCAGCCCGGTTGACAGTGCGAGACTCCGTCTCAAAAAAATAATAATAATAAAAATAAATAAACATGATATACAACTAATGTAGTTAGGATTCCAAATCACCAATTAAACAAAATCGACGGGCATACATTTTTCCTAATTTGCTATTTGTTTACAAACATTTCTTATGTGACAGAGAAGGATGATTGGGGACATACCTGTCTCAGATTGTGCAGTTCTGAATTTGTGCGTTCTTGCTTTGACTTCGCAATATTAAGCAATTCATCTTTCCTCTTTTCTCTCTCTACTATTTAAGAACAAGTATTATTAACATTTTTCATCAGCTATAGCCACACAAACCTCTCCATTTCCAACAATTTAATGCTCAGCTAACATTTTTGTTGTTGTTGTTCCTGTACTTAAAAATAGCAGAATGGGCTGAACGAAGTGGCTCACACCTGTAATTGCAGCACTTTGGGAGGCTGAGGTGGGTAGACCACTTGAGGTCAAGAGTTCGAGACTGGCCTGGCCAACATGGTGAAACCCCATTTCTACTAAAAATACAAATTTAGCCGGGTGTGGTGGTGCCTGCCTGTGGTCCAGCTACTTGGGAGGCTGAGGCAGGAAAATCATTTGAACCTGGGAGGTGGAAGTTGCAGTGAGCAGAGATTGCGCCACTGCACTCCAGCCTGGATGACAAAGTGAGGACTTTGTCTTAAAAAAAAAAAAAAAAAAAGAAGAAGTGATTTGTAGATTCAGGGATTATTTGTCTTTCCTTTTGTGGGGAGATAGAATAAGGATGATTTCCAAATCTCTATACTTAATACATATTACTTCAATTATTTATTTAAAAATTTTAAAAGATAAAATATTTTTAAAAATAGAGATGGGGGTCTCACTATGTTGCCCAAGCTGGTCTTGAACTCCTGTGTTTCACCATGTTAGCCAGGTTGGTCTCGAACTCCTGGCCTCATGTGATCTACCCGCCTCAGCCTCCCAAAATGCTGGGATTACAGGCATGAGCCACCATGCCCGGCCAAAACTGAGACATTTTAACAGTGGAAGTGATATCCGTAGTGCATCTGACTCCGTGGGTCTCAATTCTACATGCCTTTCATGTTAACAGCATCCAAGCAGGGTTTAAATAAACCTGTTTTGTTATATTTCCTAATGTTTAAATAAACCTGTTTTGTTATATTTCCAGCTACTTTGGAGGCTGAGGTGGGAAGATTGCTTGAGCCCAGGAGTTTGAGACCAGCCTGAGTCAACACAGCAAGACACTGTCTCTTAAAAAAAATAAATAAATACTTGTTTTGGATACAGCATGGTCCCTAAACAAAAGCCAACTACTTTACCTGGCCCTCAGAGTAATTTTAAATATATCTGAATGTTGGCCAGTGGGGTTGTCGGGGGGCGGTGGGGGAGGGCAGGTGGTCAAAGAAAAAAAAAATATATGTATATTTGAATGTTGCCTTAATCTCTGATTTCAGAATAATCTACTTTTGCATAAGAGGCAATGCCAATGTAAATATAAATGTTTCCCTAGTCCAGATAGTTTTCTCCATGGCTGGGTTTAGCTGAGAGATCAAAGTGGATTGGGTCTGACTATTTTCACAAGTTGGCCACAGAAAACAGAGGTAAGGAACTCTCTGCTGCTATCTGCCTGAACAAGCAGCCTAAGCTAAAACAATGGGAAGGGACTTAGACGCCTGGAACCTGCTGAATTCTGATCAAGACTCTGCCTTTTACCGCCTGGGAGACCTGAGGCAGACACTCAGTCTATAAGAGCTCACCTACAGGACTGTCAGGACCCACAGAAATGTAAACTAGTATCATTGTTCTCTTTGCAAACTCCTTACTCCTAGTTATGTACAAGCAAAACATGTCCCTCAGCCTATGTAAAAGAACACGCCTGTAATCCCAGCACTTTGGGAGGCCAAGGTGGGCAGATCATGAGGTCAGGAAATCAAGACCATCCTGGCTAACACGGTGAAACCCCATCTCTACTAAAAAATACAAAAAATTAGCTGGGCATGGTGGCGGGCGCCTGTAGTCCCAGCTACTCGGGAGGCTGAGGCAGGAGAATGGCATGAACCCAGGAGGCTGAGCTTGCAGTGAGCCGCGAACACACCACTGCACTCCAGCCTGGGCGACAGCGAGACTCCGTCTCAAAAAAAAAAAGAACTGCATTTTCTACAAGTTTTAAACTTAAAAGTAAAACTTTAAGACATCTTCCAACTTCAAATAAAACATGGTAACATCTGACTGGGTGCGGTGGCTCACACCTGTAATCCTAACACTTTGGGAGGCCGAGGCGGGTGGATTGTCTGAGCTCAAGAGTTCGAGACCAGCCTGGGCAACACAATGAAACCACGTCTCTACTAAAGTACAAAAAATTAGCCAGGTGTCGTGACGTGTGCCTGCAGTCCCAGCTACTCCGGAGGCTGAGGCATGAGAATTGCTTGAACCCAGGAGGCGGAAGTTGAAGTGAGACAAGATCGCACCACTACACTCCAGCCTAGGCGACAGACCAAGACTCCATCTCCGAAAAAAAACAAAAACAAAAAAAATCGTGACATTTAGCCATAGCACTTGACGGCATATTATCATGTTATGCCCTTTAAAAATTCTTTTTTGGGCTTAAGCCAAGCACGATGGCTCATGCCTATAATCTTAGTACTTTGGGAGGCCAAGGCAGGAGGATTATCTGAGGCTAGGAGTTCAAGACCAGCAGCCTGGGCCACATAGCGAGACCCTGCCTCTACTAAAAATAAATAAAATAAAATAAAATTAGCTAGGTGTGATGACACATGCCTGTAGTCCCAGCAACTCAGGAGGCTGAGGTGGCAGGATCACTTGAACCCAGACAGTCGAGGCTGCAGTGAGCTATGATTGCACCACTGCACTCCAGGCTGGGCAACAGAGCAAGACCCTGTCTCTACTAAATAAATAAATTCTTTTGTAGGCTTTGTTCACTTTTATAATTGAAACATGCAAATCTATCAATTGTCTATATTTTGAAAAAGAAGAATAAAACATACAAAAATTGTTTTCAGACAATGGTGTGAGATTGTCTTTAGTTAAGAAGATGTTTAAGGAATCAATTTAGGATGACAGGCATGGTGGCTCATGCCTGTAATCCCAACGCTTTGGGGCTTTGGGAGGCAGAGGTAGGAGGATCTCTTGAGCCCAGCAGTTCCAGACCAGACTGGGCAACATAGTGGAACCTCATCCATACAAAAAATTTAAAAATTAGGCATGTGTGATGGCATGTGCCTGTGGTCCCACCTACCTGGGAGGCTGAGGTGGGAGGATCACTTGAGCCTCAGAGTTTGAGGCTGCAGTGAGCTGCGATTGTACCACTGCACTCCAGCCTGGGTAAAGAAATCTGCTTAGTATATGATAAAAATATTTCACAAAATCGATTTATTATAATATTAGCTAACAAATTCCATGTATTTTACTTAGTAATACATAGTAGAGTGCATGGGTAAAAAGTGATTAATCAAAAAGAAAAGAGACTAACGTATCCTTTAAGCTTTGTTCTTTCCTTTGACCTCCCATAGCATTTTATGCATAGCATTTGTATAGTAGTGAATTCTGTGGGCCTGTGAGCTTCTGAGCATATCGCAGGGCACCTGGCGTACAAATGCTGGTCCAAGGACTGTTTGAATGCAACTGTAAAGCTACAAATATGTGATATCTTTAGCAGCGTTAACGGGTTATCACTACTTGCAGATGCAGCAATCCTAGAAATGGTGAAAATAGTGACCTCTAGTGGCAGAATACCACACTTTCACCCCGATCTTTAATCACAAGAGATTAAAATTAAGAATTCCATTTCACTTAAAACTTCTTAGGTCGGGCATGGTGGCTCGCACCTGTAATCCCAGCATTTTGAGAGGCCGAGGCAAGGGGATCGCTTGATCCCAGGAGCTAGAGACCAGCCTGGGCAACATAGTGAGACCCCTTCTCTGCAAAAAAATTAAAAATTTAGCCAGGCTACTAGGAAGGCCAAGGCGGGAGGATTCCTTGAGTCCAGGAGTTTGAGGCTGTGATGAGCCTCAATTTTTTCCCATTAATTTACAGACAAACTGCATTCCATTCCCTGCCATATTCCTTACCTACCCCCAGTATCTCAGAGTTTCCACTGGTGAAGGCCTACTTCTCCACTCCCAACTGAGAATGACTGACATAGAGAGCTTGTTGACATCCCTGCCAGCCAAGATGATTCTACTGGGCTTTCTTTTCAGTGGTTTGTGTTAGGAAAGTCATTGATTTAGAGGTAAAGTTCCGAAGAGAAAATCATATGAACACTTTTTGGTCTACTGATACCTACCCTCAGTCCCCCTTTTACTAGGGGTACACATTCATTAAAAAACCCCTACTCTGAGCACCCATACAACCATTCTGTTTTTCGCTTTCAGTAAATTACATGATATATTCAACAATTTATTATAAAACAGCCTTTGTGTGAGATGATTTCGTCCAAATGCAGGCTAATGCGAGTGTTCTGTGCATGTTTAAGGCAGGCTAGGCTGAGCTATGCTGGTGGCTGGGTTGGCTTCATTAAATGCATTTTTGACTTGCGAGGGGTTTATCAGAATGTAACCCTGTAAGTCAAGGAGCATCTATGTTATGTTTTTAGTAAGAAGCAGAGTCACACGCTTAAGCTGGAAGGGAGAATAGCTCATTTTACAGAAGAGGAAATAGTGACTGGGAACGGGATGGCAGCATTAACACTCGCTGCTTGGTCCACCATCGGTCCCACAAAGGGTGTTAAAAACAAACAAAAAGGCCTGGCGTGATGGCTCATGCCTGTAATCCCAGCACTTTGCGAGGCTGAGGCGGGCGGATTATCTGAGGCCAGAGTTCGAGATCAGCCTGGCCAACATGGTGAAACCCCGTCTCTACTAAAAATATAAAAATTAGCCGGGCATGGTAGCATGCGCCTGTAATCCCAGCTACTTGGGAGGCTGAGGCAGGAGAACTGCTTGAACCTGGGAGGCAGAGGTTGCAGTGAGCCGAGATCATGCCACTGCATTCCAGCCTGGGCGACAGAGTGAGACTCTGTCTCAGAAAAAAATAAAAATAAAAAAGCCGGGCTCACGCCTGCAATCTCAGCACTTTGGAAGGCCAAGGCCCGTAGATCACTTGAGGTTAGGAGTTCAAGAAGACCAGCCTGACCAATGTGGTGAAACCCCGTCTCTACTAAATATACAAAATTTAGCCGGGCGTGGTGGCTCATACCAGTAACCCCAGCTACTAAGGAGGCTGAGGCAGGAGAATCGCTTGGGCCCGGGAGGCAGAAGTTGCAGTCAGACGAGATTGCACCACTGCACTCCAGCCTGGGTGACAGAGCAAGACCCTGTCTCAAAAAAGACCCTGTCTCAAAAAAAAAAAAAAAAAAACCATTTTGGGAGAGGTATAATTCCTTCAGCCTGTCATCATTGCAAGTCTAGGTTACAAATACATTCGATCATCTGTTTTACCAGTAAAAAGCAATTCATCGTGCAGGCAACTTTTCTCTTGCTTGAGGCGAATGATCTCTTCTCGTTGCTCATTATTTTCTGTCGTCTTTTCATTGAGGTCCTCTTCACAACAGAAGAAAAAGAAAGTCCTCAAATAAATACTAGGTTCCAGTCCTCATATACACACTATGCCTAACTCTCACATCCTCAGCGGCTCCTTCCGGTCCTGATGGATCTATAGACAAAATCTGTTTCACAGCCAACATCTCCACACCTGGCAAGGACCCCTGGTTGGAGGCTTCGCTTGCTCTCATCTGACTGACCTCCCTGCACCAGCCTTGCCTCTCCTGTGACAGCCCAGTGTACACAGAGCAATCTTTTAAAAATCAAAATCTGCCCAGCGCAGTGGCTCACGCCTATAATCCCAGCACTTTGGGAGGCCAAGGCGGACAAACCACTTGAGGCCAGGAGTTCGAGACCAGCCTGGCCAACATGGTGAAACCCCGTCTCTACTAAATATACAAAAATTAGCTGGGTGTGGTGGCACACACCTGCAATCCCAGCTACTCAGGAGCCTGAGGCAGGAAAATCGCTTGAATCCAGGTGGCAGAGGTTGCAGTGAGCTGAGATCACGCCACTGCACTCAACCTGGACAACAGAGTGAGACTCCATCTCAAAAAAAAGTAAAGTAAAATAAAAATAAAGGCCAAGTGCAGTGGCTCACACCTGTAATCCCAACACTTTGGGAGGCTGAGGCGGGTGGATCACCTGAGGTCAGGAGTTCGAAACCAGCCTGGCCAACCTGGTAAAACCCCGTCTCTACTAAAAATACAAAAATTAGCTGGGTGTGGTGGTGGGCGACTGTAATCCCAGCTACTCAGAAGGCTGAGGCAGGAGAATTGCTTGAGAGGCAGGCGGGGGTTGCAGTGAGCTGAGATCGCGCCATTGCACTCCAGCCTGGGCGACAAGAGTGAAATTCTGTCTCAAAAATAAATAAATAAATAAAACTAAAAATAAAAATCTGCTCGTGTCATTTCTCAGTGAGAAGCCTTGCTACTGCACTGAGGATGAAATCCAAATCCATTACCACAAACTGCAGAGCCCAGCATGACCTGACCTGCCCATCTCCCCACCGCCGTTCCCTCCTTTCCTTCTGTTCCTTGAGTATGTCTGTGGTATAAGAAGAAATAGATGTGGTTTTTGTCCTCTGTTCCTGGAGAACAGAGCTCCTAAAACTTGTGGAATTTCCTAAGTGACAGAAGCATCTTTTGTCATTCATGAAGAGTCAGTTGATTACACCAGACTACATGCTAACGAGGTGACTCAGGGTGGAGCTCCTACGTGGCCTCAGGATGCAGACAGCCACCAGAAACACCAAGTGAAGACAGGGCTGGAACCTGCAGTCCCACTTGTGGACCTCCAGGAAGGGGAGGGAGGGCTGGAGATTGAGCTCTATAAAAATTCCTCTTCTTTTTTTTTATTTTTTTGAGGCAGGATCTTGCTCTGTTGCCCAGGCTGAAGTGTAGTGGCCAATCTTGGCTCACTGCAACCTCCACCTCCTGGGATCAAGAAATCCTTTCACTTTGCCTCTCGAGTAGCTGGGACTACAGGATCACACCACCATGCCTGGCTAATTTTTTGTAGAGACAGGGTTCTGCCATGTTATCCAGGCTGGTCTTCTTGAAGTCCTGGCCTCAAGCAATCTGCCTGCTTTGGCCTCCCAAAGTGCTAGGATTACAGATGTGAGCCATCATGCCCAGCCACTATTTTTCTTTTCTAAAAAAAAAGTTTTAAGCTGGGTGTGGTGGCTCATGCCTGTAATCCCAGCACTTTTGGGAGGCTGAGGCAGGTGGATCACAAGCTCAGGAGTTTGAGACCAGCCTGACCAACATGATGAAACCCTGTCTCTACTAAAAATACAAAAATTAGCCGGGCATGGTGGCACCCACCTGTAATCCCAGCTACTCAGGAGGCTGAGGCAGGAGAATTGCTTGAACCCAGGAGGTGGAGGTTGCAGTGAGCTGAGATCACGCCATTGCACTCCAGCCTGGGCAGCAGAGCAAGACACTATCTCAAAAAAAAAAAAGTTTTAATATTGAATTTATAAAATGTTTTTAGTATATAAATATTGACAGAACAGACTTCTTTCTACTTGAATATTTTACCTCGGTGTATATAAACATTCAATAAATACCAAATACCTAGAGTGTAGCCCTTGTGCCATGCTATTAACAGTACACTGAAAAAGAGAAGCAGAGTCTGTTCCTGCTGTCAAGGGGATGATAATACGATTATGGTTTTAGCTGAAGCTACAAATGGAGATAAGACCTATGGCTAACCATAGGTCAAGGCATCATAAGGACAACATTTTTGAATGCTGAATCTTTTAAGTTAAATCAGCAAAGATCGGCTGGGTGTGTTGGCTCACGCCTGTAGATCTCAGCACTTTGGGAGGCCAAGGCAGAGGGATTCACCTGAGGTCGGGAGTTCCAGACTAGTCTGGCCAACATGGCAAAACTCTGTCTCTACTAAACATCCAAAAATTAGCCAGGCATGGTGGTAGGTGCCTGTAATCCCAGCTACTCGGGAAGCTGAGACAGGAGAATAGCTTGAACCCAGGAGGTGGAGGCAGTGGTGAACCAAGATTGCACCACCGCACTCCAGCCTGGGTGACAGAGTGAGATTCTGTCGAAAATAAATAAATCGGCAAAAATAAAAATTCCTAATTTCAGAATCAGAAGTTTCTGCCCTCACCATGGGAAGAAATGCCCAGGCTAGCCTGATAGCAAGACGATGAAATGTGTGAGCCAAAACTGCCCAGATGGGAAGCTCAGTGAGGCCCAACCACAGTCAGCCAACTCCCCCATTTGCCTCTAGACATGTGGGTTTAATAAATGCTACGACTGTCTGCCACTGAGATACTGATGTTGTCTGCCACAAAGCATGTATTAGCGATAGCTAATGGTACAGCCACCTCAACTAAGGCAGGATTACTTTAAAATATGATACATTCTGCAGTTTTCCCCAACTCTGTTATATATCTTATAAGACACAAATTGCAGCATAATCCTATATAAATGAAATGGATATTTCACGTTAGGGTCTAAGGCCAGGAATTGATCTACTCTCAAGCATAAGATTAAGTGAACCCAGATGAAAAACTATATTCCCAAGATAATACATTTGTATCTTAAATGTAGGTCTCTTCCTTACCTTTTAGTTTGTTGACTTCAATCTTAAGTGCCTTCAATTTCTGCTTATAATCTTGCTTTTCTTTCACAATACAAGTCTCCGCCATCTTGGCATCACGTAGGGCATGCTCTAGCATTTTAAATTTACCCGAACAATCTGCAATGTGATTAACTGCCTCAATAATATCTTTGTCCTAAAAACCAAATTTGAAAATGGTTATCCTAGATTCTTAAATTCCAATTAACCAAGAAGAAAAGATAACACTAAGATCTTATCGTGTGCCAGGTTCCACTCTAAGCATTTTTCGCATATGAATTCATTTAATCTTTACAGTAACTCTATGAGGGTGGTACTATTGTTCTTGCCAAGTGACAGATGAGTCAACAGAAAGGCTGCGTTCCTTGCCCACGGTTACACAGCTAGTTAGTGGTGGAGCCACCATTTGAACCTAGCTGGCTGCCTCAGACACTATGTACTGAACCACTACCCCTTACTCTCTCTCAAAAAGTTAGAGCCAGACCATTCCATTACCTAAGAAACTATAATAGCAGCAAGAGGGTGGGTGGCCCCTGGATGGGAAAATCGTCCTCTGGATTATACAGGTAAGTCTAATGGCCCATCATTCCCTCCCATTTTCCAGCTTGTTAACATGACAGACTCCACAACAACATCATTCCAAATCTCCCAAATTAGAATCTCTTAATTGTTGAGGCAGTTTTAGTTACCAAAAAAGGTATCTGCTTCTTGAAAAGCAACTCAAACAACACCTAAAAGTATAAAAATAAGTAAAAGTTCTATCCCTCCCCCACTCACCTGGAATAACTGTTATTAAGAGGTTTTACCCCTACTGAAGTCTAAACATTTCTGCTACAGCATCATAAATGCACTCCTGAAAAATCACATTGTCTGCACATCTCACACTAGGACTTATAGAATAATAGGGTTGGGGCAGGCCATGCAAAAACCCATGGAACTTTGTGACCAGGTCAGTAGCAAAAAATAACCGTTCTAATAAGTACAGGAACACAGTTCCATTAACACCAGGACACCCACGACAGTCAATCCCTTTCAGCCTTAAACCTGGGATTCCTACTTGCTCCTTTGATAAGGATGTCCTGGAGGGCATCTGCTTCTAATGGAAACCATTTTCATCAAATAAAATCTCTAAGACTAGGAAAACACAGCCTTTTTTTTTTTTTTCCAGATGAAGTCTCGCTCTGTCACCAGGCTGGAGTGCAGTGGCGTGATCTCGGCTTACCACAACCTCTGCCTCCTGGGTTCAAGCAATTCTCCTGCCTCAGCCTCCTGAGTAGCTGGGACTACAGGCGTGTGCCATCATGCCCAGCTAATTTTTGTATTTTTAAAAATAGATGAGGTTTCACCATGTTAGCCAGGATGGTCTCAATCTCTTGGCCTTGTGATCTGCCTGGCTCAGCCTCCCAAAGTGTAGGGATTACAGGTGTGAGCCACCACGACCGACCTTCTTTTTTTTTTTTTTTTGAGACAGAGTCTTGCTCTGTCGCCCAAGCTGGAGTGCAGTGGTGCAATCTCAGCTCACTGCAACCTCCACCTCCCGGCTTCCGGGGATCCTCCCACCCCAGCCTCCAGAGTAGCTGGCATTACAGGCGTGTGCCACCATGCCCGGCTAATTTTTTTGTATTTTTAGTAAAGACAGGGGTTTCACCATGTTGGCTAGGCTAGTCTCAAACTCCTGACCTCAAGCGATCCACCCACCTCAGCTTCCCAAAGTGCTGGGATTATAGGCATGAGCCACGGCACCCGGCCTCCAGGAGCACAGCCTTCCTAACGCACCCACTGTTTTAATGGTGGGGAAATGCCTTGGCAGCACCTTCAGACATACCTATAGCTTTGCCAGAGTTTGCTATGATGGAAACCAGAGAGGTTGTTGAAGCCACTAAACTGTCTGCTACTTGACTAAAGACATGACTGTAGATTTTAATATTTTCTCTTTAATTTAATTTAATTTTTTTTTGAGACGGAGTCTCGCTGTCACCCAGGCTGGAGTGCAGTGGCGCGATTTCGGCTCACTGCAAGCTCCGCCTCCCAGGTTCATGCCATTTTCCTGCCTCAGCCTCCCGAGTAGCTGGGACTACAGGCGCCCGCCACCTCGCCCGGGGAATTTTTTGTATTTTTAGTAGAGACGGGGTTTCACCGTGTTAGCCAGGATGGTCTCGATCTCCTGACCTCGTGATCTGCCCGCCTCGGCCTCCCAAAGTGCTGGGATTACAGGCGTGAGCCACCGTGCCCGGCCTTTCTCTTTAATTTTAACAGCACTTGCCCCAATCACTTGAAAACAATGTGCTGAGAAAAATCACATATTTATTAGCGTGAGCATTTCATTATACCAACATTGTTCCCTTAAATACCAATTGTCAATGACATGTGTAACAGCAGGAGAGTGTGTATCGTTGTATATTGCATGTTAGTGACTACATCAACTGCTTGATTGCAGATGGTTTTTCTCTCCATTAAAAAAACCTCTGGCTGAGCGCGGTGGCTCACGCCTGTAATCCCAGCACTTTGGGAGGCCGAGGCGGGCGGATCACGAGGTCAGGAGATCGAGACCATCCTGGCTAACACGGTGAAACCCCGTCTCTACTAAAAATACAAAAAAATTAGCCGGGTGTGGTGGCGGGCGCCTGTAGTCCCAGCTACTCAAGAGGCTGAGGCAGGAGAATGGCGTGAACCTGGGAGGCGGAGCTTGCAGCGAGCTGAGACGGAGCCACTGCACTCCAGCCTGGGCCACAGAGCGAGACTCCGTCTCAAAACAAAACAAAACAAAAAAAACCTCTCAAGCAATCTAATGGCCCATAACTCTATGAGACCTAATAATGGATACCCGGGGAGAAAACAAGTTAATTCAGACCTGCCAGCCCACAGAATGGGCCTTGGAGACAGAAGACCAGAAGCAGAGTCCTGCCTCCTTTCTTCATGCCTTGGGAACATCATTTTAAACTTGTTTCCCTCATTTCTAAATGGGCGTTTTAAAAAACAAGAGCAACGTTGGTAGCTTCACATTTCTGGGATCCTAGCGACTTAGGTAAGATAATGAATATGGATATAACTACCAAGCACTCTGGCAAATGGAGGAATTCTTATTTTTGATTACCTTTAGCTTTATCATTGTCGTAAGAGCTTGTTCTCGAGCTTGTAGCTGTCCTACCTGGGCAGAAAGTTCCACTAACGTGTTGCTGAGAGTTTCGTTTCTAGCCTACAAGAAAACAACACAGATGATACTGCTTGAGTCCTTTTAAAGCTTTCACTACTCTTGCTAGCCACAATCTGCGCTTACTTCTCTATTTTGTTTTTTCCTTGTTTAACTCGTTAGTAACAAAAAAGAGTTGGTAATGGAGTGGGCTAATAAAGCCTACATTGTTTTAGTAATGAAGTGGCCTAAGAAAGCAGTCATCAAAAAGGAATACAAATATATATTTCTCTATTAATTCTACCATCCTCTCAGTACTTGTATTTGCCCTATTGAATTATGTTGGTGATGCTTGTAAACATGTCTATTTCCTAGTATCTTTTATGTGTAATTTTAGGTTGGGAAGAGGCAAGAAAATGAATGAATGAGAACTGTATTAGTAAGAGATTTCCTTTGTTGAAATAAAGTAGCATTAGTGAATTGTGTGAATTTAAAAAATATTCTTTGTCGAAAGAACTTCATACTGGGGTATTCCTACTCAACAATTATTTAAAAAAACACATAGTGCTATGTCGGATATAATTATTATGTATACAATCTATTTACTAGTTGAGAAAAATAACCATCAGGCTTTTTATTTTTTGAGACTGAGTCTCACTCTGTCGCCCAGGCTGGAGTGCAGTGGTGGGATGACCTCGGCTCACTGCAACCTCTGCCTCCTGGATTCAAGTGATTCTCCTGCTTCAGCCTCTGAAGTAGCTGGGATTACAGGCACACAACACTACGCCTGGCTAATTTTTGTATTTTTAGTAGAAACAGGGTTTCGCCACGTTGGCCGGGCTGGTCTCGAACTCTTGACTTCGGGTGATCTGCCCGCCTTGACCTCCCAAAGTGCTGGGATTACAGGCGAGCCACTGCACCTGGCCTTTTGTTTTTGTTTTTGTTTTAAAGAGATAGGACCTCACTCTGTCACCCAGGCTGGAGTGCAGTGGTGCACTCATAGCTCATAGTAACCTTGAACTCCTGGGCTCAAGCAGTCCTCCCACCTCAGTGTCCCGAGTAGCTGGGACTACAGGTTCTCACCATTATGCCCAGTTAATTTTTATTTTTGTATTTTTTGTAGAGAGGGTCTCGCTATGTTGCCCAGGCTGGTCTTGAACTCCTGGCCTTAAGCGATCCTCCCACCTTGGCCTCCCAAAGTGCTAAGATTACAGGCATCAGCCACTGCACCCAGCCTAATTATTATTATTATTATCATTATTTTTGAGACGGAGTCTCGCTCTGTTGCCAGGCTGGAGTGCAGTGGCGTGGTCTTGGCTCACTACAACCTCTGCCTCCTGGGTTCAAGTGATTCTCCTGCCTCAGCCTCCCAAGTAGCTGGGATTACAGGCACGTGCCACCATGCCCAGCTGATTTTTGTATTTTTAGTAGAGATGGGGTTTCACCATGTTGGTCAGGCTGGTCTCGAACTCCTGACCTCGTGATCCACCCGCCTTGGCCTCCCAAGGTACTGGGATTACAGGCATGAGCCACCGCGCCCGGCCTCCCAGCCTATTTAGACTTTTAAAAAGATATCTTTAGGAGGAAATTTAAATGTGTGTTACTAAGTGAAAAAAGGCAATCTGAAAAGGCTATATACTGTAGGATTCCAAGCATATGACATTGTGGAAAAGGCAAAACTATGGAGGCGGTAAAAAGATTCGTGTGACCAGGGGTGAGGGGGAGGAAGGGATGAAGGGTAGATCACAGAGGATTTTTAGGACAGTGAAACTATTCTGTACATACTATAATATAGTAGAGGATATGTGTCATTACACATCTGTCAAAACCCCATAGAATGTAAACACAAAGAGTGACCCCTAATGTTAACTGTAATCTTTAGGTGACAATGAGGTATCCATGAAGATTCACCAATTATAAGAAATGCACCACCCCGGTGTGGAGGTCGATCGTGGGGAAGGCTGGGTGTGTGGATACAGAGTGTGTATGAGAACTCTCTCTACTTTCTGCTCAATTTTGCTGTGAACCTAAAAATGCACTAAATAAATAAAGTGTATTAGTTAAAAAAGATCTCTTCCACTTTTTCATGCAACATAATCAGTAGATATTCTAGAATAGTTTTTACTTATTTTATAGCTAGAAACTATCTAGAATAGTATTCTTTTAAAAACCATAAAATAAAAATCTATACTATTATGAATAAAGACTCATTATATTACCAAGACGTATATGAAATATCACTAAGAAATAAAAGAATGGGGCCAGGCGCGGTGGCTCACACCTGTAATCCCAGCACTTTGGGAGGCCGAGGCGGGCAGATCACGAGGTCAGGAGATCGAAACCATCCTGGCTAACACGGTGAAACCCCGTCTCTACTAAAATACAAAAAATTAGCCGGGCGTGGTGGCGGGCGCCTGTAGTCCCAGCTACTAGGGAGGCTGAGGCAGGAGAATAGTGTGAACCCGGGAGGCGGAGCTTGCAGTGAGCCGAGGTGGCACCACTGCACTCCAGCCTGGGCGACAGAACGAGACTCCGTCTCAGGAAAAAAAAAAAAAAAGAATGAAGGATATAACAAATAAACAAGCTGGCTTTCTGCACCTCTTATAAGCATGAACTCAAAAAATATCTGATGACTGACCAGTTAGAAGAGAAAACCAAAAAAATCCATCTTTTTTTTTGACAAGGAGTCTCGCTCTTTCCCCCAGGCTGGAGTGCAGTGGTGCGATCTCGGCTCACTGCAACCTCTGCCTCTCAGGTTCAATTGACTCTCCTACCTCAGCCTCCTGAGTAGTTGGGACTACAGGTGCCCACCACCACACCTGGTTAATTTTTGAATTTTTAGTAGAGACGGGGTTTCACCATGTTGGCCAGGCTGATCTCAGACTTTGGACCTCAAGTCACCGCCCACCTCGGCCTCCCAAAGTGCTGGGATTATAGGTGTGAGCCACCATGCCGGGCTCAAAAAACCAGTCTTACAGTTTTTATTCCCAATATGCCACTAACATTATGAGATAAGACACAATAATTGGCTGGGCACAGTGGCTCACACCTGTAATCCCAGCACTTTGGGAGGCTGAGGCGGGCGGATCACCTGAGGTCGGGCGTTGGAGACCAGCCTGGCCAACATGGAGAAACTCCGTCTCTACTAAAAATACAAAATTAGCTGGGCATAGTGGTGCATGCCTGTAATCCCAGCTACTCGGGGGAGTGAGGCAAGAGAATTGTTTGAACCCAGGAGGCAGAGGTTATGGTGAGCCGAGATCGTGCCATTGCACTTCAGCCTGGGCAACAAGAGTGAAACTCCATCTCAAAAAAAACACACAATAATTTAGAAAACATCATTGAGGCTACCAAAACTTGATTATACCCTCTCATCTTTGAGGAAAGCTTTCTAAAATAACTCATTGTTGATTAAATGGTAGATGCTACTAAACCAAATGGCATAACGGTTAAAAAGCGTTGTACTGAAGCTCAATCTCTAAGACAGGATAATGCCGTGCAGCTAACCAAAACTGTAGGAGAAACACAAAACTACAAGGGGTGGATGAGTGTAGATACCTTCGTACACACACGTATGCATTTTTGCATTGGTTGCTTGCTGTTGTTGTTTTTTGTTGAGATGAGGTCTCACTATGTTGCCCAGGCTGGACTTGGACTCCTGGGCCCAAGCAATGTTTCTGCCTCAGCCTCCCCAGAGGCTGGGACTACAGGCGTACACCACTGTGCTTGGCTTACATACGCTTTTTTTTTTTTTTTTTTGTCACCCAGGCTGGGGTGTAGTGGCACAATCACAGCTTACTGCAGCCTTGACCTCCTGGGCTCAAGTGATCCTCCTGCCTCAGCCTCCCAAGTAGCTGGGACCACAGCAGTGCACCCCCACACCCAGCTCATTTTTGTATTTCTTCTTTTTATAGAGACAGGCATTTGCCATGTTGCCAAGCCTGGTCGTGAATTCCTGGGCTCAAGCAATCCTCCCACCTCAGCCTCCCAAACAAAGAGCTGGGATAACAGGCATGAGCCACCAAGCCACTGTGCCCAGCCTCACATGCATTTTTAATGAAACATTTAAATCTAATTTTTCTTTTTTCTTTTTTTTTTTGAGACAGAGTTTCGCTCTTGTTGCCCGGACTGGAGTGCAATGGCGCGATCTTGGCTCACCGCAACCTCCACCTCCCGGGTTCAAACGATTCTCCTGCCTCAGCCTCCTGAGTAGCTGGGACTACAGGCGTGTGCCACCACGCCCGGCTAATTTTGTATTTTTAGTAGAGATGGGGTTTCTCCACGCTGGCCAGGCTGGTCTCGAACTCCTGACCTCAGGTGATCCACCTGCCTCGGCCTCCCAAAGTGTTGGCATTACAGGAGTGAGCCACCGTGCCCGGTCAAATCTAATTTTTCAATAACTGAAACACAAAGGGAATTTGGACTAGTGAAGCTTATCAAAAACTAATCCCAACCTCAAGGTCTTCAGAGAGAAGAGAAGAATGCGTTGCCTTTTGAGCCATTTCCTGAAGCTGTAGTTGGGTCTTTTGGAGAGCTGTTTGGCATTCCATTTGATTGGATTCAAGAGCTTTTACCTTCTTCGTGAGTGACCTGATTATTTCAGTTCTTTTATGTAGTTCACCTGAGGGAAGTTCATCAATAATTTGTAGTCACACCTTCAGCTTAAAAGGCATTATTTTCAAAATGGGTGGTTAAAAGGTAAAAATGTGGTAGAGAATTTTTAAAAAGACAATCTTCTTTTAAAACCTTTTATTATGAAATGCACAATATCACACCTAATCAAGAAACAGAACTGTGAGCAATTGGAAGCCTCTGGAGGTCACTTCCCGAACATAATCACTCCAGTTTCCGCGTTCCCAACCATGACCCTGATCTTAGAGTAATCACTTCCTTGCTTTCCATTACAGTTTTACCAGTGACCGCATGCCTCAAAATTATAGCTTAATTTGAACCATATAAAAATGGAATCATATTCTGACAATTCTTCTGTTTGCTTTTTTTGCTTAAGATAATGATTCTGAGATTCACTCAGTTGTGTGTAACTTGTGTTTGTGCACTAACATTGCTAGGTAATATTCCACTGAATGATTACGCCAAAGCTTATTTCTATTTTTTATTTTATTTTATTTTATTTTATTTTATTTTATTTTATTTTATTTTATTTTATTTTTGAGACAGAGTCTTGCTCTGTTGTCCAGGCTGGAGTGCAGTGGTGCGATCTCGGCTCACTGCAAGCTCTGCCTCCTGGGTTCACGCCATTCTCCTGCCTCAGCCTCCCGAGTAGCTGGGACTACAGGTGCCTGCCACCACGCCTGGCTAATTTTTTTGTATTTTTAGTAGAGACGGGGTTTCACCGTGTTAGCCAGGATGGTCTTGATCTCCTGACCTCGTGATCAGCCCACCTCGGCCTCCCAAAGTGCTGGGATTACAGGCGTGAGCCACCATGCCCGGCCTTCTTTTTTTTTTTTTTCGTTGAGACGGAGCCTCCCTCTGTTGCCCAGGCTGGAGGGCAACGGCACGATCTCGGCTTACTGCAACCTCCACCTCCTGGGTTCAAGCGATTCTTCTGCCTCAGCCTCCCAAGTAGCTGGGATTACGGGCGAGCACCACCATGTCTGGCTATTTTTTTGTATTTTTAGTAGAGATGGGGTTTCACCATATTGGCCAGGATGGTCTTGATCTCCTGACCCCATGATTCATCCTCCTCAGCCTCCCAAAGTGCTGGGATTACAGGCGTGAGCCACCGTACCTGGCCTACCAAAGCTTATTTCTAATATTGATGGTCATTTAGGTTATTTCCACTTTGCAGCTATGATAAACAATGCTGCTCTGAATATTCTTTTACATGCATCTTTTTTTTTTTTTTTTTTTTTTTTTGAGACAGAGTCTCGCTCTGTAGCCCAGGCTGGAGTGCAGTGGTGTGATCTCAGCTCACTGCAACCTCCACCTCCCAAGTTCAAGCAATTCTTCTGCCTTAGCCTCCCAAGTAGCTGGGATTACAGGCATGAGCCAGCACACCCTGCTAATTTTTGTATTTTTAGTAGAGACAGGGTTTCACCATGTTGGCCAGGTTGGCCTCGAACCCTTGACCTCAGGTGATTCGCCTGACTCGGCCTCCCAAAGTGCTAGGATTACAGATGTGAGCCACAGCGCCAGGCCTTTTTACATGCATCTGGGTGCATATTTTCAAGAGTTTCTTGAGAGCCTTGCTTCTCAAAATGTGGTCCCTGGACCAGCAGCGGCAGTGGCATCGCCTAGGATGCCTGTTAGAAATGCAGACCCTTGGGCCCCAGACCTATTGTATCAGAATCTAAATTTTAACAAGACCCTTAGGTGATTCATGTGTCTATTAAAGGGTGAGAATATTCCTAGAAGTGGCTTTGCTGGGCTGTAGGATATGCACACCTTCAGCTTCACTAGATGCTGCCAAATGATTTTGCACACTAGCAGTGACAACTGACTCCCACCAGCAGCGTCTCAGCTTTCCCTTGGTGCCATACTTTACCAACACCTGATAATTTCTGCCAGGCTGGTAAAGGTAAAATAGTATCTCAATTTGGTTTTCATTTGCATTTCCCTAACTACTAATGAGAACAGGAAACTTTTAATATATTTATTGGCCATTCAATTTTCCTCTTTCCATGAGGTGCCTATTCAAATCTTGCTCATTTTAAAATCAAATACTGATGGCTACATATAATGTGGGTTATATATGTTATATGTGTTATCTTTGTTCTTTAACATGTCTATATAAGAGCTATAAGATGTTATACTGCATTTAATGAGCAACCATTTTAAACACTGTGTGTATATACGTGTGTGGGTGTGGTCAGAGTAAAATCAGATGGTCATCAAAGAAACGAAAAAATCATATATTTGGGTTTTTTGTTTGTTTCTTTCTTTGTTTTGACGGAGTCTCGCTCTGTCGCCCAGGATGGAGTGCAGTGGCGCAATCTTGGCTC
Source organism: Homo sapiens (assembly GCF_000001405.40). Taxonomy (NCBI): domain Eukaryota; kingdom Metazoa; phylum Chordata; class Mammalia; order Primates; family Hominidae; genus Homo; species Homo sapiens. The sequence goes on along the minus strand of NC_000012.12, from coordinate 122,778,822 downwards.
ACTGCAACCTCCACCTCCCAGGTTCAAGCAATTCTCCTGCCTCAGCCTCCTGAGTAGCTGGGACTACAGGCGCCCACCACCATGCCCCGCTAATTTTTGTATTTCTAGTAGAGACGAGGTACACCATGTTGGCTGGGCTGGTATTGAACTCCTGACCTCAAGTGATCCGCCTGCCTCAGCCTCCCAAAGTGCTGGGATTACAGGCATGAGCCACCGCACCCCACCAAAAATGACAGATTTGGATTGTCACATTTACAGAATCCTTTGAGTAATGTTAAGTAAAAAAAGGTTATCTTTCTATTATACAGATCTAGTGTTTTCTCCTCTAATGCATTCTACTAACAATCTAGAGTCAATGGAACATTCAGATTTAGGGCAGCACTAAAGGAATGACAGAATTAAAATATGGTGTCAAATAAACTTTTTGCAACCATTTTTGAGACAGCTATAATTTTTTTTTTTTTTTTTTGGGACAGGGTCTTGTTCTGTCCCACAGGCTGGAGTGCAGTGGCGCAATCTTGGCTCACTGCAACCTCCGCCTCCTGGGTTCAAGCGATTCTCGTGCCTCTGCCTCCCGAGTAGCTGAGATTACAGGTGTGCATCACCATGCCCAGTTAACTTTTTGTATTTTTAGTAGAAATGGGGTTTCACCATGTTGGCCAGGCTGGTCTCTAGTTCCAGAGCTCAAGTGATCCGCCAAAGTGCTGGAATTACAGGTGTGAGCCACTGTGCCTGGCCGGACAGCTATAACTTTAAAAGATGACCATTTTAGGAACTTAAGATCAAGTTCAATACCAAAAGCCTAAAATCTTTCAGTTTAGTTTAAGAGAAATGGCTAGTCATATGGCATCTTCATTCATACTCTTGCTCAAAACTTCAACTTCACCACTGGCGCTCACCCCATGTTGACTGGAGCTCCATCCAGCCCCCTTTCTATACTGAAATACTTTGCTTGTCCTACTTTATTTGTGTGTGTCTGTCCCATTGTGGCTGTTCATAAAGTCCTCCTGTCTCCAATGAGCCTAAACTTGAGGACAACAGGGATTGCAGTCTTTACTTCCTCTCTATCTTCCCTATGAGCCCATCAATGTGTTAGCACACAGAAGTGCATAACTGTTGTCCCTGAATGTATTTCTGACCTTCTAATTTGCTGCAACGTTCTTCCAGTGTCAACACTTTCTGCCGATCCTCTTCCCATGAAAGAAGCTGTTGCTGGTGCACTGCAACCATGTCATTGAGCTCTTTATCTCGATCTTTTAATTCTCCAATGAGCAACTGCAGCTCCTTCCGTTGTTTCTCGATAGTGGAAATCTCAACTTCTGACCCGATGTTCTAAACATAGAAAGCGGTTTCACATCAAAATAGAATGAAATCAATAACAAATCAGCCAAAGTCCATTTTCCAAATAAGTATATCTTCTTTTGCGGCCAATTCTAAGTAGTTCAATTAAGTTTTAATAACATGGCAGCAAAAGATTATGTATACTTAAAACATGTTCAAGTTAAAATCTACCATGCACTCTGCCTCTCTACAATTTTCTGTCATGCCATACGTACCATGCCTAAAAAGTGGGACTGTTTCTAAAACCCACTGGGTAAACAAATAAACCTATTTCTGCACTTTTTCTCCCCCTTTGCCAACAACCCTTTTCTCTGCCAGTCAATAACATTATCCCCTACCTTGCCCCAGCAATTTGAGTAACCAAGTACAGGTAAACATGAAATAGTGGCCAGGCGTGGTGGCTCACGCCTGTAATTCCAGCATTTTGGGAGGTCAAGGTGGGCCGATCACCTGAGGTCAGGAGTTCGAGACCAGCCTGGCCAACGTGGCAAAACCCCATCTCTACTAAAAATACAAAAATTAGCTCAGTGTGGTGGCATGCGCCTGTAATCCCAGCTACTCAAGAGGCTGAGGCAGGAGAACTGCTTGAACCCTGGAGGCAGAGGTTGCAGTGAGCCGAGATCGTGCCATTGCACTCTAGCCTGGGCAACAAGAGCAAAACTCTATCAAAAAAAACCAAACAAAATCACGAAATAGTTACTGTTTAAATGTAAATGATCCTTACTAAACAATGGGAATTTTAGTCTATAAAAAGAAAATTAAGTCTTCCAGTGTTCAATATGCATGACAACTACAACATCTAAGGCATCTATACATACTCAATCTATTAAGGGCAATTTAATATTGTAACTGATCCAAATACAACATACATCATTAAAAAATAAATTATGTAAGGAAATCTTTCACATGTACCCAAAGACAATAGTACGATAAACTCCCATATACTCTGTGCCTGGGTTCTACCATTATTGAGATTTCACTGCGGCTGCTTCAATGTCCTTTTCTTTTCATTATTGGTTAAAAAATACCATTTCACCCTTACATACTTCAGAATGCATCTCTAAAAATGAACATTTCCTATATAACCATGATGCCATTTTTATATCTAACAATATTATCTATTAATACAATAATTTCTTTGAAGTATACAGCATTTTAAAATCTAACAAGTTGGCCTGACCAAATTGTGATCCCAGAATTAGCCACTTAGTGGCTACATAACCTTGGGCAAGTTACTTAACTTCTCTAAGCATTAGTTTCCTCACCTGTAAAACGATAGCAACTGCATTTTAACATCTTGGAGTGGTGAAGATTAAACAAGACAAACTCTGTAAAGTACTGAGCACAAAGCCTGGCCCGTTGTAATCACTCAACAAACATCAGCTCTCATTAACACTGTAAACCACATTTCAAATCATGGTGCTGTCCCTGCCTATGAAATAAACAACTAAAAGTGTTACTTTAATAGAGTTCCACCTTAAAGACAGTAATTAAAGGTTCAACAGAGGCCCTTTGTACCTCCTTACTGCTTTTTGAAAAGTAAGATTTGTAAATAAACAAGAATAATGAGGTTGGGCTCAGTGGCTCACGCCTGTAATCCCAGCACTTTGGAAGGCCGAGGTGGGCAGATCACCTGAGGTCGGGAGTTCGAGACCAGCCTGGCCAACATGGCGAAACCCTGTCTCTACTAAAAACACAAAAATTAGCTCGGCATGGTGGTGGGAGCCTGTAGTCCCAGCTATTTGGGAGGCTGAGGCGGGAGGATTGCTTGAACTCGGGAAGCAGAGGCTGCAGTAAGCCGACATTGCGTCACTGTACTCCAGCCCTGGGGACAGAGCCAGACCCTGTCTCAAAAATAAATAAATAAGAATGATGAATAAATTACAGTTGCTAGTCTTAACAAGGAAAATGGAATTTGGAGTCAAGGGATTTCAAGTCCCAAGGCTTGAATTCCAGTGTTGGGTTAGCCCTTCATTCATGCACTCAACAAATAATTTATTGAGCGCCAGTGGCTGGGCCACAGACCTCCAGGCAAGGAGCACATATTCCACTCCAGGAAAACAGGCAGTAAGCCGAGTACACAAAGGCAGGTCGTCTTACACTGATGGACGCGAACCTTGGGCAAGCCCACTTCCAGACTTTTTGGTACAGTGGAGTTGTGAGAGCTCCTTCCTCTACTCGCCAGGTTGTGTAAATTAAGGACACCCTGAGAGGTAAATGGGAAAGCAGCTCCCCAGACGCCAATCGTCCTCCTTAAACAGTAAGCACCGGGTACGCGCTACTCTGTGGCCCGGGCTGAATAACAAGGTGTTATTGGGTTAAGGAAACGGTCGTGACGCCGTTTTCCTCTAGTGTATTGTTTCACTTTTTTTTTTTTTTTTTTTTTTTGAGACGGAGTCTCGCTCTGTCGCCCAGGCTGGAGTGCAGTGGCGCGATCTCGGCTCACTGCAAGCTCTGCCTCCCGGGTTCACGCCATTCTCCTGCCTCAGCCTCCCGAGTAGCTGGGATTACAGGCGCCCGCCGCCACGCCCGGCTAATTTTTTTTTTTTTATTTTTAGTAGAGACGGGGTTTCACTGTGTTAGCCAGGATGGTCTCGATCTCCTGACCTCGTGATCCGCCCGCCTCCGCCTCCCAAAGCGCTGGGATTACAGGCGTGAGCCACCGCGCCCGGCCTGTTTCACATTTTAAGTAGACACCGTTCTTGAGAAGCAATAGATTTCGACCAATGTGCACCGTTCCCGCGGCGCCCCGCCGCGCCCGGAACCGCTGCTTACCTGGCGCCCGGCAAGGAAGGCTGCCGGAGGGTTCATAGGTGTTTCCTCCGCCCCCGGAGAAGCCCGGTGTGGGCGGCGTCACCTCAGAAACGCCATCGGCGCGCCTGCCCCGAGCGGCGGGGGCGAGCCCGGAGCCCCGGGGCCCCGCGCCCTCGGCCGACCCCCGCCCCGTACTCCAACCGCCTGCCTGGTGCCCACGCGGCGTGCGCCCGCCGGGGCTCGGGGCTCCCCGCCAGGGTTTCCGGGCCGCAGCCCCGCTGCGCTGGTGGGCACTGTTCTTCTGCCTCGGAAACTGGGGGCTCCCAAGTGGCTCAGGCTGCGTATGGACGCTTTTTGCCCACGCCCGAGGCTCCGGCGCTGGAAGGCCTGAAAGAACCGGCTGTTCACCACTACCCAGAGAATGAAGAAGTCAATAAAGGCTGCTGCGCCGCCCCCAGCACTCTGGTTTATGACATTTGAGTTGCTCACTTCCCTATCTTCCATCTTCCCCCTAATAACCGTGAGCTCGGCCGTGCTCGCTCCTGTGTAGCTGGCTCCCAGAACAGGACCTGACACTCGAATGCGTGGAGGCAGAGCCCAGCCCTCGGGGATAACAGTTGCGGGCTACCCTAGCACCTTTGATACTTTAAACCAAGAATCACAGATGAAGAGGGGGAAATTTACTCTTGGGAGCTCCTGAAAAGCAATGAGGAGAACCACGGTACTTTGTCATGACAAAATCTACGATATTCTGGGTTGAATCTAAGCTTTTTCACCTGTTCTTCCATAGTCACCTCTTCATCCCCCTTTCACTCTTCCTAAGATGTGGGAACGGGACTAGGAAAAAATAAGGCTTATCACACTTCAGCCCCGGCTGCCCATCCCTGAATGCTTAACCCATCAGACAGCAACACAATTACTAAATACGGTCGGTCTTACAGGGTTTCAACTTTACTTTTTGGTTGAATATGAAATGCCAAAACATGCCCTTGTGTTCAAAAAATACAATCTGAAAATGGAAAAACAAAATTAAGATTTCTTATTTTGAAGCTTTACTGATAGGCTCATGTTTGGGAGACCAAAGCAATGTCTTAGAATTTAAAATCAAGAAAGCTGGGCGCAGTGGCCTGTAACCCCAGCACTTTGGGAGGCCAATGTAGGAGGATCTGTTGCGTTCAGGAGTTTGAGACCAGCCTGAGCAACATGGTGACACCCACCTCTAAAAAACTTTTTTTTTTTTTTTTTTTGAGATGGAGTCTGGCTCTTGTTGCCTGAGCTGGAGTGCAATGGCACAATCTCGGCTCACTGCAAACTCTGCCTCTGGCCTCAAGCAAATCTCCTGCCTCAGCCTCCCGAGTAGCTGGGATTACAGGTGCCCGCCACCACGCCACCTTTGTTGTATTTTTAGTAGAGATGGGTTTCACTACCTTGGCCAGGCTGGTCGCGAACTCCTGACCTCAGTTGACCCACCCACTTCAGCCTCCCAAAGTGCTGGGATTACAGGTGTGAGCTACCGCACCTGGCCAAAAAATAAATTTTTTTTTAAACTGGGCGTGGTGGTGCACTCCTGTGGTCTCAGCTACTCACGAGGCTGACTTGAGCTGGGAGATGGCGGCTCCAATGAGCTGTGATCATGCCACTGCATTCCAGTCCGATCGAGAGTGAGACCTTGACTCAAAAAAACAAAAATCAGGCCAGACGTGGTGGCTCACGCCTGTAATCCCAGCACTTTGAGAGGCCGAGGAGGATGGATCATGAGATTAGAAGTTTGAGACCAGCCTAGCCAATACAACGAAACCCTGTCTCTACTAAAAATCAAACAAACAAACAAACAAACAAAAACTAGCCACGTGTGGTGGTGCGCACCCATAGTCCCAGCTACTCGGAAGGCTGAGGCAGGAGAATCGCTTGAATGCAGGAGATGGAGGTTACAGTGAGCCAAGACTGCGCCACCTCACTCCAGCCTAGGCAATAGAGGGACACTCCGTATCAAAAAAAAAAAAAAACAAAAAAACACCAACCACCACTACCACCAAAACCCAAAACCAAATAGCCAATAAATACAAAAAGGTGGTCTACTTCCCTGATCATTACAGAAATGCAAAAAAATAAAAATAAATAAATAAATCAACAAAGCAAATTCTGGGTGGGTATTTGCTAAAAACAGTCTAGCAGTAGATGACTGCAGTAAGTTGGTGGTGATGAGATGTAAAGGAATGTGGGTTGAATGTCAATTTTTGAAGTGAGGAGTGTTTTAATTCACGTTTCTTAGGTTTCACCATTGTTAAGACTTGATATTTTTCTAGAAAGTCCTCGAGTGCCATTGTTCACCAGGCAACCATGTGTGACACTCAAGTAAAAATACATGTACAGGCTGGGTGTGGTGGTTCACACCTGTAATCCCAGCACTTTGGGAGGCTGAGGTGGGAGGATAGCTTGAGCTCAGGAGTTTGAGACCAGCCTGGACAACATAGGGAGACCCCCCATCTCTATAAAAAATTTAAAAATTAGCTGGGTATGGTGGCATGTGCCTGTGGTCTCAGCCACTCCAGAAGCTGAAGTGGGAGGATCACTTGAGGCTGGGAGATCAAGGCTGCAGTGAGCTGTGATCATGCCACTGCGTTCCAGCCTGGGCAACAGAGCGAGACTCTGTCTCAAAAATGAATAAAATTGTGTGTATCTAGAATAGTAAGAAATTAGGCTCATTTTGATTATGGTTCATAAATAGTAACTGAGTATAGTAAGAGGATTATGATGGCAAGGTACAAATTAAAAATCTCAAGTTTTTACCTTCGCTCCCCACAGGTTTTCATTAAAACAACAACAACAAAAAAAATTAAAGAGAATACATAACTTTAAAAATATGACAGAGGTGAAAGCTACAAGAATTACACTGCATCTGATTTTATACTCACACAGTCTAATCCAAACTGAAGTTCTGAATGAACTTTTCCCAGTCTCCCTATTTGATTTCCTAGGTAAAGGAATTTAGTAAATAATGAGAACAGGGAACTAAAAGGTAAAATTCATCTTTAAAACAGTAATTTATCAACTTTTAAACTAAGAGTGAGAAAGCTACCACAGACTGGCTTTTATGTAGTAATAAAAAGTTTAAAATCACTTACTGTCAGCATCTGTTTTTAAAAAATGAAATACTTACCAAACTATATGCAAAAAGTATTTGCATTAAAAGTTGCCAGCTTAATCATGGAAAATCTCTTATAAGGCTGCTTAAAGGTTCATGTTTTTTACTAAAAATGGTAGACTGTGAGAATGTGTAAAGTCAATTTTTGAACTACTAGTACTTTTTTTTTTTTTTTTTGGAGACCAGGTTTTACTGTTGCCCAGGCTGGAGTGCAGTGTCGTGATCTCAGTTCACTGCAGCCTCAACCTCCCAGGCTCAAGTGATCCTCCCAACTCAGCCTCCCAAGTAGCTGGGACTGCAGGCGCACGCCACCATGCCTGGCTAATTTTTGTATTTTTTATAGGGACAGGGTCTTGCCATGTTGCCCAGGCTAGTCTTGAACCTGGACTCAAGTGATCCTCCCACCTCGGCTGGGATTATAGCCATGCATCAAAGCAGCTTGGCCCTATTAGTACATTTTAATCAGAGATTAAACTATGTTGCATTTTAAATTTCAGTTTAAAAAAATGATTCACACGTTATACACAAGGACAATTTTAATCCTGCATTTTCCTGGAGTAACATCCACTGCTGGCTATCTATGGATTGTAACTGCATTTGCTAAGAACTGTGAACACAAAGAAACTTTACATGAAGTCACATGTTGATACAGGCACACAGACATCTTTCAGCAGCAACAGACTACATACATAACGCATACCAGATAGTCTCGATGGATAAATCTGCTTCACCAGTAATTCTATTTAGTAAAATCCACAGTTAATGGAGAATTCCATTTTTTAATTTTACATCTTTACTACACATTTTTCTAATACTTTATTTTTAAAAAACACTCATTCAAGATTGTAATTTGCATGGCGATAAACAAGGGTTCCATGGGTTCTAAGTTTCTTAAAAGTGTCCACAGCAACTTAAAACACCACAAGTCTTCTTTCCAATTTGCAGCACCTGACTTAAAGTTTAAATTCATCAAATACATCATTAAAACTGTCATTTTCTCTTGTGAGAAGACATGTTTCAATTGCTATTTCCAGGACTATATATTGAGCATGGGTGTACAGTACTTTTAACTGGTTAGCACAATTTTACTCACATAATTTATAGCCAGAATAAGAACCTCTAGCCTCTCTGAACGGCCTTCCACTCAGAGCAGATGATGACGATAAATGTCTAAAATGTATCTGGGGTACTCCACTTGACATTACCAAACATGCTTCCAAATAATCTTAGAAAATATGATTCTTTAAACATATGCATAATATTCTACCACACAATGCACCATCACTTCTTTAACCATTTCCCAATTGTTCATTTATAACATTTGCAATTTTTTATTATAAATAATATTGTGATGAATACTTTCATCCATAAGTTTTATGCAAGGCTGATTATTTCTTCTAATGTCTTCTAATGTCAAAGAAGTGGCTTACGGGTTCAAACAGCGCACATACATGGTTTTAAGGCTTTTAGTATACTTTACCAAATAATCTCCAGAATAGCTCAAACAACTCCTACCAACAGTTATGTTATTGTGCCCACAGGGTGGACTTCATAACAACACAGCAAATTCAACCACAGATCTATTAGATTCTCACCCATCTCAAAACTATCACATCAAAGAAGCAAGGAGACATATTACTGGTGAGGAAGCCAAATTCAAATTCTTTTAAAAAATCACTCAGCTTTAGATCAGTAAAATTATCAACAAAAATGCTCCCCACAAAAAGTCTACCGGGTTTTTCAAAAAATAAAGTTAAAAAGAGAGAAAGAGAAACTCAGGCTGGGTGCGGTGGCTCACATCTGTAATACCAGCACTTTGGGAGGCTGAGGTGGGCCAATCACGAGGTCAGGAGTTCGAGACCAGCCTGGCCAACATAGTGAAACCCCATCTCTACTAAAAATACAAAAATTAGCTGGGCGTGGTGGCGGGCGCCTGTAATCCCACCTACTTGGGAGGCTGAGGCAGGAGAATCACTTGAACCCGGGAGGCGGAGGTTGCAGTGAGCCGAGATCGCACCACTGCATTCCAGCCCAGGCAACAGTGCGAGACTCTGTCAAAAAAAAAAAAGAGAGAGAGAGAGAGAGAGAAAGTCAGTACCAAATGACCAAAATTTTTTATTTGACTAAATTCTATTCATGCATGAGCATGACAGTCTCCCGTTTATTTGACTTTGGCAATAAAAAAACAAGCAGCCTTGTACAGAACAGTGAAAATGCCAAGGACGAGGACAGTCTACAGTTTTACTGTAGAATATATATATATGTATACATATGTGTATATATGTATACATATATGTGTATATATGTATACATATATGTGTATGTATATATATATACATGTATACATACACACATGTATATATACATGTGTATATGTGTATACATACATATATGTGTATATATACATATATATGTGTATATATATATATATTTTAAAAGGCCTCTCTCCCTTTGGCCATATCAACTCTCAGTTCAGGCCATTAAATACAGACAAATTTTCAAATTCACTTCTTTACTTCTCCAAGATCTTCGATGCTGTCATCATCTACCTATAAAACACAAATAATTATATCTCATGAGTTGTGGTTGCAATTAAGAAAAAATGGAAGCAATTTGCTTTAAAAACTTATCTCTAGCGATGTATGTGTTCCATGCACTCACCTCTGGCCATTTTTCCTGAATGACATCAATTATGTCATCTGTAAAATCTCCCTGAATGATAATTTCATCCTCCCCTGTTACTGAGGCACCACAGGAGAATTTTTGAGCAAAAAATCTTTGTGCTTCTTTAAGATCAATTTCTATTTTTTTAAAAAAAGAAAGAGCAAGAACTGTAATTGGAATTGTGCAAAGATGTTTTTCCATTTTGAAATTTAATCTGCATTTTAAAATCATAAAACAGATTGTTAATGGGTTTTATATTCCTTTCAGAACAATACAAACTACCACAGAGATCTTAACAATGCAATTTACACTTTCAAGGTCAAATAAAGGCTCAATACATAAAAACAGAATCATCTATACTACCCCTTACTCATATTAAGACCAAAATAAATCCAGGGACACTTTATTCATTTTTTTTTTTGAGACGGAGTCTTGCTCTGTTGCCCAGACTGGAGTGCAGTGGCTCGATCTTGGCTCACTGCAACCTCCGTCTCCCAGATTCAAGCGATTCTCCTGACTCAGCCTCCTGAACAGCTGGGATTACAGGCATGTGCCACCGTGTCTGGCTCATTTTTGTATTTTTAGTAGAGATGGGGTTTCACCATGTTGGCCAGGCTGGTCTCAAACTCCTACCTCAGGTGATCCGCCCATGTCAGCCTCCCAAAGTGCTGGGATTATAACAGGTGTGAGCCATCACGCCTGGCCTCTTTTTTCTTTTTTAAGGCTAGTCAAGTGAAGCAGTGGGAGTAAAGAAGGAACAAAGAAATATGTAAGTGGTTGTGATCATTTAGCTGTAAACACCACTGTACTCAGACCAGCCTATTGATTGTTTTTCAATCTGTGTTGTCTCATAGAGGCATCATAGTTTACATTTTCACCCAGTTTCACTACTCATTCAAGGCTTCCAGGAACTAAGGGGCTCTAAAGAAGGATGTTCTGCCACCTTCCTCAACCTCTCCTGTCATTCCCAGAGGGGATGAGCCATTTTGCAACCTTTTGCCACCATGCCTGCAGAGGACAGAGGAGCAGCATTGGCTGGTTTCAAAGAGAATCCTACCCAGCCGTCCTCATCCCACATAAAATGTGCCCAAGCAGGAATTCCAGAAAGTAAAAAGTCCCCTCTACAAAAGATTTTGACATTTCTCTAAAATTTGATTTTGAAGCTATAGTTAGAAATGCAAAATTTATCTTCTTAGCAAAAAACAGACCTGTGAAGTTTTCATGGTATGTGAGAGAGAGAGAGACAGAGAGATAGAGGGAGACAGAGAGAGAAAATAGTTCACACATTTTAAATATACTTAAGCCTGAACTCACCAAAAGTTGCAAGGCCACATACTCTTGTCACATATTTCTTCTTTGCTCTGGGAATTTTGGCTATAGTAACCTTTTGTGGTACGGTCTTCTTTTTTTGTTTTATTTGACCCCTTCCACCTTTATTTATTAAGAAAGAGCTTAGCTTTAGTTGTTTTTGACATAAGAGAATACTGTCTTTAAATTTATTAATTCTCAAAAGGTTTAAGTTTCTTTTTCTCTAATACAAAAATTACTAAACACATCCAAGTATTCATTCAATAAACATTTATTAAGTACCTACTATGTGCCTAGCACTGGGCTAAGAGCCGAGGATACAAAAGTGAACAGAACATAGCCCCTGCCCTCCAGAGACTCAGTCTAGTGAAGGGAGTAAAAAAAGAAGTTACAGCAACCTGATACATACAATAATAGGAATCATGAATAAGGCTTTATGATAGCTTTGCAGAGAAACAACTTAGTCTGCTTCCAGAGGACACAGAAAGTTTCCTAGAGGAAGTAATATCTAGGTGGAGTTGTGAAGAATAAGGAAAGGTCCAGGTAAAGGGAAAAAGGCTGGAGAGGCATAAGAAAGGACATTCCAGGGAAAGGGAACAAGTACAGAGATAAGAAAAGGCGTTATATTTGGGAACTTCACTTGTCTTGATTGAAGGATGCTTATGAATATGTAGCAGATGGAGCCAGAAAAGCAAAAGATTACATACATAGCAGTCACTGGATCTGTGTTTCGGTGGATCTGTGAAGAGTAAGACTGATAGAAAGGCCCCTACAGAGGCTCTTGCGTTAGTTCAGGCAAAAAATTGAAAGTAAAGCAGTGCCAACAGTAATGGCCACTAGGCCACAGGCAGGAGAGGAGGGAGGAGAAAGAACAGAAGCAAGAACTGAGTAAAGGGAGAAAGAGAATGTAAGATGGTTCTCAGGGCTCTGGTTTGCATGACTGAATAAATAGTGTTGTCACTAACCAAAATAGAGAAAAAGAAGTCAGTTTGGGACTTGAGACTCGAGACTCAGTAAGCTTAATTTCCAAAGTGCAGTGTTTGAGGTGCTTCTGGGATAAAGCACACTTCTAGGCTAGAGACACAGGCCAGATCCAGATATACAGATTTGGGAATTTTAAGTGCATACTGGGCAGCAGAAGTTAGGGATGTGATAGAATCATCCAACAAGAACGTGCAGAATGAGAAGTAAGTGGGCCTAGGACAGAATCCTGGAAAATACCAACTTTTAAAGGGCAGAAGGAACAGAAGTCCGCACAGAAGACTAAGGAGGAGTGATAGGAGACCTAGGAAGGAACAGAAACCAAGGAGGGACAATGTTTCAGGAAAGAGGGAGTGCATGTGCGCTTATTATTTAGCAATAACTAAGCCACTGCTGACCCTTATCGGAAGAGCTGCAGTGGCCAGGAAGTCAGGTTAGGATGGACTGAGGAGTGAACAGTGTACCACAGAACAGAAGCGGGGATAGTGAGTCTGGCCTTAGTAAAGAAATCTGGCTAAGGGAAGGAGAGGGATAAGGTAAAGAAAGACATGAGCTTTGGGGAGAGTTTTTTTTTTTTTTGAAGATGCAAAGTCCTAAAAATATTTATAAGTGAATTTTAGTCATAGGGGAGAATAATGAATGAAAATGAAACAGGTGGGTACAGGATCCACAGCACCAGGAGTTGGTTTGAGAAGGAGTCAAGTGTATGCAACAGCCGTAAAACAAAGTTTTCAACTGAGCTATCAGAAGTAATGAGAAGATAAAATTTTTTATATAAATGTCCTCACTCTACTTAAATAGAAGACACAGGAATTTTAGCTGTTTTTTACATACAAACAGGGCAAATAAGCATGTTTTCCTAGGTCCAATTTACTGACACAGCCCAAATCATACCACATCCAACCATGATCCTATTAGTATGTGCCCCTTTGTATGATATACATGGGGAATTACAATAACAGGTACATGGTATTAATGTTGGGAACCTCCCCCTTTTTGTAAGGGATGAGGTCTCACTATGTTGCCCAGGATAGAGTGCAGTGGCTATGTGGAGGAACGATCATTGCATACTACAGCCTTGAACTCCTGGGCTTAAGTGATCCTCCTGCCTCAGCCCCCTAAGAAGCTGTGACTATAGGCGCCCACCATTGTGCCTAGCTTTGGGAACCATTTTAATTACTTACATTTTCTATCGCAGTGACGGTATGACTGTACAAATCAAGATGTGAATTTAGGTCTTACCTCTCTTCTGTTTTTTCTTCTCCTCTTCTTCCCCTGCTGTTCCTTGACCCTCACTAATTCCAGCTTCTTGTTTGGGTGAATTTTCTAGATATAAAAGTGAAATACAAAAGCATGAACATCATCTCACACTGTTAAAAAAAAAGAAATCACCTTTGAGCAACCTCATATACAAATAAGGCATCTTACCAACAGCTGAGCATGAAATTTGTAAAGCAATGGATTACACTGCTAGATTTCTATTCAAGTCTAGTTCTAAAGTCATTATAGTAAGTGTATGGTAACAGAAGAGAAAACCCAGTCTTTTGATATGTGAGGGCTGAAATTTTTAGCCACAGGAAAGGAGCATAGAACACTTGGGCTCTGCAGGAGTGCTCTAGCATCTAAACTTACTAATTTTGTTAACATCTAGAGAAGAGCTCCCCACCCGCTCAGACATGATCCTATCCCAGGAAGGTCCCGTTCAGGGACAACCATGTAGACTGAATATAAAACCAGACTTGAGGGTTCTTATTCAACCACTGACAGTGATGGAGTAGCTACCAGCCAAAATGGACTTACCAAGTTAGGGGTTTGTGTGTCAGGGAAATCACTTGAAAGTCAAGGAGCAATGAGTGGGGCAGCACTGGGTGTCTCTGAGCAGGCCTGTTCCCAGACCAGGCTTTCTCTTCTTCTTGCTACTGCCTTCATTTTTACCAGTCTTGCAAGAGAAGCCATCAATATGAGAAAACTGAGGAATTCTGTTCCTCCATAGTCTTCCCACCTCTGGCAATGGCAACTCCATTTTTTTTGAGACGGAGTCTCCCTCTGTTATCCAGGCTGGAGTGCAGCGGTGCGATCTCGGCTCACTGCAAGCTCTGCCTCCCGGATTCACGCCATTCTCCTGCCTCAGCCTCCCAAAGTAGCTGGGACTACAGGCGCCCGCCACCTCGCCCGGCTAATTTTTTGTATTTTTAGTAAAGACAGGGTTTCACCGTGTTAGCCAGGATGGTCTCGATCTCCTGACCTTGTGATCCGCCTGCCTCGGCCTCCCAAAGTGCTGGGATTACAGCGTGAGCCACTGCACCCGGCCTCTTTGGTCTATTCTTAGCAGAGCAGCCTAAGTGATGCTGCTGAAACAAGTCAGACCTTATCACTCTTCTGCTTAAACTCCTCCAAGAGCTCATCATCTAACTAAGAGCAAAAGCCAAAACAGCCCACAATGCCCTACCCGTTGTGGTCTACTCTGACTTCATATCAAACTCTTCTCCGGTCCTTCAATAAGCTCCAGACACAAAGGCTTCCTTGCTGTTTCCTGAATATACTAGGAAAGCTTCTACTCAGGGCCTCTCCTCAGGCTGTGTCCTCTGCCTAGAAATGTTCTGCCAGATACCCAAATGACTCATTCCCTCAGTTCCAAAATAATCAACTGCCACCTTTTCAGCAAAATCTTCCCTGGGTACTACCTAAAATTTCAAATTCCTTCCCACCAATTCTTATCTCCCCCTTTCCTGCTTATTACTGTCTACATACTATGTTTTGCTTATTTAATCTGTCTCCCTTTCTAGAATGTAATTGCCACAAGAGTAGGAAATCTTTTATTGGCTTATCCTCAGAATCTGCAACAGTGTGTAGCATATAGTACACTTACAATAAAAATCAATATATATTTGCCCCTAAATCATTTACTTTTTTTAATTTTGTTTTTTTGAGACAGAGTTTTGCTCTTGTTGCCCAGGCTGGCGTGCAATGGTGCCATCTCGGCTCACTGCAACCTCTGCCTCCCGGATTCAAGCGATTCTTCTGCCTCAGCCTCCCGAGTAGCTAGGATTACAGGCATGCGCCACCACGCCCAGCTTTGTATTTTTAGTAGAAACAGGGTTTCTCCATGTTGATCAGGCTGGTCTTGAACTCCCGACCACAGGTGATCCACCCGCCTCAGCCTCCCAAAGTGCTGGGACTACAGGCGTGAACCACTGCGCCCAGCCAATCATTTACTTACTTTTTTTTTTTGAGACGGAGTCTTGCTCTGTCACCCAGGCTGGAGTGCAGTGGCACGATCTCGGCTCACGGCAAGCTCTGCCTCCCAGGTTCACGCCGTTCTCCTGCCTCACCCTCCTGAGTAGCTGGGACTACAGGTGCCTGCCACCACGCCTTTTTTTTTTTTCATTTTTAGTAGAGATGGGGTTTCACTGTGTTAGCCAAGATGATCTTGATCTCCTGACCTTGTGATCCGCCTGCCTCAGCCTCCCAAACTGCTAGGATTATAGGTGTGAGCCACTGCGCCCGGCCCATTTACTTTTTTATGTAAGAAAGTTGATATTCAGACCTATCCTATCTCAGAGAGAACTTAAACAGCTAACAGATAAATGTTAATTCTGTAATATCCTACTAAAGGAGGACTTTCCTATCTTTAGAATAATGCCATACATGCATTTGTCTCAGGTACAGAAGTTTAATGCAAGAAAAAAAATGTTCATACCTACAGTAAGTTTTGCAAATTCATTTGGAAAATTCTTCTCTAACCATTGTCTACATTTAGCAACATCAGGCATATATTCACAGTACTAGGAGAAAAAAAAAGAACTGAGTCACAACAAAACATTTTCAGTCAAACAATATGTCGTAATTAAAAATCACCCCCTATACTTGTTAATACAAAGAATAAAACAAACCACTCCCATCTGACTTCTTATCCACAGGAAATCTGTATTCAACCACGATATGTCCCATAAAAAATTAGATATTAAGAAGGATTAGGTACCTCTTCACAGTACCAATTTATTTCTTCTCCCTCTATTTCTTGCTTTGAGCACATAAGTGCCTCATTTTCATGACTTGCTCATAGAGCTGGACTTAGAAAGTCTTACACATAATTTATACTGCCCTTTCTTTCCTCTGCTCATTTGTATAGATTTTGGCATTAAGGTTACTCTTATTTTATTAGCTGACTATTCATAAGTCCCATGCAAAAATCCAAACTGCACAGCCATGTGCAAAAGATGCACATGTATGATTTAAGGTCTAAATTTAGGAAAGAATATATAAGACCAAAAAATTACTCTAAATCAAAGTTCTCTATAAAAGGTTAAAGCTTTACTATCAAATAATCAAAAATGAAAAATAAAAAAAAATTCTCAAGGTAGCTTTAAAACCAAGAATAACTTCAAATACATAAGGTAAAAAAAAAAATTAAAGAACTTACCTCTGTTGGTAATGAACAGACTGAGGAAGTAAAAAGAAAAAAGATTTGAAATGTTAAACCTATATGTACACACATACACAGGGCTTATCCTTACTTTTATATTTGAGAAAATGCTTCATTTTTACATTTTCCCTATAAGTTTTCTATACCACTTTTCAAATGCTACTCTTCAGTGTTTTTGGGGTAAAAGGCACATGGTTATTTGAGATGATACTATCTTGACTTTTTCATCTAAAGAGTGTCTCCATCAGCTGATGGAACATCAAAATATGCTATTTTGTATATAATGAGGTCTTACCATAACCATTTCAGTGGGTCAAAAAATTAAGCTAAGACACGAACAATTTCCCATACATCAGAGTTTGAAGGAAACTGGTTATTTCTTTTCTTTTGAGACACGGTCTCACTCTGTTGCCCAGGCTGGGGTGCAGTGGTGCAATCATGGCTCAATGCAGCCTCCACCCCTCCAGGGGCTCAAATGATCCTCCCACCTCAGTCTCCCAACTAAATGGGACTACAGATGCACACCACCATGCCCAGCTAATTTTTTGTAGAGACAAGGTTTCACCATGTTGCCCAGGCTAGTCTCAAACTTCTGGGCTTAAGCGATCTACCTATCTTAGCTTCCCAAAGTGCTGGGATCACAGGCGTGAAGCACTGTTCCCAGCCTGGTTATTTCTTTTGATGGTTCTACCAAAACAGCCACCACTTTTTATTCATACTGACACATTTATAAACTTTAGCAGCATTTTTACTACCATCTTTTTGCAATATATTTTTCCTTTTTTTTTTTCTGAGACAGAGTCTTGCTCTTTCTGCCAGGCTGGAGTGCAGAGGCACGATCTCGGCTCACTGCAACTTCTGTCTCCTGGGCTCAAGAAATTCTCCTGCCTCAGCCTCCCAAGTAGCTGGGATTACAGGCGTGTGCCACCACGCCCGGCTAATTTTTGTATTTTTAGTAGAGACGGGGTTTCACCATGTTGGCCAGACTGGTCTCAAACTCCTGACCTCAGGTAATCCGTCCGCCTCAGCCTCCCAAAGTGCTGGGATTACAGGCATGAGCCACCGCACCTGGCCTATTTTTTTTAGAGTAAGGGTCTCACTCTCACTCTGTCACTCAGGCTGGAGTGTAGTGGTGTGTCCATGGCTCACTGCAGCCTCGAACTCCTCAGCTCAAGTAATCCTCCCGCTTCAGCCTCCCAAGTAGCTGGGACTATAAGCGTGAGCCACTATGTACAGGTAAGTTTTTTATTTTTGTAGAGACGGGATCTCGCTATGTTGCCAAGGCTTTTTCATGTTATGCTACATAAGATCATGAAAGTGTAAAGCTAGAAGGAATCTTGGTTCAATCCTGTCATTTGGTGTTAGAGCCTGTACAGGCTAATAATGGACTAGAAGAACTGGAAAAGCTTCCAATTTTAACCGTAATTCTAATACTGGGTCAACTGCTTATTTTGTTTTTATTTATTTATTTTTGAGACGGAGTCTTGCTCTTTCACCCAGGCCGGACTGCAGTAGCACTATCTCGGCTCACTGCAAGCTCCGCCTCCCGGGTTCACGCCATT
Organism: Homo sapiens; assembly: GCF_000001405.40. NCBI lineage: Eukaryota > Metazoa > Chordata > Mammalia > Primates > Hominidae > Homo > Homo sapiens. The sequence continues at coordinate 122,760,641 of NC_000012.12, read as the reverse complement.
CTCCTGCCTCAGTCTCCAGAGTAGCTGGGACTACAGGTGCCCGCCACCGCGCCCGGCTAATTTTTTGTATTTTTAGTAAAGACGGGGTTTCACAGTATTAGCTAGGATGGTCTCGATCTCCTGACCTTGTGATCCGCCCGCCTCAGCCTCCCAAAGTGCTGGGATTACAGGAGTGAGCCACCGCGCCCGGCCTTTTGTTTTTATGTTTAAGGTTTAGAATGGAGTAGTTCAGTGTGTCCAATATCCTGAGATTTCTCAGGGAGAGGAAGGTGGTATACCATGTAGTCACAGCAATTACTACACACTGGGCACCTAGTATGTGCCAAATGTTTTGCTATGCCTTATATACATTATTATGTTTAGTTATCACAACCTTGTAAGATAAGTACCATATCTATATTCAGATGATGAAACTGAGGCTTAGAGTACATAACCACTTGCATCTGGATAACAGGATTTGAATCTGCCTGTTTCTGACGCTCATGCTATTAACCACTAACTTAGGTTACACAAAGTAAACAAGCAACTTAGTGGCACCTGACAGCTGAAAATGATCTGCCTTCACCTCACCCTACTAACATTCTAACATGCTACCACACAATCACTATTTTACAGATGGGGCACTAAAAGAGTTAAACAGCTCATACAATGACAAAGGTGGTATGTGGCAGAAGAAAACTGGAATCCATTGGTTTTGTCCAGTCTAGTCTATTATAGTTTAGGGTTATTTCCACCAAAGATCTCTCTGGTTAGCTACAGCCCTATATTCCTCACAATTCAAGTTCAAATACTAGGCATAGTTGTTCAGCCACACTTTCAGGATATAACTATACAATTATTGGTTAAACACCATCACAGCAAATACTAAAGCTACAAATTTTGTATACTATTTCAAATAATATTTAGTTCAGAAAAAAAAAAAAATTGGGGTTTTGCTCTGTTGCCCAGGCTGGAGTGCAATGGCACCATCTCAGCTGGCTGCAACCTCTACCTCCTGGGTCCAAGTGATTCTCGTAGCTCAGCCTCCCGAGTAGCTGGGATTACAGGTGTGCACCACCACACCCAGCTAATTTTTGTATTTTTAGTAGAGACAGGGTTTTGCCATGTTGGCCAGGCTGGTCTTGAACTCCTGGCCTCAAGTGATCTGCCTGCCTTGGCCTCAGCCTCCCAAAGTGCTGTGATTACAGGTGTGAGCCACTGTGCCTGGCCCGGTTCAGCAAAATTCTAATGCAATAAAAAAATTGGGGGAGCTCCTTTAAGTTCACCATTATTTGCTTTAAAAAAGTCAATTTCTCTTTACAGATCACTTACTTATTTGGAAAGGGAAAACTGTACCTTTTCAATGCAAACATTTAGCCGTCACCTTCAAACTTAGCATCACTAATAGTGAAACATCTGACATTATGAGCTCTTGATGCAATGCAACATGATGAATGAAACATCATCCACGAAACTTTCTTGCCAAAATCTGTTTAACTTGAATCTAATTAAGCCTCTAGGCCGGGTGTGGTGGCTCACGTCTACAATCCCAGCACTTTGGGAGGCCGAGGTGGTGGATCACCTGAGGTCAGGAGTTCAAGACCAGCCTGGCCAACATGGTGAAACCCCATCTCTACTAAAAATACAAAAATTAGCCGGGTGTGGTGGCGCACACCTGTAGTCCCAGCTACTCAGAAGGCTGAGGCAGGAGAATCGCTTGATCCTGGGACGCAGAGGCTGCAGTGAGCTGAGACTGCCACTGCACTCCAGCCTGGGCAACAGGGCAAGACTCCAACTCAAAAAAAAAATAAATAAATAAAAAATTAAGCCTCTAGACTCCAGCTTCTTTTTTTTTGTTAAAGAGACAGTCTCACTTTGTCACCCAGGCTATAGTGCAGTGATGTGATCTTAACTCATGCAGCCTTGAACTCCTGGGCTTAAGTGTTCCTTCCACTACAGCCTCCGAGTAGCTGGAACTACAGGCACTTGCCACCACACCTGGCTAATTTATTTAATTTTTTGTAGAGGCAGGGTCTCACTATGTTGCCCAGGCTGGTCTCAAACTCCTGAGCTCAGATGATCTGCCTGCCTCGGCCTCCCAAAGTGTTGGAATTAAAGGTGTGAGCCACTGTGCCTGGCCAAATGAGCAAAGTTACCACCACATGGAAACATGGAATGGGACTAATCCACAGCCAGGTACCTCTTGATAAAATGCACTGAAATTAACAGCACTTCTGTGGTGGTCTTGGCACAAGATCATAAACTAAATCTAGTCTTAAGAACACATCAGAATGGCCGGGTCTGGTGGCTCACGCCTGTAATCCCAACACTTTGGGAGGCCGAGGCGGGTGGATCACAAGGTCAGGAGTTCAAGACCAGCCTGGCCAAGATGGTGAAACCTCATCTCTACTAAAAATACAAAAATCAGCCAGGCACGGTGGCAGGCGCCTGTAATCTCCGCTACTCGGGAGGCTGAACCAGGAGAATCACTTGAACCCTGGAGGCGGAGGTTGCAGTGAGCCGAGATCACGCCATTACACTCCAGTCTGGGCAACAGAGTGAGACTCCTTCTGAAAAACAAACAAACAAAAACTGCCTTTCTATAACAGAGAATGAACAGCCACAATCAGCTTCCTGAAAGTCAATATTTTCAATTACAAATTTCGCTGTCAACAGTCACCAAAATCACTAACTTTGCACACAGTGTCACTAAGCCTCAATCATCTCATACTTTAAAGTCTTCTAAATTTGGGGAGGAGGGTGGAAAAGATTAAAATAAAAATAAAGTCTCCTAAACTTGATTTCTGTGGCCAGTTTCAACCCATTTCAGGCACTTCCTCCTTCCTTCCAAACAGTTATTATCCAAAAAGATATAACCAATCACATCACTTCCCAGATTAAGAACTTTTCAAACATCTTATCGTACTTCTCCAGACTCAACTCCTACCAGCCCATGGTCCAACCACAATGAACTTCTATCCATGCCATTCTTTTCAGCAAACACCTATTCATCCTTCAAGACTCTGCTAAGTTTCCTTGAAGCTGATGTTATAATGGCTTGTCTTGGATTTTAATCCTGGCCCCACCACTTATACAATTGAGAAGCTTATCATCAATAAAACTGTAATATTTCAATTTTGAAGATTAAATATACAAACATAAAATCCACTCAATACTTTAACTTTCCCTTTTTTCAGTTCTCCCAAGTAGAACTGGTTGGTTCTTTATTCTCACTGCAGTCTGCTCACCCCTCTAGTATACAATTAGTACATTATAACTCACCTGTTAAAATGTTTGTCTTCCCAGTTAAGCTCAGTTTCCAGGAGATAATTATGTCTTATTTCTGTATATGGAGCACAATGCTTGCCACAGAGCAGATGCTTAAAACGTGTTTCCTAAATGAATTTGAGCTGCTCTCTGAAACCCCAGACTTTAGCTGAGAGCAAATTCTCTAATTTGCATCCTTCTTTTTGCAAAAGGGGAAAGGGAGGGAGGGGGAAGGAATGATAAGAAAAATGCCTATGTCACTATCGCTTCTATTTTTCTCTTTAATCAGTTGGGTATTCTATTGGAGGGTTTTCCCTCTTCTCTAAGCACTCCAGCAATACTAAATGTCTGTCAAAACTACATCCAGTTTATTTCTCCCATCTCCCTTGTCCTCAAATCTGATTAACTGCTTTATACTGTTCATCCTACCATAATTTATTTTTCAACCTCTCTTCCTCACTTATGCCACTCATTTAAATGCTCATTAATTTTGTCTAAAGTCTTATTATAGCCTGGCCAATAAGCCTGCCTCCCTCAATTGTTATCTTGCTGCCAGATTCATCTTCATGTAACTTCACTGCTCCAAAACTTTCAATGACTTACAATTATCTACAAATCAGGTGCCCCAGAACTTGGCCCCAAACCACGTTGCCATAATTTCCGGCTGCCCCTCTTCATGAATTCCACAATACAACCAAACTGTAACACTCGAAACTCCCTCCACACTACCCACTATTAAATACTTTCCTACCTCCACTCCTTTGCCTGGCAAGTCCAACCTTCAGCCCTTCTGTGCCTGCCTGAATGCAACCTTTCCTTCAAATCCCCATTTGGCTGTGGTTGCCTCTATGAAGTCTTCCCCTAATTTCCTACAAATCTCTCCCCTCCTGTACTGACACTGCAGCTATTAGTCCTTAATCTTTATTTCTTGTCTCTTTCTTCTTTTTTTTCTGGGATGGAGTTTTGCTCTCAAAGGCTGAGTGCAGTGGCACGATCTTGGCTCACTGCAATCTCCGCCTCCCAGGTTTAAGCGATTCTCCTGCCTCAGCCTCCCGAGTAGCTGGGATTACAGGCGCCTGCCACTATGCCCAGCTAATTTTTGTATTTTTAGTAGAGACAGGGTTTCACCATGTTGGCCAGGCTGGTCTTGAACTCCTGACCTCAGCTGATCCACCCACCTTGGCCTCCCAAAGTGCTTGGATTACAGGTGTGAGCCACCGCGCCTGGCCTATTTCTTGTCTCTTTCTTTCAGCATTCATCATCTTCCCTGTTAAGTTATATGTAGACAGACAGGGCCTCTGCCAATTTATATGCCTCCACAGAACTTAGCCGAGGACCTTATACATCAGAGATACTAGGTAAAAATTGTTTATAGTCTTTGTAAATTGTTGATTATGATGTGGACTCTATTAACAATGTCATCATACCTTCTTACCAAGCTGGCTAACAAAATCCACTACTTTTACAAAATGGTAATGTTAGAAATTAAAAGGTACAGTCTAATCCCATCTCCACTACTAGTTTCTTCAATTAAGCATAAGAATGTTTTTACATTAAGTGGAAGCCTGTACTGTTCTGGAGAGTGTTGACAAGGTAGAAAGGCACCTTTCAGTAGTTTCCACTTTAGTCCTAGTTCACTGACCCTCTGAGGTCACAGGGAATAGATCTTATCCTTTACTCACATAGGTTTCCAAATTTAAAGAGTTGTTTCACAGGTAATCATTATATAAAAATATAATAGGAATCTATATTCTGAGCATCTTGTTAAAATAAATGTATCAGTTTTTCTCACATCCTTAGTTTTGTTTTTTATTTTTGAGATGGGGTCTCGCACTGTTGCCCGGGTGGGAGTGCAATGGCGTGATCTCGGCTCACTGCAACCTCTGCCTCCCGGGTTCAAGTGATTCTCCTGCCTCAGCCTCCCAAGTAGCTGGGATTACAGGTGCCTGCCACCAGGCCTGGCTAAGTTTTTGTATTTTTAGTAGAGACGGGGTTTCACTATGTTGGCCAGGCTGGTCTTGAACTCCTGACCTCATGATCTGCCTGCCTCAGCCTCCCAAAGTGCTGGGATTACAAGTGTGAGCCACTGCGCCCGGCCCCTTAGTTTTAATTCATAATTACAGAAAAATAAAACAAGATTTCTAGAGACTGACATTTTCACTAAGCTTCCAAACTTCTCACCAACTAAGCAATTCTCTATGTGGTGAAATCTACCCAGTTCACCTCGTTCCAGGTACACCCCAAGAATCTTTCTGGCTTTTCTCTCTTTCTCCCTTAGAAAAGCTCATATACTGTCTCTCTCTGCTGCCAAATGCAGCATACTTGGATTCTTCCATTTGGAGAAACTCAAATTCACTGTATTGCAAGTCAGCCTATTATCTATCTCCAAATCTAATCTTTCTCAAAGTCATCATTTTTAGTGGTGTTCTGGTTTTTCAACTCTCTCAATTGTGAAATATCTTTTTCCTTTTTCACCATTAAACATTGTATCTTTTCTTTGATTAACCCTCTTTATTCACTTTTATACTGCTTACACTCTCAGCAAGGCACTTATTTACCTCAAACCTAGATTTCTGAAAGTGGCCTTCAAATTTGTGGGTTCTATTTCCTCCAAATAATGCAGCATATTAATCTCTTGTCACTTTATTTTCCTGCTCAAAAAATGATTAGGTTGGTGCAAAAGTAACTGCAGTTTTTGCCATTACTTTTAATGGCAAAAAGATATCATTTCTCCTTCTACGGTACTTAAATGTCAGATGTGGTCTCTACTGCAGTCACAGAATGTAAGGTCCACGTGAACAAGGATCTTCTGACTTATTCACTACTCAGGCCCCAGCACCTAAAACATCACTAGGCACACAGTAAGTTCTGAGAAATATTTACTGAAAAAATATTTACTTGCCCTTTTACTGTCCTGTATCTTCAGATTTTTCTGAAAGTTTCCAAGATGCGAATACATACAGCATTTACAATTCACAAATATTTCTATATTGAAAATGAAGAAAAACACTCGAAAGTGAAAAAGATCTTGATTAAACCTAATACATATATCATGATTCAAACCAAGAAGACTTTCCTCACTGTCCTACCACCCAACACTCCAACCTCACCTTCTCCCACTCCTTAACGGGCCACCCTCCCTATACGATACACCAGACAAACTCAAAGCTGCTCACTTCTTCACAGACAGCCATCAAGCTTTTTCTTACATAGTCGTGCGCTTTGTCTGGGACGCCGTTCCCCACCTTCTCATCCAGTCCTTGCCATCCTTAACTCATAATCTTCCAAGAAGCCCTCCTTTGACAGCTAGACTAGCATACACCTTGAGGACCTTCAGGCTGAAATAACCTAGTTGCACATCCTGTTACAAATGGACTGTAAGCTTCTTCAGGCAGAGTAGCCAGACACAAATCACCCAGGTGGGGAAACTCTGTTAATTCATGCCTCCTCCTCCCCAGGACTCCTCTCCCCCAGTACAAACTCACCAAATGAAAAGGATGGGGAAGAAAGCTTACCAAATGTCAAACTGTTATTACAATGCATAAAAGTATAGTGAGTAAAAGTCATTCTGTGGCTACCAACACTTGCCTCCACAATAAAGGACTCGAAGTGGGTAATCGGCATCTAACTTGGCACTGTTCCTTGGGTCTCCTTTGCAGTCAGCCCCGCTGGATTCAGAAATGTCAGCAGCCATTTCACAAACCTGTAAGCAAGGAAAATAACACACCCTCACTATTTTAGAATCAAGACCCCAGAAGAGCAGTGTTCCTCTCAACAGAAACCTCCCCACCCCAAAGCTGTTTCAAGTCTGTTGTTGAGTGGGGGATACAAGCTGCATTCGATTCATAAAATATGAGCAATCCCAGGCACAACATCTCCTTGCTCCACAGGTCTACAGGGAAGCAAGCAGCAAATGGACCATGAAGGATGGGGCAGAGGGACTCACTAGAGAAAAACAGGAAGCAATGGGGAAGGAAAGATGGGGTGAGTACCCACGGCAGACACGGAGCAAAAAGGTCTGAGGGTGATCTGGGAGGGATGCAAACTGCAGTGAGAGAAGGGCTACAAAGGCGCCGAATGGAGAGAGGCTGGAAGTGCCTAGGAACAAGGGGTGGGTCATCGGAGAAGCCCGGGGTGCAGGGTGTGGGGGCAACTAAACGCCATGAGAGGGGCCTGGGGAGTCTAAAAAGGGCATGGGAGGGGGCGGGGTAACCAGAGCGTAAGAAGGATGAGGAGAGAAAACGAGCGCAGAATGTAAGAGCACTGAGGGGACAAGGGCGACCAGGTCTGAGGCGAAGGAGCAACCCCGGGGACGCCAGAAGGGGCCCTTGTGGGCGGGGGTGTGGAGAGGCCCGGCCCGGCCCCCTTCCGCCAGGCAGCATCTCAGCTTCCCCCACACTCTCTACGAGCTTCTCGGGAGCGGGAGAAGCACTTGGGGTCGTTACCCAGGCGGTCGCACAGGCCCCGCCGGCTCCGCTCCCGCCGCTATCGCCAGCTGAACCAACACATGCAACTCGTCTCCCCGGCCAGGGCCGCCCGAGCGCCCGACCGCCAGCAGCGCTCCCGCGAGACAATGAGCCTTTATCGCGAGATTCCGGCCGCCGCTGGGCGGATGTCGCGAGAAGCCGGAAGACGGGGGCGGAGAAAAATTGCGGAGCGTGCGCCTTGCCCTCCGGTGGGGGGCGTGGCCAAGAGGCCGAGAGGCGGGCCGCCGGCAGGCGGTGCTCGTCACCCGTTGGAGAGGATGAATCCTCGAGATGGGCGTGCCGAAGGGAACGTGACTTGCAGACGCAGAGAGCGCACCTGAGTCACAAATGACTCCCTATTAATGAGTCCGAGGATCATCGCCTCGGTGTCTGCGGTGCATCCTGGAGTCCTGACTAACCTCCAGCTACTGCATAAATCACTCCCGTGCGGGGAGATTGCAGCCGGATAGAGCGTTTGGTCGCATTTTAACACCATGCACTGAATTAAAGGAAGGTGTTCTCCCTCCCTCCCTCCCTCCCTTCCTTCTTTCCTTCCTCTCTTCTTTTCTCTCTCTCTTCGCCGGATGGAGCGTTTGGTTGCGTTTTAACACCATACACTAAATTAAAGGAATTCTTTTTTCTTTCTTTTCTGTTCTTTCTTTTCTTTCTTCTTTCTCTTCTTTCTGTCTCTTTCTTCCCCTTCCCTCCCTCCCTCCCTTCCTTCCTTCTTTCCTTCCTTCCTCCCTCCCTTCCTTCCTTCCTCCCTCCCTTCCTTCATCCTTTTCTTTATGTTTTGACAGGGTCTCACTCTGTCACCTAGGCTGGATGGAGTGCAGTTGCACAAACACGGTTCACTGCAGCCTCGACCTCCCAAGTAGTTGGGAATACAGGCGCGCGTTACCACACCCAGCTAATTTTTAATTTGTTTATAGAGGTGGGGGAATCTCCCTATGCTGTCCAGGCTGGTCTCGAACTCCCGGACTCAAGGGATCCTCCCGCCTCCGCCTCCCAAAGTGCTGGGATTACAGGCGTGAGCCACCGCGCCCGGCCTACAATTTTTTTTAATGAAAAAAAGAAAAATGTAAGAGTATGGGAATATATGGGGAAAAGAAAGATCAGATTGTTACTGTGTCTGTGTAGAAAGAAGTAGACATAAGAGACTCCATTTTGTTCTGTGCTAAGAAAAATTCTTCTGCCTTGAGATGCTGTTAATCTGTAACCCTACCACCAACCCTGTGCTTCCTGAGACCTGTGCTGTGTCAACTGAGGGTTAAATGGATTAAGGGCTGTGCAGGATGTGCTTTGTTAAACAAATGCTTGAAGGCAGCATGCGCCTTAAGAATCATCACCACTCCCTAATCTCAAGTACCCAGAGACACAATACACTGCAGAAGGCCGCAGGGACCTCTTCCTAGGAAAGCCAGGTATTGTCCAAGGTTTCTCCTCATGTGATAGTCTGAAATATGGCCTCGTGGGAAGGGAAAGACCTGACCATTCCACAGCCCGACACCTGTAAAGGGTCTGTGCTCAGGAGGATTAGTAAAAGAGGAAGGAACACCTCTGTGCAGTTGAGATAAGAGGAAGGCATCTGTCTCCTGCTCGTCCCTGGGCAATGGAATGTCTCGGTGTAAAGCCCGATTGTATATTCCATCTACTGAGATAGGGGAAAACCGCCTTAGGGCTGGAGGTGGGACATACTGGCAGCAATACTGCTCTTTAAGGCATTGAGATGTTTATGTATATGCACATCAAAAGCACAGCACTTTTTTCTTTACCATGTTTATGATGCAGAGACATTTGTTCACATGTTTTCCTGCTGACCTTCTCTCTACTATTATACCCTATTATCCTGGCACATCCCCCTGTCCGGGAAATGCCTGCTAATGATCAATAAATACTAAGGGAACTTAGAGGCCGGTGCGGGCACGGGTCCTCCGTATGCTGAACGCCGGTCCCCTGGGCCCATTTTTCTTTCTCTACAATTTGTCTCTGTGTCTCTTTCTTTTCCAAGCCTCTCGTTCCACCTGACGAGAAATGCCCACAGGCGTGGAGGGGCAACCCACCCCTTCAGGAATAGATCTTGGTTTCAAGAATAGTTGGATCCTGCAGATAAAACAACGTATTCTAGAACCTTTCTCTCACTCTTGCTCTCAGAGAATTCTAAAACAAATGTGAGAAGTGTGTATGTTTGGTGATTTTGGGTAAACACATGGGAGTTTCTTCATACTATTCTTGTAGATTTTCTGTACATTTGAAATTATGTCAAATTTACAAGTTTTTTTTTTTTTTTTTTTTTTTTTTTGAGACAGAGTCTCGCTCTGTTGCCCAGGCTGGAGTGCAGTGGCACGATCTCGGCTCACTGCAAGCTCCGCCTCCCGGGTTCACGCCATTCTCCTGCCTCAGCCTCCCGAGTAGCTGGGACTACAGGCGCCTGCCACCACGCCGGGCTAATTTTTTGTATTTTTATTAGAGACGGGGTTTCACCGTGTTAGCCAGGATGGTCTCGATCTCCTGACCTCGTGATCCGGCCGCCTTGGCCTCCCAAAGTGCTGGGATTACAGTTGTGAGCCACCGCGCCCGGCTTACAAGTTTTTTTTTTTTAAGGTTGCTATCTCTTTTCATCTGTTGGCTCTATCCCTATGTTTTCTTCCTACTGCTTACTTACGTTATTTTCTATTAGTTTAACCATCCCAGAAGAAAGAGATATTTATCTTTTCCAACAGTTCCAGGGAACAACTCAGGTGAATGTCTCATTAGCATTTTGAGTCATGTGCTCATCCCTGGGCCAGTCACAGTGGCCACAGGGATGGAATGATCTGATTGGCCAGACCTGGTCACATGCCTATTTTTAGAGGCAAGGGGTGGAACCAAATCCCCAATCCTCCAAACCTCGGAGATGGATGGAGAGGGCGGAATCTGTTGCCCAAGGAAAATCAGGATGCTAATGCCCAAGTAGAGTGCCTGGATGCTGGGAAGACAAAAACAACACATAAATAGGCCATCATCTGCACTCTTGATCCCAGAAGCCCTGCTCAAAGGGAGAAGGATTAGGGGACTGAGATGAAGAGGGAGGAGCGGCACCACAGCAGTTAATAAAAAGCAACCTGTTCTGCTTCTCCAAAAAGTAGACGTTTAATAAGGTCATTTGCTCTTGCAGCACAGGACTGACAAGGGACACAACCAGTTCTGTCACAAGAGGCCCATAAACATTCAATGTAGAGGAGGACTAATTTTAAAAGATGATACAATTTTATCGGGATGAGATAAGCACTTTGTTAAGTCAGGCAGCAAAACCTGTCTTTGCTTAGTCAAACCAAGGACCCCCTCATATGAGGGACCCAGAGTATCAGAAGTATCAGCATAAACGCATCTCACTGGTTGAAGCTGGGATGACCCGCCACAGGTCGATTCTCAGTGGACTAAAAGCACTGGCAGAGGATCAGCTTGACTCTAATTCTGTGCTCCCAGACACTCTGAGAGTCTTACTACAATGCATTTTAGTCTTTTATTGTAAAAATATTACATGCTTCTTGCAAAATATTCAAACCATACAGAAGCATATACAGTAAAAAATGAAGGTTTCTCTCTCCCCAGAGTACTGTGACAGTTTGGTCATATAATTATAATAATAATAGTAATAGGGCGGGCGCGGTGGCTGAAGCCTGTAATCCCAGCACCATGGGAGGCCGAGGCAGGCGGATCACAAGGTCGGGAGATCCAGACCATCCTGGCTAACACGGTGAAACCCCGTCTCTAATAAAAATACAAAAAATGAGCCGGGCGTAGTGGCGGGCGCCTGTAGTCCCAGCTACTCGGGAGGCTGAGGCAGGAGAACGGCATGAACCAGGGAGGCGGAGCTTGCAGTGAGCCGAGATCACGCCACTGCACTCCAGCCTGGGCGACAGAGCAAGACTCCGTCTCAAAAAATAAAAATAAAAATAAAAAAATAATAATAATAGTAGCTACAACTTACATAGCACCTCCTCTGTGTTATACACTGTTATAAGCACTTTACACAGATTAACTCATTTTTCCTTCATATTAGAGTGATGTAATATTGTTCCTGTTTTACACAGGAGGAAACAAAGAGGTGAAATAGCTTGCCTAAGATCTCACAGCTACTCAGCGAGAGAATTAACTTTAAACCAGGCAGCTTAACTCCAGAGTACAAATTTTAAAATGTATTCCAGATTTTAAAATGTATATATAATTTTTAAAATTGAGTTGCAATTCACATAACACAATAGCACAATAACACAAAATTAACCATTTAAAGTGAGCAATTCAATGACATTTAGTATCTCCATCTGGTGTGCAAACACCACCTCTATCTACTTCCAAAACATTTCCATCACCCCAAAAGCAAACCCCAAAATCATTAAGCAGTCATTCCTCATTCTCCCCTGGCAAACGCTAACCTGAGTCCTGTCTTTATGATCTATCTATTCTGGGTATTTTATATAAATGAAATCATACTGTATGTGACCTTTTGTGTCTGGCTTCTTTTACTTACAATAATAATTTTTTTTTTTGAGACACAGTTTCGCTCATGTTGTCCAGGCTGGATTACAATGGCGTGATCTCAGCTCACTGCAACCTCTGCCTCCCAGGTTCAAGTGACTCTCCTGCCTCAGTCTCCCAAGTAGTTAGAATTACAGGTGCCCGCCACCACAACCGGCTAATTTTTTGTATTTTTAGTAGAGACAGGGTTTCACCACGTTGGGCAGGCTGGTCTCAAACTCCTGGCCTCAGGTGATCCACCCGCCTCAGCCTCTCAAAGTGCTGGGATTACAGGTGTGGGCCAACGTGCCCAACCAGAATAATGATTTTGAGACTGATACACTTTGTAGCATGACGCATCCTTTTTATAAAAGGATTCATTAAACCATTAAAAGCACTTCATCCCTTCAGCATTTTAATGGCTGAATAATATTTTCCATTGTATTTATATACCACAAATGTGTTCATCCATTCATTCACAGGTGACCATTTGTCTTGTTTCTACTTGTCCTAGTCAAGATCCTCCAGAGAAACAGGACCATAGAATTTTCTGTTTCTATAAAGACATTTATTTTGAGGAACTGATTCACACAATCATGGAGGATGGCAAGTCCCAAATCTGAAGGGTAGGCCAGCAGGCTGGACGCCCTGGGAAGAACTGATGTTGCTGGCAGAATTCTTTCTTGCTCAGACGAGCTCAGTCTTTGTTCTTCTAAGGCCTTCAACTGATCAGGTGAGGCACACCCACACTGTGGAGTGCAACCTACTTTACTCAAAGGCCACACATTTAAATGTTAATCTCATCTAAAACACACCCTCATCTAGAATAGTATTCAATCAAATATCTGGGCACCATGGCCCAGCCAAGTTAACACATAAACTAAACCAACACATCACCTTTTGGCTATAGGAAGACTGCTGTTATGAATATCCATGTACGAGTATTTGAGTCTCTGTTTTCAGTTCTCTTGGGTGTATACCTAGGAGTGGAATTGCTGAGTCGTGTGGCAATTCTATGTTGAACTTTTTGAGGAACTGCCAGACTGTTTCCCACAGCAAATGAACTTTTTATTCTCCCACCAACAACGTACAAGGAAATAAAAAACATCATATTTTAATTTATAAAAATCGAATTATACCACACAAGCTGCAAGGTGGTAGTTCGTTTTTATTCACTTAAGGACATATCTTGGACATCTTTCTGGGTTAGTACATTTAATTCTGCATCTCATAGCAGAAATGCTTAGAACAGGGCCTTTCCAAAGGCAAATGTTATACAAGTGAATGCTATTATTCTTTTTAATAAGTATAGCTTCTTTTTTTTTGAGACGGAGTTTCGCTCTCATCGCCCAGGCTGGAGTGCAGTGGCACGATATCGGCTCACTGCAACCTCTGCCTCCTGGGTTCAAGCAATTCTCCAGCCTCAGCCTCCAAAGTAGGTGGAATTACAGGTGCTTGCCGCCACGCCCGGCTATTTTTTGTATTTTTAGTAGAGACAGGGTTTCGCCATGTTGGCCAGGCTGGTCTCGAACTCCTGACCTCAGGTGATCCACCTGCCTTGGTATCCCAAAGTGCTGGGATTACAGGCATGAGCCACTGAGCCTGGCTAACAAGTATGTATTTTATTTAACAAGTGTAAATTTTTTTTTGAATGAAGTCACTATAATTTATTTATCTCATTCCCCACTGGTAAACATTTCAGTTACTCTCAATTTTCTTTCACTTAAAAAATACTATTCTAGTGGCTGGGCCCGTGGTGGCTCATGCCTGTAATCCCAGCACTTTGGGAGGTTGAGGTGGGTGGATCACCTGAGGTCAGGAGTTCAAGACCAGCCGTTAACATTATGAAACCCCATCTCTACTAAAAATACAAAAAATTAGCCCAGCGTGGTGGTGGTGGACGCCTGCAATTCTGGATATCTGGGAGGCTGAGACCTAAGAATCACTTGAACCCAGGAGGAGGAGGATGCAGTGAGCTGAGATCGCACCACTGCACTTCAGCCTGGGCAACAAGAGTGAAACTCCATCTCAAAAAAAAAAAAAATACTATTACAGGCATTCTTTTTAAAATTTTATTTTTATTTTTATTGAAATTAATAATTTTTTTTCTTTTAGAGGCAAGGTCTTACTCTAATGCCCAGGCCGGTCTCAAATTTTTGGGCTTTAGCAATCCTCCCACCTCAGCCTGCTGGGATTACAGGTGCAAGCCACCAGGCCCCACCAAAAAAAACGTTATTTTTAGAGATAGAGTCTCAATATGTTGTCTAGATTGGACCTGAATTGCTTGGCTCAAAAGATCCTCCTACTCCAGCCTCCTGAGTAGCTGGCACTACAGGCATGTGCCACCACACCGAGACTTTATTTAACTTTTTTTGAGATGGGGTCTCGCTGTGTCTCCCAGGCTAGAGAGCAGTGGCACAATCTTGTCTCACTGGAACCTCCACCTCCCGGGTTCAAGCCATTCTCCTACCTCAGCCTCCCAAGTAGCTGGGATTAAAGGAACCTGCCATCATGCCTGGCTAATTTTTGTATTTGTGTAGAGATGGGGTTTCACCATGTTGGCCAGGCTGGTCTTGAACTTCTGACCTCAGGTGATCCACCTGCCTCGGCCTCCCAAAGTGCTGGGATTACAGGCATGAGCCACTGTGCCTGGCCTACTTAACTTTTTTTTTTTTTTTTTTTTGAGACGGAGTCTTGCTCCATCTCCCAGGCTGGATTGCAGTGGCACGATCTTGGCTCACTGCAACCTCCACCTCCTGGATTCAAGCAATTCTCCTTCCTTAGCCTCCCAAGTAACTGGGATTACAGGCGTGCGCCATCACGCCTGGCTAATTTTTTGTAATTTTAATAGAGATGGTGTTTCACCATGTTGGTCAGGCTGGTTTTGAACTCCTGATTGCAGCTGATCCACCCGCCTTGGTCTCCTGAAGTGCTGAGATTACAGGCGTGAGCCACCGTGCCCGGCCTTAACTTTTTATTATGAGAAATATATACAAGCGGAGAGAACAGGACAACGAATGCCCATGTTCCCTCCATCCAACTACAACAATCAAAAACTTGTAACCTCTCTTTTTCTATTTCTACTCCCCTTCCCTGCCAGACTACTTTGAAGTAAGTTTGAAATGTTATATAATTTCATCTACATATATTCAGTATTTATTTGTAAAAGATAAGGACTCTTTCTTTAAACATAACCAAAATATCAGTATCACACCTAACATAAGTAACAGTAATTCCTTAATGTATACAATTAGCCAGTCAGTGTTCACATTTCCACGAATGTGTCCAACTTTTTTTTTTTTCTTTGAGACGGAGTCTCGCTCTGTCACCCAGGCTGGAGTGCAGTGGCACAATTTCAGCTCACTGTAGCCTCTGCCTCCCAGATTCAAGTGATTCTCCTGCCTCAGTCTCTTGAGTAGCTGGGACTACAGGTGCGTACCACCACATCCAGCTAATTTTTGTATTTTTAGTAGAGATGGGATTCTACCATGTTGGCCAGGATGGTCTGGATCTCTTGACCTCGTGATCCACCCATCTTGGCCTCCCAAAGTGCTGGGATTACAGGCGTGAGCCACCACACCTGGCCGATGTCTCCAACTTTTTAACATTTGGAGTTAACTGAGTCACAGTATGGACAATTGGTTGATCTATCTCTTCAATCTCTTTGAATCTATAGCTCCCCCTTTTTAATTTTTCTTGCATTTTATATATAGAAGAAACTATTATTTGCAATTTTCTTCTCTCTTTTTTTTTTTTTTTTTTGAGACAAGGTCTCCCTCCGTCACCAAGGCTGGAGTGCAATGGCGTGATCTTGGCTCACTGCAACCTCTGCCTCCCCGATTCAAGCAATCCTCTCACCTCAGCCTCCCACGTAGCTGGGCCTACAGGCATGCACCACCATATCTAGCTGATTTTTGTGTTTTTAGGAGAGAAAGGGTTTCACCATGTTGGTCAGGCTGGTCTCCAACTCCTGACCTAAAGTCATTCACCCACCTTGGCCTCCCAGAGGGCAGGGGTTACAGGCATGAGCCACTATGCCCAGACTGCAATTTTAAAGTCATTTTGAAATAGCAAGAACTTCCCCATCAGAGCCCGTGTCTGGTCCGCGTGACACCTGGGTCACTGTGTGAGGCAATCCTCATCTCTCCCCTCAACCTTTCGGTCCCAGCCTTCTCCTGGGCTGTAGCCCCTTCAGGCAGAATCAAACAAACAAACAAATACAATGAATCACTTCAACATTAAATTTGGTCAGTAATTCCTCCTCACTTCCAGAGAAGGCATGTTGAAATTGCTGGGTAGAGAGGAACTCTAGAACTCAAAAACTGACGTTGAAAAGTCATTGTAGGCCGGGCGCAGTGGATCACATCTGTAATCCCAGCAGTGTGGGAGGCCAAGGCAGGTGGATCACTTGAGGTCAGGGGTTTGAGACCTGCCTGGCTAACACAGTGAAACCCTGTCTCTACTAAAAAAAAAAAAAAAAAAAAATTAGCCAGGTGTGCTGGCACATGCCTGTACTCCTAGTACTCAGGAGGCTGAGGCAGGAGAATTGCTTGAACCCGGGAGGTGGAGGCTGCAGTGAGCCGAGATTGCACCACTGCACTCCAGCCTGGGCAGCAGAACGAGACTGTCTCAAAAATAAGTAAATAAATAAATAAAAGTAATTGTAGGCCAGGCACAGTGGCTCACGCCTGTAATCAGCATTTTGTGATGCTGAGGTGGGAGGATCACTTGAGCCCAGGAGTTCAAGCCCAGGAGTTCAAGACTAGCCCTGGCAACATAGCCAGCTCCCATATCTACAAAAACTAGCCAGGTGTGGTGTCACGCACCTGTAGTCCCAGCTATTCGGGAGGCTGAGGCGGGAGGATTGCTTGAGCCCAGGAGTTAGAGGCTGCAGTGAGCCGTGATCGTACCACTGCACTCCAGCACCTTGGAGACAGAGTGAGACTCTGTCTAAAAAAAAAAAAAAAAATCACTGTAGTGGGTTAAATAGTGGCCTCCCTTGAAAATCTGTGTTCATATCCTGTCCCCCAGAAACTATGAATATGACCGTATTTGGAGAAAGGGTCTTTGCAGATCTAATTAAGTTAAAGATCCCTAGATCGATGAGATGATTCATGATTACTGTGCCCTAAATCCAATGACAAATGTCCTTAGGAGAGACACATGGGAGAGAAGTCCATGTGAACACAGAGGCAGATACTGGAGGGATGTGGTCGCAAGCCGAGGAATGCTGACAGCCAATCAGAGGCTGGAAGGGAAAGGACAAAGTCTTCACTAGTCCCCCTAGAGAATGCACAGTCCTGCTGACACTGTGATTACAGACTTCTGGCCTCCAGCACCCTGAGAAACAGGAAGCTAATACAATGAGAAAATCAGGGTCCTGGCTGGGGAAGGAGTTTTGGGGAAACAGAGCCCTCGAATTTATACCACATAGACAGTTTTTCCCCCAACCACCTGTTGGGTGAACCCAGGCAGGAATATTCACTTCCTGCCCTGGTCACGTATAAACCAAACTGCTTTCTTTATAAAGCATCAGAGTAGGGGGCACAACAGAGCCTAAGGTCCCCAAGCTCATGCCAGATCAGCCCGGCAGGTGTGTCGCCAAGTTCTTTCAATTCACCCTTTCTGTGCAGTAGTGTCACCTCACAGCCAGGAGAAGAAGGAAGCTACCAGAAGTCTGGAATCACAGCTGGGCACTGTGACTCACGCCTGTAATCCCAGCACTTTGGGAGGCCGAGGCAGGTGGATCGTGAGGTCAGGAATTGGAGACAAGCCTGGCCAACATGGTGAAACCCCGTCTCTACTAAAAATACAACAATTAGCCAGGCATGGTGGCGGGTGCCTGTAGTCCCAGCTACTCGGGAGGCTGAGCCAGGAGAACTGCTTGAACCCGGGAAGTGGAGGTTGCAGTGAGCAGAGACCGCACCACTGCACTCCAGCCTGGGTGACAGAGTGAGAGTCTGTCTCAAAACAAAACAAAAAAAATGAAACAAAACAAAAAAAGAGTCTGTAATCATTTCTTGGGTGGTTCATTTATTTATCTGACACATACTTATCGAGTAGCCCTTTGGTGCCAGGCATTGGGCTACGTACTGGAGAAACACATGTAAATCATTACAATGCTGCATGGTAAGTGTGAGGATGGCCGAAATGGCCCAGAGAAGCGGGCTTGACCCAGACTAAAGAAAGAGAATCACAGAAGGCTTCAGAGCTGTGGGGAAGTGAGGTCTACCAAACTTCTGATATGGTAGCCACAAACCATCTGTGGCTTTTACATTTTATTTATTTATTTATTTTATTTTATTAAAAAAAGTTTTTTGAGACAAGGTCTTTCTGTGTCACCCAGGTTGGAGTGTAGTGGCGCAATTACGGCTCACTGCAGCCTCGGCCTCTCAGGCTCAAGTGATCCTCCCAGCTCAGCCTTCCAAGTAGCTGGGACTACAGGTGTGTGCCACCACACCCAGCTAAATTTTCCTAGTTGTTATAGAGATGGGGTCTCACTTTGTTGCCCAAGCTGGTGCATTTTAAGTTAACCAAAATTAAATTATAGTGTGTGTGTGTGTGTGTGTGTGTGTGTGTGTATTTTTTGTTTGTTTTTTTGTTTGTTTTGAGATGGAGTTTCACTCTTGTTGCCCAGGCTGGAGTGCAATGGCGCTATCTCGGCTCACTGCAACCTCTGCCTCCTGGCTTCAAGTGATTCTCCTGCCTCAGCCTCCCGAGTAGCTGGGATTACAGGTGCCTGCCACCACACCCGGCTAATTTTTATATTTTTAGTAGAGATGGGGTTTCACTATGTCGGCCAGGCTGGTGTCGAACTCCCGACCTCAGGTGATCTGCCTGTTTTGGCCTCCCAAAGTGCTAGGATTACAGGGGTGAGCCACTGCGTCAGGCTGGAACTGAGTTTTTAATATTACTTAATTTTAGGCCAGGCCTGGTGGCTCACGCCTGTAATCCCAGCACTTTGGGAGGCCAAGGCTGACGGATCACCTGAGGTCGGGAATTTGAGACCAGCCTGCCCAACATGGAGAAACCCTGTCTCTACCAAACATACAAAATTAGCCGGGCGTGGTGATGCATGCCTGTAATCCCAGATACTTGGGAGGCTGAGGTAGGAGAATAACTTGAATCCGTGAGGCGGAGCTTGCGGTGACCCAAGATCATGCCATTGCCCTCCAGCCTGGGCAGCAAGAGCCAAACTCTGTCTCAAAAAAAAAAAAAGGTCGGGTGCGGTGGCTCCCACCTGTAATCCCAGCACTTTGGAAGGCCGAGGCGAACGGATCACGAGGTCAGGAGATTGAGACCATCCTGGCTAACACGGTGAAACCCCGTTTCTACTAAAAATACAAACAATTAGCCGGGCGTGGTGGTGGGCACCTGTAGTCACGGCTACTTGGGAGGCTGAGGCAGGAGAATGGCGTGAACCCGGGAGGCGGAGCTTGCAGTGAGCCGAGATGGCGCCACTGCACTCCAGCCTGGGCGACAGAGCAAGACTCCGTCTCATAAAAAAAAAAAAAAGAAAGAAAGAAAGAAAAGAAATAGAAACTCAGTTCCTATTCCCGATTTCCAGAGCTCAGTGGCTGCATGCATATTACAGAATATTTCCATCACGGTAGAAAGCTCTATTGGAAGAGGCTGGTCTAGACTGAGGCCTACAAAAGAGCAGTTAGCCCTAGGAGGAAGGAAGAGCGTCTCCAGGGCTCCCTGTAAGGTGGCCTTTGCAGACTATCGCAGTTATGACTCTTGCTGGAGCTGTTGAGGCCAGTTCCTGTAGTGTCTTGCCTGCCATCTTGAATTCCCTGCTAAAGACAACGAGAAGGCATTGGAGTGTTGCGCAAGGTAAGTGACATCATCAGATTTGAGTTTTGGAGAATGAGCTGGAGGAGGAGCAAGACAGGAGGCAGGGGACCAATCAGGAGGCAGTTGCTTTCCTCCCAGACCTTAGGCCAGTCAAAATGGTAGAAATGTGCGTGGAGACATGCATGATGTACGATCTGCAGACTGCAGATTCTAGTTGGGCCTGGAAGGAGCAGGACTAACGGCAATGGCTTGAACTATTTGGAGGATGGTACTAACAGTTCCCTTTTAGGCGGAATCTGAGGACGAGAATGAGAAACTGTTTTTTTTTTTAACGTGTTGCTGCTTAAGGGAGTGGGCTTCAGTGATCTGCAGGGCCTCATTCCCTGATAACATCACCGTGACAGTTCACCACGGAAAACTCTAGAAAGACAAAACAGCATACAAAGGCCCTGAACCTGCAGAATTCCTACATGACTACAATGGGCTTTCCTTTGCTCTCTTTCAGCCTTTCCCCCAGTCCTTTACAATGGCACCTGCTTCTGTCTCCTTCTGCCACTGAATTCAAGGTCCCCTGCAAAACAGCCCCACTCTTCGTGGTTGGTTGATATGGACTCCAAATTCCGAACTCCTCAAATGTTCCTTAGACGCCCTCCAGTCTTAACTTCTCCCATGCTCTTCCCTTTGTCTGGAAATGTCTGTTCCTTCTTTTATTCCTCTAGAAATTTTTCTTTTCTTTTTTCTTTTTTTGAGATGAAGTCTCACTCTGTTGCCAGGGCTGGAGTGCAGTGGTGCAATCTTGGCTCACTGCAACCTCCGCCTCCCAGGTTCAAGCAATTCTCATGCCTTTGCCTCCCGAGTAGCTGGGATTATAGGCACCCACCACCACACCCAGCTGATTTTCCTATTTTTAGTAGAGATGTAGAGATGGGGTTTCACCATGTTGCCCAGGCTGGTCTCGAACTCCTGAGCTCAGGCAATACTCCCACCTCGCATTACCTAAGTGCTGGAATTACAAGCGTGAGCCACCACACCTGGCCTAAAATAAAGTTATACCTATGAAATTAAAATATGTGGCTGGGTGTGGTAACTCACACCTGTAATCGCAGTTCTTTGGGAGACCAAGGTGGGAGTATCGCCTGAGTCCAGGAGTTTGAGACCAGCCTGGGCAAAGGGCAAGACCTGTCTCTACAAAAAATAATTAAAAAAACCAATTAGCCAAGTCTGCTGGCGCATGCCTGTAGTTCCAGCTACTCGGGAGGCGGAAGTGGGAGAATCACCTGAACCCAGGAGGTCAAGGCTGCAGTGAGCCAAGATCACGCCAGTGACCCCAGCATGGGCAACAGAGTGGGACCGTGTCTCATAAAATAAAATAAAAGCCGGGCGCACTGGCTCACGCCTGTAATCCCAGCACTTTGGGAGGCTGAGGCGGGCGGATCACTTGAGGTCGGGAGTTTGAGACCAGCCTGACCAACATGGAGAAACCCCATCTCTACTAAAAATACAAAATTAGCCGGGCGTGGTGGCACATGCCTGTAATCCCAGCTACTAGGGAGGCTGAGGCAGGAGAATCGCTTGAACCTGGGAGGCGGAGGTTGCGGTGAGCCGAGATCGTGCCATTGCACTCCAGCCTGGGCAACAAGAGTGAAACTCCGTCTCAAAAAATAAAATAAAATAAAATAAAATAAAAATATGTGTATACATTACTCTGTATCACCTAATATCATTTCACATATCATCTGTGGTGTGTCTAATTCATTGTGGAAAATATTACTTTAAACCACGTATTCTATTTGTTTTACTTTATTGTTATGTATCCTAGGCCTTCCTTATCTGTGGTTTTGCTTTCCGGGGCTTTCAGTTACCTGTGGTCAGCTATGGCACAAAAATATTCAGTGGAAAATTCCAGAAACAAACACAAGTTTTAAATGGCATAGCATTCTGAGTAGCATGATGAAGTCTCTCGCCATCCCTGCTCGGGATGTGAATCCTCTCTTTCCCAGCGTATCTACACTGTAGACGCTACCGACCTGGTAGTCACTTAGTAGCTGTTCCCAGATCCAAAACCCACAGGGCACATAGATCTCGGTGCCGTCTGCAGTTTCAGTCATCCACTGGGGTCTTGGAACATCTTTCCCACAGATAAGGGGGGACTACTGTGCTTGTCTTATTTCCCCGACTCAACACTCAGCTCCAGGTGACAGATAAACTCTTCCTCATTTTGGGTGTCCTGAAGCATCTAGAAAACACTTTAGAGGTCGCTTCAATAAATATATATATTTTTTGAGACAGGATCTCATTCTGTTGCCCAGGTTGGTGTGTGGTGGCACAGTCTTGGCTCCCTGCAACCTCCACCTCCCGGGTTCAAGTGATTCTCCTGCCTCAGCCTCCAGAGTAGCTGGGATTGCAGGTGCCTGCAACCACGCCTGGCTAAATTCTGTATTTTTTATAGAGACAGGGTTTCACCATGTTGGCCAGGCTGGTCTCAAACTCCTGATCTCAAATGATCTGCCCACCTCAGCCTCCCAAAGTGCTGGGATGGCAGCCATGTATCACCACACCCAGCTCATTTTTCTTTTTTTTCTTTCTTTTTTTTTTTTTTGGTAGAGTTGGGGTTTCGCCATGTTGTCCAGGCTGGTCTCTAACTCCTGGGCTCAAGAGATCCACCTGCCTCAGCCTCCCAAGATGCTGGGATTACAGGCATGAGCCACCGCACCCAGCCCTTTCCTTTCTTTTTAAGTCAGAATAGTGTTCCATTGTGTGTATAGACCACATTCTGTTTATCTGTTTATCAGCTGATGGACTCCTGGGCTGCTTCTGCCTTTTGGCTATTGTGACCATACTGCTATGAACATGAGTGTACAAATACCTGTTCAAGTCCCTGCTTTCAATTCTTTCAGGCATATATCCAGAAGTAGAATTGCTGGATCTCAATATTTTTAGTAACTGCCGCATTGTTTTCCATATTTTGCATTCCCACCAACAATGCACAAGGGTTTCAGTTTCTCCACAATTTTGCCAATGCTTATTTTCTGTGTTTTTTTGTTTGTTTGTTTGTTTTGTTTTTTAGAGAGAATCTCGCTCTGTCGCCCAGGCTGGAGTGCAGTGGTGTGATCTCGGCTCACTGCAACCTCTGCCTCCCAGGTTCATGCCATTCTCCTGCCTCAGCCTCCCGAGTAGCTGGGACTACAGTTGCCCACCACTATGCCTGGATCATTTTTTTGTGTTTTTAGTAGAGACAGGGTTTCACCGTGTTAGCTGGGATGGTCTCGATCTCCTGACCTCGTGATCCGCCTGCCTCGGCCTCCCAAAGTGCTGGGATTACAAGCATGGGCCACCGCACCCAGCCTTTTTTCTTTTTTTTTAACCAATAACCATCCTAATGTGTGTGAAGTGGTATCTTGTGGTTTTGATTTAGATTTCCCTAGTGAAATAGTAATATTGAGTATCTTAGTGGCAAATGTGTTTATTGGCCATTTGTATATCTTTGGAGATAGGCCTATTCAAGTCGTTTGCCTTTTTCTTCTTTTCTTTTTTTTCTTTCTCTTTTTTTTTTTTTTTTTTTTGTGATGGAGTCTCACTCTGTTGCCCATGCTGGAGTCCAGTGGCACATTCTTAGCTCACTGCAGCCTCCGCCTCTGGGGTTCAAGCAATTTTCCTGCCTCAGCCTCCTGAGTAGCTGGGACTACAGGTGTGTGCCACCACATCCAGCTAATTTCTTTATTTTTATTTTTGTTTTATTTTATTTATTTATTTTTTTGAGACAGAGTCTCACTCTGTCACCCAGGCTAGAGTGCAGTGACTCAATTTCGGCTCACTGCCAGCTCTACCTCCCGGGTTCATACCATTCTCCTGCCTCAGCCTCCCGAGTAGCTGGGACTATAGGCACCTGCCACCATGCCTGGCTCATTTTTTATATTTTTAGTAAAGACGGAGTTTCACCATGTTAGCCAGGATGGTCTCAATCTCCTGACCTTGTGATCCACTGGTCTCAGCCTCCCAAAGTGCTGGGATTACAGGCGTGAGCCACTGTGCCCGGTCTATTTTTTAATTAGGTTGTTTTTTGTTGATATTGTACTTGATTTGTAAGAGCTCTTTGTATATTTCGGATATTAATCCCTTATCACATATATGTGGTTTGCAAATACTTTCTCCCATCCCATGGATTGCCTTGTATATTAGTCCACTTTCACACTGCTGATAAAGACATATCCAAGACTGAGCAATTTACAAAAGAAAGAGGTTTAATGGGCTCACAGTTCCACGTGGCTGGGGAGGCCTCACAATCATGGTGGAAGCTGAAAGGCACATCTCACATGGCAGCAGACAAGAAAAAGGAGCTTGTGCAGGGAAACTCCCCTTTACAAAACCATCAGATCTTGTGAGACTTATTCACTATCACAAGAATAGCACAGAAAAGTCCTGCCCCCTGGTTCAATTACCTCCCACTGGGTCCCTCCCACATCATGTGGGAGTTATGGGGGCTACAATTCAAGATGAGATTTGGGTGGGGACACAGCCAAACCATATCACCTTGTCTATTTTTTTGTTTGTTTGTTTTGTTTTTATTTTTAATGTGGAGTCTCAGTCACCCAGGCTGGAGTGCTGTGGTGCAATCTCAGCTTACTGCAACTTCTACCTCCCAAGTTCAAGGGATTCTCCTGCCTCAGCCTCCCAAGAAGCTGAGACTACAGATGTGTGCCACCAGACCCAGCTAATTTTTGTATTTTTAGTAGAGATGAGGTTTCACCATGTTAGCCAGGCTAGCCTCAAACTCCTGACCTCAAGTGATCTGCCTCCCTCGGCCTCCCAAAGTGCTGGGATGACAGGCGTGAGCCACTGCACCTGACCTCACCTTGTCTGTTGATAGTGAGTGTCCTTTGAGGCACAAAGGTTTTACTTTTGGTGGAGTCCAATTTATCTATTTTTTCTTTTGTTCCTTGTGTTTTTGGCATCATATCCAAAAATCATTGCCTTAGTCAATGTCATTAAGCTTTTCCCCTATGTTTTCTAAGAGTTTTATAGTTTTAGCTTTTACATCTAGATCTTGGATATATTTTGAATTAATTTTTAGATTTATTTATTTATTTTTGAGACGGAGTCTCATTCTGTCACCGAGGCTGGAGTGCTGTGGCTGCAATCTCAGCTCACTGCAACTTCTGCCTCCCCAGTTCAAGCAATTCTCCTGCCTCAGCCTCCCAGGTAGCTGGGATTACAGGTGCTCGCCACCACACCTGGCTAATTTTCATATTTTTAGGAGAGATGGGGTGTCACCGTGTTGGTCAGGCTGGTCTTGAACTCCTGACCTTGTGATCCACCCACCTCACCTCTCAAAGTGCTGGGATTACAGGCATGAGCCACCGCGCCCAGCCTATTTATTTTTTTAGATGGAGTCTTGCTCTTGTCCTCCAGACTGGAGTGCAATGGTGCGATCTCGGCTCACTGCAACCTCCGCCTCCAAGCTTCTAGCAATTCTCCTGCCTCACTCTCGCGAGTAGCTGGGACTACAGGTGCTTGCCACCACACTGGCTAATTTTTATATTTTTAATAGAGATGGAGTTTTACCATGTTGGCCAGACTGGTCTTGAACTCCTGATTCCAGGTGATCTGCCCTCCTCGGCCTCCCATAGTGCTGGGATTACAGGTGTGAGCCACTGCCTGGCCAGTTTTGTTTTTTTTTTTTTTTTTTTTCTGAGACAGATTCTCACTCTGTGGCCCAGGCTGGAGTGCAGTGGTGCAATCTTGGCTCACTGCAACCTCCACCTCCTGGGTTCAAGCGATTCTTGTGACTCGGCCTCTGGAATAGCTGGGACTACAGGCATGCACCACCATGACTGGCTAATTTTTTTTTTTTTTGAGACAAAGTCTCACTCTTGTCCCCTAGGCTGGAGTGCAATGGCGCTATCTCGGCCCACTGCAACCTCCGCCTCCCAGGTTCAAGCGATTCTCCTGCCTCAGCCCCCCAAGTAGCTGGGATTACAGGCACCTGCCACCACACCCGGCTAGTTTTGGTATTTTTAGTAGAGACAGGGTTTTCACCATGTTGGCCAGGCTGGTCTCGAACTCCTGACCTCAGGTGATCCACCCACCTCCGCCTCCCAAAGTGCTGGGATTATAGGAGTGAGCCACCACTCCCGGCCACGACCGGCTAATTTTTGTAGTTTTAGTAGAGTTGGGGTTTCACCATGTTGGGCAGGCTGGTCTCGAACTCCTGATCGCAAGTGATCTGCCTCCCAAAGTACTGGGATTACAGGCATGAGCCTAGATAGATCTAAATTTGGTGCACAAAGGAATAGGGCACCACAGCATGATCTTGAGCAGGAAGTCCAAGAAGAGAGAGACAGCATCTTCTTGAAGCCCTGGGGTAGAATAAGATCAGATTGTACGTGAAAAACCAGTAGGCTTTTGGGGTGGGTGCGGTGGCTCACGCCTGTAATCCCAGCACTTTGAGAGGCTGAGGCAGGCAGATCGCTTGAACCCAGGAGTTCAGGACCAGCCTGACCAGTATGGTGAGACCTTGTCTCTACAAAATATACAAAAATTAGCCAGGCATGGTGGCACGTGCCTGTGGTCCCAGCAACTTGTGAGGCTGAGGTGGGAGGATCACTTGAGCCTGGGAAGCACAGGCTGAAAGGAGCTACATTTGTGCCACTGCACTCCAGCCTTAGCGACAGAGCCAGACTCTGTCTCAAAACATACAAACCAAAAAAACCAGTAGACTTTCAGAGGAATAGATGCCATTTTTTTCTTCCTTAATCCTCTGCCTTACAGCTAATTCTACAGCCACAAAAAGAAAAAAAAAAAAGAGAGAGAAGAAGGTGATTTGACAAGACAAAGGATTTAGAAAAGAAAGGCAGGTGTTAGTCATGTGGAAAAAAAAGGAAGTATTTGTGTTTACAAGAATCCCGACAGTATCTGAGAATGTAGAATGAAGAATATTTTCCATTTGTTAAAAAATCCAGGCTAAGCATGTGAAGTACTCAGGGTTACCCCTCTGACCTCATCTTGGGGTGTTTCAACCTACCATGGTTACCCCTGTTAGTTAACACCTTATCACAGAATCACAAAGGCCCACAGAGTGAAAGTGGTTACAATGAGCTCTCATGAAAAGTAGGAGTTAGGCTTGGCATGGTGGCTTACACCTGTAATGTCAGCACATTTGAGAGGTCAAGGTGGGTGGATCACTTGAGCCCCGGAGTTTGAGACCTGGACAACATGGCAAAACCCCGTCTCTACAAAAAATACAAAAATTAGCTGGGCATGGTAGCATGCACCTGTAGTCCCAGCCACTCAGGAAGCTAAGGTAAGAGGATGGCTTGAGCCTGGGAGGTTGAGGCTACAGTGAGCCAAGACAGAGCCACTGCACTCCAGCCTGGACAACAGAGCCAGACTCTGTCTCAAAAAAAAAAGAAAGAGAGAGAGGGAGGGAGGCAGAGAGGGAGAGAGAGAGAGACAGAGAGAAAGAGAGAGAGAGAAAGAAAGAAAAGAAAGAAAGAAAGAAAGAAAGACGGAAGGAAAGAAAGAAGGAGAAAAGTAGGAGTTAGTCATCCAGGCCAAGAGTATGAAGTTTGTCTTCAAAGAACTCCTGAATTTGTGGGGGAACTAGATATAGACGTTTGACGAACACGTTTTTATTTATTAGAGGTTATGAGACTAGCGAGTAGGGTGGAAGGAGGAAAGTGGCAGGAAAATCATACTGGAAAGGTAGGTTGGGAACCAACTGTGAAGGACCTTGTACGTCAATCCAAGGAATGTGACCTTCAACCTAGAGCAAGAGGTGACAAACTCAAAATCCCACAGAGACTAGGCTTGCCAATGAGGAAAGCCAACCAGGTGTAAGGCAATAGGGAGTGGTGGGGACTGTGGCAAACAGTAAAGCTCATTCTCTGTCTACAGGGGCTCATTCTCTGTCTCTACTCCATCTACTCTAAGCTCCAGCTGATTGTTTCCATGTGGGAGTGTCGGTCCAGTGTGGCCAGATCTTCCAGTGTTCTAAGAGACAACAGAAATCCAGGTTTTTATAGGACTGCACCAGGTTTTAAAAACATATCGGCCAAGCCAGGCTGGTTTTTAAACCAGATATGGTCCACAGGCCATCATTCTAGCCCCTTGGCAGATTGAAGGGAGCTAGTGAAGATTTTTAAGTGAAAAAAGGTATATGATAATATCTGTGCTTCAGAAAAATCAGATTATTGTGTAGAAGATGACTTACAGGAAATAGATGAGAGGAAGGGAAACCAGTTAGGAAACTGTTTCAACAGTTCAGGTGGGAAGTGACTGCGGTCTGTGCTAGGGCGAGGCAGGGGAGAATGTGGGTGGACAGATTTGGAGTCCAGCATCCAGTGGGAAGAATTTAGCTTCAGTGTGCATCTAGAAGACAGACACATTCTTTCAATGCACCCCCTCTTTTCCGCCCCATTTTTTTTTTTTGAGACAGAGTTTCTTTCTGTCACCCAGGCTGGAGTTCATTGGCACGATCTCGGCTCACTGCAACCTCCACCTCCCGGGTTCAAGTGATTCTCCTGCCTCAGCCTCCTGAGTAACTGGGATTACAGACACATGCCACAACACCTGACTGATTTTTGTATATTTTTAGTAGAGATGGGGTTTCACCATGTTGGCAAGGCTGGTCTTGTACTCCTGACCTCAAGTCATCCACCTGCCTCGGCCTCCCAAAGTGCTGGGATTATAGATGTGAGCCACCGCGACTGGCCTCCACCCCATTTTCTTCTTTCTTTCTTTTTTCTTTTTCTTTTTCTTGTTGTTTTGTTTGTTTGTTTGTTTGTTTGTTTTAGACGGAGTCTGGTTCTGTCACCCAGACTGGAGTGCAGTGGCGCAATCTTGGCTCCCTGCAAGCTCTGCCTCCCGGGTTCACGCCATTCTCCTGCCTCAGCCTCCCGAGTAGCTGGGACTACAGGCGCCCGCCACCACGCCTGGCTCATTTTTTTGTATTTTTAGTAGAGACGGGGTTTTACCGTGTTAGCCAGGATGGTCTCCATCTCCTGACCTGGTGATCCGCCCGCCTGGGCCTACCAAAGTGCTTGGATTACAAGCGTGAGCCACCGCGCCCGGCCTCCACCCCATTTTCTAAACTGGAAGCTGAAAGGCACAGGGCAGATTAATAATCCTTAAAGCCAAAGGACAGGAAATTTTAGCAAAGACTCCAATTTTTTGTGCAGTCTAATGTTACTCATGATTGCTTTAGAGATGGACTCCTTAATCAACTCCTCCAATCCTCTTCCGCCCCCAGGGGGCAGTTTTAATTGATGGGCTCAGCACATAATTGAAATTAAAAACGTACATCTCATGGTGTTTGGCTCATTCAACAGCCAATGGAAACTCAGGGCCAAATCTTTGTAAAAGTTCTAGGCTCTGCTTCCCAGCAGAGGGGGAAACCGGCTCCCAAAGAGGCCGTTTTGTGGAGACAGACATATGAGAAGTGGGCTTCAGATCTATTTCATGGTCTTGGTGGTTGTGCAACTGGCCACTTTGGTTCACGGAAGGATGTAAAGGGCAGGGAGGTGGGAATAGAGCGGGGGAAAGGTGACTCCCGTCAAAGAATTTTTCTAACATCCATCAAGTATCGTGATTAGAACTTTTCTCTCCGCAGACTCCTCCAATTTTTGAGCGCGGTATTTTTCGGCACAGGAAATGGCCCGGAGGAGCTGCAGAGCAAAGCCTCCCCTCTCTGGCACCGCATGGGAGTGCCCCGTGGGATGAGGGAGAGGACAAGGCAGTCAGGCAAAGGTTACGGGAGGAAAGCAAAGGCAGGAGCCCAGAACCACTCCAGGAAATGTTTGGATTTCTCCACCAGGAGGGAGGACAAACAAGCTTTCTTCTTGCCTTCTGGGCAGCTTTGTGTGCTCTCCAGCACGGAGTCCGAGGAGGAACAGCGAAGCTGAAAATGAAAATTACTCTGGCGCTGGACCCAATCGCTCCTCTACGGCATCAATCTCATCGGACCCCCCCACCCTACCGCCTCTCAGAAATGACCACTTTTGCAAAATTGCATGCATTTCCAAGCTTCATCCGGCTCCAGGCTTGGCCTCTCCCAGAGGCAGGCGGCTTGTGAGACGGGCTCCAGAGAAAGGACCTCCCTGGGTCTCTCATTTCCTGGCTGAAGTTTCTCTTCTCGCTGCTGTGGCAGCATCCAACCCACACACACAGGACCCGCATCCTGGGTGATGAAGTCAGACACGCAGCAGCTGGGTGAGTGCTAACGCTCAGATAAGCATCTGTGCCATTGTGGGGACTCCCTGGGCTGCTCTGCACCCGGACACTTGCTCTGTCCCCGCCATGTACAACGGGTCGTGCTGCCGCATCGAGGGGGACACCATCTCCCAGGTGATGCCGCCGCTGCTCATTGTGGCCTTTGTGCTGGGCGCACTAGGCAATGGGGTCGCCCTGTGTGGTTTCTGCTTCCACATGAAGACCTGGAAGCCCAGCACTGTTTACCTTTTCAATTTGGCCGTGGCTGATTTCCTCCTTATGATCTGCCTGCCTTTTCGGACAGACTATTACCTCAGACGTAGACACTGGGCTTTTGGGGACATTCCCTGCCGAGTGGGGCTCTTCACGTTGGCCATGAACAGGGCCGGGAGCATCGTGTTCCTTACGGTGGTGGCTGCGGACAGGTATTTCAAAGTGGTCCACCCCCACCACGCGGTGAACACTATCTCCACCCGGGTGGCGGCTGGCATCGTCTGCACCCTGTGGGCCCTGGTCATCCTGGGAACAGTGTATCTTTTGCTGGAGAACCATCTCTGCGTGCAAGAGACGGCCGTCTCCTGTGAGAGCTTCATCATGGAGTCGGCCAATGGCTGGCATGACATCATGTTCCAGCTGGAGTTCTTTATGCCCCTCGGCATCATCTTATTTTGCTCCTTCAAGATTGTTTGGAGCCTGAGGCGGAGGCAGCAGCTGGCCAGACAGGCTCGGATGAAGAAGGCGACCCGGTTCATCATGGTGGTGGCAATTGTGTTCATCACATGCTACCTGCCCAGCGTGTCTGCTAGACTCTATTTCCTCTGGACGGTGCCCTCGAGTGCCTGCGATCCCTCTGTCCATGGGGCCCTGCACATAACCCTCAGCTTCACCTACATGAACAGCATGCTGGATCCCCTGGTGTATTATTTTTCAAGCCCCTCCTTTCCCAAATTCTACAACAAGCTCAAAATCTGCAGTCTGAAACCCAAGCAGCCAGGACACTCAAAAACACAAAGGCCGGAAGAGATGCCAATTTCGAACCTCGGTCGCAGGAGTTGCATCAGTGTGGCAAATAGTTTCCAAAGCCAGTCTGATGGGCAATGGGATCCCCACATTGTTGAGTGGCACTGAACAAGCAGACCAACAACACTGAGGAAGATAGAGTGGTGACTTAGAATTAACTCGTGCTAAGGGGTCGGGGGCTTTGAAAATGCCACCCCCCTTTCTTATTGCAAGACGGCTTCTCGCACATGAACTGCATCCTTCTCATTCTGTCGGAAATGAAATTCACACAACTATACCTTTTGGGGAGGTTCCAGTTGATTGAAGTGAGTTGGCTGCATTTTCTTATCTGATCACAATGGCAGGGGACAGAATGTGCATGGAGTGGAGCATGTGTGTGTTGGGAGGGGGGCTAGGAACTGCACAGCCCTTGTGTAATTTTCGTTGTTTGTTTTTGTTTTGAGACAGAGTCTCACTCTGTGTCCCAGGCTGGAGTGCAGTGGCACAGTCTCGGCTCACTGCAACCTCTGCCTCCCGGGTTCAAGCAATTCTCCTGCCTCAGCCTCCCGAGTAGCTGGGATTAGAGGCGCCAGCCAACACACCCGGCTAATTTTTGTATTTTTAGTAGAGACAGGGTTTTGCCATGTTGGCCAGGCTGGTCTCGAGCTCCTGACCTCAGGTGATCCGCCTGCCTTGGCCTCCCAAAGTGGTGGGATCACAGGCGTGAGCCACCGTGCCTGGCCTCCCCTGTGTCATTTTAAATGGCTAAGTAAATGGGTATATGTGTTTGAATGGGGCATGTTCACTCTCTTAGGGGCTATGGGGCAGTTAGCAGCATTTCCTATCCTCTGACCTTAAATCATTCCTTATCTCAGAAAACAGAAACCGGGCTCAGTCAATCAATGCTTTATTTCAGGCCGAATGAGGCTCTTTAGATTGGGATCTATTGATCTATCAATTTTCATCTTTACATTTCTTTGTACATCTGTACATTTTGTCCAAATGTACATCTGTACGTCTGTCATCATTGTGACTTCCTGGTAGCCCAAGAAGAACAACAACAAAACAATCTGCTCTGACCTTCTTCAAATCTTTGTATTTCAAAGAAGGTGCTGAGGGATCTGTTTCCTTGCCCTGGCTTCTCCAGTGGGATGTGCTGAGTCCAATACAATTGCTTTTATAATTGCTTTTGACAACTTGTCATGTGACTGTGAATTGAAATTATTCACTTATTTTCCAAGTATTTACTGAATTCGTATTTGGTGGCAGGCAGTATACTGTGTAATTTTTAGTGGAGGGTCATTAGTCAACTCTTATGTGACAGTAAAGTTTTTTGGGGGGGTGGGGACAGAGAAGTTAAGAGCTTTCATCCTTTCACGGAATACAGTTTCTAGACCGATTCTGTGTGAACATCAGTTTTGTCCTCTTATTGCAAGACTCCCTCATACACATGAGTTTCCCAAATGTGTACCTGGACCCCTCGAAACAGAGGACTCTACGAAATGACAAGCTGCCCCTGCCCTGAATTAGGGGGAAACATTCCAGGCCAACTCTAGCTCCTTTCTCAAGCTACAAAGTGGTGAACATGGTTCTCAACTCCTTAATTTATACTCTCTCAAATGCCCAGGATACTCTACCCACTTAAGAACCTTGCCAACTTCTGGGGGTTGGGCATGGTGGCTCACGCTTGTGATCCCAGCACTTTGGGAGACTGAGGCGGATCACCTGAGGTCAGGAGTTCTAGACCAGCCTGACCAACATGGAGAAACCTCGTCTCTACTAAAAATTCAAAATTAGCCTGGTGTGGTGGCGCATGCCTATAATCCCAGCTATTCGGGAGGCTGAGGCAGGAGAATCACTTGAACCGAGGAGGTGGAGGTTGCGGTGAGGTGACATCGTGCCATTGCACTCCAGACTGGGCCACAGGAGTGAAACGCCGTCTCAAAAAAAAAAAAGAACTTTGCCAACTTCTAGTTCTTTGGCCTCAAAACACCCCTCTAGGCTGTCCCTATTATTCCTTTTTTCAGAGGCACTGTGCAGCCTAGTGATGAAAAGTACGAGCTATAGAGCATTAGAAGCATCGAAGTTTGAATCTCAGCTCAAGCATTTACTAGGCCTGTGATCTTAGGGCAGCTTGTGTTTTTAGACACTGAATCTTGCTCTGTTGCCCAGGCTGGAGTGCAGTGAGTGGCATGATCATAGCTCACTGCAGCCTCAAACTCCTGGGCTCAAGTGTTCCTCCCACCTCAGCCTCCTGAATAGCTGGGAGTACAGGCATAAGCCACCACACTCAGCTAATTTTTAAATTTTTTTTATAGAGACGAGGTCTCACTCACTGTGTTGCCCAAGCTGGTCTCAAACTCCTGGCCTCCAGCAATCCTCCCACCTTGGCCTCCCAAAGTATTGCGATTGCCAGCATGAGCCACTGCTCCCAGCCTGGCATATATATAGATATATATAGAGATATATAGATATCTATCTATCTATATATATATATATTTTTTTTTTTTTTTTTGAGACAGAGTCTTGCTCTATCACCCAGGCTGGAGTACAGTGGCCCAATCTCAGCTCACTGCAAGCTCTGCCTCCTGGGTCCACGCCATTCTCCTGCCTCAGCCTCCAGAGTAGCTGGGACTACGGGCGCCCCACCACCACGCCCGGCTAATTTTTTGTATTTTTAGTACAGACGGGGTTTCATTGTGTTAGCCGGGATGGTCTTGATCTCCTGACTTGTGATCCGCCTGCCTCGGCCTCCCAAAGTGCTTGGATTACAGGTGTAAGCCACCGCACCCCGCCCAGCCTGGCAGATTTTATTTAATCATTTGTAGCTTCATTTTCCTCGTCTGTCAAACAGGGATACTGTAATACAACCTCAGTGTGTCATTGGGCAGTTTAAATGAATGTACATTCCTGAGGCATCAGAACTTTGTTCACTGTTATATACCCAATGCCTAGAAGAGGACCTGCACATAGCAGGTGCTCAGTAAATGTTTGTTGAATGAATGATTAAGTGCATGTAAAGCATTAAGCATAGCGCCTGGCAGTAAGTGCTCAATATTATGACTTCTTATATTAACACGTTTTACATATAAAGAAATGGAGGCAAGAAAGCATTTCCTTTGGGGTTTAGAGCGCTTAAGTTGTTCCTCTGTTATCATGCCTGAATTCCCCCGCCCCTCAGTTACCTGGGGAAGAGTAAAGGCAAGAATTCTTACCAGCATTAGTCATACATCCTCCTGATAGGAATCTGCGAAAACACACACTTCTGCTTTTAGTTCTATTCTTAGAATTCTCTCCTGGGCTGTTGCTCCTTTGTTCCTTCATTGTAATAAAAATGGATTCTGAAAGCAAATCTGTGTCCTGTGTGTGACTCTAGGTCAAAGGACCCCTAGGATTTTGCCCTCCAAGGAAAAAAAGCTAAAATATCTAGAACTGCATGGCAGGCAGGCAGGCAGAGGTTCTCACCAAAAAAACAGCAAGCACAAACAAAAAGAAAAATCAAATCCAAACTGAAATACAGTCTTGATTCTAAATTTGCTTCCCTTTTTACGTTCGCAGAATGTGACGAAAAATACATCTTAGCAAGAAGTTTCTTTGGACATTGTAAAGAAGTGGAGTATAGCTTTGTTGACAACACTTTGTTTAAACTATCTGAAACAGGAAAATGATTGTTTTAGAGGAAAATGTGTTCTCCCTCTTTTTTTTTTTTTTTTGGTGAGATGGGGTCTCACTGTGTTGCCCAGGCTGGAGTGCAGTGGTGTGATCATGGCTCACTGCAACCTCGACTTCCAGGCTCAAGCGATCCTCCCACCTCAGCCTCCCTAGTAGCTGGGGCCACAGGTACACTCCACCATGTCCAGCTAATTTTTCTGTAATTTTTGTAGAGATGGGGTCTCATTATGTTGCCGAGGCTCCTCTCAAACTCCTGGGTTCAAGTGATCCTTCCTCCTTGTTCCTCCTTTTAGAGTCTTTCAGGAAAAGTCACATGAAAGCTGGAAGAGCTATAAGTCTATAGGGATGATGTGGAAAAAACAAGAGGTGTCTTTTATTCGTGCTAACCATGGTAAAACTTTCAGTTTTGGTCTATTCTCGGAATGGATTTCCTTACCCTTTATTAAAACCAAAATGTTTAACATGGCATCTGAAGGTTACTAAAGTGCAGCAGCTCCTTGGAGGGGATTAGAACTCTGAGGCACAAGGGCTTGAGCCAGTTGTTCTCAAGGTGGAGACTTGGCTGCACTGTGAGGCGTGGTCTCTACCTGTTGGCTTCCCAGGCCTTCTGATTCACAGAGGTTTCTGATACGATTCAAGAAAGACTCCATCATCACAACGAGTGCATAAATGGCTTCAAGATCAGCGACCTACTTTGCAGGCCCCAGTGAAAAATGAAAATGTGGGGTCCCTTGTTCAAAAGGTGTTAATGGCTGAGCGAGGTGGCTCATGCCTGTAATTCCAGAGCTTTGGGAGGTCGAGGCGGGAGGATCACTTGAGGCCAAGAGTTTGACACCACTCTGGCCAACATGGTGAGACTCCATCTCTACAAAAATTTTAAAAATTAGCCAGGTGTGGTGGTGCGTGACTGTAGTCCTAGCTACTTGAGAGGCTGAGGTGACAGGATCCCTTGAGACCAAGAAGTAGAGGCTTCAGTGAGCTACGATCATGCCACTAAATTAAAAAAAATTTTTTTTTCAGACAGTCTCGCTCTGTTGTCCAGGCTGGAGTGCAGTGGGGCGCATCTTGGCCCACTGCAACCTCCCCCTCCCTGGTTCAGGCGATTCTCCTGCCTCAGCCTCTTGAGTAACTGGGACAACAGGCGCATGCCACCGCAGCAGGCTAATATTTTTATATTTTTAGTAGACACAAGTTTTCACCATATTGGCCAGGCTGGTCTTGAACTCCTAACCTCGTGATCCACCCACCTCAGCCTCACAAAGTGCTGGGATTACAGGTGAGAGCCACTGCGCCAGGCCAAAATTTTTTTTAAATAATAAAAAGTATTAAGAATTTTGAAGATGGTAGCACAGGGCCCTTCTGAGCTCATCCACGAAGCAGAGGCTGTAAGTTTACACACATTTATTTATTTATTATATATATTTCTGCTATATAATTTTTACATATGACATGTTGTTTATCGTCATATTTACCATATTATATGTCATATTTATATATGTACATTATATAATATAAATATATAATTATTTATATATTAGAGAGAGATGGAATAGAATAAACAGATGAAACAGATGGGCTCACATATGAGCCAAATCTGTATTCGGGTTTCTGTGTATTGGACTATAAAATGACATAGAGGGAGGGGGGTAAATATTTTATTCCTTATAAGGATTCATTCATTCATTTCCTATTTCAAGGTACATTAATGAAGCACTAGCTCTATACTGGACACAGTAGAAACATAAATGAAAAACATAGCCACGGGGCCCATTGTAGAAACCAAGGGAAAAAATAAAATTAGAAAATAAAAAATTATAAAATATGGCCAGGGGTGGTGGCTCACATCTGTAATCCCAGCTGTTTGGGAGGCCGAGGTGGGCAGATCACTTGAGGTCAGGAGTTCAAGACCAGCCTGGCCAACATGGTGAAACCCCGTCTCTACTAAAAATACGAAAATTAGCTGGGTGTGGTGGTGTGTGCCTATAATCCCAGCTACTCAGGGGGCTGAGGCAGGAGAATCGCTTGAGCCTGGGAGGCAGAGGTTGTAGTGAGCTGAGATCACACCACTGCACTCCAGCCTGGGCGACCAAGCAAGACTCTGTCTCAAAAATAAAATAAAATAATACAATTATCCTGTGGGACCCTGTGTTTGGCACTTTCACACAGGGTCCTGCAGGAGAATCCAGGGCCCTTACTCCTGTCTTAGTCGTCTCAGAGGAAGTAGCTTGCAAACTCGGCTCTGAAGGATGGACAGGAAGCCACCAGGGACACAGTGGGGAAGGGTATTCCAGGCAGATGTAGAAAGGTGAAAAAGAGCCAAGTGTTTGGGAAATGCAGGAAGACCAATAGGGCAGGAACGAAAAGTCCAGGCTGGGGCTGCGACCACTCGGTAAGACGTGAAGCCATGAGGTCAGCCGAGGAGGGAAGGGTCTGTTGTCTGTTCTAACCCTTAGCGTGACAGAAGATTCATGAATAGACTTTCAGATTCCTCTCTATCTTGTTTTTCTTTTTGTTGTTGAGACAGGGTGTTGCTCTGTCACCCAGGCTGGGGTGCAGTGGCATGATCTCAGCTCATTGTAACCTTGAACCCCTGGACTCCAGCAATCTGCCTCCCTCAGCCTCCCAAGTAGCTGGGACCACAGGCATGTGCCACCATGCCCAGCTAATTTTGGTATTTTTTGTAGAGACCAGGTCTTGCTGTGTTGCCCAGGCTGGTCTTGAACTCCTGAGTTCAACGGATCCACCCACCTTGGCCTCCCAAAGTGCTGGGATTACAGGTGTGAGCCACCATGCCTGGCCTCTTACATTTCCTTCTAAGAGTTTTTTAGATTTAGCTCTTACATTTAGGTCGTAACCCAAGTTGAGTTAATTTCTGTGTACCGTGTAGCAAAGGGGTCCAGTTCTTTTGCTTGTGGTGACCTAGTTGTCCCAACATCATTTATTACAAAGACTCTTCTTTCCCCCATTGTCTTGGCACCCTTGTTGAAAATCAGCTGATCATGAATATAAGGGTTTATTTCTGGACTCTCAGTCCTGCTCTCTTGAGCTGTAATATCTATCCTTATGCCAGAATCACACTGGACTACTGTAGCTTTACAGTAAAGGGAGAGTTCTCCAACTTAGTTCTTCTTTTTCAAGATTATTTGGTTATTCTGGTTTGCCCTTAGGTTTTTTACAATAAACCCAAACTTTTCAAAACCATGAAGTGCTCTTCTCCTTTTTCAAAAGAAATGTGTGTGTGTATCTATGTGTCTCTGCTAGTCAGTATGATCAGCTTCCTCTCTACCCCCTTACTTCCCAGCTTCTACAACTACATCTCCTTCGTTGGGGGCCCAGGGGCCCCTTATTTCCTGCTAGCCAAGGGTCCTGACTCAGTGTCATCTATATTCTGTAGTGGTGAGTCTGAATAGCCCCAATGTGCTGTACCTCCTGGCACTCCCACCCTTAGGTGGCACCTCCCAGTGGAATATGGACTGGCTCTGTGATTTGTTTTGCCTGATTGAATGTGGTGGAGGTGATGTTCTGGGGTTTCCAAGCCCAGGGATGGAGAAGGTCTGCCTGTGTGCCTTCAGAAGCCCTAAGTATGTCCATGTACAAAGTCCAGACTATGTCGTGGAAAGAAGATGTGAAGAGGCTGTGTGTAGATGCCACATAGAGGGGCCACACAGAGAGGCCACAGGGACGCCATGTAGAGAGGCATCAAGGTTCTGTGGAGACAGAGAGAAGCCTGAGTGTCCCAGTGTCCTTCTTAAGCATCCGTATGACTCTAGCCCGGCTGCCATCTGAGAATCCCCAAATGAGAAGCACCCAGCTGAGGCCAGCCAACACAGAGAACCATGAGAGATGACACAATGGAGGTTGTGTTAAGCCGCTATGTTTTGTGGCAATTTTTAATGCAGCAATAGATAATTAAAACAGAAATCCGATGGCCTGGCATGGTGGCTCACACCTGTAATGCCAGCACTTTGGGAGGCCGAGGCTGGAAGATCACCTGGGCCTACGGTTCGAGACCAGCCTGGGCAATGCAGTGAGACCCTATCTCTATTTAAATAATAAATAAAACCAAAAATCCCAGGTTAGTTCAAAGACACGAAATAGTTACTTAACCTCCTGATGCCTCGGTTTCTCAATCTGTAAAATGGAGATGATAATGACAATAATAATACATCTGTCACAGGGTTTTTGTGAAGATTAAAGGAGATCACATATGCAAATCTCTCAGTACAATGCAGTCGTGTCACTATTAATTTTTACAATAATTCAATCCAGTTTAGTGGTACACATTCAAGTTGTCATAAGATAACCAGGCATGGAGATTCAACTGGGTGAGTGATAAATTTTAAGTGGAGTTTCTACGAAATGCGGAGGGATCACTGCCTTCACTCTTGAAATGATTCATTAAACAAGTTTCTGTACAACTCATACACTTGTAAGAAAAAAATAATAAATGCATGAAAGAAGGAAACAAGCAAGACAAAACATGCTCACTGTGCAGTGGGAAGACCGGAAATTCCATCGGAGGCACCAGAATCCAGCGAGGCTGCCCTTTAGAATCTGCCCGAGTAGCCGCGGACTTTGGTTTAGAATCATGTAGTGTGAGAGCTGGGAGGAAGTTCGAAGATCATCTAATTCCTCATGAGCGGGTGAGGGGTTAAGGGGTTTCACAGCTAGTTAATGAGAGAGCCAGAACATACATCCAGGCTCCAGGTTCTTTTGCAAACTTAACATGTGTGGTTGTTCTTTTATTTATTTTTATTTTAATATTATTATTATTTTTTGACATGGATTCTCACTCTGTTGCCCAGGCTGGAGTGCAGTGGTGTGATCTTGGCTCACGGCAACCTCCGCCTCCCGGGTTCAAGCGATTCTACCTGCCTCAGCCTCCTGAGTAGCTGGGACTACAGGTGCCTGCCACCACACCCGGCTAATTTTTGTATTTTTAGTAGAGACTAGGTTTCACCATATTGGCCAGGCTGGTCCTGAACTCCTGACCTCATGATCTGCCTGCCTCGGCCTCCCGAAGTGCTGGGATTACAAGGGTGAGTCACCAGGCCTGGCCTGTGGTTGTTTTTTTCTAATTTTATCCATGACTATTGTTTAAAAAAAAACACACACACAAAATATTATGAAATTGTGAAACTTAGAAAGGGAGAGTCCCTTGCAAATTTCAGCTTCTAGAAATAAATACTGCTGACTTCTCTGACTCTTAGTTAATAAAGGCCCTTAGGATTACTTTATGAATGTTGTTGACAAGTGTCCACATACATCCAAGAAGGAAGCATGGTATTCACAGGCAGCAAGAACAAGAAACAAATACCAATTATTTCACTAAAGCCTGAACAGCATGACCTCCATCCCCACCATGCCCTGAGCAAGATCTTCAACCTTACAGACAAGGCAATAACATAGTAAGAGGCAGTGAGCATGATGGTTAGGGACACAGGCTTTGAAGTCACTGCCAGATTCAAATCCAAGCTCAGCTGTTTTTTTTCTTTTAGTTTTGAGACAGGATCTCACTCTGTCACCCAGGCTGGAGTGCATTGGCACGATCTAGGCTCACTGCAAGCTCCGCCTCCCTGGTTCATGCCATTCCCCTGCCTCAGCCTCCCAAGTAGCTGGGACTACAGGTGCCCGCCACGACGCCTGGCTAATTTTTTGTTTTTGTATTTTTAGTAGAGACAGGGTTTCACCGTGTTAGCCAGGATGGTCTCGATCTCCTGACCTCGTGATCCGCCCGCCTCAGCCTCCCAAAGTGCTTGGATTACAGGCGTGAGCCACGGCGCCTGGCCTCTGTTTTTTTTTTTTTTTTTTCTAAACAGAGTTTCACTCTTGTTGCCCAGGCTGTAGTGCAATGGCGTCATCTCAGCTCACCGCAACCTCCGCCTCCTGGGTCCCAGTTCAAGCAGTTCTCCTGCCTCCGCTACTGAGTAGCTGGGATTACAGGCACGCGCCACCACACCCAGCTAAATTTTGTATTTTTAGTAGAGATCTGATTTCACCATGTTGACCAGGCTGGTATCAAACTCCTGACCTCGTGATCCGCCCACCTCAGCCTCCCAAAGTGCTGGGATTACAGGCGTGAGCCACTGTGCCCGGGTTTTTTTGTTTGTTTGTTTGTTTGTTTGGTGGAGTCTCGCTCTGTCACCCAGGCTGCAGTGCAGTGGCACAATCTTGGTTCACTGCAACCTCCAACTCCCTGGTTCAAGCGATTCTCCTGCCTCAGCCTCCCAAGTGGCTGGGATTACAGGCGCCCGCCACCACGCCCAGCTAATTTTTGTATACTTTAGTAGAGACGGGGTTTCACCATATTGGCCAAGATGGTCTGGATCTCCTGACCTTGTGATCCTCCCGTCTCGGCCTCCCAAAGTGTTGGGATTACAGGCGTGAGCCACCGCGCCCGGCCATGCTCTGCTCTTATGAGCTGGGTGGCCCTGAATATTTTATCCTCTCTGAGCTTCACTTTCCTCATTTGAAATCAGAATCAATAATAATACCTTCCACATGGGCTACAGTCAGAGTGAAACAAGCAACTATAAAAGCACTGAGCTCCTGGCTAACATGGTGAAACCCCATCTCTACTAAAAATACAAAAAATTAGCTAGGCGTGGTGGCGGGTGCCTGTAGTCCCAGCTACTCGGGAGGCTGAGGCAGCATGGCGTGAACCCAGGAGGCGGGGCTTGCAGTGAGGCGAGAGCGAGACTTTGTCTCAAAAAAAAAAAAGCACTGAGTATGGGTTCCAGCACATGGGAAGCTCTCTATAATGTAGGTGCCACCATCATCTTCATCATTGTCTTCATCTCACCTGGATCATCATCAAGTACTTGTAGTTCTATGGGAACCTAATATTAGGTCATCCTAACTCTAGTTTACTTGAAGACTCTATAAGCTCCTATTATTGAACCTGCGTTTGCAGCTAAAGAAATAAATTGACATCTTATGGCCGGCAGTGATGGTTCACACCTGTAAGCCCAGCACTTTGGGATGCCAAGGCGGGAGGATCACTTGAAGTCAGGAGTTCAAGACCAGCCTGGCCAAAATGGTGAAATCCATCTCTATTAAAAAATACAAAAATTAGCCAGGCACGGTGGCGGGCACCTGTAGTCTCAGCTACTTGGGAGGCTGAGGCAGGAGAATGACTGGAACCCAGGAGGCAGAGGTTGCAGTGAGCCACTGCACTCCAGCCTGGGCGATAGAGTGAAACTCCATCTCAAAAGAAAAAAAAAAAAAAAGGAAGAAATTTACATTATATAACTCAAAGTAGAAGCAACATAGTTTAGAAGTCTCCTGCATGGAAGAATTCATAAGACCAAAATATTAAAGGGAGAAAACATTCTATAGGATGACACCCAATCGCACTGACAAGCAGAGAAACAATGTGTGCAATGGTGTCCCGCTACAAGGCAGGGTTCCATGTCCTCTTAGGTCCTGTCACTCTAAGTTTAATTTTACAAAAATGGGGGCTTTAAAAATATCACATACTTAGTGGGGGAGGTTTTGCGTGTGTGGAGACAGAGTGCACAGGACCGTCCGTACTTTCTGCTCAATTTTGCTGTGAATCTAAAACTGCCCTAAAAAATAAAGTTCATTAAAAAAAAAAAATCACGGCCAGGCGCAGTGGCTCACGCCTGTAATCACAGCACTTTGGGAGACCGAGGCGGGTGGATCACAAGGTCAGGAGTTCGAGACCAGCCTGGCCAACACAGTGAAACCTCGTCTTTACTAAAAATACAAAAAATTAGCTGGGCGTGGTGGCGCACGCCTGTAGTCCCAGATACTCAGGAGGCTGAGGCAGAAGAATTGCTTGAACCTGGGAGGCGGAGGTTGCAGTGAGCTGAGATTGTTCCACCGTTCTCCAGCCTGGGTGACAGAGTGAGACTCTGTCTCAAAAAAAAAAAATCACATCCTAAGGTCCCAAGGACATAAAACAAGTTAGAGACCTCATCCAGTTTTTTGTTTGTTTCAGGGACCTGCAACCAACTTTCTTACTGACCAGTTTCCTGGGCTGTCTAGAACAGACAGCTTATGGGGTACTAACCCCATGCTCTATCCTAAGGTACCCCTCTTCATGCAGAGCGACACAGAAAAACAAATTTGTAGCACAAAGTACACCCGATTTGCTACAGCTTACAACTAGCCTCATGAATCCTTTTCTCATTAATTCAAAGTTTGCAAAAAAAAGAAATCACATACTTAAATCACTTGAGCACAGAAGCATATCAAAATCTAATATAAACAAACAAAAAACCCAACTTATTTTAACATGCCACTGAAACTGGGCTCAAGTTTTCAAACATCTTATGAAATATTACACTCTCCAGCAGGCTTTTTTTTTTTTCCTAACTGGAGATGAATGGCAGAGTTCTGATATGGAAAAGCACTCCATGTTTGTACAGAAAGGTAGCATAGGAAAAGTGGTCAAATTCAACCAGTCTGTCCTCATCAAACAGGCAACTACTGTCTTCTCAGCATTTCCAAAAGAAATCATATGCCTGCTACTGTTTATGTCATATGCCTGTTAATTTTTCATGCTAATTCTTAGTGTTTCTGGAAAACCTCACTGTTTGGCACCAAAAATTATTATTGCTATTGTTGTTGTTTTGTTAATTATGTCAGCCAAGCAGATGACGGTGAATTAATTCTGCAACGTTGAGTACTCAGTTGGCATACAAGCACCCAGCCTTCCAAAGGGATGTCCTTCATGTTTCACTGATTTTCGAATGACAGTCAGCTTGCCTAAACTTATCCTTTACATTTAAGACATTTGGTGGGTTCCTGTATGCCCAGGGGATTTTTATTATTTGTTTATGCAAACAGCAGGTTGCATAAGAGCCTTGCTGGCTTTTTTTTTTTTTTTTTTAGAGATTTCGTAGTTTCCTGATAACCATTCAGTCATCTATTTCAACACCCTGACATGACATAAAGGCAGGCACGGAACCACACGTTCACCATACAGACACACGCCACTTTGCTGGAGCATTCACTAGGCGAGGCGCTCCATCGGACTCACTAGCTGCACTCATGAATCGGCACCATCTGCAGGATCACTTTCTGGAAATAGACAAGAAGAACTGCTGTGTGTTCCGAGATGACTTCATTGCCAAGGTGTTGCCGCCGGTGTTGGGGCTGGAGTTTATCTTTGGGCTTCTGGGCAATGGCCTTGCCCTGTGGATTTTCTGTTTCCACCTCAAGTCCTGGAAATCCAGCCGGATTTTCCTGTTCAACCTGGCAGTAGCTGACTTTCTACTGATCATCTGCCTGCCGTTCGTGATGGACTACTATGTGCGGCGTTCAGACTGGAAGTTTGGGGACATCCCTTGCCGGCTGGTGCTCTTCATGTTTGCCATGAACCGCCAGGGCAGCATCATATTCCTCACGGTGGTGGCGGTAGACAGGTATTTCCGGGTGGTCCATCCCCACCACGCCCTGAACAAGATCTCCAATTGGACAGCAGCCATCATCTCTTGCCTTCTGTGGGGCATCACTGTTGGCCTAACAGTCCACCTCCTGAAGAAGAAGTTGCTGATCCAGAATGGCACTGCAAATGTGTGCATCAGCTTCAGCATCTGCCATACCTTCCGGTGGCACGAAGCTATGTTCCTCCTGGAGTTCTTCCTGCCCCTGGGCATCATCCTGTTCTGCTCAGCCAGAATTATCTGGAGCCTGCGGCAGAGACAAATGGACCGGCATGCCAAGATCAAGAGAGCCATCACCTTCATCATGGTGGTGG
This sequence comes from Homo sapiens, assembly GCF_000001405.40. NCBI lineage: Eukaryota > Metazoa > Chordata > Mammalia > Primates > Hominidae > Homo > Homo sapiens. The sequence continues at coordinate 122,716,028 of NC_000012.12, read as the reverse complement.
CCATCGTCTTTGTCATCTGCTTCCTTCCCAGCGTGGTTGTGCGGATCCACATCTTCTGGCTCCTGCACACTTCGGGCACGCAGAATTGTGAAGTGTACCGCTCGGTGGACCTGGCGTTCTTTATCACTCTCAGCTTCACCTACATGAACAGCATGCTGGACCCCGTGGTGTACTACTTCTCCAGCCCATCCTTTCCCAACTTCTTCTCCACTTTGATCAACCGCTGCCTCCAGAGGAAGATAACAGGTGAGCCAGATAATAACCGCAGCACGAGCGTCGAGCTCACAGGGGACCCCAACAAAACCAGAGGCGCTCCAGAGGCGTTAATCGCCAACTCCGGTGAGCCATGGAGCCCCTCTTATCTGGGCCCAACCTCAAATAACCATTCCAAGAAGGGACATTGTCACCAAGAACCAGCATCTCTGGAGAAACAGTTGGGCTGTTGCATCGAGTAATGTCACTGGACTCGGCCTAAGATTTCCTGGAACTTCCAGATTCAGAGAATCTGATTTAGGGAAACTGTGGCAGATGAGTGGGAGACTGGTTGCAAGGTGTGACCGCAGGAATCCTGGAGGAACAGAGAGTAAAGCTTCTAGGCATCTGAAACTTGCTTCATCTCTGACGCTCGCAGGACTGAAGATGGGCAAATTGTAGGCGTTTCTGCTGAGCAGAGTTGGAGCCAGAGATCTACTTGTGACTTGTTGGCCTTCTTCCCACATCTGCCTCAGACTGGAGGGGGCTCAGCTCCTGGGGTGATATCTAGCCTGCTTGTGAGCTCTAGCAGGGATAAGGAGAGCTGAGATTGGAGGGAATTGTGTTGTTCCTGGAGGAAGCCCAGGCATCATTAAACAAGCCAGTAGGTCACCTGGCTTCCGTGGACCAATTCATCTTTCAGACAATCTTTAGCAGAAATGGACTCAGGGAAGAGACTCACATGCTTTGGTTAGTATCTGTGTTTCCGGTGGGTGTAATAGGGGATTAGCCCCAGAAGGGACTGAGCTAAACAGTGTTATTATGGGAAAGGAAATGGCATTGCTGCTTTCAACCAGCGACTAATGCAATCCATTCCTCTCTTGTTTATAGTAATCTAAGGGTTGAACAGTTAAAACGGCTTCAGGATAGAAAGCTGTTTCCCACCTGTTTGCTTTTACCATTAAAAGGGAAACGTGCCTCTGCCCCACGGGTAGAGGGGTGCACGTTCCTCCTGGTTCCTTCGCTTGTGTTTCTGTACTTACCAAAAATCTACCATTTCAATAAATTTTGATAGGAGACAGTCTGGCGTTGCTATATCTGGGTTATGGTTCACAGAAATGGACTTCTTACTTAAGCAGAGACCTTTATGGGTTGTTAACTTTGTCCTGGTAGAAAACTACTCCACACTGCAAAGTAAGAAAGAGACACAGACACTGAGCTACATCATGAAACAACTAAGCAGAAATTACACCTGTGTCTAAACAAAGATAGAAAGAGCTGGGATTAAAAATAATTTGGAAGGATAGTACAGATAGGATTGCAAGAGCACTTACATTTTATTAGAGTTTGGTGAATATTGCTCTTCATATTTGTGCATTAAAAAGGGAATCAAGGCCAGGTGCAATGGTTCATGCCTGTAATCCCAGCACTTTGGGGGAGCCAAGGCGGGCAGATCACCTGAAGTAAGGAGTTTGAGACCAGCCTGGACAAAATGGTGAAACCCCACTTCTACTAAAAATACAAGAAAAATTAGCCAGGCATGGTGGCGGCCGCTTGTAGTCCCAGCTACTGGGAAGGCTGGGAGAAGAAGAATTGCTTGAACCCGGGAGGCGGAGGTTGCAGTGAGCCGAGGTGGTGTGCCTGCACTCCAGCCTGGGGGACAGAGCAAGACTTCATCTCAAATAATAATAATAAATAATATAAAAAGGGAATCAAGCCAGGCAGATATTTTTCCATAGGAGGGGGAAGAGCGAGCTTCCTATGGAATGGTTTCAGTTCCCAATTCGGAGAAGGAAAGGAGATGTACTGGTTTGAGTCTGTGATCAGTCCAAGTTTCTGTTACGCTTTCATTTCTAACTCTGTCAGTCCTTGATTATTTGGCAAGACGAGGCTTGCTTCAACCTCCTGACATGAACACAGATAAGGAATTTAGAGACAGGCTCCCAGCTCTGGGTGAATGACAGTAAATGAAGAAAGGTGGATGCTCTGGAATTACCTCTGTGCTTTCAGAGCAGTTGGCTTGTCTGTATCACCAAGCAATGTACAGGTAAAAAGCCAAAAGCAAGGATCACCTTAAAGAGGAAGAGATGTCAGGGATGAGCTCAGAGGAAAATAGGGATTCCCCAGCCTCGGAGGCATGAGTCAGTGGGGAGCCTCGTTGTGAAACGCGGATTCGTTCAAGGGATGAGGTGGTTTGGGGTGTTTGGACCTCCACAGCTCACATTCATTCACTGATTCAGGCATTCCATCAGTTCTTTGTTTTTTTTTTTTTTTTGAGACCGAGTCTCACTCTGTCATCTAGGCTGGAGTGCAGTGGTGTGATCTGGGTTCACTGCAGCCTCTGCCTCCTGGGTTCAAGTGATTCTCCTACCTCAGCCTCCCCAGTAGCTGGGATTACAGGTGTGCACCACCATGCCTGGCTAATTTTTGTATTTTTAGTAGAGATGGGCTTTCGCTGTGTTGCCCAGGCTGGTCTCCAACTCCTGACCTCAGGTGATCCACCTGCCTCAGCCTCCCAAAGTGCTGGGATTACAGGTGTGAGCCACTGTGCCCAGCCTCATTCCATCAGTTTTATGTATTAAGCGCCAACTGTGTGCCAGGCGCTGTTCTGGGTGGTGGAGATAGAACAAGGAACAAGGCAGCCACAGTCCTCTTCTCATCGAGCTGACTTTTGGAGTGGGGAGACAGGCAGGAATAAAAAGGAGCCTTGGGGTGGCTATGGGTGTCATGACTATGGTGGAGTGGGACAATGGGGATAAAAAGTAACCGGGGCTGGGGTGACTGGGATGGCTTCTATGAGGCATTGACCCTGAGCTGAGCCATGAATGACTAAACAGAAAAGCAATGCAAAAGTCTGGGGGAAAGACACGCCAAGCAGAGGGAATGGTAAGTGCAAAGGCCCTGAGGTGAGAATTAGGTTGGTGACTGCATGTTCATTTCCTGTGGCTGGGTGGCTTGGAACAATAGAAATGTATTCTCCCACAGATCTAGAAGCTAGAAGTGCAGAATCAAGGTGTTGGCAGGGTTGGTTCCATCTGGAGGCTAAGGGAAAATGTTTCATGCCTCACTCCGAGCTTTCGGAGACTGCTGGCACTCTTGGACTTTCCTTGGCTTGTAGACGCTTCACTCCAATCTCTGCCCCTGTCACCACATGGTGGTCCCCTCTGTGTCCTCTCCTCTTCTTACAGACACCTGTCTTTTCTTTTCTTTTCTTTTCTTTTCTTTTCTTTTTTTTTTTTTGGTCTGTATTTGAGACAGAGTCTCGCTCTGTCACCCAGGCTGGAATGCAGTGGCTTCATCTCGGCTCACTGCAACTCTGCCTCCTGGGCTCAACCGATTCTCCTGTCTCAGCCTCTCACGTAGCTGGGATTATAGGCATGCACCCCCACACCTGTCTAATTTTTCTATTTTTAGTAGAGACAGGGTTTTGCCATGTTGGCTAGGCTGGTCTTGAACTCCTGACCTCAGGTGATCCACCTGCCTCAGCCTCCCAAAGTGTTGGGATTACAGGTGTGATCCAGCAGGCCCGGCCATAAATATGCCTGTCTTTATAACCCACCCTAATCCAGGATGCTCTCATCTTGAGATCTTTACCTTAGTTATACCTACAAAGACCCTTATTCCAAATAAGGTTGTATTCTAAGGTTTGGGGTGAACATAGCTGTTGGGAACCAGAACTCAACCGACTATAGTGAGGAACAATGTGGCCAGCACGATGAGCGTGGGGCCTGCCATATAGTGAGGTCGTGATCCCCTTTCAGACAAAAGTAATGAAAGACTTGAGATGAAGATCATACTATATTTAAATGAAAAAGTTTCTAAACAGAATATGATATCCATTTTCTTTTAAAATACGTGTATCTGTGTACTTGTGTATGGAACAACAGACTACAGGAACACACACCAGGCTGGGCACAGTGGCTCACCCCTGTAATCTCAGCACTTTTGGAGGCCAAAGCGGGTGGATCATGTGAGCCCAGGAGTTCAAGACCAGCCTGGGCAACATAGCAAGACTCCATCTGTACAAAAAATATAAATATTTAGCCAGGCATGGTGGCACACACATGCAGTCCTAGCTACTTGGGAGGCTGTGGTGGGAGGATCACTTGAGCCCAGGAGTTTGAGGCTGCCGTGAGCTATGATCAGGCCACTGCACTCCAGCCAGGGCGACAGAGTGAGACCTTGTCTCAAAAAAAAAAAGAAAAAAGAAAGAAAGAAGGAAGGAAGGGAAGGAAAAGAAAAAAGAAAGAAAGAAGGACGGAAGGGAAGGAAAAGAAAGAAAGAGAGAGAGAAGGAAGGAAGGAAGAAAAGGAAAGAAAGAAAGAAGGAAAGAAAGGAAGAAAGAAAGAAAGAAAGAAAGAGACAGAAAGACATTCTGATACTCAGGCTGAGCCATTGGAAAGTATCTTCTACATTTGCTCTGTGTGTGTGTGTGTGTGTGTGGGTGTGTGTGTGAAAGGAGAAAGAGGAAGAGGAAGACAGAATTTATGTATGTAGATCTGTCTATGTGTCTATATATTGGAAAAGGTGGTTATAATCATATATGCATCTATTTTGCATTACTGCCTTTAAACCTGTCTTGCAGCTGTTTATTTTGGGGGCTTAGTTCTTGGGGTCACCAGATTCATGAGTTCACTCTCTGCTATGTAGACCAGAACTTCCTCACAGCTCTTCCCAACAATCTCTTTCCAGCATCAAGAGATTATCCCTAAGTCTAGATCCATAAAATCAGAGGAGCAAGATCATGTTCATTTCTGATTCTTTGAGCTCCCTTCCCTTTCGAGGTTCATTCTCTTATTTGCCCCACAATGCCTTACCTGAAGTGAGGGTGAAACCGCCTTTGCAAAAATTATAACGGAGAAAATTATGATGGTGAAATAGATCTAACCTCACTCCATCTTTCTTCTAACCTCCAAGCTGTCCTTGTTCAGTACTGGGCATAGGCCATACTAACTTCGGGAGGAACTTGTTTATAGTTTAACTTTGAAACAAAGACAATAACAGCCCTTTCCCAAAACGAACCCCCTTCCTGCCTGAGGGCTAGACTGCCTTTGCAGGACTAACAAATTAGCTATAAGATTAGAAATTACGGTTTACCAGCCATGCAGCCTCTGGCTGCAAGATTCTGAACCTTCCCAAATTGCTCCTGGGAATAACATCACTGTTGCAAAACCTAAAATCAGTGCTTGAGGTATTTTGCAGACCCTGCACTCTGATGCACCCCCTGACACCACCCAGTCCAGTAATCTGGCTCAACCAGTTCTGCCATCCCACCCAGGAACAGAAGACAGTAAGAAAACTCACTTTGACCCCTATGATTTCATCTCTAACCCAGACAATCAGCATTCCCCACTTCCCAAGCCCCTACCTGCCAAATTAGCCTTAAAAACGCTGATCCCGGATTCTCTGATTTGAATAATGATAAAACTCTGGTCTCTTGTACAGATGGCCCTGCAGGAATTAAACTTTATTGCAATTCCCCTGTCTTGTTTTTTTTTTTTTTTTTTTTTTCTTTTGAGACAGAGTTTCACAGGCTGGAGTGCAATGTCGTGATCTCAGCTCACTGTAACCTCTACCTCCCCGGTTCAAGCTATTCTCCTGCCTCACCCTCCCAAGTAGTAGGGATTACAAGCATGCACCACCATGTCCGGCTAATTTTGTATTTTTAGTAGAGATGGGTTTTCATCATGTTGGCCAGGCTGGTCTCAAATTTCTGACCTCAGGTGATCTGCCTGCCTTGGCTTCCCGGAATGTTATGATTACAGGCGTGAGCCACCTGGCCTGGCCCCGTCTTGATAAATTGGCTTTGTCTAGGCAGTGGACAAGGAGAACTCCACTGGGTGGTTGCAAATCTGGGGAGTCATCCGGGACCATCCTTGTGGATACCTGCCTGACGTTTGTTAGCCCTCCACCAGCGATGGATCTGGAGGCCCGCCCAAGTGGCAATTTAGTTCTTGGACTGGGGGCTAACTGTAGCACCGTCTCTACCAGCAGGGTGTTGCCAACTCATGGTGCATGGATTCAAATGCAATAAACAGTCCTGGGGAGATGTCCCGCTCCTGTAGCCCCATCATGGGTGTCTGATTTGGTGAGTATTCTAGGTGCTTCCAACAACCTCATCCTTCTGACCTGCTGGCCTCTCTGAAGGGGGTGTCTGCTCTAACTGGATCAAGAATAGGGGACTTGTTTGGAGGAACATTCTTGGTTTGTGATTTGGTCTGGAGTCTCTGTCTGCAAGTCCTTCTGCTTGTCTTTTTCACTTGAGTGTTTGTGTATGTACAGGAATTGCTGATGGAAGTCCAACAGGCTCTCCTAGTTTGTCTGGTCTGTCACATTTGCTGAACCCTGAAGGAACTGTTAGCGGAAGCGCAACAGGCCTGACTCGTGGTGATTTTCCATTGTTCTGGAAGCTGCAGGGAAAGGGAACCCAGAAATCTGGTATGCCAGCAAAGAGAGTAAGAACTTCTGACAAGCCAGGCTTCTGGTCTCTCTCTCTCTGTCTCTCTCTCACTCTCTCTCTCTGTGAATGGTAAACATCATTGTTTGTCTCCTCTGCAAGGGTTTGATTAATTGAAAAAAGGATTTATAACTGGGCACAGTGGCTGTAATTCCAGCACTTTGGGAGGTCGAGGTGGGCAGATCACCTGAGGTCGGGAAGTTCAAGACCAGCCTGGCCAACATGGTGAAGCCCCGTTTCTACTAAAAATACAAAAATTAGCCAGGCGTGGTGGCGGGTGCCTGTAATCCCAGCTACTCAGGAGCCTGAGGCAGGAGAATCGCTTGAACCCAGGAGGCAGAGGTTGCAGTGATCCGAGATCATGCCATTGCACTCCAGCCTGTGCGACAAGAGTGAGATGCTATCTCAAAAAAAAAAAAAAAAAAAAAAGCTCTTCAAGAAAACTGGCCTTGCCTGGCCAGCCGCCCCGTCCGGGAGGGAGGTGGGGGGGGTCGGCCCCCCGCCCAGCCAGCCGCCCCGTCGGGGAGGTGAGGGGCGCCTCTGCCCGGCCGCCCCTCCTGGGAAGTGAGGAGCCCCTCTGCCCGGCCACCACCCCGTCTGGGAGGTGTACCCAACCGCTCATTGAGAACGGGCCATGATGACAATGGCGGTTTTGTGGAATAGAAAGGCGGGAAAGGTGGGGAAAAGATTGAGAAATCGGATGATTGCCGTGTCTGTGTAGAAAGAGGTAGACATGGGAGACTTTTCATTTTGTTCTGTACTAAGAAAAATTCTTCTGCCTTGGGATCCTGTTGATCTGTGACCTTACCCCCAACCCTGTGCTCTCTGAAACATGTGCTGTGTCCACTCAGGGTTGAATGGATTAAGGGCGGTGCAAGATGTGCTTTGTTAAACAGATGCTTGAAGGCAGCACGCTCGTTAAGAGTCATCACCACTCCCTAATCTCAAGTACCCAGGGACACAAACACTGCGGAAGGCCGCAGGGTCCTCTGCCTAGGAAAACCAGAGACCTTTGTTCACTTGTTTATCTGCTGACCTTCCCTCCACTATTGTCCTGTGACCCTGCCAAATCCCCCTCCGCGAGAAACACCCAAGAATGATCAATAAAAAAAAAAAAAGAAAAAAAGAAAACTGGGCTTATACCTTGTATATGCAGTCTCTGTACAGGGTTCCTGACTTGTCATAAGTAAAGAATGTCACTTTCTGACAGGCCCAGAAGCCCAAATTATCTTGGGACCTTGAGAGGAGGAAAATTCTCCCAACTCATACAGGTATTTGCAGGCATAGATAAATCCATGGCTGGGCTAAAGGCTTTAAAAAGTATAAGGTGAGATTCCTTAGGGAATGAAATTTCAGCAAAGCTAATTTTGTTTTTATTTATTTATTTATTTTTGGGCCATGGCCTTGCTCTGTCATCCAGGCTCAGGCGATTCTCCCACCTCAGCCTCCCAAGTAGCTGAGACTACAGGCACGCGTCACCACACCTGGCTAATTTTTGTAGAGACGGGGATCTCGCTATGTTGCCCAGGCTGGTCTTGAACTCCTGGGCTCAAGTGTTTCTCCCACCTTGGCCTCCCAAAGTGCTGGGATTACAGGTGTAAGCCACCATGCCTGACCAGCAAAGCCAATTTTAAAGAGCCTATATGGCAAATAATTATTCTTGCTGTACGTTATACAAATAATCAGGCCAAGTATAATAAGACTAAGACTTATTTCGCAATTACATTTGTCCTACTACTATTTGTTTTTAATAAAAATGGGGACTAAAGAGAGAAAAACTATGTTTCAAAAGCTATAGTACACCCATTGTTAGATTCTAGTCTTGTCCACTGTTCTTGAGTTTTTGTTATTTTCTGCAATTTGGACTAAATCCTGAATTCTTTGTGGCTGCAGTGAGCTGTGATCACACCACTGCACTCCAGCCTGCGTGACAGAGTGAGACCCTGTTTCAAAAAAATTAAACCAGATTTTAAAAATTGTGTGTCACAGAGATAACCAGTTTTTCTTGTTGACTGCACCTTTAACTATGGCTGTCCTGAAGCTTACCTAACTAATGCTCCAAACTAATGTTTTCCAAACTAATGCTTTCACATTTTTCTTCCACTTTTCTGACTTGGACTCAATAAAATTGCTACTACCTTTTTTCCTGAGGCCCTGTAAGCTGAAGCTTATTCTTTTAATATAGGTGGCAAAAACATGTCAGATTACCACTGCCTTCCTGCTCTATAACTAAAGGTATTTTGAGTTTCACATCTGGATAAATTGTGCCCAACATTAACTTTTGTTTTTCTTATATTTCCATAGAAATGCCTCGTATTAAAAATCTGTTTGTCTTCATCATGTATAGAGGCCTAGCCCGTGTGCAATGCCACCTCCTGATATGGGAAACAGCTGTTTAACTGAACTGATCTAGTCCCAGGACTAGGAAACTGATTAATAATATATGGGACAGTGTATTTAAACTTGCTCCTTCCTGGCTGACTATAGGTGCATTGCCTATGAGTTAGCCCTGATCCACAAGGAGCAGTACCAAATAAAATAAAGTAAAATAAAATGAAATTCACTCATTCTTGTCTATCCCAATATGTTTGTCCAAAAACCTTTGACCCAACTCTCTCTGCTAGTGACCCATGTCTGACTGATTCTTGGAGCTATTCACCTGGATCCCTCAGAGCTTAAGATCAATTCTACAAAGGCTTCTTCTTCTTTTTTTTTTTTTTTCCATAGACAAAGTCTCACTTTATTGCCTAGACTAGTCTTGAACTCCTGGGCTCAAGCAATCCTCCTGCCTTGGTCTCCCAAAGTGCTGGGATTATAGGCATGAACCACCACGCCTGTGTTTGTTGTTGTTTTTTTTTTTTTGAGACAGAGTTTCCCTCTTGTTGCCCAGGCTGTAGTGCAATGGTGTGATCTCGGCTCACCGCAACCTCCGCCTCCTGGGTCCCAGTTCAAGCAGTTCTCCTGCCTCAGCCTCCTGAGTATCTGGGATTACAGGCATGTGCCACCACACCCAGCTAAATTTTGTATTTTAGTAGAGATGGGGTTTCACCATGTTGACCAGGCTGGTATCAAACTCCTGACCTCGTGATCCACCCACCTCAGCCTCCAAAAGTGCTGGGATTACAGGCGTGAGCCACCGTGCCCGGCTTTTTTTTTTTTTTTTTTTTTTTTTGGTGGAGTCTCACTCTGTCACCCAGGCTGCAGTGCAGTGGCACAATCTCGGTTCTCTGCAACCTCCAACTCCCTGGTTCAAGCGATTCTCCTGCCTCAGCCTCCCAAGTAGTTGGGATTATAGGCGCCCGCCACCACACCCAGCTAATTTTTGTAAATTTTAGTAGAGACGGGGTTTCACCATATTGGCCAAGATGGTCTGGATCTCCTGACCTTGTGATCCTCCCGTCTCGGCCTCCCAAAGTGTTGGGATTACAGGCGTGAGCCACCATGCCCGGCCATGCTCTGCTCTTATGAGCTGGGTGGCCCTGAATATTTTATCCTCTCTGAGCTTCACTTTCCTCATTTTGAAATCAGAATCAGTAATAATACCTTCCACATGGGCTACAGTCAGGGTGAAACAAGCAACTATAAAAGCACTGAGCTCCTGGCTAACACGGTGAAATCCCGTCTCTACTAAAAATATAAAAAATTAGCTGGGCATGGTGGTGGGTGCCTGTAGTCCCAGCTACTCGGGAGGCTGAGGCAGCATGGCGTGAACCCGGGAGGCGGAGCTTGCAGTGAGGCAAGAGCGAGACTTTGTCTCAAAAAAAAAAAAGCACTGAGTATGGGTTCCAGCACATGGGAAGCTCTCTATAATGTAGGTGCCACCATCATCTTCTTCATCATCGTCTTCATCTCACCTGGATCATCATCAAGTACTTGTAGTTCTATGGGAATCTAATATTAGGTCATCCTGACTCTAGTTTACTGTGAAGAGTCTATAAGCTCCTATTATTGAACCTGCGTTTGCAGCTAAAGAAATAAATTGACATCTTATGGTGGCAGCGATGGTTCACACCTGCAATCCCAGCATTTTGGGATGCCAAGGCGGGAGGATCACTTGAAGTCAGGAGTTCAAGACCAGCCTGGCCAAAATGGTGAAATCCATCTCTACTAAAAATACAAAAATTAGCCAGGCATGGTGGCTTGCACCTGTAGTCTCAGCTACTTGGGAGGCTGAGGCAGGAGAATGGCATGAACCCGGGAGGCAGAGGTTGCAGTGAGCCAAGATCATGCCACTGCACTCCAGCCTGGGCGACAGAGCGAAACTCCATCTCAAAAGAAAAAACAGAAAAAAAAAAAAAAAGGAAGAAATTTACATTTTATAACTCAAAGTAGAAGGAACACAATTTAGAAACCTCCTGCATGGAAGAATTCATAAGACCAAAATATTAAAGGGAGAAAACATTCTATAGGATGACACCCAATCGCACTGACAAGCAGAGAAACAATGTGTGCAATGGTGTCCCGCTACAAGGCGGGGTTCCATGTCCTCTTAGGTCCTGTCACTCTAAGTTTAATTTTACAAAAATGGGGGCTTTGAAAATATCACATACTTAGTGGGGGAGGTTTTGCGTGTGTGGAGACAGAGTGCACAGGACCGTCCGTACTTTCTGCTCCATTTTGCTGTGAATCTAACACTGCCCCAAAAAATAAAGTTCATTAAAAAAAATCACGGCCAGGCGCGGTGGCTCACGCCTGTAATCCCAGCACTTTGGGAGGCCGAGGCAGACGGATCACAAGGTCAGGAGTTTGAGACCAGCCTGGCCAACACAGTGAAACCTCGTCTTTACTAAAAATACAAAAAATTAGCTGGGCGTGGTGGCGCACGCCTGTAGTCCCAGATACTCAGGAGGCTGAGGCAGAAGAATTGCTTGAACCTGGGAGGCGGAGGTTGCAGTGAGCTGAGATTGTTCCACCGTTCTCCAGCCTGGGTGACAGAGTGAGACTCTGTCTCAAAAAAAAAAAATCACATCCTAAGGTCCCAAGGACATAAAACAAGTTAGAGACCTCATCCAGTTTTTTGTTTGTTTCAGGGACCTGCAACCAACTTTCTTACTGACCAGTTTCCTGGGCTGTCTAGAACAGACAGCTTATGGGGTACTAACCCCATGCTCTATCCTAAGGTACCCCTCTTCATGCAGAGCGACACAGAAAAACAAATTTGTAGCACAAAGTACACCCGATTTGCTACAGCTTACGACTAGCCTCATGAATCCTTTTTCTCATTAATTCAAAGTTTGCAAAAAAAAGAAATCACATACTTAAAAATAAATCACTTGAGCACAGAAGCATATCAAAATCTAATATAAACAAACAAAAAACCCAACTTATGTTAACATGCCACTGAAACTGGGCTCAAGTTTTCAAATGTCTTATGAAATATTACACTCTCCAGCAGGCTATTTTTTTTTTCCTAACTGGAGATGAATGGCAGAGTTCTGATATGGAAAAGCACTCCATGTTTGTACAGAAAGGTAGCATAGGAAAAGTGGTCAAATTCAACCAGTCTGTCCTCATCAAACAGGCAACTACTGTCTTCTCAGCATTTCCAAAAGAAATCATATGTCTGCTACTGTTTATGTCATATGCCTGTTAATTTTTCATGCTAATTCTTAGTGTTTCTGGAAAACCTCACTGTTTGGCACCAAAAATTGTTATTGCTATTGTTGTTGTTTTGTTAATTATGTCAGCCAAGCAGATGACGGTGAATTAATTCTGCAACGTTGAGTACTCAGTTGGCATACAAGCACCCAGCCTTCCAAAGGGATGTCCTTCATGTTTCACTGATTTTCGAATGACAGTCGGCTTGCCTAAACTTATCCTTTACATTTAAGACATTTTGTGGGTTCCCGTCTGCCCAGGGGATTCTTATTACTTGTTTATGCAAACAGCAGGTTGCATAAGAGCCTTGCTGGCTTTTTTTTTTTTTTTTTTTTTTAGAGATTTCGTAGTTTCCTGGTAACCATTCAGTCATCTATTTCAACACCCTGACATGACATAAAGGCAGGCGTGGAACCACACGTTCACCACACAGACACACACCTCCTTGCTGGAGCATTCACTAGGCGAGGCGCTCCATCGGACTCACTAGCCGCACTCATGAATCGGCACCATCTGCAGGATCACTTTCTGGAAATAGACAAGAAGAACTGCTGTGTGTTCCGAGATGACTTCATTGTCAAGGTGTTGCCGCCGGTGTTGGGGCTGGAGTTTATCTTCGGGCTTCTGGGCAATGGCCTTGCCCTGTGGATTTTCTGTTTCCACCTCAAGTCCTGGAAATCCAGCCGGATTTTCCTGTTCAACCTGGCAGTGGCTGACTTTCTACTGATCATCTGCCTGCCCTTCCTGATGGACAACTATGTGAGGCGTTGGGACTGGAAGTTTGGGGACATCCCTTGCCGGCTGATGCTCTTCATGTTGGCTATGAACCGCCAGGGCAGCATCATCTTCCTCACGGTGGTGGCGGTAGACAGGTATTTCCGGGTGGTCCATCCCCACCACGCCCTGAACAAGATCTCCAATCGGACAGCAGCCATCATCTCTTGCCTTCTGTGGGGCATCACTATTGGCCTGACAGTCCACCTCCTGAAGAAGAAGATGCCGATCCAGAATGGCGGTGCAAATTTGTGCAGCAGCTTCAGCATCTGCCATACCTTCCAGTGGCACGAAGCCATGTTCCTCCTGGAGTTCTTCCTGCCCCTGGGCATCATCCTGTTCTGCTCAGCCAGAATTATCTGGAGCCTGCGGCAGAGACAAATGGACCGGCATGCCAAGATCAAGAGAGCCATCACCTTCATCATGGTGGTGGCCATCGTCTTTGTCATCTGCTTCCTTCCCAGCGTGGTTGTGCGGATCCGCATCTTCTGGCTCCTGCACACTTCGGGCACGCAGAATTGTGAAGTGTACCGCTCGGTGGACCTGGCGTTCTTTATCACTCTCAGCTTCACCTACATGAACAGCATGCTGGACCCCGTGGTGTACTACTTCTCCAGCCCATCCTTTCCCAACTTCTTCTCCACTTTGATCAACCGCTGCCTCCAGAGGAAGATGACAGGTGAGCCAGATAATAACCGCAGCACGAGCGTCGAGCTCACAGGGGACCCCAACAAAACCAGAGGCGCTCCAGAGGCGTTAATGGCCAACTCCGGTGAGCCATGGAGCCCCTCTTATCTGGGCCCAACCTCTCCTTAAATAACCATGCCAAGAAGGGACATTGTCACCAAGAACCAGGATCTCTGGAGAAACAGTTGGGCTGTTGCATCGAGTAATGTCACTGGACTCGGCCTAAGGTTTCCTGGAACTTCCAGATTCAGAGAATGCGATTTAGGGAAACGGTGGCAGATGAGTGGGAGACTGGTTGCAAGGTGTGACCGCAGGAATCCTGGAGGAATAGAGAGTAAAGCTTCTAGGCATCTGAAACTTTTGCTTCATCTCTGACGCTCGCAGGACTGAAGATGGGCAAATTGTAGGCATTTCTGCTGAGCAGAGTTGGAGCCAGAGATCTACTTGTGACTTGTTGGCCTTCTTCCCACATCTGCCTCAGACTGGAGGGGGCTCAGCTCCTGGGGTGATATCTAGCCTGCTTGTGAGCTCTAGCAGGGATAAGGAGAGCTGAGATTGGAGGGAATTGTGTTGCTCCTGGAGGGAGCCCAGGCATCATTAAACAAGCCAGTAGGTCACCTGGCTTCCGTGGACCAATTCATCTTTCAGACAAGCTTTAGCAGAAATGGACTCAGGGAAGAGACTCACACGCTTTGGTTAATATCTGTGTTTCCGGTGGGTGTAATAGGGGATTAGCCCCAGAAGGGACTGAGCTAAACAGTGTTATTATGGGAAAGGAAATGGCATTGCTGCTTTCAACCAGCGACTAATGCAATCCATTCCTCTCTTGTTTATAGTAATCTAAGGGTTGGGCAGTTAAAACGGCTTCAGGATAGAAAGCTGTTTCCCACCTCTGTTTGCTTTTAACATTAAAAGGGAAATGTGCCTCTGCCCCACAGTTAGAGGGGTGCACGTTCCTCCTGGTTCCTTCGCTTGTGTTTCTGTACTTACCAAAAATCTACCATTTCAATAAATTTTGATAGGAGACAGTCTGGCGTTGCTATATCTGGGTTATGGTTCACAGAAATGGACTTCTTACTTAAGCAGAGACCTTTATGGGTTGTTAACTCTGTCCTGGTAGAAAACTACTCCACACTGCAAAGTAAGAAAGAGACACAGACACTGAGCTACATCATGAAACAACTAAGCAGAAATTACACCTGTGTCTAAACAAAGATAGAAAGAGCTGGGATTAAAAATAATTTGGAAGGATAGTACAGATAGGATCGCAAGAGCACTTACATTTTATTAGAGTTTGGTGAATATTGCTCTTAGTATTTGTGCATTAAACAGGGAATCAAGGCCAGGTGCAATGGTTCATGCCTGTAATCCCAGCACTTTGAGGGGACCGAGGTGGGCAGATCACCCTGAGGTCAGGAGTTTGAGACCAGCCTGGACAACATGGCGAAACCCCACTTCTACTAAAAATACAAGAAAAATTAGCCAGGCATGGTGGCGGCCGCTTGTAGTCCCAGCTACTGGGAAGGCTGGGGGAAGAAGAATTGCTTGAACCCAGGAGGCGGAGGTTGCAGTGAGCCGAGGTGGTGTGCCTGCACTCCAGCCTGGGGGACAGAGCAAGACTTCATCTCAAATAATAATAATAAATAATATAAAAAGGGAATCAAGCCAGGCAGATATTTTTCCATAGGAGGGGGAAGAGCGAGCTTCCTATGGAATGGTTTCAGTTCCCAATTCAGAGAAGGAAAGGAGATGTACTGGTTTGAGTCTGTGATCAGTCCAAGTTTCTGTTACGCTTTCATTTCTAACTCTGTCAGTCCTTGATTATTTGGCAAGACGAGGCTTGCTTCAACCTCCTGACATGAACACAGATAAGGAATTTAGAGACAGGCTCCCAGCTCTGGGTGAATGACAGTAAATGAAGAAAGGTGGATGCTCTGGAATTACCTCTGTGCTTTCAGAGCAGTTGGCTTGTCTGTATCACCAAGCAATGTACAGGTAAAAAGCCAAAAGCAAGGATCACCTTAAAGAGGAAGAGATGTCAGGGATGAGCTCAGAGGAAAATAGGGATTCCCCAGCCTCGGAGGCATGAGTCAGTGGGGAGCCTCGTTGTGAAACGCGGATTCGTTCAAGGGATGAGGTGGTTTGGGGTGTTTGGACCTCCACAGCTCACATTCATTCACTGATTCAGGCATTCCATCAGTTCTTTGTTTTTTTTTTTTTTTTGAGACCGAGTCTCACTCTGTCATCTAGGCTGGAGTGCAGTGGTGTGATCTGGGTTCACTGCAGCCTCTGCCTCCTGGGTTCAAGTGATTCTCCTACCTCAGCCCCCCCAGTAGCTGGGATTACAGGTGTGCACCACCATGCCTGGCTAATTTTTGTATTTTTAGTAGAGGTGGGGTCTCGCCATGTTGCCCAGGCTGGTCTTGAACTCCTGACCTCAGGTGATCCACCTGCCTCAGCCTCCCAAAGTGCTGGGATTACAGGTGTGAGCCACTGTGCCCAGCCTCATTCCATCAGTTTTATGTATTAAGCACCAACTGTGTGCCAGGCGCTGTTCTGGGTGGTGGAGATAGAACAAGAAACAAGGCAGCCACAGTCCTCTTCTCATCGAGCTGACTTTTGGAGTGGGGAGACAGGCAGGAATAAAAAGGAGCCTTGGGGTGGCTATGGGTGTCATGACTATGGTGGAGTGGGACAATGGGGATAAAAAGTAACCGGGGCTGGGGTGACTGGGATGGCTTCTATGAGGCATTGACCCTGAGCTGAGCCATGAATGACTAAACAGAAAAGCAATGCAAAAGTCTGGGGGAAAGACACGCCAAGCAGAGGGAATGGTAAGTGCAAAGGCCCTGAGGTGAGAATTAGGTTGGTGACTGCGTGTTCATTTCCTGTGGCTGGGTGGCTTGGAACAATAGAAATGTATTCTCCCACAGATCTAGAAGCTAGAAGTGCAGAATCAAGGTGTTGGCAGGGTTGGTTCCATCTGGAGGCTAAGGGAAAATGTTTCATGCCTCACTCCGAGCTTTCGGAGACTGCTGGCACTCTTGGACTTTCCTTGGCTTGTAGACGCTTCACTCCAATCTCTGCCCCTGTCACCACATGGTGGTCCCCTCTGTGTCCTCTCTTCTTACAGACACCTGTCTTTTCTTCTCTTTTTTTTTTGGTCTGTATTTGAGACAGAGTCTCGCTCTGTCACCCAGGCTGGAATGCAGTGGCTTCATCTCGGCTCACTGCAACTCTGCCTCCCGGGCTCAAGCGGTTCTCCTTCCTCAGCCTCTCACACAGCTGGGATTATAGGCATGCACCCCCACACCTGTCTAATTTTTCTATTTTTAGTAGAGACAGGGTTTTGCCATGTTGGCTAGGCTGGTCTTGAACTCCTGACCTCAGGTGATCCACCTGCCTCAGCCTCCCAAAGTGTTGGGATTACAGGTGTGATCCAGCAGGCCTGGCCATAAATATGCCTGTCTTTATAACCCACCCTAATCCAGGATGCTCTCATCTTGAGATCTTTACCTTAGTTATACCTACAAAGACCCTTATTCCAAATAAGGTTGTATTCTAAGGTTTGGGGTGAACATAGCTGTTGGGAACCAGAACTCAACCGACTATAGTGAGGAACAATGTGGCCAGCATGATGAGCGTGGGGCCTGCCATATAGTGAGGTTGTGATCCTCTTTCAGACAAAAGTAATGAAAGACTTGAGATGAAGATCATACTATATTTAAATGAAAAAGTTTCTAAACAGAATATGATATCCATTTTCTTTTAAAATACGTGTATCTGTGTACTTGTGTGTGGAACAACAGACTACAAGAATATACACCAGGCCGGGCACAGTGGCTCACCCCTGTAACCTCAGCACTTTTGGAGGCCAAAGCGGGTGGATCATGTGAGCCCAGGAGTTCAAGACCAGCCTGGGCAACATAGCAAGACTCCATCTGTACAAAAAATGTAAATATTTAGCCAGGCATGGTGGCACACACATGCAGTCCTAGCTACTTGGGAGGCTGTGGTGGGAGGATCACTTGAGCCCAGGAGTTTGAGGCTGCCATGAGCTATGATCAGGCCACTGCACTCCAGCCAGGGTGACAGAGTAAGAACTTGTCTCAAAAAAAAAAAAAAAGAAGAAAGAAAGAGAGAGAGAGAGATGAAAGAAAGAAAGAAAGAAAGAAAGAAAGAAAGAAAGAAAGAAAGAAAGAAAGAAAGAAAGAAAGAAAGAAAAGAAAGTAAGAAAGAAAGGAAGAAAAGAAGAAAAAAGCAAGCAAGCAAGCAAGCAAGCAAGCAAGCAAGAGACACTCTGATACTCAGGCTGAGCCATTGGAAAGTATCTTCTACATTTCCTGTGTGTGTGTTTGTGTGTGTGTGTGAAACGAGAGAGAGGAAGAGGAAGACAGAATTTATGTATGTAGATCTGTCTATGTGTCTATATATTGGAAAAGGTGGTTATAATCATATATGCATCTATTTTGCATTACTGCCTTTAAACCTGTCTTGCAGCTGTTTATTTTGGGGGCTTAGTTCTTAGGGTCACAAGATTCATGAGTTCACTCTCTGGTATGTAGACCAGAACTTCCTCACAGCTCTTCCCAACAATCTCTTTCCAGCATCAAGAGATTATCTCTAAGTCTAGATCCATAAAGTCAGGGGAGCAAGATCATGTTCATTTCTGATTCTTTGAGCTCCCTTCCCTTTCGAGGTTCATTCTCTTATTTGCCCCACAATGCCTTACCTGAAGTGAGTGCGAAATCGCCTTTGCAAAAATTATAACTGAGAAAATTATGATGGTGAAATAGATCTAACCTCACTCCATCTTTCTTCTAACCTCCAAGCTGTCCTCGTTCAGTACTGGGCATAGGCCAAACTAACTTTGGGAGGAACTTGTTTATAGGTTAACTTTGAAACAAAGACAATAACAGCCCTTTCCCAAAACGAACCCCCTTCCTGCCTGAGGGCTAGACTGCCTTTGCAGGACTAACAAATTAGCTATAAGATTAGAAATTACGGTTTACAAGCCACGCAACCTCTGGCTGCAAGATTCTGAACCTTCCCAAATTGCTCCTGGGAATAACATCACTGTTGCAAAACCTAAAATCAGTGCTTGAGGTATTTTGCAGAACCCTGCACTCTGATGCACCCCCTGACACCACCCAGTCCAGTAATCTGGCTCAACCAGTTCTGCCATCCCACCCAGGAACAGAAGACAATAAGAAAATTCACTTTGACCCCTATGATTTCATTTCTAACCCAGCCAACCAGCATTCCCCACTTCCCAAGCCCCTACCCACCAAATTAGCCTTAAAAACTCTGATCCTGGATTCTCTGATTTGAATAATGATAAAACTCTGGTCTCTTGTACAGATGGCCCTGCAGGAATTAAACTTTATTGCAATTCCCCTGTCTTGTTTTTTTTTTTTTTCTTTTGAGACAGAGTTTCACAGGCTGGAGTGCAATGTCGTGATCTCAGCTCACTGCAACCTCTACCTCCCCGGTTCAAGCTATTCTCCTGCCTCACCCTCCCAAGTAGTAGGGATTACAAGCATGCACCACCATGTCCGGCTAATTTTGTATTTTTAGTAGAGACGGGTGTTCATCATGTTGGCCAGGCTGGTCTCAAACTTCTGACCTCAGGTGATCTGCCTGCCTTGGCTTCCCAAAATGTTATGATTACAGGTGTGAGCCATCGGCCCGGCCCCCTGTCTTGATAAATTGGCTTTGTCTAGGCAGTGGACAAGGAGAACTCCACTGGGTGGTTGCAAATCTGGGGAGTCATCCGGGACCATCCTTGTGGATACCTGCCTGACGTTTGTTAGCCCTCCACCAGCGATGGATCTGGAGGCCCGCCCAAGTGGCAATTTAGTTCTTGGACTGGGGGCTAACTGTAGCACCGTCTCTACCAGCAGGGTGTTGCCAACTCATGGTGCATGGATTCAAATGCAATAAACAGTCCTGGGGAGATGTCCCGCTCCTGTAGCCCCATCATGGGTGTCTGA
Organism: Homo sapiens; assembly: GCF_000001405.40. Taxonomy (NCBI): domain Eukaryota; kingdom Metazoa; phylum Chordata; class Mammalia; order Primates; family Hominidae; genus Homo; species Homo sapiens. The sequence continues at coordinate 122,696,327 of NC_000012.12, read as the reverse complement.
TTTGGTGAGTATTCTAGGTGCTTCCAACAACCTCATCCTTCTGACCTGCTGGCCTCTCTGAAGGGGGTGTCTGCTCTAACTGGATCAAGAATAGGGGACTTGTTTGGAGGAACATTCTTGGTTTGTGATTTGGTCTGGAGTCTCTGTCTGCAAGTCCTTCTGCTTGTCTTTTTCACTTGAGTGTTTGTGTATGTACAGGAATTGCTGATGGAAGTCCAACAGGCTCTCCTAGTTTGTCTGGTCTGTCACATTTGCTGAACCCTGAAGGAACTGTTAGCGGAAGCGCAACAGGCCTGACTCGTGGTGATTTTCCATTGTTCTGGAAGCTGCAGGGAAAGGGAACCCAGAAATCTGGTATGCCAGCAAAGAGAGTAAGAACTTCTGACAAGCCAGGCTTCTGGTCTCTCTCTCTCTGTCTCTCTCTCACTCTCTCTCTCTGTGAATGGTAAACATCATTGTTTGTCTCCTCTGCAAGGGTTTGATTAATTGAAAAAGGGATTTATAACTGGGCACAGTGGCTGTAATTCCAGCACTTTGGGAGGTCGAGGTGGGCAGATCACCTGAGGTCGGGAAGTTCAAGACCAGCCTGGCCAACATGGTGAAGCCCCGTTTCTACTAACAATACAAAAATTAGCCAGGCGTGGTGGCGGGTGCCTGTAATCCCAGCTACTCAGGAGCCTGAGGCAGGAGAATCGCTTGAACCCAGGAGGCAGAGGTTGCAGTGATCCGAGATCATGCCATTGCACTCCAGCCTGGGCGACAAGAGTAAGACTCCATCTCAAAAAAAAAAAAAGCTCTTCAAGAAAACTGGCCTTATACCTTGTATATGCAGTCTCTATACAGGGTTCCTGACTTGTCGTAAGTAAAGAATGTCACTTTCTGACAGGCCCAGAAGCCCAAATTATCTTGGGACCTTGAGAGGAGGAAAATTCTCCCAACTCATACAGGTATTTGCAGGCATAGATAAATCCATGGCTGGGCTAAAGGCTTTAAAAAGTATAAGGTGAGATTCCTTAGGGAATGAAATTTCAGGAAAGCTAATTTTGTTTTTATTTATTTATTTATTTTTGGGCCACGGCCTTGCTCTGTCATCCGGGCTCAGGCGATTCTCCCACCTCAGCCTCCCAAGTAGCTGGGACTACAGGCACGCGTCACCACACCTGGCTAATTTTTGTAGAGACGGGGATCTCGCTATGTTGCCCAGGCTGGTCTTGAACTCCTGGGCTCAAGTGTTTCTCCCACCTTGGCCTCCCAAAGTGCTGGGATTGCAGGTGTAAGCCACCATGCCTGACCAGCAAAGCCAATTTTAAAGAGCCTATATGGCAAATAATTATTCTTGCTGTATGTTATACAAATAATCAGGCCAAGTATAATAAGACTAAGACTTATTTTGCAATTACATGTGTCCTACTATTATTTGTTTTTAATAAAAATGGGGACTAAAGAGAGAAAAACTATGTTTCAAAAGCTATAGTACACCCATTGTTAGATTCTAGTCCACTGTTCTTGAGTTTTTGTTATTTTCTGCAATTTGGACTAAATCCTGAATTCTTTGTGGCTGCAGTGAGCTGTGATCACACCACTGCACTCCAGCCTGCGTGACAGAGTGAGACCCTGTTTCAAAAAAATTAAACTAAATTTTAAAAATTGTTGTGTGTCACAGAGATAACCAGTTTTTCTTGTTGACTGCACCTTTAACTATGGCTGTCCTGAAGCTAATGAACTAATGCTCCAAACTAATGTTTTCCAAACTAATGCTTTCACATTTTTCTTCCACTTTTCTGACTTGGACTCAATAAAATTGCTACTACCTTTTTTCCTGAGACCCTGTAAGCTGAAGTTTATTCTTTTAATATAGGAGGCAAAAACATGTCAGATTACGACTGCCTTCCTGCTCTATAACTAAAGGTATTTTGAGTTTCACATCTGGATAAATTGTGCCCAACATTAACTTTTGTTTTTCTTGTATTTCCTCCATTTTAATACAAGAAATGCCTCGTATTAAAAATCTGTTTGTCTTCATCACATATAGAGGCCTAGCCCATGTGCAATGCCACCTCCTGATATGGGAAACAGCTGTTTAACTGAACTGATCTAGTCCCAGGACTAGGAAACTGACTAATAATATATGGGACAGTGTATTTAAATTTGCTCCTTCCTGGCTGACTATAGGTGCATTGCCAATGAGTTAGTCCTGATCCACAAGGAGCAGTACCAAATAAAATAAAGTAAAATAAAATGAAATTCACTCATTCTTGTCTATCCCGATATGTTTGTCCAACAACCTCTGACCCAACTCTCTCTGCTAATGACCCATGTCTGATTGGTTCTTGGAGCTATTCACCTGGATCCCTCAGAGCTTAAGATCAATTCTACAAAGGCTTCTTTTTTTTTTTCTTCTTTTTTTTCATAGACAAAGTCTCACTTTATTGCCTAGACTAGTCTTGAACTCCTGGGCTCAAGCGATCCTCCTGCCTTGGTCTCCCAAAGTGCTGGGATTACAGGCATGAACCACCACGCCCGGGCTCTACAAAGGCTTCTGAAGCTAGGACTTTCACTCCTTAACCTAGGACTCATTATATACCTTATAGTTAACTACTCATTTAAACACTATGTTAAAACTCTAGGTAAGAATACTAACACCTTACTCCTGCAAGCCTCAAAACCCCAACCAGGCACCATGAGTCCAGGCAGACAGCTGCAAAGCAATTCCACTCCTCTTACCTTGGGGTCAACACCCGCCCTAACTACACTCCTGTCAGGAAAAAGGAGCTAAAGCAGTCTTTGCCCTTTTTCCATCTCACAGCTCACACCTGAAGAATAAGGTTGTTACAGTCCAGGTGCAGTGGCTCACACCTGTAATCCCAGCACTTTGGGAGGCCGAGGCGGGTGGATCATGAGGTCAGGAGATCAAGACCATCCTGGCCAACATGGTGAAAACCAGTCTCTACTAAAAATACACAAATTAGCCGGGCGTGGTGGCACATGCCTGTAATCCCAGCTACTCGGGAGGCTGAGGCAGGAGAAACGCTTGAACCAGGAATTGGAGGTTGCGGTGAGCTGAGCTTGTGCCACTGCACTTCAGCCTGGCAGCAGAGCGAGACTCTGTCTAAAAAAAAAAAAAGGGAATAAGGTTGTTATGAAACCCAAAGTGAGGGATTGAAACAACCTTTGCAAAAATTATAACTGAGAAAATTATGATAGTGAAACAGATCTGACCTGACTGACTCCATCTTGCTTCTGAACTCCAAGCTGTCCTTGTTCCTTGCTGGGGCATAGGCCGAACTCACTTTGGGAGGAAATTGTTTAACTTTGAAACAAAAGACATTAACAGCCCTTTCCCAAAACAAACCCCCTTCCTGCCGGGGGACTAGACTGCCTTAGCAGGACTAACACATTGGACAGATTAGCAATTATGGTTTAAGAGTCATGCAGCCTCTGGCTGCAAGATTCCGAACCTCCTCAAACTGCTCCTGAGGATAATGTCACTATTGTTAGATGTAAGATCAGTGCTTGAGATATTTTGCAGACCCTGTACTCGATGGATCAGCTGGCACCACCCGGATCGATAAACTGGCTCATCTGGTCTTGTGGCCCTCACCCAGGAACTGATTCAGGACAAGAGGACATCTTTGACTCCCTGTGATTTCATCTCCAACCTGACCAATCAGCACTCCCCACTTTCTGAACCGCTATCGGCCAAGTTATCCTTAAAAACCCAGATCCAGGCCGGGCACAGTGGTTCACGCCTGTAATCCCAGCACTTTGGGAGGCCGAGGCGGGTGGATCACCTGAGGTGAGAAGTTCGAGACCAGCCTGGCCAACATAGCGAAACTCCATCTCTACAAAAATACAAAAATTAGCCAGGCGTGGTGGCACAAGCCTGTAGTCCAAACTACTTGGGAGGCTAAGGTAGGAGAATCACTTGAACCTGGGAGGCAGAGGTTCCAGTGAGCTGAGATTGTGCCACTGCACTCCAGCTTAGGCGACAAAGCAAGGCTCTATCTCAAAAAAAAACCAAAAAACAAAACAGATCCAGCTGGGCACAGTGGCTCATGTCTATAATTCCAGCACTTTGGGAGGCCAAGACAGGCAGATTGCTTGAGTCCAGGAGTTTGAGACCAGCCTGGAAACATGGCAAAACCCCGTCTCTACAAAAATGCAAAAATTAGCTAGGCACAGTGGTGTGCACCTGTAGTCCCAGCTACTCAGGAGGTTGAGGTGGGAGGATCACTTGAGCCCAGGAAGTCAAGGTTGCAGTGAGCTGTGAACATGCCACTGCACTCCAGCCTGGGTGACAGAAACCTTGTCTCAAATCCTCCCCTCTAGTCCTTGAGTTTTTGAGGAGACTGATTTGAGTAATAATAAAATGTCAGTCTCCCATACAGCTAGCTCTGCATGAATTAAACTTTCTCTATTGCAATTCCCTTGTCTTCACAAATCAGCTCTAGGTAGTGGGCAAGGAGACCTATTGGGTGGTTATAGAAGGATCTAAATGGTATCCCATATTCAGGCACAGACACATTGCAGATCCTTCAAATGACGTTTGGTTTCATTTTCAAAATGCTTCCTGATTACAATCTATCGATCCGCTGGCCTTGCTGCTAACTATAACAGTTTTCTCTGCAGATGGTCTGTCAGCCACCTGACCCCTTCCCCACTTTACTTCTGTAATCAGAGATTGAGCTGAGGAATTGATCATCTGAGGAGCCTTGGACAGGGGTGGTGTTTGGTGGAGCCATCAATAACTAGAAATTGACCATTTACCAGCCAAGGGCTATGGGTTGCCGTCTGCACACCCATCTTTTGGTTCAGATTGGCAATGTCTTCAAATTGGAACTGAAATTCTGATGAAATTCTTTTTTTTTTTTTTTTTTTTTTTTTTTTTGAGATGGAGTCTCGCTCTGCCGCCCAGGCTGGAGTGCAGTGGCGTGGTCTTGGCTCACTGCCAGCTCCATCTCCCAGGTTCACACCATTCTCCTGCCTCAGTCTCCCGAGTAGCTTGGACTACATGCGCCCGGCTAATTTTTTGTATTTTTAGTAGAGACGGGGTTTCACCTTGTTAGCCAGGATTGTCTCAATCTCCTGACCTCGTGATCCACCTGCCTCGGCCTCCCTAAGAGCTGGGATTACAGGCGTGAGCCACCGCGCCGGGCATTTCTGATGAAATTCTTTGTTGACTGAGGCTGGGGCTGTTTGTGTTACTGACAAACTTCCTGAGAAGGAAATTCCACTTTTTTCCCTCATTATAGTGACACGATGTCTTAGTATGGTTGCTTAACTCAAGGTCCTGAGGGATGCAAGTACTTGAAACATACTTCAGATGAGCTTGAGCAAAAAATAACAAGCAGAAAGAGGAAGGAACTGGAGAGGGGGCAGCATTTCTTATGGAAAAGGAGGATTAAGCCAGGCTTGGGCTTAAGGACCAGAACCCAGCCCTTCCCCCAGCTCCTAACCATGAATGAGTCTCAAGCTCTGAATGCCTGCGCCTCCCAGATTCTCACCTGAGAGAACCCATTGATCCATATCACTTTCATTAGAAGGATCATGAAGGCGATAGTCGCGCTGCAGCTGCTTAAAGGGTTTTTTTTATTTTTTTTTTGAGATGGAGTCTTGGTCTGTCACCCAGGCTGGAGGCCAGTGGCACAATTTTAGCTCACTGCAACCTCTGCCTCCGGGGTTCAAGCAATTCTCCTGCTTCAGCCTCCTGAGTAGCTGGGACTATGGGTGCCCACCACCACGCCTGGCTAATTTTCGTATTTTTAGTACAGATGGAGTTTTGCCATGTTGGCCAGGCTGGTCTCGAACTCCTGACCTCAGGTGATCTGCCTGCCTCAGCCTCCCAAAGTGATTACAGCCATGAGCCACTGTGCCCGGCCATAAAGGGATTACAGGCATGAGCCACTGTGCCCGGCCATAAAGGATATTTTATTTGTCGTTTGTTTTCATGCTATTATTGGGAGCCACAGGCAAAGGGACCTCCTCCCTAACAACAGAGGGGCTCACAGTTTCTGCAGCCACTCCAAGCTTGGGCCCAGGGGGTCCTGGGGTGGCTGGGCAGGTGTGAATGTCCCTATCCTTTTGCAGGAGCACTGGGTGGCTGTGGGGTGGGGCCTGGTGAACCATGATGATAGGGGGGTGCAGGAGTAGGTCCACAAAACCACAGGAGGCCCCAGAAGGTGCAGGGCACGGGTGGCTTGGCTCCTTGGTCTGGGCATTCCTAGAAAGGCAGAGTCTCAAGGCCATCTTGGCCTTGGTGGCCACGCCAAGGGTATTTTTTTCACCTACTATTTGTGCGAAGACGTGCTATCTGTCAGGTGCTCCTTGGATAATGTTTTAGATCACCCTCTATTTCACGAGCACATTTGGGCTTTCAGTGGAGCCTATCTCAGTTCTTTTGCTTTCAAAATTACTGGTGGCTCATATGTGTAATCCCAGCACTTTGGGAGGCTGAGGCAGGAGGATCACTTGAGGCCAGGAGTTCGGCACTTTTTTTTTTTTCTTCTTGAGATGCAGTTTTACTCTGACACCCAGGCTGGAGTGCAGTAGCATGATCTTAGCTCACTGTAACCTCCGCCTCCCAGGCTCAAGCGATCCTCTCACCACAGCCTCCCAAGTAGCTGGGACTACAGGTGCATACCACTGTGCTAGGCTAATTTTTGTATTTTTTATAGAAACGGGATTCTGCTTTGCTGCCCAGGCTGGTCTTGAACTCCTGGGCTCAAAAGATCTGACTGCCTTGGCTTCCCAAAGTTCTGAGATTACAGGCATGAGCCACTGAGTCTGGCCCGGAGTTTGGGAGTAGCTTGGGCAACAGAACAAGATCCCTCCACTACCAAAAAAAAAAAAAATTAGCCAAGCGTGGTGGGAGGCACCTGTGGTTCCAGCTGCTTGGGATGCTGAGGTGGGAGGATTGCTTGAGCCTGGGAGGTTGAGGCTTCAGTGAGCTGTGATCAAGCCACCGCACTTTAGCCTGGGTGACAGAGCCAGACCCTGTCTCAAAAATTAAAATAAATAAATAAATAAATAATCTGCCATGCTACAAAACTGTGGTCTCCAAAGAACAGAGAGGCAATCAATCAACTTTCAGGAAACGATGGGGTTCACTCTGCCTCAGGCCCATTCATCTGTGGACCTCCAAATGTGTGTTCTGGAGCCCTTTGGAAGGCCTTCCTGGAGAATTAAAGTCTCTGTTACTTTATTTATTTATTTATTTATTTTTGAGATGGAGTCTTTCTCTGTCGCCAGGCTGGAGTGCAGTGGCGCGATCTCTACTCACTGCACCTTCCGCCTCCTGGGTTCAAATGATTCTCCTGCCTCAGTCTACTGAGTAGCTGGTACTACAGGCACGCGCCACCATGCCCAGCTAATTTTTGTATTTTTTAGTAGAGATGGGGTTTCACCATGTTGGCCAGGATGGTCTCGATCTCTTGACCTCGTGATCCAATCACCTTGGCCTCCCATAGTGCTGGGATTTACAGGTGTGAGCCACCGCGCCCAGCCCTCTGTTACTTATATATTGCTTAATAAGCTCAGGGCAAAGGAATACTCCTTGGGAGGCTTGGTTGAAGCTCATACCGGGCCATGAAGTTCTGTTCACTGTTTCTTGTCTTCTGTGAGACAAAAGAGACAGGGGTATTTTGCAACCAGTGCTGGATTCTCTTTGGGCTCAAATTTAACATTTGGCTACCCTCTGTGTCTTCAGGGACAAGGAGTTTGTGTGTGGCATTTCAAACATCAGGGCCTGGCCTATAGTCCACAATCCCACGGCCCTGTCCCATGAAAGCCAAGTGCTTCTGAGCTGTTAACAAATATTGATACACCTGGAGCTCTGGCCACACCTAGACAAGGATTTACATCTATCAACAGGTGCTAGGAACAGTACAGGATGTTCTCAATGCAACTCCGAAAAGAAGAGAAAGTGAACTGACCAACTGATGTCCTCAGGTTGAAAAAGTTGGTTTCTTTTCAGCATGCTAACAAAATACATCATAGGCTGTGCACAGTGGCTCACGCCTATAATCCCAGCACTCTGGGAGGCCAAGGCAGGTGGATTACGTGAGGTCAGGAGTGCAAGACCAGCCTGACCAACATGGTAAAACCCCGTCTATACTAAAAAAATTCAAACTTAGCCGGGTGTGGTGGCACATGCTTGTAATCCCAGCTACTCAGGAGGCTGAAGCGGTAGAATTGCTTGAACCCAGGAGGCAGAGGTTGCAGTGAGCCAAGATCGTGCCACTGCACTCCAGGCTGGGCAACAAGAGCAAAACTCCATCTCAAAAAAAAAAAAAAATTAAAGTTAAAAAAAAAAGTTATATGATGCTGGAGTACGAAAATGATATTGCCTGGTTTGGATTTTGGTAAAGCAACATGAATGCAAAGATGTACACACGGTTGGAGAGAGGCTGTATTCAACATGATCATCATTTGATCACCATCAATTATTATTATATATTTTTTAATGTTTAATTTCATTTCATTGATTTTGTTGTTGTTGTTGTTATTGTATGTTTTTTTTTTTAGAGATGGGATCTCACTGTGTTGTCCAGGCTGGTCTCAAACTCCTGGGCTCAAGCAATCCTCCTGCCTTGGCCGCTCAAAGTGCTGGGATTACAGGTGTGAGCCACTGCACCCAGCGATCATCAATTATTATATCTAAGATTTGCACTATGGTGTGTAAGACACAGCTCTAAGTGTTTTACATAGATGATCTCATTTAATCATTTCAATAACATTATGGGCTAGGTGCTATTTCTGACTTCACAGATAAGGGAATTGAAGCCCAGAAAGTTTGAGTAACTTGTCCAAGTTCATACAACTGGTAAGTGATGAACTGAACCCGGTGAATAAATGCAGGCAGTCTGACTCCAGTCTTTGCTTTTAAAGTTCTGAGAACATGCAAAGTGAGAGATATGCAACTTGAACTGGAAAAAGTAGAGCAAATACCTTGACCTGCTTGGAGTCAGTATTTCCAGAACTTCCCAGGATGTCCTAGGCTGTACCAGGCTGTACCAGGCTGTTCATTAGGCCCTCAGGCCCCTCCCAAGCCGAGGCTGTGATCATATACTTAAGCCGCCTGGCACGAAGCCTAGAGTTGAGTGGATGTCCTGCAAATGCTGTTTCCCTTCTCCAAATCTCGCTGCAGGTTGGCCCTTTTCTTCCTTGTTAAACGTTCTTCTCTTTCTAAAGAAGGTACCACTTCATAAGGAGGCAGGTCAAAGATAGTCACTGTGGCTGGGTGCAGTGGCTCATGCCTGTAATCCCAGCACTTTGGGAGGCCGAGGTGGGTGGATCACCTGAGGTCAGGAATTCAAGACCAGACAGCCTGGCCAACATGGCGAAACCCCCTCTCTACTAAAAATACAAAAATTAGCTGGGCGTGGTGGCACCCGCCTATAATCCCAGCTGCTCAGGAGGCTGAGGCAGGAGACTCACTTGAATCCAGGAGGTGGAGGTTGCAGTGAGCCGAGATGTGTCACTACACTCCAGCCTGGGTGACAAGAGCAAAACTCCGAAGAAAGAAAGAGAGAGAGAGAGAGAGAGAACATTGTTATAGTAAAAAAACAAGAAACAACCTAAATATCCATTAGTAGGGGAACAGATTCAGTTGCTCAATGGAATACACTATAGCAGTGAAGAAAAATGAACCACAGTTATTTGTATCAACAGTACTAAAACTTGAGCATAACATCTAGAGCAAAAAGCAAGTTGCTGGAAGATACATACAATCTGGTAACATCTCTATAAATACTTAAAACTTGTGAAACAAAGCCATACATTGTTTCTGGAAACATCAATATGTAATAACACATACAAATCATGGGTAAGAAGAATGTTTACTAACTTCAAGATAGAAATTAATTCTGCAGAGGAATCCCAGGGAGCGAAATGGAATGGAGGGAGGCTTCAGCTGTATCTATAACACTTTCACTTTAGTTTTTGTTTTTGTTTGTTTGTTTGTTTGTTTTGAGACAGGGTCTGGCTCTGTCACCGAGGCTGGACTGCAGTGGCAAGATCACAGCTCACTTCAGCCTCAATCTCCCAGGCTCAGGCCATCCTCCCACCTCAGCCTCCCGAGTAGCTGGGACTACAGGTGCACACCACCAAGCCTGGCAAATTTTGTAGATTTTTAGTAGAGAAGGGGTTTTGCCATGTTGCCCACACTGGTCTGGAACTCCTGGGCTCAAGCAATCCACAAAGGCAGGCAGATCACTTGTAAGTGAGCAATTGCACACAGCATCGCTTAGTTTTAAAAGAAGATTCTGCAAATGTCCTTCAGTGGGTGAATAGTTAAACTAGTACGTTCATACCATGGGATCCTATTTAGCAATAAAAAAGAAATAAATGATTGATACGGGCAACAACTTGGATGGATTTTCTTTTTTTTTTTTTTTTTTTTTGAGATGGAGTCTTGCTCTTGTCATCCAGGCTGGAGGGCAATGGCACAATCTCAGCTCACTACTAACTCTGCCTCCCGGGCTCAAGTGATTCTCCTTCCTCAGCCTCCAGAGTAACTGGGATTACAGGCATCCACCACCATGCCCGGCTATTTTTCTGTATTTTTAGTAGACAGGGTTTCACCACATTGGCCAGGCTGGTTGCGAACTTCTGACCCGGGTGATCTGCCCGTCTAACCCTTCCAAAGTGCTGGGATTACACCACCATGCCCGGCCATACTTGGATGGATCTTAAAGCATTAAATTATGCTGAGTGGATGCCAGGTGTGGTGGCTCACGCCTGTAATCCCAGTACTTTGGGAGGCTGAGGCAGGCGGATCACCAAAGGTCAGGAGTTTGAGACCAGCCTGTCCAACATAGTGAAACCCCATCTCTACTAAAAATACCAAAAAAATTAGCTGGGTGGGGTGGCAGGTGCCTGTAATCCCAGCCACTTGGGAGGCAGAGGCAGGAGAATCGCTTGAACCTGGGAGGCAGAGGTTGCAGTGATCTGATATTGCACCACTGCCTTCTAGCCTGGGTGACAGAGTGAGATCTTGTCTCAAAAAATAAATAAATAAATAAATAAATAAATAAATATAAAAATTATGCTGAGTGGGGGAAGAAAAACAGGCTTTTTTTTTTTTTTTTTTTTTTTGAGACAAGGTCTCACTCTGTCACCCAGGCTGGAGTGCAGTGGCACCATCATAGCATTTTTGTAGAGATGGGGTTTCGCCATATTGCCCAGGCTGGAAAAAAGGTCAATTTCAAGAAGTTATATACTATATAATTGTACTTACATAATATTCTTAGAAAGATAAAATTACAGAGATGAAGAAGAACCCCAGCATCTCAGAATGTGACTGTATTTGGAGGCAGGGACTTTAAAGGGGAACTGAATTAAACTGAGGTCATTAGGGTGGGCCCTAATCCAGAATGGCTGATGTCCTTATGAGAAGAGAGGGTCAGGACACAGACACACCCAGAGGGATGACCAAGTGAGGACACAGGGAGAAGACGGCCATCTACAAGCCAAGGAGAGAGGCCTCAGAAGAAACCACGCTGCCAACAACTTATTGCAGACTTGGAGCCTTCAGAACTGTGGGAAACTCCGTTTCTGTGGATTAAGCCCCTCAGTCTGTAGAACTGTGCTATGGCCTGGGCTGGCTCTTACAGCATCTCACCATCTTTCTTAAATGCATCCATCAGCCAGAGGTTTCAGAGCTCAGTTGGAACACCCTATGTGTTTATTTAAAAACCACTTATCGCCTATAAATTTGAATAGAATTTTACATAAAGCCTGCTGTGCTGCACAGCAGAGAAATTCAACTTTAGAATAAAGTAGAATAACATTAAGGACAGATAAGGACAGATGGACTTTTCATAGGCAAACATTGCCCAACCGCTGCTTCTCTCTCCACTGACCTTTTGTTTAATGATGGGAACAAATCACAAAATCCACTAAAAAAAAAATCTTTTTGGCCAGGCGAGATGGCTCATGCTCGTAATCCCAGCATTTTGGGAGGCCAAGGCAGGAGGATCCCTTGAGCTCAGGCATTTGAAACCAGCCTGAGCAATATAGTGAGATCTTGTCTCTTCTGAAAATAAAACAAAATTAGCTGGGCATAGTGGTGCACATCTGTGGTCCCAACTACTTGAGGGGTTGAGATGGGAGGATCGCTTGAGGTGATGGTGGGGAGGTAGGTCAAGGCTGCAGTTAGCTATGATTGCACTCCAGCCTGGGTGACAGTGAGACCCTGTCTCAATGAAATGAAATGAAATAAAATAATTAAAAAATTTAAAAAGTGAATGAGATAAAAAAAAAAAATCGCACTGGTCTCTAGGGTTCCCATAGAGGCTGAACACTGATATTTTAGTCAAGATTTCAGGCCAGGCTCACGCCTGTAATCTCGACACTTTGAGAGACTGAGGTGGGAGGATTGCTTGAGCCCAGGAGGTCAAGGATACAGTGAGCTATGATTGCACCACTGCACTCCGGCCTGGGAGACAGAGTGAGACCCTATCTCCCCTGCAAAAAAAAGTTGAACTTTTTTTAAAAATTATTTTTTATTTTGCCTTGCTGTTCGTGAGCTGTATCAAAAAAAATTTTTTTTTTCTTTTGAGACAGAGTCTCGCTCTGTCACCAGCCTGGAGTGCAGTGGTGCCATCTTGGTTGGCTCACTGCATCCCAGGTTCAAGCGATTCTCCTGCCTCAGCCTCCCGAGTAGCTGGGATTACAGGTATGCGCCACCACACCCAGCTAATTTTGTATTTTTAGTAGAAATCGGGTTTATCCATGTTGGTCAGGCTGGTCTCGAACTCCTGACCTCAGGTAATCTGCCCACCTCGGCCTCCCAAAATCCTGGGATTACAGGCGTGAGACACTGCACCCGGCCATAATTTTTGTGTTTTTAGTAGAGATACCTGGGGTTTCATCACGTTAGCCAGGATGGTCTTGATCTCTTGATCTCGTGATCTGCTCGCCTCGGCCTCCCAAAGTGCTGGGATTACAGGCGTGAGCCACCGCGCCCAGCCAAAAAACATTTTTTTTAGACGGAGTCTTGCTTTGTCACCCAGGCTGGAGTGCAGTGGCATGATCCCGGCTCACTGCAACCTCCGCCTCCTAGGTTCAAGTGATTCTCCTGCTTCAGCCTCCCGAGTAGCTGGGATTACAGGCACTGGTCTCAAACTCCTGACCTCAAGTGATCCACCTGCCTCGGCTTCCCAAAGTGCTGGGATTACAGGTGTGAGCCACTGTGCCCAGCCTGTATCAAAAAATTTTTAAACAAAACTGCAAAAATTATTGTAGCCAACCCAGAAAAAAACTCTCCTCAATATTATCTGTTATTATGTCTAATAAAGAATATTCACATAAAGCTCCTAAGAATTATCTTTCTTTGCTTTTTTTATTTTTTCTAAGAGATGGGATCTCCCGGTATTGCCCAGGCTGGTCTCATGCTCCTGGCTTCAAGTGATCCTCCCTGTCCTGGGCTCCCAAAGTTCTGGGATTACAGGCATGAGCTACCATGCCCAGCTCCATCTTTCTAAAACAAAAACTGAATTATGTTTCTTTTCTGCCTCAAAACCCTTCAATCATCAACGACAACAAAAAGTTCAAACCCCCCAGCATGGCTTTCACTCCCAGGCTACATGACCATTCACTCTCTGGCTGGCAGAGGTGAAGAAAAATGGCCTTTGGAATCAGATGTCTCTGGGTTGAAATTTTAGCTTGACCACTCTTTGGGTGGGTTCTGAGAACCCAAAGAAAGTGAGAGAGGCCTATGACTATTTCAGCTCTTGAAACTTCTGGTATTTTTTTTCCATTGAGATATTAATTCACCTACTATAAAATTCCTCCTTAAGCAAAATTGGGGCTGGGCATGGTGGCTCACGCCTGTAATCCCAGCACTTTGGGAGACTGAGGCAGGTGGATCGCTTGAGGTCAGGATTTCAAGACCAGCCTGGCCAACATGGCGAAACTCTGTCTCTACTAAAAATACAAAAATTAGCCAGGAGTGGTGGTGCACGCCTGTAATCCCAGCCACGTAGGAAGCTGAGCACAAGAATTGCTTGAACCCAGGAGGCAGAGGTTGCAGTGAGCCAAGATTGCACCACTGCACTCCAGCCTGGGTGACAGAGTGAGACTCTGTCTCAAAATGAAAAACAAAACAAAACAAAACAAAACAAAACAAAACAAAACAAAACAAAAGGTCATGTTTGCCTGTAGAATACTTTCTTACATGCAGGAGACTTTCTCTTAGACACACGCCTGGAGGCGTCTGAGAGGGACAGGCTGGGCTCACCAATTCGAACTTCTGCCAATGCCCTGCATGTCTCTCTCACTAAGAGCTAAGCCAAGACTTCCCCTGTCATCACCACTGCCTGTGGTCAGTCCTCTATTACCAACAGAGGGAAACAGAATGCAATTGAGGAGAACCAACTAATTGCGAAAGCAAAGCCTGAGAAACCCCATGAGTGATGGATCCACCAATTCTGGTGGCCACAGGGAGGTCCCTGGTGTCTGGCTGCATGCTGGCCATGGTGACCAGGTGTCCTTGGGCAGGAGATGGCTTCAAATGCAGACCGGAGTCCTAGCGATCCAAGTGGTTCTTTGAGAAACCAAAACACCACAAAGCTCCCCCTGGACTGTACCATTGAGCTCTCAATCACAATTCAGCCGAGGACATTGTCTTAGTCCACCAGGGCTGCCATGACACGGTACCATGGGCTGCATGGCTTACAAACAACAGTTCATTTCCCATGGTTGTGGAGGCTGGAAGTCCAAGATCAAGGCGGCAGCAGATTCAGCGTCCGAGGAGGATGGTGAGGACCTGCCACCTGATGCATAGATTTCCTCTCTGTGTCCCCACACAGCACAAGGGAGAAGGGAGCTCTCTGGGGGCCTCTTTGATTAGGGCATGACTCCCATTCCTAAGGGCTGCACCCTGATGACCCGATCGCCTCTCAAAGTCCCTGCCTCCTAATCCTATCATTTAAGGGGTTAGGATTTCAAATTTGGGAGGAAGAGGGGACAGATTCAGACCATAGCAGACAACTACTAAAAGCAAATACTACACTTCATCTTAGCCAAGAGGCCAAGAAGCAATACATTCACTTTTTTTTTTTTGAAACAGGGTCATGCTCTGTCACCCAGGCTGGAGTGCAGTGGTGCAATCACGGCTCATTGCAGCCTCTGCCTCCCGGGCTCAAGTGATTCTCCTGCCTCAGCCTCCTGAGTAGCTGGGATTACAGGCACACGCCACCACGCCTGACTAATTTTTGTAATTTTGTTGAGACAGCCTCCTGAGTAGCTGGGATTACAGGCACACGCCACCATGCCCAACTAATTTTTGTAATTTTGTTGAGACAGGGTCTCGCTATGTTGCCCAGTCTGGTCTCAAACTCCTAGGCTTAAGCAATCTTCCCACCTCAGCCTCCCAAAGTGCTGGGATTACCGGTGTGAGCCACTGTGCCCAGCCAAATTCACTCTTTTAAAGTATACTATTCACTCATTTTTATTATATCCACAAGCTTGTACAATCACCACGACTATCTAATTTCAGAACTTTTTCATCACCCCAAAAAGAAACGCTGTGCCCACTGGCAATCATTCATTCCCCATTCATCCCTTCCCCGCCCCCAGCAAACACCAGTAGATCTATCTCTGGAATCATGATTTATTTTTTTAAATGAAGAAATGCCACAAAAGGATTAGAAAAATTATGGAAGTGGGGCCAGGTGTGGTGGCTCACGCCTGTAATCCCAGCACTTTGGGAGGCCGAGGCAGGCGGATCACAAGGTCAGGAGATCGAGACCATCCTGGCTAACACAGTGAAACCCCGTCTCTACTAAAAATACAAAAAATTAGCCGGGTGTGGTGGCAGATGCCTGTAGTCCCAGCTACTCGGGAGGCTGAAGCAGGAGAATGGCGTGAACCCGGGAGGTGGAGCTTGCAGTGAGCCGAGATTGGTGCCACTGCACTCCAGCCTGGGCGACAGAGCGAGACTCTGTCTCAAAAAAAAAAAAAAAAAAAAAAAAAAATACAGAAGGGGAATTTAGAGGGGAGGGAAAAAAGCCTGAAACAAGACTTCCTTCCCCAACTGGTTTTAGCCTGCTTGTTCTTCCAGAGTTGGTTCCCACAGTGTAAATGCAGCCTTGGTTTCTGTTGGGGCCTGGCAAGAAAATTCACATGGGGCTTTGTCTCCTATGTGCTAGGCAGGAGACCATGAAACATCACTTAGCCTAGATATGAAGGCCAATTTGGTAGTTTCAAATATATCAATAATTTCTTTGAAACTCCTCTCTTCAAAAGACAGAGTCTGATTTCCTTCCCCCTTGAATGCAGGCCAGACTTAGTGACTTTCTTTTAATGAGTAGAATGTGGTGGAAGTGATGTTATGTGCCTTTAAAAGCTGGGCATAAAAGGGGTAGGGGACCAGACACTGGGGCTCACGCCTGGAATCCCAGCACTTTGGGAGGCCAAGGTGGGAGGATCACTTGAGCCCAGAAGTTCAAGACCAGCCTGGCCCACACAGGGAGACCCTGCCTCTATGAAAAGTAAAAATTAAAAAATTAGCCGGGCGTGGTGGTGAGTGCCTGTGGTCCCAGCTACTCAGGAGGCTGAGGTGGGAGGATCGCTTGAGCCCAGGAGTTCAAGGCTACAGTGAGTCATGATCATACCATTGTACTCCAGCCTGGGTGACAGAGTGAGACCCTGTTTCAAAAAAAAAGATACTGGCTTCTCTGTCTCTCTCTCTCTGTTTTGGCCCGCCATGCTGGGCGGAAGCCCAGATCTCATGGGGAGACCCCGTGGGGCTGCTCTGGTTGAGACTTTGAACTAGGCCCTCAGCTGAGAGCAGTGGGCAAGCTTCACAGACGTGTGGCCTGGTATCAGGCACAGAGCCGTGTGCTAAGAAGAGCCCCTGGCCCTTTTAAATACTCTGCCATCACCATTTTGAAATTCTTCATAATCTGTAAACAGCTTTATTGAGATATAACGCATATGTTATAAAATTCACCCATTGCAAGTGAACCATTCAATGGTTTGCAGCATATTCACAGAATTGTGCAAACATCACTACATTCCATTTCCATTACTAATCACTCTCCATCTCTACCCCCAATACATTCTTTATCGTTTCTCAACCAGAACCCTGTGTTTCACTGTTCACTGAAAACCACAAATTATGAAGCCATCCTGACAGCTGACCTGTACATGACTGTGCCTTCAGATGGTCCCAGCCCCAGCCTTTGGGACTCCAGCTGAGGTCCCAGATATGTATAGCAGAGACCTGAATTCCTGACTCCTAGAAACCATCAGAGATGGCTTAGGCTATTACATCTTGAGCTAATTTGTTATGTACCAATAGATAAGTAAAGCAAGCAAAAAACCATGGGGCCGGGTGCAGTGGCTCATACCTGTAATCCCAGCTCTTTCAGAGGCCAAGTCAAGAAGATCCCTTGAGCCCAGAAGTTCTAATCTAGACTAGCCTGGGCAACACAGGGAGATCTCATCTCTACAAAGAAACAAAAATAAAATTAGCCAGGCACGGTGGCACACGGCTGTAGTCCCAGCTACTTGGGAGGCTGAGGCAGGAGGATTGCTTGAGCTCAGGATTTTGAGGCTGCAGTGAGCTGTGATCACACCAATTCAGCCTGGTGACAGAGTGAGACCTCGACTCTAAAAAAAAGAAAAAGAAAAGGCACACCAGGCTGAGCACGGTGGCTCACGCCTGTAATCCCAACACTTTGGGGGGCCAAGGTGGGCAGCTCACTGGAGGCCAGGAGTTTTGAGACCAGCCTGGACCACATAGCGAAATCCTGCCTCTACTAAAAATACAAAAAAAAAAAAAAAAATTAGCTGTGCATGGTGGCATGAGCCTGTAATCCCAGCTACCCTGGAGGCTGAGGCATGAGAATTGCTTGAGCCTGGGAGGGGAGGTTGCAGAGAGCGGAGATTGTGCCACTGCACTCCAGCCTGGGCAACACAGCAAGACTCTGAAAATAAAAAAAGAAAAGGAAGGAAGGAAGGAAGGAAGGGAGGGAGGGAGGGAGGGAGGGATCAAGGGAGGAAGGAAGGGAAAGGCACACCAGATATCAAGACTAGCCACCCAGAAATATTTTACTCCCATTAATCAAAACCTTGCAGAAGCGATAAACAGTGAGTTTTACCATTCACCCAATGATACTGCACAGAGAGAGAGGCTGGGACCCTAACTGGTAAGAAATTCTTACCTTTTTGCCAGCTGATCTGGTTCCTGGGTTCCCTTTTCTGTGGCTTCCGGAAGAGCAGAGCAGCTTTGGTGACCCTGCTCGCCACACCAAAATGTAGGTCCTCTGAAAAGTCAACTCACAAAAGGCAAATTAATAGGAAAAAAGGCATATAAATTTATTTAGCGTATAGATAGAGAAGCCTTTTGAACAAAGACCAAAAGACACAGGGGAAATTGTCTATTTTTATGCTTACATTTAACAAACTATGGACAGCTGTGTAGAAATATAACTGGACAAAAAGAGTATGACCTAGGTCGGGCGTGGTGGCTCACGCCTGTAATCCCAGCACTTTGGGAGGCAGAGGTGGGCGGATCACCTGAGGTCAGGAGTTCGAGACCAGCCTGGCCAACATGGTGAAACTCTGTGTCTAACAAAAATACAAAAATTAGCCGGTCATGGTGGTGCACACCTGTAATCCCAGCTACTCAGGAGGCTGAGGCAGCAGAATCTCTTGAACCCGGGAGGTGGAGGTTGCAGTGAGCAGAGGTTACGCCACTGCACTCCAGACTGGGCAACAGAGCAAGACTCCGTCTAAAAAAAAAATCACCTAACGTGGCTGGACTCAGTAGCAATCAGTGTAAAGAGATGGCAAGGCCTGTCCACCTGGATTCTTCTTGGCCTCTCTGAACAGCATTCCTTCCTTCAGGGTATGGGGCAGGACCTGCTGTGGAATGGGGGTCTTATGAGCTACAGTGAAACAAGGTGGGCCATTTTTCAATGGCCAGTTTTGATACAGAAAGATGGAGGGGAAATTAGAATCATATTTTTAGGTTTTATGGCTGGCGTTGGGAAAGAGGAATTCTAGTTTCTACGGCTGGCCTCGGGGGAAAAGCGGGACTTCCAGGCAGGAGGACACGGGAGAGTCAGGGAAAAGCTTTTGCTTCTGAGGCTGCAGATCAAGGCTTCATTTTGAGGTACTGTTTTCTGAGCCCCAGGGGAATTCTACCAGCTTCTACTGAGAGGTGACAGCGTGCTGGCAGTCCTCACAGCCCTTGCTCGCTCTCGGCGCCTCCTCTGCCTGGGCTCCCTCTTTGGCCGCACTTGAGGAGCCCTTCAGCCCGCCGCTGCACTGTGGGAGCCCCTTTCTGGGCTGGCCAAGGCCGGAGCCCGCTCCCTCAGCTTGCGGGGAGGTGTGGAGGGAGGGGCGCGGGCGGGAACCGGGGCTGCGCGCGGTGCTTGCGGGCCAGCGCGAGTTCCAGGTGGGCGTGGGCTCAGCGGGCCCCCGCACTCGGAGCGGCCGGTCGGCCGCTCAGGCCCCGGGCAGTGAGGGCCTTAGCACCTGGGCCAGCAGCTGCTGTGCTCAATTTCTCGCCGGGCCTTAGCTGCCTTCCTGCGGGGCAGGGCTGGGGACCTGCAGCCCGTCATGCCTGAGCCTCCCCCAACCCCCTCCGTGGGCTCCTGCGTGGCCCGAGCCTCCCTGAGGAGCACGGCCCCCTGCTCCATGGCGCCCAGTCCCACTGACCACCCAAGGGCTGAGGAGTGCAGGCGCACAGCACGGACTGGCAGGCAGCTCCACCTGCGGCTCCAGGGCAGGATCCACTGGGTGAAGCCAGCTGGGCTCCTGAGTCTGGTGGGGACTTGGAGAACCTTTATGTCTAGCTAAGGGATTGTAAATACACCAATCGGCACTCTGTATCTAGCTCAAGGTTTGTAAACACACCAGTCAGCACCCTGTGTCTAGCTCATGGTTTGTGAATGCACCAATGGACACTCTCTATCTAGCTACTCTGGGCGGGGACTTGGAGAACCTTTGTGTGGACACTCCGTATCTAGCTACTCTGGTGGGGATGTGGAGAACCTTTGTGTCTAGCTCAGGGATTGTAAACGCACCAATCAGCACCCTGTCAAAACAGACCACTCGGCTCTCTGTAAAATGGACCAATCAGTAGGATGTGGGTGGGGCCAGATAAGAGAATAAAAGCAGGCTGCCAGCGGCAGCAAAGGCAACCCGCTAGGGTCCTCTTCCACCTTGTGGAAGCTTTGTTCTTTTGCTCTTTGCAATAAATGTTGCTACTGCTCACTCTTTGGGTCCACACTGCCTATATAAGCTGTAACACTCACCACGAAGGTCTGCAGTTTCACTCCTGAAGCCAGAGAGACCACGAGCCCACCGGGAGGAACGAACAACTCCAGACATGCACCTTAAGAGCTGTAACACCACGAAGGTCTGCTGCTTCACTCCTGAGCCAGCGAGACCACGAACCCACCAGAAGGAAGAAACTCCAAAGACATCCGAACATCAGAAGGAACAAACTCCGCACACGCTGCCTTTAAGAACTGTAACACTCACCGCGAGGGTCCGCGGCTTCATTCTTGAAGTCAGTAAGACCAAGAACCCACCAATTCCGGACACACTATGTCCCAAGCCCATGGCAGCAGAGGCTGTTCCACCTACTTCTACCTGGGGATTTACCCATGTAGGAAAGCATCAACAACCGGATTTGACTGACCGAGTGACTGACCAAGAGGATTAACGACCCACTGAAGGGGCCCCAGCACCCAGACACAGGAGCCCACAGAGAAATGAGAACCCACAGTGCTGAAGCAGACAGGGGCATCTCTGAATTAAAAACAGTAATAAACAAGAGACCTTCAGGAAATCCAAATACAGCATAGGAATGACCTTTCATGCTGGGCACAGTGGCTCATGCCTGTAATCCCAACACTTTGGGAGGCCGAGGCGGGCAGATCACCTGAGGTCAAGACCAGCCTGGCCAACATGGTGACACCCAGTCTCTACTAAAAATACAAAAATTAGCTGGGCATGGTGGCGCATGCCTGTAATCCCAGCTACCTGGGAGGCTGAGGCAAGAGAATAGCTTGAACCCGGGAGGCGGAGGTTGCAGCAAGCCGAGATTGCACCATTGCACTCCAGCCTGGGCTGTAAGAGTGAAACTCCGTCTCAAAAAAAAAAAGAAAAGAAAAAAAAGAAAGAAATGACCTTTTAGAGCTAAAATACATGATTATTTTAGCTCTAAGAAATTCCATTAAGAATTAAAAGCCAGTAGGGCCTCAACTGAGACTCAAATTAGTCTGGGAGATAAAGTACAAGAAAGATCTCAAAACAGAGCAACATTACAAAGAGATGGAGATCTTGTGAGAAAATATAAGAGTGGGAGGATAGGCCGGGCGCAGTGGCTCACACTTGTAATCCCAGCACTTTGGGAGGCCGAGGCGGGCGGATCACGA
The DNA here is from genome assembly GCF_000001405.40 of Homo sapiens. Lineage (NCBI taxonomy): Eukaryota > Metazoa > Chordata > Mammalia > Primates > Hominidae > Homo > Homo sapiens. The sequence goes on along the minus strand of NC_000012.12, from coordinate 122,674,929 downwards.
GGTCAGGAGTTTGAGACCACGGTGAAACCCCGTCTCTACTAAAAAATACAAAACATTAGCCGGGCGTGGTGGCGGGTGCCTGTAGTCCCAGCTACTTGGAGAGGCTGAGGCAGGAGAATGGCGTGAACCCGGGAGGCAGAGCTTGCAGTGAGCTGAGATCGAGCCACTGCACTCCAGCCTGGGTGACAGAACAAGACTCCGTCTCAAAAAAAAAGAAGGGTGGGAGGATATCCTTCCTCCCGAAGAACTAATATGTACATAATAGGAGTTCTAAAATGAGAAGATGCAACAGATAAATCATAGAAGTAAAGTTCCTCAAAACTAATAAAGACCTGAGACTGCAGATTAAAAGAGCTCACTGAGTTCCTGGCTGCACTGAGAAGACTCTTCTGGAGGCCTATTCTGGTAAAAATTCAGAAAGATTAAAAAAAAAAACAACAGTTTACAAGTGTCAAGCAGAGAAAGAAGATACGAAAGAAAAATCTCAGACTAGAATCAGACTTCATCTGCATTACTGAAAGATGAGAGTAATCTACACTTCTTATCTACAGAGAAGGGAGAGAAAGGACAGCAATCCAAGAATCCTCTATTCTGTTCTCAAAACATTTTTTTTGGCCAGGCGCAATGGCTCACGCCTGTAACCCCAGCACTTTGGGAGGCCGAGGCAGATGGATCACTTGAAATCAGGAATTCGAGACCAGCCTGGCCAACATGGTGAAATGCCGTCTCTACTAAAAATACGAAAATTAGCTGGGAGTGGTGGCAGGTGCCTGTAATCTCAGCTGTTCAGGAGACCGAGGCAGGAGAATCACTTGAACCCGGGAGGTGGAGGTCGCAGTGAGCCGAGATTGCACCACTGCACTCCAGCCTGGGCAATAGAACCAGACTCCATCTCAAAAAAAAAGAAAAAAAATTTTTTTTTCATCAATTGAAGCAACAGGTAGATTTTCAAAGATACTCAAGAAATCAGGCAGGCGTAGTGGCTCTCGTCTGTAATCCCAACACCCTGGGAGGCTGAGGTGGGAGGGATCACTTGAGTGCAGGAGTTTGAGACCAGCCTGGACAACATGGTGAGACCCTGTCTCTACAAAAAATACCAAAAAATTTGCCAGGCGTGGTAGTATGTGCCTGTAGTCCCAGCTACTTGGGGGCTGAAGTGAGAGGATTGCTTGAGTCCAGGAGGTCGAGGCTGCAGTGAGCCATGATTGCGCCATTACACTCCTGCCTGGGCAACAGAGCAAGACCCTGGTCTCAAAAAAAAGAAAATTCAGAGACAACCCTGGCGCACCCTCCATCTGATGGCACTACTTGGAAAAGACCTGATCAAGCTGCAAATAGCCCTGAAAAGAAGACTTAACAAAGGGAAAAAGAAAGAGAGCGAAAACCATGTTCAAAACATAGGCAGGGCTGGGCGCGGTGGCTCACACCCGTAATCCCAGCACTTTGGGAGGCTGAGGCAGGCAAATCACTTGAGGTCAGGAGTTTGAGACCAGCCTGGCCAACATGGCGAAACCTGTCTCTACCAAAAATACAAAAATTAGTTGGGTGTGGTGGTGCACACGTGTAATCCCAGCTACTTGGGAGGCTGAGGCAGGAGAATTTCTTGAACCTGGGAGGCAGAGATTGCAATGAGCCAAGATCATGCCACTGCACTCCAGCCTGGGTGACAGAGTGAGACTCCATCTCAAAAAAAAAAAAAAAAAAAAAAAAGAACATAGGCAGATGACATTTTAACTCAAAATGGAACAGGATAGACTGGGGATTTGTGTAATAGAGAAGGACCCTTAGAAAAGAGGATTATTGAAACCAAACGGATATCCCATAAGGGAAATTATAAGAAATGCTAGATTATCTCAGCCAAACCTCAGAAAGTGGGGTGGGGAATAGATGTGTTTCATGAGTCTCTCAGGGAACAGGGGGCAGGGGAAATGGAAGAGAGGGGAAGCGAAAGCGCTCTAAAGGTGTCATCTCACTGGGGTGAGGGAGAAGGGGAGTGCGACAGGAGAAATGTATATTTGATCTCTGCCCTTGGTTTCTAACACAGAGCCTCTAAAACCCTTGCAATTTCCTGAGGATAGGTGAACATCCTTTGCGATTATTTTTATTCTTAGTCTCTGGTTCCTGACACAAGAGCTTTTAAGACCCTTGAAATCCCCAGAGTGTGGTGATTGTCTTTTAATATGCTGATGAGATGACTGGTAGCTGGAGTCCCCAGACAGCTTTAGCACAGGGGCTGCTCCCTGCAAAGACCAAGGCATGGCCACAGGATTGGAGCTATCAGCTCCACCCCTTGACCTCTGGGAGGGGAGAGGGGCTGGAGATTGACTTAATCATCAATGGCCAATGGTTTTGTTTTATTTTGAGGCAAGGTGTTGCTCTGTCACCCAGGCTGGAGTGCAGTGGCATGATCACGGGTCACTGCAGCCTCAACTTCTCCAGGTTGAAGCGATCCTCCCACCTCAGCCTCCCATGTAGCTAGGACTATAGCTGCACACCACCAGCTAATTTTTGTATTTTTTGTAGAGACACAGTTTCACCATGTTGCCCAGGCTGGTCTTGAACTCCTGGGCTCAAGCGATCCATCTGTCTCAACCTCCCAAAGTGCTGGGATTACAGGCGTGAGCCACTGGGCCCAGTGGCCAGTGATTTAATCAGTCACACCTCCATAATGAAGTCTCCACAAAGTCCCTAGAGGACAGAGTTCAGAGAGCTTCTGAGTTGGTGAACTCAATGAAGTGCTAGAGGGACACATCGGAGGGCGCATGGAAGCTCTGCACACTCCCGCCCCATACTATATCCTCCATGCATCTCTTTCCACGTAGCTGTTTCTTAGTTGCATTCTTTATGACAAACCAATAAATATAAGTAAAGTGTTTTCCCGAGTTTTGTGAGCTATTCTAGCAAATTACTGAACCTGAGGATTGGACTGTGGGAACTTTTGATTTATATCCGGTCAGTTGGAAGTACAGGTGTATTGGGTAAACAAAGTCTGGTACATATACACCATGGAATACTACACAGCCATAAAAAACACAATCGGCCAGACATGGTGGCTCACGCTTGTAATCTTAGCACTTCGGAAAGCTGAGGTGGAAGGATTACTTGAGCCCAGGAGTTCTAGACCAGCTTGGGCAAAAATAGTGAGACCCCCCGTCTCTACAAAAAAAAAAATGAAAAACAAAAAATTAGTCAAGCATGGTGGTGCACGCAGTAGTCCCAGCTACTCGGAAAGCTGAGGTGGGAGGATTGCTTCAGCCCAGGGAGGTCGAGGCTGAAGTGAGCTGTGATTGAGCTATTGCACTCCTGCCTGGGTAACAAGAGACCCCATCTCAAAAAAAAAAAAAAAAAAAAAGACTGAATAAAACATGTCCTTTGCAGCAATGTGGATGGAGCTGGAGGCCATTATCCTAAGTGAACTAACACAGGAACAGAAAAACAAACACCACCTGCTCTCACTTATAAGTGGGAGCTAAACCTTGAGTTCGCGTGGACACAAAGAAAAACACAGACACCAGGGCCTATTGGAGGGTGGAGCGGAGGCAGAGGGAGAAGATTGGAAAACTACCTATGAGATACTGTGCTCATTACCCCTGTGACAAAACAATCTGTACACCAAACATCAGCAACACGCGATTCACCCATGGAACAAACCTGCACATGTACCCTCTGAATCTAAAATAAAAGTTGGAAAGGAAAAAAAAAAGTACCTGTGGGAAGCTGGGACTTGTGATTGGGGTCTGGAGTGGATGGAAGCCGTCTTGTGAACTGGGCCCTTTAGCTTGTGGGATCTGATGCTAACTCCAGGCTGAACAGTGTCAGATTTGAACTGTAGGACACCCAGTCAGTGTCCAAAGAGAACTGGAGTGCTGCTTGGTGTGGAAACCCCAGTGGGTGTCAGGAGTGTTGTGAGTGTAGAGAAAAATAGTTTATTTTTTTTCTTTTAGGGATGAAATAGATCAAGGAGGGTTGGGCGCGGTGGCTCACGCCTGTAATCCCAGCACTTTGGGAGGCCGAGGCAGGTGGATTGTTTGAGGGCAGGAATTTGAAACCAGCCTGGACAACATGGCGAAACCCTGTCTCTACAAAAAAAAAAAAAAAAAAATACAAAAATTAGCCAGGCGTGGTGGTGCGCACCTGTGGTCTCAGCTACTTGGGAGGCTGAGGCAGGAAAGTTGCTTGAGTGTGGGAGGTTGAGGCTGCAGTGAGCTGAGATCGTGCCACTGCACTCTGGCCTCGACAACAGAGAGAAACCCTGCTAAGGAAAGGAGGGGAGGGGAGGGGAGATCAAGGAGCTGAGAGGACAGGGTACTTCAGTGAGGAAAATAGTAGGTCCTATGTTTCTCATTTTAAGAGTGAGGAAATTAGTCATGAAGGAAACAAGGAGACCTTCTTTTTTTTTTTCTTTTTTTTTTTTTTTTGAGACGGAGTCTCGCTCTGTCGCCCAGGCTGGAGTGCAGTGGCGGGATCTCGGCTCACTGCAAGCTCCGCCTCCCGGGTTCACGCCATTCTCCTGCCTCAGCCTCCCAAGTAGCTGGGACTACAGGCGCCCGCCACTACGCCCGGCTAATTTTTTGTATTTTTAGTAGAGACGGGGTTTCACCGTTTTAGCCGGGATGGTCTCGATCTCCTGACCTCGTGATCCGCCCGCCTCGGCCTCCCAAAGTGCTGGGATTACAGGCGTGAGCCACCGCGCCCGGCCCAAGGAGACCTTCTTACCAAGCCTGGGAACTCAGAAGCTAGGGGAAAAAAAGACGGATATATTTGACCGTATAAACACTGAAACATTTTGTGTGACAAGGGATACCAGAAATAAAACCAATTCAAATGATGGAGCTGAAAAAATATTTGTAATACAAATAATAGTCACCAACTTCTATTGATGAACTTAGTGTGTGCCAGGCTGAATTCTACGTACCTGACACACATTAACTCATCATCTCTAACAGCACTATGAAGGAGGAATTACCGTGATGATGATGATGATGATCACTATTTTATAGTTGAGTACAGAGGTTAAATAATGAAGGTAAATAATTTGCTGAGGTCATGTGGCCAGTCAGGGCTCAGTCAAGATGTAACCTTTGGCAGCCTGCCCCAGCACCAAACCTCTTAATCACTTTGTAGATGAAAGCCAAAAGTCAAATGGACACTATATAAAGAGCTTTTACAAATTGTTCTGAAAAAGAGAATCAACCAATACAGAAATGGACTTAGACTATAAATAGACCATTTGCGGAGGAGCAAAACCAAATGGGTAACCAACAGTATGAAGAGACCCTCAAACTTACAGGGGTCAGACACTTGCGAATGAAAGCAGCAATGAGACATCTCTCTACATTCCTCAGAATAAACTGATTCATCAAGCTAAAACGAGAAAAAAAATCTCAAATGCTGGCAGGAATATGGAGAAAAGGGCATGCTCAGATATGAAGTTTTGTAGTCATTTGGGAAAGCAATTTGGCAACATCTGTTAAAATGGAAACTAAACATACCCTTTGATCTTCTAATCCCACTCTTGAGAATCTATCCAAAGAAATAAAAACACCAACACTTAAGGACAAGAATGTGTATTGGAGCACTGTTTTTGTGTGTGTGCATGTGGCAGAAAACTGACCACAAAGTGAACGCCCATCAAAAAGAAAAGGCATAACGAATAATGCTACTTCCACCCTATGGAATATCATATAGCTATATAAAAGGAATCAATGCCGGCCGGGCGTGGTGGCTCCCGCCTGTAATCCCAGCACTTTGGGAGGCCAAGACAGGTGGATCATGAGGTCAAGAGATCGAGACCATCCTGGCCAACATGGTGAAACCCCGTCTCTACTAAAAATACAAAAAAATTAGCTGGGCGTGGTGGTGCATGCCTGTAGTCTCAGCTACTCAGGAGGCTGAGGCAGGAGAATTGCTTGAACCCAGGAGGCGGAGGTTGCAGTGAGCTGAGATCACGCCACTGCACTCTAGCCTGGCAACTGAGCAAGAGACTGTCTCAAAAAAAAAAAAAAAAAAAAAAAAAAGAAATCAATGCCTCTGACTGGCAAAGTTTCCGCAAATTATTGTGAAGTGTGAAAAGCATGATACAAAAAATGTGTACATTGTCTCCCATTTTTATGAAACAAAAAATATCTATATGTAGAGGACTTTATGCAGACACAGGAAAGCATAGAGAACGCCTATGGGTTAATATCTGTTACTTGTAGGGAGGGGTTGGGAGACTTATGTGGGTTGAGCTGGAAAACCAGGAGTCAGATGAGAAAAAGCTTTACCAGGGGTGGCAAACCACAGCCCACAGGCCAAACTAGCCTGCCACCTTTTATAAATAAAGTTTTAAAAAAATAAATAAAGTCTTTTATAAATAAAGTTTTATTGGAACATAGCTATTCACAGGGCCAGGACTAGGGAGAGGCTGAACCACTCGCTCACTCTCAGCATCACCCCTGCACTTTCAGGACCTGAGATGAGTGTCTCCTTAGAGTGTGCACCCCAGGGGCCTCTGTCCTCTCACCCTAGAGTATTTGCATTCATTTACGTATGATCTGTGGCTTCTTTGTCACTACAAGGCAGAGTTGAGTAGTTGGGACAGAGACTGCATGACTTGCAAGCCTGAAATATTTACAGCACAGGTAAAGTTTGCAGGACTAAGTTTGCCTGGAGTAGTCTAAAATAAAATTGGGTATATGGGCCAGGTGCAGTGGCTCGAGCCTGTAATCCTAGTACTTTAGGAGTTCGAGGTGGGCAAATAGCTTGAATCCAGGAGTTCAAGATCAGCCTGGGAAACATGGTGAAACCCATCTTTACAAAAAAAAAAAAAAAAAAAAAAAGATTACCCCAGGTGTGGTGGTGTGTGCTTGTGGTACCAGCTACTCAGGAGGCTGAGGTGGGAGGATCGCTTGAGCCTGGGAGGTGGGCAGTGAGCTGAGATTGAGCCACTGCACTCTAGCCTGGGTAACAAAGTGAGACCTTATCTCACAAAAAAAAAAAAAAAAAGGCCAGGAGCAGTGGCTCACGCCTGTAATCCCAGCACTTTAGGAGGCTGAGGCGGGCAGATCACAAGGTCAGGAGTTTGAGACCAGCATGGCCAACATAGTGAAACACTGTCTCTACTAAAAATACAAAAATTAGCCGGGCATGGTGGCGCGTGCCTGTGGTCTCAGCTACTCGGGAGGCTGAGGCAGGAGAATCACTTGAACTGGGAGGTGGAGGTTGCAGTGAGCAGAGATCGTGCCACTGCCCTCCAGCCTGGGCAACAGAGTGAGACTTCGTCTCAAAAAAAAAAAATAGATATATGAACACATTAACATACCCAATAAAAGATTCTGTATTTGTCTGTCTATATATAAATTTTAACAAAATAAGATGAATCAGAGTCTTTAATCTGGTAGCCTACTGGCCCGAAGGGTTGGCTATTGTGTTTTTGGTGAGCCAGCAGTGATTTTATAAATTCCTATAGTCTTCTGAGTCTGTGTCCCCTGCACGTGTTTCCATTAGACACAAGGTTTGCCCTCCCAAGGACCACAGTATATAAACAAATACACAGTCTATCTGTGGAATTTTTTTTTTTTTTTGAGTCGAGTCTCACTCTGTCTCCCAAGCTGGAGCACAGTGGCATGATCTTGGCTCACTGCAACCTCTGCCTCCCATGTTCAAGTGATTCTCCTGCCTCAGTCCCCCTAGTAGCTGGGATTACAGGTGAACACCAACACGTCCGGCTAATTTTTGTTATTTTTAGTAGAGACGGGGTTTCACCATGTTGGCCAGGCTGGTCTCAAACTCCTGACCTTAGGTGATCTGCCTGCCTTGACCTCCCAAAGTACTCGGATTACATGTGTGAGCCACCGAACCTGGCCTGTGGAATTAAAATTTGGGTGCGGTGGCTCGTGGCTACAATCTCAGAACTTTGGGAGGCCGAGGTGGGCAGATCACTCGAGGTCAGGCATTCCAGACCAGCTGGCCAACATTACAAAACCCCGTCTCTATTACAAATACAAAAATTAGCCCGGCGTGGTGGCACATGCCTATAATCCCAGCTACTTTGGGAGGCTGAGGCATGAGAATCCCTTGAACCTGGGAGGTTGCAGTAAGCCAAGATCATGCCACTGCACTCCAGCCTAGGCGACAGAGTGAGACTCTGTCACAAAAAAAAAAAAAAAAAAAAAAAAAAAAAAAAAAATTCCATGGGGCCAAGTATAGTGGGGAGGCTAAGGTGGGAGGACTGCTTGAACCTAGGAGTTTGAAACCAACCTGGGCAACATAGCAAGACCCCATCTCTACAAAAATAAAAATAAAAAATAACTTGGAGGGCTGAGGTGGGAGGATTGCTTGAGCTTGGGAATTTGAGGCTGCAGTGAGTTTTGATCATACCACTACACTCCAGCCTGAGCAACAGAGTGAGACCCTGTCTCAAATAAATAAATAAATAAAAATTAAAAATCAGCTGGGTGTGGTCATACATACCTGTTTTCCCATACTCAGGAGGCCGACATAGGAGGATGGCTTGAGCCAGGAGTTTGAGGCTACAGTGAGCCATGATTACACCATTGCACTCCAAACTGGGCAACAGAGAGAGACCCTGTCTCGAAATAAAACCAAATAAATAAAATAAAATAAAATAAAATCAAGCTGCATGGGAGGAAGGGTGTTGGCGAGGATATCGGGAAACTGGAACCTCGTGCATTGCTGGCAGGAATATACAATGATGCAGCCACTGTGGAAAATAGTTTGGCAGCTTCTCAGTAAGCTAAACACAGAATCGCCATGTTACCCGGCAATTCTACTCCTAGGAAAATATTCAAAAGATTGAAAACAAGTGTTCAAACAAAAATTTGAATACATATATTCACAGAAGTACTATTCTCAATAGCCAGAAAGTAACCCAACCCCAAATGTCCATCAACCGATGAATGGATAAACAAAAGGCAGTCTATCCACACAAAGGAATACTATTCAGACATGAAAAGGAATGCAGTACTGAAGACAAGGAATGCTGCATCATGGATGAATCTTGAAACATTATGCTGACTGAAAGACACGAGCCAGGTGCAGTGGCTCATGCCTGCAATCCCAACACTTTGGGAGGCTGAGGCAGGTGGATCGCTTGAGCCCAGTAGTTTGAGACCAGTCTGGGCTACATAGCGAGACCCCATCTCTATAAAAAAAAAAAACGAAACTTAGCCGGGCGTGGCGACGCATGCCTGTAGTCCCAGCTTCTCAGGAGGCTAAGGTGGGAGGATCACTTGAGCCTGGGGAGGTCGAGGCTTCGCTGAGCTATGCTGACGCCACTGCACTGAAAAAAAGAGAGAGAGACAGAGAGAGAGAGACAAAGAAAGAAAAGAAAAGAAAAGAAAAGAGAAAAGAAAAAGAGAAAAGAGAAGAAAAGAGGAAAGAAGGAAGGGAGTGAGGGAATGAGGGAAGGAAGGAAGGAAGGAACGAAAGGCCACATTTTATATGACTCTATTTACATGAAATGTCCAGAATAGGCAAAATCTGTAGACAGTAACCTTAGTGGTTACTAGGGACTGGCGGGGAGGGGAGAATGGGAAGTGACAGCTTAATGGTTTCTGTTTAGAGTGAAGACAACGCTCTAGAACGGGAAAGTGGAGTGAGAATTGCACCAAATTATAAATGTACTTAACACCACTTTAAAATGGTGACTTTTATGTTATATATATATATATGTCTTTTCACAATAAAAAAATTCATGGTGGGAAATCTAAGGAAAAAAATCTAAAAAGGCAAAGTGGGGAGGGGCAATAATGAGAAAGAAAGGTCGAGAAACACTGAGCTAAAGACCAGTCTGTAATCTCTCTCTTTTTTTTTTTTGAGACAAGGTCTCGTTCTGTCACCCCAGCTGCAGTGTGGTGGCGTGATCACAGCTCACTGCAGCCTCGATGGCCTGAGCTCAAGTGATCCTCCCACCTCAGCCTCCTGAGAAGCTGGGACCACAGGCATGTACCACCATGCCCAGCTAATTTTTAATTATTTATAGTGTTGAAGTCTCATGTTGCCCACCCAGGCTGGTCTTGAACTCCTGGGCTCAAGCAATCCTCCCACTTTGACCTCCCAAAGTGCTGGGATTACAGGTATGAGCCACTGCACCCGGCCTTAGTCTGTATCTCAACACTGTAAAGATTGTTACCTTTAAAGCAAATACCTCAATAATTCAAGTCTTTAAAACAGTGAGGGGTCCAGCCACAGTGGCTCACATCTGTAATCCCAGCACTCTGGGAGACCGAGGTGGGCGGATCACTTGAGGCCAGGGGTTCGAGACCAATCTGAGTTTAGGAGTTTGAGACCAACTTGGCCAACATAGTGAAACCCCGTTGCTACTAAAAATACAAAAAATTAGCTGGGCACAGTGGCGTGTGCCTGTAATCCTAGCTACTTGCGGGCCTGAGGCACAAGAATTGCTTGAACCCGGGAGGTGGAGGTTGCAGTGAGTCGAGATTACGCCCCTCCACTCTAGCCTGAGTGACAGAGCAAGACTCTATCTCAAAAAAAATGAAAATAAAAAAAAAAGAGTTCGAGACCAGCCTGGCCAACACGTTGAAACCCTGTCTCTACTAAAAATACAAAAATTAAGGCCGGGCCCAGTGGCTCACGCCTGTAATGCCAGCACTTTGGGAAGCCAAGGTGGGCGGATCGCCTGAGGTCAGGAGTTCGAGACCAGCCTGGCCAACATGGTGAAACCCCATCTGTACTAAAAATCAAAAACTTAGCTGGGTATAGTGGCACATGCCTGTAGTCCCAGCTACTTGGGAGGCTGAGGCAGGAGAATCGCTTGAACCCAGGAGGCAGAGGTTGCAGTGAGCCAAGATCACGCCACTGCACTCCAGCCTGGGCGACAGAGCGAGACGCCGTCTCAAAAATAAATAAATGAATAAATAAATATAAATAAATAAATAAAAACGGTAAGGAAGGGATCTTGGCCCTTGAGGTAAATTGCCCCCTTGTCTCTCTCTAATCCAGGGTTTGGGGGAATGGTGTTCACTCACGGCCTGCAAAGCTTTGGGTTTAATTACTGTTTCTTGTCCAACATTTGTCTGATTTTGTGGGTTACTTGGGGCCCTCAGGGATGCAAGAAGCCAAGTGCACACTCAGGTGACCAAGGTGATGGAAGTTATAGAAGCAATCGTGGGCAAGCAAGAATGCTCTGGAAACTGTGGAGCCTCATGAAGAACTGGAACCGGTCTTTAATCAAGTCTCAGATACCATCTCTTAGAAGCTGTGTATCATTATTTCATAAACTATGAAGAAAGAAAAACAGGCCGGGCGCGGTGGCTCACGCCTGTAATCCCAGCACTTTGGGAGGCTGAGGGGGGTGGGTCACCTGTGGTCAGAAGTTTGAGACCAGCCTGGCTAACATGGTGAAACCCCATCTCTACTAAAAATACAAAAATTAGGCGGGCATGGTGGCACGCGCCTGTAATCCCAGCTACTCAGGAAGCTGAGACAGGAGAATTGCTTGAACCCGGGAGGCAGAAGTTGCAGTGAGTCAGGACTGTGCCATTGCACTCCAGCCTGGGTGACAGAGGGAGACAAAGGAAGGAAGGAAGGAAGGAAGGAAGGAAGGAGGGAGGGAGGGAGGGAGGGAGGGAAGGAAGGAGGGAAGGAAGGAGGGAAGGAAGGAAGGAAAGAAGGAAGGAAGGAAGGGAGGAAGGAAGGAGGGAAGGAAGGAGGGAGGGAGGGAGGGAGGGAAGGAAGGAGGGAAGGAAGGAAGGAAAGAAGGAAGGAAGGAAGGGAGGGAGTCCATCAGAAAGAAAGAAAGAGAAAGAATGAGAAAGGAAGAAAAAGAAGAAAGAAAGAAAATGCACACAATTTAACTATAATATACTTCTTTCTTATTGCTTCAAAATTTCATTTGACTCTTTTAGTCTCCAGTGTTTCTTTATTTCCTATATCAGTCTTGTGTATATATGAAAAGAAAGATATTATGGGAAATAGCATGGGGGTTCCTCAAAAAATTATAAATAGTACTACCATATGATCTAGAAAGCTCACTACTGAATGCATATCTGAAGGAAATGAAATCAGTATGTTGAAGAGATACCTGCACACCCATGTCTATTGCAGCATTCTTCATGACATTATCCACAGTCAAGATATAGGAGCTGGCCGGGCGCCGTGGCTCACGTTTGGGAGGCCGAGGTGAGAGGATTGCTTGAGGTCAGGAGTTCAAGACCAGCCTGGTCAACATAGCAAAAACCTCATCTTTACTAAAAATACAAAAATTAGTCAGGCATGGTGGCGGGTACCTGTAATCCCAGCTACTTGGGAGGCTGAGGCAGGAGAATTACTTGAACCCGGGAGGTGGAGGTTGCAGTGAGCCAAAATTGTGACACTGCACTCCAGCCTGGGTGACAGAGAGAGATGCTGTCTCCAAAAAAAAAAAAAAAAAAAAAAAGATATGGAATCAGCCTAGGTGTCAATCAGTGGATAAATGAAGAAAATGTGGTGTATACACAATGAAGTACTATTCAGCGTTTAAAAAGAAGGAAATCCTGTCATTTGCCACAACTTGAATGAACCTGGGTGACTTTATGTTAAGTGAAGTAAGCCAGACGCAGAAAGACAAATACTGCATGATCTCCCTTATATATGAATCTAAAAAAGTTGAACTCATAGAAGCAGAGGGTGGAATGGTGGTTACCGGGAGCTGGAGGTGGGTGGCTGGGTTGGGGAGAGGTTGATCAAAGGGTACAAATGTTCTGTTAGACAGGAGAAATAAATTCAAGAGATCCATTGTACAACATGGTGACTATAGTCAACAATGGCTGGGCACAGAGGCTTTGGAAAGCCAAGGCAGGAGAATCGTTTGAGGCCAGGAGTTCAAGATCAGACTGGGCAACATAGTAAGACCCCATTTCTATAATAAATGAATAAATAGTGTCAACAACAATGGATTGTGTCCTTGAAAATTGTTAAGAGTAGATTTTAGGTGTTCTCGCTACAAAAAAAGTCATGAGAGATAATGCATATGTTAATTAGCTCATTTTAGCCATTCCATAATGTATACATATTTCAAAACACCATGCTGTACACCATAAATATATACAATTTCTATCTCTCAATTAAAAAAATTTTTGTAAGTAAAAAGGCACCTGCAATCTCAGCTACTCAGGAAACCGAGGCAGGAAGATCGCTGAACCCAGGAGTTCGAGACCCTGTCTGTAAATAAGTAAATAAAGTAAAGAGGATGATGTAAGGGAAACCGGTGATTTACTCCTGCAACACCTCCACATTTTCAATCTGGCTTTCTGGTCTCTTTCCAGTGCACGCACTTTGAGGTTTGTGTTTTTCGCCTGCTGTTGTCCTCAGCTCCTGTCCTCTGGACAGGGGGTTCAGAGTCTCTACAAAATCTAATGGCCCTTGGCACAATTCCTATGCCGGCTCACCCATCATGCAGGAGAGCCTCCTCTGACTCCTCCTGTGAGAATGTTGCCAAACGCATCTGACCCTCGGATTCTTAGGAGTGAAAAGGGTCCCGCGGTGTTCCCAAAGCCACCAGCGCCTGCTCTGCCCGTGGGGATCACAACGCTCTAGGAGTTCACCTACCTGCGGGCAGTCCCAGCAACCTCAGGGCTGCCGCCCGACCAAAAGCAGCAAATAAGACATCGTCTGTTGTTAGACACATTCCAAAATGCCAAAATGCGGGGCGGGGGGCGGGGAAAGGTGCATCTTCAGATTGATGAAATGTGGTTGCTGGGCAACCACAGGCATTGGCACCATCCTCGTGGCACTGCTTCGTTGACTGTGCCTCTGACTTCTGACTTGGTTTCCTGCTCACCTCCTGGCTTTTCCTTACCCACAGTATCTACCACCTGTCCTCTTTCTGGCCTCTGCACAACTCCAGTGGCAGTGTCAATTTCTTATATGTTTCAAGTTCAGACTTCCATGAAGAGAAGACCCCACTGGATTGTTGCCACCGTCCAGCAATGCCCGTTCCCTGTGGGTGGGGGATAGGAGTCCAGTAGTCACTAGCCAACTGTAGGGAGTTGAAGGGTGGCTCCCCCAAAAGACATGTCCATATCCTAACCCCAGGAAGCTTACTTGTGAATGTGATTTCACTGGGAAAAAAGGGTCTTTGCCCATGATTACATTTCAGATCTCAAGATGAGGTCATCCTGGATTATCTGGATGGGCCCCAAATCCAATGACAAGTGTCTTTATAAGATACACAGAGGTCTCCAGGCATGGTGGCTCATGCCTGTAATCCCAGCATTTTGAGAAGCCAAGGCAGGAGGATCACCTGAGGTCAGGAGTTCAAGACGAGCTCAGCCAACATGATGATACCCCATCTCTACTAAAAATACAAAAGTTAGCTGGGTGTGGTGGTGGGCGCCTGTAATCCCAGTTACTCAGGAGGCTGAGGCAAGAGAATCGCTTGAACCCGGGAGGTGGAGGTTGCAGTGAGCTGAGATCCCGCCACCGCACTCCAGCCTGGGCAACGGAGCGAGACTCTGTCTCAAAAAAGAAAAGAAATAAAACACACAGAGGAGACACACAGAGAAGGTGATGTGAGGATAAAGGCAGAGATGGGAGTGATGCAGCTACCATCCAAAAACCTGGAGCCACCAGGAGCTGGAAGAGGCAAGAAATGATTCTCTCCTAGAACCTCTAGAGGGAGCGTGGCCCAACTGACCCCTTGTGTTTGGACTTATAAAATTCTGTGGTTTTTTGTTTGTTTTGAGATGGAGTTTCGCTCTGTCGCCCAGGCTGGAGTGCAGTGGCTCAATCTCAGCTCACTGCAATTTCTGCCTCTCGGGTTCAAGTGATTCTCCTGCCTCAGCCTCCCGAATATCTGGGATTACAGGCGCTCACCACCACACGCGGCTAATTTTTCATATTTTTAGTAGAGACGGGGTTTCACCACGTTGGCCAGGCTGGTCTCAAACTCCTGCCCTCAGGTGATCTGCCCACCTCGGCCTCCGAGAGTACTGGGATTACAGGTGTGAGCCCCCGAGCCTGGCCAGCTCTGCGGTTTTAAGCCACTAAGTGTGTGGTGATCTGTTTCAGTAGCTATAGGAAACTACATTCAGCTAGAGCATGTCCTTTTGAGCAAAGCTTTTGTACCAGGTCACTTCATGGGCTTCTGGCCAGCCTGTGGATGACTTTCCAGGCATGGATGACAGTAGCTGGTCCAGTCAACTGAAGCCAAATGGTCACATGACACCGTATTTGCGCCACAGATTTCTCTTCTGGCAATGCTGAGAAAGACTGACAGGAGGAACTGCGGTTAGATTTGTACAGCCTGCCCTTTCTTTGCCCTTTGTGGGCCGATAACAATCATTTACCCTCAAACATTATTTTTCCTATAAACATTAAGATAAAAACAAATGAGTTCTCACTGTGCTTTAGCGGTGTCCCTGGAATCTGTGCCTGGCCTCGCTTGCTCCTTGAAGGACCTCAGTGACGCTTCCCAGTCTGACACCCAGAGAAGGCGATGTGAAGATAATAAGTATTTCCCTTAAATACTTTCTTGTCACAAATAGCTGTCAGTTTTCCTTTTATTTTTTTGAACTCAGTACATATTTATCAAAATAATAAATGGGCTGGGCGCGGTGGCTCAGGCCTATAATCCCAGCACTTGGGAGGGCCAGGTGGGCAAATCACCTGAGGTCAGGAGTTCAAGACCAGCCTGACCAACATGGAGAAACCCCATCTCCACTAAAAATACAAAATTTCCATCCTGGCTAACATGGTGAAACCCCGTCTCTACTAAAAATACAAAAAATTAGCCAGGCGTGGTGGTGGGCACCTGTAGTCCCAGCTACTCGGGAGGCTGAGGCAGGAGAATGGCGTGAACCTGGGAGGCGGAGCTTGCAGTGAGCCGAGATCGCACCACTGCACTCCAGCCTGGGCGACAGAGCAACACTCCGTCTCAAAAAAAAAAAAAAAAACAACAACAAAATTAGCCAGGCATGGTGGCGTGTGCCTGTAATCCCAGCTACTCAGGAGTCTGAGGCAGGAGAATCGCTTGAACCCGGGAGGCAGAGGTTGCGGTGAGCCGAGATTGCACCATTGCACTCCAGCCTGGGCAACAAGAGTGAAACTCCATCTCAAAAAAAAAAAAAAAAAAGAATAAATGAAATGTCTCATAACAAAAGAAAATAGACACTGTTTAAAGGCTTGAGCTTTTTATAGAATATAAATGCACGAACTCTGCAGTTGATGGACTCAGTAGTGTGAGGCTGTTCTATGTCCTTGTGTACTTATTCCCATAAGCTATGTCCTAAAGATAGGTGGCTGCTGTGTCATTAAACTGCTGCAATTTTTTTTTCTTTGAGATAGAATCTCACTCTGTCACCCAAGCTGGAGTAGAGTGGCGCTATCTCGGCTCACTGAAACCTCTGCCTCCCGGGTTCAAGTGATTCTCCTGCCTCAGCTTCCCAAGTAGCTGGGATTACAGGTGTGCACCACCAGACCCGGCTAATTTTTGTATTTTTAGTAGAGATGGGGTTTTGCCATGTTGGCCAGGCTGGTCTCGAACTCCTGGCCTTAAGTGATCTGCCTACCTCAGCCACCCAAAGTGCTGGGATTGCAGGTGTGAGCCACCACATCTGGCCAATTTTTTTTAAATAGGTAAGAATTTACCTTAAAATTTTAATATGAATAGTAGTTTATGGATTGCAAAGGATATAAATTGTTCTCACCTGTTTATTACATATTAGAGCAGATAATATTATTTCCATCTTACAGATGCAAGTTCACAGAACTGGCAAGTAGCAAGGAGAAAAGAAAACTCTTATTTGAGACTTTCTTTTTTTTTTTGAGACGGAGTTTCGCTCTTGTTGACCAGGCTGGAGTGTGAGGCACGATCTCAGCTCACTGAAACCTCTGCCTTCTGGGTTCAAGTGGTTCTCCTGCCTCAGCCTCCCGAGTAGCTGGGATTACAGGTGCCTGCCACCATGCCTGGCTACTTTTTTGTATTTTAGTAGAGACGGGGTTTCACCATGTTAGCCAGGCTGGTCTCAAACTCCTGACCTCAGGTGATCCACCCACCTCGGCCTCCCAAAGTGCTGGGATTACAGGCGTGAGCCACCGTGCCCAGCTTTATTTTATTTATTTTATTTTTATTTTTTTGTGACAGAGTCTCACTCTGCTTCCCAGGGTGGAGTGCAGTGGCCTGATCTCAGCTCACTGCAACCTCTGCCTCCCAAGTTCAAGCGATTCTCCTGCCTCAGCCACCCAAGTAGCAGGAGTGCACCACCAGGCCCAGCTAATTTTGTATTATTATTATTTTTATAGTAGAGACGGGGTTTGCCGTTTCACCATGTTAGCCAGGCTGGTCTCAAACTCCTGACCTCAGGTGATCTGCATGCCTTGGCCTCCCAAAGTGCTGGGATTACAGGCACGAGCCACCATACCCAGCCACAAATGGGGGTCTTGAAATACACTCCCAGCATCTCTGCAAGGGCGTTACAAGGTAAAGCACACCCCATACCATTCAGGATCCTTCTTCTGATATTTCTCTTTTTTTATATTTATTTATTTTTTAGAGACAAGGTCTCACTCTGTCACCCAGGCTGGGAGGCAGTGGTGTGATCATGGCTCACTGCAGCCTTGACCTCCCAGGCTCAGACAATCTCTCCAACTCAGCCTTCCAAGAAGCTGGGACTACTGGTGCGTACCACCAAACTCATCTAATTTTTTATTTTTTATAGAGATGAGGTCTCACCATGTTGCCCAGGCTGGTCTCCAACTCCTGACCTCCTGATCCAAGTGATCCTCCTGCCTCAGCCTCCCAAAGTGCTGGTATTATAGGCATGCACCATTGTGCCAGACACCTCCTCCGATATTTCTTGAGCTTCCACTTCACACAGCCTTTATCCTCTTGCT
This sequence comes from Homo sapiens, assembly GCF_000001405.40. Lineage (NCBI taxonomy): Eukaryota > Metazoa > Chordata > Mammalia > Primates > Hominidae > Homo > Homo sapiens. Next base: position 122,657,094 of record NC_000012.12, on the reverse strand, counting down.
GTTGGTCATGACTCTTGTTCCCACACTTCTTTATTAAGACAGATGTTTGCAGAATAAACACACCAATGAACAAAGACAGCTACACAACCCCTAAAGGGAAGGCTGCCTGGCTGCTGGAACAGACTAGATTACGCCCTTGAATGAAACACAAATTGCTCTAATAATGTTGGGGGAGGGGGTGGTCGACAGAGAACTCACCTAGCTGTGTCACCACCTTCTAGAAATGACCCTCCTCCAAGCGACAGTGTCATTCAGAGGTGACTGGGTGCCAATCCAGTACAGAAACTGAGTCTTGATCAGTTTAAGCCAGTCTTGGTAATATCACTCTCCTTGCCAAGACCACGCTGTAGGCATGGAGAAGTGACATCATTCTGGCCAGTAAGGTGTCGAGGAAGTCTTCCGGGGATGCTTTTCAGAAGATTTTCTTCACTTTTGAAAAGGACCTTTTGGTTTGGCAGTTCCTCAAAAAATTAAACATAGAATTATCATATGACCCAGCAATCCCACTTTTAGTCACATGCCCAAAAGAGTTGAAAACAGGTTACTCAAATACTTGCACAGGCCTGTACATAGCAGCAATATTCACCAGAGCAAAAAGGTGGAAGCAACCCAACAGCCCATCAACTGATGAATGAACAAAATATGGTGTCTGTGTACGACAGAATGTATTATTATTTGGTCATGAAATGGAATAAAGCACTGACACAAGCTGTCCCATGGAGGAACTTTGAAAACATGATGTCAAGTGAAAAAAGCCAGGTGCAAAAGGCCCCGCATGGTGTGACTCCATTTATATGAAATGTCCGGAATAAGCAAATACTTAGAAATCAGATGAGCTGAGAGTCGGGGAATGGGGAGGATTGTTTTTGATGGGTATGGGGTTTCCTTTGGGTGTGAAGAAAATGTTTTGGAACTAGATACAGGTGGTGGCTGCACAACATGGTGAAGGTACTAAATGCCACAGAATTTTTCACTTTATTTTATTTTTATTATTTTTTTTGGGACAGACTATTGCTCTTTTGCCCAGGCTGGAGTGAAATGGCGTGATCTTGGCTCACTGCAACCTCCACCTCCCCGGTTCAAGTGATTCTCCTGCCTCAACCTCCCGAGTAGCTGGGATTACAGGCACCCGACACCATGCCCGGCTAATTTTTTTGTATTTTTTTTTTTAGTAGAAACAGAGTTTTACCATGTTGGCCAGGCTAGACTCAAACTTCTGGATTCAAATGACTTGCCCGCCTTGGCCTCCCAAAGTGCTGGGGTTGGCCGGGCGCGGTGGCTCACACCTGTAATCCCAGCACTTTGGGAGGCTGAGGTGGGCAGATCACCTGAGGTTGGGAGTTCCAGACCAGCCTGACCAACATGGAGAAACCCCATCTCTACTAAAAATACAAAATTAGCCAGGCATGGTGGCACATGCCTGTAATCCCAACTACTCGGGAGGCTGAGGCAGGAGAATCGCTTAAACCCAGGAGGCAGAGGTTGCAGTGAGCCGAGATCGCACCATTGCACTCCAGCCTGGGCAACAAGAGTGAAACTACGTCTCAAAAAAAAAAAAAAAAAAAATGTGCTGGGATTACAGGCATGAGCCACCACACCCAGCTAATTATTTTGTATTTTTAGTAGAGATGGGGTTTCACCATGTTGGCCAGGCTTGTCTCGAACTCCTGACCTCAAGTAATTCGCCTGCCTTGGCCTCCACAAGTGCTGGGATTACAGATGTGAGCCACCACGCCCGGTCAGAATTGTTCACTTTAAAATGATTAGTTTTTCAAAAGGACGTGGCTGGAGATGAATTTTTTTTAAAAAATAAAAAGTTTAGTTTTATGTTATGTGAATTTCACCTCATTTGAAAAAAAAAGGATATTTGAAAATTCTTGCAAGGCCAGAAGGTTTGGAGTGGCTCAGCCTTTTTGCATTGTGAGGAGACAAGCAAAGAGCAAATCAGCATGTAGAGGATGGGGGATGAGATGGTAGACGGAGCTCGGCCATGTCATTGGCCTGTTCAGGGAACTCTGGACCTCTGATTAAGCAAGACGATAAATGATGTCTTTGCTTAAAGCCATTTCTAGCTGGGTTTTCCATTACTTGTAGCCAAAAACACCCTAACTGATACAGACTTCGAGGTTCTGAAAAAGCAAACCCAAGGTGTTAGTTTTATCCAATGGGAAGAAGAATCCCTAGACTGACAGTGGCCCTTTCACATCCCTGTGTATCCCTCGCTGGACAGAAATGATGACACAACATGTTGCTACAGCAAAAGCGAAAGAAATGAGCTTTTTCATCTTTTTTTGGTTGGAGGGGAGAGAGGGTCTTCGTAGCCCAGGCTGGAGTGCAGTGGCGCAATCATGGCTTCCTGCAGCCTCGTACTCCCCGCCTCAGCCTCCTGAGTAGCATGTACCACCACACCTGGTTAATTTTTTTTTTTTTTTTTTTTTGAGACAGAGTCTTGCTCTATCGCCCAGGCTGGAATGCAGTGGCGCGATCTCGGCTCACTGCAAGCTCTGCATCCCGGGTTCACGCTATTCTCCTGCCTCAGCCTCCCAAGTAGCTGGGAACACAGGCGCCTGCCACCACGCCTGGCTAATTGTTTTGTATTTTTTTAGTAGAGACGGGGTTTCACCATGTTAGCCAGGATGGTCTCGATCTCCTGACCTCGTGATCTGCCCGCCTCGGCCTCCCAAAGTGCTGGGATTACAGGCGTGAGCCAATGCACCCGGCCTAATTTTTTTTTTTTTTTTTTTGTAGAGACAGGGTCTTGCTATGTCGCCCAGGCTGATCATGAACTCCTGGGCTCAAGCCATCTGCCCGCCTCGGCCTCCCAAAGTGCTGGGATTACAGGCGTGAGCCACTGTGCCCAGCTGAGCTTTTTCATCTTGTAGGTAAATAACTAATGATGAAGAATTCTCAACAGTATTTACTTCTCAGGGTTAGGAAAGGATTGTGAGTGTGTGTGTGTTTGTGTGTGTGTGTGTGTGTGATTCCCAAGATGAACCCAGGTCTCATATTTCCAGGTATCTCTAACCAGCCTTAGTGTTCCAAAACACAGGACGGACTGGCTTTAGGTACAATATTAAAATAATTACAGGCTGGAAGCGATGGCTCATGCCTGTAATCCCAGCACTTTGGGAAGCCAAGGCAGGGGGATCACCTGAGGTCAGGAGTTTGAGAGCATCCTGGCCAACATGGTGAAACCCCGTCTCTACTAAAAATACAAAAATTAGCTGGGCATGGCAGCAGGCATGGGGGTGGGCGCCTGCAATCCCAGCTACTCCAGAGGCTTAGGCAGGAGAATCGCTTGAACCCAGGAGGCAGAGGTTGCAGTGAGCTGAGATCGCACCATTGCACTCCAGCCTGGGTAACAAGAGCGAAACCTCATCTCAAAAACAAAAACAAAAAAAACAAAAATTAGCCGGGTGTGGTGGTGAGCGCCTGTAATCCCAGCTACTCAGGAGGCTGAGGCAGGAGAATCACTTGAACCTGGGAGGCAGAGGTTGCAGTGAGCCAAGATTGTGCCACTGTACTCCAGCCTGCGAGACAGAGCAACACTCGGTCTCAAAAATAAAATAAATAAAATTAAATTAAAAAAATAAAATACATAAAATAAAAAATAAAATAAAATAAAATAAATAGAATAAAGTAATTAGAGTTGTCAGCCCTGAGTACTAGAGGTGAGATGGAATCACTGGCAATGCCACTGAAGTCTGTGTCGCTTCTCTCAGGGGATTTGAGAGCTTCTGACCCTGAAACATGACCAAGCGCCGTGGACAGCCCATGCTTCCTCGGTGTAGGATGCAATGCTCTGTGCTGTGGGCAAGCCACATACTGTCTTTTCTGCATCTCTAGGTTGTGTGCGGGGCAGGGGAAAGAAGCTCCCTCCACAGCCTTTCCCTCACATTTCCATGGCTCTGAAAAGGCCTGGTGTGGCCGCCCCCTACGTTTCCTGCTCTACTCCACATGGAGAAAGGTTTCAGGCTGGCCACGGTGTCTCCCATCTGTAATCCCAGTGCTTTGGAAGGCCGAGGTGGAAGGATCGCTTGAAGCCAGGAATTTCAGACCAGCCTAGGCAACATAGTGAGACCCTGTCTCTACAAAAAATAATATTAGCTGGGCATGGTGGTGCATGCCTGTAGTCCTAGCTACTCGGGAGGCTGATGTGAGAAGATCCCTTGAGCCCGGGAGGTGGAGGCTGCAGTGAGCCATTGCACTCCAGCCTGGGAGACAGAGTAAGACTTTGTCTGTTTAAAAAAAAAAAAAAAAAAGTTTCTGAGAAAAGATAATGTAGCTGGGGTGGGCTTTTTTGGATGAGGGCGTTTAAAGGCTAATATAAAGTGCCGGGCGTGGTGGGTCACGCTTTTAATCCCAACACTTTGGGAGGCCAAGGGGTGGGCGGAACTCCTTGGAACACCTGAGGTCAGGAGTTCCAGACCAGCCTGGCCAACATGGTGAAACCCCGTCTCTACTGAAAATACAAAAATTAGCCGGACGTGGTAGTGCGGGCCTGTAATCCCACCTACTTGGGAGGCTGAGGCAGGAGAATTGCTTGAACCCGGGAGGCGGAGGTTGCAGTGAGCCAAGATCACGCCACTGCACTCCAGCCTGGGCAATGGAGTGAGACTCAGTCTCTAAACAATAATAATAATAAATAATTTTTTGGCCGGGCGCGGTGGCTCACGCCTGTAATCCCAGCACTTTGGGAGGCCGAGGCGGGCGGATCACGAGGTCAGGAGATCGAGACCATCCTGGCTAACACGGTGAAACCCCGTCTCTACTAAAAATACAAAAAATTAGCCGGGCGTGGTAGCGGGCGCCTGTAGTCCCAGCTACTCGGGAGGCTGAGGCAGGAGAATGGCATGAACCCGGGAGGCGGAGCTTGCAGTGAGCCGAGATAGTGCTACTGCAGTCCGGCCTGGGCGAAAGAGCAAGACTCTGTCTCAAAAAAAAAAAAATAAAAAGGCTCATATAAGGGATTAATACTTTGCAAGTGTTGATGGAATTGATCTTGCTCTGTTTCTTGGCACTTGGACCGAAGTCATTGTGTAATGTATAAACTATGAAAATAAATGACTTAAGTCGCCTACAATAAAAACCTGTTTCACAGCTGATGGATTAAGGGAAACAGGTCCTGTGCCTATGCTGATTAAGGTGTTATACTTGTTTATAAAGGTTGAAGGAAATTAGCCAGGATGAATTCAGATTTATCTCTCTGAGAATTTCTAATAGGGCTATGAAATTACATTCCTCTCTATCTTCACATCTTGGAGTTTTGTTTTTTTTTTCCCTACTCAGCTGGAAGTTCACATTCAGCGGGTCTTATCTAGAAAGAGGTGAGTTGTTTAGTCAAGACACCTTAAATCAGCTGGGTGTGGTGGATCACGCCTGTAATCCTAGCACTTTTGGAGGCCGGGGCGTGTGGACTGCTTGAGCCCAGGAGTTCAAGACCAGCCTCAGCAACATGGTGAAACCCTGTCTCTACAAAAAATACAAAAATAGCCGGGCATGGTTGCAGGCACCTGTAGTCCCAGTGACTTGGAAGGCTGAGGTGGGAGGACTGTTTGAGCCTGGAAGATGAACGTTAGAGTGAGCCAAGATTGCCATGCTATAATCCAGCCTGGGTGACAGAGAGAGGCCTTGTTTGAAAAAAAAAAAAAAAAAAAGGACAGGCGTGGTGGCTCACGCCTGTAATCCTAGCACTTTGGGAGGCGAAGGTGGGCAAATCACCTGAGATCAGGAGTTTGAGACCAGCCTGGCCAACATGGCAAAAACCCATCTCTACTAAAAATACAAAAATTAGCCAGGTGTTGGCTGGGCACACGCCTGTAATCCCAGCACTTTGGGAGGCCGAGGCGGGTGGATCACCTGAGGTCAGGAGTTCAAGAGCAGCCTGGTCAAATTGGAGAAACTCCGTCTCTACTAAAAATGCAAAACTTAGCCGAGCATGGTGGTGCATGCCTGTACTCCCAGCTACTCTGGAGGCTGAGGTGGGAGGGTTGCTTGAACCCGGGAGGTGGAGGCTGCAGTGAGCGTGAGCCGAGATAGCGCCATTGTATTCTAGCCTGGGCCACAGAGCGAGATACTTTATCAAAAAAAAAAAAAAAAAAAAGTCTTAAATCACCTGGAATGTGAGATATTTCCAAAACAATGAGTAAGTGTGCTAAAATAAAAGGAAACAAAACAAAATCCTGCTGACTTTCTGAGGGACCGCCAGGATGAGGACATAGAGCTAAATCTAAACAACTGTCAGGGGCCTGTGGGGTCTGCCTGTGACTCAGCTGCCAAAGAAAGGAAGAGGAAAGAGGAAGAAATGGGCCGGGCTCGGTAACTCAAGCCTGTAATCCCAGGCGGACGGATCATGAGGTCAGGAGATCAAGACCATCCTGGCTAACACGGTGAAACCCCGTCTCTACTAAAAATACAAAAACAAAAAATTAGCCAGGCGTGGTGGCGGGCACCTGTAGTCCCAGCTACTCAGGAGGCTGAGGCAGCAGAATGGCGTGAACCTGGGAGGTGGAGCTTGCAGTGAGCTGTCATTGTGCCACTGCACTCCAGCCTGGGCAACAGAGCAATACTCCGTCTCAAAAAAAAAAGAAGAGGAAGAAATGACCATTGAGAATCTCTCTTCCAGCTGCTCGCATCCACTTTGGAAACCTGTTGATTCTGTAGCTTTTCTATAGATTCAGGGATAATTAAAATGTACATGAGACTGGCCAGGCACGAAACCAGACTGGCCAACATGGTGAAACCCCGTCTCTACTAAAAATACAAAAAAATTAGCTGGGTGTGGTGGTGTGCGCCTGTAATCCCAGCTACTCAGGAGGCTGAGGCAGGAGAATCGTTTGAACCCAGGAGGCGGAGGTTGTAGTGAGCTGCGATTGGGCCTGAGATCACACGACTGCACTCCAGCCTGGGCGACAGAGGGAGACTTCATCTCAAAAAAAAAAAAGTACACGAGATTGAGTAACATTGCTAAAACCTCAAGGCCCCAGGCAGAGGGCTAGGTTCTCGTTTAAAAACCTAAACAACTAACATCTTTGACTATCAAGGAAGAAAACACTAAAGAAACACAGATTGTTGGCCAGGCACGGTGGCTCATGCCTGTAATCCCAGCACTTTAAGACTGAGCCCAGTAGTTTGAGACCAGCCTGGGCAACATAGGAAGACACTGTCTTTATTAAATAAATAAAAGGAAATTTTTAATTATTGTTCTGTGTGTTACCAGGAAGGAAATAAAAGCACATGTTGTTTATTAATTATATTCAGGGATGAAAATTATTAAAGACTTACCCATAAAAATCCAAAGGAGGTTTTGATCACCTTTCAAAAAACTACGGTTTCTGTATTATTCAGCCTTGAAAAGGAAGGACGGCTGGGCGTGGTGGCTCACGCTTGTAATCCCAGCATTTTGGGAGGCCAAGGCGGGTGGATCACCTGAGGTCGGGAGTTCAAGACCAGCCTGACCAACTTGGAGAAACCCCGTCTCTACTAAAAATACAAAATTAGCCAGGTGTGGTGGCGCATGCCTGTAATCCCAGCTACTCAGGAGGCTGAGGCAGGAGAATCACGTGAACCCGGGAGGCAGAGGTTGCAGTGAGCCGAGATCATGCCACTGCACTCCAGCCTGGGCAATAAGAGTGAAACACCGTCTCCAAAAAAAAAAAAAGGAAGAAAGAAAGAAAAGAAAAGGAAGGACATTCTGGCCAGGTGCAGTGGCTGTAATCCTAGCACTTTGGGAGACTAAAGCAGGCAGATCGCTTGAGTCCAGGAGTTCGAGACCAGCCTGGGCAACATGGCAAAAACCTGTCTCTACAAAAAAAATGTGAAAATTAGCCAGGCATGCTGGTGTGCACCTGTGGCCCCAGTTACTTGGGAGGCTCAGGTGGGAGGATCTCTTGAGCTTGAGAGGTCAAGGCTACAGCGAGCTGAGATCACATCACTGCACTCCAGCCTGGGCAACAGAGTGAGTTTCTCTCAGAAAAAACAAATAAAATAAACAAAATTGAAAGGGAAGGACATTTTGGCTCACACTGCAAACATGAATGATCATTGAGGACATTATGCTGAGTGAAATAAGCCAGTCACAAAAGGACGAATCTTGCATGATTCCCCTTATACGAGGTCCTTAGATTAGTTGAATCCAGAGACAGAAAGTAGGATGGTGGTTGCCGGGAGCTGGGGTGAGGAAGAATGGGGAGTCAGTGTTTAATGGGTCCAAAGTTTCAGTTTCACAAGATCGAACTGGAGATGGATGGTAGTGATGATTGTATAAGAAAATAAATGTATTTAATGCCACTGGACTGAACACTTAGAAGTTATTAAGACGGCAAATTTTATGTATACTTTACTATAAGTTTTGTTTTTGAGACAGTCTCACTCTTTCGCCCAGGCTGGAATGCAGTGGCACAATCTCGGCTCACTGCAACCTCAGCCTCCAGGTTCAAGCAATCCTCCTGCCTCAGCCTCCCTAGTAGCTGGGATTACAGACATGTGCCACCATGCCCAGCTAATTTTTGTATTTTTAGTAGAGACGGGGTTTTGCCATGTTGGCCAGGCTGGTCTCGAACTCCTGACCTCAGGTGATCCACCTGCCTTGGCCTCCCAAAGTGCTGGGATTAATTACAGGTGTGAGCCACCGTGCCCGGCCTATTTTACTATAATTTTTAAAAACTAAAACATGGAAATAATATGATTCCTAATCTATACTGGGAATGTTCTGTTACCTGATCTGAGTGTTGTCACACGGGCATGATGACTTCATGAAAGTCTATTATAATTTCTGTATTTTTCTGTATGTTAGTTGACTTCAGTAAAACTTATGATTATTACTTCTATTTATTATTATTATCATCATCATTGTTATTAGAGATGGGGTATCATTATATTGCCCAGGCTGGTCTTAAACTCCTGGGCTCGCATAATCTTCCCACCTTGGCTTCCCAAAGTGCTGGGATTACAGGCGTGGGCGACTGTGTCTGGCCAGATTATTTCTAATCAATAACTACACAGAAAGCACACTGTTATTTAAAGGATTCTATACTTCACCCAAAGGCAGAAGCAGTGGAAATTGAGAAAGGAGGTTGTAGTAGGTTGAAGGTTGAAGAGTGCCCTCTGCTAAATTCATGTCTTCCGGGAACCTCAGAAGGTGACCTTATTTGGAAATGGGGTCTTTGCAGATGGAATTAAGATAAGGATCAAGATGAGATCATATAGGATTAGGGTGGGCAATGACAGTGTCCTTAGAAGAGACAGAAGAGGCCAGACAGAGAAGAAGTCCACATGAAGACAGAAGCAGTGATTGGAGTGACGTGGCCATGAGCCAGGGGATGCCTGGAAAAGACAGAGAAGGATCCTCCCCTAGAGACTTTGGAGAGAGTGTGGATCTGCTGGCAGCTTGATTGCTGACTTCTGGCCTCCAGAACTATGAGAAAATAAACTTCTGTTGTTTTGGCGAGGCATGGTGGCTGACACCTGTAATCCCAGCACTTTGGGAGGCCAAGAGCAGGTGGATCACTTGAGGTCAGGAGTTAAAGAACAGCCTGGCCAACATGGCGAAACCCTGTCTCTACTAAAAATTAGCCGTGTGTGGTGGCACATGCCTGTAATTCCAGCTACTTGGGAGGCTGAGGCAGGAGAATCGCTTGAACCCGGGAGGTGGAGGTTGCAGTGAGCCAAGATCACGCCATTGCACTCCAGCCTGGGGGACAGAGTGAGACTCCATCTCCAAAAAAAAAAAAAAGCCAACAAAAAACATCTTTTTCATTGTTTCTTACAACCCTTATCACTTACGTTTTCATTTCACCCTCGCTGTCAGCTTCCCTTTGTCCTTCCGAAAGCACAGAAGTAAAAATGAAACATAGAAAAATCCCACCGGTAATCTAGACCGAGCCAGAAGAATGTACCTTTCTGAGAAAAGACCACCCATCAATAGATCTGCACGTGGGGATCTTGTGTTTACATGCCAAACTCGTGAATGGTAGAGCTGTCACCCTAAATGTGGTACCCTGTGGCCGGTTATGAGTCATTAAAAAAAAGGGAGACAGAGATTCACCGGCACATGTGTTCATACTGCTTGATGATGAAACTTTTCTTAGATCTGACCAAAACACCAACTGCCAAGCACATGGCACCACGGGGAAGGGGGAGGGATGAAGTTTTGTAAATTACCACTTCTTCTTTTGAGGTATGAAATATAATGTGGGTTATGAGTAATGTACCCTTTTAAGATATAACCAAGTTACCAAGCCTACCTAAATAACATCAGAAAACATGAGTTGACAATCATTTGGTTTTGAGGTAATAACATTTCCTCCTGATTCATTACATTAGCTCTTTGAATATAAGGAATGTCCTAATGCTTCCTACATATATGTATATTCATATTAAATGAGACAGTTTCAAGCAATTCCAGGAACTTGGATATTAAGTAACTATCATGTCATAAAGAGGGAGTGGGAGTTAGTTAGGCAAAGAGGGAAGGGGAGCAAAGACTTGAAACAGCATGAAACGTGCAGAGAATTGTATCCCGGATACAAGACAGGGAGTGAAAAAGTCTGACCAGAGAGTCTTTTTTTTTGTTGTTAATTTGTATTTTTGTTTATTTATTTATTTTTGAGACAGTCTTGCTCTGTTGCCCAGGTTGGAGTGCAATGGTGCAATCTTGGCTCACTGCAATCTCCGCCTCCCAGGTTCAAACAATTCTCCTGCCTCAGCCTCCCCAGTAGCTGGGATTACAGGCACGCGCCACCACGCCCAGCTAATTTTTGTATTTTTAGTACAGATGGGGTTTCACCATGTTGGCCAGGCTGGTCTCAAACTCCTGACCTGAAGTGATCCACCTGCCTCAGCCTCCCAAAGTGCTGGGATTATAGCTGTGAGCCACCGTGCCAGCCTTTTGTTGTTAATTTTTAATTTTTAACTTTTAGGTACATAGTAGGTGTATATATTTATGGGATACATGAGATATTTTGACACAGGCATGCCATGCGTAATAATCTCATCAGGGTGAATGGGGTGTCCATCACCTTAAACATTTATCCTTTGGGTTACAAACAATTCAGTTATACTCTTTTAGTTATTTTAAAATGTACAATTAAATTATGTTGACTATAGTCACTCTGTTGTGCTATCAATACCAGGTCTTATTCATTCTTTCTATTTTATTATTATTATTATTATTATTTTTGAGACGGAGTTTCACTCTTGTTGCCCAAGCTGGAGTGCAATGGCGTGATCTCAGCTCACTGCAACCTCTGCCTCCTGGGTTCAAGCGATTCTCCTGCCTCAGTCTCCCGAGTAGCTGGGATTACAGGCACGTGCCCCCACGCTCAGCTAATTGTTTGTATTTTTAGTAGAAACGGGGTTTCACCATGTTAGCCAGGCTGGTCTTGAACCCCTGACCTCAGGTGATCCACCCGCCTCGGCCTCCTGAAGTGCTGGGATTACAGGCATGAGCCACCGTGCCCCGCCCATTCTTTCTATTTTCTGTACCCATTAGCCATCCCCACGTCCCCCTCCTCCCCCAACTCCACTACCCTTCCCAGCCTCTAGTAACCATCCTACTCTCTATCTCCATGAGTTCGATTGTTTCAATTTTTAGCTCTCACAAATAAGTGAGAGCTTGTGAAGTTTGTCTTTCTGTACCTGGCTTATTTCATTTAACAGAATGACCTCCAGTTTCATCCATGCTGTTGCAAATGACAGGACCTTATTCTTTTTTATGGCTGAATAGTACTCCATTGTGTATATGTAGCATATTTTCTTTATCTGTTGATGGACACTTAGGTCTCTTCAAGTCTTAGCTATTGTGAATAGGGCTGCAATAAACATGGAGTGCAGCTATCTCTTCCATATACTGATTTCCTTTCTTCTAGGTATACACTCAGTAGTGGGATTGCTGGATCATATGGTAGCTCTATTTTAAGTTTGTTAAAGAACCTCCAAACTTCTCCATAGTGGTTGCACTGATATGGGAGTGCTGGGAGGGGAAGAGCGTGGTCCCTTTAAATGATATGGAAGGGGGGAAGGGAAATGCTGGGTAAAGGAGGGTGTGGTAACTGGCTAGGGCTCCACCCCTACGGACCTAGGTAAGGACAGGCACTCCTGCCTTCCGCGCCCAAATGTTGCATTTCCCATGACTACTCTGGCCCCCCATGCCCCCATCCTGTGCCTATAAAAACCCGAGACCGGCCAGGCGCTGTGGCTCATGCCTGTAATCCCAGCACTTTGGGAGGCTGAGGCGGACGGATCACGAGGTCAGGAGATCAAGACCATCCTGGCTAACACGGTGAAACCCCGTCTCTACTAAAAATACAAAAATAAAAAATTAGCCGGGCGTGGTGGCGGGCGCCTGTAGTCCCAGCTACTCAGGAGGCTGAGGCAGGAGAATGACTTGAACCCGGGAGGCGGAGCCTGCAGTGAGCCGAGATCGCGCCACTGCACTCCAGCCTGGGCGACAGAGCGAGACTCCATCTCAAAATAAAATAAAATAAAATAAAACCCCGAGACCCTAGCAGGCAGACACAGGTGGCTGGACATCGAGAGGACATCGAGGGTAGCACGCTGGCGGAAGAGCACATAGTCAGACACTGGCATGCCTACAGGCCATCAGGCCATTGACTGGGGGAATGAGGCGGAGTTTGGCCTGGGCAGTCGGAGGAGAGCCCGGGCTGCGAAGAAGCCGCCCGACTCCCGAAGAAAACCATCTCCTTTCTGGCTCCCCTATCTGCTGAGAGCTACTTATCAATAAAACCTTGCACTCTCATTCGCCAAGCCCAGTGTGATCCGATTCTTCCAGTACACCAAGGCAAGAAACCCCGGGATACAGAAATCCCTCTGTCCTTGTGATAAGGGGGCCTAATTCAGCTTGTTAACACAAGCCGCCTATAGATGGCTAAACTAAAAGAGCACACTGTAACACACGCCCACTGGGGCTTCAGCTATAAACACTCACCCCTAGACGCTGCCGTGGGGTTGGAGTCCCACAGCCTGCCCGTCTGTATGCTCTTCTAGAGGTTTGAGCAGCAGGGCACGGAAGAAACCAGCCACTCCCCCATCACACTTCCTGCGACAAGGAAGCCTTTCCCGTTTCAGTACTAATTCACAGAGTCCTTAACTGACATTTTAAAGATGAGTTGAACCTGTGTATCTATTTTGAAGCAAGTTAATTAAAAATCACCCTAAAATTGTCAAGGTGGTTAAAAGGCTACAGGAAATATCAATATTTTTAATAATAGCCAAAGGTAGAAGCAATTGTATGATATTATGACAGAAGAATATGTATTTGGTCTTAGTCCCCAGTTCCTGGGATGCTAAAACCCTTGTAATTTCCTGGGCAACAAGCATGTTAGCATGGTGCCTCTTTTGTTCTAATATCTGGTCTTTGACCTCAGCTCCTGGCACAGAGCTCCTAATCCCTTGGGGTTTCCTGGGTAATAGGAGGATCTTTTGTTCTAATGAGGCAACTTTTTGTGGGTTCCTGGTTGGGGGCTGGTCACCAGAAAGACCAAACTGTGGTTAGAAGCTTGAAGCTTCCAGGCTCATCCCCCATCTGCTGGGAAAGGAAGAGGAGCTGGAGACTGAGTTATTATAATAATCAATCATGCCCACGTGATGAAGCCTCCATAAAAATCCCTGAACTACAGGATGCAGAGCGCTTCGGGGCTAGTGAACTACAGTAGATCCATGTGCCAAGATGGTGCAACCCAGCCCCATGGGGACAGACGCTCCTGCACATGGGCCCTTCCAAACCTCGCCCTATGTTATCTCTTCATTTGACTGTTTATTTGAATCCTTTAATATATCCTCTGTTTTTTGTTTTTTTGTTTTTGAGACAGGGTCCGTCTCTGTTGCCCGGGCTAGAACACAGTGGCATAACATGGCTCACTGCAGCCTCGACCTCCCAGGCTCAAGTGATCCTCCCGCTTCAGCCTCCCATGAAGCTGGGACTACGGGTGCATGCCACCATGCCTGGCTAACTTTTTTGTTTTGTAGAGATGGGGTTTCACTATGTTGCCTAAGCTGGTCTTGAACTCTGGGCTCAAGTGATCCTTCCGTCTAGTAGGTCTCCCAAAGTGCTGGGATTACAGGCATGAGCCACCACTGCTGGCCATTAATATATCCTTTATAATAATCTAGTAAGTAACCTGTTTTCCTGGGTTCTGTGAGCTGCTCTAGCAAATTATAGAACCAAAAAGGGGGTCATGAGAACCTCTGATTTGTAGCCAAGTTGAGCAAAAGTTGTGAAAAACCTGGGAACTCACCACTTGTGATTGGCGTCTCCAACGGGGGCAGTCTTGTGGCACTGGGTTGGTAACCTGTGGCATGTCATGCTATCTCCAGGCAGATAGTGCAAATCGGTGTCTGCAGAGAAGTGAACTGCCTGGTGTGGGAAAAAACCCCTAGCATCTGGTGACAGAAGCGTTCTGTGTTGAGTGTGTAGTGGTAGAAAACAGTTTGTTTTTCCCCTATGCAAACCCAAATGTTATTCAATGGATGAATGGATAAACTAAATGCAGTCTATCCACACAATGGAACATTACTCTCCCATAAAAAGGAACGAAGTTCTGATCCCTGCTACAATATGGATGAACCTCGAAAATGTTAAGTGAAACAACCCTGACACAAAGGCCATATATTGTACGGTTCCATTTATAGGAAATGCCTAGAATAGGCAAATCCAAAGACACAGAAAGCAGAAAAGGGGTTGCTTAGGGAGAATTGGGGTGGGGGATTGGGGGACAACAGCTGAAGGGTTTCTTTTAGAGGTGATGAAACTGTCCTAAAATTGTGATAATGGTTATATGTATCTGTGAATATACTAAAAACTATTGAATTGCTAACTTTATTTATTCACTTAGAGACAGTCTCATTCTATAACCCAGGCTGGAGTACAGTGGCAAGATCATGACTCACTGCAGCCTTGACCTCCCGGGTTTAAGCAATCCTCTGGCCTCAGCCTCACAAGTAGCTGAGACTGTAAGTGCATCCCACAGGCCGAGGGCAGTGGCCCACCCCTGTAATCCCAGCACTTTGGGAGGCCGAGGTGGGCGGATCACCTGAGGTCAGGAGTTGGAGACCAGCCTGGTCCAACATGGTGAAACCCTGTCTCTACTAAAAATACAAAAATTAGCTGGGCATGGCGGTGGGCGCCTGTAATCCCAGCTACTCGGGAGGCTAAGGCAGGAGAATCGCTTGAACCTGGGAGGTGGAGGTTGCAGTGAACCCAGATCGCCCCACTGCACTCCAGCCTGGGCAACAGAGTGACTCCATCTCAAAAAAAAAAAAAAAAAAAAAAAAAAATGCTTGCCACCACACCCAGCTAATTTTTGTATTTTTATTTTGTTTTGTTTTTTGATATGGAGTCTCACTCTGTTGCCTAAGCTGGAGTGCAGTGGCACGATCTCAGCTCACTGTGACTCCCACTTCCCAGGTTCAAGCGATTCTCTTGCCTCAGCCTCTGGATTAGCTGGGATTACAGGCATGCACCAACCACGCCCAGCTAATTTTTGTATTTTTAGTAGAGACAGGGTTTCACCATGTTGGCCAGGCTGGTCTTGAACTCCTGACCTCAGGTAATCCACCCGCCTCGGCCTCCCAATGTGTTGGAATTACAGGCGTAAGCCACCGTGCCTCGCCAATTTTTGTATTTTTTGTAGAGACAGGGTCTCACTTTGTTGCCCAGGCTGGTCTCGAACTCCTGGGGTCAAGCAATTCTCCCACCTCAGTCTCCTAAAAGTGCCGGGATAGGCCAGGCACGGTGGCTCACGCCGCCTGTAATCCCAGCACTTTGGGAGGCCGAGGCGGGCAGATCATGAGGTCAGGAGATCGAGACCATCCTGGCTAACACGGTGAAACCCCGTCTCTACTAAAAATACAAAAAAATTAGCCGGGCATGGTAGCGGGCGCCTGTAGTCCCAGCTACTTGGGAGGCTGAGGCAGGAGAATGGCGTGAACCTGGGAGGCAGAGCTTGCAGTGAGCCGAGATCACACCACTGCACTCCAGCCTGGGCGAGAGCGAGACTCTGCCTCAGGGAAAAAAAAAAAAAAAAAAAAAGTGCTGGGATTACAGGCATAAACCACCTTGCCTGGCTTGAATTGCAGACTTTAAGTGAGTGAATTGTATGATATGTTATCTGTATCTCAGGAAAGCTGTTTTTTTTTGTTGTTGTTGTTTCTGTTCTTGTTTTTAAGACTTAGAAAGAAAAAGCAGTTCAGGCCGGGTGCGGAGGCTCTCACCTGTAATCCCAGCATTTTGGGAGGTCGAGGCAGGAGGATCACCTGAGGTCAGGAGTTCAAGACCAGCCTGGCCAACACAGCAAAACCCTGTCCCTACTAAAAATACAAAAATTAGCCGGGCGTGGTGGCAGGTGCCTGTAGTCCCAGCTACTCGGGAGGCTGAGGCTGGAGAATTGCTTGAACCCAGGAGGCGGAGGTTGCAGTGAGCTGAAATCATGCCATTGCACTCCAGTCTGGGTGACAGAGTGAGACTCTTGTCTCAAAAAAAAAAAAAAACAAAAAAAACTTAGCTGGGCATGGTGGTGGGAGCCTGTAGTCCCAGCTAATCGGGAGGCTAAGGTGGGAAAGTCACTTGAATCCAGGAGGCGGAGGTTGCAGCGAGCTGAGATCACACCATTGCACTCTGCCTGAGCAACAGAGCAATACTCCGCCTCAAAAAAAAAAAAAAAAAAAAAAAAAAAAAAAAAAAAAAGAACTCCATGCCATCAGGAGGGACCTTATCATGGTGTTCATCTTGCATCCCCCAACCCCAGAACAGTTCCTGGCACATAGCAGACTCTTAAGTAGTCATGAAATTAATGAATTTCAGCTACGCGTTTTCAGGGTAAAATCTCTTCCTTGGATGCTTCATGAGCACATGAACAAATGGCAGTGCCTCATTATACATAAGAAAAATGGGGAAAGTTAGCAACCGCTAAATACATGAAGACGCTCTATTTAATCCTCAAGACTCAAGGGCCTCCTTCCACCATCTCTTGCTTGGAATGAAGCAGCCAAATTCTTTTTCTCTATTCGGAGTAGAGAATGAATTAGTGGGGTGTTCTCATTCCACTTTGTGGTGATGGAAAACCTGGCTCAGTGAGACAGAAGATATTCAAGCTTCTTTCTGCTGTTTCTCCTTGGGCCCAGAGATTTGGAATACATTATCTGTGCTTAAATAAACACATTGGATCCCTCCCTTGGGTAGTTTTTAAGTTATTTTTGAGTAAGAGAATAAGACTGAATAATTTTGTTGATTGTTTCTATCCAGATGGGGGTAGCCACATAAGTATAAAGACGTGCTTAGGGTAATAGTTTCTTTTTCATGCAATGCTGGTGTCCCAGGAAGAAGAGACCAGTGACCCCAAGGTTTTTTTGCATGCTCCTCAGTGGAAACTTTTGAGCACATACTCCCAATATCTTTCAACATATATTATTTTAGTAGAAATATATATATTTTTTTGAGACAGAGTTTTGCTCTTTCGCCCAGGCTGGAGTGAAGTGGCATGATCTCAGCTCACTGCAACCTGTGACCCCCGGGTTCAAACAATTCTCCTGCCTCAGCCTCCCTAGTAGCTGGGATTATAGGCGTGCGCCAGCACACCCGGCTAGTTTTGGTATTTTTAGTAGAGACAGTGTTTCACCATGTTGGCCAGGCTGGTCTCGAACTCCCGACCTGAGGTGATCCACCCGCCTCGGCCTCCCAAAGTGCTGGGATTACAGGTGTGAGCCACCGCGCCCGGCCAATATTCCAGTGAGCTAGTCAATAAACAAGTAAATAAAGATAACCCTGGATGGCAGCAGGAAGACAGTGAATAGAGTGACGTCACAGCAAGGGACTGGGGATGTGGGATGGTGACTAGCTGGGCTGGTCGGGTAAGGCTAGAGAGAAGGCTGGTCTGAGATATGGCAGGAGTGGCAGGGGTTGAGGCTGGAAAGGCAGACTGGGCCTAGATCTTACCGACCTTATAAGCCACGGTATGGACAGGCAGGCAGCACCGAGCCATAAACGAAATCCAGCTTTTAAATCCAGCGCTTTTAAAAAACTTTGACCTTACCCAAGGGGGTGTCTTTTTATGTTAGATCTGCCCAAAGGAGGGGCTTTTTATAATCCATTTTCCTGGAGATGACCCCTGCTTCTAATTCGAACAGAAGGGAAGTGTTTTCTGCAACTTGGGTTTTATGCTTAGTGAAATGAGAAGCCAGTGAAAAGTTTGAGGCCAGCCACGGACAAGATCCGGCTTATGTTTTAAGAATATACTTAGGCAACAGTATGGAAAATAACTGTATGGAGACAAGGGTAGAATAATAAAAATAATGATGGCAATCACAGCTAATAGAAATATAATAAATAGAACAATGACAAGAAGGAACCTTGCTGTTTTTTCTGTTCTTTTTTCTTTTTTAGAGACAGGGTCTCGCTCTGCCGCCCAGGCTGGAGTGCAGTGGTGCGATCATAGCTCACTATAGCCTCAACCTCCTAGGCTCAAGCAACCCTCCCACCTCAGCCTCCCGAAGCTCTGGGATTATAGACATGAGCCACCACTCCCGGCCCCCATCCTGGCTCCAATCCTGGCTAACTGTATATTTAATCTTACTTTAAAACAAATTCAGGCTGGGCACAGGTGGCTCACACCTGTAATCCCAGCACTTTGGGAGGGCAAGGCAGGTGGATTACTTGAGGTCAGGAGTTCAAGACCAGCCTGGCCAACATGGTGAAACCTTGTCTCTACTAAAAAAAATTACAAAATTAGCTGGGCATGGTGGCCGGCTCCTGTAATCCCAGCTACTCGGGAGGCTGAGGCAGGAGAATCATTTGAACCTAGGAGGGAGAGGTTGCAGTGAGCTGATATCGCGCCACTGTACTCCATCCTGGGCGACAGAGTGAGACTCCGTCTCTAAATAAATAAATATAACAAATTCAAATAACAGTTATGATCCAAAAAAAGTGACTTCTCCAACATGTTGAAAGCTAACCCTTTATGTATCAGAACTTTATTCTGAACAAGAAACCAATGTGGGCATTGGAAACACTCCTTCTTAGCTTAGCTCCAGAGTCAAAGAAGCGTGACAGTCCATCACATCTGTTAAGTTCTAGTGCCACCACCTGACCTCTTCTGGGCCTTGCACGCTTACGCCCAAGAGGACAATTCCAGACTCCATCTGCGACTGCAGCCTTCTAACTGGTTCTCTTAAGGTTCAATCACACAAATAAAGAAACACCAATGTGAACAGTGAGATGCCGTTTTAACCTATCAGATGAGCAACATGGTTTGAGGACATAGTAAAGTGGACGTGCATCCGCTGCTGGTGGGAATGGGGATTTGTGAGGAAGACCTTTTGAAATGCATGCAGTGTGGCAATTTGCAACTGGAGGCTTTAAAATGTTCCCTTCATTCCCTTGGATCTGGCAAATCTGTTCCTGGGAATGTATCTTAAGGGAATAATTCCAAATATGGAAAAAGCTTAGTGAAAATATATTAGCACAGTCTAAGTGTGCAGAATAGCTCCAGGGGGTGACCTAAGAGTTTTGAGGATTTGCTGTGGGCTGAGGATTGCCTACATCTATCATCTCATCTGATCCTCACAGAAACCACTGAAGCGGGTATATTATCCCCATTTTATGGATAAGAAAAGGGACTCAGGGAGATTACAAAATTCAGTCCGACTCATAAACCTATACACAGAAGCAGAATTAGAACCTGAGCTTGCATGGCTTTTCATTAAAAATAAAAAATCATTAAAAATAAAAACACTATTACTAAAAATAATATTTTAAAAAGTTTATAGTGGCAGAGAAAAGAATACAAAGTAAAAAATTGTACCTGCAGTAGGCTCATGATTTTATAAAACCATGTGATGCAGAGAAATAAGAAACAAAATGCAACCTGCCAGAGGAACTGATCACACCCTAAGTGTTTGTGTTTTCCATACATATCTTTTTTTCTTTGGCACAGGGTCTCTGTTGCCCCGGATGGAGTGTGGTGGCATGATCACAGCTCATTAAAGCCTTGACCTCCTGGGCTTAAGCGATCCTCCCACCTCAGCCTCCCAAGTAGCTGGGACTACAGGTGCACAACACCATGCTCGGCTAATTTTTTTTTTTTTTTTTTTGAGACGGAGTCTTGCTCTGTCGCTTCTGTCGCCCAGGCTGGAGTGCAGTGGCGCGATCTCGGCTCACTGCAACCTCTGCTTCTCCTCAGCCTCCCGAGTAGCTGGGACTACAGGCGCCCACCACCATGGCGTGTTAGCCAGGATGGTCTCAATCTCCTGACCTTGTGATCCGCTCGCCTTGGCCTCCCAAAGTGCTGGGATTACAGGCGTGAGCCACCGTGCCTTCGCCACGCCCAGCTAATTTAAAGCTGAGGCAGGAGAATTGCTTGAACCCGGGAGGCAGAGGTTGCGGTGAGCCGAGAACGCGCCACTGCACTTCACGCTGAGCGACAGAGCAAGACTTCATCTCAAAAAAAACAAAACAAAACAATTTGTAGAGACAGGGTCTCGCCATGTTTGCCAGGCTGGTCTCCAATTCCTGGGCTCAAGCAGTCCTCCTGCCTCAGCCTCCCAAAGCGCTGGAATTACAGACGTGAGCCACCACATCTGGCCCATTTTAAAACTTCTGTTTAAAAGTACGTCATGAACATAAGTTTTGTTCCTACCACATAAAGTATTTTTACAAATAGTTTTTTGTTTGTTTGTTTGTTTGTTTTGAGACGGAGTCTTGGTCTGTCGCCCAGGCTGGATGGAGTGCAGTGGCGTGATCTTGGCTCACTGCAAGCTCTGCCTCTCGGGTTCATGCCATTCTCCTGCCTCAGCCTCCCGAGTAGCTGAGACTATAGGCGCCTGCCACCACACCCGGCTAATTTCTTTTTTTTTCGTAGGGACGGGGTTTCACCGTGTTAGCCAGGATGGACTCAATCTCCTGACTTAGCGATCCACCCACCTTGGCCTCCCAAAGTGCTGGGATTACAGGCGTGAGGCACTGCGCCCAGTCAGCTATTTTCTTTTAGTTGGTCTCAAAGTTGTTATCACAAAGCTGCTTTCTCATTTTCTCTTAATTTGATAAAGGTGCAATTCATAACACAAGGTTATTATCCCCTAAAGGAAATGGAACAACTAGCATCATGGACAAATCTCTGCTGATTAATGAGTAGATTAATGAGTAACCAACATCCAGAGCTGCTCAAAACAGCCCTTTACACTTAAATCTCAAAAAGAAGGAATGATGGGCGATAAGCACCAAAAAAAAGTAGAAATAAATGCATGTAATTTTTCCTGGGCAATTTAAATAGTTCTTCATCTGGGAGTGCCTCCAATCCTTCTAGCCAATTCATCCTACCCGCAGCTGTCAAGTTCATCTTCCTAAAAACATCAAGTTCACTCTGTTATTTCCCTGCCTAAAAATACCACCTGTTTATGGTGTCAAGGTGCCAACGTGCTTTTCTCCCTCCTCTCACCCTGCCCCACAGTTCCAGCTTTGCGCCTTTTCTTGCTCTTCTCCCTTTTAGAGTGTTCCAACCACATCCTCCAGGGAAAATCCCTCGACCAAGAGTCCAATCTGATTTTGCACTTCCCTGACTTCTTGCTAAGCCGTCTACACCAGGAGGGTAAGCCAGTTTCTTCTGACACACAATTCCAATCGATTGGTAGAGATTTGTGGTTGCCTGGGGGCACTGCGTGTTTAAAGAACACTGGAATTAACAACGACCCAGGAAGGGTAGCAATGGGCTCAAGAAGGGAAAGTGGATGTACAACTATGGGTCATCCTGGTCTCTACTGCACTGGCCAATACGGTGGCCACTAGCCACATATGGCCATTAGATACTTGAAATGTCGCTAGCCCAAATTGAGTTATGCTGTTTATTTATTGAGACAGGGTCTCACTCTATCACTCGGGCTGGAGTGCAGTGGCATGATCACAGCTCACTGCAGCCTCGACCTCCTAGGGTCAAGTGATCCTCCTGCCTCAGCCTCCCAAGTTGCAGGGACCATAGGCATGCAGGACCACACCCAGCTAATTTTTGTATTTTTTGTTGAGACGGGGTCTCACCACATTGCCCAGGCTGATTTTGAACTCCTGGATTCAGGCGATCCTTCCACCTTGGCCTCCCAAAGTGCTGGGATTACAGGCATGAACCACCACACCTGGCCTGATATGTTGTAAATTTAAATCACTCACCAGAGTTTGAAGACTAAGTGTGAAAAAAAGGTGTAAAATATCTAATAATATTTTCATATTGATTACACGTCAACATATTTTGGATATGCTACTGGGGCAAGTAAAATATATTATTAAAATTATCCTGGATAAAGGACCAGAGGCAGACAATATATATATTTTTTTCATCTTTTTTTGTTTTTTACAATATGTGCATTAACAGTGGCAGTTTCAACAGGGTTCAGTGCCTAAAGGAGTGTCACAAGACCCAAAATGACAATGCTTACAAACCTCGTTTATTACAAGAAAAGGATTCAATACAGCAATGGCATTAAATTAAGAATATGTGTCCCGGCCAACCGGTATTTCAGAGCAAAGGCTCTGGAGAACTAGGCGCAGTCTCCCACAATCCTCCCTTTTGTAAGGGCTGTGGCTGGACACACTATCCCCACCCAGAGCAAGAACCAGTGATGTGTGTATACAGCATCTTGGAATCAGGGTCCAACATAGCATCTCAGGTGTTTCTCATACTTTGCTTGTCACATAGGCATATTCCTGCCACAACTAGCCTCAATAGCAGGACGTTCTTAGTGGAGTTGGTCTCACCAAGACCAGGAGCAAATAATCAATTTAATTGTTATAAATAATGGTGACAGGCTGATACAAACCACCCCCAAGCTCTTCAAACCCCTGGCTACAAGGCAGCACTATAATCCCTATGTTTCCTTAATCACTGTGTTTCATGCCTTGACCAGGACAGTGCCTTGCAAAAACTTTAGCAAAACAGATCAGATTAATTCCAGCAGGCCTGGAATTAACCCTTAAAGCATAATGTGTCTACTAGAAAATTTAAAGCATCAAATGTACTTGCATGATATTTCTACTGGACAGTGCTTCTGTAGACCAAGGGGAAGCAACTTTTCTTTATCTGTCAAGAGCCAGATAAAGAAATACTTTAGCTTTGCCAGCCGTATGGTCTCTGCATAGTCCATTCTCACACTGCTATAAAGACCCACCTGAGACTGGAAAATTTATGAAGAAAAAAGGTTTAATGGACTCACAGTTCCGCAGGCTTAACAGGAAGCATGACTGGGAGACTTCAGGAAACTTACAATCATGGCAGAAGGCAAAGGGGAAGCAAACACCTTCCTCACATGGTGGAGCAGGAGAGGGAGAGCAGCAAGAGTATACACTTTTAAGCAAAAAGATCTGGTGAAAACTCACTATTGTGAGATCAGCAAGGGATAAACTGCCCCCATGATCCAATCATCTCCCACCAGGTCCCTCTCCCAGCACTGGGGATTACAATTCAACATGAGATTTGGGTGGGGACATATAGCCAAACCATATCAGTCCCTACTGAAACTACTCAACCCTGTCACTGATGGGTGAAGCAGCCCCAGATAATATGTAAACAAACAAGCCTGGCTTCATCCTAACAAAATTTTATTCATGAACACTGACATCTGAATTTTAACTAATGCCACAATTCTTTTACTATTGTTTGGATTTTTTTTAAAACCCTTTAAGAAGGTAAAAATTATGATTTGGTCACCATGGGCCATTATTTGCTGACCCCTAGTCTAGACCCTTGTTACTTTAAGTGTGATCAGTGAACAAGCAGGGTTGGTATCACCTGATGCTTGTTAGAAATGCAGAATCTGGCTGGGCACAGGCCTCTAGGCCCAGCTACCTGGGAGGCCTGTGAATGGCCACTGCACTCCAGCCTGGGCAACATAGCCAGATCCTGTTAAAAAAATAAAAGAATTGCAGAATTTGGACCCCAACCCAGATCTGTGAATCCAAATCTGAAATTTAAGGAAGTTCCCCAGGTGATTTGTATAAAACACCTGGGAAGTTTGAAAAAATTACTAAAACCTAACTCCAAGACCCCAGAGTCTTATATAACTGGTATGGGTGTGACCTGGGCACTGGGATTTTAAAAATATCCCCAGGTGGGCCGGGCATGGTGGCTTACACCTGTACTCCCAGCACTTTGGGAGGCCGAGGTGGGTGGATCACCTGAGGTCAAGAATCCGAGACCAGCCTGACCAACATGGTGATGAAACTCCGTCTTTACTAAAAATACAAAAATTACCTGGGCATGGTGGTGAGTGCCTGTAATCACCACTACCTAGGAAGCTGAGGCAGGAGAATCACTTTAACCCAGGAGGCAGAGGTTGCAGTTAGCCAAGATCACGCCATTGCACTCTAGCCTGGGCAAAAAGAGTGAAACTCTGTCTTAAAAAAAAAAAATCCCCACATCATCTGAATATGCAGCATAGATTCCAATAGACAGCAAAGTTTGTCGATTAGACAAAGACCAGGGACTTGGCATTTACTCCTATGTAAATTTTTATTCTTCTTATTGCAATTGCAAAGACTGCGTGTTCTACTAGTATTCTCCAAAGAACCTAGAATAGTGCTATGTGCCTAGTCGGTACTCAGGTTCTTTCGGATTGACTTGACAGTCAACTGTTTTTTTTTTTTTTTTTTTTTTTTTGAGATAGTCTTGCTGTTGCCCAGGCCACCTGGGTTCAAGCAATTCTCCTGCCTCAGCCTCCTGAGTAGCTGGGATTACAGGCGGCTGCCACCACGCCCGGCTAATTTTTGTATTTTTAGCACAGACAGGGTTTCATTATGTTGGCCAGGCTGGTCTTGAACTCCTGACCTCAAGTGATCCACCCGCCTTGGCCTCCCAAAGTGCTGGGATTACAGGCGTGAGCCACCGTGCCCGGCCTTCAGTTGATTTCTAATAGATTCACTACTTAACAAAACTAGGCACTTAAACTGTATTCTTGTAGACTGGTAATTTTACAGGGGACTTGTAGCCATTGTTTCAAAACAAACTCCAAAATATGCAAATTATACATAGAAAATGTTTTTATGGGCCAGGCACAGTGGCCCACGCCTGTAATCCCAGCACTTTGGGAGGCCAAGGCAGGCAGATCACGAGGTCAGGAGATTGAGACCATCTTGGTTAACACGGCTAACACGGTGAAACCCCATCTCTACTAAAAATACAAAAACAAAAAATTAGCCGGGCATGGCGGCAGGCACCTGTAGTCCCAGCTACTTGGGAGGCTGAGGCGGGAGAATGGCATGAACCCGGGAGGTGGAGCTTGCAGTGAGCCGAGATCGCACCACTGCACTCCAGCCTGGGCGACAGAGCAAGACTCCGTCTCAAAAAAAAAGAAAATCTTTTTATATCTCTTCTGGGGCTAATACTTCAATGTGCAATCAGTGAGAAAAACACTTTACGTTTTGATAAGACATAACTGAGGAGCTCGGGAGTAGGTGGCTGTTATAAGTGTTTCACATTTGAAGATCGAAAGATCTACAAATAGATTGTGTGTATTTATACACACTATTTCGCACATCTTGCTTTTTAAAAACTTTGTGATTTTTAAAAAATGGCCACATACCACTGAACTGTACACCTAAAAATGGTGAAGATGGTAAATATTATATGTATTTTGCCACAATAAAACCAATTTTTTTTTAATGGCCACAAATTCTTATGCTTCTTCCACTATGATGTGGGGGGCTATGCCTCCTCCCCTTGATTCTGGGTGGGCTTTGACTATCTCAACTGAGTATGGCAGAAGTTCTGCTGTGTGATTTAAAGTTTTGCATCATTTTAGCCAGGCGCACTGGCTCACACCTATAATCCCAGGGCTTTGGGAGGCTGAAGTCGGGGTGGATCACTTCAGGTCCGCAGTTTGAAACCAGCCTGGCCAACATGGTGAAACCCTGTCTCTACTGAAAATACAAAACTTAGCTGGGTATGGTGGCGCATGCCTGTAATCCCAGCTACTCGGGAGGCTGAGGCAGGACAATCGCTTGAACCTGGGAGGTGGAGGTTGCAGTGAGCTGAGATCATCCCACTGCATTCCAGCCTGGGTGACAGAGCAAGACTCTGTCTAAAAATAAATAAATAAATAAATAAATAAAGTTGTGCCTCATTTTATATATAAGTGCTCTTTGCAACCATCATGCATCTTTTTGTTTATTTTTCTTTTGGGGCTGAGCATCATGCCTCTTGACTTTTTTTTTTTTTTTTTTTTGAGATGGAGTTTCACTTTGTTGCCCAGGCTGGAGTGCAATGGTGCAATCTCAGCTCACTGCAACCTCCGCCTCCCAGGTTCAAGTGATTCTCCTGCCTTAGCCTCCGAGTAGCTGGGATTATAGGTGCGCCACCACGTCCGGCTAATTTTGTATTTTAACTGAGTTTCACCATGTTGGCCAGGCTGGTCTCAAACTCCTGACCTCAGGTTATCCATTCACCTCAGCCTCCCAAAGTGCTGAGATCACAGGTGTGAGCCACCATGTCCGGCCAAGTTATTTCACTGTTCAATTACAATATACATTTATTGGGGTGAAAGAAAATTGAATGTGGATAGGCAGTCTAATTTTGTTTTTTTATGATATGAACTTATCCAATATTGAATTTACAGGCATTAAAAAAATCAGGTTTTATTCTGCAAACTGTTGGTGGCATGTTAAATGTTTTGTTTTAGTGGTATCTGGAAGACTGGTTGGGGTTTCTGGATGGGCCAAGAACATGTTTTCCTCATTTAAACATAGGCTAGGCACGGTGGCTCACGTCTGTAATCCCAGCACTTTGGGAGGCTGAGGCGGACAGATGGCTTGAACTCAGGAGTTCAAGATGAGCCTGGGCAACGTGGTGAAATGCCGTTTCTACTAAAATACAAAAATTAGCCAGGCATGGTGGTGTGTTTGTAATCCCAGCTACTTGAGATGCTGAGGCACGAGAAGCACTTGAACCCAGAAGGCGGAGGTTGCAGTGAGCCAAAATTTTGCCACTGTACTCAGCCTGGGTGAAGGAGATTCTGTCTCAAAAATAAATAAATAAATGATATGTAAATAAATAAATAAAAATAAAATCATAGACAGCTACTCAGGAGGCTGAGGTGGGAGGACTGCTTGAGCTCAGGAGTTCAAGGCCAGCTTGGGCAACATAGTGAGACTCCGTCTACATTAAGTCAATCAATCAAGGCAGGTACTTCCATTATCTAAATTTTGTCTTCCAACACATTTTAGGGGGGCTAATAAAGGATGCCAGTCTGTCCAGAAACTTGTATAGAAGGACTGAGTACTTCCTCATTCTGTATATGGCCACATGCAGTTAGCCCATTCCCTTCTTTAAAAAAATTTTTTTCTTTGTAGAGATGAGGTCTTACTATGTTGTCCAGACTGGTTTCAAACTCCTGGCCTCAAGTGATCCTTCCACCTTGGCCTCCCAAAGTCCTATGGTAACAGGTGTGAGCCATCATGCCAGGCCTACATTCCCCTCCTGATGAGTACTTTGGTTGTTTCCAAACGTTTCCTCCGAGAATAATGGCATAGTGAGTAACTTACAAGTGTGTGTTCCTAGAAGTGGAATAGTTGGGTCAAAAGGTATGCATATTTGTAATTTTGAAGAGATTGTCAAATTGTCCTCCAAAGAACTTATACAAATTTAAATTTCCACCAAGATATGAGAATAAATTTTCTGATAATTTTGTCCAGTTATCAAACTTTAATTTTTGCCATTCTGGCAAGTAAAAAATGGAATCTAAGGTAGTTTTAATTTGCATTTTTATTAGCATTAGGGAGGTTTTCTTTTCACATGTTCCAAAGCCCTTTGGGCCATGCACAGTGGTTCACATCTCTAATCCCAGCAACTCAGGAAGATTGCCTGAGGCCAGGAGTTTGAGACCAGCCTGGGCAGCATACCAAGGTCCTAGCTCTACAAAAAAAAAAAAAAAAATTGGCTGAGTGTGGTGACATGCACCTGTATGGTCCCAGCTACTCAAGAGGCTGAGGCAACAGGATTGCTTGAGCTCAGGAGTTTGAGGCTGCAGTGAGCTATGATTGCTTCACTGCACTCCAGCCTGGGTGATAGAGCAAGACTCCATCTCTAGTGGGGAGGAAAAAAGCCCTTTGTATTTTTTTCTATGGTGTATTTATTTGTATTATTATTTTTATTTTGAGACAGGGGTTCACTGTCACCCAGGCTGGAGTGCAGTGGCACAATCTTGGCTCACTGCAATCTCTGCCTCCTGGCCTCAAGCCATCCTCCCACTTCAGCCTCCCAAGTAGCTGTGACTTCAGGCGCACACCACCATGCCAGGTCAATTTTTTTGTTGTTGTTTTTTAGTTTTTAGTAGAGACAAGGTTTCACTATGTTGCCCAGTCTGGTCTCGAACTCCTGGGCTTAAGCAATCCGCTAACTTAGTCCTCCCTAAGTGCTGGGATTACAGGTATGAGCCACCATGCCCAGCCCAGCTATTTTTTTTTTTTTTTTGAGATGGAGTCTCACTCTGTTGCCCAGGCTGGAGTATAGTGGCTTGATCTTGGCTCACTGAAGCATCCACCTCCTGGGTTCAAGCAATTCTCCTGCCTCAGCCTCCCAAGTAGCTGGGATTACAGGTGCCTGCCACCACACCTGGCTATTTTTTGTACTTTTAGTAGAGACGGGGTTTCACCATGTTGGCCAGGCTGGTCTCGAACTCCTGACCTCAGGTGATCCACCTGCCTCAGCCTCCCAAAGTGCTGGGATTACAGGAGTGAGCCACCATGCCCGGCCAGCCCAACTATTCTTATTTGTTATGATATGATCTTTAGAAGTCTGTCTAAGACCTATGTAAATAGTTATTGGACAATGTTTTAAATATAGGTCAAACGTCATTAAAATATCATTGCAAATTAAGTAACTTGCATTTTTAAACTAATTATTGTGGAGAAACAGTATAACACCTTCAAAGTGTAAAATAATTTTATTATTGAAACTGCAATTTAAAAACTTGCAATTAGCTAAATAGAAGCCTATATACTCGTAATAACTAGCATTTTTGGCACTCGGGTACTGTGCTAGACGCATTTTTTTTTTTTTTTTCTTTTTAGACAGAGTCTTGCCCTTGCCCTATCATCCAGGCTGGAGTGCAGTGGCATGATCTCTGCTCACTGCAACCTCTGCCTGCTGGGTTCAAGTGATTCTCCCACCTCAGCCCCCTGAGAAGCTGGGATTACAGGCATGCATCACCACGCCTGGCTAATTTTTTGTATTTTTAGGAGAGATGGGGTTTCACCATGTTAGCCAGGATGGTCTCGATCTCCAGACCTCATGATCTGCCCACCATGGTCTCCCAAAGTGCTGGGATTATAGGCGTGAGCCACCGTGCCTGGCCTAGATGCTTTATACGAACTGATTCAAACCTCCTGCCACTAGAAGGTAGATACTTTTACTGTCCTCAGTTTGAGGGAATTAAGATGGTGAGAAATTGGGCCAAGCAAGGTGGCTCATGCCTGTCATACCAGTACTTAGGGAGGCCAAGGTGGGAGGATTACTTGAGGCCTAGAGTTCAAGACCAGCCTGGGCAAGAAAGCAAGACCTTATCTCTACAAAAAAATTTAAAAATCAGGAAAGCATGGTGGTGTGTGCCTGTAGTCCCAGATACTCGGGAGGCTGAAGCAGGAGGATCCCTTAAGCACAGGGGTTCAGGGTTGCAGTGAGCTATGGTCATAACACTACACTCCAGCCTGGGTGACAGCAACACCACCCTGTTTCTCTCTGTGGGAAATTAAATAACTTGTTCAGGCCCACACAGCTAGTAAGTGATAGAACTAGAACTCAAATCCAGACTTATTTTACTTCGAAACCTGTGTTGAATCATGTTTCATTGAGTTTTTTAGAAATCTTTTTTTTCAACTGGCAAAATAAAGGCAAACTAATTCCAGTAACATCAAATTCACTTAAGTTATTCGCAAGTATGGCAAAGGACTACAAAGTCAGAATAACAGGTGTAATTAACACTTCTGTGTGCTGGCTTTTTGCTCCACACGCCTTTCTAGGCCACCGGCTGCAGTGCTGGGGGTTTACAGTTGCGGACCACTCCTCCCAGACTTCTAGCCAGGTGGCTTCCAGTTTGGTTCTGCTATTTCTTGGCACTGGGGTAAAAATTAGAAGCTTGGAGAAAGTGCAGAGATGTTTCTTCTTTTGGTGGTGGGCTTGGCAGCCTGGACAGCAGCAGTGTTAAGTTGTCAGCAGCACTGGCAAAGAGACTCCTGGGCTTCTGAGCACTGCAGTGGCCACAGCAGCTCCGACAGCTCAGTGGCAAATGTGGGCTCGGGGCTCCAAGCCAAGGGCCGGAGCAGCTCCTGATCTGTGGCTGCAAAGCCCTTCTTCCCTTTTGTCTGGCTCCCGCTTCTACCTCCCTTCTGTTCTTTCAGTCTTTTGAAGAACTTTATAGCCAATCCCTGGCATGAAATTCTTCTCTGCTTGGCATATCTAGAGTGGCTTTTATTTTTCTGACTGATAAACTCTGCCACTAAAATTATACCAATATTTTCTTAGAATAACATTAAAAAGACTGATATTCTTACTTTTTTATATGGAAGACATAGGCTATAAGCACTCAATTTTCTTAAGGGAGAGAGCAAACTTTTTGCACTTTGTTTCCTTCATATATGGTGCAAAAAAGTTGATAGTCTCTATAAATTGCACAAGTGACTGGCAATGAAAAGACTTATTAATTCAGGACATGAGTTCTTTATGGGGCAATTATGCTCATATTGTTTTATTTATTACATGTGGGGTAATGTTAGACAAATAGCTATAATACAGAGATTGTACAATTTAAAAACTGTAATAAATATGGTCCATTAATAGCAGACTCCAAAATTCTTGTCCTTCTTGAAAAAAAGGTTCAGTGATTTACGATAATCCACTAAGAAACATCTAAATGGGAAGAAACACAGAAGTGATTTTTATAAGTCACTTAGTTTTTCAAATTGAAAATGGTCAGATAAACTACAGAACTTAAGTGAAGTGATACAAATCTACATATCAAACTATTTGGCATTTTAGATTAGAGAGAAACAGATTTTAAACGCCACAAATTTATCTCCCGAATCAATACTCTCCCCTTCTGAAAAAAAAAGTAATCTTATGGCATTGAGCACAACCACCTGGAGGTAAGCCCTGTAAGTTATTAATGGGCGGTAACAAAATGCGGGCTCATTCTAATATGCCTGATCTGGACCAAAGGAAGAAAAAAGCCACGATACTTAGGTTTACTAAAGCTACCAAAATATTCCGATCTGAAAAACAGCAAATAAAAAATAAAGCTACCAAAATATGATCAAAGTAAAAATTTTACCTGGCACTTAAGTTCAAAATGGGAGTAAAAATAAATTATGTGCACATTTTACATACAAAAAATTTGGAAGAATGTACAGCAAAATGTTAACAGTGATCCTATGTCTGGGTAGTGAGATTTTGAAGATCAGTTTAGTATTTTTCTCTTTCTTTTGGCTCTTTCATATTTCTCTTTTTCCTTTGTTTTTTTTTTTTGTTTTGTTTTGTTTTGATTTTTTGAGATGAGTTTTGCTCTTGTCGCCCAGGCTGGGGTACAATGGTGTGATCTTGGCTCACTGCAACCTCTGACTCCTGGGTTCAAGCAATTCTCCTGCCTCAGCTTCCCTAGTAGCTGGGATTACAGGCTCCCACCACCATGCCAGGCTAATATATTTTTTTTTTGGAGACAGAGTCTTGCTCTGTCAGCCAGGTTGGGGTGCAGTGGCATGACCTCAGCTCACTGCAACCTCCGTATCCCGGGCTCAAGCAATTCTCCTGCCTCAGCCTCCCGAGTAGCTGGGATTACAGGCGTGTGCCACCACGCCTGGCTAATTTTTGTATTTTTAGTAGAGACGGGGTTTCACCATGTTGGCCAGGCTGGTCTTGAACTCCTGGCCTCAGGTAATCTGCCCCTTGGCCTCCCAAAGTGCTGGGATTACAGGTGTGAGCCACCGTGCCCAGCCATACTTCTTTTTTTTCTGCAGTGAATATACGTTTTAGGTAATTAAAGAATAATAATTAATTTAAAAAGCAATTAATACCCAAGCATGACAATAATCAACACCTTTTAGAATTCAGTTTTTCACCTGCTTCAATATTAAAAACACCACCTTATGAGGAATGGTAATGCTGGAAAGCACCTGAGAGACCATGGGGTCCAGATCTGAAGACTAAGCCCACATTAGGCTTTGCTGCCCAGTGGCAGGGCTGAGATTAGAACTGTGGTCTCTTGATTTCTAGTTTAGAACTCTCTAACACAAAAAGTAAAATATAAAAATTACAGTTACACATAAAAATACATTTATCTCCAGAACACTAGAAAAGGCTTGTCAATTTTAAGGCCCTAGGAATATAAACAATGTCAAGTTAGAACCTAAGAACTTTCCATCAGCTTTACCTTCAGAATTTCACAGGGAGCAGTGTCTGGAGGCACAGGTTTCCCGCAGTGCTTTGAATATTCAGTTATCAAGACTGAAGCTTCATCTAAACTACAAAATCAAAAAGAAAAAGAAGTGTTAGGCCAAGCACAGTGCCTTGTGCCTACAATCCCGGCACTCAGGGAGGCCAAGATGTACAGATGGCTTGGGTCCAGGAGTTTGAGACTAGCCTGGGCAACATGGCAAAGCCCTGTCTCTACAAAAAATATAAAATTAGCCAGGTGTGGTGTTGCACACTTGTAGTCCCAGCTACTCTGGAGACTGAGGTAGGAGGATCGCTTGAACCCAGGAGGTTGGGGCAGCAGTGAGCCACGTTTGTACCACTGCACTCCAGCCTGGGTGACAAAGCAAGACCCTATTTCAAAAAGAAAAGAAAAGAAAAGAAAAAGAGGCATTGAAGTCAAAATTAAAATGTAAAGACCAATCTCTGAATTTAATGTTTTATTTGGGAAGAAATAATTCCAATTTGGGGCATATACATAGACTGGGTAGTCTCTGGATTGTCCAAAGAACAAAGAGAAGGTTAGAGGTTTTATGAAAAAGAGACATGTTACACATTGTTCTTTTTTTTCTTTTTTGTGAGACAGAGTTTCACTCTTGTTGCACAGGCTGGAGTGCAATGGTGCGATCTCGGCTCACTGCAACCTCCACCTCCTGGGTTCAAGCGATTCTCCTGCCTTAGCCTCCCGAGTAGCTGGGATTACAGGCATGCGCCACCATGCTCGGCTAACTTTTTGTATTTTTAGTAGAGACAGGGTTTCATCATGTTGGCCAGGCTGGTCTTGAACTCCTAACCTCAGGTGATCCACCCGCCTCGGCCTCCCAAAGTGCTGGGATTACAGGAGTAAGCCACTGCGCCCGGCCAGAATTATGTTTTTGGAGCAATGTTTTGTACTCTGAGTGCTTTTCCCCTGGGCCCCTCGACTCTGATGAATTTGGGTATCACAAGAATGACCTAATTCATGTAATCAACTTCACAGAGGGCATGAGGAAACTTTCAGAGAATTATGTTCACTCTCTTGATTGTGGTGATGGCTTTATAGGTATACATATGTCAAAATTTACTAAATTGCAGACTTCAAGTATGTCCAGCTTATTATATGTATCAATTATAACTCAAAAAATACTTGCTCAAAAATGACAATATCTAATTATGGCTGGATCACAAGAGATAAACAAGCAGATGGAAATCCATGGAGTGGTAATGAGAAAGAAAGACCTCTCAAGCGCCAACATGGCTAGACCACATGCAGGGATGGATCTGGTGTGTACTGCGGTCTTGAACTTCCCTTTCTTTAGTGTCAGCCCACTTCTTCCTTCTCCCGTTCAGTTTCCATATCCACCCCCAGCTCTATCCCAAGAAGCTTATTGTTTCTAAACTTGTGGGTGCTGGAAAATTAGATAACCAGGTTTAACAAAAGTGATGCTACATAAAGTCATTAATGTTCTGAGCAAGTGTCTAGACATAAAATTGTAATGTAGGATTTAGAACAGGGCTGTGAGACACTTGATTTGGGGGTTCAGATGACCTGTTTAATTGTCAGATTCTAAGGTCATATTCCAAGAAATTGGGTTATTAAATGATTAACTTTTGGATATGTGCAGTAATGAGAGATGTAATATTTTGAGCTTTTAATTACAACCAAATAGCTCTACAGTTGACATTCTGCTCCAACATAAAGATAGATTTTTTTTTTTTTGAGACAGAGTTTCGCTCCTGTTGCCCAGGCTGGAGTGCAATGGTGCGATCTCGGCTCACTGCAACCTCTGCCTCCCGGGTTGAAGAGATTCTCCTGCCTTATCCTCCCTAGTAGCTGGGATTACAGGTATGTGCCACCATGCCCGGCTAATTTTGTATTTTTAGTAGAGACAGGGTTTCTCCATGTTGGTCAGGCTGGTTTTGAACTCTCAACCTCAGGTGATCCACCCACCTCAGCTTCCCAAAGTGCTAGGATTACAGTCGTGAGCCATCGTGCCCAGCTTATAAAGATAGATTTTAAGGAAATTCCACAGTAAGTTTTTTTTTTTTTAATTAACTTACCTTAAGTCATTTGCCAAATAGTTCACTAGCTCAGTGATATTGTTGGTATTCATCGCATGCATCTTCAACATTTGAAAGTATTTGGTCTTTGCCAAAATCCCAAACTCCTTCTTATTGATGATATTATTCAAAATCAGACTTCTAATCTATAGAATGACAGGTATCATTAAGATCAGACTTCTAATCTATTAGAATCAGACTTCTAATCTATAGAATGACAGGTATCAAGCCTTTATTCAATATCAAAACATTTCTGACAATCGGAAGCCCAATTAGCACTGCATTGTGACTGCGCCTCCTTTTTGAGGGGGTAAAAAGGGAAAGGAGGCCTGTCAGCATCAGTCAATAAATAAAGTAATTGTTGTTGTGCACTTTGAGACTTTTTATGAGGAAGAAGATCTGTTTTCAATTAAAAGCACTTAAGGCTACAAATTTTCCATGGAGTACAGCAGTCAACAAGACGCTCAGGGTCCCTGCCTCTTAAAAAATTTACTGAGGTTTTAGTAAAAGCAAAATAATTCTATACATAAACAAACAGCTAGACATAGCAGTTTTCAGCTTACTCTTGGTTTGGGAAAATGACTACCTTCTAGTATCAACATTTTCATAGCAAAAAGGAGATGAAATCGCCTCTTACTTGATGTGAAAATCCTGCTAGCTGGCCCGTGTTCATATGCTCTTCCAATTGCTTTAAAATAACCTGAGGGTCACAGGAACCCAGAAAATTCTAGAGAAAAATCAAAGCAGAATTAATAGAAAATTGTTATTATTTATTCCAACAGCAAGAGCCGTTGATCAGGTATTTTGCTCTTCTAAGTGCCAAAAGAAATCTATTTAAATACTGAAACACTGAACGACATCAAGGAATGAGTGTATGAATGATGAAAAGAGGGGAAAAAGTCAAAGACAAGAACAGATGGCTTTTAAAAATGTAATTAATAAGCCAAATGACAAATAAAAAATATGCATGTTCAGCTGGGCGCAGTGGCTCATGCCTATAATCCCAACACTTTGGGAGGCCAAGGCCAGCGGATTGCCTCAGGTCAGGAGTTCGAGACCTGCCTGGCCAACATAGCAAAACCCTGTCTCTACTAAAAATACAAAAGTTAGCCGGGCGTGGTGGCAGGAGCCCGTAACGTCAGCTACTTGGGAGTCACTTGAACCCGGGAGGGAGGCTGCAGTGAGCTGAGATTGCACCACTGGACTCCAGCCTGGGTGACAGAGACTCTCAAAAAACAAAACACAAAAAACAAACAAACGAAAAAGCCTGAATGCATGTATGTTCATTTATGTAGATCTCTATCTACTGGTATATCTACCTGCAGGGAAGATAACTGTAAAACATTCCAAAATGCTTTGTTCTACTTGTTCTCTATTATAAAGGAAATGAGAGTTATTTTTAAAAGTTCTATCCCCAAAATGCTTGTGGCTCCTTCTGATGGGCACCCACACATAAAATCTGACTCTCCCCCTCTTCTATCTCCCACATTCAATTGCTAAGTCTGCTGCCTTCCTTGTAGCCTTCTTGTCTTGTTCAAGTTCATTACCAGACCCTATCATGGGTACTTAACCCTCAAGCCTTCCCTGCCTATGCACAAGGTTGCTATGAAGAGATCAAGTGGGATAAAATTCTACTCAAATGCAACATCTTCCCAACTGTTTCACTTCTTGTCCTCTCCTCTGTCCAAGCCTACATGGGTTAATGGGTTATTCCTTTTAAAATAATTCCTTCATCATTTCAGTTTGCTGTTCTAAAATAATCACTTGTTTCCCCACTGATAGACAATAAGGCCCAAACCCCTTGTAAGACAGCCCTCAGCTGGACCTTAATCTATCTTTCAGTCTTACCTCCCACTAAGCCCCCATACAAGCTTCACACATATCTGATGTATTCATGCTTTACAGGTTTGCTGAAATGAAAATGCGACCTTTTGCAAGGGACATGCAAGATGAAACCTTCTATTTCCTTGGCAGCCCAGAGGAATCATGTGCACGATACCTTAATTTGCTGGTGTCTTTTCTCTGAGTGGGGCATGAGCATCAGACAAGCTAATGCAAAAGCCGGAAGTTCTAACTGGATATACTGCCTGGCGACTCCGATCAGGTCAAGATCACCTGAGACTGGACATCTTCGAGAGAGAACATTAATTAGTTAATAATCTGGCAGATTCACTAGATTATATTGGCCTTTCTAGCTTTCCATAGTCATCTGCCTGTCCAAGTTTTCAATAATTTTAAACACTAAAGTGCTGGTGCATGACATATGCTTAGGAATGAGTAACACAAGTCTTTGACAGCACTCTACACAGAATAAAAGAATTTACCCATGGGAACACGGACTACTGTTTGCTATCATGATTATGTCTGAAAGCCTACAGATGCCTAAAGATAGGCTTCTAAATTCTCAGAAGACTCAAAACCTTTTTTTTTTTTTTTTTTGAGAAACAGTCTAGCTCTGTCACCCAGGCTGGAGTACGATGGCATGATCTTAGCTCACTGCAACCAACACCTCCCGGGTTCAAGTGATTCTCCCTCCTCAGCTTCCTGAGTAGCTGGGATTACAGGCATGCGCCACCATGCCCAGCTCATTTTTATATTTTTAGTAGAGACGGGGTTTCACCACGTTGGCCAGGCTGGTCTCGAACTCCTGACCTCAAGTGATCCACTCGCCTCAGACTCCCGAAGTGCTGGGATTACAGGTGTGAGTCGCCGCACCCAGCCAGAAGACTCAAAATATATGCGACAACGCTGTATGATTTAGGGTAGTCACCAAAAGTACTCTATGCTCATACAGTAGGTACTCATTTTAGAGAATGCTCAGTTTACTAGTCGCACAACACATGGGAAGTAGACATTGTAAAAATAATCAAGATATTTTGGTATAAAAACAAGTGTTGGCCGGGCGCGGTGGCTGAAGCCTGTAATCCCAGCACTTTGGGAGGCCGAGGCAGGTGGATCATGAGGTCAGGAGATCGAGACCATCCTGGCTAACACGGAGAAACCCCGTCTCTATTAAAAATACAAACAATTAGCCGGGCATGGTGGTGGGCGCCTGTAGTCCCAGCTACTCAGGAGGCTGAGGCGGGAGAACGGCGTGAACCCGGGAAGCAGGGCTTACAGTGAGCCGAGATGGCGCCACTGCACTCCAGCCTGGGTGACAGAGCAAGACTCCGTCTCAAAAACAAAACAAAACAAGTGTTGCTGGGCGCAGTGCCTCACATCTGTAATCCCAGCAATTTGGGAGGCTGTCTCTACTAAAACTACAAATATTAGCCAGGCGTGGTGGTGCATGACGCATGCCTGTAATCCCAGCTACTCACGGGATGGCTCATGCCTGTAATCCCAAAACTCTGGAAATTCCATCTCTACTAAAAATACAAAAATTAGCCTGGCATGGTGGCACGTGCCTGTAATCCCAGCAACTCAGGAGGCTGAGGTGGGAGAATGGCGTGAACCTGGGAGGCGGAGCTTGCAGTGAGCTGAGGTCGCACCACTGCACTCCAGCCTGGGTGACAGAGCAAGACTCCGTCTCAAAAACAAAAAACAAAACAAAAACAAAAAACAAAAAACAAAAAACAAAACAAGTGTTGCTGGGCGCAGTGCCTCACACCTGTAATCCCAGCAATTTGGGAGGCTGTCTCTAATAAAATTACAAATAATAGCCGGGCGTGGTGGTGCGTGGCGTATGCCTGTAATCCCAGCTACTCACGGGATGGCTCATGCCTGTAATCCCAACACTTTGGAAATTCCATCTCTACTAAAAATACAAAAATTAGCTGGGCATGGTGGCACGTGCCTGTAATCCCAGCTACTCAGGAGGCTGAGGCAGGAGAATCGCTTGAATCTGGGAGGTGGAGGGTGCAGTGAGCCGAGGTTGTGCCACTGCACTCCAGCCTGGATGACAGAGCAAGACTCCATCTCAAAACAACAACAACAACAACAAACACGTGTTATGCTTAACTTCCTAACAAAAAGGAATTACTCATTAGAGATATCTATTAGAAGGGAATCTTATAAGCAACAAACTTTTTTTTTTTTTGGTAGAACAAATATTTTGCTTACTCGAGGACAGCGATGAGACTCTCAGAACAATCTGACAGCTGATCAGGACTTAAAGGACAAGAGGCTGAAAACAAAACAAAAAAACAACCATGATATACACACACTCAACTATAAAATGCTGTAGCCAATGTTTCAGAGAGCGAAATACCTGAAAGCAGTGGTATCTGTATCACACGCTGCCACGCTTTGCTGAAGTAGGGAACCTGTGAAAACAAGTCCACGTTTGGGATATTCATGTTAAGGATATTACAAACTCTCTTTAATTTGCAGTCTAGGCCAGGCGCGGTGGCTCACACCTATAATCCCAGCACTTTGAAAGGCTGAAGCAGGTGAATCACTTGAGGTCAGGAGTTCGAAACCAGCCTGGCCAATATGGCAAAACCCCGTCTCTACTAAAAATACAAAAATTAGCCAGGCATGGTGGTGCATGCTTGTAATCCCAGCTACTCGGGAGGCTGAGACACAAGAATCGCTTGAACCCGGGAGGCGGAGGTTGCCTGGGTGACAGAGCGAAACTCCATCTCGAAAAAGGTATTATGAACTCTCTTTAAATTGCAGCCTAAATGTTCTGAAATTAGATAATGGTGATGGTTGTACAATTTTATGAATATAGCAGAAACTACTTGATTGTATACTTTCAAAAGGATGAATTTTACAAGTGAATTGTATCTCAACAAAAAAATTAGATAAATCGCTATGCGCTGATACGGAACACTCTCTAGAGGCCGCTGTTAAATGGTCACAAAACTGTACATTTATAGTTTATATTCCAGATGACTAAAATCATAAGCTGATATCTCCCTGTTTGAGATGATTAAGGTTCTAGCATAATGTTCTTCATAACTGTATCTTTCAGGATCTCATTATACAATCCTTGCTGATTCATTATTCCATTTGGCAAAAAGTCAGAACCCAACTCAGAAAAGAAAATTAATCCTTAGCCGGTTATGTGCCAGGGCCACAGGAAAGAAGGAAGGGGACAAGAGAAAGAATTTCAAGAAGGTGAATAAGGAAAGAACACTGGCCAGGCGCGGTGGCTCACACCTGTAATCCCAGTACTTTGGGAGGCCAAGGCAGGAGGATTGTTTCAGCTCAGGAGTTCTAAGACCAGCCTAGGCAACATAGCAAGACCTCCATCTCTATACATTTAAAGAAAAAAAAGAGGAAAGAAAATGTAAACTTCCATCAATAGAGGAGTGGTTAAGTAACTTCAGGTATATTTTACCACATATTCTGGAGAATAATCAAGCATTAAAAATAATAAAATACCTCAAAAGGCTAAACATAGAGTTACTGTAAGACCCAACAAGCCCACTTCTAGGTATATACTCAGGAGAAATGAAAACATGTTCAGTGAAAACTTGTACACAAATGTTCATAGCAGCATTATTTATAATGACCAAAAATAGAAACTCAAATCTTTATCAACTGGCAAATGGATAAATAAAAGTGGTATATCCATATAATGGAACATTATTTGGCAATAAAGACGAATGAAGTTCTGATCCATGCTACAATGTGGATGCTGAGTGAAAGAAGCCGGACACAAAATCCCACATAGTGTGGGATTCTGTTGATACAAAATGTCCAGAATAGGCAAATCCATGGACAGAAAGTAAATTAGTGGTCACTGGGGGCTGGAGGGAGTGGGGAATGGGGAATGATTGCTAATGGATATGAATTTTCTTTTTGGGGTGAGGAAAATGTTCTGGAATTAGATAATGGTGAGGCTGTACAACTCTGTGCATATACCAAAAACTACTTCATTGTGTATTTTAAAAGGATAAATTTTACATGTGAATTGTATCTCAATAAAACAATTAGATAGATCTACATGTGCTGATATGGAACAATCTCCAGAGACCACTGTTATGTGAAAACAACACTTTGTTTAGAATGTGATTGCATTTATGTGTGCAAAAATGCATATATACACTGTAGATATGCACACACATAGCATACATGCCTGTAAAACAGGAAATCTCGGCCGGGTGCGGTGGCTCACACCTGTAATCCCAGCACTTTGGGAGGCCGAGGCAGGCGGATCACAAGGTCAGGAGATCGAGACCATCCTGGCTAACACGGTGAAACCCCGTCTCTATTAAAAATACAAAAATTAGCAGGGCGTGGCGGCATGCGCCTGTAGTCCCAGCTACTCAGGAGGCTGAGGCAGGAGAATAGCGTGAACCCAGCAGGCGGAGCTTGCAATGAGCCGAGATCACACAACTGCACTCCAGCCTGGGCAACAGAGCGAGACTCCATCTCAAAAAAAAAAAAAAGGAAATCTCTAGAATACATAGGAAATTGTAAGCAGTCGTTCCCTTAGGGAGATAATTATGAAGGGAAAGAGTAAGGGGGAATTTTCATGTTTTACTCAGCATACTTCTATATTGTTCTAATTTATCAAACAAAGAATAAATTATATATTTCTGCGTAATATATATTATGATTATATGGGTACACAACTTATGTGAAATGTAGAAAAGATGAACAAGCCAGGGTATCTGACATGAAAGATCTTCAAAGTCTGTGAGGGGCAGTCCAACATATAATTAAAACTAATTATATGGTGACAAAAGTCAGAGTGGAGCCAAAATGTCTTGAGAGCATAAATAAAGATGTGACTCGTGAGGCCTGGAAAACTCAGGAAAACAGTATCTTCAGGAGGTGATGTGAGCTGAGTATTAACGGGTCCGGGCACAACTTTAATCATCCTACAGCTGATTAGTTCTGTTTCTTCTTTCTTTATTTTAGGGAAAGGATCTAGCTCTGTTCCCCAGGCCGGAGCTGGAGTGCAATGGTGCAATCACGGCTCACTGCAGCCTCAAACTCCTGGGCTCAAGTGATCCTTCCACCTTGGCCTCCCAAAGCGTTGGGGTTACAGGAGTGAGCCACTGTACTTGGCTCAGTTCTGTTATTTAAGAAGGAGCTGACTGCTTAATCCAGTGTCCCCAGCAGTCACAAGGCCAGAAAGTATAAAGACTAAATTCAATAAAATTTATTTTAAAAAACTACATACCTGCCATAAAGAATGGATACTGGAGATGGCTTTTAAAACTTTCCTTAGATAAGGAATCTGTAAAAAATTAAAAATAAAAAAGTTCTAAAGACCACCAAAATGGAAAATTTCAATGTGAAATACCAGATGTTAAAGTTCCAGAAGAAGTACTGGTAAAACGTTATCTTCCATGATAACTGCCAGAGAAGTTCACTTACAAGTTCATAAATATCAAAAAAGGCTAGGGAACCTTCCATTTGTTTCCAATGAAATTTATGTCATTTTGGATTTTGCACTCTCTGGTCTAACACCAAGTTCTTTAAGTTTGGCATGAGCTCAGTGAGAGTGACTGTGTTTTCAGCATAAATCTGTTCCATAACAAGTATCAATCCAAAATGTTTAGGGGATGCTGTGCAAAAGCTTTCAAATATACTTAGTCGAGGGCATTGAGTCTTACTTACCATATTGAAGCCCAGAAGCTTTTGCAAGAGTCCATTCCAAAGCTGCAGGTCATAGATTTTGTATTCTAAACACAGCTCAGTCACCAATCTTACTGCCTGAAGCCAAAAAAAGAAAAAAATCATGCTATTCCAAGACACCAGTAAATCAAGCCATCTTTGGAAAAGTAGGGCAGCTTAATACAAAATATGCTGCTTTTTTTTTTTTTGAGATGGAGTCTCACTCTGTTGCCCAGGCTGGAGTGCAGTGGCATGATCTCAGCTCGCCACAACCTCCACCTCCTGGGTTCAAGCGATTCTCCTGCCTCAGCTTCCCGAGTAGCTGGGATTACAGGCGGCCGCCATCATGCCTGGATAATTTTTGTATTTTTAGTAGAGACGGGGTTTCACCATGTCGGGCAGGCTGGTCTCGAACTCCTGACCTGAAGTGCTCTACCTGCCTCGGCCTCCCAAAGTACTGAGATTACAGGCATGAGCCACTGCGCCCGGCCACAAAATATGCTTCTAATCTGTGAATGTCTATCGAAGACCCCCATCTTTCTAATGAAAGACATGACAAAAAAGATTATTTTTCTTGCTGTCATGGACTCAGACACCACCTCGGATGTCTCCCCCTTTCTTTCTTCTATTGAAAAAGTTTGCCTGTTGGACCAAAAAACCTTCCTGCCCCAGCCTCCAACTGACTCAGAGGCTAAATCCCATAGGCAACTAAGAGGAAGAGAAATGACATCCTCTGTCTACCGGACAGTCTCCTCTCCCTGTCCAGATAAGGACAGATAAGCCGTGGAAGAGATTATAAAAGTGCTCTCTCTGGTTGGCAGGGATGACTTTAGCTGGTGGACTTTAAGGCAAAAGAGGTAAAAGGACCTTCCACACTGCCTTATCCATCCACACGCTGTGACAGGAGAGTAGAAAGGTCTCAGAGCAGTAGAGTTGCTCAGGGATACAGACTGTTCCTGGGTCGGGTGCAGTGGCTCATGCCTGTAATCCCAGTACTTTGGGAGGCCCAGGTGGGTGGATCACCTGAGGTCAGGAGTTCGAGACCAGCCTGGCCAATATGGTGAAACCTCATCTCTACTAAAAATACAAAAATTAGCCAGGTGTGGTGGGCGGGCGCCTATAATCCCAGCTACTTGGGAGGCTGAGGCTTGAACCCGGGAGATGGAGGTTGCAGTGAGCTGAGATCACACCACTGTACTCCAGCCTGGGCAACAGAGCAAAACTCTGTCCCCAACAACAACAACAACAAAAAGACTGTTCCTGGTTTTCTCTTTCAGGATTCTGAGTAGGGGCAGGGAATTGGGAATGGGGCAGTGAGGTGTACCTACCATGGACTCGTGGCTGTGGTTTTTCCACAGACCCTTAATCATTCCTTCTTTAGGACTGCTGCAAAATAATTCATATGTGATGGGGATATTCAAAGTCTCAAATGATGCCAGAAAAGTTATACATCTCAAATAAGATCTGGAAAACAGAAACGTTTCTAAGAATCATTCTCATAGGCCACATTTACATTTAAAATAAAAACTACCATATGGAAATATTAGGCCAGTTTGTTTTAAATGTCCATTTTGGACTTCCAAATATATTCACTGAATATATAATAACATTAGATAGAAATCAATTTGAACAAGATAAATAAAACATTCAGTTTCTAAATGTCTCCAAGAAACGATGGAAACAAGATGTTCTCAAAGCCCTATTTTCCCTTTGCCAAAATGTCAAGGATATTCAGGGCAACAGAACTGTATTCACACAGCTACTCTACTATGCTCTTCTGAATTCAGGGCTTAAAAGGTACAGCTCCAAAAAATGATCTGTTTCCTATTTCTTAATACAATTTAAACATTTCTACTTACTTCACTTCTTCAATGGGTTTTTTAAAGAGAGATTCTATAGTTTCCTTGTCAGCCAAATAGAAGAGACACTGAAGAGCTCGAGTTCTATGGGCAAAAGTTAACTGATGCATACCTAATGTCTGAAAAACCAAAAGAGGTTTGGAGAGTTGAACACCTGCACATTGTAGTTGGGTAAATGAGTTTCAACATAGGCAACATAAACAAC
This sequence comes from Homo sapiens, assembly GCF_000001405.40. Taxonomy (NCBI): domain Eukaryota; kingdom Metazoa; phylum Chordata; class Mammalia; order Primates; family Hominidae; genus Homo; species Homo sapiens. The sequence goes on along the minus strand of NC_000012.12, from coordinate 122,613,025 downwards.
GTCATTATTTTAAAATGTAAAGTCAATCTCTACAGTTACGGAACGCACTGTGTGTAACAGTGGTTCTTAACATGTGGTCCATGGACCCCTGAAGGGGCATTCCTGAGACTCCTTCAAGAGGGAAAGGGTCAAAGCTGTTTTCATGATACTAAGATGTTATTTGCCTTTACACTGTGTTGATATTTGCACTGACTGTGCAAAAGCAATGGTGGGTGAAATTGCAGGCAGAATGGAGGGAGGGCCCCCAACTGTTGTTGCAGCCCTTGTATTTACAGGCATGCCCTGGCAGTACTGAAAACCAAAGAGGTGGCCGGGCACAGTGGCTCACGCCTGTAATCCCAGCACTTTGGGAGGCCGAGGCGGGTGGATCATGAGGTCAGGAGTTCAAGACCAGCCTGACCAACATGGTGAAACCCACGTCTCTACTAAAAATACAAAAATTAGCCGGGTGTGGTAGCACGTGCCTGTAATCCCAGCTACTCAGGAGGCTGAGGCAGGAGAATCATTTGAACCCGGAGGCGGAGGTTGCAGTGAGCTGAGATCGCGCCACTGCACTACTCCAACCTGGGCAACAGAGTGAGACTCTCTCTCAAAAAAAAAAAAAAGAAAAAGAAAAAGAAAAAGAAAACCAAAGACAAATTTCACTTAATGTTCTTGATGGGCTGGGTGCAGTGGCTCACGCCTGTAATCCCAGCACTTTGGGAGCCCGAGGTGGGTGGATCACCTGAGGTCAGGAGTTCGAGACCAGCCTGGCCAACATGGTGAAACCCCGTCTCTACTAAAAATACAAAAATTAGCCAGGCGTGGTGGCGTGCGCCTGTAATCCCAGCTACTCGGGAGGCTGAGGCAGGAGAATTGCTTGAACCCGGGAGGCGGAGGTTGCAGTGAGCCAAGATTGTGCCACTGCTCTCCGACCTGGGTGACAGAGCAAGACTCCATCTCAAAAAAAAAAAACACAAAAAAAAACCAGAATGTTCTTGATGAAGTAGTAAAAATTAATTTTACTAAACCTCAACTTTTGAATCCACAGTCAGCCCCCATTTCCATGGGTTCTGTATTCGTGGAATCAACCAACAGTGGATCAAAAATACTCAAGAAAAAAAAAAAATCCACAAAGTTCTAAAAACCAAACATGAATTTGCTGCATGCCAAGTACTACACTGAATCCATGGGGACGAAGTGATTTGCAGGCATTGTGTTATAAGTAGCCTAGAGATGATTTAAGGTATATAGGAGGATGTATGTAGGTGACATGCAAATATGACACCGTTTTATATGAAAGACTTGAGCGTCCTCAGATTTTGGTATCCTTGGGGGTCCTGGAACCAGTCCTCCCACAGATACGGAAAGATTACTGTATATCATACTAATGTGAATTCCCATTTGAATACATGCTAATACTAATTAATGGGAAGTACACATAAGGCAGACTGCAAAGAAAAGCATGTACACAGCTGAGCTGTGAGCTGCACTAGCCACCTTTCATGGAATACCATTTTTAGGTCGTAAGTCTTTATATGTAGAGAATATAAGGGGAGGCTTTTTCCTTTTTGTCACGGACTTTAAAATCAGCACCTCAGACTTCCTTTTCTTCCTTTTCTCTGAGAATCATTTGCCTACTGGCTCCATCCCCTTCTCCTCTCTCTGCTCCAACTGCCTCAGAGGACATTTCTATAGGCAAGAACCTGAAGCTAAAGGTCATATTGCCGTTAGGGGAAATTGCAAGTTCAATCTAGCTAGAATTTAGTGGGCAGAAGGGGTGGTCTGACCAGAGCATGCAGCCAGATTAGGCCTTGGTGGAGACTTGTTTGTGGACAGTTTGTTTGGCTCCTGGCTTCAGGAATGTGGACTGACCAGGGAGTTAACCACTGTGAATGCAGACAGCCAGTGGAAACTGTCAATAGGTGCACCATTCAGCACGCTAAGCAGATGTTACAGAGACCAGAACTAAATGGAGCATGGTGCAAGACAATGCTTGCTTAGGAGATGAGACAGACTTTGAATACATATGTACGTGAGCATTATCTGAATCATCTGTTAATGCAATCAAGCATGGTAAATAAACAGGAAAAAAATGTTAAGCTGAGATGCACAGAAGAGTTTGGATTAAGTTTCTAGAGCTTACGGTTGTAGTTGATGTTGCAAATACAAACAGCATTCTTGAACTATAATCAATTGGACGAGACAGGAGGAGATACTGCACTCTGGAAAAAAAATTTTAATTACAGTCATTTTTTAATTTAGTGATGGATTACCAAAACAACAGACTTATCTTTCTATCCATGGAACGGTCATTAGACAACTCAAAGGCAGATCAGAAGGATAATGGGTCAATGACATTTGCGCTTCCCCCTTTAAAGAATGCTTAATCTTTTTCTTGAGTTCTTTCATTGCTAAAGATGATAATACACACAATAAACGCCAGGCTTCAGCCTCCTCATCTATAGAATAGCTAGTCAATCTCTGATCCCTTAAATTTTATTTAAGAAATTAATACAAACTGTAGCTGTAAAGTCCCTTGAATGCTACACATGGGAAATTCTGTGTTTGGTATGCAGGACCTTGTTAGCAGCCCATTTCAACCTCTAGACCCAGGGCAGGCTGGCCCCTCTCCGGGAAGGGAGGATGAATCAGGCCAGCTGGAGGAGGGGTGGGGCAGAGCTTTTAGTGGAAAAAGCAGCACGTTATGAATTTTGCATTAAGTAGCCTTTTGGGATTTCCTTTTTCTCTCCTCTTTAAATCGCTTCCCTCCAAGACCTTCCACGTGCCTAGTTCAGGTAGACATACCAGGAGCTACTTCTTGTTTGAACAAAGGTGGCCTTTCCCTTAAAAGACTAAATGAGGCCAAGGTGCGGGTCCAGAGGGAAAGAGGGCATGGTATGGGTGATTAGGACAGCTTTGCTTGTTCCAAACCAGAAGGAATCCGTTTCTTGGGGTTGTCTTTCCACATCTTTTCTATCAGCTCTCCAAGGCTGAGGCTGGACATAGGGCCTCCCCAGGCCACTTGGCTTACTTTTGGTTTAGGCTAGAAAGACAAAAAGCTGGCTGGCATGTGAACCACCATGCTCCCTTATCCATGCCTGTGCCAGGCATCATTAATGGATTGCCACATTCGTTCTGACTTGAGCCCAGATAGAGTCTTCTCAAGAATACAAGCCATAACCAATCAGATCTAGCACATTAGATAAAATCAATGTGCCTTTCTAGGCCTCAGTCGTAGGTTAGAAGAGCAAAAAGAATCTGGTGGCCCATATCTGAACCAACCCAGTTTAGCATGGTAAGAGAACATAAAAGGGTCTGGGGCCAAAGTCCTAGCTAAGAAAGAGTTTTCTTCTGCTTGAGAGGCACCTTTCAGCTAAAGGTGTGCTAGGAACCCTCGCCCTCGCAGGAGTTCAGAAATTCTAGATCTTGGCTGGCTCTGATGTTTTCCACTGCAGACTCCTAGCCACGTATTAGTGAACTGATTCATCTCATAGACTCTGACCTGAGTTTTATCAAGAAAGCCCTTTAAAAAAATCAACTGCTGAAAAATGTACTGGTAAGATTTCTATTTTGCATCACGATATAGGTGAATATAAGTAAAGGAAAAGAGTACCTTCGTAGGGCTTCATCTTCTTGAAGTTCAAATAATTCTGATGGTTTCTTTGAAAAGGTAGGAAAAAAAGGTCAAAAACTGAAAAAGTTTATGACTAAACAAACATTCATCTCTCTGAAAATCTATTAGATAAAAAACCTAATATACGATATTATGTTTACATTGAAAAATTATAACATAAATTATGAAAAGATTTTTGCTTAACTGATGGGTCTACTCATATTTGTTTACTCAACAAATATTCACTGAGCACTTACTATATGATAGACACAATTCTAAGTATATAGATTGCCTGAGTAAATAAAGCAAATGTTCCTGTCCTCCTGGAGCTGACATGCATTGGATTTTTATTTTTATTTATTTTTATTTTTGGAGACAGGATCTTGCTCTGTCACTCAGGCTGGAGTACAGTGGCACAACCACGGCTCAGTGCAGCCTCAACCTCCTGTGCTCAAGCAATCCTCTTGCCTCAGCCTCCTAAGTAGCTGGGACCACAGGTGCACACCATGGCACCTGGCTAATTTTTTAAATTTTTGTAGAGATGGGGGTCTCACTATGCTGCTCAGGCTGGTCTCAAACCCCTCGCCTCAAACAATCCTCCCACCTCAGCCTCCCAAAGTGCTGAGATTACAGTCATGAGCTACCTTGCCCAGCCCCGTATTAGATAATTTGTAAAAGGAAAAGACTCCATGAATTTTAAATGAGCCATTTGTTAATTCAGTATATATCTGTTGGGATTTACAAAGTACTGTACTAGGTGCTATGTATACATGCAGTTTCTGGCCTCAAGGAACTTTTAGTGTGTACCTTGAACTTACATGTAAGTTAAAACATCTGTAAAGGCTGGTTTCTAAAAGTCAACCACATATTCTACGTGGCCAAGATGTTTCTAACTCCTGTTTCCACTGAAGCACAGTCCATGCTCTTGGTAAATACTTTAAAAATCCTTGTTGAATCAAATGCCAAATGATATAAAAATTGCTAATTAAAAACCTAATGGTGGCCAGGTGCAGTGGTTCACACCTGTAATCCCAGCACTTTGGGAGGCCGAGGTGGGTGAATCACCTAAGCTCAGGAGTTCGAGATCAGCCTGGGCAACATGGCGAAAACCCATCTCTAGTAAAAATACTAAAAAAATTAGCCGGGCACAGGTAATTTTTTAAAAGTAGCTGGGACACCTGCAGTCCCAGCTACTCTGGAGACTGAGGCATGACAATCACTTGAGCCGGGGAGGCGGAGGCTGTAGTGAACTGAGATCATGCCACTGCTCTAGCCTGGGTGGCTGAATGAGACCCTATCTCAAACAAACAAACAAAACCCTAATGTCATATTACACTATTTGTTTACAAATAGATTTTGTTCCCCCAAGAATATCTGCCTAGGTGGATATAGGAATTATAGAATCTACCTCAAGTTCTGCCTGAAAATTCAGAAGAAATGATACAGAAGATCTGGATTTGCTGAATCCTATCTTAAATTTTAGTTGTTAATGATGCTATTTCTTAAAAACTGACATTATGTGCTTCCTGGTGTGATCCTTTGAAAGTAATACATCACCTATACAGTATTGTTGCCAAAAGCACATAACCTGAATCAAATCACAAGAAACATTAGCAGACCCAAAATGAAATATTTTATAAACCAACTGGCCTGTGCTCTTCAAAAACATCAATAAATCAGGTGTGCAGGGGTAGAGGAAAGGAGTTGGAAGAGGAATGGAATATTGTATCATCCTAAAATATTTCCTCTAATAATTACAAAAGGAAAAATAGTAATTATGGAGTAGAGAAACAGACAACACCGTAACCAAGTTACCTAAATTAACATCACCTGTGAGGGCAAAGGGACCTCATGTGCCTCCAAATGTCATACCCTGAGGAGGGCACAACACAACTTATGCAGTATGATGCTAAAAATAAGTAATTTGAATATTACCATGAGGCAGTATTAGACAAGCGCAAATTGGAGGGCAGCTTATGAAACAGCTGGATTTCACTCTTCAAAAATGTCAATATCATAAAAGACAAGAAAAAGTCACAGAACTGTTACAGATTAAAACAGACTAGAGGCCAAGCACGGTGGCTCATGCCTGTTATACCAGCACTTTGGGAGGCCAAGGTGGAAGGAACATATGAGGCCAGGAGTTCGAGACCAGCCCGGCCAACATGGTGAAACCCCATCTCTACTAAAAGTACAAAAATTAGCTGGGCATGGTGGCGGGCGCCTGTAATCCCAGCTACTTGGGAGGCTGAGACATGAGACTCGCTTGAACCCAGGAGGTGGGGGTTGCAGTGAGCTAATATTGTACCACTGCCCTCCAGCCTGAGCAATGGAGCCAGACTCTGTGTCAAAAAAACAAAAACAGACTAGAGACATGACCAACAAATGCAAGGCATAGTCCTAGACAAGATCCTGGACCTGGGGGAGAAAACTGCTTATATAAAAAACGTTATTAGGACAATTGGTGTAACTGCAAAATGGACCATAAATTCAATTATATCACCATTAAATTTCTGATTTTGATAATTATATTATGGTTGGATTAGAGAAAATCCTGTTCTTGGGAAATACACCTTTAAAATATTCAGGGGGTAAGGGGGCATGCCACGTGCAATTTACTCTCCAATGGTTCAGAAAAATATCGTAAGAGTATCAATTATAGAGGAGAGATGAAGCAAATATGGCAAAATGTTAAAAATTCATGGATCTCGGTGAAAGGTGTATATAGGAATTCTTTTTTTACTATTTTTGCATTTTTGTGTACATTTTAAATTATTTCAAAACAAAAAGTTAATCACATGAATCTGAGTAAAAGAACAGGCCATTTCTTTCATACAAGACAGCATCTGAAATCATCAACTGAAAGGTAAAACAGCTACAAAACAATATTTAAACAAAAAGTAAGCAACCACAGGCCAGGCGTGGTGGCTCATGTCTGTAATCCCAACACTTTGGGAGGCCAAGGCGGGCGGATCACCTGAGGTCGGGAGTTCAAGACCAGCTTGGCCAACATGGTGAAACCCCAACTCTACTAAAAATACAAAAATTAGCTGGCCATAGTGGCGCACACCTGTAACCCCAGCTACTCGGGAAGCTGAGGAGGGAGAATCTCTTGAACCTCGGCAGAGGTTGCTGAGATCACGCCACTGCACTCCAGACTGGATGACAGAGTAAGACTCTGTATCCAAAAAAAAAAAAAAAAAAAAAAGTAAACAATCTCTTTAAAACTTATCAGATAACAGAGGGTACTATAATGAACAAAAGTTCCAGACAGGCACAGTGGCTTATGCCTGTAATCCCAGCATTTTGGGAAATCGAGGCGGGAGGATCACTTGAGGCCAGGAGTTTGAGACCCGCCTAGCCAACAAAGTGAGAGACCCTGTCTCTACAAAACAAACAAACAAACAAAAAAAACAAAACATTAGCCACACATGGTGATGCACACGTGTAGTCCCAGCTACTCGGGAGGCTGAGGTGGGGAGGACTGCTTGAGCCTAGGAATTCGAGTCTGCAGTAAGCCATGATTGTGCCATTGCACTTGCCAGGGTGACAGAGCGAAACTCTGTCTTTAAAAAACAAACAAAAGAGGCCAGGTGCAGTGGCTCACGCCTGTAATCCCAGCACTTTGAGAGGCTGAGGCAGGAGGATCACAAGGTCAGGAGTTCGAGGCTAGTCTGACCAACATGGTGAAACCCCGTCTCTACCAAAAATACAAAAATCAGCCGGGTGTGGTAGCAGGCGCCTGTAATCCCAGCTACTCGGGAGGCTGAGGCAGGAGAATCACTTGCACCCAGGAGGCAGAGGTTGCAGTGAGCCGAGACCGCGCCATTACACTCCAGCCTGGGCAACAAGCAAGACTCCATCTCAAAAACAAAACAAACAAAGAAACTTCCTTCTTTGAAGAGTCTGCGCTCCTAATTAGAAGGCTGTATCATGTGGGATAAATATTTAGCCTTTGAGAAGAAGCCATCAGTGCATACTCAACTACAGATACTCTTGGGCAGCAAGTACTTACTTCACCAGGTTTTGTTGAAGGGCATAGCCATTTTTCCAACAACATGTCCCAGACTTTTTCCAAATTAATTTCATTGACTTCGGCTATTTCTTTAGCTGCTGCATGAATATCTAAGATATTCAAAATAAAGAAAAGAAAAACTCAAGTTTTAAATATTTATATTGAATACTTATATGTGTATGTGTATATATGCACATACATACACATATAAGTATATACATATATAAGCATATGTAAGTAATATATATGTACACGTACATATATACATAAAACTGAGAATCAAAATAATAGCTTTTCTTGGACAACAAAAAAATTGTTTTGTCCTCACCAGGATAATCTGTGCCAGATGAATTCTGAATTCTTTGATTGATGCTAGGATGTTCGTAGAGACTGACAATAAGATGTGCTGGCTTTCCGATCACTCTTAAATATTCCTCAGTGTTCAGCTTGTGGGCTATGAGCACAGCTTCTGTGCCCGATCGCCGGTACTGGATATGAAGCTTCTTCAACAAAGCCTCGGCTTTTTCACGTTTTTCGTCCTTTTAAACAATTCCAAGCAAAAAGAAAATCTTACTTTGTAAGCCTCAGTTGAAGCCAAGCATCCATCTTTATCAATCACAATCCCTCCCCCCTTCCTCAGTTATGTTCCTAAGCATCTACATAAAGCCTTGGTCTTCCTTCTCCATTTTAGGCACCAGGGCAGCATGAGAAGGTAAATTAAGCTAGTACAATTTAATTAGGAAGAAGAGAAGCCGCCAATCTGATAGTTCAGACACACCTGCGATGGGATATTCTGTAGCCATCTCTCAGCTAAATAAAGGCAGAATTTCAAAGCAGATATCTTGAAGGAACCTAAAATAAATAAATAAATAAATAAATAAAGATTTACAGGCAAATCTTAATCTTTTCAAGAAAATGTATTTTGGTCAAATTAGCAACTTTTTAAAAATTACAAAAATGCATACTCATGGCTGGGCACAGTGGCTCATATTTGTAATCCCAGCACTTTGGGAGGCCAAGGCAAGTGGATCACCTGAGGTCAGGAGTTTGAGACCACCCTGGCCAACACGGAAGAACCCTGTCTCTACTGAAAATACAAAAATTAGCTGGGCATGGTGGCACATGCCTGTAGTCCCAGCTACTCGAGAGGCTGAGGCAGAGGTTGCAGTGAGCCAAGATCACGCCACTGCACTCCAAACTGGGCGACAGAGCAAGACTCTGTTAAAAAAAAAAAAAAAAAAAAAAAAGCCCACCGGGGCCCTCTCATCAGATTCCATTCCTATTCTCTAAATTCTTATATGCCTTTAGGAGTTTTCTGTGTGTGTGTGTCAGTCTGTGTTCACACATGCATGCATGTGCATCTTAACCCTAATGGGTAATACCATACATATTCTAGTATAATTTGCTGTTCTCACTTCATATCTTGGATATCTCTCCAAATCAGCCCCATAATATTTCGTTCTATGAATACACCCTATTTTCTAACCAGTTCCTGACCTGAGCATTTTTTAAAAAGTCACTTTCAACTTTTGTTACAACCAAAAATGTAGCAGTGAGTGCCTATGCTTGTGCACCTGTTTGGTTATGTGAGACTATCTAAAGATTCCTCATTGAAAGTGCGATTGGGCCAGGTGCAGTGGCTCACGCCTGTAATCCCAGCACTTTGGGAGGCCGAGGCGGGCGGATCACAAGGTCAAGAGATCGAGATCATCCTGGCCAACATGGTGAAACCCCATCTCTACTAAAAATACAAAAATTAGCCGGGCATGATGGCGCGCACCTGTAGTCCCAGCTACTCGGGGGACTGAGGCAGGAGAATCACTTGAACCCGGGAGGTGGAGGTTGCGGTGAGCCAAGATCATGCCACTACACTCCAGCCTGGCGACAGAGCAAGACTCCATCTCAAAAAAAAAAAGAAAGTGTGATTGGATATTAAAAGTACCCATCACTGCCTATTCCTAGCAAAGGTCACACCCCAAAGGCGGCACAAGGACAAGTTGGAAATTGCCTGCCTCCCTGCCCATGCCCACTGCCCTTGAGCGTTTCAGCATTCACCACAGTTAAGAGAGCAAGCAAATACATTTGAAAACTACCATCCTGCTTCTCCTTAAAGATGCAAAAAGAGTACTTTTTTTTTTTTTTTAACTACAATTTTAAAAGAAGAGCTCATACCTTCAGGGATATCCTGGGCAAGGCTGATGGCAATAGCTACAGCCCACTCTGGGTTGACTATAGAGAGTAAGCAGGATTCGATGGTCTGCGTGATCTTAGTTATTTCCTTGTTAATCAGTGTTGAGGATTTAGCTTGTGTTAACTTCAGGAGCTTTGGCTTCAGTTTTTTTTCGAAAACGTGTTTTGCTGTAGACACGTACAGAGTGTCCAGAGAGAACTTCAAAGAAAAGGAAGGTTATGGCTGAAGCACATATTCACATATAAGGTTTTACATGAAAGCAGCAGAAAAATCTTCTATACGGGGTCAGAATTAATTGCAGGATACAGAAATGTCTTACAATGTTTTAATCCATTACCTTCATTAATTTCGAAATTAAGAGCAATGTTGGGAAAGATTCTTCACTGAGTTCTGTAGCTAGAAAGGAAACAAGGAAAGTACGATTTGCTTAAGAAAAAAAATTTGGCTATCCAGTAAAATTCATAAAAAGTTAATGAACACATACAGAGAATTTTCCAGAAGTTCTGTGCTGTGCCAAAGAATATCAGGTGAAAAGGCAGTCTAGTTTGGGCAGCTGATGGCAAAGTTATGACATGTTCCAACATATACTGATATTCTAGATCCACGGGAGGAGAAATTCTTCTGTATGACTTCAAATGTTTCAGAATACTCAATGCCTATATTAAAATAAAAAACTTTTGTCCAGTAAGAGTAACCCAATCCTAAACTGTCATAAAATCATCTAATAGTATACCATCAAAAGTTTCCATTCCTGAGACCATCTTGTTTTCAGAAAGAGGATCAAAACCTTTTCTAGTATTCTCTTTAACATTATTCATCTAAACTATAATTTATATACAATGATTAAAGGAATCCTATGAGGAGAAACCACTGGTGCCCTGTTGTTGGTAGATGTTTTGTAAATAAGAGCTTGACAGTTATCTGCTCTTCAAATAATTTGAGATATAATTCAAAATACTTGATTTCATTTTAAATATAGAGGCTACAGATCTAAATTCTCTACGCTCTTATCTTTCCTATGTTTATATTTTATATTAGGACACTTTGTATAATCTTTTGAATTGATATATTTTCTTATATAATAAGTCTTATTAACATAATATTAAAATATTTCTAAAATATTAATTTCTAAAATCAAATTAAAAAGTATAAAAGCCACTATGACCAAAATTCAGAAACGATGAAGAAGTTAATGAAAGTACTGAGACATAATTGAGTAGGTCTTGGACCTACCCATTAATACACAGAGCTGACCTAACTCTCAGTCCCATGGCCTTTTTCACTTCCTACATGGCAAATGTTTCCTTAATTCTTCACAATTAGTTCTGTAGTGACTTCATACTCTTCGACAGCAGGAGAGGTTATTTAAATCACCTCAAAACAGCAAAAAAAGGATGAAGATAAGTGATAAAATAGGAATGTCATGAAAATCTTTTTCTTTTTTTAAAGATTTGTAAAGATTTTTAAAAACCTAAAATAAACCACAGAGTTTAAAGGGAATTCAATGGATAATTTGGAAAGGCCCTGGATAATGATATGATTTATGATCCAAATAAAAGCAGAAAGATGATTTTTACATCTTTGATATATTTGTTATACCTGATTAATATTAATATTGGTTATCTTTTCATCAGCTCGTTCTATAACTTTCAAGACAACTTCAATCATTTCATAGTCATAAGGATCCAACTGTATAAAAACAAAAATATATCAAAACTTGATAAGACTTTGCCATGTTGAAATTTTATTCAATTACAATAATCAGCACAGATTACAAATATAAAAATGTCACTGCACTACATTGTTAAATTAATTACTCCCTTAAAAATGAGCTACAATCGGCCGGGCACGGTGGCTCACGCCTGTAATCCTAGCACTTTGGGAGGCCGAGGCGGGTGGATCACGAGGTCAGGAGATCGAGACCATCCTGGCAAACACGGTGAAACCCCGTCTCTACTAAAAATACAAAAAAAAATTAGCTGGGCGTGGTGGTGGGCGCCTGTAGTCCCAGCTACTCGGGAGGCTGAGGCAGGAGAATGGTGTGAACCCGGGAGGCGGAGCTTGCAGTGAGCTGAGATTGCGCCACTGCACTCCAGCCTGGGTGACAGAGCGAGACTCCATCTCAAAAATAAATAATAAAAATAAAAAAATAAAGAGCTACAATTTTCTCACCTCTAAAATTACCTGTGAGGATAAACATACATGCTAAAAAAAGGTATCAAAGGCTGTTTTTAAAAGCTGCACAAGGCAGTCTTGTTTTAATAAAGAAGGATGCTCTTGCCTGTAATCCCAGCACTTTGGGAGGCCAAGGCGGGTGGATCACCTGGGGTCAAGAGTTCAAGACCAGCCTGGCCAACAGGGTGAAACCCCATCTCTACCAAAAATACAAAAATTAGCTGGGTGTGGTGGCATTCACCTGTAGTCCCAGCTACTTGGGAGGCGGAGGCAGGAGAATTGCTTGAACCTGGGAGGTGGAGGTTGCAGTGAGCTGAGATCACGCCACTGCTCTCCAGGCTGAACAAAAGAACCAGACTATGTCTCAAAAAAAAAAAAGAAGGAAGCTCTTAAGATACTAAAAGCATAGAAAGGGTAGGGGTATGGTCAAAATTTTATAAGATTTTGAAATTAAAGTTCCCTTTCTTTCATTTACGATGGGAAAATTGGAACAGAAAGAAACTGATCCTTTTCTTAGAAATGACATGAGTAAAACTGTGGGCCTCCAAGCAAGTTTCTCAAAGGATTCTGTTTTAGCTCTAACTATATACTATAGTGCAAGAATTAATTGTGTGGCATATATACATATTAACACAAAAAGAAAGGAAGTCAGGCTGGGTACAGTGGCTCATGCCTGTAATCCCAACACTTTGGGAGGCTAAGGCAGGTGGATCACCTGAGGTCAGGCATTTGAGACCAGCCTGGCCAACATGGCGAAATCTTGTCTCTATTAAAAATACAAAAATTAGCCGGCATGGTAGTGCGTGCCTGTAGTCCCAACTACTCAGGAGGCAGAGGCAGGAGAATCGCTTGAACCCAGGAGGCGGAGGTTGCAGTGAGCCAAGATCGTGCCATTACACTCCAGCCTGGACAACAGGGTGAGATTTCATCTCAAAACAACAACAACAACAAAAACAAAAACAAAAAAAGGAAGTCTTCTCTTTGTTCTTTCTTTCTACCCACACACCATTACTTTTTTCCTTTTTATTTTTGACACAGAGTCTCGCTCTGTCACCCAGGCTGGAGTGCAGTGGTGCAATCACAACTCACTGCAGCCTTGACCTCCTGGGCTCAAGCAATCCTCCCCTCTTCAGCTTCCCAAATAGCTGGGACTGCAGGCACGTACTACTAGGCCTAACTAATTAAAAAAATTTTTTGTAGTGACAAATTCTTACTATGTTCCCCAGGCTGGCCTATTTTTTAAATGCCAACAAAAGTCGCGTGAAAAACAACATTGAACAAAGTGGGAAGATGAAATATTGTTACCTAGAAATTTTGAGCAATCTATGTAATTTTTGGCTGAATTGCAAGCAAAATATAAAACTGAAATATTTATTTCAGGCTTAAAATTTTATTTCCAGGCTGGGCACAGTGGCTCATGCCTGTAATTCCAGCACTTTGGGAGGCTGAGGCAGGTAGATCACCTGAGGTCAGGAGTTCATGACCAGCCTGACCAACATGATGAAACCCTATTGCTGCTAAATATAAAAAATTAGCTGGACGTGGTGGCGCATGCCTGTAATCCCAGCTAGTTGGAAGGTTGAGGCAGGAGAACCCAGGAGGCAGAGGCTACAGCGAGCCGAGACTGCGCCATTAGACTCCAGCCTGGACAACAAGAGCAAAACTCCATCTCAGAAAAAAAAAAAATTTTTTTCCCTGCCATTCACCTTCATTTCTCCATTAAACTACCCCCTGACCAAACATTCCAATTCTCAGAAGATCAGAAGATCTCCTAAACAAATACTGAGCAGAAGCCAGGTGTAGTCCCTGTAGTTCCAGCTACTCAGGAGGCTGAACAGGACGATCACTTGAGCCCAGGAGTTAGAGGCCAACCTGGGCAATATAGTGAGACCCCCTTCTCTTAAAAAAAACTAAAAAACAAATCAGACAAAAGTATAAAAATATGTATGAAGATATTAATTATAACAATTTATGATAATAAAATTTACCCAGCCATACCCAGACAACACAGTGAGATTCATCTGCACAAAAAAATTTTTTTTTTAATTTAAAAAATTTTAAAAATTAAAAAAATTACTGGGGTATGGCAGCATGCACCTACAGTTCCAGCTATCTGGGAGGCTGAGGTAGAAGGATCACTTGAGCCCAGGAGGTCAAGGCTGCCATGAGCCATGTTCACACCACTGCACTCCAGCCTGGGTGACAGTGAGACCCTATCTCAAATAAAAAAAAAAAAGTTTAAATGTCTAACCATAAAAGCCTGGTTAAATACGGCATGTTTTATCCATATAATGGAATAATAGTTATGCATCTGTCAAAAATGACGGTTCACTGGGCCTCGTGGCTCACCTCTGTATTCCTAGCACTTTGGGAGGCCAAGGTGGGAGGATCACTTGAGGCCAGGAGTTTGAAACCAGCCTGGACAACACGGTGAAATTCCATCTCTACTAAAAATACAAAAATGAGCCAGGCATGATGGTGCACACCTGTAATTCCAGCTATTCGGGAGGCTGAGGCTGGAGTATCACTTGAGCCCAGGACATAGAGGCTGTAGTGAGTCACATTCATACCACTGCACTCCAGCCTGGGCAACAGAGCAAGACCTTGTCTCAAAAAAAAAAAAAAAAAGAAAAGAAAAAGAAAAAAGACATTTCCGGCAGGACCATGAAAAAGATGAAAAAGAAATTGTTTCTTTTGAGATAGATGTGTATGTAATGACATATAATGACCATATGTTAAGTGAAAAAAGAGGGTCACAGAAGAGTATATTTAGTTTAAGATAGTTACTACACCACACTATTAACATCTTCATCTCTAGGGAGTGGAGTTATAGGGAAATTGCTTGTTTTGATTTATACATTTCTCTCTAGCTCATATAAATTCAAAGAATGTGTAAGGTTTTCAAAAATCTGGGGAAGAAAAGCTATTTCTATTTTGAAAAATGGGAAAATTGTATTTAACTGTGTTAAAAATATAGAAATCAAGAGAATATTTCAAATTAAAAGTTGATAAAAATATAGACTTATACATCCAATTTGTTACTAATGTATCTAATTATTAAGGGTGGGAGGGATGGCTGAGATGACCCGATTCATTTCACTGTGTGTCTACCTTATGTAGTATTCCACTAAGACTGATGACCAAATCTTTTGTGCTCGTCAGTAAAGGAACCATCTCAAGGGCTTTGGCCAGGAGTTTGGGATGCCGCCGCTTTGCAGAGTCCATGCTTGCATCTCCCTGGCCTTGGCCGGCATTTGTGTTGTGGAGCAGCGTTTCAATGAAGAGCTGAAGAACTGCATCGCAGTCCAACTGAAATGTGCTAAAAGAAGCATTCAATACACACCAGTCTCCCAAACTGCAGGCATTTCCATGCAAAGTATCTGACAAAACACTTGGGTACATGCTTCCATTGTTGAAATTTAACCTTGTCATTGTCCAGTCTCAAAATCAGACAAACTACCTGTCATCAAAGCTAATTATTGCCTTTTAAAAATCAGATATTAGGCCGGGTGCAGTGGCTCACACCTGTAATCCCAGCACTTTGGGAGGCCAAGGTGAACAGATCACGAGGTCAGGAGTTTGAGACCAGCCTGGCCAACATAGTGAAACCCCATCTCTACTAAAAATACAAAAATTAGCCAGGCATGGTGGCGCATGGCTGTAGTCCCAGCTACTCGGGAAGCTGAGGCAGGAGAATTGCTTGAACCCGGGAGGTGGAGGTTGCGGTGAGCCAAGATCGCACCACTGCACTCCAGTTTGGGCAACAGAGCAAGGCTCCATCTCAAAAAAAAAAAAAAAAAAAAAAAAATCAGGTATTATTCCTGGTGGGTGTGTAAACTGTTAGAATATTGGAGAGAAATCTGTAATAAAATTGAAAATATTTATGCTCTTTAGTATAAAAATGCAACATTTACAAATTTCACCTAAGAAGAAAAATATACATGTTAGTAAGGATGTCTTCTGCAGCAACTCTTTGTAATGATTAAAAGCTGAAAACAGTTTATATCTATAAGTGCCTACACATCAAAAAAGTAGAAAAAATTCATAAACAACCTAACAATACATCTTAAAGAAGTAGAAAAGGAAGAGCAAACCAAACAAAATTAGTAAAAGAAAAGAATAAAGATCAGAGCAGAAATAAATGAAATTGAAACAAAAACAATACCAAGGATCAACAAAACAAAAATTGGATTTTTTTTTGTTTCTTTGAGACAGGGTCTCATTCTGTTCCCCAGGCTAAAGTGCAGCGGCATGATCAAGGCTCACTGCAGTCTCAACCTCCTGGGCTCAAGTAATCCTCCCACCTCAACCTCTCAAGTAGCTGGAACTACAAGCATGCGCCACAACACTTCAGTGAATTTTTTTACCTTTGTAGAGATGGGGCTCTCACTATGTCACCAAGGCTGGTCTCCAACTCCTGGCCTCAAGCGATCCTCCTGCCTTGGCCCCTCAAAGTGTTGGGATTATAGGCGTTAGCCACCATACCTGGCCAAAAAGCTGTTTTGTTTTTTTTTTTTAAAGATAAAAAAAATCAGGCTGGGCACGTGATTCACGCCTGTAATCCCAGCACTTTGGGAGGCCGAGGCAGGTGGATCACGAGGTCAGGAGTTGGAGACCAGCCTGACCAATATGGTGAAACCCCATCTCTACCAAAAATACAAAAATTAGGCCAGGCATGGTGGCTCACGCCTGTAATCCTAGCACTTTGGGAGGTCGAGACGGGTGGATTGCCTGAGCTCAGGAGTTCAAGACCAGCCTAGGTAACATGGTGAAACCCGGTCTCTACTAAAATACAAATAATTAACCCGGCATGGTGGCATGCGCCTGTAATCCCAACTACTCAAGAGGCTGAGGCAGGAGAATCGCTTGAGCCCAGGAGGTGGAGGTTGCAGTGAGACAAGATTGCACCACTGCACTTCAGGCTGGGTGACAGAGCGAGACTCCGTCTCAAAAAAAAAAAAAAAAAAAAAGAATCTGGTTACTATAGACAAAATGACAACTGAAATGCCTTTTTAGACCCTATTAATAACACAGTGATAGTTTAATTTGCTATACAGCATAACTAAAATATCAATAAAAGGCTTAAGTACCACCATTTTCAAGTCACTCTCTGATATTCTAAAGTTTATCTAAATTTATTCAGATACACTGCCTGAGGCAGAAGTGTCACTATCATATGAATACAAATCATCAATGCCACGTAAGTAGAATAATTATGAAATGAACTTGACATTATAGCTATTTAAATTTCAAAAAAGTGTCCTGCACCATAAAACATCACAGAAGAATCTAGCAGTAGTTCAAATTAATAAAAAAGATAAGAGTGTGCATACCCTATTCTGGATTTATAACACTCTAAACTGAAGAATGACATAGTTTTGTTATTTCAAACTACTCTTTTAAGTCAGTGCTCCTTCGAGCTATGCGCAGCCTATAGTCCTTGACTTACAGGTACTAGATGGTGACAGCCACGGTCTTTCCCCACTATCCACAGAGACAAAGAACTAGATGCCTGCCCAGTGCAGGAAATGCACCAAGCAGTTTCATTCTCAATAACTCAGATTCCATTAATCTGTTACAAATCAGATGGAGGTTATAGCACCCATAATATTTTAGAAGCAGTCATTAATAATTTGACCTTGAGCAGGTCACATACTATGTTGTTTTCTCATATATCAACTGGCAACATATGCAATAAGAACTATAAAAATTAAATGAGGTGACAGATCTGAAAGCATTCTGAAACCAGAAAACGAGTCCTTGTATTTACTAGACAGAAACATCTGAGATATAAATTACAAATCATTTATCCCTACTTATCAAAGTCAGCGGAATCTATAAATAACACATTTTATCTTAGTTCTAAAAATTCTTGTTCAGGCGCAGTGGCTCACGCCTATAATCCCAGTACTTTGGGAGGCCGAGGCGGGTGAATCACTTGAGGTCAGGAGTTCGGGACCAGCCTGGCCAACATGGTGAAACCCCATCTCTATTAAAAATATAAAAATTAGCCAGGCGTGGTGGTGCATGCCTGTAATTCCAGCTACTTGGGAGGTTGAGGCCAGAGAATGGCTTGAAGGTGGAGGCTGCGGTGAGCTGAGATTACGCCACTGCACTCCAGCCTGGGTGACAGAGGGAGACTCCGTCTCAAATAAAGAAAGAAGTTAAATAAAAATAAAAATTCTTTTATAAACATTTTTAATAGGAAATTAGAAATTCTCCCTAAATCATACTTTTCATTAATTTTTAAGATTACTTTGCTCCCTAGTTAACCTGATTTAGAAGTTTATTACTCAGAAGAATATTCTCCAACTTTTCTGATCATAGGAATCACCTGAGCTCCTATTAGAGACCAGCGATTTCTAGGCCTTGGTCCAGACCCACTGAGTCAGAACTGCCAGAGAGGCCCAGAAACCTGCATTTGAAATCAAGTGCCCTAAGCAGTGCTTATCAGGAGACAAGTTTGGGAAACACTAAATGGTGAATTTAAATGGTGGTATCATAAGAGACTCTAATCTGATTTCATATTTACTCAGTTTGGGAATGAGCAAAAGAAAATAGTGGTCTATGGACCTCATAAAATAATCATCGTTATTACTGTGTTCTTGCAAAAGAATTACCAGTTTGTTAACAGCAAAAATACCGTTAATGTTTAAAGAATTACCTGCAATATTCCAAAATGAGGCTTGTGTCCATATCTATATTCTCCACAAGAGCTTTAATGAGGTCTTTCTTGGTGAGAAAATGTTGCCTGAAAACTGGTTGAAAAGAAATCTAGAAATAAAAAGAAAAAAACAAAGCAAAAAAACCCTCTACACTGAAATGTATCAGAGTAAGGGCAACATCATGACTTGCCTTCTTAGTATCCTTTTTCAAAAAGAAACATTTGTCTATAGCTCCTCCAACCTCACACTACCCAACCCAGCCATCATTCTGAGATTTGAGGTGTACATGGGTCCGAAACTCCTCTTAGTCATCCTAACCATTGCCTCTTCATCTGAAAAGTTTGATTGTTAATGTCAACAGAACACCAGTTCCATTACTGCAGAAGAATTAAGCTTCAAAACATATAGCATTTCTGTACTGATTACCTTTCTGATAAGTCAACTGTTGGCAAATAAAATGTCTTATATTTTTGGTAAAGAAAACAGGGTTTTGGCTCATGCCTATAATCCCAGCACTGTGGGAGGCTGAGGCGGGTGGATCACTTGAGGTCAGGAGTTTGAGACCAGCTTGGCCAACATGGAAACCTTGTCTCTACAAAAAAATACAAAACAATTAGCTGGGCATGGTGGTGCATGCCTGTAGTCCCAGCTACTCAGGAGGCTAAGCTGGGAGGATCACTTAGGCCCTAGAGGTCAAGGCTGCAGTGAGCCATGATAATGCCACTGCACTCCAGCCTGGGTGACAGAATGAGATCCTGTCAAAGACAAGATTGCGCCCTGCCTGCTTGTCTGTTCTTTTACAATGTCAAAAATAAAGCTCAAGGCTGGGCGCGGTAGCTCATGTCTGTAATCCCAGCACTTTGGGAGGCCGACGTGGGCGGATCACGAGGTCAAGAGATGGGAGACCATCCTGGCCAATACAGTGAAACCCTGTCTCTACTAAAATACAAAAAATTAGCCGGGCGTGGTGGTGCATGCCTGTAGTCCCAGCTACTTGGGAGGCTGAGGCAGGGGAATTGCCTGAGCCTGGGAGGCGGATGTTGCAGTGAGCCGAGATCGTCCCACTGCACTCCAGCCTGGCAAAAGAGCAAGACTCTGTCTCAAAAAAAAAAAAAAAAGAAAAAAAGAAAGAAAAATAAAGGCCATTTACGTCCCCTCTGCTAGTGTGTCCGGAATTGGTGGGTTCTTGGTCTCACTGACTTCAAGAATGAAGCCGCGGACCCCCGAGGTGAGTGTTACAGCTCTTAAGGTGGCGCGTCTGGAGTTTGTTCCTTCTGATGTTCAGATGTGTTGGGAGTTTCTTCCTTCTGGTGGGTTCGTGGTCTCGCTGGCTCAGGAGTGAAGCTGCAGACCTTCGCAGTGAGTGTTACAGCTCTTAAGGCAGAGCGTCTGGAGTTGTTCCTTCCTCTCGGTGGGCTCGTGGTCTCCACTCAGGAAAGAAGCTGCAGATCTTCATGTGAGTCTCACAGCTCATAAAAACAGCGTGGACCCAAAGAGTGAGCAGTAGCAAGATTATTGCAAACAGCTAAAGAACAAAGCACAGTGTGGAAGGGGACCCGAGCGGGTTGCCAGTGCTGACTCGGGCAGCCTGCTTTTATTCTCTTATCTGGCCCCACCCACATCCTGCTGATTGGTAGAGCCGAGTGGCCTGTTTTGACAGGACGCTGATTGGTGCGTTTACAATCCCTGAGCTAGATACAAAGGTTCTCCACGTCCCCATCAGATTAGTTAGATACAGAGTTTTGACACACAGGTTCTCCAAGGCCCCACCAGAGCAGCTAGATACAGAGTGTAGATTGGTGCATTCACAAACCTTGAGCTAAACACAGGGTGCTGATTGGTGTATTTACAATCCCTGAGCTAGATATAAAGAATCTCCACGTCCCCACCAGACTCATGAGCCCAGCTGGCTTCACCTAGTGGATCCCGCACCAAGGGCTGCAGGTGGAGCTGCCTGCCAGTCCCGTGCCGTGCGCTCACACTCCTCAGCCCTTGGGCGGTCCATGGGACTGGGCGCCGTGGAGCATGGGGCGGCATTTGTCGGGGAGGCTCGGGCTGCACAGGAACCCACGGAGGCGGGGGAAGGCTCAGGCATGGCGGGCTGCAGTCCCAAGGCCTGCCCCGTGGGAAGGCAGCTAAGGCCCGGCGAGAAAGCGAGCACAGCGCCCGTGGGCTGGTACTGCTGGGGGACCCAGTACACCCTCCGCAGCCGCTGGCCCGGGTGCTAAGCCCCTCACTGCCCGGGGCCGGCAGGGCCGGCCGGCCGCTCCGAGTGCAGGGCCCGCCAAGCCCACATCCACCCGGAACTCCAGCTGGCCCGCAAGCGCCATGCGCAGCCCGGGTTCCTGCTCGCGCCTCTCCCTCCACACCTCCCTGCAAGCTGAGGGAGCCGGCTCTGGCCTTGGCCAGCCCAAAAAGGGGCTCCCACAGTGCAGCGGCAGGCCGAAGGGCTCCTCAAGTGCCGCCAAAGTGGGAGCCCAGGCAGAGGAGGCGCCGAGAGCGAGCGAGGGCTGTGAGGACTGCCCGCACACTGTCACCTCTCACTAGGAGTTCTTGAAGCATGGTATATAGCTGTATATACATTTTAATATTATCTTTAAATAACAGCAGCAGAAAACAAAAGTATGAGGCTAAAGGCTAGGCCTGAAATAGCATAAATGTCAATTGATACTAGATATATACCTATAAATGAGAAAGTTAAGCAGCTGAAAATGTCAGGCCCCTTTTAATTTCCTTAAAAATACAGAAAAAAGGAAATGAGGCAAAAAGTTCCTTATTTCTTTGAAAGCACCTATGTGTGTAGTTAATAAAATGTATGAGGCAGTACACATACACTCTCCTCCCAAAAGTAAAGAACAACAGAATCTTTGTTTTAAATTTTCCAACCGGGTAATTAACAGAATCGATGACAGCAGTACAAAGAATACTCACACCAAGTTTACCAAGACGAATGCCCCACTGGGCATCAGTACTGAGTTCACGGAACTTAAGCCCCATTTCTATTTCCTGATAGAGACTTGCCAGCTCAGAGCCCACCAGAGATATTGCCTAAAAAATTAAAAGAGAATTAAAGTTCAATCGTAAGTAGAATGTATTCTTATAACACCTTTTAGACGAAACGCAACAATAAAAATCATAACTTTGTGATCAACCGTGTAGAATGTTACATATTATTTTGTACACAGTCGTTACTTCTTACGTAATATTTAGGTAATTCAGGTTTTCGTATAATGCTATACATTTAGCCTGGCTTTCCTTTATAATAAAAGGCCAAATTTTAGTTATCTTGCAAGAAAATCCCTTAACACAATATCCAAGAGAAATTTTCTATCTGTTAAACTTATCCTACAAAAACAAACTGATTCATGGGTCTAGGGTTTCAACTACACCAAAATAAGATTTGAGGTTCTAAGGGTGTACACAGATTTTAAGAAATTAAAAAACTGTAATTCTTTGGGTTGAACAATGCTCATAACTTGCATATACAGGCAACAGTATGTCACCAGTCAAGCAGAAGCTGGTAGAAATCACGAGTTAGCTCAACATTTCTTCTACTAAATCTTTAAGAACAGGTGGCAAAACCAACTTCATTTCTCCCCCCCAATCTTGAATACTTCAAGAATTGAAGGTGTGCTTCCTTAGGACATACCAAGATTTTGTCGTAATTCTGCCATGCTTTATCTATGAGCTTCCAGAGATTTTCAAACACATCTTTTTGAGGTAAGAGAGTGCAGTAACCCAACGCCAGGTCAAGATCTACCAAGCGACAATTAAATACCTACAGGAAGAAACCAGCAAAAGAAGCAAATTCTTCACAATCAAAACAGAATTAACTTTGTTCACAAAGGGCAGAAATACAAATAAAGAGGAATAATTTTAATTTATACTTAAAAAAAACTTTTTAAAGAAAAAAAAACAGAATTCAGTGTCTCAAGGTTTATTTACCACTAAATTGAATTATAGACACTACAGAAGAAGTGTTTCATGAAAAGTTATAGTAACATAGTTCTAATGTGTTTGCTTAGGTTTAATGTCCTTTATGACTATCTGAAGAGTAAGGAAAGCAACTACAAGTTCTATAGGGCACTGAAATATTTAGGGGTAAAGAGCTATAATGTATGTAACTAAATCCTAAATACAAAAAATATATACAAAATATGAAATGATTTTATATATAAATAGAAAAATAGAGAAAGAGCATGCCAGAAAATGATGAAACAGTAAACGGTATACCAAAGATCTTTGTGCTATTCTTAAAATTTTCCTGAAACTTTGAAATTATCTCCAAATAAAAAATTTTAGGCCAGGTGCAGTGGTTCATGCCTATAATCCCAGCACTTTGGGAGGCCGAGGAGGGTGGATCACAAGGGTCAGGATATCAAGACCATCCTGGCTAACACAGTGAAACCCGGTCTCTACTAAAAATACCAAAAATTAGCCAGGCGTGGTGGTGGGCACCTGTAGTCCCACCTACTCAGGAGGCTGAGGCAGGAGAATGGCGTGAACCTGGGAGGCGGAGCTTGCAGTGAGCCGAAATCGCGCCACTGCACTCCAGCCTGGATGAGAGTGCGAGACTCCGTCTCAAAAAAAAAAAAAAAAAAAAAAAAATTGGGGGGCCCGGGCACAATATCATGCCTGTACTTTCAGCATTTCAGGAGACCAAGGTGGAAGGATTGCTCGAGGCCAAGAGTCCAAGACCAGCCTGGGCAACACAGTGAGACCTGTCTCTACAAAAAATTTTTACAAATTGGCCAGGCATGGTAAAACACCAGCAGCCCCAGATACTCAGGAGGCTGAGCAGCAGGAGGGTTGCTTGAGCCCATGAGTTCAAGGCTGCAGTAAGCTATGATGGTGCCTCTGCACTATAGCCTAGGTGACAGAGTGAGACCCTGTCTCCAAAAAAAAAAAAAAAACACAATTTTTTTAAAGAAGTAATCTGACAAATGAAATTAAATGCTTAATGCAACTATATTTTCACCAAATACAGTTGATGAAACATTAAATATTTCTAATATTTAAAAACATCTAATAAAAAATCTAATATTTAAAATATTAGAATCTTTTAAAAAATAAAGGGTAATGGAAAATTAGGATTTCTGCAATAGAAATAAGTGAAAGGATCATTGGAATGCTTTAATCTGTAAAATAAATAACTACAGAGTGGGGCACAGTTGCTCATGCCTATAATCTCAGTGACTTGGGAGGCTGAGGCAGGAGGATAACTAGAACCCAGAAGTTCAAGGCTGTAGCAAACTATGATCATACTACTGCACTCCAGCCTGGGTGACAGAGAAAAACCTCATCTCTAAAAAATAAATAAATATAAATATAAGTAACCAAAATCAGGATACGACAGTGGACAAGATTGACTACTATTTCATAAAAGCTCTATAGCATGTCAATTACCATAATAAAAATATAATTGATTAGCTATAAGACAGTTTCTTGAAGTTTTTGAATAGTAAAATACTACTGTACTGAATCATAAACTATTGAGTCATATGCAATTAACTGAGGTAAAAGGCAAAAAAAAAACAAACAAAATTTTTACCCAGAACAAATACTTACTTTGTGCAGTAGTGTTGTAGCATTTTCCCTGATAAATATAACAGCTTTTTCTTTCAATTCCATAACAACATGCCTTGATTTAACTAATGTAGTCTCTCCAAATAACTTTTAGAAAAGAAGAAAAAAATATTTAGGTCTAGTTCTATATAACATTCTGAAAATTTTTTCAAATATTAAGGAACTTTGGTGAAAATTCATCATTATATCCAAAAAGTATCAGAATTTAACCTATAGTGCTAGAAAGGGGTGGGGGACTGACTGGGAGGGAGCAAAGAGGAAGCATTAAAAATACCCTAAGTCTTCACTGTGGTGTTGGTGACAAGGTGAGTACATTGGTTGATATACTTAAAATGTGCATTTTAATTTTGAAAGTTATACCTCAATACAGTTCATTAAAAAAGAGTCAGCATTTAATACATATCAACAGAGTAGTAGAAATGAAGACAACTCCCTCTGAGGCCCAGTTTCATAAGCGAGTTATCAACAGTTAGTTTGTCTTCTAGAATCTCTTCAATGATGCTCAATGATACTCTCAGAAATAATTATAATAATTTGGCCATTTAGGTGATAACAAAACAAACAGCAGATATTTTGACCAAATGTGGTATAGTGGACACTGCACTAAGCTTAGAGTGTGAAGACTTACCACTACAATATAAAACCTTGGTTAACTTATTCCACCTCCCTGAATCTGAGCTGAGCTTCCACATTTGTAAACTGGAAACTCTCAGGGCTGTTGCAAAGAATGAGTATGAAAATGTGTGCAGGCACCTTATTCCCACACCAGATTCTTAGAGATGCTCAACAAATGTTCTTAAATCTGACGAATTACCAATTTCCTTGCTACAAAGACAATAGGAAAACGTGGACTCCAAATTCCTCTGTTAGCGCTTTTACATCTATATTCACCCCAAGTCAAAGTATTTGTTCTTGACACTATACCTTTTCACTCAAAGTGGCATTCATGAAGTTTGACACAGAGTGCTGAAGACAGGTACCAAATGAACCAACCACAAATCTTAGGGCTAGCTCCCACTGGCTAGATTCCTGAAGATTCTGAAGCAGGGCAGAGATGGAATTTATAACAGGTAAAACAAGGCCATCTCCTGCAGAGTGATAAAGGATTTTAATATTTAGATTTTTTAAACAAAGAAAGATCATATTATTGAAAACTGTTTTCAGGGACAGCCTGCTTCTTCAATACAGATAATAGTCATGGAGTTTGTTCTCAGTTAGTTAATGAGAAGTTAACATGAGGCTTGACTTAAACCAGAAAATAACTAAGTCTACTAGTTAATGAGATCCTTTGATTGTAACTTGCCTATTTTAGCTGAAGAAAAACCATTTCTCCATTTGAAAGATAAAAATTTATAAACAAATTCATAGAAGTTAACACTATAAGCCAAATCACATAATCTACTGAACTTTTAAACAAATAACAATGTAAAAATAATAACTAAACAATTACATTAAGGATATTAAATCACATTCATATTTAGAATTTCAAGAAATTTCTAGAACTACGATTTTTTGTTTTTTTAGAGATAGGGTCTTCTGTTGCCCAGGCTGGAGTACAGTAGTGCCATCATAGCTCATTGCAGCCCTGACCTCCTGGGCTCAAGAGATCCTCCCACCTCAGCCTCCCAAGTAACCAGGACTACAGGAGCACACCACCATTTCTTTCTATTAAGAAATCTTAAGGCCAGACGTGGTGGCTCACGCCTGTAATCCCAGCACTTTGGGAGGCTGAGGCGGGTGGATCACCTGACGTCAGGAGTTCAAGACCAGGCTGGCCAACATGGTGAAATCCTGTCTCTACTAAAAATACAAAAGAACTAGCTCGGCGTGGTGGCACACGCCTGTAATCCCAGCTACTTGGGAGGCTAAGGCAGGAGAACTGCTTGAGCCCGGGAGGTGGAGAGGTTGCAGTGAGCTCCAATCATGCCATTTCACTCCAGCCTGGGCAACAGAGCAAGACTCTGTCTCAAAAAAATAAAATAAATAAATAAATAAATAAATAAATATTAATAGAATGCTATATATTTCTTGTGCCAAATACCTTCATTAAGGGAGCAGTATGGCAAACTGGTAGACTCCAAGGGATATCTCTTGCTTTCTACAAAAGATAATAAAACATTAAACAACACTAAATAGATGGCCACACTAAAAGCCCAGACTTCATCACTATGCAATATATCCATGTAACAAAATAGCACTTGGACCCCTTAAATTCATACAACTAATAAATAAATAAATAACCCTCACACAGCACATACTCTCACAGATGTGTAAATATTTCACTATTATAAAAAAAGTTCTAAAGCGAACTGATGCTTTAAAAATAAATATACACAGGAAAATGCACAGGTAAGTGTATAACCTGATAAACGTCCACAAACTGAAGAAGCAGCATCCAGATCAAGAAATAGAACATCGGCCGGGCGCGGTGGCTCACGCCTGTAATCCCTGCACTTTGGAAGGCTGAGGCGGGCAGATCACTTGAGGTCAGGAGATTGAGACCAGCCTGGCCAACATGGTGAAACCCCATCTCTACTAAAAATACAAAATTAGCCAGGCGTGGTGGCATGAGCCTGTAATTCCAGCTACCTGGGAGGCTGAGGCACGATAATTGCTTGAACCCAGGAGGCAGAGGTTGCAGTGAGCTGAGATCATGCCACTGCACTCCAGCCTGAGTGACAGAGCAGGACTCCGTCTCAAAAACAAAACAAAACAAAACAAAACAAACACACAAAAAAGAAACAAAACATTGCCAGCTCCCCAGCTCCCTCCTTTCCCTTTCCCACCCTCAAGGGTAACCACTGCCCTGACTTCAAACAGCACCAGCTTAGTCCTAGCCTGTGTTTGTACTTTACATAAATGAAATCACACAGTATTTATTCTTTTGTATCTGCTTCTTTAGCTCCACATTACGCTTATAAGGTTCGCCCACATTACTGTGTGTAGTTCTAGCTCCAAACCTCTACAGTTTAAATTTACATAAGACAGAAACACATAGAAAATAATGATACAAATAAGACTTACCAGCTAGAGGCACAAGAGATGAAATCAGTTCATAAATCACTGGAAGCACCATCTGTGACTCAAGAACAATTCCATCTTCACTGAAGAAGTCACTGTAAGACCACTCTTCATATGGATCTTTATGTGTCCCAAAAGAAGCCTAGGTGCCAAATCATACAAAAAAGAGAGAACTCAGTACGCTGCACAACACATTGTTTCTTCTGGTCTATGGCTTATAGAAATTTCATTTTAAGTTAAACTCTAACAGAAGGACAATGTCGAGGGAGGCCTTGCTGGAGGCCCAATGTTTTGAAAGATAGTGCAAATTAAAGCCAATCAAGTGACTGGAACAGAGAAGTGGCCTCATGCCCTTACGTTGTTTTCCGGTCTAGGGTAAGAAAACATAAGAGGTGGATTCAGTATTTTCATAAACTTTGCAAATGATTAAAAAACGGCCCAGGTGCAGTGGCTCATGCCTGTAATCCGAGCACTTTGAGAGGCTGAGGTGGGGGAATCACTTGAGCCCAGGAATTGAAGACCAGCCTAGACAAGATGGTGAGACCCTGTCTCTGCAAAAAAAAAATTTTTTTTTAATTAGTCAGATGTGGTGGCACACACTTATAGTCCCAGCTACTCAGAAGGCTGAGGTGGGAGGACTGCTTAAGCCCAGTTCAAGACTGCAGTAAGCCTTGATCATGCCACTGCACTCCAGCCTGGGTGACAGAACAAAACCCTGTCCGAAAAAAAAAAAAGGTGCATAATGCGTTGCCCAGGATTTAAGGGAAAAAACTCAAAAGTAACTTACTTTCATGAGGATTCCACAGTCATCCATTTGGCATTGTCTGGAAAGCTCTACAGCCATTAAAGTATGTTTACATAGTTCTAAAGCATCTAGTAAAAAATCTGAAACAAAATGGAGAAAAATCATTAAACTCATATTTCATGTCTTTAGGATAATGAAAACAACCTTTTAATAATTACCATTTAAAATTCTAAGGAAGGCCACAATGTAGATAGAAAGGTTCCATATAGCTTTGACTACCCTAAAAAGTTAAATTTTTTCTCAAGCTTGACTTGAAAATAAGATCAGATATGGGAGGCAAGGAATTTCATAATCCTACAAAAGTGAGTAATGTCAACAGTCAGAAATGACATTGTTAGTATTTTGAAATACTTTCAAACAATAATCCTCAAAGAGAATCAATTATAAGCATCCCTTTGTGAAATGCAGATACTATCTCTAGTCTGATTACCGTGATGTCCAATTGTAAAGAGACAGCATTTGGGAGACAAGTATGACATGAACCAGAGAATATAAAACTACGTATATTATAAATATTGTCACCTGGACTGCAAATGGTGGCAGCTTGGCTTGCTAGATCATGTATCATGGAAGGAAGATTCAGTCCCACAGGCACTGTCACTGGGACATTATCAGCCAACATCTGACAAAGCTTCTGACATGTCAGAAATAGCAATTTCCCAGTGTCAGCATTGCAGTGATACTTAAACAAGTCGCTTTGGAAGAAAGAAAGTATTGGTAGTTAGAATACTCACATTGAAAGTGAACGCATGGCCTTTCTTGGATTAATATATCACCACCACCATCAACACATTAAATGTCTTTTAAATGTTCTCATGGTATATAGTGTAGTTTTTCTTTTGTTTTTTTGAGACAGGCTCTAGCCCTATCGCCTAGGCAGGAGTGCAGTGGCACAATCATGGCTCACTGCAGCCTCAACCTCCAGGGTCAAGCAATCTTCTCACTTCAGCCTCCCAAGTAGCTGAGACTACAGGTGTGTGCCACCACACTTGGCTAATTTTTAAATTTTTTTTGTAGAGATGAGCTCTCACTATGTTGCCCAGGCTGGTCTCAAACTCCTGGGCTGAAGTAATCCTCCTGCCTTGGCCTCCAAAACTGCTGGGATTACAGGTGTGAGTCACCGTGCCCAGCCTGTTTTTCTTTTTCTGAGACTGAGTCTCACTCTGTCGCCCAGGCTGGAGTGCAATGGCACGATCTGGGCTCACTGCAACCTCCACCTCCCAGGTTCAAGCGATTCTCCTGCCTCAGCCTCCCGAGTAGGTGGGATTAGAGGTGCCCACCACCACACCCGACTAACAGTTGTATTTTTAGTAGAGACAGGGTTTCACTGTGTTGGCCAGGCTGGTCTTGAACTCCTGACCTCAAGTGATCTGCCCACCTCAGCCTCCCAAAGTACTGGGATTACAGGCGTGAGTCACCACACCTGGCCCCAGCCTGTTTTTCAAATGACTAAGGATACCATTAAATGCTGAAGTGCACAGTAACCTAAATTTAATGGTTATGTTACCTAACTCTGCAGTATTGCTTACTTGCCTTTTATGCTACTACTTTCTGACACTGAGGCCCAAAATATGCTCTGAAGGTGAGAAATCAAGAATTGCTTCTGTGAAAAAAGAGTGTCACTGGCCCTACCCTTATGACTGAAGAAATCAGGCAGTTGTTACTTTCTTTCTTTTTGTGAGACG
Source organism: Homo sapiens (assembly GCF_000001405.40). Classification (NCBI taxonomy): domain Eukaryota; kingdom Metazoa; phylum Chordata; class Mammalia; order Primates; family Hominidae; genus Homo; species Homo sapiens. The sequence continues at coordinate 122,583,287 of NC_000012.12, read as the reverse complement.
GAGTCTTGCTCTGTAGCTCAGGCTGGAGTGCAGTGGTGTGATCTCGGCTCACTGCAACCCGCCACGATCCTGCCTCAGCCTCCCCAGTAGCTGGGACTATAGGCACATGCCACCATGCCTGGCTAATTTTTTGTATTTTTAGTAGAGACAGGGTTTCACCATGTTAGCCAGGATGGTCTTGATCTCCTGACCTTGTGATCCGCCTGCCTCGGCCTCCTAAATTGCTGGGATTACAGGTATGAGTTACCGTGCCCAGCCGCAATTTCAGAGAAGCTATGCAATTCAGGGATCTGGAATGTCACCTGCATTTTTTCAGTGCTGTTTTGATGTTCCCATCTTTTAAGGCTCTCAAGGTCAGCTCTGCCTCCAGCTCTTGTTTGGACATCTGCAGGGCCAGTGCCTGTCTGTGCAGCTTTGATTCCATGCTTGGGCTCCTCACCTCAGCAGCTATGGGCTCTGGGGTGCTCCCAGGTTTGTGTTTCGCCTGTGCAACTTCGTGAGCTTTAATGTGCTGCTCACGGAGATCTGCTACCAGGGAACTATTGCTATAATCTTCAAATGAAAGAAAGACCTCAAAGTTCTCCTGTAGCAAAGGTAAGCAAGACAAAGTCCCAAGTCTGTTTAATCTATTGTTTAAAATAATCATTTTCATTAGTTTTTTTTTTCATAATTTCAACTTTTATTTTAGATTCAGGGGTACATGTCTGGGCTTCTCACCTGGGTATATTGTGTGATGCTGAGGCTTGAGGTACAACTGATCCCATCACCCAGCATAGTACCTGATGCGTAGTTTTTCGACCTTTGCCCTCCTCCCCTCCCCACCTCAGCAAGGTAGTTCCCAGTTGTTTACATCCATCCATTCATTCATTTTAAGGCAGGGTTTCACTCTGTTGCCCAGGCTGGAGTGCAGTGGTATAAACACAGCTCCTGCAGCCTCCACCTTCTAGTCTCACACCATCTTCTTGCTACAGCCTCCAAAGTAGCTGGGACTGCAGGCACGCATCACCACGCCCAGCTAATTTTTGTTATTTTTAGTAGAGACGAGGTCTCACTATGTTGCCTAGGGTAGTCTCAAACTCATGAGCTCAAGTGATCCTCTAGCCTCATTCTCCCAAAGCGTTGGGATTACAGGCATGAACCACTGTACCCGGCCTCCAGATGGTTTTCACAGAGAAAGCTATTTACAGCTGGTCTCAAATTTTTGGGTCATAGGACTCCTTTACATGCTTAATTGTATGATTCCACTTATATGAAATAGCTAGAATAAGCAAATTCACAGCGACAGAAAGTAGAGATAACCAGGGGCTGCGAGAAGAGAGGAAAGGGGAGTTATTTTTTCATGGCTACGGAGTTTCTGCTCAGGGTCATGAAAAAGTAGATAGAGGTGATGGCTGCACAACACTGTGAATGTAATTAACACCACTGAATTACAAACTAAATAACTGTTAACATGGAACATTTTGTTATAAGTATTTTAACAAAATTAATAATGCATCCACGCACGGTGGCTCACACCTATAATCCCAGTATTTTGGGAGGCTGAGGCGGGCAGATCGCTTGAGGCCAGGAGTTTGAGACCAGCCTGGCAAACATGGCAAAACCCCGTCTCTATTAAAAACACAAAAACTAGCTAGGTGTGGTGGCACATGCCTGGAGTCTCAGCTACTCAAGAGGCTGAGACAGGAGAATCTCTTGAACCTGGGAGGCAGAATCTGCAGTAAGCTGAGATCATGCCACAGCCCTCCAGCCTGGGCAACAGAGTGAGACTTTGTCTCAAAAAAAGAAAAAAGGCCAGGCGCGGTGGCTCACACCTGTAATCCCAGCACTTTGGGAGGCCGAGGTGGGCGGATCACCTGAGGTCAGGAGTTTGAGACCAGCCTGACCCACACAGAGAAACCCCAACTCTACTTAAAATACAAAATTAGCCGGGCTTGGTGGCACATGCCTATAATCCCAGCTACTTGGGAAGGCTGAGGCAAGAGAATCACTTGAACCTGGGAGGTGGAGGTTGCAGTGAGCCGAGATCACGCCATTGCACTCCAGCCTGGGCAACAAGAGCAAAACTCCATCTCAAAAAAAAAAAAAAAAATTAATAACACAACATAACAAAAAAATCATTGAATTGTATATTTTAAGTGGATGAATTATATGGTATGTAAATTACATCTCAATACAGCTGTTGAGAGAGAGAGAGAGAGAAGGAAAACCAGTATCTCCAGTCCCTAAAGGCTAGTGCAAAAAACTTTTTTTTTTTTTTTTTGAGATGGAGTCTCGATCTGTCACCCAGGCTGGAGTCCAGTGGTGCTATCTCAGCTCACTGCAACCTCCGCCTCCCGGGTTCAAGCAATTCTCCTGCCTCGGCCTCCCGAGTAGCTGGGACTACAGGTGAGTGCCACCACGCCTGGCTAATTTTTTGTATTTTTAGTAGAGACGGGGTTTCACCGTGTTAGCCAGGATGATCTCGATCTCCTGACCTTGTGATCCACTCACCTTGGCCTCCCAAAGTGCTGGGATTACAGGGGTAAGCCACTGCGCCCAGCCATACAGAAAACTTTAAGGAGGGAAAAATGCACTGATTGGTCAAGTAATAATGTTTAACATGGCTCAATATGTTTACCTGTAAGCTAGCAACCTCTTTAAATAGTTTCAACATTTCTTCACATTCGTCCTTCTTCTGCAGATTGTCTGTAATTAAATTTTTAAAAGTTATAGCAGACATGCAAATTCTCATATTATCAGAATTTTAAAAAGAAGAAATTTTAATTAGCTTTGGTTCTCTCATCTCAAGTCTTCAGTAGTTCTTCTCAAATGATAATATACAGTAACTAAGTACAAAAGATCTAATTTGAAAAAAATCTAATTATTCTTTCAGGAGGTAGAAAACAGAAGTTTATGTGTTACAAAAAAGTTATTTTTCTGAAGTAAATTGTAGCTTCTTTTTTTTCCCTGGAAAGTTACTTTCTTCACTGTTTTATTTAACTTCCAGTCAAATGGCTTCTCCCCACCATCATAAGCAACTGATAAATGAGAAAAATGAGCAATGAGTGCGAGACGCTAAGGAAATCTAGTCTAGCACTAAATAGTAAGTGAGCATATAAACAAATGATAGGTTGATTTTGCATGCATCTGTTCTTGAATTGCTGATAAAGGAATAAAGGAAGACTTTTCATGAAGCAAAATGGGTAAGATCAATAAAGACAATCAGAACCAGAAAAACTGCGGGTACGGTGAGAGTTGTCTTCGATGCCTCTTTCTGAAGAGGGTGAGCTTTGGAACAAAACTGAGATGAGAAAACAGAAGTAAAAGCTACCTTTCTGAATGTCACATAGTATCTTAAGAATGTCCACGGATGTCTTCGCTACAGACATTCTCCAGGCCTTGCCCTAAAAATAAATAAATAAAGCGAAATAAAATCTACTTCCTTTTCTGACCACTTCAGTAGTACATATACAAATACACAAAAACCACAGAAGCAGAAAAAACAATCGTGGAGGAGTTGGGCAGCTGAGAAATGGATGGTTAATGAGCGTTATACAGGGTAGACCTGAAAAACTCCAGTATGAACTCCTGGATATATGATTTAGAAATATCAAAGAATATGCAACTCTCCCAAATAACCTTTCAACTACATTATGATTAATAGATCCTTATTCGCTTTTAGAGTTATTTACTATTTGAAAAAACATTTGGAAAAGTTAAAAAGAATAGAAGTCTAAAAAATGGCCTAGAGAACAGAAGTCTAATAAATAATCACTACCTTCCAGTGATTATTTAAAAAAATTTTAAGAGAAGGAAAAAAAGGAGATGCTTTAATTAAAAGACATGATGTATGTAAAATGTTTAGTAAGTGCCTCGCCAATAAAAAAATTCAAATATTTTCATAACGGGAGCAATTCAAACTGGTACTTAAGAATACAGACTACGGGCCGGGCGCGGTGGCTCACGCCTGTAATCCCAGCACTTTGGGAGGCCGAGGCAGGCGGATCACGAGGTCAGGAGATCGAGACCATCCCGGCTAAAACGGTGAAACCCCGTCTCTACTAAAAATACAAAAAATTAGCCGGGCGTAGTGGCGGGCGCCTGTAGTCCCAGCTACTTGGGAGGCTGAGGCAGGAGAATGGCGTGAACCCGGGAGGCGGAGCTTGCAGTGAGCCGAGATCCCGCCACTGCACTCCAGCCTGGGCGACAGAGCGAGACTCCGTCTCAAAAAAAAAAAAAAAAAAAAAAAAAAAAAAAAAAAAAAAAAAAAAAAAAAAAAAAAAGAATACAGACTATGGTATTAGACAGTTTGAGCTGAGGTTCTGCCCCTTTCTAACAACCTTGGAAAAAAGTCATTTACTTTCATATTTTGGTTTTTGAACTTAATACATAAGGAGACAACAATAGGAACTACTTTACACCTTTGTTATGAACAAGAAGTAGCTATTTAACCTAATGCCTATTGCATAGCAAATATTAGGTGTTAAAAACAACAATAACTTCATTTTCCAACAGCAAAAAACATTACTGAAATGGACTGAGAGAAGTTGGGAGGTATCTATCCTTAGGGGTTTAAAAATCCAACTATTGGCCAAGTGTGGTGGCTCACACCTGTAATCCTAGCACTTTGGAAGGCCGAGGCAGGCAGATCAGTTGGCGTCAGGAGTTTGAGACCAGCCTGGCCAACATGGTGAAACCCGTCTCTAGTAAAAATACATAAATTAGCCAGGTGTGGTGGCGGACGCCTGTAATCCCAGCTACTCCCAGCTGAGGCAGGAGAATCGCTTCAACCTGAGAGGCAGAGGTTGCAGTGAGTTAAGATCGCGCCACTGTGCTCCAGCCTGAGCAACAGAGCAAGACTCTTGTCTCAAAAAAGAAAAGAAAAGAAAAAAAAAACCCAACTATTGAGCATGGTGGTGCATGCCTGTAATCCCAGCTACTTGGGAGGCTAAGGCTAGAAGAGAACTTAAACTCAGGAGTTCAAGACCAGCCTGGGCAACATACCAAGACCTCATCTCCTATATATAATATTTAAAAAAAGAGAAAAAATTAAAAATCAGTAAGAATCCAGCTATTCTGGAAAAACCAAGTATTCCTCATCTGCAAAAAAGTAAACTCTCTTAAAACCATTTCTAAGTTTCAATGTTATAAGATTATATAGATTTATATTGGTTTTGTAGCTGACATTACTATTTGACAATAATTATGTCCTATATAACACAAAACATTGTTTATATTGCAACGCTTTATAGAAACCTTTCGTGTACAACAGCTGCTCCAAGACACCTGCTAACCCACAGCTCCCAGGTCATTCTCTGTGGGCTCAAGCAGCCGCTCCAAGGCAGCCACAATTGTTTTTTTTCTCCTAGTAGTAAATTTACCCAGGAATTTTTTCACTAGGCCACCCTAGCAGTGAGAAGAGCAGATCTTCATATGTGTAAGTCCATCTTTTCTATCCTATTGATTAATAGCCATAAAAATTGGATTTACTTATATTTTACTTAGTGAAAATGTCACCTCTTTAGAATGATCTGGCTCTTCTTGTAATGCCAGTCGTGCCCATATGATGACTCTTTCTGCAGTTTTCTCAGCTTCAGCAGGAGGCAAAGACTTCAACAGAAGGAGACAGTCTTCACCCTATAAACAGGGTTTGAAAGGAAGAAAAAACAGCTGGTATTTGCAAAGGACGGTGTGGCCTTACCTCTTTCTTTTCTATTTAAAGATGAAAATACATCATTTGGAAAAACAGATTATGGTTCAATGTTTTAATAATCCGAAAATCCATTTTTATTTTATTTTACTTTAAGTTTCAGGGTACATGTGCAGGAAGTGCAGGCTTGTTACATGTGCCATGGTGGTTTGCTGTACCCATCAACCTGTCATGCACATTTTAAGCCCTGCATGCATCAGCTATCCATCCTGATGCTGAAAATCCATTTTTGATGACAGCAAACAATAAAATAAATTTAAAATACGATCCTAGATACTGAAGAGTTAATTCCTAGGCATTGCTATGATTATAGAATCATATAAAAATAATGACATTTAAAAACACAACAGGCCAAGCATGGTAGCTCACACCAGTAATCTCAGCACTTTGGGAGGCTAAGGCAGGTGGATTACTTCAGGTTGAGAGTTTGAGACCAGCGTGACCAACATGGTGAAACACAGCCACTGCACTCCAGCCTGGGCAATGGAGCGAGACCCTGTCTCAAAAAACAACAACAACAACACAGAAACAAAGAAGCCATATGAAATGACAACATAAAACTTACAAACCTGTTCTCTATCAATCAGGTCAATAATTCTTAGACTGTAGATCTCATCATCAGATAACATAAACGCTTGGGCTACCTTTAAAGCATCTTCTAAAGAAGATGGGACATCTTGTTTGAGAATGTATCTAACCACTCTCTGCAAAAGACAATATGAACATTTCTTTGTTATAGAACTCACAGAAAACCAAGAAATCACTTGCTTATAAGAGCAAAGTGGCAAAAAAATTTAAATAATGCAGCAAAAAACTAAATTGTATGAAAGATTAAAACATGATTTATATTCTGATCATTCCACAGTCCTGTCTTCTTTCTTCTACAGCTTCTTAATTTACTATTTGGTGTCTTTTTTTTGAGACAGAGTCTCCCTCTGTCGCCAGGCTACAGTGCAGTGGCGCAATCTCGGCTCACTGCAACCTCTGCCTCCCAGGTTCAAGTGATTCTCCTCCCTCAGCCTCCCAAGTAGCTGGGACTACAGGCACATGCCACCACACCCTGCTAATTTTTTTGCATTTTTAGCAGAGACGGAGTTTTACCATGTTGGCCAGAATGGTCTTGATCTCTTGACCTCATGATCCACCCACCTTGGCCTCCCAAAGTGCTGGGATTACGGGTGTGAGCCACCGCACCTGGCCTATTTGGTGTCTTTAATACTCTCATAAAAAGCCCAGGAGCGGTAGCTCACGCCTGTAATCCCAACACTATGGGAGGCCGAGGCAGGCAGATCACCTGAGGTCGGGAGCTCAAGACCAACCAGCCTGACCAACATGGAGAAACCCCATCTCTACTAAAAATACAAAAAAAAAATTAGCCAAGCGTGGTAGTGCATGCCTGTAATCCCAGCTACTCAGGAGGCTGAGGCAGGAAAATCACTTGAACCCAGAAGGCGGAGGTTGTGGTGAGCCGAGATCGCGCCATTGCACTCCAGCCTGGGCGGCAAGAGCGAAACTCCATGTCAAAAAGAATAAATACTCTCATAAATAACTGAACACCTTATTAACATCATATCTAACAAAAGAAATGTAGTGGAAAAACCTAGCTCTATTAGCCTCCTAGAATATAAATTCCTCATTAAGCTTTCCATATTGCCCCAGAAATGAAAGAGAAAAAAGACTCTTCGAAGAGTGTACTTACCATTATTTCCTTGTTTAAGAGATTTACCTCTCTTATTCCATAGCCTCGTAAAAGTTTTTTCATCTCCATTAGTTTGTAACTTTCCTGTAATAACTTGACTCTGAAAGCAAATTTACCCATATTAACATGGATTGTCTTTTTTATGAAGTACTATGGGACACAGCAAACAATATAGAAACATAAATGAACGTCAACTCAAAACACAATGTTTCTCCAGAGCATAACAACATTGTTTCGTAGACAGTCATCTTACTTGGGATGGTCCATTTCCAGGTGCTGTTTCACCAGTTGCTCCACAGCTGCACTCCAAGGAACCACTGCCGCATACATGATCTTGAGCACGGCATCAAATATGAGCTACAAAAGATGCACGCATGGACAAGGAACAGCCCTCAGGTTTACGATGCATGCAAGTGAACAGCACAGTCTAATCAGCAGGTCTTACATCAACCACATGGTAGTTTGAGAATATTTCATCCACTCACTGGAAAACCATTTATTTCTTCAGTTTTCACATATAGAGAACAATTTGACTATTCAGAAAAATTCAGAAGAGTATTTTTTCTGCTGTAAGCTAAGACATACAGCGTTATTGCTTTCTACGGTCTCTACAATCCCTGGGTTTTTTTTGTTTTTTTGAGGCAGGGTCATGTTCCCATTGCCCAGGCTGGAGTGCAGTGGCGCGATCTCAGCTCACTGCAACCTCCACCTCCTGGGTTCAAGCGATTCTCCCACCTCAGGCTCCCAAGTAGCTTGGACTACAGGCAAGCACCACCACACCTGGCTAATTTTTGTATTTTCTGTAGAGATGCGGTTCCACCATGTTGCCCAGGCAGGTCTCAAATTCCTGAGCTCAGGTGATCTGTCTGCCTTGGCTTCCAAAAGTGCTGGGATTACAGGCATGAGCCACTGTGTCCAGCCTCAGTCTCTGGTTTAAAAACAGTTTTCATTATTTTATTTCTATTTTATAGTGGCAATAACAGTGTGAAGTTAAAATAAAGGCATATTACAATATATTAACAAATGTCTCACATTGCAGCGAATAACTGAAAAAGAAAAGTCTCCATGTTTGCATAACCACAGAAAAGCCTGCAAAGATATGCATACAACTGTCCATGGAGGTTCCCCTGGGGGTGGAAATGAGTAAACATTCACTTTTTATTTTCTGTAATTAAAGAAAACAGACACTTTAGGAGAATGAAGCAGGCAGATCACTTGAGCCCAGGTGTTCAAGACCAGCCTGGGAAACCCTGTCTCTACAAAAAATACAAAAATTAGCTGGGCGTAGTGGCACACGCCTATGGTCCTAACTACTCAGGAGGCTGAGGTGGGGATTGCTTGAGCCAGGGAGATTGAGGCTGCAGTGAACCATGATCATGTCACTGCATTCCAGCCTGGGCGACACAGCCAGACCCATCTCAAACAAAAACAAATATATGTCGCTTTTATGAACAGAAAAAAGCTTTCAGAAAAGATTTAATGCTCAAAAGGGAAACGCAAATGGTCACTATTTACTTACGTCCGTGTCAGATAAACACGCTATTACTGCCATGGCCTTTGCTTCCCATGCTGTTTCAAAGAGTGATGTGGACTTTGAGCTGCATCTATTCAGTAAATCCTAAAAAGGGATAAACATGTATGTTTTTTAAAAATTAAAAATTCTCATTAAAAAAATGCCACATACAGCTAGATACAGATATTATATGGCCTTGATAGATGTGTTAAAAGAAAAAAAACCTAAAAATTCTAATTAGTCATAAATGTTGAACAATGGTCTAAAAATACAAAACTGCCAAAACATTAGCCTTTAGTTTTATATGGTATAGAAAATTTAAGAATGAAACATTCTTGAAGAATCTACAAATAAGATTACTGTAGCACATTAATAACATCCACAAGAAATAACTGCTAATATTTATTGAGTTCATGCTCCTGTGGTCTCACAATAGCCCTTTGAAGAAAGTACTGTGAAAGGGAAATATCTTGGGCCCCCAAGATCACTAAGGAAAACTCAGGCTGGAAATTGCTTAGGGCAAACTTGCCTCCCATTCTATCAAAGTTACCCCTCTGCTCACTGAGACAGCTGCATTATCTGATTGCCTCCTTTGGAAAGGCTAATCAGAAACTCAAAAGAATTTTAATGTTTTGTATCACCTATCTGTGACCTGGAAGCTCCCTCTCGCTTGGAGTCTTCCTGCCTTTGCTTCAAGTTGTCCCACCTTTCCAGATCGAACCAATGTACTTCTTACATATGCTGACTGATGCCTCGTGTCTCTCCCTAAAATATATAAAACCAAGCTGTGCCCGGACCACCTTGGGTACATGTCGTCAGGACTTCCTGAGGCTGTGTCATGGGTGTATCCTCAACTTTGGCAAAATAAACTCCCTAAATTAACTGAGAACTGTCTCAGATTTTCCGGGTTCACAGTCCTCATGTATCCCCCCTTTGCTCAAGATGGTTAGTAGCAGAATTAACCCACATTTTTAACCAATTCAATATGCTGCATGAGTCCTACTGAGAAAGCATATGACATTCCTTAAAGAGTTAAATATTTACTACAGTGCTACACTGCATAGATCCAAGAAATAAGACTAGATGTAAAGGAAAAGTTACCTCTATGTACAGCAAGAGAAGTTCCTCCTCTTGCAAGTCATGTTCTCTCATGTAAACTCTTATAAACTTCTCTAAGATGGAGGGAATAAGCTCTGGGGCCAGCACTTTATCAAACATTCGGAACACTATGGTGGTTGTATTTTCCTGGATGCCAAAAGAAAGATGGAATAAATACAGACTCTACCCATAACTTGATATACAAAATAATTCTTATGACCCTGGACTTTACCTTCTCAAAATCAGAGAGGGCTAATTTGCAGTTGTACTTCCTATGCAACGTGATCAACTCTCGCAAGTTATTTACCAAAGTCCTTAGCTGACATACTTCCTCTGTGTTCTGATAATCTTTCTAAAACAAAAGTGTTAAAGTTGTTAACGATATAAAATAAAAGTATGAGAGAAAAATAGAATCAGAATTATTTCAGATAAAATAAGAATTAACCCTGGTTATGCACGTAAGAGGAAACCTGCAACTTTAAACCAACTTATGCTCTAAATTTTGTAGTATTTTAACCAAATTAGTATAGATCAGAATCTGAAAGATATTTTCTCTTAAAAAAATAGAAAAATTAAGAATATTAGTATAATACTTTTTCAGAACCCAAGTATACTTAGTACACAGCATCATTTAGGTAGTGCTCAGTGTCCCATCTATCTATAGAGATTATATATCATAACCAGATATAAAGGCATAACATTTCCTAAAATTATATAAAAAGAACAGAACCTTCAATATTGATAAAAGTTAACAGGGAAAAGATAAAAATAATGTTTTACAGCAAGAGGAAAAAGCTCTTATATAGAAAAGGTGACTTGACAGACACAACCTTTGAAAACTAATATTAATGTACTGTCAAGACTTAATTTTTCCTTTTTTCTTTTTTTTTGGGGGGGACAGAGTCATGCTCTGTCACCCAGGCAGGAGTGCAGTGGCACAATCTCGGCTCACTGCAACCTCTGCCTCCCCGTTTCAAGCGATTCTCCTGCCGCAGGCTCTCAAATAGCTAGGACTACAGGCACCCACCACCATGCCTGGCTAATTTTTTTTGTATTTTTACTAGGGATGGGGTTTCACCATGTTAATCAGGCTGATTTCAATCTCTTGACCTCAAATGATCTGCCCATCTCGGCCTCCCAAAGTGCTGGGATTACAGGCGTAAGCCATCGTGCCCAGCCAAGATTTAATTTTTCAAAGGATTGTGAAATGCTGCTAATGCAGAAAATCCCAATTATACCACTTAGCAGAATGTTTATATAGTTCCCCTTTTGGTTGGTTGAATAGAGAAAAACTGTTCATTAAAACAGGTGGAGGGGGGCCAGGAGCAGTGGCTCATGCCTGTAATCCAGCACTTTGGGAGGCCGAGCAGTGCAGATCATCTGAGGTCAGGAATTTGAGATCAGTCTGACCAACATGGTGAAATCCCGTCTCTACTAAAAGTATAAAAAAAATTAGCCAGGCGTGGTGGGGGGTGCCTGTAGTCCCAGCTACACGGGAGGCTGAGGCAGGAGAATTGCTTGAACCTGGGAGGGGGTGGTTGCAGTGAGCTGAGATCGCACCACTGCACTCCAGCCTGGGCAACAGGGTGAGACTCCATCTCAAAAAAAAATAATAATAATAGGTTGAGAGGGCTGGGCACAGTAGCTCACACCTATAATCCCAGCACTTTGGGAAGCCCAGGTGGGTAGATCACTTGGGTCTGGGAGTTCAAGACCAACCTGGGCAACATGGCAAAACCCCTTCTTTACAAAAAATACAAAAATCAGTCGGGCCTGGTGATGCGCACCTGTAGTCCCAGCTACTCAGGAGGCTGAGGTGGGAGGATCACTTGAGCCCAAAAGTTGAGGGTGCAGTGAGCCATGGTTGCACCACTGCATTCCAGCTGGGGCAACAGAGTGAGACCTTGTCTCAAAAATGAATAATAAATAAATAAATATATAAATAAATTAAAAACATAGGTTGAAGTTTTAACACAAATCAGAAAGAAAGAAAAAGCAAATTTTCCTACATATGGATTTGAAAGGCACAAAACAAAAAAAAGGCACAAAAAAACAGAAAATTTAAGAAGTAGATATATTTCCAGATACTTCACATACATGCAGACAAACCCTTTCAGGTAAACTGACTGTTTCATTACTAAAAATCCATTCTCACATCATACCAAGGAAATCCAATGCCAGGAAGATGCCAATCCCAACTCGTCTGTTTTTTCTGCTGTAAAAAATATCTCTGCCAATTGAAGTCCATTTTCTGGCCAATTTGCCTTTAAAAAAGATTACAGACAGTTCAAAACAATGTTTTATGCTGTTGGGAGTGTGCAAAATGTCTTTTTACTGTTAATTAAATCAGTATTACCTTATCAGTTAATTCAAGGTTCCTGGCTGCTTGTTCCAACCATTTTGCAAGAATTATCTGAAATAGATTATTTAAAAATGAAATTCTTAATGGATAATCACTGACATAACTAAAAACCTCCACGATTTCTTTTTTTTCCTTTAAATATTTATTTTGTCCATAAACCTCTTATCCACGATTGTCTTTTTTGCTTGTGTGTGGGCACGTAGTAGGTGTACATACTTGTGGAGTACATGAGATGCATTGATACAGGCAAGCAATGTGAAATAATCACAACATGGAGAGTGGGGTATCCATCCCCTTTGTGTTACAAACAATCCAATTACACTCTTTTAGTTATTTTTAAATATAGAATTAAGTTATTATTGACTCTCTTGTATAATCAAATAGTATGTCTTATTCTTTCTTTTTTTTTTTTTTGAGACAGGGTTTCGCTCATCACCCATGCTGGATCTCATGCAATGGCACGATCTCGGTTCACTGCAACCTCCTGGGTCAAGCAATTCTACTGCCTCAGACTCCCGAGTGGCTGTGATTACAGGCATGCCACCATGCCCGGCTAATTTTTGTATTTTTAGTAGACACAGGGTTTCACCATGTTGGTCAGGCTGGTCTCAAACTTCTGACCTCAGGTGATTCACCCACCTCAGCCTCCCAAAGTGATGGGATTACAGGCGTGAGTCACTGCACCCAGGCTCATTCTTTCTAAATATATTTTTTTGTATGCATTAACCATCCCCACCTCTCACCCATCACCCATCACCCCACAACCCTTCCAAGCCTCTGGTAACCATCCTCCTACTCTCTATGGCCGTGAGTTAAATTGTTTTGATTTTTAGATCCCACAAATAAGTGAGAACATGTGATGTTAGTCTTTCCATGCCTGGCTTATTTCACTTAACATAATAATCTCCAGTTCCATCTATATTGTTGCAAATGATAACATCTCCTTCTGAATCACAGTTGTCTTTTAAGAGACACTTTAATTAACACAGGTGTTAGCTTAACTAACTGGTGTTAACTGGTGTTAACGTGACTTAATTCTCAATGATCTAATGTAAAAAATGAAATAAAGTCATCAAGAGTGGAAATACTGAAGACAACTCACCTGTCCTTCAGGCACAGTCCTTCTTACAAATGGAATCACATCATTTTTAAACCATGGACACAGCTTTTGCAAAGAGACTGATGCAGACATTGAGTTGAGCAAGCTCTCCAGCATTTTCACATCAAATCTGCTTTCAAAGTTTGCCTAAATTATAAGGAGCGAGAAATTAAGATCTGACAAATTTAAACCAAAGGCTTCCAAATGTTTGACAAAGATATTTTAGGAAGTCATTTTAAGGAGTAGCCTACTGATTTAATAATGAGTGCTAAAGGAGATTCACACTATGCAAATGATTCTAGTTGGGAGCTGCATACTGTATGCAATGTCACGGCGCTGAGTGCCAAATAGTTTATCATGTAGCAGAAGAACCAGCAGAGAGAGTATTCTAAGGAAAACTTAACTGGGGGTGATACTAGGAATTCAAACAAGCAATGCAGCCATTAAGGGCATCACGGCAAGTTATGACTTTATGGATCTAATGTTCTATACCAACTTTGGCCAACCTTAAAGGGATCGAGACAAGCAATTTTAAGGGGCAATCTTTTACCACAATTTGAGCTGCAGTAGCAACATCTTCTTCACCAATGCTACATTACAAAGCCCACTAATAAACCAGATAACATGTTGCCTTTAGAGCTAAGATTAGGAGTTAGACTCTTTTTTTGGTTAACTTTTAAGTTCAGTGGTATAAGTGTAGGTAAACTTTTGTCAAGGGGGTTTGTTGTACAGATTATTTCATCACCCAGCTATTAAGCCTATTAATCATTAGTTATTTTTCCTGATACTTTCACCCTCCACCTTCTGAAAGGCCCCGGTGTGTGTTTCCCTCCATGCATCCACGTGTTCTCATCATTTAGCTCCCAAGAAGCTAGATTCTTAATGATTGGATAAAATAAGGTTCTACTGTACATTCACTGTACTTCTTCTGATTTAATATTATCAGAAGACAATTTTCTCCGGGAAAAGTAATTTTTTTTTTTCTTTTTTTTGGGACGGAGTCTCACTCTGTCACCCAGGCTGGAGTGCAGTGGCGTGATCTCGGCTCACTGCAACCTCCACCTTCTGGGTTAAAGAAATTCCCCTGCCTCAGCCTCCTGAGTAGCTGGGTCTACAGGAACGTGCCACCATGCCCGGCTACTTTTTTATTTTTGGTAGAGACACGGATTCACCATGTTGACCAGGCTGGTCTCGAACTCCCAACCTCCAGTGATCAGCCCGCCTCGGCCTCCCAAAGTGCTGGGATTATAGGCGTGAGCCATCGCGCCCAGCCCATGGGGAAAGTCTTTTTTATCCCCTTGCCCTTTACAAACAAAAGCAAGTCATATTTTAAGAACCAATCAAAAAACATCCCATCACCCAGTCAGACTTGCACCTTGTTAGTCTCCAACATTGATTCAATCACCTAACTCAGGAGCTATAAAGCTGTTAAGGAAAAAATGTAAAACATGTTACCCGATGTCGAAGCCAAAGATACTGTGCACAAACAAGGTTTCCTTCTTTTAGCTGTAAAAAAATATCTTTAAGATCATCTTCATTATTTAGAAATTCAATCCAAGAACTGCCACTGAATAGACAAAGAAGGGAAAAAAGTCAGTTTTAAAAAAAATTAAGGTTATACCTTTTAAGTGGATTATCTTTAAATGCATTTTAATTAGTTTTCTTCTTCATAAAGGTAAAAACAAAAAACTAAAAAAAACCCAGTTCCAAAGATCACACAATGCAAAGTACATTTCCTTCTTATCTCAGACCCTAGAACTCCCGACATCTTCCTCAGAGCCATGTAGCTTCCTATAGGACCCTCCTCAGATAATCACTACACGTAGAAATAACTATTTTTCACTCTTGTTTGTTTTATTTGTTTTTTTGAGATGGGATCTCACTATGTGCTCAGGCTGGACTTGAATTCCTGGGCTCAAGCAATCCTGCCACCTCAGCATCCTGAATAGATGGGATTACAGGCATGTTTATATTATTTTACTTTATTTTTTTGAGCTGGAGTCTCACTGTCACCCAGGCTGCAGTGAAGTGGCACAATCTCGGCTCACTGCAACCTTTGTCTCCTGAGTTCAAGAGATTCTCATGCCTCAGCCTCCCAAGCAGCTGGGATTACAGGCATGCACCACCATGCCTGGCTAATTTTTGTATTTTTAGTAGAGATGGGGTTTCACCATGTTGGCTAGATGGTCTCAAACCCCTGACCTCAACTGATCCACCCACTTCAGCCTCCCAAAGTGTTGCGATTACAGGCATGAGCCACCGTGCCCAGCCTATTTTTTAAATAAGTAAGTGTTCTATAATGAATTTGACGAGGAAAAAAGAAAATCAGAATTGATAAGATAAAATTTCATTATTTGAATATAAAATTATATACCTGGAAAAAACAAGATCAAATGAAATATTACTATGCATAATAAAGAAATTCATTAAGGTAGCTGGTTAAACATTTTTAAAAATCAGCTGATCGTGGTGGCTCACGCCTGTAATCCCAGCACTTTGGGAGGCCGAGGTGGGTGGACCACTTGAGGTCAGAAATTCAAGACCAACCCAGTCAACATGGTGAAACCCTGTCTCTATTAAAAATACAAAAAATAGCCGGTGTGGTGGCAGGTGCCTGTAATCCCAGCTACTCGGGAGGCTGAGGCAGAATTGATTGAACCCAGGAGGCAGAGGTTGCAGTGAGCCGAGATCATGTCATTGCACTCCAGCCTGGGCAACAGAACAAAACTGTCTCAAATAAAAAAAAAAGTTTTTTTTAATCACTAGCTCGCCACATCCTTTAGAAAAGATGGCAGCCAGCCACAGTGGCTCATGTCTATATTCCCAGCACTTTCGGTGGCCAAGCAGGAGGATCACTTGAGCCCAGGAGTTCGAAACCAGCCTGAGAAACATGGTGAAACCCAGGCTCTACAAAAAATTAGCTGAGTGTGGTGGTGCTCACCTGTAATCCCAGCTACTTGGGTGGCAGAGCTTGGGAGGCTGAAGCTGCAGTGAGCTGAGATCATGCCACTGCACTCCAGCCTGGGTGACAGAGTGAGACCCCACCTCAAAAAAAAAAAAAAAAAAAAACCAGCCTGGACAACATGGCAAAATCCGTCTCAACTAAAAATATAAAAGTTGGCTGGGTGCAGTGGCTCACTCCTGTAACCCAGCACTTTGGGAGGCCAAGGCGGGCAGATCACTTGAGGTCAGGAGTTTGAAACCAGTCTGCTCCAAATGACGAAACCCCATCTCTACTAAAACTACAAAAATTAGCCAGACGTAGTGTTGCATGCCTGTAATCCCAGCTAGTCGGGAGGCTGAGGCAGGAGAATCACTTGAATATAGGAGGCGGAAGTTGCAGTGAGCTGAGATCATGCCACTGCACTCCAGCCTGGGCAACAAAGTGAGAGTCCGTATTAAAAGAAAAAAAAAAAATTATCCAGGTGCAGTGGCACGTGCCTGTAATCCCAGCTACTGGGCAGGAGAATCACTTGAACCTGGGAGGCAGAGGCTGCAGTGAGCCAGAGTCAAGATCGAGCCACCGCACTCGAGCCTGGGCGACAAGAGCAAGACTCTGTCTCATTGAAAAAAAAAAAAAAGATTTAGGCCGGGCGCAGTGGCTCACGCTTGTAATCCCAGCACTTTGGGAGGCTGACGCGGGCAGATTACGAGGTCAGGAGTTCGAGGCCAGCCTGGCCAACACAGTGAAACCCCATCTCTACTAAAAGTACAAAAATTAGCTGGGTGTGGTGGCAGACGCCTGTAATCCCAGCTCCTCAGGAGGTTGAGGCAGGAGAATCACTTGAATCTGGGAGGCGGAGGTGGCAGTGAGCCGAGATCATGCCACTGCACTCCACACTCCTAGACTCTGTCTCAAAAAAAAAAAAAAAAAAGATTGAAACGTAGAAAGAAACTCTAAAAATGAAAAAATACAAGAGAAAGTATTTATTTATTTATTTTTTGAGGCGAGTTTCACTGTGTCACCCAGGCTGGAGTGCAGTGGCACAATCACAGCTTACTGCAGCCTCGACCTCCCAGGCTCAGGTGATCCTCCCACCTCAGCTTCCTTAGTAGCCAGGACTACAAGCACCTGGCCAAGTTGCCTGGCAAATTTTAGTATTTTATGTAGAGACAGGGTTTCACTATGTTGCCCAAGCTGGTCTTGAACTCCTGGGAAGCGATCCGCCTACCTCAGCCTCCCAAAGTGCTTGGATTACAGGTATAAACCACTGTGCCCGGCCAAGAATTTATTTTTAATCTTGCGGTGGGTAATATTTTTCCAAACAGACATAAAAATACAAACTTCTGAATTTTTTGTAAAAAAAAAAAATAATAATAACAAAATCAATTAAAAAAATGCCAAATTAGAGGAAAATTTGAAATACCCACAAAGAACTTTAAAGTCAATTTTGAAAAGAACAACTCGGTCCAGGCGTGGTGGCTCATGCCAGTAATCCCAGCACTTTGGGAGGCCGAGGCAGGAGGATCACTTGAGCCCAGGAATTTGAGACTAGCCTGGGCAACATGGGAGACCCTGTCTCTAAAAACACAACAATAATAAAACCACAGAAATAGCTCTGTTTTTTTTTTTTTAAAAAAAAAAAACAACTCAAGAGAAAGAGGGACCAAGGATGTAAGGAGAAAAACAAAAGGCTTTTCACCTTGAGAAAGTAAATATTTCAACCAAAATTAAGAATGGAAATCAAATCCATGTGGTAATATTTAAAAAAAATTTTTTTGCATACATCAGATTAGCAAAAAAACAAGTTCTATAACATACTGTTGGTGAATGAGTGAGAAAATGGGCCCTCCCCTACTCATTCTATTGGAAAAGGTGCTTTGGAAGCCAAGTTTGGATGAATAACCTTTTGCCTTAGCAACTGCACCTCCAGAAATTGAATCCACAGATATACTTCCATGTGGCACCAAAATATCATTACTTAAAATTAGAGGTATACTTACTTTAAATCTATTTATCAGAATAAATTAACAATGAAGGGAAATGAGCAATTAGAAGATATGGTAAGAATCTGACTATGATCAAAGGTAAAAATATTTGTGTTAAAGAAATGAGCACTGGGCGTGGTACCTCACGCCTGTAATCCCAGCACTTTGGGAGGCCGAGGCAGGCAGATCGCTTGAGCTCAGGAGTTCAAGACCGGCGTGGACAACACAGAGAGACTGCATTTCTAAAAAAATAATTAAAAAAATTAGCCAGATGTGGTGGTGCACATCTGTAGTCCCAAGCTACTTGGGAGGCTGAGGTAGGAGGATCACCAGGGAGGATACCAGGTATCCTTGGCATCCCAAAGTGTTGGGATTACAGGCGTGAGCCACTGCACCTGGGCCAGACTCAGTTTTATATGTTTTAGGACCCTTTAATTCTAGAATGGAGCGTGGGTTCTCTTTTATTGTGTTTTTAAATGTCATTATTTTTATACGATTCTATAATTATAGCAATGACTAAGAATTAAACAAATCTTCATTACTTAGAATTATATTTTAAATTTATTTTATTGTTGCTATCATCAGAAATGGATTTTCAGATTATTAAAACATTAAACCATAAGGCCAGGTGCAGTAGCTCACACCTGTAATCCCAGCACTTTGGGAAGCCGAGGTGGGTGGATTGCCTGAGGTCAGAGTTCGAGACCAGCCTGGCCAACATGGTGAAACACCGTCTCTACTAAAAATACAAAAATTAGCCAGGCGTGGTGGCGGGTGCCTGTAATCCCAGTTACTTGGGAGGCTGAGGCACAAGAATTGCTTGAAACTGAGAGGCAAAGGTTGCAGTGAGCCAAGATAGCATCGCTGGACTCCAGCCTTGGCAATAGAGCGAGACTCCGTTTCAAAAAATATATAAAAAACATTGAACCATAATGTTTT
Organism: Homo sapiens; assembly: GCF_000001405.40. NCBI lineage: Eukaryota > Metazoa > Chordata > Mammalia > Primates > Hominidae > Homo > Homo sapiens. Next base: position 122,563,959 of record NC_000012.12, on the reverse strand, counting down.
TCCAAATGATGTATTTTTATCTTTAAATAGAAAAGAAAGAGGTAAGGCCACACTGCCCTTTGCAAATACCAGCTGTTTTTTCTTCCTTTCAAACCCTGTTTATAGAGTGAAGACTGTCTCCTTCTGTTGAAGTCTTTGCCTCCTGCTGAAGCTGAAAAAACTGTGGAAGAGTCATCATATGGGCACGACTGGCGTTACAAGAAGAGCCAGATCATTCTAAAGAGGTGACATTTTCACTAAGTAAAATATAAGTAAATCCAATTTTTATGGCTATTACTCAATAGGATAGAAAAGATGGACTTACACATATGGAGATCTGCCCTTCTCGCTGCTAGGGTGGCGCAGTGAAAAAATTCCTGGGTAAATTTACTACTAGGAAAAAAAAATAATTGTGGCTGCCTTGGAGCGGCTGCTTGAGCCCACAGAGAATGACCTGGGAGCTGTGGGTTAGCGGGTGTCTTGGAGCAGCTGTTGTACATGAAAGGTTTCTATAATGCCTTGCAATATAAACAATGTTTTGTATTATACAGGACATAATTATTACTGTTAAATAGTAATGTCAGCTACAGAACCAATATAAATCTATATAATCTTATAACATTGAAACTTAGAAATGGTTTTAAGAGAGTTTACTTCTTTGCAGATAAGGAACCAAATACTTGATTTATCCAGAATAGTTAGATTTTTACCAAGCCTAAAAAGTTGAGGCTGCAGTGAGCTATGATCGCACCACTGCACTCGAACCTGGGTGACAGAGTGAGACCCTGTCTCAAAAAAGAAGAAATGACAACAAGGATGTTCAGCCCGTTTTTGTTGCTGAAAAACTAGTATTTTCTATCACTCAACACCCCTCATAGAAACACAAATTCAGCAAGAGGACTGCTATACCTGTTATGACATTCCAAATTTCTATGTAACTTATAATCTAAAAAAAAAAATTTTTTTTTTTTTGAGACCGAGTCTTGCTCTGTCGCCCAGGCTGGGGTGCAGTGGCACGATCTCGGCTCACTGCAACCTCTGCCTCCCGGGTTCAAGTGACTCTCCTGTCTCAGCCTCCCTAGTAGCTGAGATTACAGATGCACGCCACCACGCCTGGCTAATTTTTGTATTTTAGTAGAGATGGGGTTTTGCCATGTTGGCCAGGCTGGTCTCGAACTCCTGATCTCGGGTGATCTGCCCACCTCAGCCTCCCAAAGTGCTGGGATTACAGGCGTGAGACACCATGCCTGGCCTAAAAAGTTTTAACAAAAATGTACACACCTGAATTTTTCTGGTCCAAATGCTCCATAAAAAGTAGTCAATTTTGCATGAGCTCTTAGCACCTGAAGAAAAAATAATTTAATAATCTGAATTTATATGCAACAATATTGAAATTAAAACATTAAAAATGAATCATTACATTTCACATGTCTATACACATTCACATTTATCTCACATCACAACTCAATTCCCATAGGACTGCCTTTATTTCACACACATACACACACACACACACACACACACACACACACACACACACAAAACATGGGATAAGAAAAACATTTCCAATTACATCCAATTATAAAGGCACATACACATTAATTGTAGGAACTCTTTAAAATCAGTTTTTTCACTGATTTCTAAATTCTTATGGTAAAATCCAGCTGGATTACAATACTTAATTTGAACTAAGAATTTGAATATTTATATGCTCACATGCACACACACATGTATTTTAGCACCATCATAATCAACATCGCAGTTTATCTTCATTTGAATGTTTAGCAGGTACCAGGTACTATGTACAACAGTTTATATGAATTATTTCCTTTGATCTCAAAATGACCTTATAAAGTAAGTACCTATTAATATTACCATTTTGCAGATAAGAAAAGTAAGGTATTGAAATAACTTGCTCTTGATAAAATACGGGTCTATTTTGAATGGAAAACATATTATAAAGGTATATTCACCCACATATTAACCTAGAAATCTAGTGTAATTACCTCTTTCAAGCCATCAGAATAAATGAGAGCAGTTTTATCTTCTTTCTTCAAAAGCTAAGTAAGAATAATAAGAAATACAGTTAGAAGAATATCTACTGTTTATTTCCTAAATGATGGATTTTCTGTGAAATAACAAAAAATTTTTTTAAATAAATTGCATTTAAGTGTGAAATGAATAGTAAACTATAAAGAACTGACATGTTTTTTAAAATAATGCATTTGCCTGGGGGCAGTGGCTCACGCCTGTAATCCTAGCACTTTGGAAGGCTGAGGCGGGCGGACTGCTTGAGCTCAGGAGTTCAGGATGACCCTGGGCAACATGGTGAAACCCTGTCTCTACTAAAATATAAAAAATTAACCAGGCACTGTTGCGCACACCTGTAGTCCCAGCTACTAAGGAGCCTGAGGCACGAGAATCCCTTGAGCCCGAGAGGCTGAGGTTGCCATGAGCCGAGATCCCACCACTGCACTCCAGCTTGGGGTACAGAATGAGACTCCGTTTCAAAAAAAAAATTACAAATAAATAAATAAATAGCAAAAATACTCATAGGTCATTGCAAAAATGACATTATTTGCAATTGCAAAAATTGCATGCCAAAAAAGGTCTATGACAGAAAAAGAATCCATTTTTTATTTATTATTATTATTATTTTTTTTTTTGAGATAGGGTCTTGCTCTGTCACCCAGGTTGGAGTGCAGTGGCCCAATCTCTGCTCACTGCAACCTCCACCTTCTGGGTTCAAGTAATTCTCCTGCCTCAGCCTTCCAAGTAGCTGGGATTACAAGCATGCGCCACCAGGCCTGGCTAATTATTTTTGTATTTTTAGTAGAGATGGGGTTTCATCTTACTGGCCAGGCTGCTCTTGAACTCCTGACCTCAAGTGCTCTGCTCTCCTGGGCCTCCCAAAGTGCTAGGATTATAGGCATGAGCCACTGCACCCAGCCAAGAATCCATTTTTTAAAAAATTATTTCTTTGGCATAAGACTAATATATACAAACGGTATCAAAACATACCTTCCCACCTTACATACATTAGTGGAGGGATTACAGCCACTGTGCTTGGCCCAATCCCAACACTTTGAGAGTCTGAGGCAGGAGGATTGCTTGAACCCAGGAGTTTGAGGCTGCAATGCATTACAACTGCACTCCAGCCTGGGTGAAAGCAAGACCTTGTCTCAAAAACAAAAAGTGTTAGCAAAGGTGGAGAAATCTGAACACTTATGCACTGTTGCTGGAAATGTGAAATGGCACAGTCACCATGGAAAACATGGTAGTTCCTTAAAAAATTTAAAAGAGAATTAGGGCCCAGTGTGGTGGCTCACGCCTGTAATCCCAGCATTTTGGGAGGCCAAGGCAGGCAGATCACTTGAAGTCAGGGTTCAAGACTAGTCTGGCCAACATGGTGAAACCCCATCTCTACTAAAAATACAAAAATTAGCTGGGCGTGGAGGCACATGTCTGTAATCCCAGCTACTTGGGAGGCTGAGGCGAGAGAATCACTTGAGCCTGGGGGGTGGGCAGAGGTTGCAGTGAGCCAAGATCACGCCATTGCACTCTAGCCTGGGAGACAAAGTGAGACTCTGTCTCAAAAAAACAGAATTAGCATATGACCCAACATTTCCACTTCTGGGTATATGCTCAAAAGAACTGAAAGAGGGACTCAAATAGACATCTGTACACCCATGTTCATAGCAGAATTATTCACAGCAGCAAAAATGTGGAAATAACTAAAGAAGTCAGGGTTAGGGTCAGAGTCAGGGACCATGGATAAACAAAAAAGAAAGAAATTCTGTCATTTGCAACAACATGAATGAACCTGGAGGATATTATGCTAAGTGAAATAAGCCAGTCACAAAAGACAAGTACTGTCTTAAATGATTAAATGATTCCATTTAATATAAGGTACTTAGAGTAGTCAAAATTATATACATAGACAGCATATGGTTTGCCAGGGGCTGGGGAGACGGAGAAATGGGAAGTCTGTGTTTAATGGGCAGAGTTTCAGTTTCACAACGATGAAAAGAGTTGGGGAGATGGACGATGGCCGAATGTGATTATGAATGTATTTAATACCATTAAATTTAAAAATGCTTAAGATAGGCCGGGCGCAGTGGCTCATGCCTATAATTGCGGCACTTTGGGAGGCCAAAACAGGCAGATCATTTGAGGTCAGGAGTTCAAGACCAGCCTGACCAACATGGTGAAACTCCGTCTCTACTAAAATACAAAAATTAGCCAGGTGTGGTGGCAGCGGGAGCCTGTAATCTCAGCTACTTGAGAGGCTGAGGCAGGAGAATCACTTGAACCCAGGAGGTGGAGGTTGCAGTGAGCCGAGATCACACCACTGCACTCCAGCCTGGGTGACAGTGCGAGACTCCCTCTCAAAAATAAAATATTTTTTTTTAAAAAGGTGAAAATGGTAAATTTCATGTTATGTATTTTTTAACAAAATATAAACAAAATTGGGGGAAAAAAGTATAAACAACCCAAATGTCCATCAACTGATAAATGGAGAAACAAAACGTGGTATATCCATAAAATAGAATATTATGTGCCAATAAAAAGAAATACAGCACTGACATGTGCTACAGCATGGATGAACCCTGAAGATTTTTTTTTATTTTTATTTTTTTTGGGACAGAGTCTTGCTCCGTTGCCAGGCTGGAAGCGCGATCTCAGCTCAAAGCAACCTCCACCTCCCAGGTTGAAGCGATTACCTTCCCTCAGCCTCCTGGGACTACAGGTGCGTGCCACCATGCCTGGATAATTTTTTGTATTTTTTGTATTTTAGTAGAGACGGGGTTTCACCATGTTCGTCACAATGGTCTCGATCTCCTGACCTCGTGATCTGCCCACCTCGGCCTCCCAAAGTGCTGGAATTACAGGCGTGAAACAACGTGCCCAGCCCAAACCCTGAAAATATTATGCTAAGTGAAAGAAGCCAGACATGAAGGAGACATATATGATTCCATTTATTTGAACCGTTCAGAATAGGCAAATCTAGAGAGACAGGAGGTAAATTAGTGGTTTCCTGAAGCTGGGGGACTGGGGCAAATGGGGAATGACTATTAATGGCATAGAGGTTTTGTTTTCTTTTGTTTTTTGATAAGAGTCTCACTCTGTTGCCCAGGCTGCTGTGGCGCAGTTTTGGCTCACCCTAACCTCTGCCTACCAGGTTCAAGCAATTCTCATGCCTCAGCCTGCCAAGTAGCTGGAACTACAGGAGTGCACCACCACACCCAGCTCATTTTTATATTTTTAGTAGAGATGGGGTTTCACCATATTGGCCAGGCTGGTGAACTCCTGACCTCAGGTGACCCACTCACCTCTGCCTCCCTAAGTACTGGGACTACAGGCATGAGACACCTCACCCAGCCATTTAAGAGTTTTATCTTTTAATTTAATATTTTTTCTTTTTCTTTTGAGACGGAGTCTTGCTCTGTCGCCAGGCTGAAGTGCAGTGGCGTGATCTCAGCTCACTGCAACCTCCGCCTCCCAGGTTCAAGCAATTCTCCTGCCTCAGCATCCCAAGCAGTTGAGACTACAGGCGCGTGACACCACACCCGGCTAATTTTTGTATTTTTAGTAGAGACAACATGAGGTCTCACCATATTGGCCAGGCTGGTCTTCAACTCCTGACCTCAGGTGATCCACCCACCTTGGCCTCCCAAAGTGCTGGGATTACAGGAGTAAGCCACCGCACATAGCCTTAATTTTATTTTTTGAGACACAGTCTTGCTCTGTCACCCAGGCTGAAGAGCAGTGGAACAATTTTAGCTCACTGCAACCTCTGCCTCCCGGATTCCAGTGATTCTTGTGCCTCAGCCTCCCTAATAGCTGGAACTACAGGCACGTGCCACCACGCCCAACTAATTTTTTTATTTTTAGTAGAGACGGAGTTTCACCATGTTGGCCAGGCTGGTCTCCAGCTCCTGACCTCAGGTGATCCACCCACCTCAGCCTCACAAATTGCTGGGATTAAGGCGTGAGCCACCACGTCCGGTCTGGGATAGAGGTTCTTTTGGGGAGATTTAAAAGTTCTAAAATTGACAATAATGATGCTTGCACAACTCAAGGAATATATTAAAAACCACTGAACTGTATACTTTAAATAGGTGAATTGTATAGGATGTGAATTATCTCCATTAAGCTATTATAAAAACTTTTTTATTAATAATACACATAGCGGATAGGAGGAAAAGATATATTTGAGGCAGGATTATGAGAGATTAAAGCAAATTCTCCCCTGCCCCAAAAAAACAAAATACAAAAAAACGAACCTACCCTGGTTTTGGCATAATTCAGCATCTCTTGAGTGGTTTCATAGGTTATCCACTGAGCTTTCAGGCAGTAATTCACCACAAATTCATCATCCTGTTTCACAAATGCCAGACACAGTAAGGCAACCTAATGTTGATCAACACGTCAATCTAAATACTGTAGTATGTGACAAGAAAAACATACCTGGATCTTATGTAGATTTTCCTTAGCGTCGTCTACAAGTTGTTGCCATTCGGTCTGTTCACTGGCATCCACAGAACTCAATGCCAGTTTCTCCAATATATGATTTGACTTGACCTTGTAAACAAGCTGTAATATAAACACGCCACATCAAGCAATTTGAAGTACAATAATACCTGTGGATGGCTTATTCTCAGAGTAAGCTGAGTGAAACAAACTACTTCAAAAAGGTGAATCCTCATGCGCTCCAGGAATGAGATTTAAAGAAAGTAACATTCAGATATCTGAGAGGTGAACCAGATTATTAGCAGGTATGGGAACCATTTCTGTTGAGTCCTTACTAAACGTGTCAAGCAGTACACTTACTAAGAGCTTTATATGAGCTAAGATATGGAATCTAAATATCCATCAACAGATAAGTGAATAAATAAAATGTGGTATATTTGCACAGTAAAATATTGTTCAGTCTAGAAGCTAGATGTAGTGCCAGCCTGCTCAGGAGGCCGAGGCAGGACAACCATTTGAGCCCAGGAGTTCGAGCCCAGCCTGGGCAACATGGTAAGACCCTATTTAAAAAAAAAAAAAAAAAAAAAAAGAGGGAAAATTTGTCATTTCCAACAACAACACAGATAAACCTGAAGGACATTATGGTAAGTGAGATAAGTCAGACACAATAAAAAAAAAACACTATATGATCTCACTTACATGTGAAATCTTAAAATAGTCAAACTCATAAAAGTAGAGAGTAGAGGTCGGGCACGGTGGCTCACGCCTGTAATCCCAGCACTTTGGGAGGCTGAGGCAGGAGGATTATTTGAGGTCAGGAGTTCGATACCAGCCTGGCCAATATGGTTTCTACTAAAAATACAAAACTTAGCAGTGCATGTTAGTGGGCGCCTGTAATCCCAGCTACCTGGGAGGCTGAGGCAGGAGAATCCTTGAACCCGGGAGGCGGAGCTTGCAGTGAGCAGAGATCGTGCCACTGCACAACAGAGAAAGACTCCATCTCAAAAAAAAAAAAAAAAAAAGTAGAGAGTAGAATGGTGACAACTAGAGCCCAGGGGAAGGGGCGGGAGGATACAGAGGTGTCAGAGATGTTTCAAGGCTGCAAAGCTTCAGTTAGAAGGAGGAATGAGTTTCAGAGGTCTATGATGACTGTAGTTAGTAATAATGTATATTTCAAAATTGCTAAAAGAGCCAGGCGTGGTGGCGCACACCTGTAATCCTTGCATTTTGGGAGGCCGAGGCAGGTGGATTACCTGAGCTCAGAAGTTCAAGACCAGCTTGAGCAACATGGCAAAACCCCGTCTCTACTAAAAATACAAAAAATTAGCCAGGCGTGGTGGTGCGCGTCTGTAATCCTAGCTACTCGAGAGGCTGAGGCATGAGAATCACACGAACCTGGGAGGTAGGTGGAGGTTGTAGTGAGCCAAAATCGCGCCACTGCACCCCAGTTTGGGAGACAAAACAACACTCTATCTCAAAAAAAAAAATTGCTAAAAGAGTAGGTTTTAAATGTTCTCACCACAAAAAAAGATAAGTGAGGTGATAGTTATGTTAATTAGCTTGATTTAATCATTGCACAATGTAAATGTATAAAATCACCACATTGCACATCGAAAGTATATACAATCATTCTTGTTTTTCTTTTTATTTATTTTTATGAGACAGAGTCTCGCTCTGTCGCCCAGGCTGGAGTGCAGTAGCAGGATCTCGGCTCACTGCAACCTCTGCCTCCCGGGTTCAAGCGATTCTCCTGCCTCCACATCCCAAGTAGCTAGGACTACAGGTGCCTGCCACCACACCAGGATAATTTTTTGTATTTTTAGTAGAGACGGAGTTTCATCGTGTTAGCCAGGATGGTCTCGATCTCCTGACCTTGTGATCTGCCCGCCCTGGCCTTCCAAGGTGCTGGGATTACAGGCGTGAGCCACCGCGCCCGGCCCTTCTTTTTTATTTTTGAGACAGAGTCTTGCTCTGTCACCCAGGCTGGAGTGCAGTAAGTGTAACCTCAGCTCACTGCAACCTCCGCCTTCTGATTCAAGCGATTCATCTGCCTCAGCCTCCCGAGTAACTGGGACAACAGGCATCCACTGCCATGCCCAGCTAATATTTGTATTTTTAGTACAGACAGCGTTTTGCTATGTGGGCCAGGCTGGTCTTAAACTCCTGGCCTCAAGTAATCCACCCACCTTGGCCTCCCAAAGTGTGGGATTACAAAGGTGAGCCACTGCACCCGGCCAAGTATATATGATTATTTATCAACCGAAGAAAGATATTTATATGAATTGTCTTTTTAAATTATCATAACCTAAGAAGTAAACTTTTACATGTCATCATGACACTATGGGGTAAGTACTAATATCCCCATTTTACAAACAAGAAAACTGAGACCCAAGAAAGGTTAAGTAACGTGTCTGAAATTATGCAGTCCAAAAGTTACAGAGTCGATTTTGTTTGTCTGTTTAGAGACAAGATCTCGCTCTGTCACTCAGGCTAAAATGCAGCGGTGTAATCATAGCTCACTGCAGCCTGGAACTCCCGGGCTCAAGCAATTCTCTTGCCTCAGCATCTCAAGTAGCTGGGACTACAGGCGCACACCACCACGCCCACCCAGCTCATGAAACAGGTTTTTAAAGACAACCAATTTTCTAAGTCTACTAAAAGTTCTTTAAAGGTTAGAGTTACAAATACTCAAATTTCAGGTTCTGTTTCCTATGGACACAATACCAACTTTGACAGGGACTCTCTGGTTCTGAAAACTATAAATGATAACAAAGAGTAGTTTAATTCATGAATATTCCCCTCATTTCTTTCACAGATTTTCTGTTTTGGTTTGATTTTTTTGCTCCACTGTCTCTTTTTAAACATTACTTCTAAAATCTTTCAGATGTTCAAAAAAGTAATAATGTAAATTATAAATACTATAATAATAATGTACTCATCACCTTTAGCTTTAAAAATAAAGCAGATGTTACCAATAGTTTCAGATCCCACTGTTGTCTTTCCAAATACATCATCCTCTTCCTCCCAACCAGAAGTATACATTATTCTTGTATTTAGTACTAATTCCATTAATTACTTTGTCTCTTAACTTGTATACATTTCTAAACAATACACAGAATTATTCTTGCTGGGTATGGTGGCTCACACCTGTAATCCCATCACTTTGGGAGGCTGAGAAGGGAGGATCACTTGAGGTCAGGAGTTTAAGACCAGCCTGGGCAACATAGCAAGACCCTGTGTTTACAAAATATATATAAAAATAAATATATATTTTTCGGCCAGGCATGGTGGCTCATGCCTGTAATCCCAGCACCTTGGGAGGCTAAGGCAGGTGGATTACTTGCGGTCACGAGTTCGAGACCAGCCTGGCCAACATGGTGAAACCCCGCCTCTACAAAAAATACAAATATATATATATATATATATATATTTTTTTTTTTTTAAGGAAGTATTCTGTATGTTTAAAACCGTTATATTTTTTAAAACAAGCACGAGTAGCAAGCACCCACTTAGTAAATATTAATTCTTTAACCAACTACAGTAAGGCTTTCTCTCTTATTACTTCCCCAAAAACTGACTTTTCAAGGATTATCAATGACCTAATTGCTGTATCCTCCAGATGTCTTTCAGCTTTTATACTTGATCTTCTCTGTAGTAGTTGAAACTGCTGATCACTCCCCAGTACATTTAAAACTTACTGCTTCCTTGGCTTCCATAATCATACATTCTTACAGTTTTTCTCCCTTATTTCTTCCCAAATATGTGTACAGCCCTTCCTCCTCCATCCCTGATATGCTATTGCCCCCACATCACATCCTCAGATGTCTTTTCACTCTCTGCATTTGCTGGAGTCATCTGAGCCATTACACTGGTGTCTCCGACCCTTAGAAGCAGTGTAGGCCACTCCTCAACTTCCCACTAGACATCTCTATTTCACCAGACCCCTCACATCCATTTTTTTTTTAATTTTAATTTAGAGATGAGAGGCTCACTATGATGCCCAGGCTGGGGTGCAGTGGCTATTAACAGGCCAATCTTATTGCAGTATAGCCTCAAACACCTGACCTCAAGGAATCTTCCTCCCTCAGCCTCCCGAGCAGCTAGGACTACCAGCATGCACGACTGTGCTCAGCTCACATCCAATTTTCATAAAGCAGAACTTTTCATCTTTTATCCCTAAACTGCTCTTCCACACATATTCCTCATTTCAGGTCATGCCATCGTCACCCAATGTGTATGCTTAGCCAGAGTAAAGCAAGTCAACCTCAAGTCCCCTGCCCTTCCTTCCATTTGATCACTAAGTCCTGCTGATTCCACCCACTATATTCCTCTTTTTTTTTTTTTTTCCCTGAGACAGAGTCTTGCTGTGTTGCCCAGGATAGAATGCAGTGGTGTGATCTTGGCTCACTGTAACCTCCACCTCCTGGGTTCAAGTGATTCTCCTGCTTCAGCCTCCCGAGTAGGTGGGACTACAGGCATGTGCCACCACACCTGGCTAATTTTTGTATTGTTAGTACAGTATTTTTAGGTTTCACCATATTGCCCAGGCTGGTCTTGAACTCCTGACCTCAGGTTATCTGCCTGTCTCTGTCTCCCAAAGTGCTGGAATTAAAGGAGTGAGCCACCGCACCTGGCCTATATTCCTCTCTTATCAGCCTTCTCTCTCACCTATATCTGTACTTCATTGCCCTGGTTCAGGTCTCCTAGAGAAAAGTACTTAGTTCCAATGTATTTACCCTTCTCCAAATTCTTTGTCTTTCTAAAATGACAACCTAATCAAGATACTCTCCTGCTTAAAACTGTCAGCAGGTTCCTATCACCTGCAAAATCAAATCTCACTCCTGGCCACAAGTGGTGGCTTAGGACTGTAATCTCAAAACTTTGGGAGGCCAAGGTAGACAGATCTCTTAAGCCCAGGAGTTCAAGACCAGCCTGGGTAACATGGAAAACCTTGTCTCTACAAAAAATTTAAAAATTAGTTGGGCATGGTGGTATGCAACTATAGTCCCAGCCACTTGGGAAGCTGAAGCAGGAGGATCACTTGAGCCTGGGAGGTCAAGGCTGCGGTAAGCTGTGATCGCCCCACTGTACTCCAGCCTGGGTGACAGAGGCCCCTACTTCTGCATCATCATCATCTTCTTTTACTCTGCTGCCCATATAACCTACATTCTAGTCCCACCTAATCAGCAGGAGTTCCTGAAGCATCACAAGTCCCCCTCATTCTATCCATGCTGACCTTGTACCCAGAATCCCTTCCCCTCCCTGGTCTGTCAGGAACACCTTCAAGACCTGACCTGAGGCCAGGTGCAGTGGCTCACACCTGTAATCCCAGCACTTTGGGAGAACAAGACAGGCAGATCACGAGGAGGTTAGGAGTTCAAGGCCAGCCTGGCCAAAATGGTGAAACCCCATCTTTACTAAAAATACAAAAATTAACCGGGCATGGTGATGCATGCCTATAATCCCAGCTACTCGGTAGGCTGAGGCAGGAGAATCGCTTGAACCCAGGAGGCGGAGGTTGCAGTGAGCTGAGATTGTACCACTGCACTCTAGCCTGGGCAACAGAGTAAGACTCCATCTCAAGAAAAAAGAAAAAAAAAAGACCTGACCTGAAAACGACCTCCTCAGTAACATCTTTCTGCCCAACTATGGGTCACTCTTTCCTCTGAATCTCTAATCAACTTCAGTCATATCTTAATTACAGCCTTAATCACACTAAATTCCAATTATATATTACATGTCTGTCCTCTCAGCCTCTAGCCCATGACGAAATGCTTGTTTGGTGAACAAATGAATACATGAATGATTACCTCAACATCTAGTCCAAACTGAATGGCAAAACTCTCAGCTTCAGCAAATCTGTGTTTGTGAAGTAACCGACTCAATCTGTTAAGTTGGAAGAGAAATTTTGTTAAATGCTTATTATTCAGGGAATTTAAGTTATTCACTAAAGGATAAAGCTTAAAAAAAAATGAGAAGTTACCTGTTTTCTGGTAAAGCTTCCGTAAGACATCTGAGTACTAACACAGAGACTGAGTCTTCAGACAATCTAGAAAAAATTTTAACTATAAATGCGCTTGTCTTTTAATATTAATACGTAAAATTTAACATAGCTATTACTTAACACGGTAAAACATGACCTACTTTGGATCATTTTTGCAAACTCCTTCTAAAAGGTATATGGTATCCTACAATAACAAAAAAACATGATTAAAATTCCAATATAAGAGCAATGCATTTTATAATTACTAGAGTAACTACTGGTTCAGGCATGAATTATCCATCAATGGACTTTAAAACAACTGGGTATCCCATAAATACCTACTATGTACCCACAAAAATTTAAGGAAAAAAAAAACACTGGGAAAAAATGGCTAGGAAATATAAATCCCATAGACTCAAAATAATATCACATAGGTTACTTTCTATTAAGGGAAAAACACTTTATAAATGGGGAAATCTGACAGAACTGCCTTAACCAAATGATCACATTTAAAATCACCCATAACAGGACAAATGGATACCATGAGCCTCTTAACGTGATGTGGTTAGAAAACAATATTACCTGTGCAGTATTTGTGCCAAAAAAAGCTTAACATGAATCTAATCATGATGAAACAATCAAATCCAAATAGAGAAACAGTCTACAAAACCACAGGGTGGCGACTCTTCAAAACTGTCAATGTCTTAAAAGACAAAAAATGGACCAGATGCAATGGCTCACACATGTAATATTAACAATTTGGGGAGGTGAGCCAGGAAGCTCACTTGAGCTCAGGAGCTTGAGTCTAGCCCAGGAAACATAGTGAGACCACCTCTCTACAAAAAATGTAAAAATTAGCCAGGCCTGGTGGTGCACACCTGTAGTCCCAGCTACTCAGGAGGCTGAAGCAGGAGGACCACTTGAGCCCAGGAGTTGGAGGCTGTAGTGAGCTATGATTGAGCGACGGTACTACAACTTGGGCAACAGAGCAAGACCCTGTCTCGACAACAACAACAACAACAAAAACACAGAGACCTAAATTTGATGAGTGATTCTTGATTAGATCATAAGAAAAAAAAATAGCTTTAAAGTAATTGGCCCAATTGGTAAAATTTAAATCTAGAAGAGTTTATAATAAATAATACTGTATTTGAGTTACATTTTCTGAGTATGATAATTGCATTGTAGAAGAATGCCCTTATTTTTAGGAGATACCTGCTGAAGATTTAGGCGTGACAGCATGATGTCTACAAGTAATTTCCAAAATGTGGAAAACTACAGTGTGTGTGTAAAAAGAAATTAAACAAATGTGGTAAAATATTTTTAAAATATGTAAATTAGTTACATAAATATGTAACAGCAATAGTCTCCATCTCCCATTATCATCTATACTTCCTGTAGAGACACAAGAAAGAAGAATAAGCAGATGACTGATGTTTTGACTTTTTTTTTAATATGATGACTAACCTTAGACTATCAAGTAAGTATATTTGAGGATCTCTATTAATAAATATAGTTATAAACCTGAAATTTATCCAGGTTTCCACTAGGTTCCACTAATGCTTAGCTTAATTATTAAGGCTTTTAATCATCCCTGATTAGATACCAGATAAAGAAAAAAGTAGTTAAAAGAATACTTTAAAATGCAAATAAACTTACTGTGCTAATTCCTGTTTGGACCAGAGAAGAAACACTAGATACTTCCAAAGAATATAGTATTTCCATTGTAGGTAATGAATAAACCATGAGGTTTTTCATCTAAGAAAAATAGCAGAGCAATTAATTTAGCAGATCAATTTAAACATGCAAGTACAAAACAGCACTTCACAATTAAGAGCAGATTAAAACACATGGGAGCGGCTGGGCGTGGTGGCTCATGCCTATAATCCCAGCACTTTGGGAGGCTGAGGCAGGCGGATTGCCTGAGCTCAGGAGTTCCAGACCAGCCTGGGCAACACAGTGAAACCCTGTCTACTAAAATACAAAAAATTAGCCTGGTGTGGCGGTGTGCATCTGTAATCACAGCTACTGGGATAATCACAGCTACTGGGGAGGCTGAGGCAGAAGAATCTCTGGAACCCAGGAGACGGAGGTTGCAGTGAGCCGAGATTGTGCCACTGCACTCCGGCCTGGGCAACAGAGCGACACTGTCTCAAAAAATAAAAATAAATAAAAAACAAAAAACCAAAAACACATGGGAGCACTTTGGGAGGCCGAGGCAGGCGGATCACTTGAGGTCAGGAGTTGGAGACCAGCCTAGCCAACATGGTGAAACCCCGTCTCTACTAAAAATACCAAAATAATTAGCTGGAACATAGTGGTGCACATCTGTAATCCCAGCTACTTGGGAGGCTGAGGCAGAATTGCTTGAACCTGGGAGGAAGAGGTTGCAGTGAGCCGAGATTGCACCACTACACACACTCCTGTCTGGGTGAAAGAGTGAGACTGTCTCTAAATAAATAAATAAATAAAACACACAGTACAAAGCTAAATGCAAAAAATAAGCATTTATAAGTAAGTCTGTTACCGTATGACTTATTTTATTTTACTTTTTTTGAGATGGAGTTTCGCTTTTGTTGCCCAGGTGGAGTACACTGGTGCACTCTCAGCTTACCGCAACCTCTGCCTCCCAGGTTCCAGCTATTCTCCTGTCTCAGCCTCTCGAGTAACTGGGATTACAGGTGCACGCCACCAAGCCCGGCTAATTTTTGTATTTTTAGTAGAGACTGGGTTTCACCATGTTGTCCAGACTGGTCTCAAACTCTTGACCTCAGGTGATCCACCTGCCTTGGCCTCCCAAAGCGCTAGGATTACAGGTGTGAGCCAACGCACCCAGCTTGTTACTATATGATTTAAATGTTACATATGAAATGATGTTCTACCCCATATTCCAACTCTGTTGAATGAAAATCCATACATATACCTGAAGTCCATTCTACAGTTTGTATTTAAGGTGAAATGTAATTCCTCAGTGCCAGAACTACGTAAGAGTCACTCTAATAAACACTTTCCTGGGCCGGGCGCAGTGGCTCACACCTGTAATCCCAGCACTACGGGAGGCCGAGAGGCAGGCAAATCACCAGGTCAGGAGATAGAGACCGGCCTGGCCAAAATGGTGAAACCCCATCTCTACTAAAAGTACAAAAATTAGCTGGGTGTGGCGGCAGGCACCTGTAATCCCAGCTACTTGGGAGGCTGAGGCAGGAGAATCGTTTGAACCCAGGGGGTGGGGGGTTGCAGTGAGCCGAGATTGTGCCATAGCACTACAGCCCAGGGGACAGGGTAAGATCCCATCTCAAAAAAATAATAATAATAAAATAAAATAAACACTTTCCTATGGGCATTTTTGGTTCCTGAAGTGCTCCATTTAAAATATGGAGTCAAGATTTACAGCTTTTTACTTTAAAAAGAGTTCTGCAGGTTTATTTCTGATTGTCAAGTTTCTGTGTGAACTAAGAGCTAATATGCTGTACTATTTAACATCTACTTTTGTATTCACTAATGCTTTTTCTAACACATAATATAGGCAAGCACAAAATAAAATTTTCCAATACCTTCTTATTAGCTGAAGCTGTCAGAGCTATTAATTTGAGATTTGTAATTCCTTGCCTAAAAGAGAAAAGAACCTTTAAATAATTCAAGTAAACTTTTACACAACAAAAACATACAATATTATCTATTGATTAAAAAAGTAGGCTTTGCCAATTACAAGATATAAACTAAAGTAACACTCTTCCATAAAAAATAAAATGTAATAGACACTGTATTCCATTTCTGCACGTTTATGCCCAGACTGACAGTTTCTAACAAAATGACTTGGAAGTTCATATTGCCTAACTGTTCCCAGTGAATTTTGCAAACGGTCTTTACTCTGTCAGACTGTTTCACAGTGTTGTTTAGAATGTAAAACATAATAAATGACCTGAACAAAACCAGACAAGATACCTGGTACTAACAGAAGGGAAATGACTACTAGCCATAGTCATAACATACCACGTGACTGATGAAGGAGAGTCTGCTTCTGTAGTAAGAAGAAACTCTTCTACGTGAAGAGAGGGCCAGTTCCATACAGGAGTTAGAGTGTAAATATCCCATAAACTCAGCACGTTCTGCAATAGAGACATTTCATTTACATGTCCTTTTTTTTTGAGACAGAGTTTTGCTCTTGTCGCCCAGGCTGGAGTGCAATGGTGCGATCTCGGCTCACTGCAACCTCCACCTCCCAGGTTCAAGCGATTCTCCTGCCTCAGATTCCTGAGTAGCTGGGATTACAGGCGCCCACCACCACGCCCAGCTAATTTTTTGTATTTTTGTATTTTTTGTATTTTTAGTAGGCTAGCCACCACGCCTAGCCTACGTGTCTTCTTAATGATTAAAAATTTACATTTCAGACCAGGCGCAGTGGCTCACACCTGTAATCCCAGCACTTTGGGAGGCCAAGGTGGGTGGACCACCTGGGGTCAGGAGTTCGAGACCAGCCTGGCCAACATGGTGAAACCCCGTCTCTACTAAAAATACAAAAAATTAGCCGGGCGTGGTGATGGGCGCCTGTAATCCCAGCTACTCAGGAGGCTGAGGCAGGAGAATCGCTTGAACCCGGGAGGTGGAGGTTGCAGTGAGCCGAGATCGCACCATTGCACTCCAGCCTGGGAAACAAGAGCGAAACTCTATCTCAAAAAAAAAAAAAAAAATTACATTTCAGGATCAACTTTTTGGTACATATACTGAAAAAAAGCACAGTACACAAGATAGTTATCCACCCTAGCTAAAACCCTTGCCTTTGTAAGTCTGACATTTTTGTTGTAAAACATATCAAGTAAAAACATTGAAGGAGAAACAAGAAACATACATCAGTATCAAGAACAAAAAGTAGATTGTCTATCAGCTGGAACTTCTTTGCACCTACAAAAGAGAAAATAAGATGTCTCAGGATTTTATTTCAATATTTCATATATCTAAATAAAAAACTAACATATTCACAGAAAGGCAGAACTACATAATTACTAGGTCCCATTTTCCTTTATTCCTGCCTCTATTTCTGTTAGGTGATTACTAAAATGTAAAACCTCCCAAAATGAAGAGTAACAACTGTAACATGTCAAGAACTGTTCTGTATGTGAACAACCATCAAGCTATTCTGGCTTGTTTCAAAGAGTGGTAGGGTAAAATGACCCATATGTCAGTCTAAGTACACTGACATAAAAATTAAAACTCACTAATAATTGTCTAAAGTAGTTTCATTAACTTATTTTACCTTTAATAATCTCTGCATCAATAAGGTTCTTAACTGTCATTCCTTTCTTGGAAGAATCTGGTTCCCATTTTGAGAATGCACAATTACCGGTTCCCTGGAAAAATGAACACAGTACTTAAAATGCAAATTTCATTCTTAGACCTGAGCCTTCCTCAAAGTAGAAACATGTAAGTTTTATAGGTTACTAATTTTAAAATATATTTACATATTCTAACTTAACTAGGTTTCATCTTCCAGTTCCTCTCTTGGTTTCTGAAGAGAATGAAAAAAACAGTGTACTATTGGAATTCATGGTTATTACAATTTTTTTTTTTTTTTTAATTTGAGACAGGGTCTCACTCCATTGCCCAGGCTGGAGGGCAGTGATCACAGCTCACTGCAGCCTCAATCTCCTGGGCTCAAGCGATCCTCCCACCTCAGCCTCCCCAGTAGCTGGGACTACAGGTGAGCATCACCACACCCGGCTAATTTACTATTTGTTGTAGAGACAGGGTCTCCCTATGTTGCTGAGACTGGTCTCAACCTCCTGGGTGCAAGCAATCCTCCCACCTCAGCCTCTCAAAGTGTTGGGATTACAGGCATGAGCCACCATGCCAGCCTTCACATAAATATTTAATGAGCGTATTTAGGCAACTAGCACTAAAGACATGCAGTGAACTTTTAAGACCTCTTCCAGGATTATGATTAAAATATAGTCTTTGATAAGTATTTTCATTAAAATACCACAGATATTTGGAAAAAAAATTTATAAATATTAATTTTAAATTCTTTGAAACCCTGGTGAAATGTTAAATTAGATATGCTCAATGTGGAAATATGACTGCTTCTTTTCTCTCTTTTTTGTTTCTTCTCTTTTTAGAGACAGGATCTCACTGTGTTGCCAGGCCGCAGTGAAGTGGGGTGATCACAGGTGTGATCAGAGCTACTGCAGCCTGATACTCCTGGGCTCACGCAATTCTTCTGCCTCAGCTTCCCAAGTAGCTGGGACCATAGGAGCATGCCATGACACGCAGCTGACTACTTCTTAATATATAAATTTGGCAAGTAAAAATGTTGTAAACGTAATTATACTGAGTTTCTGCCTATTCTTTGAATATAACATTAGGTATTTTCCCCCAAAATTTAAAGAAATTATGATCAGGGTTACTGGAAGTGACATACCAATAATGAAATGTTACTTTTTACATGTAACATGAGATATAAGACATTATACAGCAATGTATACATGCCAATGGTTGTGAATGAATTGTGCTTTTCTACGTGCATCCTTGTCCACGTTCCCATTTCACTAATAACAAAACTTGCAAGTAGCCTAGCTAGCCAAGACTAAGAATAACGTAGAATCACTTAGGAGGCAGGCATTACATCAAAGACACTTTACTCTTTAGGACCATTCTCTAACACTAAGGTTCTTAACCTGAATTATTTCAAGATTCAACGGATTTGTGAAGCTGGATGGGCAAAAAATTTACATCTTTATTTTCACTAATCTCCATCTGAAACAGAATTTCTTTCACTTATGAATGTAGGCCACAAAAACCCCAAAAAACAAAAAGCAGTAGAATCAGCAGTCCCTGTGAGTATGTCACCAGTAGTAATTACACTTCCTATTAGAAAAACTATGATGACCATAATTTTGAAGTAGTGGTGTGTAAATATTTATTTCAAGACAGCTGCAATAATGTGCTGTTTTTCCATTAGTGACAAAGTCACAGGTACTGTAACAATGGAATTTTTTGGTTTTGTTTTCTATCGTTTTTGTCTGCTCTCATAATTGAAAAAAATGCTGTACTTTCAGGTAAAGACTAGGGAAAGTAAAGATGCAATATTTTTTCCAAGACAGAAATTTATTTATTGAGTTATTTTTAATTACCTTAATTTTATAATTTCCTTGTTTCGGTTATATGTTACAAATTATTTTGCAATTTAACCAAAACAAAAACATTTTTCTGAGAAAATGCTTTAGGCAACAAAAAACAAAACTTTATAAAAACAATTACCCCAATTATCACAGGAACTTCACTTGCTAAATCTCCAGCCACAAGACTGAGACAACCAAGAGTATGATAATTTTCAGTAGAAATAAAACTGGACTTGATTTGTCCTTGTAACTGCAAAATTAAAAACAACAACGTCATATATATAATACATATTTATGCTCCATAAAATCACTAAAATCAGTTGATATCAATCAGTTATAAATTTTTTTTTTTTTTTTTGGAGACAGAGTTTTGCTCTTGTTGCCCAGGCTAGAGTGCAATGGCGCAATCTCGGCTCACCACAACCTCTGCCTCCCGAGTTCAAGTAATTCCCTGCCTCAGCCTCCTGAGTAGCTGGGAGTACAGGCATGCGCCACCACCCCCCGGCTAATTTTGTATTTTTTAGTAGAGATGGGGTTTCTCCAGTTGGTCAGGCTGGTCTCGAACTCCGGACCTCAGGTGATCCGCCCCCTTGGCCTCCCAAAGTGCTGGGATTACGGGCATAAATGTATTTTTAAATAGAAATGTTATTAAAATGTTATATCATAATAATTTCTAAAATATCAAGAAGTAGACCAATTATATACAGAAACATTCTACTACATTAATATTAAATGTAATTTTTTTAAGAGGACAATATGGATTTATTTTCTTACCTTTTTTGCTGTACTGAAGTCTACATTCTCAATTGCTGCATTAAAAAAGAAAGCAGGCTAAATGTATAGTATTAATCTACAAAATAATACAAGTCACCTGTTTTGTGTCAAGGTGAAATTAAATACAATCTAGTTCAAAGAACACTGGTGAGAATTAAGTTTTGCCCCTGACCAAAATACGCTAACTGTGACATGTTAGATTCAGGGCACCAGCCAGTACCTCTCCATACCTACCCTTACCACCTCTCTTCCTACTAAGGGGATCTTCTCCCTACTCCAACTCTCCTGTGCTTCTCACTGTTTGGAATAGCTCTTACGTTTCTAGCTCCATCATGAAGCTATGGAAAACAAATCTTCAATCTTGTCATATACCCAAGACGTAGCACAGGCCTGGCAAGTCAGTATTTTAAAAATATCACTTAGGCCGGGCGCAGTGGCTCATGCCTACAATCCCAGCACTTTGGGAGGCCAAGACGGGCAAATCACTTGACGTGAGGAGTTCGAGACCAGCCTGGCCAACATGGTGAAACCCCGCCTCTAGTAAAAATACAAAAATTAGCCAGGTGTGGTGGTGCGCACCTGTAATCCCAGTTACTTGGGAGACTGAGGCACAAGAATCACTTGAACCTGGGAAGCGGAGGTTGCAGTGAGCCGATATCATACCACTGTACTCCAGCCTGGGCGACAGAGCAAGACTCCATCTCAAAAATAAATAAATAAATAAAAATAATAAAATAAAACAAAATGTTAAATACCTGTTCCAAATCCATTCCTCAAATAATTTCACTTGGCTTAGAGGGATAAATGGTCCAGACTACTAGCTTAAAACATATTTTACATTATTGTTCTGCACTATATATTTTTTTTTTTGAGACAGAGTTTCGCTCTTGCTGCCCAGGCTGGAGTGCAACAGCGTGATCTCAGCTCACCGCACCTCTGCCTCCTGGGTTCAAATTATTCTCCTGCCTCAGCTTCCCGACTAGCTGGGATTACAGGCGCCTGCCACCCTGTCTGGCTAATTTTGTATTTTTAGTAGAGACAGGGTTTCTTCATGTTGGTCAGGCTGGTCTTGCACTCCCAACCTCAGGTGATCTGCCCGCCTTGGCCTCCCAAAGTGCCAGGATTACAGGCATGAGCCACCACGCCAGCCCTGTTCTGCACTATTAACACTACATAGTCATTTCCATTTCCAGGTTCATCCACCACATTAAAAAGTATTTACTATTGTGCTAGCATATGTCTTGTCTCCCCAACTAAACTGTTGAAGCTTATCTCCCCAAACTAAGCTCCTTGAAGGCCATATCAAAATTACATTTATTCAGATACTGTTCCAGCTCTAACAGAGGAGAATAACTGTATTCTGAATACTTAACAGTATACCCAATTATAACTAAATACAAGTAAGATAAAATAAGCTTAAAGAGAGTACTTAAAATTTTACTATTACATTAATAAAACTAGTAAATATTGCTGCAAATCAATAATAAAAATATAATGTATTACTTACCTTGTTGAATTTTTAAAAGCTGAAGGTTTGTAATACAAAAAAATCCACTGTATGTAAGAAGTAGCATATAATAGGTACCTATTGAAATAAAATCAGAATCAGTTTCTTTTTTTTGAGATGGAGTCTCATTCTGTCGCTAGGCTGGAGTGCAGCAGCGCGATCTCGGCTCCCTGCAACCTCCGCCTCTAGGGTGCAATTCTCCTGCCTCAGCCTCCCAAGTAGCTGGGACTACAGGCGTGCACCACCATGCCCAGCTAATTTTTGTATTTTTAGTAGAGACAGGGTTTCACCATGTTGGCCAGGATGGTCTTGATCTCTTGACCTCATGATCTGCTTGCCTCAGCCTCCCAAAGTGCTGGGATTACAGGCCTGAGCCACTGCTCACGGCTGGGAATCAGTTACTTTAAAAGGCACATGGATATAAAATTTAAACCAGTGTCTGTTTGAACGTGGCTTTTGAAGAAAGAGAGAAAGACAGAAAGAGGCGGGGCGCAGTGGCTCACGCCTGTAATGCCAACACTTTGGGAGGCCAAGGCAGGTAGATCACGAGGTCAGGAGCTCGAGACCAGCCTGACCAACATGGTGAAACCCCGTCTCTACTAAAAATATAAAAATTAGCTGGTTGTGGTGGTGCGTGCCTGTAGTCCCAGCTACTCAGGAGGCTGAGGCAGGAGAATTGCTTGAACCCGGGTAGTGGAGGTTGCAGTGAGCTGAAATTGCGTCATTGCTCTCCAGCCTGGGTGACAGAGTGAGACTCCATCTCAGAAAAAAAAAAAAAGAGAGGGAGAGACAGAGGAAGGACGGAAGGAAGGAAGGAAGGAAGGAAGGAAGGAAGGAAGGCAGGCAGGCAGGCAGGCAGGCAGGCAAGCACAAACAAACAGTATCTGGAACTACCTTAAAAATATGTCAATTTGAAGGTTTTTTTTTTGTTTTTTGTTTTTGAGACAGGGTCTCAATCTATCTCCCAGGCTGGAGTGCAATGGCCTGCACTCGCAGGCCAGACACTGCAGTGCAGCGATCGCAGCTCACTGCAGGCCCAAGAGATCCTCCCAACTCAGCCTCCTGAGAAAGTGGGACTACAGACACACACCAACACATGTGGCTAATTTTTTATTTTTTGTAGAGGTGGCGGTCTCTCTATATTATCCAGGCTGGTTTCGAGCTCCTAGACTGAAGCAATGCTCCCACCTCAGCCTCCTAAAGTGCTAGAATTACAGATGTGAGCCACCACACACAGCCTGCTCATTTAAATTCTAATGATCAAATATTATAGTAATGTTACAGATAAAACTTATTTACAAAGAACTAGTAGGTTATTTGCAAAAACATTGTTAACTTCTTTTGAAACTTTTATTAAAACAACAAACTTCATGTGCCAGAAAAAAAAATCTCAGATATATCAAAATAAACTAAGGCCCAGTTAACACTTGTTGAAGTAAAAATATAATAATATACTGAAGCCCAGAAACACATTTTAAAAGAATATAATGTCTCCTTGGTAACCTATAGAAATCTCAAAACTGTAAAAACAAGTTCAGAATATTATATTTAGGAAAAGTATATATTTAAACATCTAAAAAGAGCTTTAAAAATTTTTTTCAAAAATTTAAAAATTGTTTCTTACAATATTAATTGCATTGATAGAAAAAAATGTATAAAAAATACAGAAAAGGCCAGGCACAGTGGCTCACAGGCAGATCACCTGAGGCGGGCAGATCACCTGAGGTCAGGAGTTCAAGACCAGCCTAGCCAACATGGTGAAACCCCATCTCTACTAAAAACAAAAAATTAGCCAGGCGTGGTGGCAGGTGCCTGTAATCCCAGCTACTCGGGAGGCTGAGGCAGGAGAATCGTTTGAACTCAGGAGGCAGAGGTTTCAGTGAGCCGAGGTCGTGCCATTGCACTCCAGCCTGGGGGACAAGAGGGACACTTCGTCTCAAAAAAAAAAAAAACAGAAAAAATGTAGGTAGCATAATAATGATTTTATATAATTTATTAACCACAAATTTGAATTTTTGATTGGATATTAGTCAGAAGTCATTCAGGCTGGGCGCAGTGGCTCACGCCTGTAATCCCAGCACTTTGGGAGGCCGAGGCAGGTGGATCACTCACTTGAGGTCAGGAGCTTGAGACCAGCCTGGCCAACATGGTGAAACTCCATCTCTATTAAAAATACAAAAATTAGCCGGGCGTGGTGGCACACACCTGTAATCCCAGCTACTCAGGAGGCTGAGGCAGGAGACGCCTGAACCTGGGAGCTGGTGGTTCCAGTGACCTGAGATTGCGCCACTGCACTCCAGCCTGGGCGACAAAGGGAGACTCCATTAAAAAAAAAAAAAAAAGTCATTCAAAAAAAAATTCAGGAAAACTTACCTTCATTTGAACCATCCTTCTCAATGACAAGATTCTGGTAAGTCCGCCGATTTTCATCGTTAGCTTTCTGAACAAATGCCTAAATGCAAATTAATTTCAAATAATAAAATTAAACATAGAAAAATACAATCAAGGATTTTATTCTTTAAACTCTAGAGTTATCAATTATCATTAGCAATAATTCTGCCTATATTCTAAACATCTTACTTTTAAAATGGAAAACTATTTTGGACAAGTGTACTAAATACCTTCAAGACTGCTCCCTTGCGATTCCTTGAGCCACAAGCCTACTAAACCTGGCCTAAGAAAATTTTTGTTTGACCTGGTGCTAATTTCTATTTATGTGAGAGCCAAGAATTCGGGATCCAAGCTGTGGTAACACCTTCAAAGCTTAATTTTTCAAAAAAACATTTTTTTAATTTAAAATACCATTCAGTATAGGGAAGAAACTCAATCCTGGCAGGCAAGAGACATGGTAACCAAGACCCCAAAGGCTTCATATGTCTGGGCATTCCCTCCTCTACCTTCCTGCCTCCCTTAACAAGCTGACTGGAATCAAACAGCAGAAAGCTGCCTGCTCCTGAGTTAGCTGACCAAGCTGAATTCCCAACCATACAAGAACCTAACCATTTGTCTCCTGGAGTTACTTCTCCCAAAGTTGTTAAAGTGGGACTCTAGCATTCCTAATAAAAACCTGACCATCTTCCAAGGTTACTAAATCAGGATTCTAGCAGTCCTGCTAAGCACCTGACCAGATCCAGCCAGCTGAAGACAAGGTGGACTTCAACCCTGGCCTTTCACCAAGTATTTCCTAATTTTAACCTAATTATGATACTAAAAATCACACCCAGGGATGGAGATTTAACATGCTAGTGAGATATACAACACATGAAAAAGGATGCGACCAAAATTCACAGGCGCTAAAAGTTCCCTGCCTCTACATGCCTACAAATCACTCCCTTTTTCACCTCAGCTTCCTCAAAATGACAAGAGCTAAGCCCTTCGGGGAGCTAGCACTTGGGATCCCTTTCCCATACGCTGTTTCCTTGAGATTCCTTGAGCCACAAGCCTACTAAACATTCCCTGGGAAAATTTCTGTTTGACCTGGTGTTAATTTCTATTTACACGAGAGCCAAGAACTCAGGATCCAAGCTGTGGTAACACCTTCAAAGCTTAATTGTTCAAAAAAACATTGCTTTAATTTAAAACACATGTTAAGTAATAGTTTGCTAGAGTTTTAGTTGTCTAAGAGATTATTTAGAATTTAAATAATGAAAATTAAAATACAACAAGATCTTACATTAGTGAGTAGTGTTTGTTTTGATGTTACATGAATAAGATGTAGGTTGCCACTTCTCTCGCCAACCAAAAGAAACTTTCCTTCTTGACAAAGGCCAACTACATCCACTTCAGTATCTGAAAATTTCAAATCAAAGTTACAAGCTTCCTTCGAAAATCTTTATTTTCAATACAAAAAAAATACAAATTTTTCTCATTAAAAAGCCAACGATTACTTAAGTTACTTCTAAATACTGCAAAACAGATGTGATGAAAGTAAAAAAGAATGTTGTTGACTTTTATTCAGTCAACAAATATTTTTTGTTTTGTTTTGTTTTTGAGACAGCGTCTCGCTCTGCTACCCAGGCTGGAGTGCAGTGGTACCACCCCAGTTCACTGCACCCTAGACTTCCTGGGCTCAGTCAGGCAATTCTCCCACCTCAGCCTCCCAGGTAGCTGGGACCACAGGTACACACCACTATGGCCAGCTAGTTTTTGGTATTTTTTGTACAGACGAGGTTTTGCCATGTTACCCAGACTGGTCTCGAACTCCTGAGCTCAAGCGATTGTCCATCTCTGCCTCCCAAAGTGCTGAGGTTACAGATGTGAGCCACTGCATGCAGCTGGTCAAGAAATATTTACTGAGCACTTACTATATGGTAAACTTTGTTCTAGGCCTTTTACATATATCTGAGAACAGTAACAAAAGATTACCACCGTCACAGAGCTCATATTCTAAGACAGAAATAGCTGATAAATGACCAGGCGTGGTGGCTCACACCTGTAACCCCAGCACTTTGGGAGGCCGAAGCAGGCAGATCACTTGAGGTCAGGAGTTCGAGACCAGCCTGGCCAACATGGTGAAACTCCGTCTCTACTAAAAATATAAAATTAGCCGGACATGGTGGCATGTGCCTGTAATCCAGTCTACTCAGGAGGCTGAGACAGGAGAATCGCTTGAACCCAGGAGGTGGAGGCTGCAGTGAGCTGAAATCACGCCACTGCACTCCAGCCTAGGCAACAGAGCCAGACTCCGTCTCAAAAAAAAAAAAAAATAGCTGATAAACAATTAGCATAATAAACAAACTGTGAGACATGTAAGAAGGTGATAGATGTTCTGGGGAAAAAAATGTAGAGCCAGGTAAGAGAGCTCAGAAGAATGGTGCATTTTGCAGTGTTAATTAGAAAGCTCACAGGAGACATGAAAGAGGTGAGGAAGTTAGCCAAATGACTAAGATGAAGAGCATTCCGAGCATTCAGATGGTGGACACAGCTCAAGGAAAGATCATGGAGTGGGAAGTGCCTGTTGTATTCATGCAAAAGCAAGAAGGCCAAGGTAACAGAAAACAAAGCAAAGAGGGAAGGGACAAGACAGAAAAACAATAGTATGTAACTGGCTTACGAACTCAAGTTATTCCGCCACAATGTCTTTTCACAAATGGATCATCGTTACTCATCCCACCACTTAATAGAAGAAACTGTGAATCTTGTGGACCAATCAGGGTCAATACGTCAAGGTTCCATAAAACACAAGTTTCTTGCCTCCATGTTGCAATCAAGATATGTTCCAAAATGCATGTGTTCTGTTTCCTTTTCAGTTGTCTAAGTTCTTATGTAAAAGTTTCAACAACTATCTTTCTCTTAAAATTTCTATTTAATGGCCGGGTGCAGTGGCTCACGCCTGTAATCCCAGCACTTTGGGAGGCCAAGGTGGGTGGATCATTTGAGGTCAGGAATTTGAGAGCAGCCTGGCCAACATGGTGAAACCTGACCCTACTAAAAATACAAAAATTACCAGGCATGGTGGCAGGCGCCTGTACTCCCAGCTACTTGGGAGGCTGAGGCAGAAGAATCTCTTGAACCTGGGAGGTGGAGGTTGCAGTGAGCTGAGAGAGCACCACTGCACTCCAGCCTGGGCCACAGAGCGAGACTGTCTCAGGGAAAAAAAAAAAAAAGGCCTGGCACGGTGGCTCACGTCTGTAATCCCAACACTTCAGGAGGCCGAGGCGGGCAGATCATGAGGTTGAGACCAGCCTGGCCAACATAGTGAAACCCTGTTTCTTCTAAAAATACAAAAAAAGATTAGCAGGGCGTGGTGATGGGTGCCTGTAGTCCCAGATACTTGGGAGGCTGAGGCAGGAGAATTGCTTGGACCCTGGAGGCGGAGGTTGCAGTGAGCTGACATCATGCCACCACACTCCGGCCTAGGCGACAGTGCGAGACTACATCTCAAAAAAAAAAAAAATTTCTACTCAAGAAAGAAAAAACTTTCGGGGTCGGGTGTCGTGGCTCATGCCTATAATCCCAGCACTTTGGGAGGCCGAGGCAGGCAGATCACAAGGTCAGGAGATCGAGACCATCCTGGCTAACATGGTGAAATGCTGTCTCTACTAAAAAAAAAAAAAAATACAAAAAATTGCCCAGGCATGGTGGTGGGCGCCTGTAGTCCCAGCTATTCAGGAGGCTGAGGCAGGAGAATGGTGTGAACCCGGGAGGCAGAGCTTGCAGTGAGCCGAGATTGTGCCACTGCACTACAGCCTGGGTGACAGAGCGAGAGAGACTCCATCTCAAAAAAAAAAAAAAAAAACTTTCATAATATTCTTGCCTAAGCTCAGTACAATCACTGACTTACCCCTTAATTCACTCTTTTTTTTGTTTTTGAGACACGACTGTCACTCTGTCACTCAGGCTAGAGTATAGTGGCATAATCTTGGCTCACTGCAACCTCTGCCTCCTGGGATCAAGCGATTCTCCTGCCTCAGACTCCTGAGTAGCTGGGATTACAGGTGTATGCCACCATGCCCAGCTAATTTTTGTTGTTGTTGTTGTTTTTGGAGACAGAGTTTTGCTCTGTCACCCAGGCTGGAGTGTAGTGGAGTGATCTTGGCTCACTGCAACCTCCACCTCCCAGGTTCAAGCAATTCTCCTACCTCAGCCTCCCGAGTAGCTGGAACTATAGGCGCACACCAGCACGGCCAGCTAATTTTTGTATATTAGTAGAGAAAACGGGATTTCACCATGTTGCCCAGGCTGGTCTCAAACCCCTGAGCTCAGGCAATCCACCCACCTGGGCCTTCCAAAGTACAAGGATTACAGGTGTGATTTTTGTATTTTTAGTAGAAATGGGGTTTCACCATGTTGGCCAGGCTGGTCTTGAACTCCTGACCGCAAGTGATCTGGTGGCCTCAGCCTCCCAAAGTGCTGGGATTGCAGGCATGAGCCACCACGCCCAGCTTTAATTCACTCTCAAATCCACATTTGCATGTACTTGAAGCCTTGTAGCTCGATGAAGAATTAATTCATAAGTATGTTAAAGGATTTTTAGAGAGCTATTAATTCTAAAAATATGCAAATACCCATTAATGATACCGAAATTCTGTACAAGATTCAGGAATTTGAACACAAATGAGCTCATGTTTTCCATAGTATTCTAATACAAGCAAGTAAACTAAGTTGTTGCTTTACATGTGTATTTCCCCTCAGATGTATTGAGAGAAGGGATCATCTCAGTGTCCTTTGACTCTAGTGCCCAACGCAAATAAGGCACTAAGCACTCAAGCTTAATTACTTGAAATTGGTCTAATTTGAAATCTTAGAAATAATGGAGTAAAGAGGAGGCAATCCAGCAGAAATTGGCAGCAGATGTATTTGACTTCCAATTTATCTTACTTCATTCACTACATTATACTTACCAAAGACAAGATGCAATTGAAGTGATCTACAAATACTGTCAAGCAATATCACTGATTGGTCGGCTACAATAATAAACCCATCACTTAAGCTGCATGCCTGTATCTTTGGATTTAATGAGGCCTGTGGGAGAGAAAAGCATGATGAAAATTCAAACATTTTTATATGTGTTTAATAATACTTATCAATAGTATCATCAAATTCCCAAATATCCCACTTTAAAACTTGACAGGCTTTTTTTCTTTAGCCCCTCTATCTAATTAATCATCGAGTTTTTCTTTGTATGGTATATCTTGAATCCATCCAGGATCCTAAGTAGAAAAACAGTTCAGGATGAGCAGGAAGGGCAAAGGATTCTCATGTTCAAGTCCTTGTTTCCTCAGGATTGACTTTATGCTGCAGGAGCCAGGTATTAACATAATGAATTAATCAAGATTGGAATAAAGTCTTGGTGTCGTGGATACGCTAGGCAGGGGAACGGTGGTGAACTGTGAACTGGAGGGTCCATGCCCCCACAGACATGAAAGAATAGAGTCTACTTCACACCAGCCAGTGGGAAGCCTGGTGGGGATGCAGCACTGGCATGGCCATACCTCCCAATTCATCAACAGAAGCTGGATCTTTATGTGAAATGTTCTGATTTTTAAATATTGGCAGCTAAGCCAACATTTTTAAAAACAGTAGACAAGCCAAATCAGAGTCTCCAGTATTCAGTTTCTGTTGCCAAGAGCCTCCCACACATAGCTGTCTTGAAGCACTGGGACAGATTAGTGGTTGAGGAAGCTCAGTCCCTTACTAGCTAAGTGATCTTAGGCAAATGCATCAACTAACTCCATGTAAAAGAGTAACAATAATAATACCTACAAGGTTCACCTGAATAAAGATTAAACGAATTCACGTAAAGGGCTTATGAGAGAGCCCTGCACATAGTATATGCTCAATAAATGTTAACCAGTCCTATTCTTCCCTGACAAAATACAGCTAATCACCTCATTTTATGACTATTTCAAAAGTCATCTTCTCCAGGTGTAATCCTTGAAAATTCCCCAACATTCTGATCCCTCTTCTACCTTATTTTTTTCTTTATTTTGAGACAGGGTCTCCCTCTGTCGCTCAGGTTGGAATGCAGTGATGCCATCATAACTCACTGCAGCCTTAAACACCTGGGCTCAAGGGATCTTCGTGCCTCCCCAACCCAAGTAGCTGGGACTACACATGCACACCATCACACCTGGCTAATTTTCTTTTTCTTTTATAGAGACGGGGTTTTCACTGTGTTGGCCAGGCTGGTCTAGAACTCCTGGACTCAAACGATCCTTCCATCCCAACCACCCAAAGTGCCGGGAATACAAATGTGAGGCACTGCGCCCAGCCTCCTTCTTATCTTTTTACTTGCTTCTTCAACTAGTAAAAGGTTACATGAAGGCACTGCCAACAAGGAATGGCACTAAAATTAGCCGGGCGTGGTGGCGGACGCATGTAATCCCAGCTACTGGGGAGGCTGAGGCACGAGAATCACTTGAACCCGAGAGGCAGAGGTTGCAGTGAGCCAAGATCACACCACTGCACTCCAGCCTGGGCAACAGAGCAAGACTCTGCCTCAAAAAAAAAAAAAAGAAAAGGAACGGCACTATATCTTCTAGGGATCTGTCCACACTGTTCTCTCTAGACTCTTCTCTCTAGACTGTTCTCCTTCTTAAGGCCCAAAGCAAGTGTAGTTTATTTTAATTTTTATTTTTTTTAGAGATGTTGTCTCCCTATGTTGCCCAGGCTGGCCTCAAACTCCTGGGCTCACGCCATTCTCCTGCCTCAGCCTGAGTAGCTGGGACTACAGGACATGCCACCACACCGGGCTCACACATAGTTTCTTAAGGAAATGCTCCTTAAACTGCCCAACCGACAATGAGCTCTCCAGCCACTGAATTCCTACTCATTTACTGTCTGTACTGTTCATTTGGCATTTAGCATATACTGACTTGCACAGCTAAGCATCTTTTATTGTTTGTGTCCTGTGTGCCTAACTTTAAGGTAAGATCCTAAAAGGAATGAATAAGATGCCATCTTATGTCCAAGTTCCTAATATTGGGCTCAGAACATAGCAGATGTTCAAAACATGTTGGTAAGTGTATGCCACGTGCTAATAATAGATAGAATTTTAGTTCCTACCAGAATCCAAGATTCTATACACATGCACTATTATTTTTCAACAGCAACCTTGAGGTCAAGAAAGGCCTGAGCCACTTCCACGTTTTAAGGCTCCTGATAATATTAAAAAATAAAGCCCGGGCACAGTGATTCACACCTGTAATCCCAGAACTTTGGGAGGCCGAGGTGGGTGGATCACAAGGTCAAGAGATCGAGACCATCCTGCTCAACATGGTGAAGCCTCATCTCTACTAAAAACACAAAAATTAGCTGGGTGTGGTGGCTCGTGTCTGTATTCCCAGTTACTCGGGAGGGTGAGGCAGAAGAATCGCTTGAACCCAGGAGGCGGAGGTTGCAATGAGCCAAGATCACGCCACTGCACTCCAGCCTGGTGACAGAGCAAGAGTTCGTCTCAAAAAAAAAAAAAAAAAAAAAGAAAAATTAGCCAGGCGTGGTGGCAGGCGCCTATAATCCCAGCTACTCCAGAGGCTGAGGCAGGAGAATCACTTGAATCCAGGAGTGGGAGGTTGTAATGAGTCAATATCACATCACTGTACTCCAGCCTGGGCTACAGAGTGAGAGTCTCTCTTAAAAAAAAAAAAAACAAATGGCCGGGTGCGGTGGCTCAAGCCTGTAATCCCAGCACTTTGGGAGGCCGAGCCGGGCGGATCACGAGGTCAGGAGATCGAGACCATCCTGGCTAACATGGTGAAACCCCGTCTCTACTAAAAATACAAAAAATTAGCTGGGCATAGTGGCGGGCGCCTGTAGTCCCAGCTACTTGAGAGGCTGAGGCAGGAGAATGGCGTGAACCTGGGAGGCAGAGCTTGCAGTGAGCTGAGATCATGCCACTGTACTCCAGCCTGGGCGACAGAGCAAGACTCCATCTCAAACAAACGAACAAAAATACTAAAAAATAGACGTCATTTCCTCATTATAGAAACTGTGCTTTCAGATGTCTCGAAGGATTCAAAAAATTTAAAAAAAAGAAATGCTGCACTTGAAATTTTTGCCTCTAATAAATAATGACAAAAAATACAATGAGATTTGTACTACTCATAATTAATGTTTATCTTATACTAATTATCTTATTGTTGGATTATACTGCCTTTAACATGATTCATGGTACATTTAAAGCGGTACAAATCAGGCACAGTGACTCATGCCTTTAATCCCAGCACTTTGGGAGGCCAAGGCAGGCGGATCACTTGAGGCCAGGAGTTCAAGACCAGCCTGGGCAACCCCATCTCTACTAAAAATACGAAAATTTTTAGTAGCATGGTGGCACACACCTGTAATCCCAGCTACTTGGGAAATTGAGACAGGAGAATTTTTTGAACCCAGGAGGCAGAGGTTGCAGTGAGCCGAGCCGAGATAGCACCACAGCAAGAAAAAGCAGCACAGTTCCACAGACACCAGCTTAAAGCTGCATAAAGAATGATTTCTTTTTAAAATCCCATCAGCCAGTTTAAAAAAAAAAGTCAAAAGCATACATTTAATTCCCTTTAGGAATAACGTCCACAGTGGATGCCCTGCCTTATCTGTCAGATTCCATTTGAGTGAAAAAAAATTTCTTTTATTAAAAAAAAAAAAGAATTAAATACCAGCCTCCCAAGTAGCTGGGACTACATGTGCATGCCACCACACCCAGCTAATAGTACCTTCTATAGAATGCAAAGAATAAGGTTTCAGGCATGAAGCAAGAATGGTGCAATTACTGACAGAAGAAAGTTAAAATGTAGAAAGAAATGCACGGATAAACCTCATACTCAGCAGGGTGCTTGACTCTGGTAGGAAACAGGAGGAACACAGATTCAGGGATGGACCCTCAGAGCCTTCAACTCTATTTGTAACATTTTATTTCCTAAGTCAGTCGTAGATATTCTTTGTATGCCGGGAGTGATGGCTCACACCTGTAATCCCAGCACTTTGGGAGGCTGAGGTGGGTGGATTTCTTGAGGCCAGGAGTTCAAGACCAGCCTGGCCAACATGGAGAAACCCCATCTTTACAAAAATACAAAAAATTAGCTGAGCATGGTGGCACACAACTGTAATCTCAGCTACTTGGGAGGCTGAGGCACGAGAATCACTTGAATCTGGGAGTCAGAGATTGCAGTGAGCCGTGATCACACCACTGCACTCCAGCCTGGGTGACAGAGTAAGAATCTGTCTCAAAAAAAAAAAAAAAAGATATCCTTTGTATCAACTTACACATATTTTTGTATGCATGAAATATCAAGAGGAACTAAGAATCCTTCAGTTGTGAAAATACTGATCCTGACATGATGCAGAGGGTATTCAGACGTGAATTTCTAGCAATCTGAGATTGAATCTTGATTCCCTGAGGAAGTGCTATGTTCATTCACAAAATATTTACTGTGGGCCACTAGCCCTACTAAGCACTCAGTAAAAATTCTGTGAATGAAACAGTCAGTGTAATAATCACTACCTTTTCAGAAGAGATCTTCACTAGCAAATCTACTTGATATAAAGCAGTTCCATGTTCTTTTCTTGAACCGACACTCAGGTACCCACTTCCGGTATCATCATTTGTTAGCAGCTCAATATCATTCCACATGTTTCTGAGACTGTCTTCCTGAGTCAGGAACCACTGTCTTTCCTGAACAACATAAAATTAGACACCATATTATCTTGTTGCATAGAACCTGGTTCCTTGGGAAATGATAAAGCTTACTCACAAAACAAAAACAAAAGTCTAACATTAACATATACAGACATCTTAGTCTTCTTGTTATTGCTGTGGCCACTAAACACTTCGGGCCAATAACATAAATGGAACTAGAGCTATGATGGTTACCAGAGAACAACATATTGGTTTATGCACACAAACCAACAATTCTGATCTTACCAATGTATCTTAGAGCTTCCATTACTTTGTGTGTCTAGTTTGGAATTATACCAAGTTTTCATTAGAAATAAACCTTTAATTATACCAAGTTTTCATTAGAAATAAACCTTTCATTAGAAATAAACCTTTAATAGCAGCAAACAGTGTAGGTTTAGATGCCAGATTGTCAGGGATATCATAGGATGATAAGATTCCAGATGAAGTTCAGAAAAAGTCCATTGATGCTATCATAGTATTATTATACAACAAATAAAAATGATAAGGGGAGGAGAAAAAAATGAATTAGGTTTCTGGATCAAAGACTAAGCTTGAAACCTTATGAGGTTTACCCATCTCAAAAAGCAAAGGTTTACATAAACCATATTACCTGGAGTCTGGGTGGGAAAAGAACACTAAGGATAAAAACAATCCTTGGATCAAGACTGGTAGGGAATGATAATCAAATAATTACAATTGGTTTCATAAGTGCTACTAGAAGTATGTTTCAATATCTATAAAAGGTATAGCACAAGGTAGAAACAATTTCTGACTTGGTGCTCTTTCACAATGACTAGGCAGCTGTCCTTGGGTGATCACTTAATCTTTCTGTTCCTCAATTCTCTAATTTATAAAATAGGAATATACAGACCAGGC
This sequence comes from Homo sapiens, assembly GCF_000001405.40. NCBI lineage: Eukaryota > Metazoa > Chordata > Mammalia > Primates > Hominidae > Homo > Homo sapiens. The sequence goes on along the minus strand of NC_000012.12, from coordinate 122,529,139 downwards.
CGGCGCGGTGGCTCACACCTGTAATCCCAGAACTTTGGGAGGCTTAGGCAGGTGGATTATCTGAGGTCAGGAGTTTGAGACCAGCCTGGCCAACATGACGAAACCCCCTCTCTACTAAAAACACAAAAAATTAGCCGGGCGTGGTGGTGTGCGCCTGTAATCCCAGCTACTCAGGAGGCTGAGGCTGTAGAATTGCTTGAACCCGGGAGGCGGAGGTTGCAGTAAGTCGAGATCGTGCCACTTGCACTCCAGCTTGGGCAACAAGAGTGAAACTCCGTCTTGGAAAAAAAATATATATATACAGTTTGCCGTCAATATCCATGTGTTCCACATCCCTAGATTGCACCTACAGGCATAGCACATTTACACTGTTACGCAAGATAAGAAATCAAGAGATGATTTAAAGTATACAGGCAGATGTTCCTAGGCTACATGCAAATACTATGCCATTTAATGACAGGGACTTAAGCATCCTAGGGTTTTGGTATCTGTGGGAGGTCCTGGAACCAATCTCCCATGGATACCAATACCAAGGGACTAATTTAGTTGTACCCACCTGAAGGAGTTTTCTATTTTTCACTTCTGGTTTTTTGAGAGACGAGGGTCTCACTATTTTGCCCTGGCTGGCCTTGATCTCCTGGGCTCAAGCAATCCTTCTGCTTCAGCCTCCAAATGTTTTGAGTTTTAAATGTTCACAGAACAATGCTTGGTTGATGGCAAACATTCAATTTTAGGTGTTAGCTAATTTGTTATTGGGCTGAGAATTGAAGATCATAGTTTTATAAATGTTTAAAGAGTTCTTCCTAAGAGCATAAGCAAGGGAACAGAAACAAAACATGTTTGGAGAATAGAGAAGTTTCAGTGGCTGGTGTTTGGGTGGGAGTGAGGAGATGAAGAAGGAGGGACAGGTTGGAATGAATACCTTTATGGGTCTCAATTTCCCACATCTGTGAAATAGAGAAACCGCCCGTAACTGCCATATTTACTTATTCAACAAATGTTTATTGAATACCTATTTACTATGTGCCAGACACCTTTCTAGGAACTGGGAATATAGCTTGAACAGAACACAAAATGTCTTTGCCATTATGAAGTTTATGTTTTTGCGGGAAAAACGGACAAAAATAAAATTGTTAATACGTATCTTGTTATGCTACCTCCACAAAAAAGCAACTGCACAAATAATTACAAAAAGTGCTAAATGATTTGAAGGAAACAGTGATTAAATGGATAAGGTGAGGCGTCGCTGAAGAAGGATTTGTTTGGGAAGGGAAGGAGGTGACATCTGAGCTGAGACCTGAATAACAAGAAGTACGCAAAACTTAGGCGGAACGCGACGTAGGCAGAGGGAACAGAGTGCAAAGACTCGGAGGCTGGGTAGGAAGCGTTTGATGCTGCTGCCGGGTCAAAGCAAAAGCAGAAGACAGTGAGGGAGAGAGCAGTGGAGTCCAATAAAACCTCGACCTCAAGATTGAATTTTATTCTCAGTACAAGGGGTAGAAGGGGAACTCAGCAAACGAGTGGTCTGATTTTATAATTTTGAGATCACTCTGGCGGCGGAATGCAGAACAGATTCGCGAATACGAGAGAATGAGCAAGATGAAACACTTGTCAGTTAGGCCTCCATACTTAAACGCTCTCCGCTGGACATCGCCGCCAGCAAAAACCGACTCCAACCTCTCTCCTGCCAGCGTCAAGGGGAAAACAACAGGAACTGAGCAGAGGCTGCAGCTACTTCGTCCTGAACCCACCCCCAGTTCCCTACACAGCGCAGCTCCCCGTCCTCACCTGCAATTGAAGAAACTAAAGAGGAACACTCAGATATCTGGCCCCTCTTCCTGACTCACACAACCGCCTCTAGTCTTTAGGTTCCATGCCACAGGCTTAAATTGGCGGGAGAACACTAAACCCAACCCCTTTACGGCGGCCGGAAGAGACCAAGATTACTTTAGACTCGAAATAGGAAGTTGCCCCACCCTGAGTTCCGCCCATTCCGTTCTCCCGACTGCGCATTCCGGGGGTGTATTCTTGGCCCCGCCCTCTTCACGGTCTTTACACTCCCCTATGAAAGAACACCCAATCACCGCCTCGAATTGCGTTGTTATAGAAACTTTTGTTACCGCCCCTTTTTCTCCCAGCAAGCTGTGCGACGCGCCGGGCCTCCTCGCCTTTGTGCCATCCGGGTCTCTCGCGCGAGCGATTTAGTCTGAGGCGAAGCTTCGGAGCGGCCGGTACTGTTGAAAGCGACAAGTGGAGGCGCCGCTCTAGCGGCCGGGACTCTGAACTATGGCGGTAGGTACCGAATCTGAGTTTAAAGCCAGGGATATTTTTCTGCTACGTTCCAACAGTGGGTGAACGGCTCCCAGAACCTTGTTCGTGTGTATGTGTGTAGACAAAATGGCGCCGCGGCCTTCTTCTGCGCCCGCCATCATGGCTGCCTGCTGTAGGGAGGGGGAAGTAAGGCGGTGTTGGTGGGGGTGGGGAGCCGCAGGGAGTGCCTTTTTTTTTCCAGAACTTTCCTCCTCTCTTCCCCAACCCTACGTTCCTTTCGCCTCACTGAACTTCCTCCATTTTCGCTTATTCACCCTGGCTAGTGATTTATTCTAAGTTTTTTTTAGGGCCTGAGAATTTGCGGTGGAGAAAGGGGCTGGGGAAGAGAAAGACGATCAGGAGTGGTCTCTGAAAAGTATTGGGTCAAAAAGGCAGTGTCTGTAAAGGGTAGTGTGGGAGAAGAGAGCGACTTGTAGCTATTTTTTTTTTTGTACGCTCAATGAGATGCTTCTAGTTGCATAATTTCAATTAGTGTTCGTCCGTGTAAACCTTATTATTGTGTATTAACGAGCTAGGAAGGTATTGCTGAAAGGGAGTGAAAATTCAACTTAAAAGGTTGTGGAACTACCAATTCTGACTGATGCGCGGTTTCCGAAGTGGCCCGTGATGTAATCAATTTGAAGTCCGAGAAGCGTTACAGTTAAGTCTTGTCACTGACCTTGTTCCTTTAAATTTAAACCCTTCGTTGGCCGGGCGCGGTGGCTCACGCCTGTAATCCCAGCACTTTGGGAGGCCGAGGCGGGCGGATCACGAGGTCAGGAGATCGAGACCATCCCGGCTAAAACGGTGAAACCCTGTCTCTACTAAAAATACAAAAAAATTAGCCGGGCGTAGTGGCGGACGCCTGTAGTCCCAGCTACTTGGGAGGCTGAGGCAGGAGAATGGCGTGAACCCGGGAGGCGGAGCTTGCAGTGAACCGAGATCCCGCCACTGCACTCCAGCCTGGGTGACAGAGCGAGACTCCGTCTCAAAAAAAAAAAAAAAAAAAAAAAAAAAAAAAAAAAAAACTCTTCGTTGACCCCAGAGGAGCTACAGTTCGTAAATTATCTATTCTGAACAATAAGCCTGCGTGTGTATAAGATACCCAATTCTGACGGATCCACATTATTTTGTGCTTACCTCATTTTTATTCCGTTAAAAGGAAAATGTAAAGATTTTGCATTCCTTTTTACTGACTAAAAAATTACATCATTTTCGATAATAATTATGACTCTTAAACATAGTGATAGTTTTAAAGTTTGCTCTTCCTAACGATTGGAATGCCTGGGATTAGGCAGATGATTTTCTTTTTCCCCCATACCCCTCTATTATTTAGGTGATTGAGTTTAAACCCGTTTCTTTTACTGTCTTCCTTTGTTTAGTGTTTTGGGCCTCAGTATACTTAAAGAGTAATACTATTTTTCTTGGGTTGCAGGTTTTTTTGTATTTTTTCGAGACGGAGTTTTGCTCTTGTCGCCCAGGCTGGAGTGCGATGGCGCGATCTTGGCTCACTGCAACCTCCGCCTCCCGGGTTCAAGCGATTCTCCTGCCTCAGACTCCCGAGTAGCTGGGATTACAGGCGCCCACCACCACACCCGGCTAATTTTTTTATATTTTTGGTAGAGACGGGGTTTCACCACGTCGGCCAGGCTGGTCTCGAACTCCTGACCTCAGATGATCCACCCGCCTCGGCCTCCCAAAGTGCTGGGATTACAGGAGTGAGCCACCGCGCCCGGCCGGGTTCTAGTATTTTAAAAAGTGAATTTAAACATTTATTTATGCCGTGCCTTGTTCAATAAAAAGACAGTCCCCTAGAGAAGTGACCTAGTATTCAATCCAGTGCTTACCTCCTTCGCAGTGGAAAAAGATTTGTCTATGTTTCGAGCCGTTATTAGAGTTTGCAACAAAATGTAAATTATAAGAAACCAAAGTGGCTACCTCGTAGAGCCACTGCTGGAATAGAAGGCTGTTTTGCAGTTAACGTTTATGTGTACACATAGATTAGTACTAAATTAAAGCTTAGAAAATTTCAGAGCAATTTTAATACTCAGTTTTTGGTAGGTTTTTTTCCTGGATACCTGTATTATGCTACTATAAAATATCCTCAGGGAAATAAAAGTTTTCCATGGCCTCAATGACCACCTATCATTCCTATTTGTTTAGTGTTAAGATGGTTTTTGTTGTTGCTCTGTAGTATATTTTACAGATGAAAATGGTTGATGATGTAAGTTTAAGTTAGCCTATGTCACAGGGAGGTTTCTCTGTTGTCCAGCTTTGTGATGTTAAGCATGAAGTTAAAGTTAGATAAACCATTGCCTGAAAACTGCCTAGGCTAAGCACTAGATTTTCCATGAGAAGGTTGTTTTCGATTCTAGTCTTGTTCTCTGCAAAAGTAAATGGGATTTGCCACTAGTTAAGGAATTCTGTCTCTGGCAAAAGTGTCGTGCAACTGAGAGAAGTAATAGCGGTGCTTAAAATTTTCGAGATCACTTCTGTTTACCAAGTGTAAGCTGTACAAACACTCAGCAAGTAATAAATGAGTCTGAAATAGTCCTCAAGGATAACGATGAAAAAAAAAAGTGTCCAGAATTCATTGTGAAAAATCAGAATCATCCTTAATGATACAGCATTATTTATTAGTAGTAAACAGTAAAGATACGGAGATGCAGTATCATTTTAAGCAAGTCAGCTAATGTTGCTGGATCTCATCTGTGAAACGAGAAAGTTGAACTCTATTCTAAGGGGTGAAAACCTTTCAGCATAAAAATTTTATGGTTCCAGAAGTCACCCAGACTGGAGAAATAAGTACATATACAATATGCTGGCATGAGAGCCTCCCTGGTAGTTAATTTCTTACTGTTCTTTTTGTGCCATTGTTAGAGGAATAACACGTAATTTATGTCTTTCATCTCATAATTGAACTGCAAAACCTTTCTGTTTTTAATTTATCATTTTATTCCCTAAGTCTAGCATTGGTTTTGGCACATTTTTGACCCTTAGTAAATACTTGTTGAAGTAACTCGACCTCTCACAACTTCATTTATTAAAGTACAATACACCCATTTATTGTACTTGATACTTGTTTAAAATTTGTTAAAATACAATACCCCCATTTATTGTACTTGATATTTGGTATTCATTTTCTGGACTAACTTTCCTAAAGGAGGAAGTTCTCTAATGTGATTCCTCCTGCTGAAGACTATCGATTCCCTATTTATTCAATCCAGATTCCGTTTGATGTTATACGTGAAAAGTCCATAAACTGTTTCTGTAAAGGGCCAGACGGTAAATATTTTTGGCTTTGTGGGCCATGTGCAGTCTCTGTCACATTCTTTCCCAGGCTGGAGGGGCAGTGGCGCAATCTTAGCTCACTTCAACGTCTGCCTCATGGGTTCAAGCCATTCTCCTGTCTCAACCTCCTGAGTTGCTGGGATTACAGGCACGCCCCACCACTCTTGGCTAATTTTTGTGTTTTTAGTAGAAGCAGGGTTTTACCATGTTGGCTAGGCTGGTCTCAAACTCCTGACCTCAGGTTATCCGCCTGCCTCAACCTCCCAAAGTGCTAGGATTACAGGCATGAGCCACAACACTGGCGTTTTAAGTGCCTTTAGTTTTAACAGTTCAGTCTTTACAGTGCTATTTACTGAAGTTATTTATTAAATATGCCTAAAATAGTTTTAAAAAACGTAAAAAACCATTCCTAGCTCAAGGCCATACAGAAACAGAATGAGGACCATAGCTTGCCAACCCTTCCTAAGTAATCAATTCCCCAGGTGTATCAATTATTTTATTTTCATGTTATCTTCTCTGGTCAGATAGCCGAGCATTGTCTACCTTCTGCATTAGTTGAAACTTGTAAAATTTATATTGTAATAATTACTTATAAAATGCTTTAAAGCAGAAACAACTTAATGTTTTCATAGCCCAGAGCACATGTGAGGAGAGGCAGACCATATTTTGCAGCAGCACTGTGCCAAGGGGCTGTTTTCATTAAAGAGGGTTAATGACATTAAGATGAGGTTCTCACTTAGGTAAGTTAATTTTCTGTTTATTATTTTATAATATTCTTAGGGCATTGTTTTAAGATTTTATCGTCTTGAGTATCTTTAAGCTTTAACAACTCATTTTTGATGTTTGACATGTATGCTAATTTAAAAGTATTGGTAAAGTCAGCTAAATGCATTCACACATCTAAAAAGGACTATTTTCTCTGCTTGAATGCTTATTAGAACTACTTGGAGCCCTTATTCCTCCCCCACCCCACCCCATGTTTTAAAAGTTATACAAATCATCGTTAGAAAATTAAAGATACATCAGTCTAAATATGTAGGTCTTGCTTTAGTATCAGGTTCGTCATTTCAAGCCATTCAGCCTTATTAGTGTACAAAGCACATTTAGTTACTTGGAAAGCAGGCATTCTGATTTATTGATTGTGGGGGGCTATCTTCCCTCCCTTTGTCCCTCTTTTAAGAAATTGAAAACATTTAAAATGTAATTAAGAACTTTAATCATTTGTTTTTAAACTTTTAGGCTAGTGATACAGAGCGAGATGGACTAGCCCCAGAAAAGACATCACCAGATAGAGATAAGAAAAAAGAGCAGTCAGAAGTATCTGTTTCTCCTAGAGCTTCAAAACATCATTATTCAAGATCACGATCAAGGTCAAGAGAAAGAAAACGAAAGTCAGGTATGAATTCTTAAAGGTGGTTACAACTCTCAGCATTTGTATAAGATATGTAGACCTGTTGTATAAGAAGACACATACATTTAGTTTGTTGGCTGGGCATGGTGGCTCAAGCCTGTAATGCCAGCACTTTGGGAGGCCAAGGCAGGCAGATCACCTGAGCCAGGACCAAAAATACAAAAATTGACACACTCTCAGCCCAATGCAACCTCCATCTGCTGGGTTCAGGCAGTTCTTCTGCCTCAGCCTCCTGAGTAGCTGGGATTATAGGCGTGCGCCACCACGCCTAGCTTATTTTTGTATTTTTAGTAGAGACTGGGTTTCACCATGTTGGAACATATCAAATATAATTCAACCTGTTTATTTTCTTTAGTTTTTATTTTTCTTAATGGCTTACCTCTCTCTATTAAACCCCCTTATGAATTTGCTGTAGACTAGGAAACTAGATGGGCTGGTCAGAATATATGTAAAATACTGAAAGTCTATGACCGTTTAAAAGATGTATCTAGGCTGCTTTATGTCCTGGTTTGCTCAGATTGCTTGATTTGTTTCACATGTGTGTTGTATTAATGTAGAATAATCCCACCCGTGCCATGAAAAAATTAGTCATTGGAAGAAGACTAATGGGAGTCATTTTTCTCCAGCATTAAGAGTTTTTTAAGATGAAATGTTTCTCCAACTTTGTTTATGGTGATTATTTTTTTTGTGTATTCACAGATAATGAAGGAAGAAAACACAGGAGCCGGAGCAGAAGCAAAGAGGTAATTAACACTTTGTAGTGAATAGGTACTTTAAAATACTTATAAAGTGTCTGGTAGAAAGATTTGTATGAATATAAGACGTTGTCAAGGTAAGTACAAAACTTGAAATTTAAAAGGTTTATTGGGTTATAAAATAAGCATGATTTTGATTCATCATTTTTGAAGAAGATGTTTATGTGAAAAGTACCTTCAAAACTTTAATTTTATTATATTGTGAAAATATTCACAATAAAAATTTCATATGAAGAATATGATTGGTTTTTTTAGGCCTGTCACACAGAGCTTCCATTAATCTGAGGTCCCGAGTCTCCTGGTGCCTGACAGTTGCTCAGGATTTTTAAACAGCAATCATCTTTACATAGCAATACCCTAGATATCTGTGCGCTGCTTTTTCCTTATGAACGATAACAGGAGTTCTCTTTTCTTTTGCAAACTAGTTCAGTTTCCCTAATAGTAGTATTGAATTTTGAAATAAAGGTTTGAGTGAGGGACAGCTGAAAAGGTGGCGGTGACACCAAAACTTGAGGAAAAAGAAAGGCAGCAGCTGTATTGCAAAGGAGTTACTTGTTCACCCACCTGAGAAGACAAAGAATGAGCCAATAAGGAAGTGTAGAAGTAGTAGCCAGAAAGGGAGAAGAGTCTTGTGGGGGCTGGGTAAGGGACTCCTAAAACAAGAGTGGGCAGGGACTTCACCTCTTCCCGTAATGGAAGCTCTGTTAAATTTTTAATTTAGGAGAGTTTTTGTGAAAATGACTATTTTGTTTAGCTCACATGATAACATTTCTATAATAAATCATACTCAGCGTGCTTATGCGCGAAGAGACTGAACTGAAGACGCTGCAGACTCAGATAGCAAAATAATAAGCCTACTTCATGATAAGGTAACTATTAGTCATTCAAACTCCTATTTCCCTTAAATATATCTTAAATCAGTTAAGGGTTTTAATGTTTTTTTTAAATTAATAGTAATGTTATGTTTGAAAAACTGGTTTGAAATAAACTTTAAAACCTTTAGAAGTTTAACCACTTAAGACTTTTCCAGTCTGCCTCGTTATAGCAAAACCAAGGAAAATTTCTTTTCTAAGCTCCTATAGAGAACTGGCAATGAAACTAAAATTTAATTGTGTCTCCAGGTCTCTTATTTTTCTGCAAATAATAAATTATGTACTATGATCATTTTCAGATAAATCATCATGCATGTTCCAAAATGATTGGCCAAGTTTTATTTTTAAGAAACATTAATCGTGAGTGGAAAGAAACATGCTATGGCCTTTTGGGAGACAGTAGTGTCTTATTACAGTGGAAAAGTGGTAGCGTGGGCATCAGAAAAACATGGGGAAGGTTCAGCTCACCCATGTAGCTTTGTAACTTTAGATCTTAGTTATACATAAAATAAGGGGATTAAGTTAGAGGATCTTAGTTTCCTTCCAGAATTAAAATTTAGTGATTCAGAGATGTCTAGGATTTTAAACTTTCACTACAAGATGAATTTGACAGATCTTCCTGTAGGGAACTGTAGTATGTAGCACTTCTACTTTGGTATTTGGTAGGATGAGACTTGATCATGCAGTTAATTTGAGCTGAGTCTCTGAATGCACATGTGAAGGCCTTGGTCTTTTTAAAGTGTGGGGGCAGTATGTATTGTGTGATGGCATGTGGATTGTTATACCTAGTTTGGTTTCTTTAAAATTGAAACATACAGTTGCCATTTCTACCCTAGGTACATGAAGTGTAATACTCCTCTAAGCCTATTGGGATACTGCAAGATGAAAAGTGATTGCTTCACAGTTTAGACATTGGGAGGAAAATCAAGAGCTGTCTTTTAGAGGATGTAGCAGGCAGTATAACTGTAAAAGGGACACTGCATCTCTGTGTAAAATAATTTGAAATTATAGAAAATATTAGTACTTAGTAATAATTATATTTAGCTACCTAATTGAAATGCGTTTCTGGTGCACTTTTTGTGTCATTATCTCCATTACTTACTTAAACTTAACATTATGTAATCTGGATTTAGAAGTTGATGTATATACATGGTCTGTATTCTTTTAGATAAACATAAGGGATTCCTCTTTTGTCTGGCATAATGGCTTTTCAATATTTCAACTTTAAAAATCATTGTTTCTGTTGTATTGAAAATATTTTGGGGAGGAACTACATTTTGGGTGTTTATAGTAAAAAAAATAGTAATTACATCTGCAACATTTGGGTGATGTGAAACTAGATCTTTTTTTTATTTGCCACACACTCCTAAGGTTACTAATGTTGCATCACAACATTTTTGTCTACTGATACCCATACTAACTCTCTTTGTTGCACTATTTTCCTGAAAGAACCAACTTCTTCTTAAAACAGGGAAGAAGACATGAATCCAAAGATAAATCCTCTAAGAAACATAAGTCTGAGGAACATAATGACAAAGAACATTCTTCTGATAAAGGAAGAGAGCGACTAAATTCATCTGAAAATGGTGAGGACAGGCACAAACGCAAAGAAAGAAAGTCATCAAGAGGCAGAAGTCACTCAAGATCTAGGTCTCGTGAAAGGTAAGTCATGTTGTATTATAATGTAGTACCTTCTAACAAGTTACATAAAGTTTCTCATTGACCCAGCAACACCCAAAAAAATCATAATTAGGGAGTTTTTCTTGTTCGTTTGTTTGGGTTTGTGGTTTTGTTTGTTTTTTGCCTTTGGGCTTTGCTTTCTCATCATGCAAAAATGGTTTCCAAGAATGGGGTGTAAGGGATGACTAAATCTCAAGTGCCTAGATTTCTTTTCCCTTTTTTTTTTTTGACACGGAGTCTTGCTGTGTTGCCCAGGCTGGAGTGCAGTGGCATGATCTCGGCTCACTGCAACCTCTGCCTCCTGGGTTCAAGTGATTCTCCTTTCTCAGCCTCCCAAGTAGCTGGGATTACAGGCATGTGCTACCATGCCTGGCTAGTTTTTGTATTTTTAGTAGAGATGAGGTTTCGCCATGTTGGCCAGGCTGGTCTCGAACTCCTGACCTCAGGTGATCCACCTACCTCGGCCTCCCAAAGTGCTGGGATTACAGGTGTGAGCCACCGTGCCCAGCCTAGATTTTCTTTTTTGAGATGGTCTCTCTGTTGCCCTAACTAGAGTGCAGTGGTGTGCTCTCAGCACACTGCAGCCTCTTGTCCTCCAGGGCTCAAGTGATCTGACCTCAAGCCTCCCAAGCAGCTGAGACCACAGACATGCGCCACCACACCCAGCTAATCTCTTAGTATTTTTTTGTAGAGACGGGTTTTGGCCATGTTGTGCAGGCTATTCACGAATCCCTGGGCTCAAGCAGTGTGACGGCCTTGGCCTCCTGAAGTGCTGGGATTTCAGGAGTGAGTCACTCTGCCCAGCTGAGATTTTTAACCACTTAATCTGTCTGGCACTGAAAAAATCATATTGTTAAACTGTGTGGTTTAAGCTGATAAACAGTCCTTTTGCATCATCGATGGTGATGTTGGTGTTTGCTGCTAAACTGCAATCTAGATTTTTTTTAATGTTGGAGTATAGATAAAAAGATTTTTGAGAAACTGGATCACAGCTCAAATTTGTGAATGGTTTTTGGTGGGGTTTTTTTTGGAGAATTCTGTGGGTTGTGTGTGGTATCAGACTCAAAAATTTTTAGTAGATAAACTAAAGTATTAAGATTTGTAACTACTGTGGGAAGAGTATTAAACGGAAGCTTAAATTTGGGTAGGATGCATTGAACGCTTTTGACATGTTAATAGGTTTACTATGTTCTAGGACAAATTATCAAACAAAATGAAGGGTTCGTTTTCAGTTAGTATTTCCTTTGAAAATCTCGCTTATTTCTGTAAATAATATAGTGCAGTTACTTGCTTGTCTTTATTGCGTTACTACAAGTAACTAATTCATGATGTGTATAAATGAAACAACACAACTTTTAAGTAATTACAAATTTGTGCACTTTAATTTCAGACGCCATCGTAGTAGAAGCAGGGAGCGGAAGAAGTCTCGATCCAGGAGTAGGGAGCGGAAGAAATCGAGATCCAGAAGCAGAGAGAGGAAGAAATCGAGATCCAGAAGCAGGGAAAGAAAACGGCGGATCAGGTCTCGTTCCCGCTCAAGATCAAGACACAGGCATAGGACTAGAAGCAGGAGTAGGACAAGGAGTAGGAGTCGGTAGGTGACCATCATCCTGAATAAAATTTAATAGGACCCTCAGAGAGTCTGTTTATCTTCCTCAGTAAGAGAGTATTAAAATTGTGAGTCACAATTCTATTTATAGATTATGGTAAAATTATTTTAGTCATTACCTAACGTATGAAGAACACACCTAACCACTTGAATAGCATTCACAGGTATTCTCGTGATTGATAAATCTCTTGCGAAGTGCAGGTATGAATAGGCCTATTAAAATGCAGTTGTTGGCTAGGTGTCGTGGTTTACACCTGTAATCACAACGAGGCGAGCAGATTTTTTGAGCCCAGGAGTTCAAGACCAGCCTGGGCAATATGGTGAAACCCCATGTCTACAAAAGATATGAAAATTAGCCTGGGGTGATGACCCACACCTATGATCCCAGCTACTTGGGAGGCTGAGGTGGGATAATCACTTGAGCCCAGAAGGCAGAGGTTGCAGTGAGCCAAGATCATGCTGTTGCACTCCAGTCTGGGTGACAGGAGTGAATCCTGTCGTAACAAACAAATTCAGTTGTGTTCAACACTGGATTTGTTGTATTAATTTTATTATCACAAATAACTAAAATCTCCTTTTGCATACTTACCATATGCTGTATGCTAGAACTCCTTGCATGTTATTAGCTCATCTAGTTCTCAGAAGAACCATGTTGAAAGGTAAGTGTGTCGTGCTTAAAGACGTTTAAGAAATTTGCCCCAGAATTCCAAAACAGTATCATTATTAAGTGCTAGAGCCAGGAGCAGGTTTCAGATATATCTAAATGCAAATTCCATGCATGTGCTTAACCCACTGTATTGTACAAACTACCTCAGATTTTGTTTGTAAATGAACACAATTTAGATTTATCTTGATTGGTGGGAGGAGGCTTTGTTGAGATAGGAGGTGTACAATAAAGAGCACAGGAGGAAAACTAATTATAAATATTCTTCAATGAATGCGTTATTCTCTGCTTGTTTACATATGACAGTAGTATACTGACTTTTGTAAATTGATTGCAACTTAGGTCAGTGTATGAAAGATTGAAACATACATTTAAAAAGGGACCTGTACTTAATACAGTAACTTGGTTTTTATGATTTATCACTTGATCTTTAAATCAATATGAATTTTTACTCAGTGGTTCTAGTTTATAGTAGTTTACTACTTTGAACCTTACCAATTAAGAAATTTTTTTTTAAGTGCTTTTTTGGTCACTGACATCTAGTTTTTTTGTTTGTTTTGAGACAGAGTCTCACTCTGTCGCCCAGGCTGGAGTGCGATGGCACAATCTTGGCTCACTGCAACCTCTGCCTCCTGGGTTCAAGCGATTTTCCTGCCTCAGCCTCCCGAGTAGCTGGGATTACAGGCACCCAGCATCACGCACGGCTAAATTTTGTGTTTTTGTAGAGACGGGGTTTCACCATGTTGGCCAGGCAGGTCTCGAACTCCTGACCTCAGGTCATCTGTCCGCCTGAGCTTCCCAAAGTTCTGGGATTACAGGCATGAGCCACAGCACCCAGCCAGACCTAATTTTTAGTGGTTAATAACTTTTTATTTTTGAAAAACATCTACAAATTCACTGTAGATGAAAATATGTAGGAATGATTCCTGTGGTATACATATTGACCTACAAGAGCACAAAATGACTAATGTATAAGGCTAGCTTTTCCAACATTGGATATACTATGCAAAAGATTGGAAACAGCCAGATGCGGTGGGGCATGCTTGTAGACCTGTGTACTCTGGAGGCTAAGGCAGGAGGATCACTGGAGGCCAGCCTGGGCAACATGGTGAGACCCTGTCTCTTAAAAAGGGATGAGGGAGTTGGAAACAAATGTTATTTCCAATGAGTTCAGCTGTAACACTGATGTTTTAAATCTTTTGCATCTCAAACTAAATGTTTTTGTATCGTTGGGATTTTTGTTTGAACTAATTGATTTCTTATTAACAAAATAGTTATGACTTGGCCATAATTTGACATATGAAATACGATTTACTACAGAGATAGAAAGAAGAGAATTGAAAAGCCGAGAAGATTTAGCAGAAGTTTAAGCCGGACTCCAAGTCCACCTCCCTTCAGAGGCAGAAACACAGCAATGGATGCACAGGAAGCTTTAGCTAGAAGGTGTGTATATTTCTTAATTCATTTGTTCCAGTTCGCCTTTAAATAAATGCTCAATTGTGTGGATAAGATGAATTCTTTCAGTAAGAGAATGATTCACATACTTTAGTAATATGGTGGCATATTTGTGATCTAGAACTATGTAAATAGTTTAATTCTCATCCTAAACATTTGCACAACTATAAGATTGAGATGTCTACAATTTCTGTTTTTTCCTTCATGATTTAACTGATTTCATTTTTCTCAAATTTAGACTCCCAAATATTTTCAGTTTGCATTTGAAACTTTTTTTTTTTGAGTCTTAAATCTGGTTCAAGAACTATTATTTTCTCATCTAAGATGACTTTTCCTTTACTTTTTGTTTTTCTCCCTCAAATAGACAAAATACCTGAAACAGTAAGTAAAATTTTGTCAATATTATTATTTTGAAGATGGCAATTAACAGATAATACATTATAAGCTAATTTATTTGATCTTGTAAGTTTTATTCCTGGTAACTATGGGAGAACTTTTTTTTTTTTTTTTTAATTTTCTGCTGTTTCGGCCGGGTGCAATCGGTCACACCTGTAATCCCGGCATTTTGGGAGGCCGAGGCGGGCGGATCACTTGAGGTCAGGAGTTGGGAGACCAGCCTGGCCAACATGGTGAAACCCCATCTCTACTAAAAATACAAAAATTAGCTGGGCGTGGTGGCAGGCGCCTGTAATCCCAGCTACTCTGGAGGCTGAGGCACGAGAATCGCTTGAACCCATGAGGCAGAGGTTGCAGTAAGCCAAGATCGCACCACTGCACTCCAGCCTGGGCGATAGAGCGAGACTCAGTCTCAAAAAAAAAAAACACACACACACACACACACAAAAATAAATTTTCTGCTGTTTCAAAGATGAGTAATGGTGAAACCACACACAGCACGACTATATATTGAAATCTGCAAAACTATTCAAAGAACTGCCTCATAGAGAGGCAAAAAGTAAAATAAAATCCAAGCACTTGTTTGCAGTATTTCCCATATTTTGAAAAATAGACTTTTTAGGTTTTGATTTTTTTTTCTCTCGTTACAAAATTAAGGTGTTTTGTTTTTTGAGACAGGGTCCCACCCAGGCTGGAGTGCAGTGGCACATGATGACGGCTCACTGCATACTTGAATTCCTGGGCCCAAGCAATCCTCCCACCTCAGCCTCTCAAGTAGTTGGGACCACAGGCATGCCTGGCTAATTTTTGTATTTTTTGTAGAGAAGACGGGGTCTCCCTATGTTGCCCAGGCTGGTAACACAGTGTAACCTGATGTGCTTCCCTGGGAACCCAGCCTGACAGAAACTGCAGCTGAACAGCAGCAAAAGTGTGAGCTCACCCCTTCTTTCCATTCACCTTAGTGAATGGTATTAATTCCAAATCTTCAATGGCCATTTTAATGCAACCAGTTGTAGTCACACGTATCTTCTTTCTGAAACTAGTATGGAAATAATTTACTATAAAATTGGATTTAGTATATGCTAGATTGTAATTTCATTAACTCTGACAAATATTTTTTAAGCTCTTATTTACTTGAATGCCATAAGTCTATTCTGTTTGTGTTTTTGGATTTTTTTAAAAGTGAAGCCGTTAATAGCATCCAAAATGTCATTGATATATAGATTACTTGGTGATCTTTCAGATAAAGTTTTAAATGTAGTTCTTTAATTTCAGAATATGAGATTATTTACTACCTTGAAATCTGGAGAATTTTTTTCTTAAGAAACTACCATGTATAGACCTTTTATATTGGTTTCTTTTTTGGCTTAAAGGTCAGGATTTAAAACTGTTTAGGAAATACATTTCAGATCTGTGACCTACTTTTTTTATTTTTTATTTTTATTTTATTTTATTTATTTATTTATTTATTTATTTATTTATTTATTTATTTATTTATTTTTGAGACGGAGTCTTGCTCTGTTGCCCAGGCTGGAGTGCAGGAGCATGATCTTGGCTCACTGCAACCTCTGCCTTCTGGGTTCAGGCAATTCTCGTGCCTCAGCCTCCCAAGAAGCTGGGATTACTGATGCGCATCACCACACCCAGCTAATTTTTGTTTTCTTTTTAATAGAGACGGGTTTTGCCATGTTGGCCAAGCTGGTCTCGAACTGCTGGCCTCAAGCAGTCTTCCCACCTTGGCCTCCCAAAGTGCTAGGATTACAGGCATGAGCCACCTTGCCAAGCCTGCGACCTACATTTTATTGTTACTGCTAATTTACAAACTTTTATTCTCAAGGACAAAGTCAAGTCTATGTTATGCCTTCCATGCATATGTGCTTCATAAAAGGGAATAAAATTATAGCTTGTTATATTTCTTTTATGTAAATTTCAACAATTTTTTTTTTTCCTTTTCCTCTTTTTTTTTTTTTGAGATGAAGTCTTGTTGCCTAGGCTGGAGTGCAGTGGTGTGATCTCAGCTTACTGCAACCCCTGCCTCCTGGGTTCAAGCGATTCTCCTGCCTCAGCACCCCAAGTAGCTGAGATTACAGGCGCCCACCACCACGCCCTGCTAATTTTTTGTATTTTTAGTAGATGCGGGATTTCACCATGTTAATAACCAAGCTGGACTCTAACTCCTGACCTCAGGTGATCCACCCACCTCAGCCTCCCATAGTGTTGGAATTACAGGCGAGAGGCGTGGCGCCGGGCCGACTTAACAATTCTTAAAGCAAATCCAATTTACTACCCCTGCATTGTATTACCCATAGTGCCCCAAAACAAAAACAAGTTTTGTCAGTCCTGTCCCCTTTATACCACATTACAGAGGGCGTTAGTGGCATTTGGCTTGATTGATAAATCAGGGAATCCTTAGGAAGAAAAGAGTTCCTCTTTCAGGAATTCATTGTGAAGATAATGTTACTTGTTATTTGCTATATAGAAAGGGTAAACTTAACATATAGCTTGTTTAGTGTGCATACTCATTAGTGAATTTAATGTATGCACACTACTCATTCAACAGAGTGAGTAGAGAGAACAAGCATTCATTTTTGGGCTGGGCATGGTGGCTCACGCCTGTAATGCCAGCACTTCGGGAGGCCAAGGCGGGCGGATCAGAAGGTCAGGAGTTTGAGACCAGGCTGACCAACATTGGTGAAACCCCATCTCTACTAAAAATACAAACATTAGCTGGGCATGGTGGTGTGTACCTGTAATCCCGGCTACACAGGAGGCTGAGGCAGGAGAATCGCTTGAACCCAGGAGGCGGAGGTTGCAGTGAGCCAAGGTCGTGCCATTGCACTCCAGCCTGGGCAACAGAGTGAGACTGTCTCAAAAAAAAATTCATTTTTGTTTTGGGATGAATTTGTGTTTCATGTTACTAGTTCCTTTGTAAATGATAAATTTGTTCAACTGCTAGAAGTAATTTCCTAATTGAGAAAAGTTTTCCTCCCATTTTATTAGATTACAGAGAATGGCAAGGTTTGCTTGACCTTTTAGTTTTGGCTTTTTGATTTTTATTAAATTGAAGACTTTACTAAGGTCTGTACAATATAAAAAATTATCCGAATGTCTTGATCGGCTGGCTTTTTCTCCCTCAAGAAACATTTAGATAATTCTATAAATTTATTTACTACTTAACCATGCTCTAAAATTTACTCAGCTTTCAATATGTTACTTGCAAGACGTAATTTTTTTCACTTGTTAATTGGAACTGCATATAAAAACTATGCCCATTTCTGACTAGTCAATTCAAAAATGTTTAAAACCACTGTTGTGGTATTCTTCAAATGTAGCTTATATCATCTTAAGAATGATTGCTTTTTCTTCACATACGGCTATCGGTGGAGGGATGCTAAAAATTTAAAATTTTATGGAAGTTGGCTTGTCTCTGTACATGCACATATAGAGAGATATATACATAATGGTTTTATATTGTGTTATTTTAAATTCATTGAAATTAATTTTGCAGGTTGGAAAGGGCAAAGAAATTACAAGAACAGCGAGAAAAGGAAATGGTTGAAAAACAAAAACAACAAGAAATAGCTGCAGGTAATTTTTTTCATTCTTTTTTAGTCATCTCGATTTGAGCTCTTTCAAGCTTTTTTGTTTTTCACAGGGATTTGCTCTGTCATTCTGACTGGAGTGCAGTGGCTCCAGCATAGCGCATGGTAGCCTCAAACTCCCAGGCTCAAGTGATCCTCCCACCTCAGCCTACCGAGTAGCTGGGACTGCAGGTCCCACATCACCATGCATGGCTAATTTTTTTCTTATTTTTTGTAGAGAGGACCTTTCACTATGTTGCCAAGACTATTCTTGATCTCGGGCTTAAGCAGTCCTCCTGCCCCAGCCTCCCAAAGTGCTGGGATTGCAGGCATGAGCCACTGCACCCAGCCTAAGTTTGACATGCTTTTTGTAGAAAAATTGAAAAATATAGAAAATAATAGGAAGAAAATCACCTATGATTCCTACTTCCCATCAGTACACTGTAAACGTGTATTTTAGTGTTCTCACTTAAGTGTTTTGTAGCTTGTTTCTGATGTGGTCCATGTGGATAATTTTTGTTGATAAATTAGTAATGAGTATGTTTGTTTATGTAACACTAGTCATCATGACAGATCTTGTTGTTGTTGTTACGGAGTCTCGCTCCATCGCCCAGGCTGGAGTGCAGTGGCGTGATCTCAGCTTACTGCAACCTCTGCCTCTTGGATTTAAGCGATTCTCCGCCTCAGCCTCCCCTGTAGCTGGGACTACAGGTGTGCACCACCACATCTAGCTAATTTTTGTATTTTTAGTAGAGACGGGGTTTCACCGTGTTGAACCAGGATGGTGTCGATCTCTTGACCTGGTGATCGTCCTTCTTGGCCTCCCGAAGTGCTGGGATTACAGGCATGAGCCACCACGCCCGGCCCCAGATGTCTTTTACGATTTTGGAAATGTAGTTTATGCAAGAAAGTGAACTGATCTGAAATATGTATTTCTCTTTCAAGAAATCAAGTTTTTATGCGTAACAAACATTGCAGATTTCAAAAATTATCAGGCCTGGCTCAGTGACTCACTTCTGTAATCCCAGCACTTTGGGAGGCCAAGGCAGGTGGGTCACCTGAGGTCAGTAGTTCAAGACCAGCCTGGCCAACATGGCAAAACCCCATCTCTGCTAAAAATACAAAAATTAGCCAGGCGTGGTTGTGTGTGCCTATAGTCCCAGCTACTCAGGAGGCTTGAACTCGGGAGGTAGAGGTTGCAGTGAGCCAACATCACGCCATTGCACTCTAGCCTGGGTGACAGAGTGAGACCCTGTCTCACGAAAAAGAAAAAAACAAAAACAAAAAACAAAAAATTATCACGAAGAGCTTACTGTTGATTTGGTATGAAATTTAATCTGGAAGATGGTTTTTTGTTGTTTTTTACATTTTTGGTAAACAGTGGCACTTATTTGAAACTCTAAAAGTTTACAAATAGCCATTTTATTTTTACTACATCATTACTCTCTTTGGTAACTCTGGTTCCCATAATGTTGGTAATTTAAGTACTTTTTAAGGTTATATTCTGGACTGACAAAAATAGGTAATCAGAGGTGTCTTTTTTTACAGAGGACTGCTCAATCACAGTGGAAATACCAGGGCTTTATTGAACTTGGACTTAGCATAATACCTGCATACTGTTGTTGTTTTTGGGTTTTTTTTTGTTTTTGTTTTTGTTTTTTTTTTTGAGACGGAGGCTCATACTGTCGCCTGTGCTGGAGTACAGTGGCACAATCCTGACTCACAACAACCTCCACCTCTCGGGTTCAAGTGATTCTCCTGCCTCAGCCTCCTGAGTACCTGGGCTTATAGGCGCCTGCCACCACGCCTGGCTAATTTTTTTGTAGTTTTTATTTGAGACGGGGTTTCACTATGTTGGCCAGGCTGGTCTCGAACTCCTGACCTTGTGATCCGCCTGTCTTGGCCTCCTAAAGTGCTGGGATTACAGACGTGAGCCACTGCGCCCAGCCTTAGCTGCATACTGTTTTTCAAGTATATGATGTGAGCATCAAATGAAATGTCCATGAGAACATTTCATAAATTTAAAAAAATACAAGGTTTTATTGTTTTGTAATTATACCTTAGAAACACTATAGTTCATCTCCACTGAAATCATACTTTCTTACTATTTGCAGAATTCTCTATCCTCAAAGTAAATAAATGGGTTTTTTTTTTGTTTTGATACGGAGTTTCGCTCTTGTTGCCCAGGCTGGAGTGCAGTGGCATGATCTCGACTCACTGCAACCTTCGCCTTTTGGGTTCAAGTGATTCTCCTGCGTCAGCCTCCCGAGTAGCTGAGATTACGGGCATGTACCACCACGCCCGGCTAATTTTGTATTTTTGGTAGAGACGGGGTTTCTCCATGTTGGTCAGGCTGGTCTCGAACTCCCAACCTCAGGTGATCCGCCCACCTCAGCCTCCCAAAGTGCTGGGATTACAGGCGTGAGCCACTGCGCCTTGCAATAAATGGTTTATATATCAAGGGTTTATGTAGAAATATGTCCGTTGATGAACACAATAAATGTTTGCTAAAAACTTGTGAGCTAATACTCAGTCATTTCCTTGGATTTGGTGAAAATCCTGCCTTTTTGCACATTCATAGCTTTTTATAAATCGTTCGTTAATGTAAATCAGGAGGTTTATGTTTTAAAATCGTTTTAAAATCCATTTTTGTATTCTCTTCAAGCAGCTGCAGCTACTGGAGGTTCTGTTCTCAATGTTGCTGCCCTGTTGGCATCAGGAACACAAGTAACACCTCAGATAGCCATGGCAGCTCAGATGGCAGCCCTGCAAGCTAAAGCTTTGGCAGAGACAGGAATAGCTGTTCCTAGCTACTATAACCCAGCCGCTGTTAATCCAATGAAATTTGCTGAACAAGAGAAAAAAAGGAAAATGCTTTGGCAGGGCAAGAAAGAAGGGGTAAGTTCTCTTATTCTGCTTTTCTGTCGTTTATTCCTAATTAGTAATTGCTTAGAAAAACAAATTTGGGTTGAAAAATATTACTTTCGGCTTAACTTTGTAAGAACCTGGGGTGGCCAGACGCGGGTGGCTTATGCCTTTAATCCCAGCACTTTGGGATGCCAAGTGAGCGGATCAGTTGAGGTAAGGAGTCCAAGACCAGCCTGGCCAACATGGCAAAACCCTGTCTCTACTGAAAAGAAGATAAAAATCAGCTGGGTGTGGTGGCACACACCTGTAATCCCAGGTGCTTGGGAGGCTGAGGCAGGAGAATCGCTTGAGCCTGGGATGCAGAGCCTACATACAGTGAGCCAAGATCATGCCACTTAGCCAGGCATGGTGGTGGGCACCTGTAATCCCAGCTACTTGGGAGGCTGAAACAGGAGAATCACTTGATCCTGGGAGGCGGAGGTTGCAGTGAGTTTCCAGCGAAACTCCATCTGGAAAAAAAAAAAAAAAATCACGCCACTGCACTTCAGCCTGGGTGAGACCCTGTCTCAAAAAACTTATAATAAGCTATGATAGTCTTATTTGCCAGTTATTAATACTAAAATAAAACATAATTGATTGAAGTCAAGCTTTCAAAGAAAACTAATATTACCATAGAAGTAGTAAGGAAAAGAGGCTACTTGGTTTAGAATTTTTCATAGATTATGAGGTACTTTTTTTTTTTTGACATTATTTGCAATGACAAATGACATTAAATGCAAATGACATGCAGTCGCAAAAATTGCATGTTGAAAAAGGTCTATGACAGGAAAATAATCCATTTTTTTATTTTATTTTTATTATTTTTGAGACAGAGTCTTGCTCTTGTCACCCAGGCTGGAATGCAGTGGTGTGATCTCAGCTCACTGCAACCTCTGCCTCCCAGGTTCAAGCAATTCTCCTGCCTCAGACTCCTGAGACCCTCCTGGGTCTACAGGTGCCCACCACCATGCCAGGCTAGTTTTTTGTATTTTTAGTAGAGACGGGGTTTCACCTAGTCATCCAGGCTAGTCTCGATCCCCTGACCTCAGGTGATTTGCCCACCTCGGCCTTCCAAAGTGCTGGGATTATAGGAGTGAAGCACGGCGCCAACCTCTTGCTTGTATTTCTTTGCTTTGTGGTTTCTTAAGTCTTGAAATAATTAAACTTACATTGATTGAATGCTATCCATGGTGTTTTTTTTTTTAATTTAGACATTGTTGAGAGATTTCATGTCCTAAAAAATATTTAAATTTTACATATTTTAAAGTTCAGTGTTTGTTAACAGGACAAATCCCAATCTGCTGAAATATGGGAAAAATTGAATTTTGGAAACAAGGACCAAAATGTCAAATTTAGGAAATTGATGGGTATTAAGGTGAGTTTCACATGTGCCAGGGGATCTTTGTATTAGCTATTAGCCCTCCTGCACTGTTCTTCCCTCATTTTCTTAGTTCTGGTCTTTACTCAGGTGTCAGCGTTTTTGAGTTCTTTCCCACCACCTTTTGTGAAATAACAAGCAATCCCATTCTGAAACATTTCCATCTCCCCTACCCACTGTCCTCCCTACACACACACTTGGAGAGAGAGAGAGAGACGGGGTTTTGCTCTGCTTGCTCTGTCACTTGGGCTGGAGTACAGTGGTGCAGTCATACCTCACTGCAGCCTTAAACTTCGAGGCTCAAGCAGTCCTTCCACCTCGGCCTCTCAAAGCCCTGGATCACAGTTCTGAGCCACTGCGCCCAGCCTCCATCCCCATTTTCTACTTTACTTTCCTCTGTGGCATTTATACCCTGACATCTTCTACATATTATGTTTTTTCCAACCTACTAAACTGAAGTTAACTTTTGTTACACCCTGCTATATTCCAGACCTAGAAAGAACATTGCCTTGTCCTTTGGAGGTGTTCAATAATGAATGGAAATTAAGTTATTGAGATCAAATACATATCCCAAAAGTATATTTTTGTTTGTTTGTTTTTTGTTTTTAGTATAGACGGGGTTTCACCATGTTGGCCAGGCTAGTCTCGAAATCCTGACCTCAGGTGATCCACCCGTCTCAGCCTCCCAAAGTGCTGGGATTACAGGCGTGAGCCACACTGCACCCGGCCAAAAGTATAATTTAATAGTGTCAGCCTAGTTCACACCTGTAATCCCAACACTTCGGGAGGCCGGGGGGCAGGCGGCAGGGGGGATCCCTGAGGTCAGGAGTTCGAGACCAGCCTGACCAATGTGGTGAAACCCCGTCTCTACTGAAAATACAAAAATTAGCTGGGCGTGGTGGCATGTGCCTCTAATCCCAGCTATTTGGGAGGCTGAGGCATAAGAATTACTTAAACCCAGGAGGCAGAGGTTGCAGTGAGCCGAGATGGCACCACTGCACTCCAGACGGGACAACAGAGCAAGACTCCATCTCAAAAAAAAAAAATACATAAAAAATAGTGTCAAGTGAGAGAATATTTATCTCCATCTGAATTCATTGTAATGTTTTATGTCTGATTTTTAGAGTGAAGATGAAGCTGGATGTAGCTCAGTTGATGAAGAAAGTTACAAGACTCTGAAGCAGCAGGAAGAAGTATTTCGAAATTTAGATGCTCAGTATGAAATGGCAAGATCACAAACCCACACACAAAGAGGAATGGGTTTGGGTTTCACATCTTCAATGCGAGGAATGGATGCAGTTTGAAAATGATCACACTTGTAAAGTTTGGGACTTATAGACTTCTTGTTCTGATGTCACGTCCTTGTTCACCAAACAGCTAGCACTCTAGCTTGCATGGGTGTTGCATTGACTTTAATTTATTGAAAAATACAAATTTTTGTAAATATCAGATCAGTGATACTGGTGTTAGTGTTGTAATCAGGTTAAACCCACTTCCATTAAACTTGACAGGACTATAGAAGGATAATATTTTTTAGTTCATGAATTCTACTTTTCAAATATATAAAAGCTGCAGGTGGGGATAAAATCTCATACATGGATTTTTTCGTGTCCGCTGTCTTGTGTACTTTTGTACTTAACCTTGTACAGTTATTTTCATCTCTTGAAACATGAAAGAAATGTTATGTAGATGTTCTTTAGAAGATCTGGCCATTTGGTACATAATCCAGCACAGATAAGCTGGGTGGTAATGATAATAAAAATGGTTTTCTCAAAACTGGTGTTAATTTAAGTTACCTGGGATGTTTCTTTGAATTTGTTTTATAGTTTCTGTAGCATTTGGCAATTGCTGTTAGAAAACACTAGCTAGAAATCCCCTCCCCACCACCCTTTTTAAGGCCAGTTAACTATACTACAGTCAATACCGTGGTGAGCAAAAATGTAAAAGGTGGAAGGAGAAAACTTACTAAAATAGTATGTTTTCCTATTATAAGGGACAGACTTGGTATTCAGTATTTGTCAAATATTACATGTGTTATTCAGGAGATAGATTAATGCATTAAAGGGATGTAAGCACTTTTATTTTAATAAAGTGCCTTATAACAAGTTCTTTGCATGCTTTTTGCTCATTATCCCTTTGAAGTCTTCTCCAGCATAGACTATAAAATATTAAAATATTAGAAATTTTTTTTGTTTGTTTTTTTGAGACAGGATCTTGCTCTGTTGCCTAAACTGGGTGCAGTGGCACAATCTCGGCTCACTGCCAGAGCCTCTGCCCCCCAGGTTCAAGCAATTCTCCCACCTCCACCTCCCATGTAACTGGGATTACAGGCGTACCACCGCACCCAGCTAATTTTTGTATTTTTAGTAGAGGTGGGGTTTTACCATGTTGGCCAGGCTGGTCCTGAACTCCTGACCTCAGGTGATCCACCCTCCTCAGCCTCCCAAAGTGCCGGGATTATAGGCGTGAGCCACTGCAGCCAGCCTAGAAAATGTTTTGTTACTAGATTGAACATAAATCTGGAGCCAAGGGGTGGGGGGGGCCTGCAAAACTTGAAGTTAATTTACTTCAGTTACAGCAAAGTAATAAGGTTTGGCTTTCCTTTGAAAAATCCTTTGGAAAACATCACAGAATGAGAGCACATTACAATCAGGGAAGACTACAGGAATAAGATTGACAGCCTTATTTTAAAAGCTGGAATTAAGTCTTGCCAACTTGCTCATTAGGTATTTTTTTTATACATGAAAATGAAGTAATGGGGTGTTTTCTTTTTTTTTGCTTTCTGTCCTAGGCTGGAGTGCAGTGCATTGCAGCAGGCTCCCCCAGGCTCAAGCAGTCCTCCCACCTCAGCCTCTTGAGTACCTGGGACCACAGGTGCTCACCAACACACCTAGCTTGTTTTTAATTTTTTATAAAGACAAGGTCTTGTTACGTTGCCCAGGTTGGTCTTGAATTCCTGGCCTCAAGCAATCCTCCCACCTCAGGGCTCCCAAAGTGATGGGGTTACAGGTGTGATCCACTTCACCTAGCCAGATTGTAAGATTTTTAATGTACTTTAATAAACCTTTCATTTTCCCAGAGCACAGAAATTCTATGGCAAAATGGCTTTTCACCGTGTTTCAGTGACAAATCTAAGCCTTCTAAGGAAATGACACTATGGATCCTTCATTTCGTGATCATCAACATTTTTCAATTAAGCTCTGCCTTTTTAAATCAATCTTATTAAAAATGTTCATGACCTTCTAAGGCAGTGTGGACGCAAAAGCTTCCTGTGTGTCTACAGTTATTTTAGGAGCTGACCATACATGATGAGTGATACAGCCTGTACTTTGCTCATCTAGAGCAGCACTGTCCAATAAAATATGTGTGTATATGTATATTGGTCCAAGTGATCTTCCCACCTCACTCCCCTGAGTAGCTGGCACCAAAGGCCCATGACAATGTACCTGAGATGGGGTTCTCAGGCTGTTGGCCAGGCTGGTCTCCCACTCTTGGCCTCAAATGATCTGCATCATCTCAGCCTCCCAAAG
The DNA here is from genome assembly GCF_000001405.40 of Homo sapiens. Taxonomy (NCBI): domain Eukaryota; kingdom Metazoa; phylum Chordata; class Mammalia; order Primates; family Hominidae; genus Homo; species Homo sapiens. The sequence goes on along the minus strand of NC_000012.12, from coordinate 122,503,300 downwards.
TGCTACCTGGGATTCAGGTGTGAAGCCACAGTGCCTGGCCTAAGTATTTTATTTCAATTTCTTTTTTGAGTAGCCAAATGCAAATAATTAAAAGATGAAATTACAGTTGTCCCTTGAACACATGGGTTTGAACTTTAGGGTCCACTTACATGCAGAATTTTTTTTTCTTTTTTTCTTTTTTTTTTTTTTGTGAGAGACTCTTTTGCCCAGGCTGGAGTGCAGTTGCATGATCCTAGCTCACTGCAACCTTTGTCTCCTGGGTTCAAGCAATTTTCCTGCCTCAGCCTCCTGAGTAATTGGAATTACAGGCACCCGCCACCACGCCCGGCTAATTTTTGTATTTTTCGTAGAGACGGGGTTTCACTATGTCAGCTAGGCTGGTCTTGAACTCCCGGGTTACACCATGTTGGCCAGGCTGGTCTTGAACTCCTGACCTCATGATCCACCCGCCTGGGCCTCCCAAAGTGCTGGGATTACAGGCGTGAGCCACCACGCCAGGCCTCATGCAGATTTTTCAGTGAAAGTAAACCTGGGAGGCGGAGGTTGCAGTGAGCCGAGATCATGCCACTGCACTCCAGCCTGGGTGACACAGTGAGACTCTGTCTCAAAAAATAAAATTTCAAAAAAAAAAAATTTAAATGGCCAGGCACAGTGGGTCATTCCTGTAATCCCAGTATTTAGGGAGGCAGAGGCAGGAGGATAGCTTTAGCTCAGAAGTTCAAGACCTACCTGGGCAATATAGGGAGATCCTGTTGTCCACAAAAAGAAAAAAAAAATGTTAAAATGTGTAAGTGACTTCCCAATGTTGTAAACGGAAAGAGGCTTCCTTAAGGGCCTTTGAGCACTGACCTAGCAGTGTTCCAACCTCATCTTGCTCCACTCTGCCTTTTCACTCAACATGGTGGTCCTTACACCTAAGACACTCTTCCATCCTCCCACCCCCAACTTTGCCGATCCTTAAAGTCTCACTTCCTCACTTTACTGACTCCCACAGACTAGGGTGTTTGTTAAATATTCATAACTTCCTGTGTTTTTCACCTTTTTTTTTTTTTTTTTTTTTTTGAGACAGAGTCTTGCTCTGTCGCCCAAGCTGGAGTGCAGTGGCACGATTTCGGCTCACTGCAACCTCTGCCTCCCGGGTTCAAGCGATTCTCCTTCCTCAACCTCCTGAGTAGCTGGGATTACAGGCGTGTGCCACTACGCCTGGCTAATTTTTGTATTTTTAGTAGAGACAGGGTTTCTCCATGTTGGTCATGCTCGTCTTGAATTTCTGACCTCGTGATCCACCTGCCTCGGCCTCCCAAAGTGCTGGGGTTGCAGATGTGAGCCACCGCCCCCGGCCCACATTTCTTTGTGTGATCAATATCCATCAACAACCATCTCGACCCAAGAACAGGAACATTTATAATTATGGGGTTTTTGTTGCTTTTTGTGGACTACAGCCTTCGTGAGAGGAGGAATTACTCTATTGTGGTTACTCTTGTAACCATACTCAGGTCCTAGACAAGTGCCTGGCCCATCGAAGGTGTAAGTAAATAATGTGATTGAATGACAGAAAGCCTCAACAGACAAATAGTTGAGTCTAGCTAATCTTACATTAAAAACGAAGCAAGCTCAATAAACTAATCTACAACAGTCATCTCTGTAGCAAAGCTGGAGTTTCTTATTCTCTTTTATGTTTATTTTTATTCAGTTCCCTTTCAGGCTATGGAGTTCCTTATTCTCTGGTGTGGCACGCACACCAGAATCTGTGAGAAGCTATGCGTCGTGCTCTGATTTTTCACCCTTAGTTGCCTAACAGGAACATCCCATACTGGTTTTTGTTTTTCTTTTTCTTTTTGAGACAGGGTCTTGCTTTGTCTCCCAGGCTGGTGTGCAGTGGCGCCATCTGGGCTCAATGCAGCCTCGACCTCTTGGGCTCAAACCCTCCCGCCTCAGCTTGCCGAGTACTTGGGACTACAATCGCCCAGCTAATTTTTATATTTTTTTGTAGTGTCTGGGTCTCGCTCTGTTGCCCAGGGTGGTCTCCAACTCCTGGGCTCACGTGATCCTCCCACCTCTGCCTCCCGAGTAGTTGGTATTACAGGTGTGAGCCACCCCGCCCTGCCCCCAGATTGCTTTAGCGCATTCTGACCTACTCCAGCTTTCTTCACATTTCAAAAAGCACCAATCCCAGGATGCAATGCAGACAATGAGTACCAGTCGCTTAGAAACCACACGTCCCAGCATGCCGTCCTCCGGGCAATCGCAAGCCCGATAGGCCCCGCTGCATTCCGGGAGTTGTAGTCTCTAGCGACTGGCCCCGCCCCGTGTGCAGCTTTCGCGGCCTGCGTCTGGAGAAAACCCTAGCGGGTGGCTCCGTGCGGCCAGAGCTCTAGAGAGTGGTGCCGCCTTCCAACCTTCTTCCCCAAGCCCTGGTGGCCGGCTCCGCCTCTTCTCGAATCTTTTCCACAGCCCAAAATGGCCGCAGAGGTGTATTTTGGCGATCTAGAGCTCTTCGAGCCGTTCGACCACCCAGAGGAGTCGATTCCGAAGCCCGTTCACACTCGCTTCAAGGACGACGACGGCGACGAGGAGGACGAAAATGGGGTCGGCGACGCGGAGCTACGGGAGCGGCTTCGGCAGTGCGAGGAGACCATCGAGCAGCTCCGCGCCGAGAATATCCTTTCCTCTCGCTGGGCCCTGTCACCCGGGTGTGGGGCCGGGGCAGCGCCAGGCGTGGGGCCGGGGCAGCGCCGGGCGAGGGCGAGGGCGCGGGCGGAAGTTCCAGGAGGGCCAGAATTCCAAGTGCTTTCTGTCACCCGCCGGCGGACCGAGAGTCTAGGGTTCGGGGCGCGCAGGCTGCCTCGGCGCAGACCTCTTCCCCTCAGGGAGGCCGTCTCCTGACCAGACCCACTCCTGCCTCCCACCCGGGTGCCGTGTTTAGGGTTATTTTAGGCTGCTCACCTGACAGATTGTACACAAGCCCTTAATTGCCCCCCTCTGTTTGAGGTCGTGGTGAGGTTTCATATTTCGCAGCCACGCTCAAATTGTGCCGTCATGTTACAGTTGTAGGTGATGAAATACCGGCTGCTTAGACGCGGGATCGGTTTTTATACCGGGGCAAACGCTAGTGGTCCCAGAATGCAGAGTTGGGGGCCTCAAGGAATCCGGGTGTGCTGAGATAATTGGTTAATTGCTTGATTAAAATTGGGGATTAATTTTAGAGTTCTTCCACTCGGAGCTCGCTTCTGTGCTGAAGATGCTTTGCAACGCCTTGAGGAAAACGCGCCAAAGAAGTTTCTGTTAGACTTGAGTTACAAGATTGCAGATTTTTCTTGATTTGCTAGTATGTTTTTTTTTACGTTCGTAGAGTTTTATAGGTAGATAGATAACTTTGGTTCGGGTAGTTTTCCTTTTAAAATTTGTAGAGAACTGAAAGTGGCTGATATGTTAGCTTTTTTAGGGGGACGGGGTCGGGGAATGGAGTCTCAGTCTGTTGCCCAGGCTGGAGTGCAGTGGCGCGATCTCGGCTCACTGCAACCTCCGCCTCCCGGGTTCAAGCGATTCTCCTGCCTCAGCCTCCCGAATAGCTGGGATTACAGGCGCCCGCCACGGCGCCCAGTCAGTATATCAGTTTTTAAGGTTTGTGAAGCGCGATTTATTTTTTCAGAATGTCGTCTTCCTCCACATTGTGAGGAAAATTTTCAGAATACAAAAAGTTGAGGCCGGGCGCTGTGGCTCAAGCCTGTAATCCCAGCACTTTGGGAGGCCGAGGCGGGTGGATCATGAGGTCAGGAGGATCATGAGGATCAGGTGGATCATGAGGATCAGGAGGTCAGCCTGGCCAACATGGTGAAACCCCGTCTCTACTAAAAATACAAAATTAGCCGGGCGTGGTGGCGCGTGCTTGTAATCCCAGCTACTCAGGAGGCTGAGGCAGGAGAATCCCTTGAACCTGGGAGGCGGAGGTTGCAGTGAGCCAAGATCACACCATTGCACTCCAGCCTGGGCGACAGGGTGAGACTGTGTCTCAAAAAAAAAAAAAAAAAGTTGAAAGGATTCTACAGTGGACATCCATAGATTTATTCCAAATTCTAAAGTTGTTAACAGCTCGTTATACTGCATTCTCTTTATCACATAGTGGTTGTTGAAAGGTTTGACAGGAACACTGATGCTTCAATAATGGTTTTGGTTCAGTTTGTTAGTCTGTTGAACTTCAGGATCGTGTCTTAGAATATATGTTCGAAAGGATAAAAACCGTACTTTAATTTTGGGTTTCAAAAGCCTACCCCTGCAACAAAATAGAAGCTCAATAAGTGTGTCATCCTCAAAATATCCGTGGGTCTTTTGTCTTTATAATATTCTGACACCAAAAGTGAGAGAAGTAGTAGTTGAATTTTATGATTTGCATTGTTAAATGAGGGCTTATCTTCCTTAACAAATAATAACATCAAGAACTTAAACGAAAATTGAACATTCTGACTCGACCGAGGTATGAGATTTTTGAAATTACTCCATAGTTGTCCCTTATTATTTATCCTGATATTAATATTTAATCAGAATTTCGTTGTAAAAAGTGTATGGGATTTTTGTATCATTTTTATTTGTTTAGCATACTCTGAAGAAATCAAAGTAATAGTTATTTAATTGTGGGGATAAGGTCTGAATTCTCATAAGTGGATTAAAATTGTAAGCTCATTTATTGGATGAAAGGATGAAACAAAATCCAGAAAATGTTTACTTAATGTTCAGAATAGGCAAGTTGTTAACCTAGCTATTCCTATTTAACAAACATTTCTAGAAAGTTAGAATTAAGATTACAATATTGGCTGGGTCTGGTGGCTCATGCCTGTAATTCCAGCACCTAAAAAAAAAAATTATAGTATAATGGGCCAGGGGCAGTGGCTCACGCCTGTAATCCCAGCACTTTGGGAGGCCGAGGTGGGCGGATCAACTGAGGTCAGTTCGAGAGCAGCCTGGGCAACGTGGTGAAACGCTGTCTCTACTAAAATTACAAAAATAAGCTGGACGTGGTGGGCGCCTGTAATCCCAGCTACTTGGGAGGCTAAGGCAGGAAAATCCCTTGAACCCGGGAGGTAGAGGTTGCAGTGAGCTGAGAGTGACAAGAGCGAAACTCCGTCTGAAAAAAAAAAAAAAAAAGATTACAGTATTACTCTAGCTGAAGATTTATTTACATAGTTAAAATGTGTTCATAAATAGAACAATGAAAGAATCAGCATTTTAGAAGAAAAAGTAATGTGCTTTTGAAAAAGATAAAGTGTGTAGATTTGCATTTAGGCATCTGATTTTATGTTTTTGTTTTTGTTTGAGACAAGATCTCACTCTGTCACTCAGGCTGGTGTACAGTGTTGCAATTATAGCTCACTGAAACCTTGATCCTCCCGCCTCAGCCTCCCAAATAGCTGGGACTACAGGCAGACACCACCACACCCAGCTACTTTTTTTTTTTCTGATAGAGTCAGGGTCTTGCTGTGTTACTCAAGCTGGTCTCAAACTCCTGGCCTGAAGTGATCCTTCTGCCTAGGCCTCCCAAAGTGCTGGAATTACAGGGATGAGCCACCATGCCCAGCCTAGGCACCTAACTTTAACAGAGATATTACTGGTATCTCAAAATATATATTTATTTAACAGGTCACTAATCTAAAGTATTTGTTAAAGTACAGATTATGAGAAATTATATTTTCAAGCTTTCAGAATTTGGAGGTGCCATGATGTAATTTCACATGCACTTTTTTATTATATTTTTTAATTTTTTTGAGACAGAGTGTTACTCTGTTTCCCAGGCTAGACTGCAGTGGTACTATCTCAGCTCACTGCAACCTTCACCTCCCGGGTTCAAGCAATTCTCCTGCCTCAGCCTCCCGAATAGCTGGGATTACAGGTGCCCACTACCACACTCGGCTAATTTTTATATATTTAGTAGAGATGGGGCTTCACCATGTTGGCCAGGCTGGTCTCGAACTCCTGGCCTCGAGTGATCTGTCCACCTCAACCTCCCAAAGTGCTGGAATTAACAGGCATGAGCCACTGCACCTGGCCTCACATGAACTTTTTAGTCCCTGGCACCAGTTGGAATAACTGGCTGCAGTGGTGACTACAGGTTTAAATTTTAGAATTTAGAAATATTTCAGATTTTTTTTTTTTGAGATGGAGTCTCGCTCTGTCGCCCAGGCTGGAGTGCAGTGGCATGACCTCGGCTCACTGCAGCCTCCACCTCCTGGGTTCAAGCGATTCTGCTTTCTCCTGCCTCAGCCTCCTGAGTAGCTGGGACTACAGGTGCCTGCCACCAGGCCCGGCTAATTTATTTGTATTTTTAGTAGAGATGGGGTTTCACCGTGTTGGCCAGGATGGTCTTGATCTCCTGACATCATGATCTGCCCGCCTCGGCTTCCCAAAGTGCTGGGATTACAGGCAGGAGCCACCGCACCCGGCCAATATTTCAAATTAACTTCCTCATATCTCACCCTTTTTTCTCTATGTGAGCTAACTTTGTGTATCTAAACTCATTTTTGGCTGGGCACAATGGCTCACACCTGTAATCTCAGCACTTTGGGAGGACTGCTTGAGACCAGAAGTGGGAGACCAGTCTGGACAACATGGTGAGACTCTGTCTCTACAAAAAATTTTTAAAAATTAGCTGGATGTGGTGGCATGTTCCTCTGGTCTCAGCTACATGGGAGGCTTAATAAAATAAACTAAATTTTGATTAGGTATTCAATATATTAAATATAACTAGGATTCCTCATAAAAGTCATAATTTTTATATGTTAAAGATGTTTTATTTAGATAAGTTTACACTTTCTAATGGAGTCATTCATTTAAACATTTAATATTTATCTTAAATTGGGTGATTTTTATCCGAGTTCAAACGATTACCGCATCATATAGGCTTTGCCAGTTTATAAGCACAAAGGATTAGTATCATGAAAAAGAAATAAATCAGTGTTTTCTTAGAATTGGTGCCCTCCATATTGTCAGGCTGATAAAGTGTTGTACAGAAAACCAAGGAAAAAGGACAAATTAAATTATTTAGATAAAATTTGTGCTCTCAAGCCTTTTGATTTAGTCCTTATTTTTGAAACTGTTATAATCAGAAGTTTCTCCTGGTTTTTGTTTTTTTTTAAATTTTTTGAGACAATTTCTCACTCTGTCGTCTAGGCTGGACTGCAGTCGTGCAGTTACTGCTCACTGCAGCCTCAACCTCCCAGGCTCAAGTGATCCTCCCATCTCAGCCTCCTGAGTAGCTGGAACCACAGGAACATGCCACCACACCTGGCTAACTTTTGTATTTAGCTTAGAGATGGGGTTTTGCCAAATTGCCAGGCTGGTTTCAAACTCCTAGGCTCAAGTGATCCTCCTGCCTCAGCCTCCCAAAGTCCTGGGATTACACTGGGCTTAGTCTGTTTCTCCTTTTTTTTTTTTTTTTTTTTTTTTTTTTTTTTTTTTTTTTGAGACAGAGTGTCACTCTATCGCCCAGGCTGTAGTGCAGTGGTGCGATCTTGGCTCACTGCAACCTCTGCCTCCCAGGTTCAAGTGATTCTCCTGCCTCAGCCTCCCGAGCAGCTGGGATTACAGGTGCACACCACTATGCCCAGCTAATTTCTGTATTTTTAGTAGAGACGGGGTTTCACCATGTTGGTCAGGCTGGTCTTGAACTCCTGACCTCATGATCCACCCGCCTCGGCTTCCCAAAGTGCTGGCATTACGGGCATGAGCCATCGTGCCCAGGCCTCTCCTCTTTATTTAATCAATAAACATTTTGTTGGGTTTTGTTTGTTTGTTTTACTTTCTGTTTGTTTTTGAGACAGAGCCAGAGTCTCACTCTGTTGCCCAGGCTGGAGTACAGCGGCATGATCTTGACTCAGTGCAGCCTTTGACTTCTGGGTTCAAGCTATTCCTTCACCTAGGTCTCCCGAGTAGCTGGGGCTACTGGTGTGTGCCACCACGCCTGGATAATTTTTGTATTTTTTGGCAGAGATGGGGTTTCACCATGTTGGCCAAGCTGGTCTCCAGCTCCTGACCTCAGGTGATCTGCCATCCTCAGCCTCCCAAGGTGCTAGGATTACAGGCATGAGCTACTTTCCCTGGCCTTCTTCTACTTTTATTGTGAAAATATACAAAAAATGAAAAGAACAGTATGGTTAGCACCCATATTTTCCTCACTTAATTTAACATTTAATATTTTTGCCATATTGCCTCCTTCTAATCCCATGCACATTTCAGCCCAAGTATTTCAATGTGTATTTTTAAAAATAGAGACTTTTTCATGCATAACCACCACTCAATTATCACACCTAATAACTGCAATGACTTCCTTAATCATATCTCCTACCAACTCCATATTCAAATTTCTCCAACTGAGTATATTTATAGCTGGTTCATCAAACTGGACTCACTTTAGGAACCATGCAGCTGCATGTGACTTTTAAAAACATCCCTGGTTGGCCGAGCGTGTTGCTCTGTCACCCCGGCTGGAGTGCAGTGGTGCAATCTCAGCTCACTGCAACCTCCGCCTCCCCTGTTCAAGCAATTCTCCTGCCTCAGCCTCCTGAGTAGCTGGGACTACAGGCGCGTGCCGCCACGCCTGGCTAATTTTTTGTATTTTTGGTAGAGTCGGGGTTTCACCGTGTTAGCCAGGATGGTCTCCATCGCCTGACCTTGTGATCCACCCGCCTCGGCCTCCCAAAGTACTGGGATTACAGGCGTGAGCCACCGTGCCTGGCCCTTTTTTTTTTTTTGAAACAGAGTCTCGCTGTGTTGCCCAGGCTGGAGTGCAGTGGCACAATCTTGGCTCACTGCAACCTCCACCTCCTGGGTTTAAGCAATTCTCCACCTCAGCCTCCCGAGTAGCTGAGTTTACAGGCATGTGCCACCACGCATGGCTAATTTTTGTATTTTTTTTTTTTTTAGTAGAAACGGGGTTGCACCATGTTGGCCAGGCTGGTCTCGAACTCCTGACCTCGTGATCCACCCGCCTCTGCCTCCCAAAGTGCTGGGATTACAGGCATGAGCCACTGCGCCCAGCCTCTTATTTTATTTCTTTACTTGATATGGACAATTCCAAATAGAGACATTTATTTCACATGCTGTACAGGAAAAGAAATATGAGGCAGGTGAGAAGAGGAAGAATCAGACATTCAGCTGGCCCCGGGCTACCCATGGGATATATTACAGGTTTCTAGGCTGCATTCTAGTTCTGTTTTTTGCGGTATTTGAAAGTCAAATCCAGGAATAGTATACTTTTTTATATCTCTTCTTTAGAATCTTGGATTTGAGATATTTAGTACAATATGCTTTGCCCTCCAAGAGTCTATTTATAAAGTGTTCTTTCCTATATACTTCCAAGCCAAATTCATTTAGATTCCTTTAGAAAAATACAGGCACAGGCTGGGCGCGGTGGCTCACGCCTGTAATCCCAGCACTTTGGGAGGCCGAGGCGGGCAGATCACGAGGTCAGGAGATCGAGACCATCCTAGCTAACGTGGTGAAACCCCGTCCCTATTAAAAATACAAAAAACTTAGCTGGGCATGGTCGCAGGCGCCTGTAGTCCCAGCTACTTGGGAAGCTGAGGCAGGAGAATGGTGTGAACCTGGGAAGCAGAGCTTGCAGTGAGCTGAGATCACACCACTGCACTCCAGCCTGGGCAACAGAGTGAGACTCCGTCTCACAAATAAATAAATAATTAAAATAAAAATAAAAATACAAAAATTAGCTGGGCGTGGTGGCGCTCGCCTATAATCCCAGCTACTCAGGAGGCTGAGGCAGGAGAATTGCTTGAACCTGGGAGGCAGAGGCTGCAGTGAGCCGAGATTGCCCCCACTGCAATCCAGCCTGGGCAACAGAGCGAGACTCCATCCCAAAAAAAGAGGAAGTATATTCTTGTAACCTGCTTGTTTACCTAGTCCTTCCCTCCCCCTAATTTGTAAGGAAATCGGCCATTAGACAAACTGTTTGGTTGAAAACTGAAAGATTAACTGCAGTTCTTAATTTTTTGTTAAACATTAAAAAAAAAGTGATACCTCTGTATAAAATTATTAAAGTAGATAGAATTGGTGAAAATGTATAATTTTCTTGAGAAAACTGCAATATGTGGAAAATGCTATATGATTTTTGGTACTTAAGAATTTTAAGGCTGGTGAGATGGTTCACAGCTATAATCCCAGCACTTGGGGAGGCTGAGGCAGGTGGATCCCTTGAGCTCAGGAGTTCGAGACCAGCCTGGCCAACATGGCAAAACCCTGTCTCCACAAAACATACAAAAATTTGCTGGATGTGGTGGTATGCACCTGTGGTCCCAGCTACTTGGGAAGGTGAGGTGGGATTGCTTGATCTCGGGAGGCGGAGGTTGCAGTGATCCAAGATCTCACCACAGCACTCCAGCACGAGCGACAGAGTGAGAACCTGTGTCAAAAAAGGAAAAAAAAAGTATAAAAGTTATGCGTTTATATATACGTATGCAAGTTTTACTTAAATATCTTCTAAGAATATGTTCTAACTTCTGTTTTAGTGGAATATTGGTGAACGATACTAAGTTAGATGGACCTATATTACAGATTCTATTCATGAACAATGCTATTTCAAAGTAAGTAATTTTTTCCCTTTCCTAAATATAATAATGTGTTTATGGAACAATTTTCTCTATAAATATGCTGTTTTCATTTGTACTCATATCATTTTTATTATTTTACTTAAAATGCCCCTGGAGTTAAAGTACAAGGAATCATGATTAAGAGCAAGGACATTGGGGTCACAGTGACCTGAATATCTGGACTCTTACTTTCTATGTCTGTGAACCTGGGAAGGTCACAGATCTTTGCTGCATCATCCGTTACTTCACTGGAAAACAGGATAGTCATAGTAACTACCTATGGGGTAGCTACATGAGCACCTCTAAGAGCTCAATAAATAGCTTCTAATAAAAATCATCACTATCACTGTAACAATAACAATGATGTTCACCATTTCTCTTTCTGAATCAGGTAACTGAGTTTTCCATGTTGGCCATCTTCAAAGCCTACTCACTTGATTATTTGTTTTAACAGCAAAACTAGACTTTTGCAAACCATCAGCATCAGGGTTTAGGGTGACCCTGCGCATTCCTGCAGTGTTTGCTCAGAGTGTAAGGTCTAAAATGGTTTGCTCTGTCCCTCCTTCAGAGCATGGTCATAGACATTTCACATAGTTGCTTGCTCCCTCGAAAGTCACTTAGTCATATTGTTGTCTTCTTAATGCTGACCAAGGTCAGGTCCATAACCTACTCTATCCCAGCAGAAGTGGAACCCAAGGCTCTGAGGGTTGGGAAGCTGGATGCTAAATACAGCAGCAAGGTGCTGGGCACAACTGGGCTGTAGCACTAGTGTCCCTCTCATGCCCAGGTTAGAATCAGTAACCCTCTAGCTCATGACGGTCTCATTTCTGCACCATTCACCTAGTGTTTCACCTGCAGAAATCTTTTTTTTTTTTTTTTTGAGATGGAGTTCCGGTCTTGTTGCTCAGGCTGGAGTGCAATGGCACAATCTTGGCCCAACACAACCTCCACCTGCCAGGTTCAAGTGATTCTCCTGCCGCAGCCTCCCACGTAGCTGGGATTACAGGCATGCACCACCATGCCCAGCTAATTTTGTATTTTTAGTAGAGACGGGGTTTCTCCATGTTGGTCAGGCTGGTCTCAAACTCCCGACCTCAGGTGATCCACCCATCTCGGCCTCCCAAAGTGCTGGGATTACAGGTATGAGGCACCGCACCTGGCTTTTTTTTTTTTTTTTTTGAGATGGAGTTTCACTCTTTTTGCCCAGGCTGGAGTCCAATGGCAAGATCTTGGCTCACTACAACCTCCACCCACTGGGTTCAAGCGATTCTCTTGCCTCAGTCTCCCAAGTAGCTGGGATTACAGGTGCCTGCCACCAGGCCTGGCTAATTTTTGTATTTTTAGTAGAGACAGGGTTTCGCCATGTTGGCCAGGCTGGTCTCGAACTCCTGACCTCAAGTGATCTGCCCATCTACAGAAATCTTAAAATGTCAGAGCTACAAGATACCTAAAAAATCATCAAGTCTGTGAAAAGGAAACTGAGTCTGAGACATTATGGCTCCCCGATTACATGGTAATAAGGCTTGGGCTCCTTTGACACCTCCTGAACTGAGCACTACCGAATATATGATGAGCTTGGTTCTTGACCTGGAGGGCTGGGGAAAGCAGATCTCAGTATTTTTTCTTGCTTTGCATTTTGATTTTATCTTTTCCAGTTTCATATTTATATTGGTGTTTCCTTATGTACGTATTAAGAATCTCTGGGAGGAGGATGTGGAAGACCTGAATATATGGACTATCTTTGTGTTGCAGAAATAGATGGCCAAGAGACAGGGTAGGAAGGGAGCTTTTCATTATGTAACCCTTTTACTTCTCTTGGATTTTGAACCATTTACATGTAGTATCTATTTAAAAATTAAGTACACAGAATTTTTAAATAAAATCCGTGTATTCTTTGCACAACTGGTTGGCAGTTGTTATGCCAATCACTGTGTTACTTTATCATAATTATTGCATTAACTTGGCAATAATATGTAATTTATCTTAAGGAATATGTTCCTGAGTATTACAGAGTCAGTGATTTATTAAACTTCTGAAAAACAACAACATTCACACTTGAAATCTTACAGTAATGCATAAGACTTCAGTCTATTGAATGTTTTACTCTGTCTGGGTTCTGACCATTTTGTCCTCTTACACAGGCAATATCATCAAGAAATAGAGGAATTTGTATCAAATTTAGTAAAAAGATTTGAGGAACAGCAGAAAAATGATGTGGAAAAGACTTCCTTTAATCTTTTGCCCCAGGTATTTCAAATTTAAGAGACTTTAAGATTAGTAAGTTATGCGTTTCACTGCCAATTATTGGGCCACAAGGATCCTCTTGAATCAAAACCAAAATGATTAACACCGTTTACCACTTCTCCTTCTACTGGCTTGCTTTTCCGAAGCCTGACTGGTTTAGCCACACAGCGTTCTTTTACCTTGTGGCTCAGACTTTTTACATTGCCTGACTTGGACATGTGGTTTTGGGTAGAAAATTAATTTTAGGCCAGAAAAAAATCTAAGTTTCTGGGGTTTATAAAAGATGGATTCCTTTTATCTAAAACCAACAGGCTTGTGGACTATCCTTTTTTCCCTCTACTTGTTTTTAGAAAATTAATTGTGTGCCCAAAGAAATCTGAGAAGTTTTACTATGTGAATATTAGATCACGCATTTATGTTTTAAAAAAAAGAGAGAGAGAGAGAGGAGAATCAGAGTTATGATTTCTGGGTCTTTTTTTTTTTTATTAAAAATTAAGGTAAGTAGTATTTCTCAAATAAGGAACTTTAGCTGTTTATCCTCAGGCTTTGGAGAACAGTGTTCTGATTGATTACGTTTTTTATTGCCTTTGGTTTTTATGTATTCTGTACAATTTTTAAAGATTCAGCAAACAAAATACATTTAACAATAAAATTCATACTGAATATTATTTTTGATTCAAGGAAACTTTTGTAGTGGCTTGAGGTCTGTGAGGGTTATATTATCAATATTGACCAGTAATGTAAAACTATATATTTTTGATCTTTCTGGTTATCTGCCTTGCCAGTTTAAAGTGTTGAAAGCGGCATAATTAATACTGGTTAAAAAAGAAGTTGTAGTGCATGCTAGTGCTTCAGAAGAAGCTCTCCTTTTACATCTTCCATTCTCCCACATGAAATGTCGTTCATAAACATTCTTAGCTTAATTTCTAAACTTACTAACTTCCATTTAAACTGGTTAAAAATTGGTTACCGGTTGTAATATGTGTTTTTCTTTGTATTAGCCATCCAGTATTGTGCTAGAGGAGGACCACAAAGTGGAAGAGTCCTGTGCCATTAAAAACAACAAGGAAGCTTTCAGTGTAAGTTTGGACATTTCAGTTTTGAATTCAGCCAATAGGTGTTTCCTATCCTATGTCAACTGGGTGGCGTTTAAAAGATAAAGTAGTATAGTCATATGTCTTCACTTGATAACAGCATCTTTTTGTGGTAAATAGCAGTTTGGACTTTAGCCTCAGTTTGCTGTTTAATAATGATTGCGTTGTGACCTGGGGCACAGTAAACATACTTTGGAGAACTTTGTTTTTGTATTGACCAACCACTGTGTTTATTCAAGAAGTTGGATGAAGATATAGAAAGCATGCTTGTTGAACTTATACATGGCTAAAGCTGAGAGGGATAGATAGCTAATGTAACAGATGGCAAATTTGGAATTTAAAGTGTTGACAGTCTCAAATGGTGGGTGAAAAACAGAAGAAGTTAACAGGGATGACCTACATTTAGGCTACAGCCTTTCAATACCTGTGCAAAATTCGTTAGTGTTAATACAATGTAGTAGTATGATTTTGCAGCTTATAATTTTTTTTTTTTTTTTTTTGAAACGGAGTCTTGCCCTGTCGTCCAGGCTGGAGTGCAATGGTGCAATCTCGGCTCACTGCAACCTCCGCCTCCCGGGTTCAAGCAATTCTCCTGCCTCAGCTTCCCGAGTAGCTGGGATTACAGGCACCCGCCACCACGCCCAGCTAATTTTTGTATTTTTAGTAGGGACAGGGTTTCACCATGTTGGCCAGGCTGGTCTCGAACTCCTGACTTTGTGATCCACCCTCCTTGGCCTCCCAGAGTGTTGGGATTACAGATGTGAGCCACTGTGCCCAGCGCAGCATATAATATTTTAAAAGGTAATGTAATAGTGGATTCTATAATATTGAAGGAAAACTGGTTTTCATGTTTATGTAGTATTATCCCATATTAGTATACCACAATTTTAGGCTGGGTGCAGTGGCTCACATCTGTAATCCCCAGTGTTCTGGGAGGCCAAGGTGGAAGGATTACCTGAGTCCAGGAGTTCCAGACTAGCCTGGGCAACATAGCCAGAACTCATCTCTATGAAAAATTCTTAAGAAATTAGCCAAGTGTGGCTGGGCGAAGTGGCTCACACCTGTAATCCCAGGACTTTGGGAGGCTGAGGCCGATGGATCACTTGAGGTCAGGAGTTCGAGACCAGCCTGGCTGTCATGGCGAAACCTTGTCTCTACTGAAAATACAAAAATTAGCCAAGTGTGGTGGTGCACACCTGTAGTCCCAGCTACTCGGGAGACTGAGTCACGGAAATTGCTTTGAACCCAAGAGACTGAGGCTGCAGTGAGCCGAGATTTGCCACTGCACTCCAGCCTGGACAACAGAGTGAGACTCTGTCTCAAAAAAAAAAAAAATTAGCCAAGTGTGGTGGCATGGACCTGTAGTCCCAGCTACTCAGGAGGCTGAAGTGGGAGGACTGCTTGAGGTCAAGGCTGCAGTGAGCCATGATTGTGCCACTGCACTCCAGTCTAGGTGACAGAGCAAGACCCTGTCTCAGAAAACAAACAAACAAACAAAATATATATATATATGTATGTATAGATACATATGTGTATATAAAAAAGAAAGAGATATGGGCCTACTGGGATGATGAAGAGCCCACAGACTTTATTGAAAGAAAAATTTACAAAGGATGTCGCATCTCTACAAATAGGATAAAGGTTGTTATTTGTAAAAGACTAAAACTTATTTTAAATCACCCTTTAAAGTGCCAAGTGGCAGAATTAAGACCAGTGATTGAATTGAGTACAAGAAGGTACATTTCAACTCAACCTTTAGAAAGTTCAAGTTTCTATAAGAGATGTGAAAAATGATATGACCTGGCATTCAAAAGAAAAAAGAAAAAAAACAAGTGAAATGGCACTTCTCATTCATAAAAGTGAATTCAGTATTACTGGAGTCAAATAGGGACTGAGATGTTATCCGGACACTTTAAAGAAAAATTTCTGAATTTGAATGAGGTAGTTTTTCATTTTCCTTCTGACCCTAAGGTTCTGGGATTGAAAGTGGCACTTGCCTAGAAACTGGGAATTTTGTTTATTAATTTAGACCTTTAAAAAATACGAAAATATTTAGTGAATGCTGTTTTGTCCCAGGGATCCTTCTAGGTTCCAGGGAGACAGCAGTGAAAAGAAGGGCAAAGTCCCAGCTCTCATCGAATTACATTGTAGTCAGGGAAGGTAGTGCCCTGAAGAAAAATAAAGCAGAGAAAGCAGAGTAGCTGTGGGGTAGGTGGTTTGTATAGTGACTGACAGCCTCTCTGAACCGAACCTTGGATGCATTGAGGAAGTAAGTGAAGGCTGTGCTTTGAATGGGGCACTCCAGGCAGTAGGAAGGTAAGTAGAAAGCCCCAAGGCAGGAGCACTACCTGGCATGTAAGTTCTAAGCTCATTAAAGGTATTACTCATGAAGGTGCTCTTAGGCTTCAGTTGTACAGATGAGGAAACAGGTGGAAAGCTAAGTAACTCGCCAGTGGGTTAGTGAGTGGCAAAGCCAGGGCAGGGCTTAAAACCAGGCCCGTGGCCTGGCACGGCGGCTCACATCTGTAATCCCAGCACTTTGGGAGGCCAAGGCAGGTGGATCACCTGAGGTCAGGAGTTGGAGACCAGCCTGGCCAACGTGGCAAAACCTCATCTCTACTAAAAATACAAAAATTAGCTGGGTATGGTGACTGAAGCCCATAATCCCAGCTACTCAGGGGGCTGAGGCAGGAGAATCGCTAGAACCCGGGAGACAGAGGTTGCAGTGAGCCGAGATCATGCCACTTCACTCCAGCCTGGGCAACAGAGCGAGACTCTCTCTCTCAAAAAAAAAGCCAGGCCCTTGGAGTCTGGAGCACGTGGTCTGAATCTGTAGGTTGTGCAACAGACTGTAATGAGGACTTTAGATTTTACTGTAAGATGAGAAGTGATAGAGGGTTTTAAGTAGAAATGTAACATGATATGAATTGACTTTTTTTTTTTTTTTTTTTTTTTTTTGAGACAGCCTCTCGCTCTGTCACCCAGGCTAGAGTGCCATGGCACAATCTCAGCTTACTGCAACCTCCCCCTCCCAGATTCAAGCAATTCTCCTGCCTCAGCCTCCTGAGTAGCTGGGATCACAGGTGTGCACCACCACACCTGGCTAATTTTTGTATTTTTAGTAGAGATGGGGTTTCACCATGTTGGTCAGGCTGGTCTCAAACTCCTGACTTTGTGATCCACCCACCGCGGCCTCCCAAAGTGCTAGGATTACAGGCATGAGCCACCACGCCTGGCCATGAATTGACTTTTTAAAAGAGCTGGGTTCTGTGTGGAAAATAGTCTGTAGCTGGTTATCTGTGGAAGCTGAAAACCAGTTAGGAAGTTATTGTATTCAACTCAGGTGAGAGAAACTGGTACTGAGACTGGAGTGAGAGTGGTGCTGCTGAGAAGTGCTTAGAACGTGGATGTACTGGGGAAGTAGAGCTGATCAAATGTGTTGATGAATTGGACGCAGAATATGAGAGCAAAAGAGTCATCGGAGTGACTCAGGTTTTTGGCCCGAGTGCCAGTAAGAATGTCGTCGTAAAAAATTAGCCAGGCGTGGTGGTGGGCGCCTGTAGTCCCAGCTACTCATGAGGCTGAGGCGGGAGAATGGCATGAACCTGGAAGGCAGAGCTTGCAGTGAGCCGAGATCGCGCCACTGCACTCCAGCCTGGGCGACAGAGCGAGACTCCATCTCAGAAAAAAAAAAAAAAGGATGTCGTCATATTTTCTCTGATGGGGAAGACTAGAGGAGGAGCAGGTTTGGAGGGGGCTAGAAATCCAGTGCAGTTTTAAGCAGGTGAGTTTGAGATGCCACTCACACGCCCCTTGAGAGCTGTCAAGTTGACACTTCCATATATAAAATTGGAGGTTAGGACTGATCAGAACTTGACCGTAAAGGAGAACATATATTCAGGGCAACTTCAATCTATGCTCCCAGTGAAAAAATAATAATTAAAAAGTGATAACTTAGGCCAGGCGCAGTGGCTCATGCCAGTAATCCCAGCACTTTGGGAGGCCAAGGCGGGCAGATCACCTGAGGTCGAGAGTTTGAGACCAGCCTGACCAACATGAAGAAACCCCGTCTCTACTAAAAATACAAAATTAGCCGGGTGTGGTGGTGCATGCCTGTAATCCCAGCTACTTGAGAGGCTGAGGCAGGAGAATCGCTTGAACCCAGGAGGTTCAACCGGAGGTTGCAGTGAGCTGAGATTGCGCCATGGCACTCCAGCCTGGGCAACAAGAGCGAAACTCCGTCTCAAAAAATAATAATAATAACTTGACCTTTAGAAGTCGTAAGCATACATATTATACTACATACCATGGGTCAGGATGAACCACCTGAGTAGTGAAAGTGGAGAGGAGGACTGAGACCTAGGGCACTCTAATACATGGAAGATAGAGGGATGAGAAGAGTCTAGCACAGAAGAGCGAGGCTCAGTCAGCAAGGAAAGAAGAGAACGGAGAAGCATGTCCTAGAAGACAAGGGAGGAAGATGTTTTTAGGAGGAAGGAAGAATTGTGTCAATTGTCACAGCTAGGTTAAGAAAGATGAAGAGTGAGAACTGTTCATTGAATTTGGCTGCATGGAGGTCATTGGGAAGCTCCATTGTTAGGAGCTCAGCCCAGTGATATGTATAGAAGCATTACTGGAAATGTTCAAGAGAGAGGGCAGTGTCATTAAAAAAATGGAGGCCAGGCACAGTGGCTCAACACCTGTAGTCCCAGCACTTTGGGAGGCTGAGGCGGGAGGATTGCTTGAGGCCAGGAGTTTAAGACCAGCCTGGACAACATAGCAAGACCCCATCTCAAAAAAAAAAATTAGCTGTGTGTAGTGACACAACTACTCAGGAGACTGAGGCAGGAGGATCATTTTAGCCCAGGACTTTGAAGTTACAGTGAGCCAAGATCATGCCACTGCATTCCAGCCTGGACAACAGAGCAAGACCCTGCCTCAAAAAAAAAAAAAAAATTAAAGAGTATATGTGAGGCCAGGTGCAGTGGTTCACGGCTGTAATCCTAACATTTTGGGAGGCTGAGTCGGGTGGATCGCTTAAGCTCAGGAGTTTGAGACCAGCCTGGGCAACATGGCAAGACTGCCTCTACTAAAAATACAAAAAAATAGCTGGGCAAAAAAATAGCTGACCGTGCTTGTGGTCCCAGCTTCTCAGGAGGCTGAGGTGGGAGGATCGTTTGAGCCTGGCAGGTGGAGGTTGCAGTAAGCCAAGATTGCACCACTGTACTCCAGCCTGGGCAACAGAGACCCTATCTCAAAACAAACAAAAAAGTGTATGTGTGTGTGTTCGGTGTATGTGTAAAGAGAGAGAGAGGCAGACAAAAATGTTAAACTATTAACAGTTGTTTAGGTGAAGGATACATTGGGTATTCATTGTACCACTTTTCCAACTTGTCTGTATGGAATTTTTTCAAAAAGAACTGGAGGGATAAGAAAAGAGTAAATGGGAAGAAAGGAAATGGAAACAATAACTAAAGGGTCTGCATGTCTTGCAAAGAGAAGCAATGAAATGGGGCATTGGAGGGAAATATGAGAGTCAAGGTTTTCATTTTTTGTTTGAATTCTGTAGAGAATGCAGCTGATAGTCATGATCCAATACAGAGGAAAAACTGATCTAGCAGAGAGAGGGAACTGACGATGTAGTTTCTACTTACACATCAAAGTCTGGCTCCTTAATAACAAGGAAGTTATTATTTCTAATAATTCCATCCAAAAATAAATTGTTAAAACAGTTAATCATAATCTTACATTATTTAATGTCTTTTTTTCTGCTTAAATAGCAATATTTTTTGACTTGTTTTCTGCAGGTTGTAGGAAGTGTCCTGTATTTTACTAATTTTTGCCTTGATAAATTGGGGCAACCGCTTCTAAATGAAAACCCTCAGCTTTCCGAAGGATGGGAAATACCCAAGTATCCTACATAGTGAATGAAGATCTTTTATGCATCTTGCCACTAAGTTCACCTTTAAAACAATTTCCAAATTTTGCAGACCATGATAACTATTCCTTAATAAAATTCACTAAAGGTACCATCAAGTCTTCAGCCACATTGTTTCTCTAGAAGGGCAAGAAATACAAGTAAAGGCAAAAAGGTTTGTGTGGGGAGTTGTTTTGTTTTACTTATTTACTTTTTTAACCAAAATCATAAACTTTTGGCTTGAAAAGTTCATGTTCTTTACTGCTGGTTTACTCTAAGGTTAATTACAGATTGAGCTAGAATTTTAATCCATACATATATGTTAAATGTTTAAATGAATCATCTGCTTCCTGGAATTCATTGGTTCTCACCTAATGTGCCTGGGTGGGTGGAAAGGTATAATTGTTGCTGTCAATTTGATTGCAGTCTTATAACCATCTGCCTTCTTTCCATGTTACCTAACGGAAATATGATCAATGTGTTCACCTTGATTCTTCGTTGTTAACCACTGAAAAAACTCAAAAGAGGTAACAGATCAGTCAGGAACAGAAGGGTTCTTGGTTAAAAGACTCTGCATAGTACTATTTAAATCACTAAATAAAGGAGATTAAAGTGTACTTCTTGTTGCAGATATTAGTGATCTGTGATCAACTTGCTTTCTTGTCTCTCTGATACACTTTGCTGTCATATAGAATTTTATTGATTTGCTTTTCTATTTTTATTGACATTATAAAAATCTTTGTCTTTTGACCAAATAGGCCAAAGCCTCACTGTTTCAATTGTGGTTCTGAAGAACACCAAATGAAAGATTGCCCAATGGTAAATTTTTCTCATGTTAAGAAAAGTCTTTGAACAAGAGCTTTCTAATGTTTTCAACACATTTATGTTATTGTATGACATGAAGGAACTTTCTTTGTTCCTTTAATTTGAAATCTTGTGTCCTTTAATTTGAAATCTTTTCAAATTTGTGTTCATATTTTAAGACATTAAATTTTTTCAGTAAATAATTTAAAACAGTGTCCTTTAATTTGAAATCTTTTCAAATTTGTGTTCATATTTTAAGACATTAAATTTTTTCAGTAAATAAT
Source organism: Homo sapiens (assembly GCF_000001405.40). Lineage (NCBI taxonomy): Eukaryota > Metazoa > Chordata > Mammalia > Primates > Hominidae > Homo > Homo sapiens. Next base: position 122,482,365 of record NC_000012.12, on the reverse strand, counting down.
TTAAAACAGTACTCTTTGTATTTGAGATGAATAAACATGAGAATTAAATTGTAGAGTTTATCCTAAAAACTTGATTTAATTTATGATAATAGGTAATAAATAGACTGCTCCTTTCCTTACGTATTTTTCTAAAATATTCACCCTCTTTTACACTTGTTCGTTATACATTAAAACTAAAATAATCTGTTTACTTGATCTAAAAAAAAGTATTTTTATTTAATTTCTGAAATATTTCTGAGTTGCATGAAACCATTCTTTTCAAATGTGTCATGATGTAGCCTCGGAATGCTGCTCGAATAAGTGAAAAGAGAAAAGAGTATATGGATGCCTGTGGAGAAGCAAACAATCAGAATTTCCAGCAGCGATACCACGCAGAAGAAGTAGAAGAAAGATTTGGAAGATTCAAGCCAGGAGTTATTAGGTACTAATGGCATTTTACCATAGAAGGTCATTTTTATTTCCCTAGCATTTGGAATGTTCTGTGTCTCTTTGGGCTAATTATCAGGATATAAGTGTACTCTGGCAAAGCCCTAGGTAATATACATTAATTCATTTAGAAACACTTCTTTAAATTTTAATTTATATTTGTTAGACGTCATGGTATGTAATATAAGCAAGAAATGTTTTAAAATACCAGAATACTATGTGTTTTCATGCAAATAAGAATTCAGTATTTTTCTTCCTCCTTTATTTTTACTTAGTGAGGAACTTCAAGATGCACTAGGTGTGACAGACAAGAGTCTTCCACCTTTTATCTATCGGATGCGCCAGCTAGGGTACCCACCAGGGTGGCTCAAAGAGGCTGAATTGGAGAATTCGGGGCTTGCACTCTATGATGGAAAAGGTATAGTATCTTAAGTTAGAGAAGTCACCTTAAGTGTTTCCTTTTTTTTTTTAATTAAAGAATCACAACAAAATGTGATAGGAATGGCCGGCTTCTTTAATGTGTGCTAACTAAAAAATATCATGATGATGTTTCCTTGGTAAATTTTACAAGGAAGGAATAAAATTTCAGTGAGTTTGTAGATTATCTGATGGTTTTCTGGGCTTGCTCAGGTACTGTCTAGGCCAGAGTATCACCTCTCCAGCCAGTCCTCATAAGCTCTTATCTTTGTCAGTAATAATAACAGACATAAATCCTAAATGCCAGGAGACCTGTAAAATGTAAAATACAGAAAACCTCTAATAGTCTAGAACTTCTCTCCTAGATACCTACCCTAGAAAGATATTCACACATATGAAAAGGAAATTGTATGTATACAAGAATCTTTTTGTATCATTGAATATGATAGTGAAAAATCTACGACAACATTAAGGCCCTAAAAAAGAATGGTTAAATAAATTGGTAGTTCTGAGCTGTGGACTCCCTGCAACATACATGAAGAGTGGAATAAATCTGTATGAGCTGACATGGCAAAATCTTTGTGCAGTATTGAGTTTTTAAAAAGCAGGTTTCAGCCGGGCACAGTGGCTCATGGCTGTAATCCCAGGATTTTTGGAGGCCGAGATGGGTGGATCAGTTGCGGTCAGGAGTTCAAGACCAGCCTAGCCAAGACGGTGAAACCCGGCCTCTACTAAAAATACAAAAATTAGCCAAGCGTGGTGGCAGGCGCCTGTAATCCCAGCTACTCGGGAGGCTGAGGCAGTGGGTGGATCTCTTGAGCTCAGGAGTTTGAGACCAGCCTGGGCACCATCGTGAAACCCCGTCTCTACTAAAAATACACAGCCTACCCTGGTGTGGTTGTGCGTTCATGTAGTACCAGCTATTTAGGAGGCTGAGGTGGGAGGATCACTTGAGCCTGAGAGGCAGAAGCTGTAGTGAGCCAAGATGGTGCCACTGCACTCCAGCCTGGTGACAAAGCAAGACCCTTTCTCAAAAAAAAAAAAAAAAAGTTCTGTCCTAATGATTTAGAAAAATTATAATGAAAATTGAAAGCCATTTCAAAACTAATTCTGTTGCCATGATTATAAGCACTTTCCAGGTGTACTTTTGGTCTGGGGAGGGATATATATTGACATTTAGCAATATTAACACTTTTTATGGTCTGTAATAGATGGCACTGATGGGGAAACAGAAGTTGGAGAAATACAACAGAATAAAAGTGTCACTTACGATCTCTCAAAATTGGTCAACTATCCTGGTTTTAATATATCTACTCCCAGAGGAATTCCAGACGTAAGTATATTGATTTTTTTAAATTATCATGTGATGTGATATTATTATGTTAAAGATTGGTCAAAATATTAACTTGTTGGCTAGGCATAGTGGCTCACACCTGTAATCCCAACACTTTGGGAGTCCGAGGCAAGATGATCACTTGAGTCCCAGAGTTCGAGACCAGCCTGGGCAACATAGCAAGACCTTGTCTCTATGAAAAAATTTAAAAACTAGCCAAGGGTGGTGGCACATGCCTGTAGTCCTGGCTACTAGGGAGGCTGGGGTGGGAGGATTGCAGAGGTTACAGTGAGGTGAGATCACACTAGACCCTGTCTCAAAAAATAATTAGTTAATTCATATACACCTACAAACTTATATAGCAGTTACTATTTAAAGGAATAAATTTGTTACTTGTTTACATTTTTAATTTCTTTTATAGAATCTTTCTAGAATCTTAATTGAAGTCTTATATTCATCAACAGCAGTTTTCTCTGATTTTGTGCCCTCAGAAAGGGAGCCAAAATAGATTGGTTAGAGTATCTAAATCTAAAAGTACTCTAACATTTTAAAAGTTTTTAACAATATGGATTTTTCTGAGACAGTATTATTAATTTTACAGAATTAACTTGGGAAATAAGTTTCTATCTATAATAAATCTAAATATATTATCACTCTTTTTCCTGATTATTCTTGCCTTTTTTCCCCTCAAAGTAAAATTTCTCATTTTTTATATGAATGGTTTTTCCATACTTAACTCTTTTCCAGCTTCCATCTTAGGTCTCAGGATTCAACAATGAACTATTGTACTGTTTTATTTAAAAAGCATATTCTTGGCCGGCGCAGTGGCCCGTGCCTGTAATCCCAGCACTTTGGGAAGCCAAGGCGGGTGGATCACCTGGAGCTCAGGAGTTTGAGACCAGCCTGGCCAACATGGCAAAATCCTATCTCTACTAAAAATATAAAAATTAGCTGAGCGTGGTGGCAGGCGCCTATAATCCCAGCTACTCAGGAGGCTGAAGCAGAAGAATCACTTGAACCAAGGAGGTGGAGGTTGCAGTGAGCCGAGATCGTGCCATTGCACTTTAGCCTGGGTGATGAAAGCAAAACTCCATCTCAAAAAATATAAAAATAAAAAGTGTATCCTTGGTGTTCTTAGGAACTGGACAGTAGGGAAACAGCCAAAGACTTGAAGTTAGAGTCTAGTGAGCAGATAGAAAGTTCTCAATCACGCAAGACTGTGTAATTCATTACGGGCGGAAGTGCATGATACAAACCATCAGTGCTTCTGGAAGCCAGTCCAGCTTCCAGTCTACTTCAGAGTCCCCTGGGAATACTCGTTAGAAATGTACATTCTTGAGTCCCACCCTTAGACTTAACTGATTCAAAACCTAGAACCTGTATGTTTCACAAGAGTTCCATGGGATTCTTACCGAGAACCACTGTTGAATGTGCGATTGGAGATGAGAGAGAAACAAGCTGTGTGGAATCTTTAAAGATGATGCTGTATTTGGAAAGAGAAAGAGCAGAAGATAGAAAACTCATGAGTAAGTGTGTTAGGAGAATTGGGCGATGAATGGCCCTGTTAGCAGTGCCAGTGCTTGATGGGAGAGAGACTGGAGCCTGGGAGGCCCCATAGCAGTCACTCCTGCCTACATCTTCTGCTTGCAGTATGTAGAACCTTTTTTGGCCAAGTGATTGTGTCAGGTAGTCTTTTAGTATTCAGTCTTAATTATTTTGCAGGCAAGTTTAGTTTTCCTTCAACACATTATTTTCCTTAATTTCCAATAAAGGAAAAGTAACATAAGAAGGAAAAATGTAATTTGAGATCTCCACTGTACCTCCTTTGAGCAAAATCTCAAAACATGACATTTTCCAAATACATGTGTTTTTTTTTTCCTTCTCTTTTCATCATTAGGAATGGAGGATCTTTGGTTCCATACCAATGCAGGCATGTCAGCAGAAGGATGTGTTTGCCAATTACCTTACTTCTAACTTCCAAGCGGTAAATAGATTTTAAGGGTGTGCTCTATAAAATGTTGTTGTGTCTGCGAGATTGTGTAATTTATTAGCGTCTTACAGCCTTTTCTTGCTTTGTTATCTTGACAAACCAAAAGGAAAACAGTGGCAAAATTCACCAATTACCTAGACTTAACTCCAGATTGTTTTTCTACATCATTTTAAGTGAAGGGATGGAGTTTAATTCATTATCTACCCCGCTTAACTTGTGTTTGGTCTGGTTGCTCTTTTAGCCAGGTGTGAAGTCTGGCAACAAGAGGTCTTCATCTCACTCTAGCCCAGGTAGTCCAAAGAAGCAGAAGAATGAAAGCAACTCAGCGGGATCTCCCGCCGACATGGAGCTCGATTCAGGTAGGTTTCATCCTATGGCTCTGATTTCTCTCTTTTTTTTTTTTTTTTTTGAGATGGAGTCTCACTCTTGTCACCCAGGCTGGAGTACAATGGCGTGATCTCGGCTCACCGCAACCTCTGCCTCCCGGGTTCAAGTATTCTCCCGCCTCAGCCTCCCGAGTAGTTGGGATTACAGGCATGCATCACCACGCCCAGCTAATTTTTGTACTTTTTTTTTTTTAGTAGAGACAGGGTTTCACCATCTTGACCAGGCTGGTCTCGAACTCCTGACCTTGTGATCCACCCACCTCAGCCTCCCAAAGTGCTGGGATTACAGGCGTGAGCCACCGTGCCCGGCCCCTGTCTTCATTTTCAAATTCACAGAGAGAATTTAAAGACCATGAATTAAGCCGGGCGCGGTGGCTCACGCCTGTAATCCCAGCACTTTGGGAGGCTGAGGCAGGCGGGTCACAAGGTAAGGAGATCAAGACAATCCTGGCAAACATGGTGAAACCCTGTCTCTATTAAAAATACAAAAAATTAGCTGGGCATGGTGGTGGGCGCCTGTAGTCCCAGCTACTCGGGAGGCTGAGGCAGGAGAATGGCATGAACCAGGGAGGTGGAGGTTGCAGTGAGCCGAGATCACGCCACTGCACTCCAGCCTTGGCGAAAGTGTGAGCCTCCATCTCAAAAAAAAAAAAGATCATGAATTAAATTCCCTTAAAGTTCAAAGGGATTAAAGCCCCACATCAAATTATTTTGCACAAGTGACTTCAAAGTTCAGAATCAAAGCCCTCAAATTATTTCCCCTAAGTTTTTCTTTGTTTTTTCGGTTGTTTTTCGAGACAGAGTTTCACTGTCTCCCAGGCTGGAGTGCAGTGGCGTGATCTTGGCTCACTGCAACCTCCGCCTCTCAGGTTCAAGCGATTCTCCTGCCTCAGCCTCCCAAGTAGCTGGGATTACAGGTGCCCGCCACCACGCCTGGCTAATTTTGTATTTTTAGTAGAGATGGAGTTTCTCCGTGTTAGCCAGGCTGGTCTTGAGCTCCTGACCTCAGGTGATCTGCCCGCCTCCACCTCCCAAAGTGCTGGGATTATAGGTGTGAGCCACCGTGCCTGGCCCATGGTTGTCATTTTTTGAAGTTTGGGGATTTGTGGTGGTGGCACCCCTGTCACCAGGGTCACACACTTCTGTGTAGGCATTTTCAGTTTTGTACTAGGGGCTCTTTCCTCTATTTCTGTTTTGTTTTGTTTTTTGTTTTTTTTTTTGAGACAGGATCTGGCTCGGTTGCCCAGGCTGGAGTGCAGTGGTGCGATCATGGCTCAGTGCAGCCTCAGACTCCTGGGATCAAGCAGTCCTCCCACCTCAGCCTCCCATGTAGCTGGGAGTATAGGCATATGCCACCAAACCCAGCTGATTTTTGTATATTTTGTAGACACCGAGGTCTTATTTTGTTGCCCAGGCTGATATTGAACTCCTGAGTTTAAGCAATCTGCCTGCCTCAGCCTCCCAATGTTACTGGCATGAGCCACCGTGCTGGGCCATGAGTTGACTTCTAAGTGAGAGTTTGTTATTCTCACAAATCTTATTGTCTATAGAATAAAGTTCAGACCCCCTACTAGACCCTGAGGCAGAAAGCTTAATAAGACAGTATTGCTGCCCTAGTTACCACTCTCTGTCACCTCGGGATTGCAGATGTGTAAACATCATTTTCATATAAATGTGGTGGCCCACAGTGATATATACAGAATGATAGTATTACATATTGCTGCCACAGAGCAGTTCCAGACTGTAATGGTGGCACAGAGGAAAAACAGCATCTGTGCTGAATGAAGTCATAGGGTAACTTTGAACTGCATCTTGAGGGATGAATGCAGGGATTTACCAAGGAAATGAGGAGGAGGGCATTTGAGACAGAGGGAAGTGCAGATGCAGGATAGTGAAACTTCACAGCACATCAGGCCAGCAGCAGGGTGACAGCTGGAGTTTGAGCCAGGCAATAGGAGGTGACATGATGGAAGTAAGGAAACTATATCCTAGAGGGCCATGGAGGAAGATTGGACTTCATCCTGTGGGGTCTGGGCAGGCACTGAATGGTTTCCAATGGAGATGGGAAAGGTTATAGGGCCAGACTTGTGATGAATCTGGCAGCGGTTTGGAGGACAGACACAAGGAAGATGAATCCAGAGGTCAGGGTGATTCTGATGTTCCTGGCAAATGTCATGGGCCTGAAGCAAGGTAGCGGCTGTGGCAGCCAGCAGGAGAGCATGCACCCCAGAGAGCCAAAGACCTGGGGATGGATGGAAGGAAAGAGAGTACTCTCAGAGGACAAGCAGATCCACTGGTGGTGCCATTTGTGAGAACAGCAGATGGGAAAACAGTCCTCATTTTAGGAAGAGATCATTTGTTTTGGACAGGTTGTATCTGTGGAACGTGTAGGTGATGATGGTCAGTGGGCAGTTAGATATGTGAACCTGCAGTTCAGGCGAGCAGTGTAGATTAGAGAAAACAATTGGGGGCCAGGCACAGTGGCTCAGGCCTGTAATCTCAGCACTTTGGGAGGCCGAGGTGGGCGGATCACTTGAGATCAGGAGTTCGAAACCAGCCTGGCCAACATGGAGAAACCCCATCTCTACTAAAAATACAAAACAGCCGGGCATGTTGGCGTGCGCTGTAATCCCAGCTACTTGGGAGGCAGAGGCAGAAGAACTGCTTGAACCCGGGAGGCAGAGGTTGCAGCCAGCTGAAATCATGCCACTGCACTCCAGCCTGGGCAACAGAGCAAGACTCCATCTCAAAAATAAAAAATTGGGAAATTGGGCAATTAGGCTAGGTGCAGTTGCTCATGCCTATAATCCCAGCATTTTGGGAGGCCAAGGCAGGTGGATCACCTGAGGTCAGGAGTTCGAGACCAGCCTGGCCAACATGGTGAAACCCTGTCTCTACTAAAAATACAAAAATTTGCCAGGCGTGGTGGTGCACAACTGTAATTGCAGCTACTCGGGAGGCTGAGGCAGGAGAATTGCTTGAACCCAGGAGACGGAGGATACAGTGAGCTAAGATTGTGCCACTGCACTCCAGCCTGGGTGGCAGAGTAAGACTGTCTCAAAAAAAAAAAAAAAAAAAAGAGCTAGGAAATAACCCAAGGTGTACTCCTGCCTTGCCCCTCACTTCCTCCCCATTAGCCTTCCACCCACTCAGTAACCAGCCTGCACCTCCAGTCAAATTTCCTACTGCATTCTGCCACAAATTTTTGGGTAGAGTGCACTGCCTTGAAATTCTGAAGTCTCCATGCAATTGCTCGCATTTCCTCAATCTAAAATGATGCACACAGCACAGAAACAGATCTCCCGAGGGATAGCCTTTAGCACCAGAAGATCCTGACAGCTATCCCTGCAGATCTTTTCAGGTGGACTGAGGATACCAGGTGGTGGTAATGGCACCTGAGAATCCAGAATTTCCCTCATGTTAAGCCAGTTATTTTTGGCCATTGAATTACTGGATACACCTGAGTTCAAATAACAAATTTTAGTAAAACCAAATGCTATTATAAGTTCTAAAGTATCTCTTAACTTTCTTACTTCAGATATGGAGGTACCACATGGTTCTCAGAGCAGCGAAAGTTTTCAGTTTCAACCACCATTACCTCCTGACACTCCTCCACTCCCCCGGGGAACTCCTCCACCCGTCTTCACCCCTCCACTCCCAAAGGGCACCCCGCCGCTGACTCCCAGTGACTCACCCCAGACCAGAACAGCATCTGGAGCTGTGGATGAGGACGCACTGACTCTAGAAGAACTTGAAGAACAGCAGAGGCGGATCTGGGCAGCTCTTGAGCAGGCCGAGAGCGTAAACAGCGACTCCGACGTTCCTGTGGACACACCTTTAACTGGCAATTCCGTTGCCTCATCACCTTGTCCAAATGAGCTAGACCTCCCTGTCCCGGAGGGAAAAACATCTGAAAAGCAGACGCTGGATGAGCCTGAGGTACCAGAGATTTTTACAAAGAAATCAGAAGCTGGACATGCCTCCAGTCCAGACTCTGAGGTGACATCACTTTGTCAGAAGGAAAAAGCAGAGTTGGCTCCGGTAAACACTGAAGGTGCCCTTCTTGATAATGGCAGTGTCGTACCAAACTGTGACATCAGCAATGGGGGCAGCCAGAAGCTCTTTCCTGCAGACACCAGTCCTTCAACGGCCACTAAAATTCATAGCCCTATACCTGACATGAGCAAATTTGCAACTGGAATCACGCCATTTGAATTTGAGAATATGGCAGAATCTACTGGAATGTACCTCAGGATAAGAAGCTTGTTAAAGAACTCACCCCGAAACCAGCAGAAAAACAAAAAGGCCTCTGAATAATGGCTTGACTTAGCACTGAGAGCTATTTAATAACTTTGTTCCGTTAATTAGTACTAATTAAGTGGATAGATAGAATGGTTTTCCTGTTTGTCCCTCCCATGTTTAAAAATCTATCCAAGGTTCATGTTCCAAAGTCAAGCCTATTTTAAAGAAAGACTGAGCTCACTAGTTCAGTATATTTTATTCTCACTGACAAAACTTGGGGGGAGATGTGAATATGACCTGGTTTAGAGAGGGTTTGTTAAGGTTTATACTATTTTTGGATTGTGACTATCCGTCGAGAGTGATGGTTTTTATCTGTCTTTTGTACATTGTTTTCCCTTTCTACATTTTGCTAATTATCCTGTATATAAGTTTAATATATCACTTTTTAAAAGAAAAAATTCTACCATTTTAAATTCATGTTTCAACTCCTACAACCAAATGAGAAAAATCAGGGATGAGCAGCTTTATCCCATTTGGGGTATTTTTGTAAGTGATTTACATGTGTCAATTTTAGTAATACTTTTACTTTTTTGTAACTTCATCCTTCATATATGCTTGCTATACAGGTATGTTCATCTTTGTGTACAGAGGTTTAATAAATTAGTTTTCATATACATAATCTAAGACTTTGAATACAAAAAAGTGATTCACAGGTAAAATCAGTGTATATAACCTTTTTTTTTTTTGAGACAAGGGTTTCACTCTTGTTGCCCAGGCTGGAGTGCAATGGCACAATCTCGGCTCACCGCAACCTCCGCCTCCCGAGTTTAAGCGATTCTCCTGCCTCAGCCTCCGGAGTAGCTGGGATTACAGGCATGTGCCACCACGCCCAGCTAACTTCGTATTTTTAGTAGAGATGGGGTTTCTCCACGTCGGGTCAGGCTGGTCTTGACCTCCTGACTTCAGGTGATCTGCCCGCCCAGCCTCCCAAAGTGCTGGGATTACAGGCGTAAGCCACCTCACCTGGCCGGTGCATATAACTTTTAAGTTTAAAAGTAAATTGTTGGCCAGGCGTGGTGGCTCATGCTTATAATCCTAGCACTTTGGGAGGCCAAGGAGGAAGGATCACCTGAGGTCAGGAGTTCGAGACCAGCCTGGCCAACATGGCAAAACCCCATCTCTACATAAATACAAAAATTAGCCAGGTGTGGTGGTACATGCCTGTAATCCCAGCTACTCGGGAGGCTGAGGCAGGAGAATCACTTGAACCTGGGAGTGGGAGGTTGCAGTGAGCCGAGGTCGCGCCATTGCACTCCAGCCTGGGCAACAAGAGCAAAACTCCATCTCAAAAAAAAAAAAAAAAAAAGGTAAATTGTAAAAATCAGTGGTAGCAAAACAAAAATAATGATAGGAATTGCAAGTTTGGGTGTTTTCAGTGGATTTCAGCCTTAAATATAGAAACAGCAGAATTTTTGAAAAGTAATTATTTTGAAAAATGAATGGCATGCAGCTAGCCTTTGTATAAAAATAATTTTCTAGATTTGAACCCTAATAGTTAAAAATTAAAAATTAAACATAAACATACTGCTTTTAATTGTCAGGTATATATATAAGATAGAGCTGAAACTGTGGTTTAGGTCTTTCTGTGGAATGCCATTACATCTTTATATTAGTCAAGTCCATGAAAATAAATGTTTAGATCGTCTTGAATTGTTAGTCTCAGGCAGTGTTATCCTGCTCTCAGGCCAACAGGGGGAGCAAAATAGAAACATTCCAGATATAGCTTTCATTTTTGAGAACTTGAGTAATCAGAATTTACTGTTCTGTAAAGAATAAAGGAAAGGAAAATTATAAAGAGAGAAATTTCTTTTTAAAGCCCTCACAGAATGTGCTAGAAATAGAATAAAATTTAAAATACTTTTGGCTTCTTTTCCTCAGCTTAAGTTCAAAATAAAAGCAATCCTTTACAGTTGTTTACATAGTGTTTTTAACCTGATCTCGCTCAGCATTTCTGTCAGGCAAATTATTATCACCACTTGGAAGTAAGGAAAGGGAGGCAGAGAGAGGTTAAAGGAACTTGTCGACATTCCAGAAGTGGTTCTTAAGGTGAGTGTTCAACTAAAGACTTGACTATTCCCTAAATCAGAGCAGTAGTTGTTTAAATGTCCCTTTAAGAAGTACTGCATTAGTAGAGTCACCTGTGAATACCAGAGGTCTCTTAATAGTTATCTCTTTGCCATTTACCAGACATCGTGTTAAGGTATTTTTGTGCATTACCCCATTTTCACCGTCACCACATTGGGTAGGCATTGTTAACCTCATTGTTGAGAGGAAATACACACAGCTAAATACACACATACTAAAACACACAGCTGATACACAACCTAGTAAATCTAAATCTAGATCTCTCTGACCCCCGTATCTGTGCTCTTAACTGCTGTACTGCCTCCTTGTCAAAAGCTCTACAAAAGCACTGATTCTTTTTTTTTTTTTTTTTTTTTTTTTGATACAGAGTCTTGCTCTGTTGCCGAGGCTGGAGTGCAGTGGCACAATCTTGGCTCACTGCAAGCTCCGCCTCCCGGGTTCAAGTGATTCTCCTGCCTCAGCCTCCCAAATAGCTGGGATTACAGTCATGTGCCACACACCCGGCTAATTTTGTATTTTTAGTAGAGACGGGGTTTCTTCATGTTGGTCAGGCTGGTCTCGAACTCCCGACCTCAGGTGATCTGCCCACCTCTTGCCTCCCACAGTGCTGGGATTATAAGTGTGAGCCACCGGGCGCCCAGCCAAAAGCACTGATTCTCAAAAAATGGGCTATTTCATTTGTTCAATTTTTGGGGGGTGTTGAGTGGGGGACAGGGTCTCGCTCTGTCACCCAGGCTGGAGTACAGTGGCATGATCACAGCTCACTACAGCCTCCACCTCCCAAGTTCAAGTGATTCTCCTGCCTCAGCCTCCAGAGTAGCTGGGATTACAGGTGTGAGCCACCACACTCAGCCTGTTCAGCCACTTACTGAGGACATACTTCTGATAAATGTTCTTCAGTGTGCTTTTCCGCATTAAAAAGGTGGATCACGAGGTCAGGAGATCGAGACCATCCTGGCCAACACAGTGAAACCCTGTCTCTACTAAAAAAAAAAAAAAATTTTAAATAGCTGGGCGTGGCGGTGGGCGCCTGTAGTCCCAGCTACTCGGGAGACTGAGGCAGGAGAATGGCGTGAACCCAGGAGGCAGAGCTTTCAGTGAGCCGAGATCGTGCCACTGCACTCCAGCCTGGGTGACAGAGCAAGACTCCATCTCAAAAAAAAAAGAAAAGAAAAGAAAAAATACTGTGGCCCAGCACGGTGGCTCATGCCTGTAATCCCAGCACTTTGGGAAGCCAAGGCAGGCATATTGCTTGAGGCCAGGGGTTTGGGACCAGCCTGGCCAACATGGTGAAACCCCCATCTCTACTAAAAACACAAAAATTAGCCAGGTATGGTGGTGCATACCTGTAGTCCCAGCCACTCAGGAGGCTGAGGCACAGAAATCACTTGAACCCGGGAGGCGGAGGCTGCAGAGAGCAGAGATCAGGCCACTGCACTCCAGCCTGGGCGACAGTGAGACTCTGTCTCGAGGGGGAAAAAAAGTGCTGGAATCTGCCTTTAAGGAGCTTATCCAGTACCAGGAGAAAATAGAGGGTTCCCTCTCAATTACAATACGATTCAGCTGGCAGCCATGAGAGGAAGGCAAGGTACTTGGGCCATTTTGTGGTGGTGAGAGAATCACCTGTGGAGGACTGACTTCAAATTCTCCGGACCACTGGATTTACTATTCATTTGGAGGGTATTTGAAGACTTCTGGAAATAGGTAACCATTGAACTAATCCTTAAAGCGTAGGTAGGAGGATTCATAGACAAAAATGCACATTGAAATGTATAGAAAGGCCGGATGTGGTGGCTCACGCCTGTAATCCCAGCACTTTGGAAGGCCGAGGCGGGTGGATCACGAGGTTAGGAGATCGAGACCATCCTGGCTAACTTGGTGAAACCTCGTCTCTACTAAAAATACAAAAAAAATTGGCTGGGCATGGTGGCGGGCGCCTGTAGTCCCAGCTACTTAGGAGGCTGAGGCAGGAGAACGGCATGAACCAGGGAGGCGGAGCTTGCAGTGAGCCGAGATTGTGCCACTGCACTCCAGCCTGGGTGACAGAGCAAGACTCCGTCTCAAAAAATAAATAAATAAATAAAACGGAAATGTATAGAAAACAGTGAAGAAGAAGCAGGAACGCTCAAGAAATGCAGAATGGTAAAAAAAAGTTTTAAATTAAGAGCGGCGTATTCATTGATGCTAAGAACTCTGGATTGCTTTGCTCTGTGGTCTGAATTTTATTAGGGAAAAGAGTCTGCTAAAGATCTTTCAGTGGAGAGCGCCCTCCTCCAAGTGGTTTTTTAAGAAGATAATTCCTAAAGCAGAAGTCTGAATGAACTGAACAGAGGAGACCATTTATGGGAGGGAGCGCATAAAGCAGGAAGTAATTGCCTCGAGCGGGTGCCCTATTTATTTATTTATTTATTATTTTTATTTATTTTATTTTATTTTTGAGACGGAGTCTCGCTCTGTCGCCCAGGCTGGAGTGCAGTGGCGCTATCTTGGCTCACTGCAAGCTCCGCCTCCCGGGTTCATGACATATTCCTGCCTCAGCCTCCCGACTAGCGGGGACTACAGGCGCCCGCCACCACGCCCGGCTATTTTTTTTGTATTTTTAGTAGAGACAGGGTTTCACTGTGTTAGCCAGGATGGTCTCGATCTTCTGACCCCGTGATCTGCCCGCCTCGGCCTCCCAAAGTGCTGGGATTACAGGCATGAGCCACCGCGTCCGGCCGGCAGGTGCCCCATTTTAAAAATATATTGTTGGCCGGGTGCTTTGGCTCACGCCTGTAATCCCAGCACTCTGGGAGGCTGAGGCGGGCAGATCACCTGAGGTCGGGAGTTCAAGACCAGCCTGACCAACATGGAGAAACCCCATCTCTACTAAAAAAAAAAAAAAAAAAATTAGCCAGGCGTGGTGGTACATGCCTGTAATCCCAGCTACTCGAGAGGCTGAGGGAGGAGAATCATCTGAAGTCGGGATGCAGAGGTTGCGGTGAGCCGAGATCCCACCATTGCATTCCAGCCTGGGCAACAAGAGCAATACTCCGTCTCAAAAAATAAATTAATTAATTAAAGTAATAAAATAAAGAAGTATTGTTTGCTGTTTTGGAGTATTGCAAGACTGTTGGGTGGAGGAACAAGTTACTGTTTCAACTTGCCCATGCCATGACAGGTTCCAGGTGTGGGTAGATGAGGTAAGAACCAGACGTTTGTCCTTCAAGATTGACTTGGAGCAGGGGTGGGGATATCTCTTTAATCTTTGTCTTGGGTTAAAGGGAATGTAAACTGCAGTGCAGGTTGCTAAAACAAGGCCAGCTCTTTGTTGTTGTCTCCTAGAAGCAGGTAAGTGGAAAGAAGGAACTGCCCTTATTAAAATAGAAAACGACCTCGTTCTTTTTTCAAAAGGTCACATTTCCTTACATGGTGAAAATGCCGTCCACTTTCTACTAACATGAAGCGTCCTCCTGGTTGATTTTATTCTTCAAGTTCTCGGCTGGAATCATTTTGCTTTTTTCTGTCTTGAATTGGGGTTTTTTTACTTTTTTTCCCTCTAGGTAAATTTTTTTTTTTTTTTTTTTTTTTTTTTTTTGGAGATGGAGTCTCGCTCTGTCGCCCAGGCTGGAGTGCAGTGGAGCAATCTCGGCTCACTACAAGCTCCGCCTCCCGGGTTCATGCCATTCTCCTGCCTCTGCCTCCCAAGTAGCTGGGACTACAGGCGCCCGCCACCACGCCCGGCTAATTTTTTGTATTTTTGGTAGAGACAGGGTTTCATTGGCCGGGCACGGTGGCTCACACCTGTAGTCCCAGGCGTGACTTTGGGAGGCCGAGGCGGGCGGATCACAAGGTCAGGAGATAGAGACCATCCTGGCTAACGCGGTGAAACCCCGTCTCTACTAAAAATAAAAAAAATTAGCCGGGCGTGGTGGCGGGCGCCTGTCGTCCCAGCTGCTTGGGAGGCTGAGGCAGGAGAATGGCGTGAGCCCAGGAGGCGGAGCTTGCAGTGAGCCGAGATAGCGCCACCGCACTCCAGCCTGGGTGACAGAGCGAGACTCTGTCTCCAAAAAAAAAAAAAAAAAAAAAAAAAAAAGGAGACAGAGTTTCACCATGTTAGCCAGGATGGTCTCGATCTCCCGACCTCGTGATCCGCCCGCCTTGGCCTCCCAAATTGCTGGGATTACAAAGTGAGCCACCGTGCCCAGCCCTCTCTAGGTAAATCTTTAGAATTTGTGGATTATCATTAGCAGGCAAAACCAGCAAGGGTGTTGTAACAACCTTTAGTACGCAAGTTGCTTGTGTCAGAGACGTTTAAACCAGAGCGACTCTATCTCGTATAGAGGCTGGGTAAAATGAGGCTGAGACCTACTGGGCTGCATTCCTAGATGATTAGGCATTCTAAGTCACAGGATGAGATAGGAGGTCAGCACAAGATACGTGTCATAAAGACCTTGCTGATAAAACAGGTTGCAGTAAAGTAGCCAGCTAAAACCCACCAAAACCACGATGGCCACGACAGTGATCTCTGGTTGTCCTCAATGCTAGACTCCCATCAGTACCATGACAGTTTACAAATGCCATGGCGACATTAGGAAGTTACCCTATATGGTCTAAAACGGGGAGGCAAGAATAATTCACCCCTTGTTTGGCATATCATCAAGAAATAACCATAAAAATGGGCAACCAGCAGCCCTGGGGCTGCTCTGCCTATGGAACAGCCATTCTTTCCTAATAAACTGCCTTTCACTTTATGGACTTGCCCTGAATTCTTTTTTTTTTTTTTCTTTTGAGACGGAGTCTCACTCTGTCACCCAGGTTGGAGTGCAGTGGCCCAGTCTCAGCTCACTGCAACCTCCCTTTCCCTGATTCAAGCAATTCTGCCTCAGCCTCCTGAGTAGCTGGGATTACAGGCCCCCGCCACCATGCCTGGCTAATTTTTTTATTTTTAGTAGTCATGAGGTTTCAACATGTTGGCCAGGCTGGTCTAGAACTCCTGACCTCAAGTGATCTGCCCGCCTCTCCCTCCCAAATTGCTGGGATTACAGGCGTGAGCCACCGTGCCCGGCGTCATCATCTAGGACTGCATCCTATGCACACATTTCCACAGTACTAAAAGGTTTACCTTTAAAAATGTTAAGTGCACCGGGCTTGGTGGCTCACGCCTGTAATCCCAGCACCTTGGGAGGCCGAGGCGGGCGGATCACGAGGTCAGGAGATCGAGACCATCCTGGCTAACATGGTGAAACCCTGACTCTACTAAAAATACCAAAAATTAGCCGGGCGTGGTGGCGGGCACCTGTAGTTCCAGCTACTCGGGAGACTGAGGCAGGAGAATGGCTTGAACCTGGGAGGCGGAGCTTGCAGTGAGCTGAGATTGCGCCACTCCACTCCAGCCTGGGCGACAGAGTGAGACTCCCTCTCAAAAAAAAAAAAAATGTTAAGTGCAGGCCAGGCACAGTGGCTCACAGGAGCAGGAGGACTGCTTGAGCTCAGGAGTTCAGGACAGCCTGGGCAACATGGTGAAGCCCCGCTCTACAAAAGTAAAAATAACTTTTATTTTAATAATATTTTCTTCCCAAAGTGCTGGGATTACAGCCATGAGCCACTGTGCCATACTTGTGTACCTGTCTTTATGAGACCAAAAACTAAATAAAATGTATTTCACCCCCGCTTTTTTTTTTTCCCGAGACAGAGTCTCACTCCGTCACCCAAGCTGGAGTGCAGTGATGCGATCTTGGCTCACTGCAACCTCCGCCTCCCAAGTTCAAGCTATCCTCGTGCCTCAGCCTCCCGAGTAGCCGGGATTACAGGCGCCCACCACCATGCCTAGCTAATTTTTGTATTTTTAGTAGAGACAGGGTTTTGCCATGTTGGCCAGGCTGGTCTCGAACTCCTGACCTCAGGCGATCCACCCACTTCGGCCTCCCAAAGTGCTGGGATTACAGGTGTGAGCCACTGCTCCCAGCCTTATTTCCCCCTTAAAATTTTTTTTTTTTTAATTTGAGAAGGAGTAATCCCAGCTACTCAGGAGGCTGAGGCAGGAGAATCGCTTGAACCTGAGAGGCGCAGGTTGCAGTGAGCCAAGATCACGCCACTGCACTCCAGTCTGGGCAACAGAGCGAGACTCCATCTCAAAAAAAAAAAAAAAAAAAAAAAGAAAGAAAAGAAATGTGGGATTTGTGTGTGTGTGTGTGTGTTTTCTCGAGATAGGGTTTCACTCTGTTGTCCAGGCTAGGGTACTCGACCTCCTGGGCTCAAACAATCCTCCTACCTCAACCTCTTAAATAGCAGGGACAACAGGCATGTGTCACCACACCTAGCTTATGTTAATAATTTTCATTGTGATGGGGTCTCCCTACATTACCCAGGCTGGTCTTTAACTCCTGGGCTCAGGAGATCCACCCGCCTTAGCCTCCCACAGTGTCAGAATTATAACCACGAACCACCACGTTCCGCAAAAAAATTATTTATTTATTTATTTATGAGATGGAGTCTCGCTCCGTCACCCAGGCTGGAGTGCAGTGGCGCAATCTCAGTGGCGCAATCTCAGCTCACTGCAACCTCTGCCTCCCAGGTTCAAGCGATTCTCCTGCCACAGCCTCCCTAGTAGCTGGGACTGCAAGTGCATGCCACCATGCCTGGATAATTTTTTTGTATTTTTAGTAGAGATGGGGTTTCACCATGTTGGCCAGGCTGGTCTTGAACTCCTGACCTTGTGATCCGCCACCTCAGCCTCCCAAAGTGCTGGGATTACAGGCACGAGCTACCGCGCCCGGCCTAAGAAATGTATTTTTTAAACAAAATTTCCTATCAACAATATGGCTGCATTTGGAATTTTGTAATAGGAGGAATTACTGAAAAGGCAAGGGGTGTGGCCCTTACTGAACGCTGACATTCCGGGCAGCTGAGATTGCTCCTTTGTAGGGTGACCTCATGCCAGAGTGATTTCTTAATGTTTTCCGTCATGGAAGCAAATTCATTAGTCATAAGTGAGAATGACAAATGAAACTGGATTGGAACAGGTTGTGGGATTGGACCTGGGGCAAATTTCTCACAGACTTGGAACAAGTTTCCTTCTGTTCCTACCACAGTCCTGATCTTGGATTCTTCAAACCAATTACAACTCTGTTCATTGTACTGGCCCATTCTACTAAGTTTTTATTTAGAACATTTGGAGGAATACTGAACACCTACTATATGAGGGTAGTTGAAATCTAATAGGGTTCATGACTTTAGAGAGTCAAGGATTAGGACAGGCATAGCAGGCATGTGGTAGAAACAGAATGTTTGCCTACAGTCATAATTGAAGGAAATGTCAAATTTCCCTGAATTCTATCCAGAAGGTCCGTGGACCCCCAGTTAAGAACCTTGCAGCAGGGCTGGATGTGGTGGCTCACGCCTGTAATCCCAATGCTTTGGGAGGCCAAGACAAGAGGATAGGTTGAGGCCAGTAGTTTGAGACCAGTCTTGGCAACATAGCAAGGTTCGAGACCTGTCTCTACAAAAAATAAACAAAATTAGCTTGGTGTGGTGGTACACACCCGTGGTCCCAACTGCTCGGAAGGCTGAGATAGGAGGACGGTCGAGGCTGCAGTGGACTGTGATCGTGACATTGAACTTCAGCCTGGGTCAGAGACAGACCCTGTCTCCTAAGAAAAAAAAATTTTGTTGAGCAAGTGACTAGATTCAAAGGTTAAAATAGCCTACTTGTATATTACCTTTTAGAGATTGGCTGAGGTCTAAGTAGATTGGTGCTCAGGGTAAGAGTTTGAACTCAGTGATCACTAAGGTTCCTTCCAACTCTTTTTTTTTTTAGAGAAAGGGTGTTGCTCTGTTGCCCAGGCTTCAGTGCAGTGATGTGATCATAGCTCACTATAGCCTCGAACACCTGGGCTCTCGCTATCCTCCTGCCCGGCCTCCCAAGGAGCTGGGGCTAAAGGCACATGCTGCCATGCATGGCTAATTTTTTCATTTTTATTTTATTTATTTATTTATTTTATTATTTTTATTTTTTGAGACGGAGTCTTGCTCTGTCGCCCAGGCTGGAGTGCAGTGGTGCAATCTCAGCTCACTGCAAGCTCCGCCTCCCGTGTTCGCGTCATTCTCCTGCCTCAGCCTCCGGAGTAGCTGGGACTACAGGTGCCCGCCACCACGCCCGGCTAATTTTTTGTAGTTTTAGTAGAGACAGGGTTTCACCGTGTTAGCCAGGATGGTCTGGATCTCCTGACCTTGTGATCCTCCCACCTCGACCTCCCAAAATGCTGGGATTACAGGCGTGAGCCACTGCGCCCAGCCTCATTTTTATTTTTGTAGACATGGGGTCTCAGTTTGTTGCCCAGGCTGCTCTTGAACTCCTGGGCTCAAGCAATCCTTCTGCCTCAGCCTCCCAAAGTGCTGGCATTACAGGCCAGAGCCACTGCACCCAGCCATCCTTCCAACTCCTTGGTCTGTGTTTTGCCCTTACTTGAGCTTCCTTCATCATAACTTGCAAACTTGCATTTCATTTTTGATGAACTGAAGCAATTTTCTTTCTTTTTTTTTTTTTTTTTTTTTTTGAGATGGAGTCTCGCTCTGTCACCCAGGCTGGAGTGCAGTGGCGTGATCTCGGCTCACTGCAAGCTCTGCCTCCCAGGTTCACGCCATTCTCCTGCCTCAGCCTCCCGAGTAGCTGGGACTACAGGCACCTGCCACCATGCCCAGCTAATTTTTTGTGTTTTTAATAGAGATGCGGTTTCACCATGTTAGTCAGGATGGTCTCAATCTCCTGACCTCGTGATCTGCCCGCCTCGGCCTCCCAAAGTGCTGGGATTACAGGCGTGAGCCACCGCACCCGGCCTGAACTGAAGCAATTTTCTAAGCTCCTTCTTTATTCTGATGCTCAGAGTAAAATTGCCAGTATATTTAATGTGCTTTGTGTAAATGACTCACTCCTGAGTGTTTTTAGGATGTTTAGATAAAGATAGGCCTTGTTGTGCTCTTTAGAAGAAATTGCGACCAAGTGTGTTTTACAAAGGAATAGGTAAATAACTGCAGGCACAAAACATAAATGATCCACTGAATATTCATCAGTTATGGTAGGAATGGGTGGTATTCATTTCCCAGTTTGTTGAGTATTTTTATCAAGAAGGAGTATTGAGTTTTGTCAAATACATTTTCCGTATTGAGATTATCATGCAGTTTTTGTCCATTCTATTGATTCAATGTATTACATTAATTGATTTTCAGATGTTGAACCAACCTTGTATTCTATCACATTTGATCATATTGTTTAATCCTTTTTATATATTGGTGGATACAGTTTGCTAGTATTTTGGTGAGGATTTTGTATCTATGTTTATTAAAATATTGGTCAGTAGCTTTCTCCTTTTTCAACCATTTCTTGTATTGATTTTTAATTAAAAAATAATTTTTTTTTGAGACAGGGTCTCTCTCTGTTGCTCAGGCTGGAGTGCAGTGGCAAAATCTTGGCTCAATGCAACCTCCACCTCCCAGGCTCAAGAGATCCTCCCACTTCAGACTCCTGAGTAGCTGGGACAACAGGTGTACACCACCATGCCAGGCTAATTTTTTTATTTTTTGTAAAGATGGAGTTTGACCATGTTGTCAGGCTAATTTTTTAAATTTTAATTTTTTTGAACCAAAATGTCTTTTAATTGAATACTGAATACATTCTGTTAGGACATAAGAGTGACTGACAATTTTTTTTTTTTTTTTGACACGGAGTTTTGCTCTTGTTGCCCAGGCTGGAGTGCAGTCATGCGATCTTGGCTCACTGCAACCTCTGCCTCTCAGGTTCAAGCAATTCTTGTGCCTCAGCCTCCCTAGTAGCTGGGATTACAGGCACCTGCCACCATGCCCGGCTAATTTTTGTATTTTTAGTAGCACAGGGTTTCACCATGTTGGCCAGGCTGGTCTCGAAGTCCTGACCTCAGATGATCACCCGCCTTAGCCTCCCAAAGTGCTGGGATTACAGACACAAGCTCGATTTTACAGCCCAGTTTTTTTTTTTAAGACAGGATCTCCCTTTGCTGCCCAGGCTGGAGCACAGTGACATAAACATCGCTCACTGCAGCCTCTACCTCCTGGGCTCAAGTGATCCTCCCGTCTCAGCCTCCCAAGTATCTGAGACCACAGGTAAGCACCACCATGCCCAGCTAATTTTTAAATTTTTTATAGAGACAGAGTCTTGCCTTGCTGCCTGGGTGAGTCTCAAACTCCTGGGCTCAAGAGATCCTCCCACTTCAGTCTCCCAAAGTGCTAGGATTGCAGGCATGAGCCACTGCGCCTTTATAAGACTGATGTCTTTATAAGAAGAGGGAAATCTGGCACAGAGAGATGGAGGCAGAAAGCGATGTGGAGATGGAGGCAGAGACTGGAGTGATGCATCTATGAGCCAAGGAATGCCAGAAGCTGTGAGAGAGGCATGGAACAGCCCGTCCCTCAGAGTGCCCAGAAGGAGCCAACCTGGGAATTCTAGCCTTGAAAGCTGAGAGAATATGGCTGGGCTCAGTGGCTCACCCCTGTAATCCCAGGACTTTAGGAGGCCAAGGTTGCAGTGAGCTGAGGTCGTGCCATTGCACTCCAGCCTGGGCAACAGAGTGAGACTCTGTCTCAAAAAAACAAAACAAAACTGAGAACTGAGAGAATATGTTTCTACATTTCTGCTGATTAAGCCACCCAGTTTGAGGGACTTTGTGGAAGGCCCCAGTTAGCTGATTCTCATCCTTACAGACAGGCAGAATCTTTTCCAAAGAATTGCATCCATGTTCATCTTTTCCTGTTTTCTGTGATCTCTGAGGAGTCCGAGACTTCCAGAATGAGATGAGCATTTCATAGTCAACATTGGCCTTATCTCGCCAGACACTGAGTACAGTCAACCCTACAGTAAACTCTACTATACTATATTACTATATAGGGCTATGCTATAGCAATAGTTCTCAACACAGAGTTTACAGACAAATTGTCTCTCAGAAATCCACAAGTTCTCCACATAATTATTTTTTTTTGAGACGGGGGGTCTCTCTGTTGTCCAGGCTAGAGAGCAGTGGTGAACTCTTGGCTGACTGCAGCCTCGACCTCCCAGGCCCAAGTGATCCTCCCAACTCAGCCTCTGAGTAGCTGGGATCACGGGTGCACGCCACCACACCCGGCTAATTTTTTTTTTTTTTTTTTCAGTAAAGACAGGATTTTGCCACGTTGCCCAGGCTGGTCTGGAATTCCTGGCCTCAAGTGATTGCCCACCTTGGCCTCCCTAAGTGCTGGGATTACAAGCGTGAGCTGCTGTGCCTGGCCCTGATAAATTTTTATATTTTCTGCTTTCATTTCAATGATAATGAAAAATCAGACATTAAGATCTTTTTTTTAATTTATTTTTTTGAGACAGCGTCTCGCTCTGTTTCCCAGGCTAGAGTGTTGTGACGCAATCTCGGCTCACTGCGACCTCTGCCTCCCAGGTTCAAGGGATTCTCCTACCTCAGCCTCCCAAGTAGCTGGGGTTACAGGCGTGCACCACCACACCCAGCTAATTTTTGTATTTGTAGTAGAGACAGGATTTTGCCATGTTGGCCAGGCTGGTCTCGAACTCCTGACCTCAGGTGATCCACCCACCTCAGCCTCCCAAAGTTACTGGGATTACAGGCGTGTGCCACTGCACCCGGCCTCAGACATCATGATCTTATTCCTGGTCATGATGCACTACCACACAACCACGTGCTGCTGTGTAATTTCAGTGCCCACATACTGTTTATTATCATGCTACTGCAAAGTTAAATCCTAAAGTCACTGCTATTTTGAATTTTTATCTTTTTGAGATAGGTCTTGCTATATTGCCCAGGCTGGCCTCAAATTCCAGGGCTCAAGGGATACCCCCCCTCCAACATCAGTGTCCTGGGTAGCTGGGACTACTGGCTGGCATGTGCCACCATGCCTGACTCTATTTCTATTTCTATTTATTTATTTAAGAGACAGGGTCATGCTCTGCTGCCCAGGCTGGAGCGCAGTGACGCAATCACAGCTCACTACACTCTCAAACTCCTGGGCTCAAGCTATCTTCCCTCCTGAGTAGCTGGACTACAGGTGCATGGCACCATGCCTGGCTAATTAAAAAAATTTTTTTTGTAGAAACAAGGTCTTGCTGTGTGGCCCAGGCTGGCCTCAAACTCCTGGGCTCAAGCAATCTGTCTGCCTTGGTCTCCCAAAGTACTGGGATTACAGGAGTGAGCCATTGCACCTAGCCCTTAAAGGAATTTTTTTCTTTTTCTTTTTTTTTTTTTTTTTTGAGACAGAGTCTTGCTCTCTTGCCCAGGATGGAGTGCAATGGCACGATCTCGACTCACTGCAGCCTCTGCCTCCTGGGCTCAAGTGATTCTCCTGCCCCAGCCTCTGGAGTAGCTGGAATTACAGGTGCCCTCCAAGACACCCGGCTAATTTTTTTATTTTTAGTAGAGTTGGGGTTTTACCATGTTGGCCAGGCTGGTCTCAACTCCTGACCTCAGGTGATCCACCTTCCTGGGCCTTCCAGCCACCATGCTAGGCCTAAAGCAACTTCTAAATGAAGTGCTTCTCAAGCAGAAACCAAGGACAAATTCTCAGCAGCCAGAGAGTTGCCATGTGTGATAAATACTAGTGTGATGAATCAGAACGATCAATACATGAAAGAGCTTCGGGCCAGGCATGGAGGTTCATGCGTGTGATCCTAGCACTTTGGGAGGCCGTGGCAGGAGGACAGCTTGAGCCCAGGAGTTCAAGATCAGCCTGGGCAGCATAGCGAAACCCTACAAAAAATCAAAGATTAGCTGGGCATGGTGGCACACACATGAGCCCGGGAGGTCAAGGCTGCAGTGAGCCAAGATCACACTATTATACTCCAGCCTGGGCAACAGAGCAAGACCCTGTCTCAAAAAAAAAAAAAATTAAATAAATAAATAAATAAATAAATAAATAAATAAATAAAATTAGCCATGTGTGGTGTTGCACACCTGTAGTCCCATATACTCAGGAGACTGAAGTTGGAGGATTGCTTGAGCCCAAGAGGTTGAGGCTGCAGTGAGCCCTGATTGTGCCATATCATTCCAGCCTGAGTGACACAGCGAGACCCTGTCGCACACACACACATACACATGCACGCACACGTACACATGCACGCACACACGGCCGGGCACAGTGACGCATGCCTGTGATCCCAGCACACTGGGAGGCTAAGGCAGGTGGATCACTTGAGGTCAGGAGTTTGAGACCAGGCTGGCCAATATGGTGAAACCCTGTCTCTACTTAAAAAAAAAAAAAATTAGCTGGGTATGGTGGTGCATGCGTGTAGTCCCGGCTACTCAGGAGGCTGAGGCAAAAGGATCACTTGAGCCCAGGAAGTGGAAGTTGTAGTGAGCCGAGATCACGCCACTGCACTCCACCCTGGGTGATGGGAGTGAAACACTGTCTCAAAAAACAAACAAACAAAAACCAAAAGTAGGTGGTTTTTATTAGTTTCCTAGGTCTGCTATAACAAACTACCAAAAACCTGGGTGGATTTGAAGAAGAGAAATGTATTGTCTCACAGTTGTGGGGCTGAAGTCTGAGGTGAAGGTGTCAGCAGGGCCCTGGTCCCTCTGAAGACTCCAGGGGAGAAACTGTTCCTTGCTCCCCTCCCAGCTTCTGGTGTCCCCAGGCATTCATTAGATTGCATATGCACCCCGTCCTCCCTGTTCCCATGGATTCTCCCTTTATGGCATCTGTCCTGTGTGTCCACACGTGTCTGTGCCCAAACTTCCTTTTCAGAAGGTTCCCATCATATTGGAGTCAGGCCTACCCCCACTGACCTCCTCAATTACTTCTGTAAAGACCCTGTTTCCTAAGATCCCATTCCAAGGCGCTGGGAGGCAGGACTTTTTTATTTTATTTTATTTTTTGAGATGAAGTCTTGCTCTGTTGCTGGAGTGCAGAGGTGCGATCGCGGCTCACTGCAGCCTCTGCCTCCCAGGTTCAAGGGATTTTCCTGCCTCAGCTTCCGGAGTATTTGGGATTACAGGTGCTGGGTACTATGGCAGGCTAATTTTTGTTATTGTTAGTAGAGACAGGGTTTCACCATTTGGCCAGGCTGGTCTTGAACTCCTGACCTCAGATGATCCGCCCACCTCAGCCTCCCAAAGTGCTGGGATTACAGGCGTGAGCCACCGCACCTGGCCCAGGGGCAGGACTTTAACATATCTCTTTGGAGGGCACACAAGCCAACCCATAACAGGGGTCCAAAAGTGGCACAGGGTCGCTTGCTGGGGTCAACATGATGGTTCTAGGACCAGTCATTACACCTGTACTTCAGTGTATAGGGGAAAAAAAACTGTATTTTTAAATTTATTTTATTTTTTGAGTCAGGATCTCCCTAGGTCACCCAGGCACGAGTGCAGTGACCTGATCACAGCTCACTGCAGCGTCAACCTCCCACCTCAGGTTCAGGTGATCCTCCCACCTCAACCTCCCAAGTAGCTGGGACTACAGGTGTGCACCACCATGCCTGGCTAATTTTTGTATTTTTAGTAGAGATAGGGTTTTACCATGTTGCACAGGCTGGTCTCGAACTCCTGACCTCAAGTAATCTGCCCGCCTTGGCCTCCCAAAGTGCTGGGATTACAGGTGTGAGCCACCACGCCTGGTCGTATTTTTTGAGACATGGTCTTGCTGTGTCACCCAGGCTGGAGTGCAGTGGTGTGATCGTAGCTCACTGCAGCCTTGACGTCCTGGGCTCAGGTGATCTTCCCACCTCAGTCTCCTGAGGAGCTGGGACCACAGGCGCACACCACCACACCTGGCTTTTTTTTTATTTTTATTTTTGTGGAGACAGGGTGTCACTATATTACCACTGATCTTGAACTCCTGGGCTCAAGCAATCTTCCCAAAGGATCCTCCCTCAGCCTCCCAAAGTGCTGGAATTACAGGCGTGAGCCACTGCTCTCAGCCTAGCAAATGGTTTTCTCTATAACACTCAACACTTCCAGCACCAGATGTGTGGGGTTTTTCCCACACCAACCCCCTCTTCAACTCTCCAGGCATCAACTGGGGGTTCCACAATTCAACTATGACACAAATGACGTGAGCTTAGAGCAGACCCCACAGGCTTAGTATCACAAGACTTCCCCCCATTTCGGTTGCCAATCTCAAGTAGTGGGTCCCTAGTTTACTCAGACTTCTGTCTGACTTGACTACAAATCGAGGCTCCCATGACCCCTTTTCTAGGTCCAATAATTTGCTATGATGGCTTACAAAACTCAAGGAAACATTTTCAGTTACTAGTTTATTATAGAGAATGTGATAGAGGATATACCTGGCCAGCCAGATGAACAGGTACATAGGGCAAGGTGCAGAAGCGTCTGAATACAGGAGCTTCTGTCCCCGGGGAGCAGGGGTGCGCCACACCCCCAGCATGTGGGCGTTTACTAGCCTGCAAGTTCAGAGATTTTTATGGAGATTTTCTTTCTTTCTTTCTTTCTTTCTTGAGACGGAGTCTCGCTCTTTCGCCCAGGCTGGAGTGCAGTGGCACGATCTCGGCTCACTGCAAGCTCTGTCTCCCAGGTTCACACCATTCTCCTGCCTCAGCCTCCCAAGAAGCTGGGACTACAGGCGCCCGCCACCACGCCTGGCTAATTTTTTGTATTTTTTTTTAAGTAGAGACGGGGTTTATCCATGTTAGCCAGGATGGTCTCGATCTCCTGACCTCGTGATCCGCCCGCCTCGGCCTCCCAAAGTTCTGGGATTACAGGCGTGAGCCACTGCGCCCGGCCTTTCCTTCTTTCTTTTTCTTTTCTTTTTTCTTTCTTTTTTTTTTTTTTTTTGAGACGGAGTCTCGCTGTGTCACCCAGGCTGGAGTGCAGTCTCGGCTCACTGCGAGCTCCGCCTTCTGGGTTCACGCCATTCTCCTGCCTCAGCCTCCTGGGAGTAGCTGGGACTACAGGCGCCCACCACCACACCAGGCTAATTTCTTTGTATTTTTAGTAGAGATGGGGTTTCACCATGTTAGCCAGGATGGTCTTGATCTCCTGACCCGGTGATCCGCCTGCCTTGGCCTCCCAAAGTGCTGGGATTACAGGCGTGAGCCACTGCGCCCAGCCTTTTTTTTTTTTTTTTTTTTTTTTTTTTTGAGACAGCATCTTGCTCTGTCACTACTCAGGCTGGAGTGCAGAGGCATGATCACGACTCACTGCAGCCTCAACTTCCAGAGGCTTAAGTGATCCTCCTGCCTCAGCCTCCCAAAGTGCTAGGTTTACAGACTGAGTCCCCACACTCTGCCTTTATGGAGACTTCTTCATGCAGGCGTGATCCATTATTAACTTAATCTCCAGCCCTTTCCCCTCACCCAGAAGACGGAGGGTGAGGCTGAAAGTTTCAGGATGCTAATCATGGTTTGGTCATTCTGGTGACCAGCCCCCATCCTGAAGCTATCCAAGAGCCCACCAAGTTTGGCTTCATTAGAACAATAGGTCTTCCTGTCACCCAGAAAATTCCAAAGGATTAGGCGCTCGTATTAGGAGACAGGGTCAAAGACCAAATGGTAGAACGAAAGATGCTCCTAACATTTTTTGCTTTAGAAACTGCAAAGGTTTTAGGAGCTCTGGCCAGAAGCCAGGGGCAACAAAGATCAAAATGTATATTTCTATTTTTTTTTTTTTTTGACACAGAGTCTCGCTCTGTCACCCAGGCTGGAGGGCAGTGGTGCGATCTTGGCTCACTGCAGCCTCCGCCTCGCGGGTTCAAGTGATTCTCCTTCTCAGCTTCCCGAGTAGCTGGAATTACAGGCATGTGCCACCATGCCCAGCTAACTTTTGTATTTTTAGTAGAGACGGCGTTTCACTGTGTTGGCCAGGCTGCTCTCAAACTCCTGGCCGAAAGTGATCTGCCCACTTTGGCCTTCTAAAGTGCTGGGATTACAGGCGTGAGCCACCATGCCCGGCCTATTTCTTATTATGTCACAATATCACATCCTATCAGCAGGAGGGAGAAAAGAAAGATAAATGTTTGCCCTCTCCCTTTAAGAAAACTGCCTGGACTGGACACTGTAGCTCACCCCTGTAATCGTAACTACTCGAAGGCTGAGGCCGGAGGATCGCTTGAGCCCAGGAGTTCAAGTTTGCAGTGAACTGTAATCATGCCACTATACTCTAGCCTGGGCAACAGAGCAAGCCTCCATCTCTTACACACACACACACACACACACACACACACACACACACTTCCAAGAGGTTGCATGGGCTACTTCAGCTTGGCCAGAACTTATTTTCATGGCCATCCCTAATAACACAGGAAGTTAGGAAATGTCTTCATTCTGGATGTCACATGGCA
Organism: Homo sapiens; assembly: GCF_000001405.40. Lineage (NCBI taxonomy): Eukaryota > Metazoa > Chordata > Mammalia > Primates > Hominidae > Homo > Homo sapiens. The sequence continues at coordinate 122,454,122 of NC_000012.12, read as the reverse complement.
GGAAGAATCAGATACAGGAAGAGGGTAGAATGGCTTTGAGGGGGGCGGGACTTCTGGTAGTCTCTGCTTCAGTCTTTGAAAATGGAAGCACAGTAGTGAATGTTATAGTTGACTGTGCAATACTCACTTTACCCTGATCATGGTATATTCAGGGTGGACAGACCTGGGCCCATCTGGGCCCACCTGGGCCAAGGAGATGCATGCCAGAGGGTGCGTGTGTGCGTGCACGTGTGTGTGTGCATGCACACGCACACTTAGAAAACCATAGGAAAGGCCAGGAGCAGTGGCTCACACCTGTAATCCCAGCACTTTGGGAGGCCGAGGCAGGCGGATCACCTGAGTTCAGGAGTTCGAGACCAGCCCGGCCTAAAGGGCGAAACCCCGTCTCTACTAAACATACAAAATTAGCCAGGTGTGGTGGCGCAGGCCTGTAGTCCCAGCTACTAGGGAGGCTGAAGTAGGAGAATCGCCTGAACCTGGGAGGCAGAGGTGGCAGTGAGCCAAGATTGCACCACTGCACTCCAGCCTGGGGAGACAGAGTGAGACTCTGTCTCAAAAAAAAAAAAAAAAAAAAAAAGCAAAAGCAAAAGCAAAAGCAAAGCAAACCACAAGAAAGCATGAATAGGAAATTGTCAGGCCTCTGAGCCCAAACTAAGCCATCATATCTCCTGTGCTGCACGAATACATCCAGATGGCCTGAAGCAACTGAAGATCCACAAAAGAAGTGAAAATAGCCTTAACTGATGACATTCCACCACTGTGATTTGTTTCTGCCCCACCCTAACTGATCAATGTACTTTATAATCTCCCCCACCCTTAAGAAGGTTCTTTGTAATTCTCCCCACCCTTGAGAATGTACTTTGTGAGATCCACCCCCTGCCTGCAAAACATTGCTCCTAACTCCACCGCCTATCCCAAAACCTAAAGGAACTAGTGGTAATCACGCCACCCTTTGCTGACTCTCTTTTCGGACTCAGCCCGCCTGCACCCAGGTGAAATAAACAGCCTTGCTGCACACACAAACCCTGTTTGGTGGTCTCCTCACACAACGCATGAGACAGAAATGTATCATATATCATATCCATTGCTCTGGCAACCATCTTACCTTAGGATGGTTGAATGAAGGATGAAGCCACCTCCGCAAATGGCAGAGAAAGAGAAGAAAAGATTTTGGGTGCTTGAGAAATTTAGCGGCTTGAGCCACTACATCAACCAGCCCTGAAGCTGAACCGTGTTGCAAACGTCCTGTTTTGTGAGCTAATGAGTCTCCTTATTGTCTCCGCTAGTCTGAGTTAGACCAGCTGCTGAAATCGTGATAACTGATGTAAACTCTAATAAAATGTAAGGTAATTTTTGACCAGCAGAGCATAAACCTCAACATCTGACTGGTCCCAGCAGATTTAGGCACCCTTATCTCCTTTTAGCTTTAGGAATTTCATTTGGGATTCAAATGGCTTTATCTGACAGGAACATATGCATAGCTGTTTCCAGGTAGGCTCTGATGGCCTGTATTTGATGGAGTAAGATTGGTTTTACATTTAAGAAAGGTTAAAGTAGAGGGGAACAGGCATTCTCATACATTATTGGTGGGGATATAAATTGGCTCACTCTTTTTTGGGAGGGTAATTTTTTTAAAAATGTAAATGTACATATTTTAGATTCAGTGGTTCTAATCTAAGCATTAATCCTACAACTATGTTTGTAAAAGCACACTGTATGCGCTTCAGATTCAAGCTTCTTGGTAAGACAAAAAACATTTTTAAGAAGAAAAGAAATACGAGTATACTATATATGCACCCAAGGCTGTTTATTGTGGCAATGTGTGTAGTAGCAAGTACTGAAAATAACCTAAATGTCTATTGGTAGGAATCTGTTGAAATCATAGCACACTATGATCTTACAACGCAATGGTTTAAAAAAATGAGGAGGCTGGGTACAGTGGCTCGCGCCTGTAATCCCAGCACTTTGGGAATCTGAGGCAGCAGGATCGCTTGAGCCTAGGAGTTCAAGACCAGCCTGAACGACATGGCAAGAACTCATCTCTAGGGAAAAAAAAAATTAAATAATTTAAAATATGGGGCCAGGCGTGGTGGCTCATGTCTATAATCTCAGCACTTTGGGAGGCCGAGGCAGGTGGATCACCTGAGGTTGGGAGTTCGAGACCAGCCTGGCCAACATAGAGAAACCCCGTCTCTACTAAAAATACAAAATTATCCTGTAATCCCGCATACCTGTAATCCCAGCTACTCGGGAGGATGAGGCAGGAGAATTGCTTGAACCTGGGAGGTGGAGGTTGCAGTGAGTAGAGGTTGCACCACTGCACTCCAGCCTGGGCAACAAGAGCAAAACTCTGTCTCAAAAAAAATTTTTTTAATATAAGGTAATCTACATCTTCTGATATGGAAAGAGGTCTATCTAGAGGTCTATCTATATATTCCCCTAATATATGTATTAACTAAAGAGTGTGGGTGTGTGTGTATATATAAAAGATAAGTTGTAATAGATAATATATAACATGTATTATTTAATATATTAACTTTTCTTTGTAATACATGTTAACTAAACTATATTACACATATATGTATGTTACATTTTATATTGTTACTGGAATACATATATTTATATATATATACTTTGTTAATTTTTTTTTGAGACAGAGTCTTGCTCTGTTGCCCAGGCTGGAGTGCAGTGGTGCGATCTCTGCTCACTGCAACCTCCGCCTCCTGGGTCCAAGCAATTCTCTGCCTCAGCCTCCCAAGTAGCTGGGACTACAGGCAGGTGCTACCACACCCGGCTAATTTTTGTATTTTTTATAGAGACGGGGTTTCGCCATGTGGGCCAGGCTGGTCTTGAAGTCCTGGCCTCAAGTGATCCACCCGCCTCGGCTTCCCAAAGTGCTGGGATTCCAGGCGTGAGCCACCATGCCTGGCTGAATGTATATATATGGTTAGGTGCAATACCCACATATATGAGTTTAAATAATTTTGATTTGCTGTCTCACATCATAAATTACACAAAAAATCTATCCCAGGAGAATAAAAGCAAAAACCTTAAAAATTTTATAGGAAAATATAGGCTAATACTTTGTGACCTAAGAGTTTTAAAAACATCTATTAATTGAAAAGCACCATTTAAAAAAATTTAAAAAACACAACAAAACAAAACAAAAAAAAAACAGGGCACGTATGGGAAAAAATATTTGGAACATATAGAATCATAATATATTAAAAACCACTACAATCAGTTTAAAAATAGACAATGCAACAGAATAATGGGCCAAAGATATGAAGTCGGCTGGACACGGTGGCCTATACCTGTAATCCTAGCACCTTGGGAGGCCGAGGTGGGCAGATTGCCTGAGCTTAGAAGTTTGAGACCAGCTCGGGCAACATGGTGAAACCCCGTTTCTACTAAAATACAAAAAATTAGTGAGGCGTGGTGGTGGGCATCTGTAGTCCCAGCTACTTGGGAGGCTGAGACAAAAGAATCACTTGAACCAGTGAGCTGAGATTGTGCCACTGCACTCCAGCCTCGGCAATAGAGTGAGACTCGATCTCAAAAAAAAAAAAAAAAAAAAGAGATTCTCAAGTTCCTCAGTAATCAGCAAAAAGCAAATTAAAACCATGAGAGAGGCCGGGCGCGGTGGCTCAAGCCTGTAATCCCAGCACTTTGGGAGGCCGAGGCGGGCGGATCACGAGGTCAAGAGATCGAGACCATCCCGGCTAACACGGTGAAACCCCGTCTCTACTAAAAATACAAAAAATTAGCCGGGCGTGGTAGCGGGCGCCTGTAGTCCCAGCTACTAGGGAGGCTGAGGCAGGATAATGGGGTGAACCCGGGAGGCGGAGCTTGCAATGAGCCGAGATTGCGCCACTGCACTCCAGCCTAGGTGACAGAGCAAGACTCCGTCTCAAAACAAAAAATACAAAAAAAAAAAAAATTAGCCGGGCATGATGGCGGGGGCCTGTAATCCCAGCTACTCGGGAGGATGAGGCAGGAGAATCGCTTGAACCTTCTCAGAGGATGTTGCAGTGAGCTAAGATGGTACCATTGCATTCCAGCCTGGGTGATAGACTGAGACGCCATCTCAATTCTTTCAAATCTTTTAGATGGACAAATATTTAATTTTAAAAACAGAGATGAGGAACTTGCTGTGTTATTCAAGCTGGTCTTGAACTCCCAGCCTCAAGTGATCCTCTCAGCTTGGCCTCCCCAAGTACTAGGATTACAGATGTGAGCCTCACACCCTGCCTGGACAAATATTTAAATATCTAATAATACCAAGTGTTAATGAGCATGGGTTTGTTTTTGTTGTTGTTGTTGTTTTTTTTTTTTTGAAGACAGGGATTCTCACTGTGTTGCCCAGGTTTGACTCAAACTCCTAGGCTCAAGGTATCAACTCGCTTCAGCCTCCCAAGTAGCTGGAACTACAGGTGCGTGCCATCATGCTAGGCTTTGCAATGGGAATTCTTAAATTCTACTGCTGGAAATGTAGTAGAACTGGAACTGCCATTTAGAGAGTAATTGGGCAATATACAGTGAAGTTAAACATGTGCATACCTTATGACTCACCAATTCCACTCTGAGCTATGCATTATGAAGAATTTTTTTTTTGCTCTGTGGCCCAGGCTGGAGTGTAGTGGCATGGATGGCTCACTGCAGCCTTGAGCTCCTGTGCTCAAGCAATTTTCCCACCTCAGCCTCCTGAGTAGCTGGGACTACAGGTTCACACCACCACACTCGGCTAATCTTTTACTATTTTTTGTAAAGACAGGGTCTTGCTATGTTGCTTAGGCTGGTTTCAAACTCCTAGGCTCAAGTAATCCTCCCACAGTGCTCAGATTTCAGGCATGGGCCACCTCATCCAGCTGAAATTCTTGAATATAAAATGAAAAAAGCAAAACAAAACCAATAATAGAGGAAGATATGGGACCCCAAAAATAATGCAAGTAATTGAAAAGTCTAAGATTAAAAATGGTTTTTTCTGCCAACTTGGGGGGAAAAGGGGCAATTATAAGCCATTGCTAGGAAATTCTAGGGAATATAGAGAGCAGTATGAGAAATTCATGGTCCAAAGAAAAGAGTTTTATTTTTATTACTCTTCTGTATTTGAATTAATTACCATATTCATGTCCCAGTTCTATAATTTATATAACTAGTTCAAATCTAAAAATAAAATAAAAATAAATCCCTTCATGATTAATTGCAAACTTTGGTACATATACAAAAAAAAAAAAAAAAAAAACACATGAAAAGGTATTTAGGAAGAAGGGATAGAGCTGGCTGCGGTTGGCTCATGCCTGTAATCCCAGTGACTTGAGAGGCTGAGGCATGAGAGGATCACTTGAGTCCAGGAGTTCGAGAGTAGCCTGGGCAACATAACAAGTCCTCATCTCTAACAACAATAAAAATAAAAATTAGCCTGGCCAAAAGAAAGACATACTGTTTCTTGTTTTTAAAGAAAAAAAATTAGCTTGGCATGGTGGTGCACACAAATAGTCCTAGGTACTCGAGAGGCCGCGGCAGGAGGATCCCTTGAGCCCAGGACTTCAAGGCTGCAGTGAGCTATGGTCATGCCATTGCACTCTAGCCTGGGTGAAAAAGTGAGACCTTGTCTCTAAAAAATAAAAATAGGCCGGGCACGGTGGCTCACGGCTGAAATCCCAGCACTTTGGGAGGCTGAGGTGGGCGGATCACTTGAGGTCAGGAGTTCGAGACCAGCCTGGCCAACATGGTGAAACCCCATCTCTACTAAAAATACAAAAATTAGCTGGGCATGGTGGCGCACGCCTGTAGTCCCAGCTACTAGGGAGGCTGAGGCAGGAGAATCGCTTGAACCCAGGAGGTGGAGGTTGCAGTGAGCCGAGATCACGCCACTGCACTCCAACCTGGGCAACAGAGCGAGACTCCATCTCAAAAAAAAAAAAAATTAGCCAGGTGTGGTGGTGCACGCCTGTAATTGCAGCTACTCAGGAGGCTGAGGCAGGAGAATCACTTGAACCTGAGAGGCAGAGGTTGCAGTGAGCCAAGATCATGCCACTGAACTCCAGCCTGGGAGACAGAGTGAGACTCTGTCTCAAAATAAATAAATAAATAAATAAATAAATAAATAAAACAACCTAACCATTTTGCCTCAGGTCTTTTTTTTTTTTAAATTACTATTCTGAAATAATCATTGATTTACTGACAGTTGCAAAACAACATACTGGAAAGTCCCAGGCATCCTCTCCTTGGCCTCGTGAATGTTAACATATAACCATATAGTACAATATCCAAAAAAGAAGTAGACATTGGTATGGTCTATAGAGTTCAGTAGATCTCACCCATTGTACATGTACTCATATATGGGTAGCTCTATACAAAACTGTATAACAGTTTTATTGAAATATAATTCACAAGGCCAGGCACGGTGGCTCATGCCTGTAATCCCGGCACTTTGGGAGGCCGAGGTGGGTGGATCACGAGGTCAGGAGATCGAGACCATCCTGGCCAACATGGTGAAACCCCGTCTCTACTAAAAATACAAAAATTAGCTGTATTTTTAGTACTGTTTGCCTGTAATCCCAGCTACTCGGGAGGCTGAGGCAGGAGAATTGCTTGAACCAGAGGGTCGGAGGTTGCAGTGAGCCGAGATCGCACCACTGCACTCCAGCCTGGTGACAGAGCAAGACTCCATCTCAAAAAAAAAAAAAAAAAGAAAAAAAGAAAAGAAATAGAATTCACATATTTAAAAATTTGCCATTTAAAGTGTACAATTCAGTGGTTTTTAGTCTATTCCCAGAGTTGTAAAGCCATCACCACAAACAATTTTAGAATATTTCATCATCCCCCAAAGAAAGCCCATATCCATTATCAGTCACTCCCCATTTCCTCTTTTCCCTGTCCCTGGCAACCACTCATATGCTTTCTGTCTCTATGATTTTCCTATCTGGAAAATAGCAGTGGAATTATACATTTTGTGGTCTTTTGTGACTGGCTTCTTTCACTTAGCATCATGTTTTCAAAGTTCCTTCATGTCATAGCATATATCAGTACTTCATTCTTTTTTATGGCTGTCTTAGTCCATTCAGGCTGCTATAAAAAATGCCAGGCGGTGACTCACGCTTGTAAGCCCAGCACTTTGGAAGGCCGAGTCGGGCGGATCACCTGAGGTCAGAAGTTTGAGACCAGCCTGGCCAACATGGTGAAACCCTGTCTCTACTAAAAATACAAAAATTAGCTGGGCTTGGTGGTGCACCTGTAATCCCAGCTACTCGGGAGGCGGAGGTGGGAGAATTGCTTGAACCCAGGAGGTGGAGGCTGTAGTGAGTTGAGATCGTGACACTGCATTCCACTCTGGGTGACAGAGCAAGACTGTGTCTCGAAAAGAAAAGAAAAGAAAGAAAAGAAAAATACCGTTAAGTTGGATAGCTTAGAAACAAAATGTGTTTCTCAGAGTTCTAGAGGCTGGGAAGTCCAAGGGTAAGGTGCCAGCAAATTCAGTGTCTGCTGAAGACCATCTCCTGGTTCATAGATGGCACCTGTTCACTGTGTCCTGACGTCATAGTGCAAAAGTCTCATTAACTCTTTGAGGTGCCTTGTTTTGTTTTGTTTTGTTTTTGAGACGGAGTCTTGCTCTGTCACCCAGGCTGAAGCACAGTGGCGCAATCTTGGCTCACTGCAACCTCTGCCTCCCAGGTTCAAATGATTCTCCTGCCTCAGCCTTCCGAGTAGCTGGGACTACATACAGTACCACAACACGTGGCTAATTTTTTGTATTTTTAGTAGAGACGGGGTTTCACTGTGTTAGCCAGGATGGTCTCAAGCTCCTGACCTCATGACCCACCCACCTTGGCCTCCCAAAGTGCTGGGATTATAGGTGTGAGCCACTGCGCCCAGCCCTGAGGTGTCTTTTATAAGGGAACTAATTCAGTTCATAATAGCTCTGCCGACACGACTTAGTCACCTCTCAAAAAGCCCCACCTGTTAATATCATCACCTTGGGGGTTAGGATTTCAACATATTAATTCTGGGGAGATATATTCAGACCATAGCAATGGATGAATGATAATAATAATGCTCTATTGCTATTTTTATTTGTATTTTTATTTTTTTGAGACGAAGTCTCGCTCTGTCACCCAGGCTGGAGTGCAGTGGCATGATCTCAGCTCACTGCAACCACCGTCTCCTGGGTTCAAGCAATTCTTCTGCCTCAGCCTTCCTAGTAGCTGGGATTACAGGCGTGCAACATTATATCCAGCTACTTTTTGTATTTTTAGTAGAGACTGGGTTTTATCAGTCTCTGGTTTCATTGGCCACACTGGTCTTTAACTCTCAACCTCAGGTGATCTGCCAGCCTTGGCCTCCCAAAGTGCCGGGATTACAGGCGTGAGCCACCATGCACGGTTCCTTTGCTTTTTTGTTTGTTTGTTTTTTGAGACAGAGTCTCACTCTGTTGCCCAGGCTGGAATCCAGTGGCACAATCATGGCTCACCACAGTCTTGACCTCCTGGGCTCAGGTGATCCTCCGACCTCAGCCTCCTGAGTAGCTGGGACTATAGGCAAACACCACCACACCCAGCTAATTTTTTTATATTTTTCGAAGAGACAGGGTTTTGCTATGTTGCTCAGGCTAGTCTCCAACTCCTGGACTCAAGCAATCCACCCGCCTCGACCTCCCAAAATGCTGGGATTACAGGCATGAGCCACCACGCCCGGTCACACATTTTGTTTATCTACTCATTAGTTGATGGACATTTGGGTTGTTTCTACTTGTTGACTCTTATAAATAATGCTATGAACATTCGTGTACCAGTTTTTGTATGGATATATGTTTTTATTTATCTTGGGAATACACCTATGAGGATAATTACTGGGTCATATGGGAACTCTATGTTTCACATTTTGACAAGTTGACAAACTGTTTTCAAAGTAGCTGTGCCATCTTACATTCTTACCAGCAATGTATGAGGATTCTAATTCCTTTACATTCTTGGCACCACTTGTTACTATCTGTCCCTTTTATTTTAGTTATCTTAGTGGGGGTGAAGTGGCATCTCACTGTTATTTTGATGGGCATTTCCCCAGTGACTGATGTTGAACATCTTTCCATGTGCTTATTGGCCATTTGTATATCTTCTTTGGATACATGTCTATTCAAATTCTCTACCTTTTTTTTTTTTTTTTTTAACAAATGGGGGCTGGGGATCAGGCGTGGTGACGCCTGTAATCCCAGCACTTCCGGAGGCCGAGGCGGGTGGATCACCTGAGGTCAGGAGTTTGAGACCAGCCTGACCAACATGGAGAAACCCCATCTCTACTAAAAATACAACATTAGCCAGGCATGGTGGCGCATGCCTGTAATCCCAGCTACTCGGGAGGCTGAGGCAGGAGAATCGATTGAACTCGGGAGGTGGAGGTTTTGGTGAGCTGAGCTCATGCCATTGCACTCCAGCCTGGGCAATAAGAGCGAAACTCTGTCTCAGGAAAAAAAAAAAAAAAGCAGAAAAAGAAAAAGAAATGGGGGCTGGGGACAGTGGCTCAAGCCTGTAATCCCAGCACTTTGAGAGGCCAAGGCGGGTGGATCACCTGAGGTCAGGATTTCAAGACTGGCCTGGCCAATATGGCAAAACCCCATCTCTACTAAAAATATACAAATTAGCTGGGCGCGGTGGCACGTGCCTGTAGCCCCAGCTACTCAGGAGGCTGAGGCAGGGGAATCACTTGAACCCAGGAGGTGGAGGTTGCAGTAAGCTGAGATTGCCCTACTGCACTCCAGCCTGGGCGACAGAGTGAGACTGGGTCTAAAAAAAAAATAAATGGGGTCTTGCTATGTTGTCCAGGCTGATCTCAAACTCCTGGACTCAAGTGATCCTCCTACCTTGGCGTCTCAAAGTGCTGGGATTACAGGTGTGAACCAACCATGCCTAGCCATCCTCTGCCCATTTTTAATTGGGCTATATGTCTTTTTATTGTTGCATTGTGGCTGGGAGCAGTGGCTCACGTCTGTAATCCTAGCACTTTGGGAGGCAGAGGCAGGAAGATCACGTGAGGCCAGGAGATCAAGACCAGCCTGGTCAACATAGTGAGACCCCATCTCTATAAAAAGATGTAATGGCTGGGGACGGGAAAACCAAAGTGGGAGGATTGCCTGAGCCCAGGAGTTCGAGACCAGCCTGGGCAACACAGAGACACCAACTCTTCATTTCTCTGCCTCATCTGAAACGAGGCGGCTAACTTCCAGTTTGCAGAAAATATAAGAAATAGAAGAAAAGGCCGGGCACGATGGCTCATGCCTCTAACCCCAGCACTTTGGGAGGCTGAGGCGGGCAGATCACTTTAGGCCGGAAGTTTGAGACCAGCCTGGCCAACATGGTGACACTGTGTCTCTACTGAAAATACAAAAATTAGCCAGGCGTGGTAGTGCATACCTGTACTCCCAGCTACTCGGGTGGTTGAGGCGGGAGAATCGCTTGAACCTGGGAGGCGGAGGTTGCAGTGAGCCGAGATCAAGCCAATGCACTCCAGCCAGGGCAACAGAGTAAGAAAAAGAAAGAAAGAAGGAAAGAAAGGAAGGAAGGAAGGAAAGAAAGAAAGAAAGAGAAAGAAAGAAAGAAAGAAAGAAAGAAAGAAAGAAAGAAAGAAAGAAAGAAGAAAGAAAGAGGGAAGGAGGGAAGGAGGGAACGAAGGAAGGAAGGAAAGAAAGAAAGAAGAAAGAAAGGGAAGGAGGGAATGAAGAAAGGAAGGAAGGGAAGAAAAGGAAGGAAAGGAAGGAAGCAAGGAGGGAGGGAGAGGGAGAGAGAAAGAGAGACAGAAAGAAAGAAAGAGAAAGAGAGAGGAAGAAAGAAAAAGAAAGAAAGAAAAGAAAAGAAAGGAAGAAAGGAAGAAAGAAAAGAAAAGAAAGGAAGGAAGAAAGGAAGAAAGAAAAGTTAAGCCAGGTGCGTGGCTCATGCCTGAAATCCCAGCACCTTAGGAGGCTGAGGCGGGCAGATCACGAGGTCAGGAGTTCAAGACCAGCCTGACCAATATGGTGAAACTCTGTCTCCACTAAAAAAAAAAAAAAAAAATTAGCCAGGTGTGGTTGTGTGCGCCACCTCGTCTCTATTAAAAAAAAGTTAAATAACAAATCCAGAAGGAAGAACATTCTATAGGACAACTGGCCCAGTTTTTTCTTTCTTTCTTTCTTTCTTTTTTTTTTTTTTTTTGAGATGGGGTCTCGCTTTGTCACCCAGGCTGGAGTGCAGTGGGACGATCTTGGCTCACTGCAACCTCTGCCTCCTGGGCTCAAATGATTCTCTTGCCTCAGCCTCCTGAGTAGCTGGGGTTACAGGCACGCACCACCAAGTCCAGCCAATTTTTTTTTTTTTGTAGTAGAGACGGGGGGTTTCACCATTTTGCCCACGCTGGTCTCAAACTCCTAAGCTCAAGCAATCCACCACCTTGGCCTCCCAAAGTGCTGGGATTACAGGCATGAGCCACCACAACCAGCCCAATTTTTTCAAAGGCATTACAGAAAAAAAAAAAAAGGAGGGTACTGTGATACACTGAAAAACTAAAAATAGTGTTAAGAGAAATTGAAGAAGACCTAAATAAATGAAAAGACGGCCGGGCGCAGTGGCTCACACCTGTAATCCCAGCACTTTGGGAGGCCGAGGCAGGCGGATCATGAGGTCAGGAGATCGAGACCATGCTGGCTAACATGGTGAAATCCCGTCTCTACTAAAAATACAAAGAAATTAGCCGGGCGTGGTGGCGGGCGCCTGTAGTCCCAGCTACTCAGGAGGCTGAGGCAGGAGAATGGTGTGAACCCAGAAGGCGGAGCTTGCAGTGAGCCGAAATCGCACCACTGCACTCCAACCTGGGTGATAGAGCGAGACTCCGTCTCAAAATAAAATAAAATAAAATAAAAAATAAATGAAAAGACATTCTGGCTGGGCGCGGTGGCTCACACCTGTAATCTCAGCACTTTGGGAGGCTGAAGCGGGCGGTTCACCTGAGGTCAGGAGTTCGAGACCAGACTGGCCAACATGATGAACCCTCATCTCTACTAAAAATAAAAAATTAGCTGGGAGTGATGGTAGACACCTGTAGTCCCAGCTACTTGGGAGCCTAAGGCAGGAGAATCGCTTGAACCCGGAGGTGGAGGTTGCAGTGAGCTGAGATCGCACTACTGCGCTTCAGCCTGGGTGATGGAGAGAGACTCCATCTCAAAAAAAAACAACAACAACAAAAATTTTTTTAAAAGATGGAGTCCCACCCTGTCACCCAGGCTAGAGTGAAGTGGTGCAATCATAGCTCACTGTAGCCTTTTAACTCCTGGTTTCAAGGGATCCTCCCACCTCAACCTCCCGAGTAGCTGGGACCACAGGCGCATGCCACCATGCTCAACTATTTTTTTGTTGTTGTTCTCTTTTCACTTTTCTTTTTTTTTTTTTTTAAGAGTTGATGTCTCTCTCAGCCTGGCCATCATGACAAAACCCCATCTTTACTAAAAACGCAAAAATTAGTGGGGCATGGTGGCACATACCTATAATTTCAGATAGCCAGGAGGCTGAGACACCAGAATCACTTGAACCTAGGAGGCAGAGGTTGCAGTGAGCTGAGATTGTGCCACTGCACTCCAGCCTGGGCAACACAGTGAGACTTTGTATCTGAATTTACAAAAAAAGAGAATTCTGGACTGGATATAAAGATTTAGCAGGCTGGGGGCCGGGCGCAGTGGCTCAAGCCTGTAATCCCAGCACTTTGGGAGGCCGAGGCGGGTGGATCACGAGGTCAGGAGATTGAGACCATCCTGGCTAACGCGGTGAAACCCCGTCTCTACTAAAAATACAAAAAATTAGCCGGGCGTAGTGGCGGGCGCTTGTAGTCCCAGCTACTCGGGAGGCTGAGGCAGGAGAATGGCATGAACCCGGGAGGTGGAGTTTGCAGTGAGCCGAGATTGCGCCACTGCACTCCAGCCTGGGTGACAGAGCGAGACTCCGTCTCAAAATAAATAAATACATAAATAAAGATTTAGCAGGCCGAGCACAGCAGCTCAAGCCTGTAATCCCAGCACTTTGGGAGGCCAAGGTGGGTGGATCACTTGAGGTCAGGAGTTTAAGACAAGCCTGGCCAACATGGTGAAACCCCATCTCTACTAAACATAGAAAACTTGGCCAGGCACAGTGGCTCACGCCTGTAATCCCAGCATTTTGGAAGGCTGAGGTGGGCGGATCATGAGGCCAGGAGATTGAGACTATCCTGGCCGACATTGTGAAACCCCATCTCTACTAAAAAAATACAAAAATTAGCTGGGTGTGGTGGCACATGCCTGTAATCCCAGCTACTCGGGAGGCTGAGGCAGGAGAATCTCCTGAACCGGGGAGGCGGAGGTTGCAGTGAGCCAAGATTGCGCCACTGCACTCCAGCCTGGGTGACAAAGCGAGACTCTGCCTCAAAAAAAAAAAAAAAAAATTAGGAATTGTTTCTGTATATTATGGATAGTAATTGAGGGTAAACTGATGAGATTATCCAAAGTGCTGTAATCCCAGCACTTTGGAAGACCAAGGCAGAAGGATTACTTGAACCCAGTAGGAAGAGAAGAGGAACTAGAAGAGATCCCTGAGGAATGTCAGTTTTAAGGGGTAGGTAGAGATTTGCAAAGAGATTGAAAAGGAACAGCCAGAGAAGACAGAGGAAAATAGCAGAGTATGGTGTTACAGAAAACATAGCTGAGAAGGGGATGTGGAAAGAGGACATATCATTTAGCTATGGCTGAGTAACAACCTATCCCAAAACTTAGTAGTTTAAAGCTGGAACCATTTATTTCACTCATAATTCTGTGGGTTGGAAATTTAGGCTGTCCTTAGTTGAGTGGTTCTTCTGGTCTCTGCTGGGTTCCCTGATGCATCTACAGTCAGTTGCAGTTATCCAGGCAGCTCTGCTTGTAGAGTTTGACATGAATAATTGTATTCACCGTTTTTTTTTTTTTTTTTTTTTTTTTTTTTTTTGAGACGGAGTCTCGCTCTGTCGCCCAGGCTGGAGTGCAGTGGCGGGATCTCGGCTCACTGCAAGCTCCGCCTCCCGGGTTCACGCCATTCTCCTGCCTCAGCCTCCCAAGTAGCTGGGACTACAGGCGCCCGCCACTACGCCCGGCTAATTTTTTGTATTTTTAGTAGAGACGGGGTTTCACCGTTTTAGCCGGGATGGTCTCGATCTCCTGACCTCGTGATCCGCCCGCCTCGGCCTCCCAAAGTGCTGGGATTACAGGCGTGAGCCACCGCGCCCGGCCTGTTTTTGTTTTGAGACAGAGTTTTGCTCTTGTTGCCCAGGCTGGAGTGCAATGGCGCGATATTGGCTCACTGAAACCTCTGCCTCCCAGGTTCAAGCAATTCTCTGGCCTCAGTCTCCCAAATAGCTGGGATTACAGACATGTGCCACACGCCCGGCTAATTTTGTATTTTTAGTATTTTCTCCATGTTGGTCAGGCTGGTCTGAAACTTCCGACCTCAGGTAATCTGTCCGCCTCGGCCTCCCAAAGTGCTGGGATTACAGGCGTGAGCCACTGCGCCCGGCCGCATTCACTTTTTACAATATGCCATAGACAGACTAGGCAACAGTGAAAAAAATGCTATTAAGAGCTCAGGTGGGTCAAATTCTTGTCTCCACTGCTCAGATGAAACTACTACTACCAAAGTCACCAATGATAGCCATACCACTAAGGTCACTAAATGATATGACTGTTAATAATGTTGGCTATAGCAATTTCAGCTAAACCATGGGGGCAAAAGATTGCTAAGGGGAAACAGAGATACCAGGCATAAAGCTCAAGAAGCTTGTCTAGGAAATCTATTGAGGGACAGTTTTGTTTAGTTTTATTTTGTTTTTAAGATAGAAGAGCTCGAATGTATTTACATGCTAATGAGGAGTCAGTTAAGAGACAAGGTAGAGGCTGGGTGCGGTGGCCCACGCCTGTAATCCCAAGCACTTTGGGAGGCCGAGGTGGGCGGACCACTTGAGGTCAGGAGTTTGAGACCAGCCTGGCCAACATGGTAAAACCTGTCTCTACTAAAAATACAAAAATTAGCCAGGCGTGTTGGCAGGCACTTGTAATCCCAGCTCCTACCTGGGAGGCGGAGGTTGCAGTGAGCTGAGATTGCGCCACTGCACTCCAGCCTAAACAACAGAGCGAGATTCCATCTCAAAAAAAAAAAAAAAAAAACAAAGAAAGAGAGACAAGGTAGAGGGCTGGTGCAGTGGCTCATGCCTGTAATCCCAGCACTTTGGAAGGCCAAGGCAGGAGGATCACTTGAACCCAGGAGTTTGAAACCAACCTAGGCAACAAAGCAAGATCCTATCTCTACCAAACAAAAACAAAAACAAAAACAGATAGGGTAGAGGATAGATGCTGGAGAAAAATTGGATTACTCATGCATTCGACATCAATGTTCAGCCTGAGGTTTACACAGGGATGCAGGAAAGTTAAATAATGGTAAGATAAACTACCTTGGCTGGGGATGGTGGCTCACCATGCCTGTAATCCTGGCACTTTGGGAGGCTGAGGAGGGAGAATTGCTTGATCCCTAGGAGTTCAAGACCAGCCTGAGCAACATGGTGAAACCCTGTCTTTATAAAAAATTCAAAAATTAGCTGGGTGTGGTGGTGTGTACCTATAGTCCCTGCTACTCAGGAGGCTGAGGTGGGAGGATAGCTTGAGCCTGGGAGGCGGAGGTTGCAGTGAGCTGAGAACGCGCCACTACACTCCAGCCTGGGCAACAGAGTGAGACTCTGTCTAAAAAAAAAAAAAAATCTTCAAGCGGCTATTTCTATTTTCTTCACAAAGTCCTTTGTTTATCAGTCTGCTAGCCATTAATTTCTTTTTTTTTTTTTTTTTGAGCTGGATTGCCACCTTGGCCTCCCAAAGTGGTAGGATTACAGGCATAAGCCATGCGCCCAGCCTAATTTGGTTCTTATTGAAGTATTTGCTCCAGATAAATTGCGCTCTTCCCAAGACAGTAGTCCTGTTCTTTCAGTCTTTCTGCTCTGCCACCTTGGCCTGATGGCTTTTGTCATCATCCTCATCACTGCAGGGTAACAACATGGCTGCTTTGGCCCCAGACAGCACACCTATGTCTGTGCCCATTTATCAGGAGAGGAAAAACTTTTTCCCAAAAGCACCTCTAGCCGACTTTCCTAGGGGAAGCCTGAGGAGGTGAGCATAAATTGTTGGGCACATTGCCATGCCACATAAAATAGAGGTTTGTTTGGTACAAAAGGGGAGTGAATCTCGGGGAGGCAATTAGCAATGTTAGCCACAGCTGGGTCCTGTAACGCGGCGTCCCAGTTCTGTGTCTGAGTGGTTGGAGTCCGCTCCTAACATATGCTCTTTCTTGGCTCAGTCAGGACTCCGTGCCTCCTCCCTGCTGAGTCAACCTCCCCTCCAATCGCTGGCACAGCTGACTCCTCTGAATCTCTGCCATGATACTGCCAGAATGGGTCCCAGAGTAGGCACCCAAAGCTCTCAACCAGGCATTCATGCTGCTGAGTGTCTAAGGAAAGTCTCGGAGCACAAATTGGATCTTCCTTACTTCTGACCTTGCCACGTGCATCTTAAAAATGTTGGCATGGGGCCACCACCCTGCCCAAGGGTTTTCTTCCAGATGCTCAAATATGGAGTGGGGACACAGGCTCCCTTCCCTGTCCCAGATCTCAGTCAATAGATCTGCCTCCCTCACCTCTGTCCCTCTTCCTTTCTCCCCATTGACTCCTGTGCCTGGAAGGACACTGCTCTTTTTCATTTCTTCTATGTTATATCTTCCTTCTTACCATTTTTGGCCTGCTGGCTAAGTCCGTGTGTGTGTGTGTGTGTGTGTGTGTGTGTGTGTGTGAACAGGGTCTCGCTCATCGCCCAGGCTGGAGTGGCTAAGTCTTAATGTCAGAGAGGAGTTTCTTCTGTATATCATAGCAAAAACTCTGGCCTTCAGGGTCCTTGATATGACAAATGAAAGATAAAGGAATTAAAAAAATTCTTTGTTGCTTAACCATGCTGAGATATCAAGCCACTTTGTTTTCTCTGCAAAATCCTATTTGGGGTGGCACCAATATTGTAAATGCAATTAATGTCACTGAGTTGTACACTTATGGTTAAAATGGGCCAGATGCAGTGGCTCACACCCATAATCCCAGCACTTTGGAAGATCAAAGGAGGAGGATCACTTGAGGCGGGAGTTCCAGAGCAGCCTGGGCAACAAAGCAAGACCCTCGTCTCCCAGGAAAAAAAAAAAAAGATTAAAATGGAAAAGTTTACGTTATATATAATTTACCACAATCTAAAAAATTCATAATGTATTATATTAAAACCCATTGAGTTACATACTTTTTTATTTTTTTGAGTCAGAGTTTCCCTGTTGTTGCCCAGACTGTAGTGTAATGGTGCCATCTCGGCTCACTGCAACTTCTGCCTCCTGGGTTCAAGCGATTCTCCTGCCTCAGCCTCCCAAGTAGCTGGGATTACAGGCATGCGCCACCATGCCCAGCTAATTTTATATTTTTAGTACAGATGGGGTTTCTCCATGTTGGTCAGGCTGGTCTCAAACTCCTGACCTCAGGTGATCCGCCCGCCTCAGCCTCCCAAAGTGCTGGGATTATAGGCGTGAACCACCGCATCCGGCCCGAGTTACACACTTTAAATGGGTGAATTGTAGGGTATGTAAATTATATCTCAAACTGTTTTTAAAATCCCATTTGAATGTCAAAACCTGAATATCAATTCCTATTTTTTTTTTTTTTTTTTTTTTTTTGCTCTTCTTGGGTAGCAACCCTACCTTCCCTCTCTCCTTCCTTCCAGTCATGGCAAATCCCTTGGGCGGTCTGAGACCAAGGTCTGGTCTGAAGAAAGAAAAGAAAAGAAAAATATCCAGGTGGATGGTTCACACCTGTAATCCCAGCACTTTGGGAGGCCCACGAATGCAGATTGCTTGAGCGTAGGAGTTCAAGACCAGCCTGGGCAACATAACAAGATCCTGTCTCCACAAAAAATACAAAAACTAGCCCGTGTGGTGGCATGCACCTGTAGTCCCAGCTACTCAGGAGGCTGAGGTGGGAGGATCATGTAGGCCTGGGAAGTCGAGGCTGCAGTGAGCTGTGATTGCACACTGCACTTCAGCCCAGGCAACAGAGTGAGACTCTGTCTCAAAATAAATAAACGAATAAAAATTTAGGGCCTGGCGCAGTGCCTCATGCCTGTAATCCCAGCACTTTTGGCGGCTGAGGCGGGTTGATCACTTGAGGTCAGGAGTTCGAGACCAGCATGGGTAACATGGTGAAACTCTATCTCTACTAAAAAATACAAAAATTAGCTGGGTGTGGTGGCATTCACCTGTAATCCCAGCTACTTGGGAGGCTGGGGCAGGAGAATTGTTTGAACCCGTGAGGTGGAGGCTGAAGTGAGCCAAGATCGCACCACTGTATTCCAGCCTGGGCAACAGAGTGAGATTCTATCTCAAAATAAAATAAAATAAAATAAAATAAAATAAAATAAAATAAAATAGCCTGGCAGAGGCTGAATATTCCTTGTACATGATTTTTTTTTTTTTTTTAGATTTCTAGCCAAAATTTAATTTTGGTCTCTTTGTACAGTTAGATGATAGAGTAGGAAGGCTGCGATTAATCCAGTTGTCAGAGTTGAACACTAAGAGCTGAATCTGTACAATAATAAAATATTAGAGTTGGGAAGAACTTTAGTTCAAACTGACTCCTGTTTATTTATTTATTTATTTATTTATTTATTTATTTATTTTTAGGGACAGGGTCTTGCTCTGTTACCCAGACCAGACTGCAGTAGCACAATCATAGCTCACTGTAGCCGTGAACTCAGGCTAAGGTGATTCTCATGCCTCACCCTCTTGAGCAGCTGGGAATACAGGTGTGAGCCACACCCATCTAATTTTTTAAGAAGCTTTTTTGTATCGACGAAGTCTTGCTATGTTGACCAGGCTGGTTTCAAACTCCTGGACTCAAGTGATCCTCCTACCTCAGCCTCCCAAAGTGTGGGGATTACAAATGTGACCCACTTCACCTGGCTGAAACTGCCTCCGAATTTAAAAATCTCTTCTCTAAAATCTCTCGTCTACCTGGTTATCATGCATTCTCTACTTGACTTTTTTTTTGAATAGTTTATTCCTTTTATTTGTTTATTTTTTATTGATATGAGATTCACATAACATAAAGTTAACCATTTAAAAATAAACAATTCGGCCAGGCGTCGTGGCTCATGCCTGTAACCCCAGCTCTTTGGGAGGCCAAGGTGGGTGGATCACCTGAGGTCAGGAGTTTGAGACCAGCCTGACTGACATGGTGAAACCCTGTCTCTACTAAATATACAAAAATTAGCCTGGTGTAGTGGTGTGCACCTGTAGTCCCAGCTACTTGGGGGACTGAGACAGGAGAATTACTTGAACCCGGGAGGCAGAGGTTGCAGTGAGCTGAGATCGAGCCACTGCACTCCAGCCTGGGCGACAGAGTGAGACCATCTCAGAAAAAAAAAAAAAAAAAAAAAGCACAGTTATTTAGTCTGGGCATGGTGGCTCATGCCTATAAACTCAGCACTTTGGGAGGCTGAGGCAGGAGGACTGTTTGAGCCCAGGAGTTTGAGACCAGCCTGGGCCATGCAGGAAGACCCTGTCTCTACAAAAATAAAAATAAAAACAAAAACAAATAAAATAAACAATTCAGTGGCATTTATACATTCACAATGTTATGTGACTACCACCTTTCCTCTAGTTCCAAATTATTTCCATCATCCCAAAAGGAGATCCTTTTTTTCTTTTTTTTTGAGGCAGAGTCTTGCTCTGTCGCCAGGCTGGAGTGCAATGGTGATCTCGGCTTACTGCAACCTCCACCTCCCCAGTTCAAGCGATTCTCCTGCCTCAGCCTCCTGAGTAGCTGGGACTACAGGCGTGTGCCACCATGCCCAGCTAATCTTTGCATTTTTAGTAGAGACGGGGTTTCTCCATGTTGGCCAGGATGGTCTCAATCTCTTGACCTCATGATCCGCCCACCTTGACCTCCCAAAGTGTTGGGATTACAGGCGTGAGGCACAGCACCTGGCATTTTTTTTTGTTGTTGTTGTTTTTGAGATGGAGTCTTGTTCTGTTGCCCAGGCTGGAGTGCAATGGCGAGATCTCGGCTCACTGCAACCTCCCCCTCCTGGGTTCAAATGATTCTCCCACCTCAGCCTCCCAAGTAGCTGGGATTACAGGCATGCGCCACCACACCCAACTAATTTTTGTGTTTTTAGTAGAGAAGGGGTTTTGCCATGTTGGCCAGGCTGGTCTCAAACTCCTGACCTCAGGTGATCTGCCTGCCTTGGCCTCCCAAAGTGCTGGGATTACAGGCGTGAGTCCCTGGCTCCAAAAGGAGACTGTGTACCTCTTAAGCAGTTGCTCCTAACTCTCCCCTCCTGCAGCCCCTGACAACCATTAATCAGCCCGCCAGCTCTACGGATTTACCTCTTCTGGACATTTCATGTAAAGAATCATACAATATGTGGCTGGGCGCGGTGGCTCACGTGTATAATCCCAACACTTTGGGAGGCCAAGGCAGGTGGATCACTTGATGTCAGGATTTCAAGACCAGCCTGGCTGACATGATGAAACTCCGTATCTACTAAAAATACAAAAATTAGCTGGGCATGGTGGTGTACGCCTGTAGTCCCAGCTATTCAGGAGGCTGAGATAGAAGAAATCACTTGAACCCGGAAGGCGGAGGTTGCAGTGAGCCGAGATCGCACCATTGCACTCCAGTCTGGGTGTCAGAGTGAGACTACATCTCAAAAAATATATATATATTGTATGATTCTTTTTTTTTTTCGTTACAGAGTCTTGCTCTGTTGTCCAGGCTGGAGTACAGTGGTGCAATCTTGTCTCACGCAACTTCTGCTTCCTGGGTTCAAGCATGTCTCAGCCTCCCTAGTAGCTGGGATTACAGGTGCCTGCCACCATGCCTGGCTAATTTTTTTTTTTTTTTTTTTTTAGTGGAGATGGGGTTTTGCCATTTTGGCCAGGCTGGTCTTGAACTCCTGACCTCAAGTGATCCACCTGCCTTGGCTTCCCAAAGTGCTAGGATTACAGGTGTGAGCCACCGCACCCGGCCAAGAATCATACAGTAGGTGATCTGTTGTGTCAGGCTTTTTTCACTCAGCATAATGTTTGCAAGGGTCATCCTGGCATGTATCATGCATCAGTACTCTTCTTTTTTTTTTAACAGCTGAGTAATGTTCCACTGCTCGGAGAGACCACAATTTGTTTATTCGTTCATCAATCGATGGACATTTGGGTTGTTTCCACTTTTTCCTACTGTGAACATGTGTGTACATATATTTGAGTCTGCTTGATTTCTTTTTCTTTTGAGACAGTCTTACTCAGCCGCCCAGGCTGAGTGCAGTGGTGCAATCTCGGCTCACTGCAACCACCGTCTCCTGGGTTCAAGCGATTCTCCCGTCTCAGCCTCCCTAGTAGCTGGGATTTCAAGCACCCGCCATCACGCTCTGCTAATTTTTGTATTTTAGTAGGGCAGGGTTTCACCATGTGGCCAAGCTGGTCTTTTTTTTGTTTTGTTTTGTTTTGTTTTGTTTTTAGTAGAGATGGGGTTTCACCATGTTAGCCAGGATGGTCTCGATCTCCTGACCTTGTGATCTGCGCGACTTGGCCTCCCAAAGTGCTAGGATTACAGGCGTGAGCCACTGCGCCCGGCCTTTGGTCTTTTTTTTTTTGAGATGGAGTCTCACTCTGTTGCCCAGGCTGGAGTGCAATGGCGCAATCTTGGCTCACTGCAACCTCTGCCTCCCAGGTTCAAGTGATTCTCCTGCCTCAGTCTCCTGAGTAGCTGGGACTACAGACACGTGCCGCCACACCTGGCTAATTTTTTTTTTATTTTTAGTAGAGACAGGGTTTCACCATATTGGCCAGGCTAGTCTTGAACTCCTGACCTTGTGATCTGCCCACCTTGGCCTTGCAAAATGCTGGGATTACAGTGTGAGCCACCGTGCCTGGCCTGGCCAGGCTGGTCTTGAACTCCTGACCTCAGGTGATCTACCCGCTTAGGCCTCCCAAAGTGCTGGGATTACAGGGATGAGCCACTGCACCCAGCCTTTATTTTATTTTATTTTATTTTGAGGTGGAGTCTTGCTTCTTTGCCCAGGCTGGAATGCAATGATGTGATCTCGGCTCACTGCAACCTCCGCCTCCCGGGTTCAAGCAATTCTCCTGCCTCAGCCTCCCCATTAGCTGGGATTACAGGCACGTGCCAACACGCCCAGCTAATTTTTGTATTTTTAGTAGAGATGGGGTTTCACCCTGTTGACCAGGCTGCTCTCAAACTCCTGACCTCAAGTGATCCACCCGCCTTGGCCTCCAAAAGTGCTGGGATTACAGGCATGAGCCACCGTGCCTGGCCAAGTCTGCTTGATTTTTGCTGAAGATAGAATCAACTTTCCATGTACTCAACAAATATTTGTTGAATTAGATAAGAACTGCTGCATCAAACGCAAATTTCACAAATGTTTTGCTTTAGTTGATAAAAGTCACAGAATCTTAAAAATGTTTGTGGTTGGAAGTTTAAAAGAGATCTCGTTCAACCCCCCCTCATCGTGAAACTGCACACACTCAAAGTACTAGTCTATTTAGATGGCCCTAAATACAGTTTACATCATGGTGTGTGGTGCCCTATTGATATTGTTCTTTGTTAACTGAATGTGTACAATGCAGTCTTTGTTGTCACAAGATGGTTCTCTTTGAGAAGTGGTTTTATGAATTTAAATTTAATAGGCACTGGGTGTGGGGTGCGCCTGTCATTTCAGCAGTTTAGGAGGCCGAGAGGTAGGGAGTTTGTGGCTGAAGTGAGTTATGATTGCACCACCAGCCTGGGCAACAGAGCAAGACCCTGTGTCCAAAAAATATATATATATATACACATATAAAATATTACTTATATATATAATTATTTATAATAAAAATATATTTTTATATATATATAAAATTTAGTAGCTTGTCATTCTTTCACAGTTTTGCTTTTTTTTTTTCAGATGGAGTCTCACTCTGTCACCCAGGCTGGAGTGCAGTGGCGCAATATCAGCTCACTGCAACGTCCACCTCCCAGGTTCAAGCAATTCTCCTGCCTCAGCCTCCCGAGTAGCTGGGATTACAGGCATGCACCACCACGCCCAGCTAATTTTTTTGGATTTTTAGTAGAGATGGGGTTTCACCATAGTGGCCAGGCTGGTGTCGAACTCCTGACCTTGCAATCCACCCGCCTCGGCCTCCCAAAGTGCTGGGATTACAGGCGTGAGCCACCGCACCCAGCCGCTGAGTCGCTTTTTTATGAAATGAACTAGCACTAGCTCCCTATCTTTGGAAATGTTTTGGAAATGTTAACATTTCCAAATGTTGACAAGGGTTGTGGTCTGGCATATTATACCCACCTTGGACATAAAACCAGGGGAGATCAGGGAACAGTGATTACTCCACGCTGATTTAGTAAACCTGTGACCAGTAATAGTCAACAGTTTGAGGACAGGGACTTGATCTTCACTGCT
This sequence comes from Homo sapiens, assembly GCF_000001405.40. Classification (NCBI taxonomy): domain Eukaryota; kingdom Metazoa; phylum Chordata; class Mammalia; order Primates; family Hominidae; genus Homo; species Homo sapiens. The sequence continues at coordinate 122,430,571 of NC_000012.12, read as the reverse complement.
ATAGCCCCAGTACCTCGAATAGTGCTTGGGACTCAGCAGGATTTCAGTAAATCTTTGTTGAATGGGCTAATCAGTTGGATTCTGATTTCTGAAGCAATATTAATAAAAGCAGAAGTAATTTAAAAAATAAGCCAGGCACAGTGGCTCATGACTATAATCTCAGCACTTTGAGAGGCCAAGGCAGGCAGATTGCTTGAGGTCAGGAGTTAGAGACCAGCCTGGGCGACATGCAAAACCCCATCTCTACTGAAAATAGAAAAATTAGCCTGGTGTGGTGGGTGCCTGTAATCCCAGCTACTGGGGAGGCTGAGGTGGGAGGATCACTTGAACCCAGGAGGTGGCGGTTGCAGTGAGCCAAGACTGGGCCACTGCACTACAGCCTGGGCGACACAGCGAGAGACTGTCTCAAAAAAAAAAAAAAAAAAAAAAGCAAGCTATATGTATTACCTTAAATACTTAACTTTTTTTTTTTTTTTGAGATGGAGTTTCATTCTTGTTACCAAGGCTGGAGTGCAGTGGCGCAATCTCGGCTCACTGCAACCTCTACCTCCCGGGTTCAAGCAATTCTCCTGCCTCAGCCTCCTAAGTAGTTGGGATTACAGGCACCCACCACCACGCCCAGCTAATTTTTGTATTTTCAGTAGAGATGGGGTTTCACCATGTTGGTCAGGCTGGTCTCGAACTCTTGACCTCAGATGATCCACCCGCCTTGGCCTCCCAAAGTGCTGGGATTACAGGCATGAGCCACTGTGCCCGGCCCTTAATTTTTTTGTGTGTAGTGAGCACACTTAAAATCTACTGTCTTACTAATTTTCAAGTATATAATGTTATTAACTGTGGTCACCATTATGTATAGTAAGGAGTTAAATCCCTAATTGTGACCTATCTACTATGGTTCAGGAACTTTAAAAAAGAGAAAGGAAAAATAACACCTTTCATTTTTTTCTTTTTTATAAAAATTTATAGTAATAGACACAGGGTTTTACTATGTTGCCCAGGCTGGTTTTGAACTCCTGGGCTCAAGGGATCTTTGCCTCCCAAAGTGCTGGGATTACAGGCGTGAGCCACTGCACCTGGCTAAAACATCTTTAATTTTAGAAGTGTGCTTATTTTGACAGCTTTTGTCTCATTTTTCTATTTAAAAAATTTTTTTTTCACTTAGTGCCTGAAATCAAATCATTTTCTGTTGTAAAAACCTATAAATCCTTACATCTTCATAGCAGTTTATGAATTTTTTTTTTTTTTTTTAGACAGGGTCTTGCTCTGCTGCCCAGGCTGGTGTGCACTGGCTGACTCCAACCTCCAACTCCTGGGTTCAAGCGATCCTTCCGCCTCAGCCTCCCAAGTAGCTGGGATTACAGGCATGCACCACCACCACGCCCGGCTAAGTTTTGTGTTTTTAGAGATAGAGTTTCACCATGTTGGCCAGGCTGGTCTTGAACACCTGACCTCAGGTGATCCACCCACCTTGGCCTCCCTAAATGCTGGGATCACAGGCGCAGTTTATGAAATATTTTTGGCTGGGTGCAGTGGCTCACACCTGTAATCCCAGCACTTTGGGAGGCCGAGGTGGGCAGATTATCTGAGGTCAGGAGTTTGAGACCAGCCTGACCAATATGGTGAAACCCCATCTCTACTAAAAATACAAAAAAAATTAGCTGGGCGTTGTGGCACATGCCTGTAATCCCAGCTACTCGGGAGGCTGAGGCAGGAGAATCGCTTGAATCCGGGAGATGGAGGTTGCAGTGAGCCGAGATCATGCCACTGCACTCCAGCCTGGGCAACAAGAGCGAAACTCAGTCTCAAACAAAACAAAACAAAACAAAACAAGAAATATTTTCAAACCACTATTTTTTACTGTATTGTCCTTGAATGGTGATAAGAACTATTAGTCCCTTAGCGAGAGATTTAAAATCTCTCTAAACTGTAATGAATTAATTTAGACATATTTATTAGTAATTTTTTCAGGATCTGTGGGATTGTAGCTATTTTGTTGCCTTCATTTTGCTTGCCTTAATTTTATGTAATGAACACCTATTGTTCTTTAAAAAAAAAGAAGACAAAATACAAGGAAAAAAGTCTCTAGTTATTTAGAATATAGGAGTCTTACACCACATCCTTCAAAAAGCTAATCTACTGTGGACCCTGCATCCAAGGGATGCAGACACAGCAAGAAATAAGAGTCAACAATCCCTGCTCTCGCTGGGCCCAGTGGCTCACGCCTGTAATCCCAGCACTTTGGGAGGCTGAGACAGGCGGATCACAGGTCAGGAGTTCAAGACCAGCCTGGCCAATATGGTGAAACCCCGTCTCTACTAAAAATACAAAAATTAGCTGGGCATGGTGGTGGGTGCCTGTAATCCCAGCTACTCGGGAGGCTGAGGCAGGAGAATCACTTGAATCCAGGAGGCGGAGGTTGCAGTGAGCCAAGATTGCACCACTGCACTCCAGCCTGAGCGACAGAGACTCATTCTCAAAAAAAAAAAAAAATTCCCCACTCTCTGGAAATTCACGTTCTTGTAGGGATGGAAGGAAACAGATAATAAAACAAAACAAACCTGTTGTACTGCCGAAACCTGTCACAGAATCAATGCTAAAGAGCTGGGGAGAAAAAAACCACCAACACCCATGATTTTACGGAGAATAATCTCTACTCATTTTGGTTGAGGATCTTAATTCCTTCTTCTTCTTCTTTTGTTCTTTTTTTAAAGAAATTGGGGCTGGGTGCAGTGGCTGACACCTGTAATCCCAGCACTTTGGGAGGCCAAGGTGGATGGATCACTTGAGGTCAGGAGATCAGCCTGGCCAACATGGCAAAACACTGTCTCTATTGAAAATAGAGACAGTATCTCTACTGAAAATACAAAAATTAGCTGGGCGTGGTGGCGCGTGACTGTAGTCCCAGTTACTCAGGAGGCTGAGGCAGGAGAATCACTTGAACCTGGGAGCCGCAGGTTGCAGTGAGCTGAAATTGCGCCATCGCACTCCAGCCTGGTGACAGCGCGACTCCATCTCAAAAAAAAAAAAATGAGCTGGGTGTGGTGGCTCACACCTGGGATCCCAACATTTTGGGAGGCCAAGGCGGAAAGATCCTTTGAGCCAAGGAGAGATCAGTCTTGGCAACATAGTGAGACCTCATCTCCATGTTTAAAAACAACAACAACAACAACAACAAATAAATGAAAGTAATGTTTTTTTGTTTGTTTGAGATGGGGCTTTGCTCTGTCACCCAGCCTGGATGGAGTGCAGTGGCTGGAACACGGCTCACTGCAGCCTCAACTTCTTGGGCTCAAGCCATCCTCCCACCTCTACCTCCTGAGTAGCTAGGACTACAGGTGCACACCACCACACCCAGCTTGCTTATTTATTTATTTATTTATTTATTTATTTATTTATTTATTGAGATGGAGTCTCGCTCTATTGCCCAGGCTGGAGTGCAGCGGCGCAAGCTCAATGCAACCTCCGCCTTCTAGGTTCAACTGATTCTCCTCCCTCAGCCTCCTGAGTAGCTGGAACCACAGGTGCATGCCACCATAGCTGGCTAATTTTTGTATTTTTAGTAGAGACTGGGTTTCGCCATGTTGGCCAGGCTGGTCTCAAACTCCTGAGCTCAGGCAATCCACCTGCCTCGGCCTCCCAAAGTGCTGGGATTATAGGTGTGAGTCACTGTGCCCGGCCAATTTTTTATATTTTTTTTTTGGTAGAGATGGGGCCTTGCTATGTTGCCCAGGTGGGTCTCCAACTCCTCAGCTCAAGCAGTCCTCCCACCTTGGCCTCCCATATTGCTGGGATTATAGGTGTGAGCCACTGCTCCTGGCCTTGCACATGGTTTTAAAAAATAAAATACATTCAGGTTTATAATTAAAAGCAGTCTGGGCATGGTGGCTCATGCCAGTAATCCCAGCACTTTGGGAGGCCAAGATGGGAGGATTGCTTGAGCCCAGGATTTTGAGACCTGGGCAACATAGACAGACTCTGGCTCTACTAAAAATTAAAAAAAATTAGCTGGGCATGGTGGCACGTGCCTGTAGTCTGAACCAGTCTGGAGGCTGAGGTAGGAGGATCACTCGAGCCCAGGAGCTCCAGGTTGTAGTGAGCTATGATTGCACCACTGCACTCTAGTCTGGGCAACAGAGCAAGACCCTGTCTCAAAACAAAACAAAACAAAACAAAACAACAACAACAAACAAAAACAAAAAAACAAAAGAACAAAAGAAAAGAAAAGCAACAGTTCTCAGTTCTTCTACCTCACTCCTACCTAGTCTTAACCCTGTTCCCCAGAGACTATTAATTTTTTGCTTTTAGTTCTTCTGGTGTTAACTTCCATCTCTCTAAAAATATTGTTGTGGGCCAGGCACGGTGGCTCACGCCTGTAATCCCAGCACTTTGGGAGGCTGAGGGGGACAGGTTGCCTGAGCCCAGGAGTTTGAGACCAGCCTGGGCAACATGGCAAAACTCCATCTCTACTAAAAATACAAACAATTAGCTGGGCATGGCTGTGCATGCCTGTAGTCCCAGCTACTTAGGAGGCTGAGGTGGGAGGATCATCTGATCCCGGGAAGTAGAGGCTGCAGGGAGTCATGATTGCAGCACTGCGCTCCAGCCTGGGTGACAGGAATGAGACCTCATCTCAAGAAAACAAAAACAAAAATACATAAAAATATACTTGTGTTATTTATCAACTGTAGGCATTATCTATTGACTTTCTGTTATGACTAAGGCACGACTACCTCTCCTCTCCACACAATCCTGCCACTATTTTTAATTATTCCTATTGGTTACGTTAATGATATCATTAAACCTTAATTTTTTGGGGAAAAAAAAACAGAAAACAAAACCCTAGGTATTTACCTACCTCCCCGCTTTGTAAAATGAAGACTTGAGAGCTCTTATTTTGCATTCTACTTCTGCAACATCCCTTCCACCTCCCAATGTCTCATCAATTGAGCTGTTCTCATATTTACAGAAGACATGCATTTAAGAAAGCACTGTGGCAGTCGGGCGCGGTGGCTCATGCCTGTAATCCTAGCACTTTGGGAGGCCGAGGTGGGCGGATCACGAGGTCAGGAGATTGAGACCATCCTGGATAACACAGAGAAACCCCCTCTCTACCCAAAATACAAAAAATTAGCTGGGTATGGTGGTACGTGCCTGTAGTCCCAGCTACTTGGAAGGCTGAGGCAGGAGAATAGCTTGGCCCTGCAAGGCGGAGGTTGAAGTGAGCCGAGATGGTGCCACTGCACTCCAGACTGGGCGACAGAGCGAGACTCAGTCTTAAAAAAAAAAAAAAAAAAAAAGCACAGTGGCTAGATCTAAAAACAGAATGTAAATATTGAAGGAGGAACTTTGAGTCCTAACAGTGGCCACCTGGGGTCTGAGCCCTGTCAATGCCCTGGTAGTAGGGCTGAGACCAGGCCTTGCTCACACAATTGAAGGAGGCAGTGAAGGTAAACAATATTGCGATATGCTAATTTTTTTTTTTTTTTTTTTTGGAGATAGAGTCTCCCTCTGTCGCCCAGGCTGCAGTGCGGTGGTGCTATCTTGGCTTATTGCAACCTCCGCCTCCTGGGTTCAAGCAATTCTTCTGCCTCAGCCTCTCTAGTAGCTGGGATTACAGGCATGCGCCACCATGCCCGGCTAATTTTTGTATTTTTAGTAGATACGGGGTTTCACTATATTGGCCAGGCTGGTCTCGAGCTCCTGACCTCGTGATCAGCCCGCTGTGCCCGGCTGATATATTTTTTAAAAAATAAAAATTAATGGCCGGGCACGGTGGCTCACGTCTGTAATCCCAGCACTTTGGGAGCCCAAAGCAGGCGGATCACGAGGTCAGGAGATCGAGACCATCCTGGCTAACACGGTGAAACCCTGTCTGTACTAAAAAAATACAAAAAATTAGCCGGGCGTGGTGGCGGGCACCTGTAGTCCCAGCTACTCGGGAGGCTGAGGCAGGAGAATGGCGTGAACCCGGGAGGCAGAGCTTGCGGTGAGCCGAGATCGCACCACTGCACTCCAGCCTGGGCGACAGAGTGAGACTCCATCTCAAAAAAAAAAAAAAAAAAAAAAATTAACGCCAAGACTCCATGATGAACAAAATGATATAATTATAAATAAATAAGCAAATGATGAACATGACAATGACATAGAATAACCCATGAGAACAAGCAAATATACACACACACACACACACACATATATATACATATATATATACATGTGTATATATATATATATTTTTTGAGACAGAGTCTCCCTCCGGCACCCAGGCTGGAGTGTAGTGGCTTGAACTCTGGTCACAGCAACCTCCGCCTCCCGGGTTCAAACAATTCTCGTGTCTCAGCCTCCCGAGTAGCTGGGACTACAGGCATGCACCACCATGCCCAGTTAATTTTTGTATTTTTTGTTAGAGACGGGGTTTCACCATGTTGGCCAAGCTGGTCTTGAACTCCTGTCTGCAGGTGATCCACCCACCTGGGTCTCTCAAAGTGCTAGAATTACAGGCGTGAGCCACCACACCCAGCCCCAAAACAATATTTTTAATAAAGACAGGCTCAGCCTACTGAGTAGAGAAGAAAAGACAAGCCCATAAGTGTTCCTAGCTGAACTCCCCCATTAGAAGTGGTCTGTGCCTCATCCTATGACATCTATGATTCCACAGCTTGCTGATTACAGCTGAAGACTGTTTAGATTAGGGGGTGAGGCGCGCCTTTCAGATTAGGAATATGGATATGGGATTTCAGGAGTACCACCACCACCTGACCTTGCAGCCTGTAAATTAGGGCGATGTTGAATTAGGTAACAGCATTTCGAGGGATTTCAGACATGAATGGAGAGGAGGGGCCAGGAGACAAATTTACATAGTTCAGAACTTCGTGCATTACCAGAGCAGTTCCCTCTTCCTGCTGGTCCAGGCAGCACGGTGCTTTGAATAAAGGTCAGCTAGAGGGGTCACCCGCCGATTATTCTCTTCTACTGGCAAGGAGGAGGAAGCCCCTGCCCCCTTATCCACCACAAAATCCTGGGCTTCCCCGACAGCTGCAAATTCCTCCCTGGAGATGTAAGGCTTCTGGGGTTGCCATGGTCCATGGGAGTGAAATGCTGGCCGCCCTCTGCTACCCCAGCCCCGAGCAGGCTGTTGCAGCCTTCCCTCCTGTCCCTTTCAAAAGCTTTTAAAGGAAATCCCAGGGGGGAAGGAGGATGGGACACTAACCAGGGCTTCCGTCCAAGCAGCCAGGGCGAATAAAAGGGGCTTTTCTCAAACGAACGGAGCAAACCCTGGGATCGTTTCAAAGGATTTTTAACCCGCGGTCGTTCCCGGAGGGAAGTGGGGAGCAGATACAGTTCTTCCCAAGCTTAACCTGCTCTACAGTTCCTTTCAGCATTTTCTCCAGGGACGCCTCATCCAGGGTCTTTCCCTGGAGGGAGGCGAGGGCAGAGATGATCCTTCCCAATCCCCAACTTAACCTGCTTCGGAAGCGCCTTGCAGCCTGTTTCAAAGGATTTCTCACCCTTGTCTGGCGGGAAGGGGAGGGCAAACAAATGAATCAGCCCCAAAGAGCGGGCTGAGGTCGAGGCTGAATGGGGCTCTTGGGTGTGACTTGCAAATTCTGGGAACACTTTGCAGAAATGACGAGAAGCCCCTCGGAGCAGGCCTGTGGGTTTTCCCTCGCACCTTGCTCCCCAAGCCGGGGCTCGGGAGGGTTCGAGGGCGGAGCGGCGGGCGCGCCGGGGCCAGGGTCCTCCCGGGGCCGCGGTGGGCGCAGACAAAGAGGCGGCGGGGCGGCGCGGGGCCGGGCGCGGGCCGCAGGGCCGGTGCGGACTCGAGGGGCCGGGCCGGCCGGGCCGGCCGGGCGGGCGCGGCGGCGGAGCGCTGGGAGGAGCCGCGCGGCGTCTTCTCCTGGCAGCGCGCGCCCGCCCGGCCCCGCGGCGGCGGCGGCGCGTCACGCTCTCCCCCGCCCCGAGCCGACGAGCCGGGAGGCGGGAGGCGGCGGCCGCGGCGGCTGCTGCTGCTGCAGTGGGACAGGTGGCGGCGACCGGCGGCGTCCGAGGAGGTGAGCAGGGGGCGGCGCGGGCCCTCTCCCTTTCCCGGCACCCCCTGCTCCCCTGCCGGCTTCCCGGCCTGCGGGGCCCGCCCAGGGTCGGGTCGGGGGTCGAAGCCCGGCGTCCGGGAGCGGGGCCGAGCCTCGCGCGCCGGAGCCGTCCGGGAGGGGACCGCGGGAGTCTCGGGTGGCCGGCGCCGGAGGCCGGGGGTCCCTGGGGGGCTCCTCCGGAGCTGGAAAAGTGGCGGCCCTGTCAGCGCCGAGCCGGGCCTTCGCTTCCTCCGCCCGCCTCAAGATGGAGCTTGGACTCCTTGCCCCTGCGCCGCCCCAGGCGCCGCTCTCTCCCTGGCGCCCCGCTCCCTCTCCTGGGCCCCGGGGCGGATGTGGGATCGGCCGGACCCCGGGAGGCCGAAGCCGGGCGGGACCTGTTGCCCCGGGCGCCGCGCCTGTCACCTGAGCATTCCTCAGGCCCCGGGTGCCCGGCGCCCGCGATCCGGCATGGAGGGCACCCTGGCCCGGCCTCCCCCGCTGCCCCGGCTTTTGTTTTCCTCTCAAGTGGGGCTGTGATTCTCGGAGACCGGGGAAGGCTGGAGGTGGCCAGATCGCTCTCGGGTTTCCGAAATCACACCGCTGCCCGGTAATCCGAACCTTCTACCGCGGCAGGGGATTGGCGCGGAAGGCAGATGACACTTGTTCAGAGGTTATTTTACAAGCAGAACCTAGCGATTGCCCGAATTGGAAGGTCCTGCCTTTCAAAAATCGGGTTTTGATTCGGGGGTGAATCCTGAATCCGGCTGTTTCTCCACTTCATGTGGCTTTTCCATCTGGCAGGAGCCGAGCGCCACCCCCTCCTCCCTGCACAGCCCCACCTCTTTGGTATGAAGAAATTACACGTTGTCCGTCATCGGTTTAGATACCTGTTTTTAGCAAAACTTGGGCGCCAGTGAACTGTTTTTTAAAACAAAGGGTGGAGAAGATTCTGTAATTGTGTGTGTGTGATTCAGCAGCCTGGCCTTCTTCCTCTTTTAGGACAGTGGCCCCTAGCAGCTCTATAAGTATTAAGTGCTGTGGCCACTGCTGTCATTAGGGTTATGATTCTGGCTGTTCTTATTATTTGATTTGTGTCACTACTGTTAGCGATGGTATCCACGAATCAGGAGAGTATCCCAGAGTCAGGAATGTGTTTGTTTGACTTTTAGATTTAATGATAACCTTTAGCAAGAATCCCCAGGCATGTCGCTTCTCAGACTTGGGGCCTTTTTTTCTCTGTAAATTATAACAATGAACATTTATTGAAGGCATCTTGTGGCCAGGCTCTGGGCTAGCTTTTTATGTGTTTTATTTCATTTAATCAACCCTAACCCAGTGAGCGTGCTGTCGTCATGTGCATTCGGCAGGAGGGTCATAGAAAGGTCAAGTAACTTGACCAGGGTTATACAGCTAAGCACCTGAAGTCAGAATACCTTTTACCAGCATGTGAACTCAGGTATTCTGACTTCAGGTGCTTAGTTATTCGATTAGTATAGGGAATCTGTGGCAAAAAGCAAGGCTAGTCTGTCTGTCTGTCTATCCATCCATCAATCAATCAATCAATCAATGAGAGGGAGCCTCAATCTGTCCCCCCGGCCAGAGTGCAGTGGCGTGATCTCAGCTCACTGCAATCTCGGCCTCCCAGGTTTAAGCGATTCTCGTGCCTCAGCCTCCTGAGTACTGGAATTACAGGTGCCCGCCACCACGCCCGGCTAATTTTTGTATCTGTGGTAGAGATGGGGTTTCACCACGTTGCCCAGGCTGATTTCGAACTCCTGGGCTCAAGTCATCCACCTGCTTTGGGCTCCCAAAGTGCTGGGATTACAGGTGTGAACTACCGCACCTGGCCCCAAGGCTGGTCTACATTAAAGCAAAGTTGAAGTGGGTAATTGCTTGGCCAAAGGCTTGTGCCCGATTTTTAAGGTTCAGAGAAAGCAGTTAAGTACATCTTCCCACTAGACCTAGTTCAAAGGGGAAAACTGAAACCGGGTGGGACCCTGGGTAGGTATTTTGCCTGAAGATCAAGATTTTGCCCTTCCCTATTTTTTCAATCATTGCTTCAGCTCCAGCTTGCACTTCAGCATGACATAAGCTAATCTGGTTTCTGTCCTATTGAGGAGTTTAGAATCTGATATCCTTATCTCTTTTTTTTTTTTTGACATGGAATTTCACTCTTGTTGCCTAGGCTGGAGTGCAATGGAGTGATCTCGGCTCACTGCAACCTCTGCCTACTGGGTTCAAGCGATTCTCCTGCCTCAGCTTCCCGAGTAGCTGGGATTTTAGGTGCCTGCCACCATGCCTGGCTAATTTTTTGTATTTTTTTAGTAGAGATGGAGTTTCATCACGTTGGCCAGCCAGGCTGATCACACCTGACCTCAGGTGATCCGCCTGCCTCAGCCTCCCAAAGTGCTGGGATTATAGGTGTGAGCCACCACGCCTGGCCTGATGTCCTTATCTTAAAAAAAATTTTTTTTACCTAGTGGCTAAAATTCACTCTGTCACATCCCATGTGACTCATAAGGGACATGAACTAACTCAGTCATGTTTGATTCTTGCTTTTTTTTTTTTTTTTTTTTGAGACAGAGTCTCGCATCTCGCTCTGTTGCCCAGGCTGGAGTGCAGTGGTGCAACCTCCGCTTCCCAGGCTCAAGCAATTCTCCTGCCTCAGCCTCCCGAGTAGCTGGGATTACAGGCACACACCACGGCACCGGGCTAGTTTTTGTATTTTTAGTAGAGACAGGGTTTCACGATGTTGGCCAGGCTGGTCTCGAACTCCTGACCTCAAGTGATCCTCTCACCTCGGCCTCCCAAAGTGCTGGGATTACAGGCATGAGCCACTGTGCCCGGCCGATTCTTGCTTTTTAAGTGCTGTCTGCTGGGATTCGAAAGCCAGTGGATGGTGTATAAGAGATGAGTTGATTCTCTTATGGCCCATACAAAGGTAGGCACCTTTGAACCTTTCACATACTGGGCACCTGGTTCTTCGTTATTACTTACAGGTAGATTTCTGGTCTTCCTTGAATAGATATATCAAGGCCAGGGTCTTCACATTTCGGGACCCTTGCAGAATTCTGTGGAGTTCCATGTACTCAGTAAACGTTTCTTATTTTTTTTTAATTAATTTTTTTTTTTTTGAGACAGAGTCTCACTCTGTTGCCCAGGCTAGAGTGTAGTGGTGCAATTTTGGTTCACTGCAACCTTTGCCTCCTGGTTCAAGTGATTCTCCCACCTCAGCCTCCCAAGTAGCTGGGACAACAGGAATCTGTCACATGCCTGGCTAATGTTTGTATTTTTACTAGAGCTGGGGTTTCACCATGTTGGCCAGGCTGGTCTCCAACTCTTGAATTCAAGTGATCCACCTGCTTTGGCCTCCCAAAGTGTTGGGATTACAGGTGTGAGCCACCGTGCCCATCTGTTTCTTGGTTAATTGAAAATATAAGGTTCATAAATGTCAGATTGATTTTATAGAAGTCAAACCAAAGGAAAAAACAGAAGGTAGTATAGTAAAGTCACAGGGAGAGGGTTTAATATTTGTTAACATTACAAGAGAATTTTGTCTATATATTAACTAAATCGAGACTTTCACTTTGTATGACTTTTCACTATCCAAATAATCAGCTTCTTTCTTCTCTGAGAGGTCAAATGTGTTTTTCTCTGATATGAAGAGTAGACAATGTTTATTAGTCATAGCAAGCCTGTAGTTCTCCTTTGCAGTATTTTTATTTTATTTTATTTTTTTAGACACAGGGTCTCGCTCTGTCACGCAGGCTGGAGTGCAGTGGCACAATCGTAGTTCACTACAGCCTTGAACTCCCTCCTGGGCTCAAGCAGTCCTCCCACTTCAGCCTCCTGAGTAGCTAGGACTACAGGTGCATGCTATCATGCCTGGCTAATTAAAAAAATTTTTTTTCCTGTAGAGATGAGGTCTTGCTATGTTTCCCAAGCTGGTCTTGAACTCCTAGGCTCAAACAATCCTCCTAACTTGGCCTCCCAAAGTGCTGGGATTACAGGCATGAGCCACCGTGCCCAGCCCCACTATCCAAATAATCAATTTCTTTCCTTTTCTTGTAGAAATGAGATGGAAGGTCAAGTGTGTTTTTCTTTGATATGAAGAGTAGACAGTGTTGTTTATTATGGCAAATCTATAGTTCTCTTTTGCAGTATTTTTGAACTGTGACAGCATCCCTAAAGGCAGCTTGATGAGCTATGGTATACCTATCTGTGGGCTGTAATTAGATCTCATTTGGTATTCAGGCAACAAATATTTATTGAGCATGTACCGTGTGCCAGGTGCTGTTCTAGATGATGGTGATACAACAGTGAATAAAAGACAGAAATCCCTGTTATTCTCTTGGAACTTCCCTTCAAGTAGAGAAGGCAGACAATAAACAAAAAGTAAATTTATTGTATGTTAGGTGACACATGGCAAAGAAAAAACAATCAGAGAAGGGAAAGTATAAAGTACTAGGGGTAAGAGTTAGAAGAATGGAAATTTTACATAGGGCAGCAAGAGGAGACCTAGCTGGGAATGTGACTTTCGAGTAGAGACAGAAAGGAAGTGAAGGAATGTAGAGCCCAGAGAGAAAAACATCCTAGGGAGAAGGAAGGAGGAGGCAGGACATTGAAGACTTTCTAGGCTGTAGTCCTTAAAATATGTATTTGTTGAAATATTTAAAAATACAGAATAATTTGGCCGGGCGCGGTAGCTCACACCTGTAATCCCAGCACCTTGGGAGGCCGAGGTGGGTGGATCACGAGGTCAGGAGATTGAGACCATCCTGGCTAACGCAGTGAAACCCCGTCTCTACTAAAAATACAAAAAATTAGCCAGGCTTGGTGGCGGGTGCCTGTAGTCCCAGCTACTCAGGAGGCTGAGGCAGGAGAATGGTGTGAACCCAGGAGGTGGAGCTTGCAGTGAGCGGAGATCTCGCCACTGCACTCCAGCCTGGGCGACAGAGCGAGACTCCGTTTCAAAAAAAAAAAAAAAAAAAAGGCAGAATAATTTTATGCCTTTTTAAAAAATTGCTTTTGTTTTTTAGAGACAGAGTCTCACTCGGTCACCAGGCTGGAGTGCAGTGGCACAATTATAACTCACTATAGCCTTGGACTCCTGGACTCAAGCCGTCCTCCTGCCTCAGCCTCCCAAGTAGCTAGGAGGTGTGTACCACCACACACAGTAAGTTTTGTTTTGTTTTGTTTTGTTTTTAAGACAAAATCTTGTTTTTGTCCCCCAGGCTGGAGTGCAATGGAGCAATCCCAGCTCACTGCAACCTCCGTCTCCCAGGTTCAAGCGATTCTCCTGCCTCAGCCTCCAAGTAGCTGGGATTACAGGCACATGCCACCACACCTGGCTAATTTTTGTATTTTTAGTAGAGACGGGGTTTCACCATGTTGGCCAGGCTGATCTAACTCCTGACCCTCAGGTGATCTGCCTGCCTCAGCCTTCCAGAGTGCTGGGATTACAGGCATGAGCCACTGCGCCTGGCCCAGCAAATTTTTTTTTGGAACTCTTGGCCTCAAGAGATCCTCCCACCCAGACTGTTGGGATTACCGGTGTGATCCACCACACCTGGGCACCATGTTATTGTTATAATTATTTTTTGAGATGGAGTGTCGCTCTTGTTGCCCAGGCTGGAGTGCAATGGCGTGATCTCTGCTTACTGCAACCTCTGCCTCCTGGGTTCAAGCAATTCTTCTGCCTCAGCCTCCCAAGTAGCTGGGATTACAGGCATACACCACCACACCCGGCTAGTTTTATATTTTTAGTAGAGATGGGGTTTCACTGCGTTTGTCAGGCTGCTCTTGAACTCCTGACCTCAGGTGATCTACCCACTGCAGCTTCCCAAAGTGCTGGGATTACAGGTGTGAGCCACTGCTCTCGGCCACCATGTTATTTTTAATTAATTTTTTGAGAAGGGGTCTTGTTATATCGCCCAAGCTAGACTCAAATTCCTGAGCTTAAGTGATCCTCTCATCTCAACCTCCCCAGTAGCTGGGACTGTAGGCTTGTACTACTGTGCTGACTATGTCATGTTATTAATGATTTTGATGAAGATAAAGATATGGGGGAAAATGAGGCTCAAAGAATTTCCCTAATTTGCCTAAAAGTCCACACAGCTAGTGAATAGAAATTGAGCCCAGTTTAGGTTATTTTAAGTAATGTACAGAATACCTTGGCAATGGCACAAAGGCCAGCCCAGTACTTGATGTTCAGATGTGCTATTGAGTGTATACTTTCCTATTTCTATCCATCTGTTCAGGACTGTTCAGGACTTTTTTTTTCTATCACCCAGGCTGGAGAGCAGTGGCGCTATCTTGGCTCACTGCAACCTCTGCCTCCCGGGTTCAAGCGATTCTCTGCCTCAGCCTCCTGAGTAGCTGGGATTACAGGCGCCTGCCACCACGCCCAGATAGTTTTTGTGTTTTTAGTAGAGACAGGGTTTCACCATCTTGGCCAGGCTGGTCTTGAACTCCTGACCTCATGATGCACCCACCTCAGCCTCCCACAGTGCTGGGATTACAGGCATGAGCCACCGTGCCAGGCCCAGGATCTTGCTTAACTTTGGGAGGCCTGATAACTTGATATTGGTGTATATAGCTTTTTCCTGGAATTGCGCACCTTGTAACAAAGCCGTCCTTTTTAGTCTTAAAGTTTTATAGTTCAAAATCTATGGGTTTTTTTTTGAGATGGAGTCTCCCTCTGTCACTCAAGCTGGAGTGCAGTGGCACGATCTTAGCTCACTGCAACCTCTGCCTCCCGGGTTCAAGCAATTCTCCTGCCTCAGCCTCTTGAGTAGCTGGGATTACAGGCACACTCCACCACGCACGGCTGATTTTTGCATTTTTAGTAGAAACAGTGTTTCACCATTTTGGCCAGGTTGGTCTCAAACTCCTGACCTCAGGTGATCCACCCGCCTTGGCCTCCCAAAGTGGTGGGATTACAGGCGTGAGCCACTGTGCCTAGCCAAAATCTATGTTTAATAGAAAACTTTAGATAACACTTTTTTTTTTTTTTTTTTTTGAGATGGAGTCTCACTCTGTCGCCCAGGCTGGAGTGCAGTGGCGCCATCTCGGCTCACTGCAAGCTCCGCCTCCCAGGTTCACGGCATTCTCCTGCCTCAGCCTCCCGAGTAGCTGGGACTACAGGCGCCCGCCACCACACCCGGCTAATTTTTTTGTATTTTTAGTAGAGATGGGGTTTCACTGTGTTGGCCAGGATGGTCTTGATCTCCTGACCTCGTGATCCGCCCGCCTCTGCCTCCCAAAGTGCTGGGATTACAGGCGTGAGCCACTGCGCCCAGCCACTTTTCAATCTTAATTGGAAAGCAGTGTCAGTCGTCAGTATTTGCCAAGATACGAGTTTTTAGATAGCTGTTTAGGGAGGCTTTAAACTATTAACAGCGTCTTATGTTTTTTTAAAAAATTATTTATTATTATTATTTTTTGAGACAGAGTCTCACTCCGTCGCCGAGGCTGGAGTGTACTGGTGTAATCTTGACTCACTGCAGCCTCCACCTCCTGGGTTCAGAGGATTCTCATGCCTCAGCCTCCTGAGTAGCTGGGATTATAGGCATGCGCCACCATGCCCAGCTAATTTTTTTTTAGCATTTTTAATATACATAATGTGTTTCCCATATAGGCGGAACTCAAAGAATCCGTATGCTTTAAGTTGGCATTTGAGTTACAATGCACTCTTAAGGGAAACCATAATGACCGATGGTACTGTACAAGAATTTTGGGCTGGGCGTGGTGGCTCATGCCTGTAAATCCCAGCACTTTGGGAGGCCGAGGCGGGTGCATCACAAGGTCAAGAGATCAAGACCATCCTGGCCAACATGGTGAAACCCCGTCTCTTCTAAAAATACAAAAAATTAACCAGGCATGGTGGCAGGTGCCTGTAATCCCACCTACTTGGGAGACTGAGGCAGGAGAATCACTTGAACCTTTGAGGTGGAGGTTGCAGTGAGCTGAGATTGCGCCATTGCACTCCAGCCTGGGCAAAAAGATAGAAACTCCGTCTCAAAAAAGAAACAACAAAACAAAACAGATATTTGGCCAGGTGCAGTGGCTCATGTCTATAATCCCAGCACTTTGGGAGAGTAAGGCAGGAGGATCGCTTGAGTCCAGGAGTTTGAGATCAGCCTGGGCAACACATTGAGACTTCCGTCTCTACAAAAACTTAAAAAAACTAGCTGAATATGATGATACATGCCTGTAGTCCCACCTACTTGGGAGGCTGAGGCAGGAGGATCTCTTAAACCCAAGAAATCTGATCCCAGGAGGCTACAGTGAGCTGTGTTCACGCCACTGCACTCCAAGCTGGACAACAGAGTGAGACCCTGTCTCAAAAAAAACAAACAAACAAAAAACAAACCCCCAAAACCAAAGTACACATATTAAAGTGTACAATTCAATCAAAATTAAAAAATAAAAACAATTTCAAGGAAGAGTGACCTCTTCAGGTTTCAATCAAGGGAACAGAGGGAGACTTTTTTTGTTGCTTGTAGTTTGTCAGAGTGTAATTAGCCAACCTTGAATTTGGCTAGGACATCTGGGGTAATATCCTGGCCCTGGCACCAAGTACCAAGGAATCTTGGCCACAATGAGTAAAGAGCTTTTTTTTTTTTTCTTTTAATCTCCATATGGCACTTCCAGAAGGACATATTCCACTAGCACTAACTCAATGGGTGGGTCTACTTTTTAATTGTCTATTTATTGTGGTTCAGCAACAAAATCTTAAAAGTATGCTTTCAAAATCTCTCAAAAGAGGAAGTAGTCATATTACAGAATCCCTATTGGGAACCCTCCTTGGTGTCTCTTACCCTGGGGAAGTTTATTCTCATCCACCTCTTTGCAGGAATGCTAATGAGACTACAGGCAGACATTTTGCTGCCCTAATGTTTTCTATAAGCGTAAGCTCTAAAATACTTCCGACTTGAATTAAGCAGTTTGGTGTTTGTTTGCTCCTTTGCTTACTTATGTCTAAGTATGATTTGGATAGATCCCAGTTTAACTCTGCCCCTTTTTAACACTTAAAATTGCCGAGTCCTTGATTTATAATATCTTCTCCGAAGTTAAGGCCCAGAAGATCCAGATGTTCAGGGTGTGCAAATCATCCAAAACTTGGGTTTGATGTATAAAGGGAGGCAATATAATAAGTCTTTTTCCCCCCGATTCTAAAAATCCCTTCTTTTACTCAAGTATTGTAGTGAAATATTTGGCATATTCTCCCCCTCTTCTCAGGAAAGATAAGAGTCAGTAGGGATGTTTTCCTGAAAATCTTTTAATCAAGGCCTTTGACCTCTTGCCTCCTCTCTCTTCCTGATTTACCCCATATAATGACTTTTTATTAGAGACATTATGTTCTAATACCTTAAAGCAGGAAGGGACCTATTTAGACTTTTCCTTTCTAGACCGTAAATAAACTTTATAAGCAGGGTGATTTTTTTTATAGCCTAAGTGAAAGAAAACTTATTGCCTGGGTTTCTGAAAAGTGGGTGTCTTTATTACATGAAACCATGTGACTAGTTTCTGTTGAAAGGGATACGTAGCTTGCTTAGGTTGTCATCTTGAGAATCTAGTCAAGTTTAGATTTTAGAAAATGTTTTCCAGTGAAGTTTTTTTTAGGGTCTCAGGTTTATTTTTTTCTTTATGTATTAGTTTTAAGATGGGCTTTACATTTTAGTAACATAATGTTCTCTTCTTAAAATATGTAGGTTAATTGTATAAATTATAAAATTTGCATAGATACAAAAACACAGAAAAAAACAAATTATCCATGATGCTACTGCCCAGAGGAATCTTTTTGATACTTTAGAGTATGTACTTTGGTTTTTTTTTGTTTTTTAGAGACGGAGTCTCGCTCTGTCACCCAGGCTGGAGTGCAGTGGCGTGATCTTGACTCACTGCAACCTCCGCCTACCGAGTTCAAATGATTCTCCTGCCTCAGCCTCTTGAGTAGCTGAGATTACAAACACGTGCCACCTTGCCCGTCTAATTTTTGTATTTTTAGTAGAGACGGGGTTTCGCCATGTTGGCCAGGCTGGTCTCAAACTGATGACCTCATGAAATCCGCCCACCTCAGCCTTCCAAAGTGCTGGGATTACAGGGGTGAGCCACCACGCCTGGCCTCAGTCTTCTTATTAAAAAATTTTTTTGGCCAGGTGTGGTGGCTCACCCCTGTAATCCCAGCACTTTGGGAGGCTGAAGTGGATGGATCCCGTGAGCTCAGGGCAACATGGCAAAACTCCATTTCTACAAAAACAAAAGTTAGCCAGGGATGGTTGTGTACCTGTGGTCTCAGCTACTCAGGAGGCTGAGGTGGGAGGATTCCTTGAGCCCAGGAGGTTGAGGCTGCAGTAAGCCATGATTGTGCCATTGCACTCCAGCTTGGGTGTCAGAGTGAGAGCCTGTCTCTTAAAAAAAAAAAAAAAAAAAAAAAAGAAAATAACTGGTTGTAGATAGTAAGTAGGAAAACTGCTAAGTACACCAGTTTTTTAAAAAATAACAGCTTTATTGAGATATAATTCATATGCCATACAGTTTAGTAACTTAAAGTATACAATTCAGTGGTTTTTTAGTATATTCGCAGTTATGCACCCATCACCATTATCAGTTTTATTATATTTTCATTTTTTTTCCTTTTCTCCCATTTGGAAAAGTAAGTTTTAATATATTTTTGTCATCCCCAGAAGAAATCATGTATCCATTAGCAGTCACTCCTTATTTCTGCCAACTTTCCCAGCCCTAGGCAGGAGGCCAGGAGTTTGATGCCAGCCTGGGCAACATGGCAAATCTACTCTCGTCTCTACAGATTTGTTTATTCTGGACATTTCTTATAAAGGGAATCATACATTATGACTGGCTTCCTTCGCTTAACATAGTGTTTTCAGGGTTCCTCCATGTTGTGGCATGCATCTGCCCTTGATTCCTTTTTATGGTTGAGTAATATTCTGTTGTGTAGATATACCCCAATACCACATTGTGTCTCTTCATCACTTGATGAACCTTTGGATTGTTTCTACTTTTTGTCTCATGAATACTGCTGCTGTGAGCATTCATGTATAAATTTTTTGTTTTTGTTTTTGAGATGGAGTTTCGCCCTTGTCTCCCAGGCTGGAGTGCAATGGCGTGATCTCGGCTCATTGCAACCTCCACCTCCTGGGTTGAAGCAAATCTCCTGCCTCAGCCTCCCCAATAGCTGGGATTACAGGCGCCTGCCACCACACCCAGTTAATTTTTATAGTTTTAGTAGAGACAGGGTTTCGCCATGTTGCCTGGGCTTGTCTCAAACTCCTGACCTCAGGTGATCCGCCCACCTCAGCCTCCCAAAGTGCTGGGATTACAGGCGTAAGCCACTATGCCTGGCTCTTGTGTCTAATTTTTTGTGTAGACATATGCTTGCTTTTATGTTGGGCCTATACCTAAGAATGTTATAGAATTGCTGGGTCATATGCGAACTCTACCTTTTGAGGCAGTACAATACTGTTTTCCAAAGTGGTTGTACCACCAGCAATGAATGAGGTTCAGCTTGTCCAAATCCTCACCAGCACTTCTATGTCTTTTTGATTATAGTCATCCTAGTGAGTGTGCAGTGTGGTATCTCATCGTGATTTTGATTTGTATTTACCTGGTGGCTAGTAATATTGAACATCCTTTCATGTGCTTATTGGCCGTTTGTATAGCTTCTTTGGAGAAACAAACCTGTTATCTTTTTCTTTTTACCTTCAAAATATTACTTATAAGGCCGGATGTGGTGGCTCACGCCTGTAATCCCAGCACTTTGGGAGGCTGAGGTGGGCAGATCACTTGAGGTCAGGAGTTCGAGACCAGCCTGGCCAACATGGCAAAACCCTGTCTCTACTAAAAATACGAAAATTAGCTGGGTGTGGTGGCACGTGCCTGTAATCCCAGCTACTCGGGAGGCTGAGGCAGGAGAATCGCTTGAACCCAGGAGGTGGAGGTTGCAGTGAGCCGAGATTGCGCCACTGCACTCCAGCCTGAGTGACAGAGCGAGACTCCATCTCAAAAAAAAAAAAAAAAAAGTGTGTGTGTGTCTGTGTGTATATATATGTGTGTGTGTGTATACATAAATAAATATAACTTTACAAAGGCAAAGTATAGAACAATGGTATGTTACCATTTCGAATGAAAATGGTATACAAAAGAATGCCTTTATCTTTTAGTTTCTATATTTAGCAGATATTTATTAAGCATCTACTATAGGGAGGTACTAGCCCAGACACTGGGAAAGTTGAGTAAAACAGTCATGTGTCCTGCTCTCGAGGAAACTGTAGCTGTTAATGGATTGCAGATTAAGAGCAAGAAATGAGGCTAGGCATGGTGACTCATGCCTGTAATCCCAGCACTTTGGGAGGCTGAGGTGGGTGGATCACTTGAGGCCAGGAGTTCAAGACTAGCCTGGCCAACATAGCAAAACCCTGTCTCTACTAAAAATACAAAAAATTAGCCAGGCATGGTGACAGGCGCCTGTAGTCCCAGCTACTCGGGAGGCTGAGGCAGGAGAATGGCGTGAACCCAGGAGGCGGAGCTTTCAGTGAGCCGAGATCTCACCACTGCACTCCAGCCTGGGTGACAGAGCAAGACTCAGTCTCAAAAAAAAAAAAAATAAAAATAACAAACACTGAAGTTAGATTTTAAAATCCAAATGAGGCCGGGCGCGGTGGCCCACGCCTGTCATCTTAGCACTTTGGGAGGCCAAGGTGGGTAGATCACCTGAGGTCAGGAGTTCGAGACCAGCCTGGCCAACATGGTGAAAGCCTGTCTCTACTAAAAATACAAAAACTAGCTGGGGGTGGTGGCAGGGGCCTGTAATCCCAGCTACTCGGGAGGCTGATGCAGGAGAATCGCTTGAACCTGGGAGGCAGAGGTTGCAGTGAGCTGAGATTGAGCCACTGCACTCCAACCTGGGCAACAGAGTGAGACTCTGTCTTGAAAAAAATTAAAATCCAAATGAAACCAATTCCTAGTTTCCACTTACAGCATCTAAGGTGGTTGTACAGAAACTATCTTATGGATTTGTGAGTAAATTTAGTAGACTGCTTCTCTTGAAATATAGGCTGGGCGTGGTGGCTCGTGCCTGTAATCCCAGCACTTTGGGAAGCCAAGGTGGGCAGATCACTTGAGGCCAGGAGTTTGAGACCAGCCTAGCCAACATGGTGAAACCCTGTCTCTACTAAAAATATAAAAATTAGCTGGGCGTGGTTGCGCATGCCTGTAATCCCAGCTACTCCAGAGGCTGAGGCGGAAGAATCGCTTGAACCTGGGTGGCAGTGGTTGCAGTGAACTGAGATCATGCCACTGTATTCCAGCCTGGGCAACAGAGCAAGACTCCATCTCAAAAAAAAAGAAAAAGAAAAGAAAAATATTATAGGCTGGGCGTGGTAACTCATGCCTGTAATCCCAGCACTCTGGGAGGCCAAGGCGGGCGGATCACCCGAGGCCAGGAGTTTGAGACCAGCCTGGCCAACATGGTGAAACCCTGTCTCTACAAAAATATAAAGATTAGCCGGGCATGGTTGTGCAGACCTGTAATCCTGGCTACTTGGGAGGCTGACGCAGGAGAATCACTTGAGCCTGGGAGGCGGAGGTTGCAGTGAGCCAAGATCGTGCCACCCTGGGTGACAGAGTGGAGACTCCATCTCAAAAAAATAATAAACAATAAAAAAAATATCAAGGTGCCCTGTAGTATTGTGAAAATAGAAACGTGGTTATAGGCCGGGCACAGTGGCTCATGCCTTTAATTCCAACACTTTGGGAGGCTGAGGCAGGAGGATCTCTTGAGCCCAGGAGTTCAAGACCAGCCTGGGCAACATAGTCTCTTAAAAACAGAATAGGCTGGGCGCGGTAGCTCACACCTGTAATCCCAGCACTTTGGGAGGCCGAGGTGGGTGGATCACGAGGTCAGGAGATCGAGACCATCCTGGCTAACACGGTGAAACCCTGTCTCCACTAAAAATACAAAAAATTAGCCTGGTGTGGTGGCAGGCGCCTGTAGTCCCAGCTACTCGGGAGGCTGAGGCAGAAGAATGGCGTGAACCTGGGAGGTAGAGGTTGCAGTGAGCTGAGATTGCACCACTGCACTCCAGCCTGGGCGACAGAGTGAGACTCCATCTCAAAAAAATATATAATAAAAAATAAAGAAATGTCTCAAAAAAATGTGGTTATTTGTCCATTGTCTCTCAAGACCTATAGCAACTATTAAACTTGCTCATTTGCAAAATAAAAACAAGAACCTTTTTTTTTTTTTTTTTGAGACGGAGTATCATTCTTATCGTCTAGGCCAGAGTGCAATGGTGTGAGCTCTGTAACCTCCGTCTCCCGGGTTCAAGTGATTGTCCTGCCTCAGCCTCCTGAGTAGCTGGGATTACAGGTGCCCGCCACCATGCCTGGCTAATTTTTGTATTTTTAGTAGAGATGGGGTTTCGCCATGTTAGTCAGGCTGGTCTTGAACTCCTGACCTCAGGTGATTTGCCTCGGCCTCCCAAAGTGCTGGCATTACAGGCAAGAAAGCTTTTATGAAAAGAAAAAAACCCAATCCAATATGAAAGACCTTGATTCTTCTAGGAGTTGTCTTTGTACCCTTTTCTTGTTCAGAGCAGTTTTGGTATGCTTTTGCTTTTGGTGTGGGCCATGTCTGACTGTTTAAGGGGCAGGCAACAATATGCCAACTTTTTTCCTTTGTGAAGAATGGAAAGGGAAATCAATTCTTTTTTTTTTTTTTTTTTTTTTTTTGAGACAGGGTCTCACCAAAAACCCTCCTTGTAGCACGTGTTCTCACTCTGTCTCAAGAAAAAAAAAAAACTCATCCAGGCTGGAGTGCAGTGGCACAATCACAGCTCACTGCAGCTTCAATCTCCTGGGCTCAGGTGATCCTCCTTCAGCCTCCCAGATAGCCTGGACTGCAGGCACGCGACACCATACCTGGCTAATTTTTTGTAGAGATGGAGTTTTGCCGTGTTGCCCAGGCTGGTTTTGAACTCCTGGGCTCAAGTGATCTTCCTGCCTCAGCCTCCCAAAGTGCTGAGATTGCAGGTGTGAACCACCTTGGCTGGGGAGGTCAGTTTTAACTTGCCTTGAGATTGACTCTTTGATCTCACTGCTGTATATAATAATTTAGAAACATTTATTCATCAGTTTACATTAGGGTCAGGAGCCTGGAGATTGGGGTTTTAGTCCTAGACTGTTAAGTAAGTATGACCTTGACAAGTGATTTCACTTTTTAGAATCAGTTTTCTTGTTGGTAAAATGAGAGAGTTGAACTAGATTGCTACAGTCTCTTCTGATTCTAACATTTTATGATGCTATATTAAGCACATTGCTTCTTTTTACACGTTAGTATAATTGACTGCTGCCGACCCATTAAGTAAGTTCTTCTGGGAGATACTAGAGAGGCCTAGTAATTTCAGCCCCTTTTAAGATCTGTGTCTTAAGCTAGTGGTATGTGTTAGAGTTACAAAGTCACAGGAATTTTGTAGAATTTTGTGTAAATGAACAAAATAACTCAAATTATTCAGCTTTCCATGTTCCCTTAAAACATTTTTTTTTTTTTTTGCAGATGGAGGAACATTGGGAGGCTCTTTATTTTCTGCGTGCTAAGTAGTAGGAATATAAATCTGCACTCAGACTGAGCTGTGCAAAGGCATTCATAATTGCAGGCAGTTGCATCAGAGCTCAGAGTTCCATCTCTAAAAAAAACATTGTCTTATGCCCCAACCTTCTCCCTGGGTTAGTTTTTAATCCTGTCCTTCCTTTTTAAAACTTCTCTAGGTACAACTTGTATTCTGTACTATGTCATACACACCTTAAGTTTTAAATACATATAATTTTCTTAAGCACAGAATAATTTTTCAAAGGGGTATGTCTACTCTTGACTTTGGAAAGATACCATAAACTTTGTATTTACTGTCAGTGTCTTATTGTGTGATATTCTCAAATCAACACTTAAGGTTAGCAGGCTAATTTTATAAATTGCTCTGTAAGGTTTGTCTCAGTTAGAAATTGGAAATAAAACTTCCTTGTAGCTCCTTTTGAATTAAGGGGCCAGTTAATTTTCTGATACTTACTGACTTGTGTCAGTCCTTTAGTGTCTGAATGGGCTTTTCACATTGATCCATTTATTTTTACTTGTTTGAGACAAGGTCTCACTCTGTGGGACCACAGGCACGCACCACCACGCCTGGCTAATTTTTGTATTTTTTGCAGAGACAGGGTTTCGCCATGTTTCCTAGGATGATCTCAAACTCCTGAGCTCAAAACTATCTGCCCACCTTGGCCTCCCAAAGTGTTGGGATTATGGGCGTGAGCCACTGAGCTGGCCGGCATTGACCTTTTAAATAAACAGTGATTACAATATTTACTCATCTTTCGTACTTTATCCTTAAAGATATGCTGTTTGCTTCCCGCCCCCCATCCCCCAGATGGAGTCTTGCTCTGTCACCCAGGCTGGAGTGCAGTGGTGCCATCTAGGCTCACTGCAACCTCTGCCTCCCGGATTCAAGCGATTCTCCTGCCTCAGCCTTCTGAGTAGCTGGGATTACCGGAGCTGCCGCCATGCCCGGCTAATTTTTGCATTTTAGTAGAGAGGGGGTTTCACCAAGTTGGCCAGGCTGGTCTTGAACGTCTGACCTCAGGTGATCCGCTCGCCTTGTCCTCCCAAAGTGCTGGGATTACGGCCGTGAGCAACCACACCCGGCTGCTGTTTCCTTTTTGTTTTTTTTTTTGAGATAGTGTGGTGGCATGATCTCTGCTCACTGCAACCTCTGCCTCCCTTGCTCAAGTGATTCTCTTGTCTCAGCCTCCCGAGTAGCTGGGATTATAGGTGTGTACCACCACACCTGGCTAATTTTTGTATTTTAGTAAAGATGGGGTTTTGCCATGTTGGCCAGGCTGGTCTTGAACTCTTCACCTCAGGTGATCTATCCGCCTTGGCCTCCCAAAGTGCTGGGATTACAGGTGTGAGCCACCGCGCCTGGCTGCTATTTGCTTTTTTAATCTTTGTGTTAATTTTAAAGCTGAGTCTGGCCTATTTAAAAAGTTATATATAATATATCGTGTATGAAGCATACATAAATACCCACATACTTAGAGAAATATCAGTGAAAATAGATCTTAGTGGTCCTAGCACAGTAAAGTGACAAAAGACTAAAAAAAACCTAGAGTTACGGCTCCTGGAATCCTTCTGACTTTTTTGACCATAGTACTTGCGAGAACGCGTCCCTTGTGAATCTAGGCAATGACGGCAACAGGAGCCATGCAGCAGTGACAGAACGTCTCATGGGATTACACAGGGGATGCAGATCAGTGAAGAAATATTGGTGCTTATAAATAGTCATGACAGGAATGGAAAAAAGGACAGGCTGAGTGACTTTAATATTCAATAAAACAAGTAATCTCATGTGAAAGGCATGTGTTTTTGAAGATGATGGAATGCTCTTATTCTGACACCTGACTCTAGAGGTGGTTTAAGTCAGTCCTATAGACAAGGCAGTGAACTTGATGGGGATATGTGGAACTGAATGGAAGAATGGAAGTGTGAACACATGGCACCATGTTGGTTTTTTTTTGTTTTGTTTTTTTTTTTTGAGATGGAGTCTCGCTCTGTCACCCGGGCTGGAGTGCAGTGGCGCGATCTTGGCTCACTGCAACCTCCGCCTCCCGGGTTCACACCATTCTGCCTCAGCCTCCTGAGTTGTTGGGACTACAGGCGCCCGCCACCATGCCAGGCTAATTTTTTTTTTTTGTATTTTTATTAGAGACAGGGTTTCACTGTGTTAGCCAGGATGGTCTTGATGGATCCGACCTCGTGATCCACCTGCCTCGGCCTCCCAAAGTGCTGGGATTACAGGCGTGAGCCACTGTACCTGGCCTTTGTTTTTTGTTTTCAGATGGAGTCTTGCTCTGTTGCCCAGGCTGGAGTGCTGTGGCGCAATCTTGGCTCACTGCAACCTCCACCTCCCCGGGTTCAAGCGATTCTCCTGCCTCAGACTCCTGAATAACTGGGATTACAGGAATGTGCCACCACTTCTAGCTAATTTTTATATTTTTAGTAGAGACAGGTTTCACCATGTTGGCCAGCCCGAAGGTCTCGAACTCCTAGCCTCAAGTGATTTACCCACCTTGGCCTCCCAAAGTACTGGGATTACAGGCGTCAGCCACTGCACCCGGCCTATTCTGTTACCTTTTAAATCAGCCTACTAGTTGATACTGAAACCAGTGTCTCCAGGCCCCTGCTTTATATTCTGTCCAGTGAATCTCGCTTGTTAGTGCACTGATTTGATACATTGGCCCTTCTGTGGCCTGCGCCCCAAACTGTGTTTGGTGGCGTCACACACATTTTCCCTGTGTTCAGGGCCAAGCTTTGGGAAGCCAGAGTCAACGATGCTCTTAGGTGTCTGTCACTTGTCCTCAGCTCGCGTAGACCGCTCACTCATGCGCTTACCGGGTATTCTACCTTGGAGTGCATGCTCCCTGCCTTCATGCCCTGTGGTTTGATTTTGAGTCACGGAACTGTTGTTAGGGCACACATTCTGAGCAGTCACACAGTGTCATCATGTCATCGGACCACTCTGTGTAAATGTGCACAAGGAGTGTTCTGTATCTTATTCGGAAGACTAACAAGTTTCCCAGGTGTTAGAATATGGGCCAATGAAACAGCTATATGCGGCTGGGCACGGTGGCTCATGTGGTAATCCCAACACTTTGGGAGGCCAAGGTGGGTGGTTCACCTGAGGTCAGGAGTTCAAGACCAGCTTGGCCAACATGGTGAAACCCTGTCTCTACTAAAAATAAAAAAAAATTAGCTGGGTGTGGTGACGGGTGCCTGTAATACCAGCTACTCAGGAGGCTGAGGCAGGAGAATCGCTTGAACCCAGGAGGCAGAGGTTGCAGTGAGTCGAGATCATGCCACTGCACTCCAGCCTGGGTACCAGAGTAAGACTCTGTGCCAAAAAAACAAACAGACCAAAAAAAAAAAAAAAAAAAACAAAACAAGAAATGATGTCTCCTACTGTATTGGCCTTAAATCTCCAGCCACAGGTTCCTTTCATGTGCTTTGAGACATACTTATTAAATTTTTCATCGGTAGCTCAGTCTCTGTACTGTATTTTGCTTTGAGTTTCATGTGGGTGTGTTTTCAAACTCTTTGTGCTGAGCTCTCGGTTTTACTGGGCAGTGCCTTGTGCTGCCAGCAGAGCTTCCTTATACATTATGTATCACCTGTCAAATAGATATTTTAAAGTTCCTCTTACTGTAAGTGCTATTTTTTCCTTTTCTATGCTAAGAACAATTAAATTATTCCTGGCTCGAGATTCAGGAGTTTTACATTTCTCTGCCCTTTTCCTCACATACATGTTGTAATGGAGCACAGAAGATGGATGTTGCATATCCAGGGGGGCCTGGGGTATTATCTGCTTGTTAGTTTTACTATCGATGCCAAGAGGAGAGCTGCTTGTTTTCTGCTTCCAGTATGTATTCTAGCCTGGTGGTGTCCTATGTAGTAGCCACGAGCCACATAATCACGTATTGAGCACGTGAAATGTGGTGAGTCCAAATTGAGGTGTGCTGTAAGTATAAAATACACTCTGGATTTCAAAGATCTATTATGAAAAAAGAATGTAAAATGTTAATAATTTTACGTTAATCACATTTGTTGTTGTTAGAGACGAGGTGATATTTGTTTTTTGAGACAGAGTCTTGGTCTGTCACCCAGGCTGGAATGTAGTGCTGCCACCCAGGCTGGAGTACAGTGGCGCTATCTCAGCTCACTGCAACCTCCGCCTCCTGGGTTCAAGCAATTCTCCTGCCTCAGCCTCCGGAGTAGGTGGGATTATAGGTGCCCACCACCACATCCGACTAATTTTTATATTTTTAGTAGAGATGGGGTTTCACCATGTTGGCCAGGCTGCTGTCAAACTCTTGACCTCAAGTGATCCATGTGCTTCGGTCTCCCAAAGTGCTGGGATTACAGGCATGAACCAGCACGCCCAGGCAGGAGATGAGGTCTTGCTCTGTTGCCCAGGCTGGAGTGCAGTGCCATGACCAGAGCTCTCTGCAGCTTCTAACTAAACTCTTGGGCTCAAGCAGTCGTCCCATCTCTGCCTCTGGAGTAGCTGGGATGCAGGTGTGTGCCACTACACCCAGCTAATTTTTAAAAATTTTGTAGAGATGGAGTCTCACTATGTTGCTCAGGCTTGTCTTGAAATCCTGAACTCAAGTGATCCTTCCACTTGGGCAGGCATGAGCCACCGTGCCCAGCCCTTGATTACATTTTGAAATAATATTTTAAATCTACTGGGCTAAATAAACTATATCATGAAAATTAATTTCACATGATTCTTTTTCATTTTTAAAAATATGGATACTAGAAAATTCAGAATTATACATTTGTACTGCATTGTATTTCTACTGGACAGTGCTGGTCTAGAAAGTATAATACTGTCAACAAATGTAATTATCTAATTTGAGACTCACACTTTTTTTTTTTTTGAGCGGGAGTTTTGCTCTTGTTGCCCAGGCTGGAGTGCAATGGCAAAATCTCGGCTCACTGCAACCCCCACCTCCCAGGTTCAAGTGATTCTCCTGCCTCAGCCTCCCGAGTAGCTGGGATTACAGGCATGTGCTACCACACCTGGATAATTTTGTATTGTTAGTGGAGACTGGCTTCACCATGTCTGTCAGGCTGGTCTTGAACTCCTGACCTCAGGTCATCCTCCCGCCTTGGCCTCCCAAAGTGCTGGGATTACAGGCATGAGCCAGCATGCCCAGCCGAGATCATACCTGTTAAATAGCACTCATTGTAGGTAGTAATTGAACAGTTTGCCCATAGCTTCATTGACCTACTTTCTTGGAGTACAATGGCGCCATCTCTGCTCACCGCAACCTCTGCCTCCCAGGTTTAAGCAGTTCTCCTGCCTCAGCCTCCTGAGTAGCTGGGATTACAGGCATGTGCCACCACGCCGCCTGGCTGATTTTGTATTTTTAGTAGAGATGGGGCTTCGCCGTTTTGGTCAGGCTGGTCTTGAATTCCTGACCTCAAGTGATCTGCCCGCCTTGGCCTCCCAAAGTGCTAGGATTACCGTGCCCGGCCCATTGACCTACTTTTTATTAATTTGTTCATTAATAATTAGAGATGAGGTCTCACCAAGTTTCCCAGGCTGGTATTGAACTCCTGGGCTCAAAGCATCCTGCCACCTCAGCCTCCCAAAGTGTTGGGATTACAGGTGTGAACCACCATACCCACCCTTCATTGGCCCACTTTTTAGAAAAGGATCCAGGCCAGTCGTGGTGGCTCATGTCTGTAATCCCAGCACTTTGGGAGGCCAAGACGGGCGGATCACCTGAGGTCGGGAGTTCGAGACCAGCCTGACCAACATGGCAAAACCTTGTCTCTACTAAAAATACAAAATTAGCCAGGCATGGTGGCACGTGCCTGTAATCCCAGCTACTTGGGAGGCTAAGGCATGAGAATTGCTTAAACCCGAGAGGCGGAGGTTGCAGTGAGCCGAGATCGCGCCACTGCACTCCAGCCTGGGCGACAAGAGTGAAACACTGTCTCAAAAAAAAAAAAAAAAGGATCCGGAGTTGGGAAACCCTGTAATGCTTCTGTGTTTATCAAGTGTTTAGAGTGTAAGATACAGTTACTTGATGCTTTAGTTTGAAAATCGCATCATTTTGCATAATTTTATGGATTCTTGTTTTGCTGTTGACTCACTTGAGAACTTTTTTGAACTCTTACTGTGTATCAAACTTTTTTAGATTCGTTGGATGCGAAGACAAATCAAATCTCATGGAGCTTAGTCATAGCATGATATGCAAACAAGACAGGAATGCGTGTGAGTCATCATTCCGTAATCGAAGCTGCCCAGTAGCTGGAGTAGTCCAGAGAAGGAAGAGAGGGCAAGAAGAGTAGTCAGAAGAGACTGCTGATGTGTCTCCTGTGTTCTTGGAGAGCCATTTCCCATGTGCCCCCAAAGCCCTTCTGTGTGGCAGTATGCTGCGCGTGGCAGTAGCGTATGGGGCCTGGCTCTAGAAACAGCCAGTACGTGGGAAATGAAGCCCGTCCAAGGACCTTAAGCTCAGTTCAGCCAGGAGATGTGATGTTTTTAAATTGGGGCTAAGCAGGCCCATAATTTTTTTTTTTTTGGTTACTTTTCCGTGACATTGGATAGTTGACTTTTTTGTTTTACTCAAGAATTGAAGAAAATTTGCAAATGCCCTTCAATCTTATTTATCTTTTTCAGTCTCTTCTGTATATACAGAAATATGAATGTGAATGAAGTGGAAGGAAGAAAATCAAATAGCTTGCCCTTTCTTAAGGGGAAACAAGTCAATTTGGAAAGGTCCCAGCGTTGTGTAAGTGTTTTCAGTGGCTCAAGCCGAGGAGCTCAGGTTACACTGCATCTCCTGTGTTGGGGGTGGGGACAGCAAGTGACACAGCATACTTACGTAACCGTGACTTCAGGGGACAGGATTAAGCTGTGAATGAACCTCCCAAACCCAGGAATATGATATGAGAACATAGCCTTTGAATTTCTCTCTCAAGTTTGACTTGAAAAATCAGCCTCAGAAACATCTTTATCTTAAGATAGATTTCCGTTGCTCTCAGAACGTCTCTCCCCTGACCTTCTGTTATTAAGTTCATGGACATACAGCATTTTAGAATTAGGTGGGGGCTCCGAAGTCTGCGAGTGCAGCTGTGCACAGGTAAGTCACTTCACCCGCCTGGTGCTGAATTTCCTTTGGGTCTTGAAGCAGGGCCGCGTTGAAACCTGGGTTTCTGGACGTTGTAGCTACCACGCAGCCTGTTTCTGGAAGCTTGGTGTTAAACTCCCTCTCCTGGCAGGTTAAATTCATTGCAAATTCTTCAACTCTCCTTTGCCTCCCAACAGAATTTTTAGATTTAGTAAATAAAGTGGCATTTTCATTTTGTGGATGGGGCAAAATGGACTGGAAAGGGTCTGATGTGTAGAGATGTGATTTTCTTGGGGCAACGTGATGCCGCTCTATGTGTGCCAGGAGGTGCTGAGCCTGTTTGAAGCTCTTATCAGATCTGGGTTCTTTCTTCACTGATGGCAGAGGTCTGTACTTTTCACTTTGGCAAAGTTAGAGCCACAGTCTTTCCTTTCACTTCTGAATCCTTGACCTTTTGCTTACAGGATTTGGATTTGATACCCAAAACAGGACTAGAACTGTGAAGGTATGGAGTTAGAAACAGATCTTATTTAATTAGTGTCCTCAGGTTGAAGTTGGGAATACTGAGCCGGGGAAGGGGTTATGTGAGTTGTTCAGGGTCATCCAACTGGGGTGGAATTTAGGTGTCTCACTTCCTAGTCCAGCTCTCTGTTCATACTTTTTTATTTATTTGAACCATGACATTTAAAAAATAGGAGTAAACATAACCTTAAGAAATCAGATGAGAATATGAAGAATATTACTGCTTTTTGTATGAACATAATTTTCACCATTCTTGTTTTTGGGAACTGCTTGTTTTGTGGAACCTCTTGTTTCTGTAAATTGCTTAAGGTTTTTTTTTTTTTTTTTTGGATATCTGGTCAGGAGGAAGGGGGATTAGATTTTATTAAAATATATATTTTCTATAATAAGTGTCTTTTTTTCTTAAACTTTTTAAAAAAAGATTTTAGAGATAAAGTCTTGCTAATATTGCCTAGGCTGGACTCAATCTCCTGGGCTCAAGCGATCCTCCCACCTCAGTCTCCGAAGTAGCTGGGATTCCAGGCAGGCGCCACCATGCCCGGCTAATTAAAAAAAATTTTTTTTTTTTAGAGATGGGGTTTCACTATGTTGCCCAGGCAGCTCTCAGACTCCTGGACTTAAGTGATCCACCTGCCTTGGCCTCCCAAAATGCTGGGATTATAGGTGTGAGCCACCATGCCTGGGCAAACTTGTGTGTTTTAAAAACATATTTTGTTCTTACGAGTAAAATGTCTCTGCTTTTATAAAAATATAGTACTTTAATTATTCACATTATAATGCTTTTTGTGATATAAAGCATTTCAATCTTAGAGGCTCGTCCTTAAAATTAATTTTTTTTTTTTTTTTAAGGTGGAGTCTCATTCTGTCGCCCAGGCTGGAGTGCAGTGGCGTGATCTCGGCTCACTGCAACCTCCACCTCCAGGGTTCAAGCTATTCTCCTCAGCCTCCCAAGTAGCTGGTATTACAGGCGCCTGCCACCACGACCAGCTAATTTTTTTTTTTTTTTTTTGTATTTTCAGTAGAGACAGGGTTTCACCATGTTGGCCAGGCTGGTCTCAAATTCCTGACCTCTGGTGATCCGGCTGCCTTGGCCTTCCGAAGTGCTGCGATTACAGGCATGAGCCACCAAGCCCAGTCCCTTAAAATTAATTTATTTGAGGAATTTACTTGGCCAAGATGATTCAAAGCTCTAAGCAAAGTTTTTATCTGTTTGCCACTGTATTACATAAAATAAGCTTGCCACTATACCATATAAGCCCACTTATTTCAGTGGCTGAAACTGATAAGTTAATTTTCTTTTTTTTTTGTTTTTTTTTGAGACGGCGTCTCACTCTGTTGCCCAGGCTGGAGTGCAGTGGCACAATCTTGGCTCACTGCAACCTCTGCCTCCTGGCTTCAAGCGATTATCCTGCCTCAGCCTACTGAGTAGCTGGGATTACAGGCATGCGCCTCCACTCTCGACTAATTTTTATATTTTTTTTTTAGTAAAGATGGGGTTTCACCATGTTGGCCAGGCTGGTCTCGAACTCCTGACCTTGTGATCGGACTGCCTCCCAAAGTGCTGGGATTATAGGTGTGAGCCACCATGCGTGGCCGATAAG
This sequence comes from Homo sapiens, assembly GCF_000001405.40. Taxonomy (NCBI): domain Eukaryota; kingdom Metazoa; phylum Chordata; class Mammalia; order Primates; family Hominidae; genus Homo; species Homo sapiens. Next base: position 122,397,669 of record NC_000012.12, on the reverse strand, counting down.
TTGATTTTCAGTTTTGGAAAAGTTTAGGATACATATTTACTGATGGGAAAATGGGGAGAGGTGATTCAGGTGTCTAGACTTCTTTCTTCCTTTTTTTTTTTTTTTTTTTTTTTTTTGGAGATGGAGTCTGGCTCTGTCGCCCAGACTGGAGGGCAGTGGTGTGATCTTGGCTCACTGCAACCTCTGAGATTACAGGCGTGCACCACTATGCCCGGCTAATTTTTGTATTTTTTTGTAGAGAGAGGTTTTTGCCATGTTGCCCAGGCTGGTCTCAAACTCCTGACCTCAGATGATCCACCCACTTTGGTCTCCCAAAGTGCTGGGATTACAGGCATGAGCCACACGCCTGAACTCTTCCATCTTTTGATTCTGTTGTCTTCAGTACATGCTTTCGAGGTTGCTGGGCTTGTCTCCATCAAGCCATCAGAAGGGCAAAGAGCATGGGGGATTGTACACAGTAGGTTCCTCTGGGCTAGGCCTAGAGTGGCACATGCCTCACACACTTATTCCACTGGCTAGAACTCAGTCACGTGATCATACTGAACTGTAGCGGGAGCTGGGAAATATGGTGTGAATCCAGGAAGAAAAAGAGGCCAGGCACGGTGGCTTACGCCTGTAATCCCAGCACTTTGGGAGGCCAAGGTTGGTGGATCGCTTGCACCCAGGAGTTCAAGACCAGCCTAGGCAACATGGTAAAACCCCATCTCTACAAAAAAAAAAAAAAAAAAAAAAAAAATTTGCCGGGTGTGGTGGTGTCTGCCTGTAGTCCCAGCTACTTGGGAGGCTGAGGTGGAAGGATGGCTGGAGTCTGGGAGGTCAAGGCTGCCATGAGCCATGAGTGCATCACTGCAGTTCAACCTGGGCAACAGGGCAAGACTCTGCCTCAAAAAAAAAAAAATAAACAACAACAAAAAAGTCTTGGTGAACAGCTAGCCACCCTCTCCCCCTCTCCATATGTATTCACTTCCATCCTGGCTTGGCTGTACTGCACTCTTGTTTCTGTGGAGAAAGCAGCTCAGTAGAGTCTGTTTCTTCACTCTTTCGGTTGAAGCCGTTTTACTGTGGCTCAAAAGAATTTTTTTTCTGCCTGTGAAATTAATTATACCTGTTCATTAAATAAAATTTCTATAGACCCAAGAAAACACAGATAAAAATTACCAGTGATTCCATTGAGATAATTGTTCTGAGTCCCTGTTACAGTTCCCTTCAATTTCAGAATTTTTAAGCACTTAGAAATAATAAAATGTCACTAATTCTTACTCTGTGCTGGCTTGCAAACTTCAAAACTCTTAAGAGGGAGGAAACAACAGCCTGGCCATTTTGCCTTTTCCTCACAAAGATACACAGGGCTATTCCGGAGCTGTCCCGAGGCTTTATTCTTCTGGCATTTTCAAAATGACTTAGACATCTTAATCTCCACTTCTCCTTAGTAAACAGGGTAAATATTGGGGCTGGTGAACTCAATAGTTTATTAGGATGGCAAGGGTAACATTTTAAGTTTATGATTTATTTTCTACTCAGTTATCAGGATTCTTTTTTCTTTCCTTTTTCTTTTTTTTTTTTTGAGATGGAGTCTTGCTCTATCGCCAGGCAGGAGTGCAGTGGCACGATCTCGGCTCACTGCAACCTCCACCTCCCAGGTTCAAGAGATTCTCCTGCCTCAGTCTCCCAAGTAGCTGGGACTACACGCACGCACCACCATGCCCAGCTAATTTTTGTATTAGTAGAGACGGGGTTTCACCATGTTGGCCAGGGTTGTCTCTATCTCTTGACCTCATGATCAGCCTGCCTTGGCCTCCCAAAGTACTGCGATTACAGGCGTGAGCCACCACGCCTGGCGGGGATGCTTAAATGTAGCCCAATCCTCCAGTAAAGAATACTAAGAAAAAGTGTTTGGAACCGAACCAAAATAAAAACTTGCGTACCAGAAGTTTGCAGGTAATACAGATATGCGTACATGACTGGTGTTCAGCTATTTAGGTGGACTTGCTTGTCTCTGCTTACCTGTGTTGCTGATGCTGGTCAGCAGTGGAGAAAACTGAGATTAGATGCTGCTAATCTCAGATGGGAGGATAATTTCTTAGGAGGAAGGACATTTCTTGAGTCATCAGCTCCAGATTCCTTTAAAGTGGTGAGGCTTCAGCCCAGAGGGCGACTAACATGAGAATTCCTGTTTGTGAGGTCATTGTCATGACCTCATAGCCAGGCTGTTCAAAATGTTTGCCCAGCTTCTGGCAGGATATGAGCTGATGCCTGCCCCGATTCTACAGACACCATGAGGTACTATTTTCATATTCTAGATTTGTGTTGATTTTCTTCAACTTCTTATAGATAAAAAGTAAAGACATTGACACCAGGCCCTCTTTATTTTGCTGAAAGAGATCGTATAATGATGAGAAAATTATTGTGAGTATCCTCTGGCAGGACTTTTAAAGGCAGAAAACTCCACAGTTGAATAGAAAGTGTTTTTACTGTGTGTACGTGATTAGTCAGTAGCTCTATTTGCTACGGAATTTACTATCCATTTTTTCTGCAAATAAACATAAAGTTTTTTCTTCTGTGAAAAAGTAACAGTTTGAAATGATTAGACTAGGTTATCAGTGGCAGAAATTCTTTATGACCCAGAGGTCTCAATTCAGATGCATCACAATCGAGAAGTTGTCACCATCTGTTTTTGATTATTTTGCCTTGTGCTGTTTATACCTGTTTCAGTTGGAGTTGGAAGAAAAGGTGTTGGTTCGTACAGATATTCAGAAAGCTAGTCTCTGAGGGTTAATATTAACTTTTTAAAGGATTGTCCTTCTTTTTTTTTATTTTTGAGCCGGAGTCTCATGCTGTCGCCAGACTGGAGTGCAGTGATGCAATCTCGGCTCACTGCAACCTCCGCCTCCTGGGAGCTGGGATTACAGGCGCGCACCACCACACCCAGCTAATTTTTGTATTTTTAGTAGAGATGCGGTTCCACCATGTTGGCCAGGATGGTCTCGATCTCCTGATCTCGTGATCCGTCCACCTCGGCCTCCCAAAATGCTGGGATTACAGGCATGAGCCACTGTGCCTGGCCTAAAGGATTGTCCCTTTAAGTAAATAAAAACTTAGAAAACCCTGTGTTTCTGTATTCTGGGTGCAAACACTTGATAAATTGTCCCTTTCCATCTTTTTTTTTTTTTTTTTTTTTTTTGAGACAGCGTCTCACTGTGTTGCCCAGGCTGGAGTGCAGTGGCGAAATCTTGGCTCACTGCAACCTCCGCTTCCCGGCTTCAAACGATTCTCGTGCCTGAGCCTCCAGAGTAACTGGGATTATAGGCACGTGCCACCACGCCCAGCTGATTTTTTTGTATTTTTAGTAGAGACGGGGTTTCACCATGTTGGCCAGGCTGGTCTCAAACTCACCTCAAGTGATCCGCCCGCCTCAGTCTCCCAAAGTACTGGGATTACAGGCGTGAGCCACCACGCCCGGCCCCTTTTCATCTTTTATTTAAGTAATGCAGTACGTAAACAATGGAACTTTTTTCTAAGTTTGACTGTGAGTTTAAGTGGAGAGATGATGCACCACCTCCCAAATAATAATTTTCTTATTGCTTTGCACCCATAAAGCATGTCAGTGTCAGAGAGACATCACATCCTGTTTTTTGAAGTAGACTGTGCTTTTAAAAGCATTGCCCTGTGTGTTCTCTGTTTTTCCCCCTCCGAAACAGTCACATGTCCCTATTTTCTTAAATACATAAAACCTAGAATCTTTTTTTTTTTTTTTTTTGGAGACAGAATCTCACTCTGTCACCCAGGCTGGAGTGCAGTGGTCTGATCTCAGCTAACCACAACTTCTGCCTCCCAGGTTCAAGTGATTCTCCTGGCTTAGCCTGCTGAATAGCTGGGACTACTGGTGCGCACCACCACACCCGGCTAATTTTTGTAGTTTAGTAGAGATGGGGGTTTCACCTTGTTGTCCAGGCTGGTCTCGAACTACTGACCTCAGGTGATCTGTCTGCCTCAGCTTCCCAAAGTGCTGGGATTACAGGTGGGAGCCACCGTGCCCAGCCAAGATCTAGACTCTTAAAACACTTTCTTAGAGACTAAGAGCCCTTTATGGGTCCACTAGGTGTATGCCCTTTCAAATGTCTCTCTTTAACTGGGTTGTCTTTAAGATAGCTTTGTAGAAATGAGCCATCCTGTACACATAAGTTGTAAGAACTTGAAATTGCCAGTCTGGCTGGGCATGGTGGCACATGCCTGTAATCCCAGCACTCTGGGAGGCCGAGGCGGGCAGATCACTTGAGGTCAGGAAATCGAGACCCTCCTGGCCAATATGGTGAAACCTCGTCTCTACTAAAAATACAAAAAATTAGCTGGGCATGGTGGCACACGCCTGTAATCCCAACTACTTGGGAGGTTGAGGCAGGAGAATCCCTTGAACCCAGGAGGCAGAGGTTGCAGTAAGGCGAGATGCCACTGTACTCCAGCCTAGGTGACAGAGTGAGACTCCATCTAAAAAAAAAAAAAAAACAAGATTGCCAATCTGCAGTGAATTTTAGCCACAGGGACAATATATAACTTCTTTAGATCAAGTTTCATTATTAAAAACATTTCTGGCTGGGTGTGGTGGTTCACACCTGTAATCCCAGCACTTTGGGAGGCCGAGGTGGGTGGATCACTTGAGGTCAGGAGTTCAAGACCAGCCTGGCCAACATAGCGAAACCCTGTCTCTACTAAAAATACAAAAATTAGCCGGGGGTGGTGGTGTGTGCCTGTAGTCCCAGTTACTCGGGAGGCTGAGGCAGGAGGATTGCTTGAGCCTGGGAGGTGGAAGTTGTAGTGAACTGAGAGTGGGCCACTGCACTCCAGCCTGGGCAACAGGAATGAAACCCTGTCTCAAAAAAAAACCAAAAAACAATTTTTGTGCTTTTAGTATGTATTCTTATTAGGGAGAATAGAAGTGAATCTTTAACCTTTGAATTCACATTCACCTTGCAAGATCTCTTTCACGGAAGGGTAGTTACTGAGATGTGTCTGAGTGGTAGCGGGCATTAGAGTGGGAGTGATTCTCGAGCCGGCTTGCCATGGTGGTTTTCTGGGGCTCCTGGAACAGTGACTGCCCTCTGTGCTTTGCGTGAAGTGTTGTACAGCACTAACTTCACCACCAAACTTTGGGATTCATTGCTGGGGCCCTGTTTTGTTTTCATTCAAGATCCTGGTAACTCACTCACTCTCTTCTACCACAAGTCAATTTTTTCCTTATGTGGATATTTTGAATATTCTTACCTTAATGAGGCAGGTTATAGGGGATTGCTTATTAAAAGGAATAAATACAGAAAGCATATTTTTATGTTTTGAGAAGGCTATGGTCTTGAACTGTATGTATACCCAACCTCAGATTTCCTTCTTTCTTTTGTTTTGTTTTTAGAGATGGGGCTCGTTCTATTGCCCAGGCTGGAGTGCAGTCGTGTAATCATAGGTCACTGCAGTCTTGGCCTCATGGGCTCAAGCCGTTCTCCTGCCTCGGCCTCCTGAGTAGCTCGCTCTATAGGCGTGATCCACCACACACAGTTAATTTGTATTTTTTTGTAGAGATGGGGGTCTCACTGTGTTGCCCAGGCTGGTCTCAAACTCCTGGACTTAAGCAATCCTCTCACCTCAGCCCCCTAACGTGCTAGGATTACAGGTGTGAACCACTGTGCCTGGCTTGGAAGACAGATTTTTATGTAATTTACTGTTCAAATAATGTGTAGTGATAAGAAGTGATATCTGAGAGGAAAATGAGGAGCTTGGATTCTTAGAATTAGTGATACAACTAACATTTGTGATTCTTGTATGGACTGGTGGTGGTGCATTCAAATGGTGTTCCAACTATTTGAAACATCCCCCAGGTGCTGGTGTTTTCCAGGCATTGAGGCTATGACAGTATCTAACGCGCTAAATACTAAATCTTGACTTTATGAAGGGTAGAACACATTTTTGTGTTGTTGGGAGGAAGAATAGTCCTACTTTCAGGAATACTAAATTTGACATCCCAAATGTCATTTATTTTTCATGTCCTAAAGCTGACATGAAGTTCTTATTACTATTTTATTTATTATTTTCTTTTTGAGACGAAGTCTCGCTTCTGTGCCCCAGGCTGGAGTACGATGGCGCGATCTCAGCTCACTGCACCCTCCGCCTCCTGGGTTCAAGCGATTTTCCTGCCTCAGCCTCCCGAGTAGCTGGGATTACAGGCACCCGCCACTATGCCCAGCTAATTTTTGTATTTTTAGTAGAGATGGGGTGTCACCATGTTGGCCAGGCTGGTCTTGAACTCCTGACCTCAGGTGATCCACCTGCCTCAGCCTCCCAAAGTGCTGGGATTACAGGCGTGAGCCACTGCACCTGGCCTTGTTCTTCTTTTTGTTAGACGGAGTCTTGCTTTGTCACCCGGGCTGGAGTGCAGTGACATGGTCTTAGCTCACTGCAGATCCTGCCTCCTGGATTCAAGCATTCCTCCTGCCTCAGCCTCCTAAGTAGCTGGGATTACAGGTGCCCGCCACCACATCTGGCTAATTTTTGTATTTTTAGTAGAGACGGGGTTTCGCTATGTTGGCCAGGCTGGTCTCAAACTGCCAACCTCAAGTGATCTGCCTGTCCCGGCCTCCCAAGTGTTGGGATTACAAGTGTGAGCCACCACACCGAGCCGGAAGTGTAAACCTTTTATGAGCAGGAAGAGAAGTGATTGTATGGCTGAGCAATCTGTTCATGGAGCCCTACTCCCTGGTGCGTAGTTGGGGCTTTGAAGTAGATCTCCCTGCTTCTCATATTCGAGGGAGTACAAGCAAAGCAGTAGCTGTTTTTGACTCTTTGGAAGTGACTTAAGTTCTAGAGATAAACATTTTATTCTTTTTTTTTTTTCATACCTCATCTGGCAGAAGAGAGATAAACATTATACAAATGGTTCTTGACTTGAAAAAAAATGGTCTAGCCGTGGTGTCAGTCAATGGTTTCAACAGTGGATTCTAGGGGTTAATGTGTAGGTATATTTTGTCACATTATAGTTTGGAAAGCAAGATTACATGACTTTTAAAAGCAAATGATGCCAGGTGCAGTGGCTCACACCTGTAATCCCAACACTTTGGGAGGCCGAGGTGGGCGGATCACTTGAGGCCAGGAGTTCCAGACCAGACTAGCCAACATGTCCAAACTCCATCTCTACTAAAAATGCAAAAATTAGCTGGGCGTGGTGGCGCATACCTGTAGTCCCAGCTACTGGAGAGGCTGAGATAGGAGAATCGTTTGAACCCAGGAGGTGGAGGTTGCAGTGAGCCGAGATTGTGCCACTGCACTTCAGCCTGGGTGCAGAGCGAGACTCCGTTTAAAAAAAAAATAATATATATATATATACATATATATATATATATATATATATGTATATATATATGTGTGTGTATATATGTGTATATATATGTGTGTGTATATATGTGTGTATATATATGTGTGTATATATATATTATATATATATATATATATATATATCTGAGACTGTGTAATTTATTAGAAAAGAGATTGAATTGGCTCACAGTTGTGCAGCCTGGAGAGGAAGCATAGCAGCATCTGTTTCTGGGGAGGCCTCAGGAAGCTTCTAATCATGGTGGAAGGCAAAGGGGGAACAGGCGCGTCACATGGCACCTGTTCCAGAAGCGAGAAAGAGAATGAGGGAGAGGAAGTGCCACACACTTTTAAATGACCCACCCTGCAAGAACTCACTGTCAAAAAGACAGCACCTAGCCATGAGGGATCCGCCCCCATGACCCAAACACCTCCCACCGGGCCCCCCCTCCAGCACTGGTGTTGACAGTTCAACATGAGATTTAGCAGAAGACAGATATCCAAACTGTATCTCTCCCCAACTACATTATAAATTCTTTTTTTTTTTTTTTTTTTTTTTTTGAGACAGGATCTCATTCTGCTCTCCTGGCTGGAATGCAGTGGTGCGATCTCGACTCACTGCAACCTCTGCCTTCTGGGTTTAAGCAATTCTCATGCCTCAGCCTCCTAAGTAGCTGGGCCTACAGGCATGCACCACCACGCCCGGCTAATTTTTGTATGTTTAGTAGAGACGGGGTTTCGCCATGTTGGCCAGGTTGGTCTCGAACACCTAACCTCAAGTGATCCGCCGGCTTTGGCCTCCCAAAGTGCTGGGATTACAGGCGTGAGCCACCGCACCCGGCCCTTTATAAATTCTTTGGGCTTAGATGTCTGTCATATAGTTTTGTGTCATCTGTAGCAAGCACCAGCTGTAATTTTGGTTTGGTATTGGATATACCTCAGCTGGTTTGTAGAGTCATTTAAATACTTCAGACTATTTTTCTCATTCATTTTATTTAGTAAACATTGTTTATAAAGTGCTGGGTAAAACATAAAGGTGACTAAAATACAGTTTCTTCCCTTGAGAGATTTCTAGTGTGGTGGAATCTGTGAGCTACACACATGGCCAAGTGTGCAAGGGGCTATTGCAGGGGCACAGACTTGCCATGGGTAGTGGAAGGATGAACAGATTTTCATTGCAAGGACTGGAGTAAGTTTTGTGGGGCAGATGAATGCCTGAGTTTGCCCTTGAGCCAAGTTTCAGCACCTGAAGACCACAAGACTTGGAAAGGACATTCGAAGCAAAGGGGACCCCCAGCCTTGAAAACATGGAGGAGGGGAAGCTGCTGTAGAGGTGTTGGGGAAGTCAGTTGTGTAGGTGATTTATGTCCATATCATTGAGAAGTTGAACCTCAGATTACTTCTTGATGAATAACTTAGCAGTGGTTCTCAAACTTTAGCATCTGGGCTGGGTGCAGTTGTTCATGCCTATGACCCCAGCACTTTGGGAGGCCGAGGCAGTAGGATTACTTGAGCCTAGGAGTTTAAAACCAGCCTGGGCAGCACAGTGAGACCCAGTCTCTACAAAAAAGAAATAAAAAACAATTACCTGGACTTGGTCGCACACGCCTGTAGTCCCAGCTACTCAGGAGGTTGGGGTTCGTGAATCACTTGAGCCCAGAATTCAAAGGGTGCGGTGAGCTACCATTGTGTCACTGCACTCTAATCTGGGTGATAAAACAAGACCTTGTCTCTGAAACAACAGCAACAATAATAAACTTCAGCATCCAAATAGCCTGAAGGCTTGTTAAAATACAGATAGTTGGCCGGGTGGTGGCTCACGCCTGTAATCCCAGCACTTTAGGAGGCCGAGGCAGGCAGATCATGAGGTCAGGAGATGGAGACCATCCTGGCTAACACGGTGAAACCCCGTCTCTACTAAAAATACAAAAAATTAGCCGGGCGTGGTTGCAGGTGCCTGTAGTCCCAGCTACTTGGGAGGCTGAGGCAGGAGAATGGCCTGAACCCGGGAGGCGGAGCTTGCAGTGAGCCGAGATCGCGCCACTGCGCTCCAGCCTGGGCGGCAGAGTGAGACTCCATCTCAAAAAAAAAAAAAAAATAGCTGGCCTACCCTCAGAGTTTGTTTCAGTAGGTTTGGGATTTGCATTTCTAACAAACTTTCATGTGATGCCGATTCTGTACATTTTGAGAACCTCTGCTGTAGAACCAGTGCTTCTGATGACTGCTTTATAGAAATGCATGTTTTATGTATAGTTGACTCTTGAATAACACAAGTTTGAACTGTGTCACCACACCCAGCCCTCTGACATTCTTAAAAACGAATGAGATCTCTAAAGAGCTTTTGTTTATGTATGTTATAGCTGTTAATATTTACCATATTAGAAATTAAAACTTGAGAATATTTAAAAATATTAATTCATTAGAAATAATAATAGGCCAGGTGCAGTGGTTCACGCCTTTAATCCCAGCACTTTGGGAGACTGAAGCAGGAGGATCGCTTGAGCCCAGGAGTTCCAGTCCAGCCTGGGCAACATAGCAGACCGCACTTCTACAAAAAAATAAAAATTTGGCCAAGCATGGTGGTGTGTGCCTGTAGTCTCAGCTGCTCGGGAGGATGGCTTGAGTCCAGGAGGTTGAGGCTACAGTGAGCTGTGATCGTGCCACTGCACTCCTGTCTGGGTGTCAGAGCAAGACCTTGTTTCTAAAAAAAAAAAAAAAAAAAAAAAAAATATATATATATATATATATATATATATATATATATATATATATGAAAAGGCATGTATTCAAGGGTTGAAATTTAACAAAATTATTTATCTCCTTTATGAAATGCTTCATCACACTCTTAAGTGACAGTAGTCCTCCCCCCCGCCTCCACAAGCACTTGTGATGTAAAATACAGAAAAGAATAGTGCAGTTTGGTTCCATTGCCTTGAAACAGCATGTACAGTTCTTATCCACCATTGCTTTTGTACCATCAGTGCAAGTGTCAACATAGTGAAAAAGGCAAATGATGTCTTAGTATTATTATGAAAATAGTTTTGATTCTCTAAAAGAGTCTCAAAGGTTCCCTGGGAGTGCACCGACCACACTTTGAGAACCACTGTATTATAGTAATGAAAGTCAGAGGCTGGGCACGGTGGTGCACGCCTGTAATCCCAGTGCTTTGGGAGGCTGAGGCGGGAGGATCCCTTGGGCCCAGGAGTTCAAGACCATTCTGGGCAATGTGGAGAAACCCCATCTCTACAAACATATTTAAAAATTAGCTGGGTGTGGTGGCATGTACCTGTAGTACTAGATACATGGGAGGCGAAGGTGGGAGAATCACTTGAGCTTGGGAGTTAGAGGCTGCAGTGAACTGTGATCGTGCTACTGCACTCCAGCTTGAGCAACAGGGCAAGACCCTATCTTAAAAAAACCAAGTCACGATTGGCAGGATGATCTTACCGTCAGCTTTGTAAGCTCAGAATCTCTCTCTCTTTTTTTTTTTTTTTTTGAGACATATTGCCCAGGGCTGGTCTCAAACTCTTTGGCTTAAACGATCCTCCTGCCTCGGCTTCTCAAAGTCTTGGGATTACAGATGTGAACCACTGTGCCAGCCAGAATCTCATTTTTTAAAAAAATCGTTTACTCAAAGATTAGATTCTTGAATCACACAAATTGAGAGATTGTAGTTTATAAAAAATAACCGTGTATTTATAATCAGAGAAATGCCAAAAAGACACTATTCTCTTTGGTCACTGTTGAAAATCTAAACTGTAATCTGAGCATAGAATTTTGGAACACTGACTTGACTATCCAAATGCCTATTTTTATCCAGCTTTGTGATCCTGACAAACCTTTTCCATAACAATGGTGTACCTGCTCCACGGACTCACTGTCTCTTTTCAAGAGAACCTTTTCCCATTAGTCAATAGACGTTTTCTTCATAGCTTCCTTTTTCTAGACTTTTTGGACTATACTTCTTTTTAGTTTGGCAACACATACTTAACATTTCTTCATTTTGATGTATTTTCTTTTTTTCTTTTCTTTTTTTGAGATGGAGTCTTGCACTTGCCCAGGCTGGAGTGCAGTGGTGTGATCTCGGCTCACTGCAACCTCTGTCTCCTGGGTTCAAGCGGTCCTCCTAACTCAGCCTCCCAAGTAACTGGGACTACAGGCGTGCAACACCACATCCGGCTAATTTTTGTATTTTTAGTAGAGATGGGGTTTTGCCATGTTGGCCAGGCTGGTCTCGAACTCCTGACCTCAGGTGAACCGCCTGCCTTGGCCTCCAAAAGTGCTGGGATTACAGGTGTGAACCAGTGCTCCCGGCCGAGCCCAATTCTTGATTTCTTTCCATCCCAAACTCTTTAAACTCTTGACCTCTGCAATTCAAGTTGTGAACATGAAACTTGTCTATCACCAGCCTCTTCTCTGCATTCTCTTTCCCTCCTTGTTATGCTAAAACTTGGATGGCCTCTGAAGATACTGCTCTTCACCCCTCTGAAGGGGGCTCCTCAGGGGAAGGTACATGGGGTAGCTGACCATGTTGTTTCCTGCTGATATGTTACTATTTCTCCATCCTTCAAACATTCAAGATCCTTTCAAGCGCTGCCACCTGTTACCCCTCCTGCAGCCGACATCCACTGACTTCATTCTCTTCCTTTCATTCCTTTTCACTTTTCCTTCCTTCTTACTGTCAACACCTCCTCCTCCAAATATAGACATGGGCAGTCCTACCAGCAGTCCTTTCAATACTCAGGCCTCTGAGTTCCATCCTGTGGTCAAAGGGATGAATCTTCTCACTCTAACCACCACCTCCTATCCTTTGACCCCTTGCTATTCATAGAGGTGGAGGGTCCTCAAAATGGCAGCATTAATATCCCCTGGGAGTGTAAGAAAGCTGAAGCTGCAGTTTCACAAGATCCTGGGGAGATTTGCATGCACATCTGAGCATCCAGTGTCGTCGCTGCAGCAGCCCTTCATCCGTTGCCGTCACTCCTTTTCACTGTCAGCGCTACTTTGCCTTCATGTCCCTTTTTACCCATCTCAGATGTCCTGTCCCATTTTAGTGACACTTTTCAAACACCCTTTAAAAATTACCATCGGCCGTGTGCGGTGTCTCACGCCTGTAACCCCAACACTTTAGGAGGCCAAGGCTAGTGGATCACAAGGTCAAGAGATTGAGACCATCCTGGCCAATATGGTGAAACCCCGTCTCTACTAAAAATACAAAATTTAGCTGGGCGTGGTGGTGGGCGCCTGTAGTCCCAGCTACTCATGAGTCTGAGGCAGGAGAATCGCTTGAACCTGGGAGGCAGAGGTCGCAGAGAGCTGAGATTGCGCCACTGCACTCCAGACTGGCGACAGAGCGAGACTGTCTCAAAAAAAAAAAAAAAAATTACCATCAACTCACTTGTTTCCCTTCCAGTTTTAACTTAACTGGCAAATTTTGATTATGGTTGAATTTAGGTATCTTCTTTGTGCCTGTGCCTGAACAGAAATGTGTTAGAAGAGAAAAAAAAAAAAAAGAAACTGGAGAGAATGATTTCGCTTTATTTTTTTTTTTTATTTTTTGAGATGGAGTCTTGCTCTGTCACCCAGGCCGGAGTGCAGTGGCGCGATCTCGGCCCACTGTAACCTCCGCCTCCTGGGTTCAAGCGATTCTCCCACCTCAGCCTCCTGAGTAGCTGGGATTACAAGCGCCCGCCACCATGCCCGGCTAATTTTTTATTTTTAGTAGAGGCGGGGTTTCACCATGTTGGCCAGGCTGGTTTCGAACTCCTGACCTCAGGTGATCCGCCCACCTCAGCCTTCCAAAGTGCTGGGATTATAGGTATGAGCCACTGCGCCCGGCCTTCGAGTGCCACCACTTCTTTGACCTTGGAAAGGTCACTTAACCTTGTAGATCGTCATTCTCTTTATTCCTGATTGGACTAATGGTAATTGCACACCTACCTTCACAGCTGAAGCCTGATACACAGGCAGTTTTGTATTTGTGCTATGTGAGCTCTTGATGCCATACATATGTAGGTCATTCTTGTAGTAGCAGAACTGATGTTTTTCATCTTGATGAGTGCTATCTCCTAAGTTTTAATATTAAATTTAGTGAAAAGAGATGAACTTTGGAATCACAATACCTGTGTTCGCATCTGTGCCACTGAGCAGAATGACCTTAGGAGACAGGTGATGAACAAGTGAGGAAACACATCTGTTAATTTCTTAATTTCTGCAGCATTTCTTCATTTGTAAAAAAGAGGTAATAATAGTGGCTAATTCATAGTATTGTAATGCTCAAATGGGATAGTAATTCACATAAAAATTATTTCTGAATTATAATGTTCTATGTGTTATGGTCCTTACATGTTGGGAGGGTGGGGGAGAAGGGTAGTTTGTCTTATTTTAGGTCCAAATCTCCTGATTCATTGAGCACAAGTGTCAAAAATTCAAATATGCTCAGCTTATTAGTGAGGCAACAATGTCTTTTTTTTTTTGTTTTGCACATTTTTTGGAATTGATTAGTTTCAATGTGACATTCACTGACCTTGAAACATTATACAGAGATGTTGCCTCTTGATCACTGCATGTTGTGGGTACCATGACAAAGACTTTGATCTTTTGTTTTTTTGAAGCAAGCCTGACATGCCAGTCATTAATAATGCATGAAAAAGAAATTATAAATTGGAAGATTTAAAAAATCAACACTGGCGTTGTTGCTGCTAATTCTTTTATTGAGACAGACTAGATTTTTCTCCTTCATTAAACCTTGGTCACAGTTCTCCGCGTTAGGATTCAAGGAACACAGATGGACCGACAACCAGAGGCATGAGGATTGGACAACAGAGCCCTAGACAGAGCTTATGATTAGTCTTTGGTTTGTAATAACCACATGCTTCTGTGTTTTAGGCGGAGGCTTGAAGATGGTCAGATTTTTGTGAGTTTATGATACTGAGCTGCAAGATTTGAAAGTTCCCTTGTTAGGTCTTGTGGCCGTTTTCAAAATTCCTCTTTAGGGAGTGCTTGACGTGAGCCCAACAGCTCCCTGTTGTGTGCAAGTGAAATAATTTAAGGAGCATTTTGTTCTTTCATTTTGTCACCGTAAAAGGTTTTCCAGAACCACAGTGCCTGCTCCGTCTGTTCTCTGTCAGTTCTACCTGGCCCTTGTCACTCTATGAGGTTGGCCCAGGGTGAAGAGTAGGGAAGGCCCTAGGGAATTTCTACACTTAGCCTGTTTGCATCCTTCTCAAATTTTATGGACGTAGACATGGTCGTTGTTGGCTGAGTCTAGAGGAGACTTGGCCAATCCCTTCTATCTGTCTGAGGCAGCAGCAGGAACAAATAACTCTGCTTGAAACTTGCAAGCTGTGTGGTGAGAGTCTGACAGTAAAGCAGGTGGTTTCAAACCTGACTGTGAATCAGAACTACGGCCTTAGCGTAGGGACTCCCACCCGGATCTCTTTCCCTCATCACTGATGGCAGTGGTGATGGTGGTAATGGCGGTGAGGAGCTTGGGAATTTTATATTCATAATCAGGATAGTGACTTCTGTCTTCAGGTAAATGCCAGTTCTTACTCTGTCCTTCAGAATCTTCTCCCAAACCACACTTATTTATTTATTTATTTATTTATTTATTGAGACATAGTCTCACTCTACCACCTAGGGTGGAGTGCAGTGCACGATCTCGGCTCACTGCAGCCTCTGCCTCCTGGGTTCAGCCAATTCTCCTGCCACCTGAGTACCTGGGATTACAGGTGTGTACCACCATGCCTGACCTCTGCCTCTGTTTTCACGTGGCCTTCTTTCTATGTGTTCTCATCTTTTTTTTTTTCTTTTTCGAGGTGGTGTCTCGCTCAGTTGCCTAGGCTCACTACAACCTTCATCTTCTGGGATCAAGGGATTCTCGTGCCTCAGCCTTCCAAGTAACTGGGACTACAGGAGGCACGCGCCACAACGCCTGGCTAATTTTTTTTTTTTTTGAGACGGAGTTTTGCTCTCGTTGCCCAGGCGGGAGTGCAATGGCACAACCTGGGCTCACTACAACCTCTGCCTCCCGGGTTCAAGCAGTTCTCCTGCTGCAGCCTCTCGAGTAGCTGGGATTATAGGCATGCACCACCATGCCCGGCTAATTTTATATTTTTAGTAGAGACAGAGTTTCTCCATGTTGGTCAGGCTGGTCTCAAACCCCCAACCTCAGGTGATCTGCCTGCCTCGGCCTCTCAAAGTGCTGGGATTACAGGTGTGAGCCACCACGCCCGGCCATAATTTTTGTATTTTTAGGAGAGACGAGGTTTCACCAGGTTCACCAGGCTGGCCTTGGACTCCTGACCTCAAGTGATCCGTCCACCTTGGCGTCCCAAAGTGTTGGGATTACAGGCGTGAGCCAGTGCACCTGGTCACTTCTTCTTATAGGGATGCTTTTCATTGGGTTTTGGGCCTACCAAGGTAATCCAGGATGATCTTATCTCAAGATTCTTAATTATATCTGCAAAGATGCTTTTTCCAAATAAGATCACTTTCACAGGTGCTGGGGGACATGTCTTTGGGGGAGGGCACTGTTCCATCCGCTGGAGTGGGCTGCATGTACCTTTGTCATCCCTGGCCAGATTCTTTGCCAGTGGCTGGCGTTGGCTGTGAGGGAGACAAGATGAGAAAGTGAGGTCTGTGCTTCATCATCCAAGCTCTGCTCGCAGAGAAAAATGCAGAACATTGTCATTTGACAGAGTCATTAAATGGCAGCATTTTTCTCTTTGAATTGTTCTGTTTTTAGGTATTATGTCTGAAAATATTTCCCTATATTCCAAAACCCCAAGGTAATTTCAATTCACTTTCTATGGAGGTGAAGAGAATATGACAGGATACTATTTTACCTTAGTCCAAAAGTCATAGATTCATATCTGGTCTTGAGTAAACCAGCAGTATATTGTTTTTTTCTAGATAGAAACAAGGTAATTTTCCCTCATCACTTCCCAGGTAGGGCTTTTTCTTACATAGTTTTAATCTTCCTGTAGTTTAACATATATATAGTTTTATATTGTAAATTGCATAATTCTGTGGATTTAAAAAATATAGCTAATACAGGCTTGTTGTAGTAAAACTTAAGCAATATAGAAATGAAAGTAAAAAACTGAAAGCTTCCTTTTTCTCCCCGCATTGTTTGGTGTAGATTTTTCTGAACCCTCTTTTATGGATTGTGTGGGTTTTAGGAACTGTACTGAGCTAAGAACATTAGATATATAAAACAAAGCAAACACTTTGTTTGTCTTAATTGCTTATTTTTGTTTTTGTGTTTTTTGTTTGTTTGTTTTGAGTTGGGGTCTTGCTCTGTCACCCAGGCTGGAGTACAGTGGTGTGATCGATCATGGCTCACTGCAGCCTCAAACTCCTGGGCTCATGAAATCCTTCCCCCTCAGCCTCATGGCTAATTTATTTTTATTTTTATTTTTGTAGAGACAGGGTCTTGCTATATTGATCAGGCTGGTCTCGAACTCCTGGCCTCAAACAGTCCTCCTATCTTAGCCTCCCAAAGTGCTGGGATTACAGATGTGAGGAGTGGGTCATGGCACCTGGCTAACTGCTTGTCTTGAGGATAGTAAATTGCCTTTAAATCCATTTCAGCAGCATTTTCATGTGTTTAATAACCAGAGTCTTCTAGGTTCCTAGGTTCAGCCTGGAGATGGATTATTGTCAAATGAAAGGAAAGCTTTAGTCTATGAAAGCTACCTGTTGTTCCTACTTGCTCCTGTAGATTATAAAATCTTTTTATTTCTTTCTCTTTGCAGATTTAATCCAGAGACTGACTTCACTATAGAACCCACAGTTGTATCAATGGTTGGGGAAAGATAGTGGCAACAGGCAAAGGAGAAACAGCTCTGACATACAAAGAAAATGAGTATGCTAAAGCCAAGTGGGCTTAAGGCCCCCACCAAGATCCTGAAGCCTGGAAGCACAGCTCTGAAGACACCTACGGCTGGTAATACTTTACGCTTTTCCTTTCCTTATCCTATATGGAGACTTCAATTTGCTTTTTAATTTTAAAACATTATTTTATATCTGTTCATATTCTTGAAAATATTTGAAAGATTTTTTTTTTTTTTTGAGATGGAATCTAACTCTGTCACCCAGGCTGGAGTGCAGTGGCGCAATCTTGGCTCACTGCAGGCTCCGCCTCCTGGGTTCAAGCGATTCTCCTGCCTCAGCCTCCCAAGTAGCTGGGAATATAGGCGCATACTACCACGCTCAGCTAATTTTTGTATTATTAGTAGAGATGGGGTTTCACCATATTGGCCAGGCTGGTCTCGATCTCCTGACCTCGTGATCCACCCACCTCGGCCTCCCAAAGTGCTGAGATTACAGGCGTGAGCCACTGTGCCTTGCATTTTTTTTTTTTTTTTTTAAAGATGGAGTCTTGCTCTATTCCCCAGGCTGGAGTGCAGTGGCACAATCTCGGCTCACTGCAACCTCCACCTCCGGGGTTCAAGCGATTCTCCTGCCTCAGCCTCCCCAGTAGCTGGGATTACAGACACATGCCACCATACCCAGCTTATTTTTGTATTTTTAGTGGAGATGGGGTTTCACCATGTTGGCCAGGCTGGTCTTGAACTCCTGACCTCAAGTTATCTGCCTACCACAGCCTCCCAAAGTGCTGGATTATAGGTGTGAGCCACCATGCCTGGCCTGAAAGAATTTTTAATTGAAAGACGTAAAATTTTATATGTGGAGAGCTTAATGAATTTTTGTAGGGTTTTTTGTTTGCTTCTTTGTTTTTGAGACAAGGTTTCACTCTGTCGCCCAGGCTGGAGGGCAGTGGTACTGTCATGGCTCTCAGCGTCCCAAGTAGCTGGGATTACAGGCGCGCTCCACCACGTCTGGCTAAATTTTGTATTTTTAGTAGAGATGGGGTTTCACCATGTTGCCCAGGCTGGTCTTGAACTCCTGACCTCAGGTTATCTGCCTGCCTTGGCTTCCCAAAGTGCTGGGATTACAGGCATGAGCCACCATGCCAGGCCTGGTTTTTGTTTTTTTTTTTTTTTGAGATGCTGTATTGTTCTGTTATCAAGGCTGGAATGCAGTGGCTCAATCTCGGCTCACTGCAACCTCCACCTCCCAGGTTCAAGCGATTCTCCTGCCTCAGCCTCCAGAGTAGCTGGGATTAATGGCACCCACCACTATGCCTGGCTAATTTTTGTTTTTTTTTGGTTTTGTTTTGTTTTTTGAGACGGAGTTTCACTCTTGTTGCCCAGGCAAGAGTGCAGTGACATGATTTCGGCTCACTGCAACCTCTGCCTCCCAGGTGCAAGCGATTCTCCTGCCTCAGCCTCCCGAGTAGCTGGGACTACAGGCGCGCTCCACCATGCCCGGCTAATTTTGTATTTTTAGTAGAGATGGGGTTTCTCCACATTGGTCAGGCTGGTCTCAAACTCCCGACCTCAGGTGATCTGCCCGCCTCGGCCTCCCAAAGTGCTGGGATTACAGGTGTGAGCCACTGCACCCGGCCCTATATTTTTTAGTAGGAATGGGGTTTCATCATGTTGACTGGGCTGGTCTCAAACTCCAGACCTCAAATGATCCACCCACCTCAGCCTCTCAAAGAAGTGGGATTACAGGCGTGAGCCACTGTGCCTGGAATAGTCCTAGTTTTTATCAGCTTCGATTGACTACTCAATTGTGGAGTAGTGCTATTTAGTGAATGTGAATGGATATTTGCTCATGATGTGCAGGGTGGCGGGTGTAGCAAATAATGAAATCAGACCAATTATGAATATAGGCCTGGAAAAAGGACTGATTTTATTTTTTTCTTACTTTGACTTTTTCTAATCTTAATTGCAAATAAAGGAATAAACCTCAACTACCAGTTTGCGGAGTTTAGCAGCATTGAAGATGGTAGTGAAGGATCAGTTATTCTTGGCTTCCTTGTTTAAAACAAAACAGCACAAAACAAACAAAAACACTTTGGTGAGGCACAGTGGCTCATGCCTGTAATCCTAACACTTTGGGAGGCTGAGGCGGGAGGTTCACCTGAGGTCAGGAGTTTGAGACCAGCCTGGCCAACGTGGTGAGACCCCGTCTCTACTAAAAATACAAAAATTAGCCAGATATGGTGGTGCACATCTGTAATCCTAGCTACTCAGGAGGCTGAAGGAGGAGAATCACTTGTACCCGGAAGGTGGAGGTTGCAGTGAGCCGAGATCACACCACTGCATTCTAGCCTGGGCGACAGAGCGAGACTGTCTCAAAAGAACAAAAAACCACACTTTAAAACACCTTTCTAAGAGTTCTGGGCTACTCCTGTGGGCTGTTGGCTTTCTCTAGTTTTTCTTTAAGTTAGAGGTTGTCTGCTTGAAAATTAAATCGAATCTCTTATGATCTTTTGTTTTCAGTTGTAGCTCCAGTAGAAAAAACCATATCCAGTGAAAAAGCATCAAGCACTCCATCATCTGAGACTCAGGAGGAATTTGTGGATGACTTTCGAGTTGGGGAGCGAGTTTGGGTGAATGGAAATAAGCCTGGATTTATCCAGTTTCTTGGAGAAACCCAGTTTGCACCAGGCCAGTGGGCTGGAATTGTTTTAGATGAACCCATAGGCAAGAACGATGGTTCGGTGGCAGGAGTTCGGTATTTCCAGTGTGAACCTTTAAAGGGCATATTTACCCGACCTTCAAAGTTAACAAGGAAGGTGCAAGCAGAAGATGAAGCTAATGGCCTGCAGACAACGCCCGCCTCCCGAGCTACTTCACCGCTGTGCACTTCTACGGCCAGCATGGTGTCTTCCTCCCCCTCCACCCCTTCAAACATCCCTCAGAAACCATCACAGCCAGCAGCAAAGGAACCTTCAGCTACGCCTCCGATCAGCAACCTTACAAAAACTGCCAGTGAATCTATCTCCAACCTTTCAGAGGCTGGCTCAATCAAGAAAGGAGAAAGAGAGCTCAAAATCGGAGACAGAGTATTGGTGAGTAGAGAAACATTCTGAGGTCATTTCATTGAACTGAGATATAAACACCAGTGAGTGGTTGAAATACACACACATCAGGGCTGGGCGCGGTGGCTCACACCTATAATCCCAGCACTTTGGGAGGCTGAGGCGGGTGGATCACGAGGTCAGGAGTTCAAGACCAGCCTGGCCAAGATGGTGAAACCCTGTCTCTACTAAAAATACAAAAAAATTAGCTGGGATTGGTGGGGGCGCCTGTAATCCCAGCTACTCAGGAGGCTGAGGCAGAGAATTGCCTGAACCTGGGAGGTGGAGGTTGCAGTGAGCCGAGATTGCGCCACTACACTCCAGCCTGGGCGAGAGAGTGAGACTCTGTCTCAAAAAAAAAAAAAAAATGCCAGAAATACACACATAGGATACTCCTTGGCTCAGAGTCTGTTCTGGAGGGATGACCACTCTTTTATAGAGAAATTAATCAGTTCAGTTTATGGGTAACTACGCAACAAATTAGAAACTGGCTGTGCAGTTTGTGTCTAGAAAGAGCAGTGAACTATTCTAGTTGTATCTAGCAGTTTAGCTAAAAGAATATTGAGTTTATAATTTCTAAATATTTACTTTTATTATTAAAAATTTTCTTGGCCAGGTGCCGTGGCTCATGCCTGTAATCCCAGCACTTTGGGAGTCCCAGGTGGGTGGATCACGAGGTCAGGAGATCAAGACCATCCTGGCTAATGCGGTGAAACCCCATCTCTACTAAAAAAATACAAAAAAAATTAGCCGGGCATGGTGGCATGCGCCTGTAGTCCCAGCTACTCGGGAGGCTGAGGCAAGAGAATGGCCTGAACCCAGGAGGCGGAGCTTGCAGTGAGCCGAGATTGCGCCACCGCACTCCAGCCTAGGAGACAGAGCGAGACTCTGTCTCAAAGAAAAAAAAAATTTTTTTTCTTAATATTATATGGCTCCCTGTTGGGGACTCAAACTCCAGTCTCCACATGACAGGCAGAAACACTCACCACTATACTAACAAGGAACTTGTAAATAGTAAGGTAACCGTGGCTAGGTACGGTGGCTTACGCCTGTAATCCCAGCATTTTGGGAGGCCAAGGTGGGAGGATCACTTGAACCTGGGCAACAAAGTGAGACCCTGTCTCTATAAAAAATAAAATAATTGGCCGGGCGGGGTGGCTCATTCCTGTAATCCCAGTAGTTTGGGAGGCTAAGCGGGTGGATCACTTGAGGTCAGGAGTTCAAGACCAGCCTGGCCAACATGGCGACACCCCGTCTCTACTAAAAATACAAAAATTAGACAGGCATGGTGGCAGGCACCTGTAATCCAAGCTACTTGGAGGTTTAGGCAGGAGAATCACTTAAACCCAGGAGGTGGAGGTTGCAGTGAGCCAAGATCGCGTCACTACACTCCAGCCTGGGCAACAAAGCAAGACTCCATATAAAACAAAATTAAAATAAGCCGGACATGGGGTCTCACGCCTGTAGTCCCAGCTACTCAGGAGGCTGAGCCTGGGAGATGGAAGCTGCAGGGAACTATGATTATGTCATGGCACTCCAGCAAGACCCTGTTTCAAAAAAAAAAAAAAAAAGAGTAACTTTATTGACAAAATAAGCTCAGAAGTGAACTTAGATGTGTTTATAAAAATTGGATTTTTTTTCCCCTTCTGATTTTTAATTTTTGGTTTAGTGAAATTATATGGGTGTGTATAAGATTCTGCTACCTTAAATGGCTTGGAAAACTCAAGGCATCAGAGGATGTTACTCAAGAATTTCTGGGCCAAGGCCAGGTGCAGTGGCTCATGCCTATAATACCAGCAGTTTTGGAGGCCGAGGCAGGCATATCACCTAAGGTCAGGAGTTCAAGACCAGCCTGGTCAACATGGTGAAACCCCGTCTCTACTAAAAATACAAAAATTAGCTGAGCTCAGTGGCACACACCTGTAATCCCAGCTACTTGGGAAGCTGAGGCAGGAGAATTGGTTGAACCCAGGATGGGGAGGTTGCAGTGAACTGAGTTTGCGCCACTGCACTCTAGCCTGGGCAACAGAGTGAGACTCTATGTCAAAGAAAAAAAAAAAAAAAGAATTTCAGGGCCTTTCAAATGATAAGGTTTAGATTTAGGAAGAGGAAGGAAATGTACAGTAGCTACTGTTTGACTAATAAGCAGAAACACAAGGTGTAAGGTCTACATGCTCTACATTCTAGAACCTCAGAATTTAGTGATTTTTTTTTTAAAGAGGGGCAGCGTATCATAGTGCTAAGAAGACAAACTAAGTCCCTGCTTTGCCTTTGGGACCTCAGTGAGATATTTAACAACTTTGTTTCCTAACCTCCATAAGCAAGGCTACAGTGCTGCATTTAGATTATATTTGATATTTCTAGGATGTGATGTCAGGTTCTTGGACAATTTGACTGACGCCCAGCTGTTGTGTTTCAACGTGGTTGTCTCCATGCCTTGGACTGCAT
Organism: Homo sapiens; assembly: GCF_000001405.40. NCBI lineage: Eukaryota > Metazoa > Chordata > Mammalia > Primates > Hominidae > Homo > Homo sapiens. The sequence goes on along the minus strand of NC_000012.12, from coordinate 122,374,931 downwards.
GTTCTGTGCTGAATTTTTAGCTCATGACCATATATGAGGAGGTGACTTGTCAGCTTTTTAGATTTGAACTGACAAGCTTTATCTTTCTGTGAGCTACTCCCCAGGGCTCTTACACTAAGAATCTTAGAGTAGAATTTTCTTGTTCTCAACACTCTTTTTTTTTATTTTTGGAGACAGAGTCTCGCTCTGTTGCCCAGGCTAGAGTGCAGTGGCGCGATCTTGGCTCACTGTAACCTCCGCCTCCTGGGTTCAAGCAGTTCTCCTGCCTCAGCCTCCTGAGTAGCTGGGATTACAGGCGCCCACCACCATGCCCAGCTACTTTTTGTATTTTTAGTAGAGACAGGGTTTCACCATGTTGGTCAGGCTAGTCTCAAACCCCTGACCTCGTGATCCACCCGACTCGGCCTCCCAAAGTGCTGGGATTACAGGTGTGAGCCACCGCGCCTGGCTGCTAATTTTTTTTTTTGGTATTTTTAGTAGAGACGGGGTTTCACCATGTTAGCCAGGATGGTCTCGATCTCTTGACCTCGTGATCTGCCTGCCTCGGCCTCCCAAACTGCTGGGATTACAGGTGTGAGCCACTGCGCCCGGCCGCTATTTTTTTTTTTTTTTTTTTGTATTTTTAGTAGAGACGGGGTTTCACTGTGTTAGCCAGGATGGTCTCGATCTCCTGACCTTGTGATCTGCCTGCCTCCGCCTCCCAAAGTGTTGGGGTTACAGGCGTGAGCTACCACGCCCAGCCTAATTTTTGTATTTTTAATAGAGACAGGGTTTCACCATATTGGCCAGGCTGTTCTCAAACTCCTGACCTCGTGATCCGCTCTCCTTGGCCTCCCAAAGTGCTAGGATTACAGGCACGAGCTCAACACTTGTTATACAGGTCTTTGATACTGTGAAAGGGGAAAAATATCTTCCTGAGAATTAAAAAAAATATTTACAAGATTTGTTTTGCTTGTGTTTGAACCTTAAATAACTATAATTTATCCAGTATGTGCTTTTTTTGTGTCTGTCTTCATTTGCTGAACATTATTTTTGTGAGGTTTGTCTATAATATGTAGAAGTGAAACACACACATAGTGAGGTCTTATTACATATAAGCCATTTTCATAATATGCTTTCGTAGATTGTAGACTGTAGATTTGGGGCACTTGTATGGAAGCAAATACAGGTCTTAATTTAAAACAGTAAGCTGCTGTTTCATATTATACTCTTTGGATGTACTATACCTAATTTAATCATACACATTTAGATTGCACCCATTTTTCCCCTAGAAATGAAATTTGAGTCAAGGGGTATAAATAATTTAAAATTGTTAATAGATATTGCCAAATTGCAATCCAAAAAGCCTTTATTTTTGTTTCCACAAACAGTATACAAGTATGTCCTTCCTGGTAAGTTTTTTTTTTTTTCAGTCTTACTGGTGCTTTTTTTCACCTTGTTTATTAAGTTAATTAAAGCTCTTTTTTTAGATTCATTTACCATATTAACTTTTTTTTTTTCTTTTTTTTGAGACAGAGTCTCACTCTGTCCCCCTAGGTTGGAGTGCAGTGGCGCAATCTTGGCTCACTGCAACCTCTGCCTGCCGGGTTCAAGCGATTCTCGTGCCTCAGCCTCCGGAGCTGGGACTACAGACGTGCGCCACCACACCTGGCTAATTCTTTGTATTTTTAGTAGAGATGGGGTTTTGTCATGTTGCCCAAGCTAGTCTTGAACTCCTGAGCTCAGGCAATCCACCTGCCTCTGCCTCCCAAAGTGCTGCGATTACAGGCGTGAGCCACCACGCCCGGCCCTTATTAACTTTTTTAATTAAATTTTTTTTATTACCGTAGGTTATTGGGGAACCAGTGGTGTTTGCTTACGTGAGTGAGTTCTTTAGTGGTGTTTTGTGAGATTTTGGTGCACCCATCTTCCGAGCAGTATACGCTGCACCTAATAATTCGATTTTTTCTGTTTTTCTCAATCCTCTTATCGGTGACTTAGAACCTCAAACCTATGAGCCTGGTTGTGACCTTGCATTTACATTGAGTGTTTCTTCATTGTCTACTTGGGGAATTCTTGGGCTCTTTTTGGGTGGGAGTTTATGCTCTGGGGAAGTTGTTCTTTACCTGAAATCCATTTGCCTAGATTGCTGATGGAGTAGTTAGTGGCAGGATTTGCTGTTTTGTGTGGTCCACAATTGAGAAGATGCCAGATAGTCACATTTAGTTAAAAGCCCCTTTTGGCTGAATCTTGAGATCGTTTCTAACACAATGGATTTTACTTAGCTTAATTCCTTTGCGATGAGGTTTGCTGCAGATTTGAATAATTATTTTTTCTGATTTTAGTTTTGTTTTTTTTTTTTTAATCAAGATGGAATCTCGCTCTTTTGCCCAGCTGGAGTGCAGTGGCATGATCTCAGTTCACTGCATCCTCTGCCCCGTGAGTTCAAGCGATTCTCCTGCCTCAGCTTCCCAAGTAGCGTAGCTGGGATTACAGGCACCCACCACCACACCCGACTAATTTTTTTTTTTTTTCTTTAGACCAGGTTTCACTCTTGTCGCCCAGGCTGGAGTGCAATGGCGCAATCTCACTGCAACCTCCGCCTCCCGGGTTCAAGTGATTCTCCTGTCTCAGCCTCCTGAGTAGCTGGGATTATCTGGATGTGCCACCACGCCTGGCTAATTTTGTATTTTTAGTAGAGACGGGGTTTTTCCATGTTGGTCAGGCTGGTCTTGAACTCCTGACCTCAGGTGATCTGCTCGCCTCGGCCTCCCAAAGCATTGGGATTACAGGTGTGAGCCACCACACCCAGACTGTATTTTTTTTTTTTCCCCATAGAGACAGGGTTTCACCATGTTGGCCAGTATGGTCTCGAACTCCTGACCTCAAGTGATCCGCCCACCTTGGCCTCCCAAAGTTCTGGGATTACAGGCGTGAGCCACTGTGCCCGGCCAAGTTTTTTTTTCATTTTTCAGTTTCCCAGTTCTAAACTTCACCTAGTGTAACCTTTTAGGGTTGTCCAGGAGGGAAATACATGGCCCCTTATGCTGCTGCAGAGAAGCTGCGTTAAGCAGCTTTTTCCTGTTTGCACACAGCAGACTCAGTGGGGTCACATTTTAGCAGGTCATCGTTGTCAGTGCTCTTCCTGCTCCTTGCTTTCAGTTTTGAGAGGGTTCCCCAGTTTTCCTTTTGAGGCTTGGAAACACAGGAAACCGTCCACCTGCCTGTCAGATCCCATGCCTCTGGTCTCACTGTCCATCCTCCTCGCCTGTGTCCTGTGCCCTGTGCCCTGACTGCTTTGGGTCAGGCCATCATCATCTTTACCTGGACTTGCATGGCACCGTCCATGCCACTTGCCTTGTCTCTCCTCACCTCTATTCTTTGCACAATTACAGAGAGATCAATTAAAATGTCAATTTGGTGATGCTGTTCCTTTGCCTAAACTCTTTTTAATAGTGCCCAGTCTGCCTGCAACGTTGGCTTTGATTTTCACAATGTTTGGAGCGTTTTCTATGGTGCTCAGTAATTGGGCGGTGGTTTCTTTTTCTAAACCTGAGCCAATATCCTAACCCCAAAGGTGCCAAATTTGGTGTCTGTCTAGACTTGAGAACTTTGTATAGGCTCTTGGGGCTTGGGAGTTTGGAGCTTTTCTGTGTTGAGGAGCCCATGCCACTGCTTTGGGACTTGGGGAGAGGGAGGTTTGGCCACACAGGCCTGAGTACTGAGTGCCAGTGTTGTCTTATTACTGGATCACATCTCCTAACTTTTAACAACTTTATTGTCCCTGTGAATTCTCTAAGCATAATCACAAAAATATCTTGAGCCTCAGACACTTGGTAGCTTATGATCTTTTGTAGATTTAAAAAGCAAACTTTGCTAATATTTTGGTCAAGTGGGTGCCATATAAAAGACTGCTTCTGGTGAATAAATATTCTGCATTTTATCAACCCCCAGGGTTAGAAGAGGTGATTTTTTTTTTTTTCTTTTTTTTTTTTGAGACAGAGTCCTGCTCTGTTGCCCAGGCTGGAGTGCAGTGGCATGATCTCGGCTCACTGCAACCTCTGCCTCCCAGGTTCAGGCGATTCTCTTGTCCCAGCCTCCCATGTAGCTGGGATTACAGGCATGCATTACCCTTTCCTGTGTCTTGATATTCTTGGGGTCCTGGATCCTGTGGAAGCTCAGATGCCTTTCAGAAGCGGAGATTAAGTAGTTCCGAGACATAAAGTGCAAGTCAAGTAAAACATCATCTTTTAGCCAAAGCGTCTATTCATAATTGTGCATCTTTTGTTTACCTGTTAGTTCTAGGGAGTTAGACTTACAAGAGGGTATCTGTTATATGTCATCTGCTCTTGTCATATTTCTTTTTAAGGGGATTTATTTAATGTCACCTGTTAGAGATTGGGAGACTCAAAATGATATCATAAAAGGAATAAAGTAACTGGGACTGTTTATTTAGCCTAGAGAAAATATGATGGCTTTATAAAGGCTGTGTTTAATGCTCTGCAATTCATTCAGAAAATATCCTGAGCGTCTGCTATGCACCGGAAGTTGTTCCAGGTGTTGTAGATATGGCACCAACGAAGACCAACACATCGTGATCTAAAGGGGCTCCTCATGGCATTAAAATAAAAATCGAAACTCCTTCCTTGGACTTGCAGTGCCCCTTGTTCTCTGGACCCTGCCCACCCTCCCGACCTCTTGTCCTTCTCACACCCCTTTCTCACTCTGCTTCAGCTACACTGGCCCCTTTGCTGTTTCTTTTCTTTCTTCTTCTTCTTTTTTTTTTTTTTTGAGATAGGTTTTGCTCTGTTGCCCAGGCTGAAGTGCAGCAGCGCCATTTCGGCTCATTGCACCCTCTGCCTACAGGGCTCAAGCAATTGTCGCGCCCCAGCCTCCTGAGTAGCTGGGACTACAGGCGTGAGCCACCACAGCTGGCTAATTTTTGTATTTTTAGTAGAGACAGGGTTTCGCCATGTTGCCCAGGCTGGTCTCGAATTCCTGTCCTCAAATGATCTGTCTGCCTTGGCCTCCCAAAGTGCTGGAATTACAGGTGTGAGCCACCATGCCTGGCCCCCTTTGCTGTTTCTAAACACCCAGACTCATTCCCACTTTAGAATTTGTTGTTTCTTCTGCTTGGGATGTTTTGTGCCCGGTGCCTCGTGGTCACTTAAGTCATGCTCAAGTGTTACCTCCTCAGGCATCCCTTCCTTGGCCACCCCAACTAAAGACACCTTCTATGGCAGTGTCACACTACCCTGTTTTATTTTTTTCATAGCCCTCTTCACCAGTTGAAAATTATCTTTCATTTTTTTACTTGCTTATTGTCCATTTCTCCCTGCCCAGAATTTAACCTCCATGAAAGCACGGAAACTTTCTGTCTCATTCACTGTCACACCCACAACACTTAGGACAGGGCCTGGCACATAGTAGGAGCTCATTAAATAGTGTGGAGAGAATCAGAGGGTTTTGAATACAGTCGTCACTTTATACCCATGAAGGAGAGAGTAAAGTAGGGCAAGCAGAGGTCGACTTAGGACCAGTGAAGATTTTACCCTTCTCTGTAGGAGAGTTGCTGGAAGGTGAACTGGCCCTTCACTGGAGGTAATTATATTACTTGAGGTAATCAAAAGTGGCCAGACGTGGTGGCTCACGTCTGTAATCCTAGCATTTTGGGAGGTCAAGGTGGGTGGAATCAGTTGAGGTCAGGAGTTGGAGACTAGCCTGGCCAACATGGTGAAACCCTGTCTCTACTAAAAATACAAAAATATTAGCCGGGCGTGGTGGCACATGCCTGTAATCCCAGCTGCTTGGGAGGCTGAGGCAGGAAAATCTCTGGAACCCGGGAGGCAGAGGTTGTAGTGAGCTGAGATCATGCCACTGCACTCCAGCCTGGACGACAGAGCGAAACTCCGTCTCAAAAAGAAGGAAAAAAAAAAAAGTACCGTGCTTTGGCTCTTTCATGTCACAGGCAATTAAGTTTTAAGTGAGGCTTACATTTGTATTTGGCAAATACCAGCTAACCATGTTTATTTTATTTTATTTTTTTTTTATTGAAGTGCAGTGGTGTGATCTTGGGTCACTGCAACCTCCACCTCTGGGGTTGAAGTGATTTTCCCGCCTCAACCTCCCGAGTAGCTGGGATTACAGGTGCTTGCCACCATGCCCGACTAATTTTTGTATTTTTAGTAGAGACAGAATTTCAGGCCTGTCTCAAACTCCTGACCTCAAGTGATCTGCCTGCCTCGGCCTCCCAAAGAGCTAGGATTGCAGACATGAGTCACCCCACCTGGCCTCCATGTTTACTTTTTAAAATAAGCTGTTTATCTTGGAATATGGCAGATAAGAAGCCACCTTACAAGACTGCTCACAAAATTCCTGTGAAACAACCCCTCATTACTGCTCTTGAGACATTTTATAGCTTTATGCACTCAGGCACTGTGAGATTAAATGGCTTGCCGAGAACTGGATAATGAAGAGATGAGAGAGTCCAGAGAGGATTGTTTCTGTTTCCTGTTTGTAGACACCCACTCATTAACCCAACAGGAATTTATCAGTGTTTTTATTTTTTACAGGAGCGTACAGGAAGGGTATTTGTTTCTGTTCCCACAGCATTTTGTAGAAATCTCTTGATGTACTTAACACTTTTTACAGGAATTTCTTGTCTGAATCTTCTTGTCTGTCTCCCTCAATGGCCAACGCTGTATTCTGTTTATCCTTGTTTTTTAAGGATCCAAACACTCAAGAAATATATATTGAATAAATAAATGAGAACTTAAAAATCTGAGGTTTGCTAAAGCATAAAAATAGTATCTAGGGTTTTTTTTGCGTTTCTAGTTTAAATTAATTCTGTCTTCAGTAGTGACTTTTACCACAGTATTAGGAGTTACATGCTAACATTCTGAGAGTAAAGAGAACGAATTGGGCTTGTTTGTGTTTGCCATGGGAATCTATCTTTTAGTTTTTTTGTTTGTTTTTGAGACAGGGTCTCACTGTCTTGTCCAGGCTGGAGTGCAGTGTCATGATCATAGCTCACTTGCAGCCTCAGTAGCTGGGATCACAGGCACATGCCACCATGCCTGGCTAATTTTTAAATTTTTGTAGAGATGGAGTCTCACTGTGTTGCCCAGGCCAGTCTCAAACTCCTGGCCTCAGATGATCCTCCTGCCTTGGCCTCCCAAAATGGTGGGATTACAGGCATGAGCCACTGCACCTGGCCTTGTTTTTTGTTTCAATATTGAAAATGTTTTTCTTTAATAACTTAGATATTTGTCTTAGAACATAGATTTCTTAGATATGATTTGATAATAGTGCCTTCTGTTTATTGTCAATGCATTATTTAATGCTTCTGTTTCCTGTACGTGCATGTACTAGACTTTTCTGCATTGTCTGGAACACATGAGAAATAAAACCTAACTTTGTAAAGTCCCGTTGAAATGCGTAAACACGTTTTTTGATTGTAGAATGATTAAGTAGAAAAACATTTGATGATTTTAGGACTTCACCTGACTTTCTGTCTCCATAGAATAACTACTGATTTTTTACAGGGAAAAGAAAAATACATTTTCTGTTAAATGAGTGAAGAGTTCCATGTTTGGTGGGAGAAAGAATATAAGAAAACTTTTTGTTCTAGGAACTAGTAATCATTCATTTCAGACAAATTTTGTGACATAATTTTTTTTTCAGGATACATGTATATTACCTGCATTTAGAGAAATAGTTGCTAATTTGTTATTTGTGATTACTTTTTACAAAGCTGATCTGAATGAAGCTTGTAGTTTGCTTGGAGAATTGTTGACTATAGCCTATTAGATGCCTCTTGGAAAAGCAATTGTCATGACAGTGACTTCGACTCATCCCCAAAGAATTTAACACATTGTCTGAAGAGGTTGCATCATCTTTAACTAATGTGCTGTGTCCTGCTCACATGATGCTGGCTGGACTGCTGCTCTGAATGGTGTGGTGTGGGAGGAAGGAGAAAATTGAGGCCGACTTTATTTTCTTTTGACTCAACTGCAGTGAGACCAATTTTATATAGGTGATGATTTGTGTGTTAGTACTAACGAGTACTAAAAGGTCAAATGTGTCAAGTCTAGAACTAGTACTCTTTTTTTTGAGACAAGGTCTCACTCTGTCACCCAGGCTGGAGTACATTGGCACAGTCTTGGCTCACTGCAACCTCTGCCTCCTTGGTTCAAGCAACTCTTGTGCCTCAGCCACTTGAGTAGCTGGGATTATAGGCATGTGCCACTGCATCCAGCTAATTTTTGTATCTTTAGTAGAGATGGAGTTTCACCATGTTGGCCAAGCTGGTCTCGAACTCCTGGCCTCAAGTGATCCGCCTGCCTTGGCCTCCCAAAGTGTTGGAATTACAGACCTGAGCCACCGCACCCAGCCTAGGAAGGATAATTTTAATAGTTGTGAAGAAACAGAGAGCCTCACTGTGGAAAATAGCAAGAGTCAATTATTATTTTTTGAAACAGTTTCTTGTTCTATTGCCCAGGCTGTAGTGCAGTGGTGTGATCATGGCTCACTGCAGCCTTGGGGACTCCAGCGATCCTCCCACCTCAGCCTCCCAAAGTGCTGGGATTATAGGTGTGAACTTCCACACTGGGCCAATTATTTTTTGAAGTACTTTTTTTTTTTTTTGAGACAGAGTCTCTCCCTGTCGCCTAGGCTGGAGTGCAGTGGTGTGATCTTGGATCATTGCAACCTCCGCTTCCCGGGTGCAAGTTATTCTTGTGCCTCAGCCTCCCAAGTAGCTGGGACTACAGGCGTGAGCCACCACACCCAGCTGATTTTTGTATTTTTAGTAGAGACAGGTTTTTACCATGTTGGCCAGGCTGCTCTCAAACTCCCAACCTCAGGTGATCCACCCACCTTGGCCTCCCAAAGTGCTGGGAGGCGTGAGCCATCGTGCCTGGCCTATTTACTTTTTTATTTTTTTGAGGTGGAGTCTCACTCTGTCACCCAGGCTGGAGTGCAGTGGTACAACTGTGGCTCACTGCAGCCTCAAACCCTTGGGCTCAAGCAATCCTCCCACCTCAGCTTCCTGAGGAGTGGGACCACAGGCGCACACCACTATGCCCGGCTAATTTTTTTTATTATTTGTACAGACAGGGTCTTCCTTATGTTGTCCAGCCTGGTCTCGAACTCCTGGGCTCGAGCAGTTCTCCTGCCTGGGCCTCCCAAAGTGCTGAGATTACAGGCATGAACCACTGTGCCCAGCCACAAGTTTGTTTTGAAGCAGGAGCAGTTCTTTCTTTTTTTTTTTTTTTAAATAGCCCAGAGGTCCTTTATTTTATTTTATTTTTTAACATCTATTATGCCATGAATTCATAGGGAATAGGTTCCAGCAGCTCAGGCTCCTTCCCATTGGTTCTCACAAAGTGTGCTTCTCTGGGTGGAGCAGGCTGGCGCTTGAGTTGAACCCAGGTCCCTTGCTCTTTGGCTTCTTTCTTTTTCTGATCATTTTCCTTCACGCGTTTCAGGAAGCTATCTTGGCTCTTAGAGTGCTTAATGTGCTCCATACGCACATTATTTCTCTTGGCAAGAATCTTGCCCTTGTTTGTTTACAACAATGCCAACAGCATGCTGGGTAACATTGTAGACTTCCACTTTTGCCATGGTAACACTTGTGGGGCATTCCTTTTTGAACAGTACGCATTCCTTTGATGTCTACAATATCACCTTTCTTTTTTTTATTTTTATTTTATTATTATTATACTTTAAGTTTTAGGGTACATGTGCACATTGTGCAGGTTAGTTACATATGTATACATGTGCCATGCTGGTGTGCTGCACCCATTAACTCGTCATTTAGCATTAGGTATATCTCCTAATGCTATCCCTCTCCTCTCCCCCCACCCCACAACAGTCCCCAGAGTGTGATGTTCCCCTTACTGTGTCCATGTGTTCTCATTGTTCAATTCCCACCTATGAGTGAGAACATGCGGTGTTTGGTTTTTTGTCCTTGCGATAGTTTACTGAGAATGATGATTCCCAATTTCATCCATGTCCCTACAAAGGACATGAACTCATCATTTTTTATGGCTGCAATATCACCTTTCTTATAGATTTGCATATATGTGGCCAAAGGAGCAACTCCATTTTTTCTAAAAGGCCTAGAGAACATATATCGGGTGCCTCTCCTCTTTCGCTTTGTGTTCGTCATTTTGGCGAATTACTGGAAGATGGCGGTTCCGGCCGAAAGGCGAAGCAGGAACATTTCTGTTAGAAAAATAAAGTGAGGTCCAAGAGTGGTGGCTCACGCCTGTAATCCCAACACTTTGGGAAGCTGAGGTGGGCAGATCACTTGAGCCCAGGAGTTCAAGACCAGCCTGGGCAACATGGCAAAACCCTGTCTCCACAAAAAATACAAAAAAAAATAGCCTGTTTGGTGGTGTGCACCTGTAGTTTCAGCTACCCAGGAGGTTGAGGTGGGAAGATCCCCTAGCCCGGGAGGTCAAGGTTGCAGTGAGCCATGATGGTGCCACTGCACTCTAGCCTGGATGACAGAGTGAGACCCTGTCTCAAAAAAAAAAAAAAAAGTATTTTCTAAGAAAAGCAATAATGAACTTGGTGAACAGCCTTAATGACTGCATATTAGATTGGCTGTCTCATTATTGCAACATATTAGGCATCAAATCACTCTGGTAATATAAGTCAGCCAGGTAAGTTTCTTTGCCAGACTTCCTTCAAGAGAACTCTTAGAGTCAAAGAGAAGCTAAAGCAAAGAAGTTGCTGGTGGAAATGATGGAATGTAGTACCTAGTTACTAGTAGGGACCACAAACGATTAAGCTATAGAGTGATGTTCATCTCTTTATTTTAACCTTCTCTTCTTCCAGGTTGGTGGCACTAAGGCTGGTGTAGTCCGGTTTCTTGGGGAGACCGACTTTGCCAAGGGGGAGTGGTGTGGCGTGGAGTTAGATGAGCCACTTGGGAAGAATGATGGCGCTGTTGCTGGAACAAGGTTTGTTTGGCGTTGTGCAACATCTTGTGTCACTCTTGTACGTGACGATGCTCAGGCCAGTCTCACCAAGCGTGTATCATAACATGGAAAGTTGTGTTTGGAAGAGTGGCACTTTTATTTCCTAAGACCCATCTGCTAATTTTTTTTCCCCACACTAAAATTGGGGCTGTTCTTTTTGACTGTCTCCTTAGTAATACATGTAGTATGTCTGAGTAGATTCTGAACAAGCATTCTGTTTATTTTTCAAAATAGGAAATACCATGTTATCTGTCTGGCTTCTCTCCCTTTTGATAGGAGTTGACTTCTGAAAGAATACCTGGGCGTCTGGGGAGGGGGCGGGGGCAGAAGGTAGCCACCTTTATTAGGGAAAAGAACTGCAAAATGTGTCTTCATATTTGATGAGAATTCCATCCTGCGGCAGGAGAACAGACCGCCAAGCGGACCTCTTCCATCGTAAGGATAACCCCATTCTTTTTTTTTTTTTTTTGAGACAGGGCCTCTGTCTGTTGGCCGGGCTGGAGTGCAGTGGCGCCATCTCGGCTCAGTGCATGCAACCTCCCCCTTCTGGATTCAAGCAATTCTCCTGCCTCAGCCTCCCAAGTAGCTGAAATTACAGGCGCACGCCACAATGCCTGGCTAATTTTTGTATTTTTAGTAGAGACGGGGTGTTGCCCAGGCTGGTCTCAAACTCCTGGGCACAAGTGATCCACCTGTCTTGGTCTCCCAAAGTGCTGGTATTACAGGTGTGAGCCACCGCGTCCAGCCTGGATAACCCCGTTCTTGCCTCCCAGACACAGGATGGGAGTACAGTAATGCACACAGATGCAGAAGGAATTTCCCACTTTTCTTTTCAAAATGTTTTGAAGGCACAGGTGTTGTCTATGATGCATTATTAGTAGTATACAGTACATTAATGCATCACTTGATTATTAAAATGTGGTAGTTAACATTTTACTTATAAAACAGACAAATTGGTTATAAGCAAATTAATTATAGAGAAAAGGGCTTTATCTACCAGATACAGTAATTATGACTCATAGAGATAAAGCTCTCTTGGAACTGCAATGATTATGAAGCCATCTTTTCTTCATATTAAAACACTGTAATCCTTTAGAGTCATGGCATTGCCCATGTCAGTCTGAAAATAGACATTAATAGTTAATATTTCTCCATGTTTACTTTTTTTTTTTCCCTCCAATGCCGTTTTGTTTTTTCTGGGTCTTCTCAATGCTATACTTGCAGAGTACTTTATCTTTTTTTTTTTTTTTTATCATATTTTTATTGAAACAGATATTAAAAATTTTCAATGAACTTTTTTTTTTTTTTTTTTTTTTTTTTTTTTTGAGATGGAGTCTTGCTCTGTTGCCAGGCTGAAGTGCAGTGGCACAATCTTGGCTCACCGCAACCTCTGACTCTCAGGTTCAAGCGATTCTCCTGCTTCAGCCTCCCGAGTAGCTGGGATTACAGACACACACCACCACGCCCAGATAATTTTTGTATTTTTAGTAGAGACTGGGTTTCACCATGTTGGACAGGATGGTCTCGATCTCCTGACCTCATGATCCGCCCACCTTGGCCTCTGGAAGTTCTATTACAGGCGTGAGCCACGGCGCCTGGCCTCTTTTTTTTAACTAGATTTTTCCTGTATGTTAGCCATTTTGTATTTATATTTCTCTACAGTTAAGTTTGGGTAGATTTTTTTTTTTAATTAAAAAAAGTATATATTTTTTGGGCGGGGCATGGTGGCTCACGCCTGTAATCCCAGCACTTTGGGAGGCCAAGGTGGGCAGATCACGAGATCAGGAGTTCGAGACCATCCTGGCCAACATATTGAAACCCTGTCTCTACTAAAAATACAAAAATCAGCCAGGCAGGGTGGCGTGTGCCTGTAGTCCCAGCTACTCGGGAGGCTGAGGCAGGAGAATCGCTTGAACCTGGGAGGCGGAGGTTGTGGTGAGCTGAGATTGCGCCGCTGCACTCCAGCCTGGGCAACAGACTGAGACTTTGTCTCAAAAAAAAAAAAATTATACATTTTACTTATTTCAATAGGTTTTTGGGGAACAGATGGTGTTTGGTTATATGAATAACTTCTTTTGTAGTGATATCTGAGATTTTGGTGCGCCCATCACTTGAGTTTTTTATTTGTTTGTTTTGAGACAGAGTCCACCCCGTCACCCAGGCTGGACTACAGTGGTGCAATCTCGGGTTACTTCAGCCTTGACCTCTTGGGCTCAAGAGAGCCTCCTGCACCACCATGCCTGGCTAGTTTTTGTATTTTTTGTAGAGACGGGGTCTGTCCATATTGCCCTGGCTGGTCTTGAACTCCTGGGCTCAAGTGATCTGCCGCCTCGGCCTCCCACAGTGCTGGGATTACAGGCGTGAGCCACCACGTCCAACTCTTCATGTTTACTTTAATGGATCTGCCAAAGTTAGGTGCCTGTTTGATTTCCTTTCCCTTTGTTTGGCACGGTTTTATTAAATGGGCTTGTTCTATTGCTAAACTCCTCTGCTGTACATTTATCAGGTTGTGAAAATATTTATTTCCTTTATGCAGAATCTCAGCAACAGGTGAGCAATTCTGACTCTGTGTATCATATTGTCACCAGTGTGTGTTCTAAACCATCACTGAGGTTGTTAGCCTACATACATGTGACTGCTACGTGCTGGTGTGTAACCCCAGCTTAGCTGTAGAATTTCCAGGAATCCAACCGTAAGTTAGGAGTTGGGAGAACCTTTTGGTTATAGTTATTATTTCTTGTGATTAAGTTGTTTTTTGTTATTGTTCTTATTGTTCTCTAAAGGTATTTTCAGTGTCAACCCAAATATGGCTTGTTCGCTCCTGTCCACAAAGTTACCAAGATTGGCTTCCCTTCCACTACACCAGCCAAAGCCAAGGCCAACGCAGTGAGGCGAGTGATGGCGACCACGTCCGCCAGCCTGAAGCGCAGCCCTTCTGCCTCTTCCCTCAGCTCCATGAGCTCAGTGGCCTCCTCTGTGAGCAGCAGGCCCAGTCGGACAGGACTAGTAAGGCCCCTTTCTCACTACCTGCCTCCACTTCCCAGGCAGGATTAAGGCCCGTGGTCAGTGCCCCTGCTTTGCTGCTTTGCTGCTTTGCTTGTCCTTGTGCTGAATGTTGCTCACAGCTTTTGCTGTGAAAGTCTTTGCAAGTAAGTTTTGAAAAATGTAACTCCAGCAAGAATGCGTTTTTTGAAATCAGAAAGTGCTTTTAATAGTCCCTTTCAGATTCTTAAAAGCTTAAAAATGCATGTGTTCTTGGTGAATCTGTATAACTACTGCCTAGTCTAACACAGGGGTCAAATTATTTTCTATGAAATTATTTTAGGACAAAATGATAGGAACATTGGAGAGATCCTTTTCTTCAAGTCCATAGATCTGTCTCTCCCTCTCTCTCTTTTTTTTATTTTTTCTTTTGAGTCAGGGTCTCACTTTGTCACCCAGCCTCAACGTCCCAGGCTCAAGCAGTCCTGCTGCCTCAGCCTCCCCAGTAGTTGGGACTACTGGTGCACACCACCACGCCTGGTTAATTTAATTTTTTTTTTTTTTTTTTTTTTGTAGAGAGAGGGACCCACTGTGTTGCCCAGGCTGGTCTCGAATTCTTAGGCTCAAGCGATCCTCTTGCCCTGGACTTCCAAAGTGTTGGGATTTACAGGCGTGAGCCACTGCTCCCAGCCTCTCTTTCTCTTTGACTTCAAATAATTTTAGGAAGTGAAGTGTTTTGAGAAAAGGTGTGTTAATAGGATTTTAATGTTAATACAACCTGACCTACTGGAAGCAGTTAGTGTGTGAAGTGTCCCTGACTTGAGCCAGAGGACACTAAAGGGAACTCTTGGAGCTGGAAGAGGATACTAGGAAAGCCTGTTTTGATTACTCTCTTCTTTCCTCTTCTTCTCCTGGTCCCTTTCCCTCTCTCCCTCTTTTTCCTGTTTAGAGCAGTAAAAATAGAATCACTAGCATTAAAATAGGCAACACCTCATTCTGTTTATTAAGGTGTTATTTTATTAGGGTCAAAGCCCTGCCCATAAGTTTATTACCTAGAAGTGGGGCAAATACTGTTTAAGTTAGAAATGGCGGCATCAGACTTTCCTCAGACTGAGTTCAGGTCTCCGCTGGGTGGTGGGGAACCGCAGACCAGGAGCTAGGATGTTGCGTTGTGCTGCGGGGAGGAGGTGGTTAGCCCAGGATCTCACGGTGCCTGCTCTTCCATTGTCGTCGGGCAGAGAAGGGACAGGTGCTGAAATCTTCACGTGGGGCTGTGCTCCTCTGCCAGCCATCTAGGCTTCCTTCCTCTATGTTCAGGTAGAATAAGTACTGCTCAGAGCATTTCCATTTGCGCATAAAGAGGAAGCCTGCATCTTCAACAGAAAAATTACTTTTATGAGAAAAGCATGACAAGAACAATGAAATGGAGAAGAGCCCCAAACCCCTGTGTTCAGACAGAGCTTTGTTTAATGTGGGTCAGAAACTCTGATAGGGACAGCTTGCCTCCTTTGCTGTTCTAGGAACAATTCCATGGGAGGGTCTATTCTGGATTAGGAATTCTTTCTTGAGTAATTTTTATTACCTTTTAATTGTGTCCATTTCTTTGGGAAATAGCAAGCTCTCCCTGCTCCCGCCAATCTCTCCTCTTACTTTTTGGACCAGTTCTTGTACCTCTTAGCTCACCTCATTCAGTGAAAATTGACAAAAGAGACGTGAGTTTCTGTACCTGTGAGACAGCTTATTTTTGTGTCTTTATGGTTTCTAAGCCAAAAATCACCATAAAATAGTATGACAAAGATAGAGAAATTGAAAGTGTCATTTCAGTTACTTTGCTCAGAAATGTATTTCTGTTTTAGAAAAACAAAAATTGAAAAAAATTTAATTCATTCTTTATTTGTTTTTATTTTTATTTTTTATTTTTTTGAGATGGAGTCTTGCTGTTGCCCAGGTTAGAGTGCAGTGGCACGATCTCAGCGCACTGCAACCTCTTGTCTCCCGGGTTCAAGCGATTTTCCTGCCTCAGCCTCCCAAGTAGCTGGGATTATAGGCACACGCCACCATGCCCGGCTAATTTTTGTATTTTTAGTAGAGACGAGGTTTCACCATGTTGGCCAGGCCAGTCTCGAACACCTGACCTCAGGTGATCTGCCCGCCTCTGCTTCCCAAAGTGCTGGGATTACAGGCATGAGGCGTGAGCCACCACACCTGGCCAATTCATTCTTTTTTTTTTTTTTTTTTAAAGTCAACTATTTATTGAGGAAATACCATGTGCCAGACAATGTAATAAGCATTTTACAAAGTTATCTCATTTTATCTTACATTTTATCAAACAATCCTATGAAATATATACCCAATTTACAGATGAGAAAACTGAGGCTCAACTGAAGTCAGGTAGCTCACTGAAGGTAAAATAGCTAAGAAGTGATGGAGCTAAGACTTGTATACAGAAACTGGACCTTAAGTCATTATGCCATACTGCCCCCTTCCATATCTAACTCAATATTTCAACAAGTGGTTTTTTTTTTCTTTTTTCTTTTTTTTTTTTTAATTGTTCATTCTTGGGTGTTTCTCGCAGAGGGGGATTTGGCAGGGTCATAGGACAATAGTGGAGGGAAGGTCAGCAGATAAACAAGTAAACAAAGGTCTCTGGTTTTCCTAGGCAGAGGACCCTGCGGCCTTCCGCAGTGTTTGTGTCCCTGGGTACTTGAGATTAGGGAGTGGTGATGACTCTTAACGAGCATGCTGCCTTCAAGCATCTGTTTAACAAAGCACATCTTGCACCGCCCTTAATCCATTTAACCCTGAGTGGACACAGCACATGTTTCAGAGAGCACAGGGTTGGGGGTAAGGTCACAGATCAACAGGATCCCAAGGCAGAAGAATTTTTCTTAGTACAGAGCAAAATGAAAAGTCTCCCATGTCTACCTCTTTCTACACAGACATGGCAACCATTCGATTTCTCAATCTTTTCCCCACCTTTCCCCCCTTTCTATTCCACAAAACCGCCATTGTCATCATGGCCCGTTCTCAATGAGCTGTTGGGTACACCTCCCAGACGGGGTGGTGGCCGGGCAGAGGGGCTCCTCACTTCCCAGTAGGGGCGGCCGAGCAGAGGCGCCCCTCACCTCCCAGGCGGGGCGGCTGGCCGGGCGGGGGGCTGACCCCCCCCACCTCCCTCCCGGATGGGGCGGCTAGCCGGGCAGAGGGGCTCCTCACTTCCCAGTAGGGGCGGCCGGGCAGAGGCGCCCCTCACCTCCCGGACGGGGCGGCTGGCTGGGCAGGGGACTGACCCCCCCATCTCCCTCCCGGACGGGGCGGCTGGCCGGGCAGAGGGGCTCCTCACTTCCCAGTAGGGGTGGCCGGGCAGAGGCGCCCCTCACCTTCCGGACGGGGCGGCTGGCCGGGCGGGGGGGGCTGACCCCCCCCACCTCCCTCCCGGACGGGGCGGCTGGCCGGGTGGCGGGCTGACCCCCCCCACCTCCCTCCTGGATGGGGTGGCTGCCGGGCGGAGACGCTCCTCACTTCCCAGACGGGGTGGCTGCCGGGCGGAGGGGCTCTTCACTTCTCAGACAGGGCGGCTGCCGGGCGGAGGGGCTCCTCACTTCTCAGACGGGGCGGTTGCCAGGCGGAGGGTCTCCTCTCTTCTCAGACGGGGCGGCCGGGCAGAGACGCTCCTCACCTCCCAGACAGGGTCGCGGCCAGGTAGAGGCGCTCCTCACATCCCAGATGGGGCAGCGGGGCAGAGGCGCTCCCCACATCTCAGACGATGGGCGGCCGGGCAGAGACGCTCCTCACTTCCTAGATGGGACGGCGGCCGGGAAGAGGCGCTCCTCACTTCTAGATGAGATGGCGGCCGGGCAGAGACGCTCCTCACTTTCCAGACTGGGCAGCCAGGCAGAGGGGCTCCTCACTTCCCAGACGGGGTGGCGGCTGGGCAGAGGCTGCAGTCTCGGCACTTTGGGAGGCCAAGGCAGGCGGCTGGGAGGTGGAGGTTGTAGCGAGCCGAGATCACGCTACTGCACTCCAGCCTGGGTACCATTGAGCACTGAGTGAACCAGACTCCGTCTGCAATCTCGGCACCTCGGGAGGCCGAGGCTGGCGGATCACTCGCAGTTAGGAGCTGGAGACCAGCCCGGCCAACACAGCGAAACCCCGTCTCCACCAAAAAAATACGAAAACCAGTCAGGCGTGGCGGCGCGCGCCTGCAATCGCAGGCACTCGGCAGGCTGAGGCAGGAGAATCAGGCAGGGAGGCTGCAGTGAGCCGAGATGGCAGCAGTACAGTCCAGCTTCGGCTCGGCATCAGAGGGAGACCATGGAAAGAGAGGGAGAGGGAGACCGTGGGGAGAGGGAGAGGGAGAGAGGGAGAGGGAGAGAGGGAGAGGGACCCAATTCATTCTTTAATAACCAGAATGACTTCATGTTACTGTGTGCGCTGCTGTTGGGCTCTACACATCTAGTCAAGCCTTGGAATCTGATTTCTCATCACCAACCTCATTTCCTGTGCATGTTGATTTTTGCATCATACTTTCATTTTCGTCATGGGAATAGCCAAAACCCAGCTTTGAAAGTACATGATGTTATTGAAAGGACTGTAGGACAATCTAATGAGACTGAATTGCCTCAAACTAGTAGTTTGCACAGAGTCCAGCAGATGTCGCTGTGTTTCTCTTGAAATTTTAAAACATCCTACAGTGCACTGGTGAGTTTGCTCAGCACCCTGGGGCATCTCTGCACATGGTTTGGGAACCACACATTTAATGTATTCAGGAAGAAATATTAGCAAGAGAAGGTATAATTTAGCTATATAATGAAATTGGAAGGTCAAGGTCAAATGGTTAAAAAAGACAACAGGAGTTTCTTCCTGGTATGTTTAAGTAATTTCAAGAACAAAAGGTTGATTCTTTTGTAGTTCTCAAGTTGCCGAGTTATTAATTGAGGAAAGATCCTCGCTGTAAGTCTGCATCCTGTGCATCTTGCAGTAAGGGCCTAGGGAAACCGATGAAGAGAAGAGCTTTCAGGCGACAGCTGCAGCAGCTCTGACTGCAGAAGATGAAGTCAAGGCTGACTTGATCTGGAGCCAGCAGTGGCTGAGCAGATGGCCTTTGGCGCGGTGGCTCACACCTGTAACCTTAGCACTTTAGAGTTCGAGAACAGCCTGGCGAACATGGCAAAACCCCGTCTCTACTAAAAATATAAAAATTAGCTGGGCGGTAGTGGTGCACGCCTGTGATCCCAGCTACTTGGGAGGCTGAAGCAGGAGAATCACTTGAATCCAGGAGGTGGAGGTTGCAGTCAGCTGAGATCGCACCACTGCACTCCAGCTAATTTTTGTATTTTTAGTAGAGATGGGGTCTCATCATCTTGGCCAGGTCTCAAACTCCTGGCCTCAAGTGATCCACCCGCCTTGGCCTCCTGAAGTGCTAGGATTACAGGCATGAGCCACCGCACCTGGCTGATCTCTTTACGTTGATGTATTCTTTGTGAGATTTATAGACAGAAGGCACACACTGTCTTGTGTTTTTGAGGAAGCCTTTCCTAATCCTGGCCAGCCTGCCAGCTGGAGCAGCGCCCTTGCTTTGCCGAGCAGATGCCCGCCATGCATGCATCGCGCCTCCCTCGCTTTTCTGACAGCATCATCGCCCTTCATTTCTCTAACTTTCCTTTACAGTTGACTGAAACCTCCTCCCGTTACGCCAGGAAGATCTCCGGTACCACTGCCCTCCAGGAGGCCCTGAAGGAGAAGCAGCAGCACATTGAGCAGCTGCTGGCGGAACGGGATCTGGAGAGGGCGGAGGTGGCCAAGGCCACGAGCCACGTGGGGGAGATAGAGCAGGAGCTAGCTCTGGCCCGGGACGGACATGACCAGGTGAAGTCTGGACCTTGTTGCGGAGATGGTGATGGTTTCTAAAGCCACTGAGGAGCCGAGAAGCATGCCCGGTGCTTGGCACCGAGGAGCTAGACTTGAGAGCACAAGAAATGGGTGTACATTTCTTTGCTGTGCTTGTTTGAAAGCTACAGTCTGGGGTGCCAGTTTCCATGATCACAGAGATGAAGTTTTGTTCTTGATTCGACCTTAGTGTTTGGTCTTTGTGTCCGGGTCTTTTGGCCTGTCTGTGTTAGGCCAGCTTGGTTACTAGGGCCTTACCAATGATTGATTATAGCTGCTGTTTGTGGATTACTCTTAATATGTGTTTCAGCTTCAAAAAAGATGAGAGGTGTTTTAACATTGTTCTTTATCACTTTCATCATCTATCTTCCAGGAAAGCTGTTGAGAATAACCTATTAAAATAGAGAAAGCTTTTTAACATAAGGTTTTAGAGTAACGCCCACCCACCATGGTGACCCACAGCTCTTTGGAGAAGTATCACTGGGTCTGTATCTGGGTCAGAAATAGTCCATTTACCGACATTCTTGCCTTCCCCAGCATGTCCTGGAATTGGAAGCCAAAATGGACCAGCTGCGAACAATGGTGGAAGCTGCTGACAGGGAGAAGGTGGAGCTTCTCAACCAGCTTGAAGAGGAGAAAAGGTGACCCCAGACTGTTTCCTGGTGCAAGTGTGGCCTTTCCCCCTTTTTTTTTGTTTTTGAGACAGAGTCTAGCTCTGTTGCCCAGGCTGCAGTGCAGTGGTGCAATCTCAGCTCACTACAACCTCTGCCTCCCAGGTTCAAGCAATTCTCCTGCCTCAGCCTCCCAAGTAGCTGGGACCACAGGAATGTGCCACCACGCCTGGCTAATTTTTTGTATTTTAGTAGAGATGGAGTTTCACCATGTTGCCTAGGCTGGTCTCGAACTCCTGAGCTCAGGAGATCCATCTGCCTCAGCCTCCCAAAGTGCTGGGATTACAGGTGTGAGCCACCGCGCCCAGCAGCCTTTTCATTTTCAATGACCTCAGAAGAAAATTTCCTATTAATAATCATGTTGGTATCAACCCTTAGAACCAAAGGAATGACTATGTGTCCAGCAGAAGGTGAACTCTGCCATACTGTGTGAAGAGCGTCTGCTTTGATTTGACTTTTTTCAATAAGTTTGGAATCATTTAGACATGGCCTGATTGGGCGCAGTGACTCACGCCTGTAATCCCAGCACTTTGGGAGGCTGAGGCGGGTGGATCACTTGAGGTCAGAAGTTCGAGACCAACGTGACCAACATGGTGAAACCCCGTCTCTACTAAAAATACAAAAATTAGCCAGGCCTGTTGGCGGGCGCCTGTAATCCCAGCTACTTGGGAGGCTGAGGCAGGAGAATTGCTTGAACCCGGGTGGCAGAGGTGGCAGTGAGCCGAGATCGCGCCACTGCACTCCAGTCTGGGTGACAGAGCAAGACTCCGTCTCAAAAAAAAAAAAGAAAACATTATTTATTATCTTTTGAGACAGGGTCTCACTCTGTCACTCAGGCTGGAGTGCACTGGTGTGATCATGGCTCACTGCAGCTGTGACATCCCTGGCTCAAGTGATCCTCCTACCCCAGCTTCCCAAGTAGCTAGGACACAGGCACATGCCAACATGCCTGGCTAATTTTTGTAGAGATGGGGTTTTGCCATATTGACCAGGCTGGTCTCAAACTGAACTCAAGCAGTCTGTCCACCTTAGCTTCACAAAATGCTAGGATTACAGGTGGCTTATTTTATTTTTTCTTTTTGAGACAAGGTCTCACTCAGTTGTGCAGCCTGGAGTGCAGTCATACGATCATAACTCACTGCAGCCTTGACTACCTGGGCTCAAGCAATCCTCCCACCTCAGCTGCCCAAGTAGTTGACACGGGTGCACGCTGCCACACCTGGCTAATTTCTTAATTTTTTGGTGGAGATGAGGTCTCGTCATGTTGCTCAGGCCGCTCTTAAACTCCTGGCTTTAAGCCATTCTCCCACCTTGCCCTCCCAAAGTGCAAAGATGCATTTTTAAACTTGCTATGTCTCTAAGGCATTTCTGGTGGCTGTCTGCTTGAATTCACCAGGGTAGTGATGATAGATTTTTTTTTTTTTTTTTAAATATAAGGACTGGGTCTCACTATGTTGCCCCAGCTGGTCTCAAACTCCTGGCCTCAAGCGATCCTCCTGCCTCCACCTCCCAAATTGCTGGGATTATAGGAGTGGCCTACCATGCCCAACGTGTTTTTTTGTTTGTTTGTTTTGTTTTTTTAAAGGCTGTGTGTTACTTAGTTTCTTAAGTGTTTTGTTTGGGTTTTATTCCACAGGAAGGTTGAGGACCTTCAGTTCCGGGTTGAAGAAGAATCAATTACCAAAGGTGATCTTGAGGTAAAACCCCTCCAGCTCTCTTACAGCTTTTATGGGTATCAGTATTCAGAACACGGGCGAAATAATGCACCAATTGAAATGAGCGGCCAGAACAGCCAGCTGAGGAAGTGGCGGGGGAAGGTTCTGGGGGTGGCTTTGTGGTGACGGTGCCGGTACTTGAGCCTGTGAGTGTGTGGCCCACTTCCTAGCAGAGTGGAACTTGCACTACTTCTTTCTCATGCTTCAAAATGCAAAACCATGAATTGGATCTCATCAAGTCATAAATCTGGCAGTGTGTCCTCAATTTAAAGCAGTCCTAAGTGAGACTTAATGGTGTTCGTCTGATGATTAGAAAAGGCATTTTAAATTTTGTCATAGTAGTCCATAACAGGCCGGGTGCGGTGGTTCACGCCTGTAATCCCAGCACTTTGGGAGGCCGAGGTAGGTGGATCACCCGAGGTCAGGAGTTCGAAACCAGCCTGGCTAACGTGGTGAGACCCCGTCTCTACTAAAAATACAAAATTAGCCGGGCGTGGTGGCGGGTGCCTGTAATCCCAGCTACTTGGGAGGCTGAGGCAGGAGAATCGCTTGAACCCAGGAGGTGGAGGTTGCAGTGAGCCGAGATCGTGCCACTGCACTCCAGCTTGGGGGATGGGTCGAGACTTTGTCTCCAAAAAAAAAAAAAAAAGTCCACAACAAAGTTTTTTGCTTTATCTCAGCTTTGCTTTCCAGTTGAGCAGGATAAATCCTTTTATAACCCTATAAAAGGAATATGTTGTAATTGTTAATTTTTTTAAAAAAGTAATTAGCAGAGCAAAAACTAAGAACACTTTATATTTCAACTTCTTTTACTTTCATGGCATTTGTAGAATTCATGGATTTTCCTTTAGTGTCAGGTTTCTCATCCCTTTTTAACAATTTATTCATATTAGTTTTTAAATTAGACACCAGAATTAAATGGTTTTGATGGTTTCAAGCCATTGCTAGATATATGACAAATGTAAATCATTCAGTTTTTCAAATTTTCCAGATTTGTAGTTCTTTAATCTACAATATTTTAGTAAAAATTGCACTTAACTGTGCGTTTCCCAAATATGCAGTTTTGCTACAATTTTAGAGTCTGCTGGCTGCCCACACCATGCTTAAATTTGAGGGGCCCTTCCAAACAGCAACTCTGATTTCTTTGAAAATAAATGTATCTTTACAGTTAACAAAGAGCAAGGGGGGCATTTTCTGGGTTCTAGTTTTATGGGGCCCAGAATTTAATGGTTCATTAACAATTTAATAGATATCTTCTTCACTCATTTCATATACAGCCACATTCCTTTAGTCAATTTTTGTGTTGTTCTCATCCATTTAAAAACACCCCAAAGTCTCATTAGAAGTTTCATGTCATCATCTAATTCATGTGAAATATAGCCCATGGTGTCTTCAGGAGGGTCCAGTTAAAATAATTTACATCAGCACTGGGTTGTATAGTCTGTCTGATAAACTTACTTGAAATTAATCAAATAAAGTTATCTTGAAACCCTAACACATATTGAAGCTTTATTGGAATCTCTTTTTTGTTGTTGTTTAATTTTTTTTATTTTTTTACTGATAGCAAAAGAGCCAGATTTCTGAAGATCCTGAGAATGTAAGAGGGCACTTAACTGTGTGGATATTTCCCTTGTTAACAAAGA
Source organism: Homo sapiens (assembly GCF_000001405.40). Lineage (NCBI taxonomy): Eukaryota > Metazoa > Chordata > Mammalia > Primates > Hominidae > Homo > Homo sapiens. The sequence continues at coordinate 122,351,064 of NC_000012.12, read as the reverse complement.
TTGATCACAGATTAAAATGCTTATTGATATACTCAAACACTAACTGCATAATCTGACCTTGGGACATTGACCTTAATGTTTCTGTGCATGTGGCTTTCAAAGCAATTACATTTATATCCTGAAGAAATTGTATGTAATGACTAAGCTCCACACATTCATGTGTTTAATGAATAGGCCAACGTTTGCTTTATAAAGAATTTTGCCAGAAAGGGGGGAAAAATGTTTTTTGTCTGGAGACCTGGCCTTCTTCACCTAATTCATAATGTCTTCTAATTTTAGTGGAATTATTCCAAAAGAGATGATATCTGGCTGGAGCATAAGGCATTCTAGATGTGGAGTTGTGGGAATTCTGGGGAAGTTTCCAAGTTGTCTAATTTTGCTTCCCATGAGAGGAAAGGGGATTGTGAGGCTGGCTGCTGTCCCGGAGCTGACTGGCTGCCTTTTCAGTGTGCCCCCGCCACTGGCCAGTGCCTGCCAGTGCAGCTGATGAGACATTTAAACTTCTGTTTGTTTCTACAATATTTTCCTTAGTTGCAAAACTAGAGGCAAGCGTTTGTCAATGAAGACAATAGCATGTTTTAAATTGTTATTACCGAAGTGAGAGTTTTCTAGCTGTAGCATTACTAGGTATGCAGGTGTTTTATTTTTCTTCCTCCAAGTTCAAACACCCAGTACAAGTCCTTGCTATGTGGTCTCCAGAGCCCTGCTTCCTGGTGTACCCTGCCAGCTGTGCTGCTGGTTGTAAAGAACCTGAAAACGTTTTGCCTTGATTTACTGCCACATAAGACGGAAATTAAAGAATGACATTACTTCCTACCACCTCCTGGCAGCTGAAATAGACAACTCAAGACTAAACTTTTGGCCAGGCACTGTGGCTCACACCTGTAATCCCAGCACTTTGGGAGGTTGAGGCGGGCAGAACACCTAAGGTTAGGAGTTTGAGACCAGCCTGGCCAACATGGTGAAACCCTGTCTCTACTAAAAATACAAAAATTAGCCGAATATGGTGGCACGCACCTGTAATCCCAGCTACTAGGGAGGCTGAGGCAGGAGAATCGCTTGAACCCAGGAGGCAGAGGTTGCAGTGACAGGAGATCATGCCACTGCACTCCAGCCTGGACAACAAGAACAAAACTCCATCTCAAAAAAAAACAAAAAAAACAAAAAAAACAAAAAAACACAAGACTGAATTTTTTAAAAGGTCTTCGTTCTGAAGGGTTCCTTTTTGTGAAGCTACTTCAGTGATCTGGGTCTCTTCTCTCCTTCCGAAACAGGCTCCCGCTGCCCCCGGTGTCAGTCTGCATGGGATTTCCCCCCTGCCTTTCCTGTGCGCTTCTCGCAAAGCCTTTGCTTTCCTTCTCAATCCCCTGTCCCAGGACTTTCCTCTTGGGATACTCTGTGTTCTTATTCTAAGAAAGGAATGATTTTACAAGAAGGGTTGTCCTGTTCAGTGTCACATTTTTACTGTGTGCTGTGGCATGGAAGTGGATCACTAGTTCCCTTGCTGCTGATTGATCACTCAAGGTCAGGAGTTTGAGACCAGCCAGTTCGAGACCAGCCTGGCCAACATGGTGAAACCCAGTCTCTACTGAAATACAAAAATTAGCCAGGTGTGGTGGCGCATGCCTGTAATCCCAGCTACTACGGAGGCTGAGGCACTGTAGAGTCCCAGATAATGTGTATATAGACCCATCAGTAAGGAGGCGTTGGCTACGCTTATCTGAAAGATCTCTGAATGGGGAGGAGATCACATTAAATGTGTATTTGCTTTTTATCTGGAAATAGTGACCTTTTACCCAGAGGACACTTAACTGTGTCAAGAGAAGAAAGGTTCTATTGCCTTTTCTTTTTCCTACTACTGTAGTTTTGGATTTCAGCTCCTGAGGCTGTGACCCCAATTATGTAGATAAGGATTAGATTCTTTTCTTATAAAAGCAGGGAAATTGAACAGTGTCCATCCAAGGCACATACAGACCAAGGGGATTATCCAGACAGTTAGGGCTTGAATTGTATTTCATTATTTTTGTGGAGTATACAGAGCTGAAGCAGGTGATGAATTAAAAAAAATTTTTTTGTTCACCTTTTAAATATCTCATCATGGTTTGTCGATACCTGGTTTACAAGCAAAGTGACCTCTTGAATGTATTGAGGTCCCCGAGTCCCACTGGAATGAGTGAAGACGTTTGCAATCTTCACTTTTACATTCCCCCCTCTACTGAAGCTCTGCACTTTGTGTCACTTTGTTTAGAGTCTGTTGTCATTTTTTCATTGCCCATAATTGTCCAGACTGATAGGTCAATTAGTACCACAAAGTATTTAAATTACTGCACGTAACTGACAGTTGCTGAGAGCAGCCCTGCGGGTGTGGGCCTTGTCAGTCACTGATTCTGATAACTGATAACCTCTTGTGTAAGAGAGGTGGGGGTGGGAAGAGGTACATTTGGACCTAGATTATTTCAAATTAAGATTCTGCTGCACTTAAACCTGTTAGAGATTATCCTCTGGGTTCCCTATCAGGCTACATCCAAGTGCGTAATGGTGGGGAGAGCAGAGTATCTGAGATCACAGGTTTTGAATCACCTTAGGAACCCACCAGCTCTTTTTGAGAGAGCTCAAACTCATGCCTTTGTGTTGAGTTGCGTTTTTATGTCTGAGCTAATAAAAACAACTTCATCTTAAGGTAAAAATAATAAACCCCTTACCAGTTTGAGGTAAACTTTCCTCCTCTCTTGAGCCTCTCAATTGGACTCCTTCAGAGATGGAGACTATAGAGGATAATTATTACTAAATTTTCTCTTTGTAATTCTGAGTCCTTTTTTCCCTCCCTGGAGCCCAATAGCCTTTGGGACATCCACTGCTGGAAGGAAACTAGAGCTTCCATGGCCTCTTCCCCATCACATGTAGGAATGTTGCTAAGACTCTTAACTCAGACCCTTCTCACCCATTTCTGCAGAGGCTGCTAGCATGATTTCTTAGCTCTAGTTGGAGCTAGAGAAGGAATAGATTCCTTCTACTGAGGTTTTTATTTGACCCTTATTTACGTCAAGTTATATGCTAAGGTGCAAGAATCTGCTCTAAGGACTTATTGAACAGTTTAAGATTTATAATACCTTTGCCATATTTAGGTGATAGTGACCATCATTCTGAGGGTCAATATACCTTGTGAAGTTATCGAGTCAGTTACATACACATTAATGTCAAGTAGCCTTTGTGGGGCGGAGGGATAATGATAGTTTAGAGGGAGGGATATTAACTATTCTAATTGGTGCTGATAAACTTCACTTATCAATATTACTTATATTTGGCTGCATGCCTCTGACACTTCATCTGGCCTCATGTGTTTTCCATTTTTTCTTTCTGAACAGACTAGCCCATGCCCCCTGCCCACCACCATCCTTTGTCCCTGGTATTCATCCTCACTGCCCACCTCATCTCACCTCCACCTCTTCCCTTCTCCATTCCCCTTTGGTTCACCCTTTGGCAGAAGGTACTGGTGGCTCAGCCTGCATGCCGCTGTCTCTCCTCTCGTGCTGGCATGTCATGGTGGCACTGTTGTGTTCTCTTCCTCTTCCTTTTTACTAACAGACGCAGACCAAACTGGAGCATGCCCGCATTAAGGAGCTTGAACAGAGCCTGCTCTTTGAAAAGACCAAAGCTGACAAACTCCAGAGGGAGTTAGAAGACACTAGGGTAATGGTTTTCACTATTTAATGAAGCAGACCCATGCATGTGAAGGGTGGACACCTCAGGTGACATGCTTTATAGTTGGCCTGAGCCTTGACCCAGTGGTTCAACCTGAGTTTGGTCTTGGTACCATTCAGGTGTTTGTGAGCTGAGACTGATGAGTAGGAACAGGTGTTTTATATCTCGTCTTTTGTCAAAAGTAAAGACTCATTCCTTTGGTAACCCAACCAAATCAGGATCAGAAACTTTACAACTGAATAAATGAATGGATATAACTGTATTTGAAGTTATTTATATTAATACCATGAAATATATTTCTCCAGTTGGCCACAAGCAGTCAATTGTCCTCTTGTTCTCAAATATCTAGTTACTAGGCTTTCTAAATAATTTTTTGTTATTGTTGTTTTACTTTAGCTCTCTTCCTGCCTTCTTCCCTGGCCTCTTGGAGAAGGAAATGGAAACATGGGCTGTGTTTCATGAGAGTTAAAAACTTTCACCCCAGTTACCTTTTTATCTTGGAAGGCTGATCTCTGCATCTCCCTCCTTCCTGTCGCTCGGGGGATTGAAACCTCAGTGGACACTGGGCGCAGTGGCTCTTGCTTCTTATCCCAGCACTTTGGGAGGCTGAGGCAGGCAGATTACTTGAGGTCAGGAGTTTGAGACCAGCCTGGCCAACATGGTGAAACCCTGTCTTTACTGAAAATACAAAAATTGGCTGGGCCTGGTGGCGCATGCCTGTAATCTCAGGTACATGGGAGGCTGAGGCAGGAGGATTGCTTGAATCCAGGAAATGGAGTTTGCAATGAGCTGAGATCGTGCCACTGCACCCCAGCCTGGGTGACAGAGTGAGACTCTGTCTGGAAAAAACAAAACAAAACAAAAAAACCCTCAGTGGTGAGGAGGGAAATGCATGTTGGGAACAGAATGGCTTCTTCCTGCCCTGAGCTCATTGTGCTTAGCCCTTGGAGCCAGGACATTACTCAGGTTTTAGTTTATTTATATATTAAAGCACCTATATAGTGCATACTTCATGCCAGACACTATTCTAAGTGCTTTGCAGGTATTCAGTCTCAACACAACCCTAGGAGGTAGGGAATATTAGTGTCCCCATTTTACAGACAAGAACACTGAGGCGCAGAGAAGTTAAATAACTTGCCTAAGATAAAACAGCAAATAGTAATAATGGAGGCAGGATTTGCATCTAGGACATTTGGCCCCAGAGTCTGTGCTCTTAAGCACCACAGGATGGAGTCCGTCTATTATGGAAGTTGTTTTGTGCGTAAAGATTAAGAAATGGCCAGGCGCGGTGGCTCATGCCTGTAATCCCAGCACTTTGGGAGGCTGAGGTGGGTGGATCACCTGAGGTTGGGAGTTTGAGACCAGCCTGGCCAACATGGAGAAACCCCATCTCTACTAAAAATACTAAAATTATCCGGGCGTGGTGACACATGCCTGTAATCCCAGCTACTAGGGAGGCTGAGGCAGGAGAATCACTTGAACCTGGGAGGCAGAGGTTGCGGTGAGCCGAGATCACGCCATTGCACTCCAGCCTGGGCAACAAGAGCGAAACTCTGTCTCAAAAAAAAAAAAAGAAAAAGAAATAGTCACTTACATGTAAGATATGTAGTCACATACCCTTTTAAATCATGAATTTGTCTGTCAGTGACTAAATTGCCCAGATTCTTAACTTTAGAATTCCAAAAATTACTCTGTCTCTAATCAAATTTGCTATCCTGATTTTTAAAAAAATTTCTAGTGTTTGTAGAAATTTCTCTTGTTGAGAATTAATTGACTGATCTAAAAATCTAGACAATTTTTCTTTTCTAAATCATGTGTTTTTATTTTTTAAGAAGAAGGAACTATCGGCCTCTGAACTAAAGATTTCTCCTGTGTATTTGGTAAGAAAACAAAAAAAGAGTGGGCCAGGCATGGTGTTTCATGCCTGTAATCCCAGCACTTTGGGAGGCCAAGGCAGGAGGATCACCTGAGTCCAAGAATTCAAGACCAGCCTGGGCAAGGTGGTGATACCCTGCTTCTACAAAAAATAAAAAAAAAAATTAGCTGGGTGTGGTGGCTACATGGCAGGCTGAGGTGGAAGGATCTCTTGAGCCCAGGAGGTCGAGGCTTGCAGTGAGCCATGTTCATGTCTCTGCACTCCAGCCTGGGCAATAGAGCAAGACCCTGTTTCAAAAAAAAAAAAAAAAGTGGCAATTTGGTGCTGTTTCCTCATTAACTGAGAGCCAAATAATTGATCCGGGAAATACAATGGACTAATGAGATTGAGTTCCTTTAGTGTGATGGCTTTTGAAGTAATATATTTTTTTAAAACATGTAAACTCCTCTCCCGTATCTTAGTTTTGTCAGCAAACAATTTTGATGTTTTTTTTCCTGCTCTAGATAAGGCATTCAGTTACACCATGGTTTATCCAAGTATTTCAGTGTAAAGCTTATATCTTTCCATAACGAAGTATGTCTTCTGTTGATCCTCACTCTTGGGTTCCCAAGTGTTAAGATAACCAGCTACCCATGTAAGTTTCATATCACCTATGTTACTTTTTAGGAAGTGCTTTAGAATACTTTCTAGCCAATAAATCCAGTTTCCAAACAGTGTGCTTGGTGCTGTAGAGATGTTAGGAAGAATAAGAAATAATTTCTGACTTAATTCATGGTCTCAAACTAGTGGGAGAAGCAGACATACCACATAGTTTTGAATTAGGGCAGATTTTGGGAAATGAAAAATAAATTGCTGTACTTTATAGGGAAATGCCACGGAAAGTAAAATCACATTGGTATTTATTATTTTTACTTATTTTTTACTTGGCATTTTTCTCTACTTGACTGTTTTGTTGTAACTAAGAACCATTGCCCTATTGGGTTTAATGTATTTATGCTACAGACCTTGCAGCAATGGGGTTTATTAGTGTTTTGTGTTTTTTTTTCTTTTATTTAGCAAATTCTGCCAGATCCTGATGGGTTTATTAATGTTTTGTATGTTATTTTGACGTAACAAACTCTTGGACTCTTCCTTCCCCAGAAAATCATGTGTAAATGAATTAACATCTTTAACCTGATGAGTCTATAACCACGAAGCACAGCAATTATAGTCAGCTCTGAAATATTTAATTTTATTTACTTTGATTATGCAGTTTTGGAGACTCAGTGCTTTCTTTTCCTCTTCTCTTATGGGCATTTTAATCTTTATTGGTGTCACAGCCTGTAGGGTGGACAGAGGAAATGAAAGAAAACATATCTGTTATTTTCTGTCTCAAAGAAAGGCAGTGTGGGAGAGGAGTCTTAAATTCAGAAGAATATTTAACATTTTTTTGTAGAGATGGAGTTCTCGCTGTGTTGCCCAGGCTGATCTTGAACTCCTGGCCACAAGTGATCCTCTTGCCTTGGCCTCCCAAAGTGCTAGGTATATAGGCATGTACCACCTCACCCAGCCAATCACAGGAGTTTTGATCCTTGAAATATGGGACTCACTGCTGTTTTAAAATTATTTTGTTCCCTTTCATTTCCCAGATTAGTCCAAGAATTTTTGTGATGGAAGCTATTTTCCACACATCCTATGTACTAAATGGACTGCATAGCAGGTAGCAGAGGGAAGTAATTTTCTAGCAATGAAAGGGCACAGGTTAAGAAAGTGTTTTTCTAGCCCTGGGGTATTTATTTAAAGGAAGAAGATTCTTGGGTACTATCCCGGAGCTCAAATAGAATCGAAGTACATGGGAATAGGTAGAAACTTGCAGGTTAGATGTACATTCCAGGTGATTCATGTGCGTACTAATGTCTGAGAACCACTGGGTTAGGGGGTTAGGGGAAGAAGATGTTTACATCAAAATGCTGATAGAATTATCATATCTAAAAAGGGGATTTTGTGTAAGATTCTTGTGTATTATTGCAGGTAAGTAATCATTCTTACTTTGTGTTTTAATAAAATGATCAGTAGGCCAGGCGTGGTGGCTCACGCCTGTAATCCCAGCACTTTGGGAGGCCAAGGTGGGTGGATCACTGGAGGTCAGGAGTTCGAGACCAGCCTGACCAACATAGTGAAACCCCGTCTCTACTAAAAATGCAAAATTAGCCAGGTCTGGTGGCACATGCCTGTAATCCCAGCTACTTGGAAGGCTGAGGCAGGAGAATCGCTTGAACCTGGGAGGTGGAGGTTGCAGTGAGCTGGGATCGCGCCATTGCACTGGGCAACGAAAGCAAAACTCCATCTCAAAAAAAAAAAAAAAAAAAGTTTAGTAAATTAATTCTTCATTCTTCAATTGAGGCTTTCATTCTACAGGTGATGTGTTATTCATTGAAACATTTGATAGGTAATTTTAGACCTTTTATGCAAGTGCTGTCCAATAGAAGTATAATGTAAGCCACACATGTACAATTTATAATTTTCTGGTACCCACATTACTTTTTTGTAAGTCACAAGTTAAATTAGTTTTAATAATATATTTTATGTAACTGATATATTCAAAATATTAATCAAAATAAAATTATTAAGATATTTTAAACATTTTAAAATATAATTTCAGTTTGTTTTTTTTTTTTTTTAGAGACAGAGTCGTGCTCTGTCTCCCAGGCTGGAGTACAATGGCACAATTACTCACTATAGCCTCAACCTCCTAGACTCAAGCAATCCTCCCGTCTTAGCCTCCCAAGTACCTGTTACCACAGGCGACACCACCATGCCTGGCTAATTTTTTATTTTTTGCAAAGACGGGGTCTTGCTGTGTTGCCGAGACTGATCTTGAACTCCTGGCCTCAAGTGATCCTTCTGCCTCGGCCTCCCAAAGTGGTGGGATTACAGGCGTGAGCCACTGCACTTGGCCCACAAGACATTTTGTGATCCTTTTCTTCTAAGTCTTCAAAATCTGATGTGTATTTTGCACTTATACCACACCTCACTTCAGATGAGCCACATCTCAAGTGCTCAATAGCCACGTGTGGCCAACAGCTACTGTTCCGGATGGCACAGTTCTATAAGATCACCTCCATGAAATGGATAAGCATTTATGCAACCTGGATGAAGTGGGGTAGGACAAACTGGCAAAATAAGGAAATGTTTTCTTTCAGGAGGCAGTTATATCTGTGAACTTTGAAAGTTACTGTTTCTGTTAACTTATCAGTTAATGGATATTTATCTGATTTAAGCTTCTTTAGAATTGGAGATACTAAAGTTGGACTTAAGCCATTATCACAGTTAGAAATATATATTAACCTATAAACGTTCATAATAGTTTGCTGCCTGAGATGGGGTAGTTATTAAATATCTTCAGTGTTAAAGAAAATAATCAGGCCAGGTGCAGTGGCTCATGCCTGTAATCCCAGCACTTTGGGAGGCCGGGGCGAGTGGATCACCTGAGGTCAGGAGTTTGAGACCAGCCTAACCAACATGGTGAAACCCCATCTCTACTAAAAATGCAAAAATTAGCTGGGTGTGGTGGCGCATGCCTGTAATCCTAGCTACTCAGGAGGCTGAGGCAGGAGAATCGCCTGAACCCAGGAGGTGGAGGTTGCAGTGAGCTGAGATCGCACCATTGTACTCCAGCCTGGGTAAGAAGAGCGAAACTCCATCTCAAAAAAAAAAAAAAAAAAAAAAAAAAAAAAAAAAAAAAGAAAAGAAAATAGTCAATGACTTGTTATTTAAATGATCTTTTTTTCTTTGGACTGCTGTTAATAGGTGGCTACAGTTTCAGAAAAGTCACGTATAATGGAACTGGAGAAAGACCTAGCATTGAGAGTACAGGAAGTAGCTGAGCTCCGAAGAAGGCTAGAGTCCAATAAGCCTGCTGGGGATGTGGACATGTCACTTTCCCTTTTGCAAGAGATAAGCTCTTTGCAAGAAAAGTTAGAAGTCACCCGTACTGACCACCAGAGAGAAATAACTTCTCTGAAGGAGCATTTTGGAGCCCGGGAAGAAACTCATCAGAAGGAGATAAAGGCTCTGTATACCGCCACGGAAAAGCTTTCCAAAGAGAACGAGTCATTGAAAAGCAAGCTGGAGCATGCCAACAAAGAGAACTCAGATGTGATAGCTCTATGGAAGTCCAAACTGGAGACTGCCATCGCATCCCACCAGCAGGCGATGGAAGAACTGAAGGTATCTTTCAGCAAAGGGCTTGGAACAGAGACGGCAGAATTTGCTGAACTAAAAACACAAATAGAGAAAATGAGACTAGATTACCAACACGAAATAGAAAATTTGCAGAATCAACAAGACTCTGAACGGGCTGCCCATGCTAAAGAGATGGAAGCCTTGAGGGCTAAACTGATGAAAGTTATTAAAGAAAAGGAAAACAGTCTGGAAGCCATCAGGTCGAAACTGGACAAAGCAGAAGACCAGCATCTCGTAGAAATGGAAGACACGTTAAACAAATTACAGGAAGCTGAAATAAAGGTAAAGGAGCTAGAGGTACTGCAAGCCAAATGCAATGAACAAACCAAGGTTATTGATAATTTTACATCACAGCTCAAGGCTACTGAAGAAAAGCTCTTGGATCTTGATGCACTTCGGAAAGCCAGTTCCGAAGGTAAATCGGAAATGAAGAAACTTAGACAGCAGCTTGAGGCAGCTGAGAAACAGATTAAACATTTAGAGATTGAAAAGAATGCTGAAAGTAGCAAGGTTTGTATTGACATCCTCCATTCTTTTCTTTTCCATTTGTTATTCTTGTTTTGCATTATGTTACTTTTGAGTTGAGATCATTCATCTTCCAAATTGCTGATTTAATTAAATTGCTTGATGTCCCCAGTTGAGTATAGTGTAGTATGTTCTGAGTATCTCAAGTATGGTTTCATCTGAGGAGATTAGAGAAAATAATGGCTCAACCATGTGAATTTATTTTGGTTGCCTGTTATCTGGGTACCTGATCTATTTATCTCTGGGCTATGCTGTGACTTCTAATTTAAGCTTAGCTCCAGTCTATAATCTGTTTAAAATAAAGAATGCCCTAACACTATGGTGTTAAGATGAATGAATGAACAGAAACTCAAAAGATCGGCCAGGCGCAGTGGCTCACGCCTGTAATCCCAGCACTTTGGGAGGCTGAGGCAGGTGATCACCTGAGGTCAGGAGTTCGAGATCAGCCTGGCCAACATAGTGAAACCCCATCTCTACTAAAAATACAAAATTAGCCTGGCATGGTGGCGGACACCTGTAATCCCAGCTACCCAGGAGGCTGAGGCAGGAGAATCACTTGAACAACCCGGGAGGCGGAGGTTGCAGTGACCTGAGATTATTCCACTGCACTCCAGCCTGGGAGACAGAGCAAGACTCTGTCTAAAGGAAAAAAAAAAAAAAAGCTTAAAAGATCATCTCCTCCTCTTCTAACCACATATAGTCAGGTGCCACATAATGATGTTTCAATCAACAATGGACCACATAAACAAAGGCGGTTCCATAAGATTGTAATATGGTATCTTTACCTTTTGTATGTTTAAATATGCTTTGATACACAAATACTTAGCATTGTGTTACAGTTGCCTACAACATTCAGTACAGTAACATTTTATACAGGTTTATAGTATAGGAACAATAGGCTGTGCCACGTAGCCCAGGTGTGTAGTAGACTATACCTTCTAGGTGTGTGTAAGTGCACCCTGTGATGTCCCCACAACAATGAAATGCCTAATGATGCATTTCTCATAAGATATCCTGGTTCTTAAGCAATGCATGACTGTAATTGCTTATCTATAGGGTTATGTATAAAAACAGACTGAATTCAGTGCTTCTTGACTATTATAAATTAACATGTTGGCCGGGCAAGGTGGCTCATGCCTGTAATCCCAGTGCTTTGGGAGGCTGAGGCAGGCGGATCAGTTGAGGTCAGGAGTTTGAGTCCAGCCTGGCCCCTGTCTACTAAAAATACAAAAATTAGCCAGGTGTGGTGGTGTGCGTCTGTAGTCCCAGCTACTCAGGAGGCTGAGGCACAAGAATTGCTTGAACCCGGGAGGTGGAGGTGGCAGTGAGCTGAGATCGTGCCACTGTACCCCATCCTGGGCGACAGAGCAAGACTCCATCTCCAAAAAACAAAAAAAAACCCATGCTGTGATAAATAACATTCACAGCAAAATTAAGGGTAAGAGCTTGGAGCCCTTTGCATGGCAGAAATCTCATTGGAGTTTTTTTCTGTGGCATAATGAGAACATGATCTGTCCCCTCCTTTTCTGGGGGAAATACTGAACAAGTGTGCATGTGGTCAAGGCTTAGGAAATTACGTGAAACATTCGCCAGCTGCATTCCTTACTAACTAGCCTTGTTAAATGTCATCTTTATCTTTAAAGGTGGTTCGAGGAATTGTTTCCCAGTCCTGCCACTAGTTGAGGCACTGGTATTGATGCTCAATGTTCTGAACTTTTTTGTGGGAGAAGCTGCTCTATTGGCAAAGAAGGAAGGGTTGTGATGGTTAAATGGGGTGAGGTGAGGACTGACAAACAGCAAAAAATTGCTAACTAACCATAGTCGAAGATGACAAACTGGTTACAGGAAATTTTTCTCAAATCTCCTCATGTGGTTCCGAAATACTAATCAAAACACAAAAATTAATTAGAAGATAATATTTAGCTAATGCTAGTTTACTTTTTAACATCAAGATTTCATGAAAGCCAAGTTCTAATGACTATTGTCCAGTGGATTTTTTTGTTTTGTTTTGTTCTGTTTTTTTGAGACAGTCTCACTCTGTTGCGCAGGCTGGAGTGCAGTGGCACAATCTCGAGTCACTGCAACCTCCACCTCCCAGGTTCAAGCGATTCTCCTGCCTCAGCCTCCCGAGTAGCCAGGATTACAGGCGCCCGCCATCATGCCTGGCTCATTTTTGTATTTTTAATAGAGAGAGGGTTTCACCATGTTGGCCAGGGTGGTCTCGAACTCCTGACCTCAAGTGATCCACTGACCTCGGCCTCCCAAAGTGCTGGGATTATAGGCTTCAGCCACTGCACCTTGCCTGTCCAGTGGATTTTTAAATTTTATTTAAATGTCAAACTACTTTAAGCATATACACAAATAGAGAAAATAATGTAGACCACATATATTCGCATCTTAAGGTTTTTGTTTTTATTTATTTATTTTTTAAGACAGAGTCTCGTTCTGTCACCCTCACTGCAGCCTCCGCCTCCCAGGCTCAAGGGATTCTCCTGCTTCAGCTTCCCCAGTAGCTGGGATCACAGGTGTGTGCCACCACGCCTGGCTAATTTTTGTATTTTTAGTAGAGACAGGATTTCACCACGTTGGCCGGGCTGGTCTTGAACTCCTGACCTCAGCTGAGATCTGCTGACCTCGGCCTCCCAATGTGCTGGGATAACAGGTGTGAGCCACTGTGCCTGGCCTTAAGGTTTTTTGGTTTTGGTTTTGTTTTTTTTTTTTTTGAGACAGAGTCTCGCTCTGTGGCCCAGGCTGGAGTGCAGTGGCATGATCTCGGCTCACTGTAGCCTCCACCTCCCAGGTTCAAGCGATTCTCCTGCCTCAGCCTCCTGAGTAGCTGGGACTACAGGTGCGTGCCACCACGCCTGGCTAATTTTTTATATTTTTAGTAGAGATGGGGTTTCACCATGTTGGCCAGGATGGCCTCGATCTCCTGACTTCGTGATCCGCCCACCTCTGCCTCCCAAAGTGCTGGGATTACAGGCGTGAGCCACCGTGACCAGCCAAGGTTTTTAAAGTCTAGGAAATGAAATTGCTCAAGTAGCTCATTTAGAAAGTAAGCATCCACACCTTCTGCTTTAGATCATGCTGATACTCCAAGTTACAATGAAGTATAGAAAAATAGTCTATTTTGACTATTTAAAAATAGTCTCTGGGCACAGTGGCTCATGCCTCTAATCCCAGCACTTTGAGAGTCCAAAATAAGAGGATTGCTTGGGTCTAGGAGTTTGAGACCAGCCTGGGCAGCATGGTGAGACCCCATCTCTCTTTTCTTTCTTTTTTTTTTTTTTTTGAGGCAGAGTCCCACTGTGTCACCCAGACTGGAGTGCAGTGGTCTGGTCTCGGCTCACCCAACCTCCGCCTCCCAGGCTCAAGCGATTCTTCTGCCTCAGCCTCCCAAGTAGCGGGATTACAGGAGCGTGCCACCATGCCCAGTTAATTTTTGTATTTTTAGTAGAGATAGGGTTTCACCATATTGGCCAGGCTGGTGTTGAACTCCTGACCTCAAATGATCCACTTGCCTCAGCCTCCCAAAGTGTTGGGATTACAGGCATTAGCCACCGAGCCCAGCCAGAGACCCCATCTGTAAAAAAATTTTTTAAACATTAGCTGTAGTGGCACGTGCCTGTAATCTCCGCTGCTTAGGAGGCTGGTGCTGGAAGATCACTTGAACTCAGGAGTTCTAAGGCTGCAGTGAGCCATGATCACACCACTGCACTCTAGCCTGGGTGACAGGGGAGACCCTGTGTCAGAAAGAAAGAGAAAAAAAAAAAAACACAAAAATAGCCATTAGGAAATCATATCATAGAACTGATTGTTTGAAAAGTCATTGACTTCTTAGAATTAAAAACCAACACCAAATTTGTATTCCTTTCAGTTTTGTTTTATGTTTCTCATAAGTTTTTTACATTTGTTTATTTTTTTCTTCTCATTCTCTTTTGTTTTCCTTTTGTTCATTTGCTTCTATACCATGTAACACTGTGTGTTAGGCTAGTAGCATTACCAGAGAGCTCCAGGGGAGAGAGCTAAAGCTTACTAACCTTCAGGAAAATTTGAGTGAAGTCAGTCAAGTGAAAGAGACTTTGGAAAAAGAACTTCAGATTTTGGTAAGTACCTGTTGGGAATCTGAATCTCAGGGTTTCTGGCCATTTCCTGTTTTAAAAAATCCTCCAGTAAGAAATATTGTAGCTGTTTCCTTTCTCTTTCTAAGTGTTGATTCAACTTGAGTGTATTAGTTATTGGCTGATAAATATTGTCCTTTGAGGGGAATCGGATCAAACCCAAACAACAAAGGTAGGTATTACTTTTTTTTTTTTTTTTTTTTAATCTATCCCTTCGCCTTTGGTAACGCACTGCTTTGAAATGTTATTGACTACTTAGTTTTACTAAACACAGAGCCCTTCCAAGTTATACATCGAACACAGTTAGGTTTCATATTGAATGAGGCCCCTTCATATTGAATGAGGCCCCTAAACTGTGATTATCAGGGCAGTAGCTGTACTGGGCCGTAGGCGCCCTCTGTTGGCGAGGCAGGATGCTTGCTGTCTAATTAAATAAATTAAAATAAATCTAACTCAGTTTATTCCATCTCAGAAAATTACCTTCCCTTTTATATGTTTTCTCTTTCCTTAATCTCAAGTTGTATGGCATATGTATATTTTTTACCTTTTCTCAACTCTGTTCCTTCCTACTTGCCTCCTGCACTGAAAACCCGAGTTTAAACAAGGCTGATACTCATGAGTAGTGCCAGTGGTACCCACCCACATGCCATGGAAAGAAAAGCCAGAGGCTTATGGAGAAACTAGACGAGGTATATGTGCCACGCAGGGTCAGCTGTCCCAGGTCCTCCACATCCCTTCCTCTTCGCTGTTCATTACACTTCTGTGCTATTAACAGTGTGAATTAACGTGTGTGATCTTTTTTTTTTTTTTGAGACAGAGTCTTGTTCTGTTGCCCAGGTTGGAGTGCAGTGGCGCGATCTCGGCTCACTGCAGCCTCTGCCTCCCAGGTTCAAGAAATTCTCCTGCCTCAGCCTCTTGAGTAGCTGGGATTACAGGCGCCTGTTACCACGACTGGCTAATTTTTGTATTTTTAGTAGAGATGGGGTTTCTCCATGTTGGCCAGGCTGGTCTTGAACGACTGACCTCAAGTGATCTGCCCTCCTCGGCCTCCCAAAGTGCTGGGATTATAGGCGTGAGCTACTGCGCCCAGCCTGGTGTCCTTTAAGAAAATGTTTTGAGTTCATTGCTTCTCTGCCCTCCTCCCAAGCTTTTAGGATGCCTTGCCTTTTTTTTTTTCCCCCTAAGTTAGAGTATCCTTCCGTATATCTTAGGACAAGACATGCCACCTTGAGTCTGGCTGTGGGATGGCACAGGGGGCAGCCTGTGGGCTTGGATGCACTGTGGCCCCTGCACCATCTTTTCATAATCCTATCTAGTTAGAAATACTCATGTAACAACCTTCTTGATGTAGCTAGCTCGAAGTTCATCTCAGGACAACCAGGAGAGTGATTTTTAGCTTGGCCTATTGTCATGTTTAGAAAAGACCTTGAACTGTAAGTGACTTATGGGCCTTTTCAGTTTCAAAAGTAGCGACACAGACCTAGATTCAAGATATTAGATTACTCTCAGAAATAACAAACTTCAGAGCTTTGTTCACCATTTCACACAGATTTCTGAAGAGAAGGTCTGCTGTTTGAGAGGTGGCAACATGAAGCATGCACGTGCACCCTATGTATACACGCACATGCATGTACTTACCTAAGTACGAACATGCCTACATGGGCATGCTGGTGAACCTGCCTTCCCACATGTCCATACACACACATGCAAACTGCACTCTTTTGTGTGTATACATGCACATGTTTATGACCCACATGTAGTAATTGGTGTCATATGTTTGAGGTGTATTAGTTTTAATAAAACAAGACCAGCAACAAAAAGTAGACAGTATCGTAGTTATAATTGATAGAAACTTCTTGTCTTTACAATTTGAAATCTTTCTGTTCAGAATCTCTCATTCTTTTTCTTTAGAAAGAAAAGTTTGCTGAAGCTTCAGAGGAGGCAGTCTCTGTTCAGAGAAGTATGCAAGGTATGTCTTACCAGAGCGTGTGCAGATTGCTTTAAAAAATATCATTCTTTCATACTGGAGCTGACCTGTGGAGTGCACAGAGTTACACTGCTCGTAGCCTAATTTCACTCTCCTGGAAGTTCCTGCCGTGCTCAGAAAGACTGGCTTCCATTGGTTTCCTGAAGCCTCAAACTCCCAATTTTTTCTTCTTTTAGCTTAAGGCTTGTTCTGTATTAAAATGTAAGTATTCCTGGGAAGAGTGTTATTTATGCTTTCATCATTGATAGCTTTATTGAGTTTTAACTGGAAGGAGGAAAGAGAGATGAGTGGAAAGGGCCTGATGCCTGTCTGAAGTACTGATTCAGGGAGGCCAGAGACAGCGGCAGACCTGCTTCTTTCAGGCTGGACACAGCCATGTGATTTGTAAGGGGACTTTTTAGTATTCCTGTGTTCTCAGATCTCTTGAGCATAATATTTGACTGGGTTGTAAGACAGCCAAGCTCCAGATAGCTTATTAAATATGAAACATATTAAACTTCTAACTTTTATCCTAAATAGAAACTGTAAATAAGTTACACCAAAAGGAGGAACAGTTTAACATGCTGTCTTCTGACTTGGAGAAGCTGAGAGAAAACTTAGCAGGTAAGAAGACATCTCTGGTGACTAAACATTAAATACAGTAGGCTTTCCCGTATTCGAGACAGTTGTAGTATGTTACATAACAAATGTACTATTCAGGCATAGCCTCTTCACTCATCATGGTGATATAACAATGTGATGAAATACTTGTTTGAGATCTGTAACCTCCAGCAAGTCCTCTTTGCTCTGTTTTCACAAGAGCCAGAATCTACCACATCTCACCACTCCCACTGCTATCCTTGCTCCAAGCCAACGGCCATCTTTCATCTGAGCTACCCTGACAGCTGACCCTTGGGGCTCACTGCTGCTGCCTGTGCCGGCTTCGGTCTGTTCTCAACACAGCAGCCACAGCAATCCTTTTAATACGAAGTCAGATCATGTCGCTCCTCTCCTCAAGGTCATCCAGTGACTCCCATCCCACTCAGGGAAAGCCGTGATCCTTACACGATCAGGCCCTATTATCTCTCGGATTTCATCTGGGACCCCCTTCCCCTGTTCATTCCACTCCAACCACTTCAGCCTCCTTGTGGTGCTCAGACGTGGTGGGTGTTCCTTTCTCAGAGCCTGTGCACTTGCTTTTCCCCATTCCCTCACTTCCTTCAGGTTTTCCCTGAAATGTCAGCACCTCAGGGAAGCCCCATCTGAGATTCTAACCTCCTTCCCAGCTCCTTTGCCTGCATTTATTTTCCTTCCTCTTAGCACTTACCGCTATTAATTATATGATTTATTTTCGTTATCTTGCTTATTGTGTGCCTTCTTCACTAGAATGTGATTTTTATGAGGACAAGAATTGCTGTGTGAAAATATTACCAGAGCAAGAATACACTCAGTCAGTTTTTGTTGATATAACACAGCCGTGCTATTCTTTTTTTCTCTATATATTTAGATATGGAGGCAAAATTTAGAGAGAAAGATGAGAGAGAAGAGCAGCTGATAAAGGCAAAGGAAAAACTGGAAAATGACATTGCAGAAATAATGAAGATGTCAGGAGATAACTCTTCTCAGCTGACAAAAATGAACGATGAATTACGTCTGAAAGAAAGGTATATGTGACTGTTGAAAAGAGTGCTGACCTTAGGTTAGGCTCTGCGGCAAGCTCTAGGTGGGAGGGGAGACAAAATGTTTAGGATTGTTACGTTTTAAAGTTTCCCGTCTCTGTTCTTTTCTGTTATTACCTCATTGTGTCCTTGAATCAACTATTTAACCTTCTAAAATGGATTTTACCTATCTTACTTGTCAAGAACAACAGAATTAAGGAATACAATACTATTTATAGACCTTTTGGTGACTTGTAAAGAAAAGATAATAAGGCCGGGTGCGGTGGCTCATGCCTGTAATCCCAGCACTTTGAGAGGCCGAGGTGGGCGGATCACTTGAGGTCAGGAGTTCGAGGCCAACCTGGCCAACATGGCGAAACCTTGTCTCCACTAAAAATACAAAATTAGCCAGGCGTGGTGGTGCAAGCCTGTAATCCCAGCTACTGGGGAGGCTGAGATGAGAGAATCACTTGAAACCCAGGAGGTGGAGGTTGCAGTGAGCTGAGATTGTGCCACTGCACTCTAGCCTGGGCAATAGAGAGACGCTCCATCTAAAAAGAAATAAGAAAAAAGAAAAGGTAGTAGTTTACCAATGACAATAATATATTTTACAGGCAGTTAAAAATATATATAGATGTGTTTATATATAGATGTGTATATAGATGTATATATACATATACGCTTTTTTTTTTTTTTTGAGACGGAGTTTTGCTCTTCTTGCCCAGTCTGGAGTGCAATGGTGCGATCTCAGCTCACCACAACCTCCGCCTCCTGGGTTCAAGCAATTCTCCTGCTTCAGCCTCCCGAGTAGCTGAGATTACAGGCTTGCACCACCATGCCTGGCTAATTTTGTATTTTTAGTAGAGACAGGGTTTCTCCATGTTGGTCAGGCTGGTCTCGAACTCCTGACCTCAGGGCCTTGGCCTCCCAAAGTGCTGGGATTACAGGCATGAGCCACCGTGCCCAACCTTTAAAAATATTTTTAACTATTTTTTTTTGAGATAGAGTCTCATTCTGTGGTCCAGGCTGGAATGCAGTGGCGTGATCTCGGCTCACTGCAGCCTTCACCTCCCAGGTTCAAGCGATTCTCCTGCCTAAGCCTCCCTAGTAGCTGGGACTACAGGCACGTGCCACCACACCCGGCTGATTTTTGTATTTATAGTAAAGATGAGTTTTCACCATGTTGGCCAGGGTGGTCTCAAACTCCTGACCTCAGGCGATCTGGCCGCCTTGGCCGCCCAAAGTGCTGGAATTACAGGCATGAGTCACCGTACCTGGCCTGAACTTATTTTAATAGGAAACACATATTATCTATTACTATGGGCCATGCACTGTGCTAACAGCTTTCTAATTCTTATTATCCTACGAAGTGAGTTTAGCATTATTCCCATTTAAAAGAAAAAGAGGCCAGGCACTTTGGGAGGCTGAGGCGGGCAGATCGCCTGAGGTCAGCAGTTCAAGACCAGCTGGGCCAACATGATGAAACCCTATCGCTACTAAAAATACAAAAATTAGCCAGGCATGGTGGTGTGCACCCGTAATCTCAGCTACTTGGGAGGCTGAGGCAGGAGAATCGCTTGAACCCAGGAGGCGGAGGTTGCAATGAGCCAGGATCATGCTGCCGCACTCCAGCCTTGGTGACAAAGCTAGACTCCGTCTCAAAAAAATGAATAAGGCCAGGCACTGTATGTAGCTCATGTCTGTAATCTCCCTGCACTTTGGGAGGCCGAGGTAGGCGGATCACCTGAGGTTGGGAGTTCAAGAACAGCCTGACCAACATGGAAAACCCCGTCTCTACTAAAGATACAAAATTAGCCGGGTATGGTGGCGCATTCCTGTAATCCCAGCTACTCAGGAGGCTGAGGCAGGAGAATCAGTTGGACCCGGGAGGTGGAGGTTGCGGTGAGCTGAGATAGTGCCATTGCACTCCAGCCTGGGCAACAAGAGTGAAACTCCGTCTCAAAAAAAAAATAAATAAATAATAAAAAGGAAGGGAGGGAGCGAAACTGAGGCTTACTGGGGTGAAGCCTGAGGTTTCAGATCTGGGCAGTCTGGTCCCAGAGCCCCTCCTGCTCTTAATAACTACATTGTAGGCCGGGCGTGGTGGCTCAGGCCTGTCATGCCAGCACTTTGGGAGGCTGAGGCAGGCGGATCACGAGGTCAGGAGTTCAAGAACAGCCTGGCCAACATAGTGAAACCCTGTCTCTACTAAAAAAATACAAAAAATGAGCTGAGCGTGGTGGCAGGTGCCTGGATTCCCAGCTACTCAGGAGGCTGAGGCAGGAGAATCATTTGAACCTGGGAGGCAGAGGGTGCCGTGAGCTCAGATCGCACCATTGCACTCCAGCCCAGGCAACAGTGCGAGACTCCATCTCAAAAAAAAAAAAAAAAAAAACTGCATTATACTTCTTCAGTGCTGAAGTTTCCTCTATCTTAATATCTGTTTTTGTCTTTATTCTGGAATTCTTGTTGCTTTGATCTTTTTCTTTTAATAGCTGTCATATAAAAATCAAAGAATTTATAAGGCAAACATTTATAAATTAAGTCTGTAGGCATTAGACTTCTACTTCTTAAAAGTGTTAATACCTGCAAAGTTCTATTTATTAAGACATCCAGCCTTTCACCCCCACACAATTTCATCGGTGCTGAGTGGTGGTCAGGCCTTGGTTGGGCAACTTTGGTCAAACTTGCCTTGAGGTGCTGCTGCTACACAGGTAGTGGTGGCTCAGTGCCTTCAAGAAGCTCCATTTTTGTAGGTATTTTGTGGCTATAAAATTCAGAAGTGCCCCCCAAGTTTCCCTCTTGCATCTGTGATTCATCTAATAGTCTGTTTTCTTGATCAACATCCCGTGTTTTTTGTTTTTTGTTTTTTTTTGAGACGGAGCTTTGCTCTTGTTGCCCAGGCTGGAGTGCGATGGTGTGATCTTGGGTCACCGCAACCTCCACCTTCTGGGTTCAAGTGATTCTCCTGTCTCAGCCTCCTGAGTAGCTGGGATTACAGGCATGCGCCACCACGCCCAGCTAATTTTGTATTTTTAGTAGAGATGGGGTTTCTCTATGTTGGTCAGGCTGGTCTCGAACTCCTGACCTCAGGTGATCCTCCCACCTCTGCCTCCCAAAGTGCAGGGATTACAGGCGTGAGCCAACGCACCCGGCCCCCCATGTTTTATATACATATTTTTGTTCAACCACATGGTCTCTTTAAAGTAGAACTTCAAGTTATTTATTGTCATTTTTGTATCTGCTGTCCTCCAGAAGCACTAGAGTGAATTTTTAGTAATCTAGTCTGCTAAAATTTTGAAACATTCATTTCCTTTATTTATTTATTTATTTATTTAAGTTAATTAATTAATTTTTTTTTTTGAGACAGAGTCTCGCTCTGTCGCCCAGGCTGGAGTGCAGTGGCGCGATCTCGGCTCACTGCAAGCTCCACCTCCCAGGTTCACGCCATTCTCTTGCCTCAGCCTCCAGAGTAGCTGGGACTACAGGTGCCCACCACCATGCCCGGCTAATTTTTTGTATTTTTATTAGAGAGAGGGTTTCACTGTGTTAGCCAGGATGGTCTTAATCTCCTAACCTCGTGATCCGCCCCCCCATCGGCCTCCCAAAGTGCTGGGATTATAGGTGTGAGCCACCGTGCCTGGCCTCCTTTATTTATTTTTAATTGAGGCAGAGTCTTGCTTTGTTGCCCAGGCTGGACTGCAGTGATGCGATCTTGGCTCACTGCAACCTCTGTCTACCCGACTCAAGCAGTTCTCCTGCCTCAGCCTCCTGAGTAGCTGGGATTGTAGGCATGCGCCACCACACCTGGCTAATTTTTGTATTTTTAGTAGAGACGGGGTTTCGCCATGTTGACCAGGCTGGTCTTGAACTCCTGAACTTAAATGATCTCATCTCAGCCTCCCAGGGTGCTGGGATCATAGGCATAAGCCACCACTGCCTGGTCTCGTTTCCTTTAATAAGTTTATTTTTCACTCATTTTTCCTTATTAATTTATTGACATAAAATAGTAAACCTTCCCAATTACAGTAGTTATTACTCTAAATAATGTATTTGTGACTATCATAACTGGTAAAATGATTATTTAGGCAAAGCATTTTAAAATTTCTTGTGCCCAGGCATGGTGGCTCACGCCTGTAATCCTAACACTTTGGGAGGCCGAGGCAGGCGAATCACGAGGCCAGGAGATCGAGACCATCCTGGCTAACACGGTGAAACCCTGTCTCTACTAAAAATACAAAAAAGTAGCCAGGCGTGCTGGCAGGTGCCTGTAGTCCCAGCTACTGGGGAGGCTGAGGCAGAATGGCATGAACCCGGGAGGCGGAGCTTGCAGTGAGCGGAGATCATGCCACTGCACTCCAGCCTGTGCGACAGAGCGAGACTCCGCCCCCCCAAAACAAAACAAAACAAAACAAAACAAAACAAAATTTCTTGCCTAGTTCTGATGTTATTAATTACACATAACTTTTGAAAATAATTACAATTATTAATAGTATATTTTAATATAACTTAAATTTAAAACATTCTTATGAAAAATCTGACACCTTATATTGAAACTTTTTCTAGAGATGTAGAAGAATTACAGCTAAAACTTACAAAGGCTAATGAAAATGCAAGTTTTCTGCAAAAAAGTATTGAGGACATGACTGTCAAAGCTGAACAGAGCCAGCAAGAAGCAGCTAAAAAGCATGAGGAAGAAAAGAAAGAATTGGAGAGGAAATTGTCGGACCTGGTAAGGAGATACTCAGTGGGCCTGTTGGCTGGCAAGGAAGGCAAGGGATAGTACACGCATGGGCAGATGACTCATTCCCTCATTCGGGGTCTCTGCAGGAAAAGAAAATGGAAACAAGCCACAACCAGTGTCAGGAGCTGAAAGCCAGGTATGAGAGAGCCACTTCTGAGACAAAAACCAAGCATGAAGAAATCCTACAGAACCTCCAGAAGACGCTGCTGGACACAGAGGACAAGCTGAAGGGCGCACGGGAGGAGAACAGTGGCTTGCTGCAGGAGCTGGAGGAGCTGAGAAAGCAAGCCGACAAAGCCAAAGTACGTGACGCGAGAGAATTTCCTTGTGTTGTAGCTTGCCTGAGCTCTGTGTCGAGGCAGGAAGGGTGCTTAGAAAGCAGCAGCCAGTGGGAAAAGTTAAGGTGGCCTCTACAGACGTTACCCTTCTGAGTGCGTGGCAGGGTGGTACATTACATTTCCTATGGCTTCAAGTGTTTTGTGCCAGCTGCTGTTCCTTCTCGGACGGTGTTTCCTGCCAGTCTTTCCTGGAATGGACTGTGTAGCCATCACCCCTGTGCTGCTTGTTTCCCAGAGGTCACAAAGGTTCTTTCGTTGCCTGAGCTCTGCTTGCCTGCTTGTTCCTCTAATCTTGGCCGTGCTTGTTGCTGCCTTGCACTAGGGTTTGGAGAGATGTTGCGATAAAGCAAGAGGCAGAGGTCACATGAAGTAAGCAAGCAAGGAATCAGGACTAGAGAGAGCCTGGTTGGAGGAACAGAGCTCTTCTAGGAAGAGTTAGAATTGAGAACTCCACAGAGGGCTTTATGTGTCCCCAGGAAGGTACTGTGAGCTTATTGACAAGGAAGCTGGATTCAAGGGCAGGGAGGAAACACCTTGTTAGTAGATAGAGCAGAATTTGATATGTTGGATTTCATTTTATGGTTTTAGGATTGTATCTGTGCCCAATATATATTTTTTCTTTTTTTTGTAGAGAATGGGGTCTTGCTGTGTTGCCCAGGCTGGTCTCAAACTCCTGGGCTCAAGCAGTCCTCCCATCTTGGCCTCTTAAAGTGTTGGGATTACAGGTGTGAGCCACCATGCCTGGCCTGCCCAGTACATTTTGTGACTCTGGTAACTTCACGAAGTTCAACCTTGCCCACTGTTTAACCTTCTATTGCTCAAAGGAAAGTAAATATTCACCTTTCTTTATTTTTAATGTGTTTATAGGAGTTTAGTAGAAAGAAATGATAAAAGAGCATATATAGGACTTGAAACCAATCTCATGAAAAGCCTCTTGCTAACTAAGTGGACATGACATGGTATGTGTGTGCCGTGCATGTCATCTGGGAGGCCCATATTCTCCCTCTTCTACATGCTGATAGTTGAGGATTTCTCTTCTTTCTGTGAAATACCTCCAGTTTTATGAGCCATTTAACACTAGATACAATTCCCAGATCTTTTGTCTTTGTGGTTTCCTTTATCTGTGCAGACTTCAGTTTTTTTTTTGTATTTCCTTTAAAATGTTTCAGCCTGAGCAAACCACAGCATCGCAGAAGCTGATGTAAGGTCTCCTCGGTTGTTGTTTGTTTTTTTGAGACAAGGTCTCACTCTGTCACCCAGGCTGAGTGCAGCGGCACAGTCATGGCTCACTGCAGCCTCAACCTCTCGGGCTCAAGTGATCCCCTTGCCTCAGCTTCCCAAGTAGCTGAGACTAAAAGCACGTGCCACTACACCTGGCTAATTTTTTATTTTTTGTAGAGACAGAGTCTCGCTATGTTGCTCAGGCTGGTCTCGAACCCCTGGATGCAAGCGATCCACCTGCTTCAGCTTCCCAAGGTGCTGGGATTGCAGGCGTGATTCATCGTTCCTGGCCAGTCTCACAAGGCGCTGGGGTTGCAGGCGTGAGCCACCATTCCTGGCCAGTCTCACAAGGCGCTGGGGTTGCAGGCGTGAGCCACCATTCCTGGCCAGTCTCACAAGGTGCTGGGATTGCAGGCATGAGCCACCATTCCTGGCCAGTCTCACTGATTTTGTTGGTTGGTTTTGTGCAAGAGTCATTGAGTTAAAAATGCCAGGACTGTTCCCCTCCAAACGTGTCTAGTATCTAATTTCAGTGGATCGTAATCAGTCCCAGACTCTTTGGAATAATCTAATGAAATCTACAGATATTTTTTCAGGAAAGTTTACGTGTGCACTCAACAAGGTTCCTGGAACCCATGAAGCCTCCTATTCCCTACTTTTAAGAGCCAGTGGGCTATAGCTGTGCTGCCTAATGTAGTAGCCACCAGCCATGTGAGGCCATTCAAATGTAAATTTGTAGCCAGTTCTGGTGGCTCACGCCTGTAATCCTAGCACTTTGGGAGGCCAAGGTGGGCAGATTGCCTGAGCACAGGAGTTTGAGACCACCCTGGACAACATCGTGAGACCGTCTCTACTACAAATACAAAAAATTAATTGGGTGTGGTGGCACACACCTGTAGTCCCAGCTACTCAGGAGGCTGAGGCAGGAGAATCCTTTGAGCCTGGGAGGCGGAGGCTGCAGTGAGCTGAGATGGTGCCACTGCACTCTGGCCTGGGTGACAGAGTGAGACTGTCTCAAAAAATAAATAAAAATAAAAACCTTAATATGGGAATATATGCGGTCTACATTATTTTCTCTATTTTTGTATATGCTTAAAAGAGGATCGCTTGAAACTGGGAGGCAGAGGTTGCAGTGAGCCGAGATCGCGCCACTTCCCTCCAGCCTGGGCCACAGAGTGAGACTCTGCCTCCAAAATAAATAAATAAATAAATAAATTTAAATTTGTTACATTTTAATTAAAAATTTAGCTCCTCAGTTGCACTCACCACATTTCAGGTGCTCAGTAGTCATATGGTCACCATGATGGGAGTGCAAATAAGAACATTTATATCAGCTGGGCGTGGTGGCTCATGCCTGTAATCCCAGCACTTCGGGAGGCCTAGGTGGGTGGATCACTTGGGGTCAGGAGTTTGAGACCAGCCTGGCCAACATGGTGAAACCCCGTCTCTACTAAAAATACAAAAATTAGCCGGGCACGGTGGCGGAGCCTTGTAATCCCAGCTACTTGGGAGGCTGAGGCATGAGAATAGCTTGAACCCAGAGGCGGAGGTTGCAGTGAGCCAAGATCGCACCATTGCACTCCAGCCTGGGCAATAGATAGAGCGAGACTCAGTCTCAAAAAAAAAAAAAAAAAATTATATCATTGCAGAAAGTTCTGGATAGCACTGGTATAGACACTGTGGTCAAATTATCTTATAATTCAGTAAATAAAAAAAAAAAACTATTCCTTTTAGTCAGCAAAGCCTAGAAATTAGGCTGTAGTTTTTAAGTTATATGTGATATTGGGACTAAATCACTCTCAGCCCCTCAGCTACCCTTAAGTAAGGTCCTGTGGTGAGTTTGGAAGGCAGTAGTTTATTTTCCCTTGTTATGCCCCTTCCTTTTTTCATTAAAATATACTGAGTTTTTGTACTTCTTTTAATTGTATTTTTAAAAATTGTTCTATGAATCCTTTCTGCTTTCAAAGTAATTTGATAATTGGAATGGCAGGAAAGAATCTTATGCCCTGATATTAAAATCAAGCTACTATTTTTATCTTCTAGGTAGCTACTGGGAATAATTTCACAAGTTGTTTCAAAGATAAAATAAGCTAACAGATACAGAAGCACTTTGCAAAACTACACTTTTGACTTACCTTTTTATGGGCTCTGTTTAGTTTCTTTCCCTTGTTATTCAGATAGTTTCTATAAAGTTTATTGTAGAAATTGTAAAGTTTTTATCATTTAGGTTACATTAAGTTATTTGGGCTTGCATTTGTCTGCTTGATTTCATTTTTGTTTCCATTCTTTCCATCTTTTGTTTCTGTAGTCGCTAACTTATTTGTTAACATCAGCCAAAAAAGAAATTGAACTAATGTCAGAAGAGCTGAGGGGTCTGAAATCAGAGAAGCAGCTTCTTTCTCAGGAGGGAAATGATTTAAAGTTAGAAAACGGTTCACTTTTATCCAAGCTTGTAGAATTGGAGGCCAAAATAGCTTTACTTCAGGGAGACCAGCAGAAACTGTGGTCAGTGAATGAAACTCTTAATTTAGAAAAGGAGAAATTCTTAGAAGAAAAGCAAGATGCCGAAAAGTATTATGAGCAGGAACATCTCAATAAAGAAGCTTTGGCTGTTGAGAGAGAGAAATTGCTTAAAGAAATCAATGTTGTACAGGAAGAACTCTTGAAGATAAATGTGGAAAATGACTCTTTGCAAGCTTCCAAGGTGAGCATGCAGGCACTCATTGAAGAGCTCCAGCTCAGCAAAGATACTTTGATTGCTAAGACTGAGAAGGACCAGGAAGAAAAAGATCACCTGGAGGACCAGATCAAGAAACTTATTACCGAAAACTTCATCTTGGCCAAAGATAAGGATGACATCATTCAGAAGCTTCAAAGGTCTTATGAGGAGCTAGTCAAAGATCAGAAAGCTTTGGTACAGGAGACTGAAGATCTCACAGCTGAGAAAAAGTCAGCTTTAGAGAAATTGTCCAATCTCGATAACACGTGCATAGCCTTAAAGGTAGAACGAGATAATGTTCTTCAGAACAACAGAAATCTGCAGTTAGAGACGGACATGCTGCTTCAAGATCAGGAAAAGCTGAATGCCAGCCTCCAGGCCGCTCTCCAGGTCAAACAGCTGCTCCGCTCAGAAGCCAGTGGGCTCCGCGCACAGCTGGATGATGCCAGCAAGGCCCTGAGGAAGGCAGAGCTGGAGACCGTGCAACTCGAGGCCGCAAACACAAGCCTCACGAAGCTCTTGGAGGAAATTAAGGCCAGGCGGGCGGTCACGGACTCCGAGTGCATCCAGCTTCTGCATGAGAAAGAAACCTTGGCTGCCTCCGAGAGAAGGCTCTTGGCTGAGAAAGAGGAACTTTTAAGTGAAAATAGAATAATCACTGAAAAACTCCACAAATGCTTAGAAGAGGCTGCCCATACTGAGATGAGCCTGAATGAGAAGATCACTTACCTGACTTCCGAGAAGGAGATGGCTTCTCAGAAAATGACTGAACTTAAAAAGCAGCAGGATAGTCTCTTGAAAGAAAAATCCTCACTGGAAACGCAAAATGGAGCTTTACTTGCAGAGAGAGAGAATTCCATCAAAGCCATAGGAGACCTCAAAAGGCAATGTGATCAAGAGTCTGCAAACAGAAGTTTAGTTGTGCAAGAGAATATGAAACTCCTCGGTAATATTGATGCTCTGAAGAAGGAGCTTCAAGAGAGAAAAAAGGAAAACCAAGAACTAGTGGCCAGCAAGTGCGACCTCTCTTTGATGCTGAAAGAGGCTCAAAATACCAAAAAGAATCTGGAAAAAGAACACACTCACATATTGCAAGCAAAGGAGAGTTTGGATGCTCAACTTAACACGTGTTGTTCCGAGAAGAACATTTTGCTGAGAGATGGCTTGAACCTGCAAGAAGAGTGTCACAAATTAAGCAAGGAGATCCAGGAAATGCAGCAGTCCTTAATCCTGGAACAGGAAGCCAGAGCAAAGGAGAGCGAGTCATCCTTGTACGAAAACAATCAACTTCACGGGAGGATGGTGCTCCTGGAGCAGGAGGTGGAGGAGTTAAGAGTGTGTATCGAGGAGCTGCAGTCCGAGAAGTTTGTGCTACTTCAAGAGAAGAGCAAATCAGAGCAAGAACTGGCAGAGATAATCGAGGAGAAGGAACTGTTGACTGCAGAAGCAGCTCAACTTGCTGCCCATATAAAGACTCTGAAAAGTGATTTTGCTGCCTTGTCCAAATCCAAGGCAGAGCTGCAGGAACTGCACAGCTGCCTCACCAAGATTCTGGATGACCTTCAGCGGAACCATGAGGTGACCCTGGCCGAAAAAGCCCAGGTGATGCAAGACAACCAGAACCTCCTGGCTGAGAAGAGCGAAATGATGCTGGAAAAGGATGAGCTCCTGAAGGAGAAGGAAACCCTGGCAGAAAGCTACTTCATCCTTCAGAAAGAGATCAGCCAGTTGGCCAAAACCAACAGCCATATTTCAGCCAATCTCCTAGAATCTCAAAATGAAAACCGTACTTTGAGAAAAGACAAGAACAAGCTTACTCTTAAAATTAGAGAGCTCGAGACTCTTCAGTCATTTACGGTAAAGTGAGAGGGTCAAGTATTGAGCACCCAGACTGCTTACTAACACTGTGCACTAACTCAAGTGGTGTAGGTCATCTTTCTTCATTTCTGCTTATGGAAATCCACCTCATTAAGTCAGTTGCTTATATGTCTCAAGCTGTTCGTTACAGTCTGAAAGGGGGATTCTTTACTAAGTATCTCACTGTAGTAGTCTCTCCCCATTTGAAAAAAATTGCAAACTGTGAATAAAAAGGATTTATTTTTTAATCTAAGGAGAAACTTTATGAAAAAGCTTAAGAGCAATAGTGAAATTCGGCTGGGCGCAGTGGCTCACGCCTGTAATCCCAGCACTTTGGGAGGCTGAGGTGGACAGATGGCTTCAGTCTAGGAGTTCGAGACCAGCCTGGGCAACATGGCAAAACCCTGTCTCTACAAAAAATACAGTAATTAGCTGGGCATGGTGACACATGCCTATCGTCCCAGCTGCTCAGGAGGCTGAGATGAGAGGATTGCTTGAGCCCAGGAGGCAGAAGTTGCAGGAAACCGAGATCATGCCATTGCACTCCAGCCTGGTTGACAGAGCGAGACCCCATCTAAAAAAAAAGAACAGCCAGGTGTGGTGGCTCACGGGGGCTGAGGCAGGTGGATCACCTGAGGTCAGGAGTTCGAGACCAGCCTAACCAACATGGTGAAACCCTGTCTCTACTAAAAATACAAAAATTCGCCAGGCGTGGTGGCGTGCGCTTATAATCCCAGCTACTCAGGAGGCTGAGGCAGTAGAATCACTTGAATCCAGGAGATGGAGGTTGCAGTGAGCCGAGCTTGCGCCATTGCACTCCAGCCTGGGCAACAAGAGTGAAAAACTCTGTCTCAAGGGAAAAAAAAAAAAAGCAATAAATTGGCACATATTGAAATATAGTCTTCTGTTTGGCTTTTAACTATTTCATTGTGTCTGTCCATTTGGAGTTGGAAGATTCCATTGAAATCTTCATGGCTGATAATTGGATAGGGAAAAATGCAGAATTTTCATAAACTTTATTAGACCAATAAATTATAAACAAGTGCCTAAAGGACTTTATTTATTTATTTATTTATTTATTTATTTATTTATTTAAGACAGAGTCTCACCGGGTGCGGTGGCTTACACCTGTAATCCCAGCACTTTGGGAGGCTGTTGCAGGCGGATCACGAGATCAGAAGATCAAGACCATCCTGGCCAACATGGTGAAACCCCGTCTCTACTAAAAATACAAAAATTAGCCCGGTGTGGTGATGTGGGCCTGTAGTTCCAGCTACTCAGGAGGCTGAGGCAGGAGAATCACTTGAACCAGGGAGGCGGAGGTTGCAGTGAGCTGAGATTGCACCACTGCGCTCCAGCCTGGTGACAGAATGAGACTGCCTAAAAAAAAAAAAAAGAGTCTCGCTCTGTCACCCAGGTTGGAGTACAGTGGTGTGACCTTGGCTCACTGCAACCTCTGCCTCCCGGGTTCAAGCGATTCTCCTGCCTCACCCTCTTGAGTAGCTGGGACTACAGGTGCGTGCTGCCACACCCGGCTAAGCTTTGTATTTTTAGTAGGGACTGGGTTTCACCATATTGACTCCTGACCTTGTGATCTGCCTGCCTCGGCCTCCCAAAGTGCTAGGATTACAGGCATGAGCCACTGCGCCTGGCCTGTTAATTAATTTATTTTTTTAGAGGTGGGAATCTTGCTGTGTTTCCCAGGCTACTTTCCACCTCCTGGGCTCAAGCAATCCTCCCGTCTCAGCTCCCTGAGTAGCTGGGACTGTAGGCACATGCTACCATGCCTAGCTATATTTTCATTTATTTTTATGGTTATTTTTACATCTAACTTTTTTTTTTTTTTTTGAGACGGAGTCTCGCTGTGTCGCCAGGCTGGAGTGCAGTGGCGCAATCTCAGCTCACTGCAACCTCCGCCTCCCAGGTTCACACCATTCTCCTGCCCCACCTCCCAAGTAGCTACAGGCACCCGCCACCACGGCCAGCTAGTTTTTTGTATTTTTATTAGAGACGGGGTTTCACTATGTTGGCCAGGATGGTCTCAATATCTTGACCTCGTGATCCGCCTGCCTCGGCCTCCCAAAGTGCTGGGATTACAGGCGTGAGCCACTGCGCCCGGCCTATATCTAACTTTTTATAATTAATTTTGATAGTTAACAGCTAAGAATTTGTCTCCATATGCATCTTTTTATTCACAGCCGTGTTTTTATTCATTACCCACAACTTGCATTAAATGCTTCTCGTTAAACACTTGAGCCTTATGTTAGAAGTGCCCAAATAATTTTTATATTTATTTGAAAAATTCTCAGCCTAAATTTGAGTGACTTTGAAAGCCCCAGATTTGAAATAGCAAGGATGGTATTTTAAACTTATAATAATAAATATGATTCCAAGAAATTCAGCTATATAAGGATGTTATTCATTGTTACCTCCGAACGGTCTCTCAAACATAAGTCAGAATGAAGGGAGCATGCTTGCCAGTGTCATTTGGAACTTTCACTGGAAGATGTATGTTTACATGCAAATTGCATAACAATTGACATTGAAAAATGGCAGGAAAGGGTCTGCATATTCTACTTCAGAGTAAAGACCTTTCCTGTCCTGGTCCGTCTGTTTCAGCACTGGATTGTGACTGATTCACCCTCTCTGTGTGCCTCCCTTACCCACACAGACACTGAGTGCTGCCTGAACAGCACAGCCCGATCCTCACCTAACGGTGTTGGCGAGGGCTGTCCTCATTTCTCACAGTGTTTCCTTGTATTTAGGCTGCTCAAACAGCGGAAGATGCCATGCAGATAATGGAACAGATGACCAAAGAGAAGACTGAGACTCTGGCCTCCTTGGAGGACACCAAGCAAACAAATGCAAAACTACAGAATGAAGTAATCAGATTTAAATAGCTTTTTATACAAAGAACAGCTTACCAACTTGGTAGAATGTTTGGTCACTGACTCAGGATTGCTTATGTTTTTGAAGTGTGTGACTTTACACAGGTTTGAAATGCATGCCAGAGCCACGATAATCTTAAATAAAGTGTATCACTTCATTACTTATTAGGATCAACTTTACAAATTGAGGAAAAAATCCTAATAGTGTGGCTAAGGTGACTGTTTACTGATGGCACTAGTGAGAGGAGGTACTGATGGCCTGCTCTAGCTTTTGTATCCTTGATCTTACATCACACACATTGTTTTTTCTCTTCTCTTTCCCAACTTTGAGCCACTAAGTTTTCTTCCTCAGCCCTGAGTCTGATGTAGGCCTTTTCTTGGCCCAATTCAGTACTGATTTCCTTTTGTGTCATCTTGAATGAGTCACTTTTGGAGCAGGGACAAATATGTGGCGTCAAGATATTTTGATTCTGTCCACAAGTAGCATTTCTCCTTCTGTGGCATTTCTCCTCCTCTTTGGATTTCCCTGCTCCCACCCTCCTAGCTCATACCAACCCTTTCTTCATTTGGAAAGCTGTTATCTAAATCCTAAGCCGACTGAGGCACCAAAATGGTTATGTGAAGTCCTGTGGAACTTCAGATGCTTTTTTGTTGTTGTTGCTTTTTTTGTTTTGTTTTGTTGTTGTTGTTTTGAGATGGAGTCTTGCTCTTGTTGCCCAGGCTGTTGTGCAATGGCATGATCTCGGCTCACTGCAACCTCCACCTCCTGGGTTCAAGTGATTCTCCTGCCTCAGCCTCCCGAGTAGCTGGGATTACAGGTGCCCACTACCACGCCTGGCTAATTTTTGTATTTTAAGTAGGGACGGAGTTTTGCCATGTTGGCCAGGCTGTTCTGGAACTCCTGACCTCGTGATCCTCCCACCTTGGCCTCCCAAAGGGCTGGGATTACAGGCATGAGCCACCACGCCCAGCCCAGATACTTTTAAAAGTAATAGGCAGGTAAGACATTAAGGAAGGAAAGCAAGGGGGAGGCAGTGGCCAAACTGAGGAGCCACTGTAAAGACCAGGCCTCCTCATTGTGGAGGTCAAGGATCAACTTTTCAAAGGAGATGAACATTTGGAGGTAATGATATGATAAATAACAACACTTCACATAGAAGGAAGTACATTTATAGAACTGACAATCCTAAGAGAAGATGACTTAAACTAAAAGTATAAAAGCATTAAAAAATCATAGCTGTTAATCAAAATTAGAAGCTGAAGTAAATGAGAGGATTTTAGGGAATGTGTCTAACCTGCAGCAGTGGAACCAGGGGGAACTGTGTCGTTCTATAACAGATCCCTTGGTGTCTTTGTTATAGCCAGAATTCAGGGTTGGATGAACCATATTTTCGGACCCATTGTGATATTTTATTTTTCTTGTTCTGTTAATCTGGAATGTTAGGTGTTAAAAGGAAGATGGTAGTTGTAAAACTAGCAAGACATTTTCTAGGACTCCTGACTGGTGGCATGTGGCATGGCAAAAGGAGATAGCTCCCTTTTCTGGCTGTAGGAGACAACTTCTCAAGGCCCAGAAAGCCAGCATGGCCCCAGGAGCCACCTTGAGGAATGGAGGCCCACATGAGCTACCATCCTTGGTGGTGGCTCTGCACCTAGAGCTCCAACCACCTGCCACAGCCTATGATCAGTCATATCCCCACTCATCCCAGTGACAGCTCTGGCTTTCCACCAAGAGCCAGGCCCTCAGCTGGCTGCATCCCCGTGGGCCAATGATGGAGCCAGGTGGGTGTAAGTGCCCTTCAGTCCCACGACATGGCTTTTTCCTCTTCAGGTTCAAGTTCAGATGGGTAACTAAATTTTTTTCCAGTCTACAAATAATTTTGATTCAAATAAATAATTTTTGTAATGAGGACTATGTAAATCTGGTACTGACATTGAAAAATATCGTATCCTAAATCACTAATCTTTGGGGAAAGAAAAGGGTTTCTTTTCATTACAAAGAATAATCCTTGCTGATGTCATTGCTTTGCATTTTATTTCTTGTTTTTAATCATATTTGAATAGCAAGTTCAGTGATAAGTGCTGATAATTGTACACAAGATAAAAGAAAACTTTACTTCTGTGTAGCAATCTAGTTTGACCTTTTGGCCAGGTGTACAGGATATATATATATCAGACTAAATGTAAGGAGGAGGTTTGCAGTTTGTAATAGACTTGTCATCTGTAATCTCTTCACCCAGGAGACTTTTTTTTTTTGCGAGTGACTAATTTCATCTGTCTTTTCAGTACACATTTTCATGAATAATTTGTTCATTCATGTCACTGGAAAATGAAATAATTTCATCAAGTTTTTTTCTCTTGGTCTTTAAGTTGGACACACTTAAAGAAAACAACTTGAAAAATGTGGAAGAGCTGAACAAATCAAAAGAACTCCTGACTGTAGAGAATCAAAAAATGGAAGAATTTAGGAAAGAAATGTAAGTTTCTATCCTTTGAGAAAAAAATATGGAATTTATTTTAAATTGAAAATGTGAACACAATGCTAATTACTTAAAAATTATTTGAGAAGTACATAAAGTAAACGTATGCAGACTCTATTGCATACCCCAGAAGCAACATCAGTAACCACCGTGAGGTCAGAGCCACAGCTAAGTTAAAGGATCAGAATGAAATGTGTACTGGCTGATGAGTTCAGTTGGGGATTCAGATGTGACTTTGGGGTGGGTGTGGTGGCACGTGCCTGTAATCCCATCACTGGGAGGCTGAGGTGGGTAGATCACTTGAGCCTGGGAGTTTGAGACCAGCCTGGGCAACACAGCAAAACCCTGTTTCTACAAAAAGTACAAAAATTAGTTGGGTATGGTGGTGTGTGCCTATTTGCCAATTACTCAGGAGGCTGAGGTGGGAGGATCGCTTGAGCCCAGCAGGTTGAGGCTGCAGTGAGCCATAATCGTGCCACTGCACTCCAGCCTGGGTGACAGAGTGAGATCCTGTCTCAAAAAAAAAAAAAGAAGTGACTCGAAAGCCTTGAAAGTACGAGTAGAATCAGAACAGCCAGTCTTAACATTTGGTCTTGAACTTCCGACCTCAAGTGATCCTCCCTCCTCAGCCTCCCAAAGTTCTGGGATTATAGGCATGAACCACTGCGCCTGGCCAGCCAATCTTAACATTTGGAAATGTCAGACCCTTCATTAGCAAGTCCCTCAAAACTCTTTTTATAGGGGGAAAAAAATCAAATAGCATGTCACTTTCTACATTTTCAGTATTTCAATTTTAAGAGTAATAGACCAGGCACGGTGGTTCATGCCTGTAATCCCAGCACTTTGGGAGGCTGAGGTGGGTGGAGCACGAAGTCAGGAGATTGAGACCATCCTGGCTAACACGGTGAAACCCCGTCTCTACTAAAAATACAAAGAAATTAGCCGGGCGTGGTGGCGGACGCCTGTAGTCTCAGCTACTCAGGAGGCTAAGGCAGGAGAATGGCGTGAACCCGGGAGGCGGAGTTTGCAGTGAGCCGAGATCGAGCCACTGCACTCCAGCCTGGGTGACAGAGCGAGACTCCATCTCAAAAAAAAAAAAAGAAAAGGAATCAAACCGTCTGGCATGGAAATGAAATGACCAGCATTTTGGAAGACTGTAAAATTAAGGTTTACACATCAATTTGTTACGTGGTTTCAGGCAGACAGACTGTTCATACTTCCTTTGTTGATGCTAACTCAGTTCTTGCCTTTCAAGTTTGGCTAGTGTAGTTATTAGAGATTGGCATTTTCAGACATTTTAAAGGATAGTTACGGTGTAGATTTCATTTGGTCTTCTATTCTGTTAATGACACTGTATCAACCGTATTAACCTAAAACCCTAAAGCTAATTCACCTGGTGAACATTGGAGTGTGTCTTTGTCTTTCATGGTAGGTACAGTTAAGGTAGGAAGGATAAAAAGGTGAGTATATACGGTCCCTGCCCTTCAAGGGTTTGTGTCTTTTATTTCCAATCCTAATACATAGATGAGATTCAAGCAAAAACAAAAACATCAGTTCCAAACTGCTGTTTTAAGTCATCATCCTCAATACTATTTGTTGATTGAGCTTGGATTAAGCTAGCACATGTGTGGTTCTTCGGGGAGTTTTAAAATTTTCCTGGGAGTGATCTGAGCTGCTCCTGCGAGGGGATGCACAGCTTGTGATGTCGGTGATTTTCTTCCTCAGTCCTAGTTTAAATGGCGGGTCTCTAGATGATGGGATTATGTTTAAACAGTTCCAACAATTTCATTTATGCAGATTTATAAATTTACAATTGTGATTATGGTCATCAGGGGAGGCTTCAATTTCCTTGGCCTGCCAACATCAAGTGACACAAATAGAAGATGGGTCACCATGACAGGAAAAACAAAGTCATTTGTTGTAATGTGACAGTTTAGTTCTATTCATTCAGGAAGCAGGGTGCAGGTACAGATTAGGATTTCTTTTCTTGGTGACACGAGTCATTTTGCAAACCTGAAGGGCTTTGGGGCACCAGGTTGAATTCCTGCATTGTGTCCCATGGGCAGCTGGTGAGAGAGAATGTGAACTGCCACGAGAGACTCCCTCTCCAACCTGCACTGCCATAATCCCACCGCCAAGCTCCCTGGGTCCTACTAGGTGATGGAGGGGCAGGGCCAAGTGGACCTGGCCAAGAGGGTTCTTGGGGTTTAGATAAAATTCCATTTTCCTGCAG
Organism: Homo sapiens; assembly: GCF_000001405.40. NCBI lineage: Eukaryota > Metazoa > Chordata > Mammalia > Primates > Hominidae > Homo > Homo sapiens. The sequence continues at coordinate 122,314,512 of NC_000012.12, read as the reverse complement.
TACTACTTACGAGTCTTTTGTTGTTTTTATTTGTTTGTTTGTTTCTGAGACAGAGTCTCTGTTCCCCAGACTGGAGTGTAGTAGTGTGATCTCTGCTCACCACGACCTCTGCCTCCTGGGTTCAAGCAGTTTTCGTGCCTCAACCTCCCAAGTAGCTGAGATTACAGGCGCGCGTCGCCATGCCCAGCTAATTTTTTTGTACTTTTTTTTTTTTTTTTTTTTGAGATGGAGTCTCACCCTTTAGCCCAGGCTAGAGTGCAGTGGTGCAGTCTCGGCTCACTGCAACCTCCGCCTCCCGGGTTGAAGCGATTCTCCTGCCTCAGCCTCCCGAGCAGCTGGGATTACAGATGCCTGCCACCACACCCATCTAATTTTTGTATTTTTAGTAGAAACAGGGTTTCACCATATTCGCCAGGCTGTACTCGAACGCCTGACCTTGTGATCCGCCTGCCTCAGCCTCCCAAAGTGCTGGGATTACAGCTGTGAGCCACTGCGCCTGGCCATTTTTTTGTATTTTTAGTAGAGATGGGGTTTCACCATGTTGGCCAGGCTGGTCTTGAACTCCTGGCCTCAAATGATCTGCCCGCCTTGACCTCCCAAAGTGCTGGGATTACAGGCGGGAGCCACTGCACCTGGCTCTTAGGAGTCTTTTGTTGCGGTCATTACTAGTATTCCAGTGAGATCACCTTTAATGTTCAGAGTCCTCACTGAATCCTGTCACGTCACCTACCCTCAGTGTGGTGTTGGTTTCACCCTTATGAAGACATAGTTTTTTTTTGTTGTTGTTGTTGTTTTGAAATGGAGTTTTGCTCTTGTTGCCCAGGATGGAGTGCAGTGGCATGATCTTGGCTCACTGTAACCTCCACCTCCTGGGTTCAAGTGGTTCTCCTGCCTCAGTAGCTGGGATTACAGGCATGTACCACCGTGCCCAGCTAATTTTGTATTTTTAGTAGAGACGGGGTTTCTCCATGTTGATCAGGCTGGTCTCGAACTACCAACCTCAGGTGATCCGCCTGCCTCGGCCTCCCAAAGTACTGGGATTATAGGCATGAGCCACCACGCCCGGCCAGGTGACATAAATTGTTTTTGTGACCCCCTCCTTCGAATTATTCCGTTGACTAATAAAAGCTTAGCTGAGATTGTGGCTCCAGCTGCTGTCACGCTAACCCCAGCCTGTGCTGAGCTGTTCCTGGTGCTGTACTCCCCAGACCTCTGATCCCTGAACACATTCAGGTGGGGAGGGACCGGATCCCAGGGCAGAAAGAGCCTGGGCTGCTTTGGATTTTCTACTATTTTTCTGCCCCAACAGACCTGAGGGAATCACATCTTCCTGTCAGTGACTTGGCACAATATGGCTGGGACTGTTAACGGGAGGGAGGAACAGTGGGAGACACGCTGGTAGCGTTCCATGGAAGCTGGCACAGGAGGTATGGGGAGTAGGTTGAAAAAGCCCCTGCCCCTGATGACTGGTGGCTTTGTGGTCAGATTTCCAGGGCCTTCTGCGGTAAGAGGACTGTGTAATGGGAACAGTGCTTCTCAAAACAAAGCAGTCACTTTGCTATTCCTTAGTCTTATTCCTCAGAGCTCAAAGCTGGAGAATGAGCAGCTGCTTACTTCTTCCGTGGTTTAACGTGTATGGGGTTTTGCGTGTCCTCTGGAGCTTTTTTGGTGTTTCTCTTCACCTAATAGGACTGTGGTTCCTGGAGAAAAAGGGGCACCAATATAGACACAGGGTTTCTTATTTTTTTGAGACAGGGTGTCACTCTGTTGCCCTAGCTAGAGTACAGTGGCAGCAGTCTCAGCTCACTGCAGCCACCACCTCCCGGGTTTAATTCATCATGCCACCCCAGCCTCCCAAGTAGCTGGGATCACAGACATGCACCACCACGCCCAACTAATTTTTGTATTTTTAGTAGAGATGGGGTTTTGCCATGTTGGCCAGGCTGGTCTCGAACTCCTGGCCTCAAGTGATCCGCCTGCCTCAGCCTCCCAAAGTGCTGGGATTACAGGCTTGAGCCACTACGCTCAGCCACCACAAGGGTTCTAATAGGAACCCCTCCCTCTAGAATATTGCCCTTGCCCCTGGAAACCAGCACTTGTAACTGTTCTTTTCCTGTGTGCCACTTACAAGGCTGCTTTTAGGAAAGCTCTTGCTTGATTTCGGTTAGCCAGCTCCTATTTTCAGTTGTAGATAACAATGAAACAGTTTCTTGTGGTGTATAATTTTGGATCTTAGGGAAAAAAGGGCATAAGTAATCTAATTTTTGTCTTTACTAACCTGGCACAGTAGTAAATGTACAATACATTTAGCATGATAATAGATTTATGATGGATTCATAAGTAAAATGTTTACAATATTAACAATGTTTGTCTTTAGTTTTAAACCTAGTCTCTTCTGTGTCAAGGTATCTTGTCATGTAGAAAGAAAAGTAGCTTCTTTAAAAACCATTAGAAATATTTTTGTAGCTATTTTGAAAATCATTCCTTGAGTATTTCCAGAATTTGGGTTATTGGAGCCTCTTTCCTCTATGAAATGGATTCACCCACTACCCACTAAAGAAAAAACAAAGTGCTCTATATCTGAACCACGACTGAAGTCATCTGCCAGCTGTAGCTCCTGTTCTTGTGGTTTTGCTGCTTTCTGGCTTTATGATTTGGGGCAAATCTGTTTACTTCCCGGAGCTTCAGTCTTCTCATTAAAACATAAATGACATGAGCCTCCTTGGGCTTTGAGGATTAAATGAGAAAATGGACATGGAAGCATTTTGTAAATTTTAAAACAATAATTTTGGCCGGGCGCGGTGGCTCATGCCTGTAATCCCAGCACTTTGGGAGGCCGAGGCGGGCAGATCACGAGGTCAAGAGATCCAGACCATCCTGGCCAACATGATGAAACCCCGTCTCTACTAAAAATACAAAAATTGGCTGGGCGCGGTGGCGGACACCTGTAGTCCCAGTTACTCAGGAGGCTGAGGCAGGAGAATGGCGTGAACCTGGGAGGTGGAGCTTGCAGTGAGCCGAGTTCGTGCCACTGCACTCCAGCCTGGGCGACAGAGCGAGACTCTGTCTCAAAAAAAAAAAAATAATAATAATAATAATTTTGTTTTTATAGGTCAATGCTTTAGGATACTTTGGCCACTTTTAGATTACTTCCTTGATGTGTCGTTTTTATTTTCCTTCCTGTGGGCTTGAGAGAGAAGGAACAGGAGTATAAGCGTAGCACTTTGACAGGCCACACACATGCAGACACCATGTAGCCACTCATGAAGGCAGTGACCACCTGGGAAATATGTTTAGCTTATGGTAATTTTACCATAAGGAAATTTGATTTGTCAAAGATTGATGGACTTTGGACAGATGAACTTTCACTGTGATATGTGTGTATGTGCATGTATATACATATATACATATATAGAGAGAGATTCATATATATGCATCTCTTTTGTGAGTGACTAGCTGAGGCTAAAATTCCTTCTCAGTTTATCTTCAATTGCTAAATAAACATCTCTGTAAAAAGCCTAATTTAGTGTGCTAAGAGAATTTTTGTGTGGATTTATTTCCCTAAGTCTTCCTGAGGTCATCCCAGTGTGCATATTATAGGTGGATGGAGAATTAAAAATTGAGAAAATCGAATGTGCCGAGAACTGCCACCCATTAGACAATTGAAGTTAAAAATAGATGTGTTCATGCATCAGCAGATGGATTCATACCCAGATGACTTGATTCAGAATTCAGCCATGTATGACAGCTTGCTAAATGGAGTTTAACCAACACAGATGTACTTAAAATTCACAATTCCATCAAAACCCTCTATAGCATAAAACTAAGATTTAGTGATCAAATATTGTGCATATTCATGTATAAAGGATAATGTTTAGGATGTATGTTTTGGATTATTTTAAGAACAAGAAGATGTTTAATAAATATACCTATCCTGTTCATTTTTTCTATGCTGATATTCACGGTATAAGTTAGCAGTCTGTATTATATTTTTATTTGCTTCTTTCAATTATAAATTAGCATTGTGGAAAGACTACTATAAAATAAAACACCTGTTATGTAATTAGGAAACTATATTTCCTTGGGGCATTCCGCCTCTAGTTGTCCTAAAAATATACTCAGATTTACATCAGCACTTGACTCTGACAGATACTGGTAAATGGGACCATTGGATTTTTATTTCTTCCAGAAAAAAACAAATTATAGATCTGTGCAGTTAGAACAGAGTGCCTTGGCAGCAAATTAAATCACTTTATCAACGAAGTGGGTTTTAGTAAAATCATCTAATGGAAATATTCCTAAAGACAGGAGGGCTGTACTGACCATCTCATTTGTCATTTATTTTATAGCAAAATTCCTTTTTTATGGGGTAAGTTTGGGTGGTGGGAGGGTGGGCATAGGGTTTATTAGGTTCTGAAAAATGTAATAATTGTGGGTGGCAGCCCTCCTTTTGGGAGGTTATGGCCATTTAACCCCTTCTGCATGTAGATAATACTGTCTGCTGTTATTATAGATCCTATCAGGCACGTGACCCAGATATATTTTCTTCAGTGCTGTGAAGCTGGTTGTCTCCCACAGTTTCCTTGCCTGTCTTGTTTCTATGGTAACCCTGCACTCACTGTCCTTGCAGAGAAACCCTAAAGCAGGCAGCAGCTCAGAAGTCCCAGCAGCTTTCAGCGTTGCAAGAAGAGAACGTTAAACTTGCTGAGGAGCTGGGGAGAAGCAGGGACGAAGTCACAAGTCATCAAAAGGTCAGTGTCCTTTGGCGAGGGGTTCCAGCTGTGCCATGCTGGGTGCTGCTGCTGTTGGCAGCACGCTCAGAGGCCACTCGGAGGTCTGCTCAGTGTGGTGGGGTCATTCCAAATGGAATTCCAAGTTACCTGTGCTATGTGTCTCCTTGTTTTCAAACGTGCTGCTGTAGGATTTAGGGTAGGAGAGATTTGACAGGTCCTTTAAAAAACACACAGAACACTGGAACTTGCAAGCAAGTAGAAAATACTATCTTTATTAGACAATCTTGTAGCTCAACATTTAAATGGAAGGGGACAGTATCTTCACCCTACTACTACTTGGATTACAAAATTATTTTTCTCTTAAGATTTTTTTCACTTTCATCAAAATTGATTTTGAAGAAACAGATTCCAAGAATATAGATTTGGTGTAAGTGTTGGCAGCTGATTTTAAATAGAACTCTGCTTTTGTTTAAATTAAAAAACATGCTTAAGCCTTTTCTAATGAAACTGTGCATACATGTACACTTGTGTGCATTGGTAAATATAGAATATATGTTACAACTGGCATGAACTATAAGCAAACCACAACCTATTTACTTCTATATTTAAATTACAAAGGTTTCTTATAGAAGTTGATTAAACATGGCAACAAAACTGATTTTAAAGGAAGCTATATCTGCCTTTTATTCTTCTCTAACAGTTGAATCAAAGTGCTGAATTGTGAGTCACATCTGACTTCAGAGCAGCAGCTTAAAATTACATTTTTAAGAGACTTTTGCTGTGTAGTCATTCATTCTTGTTTTGTACTCCAAGGGGAAAAAATTTTTTTTCCCGTTGTGTGTTGCAAACATTAATTCTTACTTGGGATGGATTAGTTTGGGGTAGTTGTACTGAGTACCCATTGACATGGTGCAATTTGTGGTGAAAGCACTTTTTGGAGAGTTAACTTTAGACTTTAAAATCTTCATTGTTGCTTTTGTGGAAGAAATGCCACATCTCTTCAGACTCCAAGATGATGATGATGCTGTTGGTGATAGTAGCTAACATTTATGGGCTCTTGCTATGTGACAGGCACAAATAAGTGCTAGCTGTCATCGCAGTCCTTGCCATAATTCTAAGCAATAGCACTATTATTATCCCCATTTGTAAAAGGGGAAACGGAAGCACAAAGATGATAGTAATTTGTTCAGCATCATTTGGCGACTAGTGTCAAGAGATGTCATCTTCTGATGGGGGCCAAGGAGAGTATCAGTGTGTTGACTTAACTAGGGTCACTGCACTCTCCTTTGATGAGTTTGTGAGAAACTGGAGGTCATGAAGAATGGAAGCCCATTGACCAGCAGGGGTTCTTTTTTCCTGGCACAAGCTAAAACACCTACAGCATTTGGCATCTCCAGCATCAGTGTGTCCACAGGGACTTGGAAGAGAAGGACTTTGGCTAAGTGCTGAGTCTATTGCCATCTCCTGTCATTTCATTGAACATCTCTGGTAGAGAGAGTGGGTTCCATAAATAGGAGGAACTTACAGAGATCATCCTCTTGACTTATGCTGTGACCTTAACTGGACTGATGATTACAGTTCTTGTCTCTGTCACTCAGAACCAGAAGGGATTCAGGAGACATCATGCTTCCTTGTTTAGAATTTCCCACAGTTTCTTTGCCTGACTTGGGCTCCTCTCCATCCTAGCAGCTCTGTTCTCTTTTGCAGTAGAGATTTCAATTAGCTTCCTACTGAAAAGGTTTTGTGATTAAAAAATGTAAAAATCAGGCACTTTGCAGAGTGTTAGAAAGTAATGCCTACAGGAATGGCTAAGAAGTGACTTACTTTTAAAGAATGGGTGGATTCTTAAGCCACTGGTAGTTTTCTGTATGTAACTCAGAAGGAGAAATAATGTGTATGTGAATTAAAATGTGATAGGCTTTCATGATGGAGATTGTGAAAAACATTGATTACCAAGAAAGATTATAGACCATTCTTTCCATGGTATATATATTTCAAAAGAGTGGAGTGAGCCACCCGTTTAAAGTAACTTAGAAGCCACCTTAGTTTAATGAAGACCGATTAATTCATCGGGCTCTGTTACTCTTTTATTGTATCATCTCCAAGAATTCTATAAAATTTCACTTAGTTGCTTTCTCCAGTTAAGTCAGACTATTGATCAGCTGTGTTAGAAATGTATTACAGAGCTACAGTATTTGGCAGAAATGCTATTTAAAAAAAATAATTTTAGTTGTAGTACTACAGAAAAATTTGCTTTTTCATTCTAAAATCGAGACAGTGGAGACTAGATTGACTTGGGAAAGGTAAGTACTGACCCACGACCTAGGTTCTCTCCTGATTCCTTTATTTAGAAGCACCATAATTTGTTGAACTGAGCTGATTGCTTTACCATTATTTCATGGAATCATCACAACCTACCTCAGAGATAGTAGGATTATTTTTAGACAGGAAACAGGCTCAAAAGTGAACTAATGGCTGGGCACAGTGACTCACACCTGTAATCTCAGCATTTTGGGAGGCCGAGGCGGGTGGATCATGAGGTCAGGAGTTCGAGACCGGCCTGGCCAAGATGGTGAAACCCCATCTCTACTAAAAATACAAAAATTAACCAGGCATGGTGGCGGGCGCCTGTAATCCCAGCTACTCGGGATACTGAGGGAGAGAATTGCTTGAATCTGGGAGGTGGAGGTTACAGTGAGCCGAGATCGTGCCACTGCACTCCAGCCTGGGCGACAGAGTGAGACTCTGTCTCAAAAAAAAAAAAAAAAAAAAAAAAAAAAAGTGAACTTACCAAGGATACACAGATAGGCAGTGGAGGAGCTGAGATTTGAAATTGTGTTTGAAAGCCTGTTTGTCCAGCTGCTGTTCTATTCTGAGAATAAAACTTTTTTCTGCTTACTTCATGATTATTGTTCAAGATTTTAAAAAGCTGTGAGCTAGAAATGGGGTAGGTGCGGTCAAACATTGCTCTAAAAATGGCTTCTGAACCCTACTGGTACTTTTTTTTTCTGCCTCAAATATTTATTTTGCTTAGAAAACCCAGTGCATCCCAGAATCTTGCCATTCACAGGTCTGCTTTTGCATCTTTTCTTGTCTCCTTTCTCACTTGGTGATCATGTCCTCATTGTTAAAGGCCCATGTTAAAGGTCATGGCCTCTGATCTTGAGCAGAGCAAGCTGCTGCCCCTTTGTGGTCAGGTGCGGGCTCTGCAGTGCCCTGACCTTAGAACCCAGCATTTTGGTCAGGATCGTGTGCTTCTGCTTCTCCCACAGACAGTGAGAAAGTAGGAATCATAGAGCACGACGTGTAGGTTTGAATGAATGCATGGGTGTTTGGTGAGTATCTTGTTTTTAGCCAGGGCCCCAGTTTCTGTTTTACAGAAGAAGACAGAGGACTTTGTGACTGCTCTTTCCATTTTTTAGATGATTCACTTTACTTCCAGCTTCATAGCTGAATTAGTCGGGGTTCTCTAGAGGGACAGAACTAGTAGGATAGATAGATATCAAGGGGAGTTTATTAAGGACTGTTAACTCACACAATCACAAGGTCCCACACGAGGCCATCTGCAAGCTGAGGACCAAGGAAGCCAGTTCGAGTCCCAAAGCTGAAGAACTTGAAGTCCAATGTTCTAGGGCAGGAAGCTTCCAGCATGGGAGAAAAATGTAGGCTGGGAGGCTAAACCAGTCTAGTCTTTTCACGTTCTTCTGCTTGCTTTTTTTTTTTTTTTAGATGGAGTCTCACTCTGTAGTCCAAGCTGGAGTGCAGTGGCTCGATCACTTGGCCTCCTGGGCTTAAGTGATTCTCATGCCTCAGCCTTCCTAGCAGCTGGGACTACAGGCGCGTGCCACCAGGCCTGGCTAATTTATTGTATTTTAGTAGAGACTGGGTTTCATCATGTTGCCCAGGGTAATCTCGAACTCCTGAGCTTAGGCAATCCGTCCACCTCAGCCTCCCAAAGTGCTGGGATTACAGGCATGAGCCACTGCGCTCAGCCATCTGACTGCTTTTTATTCTGGTCAAGCTGGCAGCTGATTACGTTGTGCCCACCTAGATGAAAGGTGGGCAGCCTTTCTCAGCCCACTGACTCAGATGTGAAATTTCCTTTAGCAACACCCTCACAGACATACCCAGGATCAGTACTTTGCATCCTCAATCCAATCGAGTTGACACTCAGTATTAACCATCGCAGTAGCTTTTGTTGCAGAGTTGTGGTGGCCGAAAACCTGATCACCAACTTAGTGGGGCATTTGCTCTTTGTGTGGCTGGTAGAAGCATACAGTGTAAATTCAGGCAAGGTCATATAGTTTAAGATTAATGGAAACTATACAGAGCATTCGTTTCTTTTTTAAGAGACAGAGTCTCACTTTGTAGCCTGGGCTGGAGAGCAGTGGCACTATCATAGCTCACTGCAGCCTCAACCTCCTGGGCTCAAGGGATCCTTCAGCCTCAGGCTCCCCAGTAGCTGGGACTATAGGTATAGTCTACCCCTATTTTCTTTTCATAGGGAATTCTAAAAATAATGTTGATTCTTCTATAGAAATAGTCACCTTAGGTAGTCACTTTTGATATGTCTGATTTATCATTTCCAAACCTCACATGTGTTCCACCTTGTAAAGATAGCAAATACAGTGAGCTATCACTATGGGAACAGAGCTGATTCTCCCCCTGGCTATTTGTAGAATGAGGTTACAGTTTGCTTATGGAAACCGGACAGGGATTAAATGACTCAATAACTGTATTTCATGAACAGTTTTTCCTGACAGAGGTTATAGCAGATGTATTATACAAAAAAATTGGGGTTAGCATCTAAATTGATCATGAATAGTCACCTGCCATTTAAATGAGCCTGAATTCCCAGACATGAATGCTTAGAAAGGGAAAGCTATTTTTAGCTTATTGTGTATTAGTTTGGAAAAATGGTGGTTATCAGCCATCATAATTTTAATCTGGGCTCAGGGGACTTCTGGGCAACTAGGGCTGATTGAAGCTGGATCACAGACTCTGTCTCCCTTCAGTACCCAATGCTATGAACACAGTTTTTCTGTATTAAAAAATGTGTCCAGCAGAAGCCAACAAAGCCAGTCAACTTCATGCTATAAACTTTTAAATTGGCACCCAAGGCTGGACGTGGAGGCTCACGCCTGTAATCCCAGCCCTTTAGGAGGCTGAGGCAGACAGATCACCTGAGGTCAGGAGTTCGAGACTAGCTGAGAAACATGGTGAAACCCCATCTCTAATAACAAATACAAAAATTAGCCGGGCATGGTGGTGCATGCCTGTAATTCTGGCTACTCGGGAGACTGAGGCAGGAGAATCACTTGAACCCGGGAGGCAGAGGTTGCAGTTAGTCGAGATCGTACCACTGGACTCCAGCCTGGGCGACAGAGCAAGACTCCGTCTCAAAAAATAAAAAGTAAATTGGCAACCAAGAAAGGAAACAAAATTGTGGTTTGACTCTGACACTTTGTCCCCAGTGGTAAGTGGAAAGGACGGTGAACAGCAAAATCCTGAGAATTTGTACTTGAATTCTCTCCATCCCTGTGCCCAGTCTAGTTTGGAAAAAATTAGACTGAAGAAGTGAGTAGACAGCCTGGGAAAAGTAAAGGAAAAATTTCTGAGGCTCAATGCCCCTTTGCACCACCGCAGGATTTTACCAACGGTGGGAAAAACTGCCAGTGGTCATTTTCTGTAGCTAGTCCAGCCAACAAACTGCAGCTGACAGGCACAGGGCACTGTGGGTATTTTTCTCAAGTGATAATAAGTCCGCAGTAGGCAGTCCGGGCGGGTACCCCCTCAGGAACGTCTGCACGGAGCTGGCCCTTCCTTCCTGCTTGCTGCTCTGCTAGGCGTGTAGTTCTTGTCCGTCTGATCCCCGGTTGGCTATTGTACCTCAAGCATCGCAGAGCTTTCTGGATGGAATCAGGGGGAGGACAAGGCAGGGAAATGCAAAGGGCTTCTCACATGGCTCTGTCTTCTAATTTGGGGAAGAAAGTTCACATTTCTATGATCGTATCACATAACCACCTCCAATCACAGGAGAGGCTGTGTTCCAGTCTCTAGGAAGGGAAGGTAGCAGAAGCAGTAGGAGCACTGTGGAAAGAGCTGACTGGGGATGCGTGCCCCAAGGCTGAGGATGTTCTCCTGTGGGAATGAGATTACCTGTGTTCAGGTAGAGTGAGTGATGTGCATAGAACACTGAAGAAAAATCTCAGGAAAGAGATCACCAACGGAGTCTATGTGTAGCCTCAACTATCCCAACCTTGACTCTATCCAGAAACCTCTGGCTACAGAAATGTGTCAATTACAGTGCTTAACTTTTAGCTGTAACGTGGGGTTAAAGATAAAGGCCTCAGATAAGGTAGGAAGGGTGTTGGGGGAAACTCACGGTATATGTGAGCCAAGGGAAGGTCTAGGTAGAGCCATCGAGAATAAGATGAAGTGTACACATTCTGCACCCTAAGAGGGAAAAGAGAAAGAACGGAACATCAAGAGCCAGAGAGAGACAGGAATTCAGGCCAAGAGAAGCTGTTACCCAGGGAAAATAGTGCTTTGTGTTATGTAAAACTCAAGTTATTTGAATAAAACAAAACAACTGTTCAAAGAGAAGATGATAAAATGACACAAGTTTAACAGGGAGATTGAAGAATTAAGGAAACAAATTGAAGACCAAACCACACCAGATCAAGACTACTAAATAAATCATAAACAGGAAGCAGCCTTATAAGCATTTCTTAAAATATAAAGGAAAGGGCCAGATGCAGTGGCTCATGCCTGTAATCCCAGCAATTTGGGAGGCCAAGCCAGGAGACTGTTTGAGCTTAGGAGTTCAAGACCAGCCTGGGCAACATAGCAAGACCCTGTCTCAAAAATGTATCTATATTTAGGCTGGGCACGGTGGCTCAAGCCTGTAATTCTAGGACTGTGTGAGGCCGAGGTGGGCAGATCACTTGAGGTCAGGAGTTTGAAACCAGCCTGGCTAACATGGCGAAACCCTGTCTCTACTAAAAATACAAAAATTAGCCAGGCGTGGTGGTGCCTGCCTGTAATCCCAGTTACTTGGATACTGACATGGGAGAATAGCTTGAACCCAGGAGGTGGAGGTTGCAGTGAGCCGAGACCACACCACTGCATACCAGCCTGGGGGACAGAGCAAGATTCTGTCTCAAATATATGTGTGTGTGCGTGTGTGTAAGTATTAGGAGATACGATAAGGAAATTTCCCCAAGTAAAGGAAGAACTGAATCCGCAAAAAGAAAAGAGAGTGGGTTGTATGGAAACCCAGTAGGGGGACCCATTGGGAAAAATTGGTCCAAAATAATAGACACCCCAAAAAAAATACCCTGGTGATTACTGAAATTCAACAATACAGAAATAATTCTATGGTGGGCATGGTGGTTCATGCCTGTAATCCCAGCACTGGGAGGCCGAGGCAGGCAAATCACCTGAGGTCAGGAGTTCAAGACCAGCCTCACCAACATGGAGAAACTCCATCTCTACTAAAAAAGAAAAAAAATAGCCAGGCATGGTGGCGCATGCCTGTAATCCCTGCTACTTGGGAGGCTGAGGCAGGAGAATCGCCTGAACCCAGGAGGCAGAGGTTGCGGTGAGCTGAGATAGCGCCATTACACTTCAGCCTGGGCAACAAGAGTGAAACTGTCTCAAAATAATAATAATAATAAAAAATAATAATTCTAAGTGCCCAGGCGGAAAAATCAAATTTCTTATAAAAACTTAAAAAAACCAACCCAACTGCAGATACATTCAATGCAAAAAAAACTCTGCTGCACCACATCCACTGTTCTGAGGGACAGGAAATATGGCCAAGAGCATCGTCTCCAGACAATGACTATTCAGGTGAGACAGCAGGCACATGTTTCCAAACATGAAAGGACTTAGAAGCTGTGGTGTTTGTGAGTCCTTCTGAAAAGGAGCCACTTGATGATAAATTTGAGCCAAGCAAGACATGAATCAAAATAAAGGCCTTAGCAAAAGAGAAGCGGACACAAGGACTGGTCATGAGCGTTAAATCCAAGTAAACAGAGAGCTAAGCACACAGCTGTGGGGTTTATGGGCACATACTAATGTTGTGGGGTTCTTTGTTATTTTGAGACAGAGTCTGATTCTGTCGCCCAGGCTGGAGTGCAGTGCTGCAGTCTCGGCTCACTGCAACCTCCGCCTCCCGGGTTCAAGTGATTCTCCTGCCTCAGCCTCCTGAGTACCTGGAAATATAGGCATGCGCTACCACGCCCAGCTAATTTTTGTATTTTTAGTAGAGATGGGGTTTCGCCATATTGGCCAGGCTTGTCTCAAAATCCTGACCTCCTGAAGGTCAGGACTCGCCTCGGCCTCCCAAAGTACTGGGATTATAGGCATGAGCCGCCGCGCCCGACCCAGACTAAGTTTTTAATATTTCATTTGGAAATTGTTTCAAACTTTGTGAAAAGTTGTAAGAATAGAACAAATAATGCTCATATATTCTACTATTTTTATATAAACAGTGCAGTCATGAAATTCAGGGAGTTTAACCTCGATACAACAGTATTACCTAACGTACAGACCCTATTCCTGTTCAGGCAGTTGTCCCAGTAACGTCCTTTACAGCATTGTTTTTTTAATTCAGGATTCAGTCCAAGATCATGCATTCTTTTCACTGAGTTGTCGTGTCTCTTTAGTCATCTTTAATCTGGAACGATTCCTCTGTTTTTGTCTTTCATGACATTGACATTTTTTATGAGAACAGGGCCAGTTAGTTAAGCTGCATAAACTCTCTTATTTTGAGTTTGTCTGATGCTTCTTCCTGATGATATTCAGGTTATGCATTTTTAGTAGGAAGACTATATAAGTGATACTGTGTCCTGCCAGGAGGCATGTGATGTTCCTTTGTCCCATTATTGGTGATGTTAATTTTGATCATTTGGTGAATGCAAGTGTAAAACATTTGCAAGGTAAAAAGAAAAAGGAAAAAAAGTAGAAAAAAATATAGAGAGAATGTGACTAACAAAATTTGAGGGGTAGGACTGAAAGAAAGTGGAAGTGTACAAACTTCTTCATCTTTTATATCACAGAGATGTTCAATACGGGCGGCTACTCAGGAGGCTGAGGCAGGAAAATCACTTGAACCCAGGAGGCGGAGGTTGCAGTGAGCTGAGATCGCGCCACTGCACTCCAGCCTGGGTGACAGAGCGAGACCGTCTCAAAACAAAAAAAGAATTAATTTATACCTAAGAAAATGAAATAAACCTCTTACATTTTAAGAACATATTTTACTTAAATTTTACAAAACAAATGTATGAAACTATTGGGATGTCTTAGAATCACATATATCTTGTGGTAAATAACATTTTTTTGCTCTCAGCCAATTTATTTTGTTTACTTCGATTTATTCTCTCTCCTGTTAAAGTAAAATTAAATTTGCTTTTTTCCCCCTCTCTGTCCTTCTCATTGTGTATATATATGGAGATGTCTGGCATGTCATTCAGCTAATGTTATGGTCTTTTTTTTCTTTTATTTTCGATGATGTCTTTCTCTGCCACCCAGGCTGGAGTACAGTGACATAATCACAGCTCACTGCAGTCTCTACTGCCCTGGCTCAAGCCATCCTTCCACCTCAGCCTCCCAGGTAGTTGGGACCACAGGCACATACCACTATGCCTGGCTAATTTTTCAGGTTGGTTTGTTTGTTTTTGGTAGAGAAGGGTCTCGCTATGATGCCCAGGCTGATCTCAAACTCTTGGACTCAAGCGATCCTCTGGCCTTAGCCTCCCAAAGTGCTGGGATTACAGGCATGAGCTATCACACCCAGCCTAGTTGTGGTTATTTCTAAGTGGAAGAATTGGGGAAATATGTTTCCTTCTTTTTTTTTTTGAGACAGAGTCTTGCTCTGTCGCCCAGGCTGGAGTGCAGTGGCACGATCTCAGCTCACTGCAAGCTCCGCCTCCCGGGTTCACGCCATTCTCCTGCCTCAGCTTCCCGAGTAGCTGGGACTACAGGCACCTGCCACCACGCCCGGCTAATTTTTTGTATTTTTAGTAGAGACGGGGTTTCACCGTGCTAGCCAGGATGGTCTCGATCTCCTGACCTCATGATCTGCTTGCCTCGGCCTCCCAAAGTGCTGGGATTGCAGGCATGAGCCACCGCGCCCGGCATCTTTTTTTTTTTTTTTTTTTTGCTGAATTTATTCTTTAAAAACAAAAACAGCATGTATCATTTTAACAACAATAATAAAGTAATTATTTAAAAAAATTATATCTGCAACTTAGGGAATCACTAAAGCCAAACGTCTGATTTGTTTAGGTTCTGTGGGAATCATCCTTTGGCGCAATCACGTGCATTCAAGCATTATTACGTTTAGGAAATGGTCCAAGGGGTATGTGCAGTTCCTGAAAGTCTTTTTACAGCCTGTATATTCTCTTTCGTATCTTTTAAGTTTCTTGTTTGAGACCTTCCTCTAGACTTCTCTAGAATCCTCTTAACCTCTCTGGCTTTTGAGGGGTTTTGTAGAAAGCCATTGCCTGGCACAGAGAAGTTATCCATCCTGGAAATGACTGCCAGAGTCTAGGCCAAAGGGTGTAGGTCTTTTCCACTCTGCCTCTGCATAGTTAAGGGTGTTTACATCTGAACAGAAGATGCACTTCGGCTGCACTAAAGATACAAGCAGTATTAAGGGAAGAGTAGCTGTTGTCTTTTCAGCACCCAGGAGTAAAAAGTAAAGATTAAGGTGACACGTGCACTCTCTGTGAAGAACTACTTGTATGTATTGGCTTCAGGCAGTCACGATACCCCCGCCCTGTAGCCACACCATTGATATCATTCTTCTTTTTCTTTTTGAGACGGAGTCTCACCCTGTTGCCAGGCTGGAGTGCAGTGGCGCGATCTCAGCCCATTGCAACCTCCGTCTCCTGGGTTCACGCGATTCTCCTCCCTCAGCCTCCCCAGTAGCTGAGACTACTGGCGTGCACCACCACACACAGCTAATTTTTGTATTTTTAGTAGAGACAGGGTTTTGCTATGTTGACCAGGCTGGTCTTGAACTCCTGACTTCAAGTGATCCACCTGGCTCATCCTCCCAAAATGCTGGGATTACAGACAGGCATGTGCCACCACCCAGCCCCAATATCATTCTTTGATAAAGGACAATGTGAATGTATTTGAAGATGTAAATATTCTTTTTTTTTTTTTTTTTTGAGACAGAGTGCTGCTCTGTCACCCAGGCTGGAGTGCGATGGCATAATCTCAGCAACCTCTGCCTCATGGGTTCAAGCAGTTCTTCTGCCTCAGCCTCCCTAGTAGCTGGGACTACAGACGCCCACCACCACGCCCAGCTAATTTTTTTTTATTTTTAGTGGAGACGGAGTTTGGCCACGTTGGCCACGTTTGAACTCGACCTCAGGTGATCCACCCGCCTCGGCCTCCCAAAGTGCTGCAATTACAGGCTTGAGCCGCCATGCCCAGTGTGAAGATGTAAATATTCTTACATAATTCATGTACATATTCATATCAACTTAAACCAGTCCTAAGGCATGTGGTCTTTCCTGCATAATACAGAACTTTAGTTGGTAGCATAATGCGTACTGTTGCAGGTTGAGTTCCCTGGGAAACAGGCCAAGAGAGAGTTTAGTGTGATGATACTTACCGAAGTATGCTCTCGGGGCAGCTCCGATGGAAAGGAGGAGAAAGAAACAGGATCAGGCAGTTGGAGAAACTGAGCCATGATGCAGGCCCAGCAACAGCCTTGACCAATGCCGTGGGGAGCTCTGGAGCTGGAGTGGCCATGCAGATTCGTCCCAAACTGGACGGAGATGGCCAGTCTTTCGGTAATCCCACATGGATCAGTCACTGGATGTGATCCATGCTGGGAGGGCGACATGACCCTGCCGGAAGTGGCTCCGTAGTTGTGGTGATCCCTGATGGGGCCACCAGCTAAGCTGTCCCAGAAGCTGGGCAACACGGCTCGCCTAGAAAAGGGGGATCTGTGCAGCCGATCACTGTGTCTGCGCCACTCCCTTCTTCTCTGAAAGGGCTTTGCCATGCAAAAATGACTGAGGCTTCCTCTTCCGTTTTTTCCCATTACCTTCTGCACTTCCAGGAGCAGAAGTCGGTGTGTGGGAGGCGAGACTAGAATTTCTCAGACACAGGGAATGGGTTTTGTGCTGTCAAGGTAGAGCTGCTATTTTGGACCTCAGAACACTTGCTTGGTTCGAGAAGAGACTAAAATAGCCCAAATGTGAACACCTCAGTTGAGCAGAAAGTTCTTCATTCTGTGAGAATCCTGGCTTCTGAGTACCACTACTAACTCATACCCATTGAGAGCACCAGCATACTGACTATGACACATTCGTTCACACAGTGCGTGGTTATTGAGTGCCTACTGTGTGCCTGTGTTCCAAAAATAGGGGAGATCACAATAAACAGAGAGGCGCTTCTCCTCTCCGGAGATTTTTTGTTCAAGTGGTTTTACTGAGCCTACAAAGCAGAAGTTGTGTATGTCATGACTATGGACTTCTAATGTCCTTCATTTCACCCGAGCTACTATTTTTCTTAGCGTAGCTGACAGACATAAAACCAAGTACCCACCATGTTTATTTACAAAATAGGGTTATGCATACATGAGCTCTTGGAGATTTTCCAGTCCAGTGTTCCCCGAACTATGATTATTTGTGCATCACTTTCACTGTAACATTGTTCTCTGAAATATTTTTCTTTAACTCTCCCTTTTTTCCCCTTTACATATCCATGTTCTTTTTTAACCTTTTATTATGAAAAGTTTCAAGCATACACAGAAGCAGAGTGAGCAGTACAATGAATCTCTGTGTATAAAATTTCATTAGCAATTAACTCTTGGCCACTCGTCTACGCTGTACTCCCATTCATCCTCTCTACCTTGTTTGCCCTGCATGTTTTTTTTTTTTTTTTTTTTTTGAGGTAGTCTCACTTTGTCACCCAGGCTAGCGTGCAGTGGCATGATCATAGCTTACTGAAACCTCCAGCTATAAGGCTCAAGGAATCCTCCTGCCTCAGCTTCCTGAGTAGCTGGGACCACAGGCATGAGCCACCGCACTCAGCTCTACCCTGAGTGTTTTGAAGCAAATCCTAAATCCTAGATACCCTGTCATTTCATCTATAATTTTTTTATTTCCAAAGAAATAAGAATTATTTATTTTAAATTGTAATGTTATTTTTAAATTAGAAATATAATACATTTGTAATATGAAACAATACAAATATGTGTAATTTAAAAGTTATTACTCCTCTTCATTGCCATTTCATTGAAGCTACATTATAAATGGTATATTTTTCCTTGGTGTTCCTCGTGTATATACCAGCATATGCAAATGCATATATGCACACATTGTTTTTGTTTTCTACAAAAGCCATATTGTACATATTACTCCAACTTGCTTTCTTTTTCTCAAAGTCATGTTTATTAAGGTCTAATTTACATCAAATAAAATTTACCCTTCATAGGTGTATAGTTGGGTGAATTTTGACAAATATATATGGTCATAAAACTGACCCCACAATCAAGATTTCCTTCACCCCAAAAGGTTCTCTTATCCTCCTTTATAGTCAGTTCATTCTCACTCCCTGAAAACTCTTTTCTGATCCAATAGTTTTACCTTTTTTAGTAGGTCACATAAATGGAATCAAAACAGTATGTAACCTTATTCATAAACACAGTAAATATAAATGGATTGAACACTCTGAATAAATGGCAGAGACTAGCAGAATGGATTTTTAAAATAACATGATCTAACTATATGCTGTCTATAAGAGATGCAATTTATATTCAAAGCCACAAATAGGTTGAAAGTAAAAGGATGGAACAAGACATACTATGCAAACAGTAACCAAAAGCAAGCTGGAGAAACTATACTACTATCAGACAAAATGGATTTTAAGGCAAAAATTGTTACTAGAGACAGAGAACAACGAAAAAATGTCAATCCATCAGAAAGATATAACAATTTTAAACATAGATGTACCTAATAACAGAGTCCCGAAATACATGAAGCAAAAACTGACAGAATTAAAAAGAGAAATTGAAAATTCAACAATTATAGCTGAAGGCTTCAGTACCCCATTTCAGTGATGGGTAGAACAACTATGCAGAGATGAAGAAGGAAACAGAAGACTTGAATAACACTCTAAATCAACAGGACCTAACAGTCATCTGCAGATTGCTCCATCCAACAGCAGCAGAAGACACACACTTCTCAAGTGCACAGGGAGCATTCTCCAGGACAGGTTATGTGTTAGACCATAAAATGATTTTCAGTCAATTTAAAAAGGTGAAATATTTCAAACTATTTTCCCTTACCACAGTAGAAAACATTAGACATTATACATAAGGAAATTTGGGAAATTCAAAACATTATATAGCCTTATGTATCTAGTTTCTTTTTAATTTTTTGAAACGGAGTCTCACTCTGTTCCCCAGGCTGGAGTGCAGTGGTGCGATCTTGGCTTACTGCAACCTCTGCCTCCTGGGTTCAAGCGATTCTCCTGCCTCAGCCTCCTGAGTAGCTGGGATCACAAGTACACGCCACCACACCTGGCTCATTTTTGTGTTTTTAGTAGAGATGGGGTTTTATCGTGTTGGCCGGCTGGTCTTGGACTCCAACCTCAAATGATTTGCCGCCCATCTCAGCCTCCCAAAGAGAAAATCTTTTTCTATTTTTAATTTTAATTTATTGATTTTTAATTATTATTTTTCTTTTTTTTTTTGAGATGGAGTCTCGCTCTGTCTCCCAGGCTGGAGTGCAATGGCACAATCTTGGCTCACTGAAACCTCTGCCTCCTGGGTTCAAGCAATTCTCCTGTCTTAGCCTTCTGAGTAGCTGGGATTATAGAGGTGCATGCCACCACGCCCAGCTAATTTTTTGTATTTTTAGTAGAGACGGAGTTTCACCATGTTAGTTAGGCAGGATGGAGTCTCTATCTCCTGACCTCATGATCTGCCTACCTTGCCTCCCAAAGTGCTGAGATTACAGACGTGAGGCACTGCACCCGGCCCTATTTTTATCTATTTTATTATTATTATTTGAGACAGGGTCTCACTCTGTCACCCAGGCTGGAGTGCTGTGGTGCAGTCTTGACTCATTGTAGCCTCCCACTTCAGCCTCCTGAGTAGCTAGGACTACAGGCGTCTGTGTCACATTTGATTAATTTTTTGATCTTTTTATAGAGACAAGGTCTCACTATGTTACCCAGGCTGGTCTCGAACTCCTGGGCTCAAGTGGTCATCCTGCCTTGGCCTCCCAGAGTGCTGAGATTACAGGTGTGAGCCACTGTGCCCGGTCACTCTGATTTATTTCACTTAGCATATTCCTTTGGAGGTCTATCCATGTTGTTATGTATATCAGCAGTTTGGGATTATATCATAGTTGCTTTATCCATTTGGACAGTGGGTTGTTCCAGTTTGGGGTTTTTTTTTTTGTTTTTTTTTTTTTTTGAGACAGAGTCTTGCACTCTTACCCAGGCTGGAGTGCAGTGGCGCCATCTCAGCTCACTGCAAGCTCCTTCTCCCAGGTTCACGCCATTCTCCTGCCTCAGCCTCCCAAGTAGCTGGGACTACAGGCACCCACCACCACACCCGGCTAATTTTTTTGTATTTTTAGTAGAGACAGGGTTTCACCATGTTAGTCAGGATGGTCTGGATCTCCTGACCTTGTGATCCGCCCGCCTCGGCCTCCCAAAGTGCTGGGATTACAGGTTTGGGGGTATTTTGAGTAAAGTTGTTTTGAATTCGTGAAGAGGCCAGGGGCATATGTTTTCATTTATCATGGGTAAACACCTAAGAGTGGAATTGCTAGTATGGTAAGTGTATGTTTACCTTTTTAAGAAATTCTCCGGGAGGCTGAGGCAGGAGAATGGTGTGAACCTGGGAGGCAGAGCTTGCAGTGAGCCGAGATTGCGCCGCTGCACTCCAGCCTGGGCAACAGAGCAAGACTCTGTCTCAAAAAAAAACAAAAAACAAAAAACAAAAAAAAAAACAAATTCTCAGGCCGGGCACGGTAACTCACGCCTGTAATCCCAGCACTTTGGGAGGCCGAGGCGGGCGGATCACCTGAGGTCAGGAGTTCGAGACCAGCCTGATCAACGTGGAGAAAACCTGTCTCTACTAAAAATAGAAAATTAGCCGAGCGTGGTGGCACATGCCTATAATCCCAGCTACTCAGGAGGCTGAGGCAGGAGAATCGCTTGAACCCAGGAGGCACAGGTTGCAGTGAGCCGAGATTGCGCCATTGCAATCCAGCGTGGGCAACAAGAGCGAAACTCCGTCTCAAAAAAAAAAAGAAAAAGAAATTCTCAAACCATTTTCCAAAATTAGTACTATTTTACATTCTCACCAGCAATTTATGAGGTTTCCGGTTATCCCACATACTTCTCAGCACCTAGGGGTTTTTGTTTTGTTTTGTCTTTTTAAACATTAATCTATTTGCCAACTAGGGAACCACTGGGATGGAGGGCTTGGGTGCCCAGGTGGCATGTGGAGTGTATCTCAGTGTGGTTTCAGTTTGCGTTCTCCTGATGACTGATGATGCTGAGTATCATTTCCTGTGCTTACTAACCATCTGTCTCTCTTCTTTGGTAAAATGTCCATTCACATCTTTCGGTCATTTTTCATTTTGTTTTTGTGTCTACATATTATTGCATTATGAAAGTTCTTACTATATTCTAGATACAAGTTCTTTATTGGGTTGTGTTTTGCGAATGTTTTCTCCCCATCTGTGGATTGTCTTTATACTTTCTTTGCCTTTTTTTTTTTTTTTTTTTTGAGACAGAGTCTTGCTCTTTTGCCCAGGCTGGACTGCAGTGGTGCTATCTCGGCCCACTGCAAGCTCCGCCTCCCGGGTTCATGCCATTCTCCTGCCTCAGCCTCCCGAGTAGCTGGGACTACAGGCGCCCACCACCGCGCCCGGCTAATTTTTTATATTTTTAGTAGAGACGGGGTTTCACCATGTTAGCCAGGATGGTCTCGATCTCCTGACCTCGTGATCCGCCCGCCTCGGCCTCCCAAAGTGCTGGGATTACAGGCTTGAGCCACCGTGCCCGGCCATCTTTATACTTTCTTAACAATATCTTTTGAAGAGTAGAAGTTTTAAGTTTTGGTCAACTCCACTGACAGGGCTTAGAAGTAACAAAACCCAGTACCAATGAGCACAACTAATGCCTAGAGCTTGTTTTCTAAATACTCTTCACTAAAGGAGTCAGAAGTGCATAGAGAAATGGCTGATGCCAGGGCTGGGACGGAAAGAGTATAAGGTGAGCTTGGAATATTTTGTGTACCAAAAAGCAAGGAAGCGCTCAAAGAATAATAGAGATTAGTGGAGAGGACATCAGAGCCATCTTGAAGAAGCTCCCACTGACCAAATGTGAGATAATTCGAGCATCAAAATAAATAGAGATATAATAGATTATAACCGACTGAATAACAGGAAACCATGAATCTAAACAGGTATTAATAAATAAATGGAAGCCAGGAGTAGTGGCTCACACCTGTAATCCCAGTACTTTGGGAGGCCAAGATGGGCAGATCGCTTGAGGCCAGGAGTTCGAGACCAGCCTGACCAATATAGTGAAACTCCATCTCTACTAAAAAAAAAAAAAAATACAAAAAATTAGCCTGGCGTGGTGACACATGCCTGTAATCCCAGCTACTTGGGAGGCTGAGGCACGAGAATTGCTTGAACCTGGGAAGCGGAGGTTGCAGTGAGCCGAGATTTTGTCCCTGCACTCCAGCCTGGGTGACAGAGCGAGACTCTGTCTTGAATGAATGAATGAATGAATGGAAAATGAAAGCCCTTTCTCATGGTAGAAGGCCAACTAATATTTAATGGTTGGAATGACAGAGTCATACAATCATCATATGGTAACCAGCATGGTAATAATTTGTTCAGGCAAGAATCATCAATCTGTGCTAAAACAAGTAGGTAAAAGTTTGTTGAATAACAGGATATTTACGTAGTTTCAAAACGTATCCCCCAAAAATACATATTAATTACAATGAAAAAAATAGTATCTTTCCAGTGGAGAAACATGGAAGATACTTCCTCCTTAACCAAGTGACCGAAGTTAACCTCACCAAAAATCAACAGTGTGTACCTCCTGATATCATCTGCTGAGAAGGACACAGGATTACTTCTGTGGTGTTCCTGCCAAAAAGTACATGATTTGACTCTAATGACATGGAAACATCAGACGAATCCAAACTGACGTTCTAGAAAATAACTGGCTTATACTCTTCAAAACTGTCAAGGCCATAAAAGACAAGGAAAGAATGAGGAACTGGCCGGGCGTGATAGCTCACACCTGTAATCCCAGCATTTTGGGATGCCATGGCGGGTGGATCACCTGAGGTCAGGAGTTCGAGACCAGCCTGGCCAACATGATGAAACCCCGTCTCTACTAAAAATAGAAAAGTTAGCTGGGCATGGTAGCACACATCTGTAATCCCCACTCTTTGGGAGGCTGAGACAGGAGAATCGCTTGAACCTGGGAGGCAGAGGTTGCAGTGAGCCAAGATCGCGCCACTGCACTCCAGCCTAGGTGACAGAGTGAGACTCTGTCTCAAAAAAAAAGAAAAGGGTCGGGCGCAGAAGCTGACACCTGTAATCCCAACACTTCGGGTGGCTGAGGCGGGTGGATCACCTGAGGTCAGGAGTTTGAGACCAGCCTGGCCAACATGGTGAAACCCCACCTCTACTAAAAATACAAAAAATGATCCAGGCATGGTGGCAGCGCCTGTAATCCCAGCTACTTAGGAGGCTGAGGCAGGAGAATCACATTAACCCAGGAGGCTGAGGTTGCAGTGAGCTGAGGTAGGGCCATTGCACTCCAGCCTGGGCAACAAGAGTAAAACTAAAAAAAAAACTAAAAAAAACTTAAAAAACTAAAAAAAATAAAAAAAAATAAAAAAAAGAAAAAAGAAATAAAACTGCTAGATGCAGCTTGCTATCTCCTAGATTGGGTAATAATCCTGGACCAGAAGAAGAAAAAACATTGTTTTCTATAAAGATCAGTATGATAAATATCAAACATCTCTTCCTTGGAAATTCAGGCACATGGACCCTCTAAGAAAGAGGGAGAATCTTTGCGTATTGTGTTTTTGTAGGGTTGAATGATTTTTCAAATATTCACTAATGATTTTTATTTTGTTTTGTGAATTGTCTGCCATGCTCTTTGTCCATTTATATATTCATTGTAAAAATTTTCCAGTTTTAAGTATTGATTTTTTTAACTTTTAAATTATAAAACTAAAACAGATTCCTTCTTTAAAGAATAAATATAAACTGTACAAAGGGCATAAAGACCAAAATGAAAACCCTTCTCATCTCCATATCCCACTCTCCAGATGTTCTCTTTCTCATTTCATTTTTTAAAGTTTGCCTCCCACTCTTTTTTCTTCCTTTCATTCTAAAAATTTCTAAATATTTCTGTGAATTAGTCATGCAGCAAAAACATACATCTTAATGGGCTAGGACATCAAAGAGTCTATAAAACTATGTTAACATTTACAGATTTCATGGTAAAGGGATATTTATGTTCAGAACATAATGTATATTTAAGAATTTTTAAAATAAGACCTCATAGCAAAGCATGAACATAAGTAATAATTAATAATGACTATAACTACTTAGAGTGAGCTAGTAACTTAAATTCTAGGCTGTTGGAAGCCATTACATAATCTTTGGTGTTATCTTTTTATTTAAAAAAATATAAGAGCTTTTTGACCCTTTTAAAAAAATTAACAGTGTGCAGCCTGGCCAACATGGCGAAACCCTGTCTACTAAAAATACAAACATTAGCTGGGCATGGTGGTAGGCACCTGTAATCCCAGCTATTTGGGAGACTGAAGCAGGAGAATCACTTGAACCTGGGAGGCAGAGGTTGCAGTGAGCCGAGATTGCACCACTGCACTCCAGCTGGGCAACAGAGCAAGACTCTGTATCAAAAAAGAAAAAAAAAAAAAAACATTAACAGTGTGAGTTGAAACTGGTGGTATTTGGCCAAACTGGGTAGTGCAGGTTGGAGGTAGAGATGATTCCTCCTTCACAAGATTAACTACCTGAATCTTTTGTTTTTTATCCTTCATGAGATAATAAAGAACCACTGGAAATTCTTTTGTAACCTCTTTGTTTTATACATGAGAAACAAATGCTTGAATAATGCTTGAATATACTAACCATTCAATGAATGTGTGTTGAATTGATGGATGTGAGTACATTGAGGCCCACAGAGAGTATGTAGCCTGTACCTAGTCCTCTGCAATTTAGTGACACTTGACTTCTGCGGTTTAAGTAAAGGAACTAGAATGTTAGCAGTGGAGCTTTACTCAATCATTTAACAATTTTTTTTTTTTAGATGGAGTCTCACTCTGTCACCCAGGCTGGAGTGCAGTGGTTCAATCTTGGCTCACTGCAACCTCTGCCTCCTGGGTTCAAGCGATTCTCCTGCCTCAGCCTCCTGAGTAGCTGGGATTGTAGGCACACACCACACCTGGCTAATTTTTACATTTTTAGTAGAGATGGGCTTTCACCATGTTGGCCAGGCTGGGCTCGAACTCCTGATCCGCCCATCTTGCCCCACCAAAGTGCTGAGATTACAGGTGTGAGCCACCGCGCCTGGCCAATTAACATTTTTGAATGCTTAAGATGTGCTTTGGGCCAGGCGCGGTGGCTCACGCCTGTAATCCCAGCACTTTGGGAGGCTGAGGCGGGCGGATCACAAGGTCAGGAGATCGAGACCATCCTGGCTAAGACGGTGAAAACCCGTCTCTACTAAAAAATACAAAAAATTAGCCGGGCGTTGTGGCGGGCGCCTGTAGTCCCAGCTACTCGGGAGGCTGAGGCAGGAGAATGGCGTGAACCCGGGAGGCGGAGCTTGCAGTGAGCCGAGATCACGCCACTGCACTCCAGCCTGGGCGACAGAGCGACACTCCGTCTCAAAAAAAAAAAAAAAAAAAAAAAAAGATGTGCTTCGTTGTGTTCAAGGTGTGATTGTTTAATATGTTTAACTCTCAGGTCCCTGAGGAGGGGGAGTTACTGAGGTCGTAAGTGATTTATATATTAATAACTACACATCCTGTGATAGAGTGACCACTTGTCCCTCTTCATTGCTGTTGAGGAAAGCCAATGGCTTTAGCTGTCCTGGAGCCTGGGGGATGTACATGTGGGATGAGAAATATGCCTTTCTGTGGCCTGGTTATGAACTGAAGTTTTTTGTGTTTTTTTCCTAGCTGGAAGAAGAAAGATCTGTGCTCAATAATCAGTTGTTAGAAATGAAAAAAAGGTAAGCTTTCTGTTTATTGTTGTATGTGTGTGTGTTTAATAAGATGTCAGAACATGATATGTGTGGTAACTTATAGTAGAAAACAAGTGACCTTCTTAGATTCAGAAAATGGCATTGTGATAGTTTGGTACTTGTAACTGACAAAATATGAAAATCCATTTGCAGGGCTAGGTGTGATAGCTCACACCTGTAATCCCAGCACTTTGGGAGGCCAAGGCTGGCGGATCACGAGTTCGACACCAGCCTGACCAACATAGTGAATCCCCATCTCAACTAAAAATACAAAAAATTAGCCAGGCATAGTGGCAGGTGCCTGTAATCTCAACTACTTGGGAGGCTGAGGCAGGAGAATCACTTGAACCTGGGAAGCGGAGGTTGCAGTGAGCCGAGATCGCGCCACTGCACTCCAGCCTGGGCAACAGTGAGAGACTCCGTCTCAAAAAAAAAAAAGAAAAAGAGAATCCATTTGCAGAAGTTTCACTATTACTAAAACAAAAATAGTTCATAAGCCATGTTCAGTTGCTTTCACTCAGAAGTGATCTAAAATCAGATTGTCTCATGTTACACCACTGTTACCTCCTAGTTTCAGTAACTAAACATACTAGAATCTTACATACAGTTATTGATCTGGATATAAATACTGATTTCAATTATATGAAAATTTTAATGTTCACTAATAATGGGTAATGTGATTTTAAGTGTTTCTATTTGCTTTAAAAGGCTTTCTTACTTACTCTCCCATGATAGTCAAATGATACTCAAATTAAAAACTAGGATAACTTTTTCAGTACTTTCCAATAAGGAAGAACATAGCTCACAGAAATAATTGTGTAGAAGCTTCATGCTTCTATAAGCTGATAAGTCTTTGCTCTTCTAAAACGTGCAGTTTTTGTTTAGAGAATGTCTGTGCTACACGGTCCAAGCAGGTTTAGGGGGTGCTACTGCCGAGAACCACAGCCTGTCCAGTGGGTGCTGCAGAATGGGTGCATATTACAACAGTGATGTGCTTTTTCGCTTGTTAAAAACAAAACTAAAAATAAAAACAAACCTTAAAGAATAGCATAACCAGTAATTTCTCCATGCTCTTGTGAAGTATTATTCCCACTCGTCAGGGCAGAGGAGGTTTCCCCACCGACCTACTGAAGCGTATGTTTTACGCAGCACTGTCTCCTCTGCCAGCGTAGCAGTTGCTTAGGAGTTGAGGGCTTTATTTATTTAGATTTAGCTATTTGGATTCCGTAAGCCACATTCTAAAGGACGTTAGGCCTTGGTCCAGGGATGCATTTTCTTTTTTCTTTTTTTAATTTATTTTTTTCAGACATGATCTTGCTGTGTCTCCCCAGTTGGAGTGCAATGGCTCAATCATGGCTTACGGCAGCCTCAATCTCCTGGGCTCAATTGATCTTCCGACCTCTCAGCCTCCCAAGTGGCTGGGACTACAGGCATGCGTGATCACACCTGGCTAATTTTTTGTTTGTTTGTTTGTTTTTTGAGGCAGACTCTCGCTCTGTCGCCCAGGCTGGAGTGCAGTGGTGCGATCTCGGCTCACTGCAACCTCCGCCTCCTGGGTTCAAGCGATTCTCCTGCCTCCCCCTCCTGAGTAGCTGGGATTACAGGTGCATGACACCACACCCGGCTAAATTTTTGTATTTTTAGTAGAGATGGGGTTTCACCGTGTTAGCCAGGATGGTCTCTATCTCCTGACGTCGTGATCCGCCTGCCTCAGCCTCCCAAAGTGCTGGGATTACAGGCGTGAGCCACCGCACCCGGCTTTAAAAATTTTTTTTTATAGTGACAAGGTCTTGTTATGTTGCCCAGGCTGCCTTTCCTTTTTTTAAATTTAGAAATATTTAGTGAAATTTCACTAAGGTGGTGTTTATACTCAGAATGCGCGTGTGTTTCACCACTGCCGTGCCCCTGATAAGTCTTTGTCTACTTTTTTTTTTTTTTTTTTTTTTTTTTTTTTTTAAGACAGAGTCTTGCTCTATCACCCAGGCTGGAGTGCAGTGGCGCGATCTTGGCTCTCACTGCAACCTCCCCACCTCCCAGGTTCAAGCAATTCTCCTGCCTCAGCCTCCCAAGTAACTGGTATTACAGGCGTGCACCACCATGCCTGGCTAATTTTTGTAGTTTTAGTAGAGATAGGGTTTCACCATCTTGGCCAGGCTTGTCTCTAACTCCTGACCTCGTGATCCACTTGCCTCAGCCTCCCAAAGTGTTGGGATTACAGTCGTGAGCCACTGCGCCTGGCCTGTCTGCTCTTTTAAAATGTGCGGTTTTTATTTAGAGAATGTCTGTGCTTTACACGGTGCCAAGCAGGTTTAGTGGGTGCTACTGCTGAGAACAACAGCCTATCCAGCAGTTGCTGCAGAATACTAAATAGGTGCGTATCACAACAGTGATGTGCTTTTTTGCTTATTAGAAACAAAACTAAAACTAAAAACAAACCTTAAAGAATAGCATAACCAATGATTCCCAGCCCAGCCAGATGTTCTCCAGGGAACTTGAAAAGTGATGCCTAGTTTGCCATGCCTAAACCTCGTCCCTGTTTATAGCCACAATTCTGTCTCTGTGGGCCTCGGGGTATTTAATTTTACATAAATAAGATTTTTGTTTCTTTTTTAAAAAAAAAACCCTTATGTAAGGAGTTATCAAGGACACGTGAAAAAATAAATAGGGCTTGTTCCTGCAGCATTCTGGCAAGGGAGCTGTGGCCTGGCACGGTGGTTCATGCCTGTAACCCCAGCACTTTGGGAGGCCAAAAAGGGAGGATCAGTTGAGCACAAGAGTTCAAGACCAGCCTGGGCAACATAGTGAGACTATGTCTCCATTTAAAAAAAAAAAAAAAAAGGTCGGGTGCGGTGGCTCACGCCTGTAATCCCAGCACTTTGGGAGGCCAAGGCAGGTGGATCACTTGAGGTCAGAAGTTCAAGACCAGCCTGGCAATACAAAAATTAGGCCGGGCACCGTGGCTTACACCTGTAATCCCAGCACTTTGGGAGGCCGAGGTGGGTGGATCACAAAGTCAAGAGATTGAGACCATCCTGGCTAACATGGTGAAAGGTGAAACCCCGTCTCTACTAAAAATACAAAAATTAGCTGGGCATGGTGGCATGTGCCTGCAGTCCTAGCTACTCAGGAGGCTGAAGCGGGAGAATTGCCTGAACCCGGGAGGTGGAGGTTGTAGTGAGCCGAGATCGTGCCACTGCACTCCAGCCTGGTGACAGAGCAAGACTCCGTCTCAAAAAAAAAAAAAAAAAGGACTGGTATCTCCCTACATTTATGTAGCACGTCATAATTCACAAATTGATCTAATCTCAAAACAACCCAGTGAAATATAATGGTGGAGCTTGCATTTTTAAATGATGAAATTAGCTGGACATGGTGGCACATGCCTGTAGTCCCAGCTACTCAGGAGGCTGAGGTGAGAGGATCACTTGAGCCCAGGTATTCAGTGCTGTAGTGCACTCTGATCATGCCTGAGAAGAGCTGCTGTACTCTAGCCTGGGCAACATAGTGAGACCCTGTCTCTAAAATAAAATAAATACATAAAATGATGAAACTAAAGCTCAAAAAGTTAGGCAAGTTGGCCAAGGACTCAGGACTAATAAAAGACAGGTGTAGGCTAAAGACTCAGATCATCAGATTTTTTATGCTGGTTCTCTTCTGAGTGAATTTTTAAGCTTTTTATTTATTTATTATTTATGTGTATCTTTTTAAAAAAGAGATGATGTACTTAATGATGAAGTCCTTATCATGTAACTTTAAGTAAATTACATGCCTTTCAAAATATGGTTAGGCATGGGACGCTTTTCATGGCTTAAAAAGATGGAACATGACCAGGTGCAGTGGCTCATGCCTGTAATCCCAACACTTTGGGAGGCCGAGGCAGGTGGATCACCTGAGGTCAGGAGTTTGAGACCAGCCTGGCCAACATGGTGAAACCCCGTCTCTACTAAAAATACAAAAATAGCCGGGCACGGTGGCGGGCATCTGTAGTCCCAGCTACTCAGGAGGCTGAGGCAGGAGAATCGCTTCAACCCGGGATGCAGAGGTTGCAGTGCGCCGAGATCGCGCCATTGCACTCCAGCCTGGGCAACAAGAGCAAAACTCCATCTCAAAAAAAAAAAAAAGATGAAACAAATTTTGGGGCCGTGAAGTTCTCTCTCCTACTTCTCTCTGTTCCTGTTTTATGTCCTCAATGTTTAGGAGGATGTCTCTTGAAAATCACTCTTAATTTTCATCAGAAATTATAGATAAAGATGACTTTTTCTGGGAGTGAAAATTTCACTCCTAGTTTCTCATGTGTAGAAGTGTTTTTTGTTTGTTTGTTAATTAACCCTTATGGAAAGTTATTTCTGTTTTAGAAACCTGAATGTAAATGGATTTTAGATAATAGTTGGGGCCCTTCATTGCCTTCTAAAACTCAGATTGATAAAGGATTCATATGTAGGCCTATGCGTGTAATGGTTAAATAAATGTGTCAACCATTGAGTACCAAAAAGAACTTAATATACTATTAATTTAAAAAGCCTTGCAAATACTTACATTGTGAGTATTTGAAATGTAGTTGGTCATGCAAGAACTGAGAGCTTAGTCAACACTTGAATTCAGAAGTGATCATTAAACGTACATAGTTAAGATAGTAATAGAATCACTATGGCCAAATAGTCATGATATTCAAGTGCAGAACTTACTCCCAACTGTAGGATTAAACTGGTTATCATGAAGAAATTAGAATCCGGCTGGGTGCGGTGGGTCACGCCTGTAATCCCAGTGCTTTGGGAGGATCACCTGAGGTCAGGAGTTCAAGACCAGCCTGGCCAACATGGTGAAACCCCATCTCTACTAAAAATACAAAAATTAGCTGGGTGTGGTGGCGGGTGCCTGGAATCTCAGCTACTCAGGAGTCTGAGGCAGCAGAGTTGCTTGAACTCAGGAGGCGGAGGTTACAGTGAGCCGAGATCGCACCACTGCACTCCAGCCTGGGCAACAGAGCGAGATTCCATCTCAAAAAAAAAAAAAAAGAAAAGAAAGAAAGAAAAAGAAAGGAATTAGTGGAATCCTTCTTTATTTGCTGTGGGGTTTTTTTTCTTTTTGTTTTTTGTTTTTTTGTAACTTTAAACATTGAGTTGCAAGCAGTATGTAGTAAAAAATTTTTCCCCAAGCATAAAAATGTAATCATTTCTTTGAAAAACTCTCAAGTTGGGTAAGCCTTTTAAAACAGGCTCTAAGAGTCTAATGGGTAAAGCAGGGTATGCCTTGCATTGCTCTAATTGCCAGAACTGGGGGAGTTTGTTCATCTGTGCCTCTGAAGCCTGATGCAGATTTGGGAGCCGGTTTGGTTGCTCCATTCTCTAGGCTTTTTAGTGTCAAAGAAGGGGCTCCAAAGCCAAAGGCGCGAGGCATGGATTTTGGAGTCAGAATTCATCCTGTCAGTGCCAGTGCAGGATTTCTGTTAGGAGTAAAAACTGGTTTGACAATAAAGCCCCCAAATTCTGAGGAGGTCCCGTGCTACTTCAGCTCATCCGGCTCACTGTGGGTTGCTAACTGTCTGACTGTCTCCGAGCTTGCGCTACTTACCAATGCTCATTTCACCCCTCTCTTTTCCCTTTCCTACTCTTGCTTCCTTTGCTATATCTGTGTGTCTTTAATGGTAAGACTAAAGAAAGTCTATCCACGTTATAATAAATAAATTTCATATATTTTTAGTAAACCAAATTGTTGTATATATTTTTTGGCTGCCTTTGTCCCTCTGTGTCTTGCTTTTGTTTTGTAAAATATTCTCAGCAGTATATATATATACATATATATATACACACACAAACACACACATATATTTCCTTTTTATATCTATATACAGCAAAGAACTTCAGTGCAAATTTAGTCTCCTTACTGTATTTGCGTTTCTCTTCATGGTTCTAATATTTGGTTCTTGTTATCTTGCATTTTTAAAGCTTGCCCAGTAACACTTTAAGGTATTTGCTTCATTACTGGAATTTGTTTCTTATATAAGTAGTAAGGAAAGAATCTGGGTAAAATGTTCCCTTGGGAGATGGAGAGAGAAAGATTTCTGTTCCCTCTATCCCTTCTTTCATGTTATGTTTATTTTCCCTTCTTGATTTTTTTTGGTAATACCAAGTCATTCCAGCTAATGGCTTAATACGATTTGTGACTCAGACGTCAGTAATGTTGGCATAGACAATGGTTTAATGTAGTCCCTCCTGGTGGTTTGCATAGTGGAATTGGAGCTTAGAGATGGCCTAAGAAGCTAGCAATGACAATAGGTCACAAAGATGAGCTGCCAGAGTCTACTTATCCTGTCATTTGGTGTATAAATCACAAGTCAAATTTCTTTCTTAACCATGCACGTGTTGGTAACTTGTATAAGAAGCATTCTGGCAGCGATCTCCTTAGAAAGCAGCCAGGCTGAGAGGTTGTGTGTGTGTGTGATGATGAGCAGAGTTTGTTTGGTGGCCCCAGAGAAGGGCACCTGTCCCTTTTTCCTTCTGCCAGCTGGAGGTTTGTTTATCCCTCCCCAGCACTAAGCATCTGTGGGATCTTGGCCAAATAGAGTCCTGATTATAGGGAAATCTAAATCTCTTCTTGATAACCCAAAATCCTGGTTTTTTTTAGTAAAAACATTTAAAATTACATTTTTTCAAATTTGAGTTGGATTTATAGCAAGTGAAGCTCTGGAAATCATTTTTTTTTTAACAGAATCAACTACTAAATGCATTTAATAGAAACATAAGAAACCCAGGATTTTTTTTTTCAGACGGGGTCTTGCTCTGTTGCCCAGGCTGGAGTGCAGTGACACTATCACAGCTCACTACAACCTCAAGCTCCTGGGCTCAAGCCATCCTCCCGCCTCAAGCCATCCTCCCGCCTCAGCTTCCCTAGTAGCTGGGACAACAAGCATGCGCTGCCATGCCTAGCTAATTTTTTTTTTTTGTAAGTTTCTGTAGAGACGGGGGTCTCACTGTGTCAACCAGGCTGGTCTCGAACTCCTGGCCTCAAGCGATCCTCCTGCCTTGGCCTCCCAGAATGCTGGGATGACATGGATGAGACACCGCGCCTGGCTGAAACCCAGGCTTTATTGCATCTTTGGGTGACATCAGATATTTTTACTTCCCAGGTGGCAAAAAGCACCTGTACATTCCTTTCATTTAAGTTGCTGTTTTAACCTAAGCAAGAGCCTATGTCCTAACAAGGTTACTAGCTTAGTAATTTACCCGCACTGATGCCCACCCGTTGCCAGTGCGTGAGTAATGCTGGGGTTTTTAATTCAAGAAATTTCTGTCTCAGATTCTTTTCTTACTACTTCTCATTCTGGAGTGTAAGTGTAAGCCACACAATGAGATAAATACAACACTTATATTTTCATCTTTGTGTAGAGTTTCAATTTGCCATAAGTCATGAGATTTCTGTAACTTGTGTGCCGGATATCTTGGGTCTCACTAACCAGACATACATTCTGCCGTTTCTAACCTGGGCCTCAGTTTTCTGTTCCTCCAGTTGGTTCCAAAACAGACAACCAGTACATCCTCTGCATTTTCCCAGTTCCTTGGAATAGAACCAGGTGTGATTTGGCTTCTTGTTAAGGTTATGACCACTCACTGGTGACTGTGGTAATGTAGTGTCTTAGGTCATATGGCCTGTGGCCTAGCCTAGGAAACTTTTCTCCAGTTTTGTTTTTCCT
This sequence comes from Homo sapiens, assembly GCF_000001405.40. Classification (NCBI taxonomy): domain Eukaryota; kingdom Metazoa; phylum Chordata; class Mammalia; order Primates; family Hominidae; genus Homo; species Homo sapiens. The sequence continues at coordinate 122,280,786 of NC_000012.12, read as the reverse complement.
AAAGTATTTTTGTCATTTTCCTCTCGTGTTTCACACTGCATGTCATTTAAAAAACTTTTTATTTTAAAATAATTTTAGATTTCCAGAAGAGTTGCAAAAGTAGTGCATCCAGTTCTCACAGACCTTCCCCCAGAGGCCCCTAATTGAACATCCTACACAGCCCCGGCACACTCATCAAAACTGAGAAACTCCCATGAGCAGCATACTCTCAGCTGAAACAAGGGACTTCATTCAGATTTCACCAGTTTGCTCACTAATGTCCTTTTGTGTTACAGCATCCAAACTAGGATCCCGCCTTGCAGTTAGTTGTCATATCTCCTTCGTCTTCTCTATATGTGACAGTTTCTCAGCCTTTTCTTGTATTTAATGACCTTGGCATTTTGAAATGCATGTAGTTTTTATAACAAAACTTTCAGTATGGCCGGCTCACGCCTGTAATCCCAGCACTTTGTGAGGCTGAGGTGGGCGGATCACTTGAGGTCAGGAGTTTGAGACCAGCCTGGTGACCAACATGGTGAAACCCCATCTCTACTAAAAATACAAAAATTAGCTGGGCGTGGTGGCAGGCGCCTGTAATCCCAGCTACTCAGGAGGCTGAGGCAGGAGAATCGCTTGAACCCAGGAGGCGGAGGTTGCAGTGAGCAGAGATCGCACCACTGGACTCCAGCCTGGGCAACAGAGCGAGACTCTGTCAAAAAAAAAAATAAAAAAAACACACAACTTTAAATAGGTACACATATGTAAACACATGCTAGCCTGCTCTTTGGGCTGTTTTCACTGTGTCCTGCGTTCCTCCCTGTTCCTCCTTCGTCTTTCCCTTTCTCTTCTCACTCCCACAACCCTCTCATTAAAGGCCTCATCCCCGCCCTCTGCTGATAACCAAGTGCTGAGTCAGGCCGAGAACATAAACCAGGCGCTCTGAATTTCTCCTTCCAGGCTCCCCATGCTTTCATTCTGCACCTGAGAAAACCATTTTAACATTTTCTGTTCTAGCCTTTATGTAATTACCATTAATTTCTATGAGCTAATTTAATGTCCTCTTCAGAGTCTATGGCTGGAAAGTAATAATCCTTCAGTTTGAGTAATAATAATAATCTTTACTACTGTTTTGGCCCATAACATCTTAAACACCCATTCTTGGAACTTGCTACAAAAGTTACTGAAATTAGTGAGAACCAATTGATATTTCCAGCATAAAGCTGCTCTGCATGACATCTGTATAACTGCTTTGCATGTGTGTATTTTAATTGTCGTTATTGCTTGGTAATAATTTATTCAAGAATTAACAAACTTCAACTTGGGGTTAGATTTTAGTAGAATATTGGGGAGGGTGCAACCGTTTTTTTTTTTTTTAATTCTACCTCTTCCAAATTTATTAACTTGTTTCTTTAAGTTCAAATGGATACAATCACATGCAGACTCTGGCATGTCTATGCATAGGTAAACTTTTTCTCCCCTCACAGTAAGTAAAATTTCAAGTAAAATTTTGTGAGCATAATGGCCTTAACTCCCTATAAAACTTCCCTGTTATATTTTTTTTTTTACATTAACTAACATTAATTATGTGTTTGTTCTAGAACAGTTGTACACTGACCAGTCTTTCGGTTGATTTGTGGAACTTTTAACTCTTTGGTCTTTTAGAGAATCCAAGTTCATAAAAGACGCAGATGAAGAGAAAGCTTCCTTGCAGAAATCCATCAGTATAACTAGTGCCTTACTCACAGAAAAGGATGCCGAGCTGGAGAAACTGAGAAATGAGGTAGAGTACCACCCAGGGTGCACGAGCTTTCACGCGGCCTCCTTTCGTTCAAACCCTCAGCCTAAGCTAAACAACTGTGTTTCAGGTCACAGTGCTCAGGGGAGAAAACGCCTCTGCCAAGTCCTTGCATTCAGTTGTTCAGACTCTAGAGTCTGATAAGGTGAAGCTCGAGCTCAAGGTAAAGAACTTGGAGCTTCAACTCAAAGAAAACAAGAGGCAGCTCAGCAGCTCCTCAGGTAAAGGGCGCCTGCCCAGTGCTTCTCTGTACACCCCGCGTCCTCCCGAGGAGCCCTTTCTAGTAGAGATGCTCTTCGAAGACAGCTCTCATGCTGCCCTGACCCTGACTCTCCTTAGCTCTTCCACCACTTAATCAATCAAGGGCTAATCCCATGTGCCTGCCATCCCCGTTCCTGGGGCTTCTTGTGGTCTGTCAATATTGTCACAAACCTACTATGATGGCTGCCTGCTGCCATCCAGACTGGGGGGTCTTAAAGTACATAACAGTGCAGGAGAAGAGGTGGTCCCTTTGGTGAAGAAGGGTGGATTGCCTCTGTACATTCAGATGGACGTGACAGGCATTCTAACCCAGGAGTTAGCAGGCCTGAGGGAGAGCACGTGAAGGGCAAGGCTGGTGTCTGTGAGACCCTGTAGGGTCCCGCAAGGGGACACAAACTCATCCACATGTGCTGAAAGTGGTGCATCTGGGAAGTCCACAGGAAAATGAGTTTTGAACACAGGCCCTTTCACTGCAGTTTAGATTGTGATTAAAAATATACATATATTCTCCCTCCACTTGTTTTTTTTTTTTTTTCCTCAAATATAAGGTAATACAGACACTCAGGCAGACGAGGATGAAAGAGCCCAGGAGAGTCAGGTAATGTTCCTGCCTTATTGCTTTACTTTCTTGCTGTTTTTCAAAATCATTGAATCTTTTCGTTTATTTTCCTTCTCATTTGATGCCTTTTGTATCATTTAGTCTTTTGAATTGGTAATGCATTCCTCTAGTCCAAACATTAAACAGAATTAAAAATATATACATTAAATGTCTTCCTCCAAACCTTCTCTCTCTTCTGCTCAGTTCCCAACCCTGCAAACAGTTAATTACTGTTATTTGTGTCTTTCCTTTTCAGAGATTTTTTAAAGTGTGTATACAAGCCAGCACTAATACAGTCTTCCCTCCCTTTTTTTTTTTTAACATAAATAATGGCATACTACATAAACGGTTCTGCACTTATTTTTTTTATAGCTATGTAGTGTTCCATTACGTGGATTTACTATAATTTAGTCAGTTCCCTATTGGTTGACAATGACACTGGGATGTTTCTGATCCTTTGGGTGTATTATAAACAATGCCGTAAGGAATTATCTTGGGCAGCTATCATTTTATATATTAGTATTTCTGCAGGATGAATTCCTAGAAGTAGAATTGCTCTGTCAAAGGGTTTGTTACTCATCTGAACCTTAAAAAGACTGGTTTCTTGAAAACTCAGTCTCTTAAAGCGAAAATTAACAAAACAACTTTAGTTTTAAACTAAAAATGGGATTAGGCCAGGAATGGTGGCTTATCCCTGTAATTCCAGCACTTTGGGAGGCCAAGGTGGGATGATTGCTTGAGCCCAAAAGTTTGAGACCAACCTGGACATAGCGAGACCTCATCTCTACAAAAAAAAAAAAACAAAAAAAACAAAAAACAATCCTGCAGCCTGAGTGACAGAGCAACACCCTGTCTCAAAACAATTACTTAATTAAAAAAAAGTTTTTAAGGGCCTGGGCCAGGTGCAGTGGCTCACGCCTATAATTCCAGCTTTTTGGAAGGCTGTGGCAAGCGGACTGTTTGAGATCAGGAGATCGAGACCAGCCTGAGCAACAATGGCAAGACCCCATCTCTACAAAAAATAAAATTAGTTAGGCATGGCGCCATGCTCCCATAGTCCCAGTTACCCCAGAAGCTGAGGCAGGAGGATCACTTGAGTCCAGAAGGTTGAGGCTGCAGTGAGCCATGATCATGCCACCGCACTTAGGCCTGACTGACAAAGCAAGAACCTGTCTCAGAAAAAAAAAAGGTGGGGTGGGGGGCCCGGGCACAGCAGCTCACACCTGCAATCCCAGCACTTTGGTAGGCCAAGGTAGGCAGATCGCTGGAGCCCGAGACCAGCCTGCGCAACATGGGCACTCCAAGCTGGGTGACAGAGCAAGGCCCTGTCTCAAAACAAACAAAAATTTGTAAAAAGGGATTATATAAAGGCAAACTATTCTGTACTTGGAAATATAATTGTATATAGCAACAAACATCTGTCTTTTAATTTTAATATACTTTGTATGTATTAGTCATGTTCAAAATTCAAAAGTACAAAAGCCACATTTTATATTTAAATAAAAGAAAAACTCACCTTGAGATGTTAGTTGCCAGACACCTCCTTTGAGGGGCACAAAACGATTCAACACTGTACAAACTTACCATGGATTAGCATTGTCCTCTTTGTATGTCTACTGGGCTTAATAACTAACAGTGTCTTCTCTTCCCCCTTCCTTTCTGCTTCGGTTTGTTTCATCTGCTGCTGACAACACTTTTCTTCCAATCAGCAAATGGTTCGTTTCATGTTTCCTAATTTGCGTGCACACGTGTGTGTGTGTGTGTGTGTGTGGTTTCCCACTATACTTATGTCCATTTTGTGGCTTTTTCTTCTTCCTGAAATGGAGCTCTTAACACGATAATGACTTAGAAAATGCACGTTGAGAAGTGAAGGTAGACTCAGTAGGTCTGCCTTCAGAGGTGGCCTCCATGATGCTGGGATATGCTGCAGAGAAAGACTGCAGTGATTGCTAACTTTGTTCATAACTCCCCAGCAGGAGAAAAAGACCAAATATTTCTTTAAAAAGTAAAATATTTATGTATATGTGTGTGTATATCTATATATATTTTAAATATTGTAAAGTGGGATCTTTCAGTTTAGAGAAATGAGACTTTTCATTATTTGTAGAAGGAAGAAATTTTTTGTTTTTAAGTCAAAATGCCCTTTGATTGAAAGGAAATGTTCAGGATAAGAGCGGTCCCTCCTGTTGGCCATCTTGTTGTCCCCACTGCCCCAGCTCTTGGCATGGGCACTCTCCCTCTGGGTGGTACCTGAACACCGCCTTGTTGGCGTGCCTGGCTGTCTCTCCTAGGTTGGGAGGGAGCTTTAGCCTTCTCCATTTTCCCTGAGGACATGTTTACTTATTGCTCCACCATTATCAGTCAGTTGATAAATGAGAGTCTGAAGGAAATTTCCATGTGACTTTTTCAAATCTGCCGAACAGAAAAGTCCTGGATGGATTGTAGAGTTTAATGGAAGAACTAACCTTTTTATGCATTTTGTGTGTGTGTGTGTGTGTGTGTGTGTGTGCGCGTGTGTGTGTGTGTGTATTTTTTTCTTTTTTGAGATGGAGTCTTGCTCTGTTGCCCAGGCTGGACTGCAGTGGCGTAGTCATGGCTCACTGCAACGTCCGCCTCCTGGGTTCAAGCGAGTTTCCAGCCTCAGCCTCCTGAGTAGCTGGGACTACAGGCGTAAGCCACCACACCCAGCTAATTTTTGTATTTTTACTAGAGACAGGGTATCACTATGTTGGCCAGGTTGGTCTTGAACTCCTGACCTCAGATGATCCGCCTGCCTCTGTCTCCCAAAGTGTTGGGATTACAGGCGTGAGCCACCACGCCTGGCCAATATTTTTTATGTGGTAGAATGAAAACAAACTTGTGCCCATATATTCAGAAATATAAGATTATGACTTCTGGAGAATGCAAGATTTTTTTCTCCTATTTAAAAAAATGTTTCTTATATTTTTTCATGAATCAATAGCACTCCACCAACCCACAGATTTAGATGTTTAGGAATAATTTCAGCTGGGTACAGTGGCTCATGCCTGTAATCCCAACACTTTGGGAGGCCGAGGCAGGCGGATCACGAGGTCAGGAGTTTGAGTCCATCCTGGACAATATGATGAAACCCCGTCTCTATTAAAAATACAAAAATTAGCTGGGTTTGGTGGCACGTGCCTATAGTCCCAGCTACTCGGGAGGCTGAGGCAGGAGAATCACTTGAACCCGGGAGGCAGAGGTCGCAGTGAGCCGAGATCGAGCCACTGCACTCCAGCCTGGGCAACAGAGCAAGACTCCATCTCATAAATAAATAAAATAATTAATTAATTCATGGCCTGGCACCGTGGCTCACACATGTATTCCCAGCACTTTGGGAGGCCAAGCCGGGTGGATCACCTGAGGTCAGGAGTTTGAGACCATCCTGGCCAACATGGCAAAACCCCGTCTCTACTAAAAATACAAAAATCAGCCAGGCATGGTGGTGCATGCCTGTAATCCCAGCTATTCAGGAGGCTGAGACAGTAGAATTGCTTGAACCCAGGAGACAGAGGCTGCAGTGAGCCGAGATCCTGCCACTGCACTCCAGCCTGGGCGACAGAGCGAGACTCCGTCTCAAAAAAAAAAAAAAAACAAAACAAAACAAATGAAGTTTACCCATGTTATACCTAGAAACATTCAATGAAGTGTAATTTAAATTTTTTTTTAAAATATAAAATAGCATCTCCTCAGTAATGAACATTTGAAGAAATCTGAAAGGTGTGAGGGGGTAAAAGAAACTGCCATAGCCTTACCACCTAGACATGGCCTCATTTAAGTTCAGCTCTTTACTCACACAATCTCAGCATGCCTGTCCTCCGGGAGAGTGAAAAGCATGGGTTCCTAATAGCCGCTGTTGGCCCCTTCTGCACACTTTGCCGCCAGAGCTTAAAGGTATAAACTTCATGACTTCTTGATGCTCCAGCTTATATATATTCTTGACATTTTACACATTTTTTTTTTAACAAATCAGATTGATTTCCTAAATTCAGTAATAGTGGACCTTCAAAGGAAGAATCAAGACCTCAAGATGAAGGTGGAGATGATGTCAGAAGCAGCCCTGAATGGGAACGGGGATGACCTAAACAATTATGACAGGTATTTCATATGAAGACATACTGATTGCTATAATCCCAGCACTTTGGGAGGCCGAGGCGGGCGGACCACTTGAGGGTCAGGAGTTCGAGACCAGCCTGGCCAACACGATGAAACCTCGTCTCTACTAAAAATACAAAAGTTAGCCAGGCGTAGTGTTGCATGCCTGTAATCCCAGCTACTTGGGAGGCTGAGGCAGGAGAACTACTTGAGCCTTGGAGCTGGAGGTTGCAATGAGCCGAGATTGCGCCACTGTACTCCAACCTGGGTGACAGAGCAAGACCCTGTCTCAAAAAAAACCATACTGATTGGAACCTTAGTTTCATCAAAATAAATATGTTTTTAAAGTGAGCTTCTCTAGGGGATTGTAAAAAGACGCAACAAAAAAAAACAAATGTTTTGTGGTTCCTTTGCCATAAATAGATTTCCATAAATCTGGCAAGTGAGTGAGAGGAGACTACAAATGCTTTGACATGAAGATTTTAAATGTGAGGCTGGCGTGGTGGCCACGACTGTAATCCCAGCACTTTGGGAGGCCGAGGTGGGCAGATCACCTGGGGTCAGGAGTTCAAGACCAACTTGGCTAACTTGGCAAAACCCCATCTCTACTGAAAATACAAAAAAGTAACTGTGTGGGGTGGCACGCACCTGTAATTCCAGCTACTTGGGAGGCTGAGGCAGGAGAATTGCTTTCACCTAGGAGGTGGAGATTGCAGTAAGCCAAGATCATGCCACTGCACTCCAGCCTGGGTGAGAGTCTGAGACTCCATCTCAAAAATAAAAAAAATACTTTAAATGTGGGATAATGCACTACTTATACTGGAAGCTCACAGACTTGGCCATAATTAGTTCTTGCTTAATTTTTAAATTTTTTGCAAGTGTTCTTGTCTCTTCAGTTTCTTCTGATAAATTTTCTGATTTCACACATTAACATTTGTAGTGATGATCAGGAGAAACAGTCCAAGAAGAAACCTCGCCTCTTCTGTGACATTTGTGACTGCTTTGATCTCCACGACACAGAGGATTGTCCTACCCAGGCACAGATGTCAGAGGACCCTCCCCATTCCACACACCATGGCAGTCGGGGTGAGGAACGCCCATACTGTGAAATCTGTGAGATGTTTGGACACTGGGCCACCAACTGCAATGACGACGAAACCTTCTGATGAAGCCTCCAGTGGAGAACTGGGCTTGCTCAGACGCACTCGCATTGACACAACGTAACACCAGCATTGTGTGTGCAGACTTCAGGAGAACTCATGTTATTTTTTAACCCCGTCAACAAATCTAGGAAAATATTTTGATCTTCAACAAATTGCCCTTTAGTCTCCCCGTATGAGTTAGAATAATAAATATTTAGTAGGTGAGTTTTCACCTCGAATTTTGTTTTCTTGATTTTTACGTTTGAAGACATTGCACCAGATGCCATTACATTTATTGGCCCCCCGACCTTGTAGAAAAACCCCTACCCTCACAATACCTTATTTAAGTAACTTTAAATTATGCCGTTACTTTTCATATTTGCACTAAGATATTTCCAGGCTGCATTTGTATATTTAGATTTTTTGGTTAAGCTTTGACACTGGAATGAGTTGAAAAAATGTGCCATTTTGCATTTTCATCTACTCATTTAAAGTATTTTATTCTTATTCAAAGAAATATCTGAGCTCTTTGCACTACCTGTTATCAGTAGTGCCTTTACTTCAGGCTTGATAATACTTAGGTGTGATTATAAAATCATGAAGCAGGTAAAGGGAGGGGCAAGCCCCCAAACTGCTGTGGGGACATTTTATAATCTATATGCTGCACCCACTTAATCTACTGTGGTGTTTTGTTTATTAGTTTTGCATAATTTCAGCTTCTATATATTGTATGTATATATTTTTTAAAAATCTATATTTTGGGAAAAAAACATACACAATGTGTCTTTCTTTTTGGACATTTACCTTTTTGAAAAAGAAAACACTTAAAATGATCATTAGGACATAACAGACTAGGCCAGACATAGCATCTTGTGGCTTTGCAACCATTTTCATTTGTTTGTTTTCCTTTTATTTCTTCACCAGATTTAAATAACTGGAGGAATTTTCTCCAATTTTTTTTTCCTTCTCTGGCAGGTATCCCCAGCAGTCAATTAACAATAAGCCAGTATAAAACACCTAAATAACCAATCTACAATCTCCCTTCACAAGTTTTTTTACTGTTTTTAGATGAATGTACGATGAGAAATTCAACGTTAATAATTCTGGATTTTCTTATCACAAAAAAGAAAATGAAGGACCTCAAAGCACCTGAACAGTTTATCGACCAGTTTGAATCTATTTATCTTCATTTGAATGTCTTCTAGAATATGTAAAAAGTCATAAAATGTATCTTCCATGCTACATGTACAATAAGAACTTCTATAATTGTATATATGCCTTTGATGTATTTTCCCCTCAAGATTATCAACTGTGTGTTCGACAGTGAATATTCAATCTGGTACCAGTTGAAATTTTTGGTTATAAATGTAATACGAATTGTTTCACAAACAGAAAACATGTAAAGCAGTATTAAAATTTGGCCAAACAAGTGTTCTGTATCTACTTTAATAAATGGTTATTCTTTTTTGTTTTGTGGGTTTTGTTTTGTTTGAGACAGGGTCTCACTCTGTTGCCCAGGCTGGAATACAGTGGCACAATCATGGATTGCTGCAGCCTCCAACTCCTGAGCTCAAGCAATCCTCTCACCTCAGCCTCCAAAGCAGCTAGGACTACAGGCAAGTGCCACCACACCTGGCCAATTTTTTTTTTTTTTTTTTTTTTTTTGAGACGGAGTCTCACTCTGTCGCCCAGGCTGGGTGCAGTGGTGTGATCTCGGCTCACTGCAAGCTCCACCTCCTGGGTTCACGCCATTCTCCTGCCTCAGCCTCCCGAGTAGCTGAGACTATAGGCATCCGCCACCATGCCCAGCTAGTTTTTTGTATTTTTAGTAGAGACAGGGTTTCACCGTGTTAGCCAGGATGGCCTCGATCTCCTGACCTCGTGATCCGCCTGCCTCGGCCACCCAAAGTGCTGGGATTACAACACCTGGCTAATTTTTAAATTTTTTGTACAGAGTGAGTCTCCCTATGTTGCCCGGGCTGGTTTTGAACTCCTGGGTTCAAGTGATCCTCCCACTTCAGCCTCCTAAAGTGTTGGGAGTGCTCACCCAGCCAATAAATGGTTATTCTTTTTTGCTAATGGTAGTAAATTGATATTCTCAGGTTTGTCATAATGGTTTTACTTCAAATGAGCAAACCCTATACATTCATATAGCAATTTCTACTGCAGTCTTGTTACTAAAGTTTTTAAGAAATTGGTAGGCCTGGTGCGGTGGCTCACGCCTTTAATCCCAGCACTTTGGGAGGCCGAGGCGGGTGGATCACGAGGTCAGGAGATCGAGACCATCCTGGCTAACACGGTGAAACCCTGTCTCTACTAAAAATACAAAAAATTACCCGGGCACGGTGGCGGGCACCTGTAGTCCCAGCTACTCGGGAGGCTGAGGCAGGAGAATGGCGTGCACCCAGGAGGCGGAGCTTGCATTGAGCCAAGATCGTGCCACTGCAGTCCAGCCTGGGCGAAAGAGTGAGACTCCATCTCGAAAAAAAAAAAAAGCCAAGCGTGGTGCACACCTGTAGTCCCAGCTACTGGGGAGGTTGAGGCAGGAGAATTGCTTGAGCCCAGGAGTTAAGAGGCTACAGTGAGCTATGATTGTGCCACTGCACTCCTAGGCAACAGAGTGAGACACTGTCTCTCATTTTTTTTTTGGTATGTCTTTCTGTCCTTCTTAAAGTGTTTCATGACCCATTTAGCATAACGTACTTGTAGTTGTTATCCATTACTGTATCACCCCACATTACCTGACAAAAATAATTACCTGATAAAAATCAATGTGGCACCATGTGGTGCCAACTATCTATTCGTCCATGAAGTCTTACAAATTGAAAAGTCCATATAATATTTACAAAAATGATACTGAACCAATTGAGTGCTATGCCTTTGAACATGCTTCTCTTGTTTTGAGGCAGGGTCTCACTGTCACTCAGGCTGGAGTGCAGTTGTGCAATCTCGGCTCACTGCAACCTCCGCCTCCAGTGCTCAAGCAATTCTTCCACCTCAGCCACCTGAATGGCTGGGACCACAGGCGCATGCCACCATGCCCAGGTAATTTTTTAAATTTTTATTTATCTATTATTTATTGAGACAGAGTTTCACTCTGTCGCCCAGGCTGGAGCGCAGTGGCACGATCTTGGCTCACTCCAGCCTCTGCCTCCCAGATTCAAGCGATTCTCCTGCCTCAGCCTCCTGAGTAGCTGGGACTACAGGCATGCGCCACCATACCCAGCAAGTTTTTGTATTAGTAGAGACAGGCTTTCACCATGTTGGCCAGGGTGGTCTTGAACTCCTGACCTCAGGTGATCTGCCCATCTCAGCCTCCCAAAGTGCTGGGATTACAGGCGTGCACCACCATGCCTCACCTAACATCTGTTTTATAAACAAATGTTTATAAAACATCTTGGAAGAACCCAAGGATGGAAACCGGACAGTGGGTGGGATATGGAGAAGGGTCTTAAAACCTGTAGATTCAGTTATGTTTAGAGTCTGGATGAGGTATGCTAGGAAAGGGGTGGTGAGAGAGCTGGGGTGGGGAAGTTGGTGGGAAGGACGGTATTCAGGTACTGAAGACTGAAGAAAGGTTGGGAGTCATTGTCAAGTAGGCAGCCAGCGTCAGGACCCAAGGACTCACCCATAGGTAGGTATTTCCAAAGCAGTTACTGCTTGAATAAGAACATTACTTCTACCTAGATAATACATTAAAACACAGTAGTTCTCAACTTTGGTACTGACCTTAGGTGATTAAAAGACTCTAAACAAGTCTGCAGTATTTGTAGGGTAACTATAGCAGTTGTCTCTCCTGGTCTATAAAAGCACCTGTTGTTACTTCATCATTTTGTAGCATCCTGATCCTGCTTGGGGATAGTTTATCATCCTAGTCTTAGTTACACTCACACATCCTTGAGATTTCACTAACCTGGGGCATTTCACCTCTTGGAGTAAGTTATACCCTCATTTAACAGCTCATGACATGGCCTGCTGAACACAACTTTTATTCTCACAGGCGTTAACATGATGCATTCTCTTGGCTGTGAGTCTGTATATAGAAAAAGAATTGTGTATTATCAGCCAGGAGCAGTAGCAGGCATCTGTAGTCCCAGTTACTCTGGAGGCTGAGGCCAGATGATAGCTGGAACCCAAGAGCTTGAGGCCAACCTAGGCAACATAGGGAAACCCCATTTCTATTAAAAAAAAAAAAAAAAAAAAGCTGGGCGCGGTGGCTCACGCCTGTAATCCCAGCACTTTGGGAGGCCGAGGCGGGCGGATCACAAGGTCAGGAGATCAAGACCATCTTGGCTAACACGGTGAAACCCCGTCTCTACTAAAAATAGAAAAAAAATAAGCCGGGCGTGGTGGCGGGCGCCTGTAGTCCCAGCTGCTGGGGAGACTGAGGCAGGAAAATGGCGTGAACCCGGGAGGCGGAGCTTGCAGTGAGCCGAGATCGCGCCACTGCACTCCAGCCTGGGCGACAGGGCGAGACTCCATCTCAAAAAAAAAAAATAATAAAAATAAAAAAATAAAAAAATAAATCTCTGTTGAGGCTGAGAACCACCTTGAAAACCAGGTTGAGAACTAAAGCATGGAAGCGTTTCCATGTGTGTTTTGTTTTTGTTTTTGAGACGAGTCTCGCTCTGTCGCCCAGCCTGGAGTGCAGTGGTGAGATCTCGGCTCACTGCAACCTTCGCCTCCCGGGTTCACGCCATTCTCCTGCCTCAGCCTCCCGAGTAGCTGGGACTACAGGCGCCCGCCACCATGCCCGGCTAATTTTCTGTATTTTTAGTAGAGACAGGGTTTCACCGTGTTAGCCAGGATGGTTTCGATCTCCTGACCTCGTGATCCACCCGCCTCGGCCTCCCAAAGTGCTGGGATTACAGGCGTGAGCCACCGTGCCCGGCCTCCATGTGTGTTAAATTATTAAAATCTAAATGTCCTTGCTGGAATCAAATTGAGAACAGAAGTTTTTGGTTGAGTGGCTGCTTTTCTGCACCATCCACAAATATCACTCTGCTTGTTCAGACTCTATGATAAGTGCTTCATAATGTAAACTGTATAGAAGATGCTGGAGGAGGCCGGGCACAGTGGCTCACACCTGTAATCCCAGCACTGGGAGGCCGAGACGGGCGGATCATGAGGTCAGGAGTTCGAGACCAGCCTGGCCAACATGGAGAAACCCCATCTCTACTAAAAATACAAAAAATTAGCCGGGCGTGGTGGCACGCGCCTGTAGTCCCAGCTACTCGGGAGGCTGAGGCAGAAGAATCGCTTGACCCAGGAGGCAGAGATTGCAGTGAGCCAAGATGGCACGACTGCACTCCAGCCTGGGCAACAGAGCAAGATTCCGTCTCAAAAAAAAAAAAAAAAAAAAAGGAAGCTTTGCACTCAAAGAAGGAAATTTTCATCTTTGACCAGATCCCAAAGGCCCATTTCCACCCCAAAGTATCAAAACGCATATATCCTACTAATATTAATAGTTTATTGAGCAATTAAGTTCCAGGCACCCAGTTAAGCCTCTCACGTGGACTGCACGATGAAATTCATACCCTCATTGATCCTCACTACAACTCAGAGGTAACATGGAATTTTACTGAGGCAAATGGTGGGACCTGGATTCCAGAAGCAATACTATTTGTGTGAAATGTCATGTCACTGTAAAAGTCTGTTAGGGATTACCCAAAAAAAAAAAAAAAAAAAAAAGTCCACTCAAGATTCCCTCGACTCCTCACCATATTGATACATTTTAGCTCAGAAATTAAAACAGCCTTGATTAGTGCAAAGCTAAGAAACTTCTGACTGCTATAATTTAAGATTTGAGCAGTGGGTGGCGGCGCGCACCTGTGGTTCCAGCTACTCTGGCGGCTGAGGTGGGAAGATCACTTGAGCCCGGGAGGTGGAGGCTACAGTGAGCTATGATCACGTCACTGCACTCCAGCCTGGGCGACAGGGCGAGACACTGTCTCAAAAAAAAAAAAGTTTTTTTTCCTATCCAAGTTTAGCCTTAAGATATCATCTTGCAGCAAGTACCTTTGCTGCAAATAAAAATTCGCGATTTTTAAAAGGGACAAGAGAGAGTCAATGTCTTTTTTTTTTTTTTTTGAGACGAAGTCTGCCCAGGCTGGTCTCAAACTCCCGGCCTGAAGCGATCACTCCTACCTCGGCCTCTTAAAGTGTTGGGATTACAGGCGTAAGCCACCGCGCCCGGTCTACTCCAGATCTTTAAAATCGCTTTTCAGCGCCCGACGACTCCTGGAGTGACCAGACTCTGAAACGCGCTCTGGGTCTTGGCGAGAATCTGAATAACCACCGGGGTAGAAGAAAGAGGCGGACACTAGGGCCAGACTAGGTAGAACCCGAACCCAGCAGATTCCGGTTTCCGGGTTGGCGTGCGCTGCCGTACCGGTCACGTGGACGTTTGGTCACGTGACTGCGTCCGTGGTCCTCCCGTAGGAACCGGCGGACTCGGTTGGCGTTGTGGGGCAGGGGGTGGTGGAGCAAGATGGCGGCTCATCTGTCCTACGGCCGAGTGAACCTAAACGTGTTGCGCGAGGCGGTGCGTCGCGAGCTGCGCGAGTTCCTGGACAAGTGCGCAGGAAGCAAGGTGAGGGGCGGGAGGCAGCGACACCGCCCTCGCCTCCCCTGGTCCGGCCTGGTTTAATCCGTTCCCTGACCGCCTGAGTTCGCGGTTTATGAGGTCCTTGGGGCTTCCAAGGAGGCGAGCCTCAGGGCCCTTTTACCTGCACCCCTGTGCAGGAGGCAGCGATGAAGGGGGGGGCCCTGGGCGTACAGCCTGGAGCCGGAGTGGCACCGCGACTGTTTTGTGAGAGCAGAGTAAGCCACTGTGATAGCCCGGCAGCTGATGAGCTGGTTTACGTCAGGTGTTTCCTCCGCTGCCTGCCGAGGCACCGGACGGGTGAGCGGTCCAAGAATGTGGATGGTCCAGTGTCCATTCATTACAGGGATCATACGTGTACCTTAGAAGCTCTCTTGAAACACCTGCACCTTGCAACCTGCTGCTCACGCGTGTTATGAGAGAAGTTGTAATCATTTGGGCTTTTAACCTGGCCTCCTAAAACAGTATAACTTCTCTAGTAGCACCCTTTTCACAAGGGAGTCAGGAACTAGATCAGAGATTTTATAGGATTTCTTTTAAACAGTGTCACCTCTCCTTCATCCCCTTAGGGTTTATCAGTCACCCTAAGTTACTGACAGTACAACTGTGAAAAGTCGAACTGGGGAGCCTCAGTCTTGTAGAGAACAGAACCCCAAGAGGTAAAGTGGGTGCTAGCAGCCTTTGAGAGAAGAAAGCAGTCTACATCATAGGGGCCCAGTTTCAATTCAGAAAAGGATGCTGAAATCTGAATAACATCATGGATTGTATCAATGTCAGTATCCTGGTTGTAATATGTTACCCCTGGAGGAAACTGAGCAAAGTGTACAGGGGCTCGCTCTGTATTATTTCTTTTAACTAAACGTTAATGTACAATTATTTAAATAAATAAGAAAAAGAAATGATACTGGAGTTTAGCGGTAGAAATACTCATAGGGGCCCAAAGCAATGACTCATGGTGTCAAAAAGTCCTAGGTTGGAGTCCTCACTCCCTTTCACTCTGTATGGTCCAAGGTCTATATGGCCTTGGAAAGTTACTTGAATTTACTGAGCTTTTAAGGATTTTCTCTTTTGGCCAGGCGTGGTGGAATAGGAAGTGCGGTGTAATCCCAGTACTTTGGGAGGCCACGGCAGGCAGCTCGCTTGAGCCCAGAGTTGGAGACCAGCCTGGGTGACATGGCAAAATCTCATCTCTACTAAAATAAAAATTAGCGTGATGTGGTGGCACACACCTGTAGTCCCAGTTACTCCAGAGGCTGAGATGGGAAGATCACCTGAGCCCAGGAAATCGAGGCTGCAGTGAGCTGTGATTCCACCACTGCCCCATCTCAAAAAAAAAAAAAAAAGAAAAAAAATCCTCTTTTGCCAAAATAAGATTTGTAATACCTATATTGTAGGTTTTAATTTTGTATAGTTGACAATTTCCATATGGCTCAATTTAATGATACCATGACACAGATATACAACAACTAAAATTCCTTCTTTCTGTTCAGGACAGTGATTAACTCCTTTCTCAGGACCAACAGTAGCATCGCTTGCCCTGGATGCTATTTTTCTTTAGACTAAGGATATGAATGTGGTCAGAGGTAATTAAATTTTTTTTATTCGGCCGCGTGCAGTGGCTCATGCTTGTAATCCCACCACTTTGGAAGAACGAGGCGGGTGGATCACCGTAGGTCAGGAGTTCAAGACCAGCCTGGGCAACATAGTGAAACCTCATCTCTACAAAAAGTACAAAAATTGGCCAGGCATGGTGGTGCATGCCTATAATCCCAGCTACTCAGGAAGCTGAGGCAGGAGAATCACTTGAACCCTGGAGGCAGAGGTTGCAGTACGCTGATATCACACCACTGCACGCTAGCCTGGGCAACACAGCAAGACTCCGTCTCAGAAACAAAATAACAGCAAAACCCCAAAAAATTTTTAAATTCTTTTTTCTCCTTTATGTATTATTATTATTTTAATTTTGTAACACTAGGATAAAATTTTTTAACTCAGAATTTGAAGCAAATACTCCTCCTGTTAGGCTATTTTTTATTGGTATTGTTAAAATTCCTGATATTAACTATAATAAGAGAATGTTTCTCCCCTCTTACAGGCAATAGTTTGGGATGAATACCTAACTGGACCCTTTGGCCTGATTGCACAGTATTCACTATTGAAGGTAAATGAGCTATTTGGGTTTTGTTAGGGGATTAATAATTCTGTACTTTAGCAGTTACAATAGGATTTTATATTTCTTCCTGAATCATTGGTTTGCAAAGCTGTTTGGTCTTTATAAACACTAATACTAGTGCCCGATTAACATTTTGTATCCATTGGCCAGTGATTCTATACTGATTCTAGCATTATATTATGTGACCATTTCCTGGTGTCTTTGATAGTTCATCATCATGTAAGAGTCATTTGAATGCTGATGCAGTAACAGTGGCTTTCTACTGAAACTTTGTCCTTTATGTATTTGGCTTTGAGGGAATCTAAATTTTGATATTAAAATATTAATGTGCACTTGATTGGGGGTATTTATGATTTCTGAGTCTGAAAATTATAGGTAAATTTCAGTCTTCTTGTTAACCTTTTGTGTATGTGTTTGCCTAGGAACATGAAGTGGAAAAAATGTTCACACTTAAAGGAAATCGTTTGCCGGCAGCTGATGTGAAGAATATAATTTTTTTTGTCAGACCCAGGCTAGAGTTGATGGATATAATCGCTGAAAACGTGCTCAGGTATCTCAGAGCTTGTGTTTGATCCAAAAGAGTTTGGTTCTTATAATGCTTTTAATTTATGAGCTCCTTCTCATGGAAGACCCTCACTCTTGCCAGTGCAAGGTGGTCTTTTGGAAAACTGAGATAGGCATGGAAGAATATAAAAGAGAAGATGGGGGCTGGGGGGAGGTGGAGATAGTTAATGGGTACAACAAAAAATAGAATAAGACCTACTATTTGATAGCACAACAGGGTGACTATAGTTAATAATAATTACGTATTTTTAAACTTAAAAAGTGAGACTGGGCATGGTGGCTCACACTTGTAATCCCAGCATTTTGGGAGGCCAAGGCGGGTGGATCACTTGAGGTCAGGGGTTCGAGACCAGCCTGGCCAACATAGTGAAACCCCGTCTCTACTAAAAATACAAAAATTAGCCAGGTTTGGTGGCCTGTGCCTGTAGTCCCAGCTACTCGGGAGACTGAGGCATGATAGTCTGTTGAACCCGGGAGGCAGAGGTTGCAGTGAGCTGAGATCGCGCCACTGCACTCCAGCCTGGGCAACAGAGGGAGACTCCGTCTCAAAAAAAAAAAAAAAAAAAGAGTGTAATTGGATTGTTTTGTAACTCAAAGAGTAAGTGCTTGAGAGGATGTGTCCCCCCATTCTCCGTGATGTGCTTATTTCACATTGCATGCCCACATCAAAACATCTCATGGACCCCATAAATACATGCGCCTGCTATGTACCCCCCAAAAATTAAAAATAGAGAGGATGAGAAACTTAGGAAGTTGTTGTCAGCAGTTGGAGAGGAGGATCATCCTATCTACCCATTCTTTCAAGATAGCCAAAAGCTACCCATTCTTTAAAGATAGCCAAAAGCTTAAACCTGTGTCAGTAAAAAGGGCCCTAGTTTAAAAAAATAAACCTCCAGCAGTTATTTTTAAATATACTGCATGTACTTGAATTTCATAAGCAAAAAAAAAAAAAAAGCTGATTAAATTTTAATATAGCATCCAGTCTATAGAGGAAGTGCTCCCAGCCGAGTCTGCACTCTGTGGTACAATTGATTGTTGCAGCCCCTAAAATCTTAAAAGCATATGGGCTATTTTTGGAAGTTCTCTGTCAAGGAGAGTAGGAGTGGGAGTCAAAAGTGATCTTTCATTTTAATTTAAGACTCTTTGTGGCTGCATTGCTTTGGTTGAAGAACCATTTGTTTTTATTGAGACACAGATATCCTATTTCAATCAACCTGAGAGCTTCAATGCCCCATAAATGGTTTAAGAGAATGCTAAAATGTACTCGCCAGGACTCAGTGATGCTTTCCTGTCAGGGGGAAGAAAGAGAGAGAGAGTGGGTACAGCTGTAACACGTTGGGTCTGAGTCAGTTTTTGGTTATTTTTTTGAGACACAGTCTCACTCTGTTGCCCAGGCTGGAGTGCAGTGGTGGAATCTCTGCTCACTGCAACCTCTGCCTCCAGGGTTCAAGCAATTCCCCTGCTTTAGCCTCCCAAGTAGCTGAGATTACAGGCACACACCACCATGCCCAGCTGATTTTTGTATATTTTTGTTTTAGTTTTTATTTATTTATTTTGAGATGGAGTCTCGCTGTGTTGCCCAGGCTGGAATGCAGTGGCGTGGTCTCGGCTCACTGCAACCTCTGCCTCCCGGTTTCAAGCGATTCTCCTGCCTCAGCCTCCCAAGTAGCTGGGATTACAGGTGCCTGCCACCATGCCCGGCTAATTTTTTGTATTTTTAGTAGAGTCGTGGTTTCTTCGTGTTGGCCAGGTTGGTCTCCACCTCCTGTTCTCGTGATCCGCTCGCCTCGGCCTCCCAAAGTGCTGGGATTACAGGCATGAGCCACTGCGCCCAGCCATTTTTGTATATTTTATAGAGACGGGGTTTTGCCACCTTGACCAGACTGGTCTCGAACTCCTGACCTCAACTGATCCGCCCGCCTTGGCCTCCCAAAGTGCTGAGATTACAGGTGTGAGCCACTGCACCCGGCCTGAGAGTCAGTATTTATATGATTTATCTAGCCAGCATTTATTTAGTGCCTGCTATGTGCCAGGCAGTGGGGATAAAAAAAGCAAAATGGTCCATGACTCTTAGGAGCTCATAAGCTAACAAATGTTGCTTCCTTTGCAGTGAAGATAGACGAGGCCCAACGAGAGATTTTCATATTCTGTTTGTGCCACGCCGTAGCCTGTTGTGCGAACAGCGGTTGAAGGATCTGGGTGTCTTGGGATCCTTTATTCACAGGGAGGAGTACAGCTTAGATCTCATTCCATTCGATGGGGATCTCTTATCCATGGAATCAGAGGGTGCATTCAAAGTAAGTTTGGCATTTCCTTAACTTCAGGCATTAATTTTTGCCCAGTTTATGAGTGTGAGCATACCACAGTACTGATTACTGTGAAGCTGAGTCCCATTTTATATGTTTATTGATGTTTAAGATTTTCTGTTCAACAAATTGTTCATTTTCTTTGCCCGTTTTTTCTTTTTGAGTAATTCTTTGTATATTCTGGATGTTGATCATTATGGATTATAAAAGCTGCAAGTATCTTCCCAGTCTGTGACTTGTCTTTTAACTTTGTTTTTTTGTTTTGTTTTGTTTTTTTGAGACGGAGTCTCGCTCTGTCGCCCGGGCTGGAGCGCAGTGGCGCGATCTCAGCTCACTGCAGCCTCCGCCTCTTGGGTTCAAGGGATTCTTCTGCCTCAGCCTCCTGAGTAGCTGGGATTACAAGTGTGCGCCACTATGCTTAGCTGATTTTTGTATTTTTAGTAGAGACAAGGTTTCACCATGTTGCTTGGCCAGGATCCGCTTCATGATCCGCCCGCCTCCGCCTCCCAAACTGCTGGGATTACAGGCGTGAGCCACCGCGCCTGGCTTAACTTTGTGTATAATGTCTTTTATCATGTAGACACTTCCCATTAAAAGTAGTTAAATTTTAAAATTTTAAAATATTAGCTTTATTTATTATAACTCACAATACTGGCTGAGGTAAGTGGCTCATGCCTGTAATCCTAGCACTTTAGGAGGCTGAGGCGGGTGGATCACCTGAGATCAGGAGTTTGAGACCAGCCTGGGAAACATGGGGAAACCCCGTCTCTACTAGAAATACAAAATTAACCGGGTGTGGTGGTGGGTCCCTGTGGTCCCAGCTATTCAGGAGGCTGAGGCAGGAGAATCACTTGAACCCGGGAGGTGGAGGTTGCAGTAAGCCGAGATTGCGCCACTGCACTCCAGCTTGGGCGACAGAGGGAGACTCTATCTCAAAAAAACAAAAAACAAAAAACAAAAAAAAAAACTCACAATGCCATGAAATTCTCTCCTTTAAGGTGCAAAATTCAGTGGTTTTTAGTGTATTTACAAAGTTGTGCAACTATCTCCACTCTCTAAGTATGGCACATTTTAACTATTCCGAAAAGAATCCCCATGCCCAGTAGCAGTCTGTCGCTATCTTTCCTTCCCTCAGCCTCTGGCAGCCACTAATCTAGTTCAGTCTGTATGAATTCGCTTATTCTGGAGTTTTCCTTTTCTTCTTTTTTTGAGATAGAGTCTCACTCTTTTGCCCAGGTTGGAGTGCAGTGACGTGATAATACCTCACTGCAGCCTTGACCTCCTAGGCTTGAACGAATTTTCAGCCTCAGCCTTTTGAGTAGCTGGAACTACAGGCATGTGCCGCCACACCTGGCTAATTTTTTTTTAATTTCTTTTTTTTTCTATTTTTATTTTTTGGAGAGACAGCGTCTTATTATGTTGTCCAGGCTGGTTTTGAACTTATTCTGGAGATTTTTTAGAAATGAAATTCTATAATACATAAATGGTCCTTTGTGTCTGGCATCTTCACTTAGTGTAATGTTTTGAGGGTTCACCCAGGTTGAAGCCTGCGCGAGGCCTTCATTCCTTCTTATTGCTGAATAGTATTCCATTGTAATGATATTATCATTCATCAGCTGATGGACACCTGATGGGTTGTTTCCACTTTTTGGCTGTCACGATACTGTGAATATTGTGAAAAGTTTTTATGTGGATGTATGGTTTCATTTCTCTTAGATATACCTAGGAGTAGAGACTGGGCGTGGTGGCTCACGCCTGTGATCCTAGCACTTTGGGAGGCTGAGGTGGATGGATCACTTGAGGTTGGGAGTTCAAGACCAGCCTGACCAACATGGAGAAATCCCGTCTCTACTAAAAATACAAAATTAGCCAGGCATGATGGCGCATGCCTGTAATCCCAGCTACTTGGGAGGCTGAGGCGGGAGAATTGCTTGAACCTGGGAGGTGGAGGTTACAGTGAGCTGAGATCACGCCATTGCACTCCAGCCTGGGCAACAAGAGTGAAACTCTGTCTCAAAAATACATACATACATACATACATACATACATACATACATACATACACACATACATACACACACACACACCCCTAGGAGTAGAATTGCTGAGTTGTGGTAACTCTGCATTTAACATTTGGAGGAGCTGCCAAACTCTTTTGCACTGAAGCTGTACCGTTTGTACTCCCAGCAGCAGTGTGGGAGGGTTCCAGTTGTATATCCACATGGACAGACTTATTATTCTGTCTTTTTTTTTTTTTTTTTTTTTGAGATGGATTGTCACTTTGTCACCCAGCCTGGAGTACAGTGGTGCGATCTCGATCTTGGCACACTGCAACCTCGGCCTCCCAGGCTCAAGCAATTCTCCCGCCTCAGCTTCCTGAGTAGATGGGATTACAAGCATGCACCACCACGCCTGGCTAGTTTTTGTATTTTTAGTGGAGATGGGGTTTCGCCATGTTGGTCAGGCTGGTCTTGAACTCCTGACCTCAGGTGATCCACCTATCTCAGCCTCCCAAAGTGCTGCGATTACAGGCGTGAGCCACCATGCCTGGCCTGTTATTCTTTGAATTTAGTCATCCTACTGAGTATGAAGTGGTGTCTCATTGTAGTTTTTATTTGCATTTCCATAATGACTAAGGATGTTGATCATCTTTTCTTGTGCCTGTTGGCCTTTGTCTTCAGCTAAACAAATGTCTGTTCAGATCACTTGCCCATTTTTAAAATTGGGTTCTGTCATTTTTATTACAGAATTGTAAGAATTCTTAATAGATTCTAAATGCAAGTCTCTCCTCAGATACATGATTTCCAAGTATTTTCTTTTGTTCTGTGAGTTCTTTTCACTTTCTTGGTGAGATTGGTGTCGTTCGATGCACTAAAGTTTTAAATTTTGGTGAAGTCTCTTTTATCCAGTTTTTCTCTTGTTACTTGTGCTTTCAGTATCATCTCTGAGAAGCCATTGCCTACCCCAGGATCACAAAGATTCACTCTGATGTTTCCTTCTAAGAGTTCTATAATTTTTTATTTTTTAAAGAGACAGGTCTCACTATGTTGCCCAGGCTGGTCTCACACTCCTGAGCTCAGGCAATCCTCCCGCCTCAGCCTCCCAAAGTGCTGGGATTACAGGTGTGACCCACCGCGCCCAGCTTATAATTTTTCTACATCTTATGTTTAGGTCTTCAACCCATTTTAAGTTAATTCTGTATGTAATGCAAGGTGGGTGTCCAAATTTCATTTTTTACACATGGATATCTATTTGTTCCAGCACTATTTGTTGAAAAGACTGTATTTTCCTCATTGAATTGTTTTGGTACCCTTGTCAAAAATCAATTGTCCACAAATGTAAGGGTCTGTTTTTGGTCTTTTAGTTCTGTTTCACTGATCTATATGTCTGTATGTCCGTCCTTATGCCAGTACTACACTGTCTTGATTACAGTAGCTTTGCCATAAGCTTTGAAATCAGAAGTGTGAGTCCTTCACCCTAAAGCAGGTAAATATATCACTTTTGTTCTTTTAGATTGTGCTTTTTGAGTCTTCATAAATCTTCCACTCTGCAGACAAAGAAGAAAATCTTTTTTTTTTTGAGATGGAGTCTCACACTGTCACCCAGGCTGGAGTGCACTGGTGTAATCTCAGCTCACTGCAACCTTCACCTCCCAGGTTCAAGCAGTTCTCCTGCCTCAGCCTCCCAAGTAACTAGGATTACAGGCACACACCACCACGCCCAGCTAATTTTTTTGTGTATTAGTAGAGACGGGGTTTCACCGTGTTGTCCAGCCTCCTGAGCTTCCACCTGCGCCCGGCCCTTTTTTTTTTTTTTTTTTTTTTTGAGGCAGAGTCTCACTCTGTTGCCCAGGCTGGAGTGCAGTGGCACAGTCTCGACTCACTGCAACCTCCGCCTTCTGGGTTCAAGCAGTTCTCTTGCCTCAGCCTCTCAAGTAGCTGGGATTACAGGCATCCACCACCACGCCCGCCTAATTTTTGTATTTTTAGTAGAGACGGGATTTTACCATGTTGCCCAGACTGATCTCGATGTCCTGACCTCAGATGATCCACCTGCCTCGGCCTCTGAAAGTGCTGGAATTACAGGCGTGAGCCACTGTGCCTGGCCTGAAGCTACTTTTTACCCCAGTTCTCAGACTGCCCCTTATCCCAGAAGCAATCACTATTTCTCTTTTAATTTGGGGTGGGGGGATATTATATGCAGCTACAGCTCATAGTATATAATCCCTCCCCACTTTTGTACAAGTAGTAGCATATGATATATATACTTTGGTATGTTGCGTTATTCTCTTAATAATATCTCTGAGTCATTTTCTACCACGTATGGCAATACTTGTTTATTCTCATTTGAAGCTGCATAGAGTTCCATTGTTTGGATGTACATAATGTATTAAATCAGCTTTCTGTTGGAGAGCATTTTTTTCCTCTCTACGCTGTTGGAGGCAGTGCTGCCGAGAATGAGCCTGTTTGTAGGCCCCTCTGCACATGCGCCCTTTGTAGGCTGCGTTCGCCTTTGTCATTTCTTTTGACATTGCTTCTGGTAATTTTGGCTGTGTGTATGTTTTTAACATAATCACACTTACCCATGTTTCTTTGATTTATGAGTTTATGATGCTGCTGCTGCTGGTGCCGCTGCTGCTGCTCTGGAGACTAGAACTTTTTTTTTTTTAATTGTTTTTGAGACAGATTCTCACTCAGTCACCCAGGCTGGGATGCAGTGGCACAATCTCGTCTCACCGCAACTTCCACCTCCCCAGTTCAAGCAATTCTCCCGTCTTAGCTATCCGAGTAGCTGGGATTACAGGAACGCGCCACCACGCCAGGCTAATTTTTGTATTTGTAGTGGAGATGGGGTTTCACCATGTTGGCCAGGCTGGTCTCGAACTCCTGACCTCAAGAGATCTGCCTGCCTCAGCCTCCCAAACTGCTGGGACTGCAGGTGTGAGCCACTGTGCCTGGCCTTTTTTTCTTCTTACCAATAAAATACTTCGAAGGTAGAGACTAGAACTTTAGGGAACCGCTGGTATAGTACATAAAATTATTGGAATCTTTTTTTCCCCATTGTGTTGTTACAGAGATCACCTCGTTAAAAGAGTTAATTTGTTGACAGTTTTCACAAAAGGGGGAAAAATGAAACTTATTTAAAAAAATAAAATAGGCCAGGCACAGTGGTTCATGCCCGTAATCCCAGCACTTTGGGAGACCAAGGTGGGAGGATCACTTAAGGCCAGGAGTTCGAGACCAGCCTGGGCAACAGAGTGAGGCCCTGTCTTTACAAAAAACTAGCCACACGTGGTGATGTGCACCTGTCATTCCAGTAACTCAGGAGGCTGAGGCAGAAGGATCACTTGAGCCCAGGAGGTTGAGGCTGCAGGGCGCTGTGATCACACCAGTGCACTCCTGCCTGGGTGACAGAGTGAGACCCGGCCACAGAAAAAGCGAAAAATAAAAAAGTTAATCTGGGGCAGTAGAAGTCAGTGGCACCACCGACTAATCCTATAACCAGGGGACTTTCTTGGCTTTTTTTTTTTTTTTTTTTTTTTTTGAGACGGAGTCTCACTCTTGTTCCCCAGGCTGGAGTGCTGTGTGGCGCAATCTCGGCTCACTGCAACCTCCGCCTCCCAGGTTCAAGCGATTCTCCTGCCTCAGCCTCCCGAGTAGTTGGAATTACAGGTGCCCGCCACTGCACCTGGCTAATTTTTTGTATTTTTAGTAGAGACGGGGTTTCACCATGTTGGCCAGGCTGGTCTCGAACTCCTGACCTCATGATCTGCTCATCTCGGCCTCCCAGAGTGCTGGGATTACAGGCGTGGGCCATTGCGCCCAACCCTCTTGGCTCTTTTGTACCTTGTTCCCTAGTGGTTTGCTTACACGAAATCCTACCTGATGGTAATATAGATTTCCTTCTAACATTTTATAGGAAAATTTCAATATACCAAAAAATTGAATTGTACAGTGAACACCTGTCTATCCACCACTTATCTTCTGGATTAACAGTTTTCTATATGTGCTTTATCACATACCTGTGATGGTATACTCATTTTTAATTAATCCATATTTGTGTATTTAATGGGAATTGGTAGCAGCCGAAGCAAACTCTCTTGGAGTGACAAAATCTGTGCAGAGGAGAAATAACCTGTTTATTTTACTTATGATTTGTAAGAAAGGGCAGAACTATTTTCTTTTTTTTTTTTTTTTCCTTGAAACTGAGTTTCACTCTGCCGCCTAGGCTGGAGTGCGTTGGTGCCATCTCGTCTCATTGCAGCCTCCACCTCCTGGGTTCAAGTGATTCTCCTGCCTCAGCCTCCTGAGTAGCTGGGACTACAGGCGCCAGCCACCACACTGGCTAATTTTTTGTGTTTTTGGTAGAGACAGGGTTTCACCATGTGGCCCAAGCTGGTCTCGAACTCCTGACCTCAGGCGATCCACCGCCTCAGCCTCCCAAAGTGCTGGGATTACAGGCGTGAGCCACCGCGCCTGGCCAGAACTATTTTCTACTGACAATTTCAAGCCTTTGGCTTTGTATATTCACCTAAGATGCTGTTTTGGCCGGACATGGTGGCTCCTACCTGCCAGCACTTTGGGAGGCTGAGGTGGGCGGATCATCTATGGTCAGTAGTTCGAGACCAGGCTGGGCAACATAGCAAAACTCCATCTCTACTAAAAATAAAACAAAATTAAAATTAGCTGGGTGTGGTGGTGCATGCCTGTAATCCCAGCTACTTCGCAGACTGAGGCAGGAGAATCACTTGAGCCCAGGAGGCAGGGGTTGCAGTGAGCCAAGATTGCACCACTGTACTCCAGCCTGGGCAACAGAGCGAGAGCCTATCTCAAAAAAAAAAAAAAAGGCGGGGGGGTGGATTGGGGGAGTTAGAGGAAGTGGCAGAAAGAAAAAGAAAGGACTTTATCCGGATGGCACAGCTAAGAGCTTCGACCTAAGAGCCTAATGTTAAAGTCAGCCCCGATTTTTGGTGGAGATGACGTTAATCGTATTTCTGTGATTGGCTTCAGGAGGTACATCTAGATCTCTCTGTGTTTTGAGTTACAGTTGTGACCATCTATGTCATTGTTCTGTGTAAAATGTGGGAATTAGAGTTCTGCCCAGTCAAATGCTCAATAACATTGCTTAAGGTACTGTGGCCTTTACGCGTATATATAAAAATCAGCATATATAAAACCTGCCTCTTGTATGGTATTCTGCAAGGTATTCTGCTGTGTGGGTATGTGAGACTTTGGGGTTAAAAAAATGCGCATTTAAATGTTAAGGGTATTGGGCTGGGTGTGGTGGCACTTTGGGCGGCCAAGGCAGACGGATCACCTGAGGTTAGGGGTTCGAGACCAGCCTCGGCAACGTGGTGAAACCCCATCTCTATTAAAAACACAAAAACTTAGCCAGGCATGGTGGTGGGCACCTATGATCCCAGCTACTCAGGAGGCTGAGGCAGGAGAATCACTTGAACTCGGGAGGTGTAGGTTGCAGTGAGCTGAGGTTGCCCGACTGCACTCCAGCCTGGGTGATAGAGCAAGACTCTGTCTCAAAAAAGGAAAAACAACCAAGATTAAAATCTGTTGTTAACTTTTACATCTTTTAAAAAATATTGTAAAAGAGATGTCTTTGTAGTAGTACAACTTAAAAAAATTAAGTAAAATATGAATGCTATTTGGAGAGGAGTTCCTTAATGTCTTTTTTTTTTTTTTTTTTGAGACAGTCTTGCTCTGTTGCCCCGGCTGGAGTGCAGTGGCACAATCTCAGCTCACTGCAACCTCCACCTCCTGAGTTCAAGTGATTCTGCTGCCTCAGTCACCTGAGTAGCTGGGATTACAGGCACATGCCACCACACCTGGCTAATTTTTGTATTTTTAGTAGAGAAGGGGTTTCACCATTTTGGTCAGGCTGGTCTAGAACTCCCGACCTCATGATCCTCCCCGCTCAGCCTCCCAAAGTGCTGGGATTACAGGCGTGAGCCACCGCACCCAGCCCTCAATGTCTTTTGCCCTTGAACGTTCATCTGATCTGGAGTTTTAAGTGGTTTTGCCAAAAAGCGTGTCTTTTGACATATTCTCGATGGTCTGCCATATTCAGGGAAACGTTAAAATATACCACACTTGAAAGAGTAGTCCGGCGACACTCTCAATAATAACCAAACGCTCCCCACCATGTCTGCCATCCTTCCTCCCTGGGGCAGAGGGCCTGACAAGTGACAACCCCGCTCTCTCTTCCTCAGGCCCTGGACCCTCAGGGCCCCCTCAGTTCTGGCTGTGGACAGCAGGGACATGTTGGGTTGGTAGGGGTGGAGGGAATTGATAAAATGTACCATATTGACTTATGAGTGGATAATGGTTGTAAAAAAACCTAAATAATTCCAAATAAAAGCTAACTGTTACTGAGCATTTGCTGTATGTTTCAGGTACTGGGATTAAATGCTTTACATGTATTTTTCTCATTTAATACTTGCCCTATGTGGACTATACTCCCTTCTACATATGAATAAATTGAGGCACAAAGAGATTCTCTAACTGGCCCAGGGCACAGCTAGTAAGTGACACAGTTGGATTCAGAACAAGGCAATCTGAGTCTAGAACCTGTGTTTTGATCCACCTGTATCAAAAGTGACTGCTTCCCTCCTCTCACCTCACAGGTGGTTTTTTTCTCTCTCTCTTTTTTTTTTAAAGAGATGGGGTCGGCTGGGCGCGGTGGCTCACGCCTGTAATCCCAGCACTTTGGGAGGCCGAGGTGGGCGGATCACGAGGTCAGGAGATCGAGACCATCAGGGCTAACATGGTGAAACCCCGTCTCTACTAAGAAATACAAAAAAATTAGCCAGGCGTGGTGGCGGGCGCCTGTAGTCCCAGCTACTTGGGAGGCTGAGGCAGGAGAATGGTGTGAACCCAGTAGGTGGAGCTTGCAGTGAGCCGAGATCGCGCCACTGCACTCCAGCCAGGGCGACAGAGCGAGACTCCATCTCAAAAAAAAAATAAAAATAAAAATAAAAAAAGAGATGGGGTCTTGCTCTGTTGCCCAGAGGGGAGTGTGGCGGTGCGAACATAGCTCATTGCAGCCTCAAATCCCTGGGCTCCGGTGATCCTCCTGCCTTACCCTCCTGAGTAGCTCAGATACAGATGCATGCTACTATCCCTGGCTAATTATTTAATTTTTTATAGATACAGGGTCTCACTATGTTGCCCAGTCTGGTCTCAAACTCAAGAGCTCAAGCAATCCTCCTATCTCAGCCTCCCAAAGTGCTGTGATTACAGCCATGAGCCACTGCACCTAGCCTTCCCAGGTGGTTTTGTGTGTATTTTGGAGATTCTTTTTTCTTTTTTTTTTTTTTATACTTTAAGTTCTAGGGTACATGTGCACAACATGCAGGTTTGTTACATATGTATACATGTGCCATGTTGGTGTGCTGCACCCATTAACTCATCATTTACATTAGGTATATCTCCTAATGCTATCCCTCCCCCCTTCCCCCACCCCACGACAGGCCCTGGTGTGTGATGTTCCCCTTCCTGTGTCCAAGTGTTCTCATTGTTCAATTCCCACCTATGAGTGAGAACATGCGGTGTTTGTTTTTTTGTCCTTGTGATAGTTTGCTGAGTTGGAGGTCCTTTTTTCAATGCAAAAATATATATTTTTTATAAAATGAGATCATACTCAACAGATTGTGGCCTTCAGTTGTCAGTTGTCATGAAAATCTGCCTCATCCTTTTTGAAAACAATAAAGTATTCGTCCTGTGGTCTTTTGCATTTCTGGGTATTAGCATGTCGCTCTCCCAGCATGTCCTACCAGAGTTTACTCTCACCAGTGAATGGGAACCCATCGTTCAGTGTAAGTCTGTATTCTTCCGTCTTTTATTTAAGAGCTGATTCAGAAGAGCTGGCATGCTGGGTGAACAGTTTTCTCCCAGAAGCCCCGGCTCTGCCCAGGAGAGGTGCTTCCACGGCTGCACCCACCCTGGGGCTGCCAGCCTCAGCGCCTGGTCTGACAGGCAGCAGTTTTGGAAAATGAACTTGAGTCCCCAATTTTCCTGGCACAGTGTGAAATAACTGGAAATGATTTTATTGTCTGTCGCTGCACCCCAGCCCCAGGAACAGAGATGGGCCCCTGGGAGGCCCCCATGGCCTGGCAATAATTGGCCTTTTCCCTCACAGGAGTGCTACCTGGAGGGTGACCAGACGAGCCTGTACCACGCAGCCAAGGGGCTGATGACCCTGCAAGCTCTGTATGGAACGATCCCCCAGATCTTTGGGAAAGGAGAATGCGCTCGGGTGAGAACCGGCTGCTTTGTGGTGGTAAAGGAGGGCCCTTCACACCCCAAAAGGGAGGAGGAACGGGAAGCTCCTTACAAACAAATTCAGTTGATCTTAATTATTTATGAATACTGTACTCATGAATTTGCCTACTGATTAAAATGCACTTATAACCCTCCAAGTCAGTACTCATGGTGCTTTTGTCGGCGTGCACAGTGGTGACAGTTTGAGTAACCACTGCGCATGTTCCCAACTGAGGCAGCTGACACTCCACCTTCCCATTTCAGCTCTCAGACTGCAAACAAGTGTACTTTTCACAGTCTCACTGTCATATTTTCCACACGTGTGTACTTTTTTTGGTGATTTCACTGTTTAAAATGGCCTGCAAATGTAGGACTGAGGTGCAGTCGGGTGTCTTGTGCACAAGAAGGCTGTGGTGTGCCTGGCGGAGACATTACGTGTGTCAGAGACGCTTCGTTCAGGCACGAGTCACAGAGCTGCTGGCTGTCAGTTCAGTGTGAGTGATCAACAATTATGTTAAGTCAGGCATCTTTAAGCAGAAACACATATAAAACTGGGTTACGTATTGATCAATTGACAGAAACGTTGAGACCAGAGGCTCCCAGGAACCTAAGTCTGCGTTTCTCCTAGGAACAGTGGTTCCATCTTCGCTAATTTAGTGTTTGCAGTGACTTCATAGAACATAACTACTGCGAATCACAAGAATAGACTGACCTGATTTTATGCCTCATTGGCAAATGGCAGCTGCCTTGGTGCAAGTGTCGGGATGGGTGCCAACAGCAAGGTGCTTTTCTAGAGCTGCTTATTTCTAAGCAATGCACTCTTCCAGTTTTTCTCCTTTTTTACTTTTTTGATTGTCTTTCTGGTTTTAGACAAATTTTAAAATCTGCTTGTTCCCAGGGGGGCCCCACCTCATCCAATGTTTTGTTTCCAGCAAGTGGCCAATATGATGATCAGGATGAAGAGAGAGTTTACAGGAAGCCAGAATTCAATATTTCCTGTTTTTGATAATCTCTTGTTGCTTGATCGGAATGTGGATTTATTAACACCTCTTGCCACTCAGCTGACATATGAAGGACTCATTGATGAAATTTATGGCATTCAGAACAGTAAGTACATGACATCTGTTTTCACTAATAGGTAATATGAGAAGAATATCCTTTGTGGAGGCTACTGTTTGTATATTGCACACTTAAGCATAATTTAAAGTCAGAGATCCGATTTTAATGATTCAGAGTGTAGATTAATACAGACCTTTTTGTAAGCAATTTAGCAACACATAAAACTTTTCTAACCCTTGGCCAAAGAAAACCCAAAGCCTAAGAATGTGCCTTGAGGAATCATTCCAAAAAAGAGGATCAGTGAGGTTTGCATAAGAATTTCGATTTCCATTTTCTTACCAGAATTTTCCAAACAATCTCAGTGGTTGAGTACATTATGAAATATTATGGAACCACCTGGGTGTGGTGGCTCACACTTGTAATTCCAGCTCTTTGGGAAGCCAAGGCGGGCAGATCACTTGAGGTCAGGTGTTCAAGACCAGTCTGGCAAACATGGTGAGATGCCCGTCTCTACTAAAAATACAAAAAATTAGCTGAGTGTGGTGGCACATGCCTGTAGCCCCAGCTACTTGGGAGGCTGATATGGAGGAATTGCTTGAACCCGGGAGGAGGAGGTTGCAGTGAGCCGAGAGAGCGCCACTGCACTCCAGCCTGGCGACAGAGTGAGACTGTCTCAAAAAAAAAGAAAATATTTGGAACCATCAAAATAATAAATGTGGAACATGAAAAACTGCGTAGCCATGCCTATTTCAATTAGAGGTTGTTATATATGTGTCTGCATATGTATGTGTATTCCAAACTATATTTATAATATATTTATAAAAAATAACTAAGAATACCGTAAAAACTGGAAATAACTGGAGGTGGAATAATCAGACCATGCCTCCAAAGGGTCAGTTTTTAGAAAGCTGCTTCCTTTACATAGAAATCAGAGAACCCTTGAAACAATAAAAATACTGACCTCTGACTTTCAGACACTAGGATTCAGTGACATCTGAGCAAATTGCAGTTGTCGGTGACACAAGAGTTGGCCAGAATTTTAGTGCCCAGGCCGGTCCTTGTCCCCTGTGAGCAGAGGCCAAGGGTCTCCCTCAGAGGGCACTGGCATTTGCGACGCACACATCCTTGCAGCCGGCAGTAGTTGACGAAGGCGGCAGAAGCAGTGGCGTTTGTGCTGGTTGGAAAGACGTGGAGAGTTTAGTTGGAGATCCTGGGGCAGGGGCAGTCGGCATCATACACAGAGTCATGACGAGCCAAGCAACGTGGTTGAGTGGAGTGCATGGCTGGAGAAATATTTTAGAAAAACGGCTGGTACAGAAGGTCGAGGCCACTCTATGGAAGATGTGGATGGCTGGTTAGTGCCTGGCCTTGGTGGGTGATTAGGTAGATCACAAGTATGTTTGGTTTGGCTGGTTTTGGCCCACATGATATTTATTTCTGTCAGCTTTAGAATGTGATACATTTTAAGTAATAATCCTGAATTAGGCCATGACGAAAAATATTGGAAGCACTGGCAAGAGGCCATGCTCCCACTGGTGGCCAGGACCCAGAGTGTCTAGAGCTCCCTGCCTCACCACAGACCCCTACACCTGTCTCAGCCTGGCCTTCTTCCCTCGTCTGCATAGTCCCCGGCCTCTATTGCCATCCTGAATGAAGTCACAGGGAGCCAAGGGAAGGCCTGAGGAGAGGGATGTGTAAGAAAGATGAGGCCAGGCGCGGTGGCTCACTCCTGTAACCCCAGCACTTTGGGAGGCCAAGGCAGGCAGATCACGTGAGATCAGAAGTTTGAGACCAGGCTGACCAACGTGGTGAAACCCCATCACTACTAAAAATACACACACACACACACACACACACAGCTGGATTTGGTGGCGCATGCCTGTAGTACCAGCTACTCAGGAGGCTGAGGCACGAGAATCGCTTGAACTTAGGAGGTGGAGCTTGCAGTGAGCCAAGATCGCACGGCTGCACTCCAGCCCGGGTGACAGAGTGAGACTTTGTCTCAAAAAAATAATAAAATAGGTGAAAATTTTTTTAAATATTTAAAAAGAAAGAAAGGAAGGAAGAGAGGAAGGGCCTGCAATTCAGAGGGAAACGGACTCGTGGTTGCCAGGACTACAGGAAGGGGATGGGGAGTCACCACTTATTGGCTACAGGGTTTCCCTTTGGGATAAAAAAGTGTGGAACTAGATACTGGCTGTGGTCCTACCATGTTGTATATGTACTAAATGCTACTGGATCATTCACTGTAAAACAAAGTAGTAATTTTTATATTATGTGCAATTTACCACAAGAATGGATGAATGAATGACGTGGGTGACGGAGAGAGAGACATGCATGAGGAGGCGTTTCCACACGTATGGAAGGTCTTTAGTGATAAGATTGTAAAAAGTCTTATTATTATTGTTTGTCAAAAAAATGGCACCTTTAATACTTTTTAAAACTCTATTTATTGACAGAGGAATTTATTTCAGGAGAGCCCTATGCTGGGTTGTGGGTGGAAATCAAAGAAACAGGGTGGTCCCAGAGCATGTAGCACCCAGGAAGGCATGAAAGAAGAGCTCTGAAGTTCAGGATGGGGAATGGTGGGGGGAGAGGCGGCCTGGGAGTTGGCCCAGGGACAGCTGTATAGGAGGGGTGGGAGGTATGTGGGAAGGGATTTTCCAAGAAGAGAAAAAATATGTATAAATTCCCAGCCTCCTTGTAGCAAGTTTTTTCGTAATGTAAGTCAAACATTGATTAGGAAAAAAATTGGAAAAATAGAAGAAAACATAGATCCGTTATTATCCTCCAACCTTACCCCAACAGCCCTGTGGCCCCAAACCTTGGGACAACCACTGTTAATATTGTGGTATTATTTCCTAGTCTTTTTTTCCCCTTGTGTAGTTTATTGTAGTTAACAAAAAATGGAATCAGGTTGTACAAATAGTTTCAAACCTGAGTTTTGATTTGGTATGCTAATGAGCATTTTCCTAGTGTATGCATACTGTAATCGTTACATTAAAATCCACAGTATAGGGCAGGCATGGTGGCTTATGCCTGTAATCCTAGCACTGTGGGAGGCCAAGGCGGGCCAATCACCTGAGGTCAGGAGTTCGAGACCAGCCTGACCAACATAGTGAAACCCCATTTCTACTAAATACAAAAAAAAATTAGCCAGGTATGGTGGCGGGTGGCTATAATCCCAGCTACTTGGGAGGCTGAGGCAGGAGAATTGCTTGAACCTGGGAGGTGGAGGTTGCAGTGAGCCGAGATCGTGCCACTGCACTCCAGTCTGGGTGACAGACTGAGACTGTGTCTCAATTAAAAAACCAAAAAGTGGCTGGACACACTGGCTCATGTCTGTAATCCCAGCACTTTGGGAGGTTGAGGTGAGCGGATCATCTGAGGTCAGGAGTTCGAGACCAGCCTGGCCAACATGGTGAAACCCGTCTCTACTAAAAGTACAAAAATTAGTCGGGTGTGGTGGCGGGCGCCTGTAATCCTAGCTACTCAGGAGGCTGAGGCAGGAGAATCGCTTGAACCCGGGAGGTGGAGGTTGTAGTGAGCTGAGATCACGCCACTGCACTCCAGCCTGGGCGAGAGAGCGAGACTCCCTCTTAAATAAATAAATAAATAAATAAATAAAATAAGAGAGAGAGAGAGATCCTCCCACCTAAGCCTCTCAAAGTGCTGGGATTACAGGCGTGAGCCACTGTGCCCAGCCTACATAAGATTTTTTTCATATATCAGATTATTTTCTTTCCCTGGATTCCCTGATGCAGGATTTTTGGGGTGAAAGGCACTTGGTACATGTTGCCAAATTGCTTTACTGCAGAGTTACACCAGCTCCATGCCATCCGTAGTTCATGAGCACATGTGGGGTGTTCCAGGAAAATAGGGACTCACTTGGCTTGGCAGGAGCAGAGTAGGGAGAAGGAGATTAAGGCTACTTCGCAGAGGAAGTGGATACCATGCTAAGGAATTTGGAAGCTTATTCTAGATCAGGGTGTACAGCTTTTTCTATAAAGACCCAGATAGTAAGTATTTTAGGCTTTTGCTTGTTACAAAGTGCAGGTCATACAGAGGAACCTCCTTGTCTCTGTCATTGTCATGTGAAAGTAGCCATAGACAATACAAAAAGAATAGCTGTGGCCATGTGCCAATAAAACTTTATTTGCAAAAACAGAAAGTGGGCTGGGCATGGTGGCTCACACCTGTAATCCAGCACTTTGGGAGGCCCAGGAGGGTGGCTCACCTGAAGACAAGAGTTCAAGACCAGCCTGGCCAACATGGTGAAACCCTGTCTCTACTAAAAATACAAGAAAATTAGCCGGGCATGGTGGTGGGTGCCTATAATCTGAGCTACTCAGGAGGCTGAGGCAGGAGAATCATTTGAACCCAGGAGGTGGAGGTTGCAGTGAGCCGAGATCGTGCCATTGCACTCCAGCCTGGGTGACAAGAGTGAAACTCCGTCTCAAAAAAAAAAAAAAAAACAGAACGTGAACAGAGTTTGGTCCTCAGACCGTAGTTTCTAATTCTTGTTCTAGGATGGCTTTTAAACTATTTTGGATTCCAATCCACAGTAAGAAATGTATTTTATATCATGAGCCAGTATATACACACATGTATGCATGTGCATGTTAAACTGAAACAAAAGTTTTATTTAAAAAAAAAATAAAACGAAGCCACCACTAGCTTCTCTAACAGCGTGTGATAAGCTTTTGTATTTTCTACTCTGTGCTGTTTTTGGTACTGTTGTTTTGTTTTGGTTTCGTTTGGTTTTGGTTTTAAGATGCTACTTGCAACCCACCAGCTTGATTTCATGATCCACTAATGGAACATGATCTACAGTTTGAAAAAATACTAAAAGTCAATGGGGAGATCCTTGAAAGTTTTCTGAGTGGAAAAGTGACCTAATCCCTGAATAAGTTTAGGAAGTGGACATTGCTGCATGTGGTTTATATAGGTGCCCCAAAGATAATGAGAACTGTGGTATCAGTATTAGAGTCACTACTTCCTGTACTTTGATCATGGAAAATCAAAAGCTCAGAGCTATGTGTCGTTTGCCGTCTTCCATTTTCTCCTGAGTTGGAAATTCTGTTTTGTGCTTGGTTACCGGATTGGTTCTTCCAGTCATTGCACACAGGTGCTTATTCCCTTCCACTGCTGCTCAGGTTATGTGAAATTACCTCCAGAGAAATTTGCACCTAAGAAACAGGGCGATGGTGGTAAGGACCTCCCCACGGAAGCAAAGAAGCTGCAGCTGAATTCTGCAGAGGAGCTCTATGCTGAGATCCGAGATAAGAACTTCAACGCAGTTGGCTCTGTGCTCAGCAAGAAAGCAAAGATCATCTCTGCAGCATTCGAGGTGAGGCAAGTTTTGGGTGTCATTCTGCAACTCTAGGCCTCAGGTAGATGCCCACCCCTGAGGGGAATAAGAGCTCCAAAAATATGTAGCCATTAAACCAGGCTTCAATGCAACTTTTCTCATCTTCAGTAACTGCAGATTCAGTATTGGAAGATCCGAGGTTTTCATTTTAAACTTTCTCAGACCCGCGTTGCGTAAAGTTCTTTTTGTGTGGAGGGTAGGTGGAGGCGCAAGTGTGTGCAGTTTACAGACTTCCATCATAAACATTTGCTTTATCGTCTTAAATTATTTCCTACCTTGCCTAAGAGGAAGCCATCTGTACTACAAATAAAGAATCCTCTATAATAGAACTTGTGGTTCATGCTGAAAACTCAAGTTTAGCCAGTGTGACTGCGGCAGGGGAAGTCAGCACGTGTGGCAGGTGATAATGAGACTGAAATCCCCAGCAACCCCGAGCTTTGAAATTGGTGGCTTCATTATCACCTTCCTGCCTCCTCTTGCCCGTTCACTAGTTTATTCTTGCTCAGGCTCCTTTTTGAAACATGGGAATTCAACAAGATCATAAAGTCTGAATATTTCAACTTTGGAAACATAAATGGGAAGTTTTTGAAAATGAATTTTTCACTGAGTATGTAGTTCTAGATTTTTTTTTGACAGGGTCTCGCTTTGTCTCCCAGGATGGGTGTAGTGGTACAATCATGGCTTACTGAGCTGCTACCTCCCAGGCTCAAGCAATCCTCCCACCTCAGCCTCCCGAGTAGCTGGGACCACAGGCACATGCCATCATGCCTGGCAGAGTTTTTTGTTGTTTTTTTTTCTGTAGAGATGGGGACTTCCTGCGTTGCCCAGGCTGGCTTGGAACTAGGCCATGTAATTCCAGATTTTATCTTTCTCAGGAATTATGTTCATTAATTGATTTTCATATTTCTGAAGTTACTTTTGGTTTAAGTTATTAAATTTTGCCAAAAAATATTATCATCACCAAGCTATGTTCGCTTTGTTCATAGACTATACTCAAGACTAAGGTTCAGGCCAGGCACAGTGGCTCACGCCTGTCATCCCGGCACTGTCGGAGGCTGAGGCAGGAGGATCGCTTGAGCCCAGAAGTCCTAGACCAGCCTGGGCAACACAGCAAGACACTGTCTCTACAAAACTTTTTTTTTTTTTAACTAGCTGGGCAGTGGCGTGTGCCTGTAATCCCAGCTCCTTGGGAGGCTGAGGTAGGAGCCTAGGAGGCGGAGGCTGCAGTGAGCTGTGATGACACCACTGCACTCCAGCCTGGGCGACAGAGACCCTGTCTCAACATCAAATAAAAGACTGAGGGTCAACAGAAAAAATGGATTTTTTTCTGTTACACAGGAAACTTTTCCTCTTTATGGTACCCTCTAAACATAATTTTTTGTCTTAGTTTTTTACTCAGAAATTTGTATGGTTTATATAGTACTATCTTTCACCAATACTCAGATGTCCACAAAATACTGACACAGTGTTTAAGCTGGTACATTGGAAGACAGACTCTGAGGCATTTGCTTCTTTAAAGAAGTGCTAATTCAGGAGACAGGCACCATGACCTCTATTATTTCAGTCATATATATACTTTTCTTTTCTCTTTTTTTATGTAATGTAATGATTTATTTGTATTCCATTCTTCCTTTCTCATTAATATAAATGAAACATCCTCTGAACAATACAAAAAACAAAGCACTTAAAATATCGGCCAGGCGTGGTGGCTCACGCCTGTAATCCTAACACTTTGGGAGGCCAAGGTGGGTGGATCACCTGAGGTCAGGAGTTCGAGACCAGCCTGACCAATATGGTGAAACCCTGTCTCTACTAAAAATACAAAAATTAGTTTGGGCATGGTGGTGGGCACCTGTAATCCCAGCTACTCGGGAGGCTGAGGCATGAGAATCACTTGAACCTGGGAGGCGGAGGTTGCAGTGAGCCGAGATTGCGCCACTGCACTCCAGCCTGGGCAACAAAGCGAGAGTCCTTCTCAAAAAAATAAAATAAATAAACTATCTTCCCTGCTTGAGGCACTGCTCTCTTGTTTATTTCAGGAAAGACACAATGCTAAGACCGTGGGGGAGATCAAGCAGTTTGTTTCCCAGTTGCCCCACATGCAGGCAGCAAGGGGCTCGCTTGCAAACCATACCTCAATTGCAGAATTGATCAAAGATGTCACTAGTGAGTATCCTTTGTAATGATTGTTTCAGTCTGGGGCTACTTGCACATACAACGTTTGACACCTAGGTCATCAACACCACAATGCCTCTTCGGGAGAGTCAGCTCTGTCTTAATACCACGTGTTCTTCTCAGTGTTAATGAAGTATACATATGTTAATAGTTAAGGATATTCCAGGCGGGGCATGGTGGCTCATGCCTGTAATCCCAGCACTTCGGGAGGCCAAGACGGGCAGATCACTTGAGGTCAGGAGTTTGAGACCAGCCTGGCCAACATGATGAAACCCCATGTCTACTACAAATACAAAAATTAGCCAGGCACAGTGGTATGCATCTGTAGTCCCAGCTACCTGGGAGGCTGAGGCAGGAGAATTGCTTGAACCTGGAAGGCGGAGGTTGCAGTGAGCCGACATCACGCCACTGCACTCCAGCCTGGGTGACAGAGTGAGACTCCATCTCGAAAAACAAAACAAAAAGAATGTTCCATTTGTTGGCCAGGCATGATGGCTCACATCTGTAACCCCAGCACTTCGGGAGGCTGAGGCAGGCAGATCACTTGAGTCCAGGAATTGAAGACCAGCCTGGGCAACATGGCGAAACCCTGTCTCTACTAAAAATACAAAAATTAGCTGGGCATGGTGGCACATGCCTGTAGTTACAGCTACTCAGGAGGTTGAGGCATGAGAATCACATGAACCCTGGAGGCAAAGGTTACAGTGAGCTGAAATCACGCCACTGCACTCCAGCCTGGTTGAGCGAGACTCCATTAAAAAAAAAAAAGACTGGGCGAGGTGGCTCATGTCTGTAATCCCACCACTTTGGGAGGCCGAGGCAGGTGGATCGCCTGAGGTCAGGCATTCGAGACCAGCCTGGCCAACATAGTGGAACACCATCTGTACTAAAAATACAAAAATTAGCCAGGTGTGGTGGCGGGCACCTGTAATCCCAGCTACTCAGGAGACTGAGGCAGGAGAATTGCTTGAACCGGGAGGCAGAGGTTGCAGTGAGCCAAGATTGCACCACTGCACTCCGGCCTGGGCGACAGAGCAGGACTCCATCTCGAAATAACGAAAGAAAGAAAAAGAGAAAGAGAGGAAGGGTCCATTTTTTAACTCAAATTTTTTCATTATCATTTATATGAAAAATATTTGGAATGTAGATAAGAGAAAAAAATTATCCATAAGTTTGCCATCATAATCTGAGATGGTTAATTTTTTTAGTCTAGCTTTTTTTCTTTTTTTTTTTTTTTTGAGACGGAGTTTCACTCTTGTTGCCCAGGCTGCAGTGCAATGGCACAATCTTGGCTCACCGCAACCTCTGCCTCCCGGGTTCAAGTGATTCTCCTGCCTCAGCCTCCCAAGTAGCTGGGATTACAGGTACTTGCCACCACGCCTGGCTTATTTTCTATTTTTACTAGAGATGGTGTTTCACCATGTTGGTCAGGCTGGTCTCAAACTCCCAACCTCAGGTGATCCGCCTGCCTTGGCTCCCAAAGTGCTGGGATTACAGGCATGAGCCACCGCGGCCAGCAGCTTTTTTCCTTTTTTGAAGGATTACTTATTGGCGCATGTTCTTCCCTTGAATATTCTGTGCAGAATTGGTACAAAGAGTATATGTTGAGTATTTTGAAAGAGCTCAGAAGACATCTATTAAAGCAGACATGAGTTTGTTTGTTTGTTACAACACAGGGCTGTAAAAGCTGAGTAGGAGATTGTTTTATGAAGTATACTTCGAATCTTAAGTAAATCACAGTTATCGGAAAATCAGTCCTTTGTTTCCCTGTTCATAGGAGTGGAAACCAGTTGAAATTGGGTTGAACCTAATGATGAAAATGAAATGTTCTTGAGAAATTAGCTTTCATTCATACTGACGCTCATTCTGGGGTCTGTACTGAAATCCTAAGGATACAAAAGAGTGCACTTGTCGACTGTATCTAGTGTAACTTAGGAGTGCAGAGGCCTAGCGTTTTCCATGTTTCCTAAAAGATTTTCTTCAGGTGATGACTTGAACTTATTGCTTGCTTGCTTTTTTGCATGATGTCTGGTTTCTTTTCTTTTGAGACAGAGTCTCGCTCTGTTGCCCAGGCTGGAGAGCAATGGTGTGATCTTGGCTCACTGTAACCTCCGCCTCCCCGCCTCAAGTGATTCTTGTGCCTTAGCCTCCCGAGTAGCTGGGACTACGGGTGTGTGCCACCATACCCAGCTAATTTTTGTGTTTTTGGTAGAGATGGGGTTTGGCCATGTTGGTCAGGCTGGTCTTGAACTCCTGGCCTGAAGTGATCCACCCACCTCGGCCCCCTACAGTGCTGAGATTACAGGTGTGAGCCACCGTGCCCAGCCACATGTCTAGTTTCTGAATCGTGCTCTGTGTATAAAAGCATGCCACTCAAGTAAATTAACATTTAATTTCTAAGTTGCAAATTTGCTAATTTCATTTTAGCTTCTGAAGACTTTTTTGATAAATTAACCGTGGAACAGGAGTTTATGTCTGGAATAGACACTGATAAGGTATGTGGACAAAAAAACCTCTTTAACAAGTAATTGAAAGCTTATTAAACCTCAGATTATAGCCAGAAAACCAATTGCTTTGATTCCCATGCCTTGCCTTTTTTTTTTTTTTTTTTTTTTTTTTTTTTGAGACGGAGTCTCACTGTGTGTCACCCAGCTTGCTCTGTTGCCCAGGCTGGAGTGCAGTGGCGCCATCTCTGCTCACTGCAAGCTCCGCCTCCCGGGTTGACGCCATTCTGCCTCAGCCTCCCGAGTAGCTGGGACTACAGGCGCTCACCACCACACCTGGCTAATTTTTTGTATTTTTAATAGAGACGGGGTTTCACCATGTTAGCCAGGATGGTCTCGATCTCCGACCTTGTGATCCGCCCACCTTGGCCTCCCAAACTGTTGGGATTACAGGCGTGAGTCACTGCGCCCGGCCACTTAAATATTTTTAAGAGCAAATGCAAAATGTGCAAGTGTAGATTTTATCAAGTAACAGATATTTAACATTATTCTGTGCAAGACACTTTCTGCCATACATGGCAACATGAGACCTGGCCCCTAAAATCAAATCTTTTTAAGACTGTATTAGATAAGGTATTTGCTCTTTTGAAAGAGTTTCTTATATAACTCCTTTAAATAGCTCTATTAACAAATTTTAAATTATTCACTTTATGAAAATTCCTAACATAAAACAATTACTGATACTTTTTGCTAGATTAGTTGTTGATACTATTGAAATGGAGTAGACATCTGGTAGCCTCTCAGAAGCGTGTCCTTAGAGACAGACGTGTCCAGACAGGCATATGGAGTGACCAATTGTATTCTCAGCGGCCTTGGGCTCCAGTGACTTGGCCTGATCACTGGGGGGTGTGTGTGTGTGTGTGTGTGTGTGTATGTATGTATGTGTGTGTGGGGTGTGTGTGTGTGTGTGGTGGCCAGGGTGTGTGTGTGGCTGGGGCTAGCAGAGCTATTTCGGGGAAGGGTTAGGGACTGTGGAAAAATAACTCATTTTCCCACGTATCTCCTTTATTGGACTTTGAAAAATAATAATAAACATCAAGTTAAGTTCCTAAACCATGTATTGTGTGTGTGTGTGTGTGTGTGTGTGTGTGTGTGTGTATGTATATGTAAATGTATATGTATATGTATGCTACTTTATTTCCAGGTCAACAATTACATTGAGGATTGTATCGCCCAAAAGCACTCGTTGATCAAGGTGTTAAGACTAGTTTGCCTCCAATCCGTGTGTAATAGTGGGCTCAAACAAAAAGTTTTGGATTATTACAAAAGAGAGATTCTCCAGGTGAGTATATTTTTAAATTATTAATTTGCCAAGGGGGACAGCATCTTTTTAAAAAATACTTCATGGGCCGGGCACAGTGGCTTACGCCTGTAATCCCAGCACTTTGGGAGGCCAAAGCAGGTGGATCACTTGAGGTTAGGAGTTTGAGACCAGCCTGGCCAACATGGTGAAACCCCCATCTCTATTAAAAATACAAAAATTAGCCAGGCATGGTAGCATGCACCTGTAGTCCCAGCTATTTGAGAGGATCAGGCAGGAGAATCGCTTGAACGCAGGAGGCGGAGGTTACAGTGTGTCAAGATCATGCCCCTGCACTCCAGCCTGGGCAACAGAGTGAGACTCTGTCTCAAAAAATAATAATAAAAAATTTAAAATTAAAAAAAATAAAAATTACAAAGCTGCCATTTTGGTATCTTGTAACGACTGTTGTATAAATTTTTTAACACCTAGAGGAATTGGTCTTGGTAGCCATCACTGTTTATTGTATTTGTGTGATAATAATAGCTAACAGGCTGGGCACAGTGGCTCACCTCTGTTATCTCAATATTTTGTGGGGCTGAGGCAGGAGGATCGCTGGAGGCCAAGACCAGCCTGGCAACATAGCAAGACCCTGTCTCTACAAAAAAAATACAAAAATTTACCAGGCATGGTGGC
Source organism: Homo sapiens (assembly GCF_000001405.40). Classification (NCBI taxonomy): domain Eukaryota; kingdom Metazoa; phylum Chordata; class Mammalia; order Primates; family Hominidae; genus Homo; species Homo sapiens. The sequence goes on along the minus strand of NC_000012.12, from coordinate 122,237,932 downwards.
TGTGTCTGCAGTCCCAGCTACCCAGGAGGCTGAGTTAGGAGGATTGCTTGAGCCCAGGAGTCCAAAACCAGCCTAGGCAACATAGCTTGTTTACAAAAAGTAAAAAATAATAATAATAGGTAACATTTCTTGAGCATTTACTATGTGCTAGGATCTATTGGAAAAACTTTATAGGCCGGGCGCGGTGGCTCTGTACCCTGACTCTACTAAAAATACAAAAAATTAGCCGGGCGCGGTGGCGGGCGCCTGTAGTCCCAGCTACTCGGGAGGCTGAGGCAGGAGAATGGCGTGAACCCGGGAGGCGGAGCTTGCAGTGAGCCGAGATTGCGCCACTGCAGTCCGCAGTCCGGCCTGGGCGACAGAGCGAGACTCCGTCTCAAAAAAAAAAAAAAAAAAAAGAAAAACTTTATGTGCATTCATTTGTTTCATCTTCACAATACTTCCTTGTTAACTGTAGTTACCATAACAACAACAACAAATATTCACAACAGCCTTGTGAGTTAGAGACTGCTATCGTCCCAGTTTTATGGATGAAAAACTGAGGCACAGACTAGTTTAGGTAACTCACCCAAGGTTACCTGGCTGGTAAGTGGCACAGCCAGTGGTAAACCAGGCAATTTGAGTGTAGCGCCCATGTTCTTAACTCCGCAGTTATACCACGGAGGAAAAGAACTTTCTGCAAATTTCTGATGACAGTTGCTTAGCAGGTTTACTTAAATTAAGCCTGTGTTACTTATAATAAGGAAAAGGCCACTCTTGTTTTTGAAAAGTCTCCCCTTTGTTTGAAAATGACTCAGGTAGTATTTATTTGCTGTTACCAGTGACAGTTAAGTACATTTTTATTAAAATTGAGTGCTCATTAATTTTTTGTTTTTGTCTTTTTTTAAGTTATGTATCCTTGTGTAAGAGTCAAATAATGCAGAAGTACACAGAGCAAAATGTGAACGTCCCCTGTACCTTGCTCATACCCCAGTTTCCCTCCCCAGATGTGACCAGTGTCAGCAGTCTGATTTGCTTCCTTCCAAACTCCATTCTTTGCATTTAGACAGAATGTTTCCATACACAGACTTCAGAGCAAGACTGGCTGGATCCAGGTTTCAGCTCTGCTCTTCACTAGCTGTGTGACTTTAGGCAGGTTATTTAAACATCTCTGTAAAATGAAGGTAATGATACCTACGTCATGGGGTTAGAGCCGGGATGACTGAGTTAATGTATGTAAGTGCTTAGACCAGAACAGTGCCCAGCTCATAGAAAGTATTTTATAAGTGTTGGCTACTTTTTAAAATTTATTTATTTTTTGAGACAGTATCTCACCCTGTTGCCCAGAGTGGAGTGCAGTGGCACAATCTTGGCTCACTGTAACCTCCTGGGTTCAAGCGATTCTCCTGCCTCAGCCTCCCGAGTAGCTGGGATTACAGGTACATGCCACCAGGCCCAGCTAATTTTTTAATTTTTAGTAGAGACAGGGTTTCACCATGTTGGCCAGGCTGGTCTCAAACTCCTGACTTCAAGTGATTGGCCCGCCTCGGCCTCCCAAAGTACTGGGATTACAGGTGTGAGCCAGCATGCCCAGACCTTGGCTACTTTTTAAAAATAGAAATAATGTCCTACTCTACATGTTATTTTTTTTTTAATATATTCTGGAGACCTTTCTTATCAGGATGTATACATATGCCTTACTCTTTTTTAGAGCTAATTATATCCCTTATAAAAATATACTATCATTTATTTGATGCTTGCTTAGATTGGGTCCATAAATTCTGACTTTAAAGTAAAAATTTTAAATTTCTCTTTGAAACAGTGAGCTGAATTAATAGTAACAGGCAAGCAGTTTTAGGACAAGTTTCATCCCTCCACCCTGTCCTCTGTGCCCATCCACTAACATTGCTGGACTTTGGTAACATGTCCTGCAGTACAAACCAAATTGATTTGTTGGAAGTGCCCTTCTTTGAAAATTGCAGAAATCCTTTTCCTGATCTGACATCAAGGCCAAATGACTTCCCTTGCAGACATACGGCTATGAGCACATATTGACCTTACACAACCTGGAGAAGGCCGGCCTGCTGAAACCGCAGACGGGGGGCAGAAACAATTACCCAACTATACGGAAAACATTACGCCTCTGGATGGATGATGTTAATGAGCAAGTAAGCCACACTTCTCCACCTCGTCTCAGCTTAGGGACTGGTTAGATCGTCCAGGTGACAACACATGCTTCTGAACCTACACATCTGCCTTGCTTTCTGAAAACAATTTTCTAATGTTTTTGAAAAAGTAATGTATGCATGTATTGTATCCATCAGAATCCTAGAAGGACACAGAGAATGCTCTTAAACTGGGGAGTTTCTGGAGAGTTTAATAAAGATGTGGGCTGGGCGCGGTGGCTCACACCTATAATCCCAGCACTTTGGGAGGCCGAGGCGGGCAGATCACTTGAGCTCAGGAGTTTGAGAACAGCCTGACTAACATGGGAAACCCCATCTCTACTAAAAATACAAAAATTAGCCCAGCATTGTGGTGCGTGCCTGTAATCCCATCTACTTGGGGGGCTGAGGCAGGAGAATTGCTTGAACCTGGGAGGCGGAGGTTGTAGTGAGCTCAGATCATGCCATTGCACTCCAGCCTGGGCGACAGAGCAAGACTCTGTCTCAAAAAAAAAAAAAAAAAAGTTATGGGGCAGGCTCGGTGGCTCATTCTTGTAATCCCAGTATATTGGGAGGCTGAAGGGTCAGATCGCTTGAGTCCAGGAGTTCGAGACCAGCCTGGGCAACATGGCAAAACCTTGTCTCTACAAAAAAAATGGCCAGTGGTAGTATGAGCCTTTAGTCCGAGGGGCTGTGGTTAGAGGATCACTGAGCCCAGGAGGCGGTTGCAGTGAACCATGTTTGTGCCACTGCACTCCAGGCTGGGCTACACAGTAAGACTCTGTCTCAAATAAATAAAGATGTGGGAAGAGTGGAGAGGCAGTGCAGTGGGGAGCCCTTGCCAGCCACGGCCTGAAGGACAAGGAGAGGGGGGTGTTCTAGAAACTTGTCTTAGAACCTGGAGAGAAGAGCTGTGGTGAGGCCATCTGGTGAGGTAAGGGGTGAGGGGCCTCTGGCTGAGGGTATGGTCAACCTCCAGCAGAGGAAGCTGGCCAGTGACAACGTCATCCTCACACTGCTGCCCACTCTCCAGTTCACTCTGGTGCTTTGTCTTGGTCAGACCCAAAGAGAAGGCATTGGAGTGTGTTGGTGTGGGACGCACAGGTCCATCTCCGGGCACAGAGCATTGCGGAGAAGGGTGGAGAGTGTCTAGAGGAGTCAGTGGAGATGTCCAGCACTCATAAACAAGCCAGCCATGGCCAGGCGCGGTGGCTCACACCTGTAATTCCAGCACTTTGGGAGGCCAAGGCAGGAGGATCACTTGAGGTCAGGAGTTCAAGACCAGCCTGGCCAACATGGTGAAACCCTGTCTCTACTAAAAAATACAAAAGTGATCAGGGCATGGTGGAGCATGCATCTGTAGGCCCAGCTACTGTACTCAGAAGGCTGAGGTGGGAGCCTCCCAGGAGGCTGAGCCTGGGAGGTTGAGGCTACAGTGAGCTGAGATTGCACTGCTGCACTCCAGCATGGGCGACAGAATGAGACCCTATCTCAAAAAGAAAAAGAAAAAGGGAAAAAAAAAGCTATGCAAAAGCAGGGCCATCAGGGCCAAGTGAGTTTCCTTCCACAGTTTCCCCTCAGAGGCAGCCACTGTGGCCAGTTTTTTATCTATCCTTCCAGAAAGATTCTGTGCATATACATTTTTACATAAAGAGTGCATATTCTCTACTGTTGGTCTCCAAAGTGGGGTGCACTTTGCTTTACATTTATTACTTATTCTAATGTTTCTAAATTTCAGTCTTTTTTGGTTTTTCATAAGGAACTTTATTAGGCCGCCTCTTGCAACAAAAGCTCATAACTAGACAGTCTCCTCTGTCAGGAGCAAAATTAAATGATTTTTTCCCGGTGGGAAAATAGAGACCCTTAATGTCTAGAGTCTATCATGTACATATTAGTTCAGCTGTCTTCACTGTTCTGACCTTTCTGACTCTGGACCCACCCACCACTTAACAAAGGATCTTGAAGGGTCTTCTGTGATCTTCCCCTTCTTTTTAATTTTTCTAAATTGCTACATAGTGGTTTTGAGGCTATACCTTATTTAATGATTTAACAGATTGCTATTGATAGAAATTCAGGTTGTTTCCAGTCTTTACTGTTACATGCAGTGTTGCAGTTAATACGTTTATACTTTGGTCTATTATCTTTTGTTCTGCAAGCACCTCTGTAGGATTAATGCCTAAAAGTAGAATTGCTAAGTTCAAAGGTTATTGCACATCATTGCTCAGCTAGGGAGTGCCAAGTTCCCCCCAATATGTTTCATGCTGGCTGGACGCGGTGGCTCAGGCCTGTAATCCCAACACTTTGGGAGGCCGAGGCAGGTGGATCACCTGAGGTCAGAAATTCAAGACCAGCCTGGCCAACATGGTGAAACCCTGTCTCTACTAAAAATACAACAATGAGCCAGGAGTGGTGGTGCACACCTGTAATCCCAGCTCTTTGGGAGCCTGAGGCAGGAGAATTGCTTGAACTAGGGAGGCGGAGGTTGCAGTGAGCTGAAATTATGCCACTGCACTCCAGCCTGGGTGACAGAGCCAGACTCTGTCTCAAAAAAAAAAAAAAAGTTTCATGCCAAACCAAATAATTCTTCATCTTCTGTACCTAGAGCTGCTTTGAGTGGCTTTTCAAGATTTCAGTCAAAATTGAAGCTCTGGCTGCTAAAAATTGAGCCCAGCTAGGGTGGATTAGAACAAGGCATGGCAGGGGTGGGGGTTGTATATCTTTAAATCCAAATCAAATAATTTTGGATTACCCAAAAGGCCACAGTCAGGTAGCTCTAAGTCTCTGTATCTATAGGGTTTTTGTTCTTTAATTATCTCACAGAACCCCACGGACATATCGTATGTGTACAGTGGGTATGCCCCGCTCAGTGTGCGGCTGGCCCAGCTGCTTTCCCGGCCTGGCTGGCGGAGCATCGAGGAGGTCCTCCGCATCCTCCCAGGGCCCCACTTTGAGGAGCGGCAGCCACTGCCCACAGGACTGCAGAAGAAACGTAAGTCCCAGTCCAGCATCTACAGATAATTATGTACTGTTAGTGTGGTTTTCAGGTATTGTACAGTTGCTTTGTAAAATAGTAAAGCACTTAGGAGTCAGAATTAAATACACCTCTTTTGTTCGTTGCTAATGTATGTAGTAAGAACTCGAATCGGATTATTCCCTGAGGGATAGCAGCTTTCAACTTCTGTGTTGAGAATCTCAGAAGTTAAAAAAAAATGTTGAGATCAAAATCAGTATTCTTAGGTTTCAGATGAACTGTCTGGATGAAGGCACTTGTTTATTCTTATGAATGATAAAATGTTTGAAGAGGTGGGAAGAGAAGCATTAATAATAAATAGTTTTTAATTCTGAAATGTTTAAATTTTAGGTCAACCGGGAGAAAACCGAGTGACTCTGATATTTTTCCTTGGGGGCGTAACCTTCGCTGAAATTGCTGCCCTGCGATTTCTCTCCCAGTTGGAAGATGGAGGTACAGAATATGTCATTGCCACCACTAAACTAATGAATGGAACCAGTTGGATAGAGGCTCTGATGGAAAAACCTTTCTAGGATGTTCAGAGGAGACTTAACAAGTGTACTGCAGAATAAACTACCTCTTTGAAGAAATTGCTGAAAGGAAGTAAAACCCCATAGAAGAAACATGGGAATACAGAATATATTCTGGGGTCAGCTTCTTAAATTATACTACTGTTTACTGCTTTCTCCGTCTCTTTTGTATTCCCTTTTTTTTTTTCCTTTGAGACGGAGTCTTGCTCTGTCACCCAGACTAGAGTGCAGTGGCACGGTCTCACCTCACTGCAACCTCCACCTCCTAGGTTCAAGCAATTCTCCTGCCTCAGCCTCCTGAGTAGCTGGGACTACAGGCATGCACCACCACACCCGGCTAATTTTTGTATTTTTAGTAGCCATGGTGTTTCACCATGTTGGCCAGGCTGGTCTCAAACTCCTGACCTCAGGTGATCCACCTGCCTCGGCCTCCCACAGTGCTGGGATTACAGGCCTGAGCCACCGTGCCTGGCCCCTAATCTGCTGAAGAAAGAAGAATAGAAGAAAATCAACCTGAGTAAAAGCAGCACTGGTTTTGAGTTTTCTAAGCTCAGGGTCTTCATTAGAGACCTCTGGAAATACATTAAGGATGGTGGGGGTAGATAATCCATTCAGCCAGACAAACGGGGCCAGCTCTTAAAATAAGAAAGCTGAGACTGAGGAGGTGAAACTGAAAATAAAAAGAGAAAGTTCATCCTCTAATCCCCAGTGCTGTATTTCTTCAAGGCGCATCAGGCCTAGGACAGTGGTTAAGTGTTGGGAGCTGGAGATCATTTTATCACTGAGTTGAGATTTCTTTTTCCTGCAGAGTGTGGGAGATTATATTTAGGGTCATCAGTCACTGTCGCAACTGATCACTAAGGCAAGTTTGCTTCCTTCTACTTCTTACAAAGCAAGAGGTTTAGGGGAGCTTCTTGCCCAGAAACAAAGTTTATGCTCTATGTGATCAGCTACATCTCCTTAGGTTCCATACTTATCAGGGGCTTTTGACATGGAAGAATGTGATAATTGGGGAGCAACCTTCTGAGAATTCAGCCTTTGAAGTAATTCAAAGACAGTTTCTTAGCACACACGTTAACTCCAGACACAGCAGTGGTGGGTGCCTCCATTGAGGTTTCCGTTTTCTCTTCTGTCCATCAAGGGCCCAACATCCAACTGGTCCCACAGTGAGCAGGGGCAACTCTTGCTTCTTCAGCATCTGGCCACTTCGTTTCCATGGTAACTGCCACGTGTACTTTTCTAGCAGTCTGTGGCCACTCCGTACTCAGCTGAAAACACTGTTTCAGCCCCCTCTCTGGTGACCTCAGCCTTCTCCAGGTGTATCTCTTGATGATCTTGGAGACCAGCAGCCACAGCTGCTGCTACTCCTGCAGGAGACTGTCAGGCTGTGGTGGGGGGCAGGGGTGTTGGAGGAGAAGTTGAAAATCCGTGTGTTCTCTGCCCCTCTGCTCCTCCATCTTAGCTTCTGGAGGAGTTAAGGCACCAAGGGCACCAAGTCAGGTTGGCAGTTTTGCTGCCCTTGCCCAAGCCTCCAGCAAAACTAGCTGGTCCCCTGCTTTGCTGGGTCCCAGCCAGGTGTGATTTTGGTTGTTGATTAGTAACCACACATTGTTTTTCCCCACCTTTTTCATTAGTGGAGGTTTTTGTTTTGTTTTGTTTTTGTTTGTTTGAGACAGAGTCTCACGCTCTTTTCAGACTGGAGTGCAGTGGTGCGATGTCAGCTCACTGCAACCTCCACTTCCCGGGTTCAGACGATTCTCATGCCTCAGCCTCCTGAGTAGCTGGGATTACAGATGTGCACCACCACACCTGGCTAATTTTTGTATTTTTAGTAGAGATGGGGTTTCACCATATTGGCCAGGCTGGTCTCAAACTCCTGACCTCAGGCGATTGGCCCACCTCGGCCTCCCAAAGTGCTGGGATTACAGGTGTGAACCACCGTGCCCGGCCCATTAGTGGAGTTCTGATGGGCACGGTAAATATTATTAATGAAAGAGAAATTCTGTATACTTTTTTAAAAATCTCTTTAATGAAAGAATGAAGAGTGGCAGAGATAATAATTGAAAGATTAGTTTCTCATGGAATTAATTTGGCCTTGATATTCAGTATTTGGAAATGTCTTAAAGAAAACCATTTTCATTGTAGAAAATCCTTTTTTAAATACTTGTTATATCCCAGGGAGATTAGTTTATACCTTCCACCTCAGGCAGTCATCAGCTGCTTTAGAGAATGGAATCCACCCTGCCCCTCCATTTTTTGGTTCCTGGGGCTCAATTCAAGTCTGGTCAAGTCTCCCTGGCTGGGGATTCTGTCCTGGGAACAGATACTCAGTTGTAGTCTCATGTGTCTGCACTCACCCAAGACTCTATATACTTGCTTGCTCAGAGCATAGTTAGGGCAGCTCCTAAAAATGCATTCAGCAGAAGACTGAAAAACTTCAATTGCTTCATTTGTATGCAAATAGAAAATGGTAGATAATTATATATTATACGCCTTTGTGTAAGTTCATTTAATACTTGAAGCAGTCTTTGTCTCAAAAGAGTATGCCCTTACTGAGAAAGGATATGTGAACGGTACATTTATTGTTGGGGAGAGTGGATTGTTTACATCATGTCTGGACTTTTGTCTAGTTGGGTAGACAGTTCTACACCAGCAGCCCCCTTAATAAAGAAGTCTACACAGACACTGTTTTGTGTCTTGCTATAGAGTGTTGAATTCTAACCAACAGAGAATTAAGTATTTTGTTAATTGTGGAGCAAAAGAGTAATGGTTGAAAGAGGGATGATTTAAAACAGCACATTTAATTCTCAGAGAAAACTGGGACAGTCTCATTGTGAGTTCTATTCGATTCAGATCTGCCCTCACTGCAAATGGATTATGATTAAGCATGATGTGTTGGTCGGTCTTGTTCTCAGTTGTACACTAAAGACCAGCCTGTCACCAGGAGGAAGTGTTTGTATTGAGCAGAGTTTAATTCAAGAAGAAATTATTTTTTTGAGATGAGGTCTTATTCTGTTGCCCAGGCTGGAGTGCAGTGGCACAATCATAGCTCACCACAGCCTTGAACTTCTGGGCTCAAGCAGTCCTCCTGCCTCAGTCTCACGAGTAGCTGGGACTATAGCAAAGCACCACCACACCCAGCAATTTTTTTTTCTTCCTTTTAGAGACAGGGTCTTTGTTGCTCAAACTCCTGGCCTCAAGAGAAATAATTCTTTTTTTCTTTTTCATTAAATTTATTATCTTTTTAATTTTCTGTTGGCTAGGGTGGTCTCGAACTCCTAGCTTTAAGCAGCCCTCCTGCCTCAGCCCCACAAAGTGTTGGGATTATGGGTGTGAGTCACCACACCAGCTGAAATACTCTTTTTAAAATATCAAAATGAACTGGATGTCTAAAGCAGACAGTAAGAGGGACTATGATAAAGATGGTGAGGCAAAAAAATGCAGACATCACATAGATGATCTTCTTTAGACTGAATTTATTGTAGACTGTGATATATTCAGTCGTGGTTTAATGATGACATCCTATAGAAAATAGAGGATACCTTTTTTGTCAGACAACAGAAGAAAAAGGCAATTATTTAAAATTTCTCAGATTCTTTTATTTCTAAATGGATTAGTGTGAATTTCAAGCCACATAGTGTTTCTTTGCTTAAGTTCCTCCGTTGCTGTAAAACACCCAAAATCAGGCGGTAACAAGGGGCCGCAAAGGCTAGAACACTTAACTGCCTGGAGACATCCATTTGAAGGATGTGAGGGTTAAAAGGGAACAGAATCAGGCCTATTTTTAATAGCCTGTCTGTTTCATCCATTATTTTGGTGTGGAGGAGGGTATAAATCTCAGCTGTACTCCGTTGCCACTAGGTAGGACACGGAAGATGACCAGTTCTCTGGGGGAGTAATTACTACTCACTGGCTTCCTGAGCAGCTTGATAATGTTCTGCTCCTGTTTTCAGCCTCACTGTGGCCAAGGCAATAATTTGATAATAAGAGATCCTGATTAAATTAAGGAGCCATTTGCTTCTGGATGATGATGTTGATAAAAGGGTTGATGTCCACACTGCCTGCTCTTTTCAAAGGTCAGAAAACAGTCTTGAACTAAAAACTACGGCAACGAGCAAAATAATCAGAAGCAGCATAGTTTATGCTTTCGTTTCCTTTGTTGTTGCATCTGGGAAAGTGTCTGTTCTTTGCAGAAATCCTCACTGGCTCCTTTTGCCTCACATTGTGAGGAGGTGAAATTGGAAGTGTCACATTGGGAAAGTATCTGTATAATGAGTCTGTAAGCTGCAAAACTCTTTGTAAATCGGAATCAAGCACTCAGGAGATCTCGGTCACTTAAGCTTGGTTCTCACACCCGTGCATGCTTGCACTTGCATGTTTTTTAAGACAACAGCTTTTGCTTTAGTAGTTGGGCGGTCGCAAGTGAACACTGTCCAGTGGTTCTTCTGGTGCCCAGACTCGGAGGAGATGGGACTGCTCTCAATGTGTTTGTTAGAAACGAAACTGTTCGCACTATAACCCCATAACCCCTTACAATGTTCAGAAAAAAACAAGAAGGGGCTTGAAATACCCACTAGTGTGCCGCCTGCTCAGCCCATCTGGGTCTGTGAAACCACATCTGAGCCCTGTGGGCTGTGGTGGCGACACAGGCAGAGGGCGGGCAGGGTTGCCAGCGCCCCGCCTGGGCTAGGAACGCCTGTGCGCAGCTCCCTGAGAGCTCGGGGACCACGCGGAGGTTGTAATTGGTCTCTAGACCACACCTAGTTGTTGAGTGCCGCTGCTTGAAAATCTCAGTTCTGCCGAGATCGCAGAATACACACAAGCTACCTTTGGGCACCAGAGCAGACAGAACCGCGGAGCTTCAGGGTGGAAGATTCGTGGAAACTTTGCCAAGTAAGTGAGGTGGGGAGAGAAGGAAGCCAGTGCCTGACACTGTGGGGAGTGGCTGGGCAAAGCAGCATTGGAGGTGTTGTAGGGTTCCTACTGTCTGATGAGCTGGTGTGGGGTTCTTACTGTCTGATGTCGTCTCTGGTGGAAGTTAGCAGGGCTGGGGCAGATGCACAGAGCACGGTGGCGGGGGTGAGCCCAGGATCGGATTGATGCCCACCCACCACCTGGCACCCTGCAGTCCCAGCTGGCCAGAAGGCAAGCATGCTGGACCACAAAGCAAAGATCCTCCAGCTCTGCTGCTGGCAAGCCTTGGGGCCAGGGGACTCACAGAAGAGCAGGTTTGGGCCTGTGCCTTCCTCCTGCCCAAATGGGTCTCTCTCCCCTTCCCCTTCCAGCCAGGGCCGCAGCTGGGGCTGCAGCTTGAGTGACGGGAAAAGAAAGGTTTACTCCACCAGCGCATTAGCGGCACTCACAGCATTAAAAATGCAGGAGGTGGTGGGAGGAGCGGGCCAGGGAGGAAAACTCATGCAGCTGCGGGGCGCGGGGAAGAGCCGGGCTTCTGCCTCCTCAGCCCGGATCAGAGCCGAAGAACGAGGGCAGTTTGGGTTGAGAAGGATTCTCCAGTGTAACCGAGAAGCGAGCGTCCAGGAGGCTGTTGGGGAGGTCGGCACTGTGGGCTTCCTGGCCTTCGTTTGCTGTTTCGAGGGCCAGGACCTCGTGTGTTCCCGTCCGCCCCTCTGGGACGGCGCCAGCCCGGCAGGCCGCCGACCGTCCTGGGGCTCCCGCGCAGCGCGATGCCGGCCTCGTCCACCGTCCACGTGCTGCAGCTGCTGCGGGAGCTGCTCGCCTTCGTGCTCCTCAGCTACACGGTGCTCATCGGGGCGCTGCTGCTGGCCGGCTGGACCACTTACTTCCTGGTGCTGAAGTGACAGCGCCGTCGCCGCGCCCGGCCCCGCCTCCCGCCCGGCCCCGCCTCCCGCCCGGCCCCGCCTCCCTAACTCACCAGGAAATTCCCTTCAAGCCCTGGCCCGAACTGAGTCCCCGCCCACCCGCCAGCGTCACGGCGCCCGACTCAGCTCCGCGCCGGACCCACCTCCGCGCCCTCAGGCCCTGCATATGCCCCGCCCCGCGCGGAAGTTCCGGCGGTTGGTTGCCTTGCGCGGCCGTTACAGCCTTTGCCCTAAGCCTCGCCCCCTTTCCCCCTGCCTGCCCAATCCCGACTGCTTCCTTGGGTGGGGGCGTGGCTATGGGGCGAGGCGCTCTCAGGTGGAGGCCGTGCCCCGCTCCGCGCTCACGAAGCTGCGTCACTTCCGGCGTGTGCGTCTGGCGTCCGCGCGCTGCACAATGGCGGCTCTGAAGAGTTGGCTGTCGCGCAGCGTAACTTCATTCTTCAGGTACCGCTGCGGCCGCGTAGAGGGGACAGGACCAGAGGGAGGGACCGACGCGGACAGCGCTGTGGCCCGGCCCACGGCGCCCGCCTTCCTTACGCGCTCATCTCTCGTCCGCCCAGCTGGGTCGCGGCGTCTCGCTCCGGTCGGGAGGACTGAGGACAGCCCCGCCTCCGCCCCCTGGGTCAAGCCCGGCTTCCTTTTCAGTTCGTCCATCTTCTAGAAACGAGTCCCCGAGACCCCGGGCTGCCTTCTTGGGGCTGCTCCGCCTCCTGACCAGCCCTCGTCAGCCACTCGAAGTCCCTGAGGAGACGTGGAGAGGAGGAGGGACACGGCATGGGGGGAGTCCGGGAAGGGAGACGAGCGTCTGAAGACGTCCTCCCGAGGGCAGAAGGGGCCGGGGGAGCTGGCGCAGGGCTCTCTACCTAGCGCTGCAGGCTCCTGGGCGATTGTAGCGGGACCGTCACACACAACTGGCACCCAGGCCAGGGGTCCAGAGCTAAATTCTGCCTGCAGGAGCGGTTATTGTGGCATCCGTTTCTAAAAAGTTTAAAGGCAACATTTTATTTTATTTTAATTTTTTTGAGACAAGATCTGCCTCTGTCGCCCAGGCTGGAGTGCAGTGGCGAGATCTCAGCTCACTGCAACCTGTGCCTCCCGGCTTCAAGCGATTCTCAGCCTCAGCCTCCCGAGTAGCTGGGATTGCAGGCGCCCGCCACCACGCCCGGCTAATTTTTTTTTTTCTTTTTGTTTTGTTTGAGACTCAGTCTCGCTCTGTTGCCCAGGCTGAAGTGCAGTGGGGCGCTCTCGGCTCACTGCAACCTCTGCCTCCCAGGTTCAAGCGATTCTCCTGCCTCAGCCTCCCGAGTAGCTGGGATTACAGGAGCGTGCCACCACTCCGGGCTAATTTTTGTGTTTTAAGTAGAGATGGGGTTTCACCATGTTGGTCAGGCAGATTTCGAATTCCTGACCTCAAGTGATCCACCCGCCTCGGCCTTTATTTACTTATTTTTTTTTAATAGACACGGGGTCATGTTGCCAGCCATGTTGCCCAGGCTGGTCGTGAACTCCTGGGCTCAAGTGATCCTCCCGCCTTGCCCTTGGCCTTCCAAGTGCTAGGATTACAGGCGTGAGCCACCAACACCCTGCCTGAGGCAACATTTTAAACTTGGTGTATGTTGAAAATTTCAAAACCCCTCAGCTGTCCTGCATCCTCATTTAGGTTCCTGCTTGGCTCGAGTTTGAGTTTACAGCCCCTGCAAGTAAATCCAAGAGCCTGTTACAGATTGGCGGTCGTGCCTTATGAAATCTGACTTCTACTTCCAGGTACAGACAGTGTTTGTGTGTTCCTGTTGTGGCTAACTTTAAGAAGCGGTGTTTCTCAGAATTGATAAGACCATGGCACAAAACTGTGACGATTGGCTTTGGAGTAACCCTGTGTGCGGTTCCTATTGCACAGGTACTGTCGTGTGCAGTGATTCTTATCTAGTGTACCGTGTCCTCTTGAAGTCTCAAGTGGGCGGTGAAGCATTAGACAAGCTACCATAGTTTTTCCCAGTGCTCCCATCCCTTCCCCCACAGTACCGGCATCTTTTCACAGTTGAGCAGATATATTAATATTCTCATTTTGATTATCTCATTTGGTAGGAACAGCACATCAAATTGTATAAAGCGAGTAGAGAGAAATAAGAGGATATTACAGTCTATCAACAAAGTAGTCTTTGATTCAACAGAAATTTATTGAGCAACTTTTATGTGCAAGACACTGAGAATGTAAGAATGAACAACAAAAAATTCTTGTTCTCACAAAAGCTTTGTGGAGATGAAAGAGGATAAAATATAAAATATCAGCTGGTGATAAATGGTGGGAAGAAAACAGGGCCGGGCACAGTGGCTGATGCCCAGGGCTTTGGGAGGCTGAGGTGGGAGGATGGCTTGAGCTCAGGAGTTTGAGACCAGCCTAGTCAACATAGGGAGACTCTGTCTCTACAAAACAGAAAAATTTAGCCGGGTGTGGTGGCTCACACTTCTAGTGGCAACTACTCAGGAGGCTGAGGCAGGAAGATCACTTGAGCCCAGGAGTTTGAGGCTGCAGTGAGCTATGATCTCACCACTGCTCTCCAGCCTGGGTGACAGGGCAAGACCTTTTCTCAAAAACAAAACAAAACAAATGAGGTAAGTGAATAGGCAATTCTGGGAGGGAGTTTTGTTTTAGATAAAGGTGGTCAAGCTACTCTGATAAGGCGAAGTAGAGATCTGAATGTTCTGAAAGAGCCATTATACTATCTGGTGCGGGGAGGAGCTTGCCAGGCAGAAGGAACTCAGAAGGACAAAGACCTAGAAGCAGAAGTATGCCTGGTATGTCTGAGGAGCATGGAGCTAATGTGTCTGGAGGCGAATGGGGGAGACCGTAATAGATGAAGCCAGAGAGTTAACTGATAATCAGATTGTGTCCTTTGTATTTTGTGGGCCATTGTTGTAAGGCTTTGGGTTTTCTGAAAAAGAAGCCGCAGAAGATATTTTTTTTTTTTTTTTTTAAAGACAGAGTCTCACTCTGTTGCCAGGCTGCAGTGCAATGGCACAATCTTGGCTCACTGCAACCTCCGCCTCCCAGGTTCAAGCAATTCTCATGCCTTAGCCTCCGGGTAGCTGGGATTACAGGGGTGTGCCACCGCACCCAGCTAGTTTTTGTATTTTTAGTAGAGATGGGGTTTCTCCATGCTTGTGAGGCTGGTCACGAACCCCTGACCTCAGGCGATCCACACGCCTCGGCATCCCAAGGTGCTGGGATTACAGGCCTGAGCCACCGTGCCCGGCTGTCACAGAGGATTTTTAACACAGAACTATTATGATCTGACATAAATTTTAAAAGTTAAAAGGTTGCTGTGTGGAACTAGGAAGACTAGTTGCTATATCTAGGCATGAAATGATACTGGCTTGGACCAGGCAAGCAGAAGAGGTGGGGAGAATTTAGCTCAACGTAGTTAGCAGGAGTTGCTGATGGATTGGTTGTCGGGTGTATTCTCTAGATTAGGGGTCCCCAACCCCTGGGCTGGTACTGGTCTGTGGCCTGTTAGGAAGCAAGCTGCACAGCAGGAGGTGAGTGGTGGGCAGGTGAGCATTACTGCCTGAGCTCTGCCTCTGGGCAGATCAGCAGTGGCATGGGATTCTCATAGGAGCACGAAACCTATTGTGAACTACACGTGCGAGGGATCTAGGTTGTGTGCTTCTTGTAAGAATCTAATGCCTCATGATCTGAGGTGGAACAGTTTCATCCTGAAACCATCCTCACCCCACCCAGTCCATGAAAAAATTGTCTTCAACAGAGCCGGTCCCTGGTGCCACAAACGTTGGGGACCACTGCTCTAGATTCCAAAAATTTTTTTTTTTTTTTTTTTTTGGAGACGGAGTCTCGCTCTGTTGCCCAGGAAGCTCTGCCTCCTGGGTTCACACCATTCTCCTGCCTCAGCCTCCCGAGTAGCTGGGACTACAGGCGCCCGCCACCACACCCTGCTAATTTTTTTGTATTTGTAGTAGGGACAGGGTTTCACCGTGTTAGCCAGGATGGTCTCGATCTCCTGACCTCGTGATCCACCTGCCTCGGCCTCCCAAAGTGCTGGGATTACAGGCGTCAGCCACTGCACCTGGCCAGATTCCAAGATTTTTTAAAGGCCTTAGCAACTGAATGAATGGCGATGCCATTTAGTAGGATGGAGAGGAGTGGGTTTTGAAAGGAAAAAAATTTTTTGGAAATGTCATTTCTAAGATGTCTAGGAAACATCTAGGTGGAGCTGTCAATTAAGTAGTTGATATAAAAGTGGCACTTCATTTAAAAAAATCATAGCTTATATGCTTTATGGGGAAGAGCTAGAGAGGAAACCAGCAAGCTCCATTTCAGCAAAATATTCCTGCCACTTAACGTGTGTGTTCATCACAAAAGGAAGATTAATTCCATGTATTACAAGTATTTTCAGCATCTTCTGAGGCTCATTCATGAGCCCTCACCTTACTGTGCCTCACTTCAGTTGTCATCTCTGCATGCTGATGAATCCATAGCCCTAAAACCCCTCACTTGAATACCAGGCTATTTTCGACCACAATTGGGACAACCTTTGTTTTTTTCATTCAAAAGATTTTTTTTTAGGTTTGTCCTTTCTCAGTTATTATATTACTTTCTAAGCCCAGTTAACCTCAGTTCTGGGCCACATGACTGGGGTCTCTAGTCATTTAGTACAGCAATGCCACTTCCATTCTTCAAAACCCCTCAGTGGTCAGCTAGGCACGATGGCTCTCTCTTGTAATCCCAGTACTTTTGGAGGCTGAGGTGGGAGGATCACTGTAGGCCAAGAGTTCGAGACCAGCCTGAGAAACATAGCGAGACCACCCCTCTACAAAAAATAATTAGCTAGGTGTGGTGGCGTGTGTCGGTAGTCCTAGCTACCTGGGAGGCAGGAGGATGATTTGATTTCAGGAGTTCAAGGCTGCAGTGAGCTGGGATCACAACACTATACTCCATCCTGGGCAACAGAATGAGAAATGAAAAACCTACAGTGGCTTTCCATGAGGCGTTCAGAACTAAAATTAAACTAAGTCTCCCTGCACTCCAGGGCCCTAGTGAGTCTCATTTCTCTTAGCTCCAACCAGGCTAGATCCCTGGACATCCCCTGCAACAAAAGTATTATTTTCCTCATTGTTACCTATTCTCCAGGATGCGTGGCCATTCTGATTCTAGGTATCTTTAGTACCAAGTCTCACCTCTATTTAAAGCCTTTCCTTATTCCTGTCCAACAACTATCTCCTCCTTTTTGGCCACTTAATATTGTATATTTTGATATTTGATGATAATCCTTTGGCACCCTCCTGAGTCATCAGAGCATAATGGGAAGGGTACAGACTTTGAAGTGAGATTTGGTTTGAGGTCTAGATGTGACTTTTTGGAAAAGTTACATAACTATTCTGAGCTTCCATGTCATTGCTTGTAAATAAGAAAGGATAATAACTGGACTGTTGTGAGGAACAAGTGAAAACACATTATAAAATGTAGCACATTATGAAGACTTATCAGAATATTGAGACAAAATTAGCTTCTTGTGAGCAGAGGTGTCTTTCTTCCTTTTGTAGTCCTGTATAAGATGCCTAATGAATACTTAATTATTTGAAATATAAAGTTCTTGATTTGTTCATATCAAAAATATTTCTTGACTGCCTCTTTCAACATGCAGTGATTCTGAGTGTTTGTACTCTGAATAGCAAAAACAAGACAACATAGAGTGATTGATTTTTTGTTTTTGTTTTTGTTTTGTTTTGTTTTGTTTTGAGACGAGTTTCACTCTTACCACCCAGGCTGGAGTGCAATGGCAAGATCTCGGCTCACTGCAACCTCCACCTCCTGGGTTCAGGCAATTCTCCTGCCTCAGCCTCCCGAGTAGCTGGGATTACAGGTACCCGCCACCACGCCCAGCTAATTTGTGTCTTTTTAGTAGAGACGGGGTTTCACCATGTTGGCCAGGCTTGTCTCAAACTCCTGATCTCAGGTGATCTGCCCGCCTCAGCCTCCCAAAGTGCTGGGATTACAGGTGTAAGAGTGCTTTGCTGAGGAGGAAAAAGGCAGAGAGTCAGGGAGGATGTGTCATTACAGTTGCCAGTATTTAGTCCAGGTGGCCACAGTCCCTTAACTCTTAAGGTAATTATATTAGTCTTTCCTTTTTTAAAATAGCTGAGGTCAGGGTGGGCATGGTGGCTCACACCTGTAATCCCAGCACTTTGGGAGGCCAAAGCATGTGTATCACTTGAGGTCAGGAGTTCAAAACCAGCCTGGGCAACATGATGAAACCCCATCTCTACTAAATATACCAAAAAAATAGCAAAGCGTGGTGGCAGGTGCCTGAAATCCCAGCCACTGGGGAAGCTGAGGCAGGAGAATCGCTTGAACCCAGGAGGCGGAGGTTGCAATGAGCCAAGATTGAACCACTGCACTCCAGCCTGGGTGATAGAGTGAGACTCTGTCTCAAAAAAAAAAAATAAAATAACCGAGGTCCCCCCATCAACACTGTACTGCTTCATTCTGCTCAGAATTGCCCTCCCCCATCCACTTTTTTTTTTTTTGGCGAAAGAGTCTTGCTCTGTCGCCCAGGCTGGAGTGAAGTGGCACGATCTTGGCTCTCACTGCAACCTCCACCTCCTGGGTTCAAGCGATTCTCCTGCCTCAGCCTCTCAAGTAGCTGGGACTACAGGTGCCCACCACCATGCCCAGCTAATTTTTTTTTTTTTGTATTTTTAGTAGAGTTGGGGTTTCGCCATGTTGGCCAGGCTGGTCTCGATCTCTTGACCTTGTGATCCACCCGCCTCGGCCTCCCAAACTATTGGGATTACAGGCGTTAGCCACCATGCCTGGCCCACTTTATTAGACTCAGCTTAATCCTCATCAAACTTGTGAAGCCTTTTCTAAGCTATTAGCACTCAACATAGAACTGATTGCTCCCTTCTGCATGCCCCCAGTGTAGCTCATACATACTCCTCCCACAGCTTCCATGATACATGATTGTGTTCATTTTTCTAGTTCTGTTAGCCCATCATCCTGCTCTCTCTACCCCTACACCTGTGTTTGAGGGCAGAGAATGTCTTGTTGAGACTTGCGTCTCAAGTATCTAACACTGTTAATGAATGAATTGTAATCTTATCAATTTGTTGGTTATAATCAATAGTTTTGGGGGTTTTTTTGGTTTTTTGTTTTTTTTTTGAGATGTAGTCTCGCTCTGTCACCAGGCTGGAGCGCAGTGGTGCAATCTCGGCTCACTGCAACCTCTGCCTCCTGGGTTCAAGTGATTCTTCTGCCTCAGCCTCCCAAGTAGCTGGGACTACAGGCGTGTGCCACCACGCCCAGCTAATTTTTGTATTTTTAGTAGAGACGGGGTTTCACCATGTTGGCCAGGATCGTCTCAATCTCCTGACCTCGTGATCTGCCTGCCTCAGCCTCCCAAAGTGCTGGGATTACAGGCGTGAGCCACCGTGCCCGGCACTTTTTTTTTTTTTTTTTTAGTCTTGCTCTGTCACCCAGGCTGGAGTGCAGTGGCAGTCTCGGCTCACTGTAACCTCTGCCTCCTGGGTTCAGTCGATTCTCCTGCCTCAGCCTCCCGAGTAGCTGGGATTAAAGACGCACACCACTACGGCCCAGCTAATTTTTGTATTTTTTTAGTAGAGACGGGGTTTCACCATGTTGGCCAGGATCGTCTCAATCTCCTGACCTCGTGATCTGCCTGCCTCAGCCTCCCAAAGTGCTGGTATTACAGGTGTGAGCCACCGTACCCCGCCACAATTTATTTTATATGTAAAGAAATAATTTGCTTTTTGGAGCAGAGAATGAAAGTTGGTAGAAAGCATACTCCGGAATTATTTCTCTATATTGTCTTAAATTGCCAAAATAAGGCCTTAAAAAATATAACCCAAAGAAATATAGTGCAGTTTCAGCCTAAAACACTAAGCAGCATGACAATTACGTTTTTTGCTTGCCTATTGGTGAAAAAGTTCTCAGTTTGAGCTTTAGAGGTTGAGTGACAATGTTTGTGTCTTTCAGAAATCAGAGCCTCATTCCCTTAGTAGTGAAGCATTGATGAGGAGAGCAGTGTCTTTGGTAACAGATAGCACCTCTACCTTTCTCTCTCAGACCACATATGCGTTGATTGAAGCTATTACTGAATATACTAAGGTATGTCTCCTCTTAACTCTTGATCTTCTAAACCATGGTTTAGCAAATAATGGCTCACAACCAAATTGTGTCTGATACCCATGTTGGTATTTGATTGAAACATAGCCAGGCCTATTTGTTTATGTGTTGTCAATAACGGTTTTTGAGGATTTGAGTAGTTTCAACAGAGGCTGTAAGGCCCACAAAGCCCAAAATATTTACTGTCAGGCCCTTCAAAAAGTTTGCTGAGCCCTGATCTAAATCACTCGTTTTTAGACTTTTCCCAGGAACCTTTTTTTTTTTTTTTACAGAAAAATCTTAAATGTGGCAGCCTAGTATATAAAACAGGAGTGAAGCTGATATGGTTCAGTTAAGGGCACAGGGGCCTGTGGTCCATCAACAGAGGTTGCTCTGTGAGGATTATTTAAAAGCCACTGATCTAACCTAATAGAAAAGAGAGTATATGGGCCAGGCGTGGTGGCTCACATCTGTAATCCCAGCAGTTTGGGAGGCCAAGGCGGGAGGATCACTTGGGGCCAGGAGTTCAAGACCAACCCAGTCAATGTAGCAAGCCCCATCTCTAGCAGAAAAAAAATTTTAAACTTAGCCAGGCATGGTGTGTTGTGTGCCTGTAGTCCCAGTTACTCCAGGGGCTGAGGTGGGAGGATCACTTGAGTCTAGGAGTTTGAGATTACAGTGAGCTATGAACATGCCAGTGCACTTCCGTCTGGGTGACATAGCATCCTGTTTGTAAAAAATAATAAATTTTTTTTTTTGAGATGGAGTCTTGCTTACGCAGGCTGGAGTGCAGTGGAGTGATGTCAGCTCGCTGCAATCTCCGCCTCCTGGGTTCAAGCGATTTTCCTTCCTCAGCCTCCTGAGTAGCTGGGATTACAGGTGTGTGCCACCATGCCCGGCTAATTTTTTTGTATTTTTAGTAGAGACGGGGTTTTGCCATGTTGGCCAAGCTGGTCTCGAACTCCTGACTTCAGGTGATCCACGTGTCTTAGCCTCCCAAAGTGCTAGGATTACAGGCATGAGCCACTGCACCCGGCCAATAAAAATTTTTTAGCGTATATGGATAATCAAAAGTATTGAAGTCTCATTTGTGCATTTGTTTTACATATATTTTCCAGCAGCTTTTTTCCCCTCAACCTTTAAAGTTTTCCCTTGCATTGTTTTCTCTTTCTGTGTCTGAATTGCTGACAAGCTTTTAAAAACACAGAAGTTTACAGATGGAGATACTAATGTCCTGATACCTTTACTTCATAGGATAATAGTGCAATTTCATTGAGGCAGCAGGATGGAAGAGCCAGTTTGCTGTAATGGGACTTAATTTCCTTGAGGTGGAAATCTCTCTATTCCTTCTGATATGTCTCACTTACTTTACTCAGACTTGTTCATTCTCTATTTGTAGGCTGTTTATACCTTAACTTCTCTTTACCGACAATATACAAGTTTACTTGGGAAAATGAATTCAGAGGAGGAAGATGAAGTGTGGCAGGTGATCATAGGAGCCAGAGCTGAGGTAAGCAGAAAGTTCTAGGCATTTCTGTGTTAGTGCACCTACCTCATGTGGTATCTAAATTATTGAATTAAGTCTAATCAATATAATCAGTGTTCTCTAAATCTACTACTTTAAGTCCATTTAAATGGGCTAGACCTCTTATGCTGTCTGAAGCACTTTGCTTGATTTATATAGATGACTTCAAAACACCAAGAGTACTTGAAGCTGGAAACCACTTGGATGACTGCAGTTGGTCTTTCAGAGATGGCAGCAGAAGCTGCATATCAAACTGGTAGGTTCAAGTTTTGTGTTGGGTTTTTTTTTTAATTTTTTAACTAGGAAGGTACCATTTGAGTTTTCATCTGGTTTTCTAAAATGAGGGCTTTATAGTAAATGGTCTAAGTGGCTCTCACTTTGAGAAATTTTCCCCATTTCCTACATATTAACCTACATTTTATTTGCACAATAGAAACAATGAGCATACCCTTGCAGACCAGACCAGTAGAAGCTAGGTTATGTCTTCAAAATGAAAAATGATAAAACTATTACCATTGGAAAATTGGATTGCTTCCAAATAGTTTTAGCTTCTTTTGGTAATACAATTTATTAACAATCATAGAATTACACCGTTGGCTGAGACTTGAGATGAGTAATCTATGTGAACCTTTTTGTACAGATGGAGAAAATGAGACCTGGAATCATAGTCAGTGGCAAAACCAGGACAAATTATTTGTCTATGTCAGGCTTTGTGGTAGGCATTTCGTAGGCACTTTTTATATGTGAAGAAACTAGAGGGCAGATGGGCCAGATCATTCGGCTAAGATGACACGGTATGGTGAGTAAGCAGCCAAGCTGAGATTCAGCTGAGTAGGTCTTTTTTTTTTTTTTTTTTTTTTCCTTCATAAAATAGAGATGGGGTTTTACAATGTTGCACAGGCTAATCTCGAAATCCTAGGCTCAAGCAGTCTACCCACCTTGGCCTCCCAAAGTGCTGGGATTATAGGCATGAGCCACGGAGCCAAGTAGGTCGAATTCCAAAGCCTCTGCTTCTCCTATTCTCCCAGCAGCCAGTGCTTTGTCCTTTGCACCGTGGTGCCCCAAGGTGCCCATCATAGAACATCCTACCTGAGTGGTCCCAACCTAGGTAGGTAGGCTCACAGAAAAAAAAATTTTTTTTAATGGAGTTTTGTTCCTGTCACCCAGGCTGGAGTGCACTGGCGCCATCTAGGCTCACTGCAACCTCCACCTCCTGGGTTCAAGTGATTCTCCTGCCTCAGCCTCCCAAGTAGCTGGGATTACAGGCACCCGCCACCACGCCCAGCTAGTTTTTGTATTTTTAATAGAGAATAGTTTTTGTATTTTTAATAGAGAAGGGGTTTTGCCATGTTGGCCAGGCTGGTCTTGAACTCCTGACCTCAGGTGATCCACCCGCCTTGGCCTCCCAAAGTGCTGGGATTACAGGCATGAGCCACTGTGTCCGGCCAAATTTTTTTTTTTTTGAGACAGAGTTTCACTCTTGGTGCCCAGGCTGCAGTGGTAGCACTTTCTCAGCTCACTGCAACCTCTGCCTCTCCAGTTCAAGCAATTTTCCTGCCTCAGCCTCCCGATTACAAGCATGCACCACCACGCCTGGCTAATTTTTGTATTTTTAGTAGAGGCAGGTTTCGTCATGTTGTTCCTCACTTCAGCCTCTCAAAGTGCTGGGATTACAGGTGCGAGCCACCGCACCCAGCCGGCTCACCAAAGTTATAGCTTAGTACTAGTTCTTATTAAGAAACTGGTTGCAGTGGCTCATGCCTATAATCCCAGCACTTTGGGGGGCCAAGGAGGGCGGATCACTTGAGGTGGGTCACTTGAGGTCAAGAGTTTGACACTACCCTGGCCACCGTGGTGAAACCCTGTCTCTACTAAAAATACAAAAATTAGCCAGGTGTAGTGGCACACGCCTGTGCAGGAGAATGGCTTGAACCCAGGGGGTGGAGGCTGCAGTGAGCCTAGATGGCTCCACTGCACCTCAAGCCTTGGTGACAGAGCAAGACTCTGTCTCAAGAAAAAAAAAAGAAACTGGGATGAGTCAGGCACAGGGACTCAACGCGTGTCTTTGGGAAGCCAAGGCAGGCAGATTGCTGGAGCCCAGGAGTTCAAGGGCAACACAGTGAAACCCCATCTCTACCAAAAATACAAAAATTAGCTGGGCGTATTGGCGCTCGCCTGTAGTCCCAGCTACTCGGGAGGCAGAGGTGGGAGGATTGCTTGAACCCAGGAGCTCAAGGCTGCAGTGAGCTATGATCATGCCTGTGCACTCCATCCTAGGCAAAAGAGCTAGACCCTGTCTCAAAAAAGAAATTGTTATATTAAAACATACTCTTGTTTTCTGATGTCAAGATTAGCAGGCTAGGGTTCTCAATCATCAAATCTTAAAAATGATACAAAGGGCTGGGTGTGGTGGCTCACACCTGCAATCCCAGCTACTTGGGAGGGTAAGATAGGAGGATCACTTGAGCCTGGGAGGCAGAGGTTGCAGTGAGGTGAGATCATTGCACTCCAGCCTGTGCAACAGAGTGAGACCCCATCTCAAAGAAAAGATATAAAACATTTTTTAAGGTAAGTGTTGTGTCATCATACTGAAAAACAAAAAATAATTCTTTTAGAAGGTTTTTTTTGTTGTTGTTAGTTTTTTTGTTTGTTTGTTTTTTTGAGACAGTCTCATTCCATCCCCCAGGCTGGAGTGCAGTGGTGTGAACTCAGCTCACTGCAACCTCCACCTCCCTGCTTCAAGCAATTCTCTTGCCTCTGCCTCCTGAGTAGTTGGGCTTGGAAGCGCCTGCCACCATGCCTGGCTAATTTTTTTATTTTTAGTAGAGACGGAGTTTCACCATGTTGGCCAGACCGGTCTTGAATTCCTGATCTCAGGTGATCTGCCTGCCTCGGCCTCCCAAAGTGCTGGGATTACAGACATGAGCCACTGCGCTTGGCCCAGAAAAAGTAGTGATCCTGAGAAAAAGTAGTGATCCTGAGGGATCAGAGATTTGGAACAAGAATGAAACAACGGAAGTGTGGAAGCAGCATTATAGTTGTGCCACACAAACATGGCAGAGGATTTCTAGGTGCAGTGAACAGGAGGATATGCTTATATCTAGAAGGAGAAAAGGAGAATATCTAGAAGGAGAAAAGGAGGGGATGTATAAGCATTATTTGAGAAAAGTAGACATTTTCCTAGAACTCATAGAAAGGGCTAACAAAGTTGTAAACGGAATTTTTTTTTTTTTTTTCCCTGAGACAAGGTCTTACTCTGTTACCAGGCTGGAGTACAGTGGCACAATCATGGCTCACTGCTTACTACAGCCTTAGCCTCTGGGCTCAAGCGATCCTACCATGTCAGTCTCCCAGGTAGCTGGGATTATATGTTTCCGGTAGAGACAGGATTTTGCCATGTTGTCCAGGCTGGTCTTGAACTCCTGAGCTCAAGTGATCCACCCGCCTTGGCCTCTCAAACTGCTGGGATTACAGACATGAGACACTGTGCACGGCCTTATGATTTCACTTTTTTAACCAAAAATCTGGTCCAGGTGCAGTGGCTCATACCTGTTGTAATCCCAGCACTTCGGGATGCCTAAGCAGGTGGATCACTTGAGCTCAGGAGTTCGAGACCAGACTTGACAACACGATGAAACCCTGTCTCTACAAAAAAATTAGCCAGGCATGGTGATGGGCGCCTGTAGTCCCAGCTTCTTGGGAGGCTGAGGTGAGAGGATCACTTGGGCCCTGGAGGTCGAGGCTGCAGTGAGCCATGATCAGGCCAGTGTACCCCAGCCTGGTTGACAAAGCAAGACCCTGTCTTAAAAACAAAAAAATGGCCGGGCGCAGTGGCTCACGCCTGTAATCCCAGCACTTTAGGAGGCTGAGGTGGGCGGATCATGTGGTCAGGAGATAAAGACCATCCTGGTTAACATGGTAAAACCCCGTCTCTACTAAAAATACAAAAAAATTAGCTATGTGTGGTGGCGGGTGCCTGTAGTCCCAGCTACTCGGGAGGCTGAGGCAGGAGAATGGCGTGAACCTGGGAGGCAGAGCTTGCAGTGAGCAGAGATCACACCACTGCACTCCACCCTGGGCAACAGAGCAAGACTCCATCTCAAAAAAAAAAACAAAAATAAATAAATAAGCGAACAATAAAGTAACAGCATAACAAAAAGATTCAGAGCAAAATCCCAAAAGCTACTAAGAAAAAATAGATTACCTACAAAGGAAGTAGAATCAAACATCAGGCATCTTCTCCGCAACACTAGAGGTGACGATAAATCCATAACCTAGGATTTTATGTATAGCCAACTACCATCAAAAAGTGAGAATAAAAGATATCCTCAGACATAGACTCAAAGTACCACCTGTATACACTTTCTGGAAGAACTATGAAGAAGGAAAAATCAGTTTTGAGAGAAGCTACTAAGATTTTTTTTCAAAAGTTCTGAGTGTAAAACAAGTTTTTAAATTTGGGAAAGTGAAAACATGCTAAGCACATTGACATTAGACATTGTTAAACACTGCAAAGAGAATTAGTAGGAGTGGGAGGAAACTTGGTAGCTCCAGTTGAGGCAGGAAAGGTTTAAAAAGAAAACCCGTCAATTAGAAAATACAAAATTGGGCCACGTGCAGTAGTTCACACCTATGATCCCAGCACTTTGGAAGGCCAAGTCAGATGGATCAGCTGAGGTCAAGAGTTCGAGACCAGCCTGGCCAACATGGCAAAACTCCATCTGTAATTTAAAAAAAAAAAAAAAAAATTATAGGAATAATTTCAAACATCAGTGATTGCAGTAAAAATAAACTTATTAAATGACACGTTTAGATTGTGTTCCAAAATTTAGCTAAAACTAGCTAAATCAAAGAATTCAAGATAAAAAGTAATCAGTAGGACAGAACAATTCATTAAGACATTATCAATCATGAAATGTACTTAATGAGGCAAAAACTGATAGAATTACAAGGAGATCTGAGATGTGTGTAATACTCAATTTTCTGAGCACGCTTGCAGGTCAAGACAACCAAAAAAATTAAAGCTATTAAAGCTATTAAGGATTAGAACAGAATTTGTTTTGGAGACAGGGTCTTGCTCTGTTGCCCAGGCTGGAGTGTAATGGCATGATCACAGCTTACTGCAGCCTTGACCTGGGCTCAAGCCATCTTCCCATTTCAGCGTCCCAAGCAGCCCAACTAATTTTCTTTTTTTTTTTTAAGAGTTGGTGTCTTGTTATGTTCCCCAGGCTGATTTTGAACTCATGGGCTCAAGTGATCCTCCCGTCTTGGCCTGCCAGAGTGCTAGGATCACAGGCGTGAGCTGAGCCACTGCACCCAGCTCAGTGTGATTGTTTTTTATTTTGGAGACAGGGTCTCACTCTGTCACCCGGGTTGGAGTGCAGTTCCTTGATCTTGGCTCACCGTTACTTCTGCCTCCCAGGGTCAAGCAATCCTGTCTCAGCCTCCTGAGTAGCTGGGACCACAGGCAGTCACCACCACGCCCGATTAATCTTTTTTATTTTTTGGTAGAGATGGGGTTTCACCATGTTGCCCAGGCTAGTCTCGAACTCCTGAGCTAAGGCAGTCCACCTGCCTCAGCCTCCCAAAGTGCTGGGATTACAGGCGTGAGCCACTGTGCCCGTCTGTGATTTTTTTTTTTTTTTTTTTTTTTTTTTTTTTTTTTTACTTTTAACTAAACAAAGGAAAATCAGATTTGTGTGTGTGAGAGAGACAGGGTCCATGCGGGAATGCTGTGGTGGGATCATAGATCATAGCTTGCTGTAGTCTCAACCTCCTGGACTCAAGTGATCCTCCCCACTTTAGCCTCCCCAGTAGCTGGGATTACAGGTGCACACCACCATGCCCCAGCTAATTTTTTTATTTTTAGTAGAAACAGAGTTTTGCTAAGTTTCCCAGGCTGGTTTTGCAGAGTGGTTTTTAAACACCTAACAAATGTATATATACTAAATATAAAACTTTGCCCCCTCCCTCTAAATTTACATACTCTTCTAAGACACACAGTAAATTTTGTACCAGGTGACAAAAGGAAGAGACAACAAAATCATTTAAAAAGTTGATATATCACCTGGGCGCGGTGGCTCACGCCTGTAATCCCAGCACTTTGGGAGGCCAAGGCGGGTGGATCACGAGGTCAGGAGATCAAGACCATCCTGGCTAACGTGGTGAAACCCCGTCTCTACTAAAATAAAAAAAATAAATAAATAAATTAGGCATGGTGGTGGGCACCTGTAGTCCCAGCTACTCAGGAGGCTGAGGCAGGAGAATGGCGTGAACCCGGGAGGTGGAGCTTACAGTGAGCCGAGATCGCGCCACTGCACTCCAGCCTGGGTGATAAGTGAGACTCCATCTCAAAAAAAAAAAAAAAAAAAAGGTAGAAATGGTATTCGAAGATTTTGATGTCCCCAAAATGGACACCAGGGCCTAGGATGTTTCGTGGGAGAGTTTTATCAAATCTTCCAAAACTATAATACCTATGTTACTGTAAGTGTACCAGCGCAAAGAAAGTAATGACAAGCCTCCTCTTACTACTGTATGAAGCCAGCATAGCCCCGATCCCAAACTGGACTAGGGCAGCACCAAAACGAAAAGCTCAGTATCACTTCAAAATGTAGCCGTAAATCAAACGTAGCCATTTACCCTCAAAATAGAATGATAGTTCAACACTGTAAAAAACTATAGAGTGAGACTCCTTCTCAAACAAATATAATTCACTGTTTGAGATGATATATCCATAGATTAAAGGAGAAAAACCACTTAACATATGCCCAAAACATCTTCAGTGTAGTAGCCATTTATGATTCGAATCTAAGTACAATTATGAAGAGATAATTTTCTTAATGTAATAAAGGTTAAGTAATCCTACTTAATTGTGTGGACTTTCAGAAGTGTTTTCATCGAAGTTAGAAGAGGAGGATGCCTGCCATTCTCCACTACCTGTCAACATTGTCCTGAAGGTTCTTGTTAATGCAGTAAGATCAAAATGTTCTACAGACGAATTGATAAAATGTATATACCCAGATGGTGAAATACACTAACTAGCAGCAGGTAAAATGAGAGAGCTCATTTTTTTTTTTGGGGGGGAGACGAGTTTCACTCTCACCTAGGCTGGAGTGAAGTGGCGCGATCTCAGCTCACTGCAACCTCCGCCTCCCAGGTTCAAGCAATTCTCCTGCTTCAGGCTCCCAAGTAGCTGAGACTGCAGGTGCACTCTGCCACACCCAGCTACTTTTTTTGTATTTTAGTAGAAACGGGGTTTCACCGTGTTACCCAGGCTGGTCTTGAACTCCTGAGCTCAGGCAGTCCACCCACCTCGGCATCCCAAAGTGCTAGGATTACAGGCACGAGCCACTGCACCCAGCCTTTTTTCTTTTTTTCTTTTTTTTTTGAGACGGAGTCTGTCGCCCAGGCTGGAGTGCAGTGGCACGATCTTGGCTCACTTCAGCCTTCGCCTCCCGGGTCCAAGCTATTCTCCTGCCTCAGCCTCCCAAGTAGCTGGGATTACAGGCATGCGCCACCATGCCTGGCTAATTTTTTTTTGTATTTTTGGTAGAGACGGGTTCACCATGTTAGCCAGGCTGGTCTCGAACTTCTGACCCTCAGGTGATCTGCCTGCCTTGGCTTCCCAAAGTTCTGAGATTAGAGGCGTGAGCCACTGCGCCCGGCCTTCAAAACATGTTTAAGTGAAAAAATTATAAAACATATTTAATACCTTTTATGCTGTTACATAAATTTATAGTAAAAAAATATTTTTCTATGCATTCCTTTACCTTTAAAGATTAGTCAAGGTGATGAAAGGGATCTTTGACAATTTTATTCATGATCTCTTTGTCAAAAAGAAATGGAAGATGTGTAGTTAAAAAAATTAATCAAAGGTCTGTACTAAAAGCTCTGTAGCTATAAAGATGATTGTGAGAGTTGCATTTAATAATTGTGATGTTGGCCGCTGACAGCTGAAGAAAAATGCTGTTTTTGACAGAGTGTCAGTTAAATCCAGACCTGAACATAGAGGTGGAAGTTTCTTTGCAGAGAGAGAAGACAGGGAGGTCAAGGAAAGTGACCCCAAGAGGGGTTCAGATGACAGCCACAGCACCCCCAGGCCAACGTCCACATGAGCCTTCCGCGCCCTGCACGGCTGCTCAACCCGATTGTCCCATCTTTTGGCAGGCGCAGATCAGGCCTCTATAACCGCCAGGAATCACATTCAGCTGGTGAAACTGCAGGTGGAAGAGGTGCACCAGCTCTCCCGGAAAGCAGAAACCAAGCTGGCAGAAGCACAGATAGAAGAGCTCCGTCAGAAAACACAGGAGGAAGGGGAGGAGCGGGCTGAGTCGGAGCAGGAGGCCTACCTGCGTGAGGATTGAGGGCCTGAGCACACTGCCCTGTCTCCCCACTCAGTGGGGAAAGCAGGGGCAGATGCCACCCTGCCCAGGGTTGGCATGACTGTCTGTGCACCGAGAAGAGGCGGCAGATCCTGCCCTGGCCAATCAGGCGAGACGCCTTTGTGAGCTGTGAGTGCCTCCTGTGGTCTCAGGCTTGCGCTGGACCTGGTTCTTAGCCCTTGGGCACTGCACCCTGTTTAACATTTCACCCCACTCTGTACAGCTGCTCTTACCCATTTTTTTTACCTCACACCCAAAGCATTTTGCCTACCTGGGTCAGAGAGAGGAGTCCTTTTTGTCATGCCCTTAAGTTCAGCAACTGTTTAACCTGTTTTCAGTCTTATTTACGTCGTCAAAAATGATTTAGTACTTGTTCCCTCTGTTGGGATGCCAGTTGTGGCAGGGGGAGGGGAACCTGTCCAGTTTGTACGATTTCTTTGTATGTATTTCTGATGTGTTCTCTGATCTGCCCCCACTGTCCTGTGAGGACAGCTGAGGCCAAGGAGTGAAAAACCTATTACTACTAAGAGAAGGGGTGCAGAGTGTTTACCTGGTGCTCTCAACAGGACTTAACATCAACAGGACTTAACACAGGCCTCTTGTTCCTTCCTTTCTTTCCGTTTCTCTATTGTATCCAAAGGAGAAGAGTGTAAGATTTTGTTTGCATCTGAAAGAGAAAATGCGTCTCTCCTGGGGTCCTATGCAGCCTCCTTCCTTGAGGTCCCAGACTGCAGCGCCCCAGGCAGCGCCCGGAATGCCCCGACAGGTTCCTGGCAGCATTTGCTACACTTTGGCTCCCATTCAACATATGCTGGACAAGTTAGCTGGGTTGCAGTGTTTTTAATCAGAGCTAACAGGGTGAGAGGAGTTAAAAAACCAAGTTGGCATTTTCTGTAGAGCAGCAGGCATCAATTTCGCATCACGATAGAGAATCAACACTGAGTCCACTCTCAGGCTGTTGCCCAACCCACCCTTCAGCGCTGGGGTATGGGGCCAGCTGCACACTTGAGCCCCTCATCTGTCACCAGTGCCCACATGGTCCACATCTCGAGGGGGCTGAGGCGGTGAACCAGCAGGAGCCCCCTATACAGGCAGGGGTCTAAGGGGTCCAGGGGCCGCCGGATTCCAAATGTCTTGAAGCCAGCATGGTGCATAGGGCTCAGCCCCAGCCGCCTCAGGCACATACCCACAAAGACATCATCAATGGGGAAGAGTTCAGCATCTTCCATGATAGCCTGGAGGCGCCGCACTGTGGCTCTGGACATGACATATCCTCCCCCACCAGCATAGGGTGGGTAGTGGGTGGCCCTGTACATTGAGGGTGGGATGAAGTATTTGACCTTAGTGTTCCTGTTGGGCAGGGCTTGGCGGATGACATCTCCCACCAGGAGGTCCTGGGCTGGGTCCCAGCCATCCAGGAACTCTAACACGTTGGGGACGTGGACAAAGACATCGTCATCTCCCTTTAGCATGAAATGGGCCTGGGGGCAGGCAGCCACCACCCAGCGCTGCAGGTGCAGCTCCTTGAGCGTCAGGTTGAAGAAGTCCTCAGTGAAGTCCCACTGGAGGATGTCATCAAACTCCCTACTCTCATAGGCCAGCAGCTGGGCTGGGGGAGCGGATCCTGCCACCCCTAGGAGGAACACCAGCTTCAGCTGCCGGCCCCTAGCCCATCCCCCCACCCTGCCCCACGTGCTGCGGATAGCCGCACGTCGCTCCACGTGACCAGGCTGTGACTTGATGGCCAGGAGCAAGAAGGTATCCTTGGAACAGCCTGAAGGCTCCAGCAAGATAGAGAAATTTCGGCAGTGACGATAGGTCAAGAAGAGACGGTGACGGCTAGGCAGGGACAGAGAGGCGCTAGACACTGTGTGGTTGGGTGGACACCGGCTGTGACGGGGTGTTGGGGGAGCCCAGAAAGGCTGGTGGGCCGTGGGGTCTCCTGCGGGCTTGGCCGCCTTCCTCAGGAAGAGCAGGCAGCCGAGCAACAGCACAGCCAAGCTGTACGAGACCAGCCAGCACAGCCTGCAGAGCATCGCCGGTCCCTGCAAGGAGAGAGCCACCTGAGCAGGGCCCAGCCCCGGGTCCCTGTCCCCAAGAGTTGGGCAGGAGTTAACCTGCACCCCAGCCGCTAAGTCCCTGCTGGCCTCTGGACTTTTTATTCTCAGCGTATCCTCAGGCTCTTTCCAGAGTCCTCCCTCCCCTGAGGATGGGCTAAGCACAGCTGCTTTGCCAGCCCTTGCCCTCCTCTGCCATCATCTGAGGACTCCTGGGTCTGTTTTTCCCAAAAGGACTTGCAGCCACTTTACAGCTGACACCATAAACGTTCCCAGCCATTCTTCCAGGAAACTCGAGCACCTGATGAGTTTTAGGCACAGACTCAGTTTAGCTTGGATCAAATTCACTAAGTGTGGAACTGACATTCAGGGCTTTTCAAGTGGGAAGTGAAACCATTTCCCAAAAAAAGCTTGGTGCCTGTGGGGTCCTGTGTTGGGCGTCTCCAAGATGACCAGGAGTGCACTGCTTCCCTCGGAGGAGAACCAGCACCACAGGGTGGCCGTGGCCACCAAAGCACACACCCTTTACACCTGCCTCAGAGGTCGGGGCTTCCAGGAGGGAGGGAGGGAGACAAAGCCACACACCACAAGAGGGGAAGCAGGAAAGCTGGGGACTTGTATCAGGGATGGCTTCCGAGGCACCCCGCCCCGCCTTCCCACCACGTTCTAAGTGCTGATTTCTCCCAGGGACCTGAAAAGAAGGATGAGGAGACAGAATCCACCAGTGTGGCCTGCCCGAGCTCCACGTAGCAAAGCCTGTCTTCAGTTTCTCATTTTTGTCCCTCTGGTGTCTCCCTCTGCCCCAGTCCCCTCCCCTTGACCTCCACTGCCAAGTCATCCTGTCCCTTCACTTCTGACCAGTCTGCCGCATTGGCCACTGCCACAGCCGCCGTCACCAGAAAAGCAACTGCTAGGTGCTAGGGATGCAGTGGCAAGCAAGACAGGGTCGCTGCCCTCTCAGAGGGGAGCACAAAACGCATAGGAACCAGGTATGTTGAGAAGTTACAGTCTAATGCAGAGAATTGGCTGACGCGGAGGACGGATCCCATAGCCAAGGGTAGCTAAAAAGCCCTCCTTGATGGAGGGACGTTTGAGCAAGAACTGAGTGAGGAATGGCACCTTGCGTGAAGACCTGGGGTCTCTGCAGGCCGTGGGCAGAGTCAGGCAGCTCCAGGGCAGGAGAGAGGGGAGAAAGAAGGGAGACGGGGGCCCAGCAGGTTTACAGTAGGAAGAGGCCAGCCCGGCTAGTGAAAGAGCTAAGGGTTTTGTTGGTTTTTTTTGAGACAGTGTCTCTGTCACCCAGACTCTAGTGCAGTGGCACAATTATAGCTCACTGCAGCCTGGAACTCCTGGGTTCAAGCGATCCTCCGGCCTCGGCCTCCCCAGTAGCTGGGACTACAGGCGTGCAGGGCCCGGCTAATTTATTTTTTGTAGAGATGTGGTATCTTTTGTTGCCTGGGCTGGTCTGGAACTCCTGGCCTCAAGCGATCCTCCCGCCTTGGCCTCCCAAAGCGTTGGGACTACAGGCGTGAGCCACCGGCCAGAGTTTTCTGAGCCCCCTGGAGATCTATGCGGGGGTGGGGGACAAGGGGGTCTGGCAGAGGCGGTGAAAGAATCTGACCTTTGGTAAAAGGCCACTCCTACCGCCCCTTCCCTGGTGGGCTGCGGAAGGCTGGGGAGGAAGCATGAACGGCAGCTGGAGACTGTCTCCGTGCTCAGGATGCCGGGCGGCGGCGGCGGCGGGGTCGAAGCGAGATGAGTCTCAGGTGTGCGAGCACCGCGGGCTGTGGACGAGAGGCCCGGGCGGGCGGCGGTGCCATTCACCGAGAAGGGCGCACAGCAGGTGGCTTGGTTCCGTCCCAGGAGGTTTCAGCCCAGGCTGCGCCGCGGCCCGGGTGGCCCCTGTCCCGCCGCGGGCGTCCCCAGGCGCTGGCCGCACGGCCTCGCCCCGCCGCCCTCCGAGCCGCGGAGACCCCAGAGCCCGGCTCTCCACCCGCCGCGGAGCGCACGACCCCGTCTGGTGGGGCGCGGGTCCTGAGGCTGCGCTCGGCCTTGGGCGGCAGCCGCCTCGGATCCCCACAGGACTCGGTGACCCAAAACGCCCTGGCGCGGGCAGGGGGCGAACTCTGGTTCATTCTTTCAACGCGACAGTCTCCGAAGGGCTGACGGCAGCAGAGACCCACTCTGCGGGGACCCCCGGGCCGGGGTTGGCAGCAGCGCTGCGCGTCGGGCGCGGGCGGCCCAGGCTGGCGGGGTCTACCGCGCCCGGCTCCAGCCTCTGTCCCCAGCCTGGAGAACCGAAGCCGAGCGGCCCGTGGGCCCCGAGCCGTGCCCGCCGAGGCCAGACTCGCGCCGCACCCGGGCGGGGCCGGCGTCCTCGCGGGGACCCTGGGGGACCGGGGAGCGGGCCGCGGGGTGCAAAGGCACGGCCGCCCTGGCGACGCCCCTCCCTGCACGGTGACCCAGCCTCCCTCACAGCAGCGGCGTCCCGGCCCCCAACCTACCTGAGCGTGACGCCGGGGTACGGGCGTGGAGCTCGTGCAGCGGAGCCAGGGCGGATGGCGCCCAGGTGCGCGGAGCTCTCGGGGCTCGGGAGTGGGCGGGGCTTCTGGAGGAGGTGGGAATTTGGGGCGGGGTTCTGGCGGGGGCGGGTTTGGGGCCTCCCCGGACCCAGCCGCGGGTCTCCGCAGCGCCGGAGGCTGGACGCACGCGTCCCGCGCCCGGTCCTGGGGTCCGCACGAGCCGGGTCGGGCAGAGGCTGCTCCTCCTCCCCAGGACGCCGGCGCCACACCCGCCCCCCGACGCGTGCGGCGGGACAGAAGCGGAGGCGGGAGTGCTGGGAACAGCCTTTACTGCCCACGCCCTACACGGCGAACATGCGCAGAGCCTCCTCCGCCGAGCGGCACTGGTTCAGCTGGATCTGCACCTCTACGGTCAGGGGCTCAGGGTGGTAATCGCCTTCGTAGATCGGAATCACGGCTTTCGGCTTTTCTGAGAAAATTTAAGTGCGAGCATGAGCCCCGGGAGACGGATGGGCTGGCGTTCTCGGCCGCCCTGACCCATCCCATATGCAAGCCCTGGACCCTGTCCCAGCGGGAGCACAGTTTTGGTCCTCGGGTGTTAACAGTAATAAGAAATAAAATTAAATTGTATTTAATTAGATCATTTAATAAATCGCAGCTGTTTGAGTTGCAAGACTGGCTGCTTTTTGCTTTGAGACAGTGTCGTGCTCCGTCGCCCAGGCTGGAGTGCGGTGGCATGATCCCGGCTCACTGCAACCTCCGCCTCCCAGGTTCAAGCGATTCTCCTGCGTCAGCCTCCAAGTAGCTGGGATTACAGGCGCCTGTCACCACGACCGGCTATTTTTTGTAGTTTTAGTAGAGACGGGGTTTCACCATGTTGGCCAGCCTGGTCTCGAACTCCTGACCTCAAGTGATCCGCCTGCCTAGGCCTCCCAACGTGCTAGGATCACAGGCGTACACTACCGAGCCCAGCTGCAGATATTTTCTTAAAAATGAAGTAATTATAGCACTTCAGGGGAAACAACTGAAAGCATTTCAATAAATGTATAACATTTGCCCTAAAAATGAGACAACATTGTATCTGCCACCATGAATTTACCAATTTTCCAATACGCAAAGACCTTTCTAATGATGTGGGTGGTGATAGTAAAGAACGTGATCTTTGGAAAATGTATAGTGACAGGTGTCAACTGTTGGAATATCTGCATAAGTCTGTTAACCTGTAGTTTACAAGTAACTCATGCATGTTACAAACTGCATGGTAAAATATCCGTTCAAAATGCAAACTAGATTAATGAATTTTAATCTGATTATGAAAAATTCAATATAGATTGTTTTCACATTGTAACAACCTTTAAGAAATTACCACTTGTCAAATTTGGTGTAATATTAAAGAAATTATATTATTTTAAGGTCTATTAAAATACTCCCTCTTTTCCAATTATGGGCCTGAGGTTGGATTTTCTTTGTGCACGTCAATTACAGCAACATATTGCAAGCAGTTGACTGCAGAAGTAGCTGTAAGAATCCAGCTGTCTTCAATTAAGCCAAACATTAAAGAGATTAAAAAAAAAAAAACCTTTTTAAGGCCATCTTAACCCACAGATAAGTATCACAAATCACATGTTCATATAGGCATGGGTTTTGAAGTCCAGCAGCATATGCCCTCCAACGTTTACTTCTTCAGGCTGGCGTGAAATGGCGCGATCTCAGCTCACTGCCACCTCTGCCTTCCAGGTTCAAGCGACTCTCCTGCCTCAGTCTCCTGAGTAGCTGGGATTACAGGCACCCACCACCGCACCTGGCTAATTTTTGTGTTTTCAGTAGAGACGGGGTTTCACCATGTTGGCTAGGCTGGTCTCGAACTCCTCACCTCAGGTGATCCGCACGCCAAAGTGCTGGGATTACAGGCGTGAGCCACCATGTTGGGCCTGTTTCCACTTTTCGGCTTCAGTATGATGGGTTGCTCTGCTATGATCGGGCCTCATGCTTTTTGCAGCCACCTCCCACGGCACTCCCTGTCTCCTTTCTCTCCCTCCCAGTTGGTTGTTCTTTCTGAACCTCAAACCTGAGACGCACCCATTTCAGATGCTTCTCCAGCTCCCCACAGGACAAGCCCAGGCCCCTCTTACAGCAAATAAGGGCCGATGGCCTGAAGCTGGAGGCAGACACCTCGGAACCAGATGAGCCCCAGGCAGCCCCAGCTCCAAGCTCTTGCCCCGCTATGGCTCTACCACAGGTGCCTTCCCCACCCTGGTCACCACCCACACAGGCCCTGTGGTCTGAGGGCTGCAGAGAAGAAATAATAACACTGGATCTAAGGGGGGATGTGGCCTCTCCCCAGGCCAGAAGCTACCATTCCCCACCCTTTGGTTCCTTTGGCCTCCCCCAGGGCTGGCCCTCAGCAGGTCCTCCTGACAATCCCTGCCTTTGGTCACCACCATCGGCACTCACCTTTTTTGGCAACTTTCTTAATCTTCTTTGAATCCTGAGAGAAAGAACCACAAAACGAGATGCTTACTGGAGAGGGGAGGTACTAGAGAAGGGGTGTCTCTGGGGCCCCACCTCCTCCAAGGCTCTGACAGGTCCAGGAAGGCGGGGGTCTCCTGGTGAGGGTGGCTGCCCCAGCCCATCCCCAAAGGGAAGGCTGCTGACTGGGCCAAAGTCCACGGAGGCGCCCTCTGTGCAGGCGGCAGCACCAGCAGCCCAGCTGCATGCCCCAGGGAAAGGCCCTCCCCACCACCTCCTCCCCATCCCGTGACCTGGGCCCACAGCCCTTGCTTGCCCGCGGGGTTCCCATGGGGAGGGCGAAGGCAGAGGTGGAGGATGTGGCTAGGGCCCGGCTGTACCCTGGCCAACGTCAGCCTGTCAGATGTCAATGTGCGGACCACGCCGAAGTTGCACACGGTGGACACCAGGGGCTCCCCGGCGAGCAGGGGCTCCAGGATCACCAGGCCCCGGCCCAGCACCTGGAGGATGGGGGGGTCCTGCCGGAGCTCCTTGGGCGGCTCTTTCTTCTTCTTCAGCACCTTCCACTCCTGCGACGACGGGAGGACAGGAGGGTGGGACAAGTTGAAGCAAGGGTGTGGCCAGGCTGCCCTCCCCAGCACCAAGGCCCGGTACCTTGGCCGGCTCTTTCTCTCCTTTCCCCGTCCTGTCTTTCTCCTTCCCTTTCTTGTCTTTCTCCCCCTTTCCTTTCTTGGCAGACAGGGGACTGTCAACAGCAGGTAGCACCACAGGCCAGGAGAGAATCTAGGGGCAGGAGAGAATCCTCGAGTGAGCAGAGGCCCAGGCGGGCTGCCTGGGGTCACCTCTCCCTCACCCTTTCTGGAATGGCGCTGAGAACTCATCTAACCAGGGAGTGCGGCTCCCATGGGGGACAGCCCGATGGGAACAGGAACAAGGACAGAAGTGCAGCCTGTGGATGGCCGGGCACTGCCTCCGCCTGCCCACCTTCTCCTCCACGATGGTCACGGTGGTCCCCGCCAGCAGGAAGGCCTTCAGTGGGACCAGGTCCCTGAGAGAGTGCTGCATCTCGTAACTGCAGGGGATGACCTCAGCCCAGGGCTTGTGGGCAGTGCTGAAGAGGACAGTCCTTGGGGAGGGAGGGATGAAGACGGGGGTGCCGTCACCCAGGGGCTGTGGCCAGGGACCCGGGACAGGACTGTGAGGGGACATCCGAGGAGACCACGAGCATCGAAGCCCACAAACAGCATGAGACGTGAGGTCCGGCTGCCACCAGGCAGGGCAAGGGGACCAGAAGGCCAGAAAGGTGTGGATACAGAGGAGACAGCAAAAGAAAGGCAAGTGGAGCCCTCCTTCAGAGGCAGGACCACCCTGAGCAACTGAAAGAAACCAACCGAAAGGCAGCAAGAGTTGTTTGTTAAAAGTTCAGCAAAGGGCTGAGCGTGGTGGCTCTGGCTTCTAATCCCAGCACTTTGGGAAGCCGAGACAGGAGGATCGCCTGAACCAAGGAGTTCGAGAGCAGCTTGGGCAACATATCGAGACCCCGTTTCTACAAAAAATACAAACATTAGCTGGGCGTGGTGGCACATGGCTGCAGTCCCAGCTACTTTGGGGGCTGAGGTAGGAGGATTGCTTGAGCCCAGGAAGTCAAGGCTGCAGTGAGCCATGTTCATGCCACTGTACTCGATCCCGGGCGACAAAGTGAGACCCTCCTGCAGGAGAAAAAAAAAAGCAGAGGCCGGGCAGGGTGACTCACGCCTGTAATCCCAGCACTTTGGGAGGCAGAGGCAGGCAGATCACGAGGTCAGGAGATCGAGACCATGCTGGCTAACACAGTGAAACCCCGTCTCTACTAAAAATACAAAAAATTAGCCAGGCGTGGTGGCATGTGCCCGTGGTCCCAGCTACTCAGGAGGCTGAGGGAGGAGAATCGCTTGAACCTGGGAGGTGGAGGTTGCAGTGAGCTGAGATCGCGACAGTACACTCCAGCCTGGGTGACAGAGCAAGACTCCGTCTCAAAAAAAAAAAAAAAAAAAAAAGCTGAAACAATTCTAGCCTAGCCCCAGGCTAGAACACAGAGGGGACTGGAGTTTCCTAAGTCTCAGAACACCATGGCAACCCTGAAGCAGCATCCCACTCAGGAAGTGATTTAACATAAATTGTTCTACCAATTGGATCACAGCATGAAGGAGAATTAATAATATACTCCAACAAATTTAAAGTATGTCCAAGTTGAACGTTGAACCTGGGAGGTGGAGGTTGCAGTGAGCCGAGATCGCGCCACTGCACTCCAGCCTGCTGACAGAGCAACTCTGTCTCAAAAAAAAAAAAAAAATCGTGAAAGTACATATGACAATAATAACTGGTTTGAAACATAGTGATATGGGCCGGGCTCAGTGGCTCATGCCTGTAATCCCAGCACTTTGGGAGGCCGAGGTGGGCGGATCACTTGAGGCCAGGAGTTCAAAACCAGCCTGGGCAACATAGTGAAACCCCATCTCTACTAAAAAATACAGAAAAATTAGCCGGGTGTGCTGGCGGGAGCCTGTAAGCCCAGCTACTTGGGAAGCTGAGGCAGGAGAATCACTTGAACCTGGGAGGTGGAGGTTGCAGTGAGCCGAGATCGCACCACTGCCCTCCAGCCTGGGTGACAAGAATGAAACCCCATCTCAAAAAAAAAAAAAAAAAAAAAAAGGAATGAAGCACTGATACTTATTACACCGACCACAGATGAGCCTTGAAAACATGATGCTCAGTGAAAGAAGCCAGACACAAAAGGCTATGTATTTTGTGATTCCATCCATATGAAATATCCAGAACAGGCAAATCCACAGAGACAGAAAGTACTTTAATGGTTGCCTTGGACTAGAGGGATGGGGAATCGAAGGTGACGCCTAATGGGTACCTTTCTGGGGTGATGGAAACGTTCTGGAATTAGACTGTGGTAATGGTTGCGCAACTCTGTGAATACACTAAAAACCACCGACTCATACGCTTTAACATGAACGTTATGATATATTAACTATATCTCGGCCGGGCGCAGTGGCTCATGCCTGTCATCCCAGCATTCTGGGAGGCTGAGGCAGATGAATCACTTAAGGTCAGGAGTTCTGGTCTCGAACTCTCCTGGCCAACACGGTGAAACCCTGTCTCTACTAAAAATACAAAAATTAGCCGGGCATGGTGGTGGGCACCTGTAATTCCAGCTACTCAAGTGGCTGAGGCAGGAGAATCGCTTGAACCCGGGAGGCGGAGGTTGTGGTGAGCCGAGAGCACACCACTGCACTCCAGCCTGGGCAACAAGAGTGAAACTCCATCTCAAAAAAGAAAAAAGAAAAAGAAAAATTGTACTTCTCAGGTTAAAGAAATGTTAGACCCTCCTGAATAAAAAATGGCATGAAAAAAAAACCCCAAACCAGTGATAACATATGTACATGAATGATACAAATATATAAAGGTTAGCACTCAACAATCTACCGGAGAAGTGAGTAGAAGAGTTGAAAGTCTGTCTGCACACTGTCATCTTCTCCACTGCAGTCATCTTCCTCAAATGGAAACCTGATCTCATTACTCCTCTGCTTGAAAACTTCTTACTAGTTTCCCCTTGGGAGAAAGGGTCTTTTTCTCTGTCTCTCTGCAGCCCTATCTCTTGCCAATCCCTGCCTTCCTCCATAGTTAACCTTCTTTCTACCATGCCTCCTGTGAGAAACAGTTTAAATGGTCCATTTTCAAGGCATAAAAAATCTGAGTACTGGCAGCCAACCTTGCGGACGTGACGAACCTCACGACTCAGGCACCTAGAAAGTCACACTTAGCGAACAGGATGTAGAGGAGGGGTCAGCCCATGAAAGGGGGCCAGGCGCGGTGGCTCACACCTGTAATCCCAGCACTTGGGAGGCTAAGGTGGGTGGATCACCTGAGGTCAGAAGTTTGAGACCAGCCTGGCCAACGTAGTGAAACTCTGTCTCTACTAAAAATACAAAAAAAAAATTGGCCAGGGGTGGTGACATGCATCTGTAATCCCAGCTACTTCAGAGGCTAAGGCAGGAGAATTGCTTGAACCCAGGAGCCAGAGGTTGCAGTGAGCCAAGATCACACCACTGTACTCTAGCCTGGGCGACAAGAGCAAAACTTAAGTGGGGAAGGAGACGGGGTATGACCTTATTAGGGGATAATGATACTTGGGCGACACCCAGGAAGATTGTAACCCCATAGTACTTGACCAATGAGGAACTGGGGGAGGGACTTGCCCACTAGGAGATAAATGACCTGTCGTGACTGCCCCAGTGTTCCTGCCTACCAGACACCTGATCTTCCAAAACTGCCATGAAAAGTCTCATTTCCGCTGTTCTTCGTGTCTCTGAGTCTGTTCTTTGGGTTTGGATGGGTGAATGTGTTTCCCACACTTTCTAAGTCTATGTGCCCATCCTAGGGGCAGAGATTTGTCCTGTACTTCCTCTGACGTACCACTTGTGACATTAACATATGTAATTACTGTTTGTTCATTTCCCTCATGAAAAGGTAAGTGCCCAAATAGAACAGATTTTTTTTTTTTTTTGAGACAGAGTCTTCCCAGGCTGGAGTGCAGTGGTGCAATCTCGGCTCACTGCCACCTCCACCTTCCGGGTTCCAGTGATTCTTCTGCCTCGGCCTCCTGAGTAGCTGGGATTACAGGCATGTGCCACCATGCCCAGATAATTTTTTATATTTTTAGCAGATACAGGGTTTCACCATGTTGGCCAGACTGATCTCAAACTCCTGACCTCAAGTGATCTGCCTGCCTCGGCCTCCCAAACTGCTGGGATTACAGGCATGAGCCACTGTGCCCAGCCCTCTAGAACAGACCATTTTCCATCTGATTTGTTGTTTGTAATCCCGATACCTGGCATCACACCTGCACCTGGAAATGGTATGTGGATGACTGGCGTTTGCTAATTGTTGAACTTGGGAAATTACATATGGCAAATAATTGTATGGAAAATATAAAGGCTTACAAGTAAACTAAGGAATATAACTTAAGACAATTTAAAATAAATCTATTAGACTGCAAAAATAAAATGTATGTTTAGAAAATCAATGTGGAAATTCTGTTTTAGGACGTGGTAGACTAGACTATACTGGACAAACCTTCCTGCTGAGAACAGTCATATCAGCTTGACACAATATTAACATTATCTGTTGAAGGTGCTGAAGAGCCAAGTCACTGAGAATTTTCAGGGCCAACATCAGGGCAAAGGGGAACAGTCAAAGAGAATGAGCTTAGTGCCACATTAATGCTCAAGAGCCAAATCCAAAAGTGGTGGCTGAGAAGCTAAAGAGAACTTTAGGCAACCTCATGGGCGCTAGGGGAACAAAAATTTGTGTTCAAAGCCCTCCAAGGAGGTGGGCCCCTGGTAAACACTCCAGGTTTCCCTTGGGTTTTCTGAAGAGCTACTAGAAGAACACATAATAGAAGTGCTAGAAGGAGAGGAGATAGAAAAAGGAACAGAGAAAAATACTTGAAGGATAACGGCTGAAAACTTCCAAAATTTGATTTAAAACG
Source organism: Homo sapiens (assembly GCF_000001405.40). NCBI lineage: Eukaryota > Metazoa > Chordata > Mammalia > Primates > Hominidae > Homo > Homo sapiens. The sequence goes on along the minus strand of NC_000012.12, from coordinate 122,195,775 downwards.
TTCATCTATATATTGAAGAAGCTTGGCAAACTCCAGGCAGGATAAATGCAAACACATCCATACCCAGAGACATCATAGTAAAAATGCTGAAAGACAAAGTGAAAATCCTGAAAGCAGGAAGAGAAAAATGACTCATGACAGACAAAGGAATCCCAATAAGATGAACAGCTGAGTTTTCATCAGAAACAATGGAGGCCAGTAGGCAGGCTGGCGACATATTCAAAGTTCTAGGGTAGGCCAGGCATGGTGGCTCACACCTGTAATCTCAGCATTTTGGGAGGCTGAGGCGGATGGACCACTTGAGCTCAGGAGTTCAAGACCAGCCTGGCCAACACTGTGAAACCCCGCCTCAACTAAAAATCAGCTGGGCATGGTAGTAGGTGCCTGTAATCCCAGCTACTTGGGAGGCTGAGGCAGGAGAATTGCTTGAACCCAGGAAGCAAAGGTTGCAGTGAGCCAAGATCCAGCCACGGCACTCCACCCTGGGCAACAGGGCGAGACTCCCTCTCAAAAAAAAAAAAATGTTCTGGGGTAGCAGGGGAAAAGAAAAACACCAAAACTGTCAACCAACAATTCTAGACCCAGCAAAACTATCTTTGAAAATTGCAGGTGAAATAAAGACATATGAAGAGAAAGAAAAAACTGACTTTGTTGCCAGTAGATTTGCCTTACACGAAACATGAAAAGAAGTTGAATACATGAATACATTAACTTCCTGAAGGAAGTTCTTCAGGCTGAAAGGAAGTAACACCAGAGGGTAATTCAAATTCACATAAAAAACAAAGATCACCAATAAAGGTAATCATGTAGGCAAATACAAAAGACAGTATAGTCATATATTTCTTGTCCTTGGTTCTAATTAGAATAAAATGCAATAGCATAAGACAACATCTATAAAATTGTAGTTTGGGCTATAACATGTAGAAATGTAATATATTTGACCATAACAACATGAAGGAAATGGGGGTGAGAATGAAGCATACTGGAGCAAGAAAATGACACCAAGCCCAGGCATAGTGCCCCACATCTGTAATTGCAGCACTTTGGGAGGCTGAGGCAGTAGGATTGCTTGAGATCAGGAGTTCAAGACCAACCTGGTCAACATCGAGAGACCCCACCACAAAAAAGAGAGAAAGGAAGAAAGAGGGAGGGAGGGAATGAAACCAGAAAGTAAATCCTTTTTTCTTTTCTTTTCTTTTTTTTTTTTTTGAGACGGAGCTTCTTTCTTATTGCCCAGGGTGGAGTGGAATGGTGCAATCCTGGCTCACCGCAACCTCTGCCTCCTGGGTTCAAGCAATTCTCCTGCCCCAGCCTAAGTAGCTGGGATTACAGCTGGGATTAGTCACCACTCCTGGCTAATTTTTTGTATTTAGTAGAGATGGTGTTTCACCATGTTGGTCAGGCGGGTCTCGACCTCCTGAGGTGATCTGTCCACCTCAGCCTCCCAAAGTGCTGGGATTACAGGCATGAGCCACAACAGTAAATCAATTCTAAAGGAAGACATGAATTCATGGTTCCCCAGAAATGGTAACTAAGAAGGTTAACAAGCTTAAAAAAAAAAACAACTTTATATTTGTGCTCTCCTTTCTTCTCTGCAAGACATGGATTATATAAAGCAGTAATTATAACAATGTATTGTTGGGTCTGTAACATATTTATGTTTATAATAAAATTAATATTTATAACAATTACTCTACAATCTTCATAACAAAAGTAGCACAAAAAAGAGAGAAGGAATGGAGCTAGACTGGCAAGAAAGAACATGGTATACAGGATGGAAGATCCTTACAGCACTTTATGTGTGAGAATACATCTTAGATGGATTAAAATGTTAAACCAAAAAAGGTTTTCACACCCAAGGGCTGAAATGAAAAGGGCTATTAATTTATCATGTCTCGATCGACTCAAGAAATTCAGGCTGGGCGCGATGGCTGACGCCTGTAATCCCAGCACTTTGGGAGGCTGAGGCGGGCAGATCACTTGAGACCAGGAGCTCAAGACCAGCCTGGTCAACATGGTGAAACCCCATCTTTACTAAAACTATAAAAATTAGCTGGGCATGGTAGCACATGCCTGTAGTCCCAACTGTAGGCTGAGGCACAAGAATTGCTTGAATCCGGGAGATGGAGGATGCAGTAAGCTGAGATCGCACCACTGCACTCCAGCCTGGGTGACAGAGTGAGACTGTCCCCGCCAAAAAAGAAATTCAATCATTCCGAAAATCTTGGCTGGTCAGGGAAGTGGGACTCAGTTGTACTTTGAGTAGATGGTTAGAGTAGAAGGATTTAGCTAAGTTGAACCCTCCAGAGAAGAGGGCTGAACACGAAATCTAAATGCCGCCAGCACAGCTAACAGTCTAGTGGGCCTTTTTTTTTTTTTTTTTTTTTTTTTTTTATGAGACGGAGTCTCGCTCTGTCGCCGGGCTGGAGCGCAGTGGCACGATCTCGGCTCACTGCAAGCCCCGCCTCCTGGGTTCACGACATTCTCCTGCCTCAGCCTCCCGAGTAGCTGGGACTACAGGCGCCTGCCACCACGCCTGGCTAATTTTTTCGTATTTTTAGTAGAGACGGGGTTTCACCATGTTAGCCAGGATGGTCTCGATCTCCTGACCTCGTGATCCGCCCGCCTCTGCCTCCCAAAGTGCCGGGATTACAGACGTGAGCCACCGCGCCCCGCCAGCCTCAGGACTTTTAATGGAAGGTCGCAGTGTGGTCTAGGCTCGTGACCCTACTGCTCTGACCACTTGCCCTGGTTCAGATTTCCATCCTTACCCTGGGGACGGGCAGAGCCGGGGATCTATACGCAGCCTCAACTTGGCCAGCTCTTCTGCAGAGGCCCTCGGCATCTGCAAGATGGTCGAAGGCCCCGAGATGACAGACAGCTCCGACTCTCCTGACTCCTCCACCTCAGACTCCAGAGACCCTTCGACCTCTTCAGTAACCTCTTCAACAATGTCTTCGATGACGTCTTCCACGACCTCTTCAGGAGATTCCTCAACTAATAATTCTAAGCTGGGAGAGGGCTTGACGATCTGCAGGAAGAGACAGAAACTCGTCCAAGGCTGCCGTCTTCAGGATGTGCTCAGCTGATGCCGGGGGTGTCTGTAACACAGCTCCCGACATCTGGATGAGGTTCACGCATGAGCAGACACACCACGCTAGGAGGCAGGAAGGCGCTTAGAAACCCACTTTTGTCTTTTCTGAAAGACCTACATTAAGAGTAAAAGCAAGAACCACTTCTATGTGGGAGGAGGAGACAGGTTTCTCCTGGTTGGATGGTATCCTTGGGTTTTCTTCTGATGTGGAGGGAGATGGGAGGAGTTGTAGAAATTGCAGAATGGGGCTAGGCGCGGTGGCTCACGCCTGTAATCCCAGTACTTTGGGAGGCCGAGGCAGGCGGATCACGAGGTCAGGAGATCCAGGCCATCCTGGCTAACATGGTGAAACCCCATCTCTACTAAAAATACAAAAAATGAGCCAGGTATGGTGGCGCGAGCCTGTAATCCCAGCTACTCAGGAGGCTGAGGCAGGAGAATCACTTGAACCCAGAGGCAGAGGTTGCAGTCAGCCGAGATTGCGCCACTGCACTCCAGCCTGAGCGACAGAGCGAGACTCCATCACACACACACACAAAAAAGAAATAAATTGCAGAATGGGGCTGGGAACAAGGGGCTGACTTATGAAATGCCGGGTGGCTCTCTTGTTAGGCTCAGATTTTAAGGGGGCAAGGGGAGTGTGCATGGTTGAAAATTGCTCTAGCTGCAAGAAAGAGGCTGAGCTGAAGCCAGGTCCTTGCATGAATCACCAGATTCCACATTAAGAATCTTTCTTGGCCAGCGCGGTGGCTCACACCTGTAATCCCAGCACTTTGGGAGGCCGAGGATCACTTGAGCTCAGGAGTTCCAGACCAGCCTGGTCAACAAGGTGAAATCTCATCTCTACTAAAAATACAAAAATTAGCTGGGCCTAGTGGTGGGGACCTGTAATTCCAGCTACTGGGGATCTGAGGCAGGAGAATTGCTTGAACCCAGGAGGCAGAGGTTACAGTGAGCTGAGATTACGCCATCGCACTCCAGCCTGGGTGACAGAGCGAGACTCCTCCTCAATAAATAAATTAATTAATTAATTAAAAGGATTTTCCTGGGGCCCACAAAGCAGTTCAGCCTTCACAAGAGCCCCCCATACTCCTAGGGACAGACCAGGGCACACCTCGGCCAGGACGCCCGCGGACTCATTCATTTCGCCTTCTTCATCTTTCACAAAATCATAGGTCACGTAATAGTTGTAAGTGATGAAAGGGCCTTCGGGCCTGGGTTCCGGGTCTAAGACAGAGGTGTCCAGGACTCCTCTGATGTTTCCGATGGTCACCACAAACTGCGCCTCCTGTGCCAAGAGATCTGCAGGGAGGAATGGGCAGGACAGGGGGGCCCATGGAATGGAAGTTGGCAGATAGAAAGCAAGAGGGCTGGGAAGGCACGGGTCCCTAGATTCTCTCCAGCACTCAGGGCTGAGCCTTGGTGGGGCGGTCAGGTTCATGTCACAGCTCTGGCAAGCTGGCCTGGAGTGATCCAGGTGTCATTATACCCCTCTTCAGCCTTGTTTTCCTGATCTGTATATGGGAGTGATAAGGGCTACTCTGCAGGTCACCTTAGCATTATCTAGCACGTCACAGTGACCTGGAGAAGCCTCCGGTGCACCTTGCGGCATGAACCACAAGGGGGTGATCTCAAGCCACCAGGGAGGTGAAGAAGCTGATTGAAATAACTGTCCCAAGTCCCCACAGGTTGTTTTGACTTTTTATTTTTTTTAGAGACGGGGTCTCGCTCTGTCGCCAGGCTAGAGTGCAGTGGTGAGATGATAGCTCACTGCAGCCTCCACCTCCTGGGCTCAAGTGATCCTCCCACACCACCTTTTTTTTTTTTGTCTTGCTCTGTCACCTAGGCTAGAGTACACTGGTGTCATCTCGGCTCACTGCAGCCTCCACCTCCCGGGTTCAAAAGATTCTCGTGCCTCAGCCTCCTGAGTAGCTGGGATTACAGGCACTTGCCACCATGCCTGGCTAATTTTTGTATTTTTAGTACAGACGAGGTTTCACCATGTTGGCCAGGCTGGTCTCAAACTCCTGACTTCAAGCGATCTGTCTGCTTCAGCCTCCCAAAATGCTGGGATTACAGGCGTTAGCCACCGCGCCCGGCCTCCCCCTATCACTTCTGTCTCCAAATCCCAATCACAGGAATCAAAGCCTGGTGGAAAGCTCTGACCCAGAAGAGAGGCTATACCTGAATAGGGTCTGGGTCAAATGGGGAGTTGCAGGACAGACGGGTACACGGACCCAGGAGGGCGGGGCACAGCCAGGCGCAGGCTGGGGTGTCACATGCCACCCCCTCCCTGCATGCCAGTACCCTCACCGCCATTGAGGCTGAGCCCCCGGAAGAGATGCTTCTCATTGGGAGACACGGTGATGTCGTCCAGCACGCAGAGCTGGGCCAGGCTGTCGATGGTGAGGCCGCGGTAGTAGGGCACCAAGGCCAGTGGGTTTCCCTGCAGCACCAGGAGTCGCAGGTGCCGGAGGGTCCTCAGGCTGGTGACCATGCTCTGCAGGTCTGTCAGGTCGTTGAAGCCCAGGTCCAGGGAGACGAGGTTGGGCCTGGAAGGTGAGCAGGACCGTCTGGGGGTCAAGAAGCCAGGTGAGCAGGGGGCAAGCAGCCTGTGGCCAAAACGGACGGGGAGCCTGGGGCTAAGGATTCTGCCCATCCACGGCCTGCACCCCTGTCCTACCCTTGACCCAAGTTAACCCCGGGTCGGGAACGAGTGCCTGGCTCTTCATCTCCACTCTCCGTAGCACTGCCACCCTCACAGTTGGAGTCACAGAGACGCCCCCACCGACCTCCCTTCACGGGGCTCCTCTCTTCTTGGCCAAACCTCTCAGTAGCTTCCACAGAGCCTCGCGCACTGCGTGCGTCTAGGAGGCTCTGCACAAATAGTACAGGCAGACTGGACGGCACAGCAGGGGACAGCCACCGTGGGGGAGTTGTGGACAGGGCAGGAGTGGACAGGGCAGGAGTGGGGTTGATGCTGGGGAGTGGGAGGAGGGAGCCAGAGGCTGGAGGGCTGGGCGGTCTAGAAGCAGGAGATGGCTTCTCAAAGCCAGACTGGGGCGGGACCCCAGGAGGAAAGGGGCCTGGGAGGGGCCTGCAAAGAGCACGGGCCAAGGCCTGTGGCCAGACCAAGACACAGGGCAGGGGCAGGGTGACTTTCCTGCTGCCACAAACTAGAAAGCAAATTGATCTCGGCTCTGAGAACAGAAGAAAAACACAAGCGGCCGCTGTCAGCACAGCATCTCCCAATCCCAGCCTCACTCTTCCCCTAAGAGCAGAAGAGAAGGGGAGGAAGAGGAAACCAGGGTCAGAGAGGGGGCTTCCCTTCCCTGCTGCGTCCGCCCGCTCCAGGCATGTAGAGGGTTGGACCCCCCAAGGGCATGCCCTCCAGGTTCCTCGGGGGAAGGAGAGAGGGGAGGTGGTTCTACCCCTTCCATCCTTGCTGGGCTGCTGAAGTCCTGGGACTTCTCACAGCATGTTTTGCAAAGCCTTCCTCTCCCAGCTTCCTTTGATGGCTTTTTCTGGGTGGTCTCTGATCCCCTCCTACCCCTCAGGTCCAGGATGTTAAGTTTTCTACCGCTCACCCACTGAGGAGATCAAGTTGAATATCAACTGGGAGCTGAACCATCTGCAGGCTCCTAATGAGCCTGAACCTTCAATAGCGATGGAGCGGCTGGCGCTAGGGCTTGGTTCCAGGGTGGTGGTTCTCAGCTTGGGGGGATTTTGCTGCTCAGGGGACATCAGGCTCAGACAAAAACTGTCTGGAGACATTTTTGTTTGTCACAACTAATGGGGAAGTGCTCCTGGCATCTGCGGGTGCAGGCCAGGTATGCTGCTCAATATCCCACCATGCCCAGGACAGCCCCACATCAAAGGGTGATGGGGTTCCGATGCCAACGAGCCCAAGGTGAGCAACCCTCCTCTAAAATACGGCACCAGGCCAAGTGCGGTGGCTCACGCCTGTAATCCCAGCACTTTGGGAGGCCAAAGTAAGTGGATCACTTGAGGTCAGGAGTTCGAGACCATCCTGGCCAACATGGTGAAACCCCGTCTCTACTAAAAATACAAAAATTAGCCAGGTGTGGTGGTGGGTGCCTGTAATACCCGCTACTTGGGAGGCTGAGGCAGGAGAATTGCTTGACCCTGGGAGGTGGAGGTTGCAGTGAGCCGAGATCACGCACAGCACTCTAGCCTGGGCAACAGAGTGAAACTCCATCTCAAAAAAAAATTAAAATAAAAAATTAAAATAAAAAAATTAAAATAAAAAAATTAGGCCGGGCACAGTGGCTCACGCCTGTAATCCCAGCACTTTGGGAGGCCGAGACGGGCGGATCACGAGGTCAGGAGATGGAGACCATCCTGGCTAACACAGTGAAACCCCGTCTCTACTAAAAATACAAAATAATTAGCCGGGCATGGTGGCGGGTGCCTGTAGTCCCAGCTACTCGGGAGGCTGAGGCAGGAGAATGGCGTGAACCCGGCAGGCGGAGCTTGCAATGAGCAGAGATGGCGCCAATGCGCTCCAGCCTGGGCGACAAAGCGAGATGCTGTCTCAAAAAAATAAAAAAATAAGATAAAAAAATTAAAAAATTAAAATACGGCACCAAAGCAAAGGCTCTGACTCACACCTACTACCTCTTGTTCTCCTTCCCCGGGCTTTTTGTTTACAAAATCCCACTGAAGGGGGATTCAGAGAAATAAACCATAAGTCTGGATTTAGCAGCCAACTGGGAGTTACAAAAAAGACCAAAGCTGAGTTCTCAAGCCACTGGGGTAGAATCGCCCCAACCTGATACTTAATCCCTCCCTCTCACTTTCCATCTGGGCTCCCGAGTTACCAGTGATTAGCGGTGACGTAGAGACTTTCCAAGGGGCCTAGAAGTTTGTTGTGGCCTAACCCCAAGTGCTGCAGGCCGGCGGGTGGGTGGGCACACAGACACTCCATGCTGCTGATCTCATTGCCGTAGAGCTCCAGCACCTGGGAGACCACACGGAAGGCCCGGGACGATGGGGCCCCAAGTCAGCGCTGAGGATCAGGCCCCTCCCCTCTGTCCCGCAAAACTTAGTAGAGGAATCACAAACTACTCACACCTGGCCTCCCTGGCACCACCCCGACTCCCTTTTAAAAACCCAGGAAGAAAAGATTCCTGCAGCAGGTCTTGGGAAGTTTCTTTTCCTTTTGTGAAAGACACTTCAACATCTGGAATGGGGGGTGATGCTGGATTGGCAGTGGGGGAGCTGCATAACATCTGGCACCTTCTCAACCCATAGGAATGCGTCTCTGGGAGGCCAAAAGGGCTCCTAGATGGATAAGGAATAAATCCAAAGCTAACCTTCCTTGCTTGTAGTTCTTATCCACGGCCTCACCCACCTTTTTTTGTTGTTGTTTGCTTGTTGGTTTGGGTTTTTTTAATTTTTATTTATTTATTGTTTATTTATTATTATTTTGAGGTGGAGTCTCGCTCTGTTGCCCAGGCTGGAGTGCAGTGGCACAATCTTGGCTCACTGCAACCTCCGCCTCCTGGGTTCAAGCGATTCTCCTGCCTCAGCCTCCTGAGTAGCTGCTATTACAGGCACCAGCCACGACGCCTGGCTAATTTTTGTATTTTTGTAGAGGGGATATTCCTATGTTGCCCAGGCTGGTTTTGAATTCCTGAGAACAGGCAATCTGCCCACCTCAGCCTCCCAGAGTGCTGGGATTCAGGCCTACTTCATTCCTTTCTATGAGTGAATAGCATTCTATTGAATGGATAGACCACTTTGAGATGGAGTCACTCTGTCGCCCAGACTGGAGTGCAGTGGCACAGTCTCGGCTCACTGCAACCCTTGCCTCCTGGGTTCAAGCAATTCTCCTGTCTCAGCCTCCCAAGCAGCTGGGACTACAGGCGCATGCCACCACACCCGGCTAATTTTTGTATTTTTAGTAGAGATGGGGTTTCGCCATGTTGGCCAGGCTGGTCTCAAACTCCTGACCTCAGGTGATCCACCTGCCTCGGCCTCCCAAAGTGCTGGGATTACAGGTGTGAGCCACCGCGCCTGGCCTGTCCACATTTTTTTGTTTATCCATTCATCTGTTTATAGACCCTTGAGTTGTGTCCACCCTTCTGCTATTGTGAGTAACGCAGCTCTGAACTCTGGAGTACAAGAATCTGGCTAAATCCCTGTCTTCAGTTCCTTCATGGATACACCTAGGAATGGAAGCACTGGGTCATATGGTTATTCTATGTTGAACTTTTCTAGGAAAGTGACCTACATTTTAAAAGCCTGGAGCTGGGCCTTACCCTCCACCCATGCTGGCCACACTATGTGGGGCAGGGTAAGGCAAGGCCTCTGGGCAGCGGAGGCCCAAATACTCAACACAGACCGGGGCTCCTTCACCTTGAGTGTGGGGGGCAGATTGGTGGCATCCACCTCCTTGATTCGATTGGCGCTCAGTACCAACTCCTCCAGCTTTAGAAATTTCAGGAGGTCTTTATCCACCAGGGTGACCTGGAAGAGGGGAGAGGAAGCTGAGGGCTGTAGCAGGAGAGGGAGCACGGGCACAGAACCCATGTCCACATTAGGAAGACAGCGGCTCCTCCATCAGAGTTACTTCCCCTCCCTTCCCACCCCCTGCTCCCCGGAAGCCGTTCCTGCACTGCATCGCTCTGCCAGGATCCAAGAGCCTCTCCCAACCTCCATCCTTCCTCTGACCATAGGTGGTGCATGATTTCTAGGCCAATGACCTGTGTCCTTTGTTGGACCATAAGCCACCTGCGAGGGCAGGAACCTCTCTCCTTTCTGTCTACCCCAGAGCCACAGTGAACTCTGGGCACTGAAGTCAGTCAAGGTGTCCAGGAATCACCCAGAGCAGGGTCCGACCAGAAGCTGCAGTGACCCATCCGTGACTCCTCAGTTCCTGTGACCTCAAAGACATCAGGGCCCTTCCCAGCGGGGCCTCGCTTCTCCAGGGCCACCAACTGTGCCAGTCTGTCCAGGACACGAAACCTTCTGCACTGAAACTGAAAGTCCCTGGCAAACTGCTACCAGTCAGTCACCCTATTTGTCCCCTAGTGCCGTGTCACTTCCCAGTGGCTCTGGAAAAAGAAAGCCAAGGGTTGGGAAGGCTGAGACCAAGTTTCCAGGCAATTTTTGGGCTGGCTTGCTGGCTTTATTTATTTATTGAGACAGAGTCTCACTCTTGTTTGCTTGCTTGCTTAATTGATTGAGACAGGGTCTCATTCTGTCACCCAGGCTGGAGTGCAGCGGTGCGATCATGATCACTGCAGCCTCTACCTCCCCACCTCAAGTGATTCTCCTGCCTAAGCCTCTGAGTAGCTGGGGCTACAGGCGTGCACCACCATACCTGGCTAAATTTAAAGATGTTACAGAGGTGGGATCCCACTATGTTGCCCAGGCTGGGCCTCTAACACCTAGACTCACACGATCCTCCTGCCTCAGCCTCCCAAAGTGCTGAGATTACAAGCACCAGAGAGCCACCATGCCGAGACTGGGCTCTGCTACTGATGTAAACAAAGAATGCTTTTTGGTAACAAATTAAAATAGAACTACACCAACCTTCCCCTACCCTGACCCCCACGGTTTAAACGAAGTAAAACTAACACAGACCCTTCAAAAAACCTTTACTAGGACCCAGGAGGGTCCACTGCAGAACTCAGGGGTGGAAGCTGTGCCATGATGGCTTCCAGGGGTAAAGGAAGAAGAAACGCAAGGCTGACCGAGTAGCCGGCCCTGCCTGGCACACAAGCCAGGGAGATGAAGCAGATGGAGGGCAGGCTGGCCTTCGTTTCAGCCCTGAAAGCAGGATCCCTGACGCGCTGTGGGGAAGGGTGCCCTCCCCACAACCTCCCTTAGGGGAGCGGCCACCCTAACATCACCTACCACGTGCCCAGCACTGACCTTCTTGTCTATTACCCGCAGGGACCGGAAGTAGGAGTAGAAGAAGGTGTCTGTGATCGTCAGCGGGTTCCGGATGGCCAATTCTCTCAGGAAACTGTCTTCTGCATTCGAGTTGTTCAGCAGAGCCCAGGGGGAGTGGCGGCTGCGGACCAGGCCCAGCAGGGCCTCCACCGTCTCCTCTCCGGGGCTCACCACATCCTCCTCTCTGGGGACAAGCTCCCTCCAAGTTCGCCAAGTTTGAGGAAGAAAGCGCGACTTATTCTGCAGTGGCAGAGGAGGGATTTTCTGTAGGTGTGACACAGCCCCCTTAAGGACACCAAACTCTCAAAACAGAACAGATCATAAAACTGGACGATTAGGGATAGAGTTTAGAAATCTAGAGAGTAGGCCAGGTGCGGTGGCTCATGCCTGTAATCCCAGCACTTTGGGAGGCTGAGGCAGGCGGATCATGAGGTCAAGAGATCGAGGCCATCCTGGCTAACACGGTGAAACCCCGTCTCGACTAAAAATACAAAAAATTAGCCGGGCGTGGTGGCACGCAACTGTAGTCTCAGCTACTCGGGAGGCTAAGGCAGGAGAATCGTTTGAACCCGGGAGGCGGAGGTTGCAGTGAGCCGAGATCACGCCACTGCACTCCAGGCTGGGTGACAGAGCGAGACTCCGTCTCAAAAAAAAAAAAAAAAATCTAGACAGTGAATAATCAATAATTTTGATGGATTATTAGCCATGGATATAACTACAGATGAGGTGAGATACAAAATAATTAAAAGGTGCCATTCCTTTTAAAAAGGCAGGTGGATCACTTGAGGTCAGGAGTTTGAGACCAGCCTGGGCAACATGGTGAAATCCTGTCTCTACTAAAAATACAATAATTAGCCGGGCATGGTGGCAGGTGCCTGTAATCCCTGCTACTTGGGAGGCGGAGGTTGCAGTAAGTCGACATCGCGTCACTATGCTCCAGCCTGGGCAGTAAGCCTTCCTGGGCCACACCTGGGCGCCCCTCGTGGTTGAAGCCACGGGAGGGAAGGGTCTAGGACTCTGGAGACAGGGAGGCAGGATGGGGGGTAACCCCTTCTCCTGGACTCAAGGTCGCAGGCTTCAGGCTGAGCCACCTCTCACACTGCCTCAGGCTCTTATTAAATGCTCGGAGGCTGGGAAAAGTTGTGGAACTCTTTGCCCAAAACAAAAGCTTTTCACCCCAAAAGGAGCCTGCCCACTAGAAATCTGGGGTGTTGACGTCTTCAAGTCAGGGAGAGGCCCCAGCCCAGGTCAGCTGATGTGCTCAGGACGGGCCCCGCTCTCCTCCCCGCGCAGTGCCCGCGACTCGGGCCCCACCGTCACCCTCAAGCCCCACCCGCCCCCATGTCGGCGGCCCCCAGAATGCGCAGATCCCAGGCCCCAGGGACCAGCCCGCTCCGCTCGCCCGGGCCCGTGCCTCCCCGCAGCCGGTCCAGGCCCCCAGAGTTCCGGCCCCGGCGCCCGCACCCAGCTGCCGGCACCGCACGGGAACTCGCGCAGACACAGCTTCCGCAAGTGCTCGCGCACGGCCGCGCTCACGGTCCCGGTCCCGGGCCGCTGAGTCCCAGGCCCGGCCTCAGACTCGGACTCGGACTCGGACTCGTACGACGCCTCCATGGCCCGGGCCGCGTTGCCCGGCAACCGCTAGGACGCGTGCGCGGGGGCAGGGGCCTCTCCAGGCGCTCTCACCTGCCCCGAGGGAAAAGTCCCCCATCCGGATCAGACAGCCTGGCCCCAACCACCTGCGTTTTCTCTTCTGCCCTCATCTATAAAAATGGGATAACAGCTGGTGGTTCTAAGTGCGGCAGCTCCCGCAGGCAGTAAGCGCCATAGCTGACCTGTTTCTTAGCTCCTGTCAAGCACTCCCCACGGAAAGTCATCCTATACCCATCTGACAGATGGAGAAAGGAGAAGAGGGCCCAAGGTCAAACATCTCGACTCCAACCAGCCAGTGGGTTCCAGGGTGGTCTCTCTAACCCTGGAGTCAGGGATTTTATCACTGTCCACCTGTATAACTGTTTAATCACCCAGACCTCATTTTTTAAATTTTTTATTTATTTTATTTTATTGAGACAGAGTCTCGCTCTGTCGCCCAGGCTGGAGTCCAGTGGCGAGATCTCAGCTCACCGCAATCTCCGTGTCCCGGGTTCAAGCGATTCTCCTGCCTCAGCCTCCCGAGTAGCTGGGATTACAGGCGCGCATGACCACTTCCGGCTTTTTTTTTTTTTTTTTTTTTTTTGAGACCGAGTTTCACTCTTGTTGTCCAGGCTGGAGTGCAATGGCGCGATCTCGGCTCACTGCAACCTCCGCCTCCCAGATTCAACCGATTCTCCTGCCTCAGCCTCCCGAGTAGCTGGGATTACAACCGCCTGCCACAACGCCCCGCTAATGTGTATTTTTAGTAGAGACGGGGTTTCACCATGTTGGCCAGGCTGGTCTCGAACTCCTGACCTCAGGTGATCCACCCACCTCGGTCTCCCCAAGTGCTGGGATTACATACGTGAGCCACCGCACCCAGCCTAATTTTTTGTATTTTAGTAGAGATGGAGTTTCACCATGTTGCCCAGGTTGGTCTCAAACTCCTGGGCTCAGGCAATCCACTGGCCTCAGCCTCCCAAAGTGTTGGGATTACAGGCGTGAGCCACCACGCCCAGCCATGAAGCTTCTTTTATAAGGACATTGATCCCATTCCTGAGGAGCCCCCAAACTTAATCACTTCCCAAAGGGCCCCACGTTTTAATACTATCACACTGGGCATCAGGTTCTGACAAATGAATTTTGGAGGAACACATTAACATCTCTCATTCTTTTTGACTATACGATATCGGGACAACTTTACTGTTATTAGAAAAATTAGGCTGGGCGCGATGGCTCACCCCTGTAAACCCAGCACTTTGGGAGGCTGAGGTGGGTGGATCACCTGAGGTCAGGAGTTCGAGACCAGCCTGATCAACATGGTGAAACCCCGTCTCTACTAAAAATACAAAAATTAGCCAGGCGTGGTGACACATGCCTATAGTCCCAGCTACTTCGGAGGCTGAGGCAGGAGAATTGCTTGAACCCAGGAGGCGGAGGTTGCAGTGAGCCGAGATCACATCACTGCACTCCAGCCTGGGCAACAGAGTGAGACTGTCTCAAAAAAAAAAAAAAATTTATCCAAAACTGGGAGTTAAGGCAAAAAGATGACCATATGTCCTTTCTTTTCCTTTTTTTTTTTTTGAGACGGAGTCTCCCTCTGCCGTCCAGGCTGGAGTGCAGTGGTGCAATCTCGGCTCACTGCAAGCTCCGCCTGCCAGGTTCACGCCATTCTCCTGCCTCAGCCTCCTGAGTAGCTGGGACTACAGGCGCCCGCCACCAAGCCCGGCTAATTTTTTGTATTTTTAGTAGAGACGGGGTTTCACCGTGTTAGTCAGGATGGTCTCGATCTCCTGACCTCGTCATCCGCCCACCTCAGCCTCTCAAAGTGCTGGGATTACATGCATGAGCCACCGGGCCCAGCCAACCATATGTCCTTTCAAAGAAGAAAATATCCTTTTTTTTTTTTGAGGCAGGGTCTCCCTTTGTTATCCAGGCTACTGTGCAGTAGCGTGATCACAGGTCACTGAAGCCTGGACCTCCTGAACTGAAGCGGTCCTCCCACCTCAGCCTCCTGAGTGGCTGGGACTACAGGCATGCATCACCATGCCTGGCTAATTTTTTTGTATTTTTAGTACAGATGGGGTTTCGCCATGTTGCCCAGGCTGGTCTCGAATTCCTGACCTCAAGTGATCCACCCACCTCAGCCTCCCAAAGTGCTGAGATCACAGGCGTGAGCCACCATGCCTGGCTCTCAAAGAATAAAATAAATATCTATGAGTCCATAGTGATATAAATAAATCAAGGAGATGAATCACAGATATGGCTCCTGCAATTTTGATGGAGCAACAGATGGACAATGTGCAGTGAAGGAAGAGAAGACTGAGAGGGGAAATCAAGCATCCTGTTTGGAACAAGTTAAGGTCCAGATGCCAATGGGCGTCTACTGTGTCAAATCAGCCATTGGTTAGGAGTAAGAGCTCAGGAATGAGGTCAGGTCTGGGCAGACCACAGAGCCCAAGATACACAGAAGAGGCCCAGCCAGGAAGCCCTTCCACCCTTCATCCCAAGTCCCCCTGCAGCCAACACTGTCTCTTTTCTCTTCCTTCTCATCCAAGCTTCTTGACACAGTGGTCTATACTCACTTTTTCTTTTTTTCTTTTCTTTTGAGACGGAGTTTTGCTCTGTTGCCCAGGCTGGAGTGCAGTGGCGCAATCTTGGCTCACTGCAACCTCCGCCTCCTGGGTTCAAGCAATTCTCCTGCCTCAGCCTTCTGAGTAGCTGGGATTGCAGGCTCCCGCCACCATGCCCAGCTAGTTTTTGTATTTTTAGTAGAGACAGGGTTTCTCCATGCTGGTCAGGCTGGTCTCGAACTCCTGACCTCAAGTGATCCACCTGCCTTGGCCTCCCAAAGTGCTGGGATTACAGGTGTGAGCCACTCGCCCCTGGCCTATGCTCACTTTTTCCTCACTTCCCAAACCACCACAATATAACTGCCACACCAAAAATTTATTCAAACTCTCCCAGCAAAGTTTCTGTGACCTCATGTTGCCCAATCTAGTGAATCTCCTCAGCCTTTATCTTATTTGACCTCTTCATGGCTTTTGATGATGCCAACCATTTCCTCCTTGAAAAACTGCTTTTCATCTTATTCCATGACAACATGTATTTCTGGTGTTACTTTTCTTTCTCTCTCTCTTTTTTTTTTTTTTTTTTTGAGACGGAGTCTCACTCTGTCACGAGGCTGGAGTTCAGTGGCGCAATCTCGGCTCACCGCAACCTCCACCTTCTGGGTTCAAGCAATTCTCCTGCCTCAGCCTCCTGAGTAGCTGGGACTACAGACACGCGCCACCACACCCAGCTAATTTTTTTGTATTTTTAGTAGACAGGGTTTCACCATGTTGGCCAGGATGGTCTCGACCTTTTGACCTCGTGATCCGCCCGCCTCGGCCTCCCAAAGTGCTGGGATTACAGGTGTGAGCCACCGCACCCAGCCTTCTTTTTCTCTTGAGAGTGCCTTCTCCATGTTCTAGATTAAATCATCATCTTCTCCTTGTCCTGTTAATGGAAGCATGTCCCAGGGCTCCACACGACTTCCACACCTCACACTGCTCATCTCTTACTGGCTTACAGTTTTATCTGCCACAATACCTTGATGGCACCCACATTTACATCTGTAGTTCCTTCCTACACGCTTCAGATCCACACGTCCAACAGCCTACTGTGTGTCTTCAGCTGAGCATCCATAACACTTCCCATTCACTGTGTCAAAAGCTGAATCAGGCCGGGCACGTGGCTTGCACCTACAGTCGCAGCACTTTGGGAGGCCAAGGTGAGTGGATTGCTTGAGCCCCGGAGTTTAAGACCAGCCTAGGCAATAGAGGAGGATCTTATTTCTACAAAAAGTTAAAATTAAAAAGTTAGCCAGGCCTGGTGGTATGCCGTGTGCCTATAACCCCAGCTACTCAGGAGGCTGAGGCGGAAGGATCTCTTGAGCCTGGGAGTTTGAGGCTGCAGTGAGCTGTGATCACACCACTGCACTCTAGCCTAGGTGACAGACTGAGACCTTGCCTCTTAAAGAAAAGAAAACCAAACCAAACCAGCCAACCAACAAGCAAAGAGCCAGAATTCATCACCTCACCCGAGCCCCAAAGGCCTGAGGCCTGTGATCCTCTTCGTTTGTACCAATATCATTTATCCAGTTGCTCAAACCAGAAACCCAGAGGTTGTCCTCAACTCTTCCCTCTCCACCATCCCCATATCCAATCAAACACCACCCTGGCCAGGCACCATGGCTCACGCCTATAATCCCAGCACCTTGGGAGGCCGAGGCAGGTGGATCACAAGGTCAGGAGTTCAAGACCAGCCTGGCCAACATGAAAAAACCCCATCTCTACTAAAAATACAAGAAAAACAAACAAACAAAAAAACGCCAAGAGTGGTGGCTCACGCCTGTAATCCCGGCTACTCAAGAGGCTGAGGCAGGACAATCGCTTGAACCCGGGAGGCAGAGGTTGTGGTGAGCCGAGATCATGCCACTGCACTCCAGGCCAGGTGACAGAGCAAGACAATGTCTCAAAAAAAAAAAAAAAAAAAAAAAAAAAGAAAGCCACCTCTTACGTATTTTTCCTCCTAAACATTTCTACAACCCATCCACACCTCTTCATCTCCACTATCACTATTACCCTCTTCTCACCCTCACCTTTGGGCATGTTGATTTTGAGGTATCACTGGGACATTCAGGTGGACATTTAGGTCTGGAGTGTGAAGGAGACAGACAGTAAAGTGTGAGGAATCCAGATCACGGGTGGACACCGTGGAGCTAGGGAGAGGGGCAAAAGGGATCAGGATGACGTTGTTACAGGAGAGGTTGTTACGAGAGGTTGTCAAGAAGGTGGAAGTGGTTGGCAATGTTTCATGCTATAGAGGGGTCATGTAAAATGAAGGCTGAAACCCCAGTAAGGCTGACATGTGGTCTCTGGGTACTGTATTAGTTCTCTATTGCTGCCATAACAAATATCACAAACAGCAGTTTAAAACCACAAATGCAGCCAGGCGTGGTGGCTCCCACTTGTAATCCTAGCACCTTGGGAGGCCAAGGTGGGTGGATCACTTGAGGTCAGGAGTTCAAGACCAGCCTGGACAACATGGCAAAACCCTGTCTCTACAAAAAATACAAAAATTAACCAGGCATGGTGGCACGTACCTGTAATCCCAGTTACTTGGGAGGCTGAGACAGGAGAATCTCTTGAACCCAGGAGGCAGAGGTTGCAGTGAGCCAAGATCATGCCACTGCACTCCATCCTGGGCAACAGAGCCACACTCCATCTCAAAATAATAAATAAATAAATAAATAAATAAATAAATAAATAAAACCACAAAGGTGGCCAGGCGCAGTGGCTCACGCCTGTGATCCCAGCACTTTGGGAAGGTGAGGCAGGACTGCTTGAGCCCAGGAGTTCAACACCAACCTGGGCAACATGGTGAGATCCCATCGCTACAAAAAATAGAAAAATTAGCCAGGCATGGTGGTGCAGGCCTACAGTCCCAACTACTTGGGAGGCTGGGGTAAGAGGGCTGCTTGAGTCTGGGAGGTCAAGGCTGCAGTGAGCCGTGATCACACCACTTCACTCCAGCCTGGGTGAGAGAGCAAGATCCTTTCTATTAAACACACACACACACACACACACACACACACACACACACACACTTTCTCTCTCATAGAGTTTGTAGGTCAAAGTCTAGCATGCCATGGATAGATTCTTTGCTCAGGAACTCACTGAGCTGAAATAAAGGTGCTGGCTGGCTAGGGTTCTCATCTAGGTCTCAGCATCCTCTTCCAAGCTCAGTGGTTATTGACCAAATTATTTCCTTCTCGTGCTTTCCACGCTGCCCCCCACCATCTTCAAGCCAGCAACAGCAGGTGAGCCCTTCTCTTGCTCGTAATCTCTCTGACTTCCTCTTCTGCTTTATGGGCTCATGGGATTGCATTGGGGAGGCCCAGGGAATGCAGGAAAATCTCTCTATTTTAGGTAAACTGAATAGTAATCATGACTACATCCACAAAACCCCTTTTGCCATGCAATGCAACATAATTATGGCAGTAAACACCTGTGGATGAAGGTCATGCCTACCATGGACTCTGCTAGAGGATATTGATTACATTAGTGGGGTGGTGAAAGCCATATTGTGGCAGTTTGGGAAGTAAAGAAAAAGTCAGTGGTGGCTGGCGGCAGGGGGACTTGGGATGATGGGTGGGAGGGCTTCCTGGCTGTGTCCCCTCTGTGCACCTTGAGTTCTGTGGGCTGCCCAGACTGACCTCATCCCAACATGGTGAAACTCCATCTCTACTAAAAATACAAGAATTAGCCAGGCATGGTGGTACATGCCTGTGATCCCAGCTACTCAGGAGGCTGAGGCACGAGAATTGCTTGAACAGGGGAGGTGGAGGTTGCAGTGAGCTGAGATTGCGCCACTTCACTCCTGCCTGTGCGACAAAGTGAGACTCTGTCTTAAGAAAAAAAAAAATGCTACTACTACTAATAAATAAAGTTCATCAGGGCTAGGCATGGTGACTCATGCCTGTAATCCCAGAACTTTGGGAAGCCAAGGTGGGAGGATCGCTTGAGATCTTCTCTCCAAAAAAAAAAACAAAACAAAAGACAAAACAATTAAGAAAAGAAAAAAATAAAGTGCATCTGATCTTATGTTTCCCTACTGAAAGCCGCCCAGCACTGCCTCGTCACATGTGGAATAAAACCCAGGCTCTTTGTCCCAGCCTCAGGCCTCTGTGATGGAGCCGCTGCCCACCTCCCCACTACCCTCCTGTCCTCTCGCGTCACTGTGGCTGCCATGACCCTCTTCCCGTTCTAGGAACAGCATCGAGCTCATTTTCACCTGAGGATTTTGCACTCCTGTCCCGTTGCCTTGGAACACTCTTCTCCCAGGTCTTCCCACAACTGGCTCCTTCTTGTCTTTCAGTCTCTTCTTCAATGTCACCTCTCAGAGAGACTTTTGCTGATCACCTGACTTAAAGTATCCTGCCCGTCACTCTCCAACCGTCACAGTGCTTTCTAGCTTATTTATGAATGTTGTTGCTATTGTCCGCAGCCCACAGCAATGACGGGCCCACAAGGGCAGGAACTCTAACTTCTTCACCGCTATTCCCGATACCCTATAAAATGGCCTGATCAAAGCTGGCACTAAAATATGAATAAGGAGGCCGGGTGCAGTCGCTCATGCCTATAATCCCAGCAGTTTGGGAATCTGAGGCGGGCAGATCACCTGAGGTCAGGAGATAGAGGCCAGCCTGGCCAACATGGTGAAACCCCGTCTCTACTAAAAATACAAAAATTAGCCCGGCGTGGTGGTGGGTGCCTGTAATCCCAGCTTCTCGGGAGGCTAAGGCAGGAGAATCGCTTGAACCCAGGAGGCGGAGGTTGCAGTGAGCCGAGATCGTGCTATTGCACTCCAGCCTGGGCAACAAGAGCGAAACTCTGTCTCAAAAAAGAAAAAAAAAAATTAGCATAGTGATTTGTGCCTGTGGTCCCAGCTATTTGGGAGGCTGAGGTAGGAGGATCACTTGAGCCCAGGGGATCGGGGCTGCCGTGAGTTGTGATGATGCCACTGCACTCTGGCCTGGGTGACAGAATGAGACCCTGTCTCAAAAAAAAAAAAAAAGAAAGAAAAAGAAAGCTAATGAACTTAGAAATAGTTTCTAAGGCCAGAGTGGTGGCTCGCACCTGTAATCCCAGCACTTTGAGAGGCGGAGGCAGGTGGATCACAAGGTCAGGCGTTTGAGACCAGCCTGGCCAACATAGTGAACCCCGTCTCTACTAAAAATACAAAAATTAGCTGTGCGTGGTGGTGGGCGCCTGTAATCCCAGCCACTCAGGAGGCTGAGGCAAGAGAATTGCTTGAACCTGGGAAGTGGAGGTTGCAGTGAGCCGAGATTGCGC
The DNA here is from genome assembly GCF_000001405.40 of Homo sapiens. Lineage (NCBI taxonomy): Eukaryota > Metazoa > Chordata > Mammalia > Primates > Hominidae > Homo > Homo sapiens. The sequence goes on along the minus strand of NC_000012.12, from coordinate 122,175,228 downwards.
TACTGCACTCCAGCCCAGGCGACAGAGCAAGACTCTGTCTCAAAAAAAAAGAAAGAAAGAAAGAAAGAAAGAAAAGCAATAAAGTTTCTAGGCTGGCGCAGTGGCTCATGCCTGTAATTCCAGCACTTTGGGAAGCCGAGGCAGGCAGATCACCTGAGGTCAGGAGTTAGAGACCAGCTTGACCAACATGGCGAAACCCCATTTCTACTAAAAATACAAAAATTAGCTGGGCATGGTGGCACGTGCCTGTAGTCCCAGCTACTTGGGAGGCTGAGACTGAGGCATGAGAATTGCTTGAGCCCAGGAGACAGAGGTTGCAGTGATCACGCCACCGCACTCCAGCCTGGGTGACAGAGCAAGACTCCATCTCAAAAAAAAAAAAAAGAAAAAAGATATGAACAAGGATTTCAAGCAATAACTCTGGATCACAGTCTCTGGTTCTGGGCCCTGAGATTGCAGAGGCACGATGGAGAGTCCAGTGATGTCCAAGGCCACATGGAGTTGAGATGAAGCCTTCGACCCGCCACATTCACAGCAGTTATGGGGCCGTCCCTGCACACCGGCGTGGGCATATGCTGCAGAAATTTCCAGAGATACCGCATTCTGCACATCTCATGCCGGCTTCGCATTTCCTCCCCAGAAATTCCCTGTGGCCGCTGGCCTTGAACTCCTGGAAGTCACCCGCTCCTTGGTGGTATGGTCGTGTCTGTCAACCCTGGGCTTCAAAATTTTGTCTAGTCAAATCAACAGGCTCCTTCCAAGAAGAATGGCAAAGATGCATTCATGTGCCTTCTTGTGAAGTATGTGTGTGTCTGAGTCAGGCATCTGCCCACCTGGAGGGTAACCTCAGCATTTCCATTCAGCCCTTTCACTCAGCCGTGGCCAGTAGAACTTTTGAGTGTTTTCTGGAGAAAAGCTGAGTAAATGGTTTTGCCATGGGCGGGACGCTGACTGCTCTTTCTCCTCACCCTGGCCCTTTATATACCTCCAGGCAGCCATGGCGAACACATCTGGCTCCAGAAGCCCCCACTGAAGCTGGCCTTGCTCTCTCTCGCCATGGCCTCTCACTCAGGTATCACTGGTCCTGGTGCTTCCGGAGTCTTGGGCATCATCTTATCTCACCAGGAAGATTCTGGAAGCACTACCCCCAGGGTTGGCTCAGCAGGGCTGCAGGGATGGAGCCAGGGTGGGCAGGGGTGTGTGATGTATGCGCTCACGGCATCGTTCTCTCTCCAGGCCCCTCGACGTCTGTGCTCTTTCTGTTCTGCTGCCTGGGAGGCTGGCTGGCCTCCCACACGTTGCCCGTCCGTTTACTACGACCAAGTGATGATGTACAGAAAATAGTCGAGGAATTACAGTCCCTCTCGAAGATGCTTTTGAAAGATGTGAGTGTCCTAGAGATTTCTTTTCTAAACGATTTCTTAAAAATGCCTTCCATTGCCCTCCAAAGAGGCTCCTCTCTCCGGACCTGAAACCAGGGCTGTAGCTATGCCAGGAAGGGATGGGGGAAACTAGACAGGCAAAGATGGCTTTTTTTTTTTTTTTGAGACAGAGTCTTACTCTGTCACCCAGGCTGGAGTGCAGTGGTGCAATCTTGGCTCACTGCAACCTCTGCTTCCTGGGTTCAAGCGATTCTCCTGCCTCAGCCTCCCGAGTAGCTGGGACTACAGGCATGCGCCACCACGCCCAGCTAATTTTCATATTTTTAGTAGAGACAGAGTTTCTCCACGTTGGCCAGGCTGGTCTTGAACTCCTGACCTCAAGTGATCCGCCTGCCTTGGCCTCCCAAAGTGCTGGGATTACAGGCGTGAGCCACTGTGCCCAGCCAAGATAGCTTTGATCAAACAAACAAATGCCCAAACTTGGAAACAATTCATAAAATTGGCATTACTCTTCTCATCTGCCTTGGTATTTAGACCTTAGCCTTGGCTTTTATAAAAGGCAGAGGTTGTTACCAACCCAAGATGACTGGGCAGTTCAGGTTGATGAGGTGCTGCTGGCAATTTGGTCTGACTCTAGTTAGTACTTAGAAAGAGGAAGGGAGGGAGTGGTCCGGACTCCTTGGTTTGTTGGGGAAAACTCTCGCCTGCATCTCGGAGGCCTTTCCGGACAAGCCTAACACTCTCCTTTATAAGTGGAGCGTGCGTGGCTTTAACACAGAGTCCCAAAGGGCGGGGAGCTGCCATGGAAGGCCAGATGTGCTGCAATTCCCACCACCCTGAGCACGTGAGAGTGGGTTCTGGAAGGCTGGGAGGCCTCAGCTGGATGGATCAGTGGTTCTGAGCACAGGCTTCAGGACTGCAGCCACCTAAGCTCTAGTTTCATCTGGAAATGGGGTTGGTGATGGCACAGCCTCATAGGGTTGTGACATTGATCAGATAAATATATCAACGAGGCGGGTTACGGAGGAAGCATGCAAACATTCACTGTTAAGACTTGCAGCTGTCATTGCAAACCCAACACTGACCATTTCTCCTCATTCCACAGGTGGAGGAAGAGAAGGGCGTGCTCGTGTCCCAGAATTACACGCTGCCGTGTCTCAGCCCTGACGCCCAGCCGCCAAACAACATCCACAGCCCAGCCATCCGGGCATATCTCAAGACAATCAGACAGCTAGACAACAAATCTGTTATTGATGAGATCATAGAGCACCTCGACAAACTCATATTTCAAGATGCACCAGAAACAAACATTTCTGTGCCAACAGACACCCATGAATGTAAACGCTTCATCCTGACTATTTCTCAACAGTTTTCAGAGTGCATGGACCTCGCACTAAAATCATTGACCTCTGGAGCCCAACAGGCCACCACTTAAGGCCATCTCTTCCTTTCGGATTGGCAGGAACTTAAGGAGCCTTAAAAAGATGACCGACAGCTAAGTGTGGGAACTCTGCCGTGATTCCTTAAGTACATTTTTCCAATGAATAATCTCAGGGACCCCTCATATGGGCTAGTCCCGGGAGGGCTGAGATGTGAATTTGTGAATTACCTTGAAAAACATTAGGTTATTGTTATTAGTCTTGGTATTTATGGAATGCTTTTCTTCTGCAGGCTTAAGTCTTACTTATTATACCCTCGTGAGGGTGGGAGGTGGCAGCTATGTTAATTTATTGATATTTATTGTACTAAGAGTTGTCAATGCTCCCTGGGGGAGCCCTCGGAATCTATTTAATAAATTATATTGAATTTTTCTCATAATCTGTGACACATTTTGTGAGGGGCTTGACATTGGCAAATGGGACTCCAAGCTGGGTAGAGTTGTGGCAGAGGGCAGATGGACATGCTCTAGAAAGAGGTATCGCTTCTACCACTGTCATTTCTTCCCACTGGACGGGCTCAATAAAAAATAATGACCCTGAGCCAGGCACTGTGGCTCACACCTGCAATCCCAGCACTTTGGGAGATAAAGGCAGGAGGATCACTTGAGCCCAGGAGTTCCAGACCAGCCTGGGCAACATAGTGAGACCCCATCTCTATTTAAAAAAAAGAAAGAGAAAAGAAATAATGACCCTGGTGGTACACGGTGGCTAGTTTCGTCTGGAAATGGCGATGGTGATGGCCACAGCCTCATAGGGTTGTAACACAGATCAGATATCCCAGCACTTTGGGAAGCTAAGGCTGGAGGACTGCTTGGGGCCAGAGTTTCGGACCAGCCTGGGCAACATAGCAAGATCCCATCTCTAAAAAAACCAACCCAAAACAAAACAAAAAAATTAGCCAGACATGGTGGTGTGCTACTTGGGAGGCTGAGGTGGGAGGATTGCTTGAGCCCAGGAGTTCGAGGCTGCAGTGAGCTAGGACAGCACCACTCACTCCAGAGACAAAGCAAGACCTCAGCAGCAATAAACACTCATTGAGCATTTTCTTTATGCCAGGTCATGTTAAGCACCATCCTCTTTTCATAGGTAGGGAAACTGAGGCAGGAAGTCAGTCAGTCACTTGCTCAAGGCCACACAGCTGTTAAGGGGTGGAGCCCAGTTTCCAGCCTGAGCTTCTCTGCCTTACTCAGGCTTTGACCCTCCCCGGGCAGTGGTTGGGCCTCACAGGCTGTCAATGCCAGGCGCGGCATGCAGCAATCTTACAGTGTCCTCTGCACAACTCCCCACTGGGTTTTCAGGGCCTAGGGGACTTCTTCCTAGCCAGGTCCAAAGATTTTGTCATTTGAATCAATGTTAAGTCCACAACTGTTAAGGCTTCTTAGAGATCACCCGGACTCAAAACGTGGTCCCTGGCCCAGCAGCAGCAGCAGCAGCCCGTGGCAACATTTTAGAAATGTCAATCATTGGGTCTCACCCCAGACCTACTGAATCGGAAGGTCTGTGGGTGGAGACAGAAATCTGGGCTTTATGGGGCCCTCCAGGGGATTCTAATACACCCTCAAGTTTGAGAACCACTAATCTTGAGTCTACCAGCACCTATATATTCATCTTATCTCGGGGGAAACTGAGGACCGAAGAGGTGTGGTTTGCACAAGTCCATATGTAAGGAGGGATGTGGTTAGGACTCTGAGACACGCACTTCAGTCTTGGACTTCTCATTTTTATTCTCACAGGTATTTCTACTGCAGCCCCTAGCAGGCTTTTTTGTTTTTTTTCCTTCGGAGAGTCTCACTCTGTCACCCAGGCTGGAGTGCAGTGGTGCAATCTCGGCTCACTGCAAGCTCCGCCTCCCAGGTTCAAGCGATTCTCCTGCCTCAGCCTCCCAAGTAGCTGGGACTACAGGCGCCCGCCACCACGCCCGGCTAATTTTTTGTATTTTTAGTAGAGACGGGGTTTCACCGTGTTAGCCAGGATGGTCTCGATCTCCTGACCTTGTGATCCGCCTGCCTTGGCCTCCCAAAGTGCTGGGATTACAGGTGTGAGCCACCGTGCCCGGCCCCGTAGCAGGCATTTAAGCCCCCAGATATCCTAGTTTCCAATGACAAGGTTTTGGTGATCTTTCCAGAAAATATCCAGTGTGGTGGACTTCTATCTCTCTTTTTGACTGTCCTACATCAGAACACCTTTACACATATTAGAAAAATTATCTAAAACTGGGAAATAAGGCAAAAAGATGACCTATGTCCTTTCAAAGAATAAAGTAAATACCCACAAGTTCATTTTGATATAAACAAATAGTTGGGCCAGCCGTGGTGTCTCACACCTGTAATCCCAGCACTTTGGGAGGCTGAGGCAGGAACATCACTTGAGGTCAGGAGCTCGAGACCAGGCTGGGCAACATGGCGAAATCCCATCTCCACAAAAAATACAAAAACTGGCCAAGTGTAGTGGTGCATGCCTGTAATCCCAGCTACTTGGGAGGCTGAGGTACCACTTGCTTGAACCTAGGAGGTGGAGGTTGCAGTGAGCCAAGATGGCGTCACTATACTCCAGCCTGGGCAACAGAGTGAGACCTTGTTTCAAAACAACAACAACAAACAACAACAAAATAAATGGTTGACAAGATAAATAAATTAGGGAAAAGGTTCAAATGTTCCTTATAGAATTCTTTTTTTTTTTTTTTTTTTTTTTTGAGACGGAGTCTCGCTCTGTCGCCCAGGCTGGAGTGCAGTGGCACGATCTCGGCTCACTGCAACCTCTGCCTCCCGGGTTCACGCCATTCCACTGCCTCAGCCTCCAGAATAGCTGGGACTACAGGCGCCCGCCACCACGCCCGGCTAATTTTTTTGTATTTTTAGTAGAGACGGGGTTTCACCGTGTTAGCCAGGATGGTCTCGATCTCCTGACCTCGTGATCCACCTGTCTCGGCCTCCCAAAGTGCTGGAATTACAGGAATGAGCCACTGCGCCCAACTAGAATTCTAATTAATAAATCATAAATATAGAAGGAATGAGGGAAATAGAAAATCATCATTAGAACACCACAGTAATAACTGCCTCAGGCAGGATCCACAGAAGAATGCTGAAGTTAGCAGGTGAAACTTTAAGGAGAAACAGGAAATCTGCATAGCCTCAAAGAATCTCCCTTCAAACCATGGTGGTGGCTTTAACATATGTCCACAAATCTTCGATATTCCTCCCTCCAGGAGGTGGGGCTTAACTTCCCTCATCTTGAAGGCGGGTGGGACTTGGTGACTCCCTTCTAAAGAACAGAGCACAAGAGGGAATACGGTAAGGTGGCAGGGGAGATGCATCTCAGACACCACCTCTGGCCAGTGAGCCCACGCTTGGGTATCACGCACCCCTCACATGACACAATGAGAAGGTACCTCCCTCACTTCTCTGTGATCTTCCAAAACCACCATCCCAGTCCCATCAGGAGAAAACACCTGCCAAGCCCAACCTAGGGTCAATTCACAAAATCCTTGACTGGCACTCTTCAAAAGTGTCAGGGTCATGAAAAACAAGGAAAGGCTAAGAAATGGTCACAGATTGAAGACTAAGGAGATACAAGCACTAAGCACAATGTGGGAACTTGGACTGACTCTTGGACCAGAAAACAGACATTAGTGAAAAAAATGGAGAAAATTCAGACAGTTGGTAGTTTAGTGATTAATATTGTATGAGTGTTAATCGCTTAGTTTTTATAAACGTGCACAGTTACTTAACAAATTCCCACTTAGGGGAAGCTGGGTGAAGGGTATATAGGAACTCTCTGTACTGTCTATAAATTTTCTATAAATCTAAAATTACTTAAAATAGGTCAGGTGCTGTGGCTCACCCCTGTAATCCCAGCCCTTTAGGAGGCTGAGGTGGGTGGATCACTTGAGTGATCAGCTCGAGACCAGCCTGGGCAACATGGCGAGATCCCAACATGGTGAGAACCCACCTCTTTTTTTTTTTTTTTGAGACAGAGTTTTGCCTTTGTTGCCCAGGTTAGAGTGCAATGATGCAATCTCGGCTCATTACAATCTCCACGTCCCAGGTTCTAGCAATTCTCCTGCCTCAGCCTCCCAAGTAGCTGGGATTACAGGCATGCACCACCACGCCCAGCTAATTTTTATAGTTTTAGTAGAGATGGGGTTTCACCAGGTTGGCCAGGCTGGTCTCAAACTCCTGACCTTGAGTGATCCGCCCACCTTGGCCTCCCAAAGTGCTGGGATTACAGGCGTGAGCCACCACACCCGGCCTTCCCACTTCTATTTTTTTTTTAATTACTTAAAACATTTTTTTTTGCCAGGTGTGTTGGCTCATACCTGTAATCCCAGCACGTTGGGAGGCTGAGGCTGGTGGATCACCTGAGGTCAGGAGTTGAGACCAGCCTGGCCAACATGGTAAAACCTCATCTCTACTAAAAAATACAAAAATTAGCCAGGTGTGGTGGTGCACACCTGTAGTTTCAGCTACTAGGGAGGCTGAGGCAGGAGAATTGCTTGAACCCGGGAGGCAGAGGTTGCAGTGAGTGGAGATTGCACCACTGCACTCCAGCCTGGGCAACAGAGTGAGACTCCATTTCAAAAAAAAAAAAAACTTTTTAAAAAAATTCAGTTTCTCAGTGTCACTCACATCTTGCGTGCTCGACAGCTGCAGTGGCTAGTGGCGACCTCATTGGATAGCACAGACAGAATATCTCCATTACCGCAGGAAGTTCTATTAGATGGCATTGTTCTCGGAGAATGGAACTTTGGCATTGTTCTCAGAGAATGGAACTTTGTTTGACGTATTATATATTATTCATTAGGCCCCAGGGTCTTTGAACTTAGAGAAAACAGATAAGATGCAAATGATCTCTACCCAGTAGAGAAGATGACTCCAAAGGTTATGGTTGTATTTACTGTAGGGCATGAACCACTTTCGCATCTAACAGAGCTGTTTGATTCTGGCATTCTTTATCTTCACTGACAACAGACAGACAGACAGATGAGAAACCAATACTAGTCTCTCATCTCCTCCTTTGAATCAGCTGTGTTACGCTGATTCCCTCAACACCGAGTTGAATAAAAGCTTGACATGTGCCCACTCTGGGTAAGGGTTGTTTGGTGGGCAGAGGGACCTGCTGTCTGCTGCAGAAACTGAAATGCAACACTTGTCTTCCCAGCCTCCCTCTTAGCTAGGTTGTGGGCCTGAGACCGCGGCAATGCAATCAGACTTCAAATCAGACGCTGGTGACACAAAGCAGCGGAGATGGTGGCAGGTGCTTCGTTGCACGGAGAGGTGGCAATTGCAACAAGATCCCCTCTCTGGAGGAACAGGGGCTGAGCTCTCAGTGGCCGCCTGGTGCCCCCCACCCCAGACGGGTTCCCATGAGCAACAGGCTCACAGCGATTCTGCGAACCACCTGGTCTCCTTTAATGAATTCCCATTCTGATCCAATCTGCCAGAAGAGTCATTTAATGCTATTGGATTGATGGATTGACCAAGGAGCTCCCGCAGATCTAGCGCAGGCTCAGCCTTTCTCCTTCTGTCACTGAAAGCCCGCAGTTCTGGAGATGACTCAGCCACGGGCCGGGGGACTCCGCTGCACTCTTCTCACTAAAACCACCGCACTGCTCTTACAGGGAGAGGAAACCTTTAAAGTTGCTAATTTCTCCTCTCCTTCCAGGTCCTTGGATGAAGAGGCAAACCCGCTAACCAAATGCTCCGTCGTCCTTTGGGTAGAGCATGCAGGCTTCATTCTGGGCTGCAGGGCCAGCTTCACGAGCCTGTGACCTACTCAGTCATGGGGCCCAGAGCTCAGAGGGCCCTGAGCTTGTTTTCACCCTCTGTTCTCATCACTGTCTTGAAATGCTTAGTGATTTCTAAACAAAGTACACAGCCGGTACTGCTGAGAGGGAGGTGAAATGCAGATTCCTAGGCTTACACCCAGAGGTTCTGATTTAGTAGTTTTGGCTGGGCCCTGGAATCAGGTTTTTTTTTTTTTTTTTCTTTTTTTTAACAGACTCTTGCTCTGTCACCCAGGCTGGAATGCAGTGGCGCAGTCTCGGCTCACTGCAGCTTCTGGCTCCCAGGTTCAAGCAATTCACCTCCCTCAGCCTCCTGAGTAGCTGGAATTACAGGTGCGTGTCACCATGACCAGCTAATTTTTCTATTTTTAGTAGAGATGGAGTTTCACCATGTTGGCCAGGCTGGTCTCAAACTCCAGACCTTACGTGATCCACCCACCTCAGCCTCCCAAAGGGCTGGGATTATAGGCATGAGCCACCGCGCCCAGCCTGGAATCAGTATTTTAAACATTTTTAAACATATAATTTATATACTGTAAAGTTAGCCCATTTAAAGTGTATAATTGGGCCAGGTGTGGTGGCTCACATCTGTAATCCTAGCACTTTGGGAGGCCGAGGCAGGCGGATCACTTGAGGTCAGGAGTTCATGACCAGCCTGGCCAACATGGGGAAACCCCATCTCTAATACAAATGCACAAATTAGCCAGGCGTGGTGGCCTGTGCCTATAATCCCAGCTACTCAGGAGGGTGAGGCAGGTGAATTGCTTGAACCTGGGAGATGGAGGTTGCAGTGAGCTGAGATCATGCCACTGTACTCCAGCCTGGGCAACAGAGCGAGACTGTCTCAATAAATAAATACATACATACATACATACAGTTTACAATTGGATGTCTTTTGTGTTTGTTTTGTTTTTTTATACAGATGAGGTCTCACTATGTTGCCCAGGTTGGTCTTGAACTCCTGGGCTCATGCCTTCCTCTCAGCTCACTCTCCTGAAGTGCTGGGATTATAGGCAAGAGCCAGCACACCCAGCGACAATTTGATGTTTTTAAAGATATTCGCAGTTGTGCCACATCACCACTATCTAATTCCAGGACATTTTTATCATCCCCAAAAGAAACTCTGTACTATGCTGGGAATGGTGGCTCATCTGTAATCCCAGCACTTCGGGAGTCCGAGGTGGGAGGATCGCTTGAGCCCAGGAATTCGAGACCAGCCTGGGAAACACAGCAAGACCCCATCTCTGCAAAAATAAATAAATAAACCTCGTGCCCATGGGCAGACGCTTCCCATCCTTCCCTGGCCTCCGTCCCTGGTAACCACTAAGCCACTCCCCGTCTCCATGGGTTTGCCTGTCTGGCCATTTCACATACATGGAATCAGACAACATGTGGTCTTTTGTGGCTGTTTCTTTCTCGTAGCATGGTGTCTTGAAGGTTCACCTGGGCTGCAGCCTGTGGCAGCGCTCCCATTCATGGTGCTCGCTGTTTTTGGCACAAGACCCTGAGGCCTGATGCAGGGGGTCTACCCGTATGGAAATGTTTGCCTTGATGCCTGTTTTCCCCACAGATTCTCAGAAACAAGAAAAATGTCAAAGGGAGATAGGGAAGGAGATTAGGGGCAGACATTTGTATGTAAATCAAGATCACCTCCCACAACATATGCAAGAGGAAAAAATCTAACTCATATTTGCCTTTCCCGAAAGACGCAGCATGGGACAGAACCCACCGCAGGGGTGAGTGTGATAACTCCTAAGTTACCTGGAACGCAACTAGCACAAACTCTCAAGTCACTAGAATTTATGTTGATGATAATCCGCCAAAACCTAGAAAGAGGCAAAAAGGACTGGGCACAGTGGTTCACGCCTGTAATCCCAGCACTTTGGAAGGCCAACGCGGTTGGATCACTTGCTGTCAGGAGTTCAAGACCAGCCTGGCCAACATGGTGAAACCCTGTCTCTACTAAAAATACAAAAATTAGCCAGTCTTGATGGCGGGTGCTTGTAATCCCAGCTACTCAGGAGGCTGAGGCGGGAGAATCGTTTGAATCCGGGAGGTGGAGGTTGCAGTGAGCCGAGATCATGCCACTGCACTCTAGCCTGGGCGACTGAGCAAAACCGGTCTCAAAAAAACACAAAAAAACAAAACGTCAGGCACGGTGGCTCACTCCTGTAATATCCCAGCACTTTGGGAGGCCGAGGCGGGCAGATCACAAGGTCAGGAGTCCAAGACCAGCCTGGTCAACATGGTGAAACCCTGTCTCTACTAAAAATACAAAAATTAGCCAGGCTTGATGGTATGTACCTGTAACCCCAGCTACTCAGGAGGCTGAGGCAGGAGAATCACTTGAATCCAGGAGGTGGAGGTTGCGTGAGCCGAGATCGTGCCATTGCACTCCAGCCTGGGCGACTGAGCAAAACCCGACTCAAAAAAAAAAAAAAACGTCAGGCATGGTGACTCACTCCTGTAATATCCTAGCACTTTAGGAGGCCGAGGCGGCGGATCACAAGGTCAGGGGTTCAAGACCAACCTGGCCAACATGGTGAAACTCCGTCTCTAATAAAAATACAAAAATTAGCCGGGCATGGTGGCAGGCACCTGTAATCCCAGCTACTTGGGAGGCTGAAGCAGGAGAATGGCTTGAGCCCGGGAGGCGGAGGTTGCAGTCAGGAGAGATCGTGCCACTACACTCCAGCCTGGGTGACTGAGCAGGACTCTGTCTCAAAAAAACAAAAATTAAAAAAAGGCCGAGCGCAGTGGCTCATGCCTGTAATCCCAGCACTTTGGGAGGCCGAGGCGGGTGGATCACGAGGTCAGGAGATCAAGACCATCCTGGCCAACATGGTGAAACCCCGTCTCTACTAAAAATACAAAAATTAGCTGGGCATGGCAGCGGGTACCTGTAATCCCAGCTACTTGGGAGGCTGAGGCAAACGAATCACTTGAACCCAGGTAGTGGAGGCTGCAGTGAGCCGAGATCACACCATTGCACTCCAGCCTGGGTGACAGAGTGAGACTCTGTCTCAAAAAAAAAAAAAAAAAAAAAAAAAAGAGACAAAGCAAATAGAAGAGGTGATCAGATAAAGAGAGACAAATGAGAAAAGAAGGAGGAGAAGGGAGAGAAAAACAAAAGAAAAGCTTGGGCGGGAGTGGTGGTGCACGCCTGTAATCCCAGCTGCTCGGGAGGCTGAGGCATGAGAATCATTTGAACCTGGGAGGTGGAGGTTGCAGTGTGCTGAGATCACGCCACTGCACTCCAGCCTGGACGACAGAGCAAGACTCCATCTCAAAACAAAACAAAACAAACAAACAAACAAAAAACAACAACAAAAAAGAAATGCTTACATATAAAGCCAGAAATTAAATAGGCAGTAAATGTGAAACTGCTCAACCTCACAAGTAACCAAGAAAGGCAAATAAACAGGAGGTTTCTTATGCCTTCACATCAGCAGAGCTTTACAAGTGAGAAAGCCTGAGGGTGAGAAAGGCCCACTCAGCCACTTCTGAAACACGCATCAGAGCCTTACACAGGGATTCGGTCTCCACCCAGTAACCCTCTCCTGGAATTCCTGCCTCACATAATTTCCTAAGGCAATAATCCTAGATTTGGATGGGATATGCACACTTACATGCTCATAATAGCATTGAGGGTAACACCAAAACCAAACAAGCAAACCGAAGTGGAGATGACCTGTGTCAGTCCAGGTCCTCTAGAAGCAGGGACCAAGATGGGATTCTTTGCCATGCAAGACATTCATCAAGGCCAGGCGTGGTGGCTTATGCCTGTAATCCCAACACTTTGGGAGGTGGAAGTGGGAGAATCACCTGAGGTCAGGAGTTCAACACCAGGCTGGCCAACATGGTGAAACCCCGTCTCTACTAAAAATATAAAAATTAGCCGGGCGTGGTGGCGGGCACCTGTAATCCCAGCTACTCGGGAGGCTGAGGCAGGAGAATCGCTTGAACCTGGGAGGCAGAGGTTGCAGTGAGCAGAGATGGCGCCACTGCACTCCAGCCTGGGTGACAGAGTGAGACTCTGTCTTGAAAAAATACTAAATAAATAAAGAGATTCATCAGAGCCAGGCCTGGGAGGGAAAAGAGGAGGGAGCAGGGGATTCAGGGAGCTGTCCCACCACAGGCAGGTCTGACTCTTGCTGGAGGACAGGATGAAGGAAGGAAAGGAGGTTGGGGGCAGCGTCTCAGCCTACGGTGCCATCCTGGGAGACTTCAGCACGAATGTGGGAAAATCCTAAGAGAAGCCTGGGTCTCCCAGGAACGAGCCAGCCTCAGCATCCCTGCCATGCTGTCTCTAGATGGGAGAAGCCTGCGGGAAGCGGGGTCTCCATGTGCTGGGTGATGGATTTCCGGGCACAGCAGCTGGGGGCCCTGGGTCAATTATACTTCCCAGAGTGGGAAATCTGAGGGGCACACTTTCACGGCTGCTATACAACCCCGATGACTGAAAATAAGGCAATGAACAAACAGTGGCCGCTCAAAGTCATTTTATCAAAGAATGTTTACTGGCAGGGTAAAATGCTTCAAGTATGACGTTAATTTATAAAAGCAGGTTATAAAATATATTTATGACGATCCCCCATTGAGTTAAAAAATATGTCTGTTGGGGGAACACGGATGGAGTTGGAGGCCATCATCCTCAGCAAACTAACGCAAGAACAGAAAACGAAATACCACACGTTCTCACTTATAAGTGGGAGCTAGATGATGAGAACCGATGACCACAAAGAAGGAAACAACAGACACTGGGGTTTACTGGAGGGGGAGGGTGGAGGCGGGCAGGAGGGTGGGGGGGAAGAGGGAGAGGAACAGGCAGAGAAGATAACTGTTGGGTACTAGGCTTAATACCTGAGTGATGAAATAATCTGTATAAATAAACCCCCATGACACAAGTTTACTTGTTCATTTTCTTTTTTTGAGACAGAGTTTCGCTCTTGTCACCCAGGCTGGAGTGCAGTGGCGCCATCTCAGCTCACCGCAACCTCTGCCTCCCGGGTTCAAGTGATTCTCCTGCCTCAGCCTCCCAAGTAGCTGGGATTACATGTGCTGCCACGCCCGGCTAATTTTATATTTTTAGTAGAGACAGGGTTTCTCCATGTTGGTCAGGCTGGTCTTGAACTCCCGACCTCAGGTGATCCACCCACCTTGGCCTCCCAAAGTGCTGAGGTTACAGGCATGAGCCACCACGCCTGGCAGTTCATTTTCATACTGCTATAAAGACATACCTGGGGCCAGGCACAGTGGCTCACACCTGTAATCCCAGCACTTTGGGAGGCCGAGGCAGGTGGATCACAAGGTCAGGAGATTGAGACCATCTTGGCTAACATGGTGAAGCCCCATCTCTACTAAAAATACAAAAAATTAGCTGGGCGTGGTGGCGGGCGCCTGTAGTCCCAGCTACTCGGGAGGCTGAGGCAGGAGAATGGCGTGAACCCGGGAGGCGGAGCTTGCAGTGAGCTGAGATCGTGCCACTGCAGTCCAGACTGGGAGAGACAGCGAGACTCCATCTCCAAAAAAAAAAAAAAAAAAAAGGCATATCCGAGACTTGCTATTTTATAAAGAAAAGAGGTTTAATTGACTCACAGTTTTGCAGGGCTGGGGAGGCCTCAGAAAATTTACAACCATGACAGAAGCGGAAGAGACACTTCTTACATGGCCGCAGGCGAGAGAGAGTGGTGAGCAAAGGAAGAAGCGCCCCCTTATAAAACCATCAGAGAGAACTCACTCATTATCACGAGAACAGCATGGGGAAAACTGCCCCCGTGATCCAATCACCTCCACCTGGCTTCTCGCTAGACACGTGGGGATTACAATTCCAGATGAGATTTGGGTGGGGACATAAAGCCTAACCATACCATGTTGCTATGTAACAAACCTTCACATGTACCCCTGAACCTAAAATATAAGTTTAAAATAAAGTGTCTGTGTGTGTGTGTGTGTCCACCTATCTTACATATAGACAGAAAGCAAGACTGGCAAAAAAAAAAAAAAATCTTTGGGCAGGGGGAGAATTTTTCTTTTTTTGTTTTTTCTTTTTGATCTCAGTGGTGCGATCTCAGCCCACTGCAATCTCCGCCTCCTGGGCTCAAGCGATTCTCCTGCTTCAGCCTCCTGAGTAGCGGGGATTACAGGTGCCCACGACCACACCAGGCTAATTTTTGTATTTTTAGTAGCGATGGGGTTTCACCTTGTTGGCCAGGCTGGTCTCAAACTCCTGATCTCAGGTGATCCACCCACCTCGGTCTCCCAAAGTGCTGGGATTACAGGCATGAGCAACCATGCCTGGCCAAGAATTTTCTTTATATTTTAATGTATTTTCCAAATTTTCTAAAGTTAGTATGTATTATTTTAGAAATCAGTCAAATAAACATGATTTCAAGTTTTAAAAAAGAAATAGCACTTGGAGAGAAGGTGAGAAATGGAGAGGTGTGAAGGCTTTTCCAAGTGTTGGTAATAAGGTAAGAAAAGACTTTAGCACCCCCAGGTGTCTTACTGTAGCAGTGGGTTTGTGACATTGGTGTTTCTTCTCAACCATCTCTGACACCAGGCTCAGCTCCACTGTCCCCAGCTCTTTATCTGCTCTTCGGATCTCCCCGCTGAATGGACAAAGCAGTCCCCTGGCGTGACTCCTTGTAGAACCAATTTTGCAGTAAAACCAATGCAATATTATTTCTCTCAGCCCTTTTACGCACTACCCAAAATGACAGTACTTTATAGTGAGAAGGAATACTTAGAATGACAATTCTGAGGCTCTTCAAGATCCCAACGTTATTAATTTCCTATTCAATGGCCCTGGAAACATTTTCCCCCAACAGCATTAGTGCTAAGAGCAGCTATTCTTGGATTCAGTTTCTGGTCCTTTACTTACTATATGTGACATAACCTTAGACAAACAACTTCATCTCTAAAAGTTACAATTAAACAATTATACAGTTTAGCAGTGTGTGTGTGTGTGTATTCACAGAGTTGTGCACCTATCGTCACTATATAATTCCAGAACATTCTTATCTCCCCATTAGTAGTCACTACCCACTTGCTTTCAGTCTCCCCAGTGTCTGGAAACCACTAATCTACTTTCTGTCTCGATGGATTTGCCTGTTCCACAATTTTTTTTTTTTTTTTTTGAGACAGTTTTGCTCTGTCGCCCAGGGGGGTGTGCAATGGCGGGATCTTAGCTCACTGCAACCTCTGCCTCCCAGGTTCAAGCGACTCTTCTGCCTCAGCCTCCCGAGTAGCTAGGATTACAGGGGCCCACCTCCACGCCTGGCTAATTTTTCTATTTTTAGTAGAGACAGGGTCTCAGCATGTTGGCCAGCTGGTCTCAAATGCCTGACCTCAGGTGATCTGCCCATCTTAGCCTCCCGAAGTGCTAGGATTACAAGTGTGAGCCACCGTGCCCAGCCTACTCCACAATTTCCCATGAAGAGAATCATATAGTATTTGTCCTCTTATGTCTGACTTCTTCCCTTTTTCAAGGTTCATCCATGTTGCAGCGTGTGTCAGCACGTCATTCCTTCTGACGGCTGAGTAACAGTCCATTGTGTGGGTAGATCACATTTTGTTTATTCTTTCATCACTTCAAGTACACTTGGGTCGTCTCTATATTTGGCCATTTGTGAATGCTGCTGCTTCGAACATTTACCTGCAAGTATCCCTGTTTTCATTTATTTTGGGTATATACCCAGGAGTGGAATTGCTGGGCCACATGGTAGCTCTACTTTTAACTTTTGGAAGAAATGCCTGGCTGTTTTCCATGGTGGCTGCACCATTTCACATTCCCATTAGCCATGTATGAGGGTTTCAATATCTCTATACCTTAACTGACATTTCAACACTACTTCTTACTTTCTTTTTTTTTTTTTTAATCCAGCTCTGGATCACACACCCCAGGCTGGAGTGCAGTGGTGCTATCTCAGCTCACTACAAGCTCCGCCTCACGGGTTCACGCCATTCTCCTGCCTCAGCCTCCCAAGTAGCTGGGACTACAGGCACCCGCCACAACGCCCGGCTAATTTTTTGTATTTTTAGTAGAGACGGGGTTCCACCGTGTTAACCAGGATGATCTTGATCTCCTGACCTTGTGATCCACCCGCCTCGGCCTCCCGAAGTGCTGGGATTACAGACGTGAGCCACCACAACCAGCCTACTTTTTTTTTTTTGAGATAGTCTCACTCCATTGCCCAGGCTGGAGTGCAGTGGCGCAATCTCAGCTCACTGCAACGTCCATTTCCTGGGTTCAAGTGATTCTCCTGTCTCAGCCTCTCGAGTAGCTGGGATTACAGGTGCCTGCCACCACGCTTGGCTAACTTTTGAATTTTTAGTAGAGATGGGGTTTCACTATGTTGGCCAGGCTGATCTCAAGCTCCTGACCTCAGGTGATCCACTCTCCCAAAGTGCTGAGATTACAGGCATGAGCTATCGTGCCTGGTCAATTTCTCTTTTTTTAATTTTAATTTTAATTTTTTTTGGGCGGGGGACAGGTCTCACTCTGTCACCCAGGATGGAGTGCAGTGGTGCAATCATGGTTCACTGAATCTTAGCCTTGACCTCCCAGGCTCAAGTGATCCTCCCATCACAGCCTTCCAAGTAGCTGGAACTACAGGCGTGTGCCACTACAATTTTTGTACTTTTTTGTAGCTAATTTTTGTACTTTTTTGTAGAGACAGGGTTTCGCCAAGTTGCCCAGGCTGGTCTCAAACTCCTGGGCTCAAGCAATCCACCTACCTCGGCCTCCCAAAGTGCTGGGATTACAGGCGTGAGCTACCACGCCTGGCCCTGGATATTTCATTTGTATAGGACCACACAACATGTGGCCTTCTGTGTCTGCCTCCTCTCACTCAGCATAATGGTTTTGAGGGTCTTCCACTTTGTAGTACATAACAGTATTTCATTCCTTTGTATGGTTGAATAATGTTCTTCAACACTGTTGTATAACTTTCAGTATGATACTGAGTGCACCTCCTTGGTTAAATTTATTCCTAAGTATTTTGTCTTCGTTGATGCTATTGAAAATGAAATTGTTTTCTTAATTTCATTTTTGGGCTATTTCTTGCCAGTGTACAGAAAGACAGCTGATTGGCCGGGCGCGGTGGCTCACACCTGTAGTCCCAGCACTTTGGGAGGCCAAGGCGGGTGGATTACCTGAGGTCGGGAGTTCAAGACCAGCCTCAACATGGAGAAACCCTGTCTCTACTAAAAATACAAAATTAGCCTGGCGTGGTGGTACATGCCTGTAGTCCCAGCTACTTGGGAGGCTGAGGCAGAAGAATTGCTTGAACCTGGGAGGCGGAGATTGCGGTGAGCCGAGAGTGCGCCATTGCACTCCAGCCTGGGCGACAAGAGCGAAACTCCGTCTCAAAAAAAAAAAAAAGAAAGACAGCTGATTGTTGTATACTGATCCCATGTCCTGCAACCTTGCTGATCCCATTCACTCGCTCTAAAGGGCTTGTGTGCATCCTTTAGGACTTTCTACGCATACCATCGTATCATCTGCAAATGGTTTTTCTTCCTTTCCAATCTGAAAGCCTTGTATTTCTTTTTCTTTCTTCTTCTTTTTTTTTTTTTTGAGACAGAGTTTAGCTCTTGTCACTCAGGCTGGAGTGTAATGGAGCGATCTCAGCTCACTGCAACCTCTGCCTCCCTGGTTCAAGCGATTCTCCTGCCTCAGCCTTCTGAGTAGCTGGGATTACAGATGCCCATCGCCACACTCAGTTACCTTTTTTTTTTTTTTTGTAGAGATAGGGTTTCACCATGTTGGCCAGACTGGTCTCGAACTCCCGACCTCAGGTGATCCACCGGCCTTAGTGTCCCAAAGTGTTGGGATTACAGGTGTGAGCCACTATGCCCGGCCTCTTTTTTGTGTTTTGTTTGTTTGTTTGTTTGTTTTTGAGATGGAGTTTCGCTCGTTGCCCAGGCTGGAGTGCAGTGGCGCGATCTTGACTCACTGTAATCTCTGCCTCTGGGTTCAATAGATTCTCCTGCCTCAGCCTCCCAAGTAGCTGGGACAACAGGCATGCACCACCACACCCAGCTAATTTTGTTTATTTTTTGTAGAGACGAGGTCTCACTATTGCCCAGTCTGGTCTAGAACTCCTGGGCTCAAATGATCTGCCCACCTCGGCCTCCCAAAGTGCTAGGATTATAGGCGTGAGCCACTGCGCCTGGCCAAGTCTTATATTTCTCTGTTTTGCCCAATTGCCCTAACCAGAACCTCCAGGACAATACTGATATTGACAATATTGACGGGGAAGGAGCAGATATCCACTTCTTGTTCCTGATCTTAGGGGCAAGCATCAGTCTCTCACATTAAACATGATGTTAGCTGTGGACTTTTTGTAGATGCTCTTCATCAGGCTGGGGAAGTTCTACTCCATCTACTCCTGGTTTGTTAAATGTTCTTATGTTGAAAGGTAAACCTGTTTTCTCATGTGTAAAATGAGGACAACAATCTCTATAGGGAGAGTTTTTTGAAGTTGAAAATGGGATAACATAAGGCCGGGTGCAGTGGCTCACGCCTGGGGCATATCTGATATAACCCTGTAAGCCTCAATTTCCTTATCTCTAACATGGGTATTATAAAGCATCTACCTCCTAGGGCTCACACTGGCAGGCAGCGGCAGATGTGATTTACATTGCGAGATTACCAAGTGCCTGGGACATAGAAGCTGTGTGCTATGATAGATGACAGATAAAATGAGATGTGGTCCTTGTCCTGAAAAAGGAGAGATAAAATGTGGTACTGACAGCTACACCGCACTTGATATCAGCAGCAGAAATGGAGCACTGGCGGTGGTTCCGGGGGCACAGCAGGGAGGGCTGGGCCAGGCCACAGCGGAGAGAGAGCGCTGGGCCTTCCAGGGAGGGGAATGCACGGCAGCACAGAGGGAAGAAGTGTGGGGTGCGGTTGAGTAGCCACAGAGAGCTCCTCTTGCTGGGACCTGGGCTGCGTAATCCTAATCGTAATCGGGAAGCAATGGGATTGAAGTTACCGTTGCACTGAATGCAAGCAATGGACGGGGGTGGGGGGACTTCTCCTAGAAGACTTATAAACTGAAGTGCTCCTGCTGAGGGCAGGAGAGGAGGGAGGCAGAGTTTTGAAACAGGAATGGGAGCTGGACATGGTGGCTTATGCCTGTAATCCTAGCACTTTGGGGGGCCGAGGCAGGTGGATCACCTGAGGTCAGGAGTTCGAGACCAACCTGGCCAACATGGTGAAACCCTGTCTCCACTAAAAATACAAAAAAAAAAAAATAATTAAACGGGCATAGTAGCTCGTGCCTGTAATCCCAGCTACCCAGGAGGCTGAGGCAGGAGAATCACTGGAACCCTAGAGGTAGAGGTTGCAGTGAGTCGAGATTGCGCCACTGCACTCCAGCCTGAGCAACAAGAGTGAAACTCCGTCTCAAAAAAAAAGAGAAGAAGCCAGGCGCGGTGGCTCCCACCTGTAATCCTAGCACTTTGGGAGGCTGAGGAGGGTGGATCACTTGAGGTCAGGAGTTTGGGACCAGCCTGGTCAACATGGTGAAACCCTGTCTACTAAAAAAATACAAAAATTAGCCAGAAATAGCTTGAACCCGGGAGACGGAGGTTGCAGTGAGCCGAGATCGTGCCACTGCACTCTAGCCTGGGCAACAGAGCAAGACTCCGTCTCAAAAAGAAAAAAAAAAGAAAAAGAAAAAAAAGAAAAGAAAAGAAAAGAAAAAGGAATGGGGAAAGGCCAGGTGTGGTGGTTCACACCTGTAATCCCAGTGCTTTTAGAGGCTGAGGTGGGTGGGCTGATTGAGCTCAGGAGTTTGAGACCAGCCTGAGGAACATAGGAAGACCTCATCTCTACAAAAAAAGAAAAAAGAAAAAGGGATGGGTGTTAGAAAGCAGGATGATGTTTCCTGATCTTTTTTGATCAGCGCTGGGAGAGTTCTGTTAGGAGATAACTGAATTCTGACTTATACCAGCTGTGTGCACAGCATGGGATGGGACCACAGTTAGCAACATTTTGGAGAAAGAATTCACCACCCAAAATGTGACAAATGGGAAGGGACAGGCAGGCTGCCGTGAAAAAAGAAAACTCAGAAATGCTGCCAGGGTGTTACTGACTGAGCTGGACAGTCTTCGTGGTGGCCTTGATATAAACTGAGACATTTTGTCAGGAATGGGGAAACAGAGATGAAGAATAAGGAAAGTTGCAGCCGGGCATGGTGGCTCATGCCTGTAATCCCAGCACTTTGGAAGGCCGAGGCGGGCAGATCACGAGGTCAGGAGTTGGAGACCAGCCTGGCCAGCACAGTGAAAGCCAGTCTCTACCAATAAAATACAAAAAATTAGCCAGGCATGGTGGCATGCGCCTGTAATCCCAGCTACTTGGGAGGCTGAGGCAAGAGAATCGCGTGAACTAGGGAGGCAGAGCTTGCAGTGATCCGCGATCGTGTCACTGCACTCCAGCCTGGGCGACAGAGCAAGACTCCATCTCAAAAAAAAAAAAAAAAAAAAAGTTGCTGCTGGGCCAGGCGCGGTGGCTTACACCTGTAATCCCAGCACTTTGGGATCAAGGTCAAGAGATCGAGACCATCCTGGCCAACATGGTGAAACCCTGTCTCCACTAAAAATACAAAAATTAGCTGGGTGTGGTGGTGTGCACCTGTAATACCAGCTATTTGGGAGGCTGAGGCAGGAGAATCACTTGAACCTGGGAGGTGGGGGTTGCAGTGAGCTGAGATCATGCCACTAGACTCCAGCCTGGCGACAGAGTGAGACTCCATTCAAAAAAAAAAAGAAAAAGAGGAAGAAAAGCGGCTGCCTTTATACGTGCTGACTACAAAATCAGCAAATTCGAGGTGTGATTATTATCCACACTTCATAGAAGAAGACTTCTAGGCACAGGACAGCTGTCACCCAGGCAGTCACTCAGGACCCAAATCTCGTGGGACTAATAGCACTTCACAATGATGACTTTGGATTTCATTCTAAATGTAATGGGAAGCCCCTGGAAGTTGAAGCAGCATCTTTTAAAAACACCATTCCAGCTGAATAGAGAATTGACTGAAAGCAGCAAGAGGCAAAACATGGGCCAGGCGGGGTGGCCGACTTCTGTAATCCTAGCACTTTGGGAGGCCAAAGTGGGCTTATCACTTGACGTCAGGAGTTCAAGACCAGCCTGGCCAACATGGCAAAACCCCATCTCTACTAATAATACAAAAATTAGCCAGGCGCGGTGGCGTAGACCTGTAATCCCAGATACTCAGGAGGGTGAGGCATGAGAATCGCTTGAACTCGGGAGGTGGAGGTTGCTGTGAGCCAAGATTGCGCCACTGCACTGCAGCCTGGGTGACAAAGTGAAACTGTGTCTCAAAACAACATCAACAACAACAACAACATGAATATTCAAATTGTCCAGGCAAGAGGGTTATTGTCATGGCAGTGGGAATGGGGAGAGGTGGCTGGGTCTGTGATTACAGATGCTCATGGACTTACAATGGGGTCACGTCCCAATAAACCCACTGTAAGCTGAAAATGTTAAGTAAAAAATGCATTTAATACACCTAACCTCCTGAACATCATAGCTCAGCCCAGCCTGCCTTAAAAGGGCTCGGAACACTCACAGCAGCCTACAGTTGGGCAAAAGTGCCTGGCAGCCCAGGATGCAGGAGTGTTGGCTGTCTGCCTTCATTCAGCTCACTGCCACTGCCCAGCACCACGAAGAGATCATACGGCACGTCACTAGCCTGGAAGAAGATCAAAATTCAACATCTTAAGTACAGTTTCTACTGAGTGCGTATTGCTTTTACACCATCCTAAAGTCAAAAAATCCTAAATCGCCGGGTGTGGTGGCTCACGCCTGTAATCCTAGGACTTTGGGAGGCCAAGGCGGGTGGATCATTTGAGGTCAGGAATTCAAGACCAGTCTGGCCAATATGGTGAAACCCCATCTCTACTAAAAATACAAAATTTAGCCGGGCATGGAGGTGGGCACCTGTACACCTGTAGTCCCAGCTACTAGGAAGGCTGAGGCAGGAGAATCGCTTGAACCCAGGAGGTGGAGGTTGCAGTGAGCTAAGATAACGCCACTGCACTACAGCCTGGGCTACAGAGTGAGACTCTGTCTCAAAAAAAAAAAAAGAATCCTAAGTCAGGGCCGTCTGTATTTTGGAGGTGTTATTGGCGAGACTTGCTAATAGGCTGAACGTGGGAAGAGAGGGAAAGGAAGAGGCTAGGGTGAAGTCTGAGTTTCTGGCTGGAACATTTGGGGAGACGTCAATGCCATTTATCAGGATGCAGAGTGTTTGCAGATGAGCAAGTTTTGGGCACAGAGATGGAAAGTAAGGTTAGTTAGAGGTAGAGGGACTTGAGAAAGAGAAAACTTGTGAATAGAGAGGAATGAGTCAATGAAAAAGGAGAAAAATGCAAGGGACAGAAGAGATAACTGACAAGAGAAAGCCCCAGGGGGCAGCAAAGGGAATGTCCAGGAAAAGACAAAACCTCTGCAGATGTGAGATTTGGCCACTGTTTCTGTGAAGTTTGCCCTTCCCTAAAGGGCTCTGCATGGGAGGTCGCTTCTGCCTCCTCGCCCTGGCCCCAACCCCTTTGCTGGTCCATCTCTGCTCATCCAGCTCAGTCCTGGCTCAGAAGCCAAATACCACAACCTATCACAGGTATCAACAAAGATTTTATTGTATTTGCAATAAAGTCACTGTTGTATTCTCTGAGTCTCATTAAAATACAACCTTCAGTACACACATTTGGTTTTTTTTTTTGAGGCAGAGTCTCGCTCTGACACCCAGACTGGAGTGCAATGGCATGATCTTGGCTCACTGCGAGCTCTGCCTCTAGTTTCAAGCAATTCTGCTGCCTCAGCACCCTAAGTAGCTGGGATTACAGGCACCTGCCACCATGCTCAGCTACTTTTTTTTTTTTTTTTTTTTTTTGAGTTGGAGTTTCACACCTTTTGCCCAGGCTAGAGTGCAATGGCGTGATCTTGGCTCACTGCAACCTCCGTCTCCCGGGTTCAAGCGATTCTCCTGCCTCAGCCTCCCAAGTAGCTGGGATTACAGGCATGCACCACCACCCTGGCAAATTTTGTATTTTTAGTAGAGATGGGGTTTCTCCATGTTGGTCAAGCTGGTCTTGAACTCCTGACCTCAGGTGAGCCACCCACCTCGGCCTCTCAAAGTGCTGGGATTACAGGCGTGAGCCACCGTGCCCAGCAATTTTTTGTATTTTTAGTAGAGATGAGCTTTCGCCATGTTGGCCAGTCTGGTCTCGAACTCCTGACCTCAGGTGATCCACCCGCCTCAGCCTCCCAAAGTGCTGAGATTATAGGTGGAGCCACGGTGCCCGGCCCTTTTTTTTTTTTTTTAAATGGAATCTCGCTCTGTTGCCCAGGCTGGAGTGCAATGGCACAATCTTGGCTCATTGCAACCTCTGCCTCCTGTGTTCAAGCGATCCTCCCACCCCAGCCTCCCAAGTAGCTGGGATTATTAAATGTGCGTCACCATGCCTGGCTAATTTGTGGGTGGTTTTTTTTTTTTTTTTTTTTTTTGAGATGGAGTCTCGCTCTGTCGCCCAGGCTGGAATGCAGTGGCTCAATCTCGGGTCACTGCAACCTCCGCTTCCCGGGTTCAAGCGATTCTCCTGCCTCAGCTTCCTGAGTAGCTGGGACTACAGGTGCCCGCCACCACACCCGGCTAATTTTTTGTATTTTTTGTAGAGATGGGGTTTCACCATGTTGGCCAGGCTGGTCTCAAACTCCTGACCTCAAGTGGTCCGCCCGCCTTGGCCTCCCAAAGTGCTGGGATTATAGGCGTGAGCCGCCGCACCTAGCCAGTACCCACATCTTGGTCAGAGAATAAAAAGGAAGAGTCGGTAAATACACAGCAAGTATTAGGGAAAGGAGGGACAGAAACTAGAGAAACACAGATCTCAGTACATACAGGAGAGTTGACACAGCATCATTATAGTCCACTGATGGGTGGCGCTGGGAACTTGGGAGACACCAACACGTTGGAGTCAGGGCTATGGGACAGGTGTGGGGGGCAAGTTGGGGAGGACCGCTAACCCCTGATCATTCAGGCTCCACCCCCAATGCAAAATTGTAATGCAACCAACCAGCTCTGTTCAGTACTTCCCCCAGGAGAGAAAATCAGTCAGACTAGATGAAGAGATTAGACTGCTCACTGTACCAAGCCCATTAAGGCAGGAAAGTAGACTCTTATCTTAAAAAGCTTTTCCCCCCTCTACACAATAAGGGTTTTCTAGCTAACGATTTTCAGTGAAACAGAAAATCTGATCAATCAGAATGCCCCATTCCCCAGATTTCTCATTAACTGTGATTTTGTTGCTTTTCACAAAGCCTTTGGGAACTTTTAAATGACCAACTTTGCAGGTATATATGCAATTCTGGAAATGGTATTAAAAAGCATACTTACGGCCGGGTGCCGTGGCTCATGCCTGTAATCCCAGCACTTTGGAAGGCCGAGGTGGGGGTGGATCACTTGAGGCCAGGAGTTCAAGATCAGCCTGGCCAACATGGTGAAATTCTGTCTCTACTAAAAATATAAAAATTAGCCCAGCCTGGTGGCAGGCACCTGTAGTCCCAGCTACTCGGGAGGAGGGGGTACGAGAATTGCTTGAACCCAGGAAGGCAGAGGTTACAGTGAGCTGAGACTGCACCATTGCACTCCAGCCTGGGCAACAGAGTGAGACCCTGTCTCAAAAAGAAAAAAAAAAGGCATACTTAACAGATGAAATCCATATGGTGTCTGGAATGTGCTTCAAAATAATGGAGGTGGGCGTGAGGTCTTAGAAAAAAACAAAATTGGCCCTGAGTTGATCATTGTTAAACTGGATAGTGGTCATTCATTATGATGAAGGGGCTCATTATACTATTCTCCACTTCTGTGTACTGAAGATTTTCTGAACTAAAAAGGTAGAAAGTACATGCATTAAACTTCAGGATAAGTTCAATCACACCACCCTATACAAATCTAATTTCAGATCTTTACCGAAAATAAGGGAAACCATGTTCTACAGAATCGAGTCCACATCAAGATGAAATGCTTTTCACACCATTTAGAGATTAGTCTTATAGCTACAATTACTCAAGTTGAAGTTTTGAAATTACCTACGCAGTCTTCAGAGTCAACGCCTACTGTCGCTCAACCTACCCCCTCTGATCCCCCTTTCCTCCCCTGCCCCACCAGTCCCAGGGTGTGGGCAGAGGCAGCTGGAGCAGGATGGGCTCCAGGAGAGTTCATCCACAGGCTGTCTCGATATCTGCTTCCTGCCAGGTCTGTGCGAGGTACGGCACCAGGCCCTCGTCCTGGTGGGCTCAGAATCTGGTGGGGAAGAGAAACTGAGTAATTCAACATGATCGGTGTCCTGAGAGCCGCTCCGAGGCCCGACTCCATGTGTGCGTGCACCTGTGTGGTGGGGAGGGAATATGAAGGCTGGTTTCTGAGGATCTGATGTTTAAGGAAAGACCTGAAGGAAAAGAGTGGAGATGGGGAAGGGCTGGGACAGAGGAGACAGACCTTGGGAAAACTGTAAACAGCAAAACCAAACCAAACCTGGTGTGTTCAGAAAACGAAAAAAACAGCAAAGAAAGCAGGGGAGGGGCTTCCCTGAGGGCCTGGGCCTTTATCTGGAAAGCGCTGGAAGGACTGAAGAGAAGAGTGACCTGGCTAGACTTGGGCTTTTTAAAGCTCGTGCTATGATGTGGAGGATGGATGAGGCCACTACTTGAGCTGCTTGGGCAATGACGTGACTTGGATGGGGGTGATGGCAGCAGGGATGGAGAGAAGCGGATGTGTATTTAGAAGAAACTGAGAAGAGAAACTTGGCAGGACTTGGTATTGGGAGGGGAGAGGAAGGACATCAGGGATAATTCTCTGGATTTGGGCTTGGGTGAGTGGTGGATGGTGAGGCCACTTACAAGAGGGAAAAGCCCGGTTAGGCTTCTCTGACCCATGTAGCCTCGCTACCTCGGACATGACTCCGGTTTGTCTGTAATGGAATTAACCACGCCACCACCTTGAGAAATGTGCAGAGCTGTACGTGCCCCTGCAGCAGCCGGAAATGTTAAGCCTGAGCAGGGCCCAGTGAACATCAAGGAATAGGACTCCAGGGCACCGGCCTCGCTCCCTCTGGATCCTGCTCCTGTCCTGCTCCTGTCGCTGCTACTCCCTCCCCAACCCATCCAAACTCTGCTTTCTCCTCCAATCATGCCCCTACCATCTTTTAGGATCCCAGGTAGGTATGGAGCTGCGCTCAAAACATTAACACAGACCCCTGCTGCTGAGCTCAGTGGAAACCGAGTTCCTTCCAGCCCAAAGGAGTCTGTGAGGCGCTCACCTTTCCCTCTAGGACCCCCGGCTCTCAAGGCCCAGGCTTGCTTTGTGTCTCCTCGGGGGAGGTATGGGGGTTTGATCAGACAAGAGCTTGTGTATCAACCCACTGCATTCTACATCGAGATCCAGATCTGGGCAGTCATCTGGTGAAGCAACCCCATGGCTCTGTGCGGGGCTGTGTCTTCTCGCTGGGTCACCCTGTCCAGGCACAGGGCGCCAGATGGGTGGGCGCGGGGCCCAGGAAAACGACAGAGAAAAGCTGCTACATTAAACGAAGATGAGCCAAACCTTCTCAGCACCTGAACAAAGGAACAGTTCTACTGGCCAGCTTTCTAGTCTTTCCCATCTCTGGTATTGGGTCAATAACGAGGAGGGGAACCACAGTGCCTGGAGGCTCCCACTGTGACTGAGGATCTTGCAGAGCTGGGCCAGTGCTGGCTGTGCTGATGACTGCACTCTCTAAGCACAGAGCTCCACGGGCTACTGAACACTTGGACACATGTGATTTCACGTGAAACTGTCAAGCGTGCAGGCCTGGTGCTCTTTGCCCAAGTCCCGGATGAGGAAACGGGAGGTTTATAGGGGCACCAGTGAGTTCTGTCCATCTGGGTGCGGCCTGGAGCAGTGGCCTGCCTCACTAGCCCCTGCTGAGGCCACAGGCAGAACCCGCCACACTGGGCCTTTCTCATCAGCCTTTGTGGGGAGGCCTGTCTTTAGAAGAGGAGCACCGACTTTCTGGACACACCTCTAGAATCGCCCTCCCACCCTGGGCCTCTTCCCCACCCAATGCCTCCATCCCAGGCTTATCACACCTCCCGAGGTTAGAAGGAGTGAGCTGGCCAAGGGCATCGCTATGCTCAGATCTCTTCATTTTCCCATCTCTTCCACTGCTGCAACAGGATAGTATTTAAGGCCACACATCACAGGCTTTTCAAAAAAAATAAGGTGTCTTTATTGTCTTGGATGCAAATATAGTTTAAAAAATGCATTGTAGTGTTGAATACAGCTGGTGGAAACGTGCTTCTTGACAGCAGAGCAATCAGAGGGGTGTACTCAGGGTGACGTGGACCGGAGGGGGCCTCTGGCCAAACCAGACTCTTCTCTGGTTTGTTCTTCAGACCACGAGGTGGAACCATCTCTTCAAAGGAGCCCTGCCACCATCACCAAAGCTCACACCAGAAAAAACCGCCATTTACACAACAAACTGAACCTGAAAAAGGAACGGAACATGGTGCTTCCGCCGTGAACAAAATCAGCAAGTGAATCCGTTTTCCTTTCCCGGGCTGTTCGAAAAAGATTCGGCTAGAGAAAAGGGGGCACTGTGGGCAGCCCGTAGGGGATGGCCTGGAGCTGTGGGGCCCGGGCTGAGCCCTCCCTGCCTTTTAACTGCAGGATGTAAACTCTATGGAAATGTATAGAACTTCAGTTTCTCCCAACCCTCCACAACCTCAACTCTTGAGACCACCAAATAACTGTTAGGAAACGCAGAAGAGAGTCCTTCAAATGAGCTACACCCAGGTTCAGAGCGCAGAACCAACAGTGTGACTGGGGCATGGAGGTAAATTCTGACACGATTGGAGGGGAATTTCACAAAACAAAATTCCATGAAGTCAACACGCACACGCGCGCGTGCACACACACACACACACACGCATACACACAAAGTCAACATTCAACGTGAAGAGTTCCCTTTTCTTTCTCGAAGGTTGGTTTTTGCAAGCCCTGACAAGCAAAGAGTCCCTTGCGGTGGCCAGGGGGGCCAAGACCTCAGAATGAAAAGCCCACAGCTGCTCTGTCCTCACCCGCTCTGGAGGCCAGCCCTGGTACAGGCATGGGGGTGGGGGTCCTAAAACCCTTCGTCAGCGTTCCTGGAGCCCTTGCCAAGCTTACCATGTGCCCCATGCGTGTCCCTCACATCACAAAAACCTGTCCAGCCGCCCAAGGCCATGGTGTCCACCGAATGCCACAAACATGCTGCTGAGCCTCAAAGCTCTTCAACCTCCCACCTTGCTGTCCCCTCTCCCCTGACAAGTGTGCAGACAAGGTAAAAATCCCCCAAAGCAGAGATGTCGAGGGCCCGGAGCCACACACCACATCCCCGTGCATCTTTGGCACTCTGGCTGGCCACTGCTGCACACGCTGCCTGCCCGGATCAGTGCTGTCCAGCCCTCCTTTCCCTTCCCCAAGGAAACGCTGGGCCAAGCTGAGCTCCAAAACAGGTGGGTTCCTCTGGGGCCGGGGAGCAGGTGTTGAGGGAAAGGCCACTTTCCCACCAGAGGGAAAAGAGAGAGGCTCAACTCACACCCAGGCTGCCTGCTAGGAGGCCTCAGGCGGGCGAGGCAGCGGCCAGGCGACAAGGGAAAGGGACAGCTGAGGGCGAACGGGGGTGATGAGACGGGCCCTCCAAGCCTTCCCACGTCAGAGCCAGGGTAAGGAAAAGAGCTGGACCAAAGCAAGGTCCATCTGCCAGTGCATAACCAGGCCCACAGCACCCCAAATCCCCCACACACAGGGGTCCACTGGCCCGGGACAGGCCCAGCTCCACACCCATGAGTTCTGAGAGCCTAACGTACTGTCCAGCAGACAGCGAGACCTCACCATCTTGAAAACCTGAACCTGCCACCTCAGGTTCACCCGGGGGCCAGCTAGGGCCTTGGAGGAAGGGGCCTCGCCAGTTCTCAGCTGCAGCTCCCCTCTATGAGAGAGACCCTTACCTGCACCCCAGCTGCCGGCAGGGCCAGTCATGGCTGTGCACGGAGATGAGGTGGGTGTGTAAGCCCCCCAACGTCAGCAACAGACAGAGGTGCTGCCTGCCACTGTGCTACTTTATCTGGGCAGGGACTGGGGGTGCCATGCCCTCTAAGAATCCAAATTTACATCCTCTTAGCCAGAGCAGAGAAACCTTAGGATTGACTTCTAGAAAAGGGAGTGTGGTCAGGGCCCATGGGCGGGAAATGGGAGGGCTGGCTGACGGCTGACCCCACTCCCCTGGCTGACAGCTCCGGGACCATGCGCAGCACTGGGGGGGTCTGCTGCTTTCCAGCCCCTTCCCCTCAACCAGACCCAATGCTGTCATCAGCACCAATGGCCAGCGCTGCTATTGCTTCCTGCGGTAAAATCCTTCAAAGTAGAGATGTCCTAAGAAGGCAGCTAGCCAGCCCGCCCAGGGTGCCGGATGCTGCGTGGCCTGCTGGCCGACTCCAAGAAAAGCCCTCAGTGGCGCCTGCCCCGCTCTGGGGTCTCCCACCCACCATGGAAGGCAGCAGTGCAGTGCAGGGGCTGACAGCACAGGGCAATTTATCAGAAACCCGCCCAGGGATTTATACGCCAGCAGGCCTTCTGGTTTTTCTTTTTGGATTTTCTATTTTTTTCTTCTTTTTTTTTTTGAGATAGGGTTTTGCTCTGTCACCCAGGCTGGAGTGCAGTGGTACAATCTCAGCTCACTGCAACCTCCGCCTCCCAGGTTCAAGTGATTCTCCTGACTCAGCCTCCCGAGTAGCTGGGATTACAGGCGTGTACCACCACACGTGGCTAATGTTTTGTATTTTTAGTATAGACAGGGTTTCACCATGTTGGTCAGGCTGGTTGTGAACTCCTGACTGCAGGTGATCCACCCGCCTTGGCCTACCAAAGTGCTGGGATTACAGGCGTGAGCCACCACAGTCTGCCTCTATTTTCTTTTATTTAGAGGCAGGGTTTCACTCTGTCATCCAGGCTGGAGTACAGTGTGGCATGATCATAGCTCACTGCAACTTCTAGGCTCAAGCAATCCTCCAGCCTCAGGCCCAAGTAGCTGGGACCACAGGCACTCACTGCTACACACGGCTAAATTTTTTTTTTTTTTTTTTTTTTTTGTAGAGACAGGGTCTTGTTATGTTGCCAGGGTTGGTCTCCAACTCCTGAGCTCAAGTGATCCTTCAGCTTCAGCCTCCCAAAGTGCTAGGATCACAGGCAGGAGCCACCGTGCCCAGCCAAGATTGATTTTCTTACTCTCCAAAGCGTCAGCATTTTGAAGTTTCTTTTATGAAAGTGGGGGCAAGAATCAGGGTGAAAATGAGTGTAAACAAAGCCCATCCTGTGGTCAGCACCCACTGGAGGTGGCCAGCAGAGTGGCCTCAGATGTTCCTGCACCTGGCCCAGGAGCCCAGGACAGAGGTCAAATCTAGGCCCCTTGGTCTGGCTGGATTCATCAGGCAAGATTCGAAAACAAGAAAACCTCTAGAACAAGAAACAATCATGTCTGCAGCAGATACGGCACTGTGGCCCTATGGCCATGGCAATCGTGAGCACCAAGAGAATGAGTTACAGAAATATCTCCAATACAAAGACATGCATCTCCTGGACAGTGGACAGTCGCTGGGACACACACACACACTTCAAGGCTCACACAACCTAACAGCCTTAAATATCTGAAGAAACAGAATCACGACATTAAGTCAGCAGAGGGAGAGGTAGGCTGAAGCAGCAGGAGGCCAATTTTATATCCCACAGATTTTTTTAAAAATGACTCCCCAGCAAGGGGTGGGGAGAAAGCCACTGATTTAGGAGAGTTCTTGGCTCAGCCAACCACTGCGGTTATCTACACGTTTTACAAAGGCACAGAAGTAGAGAGGGGCTGCACTCACGACCCTCCCCAGGGCCCGCACAGCCAGACACGGTGGGTTCTTCCTTTTTCCCTTCTGGCCTTGGTGGAATTCCTACCACGGTGGCCTCTGCCTTTGGGACAATGCCTTCATGCTCATCCCCGGGTCAAGGATGGAGTCTGTTACCATTTTCCAGGGGAAATTCCAAGGACCAGCCCCGCCTCATTACGTTCACCCCACAGGAAGGTGATCTGGAAAGCCTGTAAACACGTACTCTGGGTGGCTGAGTGGTGTCACCAAGCTGCTTTTGTGCAGGGCTGAAGCACAGACAAGAGGGCAGGCAGCTGGCCGGAGGCCTGAAGTGGGGAGAGATCCCCGCAGGCCTGCAGGAGCCAGGGAGAACCTCCAACTGGATCTAAACTGTGGGACAGCCCAGGCGTGCCCCTCTTCACATGGCTCCCAGGCTCCCTCAAAGCCCTTCCCAGGCCCTGCAGGAAGAGAGGGAGGGTGAGGAGAGGCAGGGAGGGCAGAGGTCGCCTGAAAGCCTGGGCTCCGAACTCCTCAGCAGAGCTTTAAAGTGCATTCTTTCCACGAGGAGGTACCCTCGGCCGGGCTTCCTGAGTGCTGGAGAGAGTGCTTGCCCCTGCAGCTCCCTGCAGAGGTAGCCAGAGAAGAGCAAGGACTGAGGCTGGGCCAAACTCTCACTGCAGGCTCAGAATGGCCCCCAGCCCAGCCACACCTCCACCCAGCCCAGATCTGGGTAGATTCTTTGCTGTCTGATCTGAGAGATGCCTAGAAACAGCTCTGAGGGCTGACCACCACAGAGTGCTGCCTGCCAACATTGTTTCCTTCTCCAAACACAAGACGGGACAGACTTTTGAGTGTGGGGGCATCTTTGGTCCGAGAACTGTCCTGGTTTGGGGCTCCCAGCTGAAAGACATCAGACAAGATGACAAGGCTGACAGCAGGACGTGGAGTCTGATCTTTCAGACACTAGAACTTCAGGGTTCTAAGCTCCCACAGGACATGCTTGATCTGTCAACAGCTGCAGCTGGAGCCAAGTGGAGAAGAACGGCAGAAGGGCCACAGCGGTGAGGTGACATCCGAGAAGGCCCTGGGCTGAGTCCCCATGGATCCTGCAATGTCAGGTGGAGCTAAAAGGGGACAGATGAAACATGCCCAGCAGGGCCTCTCAGCCAGAGCAGCCACCGTGCATCACACGCTTCCATTCTGGTCCTGTGTGTTCCACATCCACCGTTTCTGCACACATGTGTCCTGGAGGACCTCTGAAGAAGGCACTTCCCCCTGGCAGCCTGCCATGCATAAGCCTGAATAGAAGCCCAAGTCCATCCACAAGGGCTGGGTGCTGTCAGAGTTGAGGGGAGAAAGAAAGACGCCTTCCAACTGCCCCACGGGCAGACCAGAGAGTGGAGCAGGGCATCAGGCAGAGGCATGCATGTGGACAGGACGTGGCAGGAGGGACAAGGCTGGGCCTCAGGACAGGAGCAGGCCCTGTCACCCTCATCCCATCGATTCCGCTCACCGGCGCCAGGCCCGGCAGGCCACCAGCAGGGCAGGACCAGCACGGCCAGCACTTCCCTTTTGTGTGGGCTGCCCCGAGGGCAGAGGAGGTTGGTGACTGAGGTCACTGAGTGAGAGAGTTCACAGCAAGGGGTTCCCAAAGGCGGGCTATTGCTGTCAGCAGGCCCCAAACCTGCTTCAGACCTGAGCATGGCCTCCCGATGCCACGGTGGGCCGGCAGAGTTGGAGAGAGGCCCCGAGGCTGAGCGTCAGGAAGGGCTGGGGGGCGCAGCCTACTCTCCATGGGCAGGGAAGGGTCTCCTGGCATCTCATGCGGCCACATGCCAGCTAAGCAGCTAGGACTCTCCCAATCTCTTGCCAATCCTGGTGACAGCCTTGGACGCCTGCTCTGGCAGCTGTGCCGGGTCTGTGAGGATGGAGGTGGAGGTGCTCAGCTGCCGCAGCGTGCTCAATACCACTGCAAGACAGAAAGGGTCAGACACAGGCAGTGACACAGACCCACCACACACCGCACACTCGGCTTTGTACCTACAACCCATGTGGGAATGCTCAGGCACGGGGCGAGCAGCAGCCATGCTGGACTGCAGGGAGGAGTGCCAGGGGCCGACACCGAGACCTGGGCACTCACCCCTCTGCCTCCAGAAGCCTCCCCAAATCCAGGAGCTGCCGTAGGTGGAGCATCCTATGCTGTTCCTGGTGCCATGGGGCTGCCAGCTGTTCTGATATTAAGCTTCTATAACCTTAACATATGGGATAATCTTTGCTTGTTGTTATAAGAATTAAACAAGAAAACACACCTGAAGGCACCTGATACAGGGCCTGGCAAATAGTTGGCACTAGATCCATGCAAGCTGGGTCTGAACAAGCTGGGAGACACAAAA
This sequence comes from Homo sapiens, assembly GCF_000001405.40. NCBI lineage: Eukaryota > Metazoa > Chordata > Mammalia > Primates > Hominidae > Homo > Homo sapiens. The sequence goes on along the minus strand of NC_000012.12, from coordinate 122,141,266 downwards.
GGGCAGGAGCCTCCTGCCCCCACTGGGCGCTCCTGACTGAGGACCTCCTGGACAGCACTGTGCCCCTGCCCCGGCCCCACCTGGCTGCCTGCAGTGGAGTCTGGCTAATACTGTCCTCAGCCTGGGGCTGTCCTCCCTCCAGGACTAGCATGAAGCCCCCCACCCTGGCACTGCCCCACTCACTCGGCCTGAGGATGGGCAGGGAGCAGTGCTGGTCCAGCCAGGAGAGCGCCGTCCGGTGCAGCTCCTCCAGGCTGCTGGTGGACACCATGCCCTTGAACGACTCAAACAGCGGCTTGATGATGATGCTGAACTGCAGTGTGTGGTTAAAGAAAAGGCAAGCACGGAGAGGGGCTGGGGACTGCAGACCCGAAGGTGGTTGGACTGGCGTACTCCTTTCCCCTGGGGCTGGAAAGTATCTGCCCACAGAGAATGGATCACTGGGGAAAAGAGGGAGAGATCTCTAGGCAAGGTGTGTCTTCCACTTCATGAAAACACTCTGCTCTAACTGTACCTGGACAACAGGGCCGCTCAAGCACCGAGCAGGCAGGGGACAGGGACACAGAAGGTCTCTAGTCTGGAACAGGTCCTAGCACAAACATGCGATCAAAATCGTTCTTACATACAGTGCCAGGAACATCAAAGGCACAGAGCAGGTGGAAAGGCAGAAGCCAGCCGGGCGCGGTGGCTCACGTCTATAATCCCAGCACTTTGGGGGGCTGAGGTGGGTGAATCACTTGAGGTCAGGAGTTTGAGACCAGCCTGGCCAACATGGTGAAACCCCATCTCTACTAATACAAAAATTAGCTGGGCGTGGTGGTGGGTGCCTATAATCCCAGCTACTTGGGAGGCTGAGGCAGGAGAATCGCTTGAACCCGGGAGGCGGAGGCTGCAGTGAGCCGAGATTGCACCACTGCACTCCAGCCTGGGTGACAGAGCAAGACTCTGTTCTCAAAATAAATAAATAAATAAATAAAGGCAGGAGCCATCTGCCTGAAAGTGGCGTTTGCCTTCTGTGTTAAATGCAAAAGTGCATGCCAGTCTCCTAGACCATCTTAGTGAAGGCCTGAGGCATGTTTCCCCTCGGACTTTGATCAGGACGGCACTCACAGTTCCTCCACCTCGGCCTGATGATGGGGAGTATGCCATTTCATCAAAGAAGCTCTGATTCATTCCAGACGCCACCCAGCTCTATTAATGACAGGGATCAGGACCAGGGCAGGCAGTAAAACAGCAACACAGAGGAATCAGAGCTGGTGCCTGTCATCTCTTCAATTAAAAACTGCCTCTTATGGCCGGGCACGGTGGCTCACGCCTGTAATCCCAGCACTTTGGGAGGCCAAGGCAGGGGGATCACCTGAGGTCAGGAGTTTGGGGCCAGCCTGGCCAAAATGGTGAAACCCCATCTCCATTAAAAATACAAAAATTAGCCGGGCGTGGTGGCATGAGCCTGTAGTTCCAGCCACTCAGGAGGCTGAGGCAGGAGGAACACTTGAGTCTGGGAAGGTGGAGGCTGCAGTGAACTGTGATTGTACCACTGCACTCCAGCCTGGGTGACAGAGTGAGACCCTGTCTCAGGGGGAAAAAAGAAACAAACAAAAACACTCTGTCCCTTCCAGCACACACAGGTGCTGCGCCCTGCCCTGCCCGATAGCTGCAGCTGGGATTCTCTCCTCCTGCACGACCGTCACCTCTGACTGTCAGACCCTTGCCCCAATGCCACGGTCAACCCAACACATGTGCCGACCGTTTACTCAGAGGCAGAGCGGTGGCAGGGTGGGGAGTGACCAGGCGGGAACCACTCCCCGTGAGAGCCGTGCTGCCACCTGGAAGGCTGAGTGCAAGGTGGCCTTGGCACGAGAGCCCCTAGAGGTGGACATGCTCCATTAGGCTTCAAATTGGGCTCTACCACTCAGTGGAGGGAGTCCTGGTTTCCGCCTGTCACAGCAGGGGTGGCACTCACCCTCCCTGTGGCTTCGAGGACCGAGCTGGCTGCCAGGCTGTGTGGAACCATGCCTCCTTCCCCTGCACCTTCTGCAAGTGGCTCTAGCATTGTCCTGATTTCTTAAGGACCTAGAGAGCGAAGCCCACCGTTCTACCTCCCTAGCCCTTCCTGCAAAGCACCCTGAAGCCCCATCAGCACCTCCAGCCCACACAGCAGGCCAGGCCGGACCACTCTCTCCCGAGATAGACACTAGCACTGCCTGTCGTGAGGAGCTTGGTGACAGGCATTTAAAGAGTCTTTCTAAAGTAACTACAGTGCCACGGTCTGTGGCTTCAGTGCATTGGCTGAGGGCCGGGAAGAGCAAAAAGAAAACCCAAAGATACAATCCAGAACTTCCAATTCTGCAAGGTCCGGGTTTTCACGTATTCGTCAAACATGTCTTTCATGTGATCAAACTGGCGCCGGGTAACGGGGACTCCCGTGGCAGGGAGCAGCTGCTGGCAGGAGCTGAAATGACAGGAGCCGTGGGAGCTGTGGAGCAGCCAGTGGCCAATAAGGACCCTGGGACAAAAGATGGCAGGGCTGGCCCAGTGCCGGGCCACAGCCAGGCACAGAGAAGAGAGGTCTGTGGAAGGAGGTTGACAAAGAGCAGAACTACTGCAGCAAAGAGGCACTGACCAGTGATGAGGCCACAGGGTCCCACCACCTCTGAGGCAGGCCCTGCATCGGGATGGGGTGCCTGGTTGGAGCCCCAAGGCCCAGAAGCTCACATGATGGTGGCATTGAGCTCCTCGATCTCCTCCCGCAGCCGCCGGGCCTCCTCCTGCATCTGGCCTCTCTCCTGCTGCAGCTTGGTGATGTACTCCACAGTCTTCTGCAGTGTGATGGCGTGACTGGTCTGCAGAAGGGGCAGGTGGCTGGAGGCAGCACCCACAGCCAGCAGGCCTGCCACCAGCAATGACCACGCAGGGAGCACGTCCTGCCAGCTCCCCTGCCCTGCCACAGCCCACGCTCTTGGCAACTCACCAGCTTGGAATTGTTGGAGATGAGGCTGTTGAGCATGTCGAAGCACATCTTGATGTTGAAGCGCCTTTTCTGCTCAGCTGAGATGTGCTTCATCTGCCGGTTCTGCTGGAGAACCCGCTGGTCACTAAGACAGGCACATTGCAGGCACACTGTCCACCCTTCCTCACCCCCTACGCTGATCCTGGGTGCCCAAGGGCCAGGGCTAGAGAGCTACGTGGGAGGAGGGCACGACGAGAAGCTGAAGGCTCCAATGAGGAGCCGGAGGGACAAGACTGGGAACCACAGAAAACCCGCTCTGCAGAATGGTGCACAGCTGGGGCTGGGAACGGCAGGGCTGAACCGGTGCATCCCAGGTGCTGCAAGCTCCGCCTTCCCCACCCAGCCCTGCCTCCTCCCCACAGCACAGCTCTGGTGGTGGCCACACCCCTCCTGCAACTGATGCGGGCAGCCTGAGCAGTACCTGCACACTACGTGGACTCAGCGTTGGCTCCCAGGCTTGGGGCTCACCCAAAAGCCTCCAGGGGGCCCACCATCCCCACAGGGCTGGTTCGTGGCATGGGGCAAGGAGAAGCCCATTTCTGATCCACCCCTGCCTGGGCAGCTCTGGCTGGGTCTGAGGTCTCCGTTCCAGACAAGACACAGATCCTTGATGTCCTGCACTCCTCTCCCCTCCTCCCAAGGGAACCAAGAGGAGACATGCGGTACCTTTAGTGCAGCCACATTTTTGGGGTCGGATTTCCCTGAGCAGTTGTTCTGGGGAGATTGAGGACTGGGGCTCTGCTCCGATGCACACGGAGAGGCCTGCCCTGAGTTTGGGCAGTCCCGACCTGGTAAGAACAGACTCCTCTGAGGGGCGGAGGCCTGGCCCCTCAACGCCACCAGGAGGCAGCCTGGGGTCTCTGCAGGGTTATGAGGTGCTCGCTGCTAGCCACGTATTGCACTTGGTTCTTTCAACTGCACACACATGCTTCCTTAGATTATTCTTATTCACTCCCTGAAAATCTTAAATTAATAACAACAACAAAAACACCCTTAATCCACACAGAACACGATGGAGCAACCCTGTGTGACGTGTTCCAGTCACTGGTGTCGCTTTACGAGATATTTCGCAGGTGGGCTCTTTATTATTATTATATTTTTTAATTAAAAAACATTTTTTATAGAGCCAAGGTCTCACTATATTGTCTAGGCTGGTCTCAATCTCCTGGGCTCAAGCGATCCACCTGCCTCTGCCTCCCAAAGTGCTAGGATTAGAGGAGTGAGTGACCGTGCTCAGTCCCAGGTGGACTCGGCCTTCTCGGCCCATTCTGCTTTACTGTAACAAATGCCTCCGCTTCCTTTCCTCTCTGCTGGATTATTTTCCCCAAACTCCCCGTGAGGCTGTGCAGCAGGCTCTAAGTTCTGTGTTCTGAGACTCCGGAGACCAAGGCAATGGTTGGCCCTAACCTCTCCCTCGATTATTTGAGGGGCCTGACTCCCAACTCTCTTGTTTCTATCTTTCCAGACTGAAGAGTCCTTACTCTCCAAAGCCTGTCCTTGGAAAAGGCCCCTGCTGGCTGAGCCCACTAAGTCAGAGACCCTCCCTCATTCGCGTCTTCCTGAGGGAAGAGGGAGACAACTGTTTGCTCAGAGTTCCAGGAGCAGCTACACCATGCCTTTGTTTGTTTGAGATTGAGTCTCGCTCTGTCACCCAGGCTGGAGTGCAGTGACTCGATCTCAGCTCACTTCAACCTCCACCTCCTGGATTCAAGTGATTCTCCCATCTCGGTCTCCTGAGTAGCTGGGACTACAGGTGCATGCCACTAAGCCCTGCTTTTTTTTTTTTTTTTTTTTTTTGCATTTTTTGATAGGGACAAGGTTTCACCATGTTGGCTGGGCTGGTCTCGAACTCCTGACCTCAAGTGATCCACCTGCCTTAGCCTCCCAAAGTGCTGGGCGTACAGGCATGAGCCACTGCGCCTGGCCTACACCATGCATTTATTTAAGAAAAGAGGCCATTTCCATTTCCCTTCCTGGTATGGCAGGCATTTGAGGGAAGGGGCCCCATCTGCCCACACCCTCTACCAGCAGCACAGCCTCGGGCACACCATTTGTCCCTGATCTGGCCTGTTGGCTCCTCAGATGTCCCTGGGCAAAATCAGTCCTGCTCTGACTATCTTGCCCCTGGATGGCCTAAGAGTGGACATGGGCCACAGACCTGTAGTGCTGAGACCTGCTGGGGAAGGCCACGTTGGTGCCCAGATGAGGCTGGACGGCTTCTGTGGCCACAGCAACCCCAGGCTGATGCTCCCAGAGACAGGAAGCCCAGGGCTCCTCAATCCCTTCTCTGGGTGAGATCAGCAGCTCAGTACCAGGCCTTCGTGGGCAGTCAGCAGGGACTCCCCGAGCACACGGGTCACCTACACTGCCACATGTTCACTACTTTTTGCCCTGCCAGTGCCACCACATTTCATCCTGCCACCCACAGAGCGTGTTCCCAGACTGTGTTATCAGCAGGCCTACAAGACCTCACTGTGTGTCCTAAGCCCAGGCTCCGTCCTGGGGACCCAGCAAGCACCCCCCATGGTCTACGGCAGGCCCAGTTACTTCCCTTGCGATGCCCCAACCATCCCGCCGAGTGAACACTCACTGGGCCCTGTGACAGTGACCTGGGGGCTGCCCCCATGCAGCGGGACCTGCTCGCCCTTCCCCAGGGGGTCTTGCGCTGTGCTTGGGAAGAGCCGGGAGACGGGGGCAGGCGGGCTGCTCGTGCCATGGCCGAGATCTGTCACCAGGATGCTGCTGTGGAACTCCGGGACCCCAGGAGCCTGCAGTGACATGGGAGACAGGTCACCCCTGACTGCTGATATACAGCAGGGCGGCACACCAGTCGTCTCAGGTGAGGGCCGCCCAAGATCAGAGTGCTCCGGGGTGAGAAGGACACTGCAGGTCTGCCTAGGGCCCTCCTCACCCTGGCGATGGCAGCAGGCGCAATGACCACGTTGGACTGGGACACGGTGGAGGCCAACATCCCTTCTCTCTTCAGAGGCCCTGACGTCATGATCACCGCTTGTGGTTGGCCTGAAAAGGCAGCTGCCAGGATAAGGAGGATGTTCAGGTGCAGCCCTGGGCCACAGGGCCTGGCCCACCCTGCAGAGGCTGCCTCTCTGCCAGTGAGACAGCTTGTTCTCAACCCCAGGGGACAGGAAGACAAAGCCACCAAGGCACCTAAAACCATTTGTGTGACTTCTTGAAGGAGACATGTTATAGACCCAGGAAAGAGATGGCCAGGACCATGTTTTCACACTGTAGGTTGTGACTAACTTTAAAAAAAAGATAGAGAGGCTGGGTGCAATGGCTCACATCTGTAATCCCAGCACCTTGGGAGGCCGAGGCAGGTGGATCACCAGAGGTCAGGAGTTCGAGACCAGCCTGGCCAATGTGGTGAAACCCCATCTCTACTGAAGATACAAAATTAGCCAGGTGTGGTGGCACATGCCTGTAATCTCAGCTACTCAGGAGGATGAGGCAGGAGAATCACTTGAACCCGGGAGGCAGAGGTTGCAGTGAGCCAAGATCATGTCATCTCACTCCAGCCTGGGCAATAACAGTGAAACTCCGTCTCAAAAAAAAAAAAAAGAGAATAGAGACTGGGTGTGGGGGCTCACACCTGTAATCCCAGCACTTTGGGAGGCCAAGGTGGGCAGATCGCCTGAGATCAGGAGTTCGAGACCAGCCTGGCCAACATGGTGAAACCCCATCTCTACTAAAAATACAAAAAATTAGCTGGGTGTAGTGATGGGCGCCTGTAATCCCAGCTAACTCGGGAGGCTGAGGCAGGAGAATCACTTGAACCCAGGAGGCGGAGGTTGCAGTGAGCCGAGATCACACCACTGCACTCCAGCTAGGCGACAGAGTGAGACTCCATCTCAAAAAACAAACAAACAAACAAAAATTAGCCGAGTATAGTGGCGCACACCTGTAATCCCAACTACTCGGGAGGCTGACGAAGGAGAATCGCTTGAACCCGGGAGGGGGCGGTTGCAGTGAGCCGAGATTATGCCACTGCACTCCAGCCTGGGCAACAGAGACTGTCTCAAAAAAAAAAAAACCAAACAAAAAAACAAAAAAGATAGAGCATAGAAAACGGACTAGATCATGGCCATGTATTATTTCATGACACTTTTGTTTCATTTAAGTGTATGTGTGTGCGCATGCACGTGCACACCAGGGTGGTGGTGGTGGTCACAAGTTTGAAAGCCTTTGGGATGGGAAAACATCCCTCTGGGTCGGGGGGAGCCCCGCACTGAGTCTCCCCGCCTGGCTCACCTGGGGCGATACGGGCATTCTTCAACACCAAGGACACGGGCTCTGGTTTGGGAGCAGGCACTATTTTGTGGGGCTGCTTAGGCCTGCCCCCAGTCAAGGATACAGGTTTGGGGTGCACAAAAGTTAACCGTGGCTGGGGAGGCCGGGTGACAGGAGACAGTGCCAGCCCACAAGGGGCCGCTGACGGGGCAGGGTGATGGGTGGTGATCACAAGGCCCTGACTCTGGCTAAAGGTGGTGGCGGGGGCATCGTGGGTGAGGGTGGCAGAGGCCGTGTGGGTGATGACAGACGGCGCTTTGTTGACTCCAGCAAACTTCTGTGGCTGATGGAAGGTGGGTGGAGCCGGGGGGTTCAGGGCAGTGGCAGGAGGAGGAACTAATGGTAACACGGGGGAGATGGGCGGTGGGGCGGGGCTGGGAGACAGCAGGGGCATGGTGAAGACAGGGAGGAAGGGCTGCGGGACACTCAGTGGCGGCTCTGAGGGACCGAAGTCCGTGGGCTGGATAAACGGGTCCTCAGTCCGGGAGGTGTGTTCACAGCCCTGCTCATCCATGTGAGCCAGGGATGGGGCGGTAGGGGGCGCGATGAGGCTGTCAGGAAGGCTCACAGTGGGGAGGGCTGTGGTCGGCAGGATGCTCTCCTGAAAAAGGAAGAAAGGAGCCAGGAAGCAATGCTGGGGTCAGACAATTCCTTTCTAGCGCTGCACACTGCCAAGTCCAACTACACAGGCCGGGCGCTGGGACAGAGGGACAAAGGCCACGTCTCCACGTCCATGGCTGCTGATCTGATAGGGATTTGTGTTTCCCTGCGTGTCTGCGGGGGTCTTGTTTCCATTAAAAACTAAATAACTCAGAGCTCAGATAAGGCAACGGCCCTCACACAGCTGGCTAGCAGCCTGGGAATATCTTGTTTCTGGAGTCCAGCAGAGTCTCCCCAAAGTCTCTGCCATCTTCTATTACTGAGCAGAGGCAGCCTGGATTGCAGCTGCTCGGGAATCCCCGAGGACAATTTCACGTGTCAACTGGTCATCAGGCCACCTCTTCCTAAATAAGAAAAGCTACGAGGAATCAATGGTTCAGATCCCAGTCTCTGCAGTAGCAATTCTTCCCGGAGCCCGTTTGAAGATGGTGCCAGGTTACCAGTGTCTAACTGGTCATGGGCATAAGCATGAGGGCTCCGTAAGGACAAAGAATGGTACCTCACTCAGCTCTGTAGCCCCAAGCACCTGTAAGCAACTTTTTGGATTGCTTAGTAAAACGTGAAAGAAATATACAGAAGTTATTTTTATTAGTAATCCATGTTTTTCTTCTCTGTCTAGCTAATTCTGTGTTAATTAGTCGGAGCAGAGCTAGCTGCACATAGGTTACCTGGCACTCAGGCAGAAGCACACCTGGACCAAGAGTCTCCCACCCCATGGGTGCTGAAGGATGCTGTAAAAGAGGGATGGAATCGTGCCTCTGCACATTAGTGCTGGTCTAGCACTGCTTGGCGCTTTGCTGGTGACTGTGTGGCTATGCCATTAGCCTTGCTCTGGCAGCAAACCTTTGATGAGCAGCCCTGTGCCTGCCAGCCCCTTCCCCCACCCATCCCCCAGCTTCCTCTACCTGTGCAGGTGGGTTGTTGGGATCTGGTACAGGTGCTGAGGCAGATGCAGGTAGCATGGAGCCAAAAATGGAGCGGCTAGAAGAGAAGAGGTCTGAAAAACAACAGCAGGGGTCTTCTGAGCTCAGTGTGCCCAGCATTTGCTGGAATCAAGACTCAAACAGGGCCAGGCACGGTGGCTCATGCCTGTAATCCCAGCACTTTGGGAGGCCGAGGTAGGCAGATCATGAGGTCAAGAGATCAAGACCATCCTGGCTAACATGGTGAAACTCCATCTCTACTAAAAATACAAAAATTAGCTGGGTGTAGTGGCACATGCCTGTAGTCCCAGCTACTCAGGAGGCTGAGGCAGGAGAATGGCTTGAACCCAGGAGGCAGGGGTTGCAGTGAGCTAAGATCGCACCACTGCACTCCAGCCTGATGACAGAGCGAGATTCCCGTCTCAAAAAAAAAAAAAAAAAAAAAAAAAAAAAGGTGCCAACCACAACCACCATGCCTGGTTGGTGCCACCAGTGGTCCCAACTACACAGGAGGCTGAAGCGGAAGGATCGCTTAAGTCCAGGAGGGAGGTTGAGGGTGCAGTGAGCCGTGTTCTTGCCACTGCACTCCAGCGTGGGCTACAGAGCAAGGCTCTGTCTCAAAATAACAAAGACTAAAACAGGCTGGGTGTGATGGCTTACACCTGTAATCCCAGCACTTTGGGAAGCAGAGGCAGGAGGATCACCTGGGCAACATAGCAGACCCCCGTCTTTACAAAAAAATGAAGAAATGAACTGGGTGTGGTGGTGTGTGCCTGTAGTCCCAGGTACTCAGGAGGCTGAGGTGGGAGGATCGCTTGAGCCCAGGAGTTCAGGGCTGCAGTGAACCATGATTGAACCACTGCACTCTAGCCTGGGTGACAGTGCAAGACCCTGTCTCTAAAAAAAAAAAAAAAAAAAAAAAAAGACTCAAACAAATCAAGGACTAAACCCCTAAACCCCACATGGCCCAGGGGGATGCCATGGACAGAGGGTATTACCCTGAGACACCTTTTTTTCTGTAGAAAGGGGGCTCTGGTTGGAACCACACATGTTGGCAACTATCCTGGGCTCTGAAACACTCCCAGGCCTGACGTTTCTGCTGCTGTCACAATGGCAGGTGCTCAAGGACCCATCTAACTGCAGGGCCTTGGTAGGGAGCTGGCTGTGTCATCAGTGCCCTCTGCTGCTTCGAGGGAGAACTGCTTACAGTCACGGCTAAATCCAGAGCCAATTTCCTTGCTGAACAATGTCCCAGAAAAACTTCCCAGACCTTGCAGTTACTACAAAAAACAGTTCAGTTTAAAAAAAAATTCTTTGCTCGCCCCCTTGCCCATTCTACCAAGTCTCGCCTCTTAAAGGAAGGCAGCGATCTGCTCTGTGCTGGGCTGGGGGAGATGGAGGCAACCGTGCTCTCTCTGCCTCTGGTCCTCACCCTGGAAAGGCTCAAAGGTGTCCATGAAGTCCAGGTTAGGCTGCAAAGGAATCAGTCCCGGCTGGATCATGTCTGCATTTCCCAGATGTGCTGCAAGAATCACAGAGAGAGGAACCATTTTGTCTTCTCAGACAATGTTGCAGGAACGTAAAAAAGGCCTGGAACAGAACTTCCTGGCCCTGCTCACATCCCAGAGTCTTCCAAGGAGCTGGCTGGGATTTCTACCTTCTCAGGGTTTGTGGCCATTCCGCACCCTCAAAAGGCAGGAAAGTAAGTTTTTGCCAGGAAGGTAAAATTGAGTATCAGGGAATGGACACCCCAGGAAGCTGTAAAGAGCTCAAGAGAGAACAGAGACCTCCCCGAACACTGTTCTAATTTTCAATCTTTGGGCTCTTCCCTGAGAGGTTAACTGGAAGACTGAATGCCACCAAGGTGAGCGGTCACACCCGGGAGTGCTTCTGATTTTCTTTAGCATGAGTCACGGCCCGGCCGCCTCGGCTTAGGCACGGCACACGTACCCCGTGAAGAGAACGGTATCTGAAATGTGCCAATGACTCAGACTAGACCCTGCTGCTGTCCTCCCACCATGGCACTACGGGAATGGCAGCTGCCCAGTGGGCCCACTCTGCAGACCCCACCCACTCGGTACGTGCGGCCTGGATGTCAAATGAGGCCAGCCATCCTTCCCTTCCTTACTGCCTGCCCCCAACCGTGACGTGCAGCAGCTCAGAGATGGCCCTGAAGGAACCCTGGCCCAGAGGGGGCCTGGCAGAGAAGGAAGCGGCTGGCTGTTCAAAGCCCAAGGCCCTGGTTTGGGTTACCTATTTCCCGGGGATTGGGCCAGGCCACCGGCTGGTGTGAAGAAAGTGTGGAGAAGAGGGTGTCGCTGAATTCCGACATGAGCATGTCTGTGTCCAGCAGGGGATCCTCCTCCATGGGGACGGGGGTCTTCCATCCATCCCCGTGCTTGTGCCAATACAGCATGTCATCGTCCTAACACAACACCAACACAGGGGAGGAAGCATCAAAGAGTAACAGTGGGACGAAGAATTCCCACGCCTGTCACCTGGGGAAATTCGTCAAAGGGGTGCTCAGTGGAAGTGAGGCAGCAGGGTGGAGGCATTTGGAGAGCGGCTCCCTCCAGCCCACCCAGGAGAGAGAGCTGGACTGCTTCTTGAGCCATTCCTGAGACTCCAGGGAGGGCCCATGGCCTGCCGCCTTTTGCAGGGCTCCCTGGTGGGCCACCGAAGTCCCTGCTGTCTCATGTCAAAGTGGGGGTCCTCAGAGCTCCCAGGCTCACCCACCTGGACCAGGCTGGAGAGGTCCTCATCCTTGTGCTGCTGTAGCTGTGGGCAAAGGGACAGGACACGGCGGTCACCAATGGCCCTAGGAGGGCCCAAGGGCTCTAGAATATACAGAACTCTCAGGGAGGCAGGTAGGGGTCCTGCTCACACCATCCCCAGGCCGATGCCTGCACAAAGGAGACTTCCACCCAGTGCACAGATGGGGAAACTGAGAGCAAAGACAACCTGACCGAGGCAGGCCATTGCCCAGGCTAGTCTGGCACGCTGGGCCCCAGATTTACTGCTTGACGCTCCACGTTCAGGTGGGGCGGCTGTGGAGCCTACCGCCTCGGCCAGGGCCCTGAACCAGGGACTCTGCCCACTCCCTCCCTAGGCGGGCTGCCTGAACACTCCAGCCAGATACCCTTTTCTTGAAGTAGGTTCTCCACTTGTGATACTCCCGGATCACAATCTCGATGCGGCTCTTCCAGTACTTCCCTTCCGTGGTGATGGCCTAGGACAGGGACAGAGAGCAGAGTGAAGAGGGGGCTCTGCTTGATTAGCAAAGCTCAACTGGTGTACTGAGTATCCGGCACTATAATCAGGCCTTAGGCAATCCAGCGGGAAACCCCACAGTGGCTACCACATCACTCAGAAAGTACGTCCCACTTCTTCCATGCTATAGCAGACCCTCTAGCTAACAATGCGCTGTCATTTCAAGACCTAAGGTAGCCAAAGGCCTTGGGGGCACGGTCCTGAGGCTCTGTCCAGGAGGACAGGGTGAGAGCAGAATGCTCCACAGAGGAAGAAGCAGGGGAACGCTGCAGCAATTCCCAAGCCCCCCCATAAATGCCCCTTCCCCACAGCCTCTGCCACATTCAAAGGGCAAAAATGAACAGCCAATTCCAGGAAGTTTCAGGTGGAATGTGCCCTCCAGGGGCCTCTCATCCAACCTTCGCGTGATGCCAGTGTGGATGCCTTGCATGACAGCCTTCGAGCTCCAGAGATAAGGAGCCCCAATGCCTGGGGTTGCCTCACTTTCTGATCTCAAGGCCCAAATCACCTCACCTACAAACACTGTGTGTGTGTCCTCGACAGCAAAGATGCTTTTCTGTTAAAAAGAACTGATTACAATATTGCCATACCCAACAAAATGATATCCCTTGATACTGTCTAATACCAGATTATACCTGTCTCAAAACTGTCTTTCATTAGCTTACCTTCTAAATTCCCCCTTTATCGTTAACAGTGAGACATGCCTAGACAAAATTAAAGCCACACAGAAGAGTATGCAGTGAAGAAAGCATCTCCCCCTCATCTGGCAGCCCTAATCCTACTCCCCAGAGGTTCCTGAAGTCTCTTAATAAAGACACTTCTATATATTCCTCTAGACACTTCCTGTGCATGTATAATCACACATAGACACACACTTTAAAAATTAACAGAAAGATATTAACCCCCTCAGTCCCTGGGCCAGTCCCTCTGAGAAGGGGGAGGCTCTGCAGCCTGGGGTTGCCAGAGGCCACCAGCTCCCAGGCCTGGCCCCCAGGGCATGGATGGCGCAGGGCAGGCGCTGCACTACCCTCGGCAGCCTCTCCTACAGGACCAGCCCGCGGTGAGCCACTCCCGGTGAGGTGCTGGTATGTTTCCACTCTCAGCCACCCTTGGTCACTGCCAAGTACCTCCGGCCGGCGGTGCTCGTCTACGTCCACAGAGCCGTCCAGGGGTGTCACAAAGTGGCACACAGGATTCTTGCGCTTCTCCAGATCTGAGCAGAGAGAGGGTGAGAGTCAGCACCATGATCCAGACCCCTGAGGGAGCCCCAGCCTGTCTGCTGCACCCCTCCCCTAGGGCAGACCACATTCCCAGGTACCCTTTCCTTCTCCTTCCCTAGGAAAAGGAGATTTCAGGGAAATAAAGGAGTCCAGGTGAAAGGAGAGGAATCTGTCAATAACGAACGCCTCAGTCAGAGAGGCAGTGTGGCTTCTCAGAGAAAGACCAGCCCAACACAAGCCTGCCCTAGCACACTCATCTCCCGGAGAAGCTACCGGATCCATGACACTCGGGCTGGAGAGAGAAGGCCCATGCCTGAGTCTTCCTAGACCTGCTCCCTGACTCTTCAGATGCCACCCCTCTGCTGGGCCTGATGGCTTGGGTTTCCTGTCTGCACAGACTGAACTTCTGTTAGAAACACCAGGTCCCAGGAGCAGACTCTGGTCCCTGGGTGCCCAGGCCTCCAGGCCGTGAAGTTCTGACCACCACCGGCGCCCAGGCTGGGCGGCACTTACACTGCATGTACCAGGCCCGCCAGATGGCATTATTGAGCCGGATCTTGTCTCTCCACTGTAGCTTCAGGCCCTTGAAATTCTTCCACTTTGGAGACACCAACTTCCCACTGAAAGGCAAGGCAAAGCGGGGAGACTCAGTGGTTACTCTGAAATTGAAGTGAAATTACAAAGTGCCACCCGATCATTCCAGGACCAAACTCTTGACTGATCCACCCCCAGCCATACACCCGGCTTCATGGAATTCAGGTCACTGGGGGATTTCTTCAGAGCCACACAGGGCAGGGCATGGTGGGGATACTGTCAGGGCGCGGAGGGCAGGACTGGCCGTGGGGGTTTTGCAGCCTTGGAGCCACCCACCAATATCTGTTGAAGGGACTTTAACCCAAACACCTCTGCAGAGGGCTGCTGGGAGGATTCCATGAACCAGACTAACAAACTGAACACTGGGCATGCAGTGAGTGCCCTCCAGGAGGAGCAAAGGTTACATTTGGGCTGTTCATTGTTATTCACATTTGACCAGCCTCCCTTCCTGGATTCAAAGTCATTCTTGTTTCCAGAGAGGGGCAGACCAAGGGCAGTCATGGGTCACACAGCAACTGGTGTGTGCGGTGGCAGCATGTGGGGTTCACTACATTCTTCCGTCTACTTTGGCATATCCTACAAATTTTCCATAACTAAAAATTAGAAGAAATCTGTTGACCACAGAGTGCAAACCAGGCTCCTGTGACCTGGTCGTGGCCTGCCTGCTTTGCCACCAGCCCCCACGAGGCATTCACAATCCAAGTACCCGAGCATCCCACTGGCCTGAGTGCCTGCAGGGCAGGGCCTATTCTGCCTCCCAGAGCCTCTGACATGGTCCTCACTCTTGATGGCCCTCCACTCAGCCACCTCCTAATCCTTCAAGATGCTGCCCCCGACACCATCTCCTCTGAGCTGGCCTGGCCTCTCCCAGGCTGCTGCTGATTCCTTCAGGGCCCCTCTGCTCTCCTCCACTCGGGGACGGTCTCACGGGAGCTCTTATGTAGTAGTGTCTGCACACAAGCACCTTTCCCTGTTGACACTGCAGCTCCTCTAGGGAGGACGTTTGGTGGCTTGGCACATAGTAGGGGCTCAATTAACAATTCTTCATTCAATAAGTCCAGAGCACTTGTAAACCCAGCCTCCCTGGTGGCACAGCTGTCTTGGGCAGCTCAGTTTTCCAAGTGCTAGGCCGGGAGCCATCTCTGGGCAGCCCGCATAGGGTTTCTCTTTTTCAGATGGCTTGAGATGGGCAAGGCACTATTTCTGGTCCATATCACAGTGCGGCTGTGGAGGTTTGATCTGACCACAGGCCACAGCCCTGCCCCTTCTCCAGTCCCACTCAGAAAGGCCACGTGGCAAGCCGAGATTTGCCAACAGTAGCTGCAGTCTTCACAGGAGGCGCCTGAGCAGCAAACATTCTGTGAACCTGGAACCTGCCCTGGAAGGCAGATGCCCTGGCTGTGCCCCTGGCAGGACCCTTGTGCCTATCCCCACCCAAACCCCCAAGGAGCCCAGGCTTTGGGCAATACAGGCCAGAAGGTTATGACTCCCCCAGAAAAATGTCACAGTGCATCCTCTCAGCACACAAGAGACACGCAGACAGCAGCAGCCTCTGCACAACGGGTCAGGGACTCAGAGTAGTCACACACCTTCCTTCCTTCCTTCTCTCCCAAGTTCAAAGGCTCATCTAACCCACCTCCATGCTGATGGCCTGGCCTCACCGGTGGTACAGCAGGCAGCTACGGAATCAGACAGCCACTGCTGTGTCATGGCGTACCTGCTGCCTACCACAGCAGTGCCCTGGGTAAAATCAGAATGACGCCTCCTCCTCTAGAGTGTGTTAATAAGGACTAAATGAAAGCACATTTGGGTACAGTAAAATACACACACACATACATGTTTAGACACACACACAACTGGTAAACCCTAAAGCAAACACAAAGATATTAATAACAATCTCAATGATCTAGGGTTAAGTTATTACTGAAAGGAATAATTTTTTTTTTTTTTGAGATGGAGTCTCGCTCTGTTGCCCAGGCTGGAGTGCAGTGGCGAGATCTTGGCTCACTGCAACTTCCGCCTCCTGGCTTCAAGCGATTCTGCCGCCTCAGCCAACCGAGTAGCTGGGACTACAGGTGCCCACCACCACATCAGCCAAATTTTTGTTTGTTTTTGGAGATGGAGTTTCGCTCTTGTTGCCCAGGCTGGAGTGCAATGGCGCGACCTCAGCTCACGGCAACCTCTGCCTCCCGGGTTCAAGTGATTCTCCTGCCTCAGCCTCCTGTATAGCTGGGATTACAGGCATGCGCCACCACACCCAGCTAATTTTCTATTTTTAGTAGAGATGGGATTTCATCATGTTGGTCAGGCTGGTCTGGAACTCCTGACCTCAGCTGATCTGCCTGCCTCGGCCTCCCAAAGTGCTGGGATTACAGGCGTGAGCCACCAAGCCCGGCCTAATTTTTGTATTTTTAGTAGAGACAGGGTTTTACCACGTTCGTCAGGCTGGTTTTGAACCCCTGACCTCAAGTGATCCTCCCACCTCGGCCTCCAAAAGTGGTAGGATTACAGGCATGCACCACCGTGCCTGGCAAAAGGCATAATTAAAAAAAAAATTGTTTTGATTTTTATGAGTACATAGTAGGTACATATATTGAAGGGTATGATGTTTTTAACAACCCCCGCCCTGAAGTCCTTTCTCTTATGTTTGCCATATTGCCATGTGGTTCCTCTTTCTCCACAGGTGGAAAAGGTGACGCCGGTGCCCTCTGCCAACACCAGGAACAGAGACCTGGGCAGAGGTCAGCTCCGAGTGCCAGGCCAGCCCTGAGGGTGGGATTGCGTAGCTGCAGAAGCCTCATCTGCTCTGCACTGTGAAGAGCCGAGGACTGAGGGCGGGGGACGGCTGAGGAGGGGGACGGCTGAGGTGGGGGACGGCTGAGGGCGGGGGGGCGGCTGAGGTGGGGGACGGCTGAGGACGGGGGACGGCTGAGGAGGGGGACGGCTGAGGGTGGGGGGACGGCTGAGGAGGGGGACGGCTGAGGGCAGGGGGACGGCTGAGGTGGGGGACGGCTGAGGGCGGGGGGGCGGCTGAGGTGGGGGACGGCTGAGGGTGGGGGGACGGCTGAGGAGGGGGACAGCTGAGGGCGGGGGACGGCTGGGGCGGGGGACGGCTGAGGGTGGGGGACAGCTGAGGCGGGGAGGTTCCCCTCATGCAGCACGCCTTGGGTGGGAGCACACGTCATGCCTCTGTGCTCAGCGTCCTGAAGGGCAGATGGCTGTGGGCACAAGGTGGATAGCCAACCTGACCAGAGCAGTGAGGGGAGGCTTTCTGGAGGAAGTGGCGTTTAAGCAAAGGCCTAGTGGATAGGGAAAGCCAGCTCGACAAAGCCCACACAGTTCCTTCTGCCTGGCCTGTGGTGGCCCCAGTGAGCAGAACTCAGCCTGATCGAGGCAGTGAAAAGCCCTCAATGTGTGAACAGGGCATGGTGGCATGCGTCTGTAGTCCTAGCTACTGGGGAGACTGAGGCAGGAAGGTCGCTTGAGCCCAGGTGTTTGAGGTTGCAGTGAGCCATGATGGCACCAATGCACTCCAGCCTAAGTGAAAGAGCAAGACCGTCTCAGAAAACAAACAAACAAAAATAACCAACCAAAAAAGGGAGTCTGAAGGCAGGGGGTACAGCAGACAAAGCTGGAGGGCAGAGGGTGTCATACCAACAGCTTTAATCACACACAATGAGGGGAGCGGCAAGACGCAGGGAAATTTAGCCTTACAGGCTAGAAACCTCAAAGTTTAGTTTGAGGGTCCCCTCTTCTTCCTCTCCGTGAGCTGAAATGTTTCCCTTTTCTTTGGGTGTTTACGTCAAACACAGTCAGACTTCAGCAGCAACACAGAGACCAGAACTCCCAACTGGGATCACCGTTCCACCCCGAGTTTCGGTAATATCTCTATGACCAACAGGTGGCGCTCAAGAAACACAAAGAAGGGCGTCCAACTCAAAATCCAAACAAACCAGCCACGGCGGGCCGGAAAGGGTCGACGGCCTGCACCCCCAGCCCGCCCCCAAGGCAATTTCAAGTCAAGATCTGAGGAGGCAACGCGTGAAGTTCTGTGATGCCTCAGAAGGTGGCAAGGTGGCAATGAATGCGTCAGGTGTCACAAAGGAAGGGACACCCTGGACGACTCATGCCCAGAAACCCTGGGCAGGCTCCTGATGGGCCTGGCAGAGCTGTTAGGCTGTGCCCCGTCAATCTTCAAGGAGAGGAGCAGGGACATTTCCTACGCAGACCTCCACGGGGACCCTTCTTCACAGGGTACTCAGGAAAAGCTGCTCTAAAAGTCCCACAATGGGCCAGGTGCAGTGGCTCACGCCTGTAATCCCAGCACTTGGAGGGCTGAGGCGGGAGGATCACTTGAGCTCACGAGTTCCAGACCAGCCTGGGCAATATAACAAGACCTCGTCTCTTTAAAAAAAAAAAAAGAAAAAGAAAAGAAGGCCGGGCACGGTAGCTCACGCCTGTAATCCCACCACTTTGGGAGGCCGAGGCGGGTGTATCACGAGGTCAAGAGATCGAGACCATCCTGGCTAACATGGTGAAACCCCCGTCTCTACTAAAAATACAAAAAAAATTAGCCAGGCGTCGTGGTGGCGGGCGCCTGTACTCCCAGCTACTTGGGAGGCTGAGGCCGGAGAATGGCGTGAACCTGGGAGGCGGAGAGTACAGTGAGCCGAGATCGCATCACTGCACTCCAGCCCGGACGACAGAGCAAGACTCTGTCTCAAAAAAAAAAGAAAAAGAAAAAGAAAAAAGTAGCAGGGAGTGGTAGCCTGTGCCTGTGGTCCTGGCTACTTGGAAGGCTGAGGTGGGAGGATCCCTGGAGCCCAGGAGTTGGAGGGTGCAGTGAGCTATCATGGTGCCACTGCACCTCAGCCTGGGTGACAGAGAGAGACCCTGTCTAAAAATTTTTTTTACAAAGCCCACAAGGGAGCCTGCAGCAGTGGAGGGCAGCCCTCCCTGGCAGAGCCCCCAGGGAAGCACCGCCAGAAAGCGTCTGTGACTGGGGGGACTTCTGCTCCCCTAACTCATGCTGCCAGCTCAACATCTTCCAGACAAAGGTGACTGGGCTGTCTCTTAGTCTAACTTGGATTATGCTCCATTCCTTCTTTAAAGCAGACCAGAAACATGTTCTGACCATTTCTGCAAGACCACTGGCTTCCCCCAAGACACGCAATCCTCCTCTGGCCTCCACCTCCTGAACCCGCCCCTGCCATCTGCCCATCAGAACAGAGGTCAACTGCACTCACCCATTCGCTAGCCCTCTCCTCACCCTCTGTGGGAAGGCCATCGCCTAGGGTCGCCAGCACAGGGCCTGGCACGTGGGAGGTGTTTTAAATATGCAGTTATTAAATGAATGCTAAATTTTCCATGAAGAACAATCTTTACACCACCCTGCCACAGCTGCCCTTCCTAGAAGGCAGGTTCTTGACATGAAACAGGAAATTCACAGTACAACAAAGGTCTCTCTCAAAACTTTTCTTGGATGAAACTAGCAAACTATGAATTCCTCAGAGGGCTGGCAAGAGACTGCTTTGGAATGGAAGGAAATTAAATTGCAAGCCTTGCACAGACCAAGCTGGAAGTAAGAACAGGGGCAGGCAGAGAGGGCAGGCCGGGCATGGCCAGGTCAGGGGTCCCTAATTCTGTTCGGTCTGGCTGGGACGAACTCCTGACTCCTGCTCAGACCATTCTCTCCAAAAGAAAGCAGGCAGAGGCCGGGCACGGTGGCTCACACCTGTAATCTCAGCACTTTGGGAGGCCGAGGTGGGCAGATCACGAGGGTCAGGAGGGTCACGAGACCAGCCTGGCCAACATGGTGAAATCCTGTCTCTACTAAAAATACAAAAATTAGTCAGGCATGGTGGCACGTGCCTGTAATCCCAGCTACTCAGGAGGCTGAGACCTCGCCGCTGCACTCCAGCCTGGGCAGCAGAGCAAGACTCCATCTCAATTTAAAAAAAAAAAAAAAAAAAAAGGCTGGGCACAGTGGCTCGCGCCTGGAATTCCAGCACTTTGGGAGGCCGAGGCAGGCAGATCATGAGGTCAAGAGATCAAGACCATCCTGGCCAACATGGTGAAACTCCATCTCTACTAAAAATACAAAAATTAGCTGGGCATGGTGGCATGCATCTGTAGTCCCACCTACTTGGGAGGCTGAGGCAGGGGAATCGCTTGAACCTGGGAGGCGGAGGTTGCAGTGAGCCAAGATGGCACCACTGCATTCCAGCCTGGCGACAGAGTGAGACACCGTTTCAAAAAAAAAAAAAAAAAACCAAGCATGCAGAGGGCTCTGGGGCTATCGTTATAGGTCTCAGAACAGTGGTGGAGCCCATTCATTTGTTCATTCAACCATATTTGTTTGTCATGGGACAACGTTTCTTCACCATTCCTGGTGCTTCTTAGAGGGACACCCCTTAGCAAAACATCCCTGGCTTCCTCCCTACTCCCTGACAGACAGGTAGAGTGGGGCATCTCACAGTGAGTGCTGCAGGACAGGTACAATGAGTGCTGAAGAAGAACCTGGGCTGGGGTCGTTCCCTCCTTCCCCTGCTCCTGAAGAGGGGGTGGAGGTGGAAGGTCAGTCCAGGGTTCTCTTACAAGCCATATCCTCAGCTTGGTCAACAATAAAGGTAATATTTTGGCCACCATCTGCTGACTCTTTTTCTTGTAGTAAAATAAATATAAAATTTACCATTTTAACCATTTTAAAGTAGATGATTCAGTGCCATTAAGAACATTCACAATGTTTTATAACCAGCACCATTACCTAGTTCCCCACTTGTAATCCCAGCACTTTGAGGGGCCAAGGCAGGAGAACTGCTTGAGCCCAGGAGTTTGAGACTGGTCTGGGTAACGTAGTGAGAGACCACCATCTCCACAAAAAATCAGAAAATCAGCTGGGCTTGGTGGCATGTGCCTGTGGTCCTAGCTACTCAGAAGACTGAGATGGGAGGATTGCTCGAGCCCAGGAGGTCAAGGCTGCAGTGAGCCACTATTGTACCACTGCACTCCAGCCTGGGTGACAGGGCAAGACCCTGTCTCAAAAGAAGAAAAGAAAAGAGAAAAGAAAGAGAAGGGGAAGGAAGGGAAGAGAGAAAGAGAGAAGAAGGGGGGAGGGGGAAAGAAAGAAAAAAATATTCTCAGAACTTCATTACTTTCAAGGCAGAATCATATTCCATGTATAGATGGACCACATTCTGTTTATCCATCATCAGTAGGACACAGGTCGTATCCACCTTTGGGCTACAGCGAATAGCGCTGCTACAAAGTGATTCCTCCGTTTTACTTCCCAATCAGTTTAGAGCTCTGGTGGGGAAGAGTTCTCGTCACTAAGCTGGTGCTGGGGATAGAATGATGGGCAAAAACAATTGTGAGCCTTTTTGAAGGGCAAGCTGACAACTGCCCATCAACACTGTAACTGCACATCCCTGTGACCCACAAGCCCACTCCTAGGAAGTGATTCGACAGATCCACCTCACATGGGCACAAAGACGTGAAGAGAAGGACATTAAACTGCAGCACTGTTTGCGGCAGCAAAAGGTTGGAAATAACCTAGATATTCATCACAGGGAACCAGTCAAAACTGGCATATCGCCAGGCGCGGTGGCTCACGCCTGTAATCCCAGCACTTTGGGAGGCCGAGGAGGGTGGATCACAAGGTCAGGAGATCGAGACCATCCTGGCTAACACGGTGAAACCCCATCTCTACTAAAAATACAAAAAATTAGCCGGGTGTGGTGGCAGGTGCCTGTAGTCCCAGCTATTTGGGAGGCTGCGGCAGGAGAATGGCATGAACCTGGAAGGCGGAGCTTGCAGTGAGCTGAGATTGCGCCATTGCACTCCAGCCTGGGCGACACAGCGAGGCTCATCTCAAAAACAAAACAAAACAAAACAAAAAAACTGGCATATCTACACAGTGGAACACTACGGGGTAATTTTTAAAATAACACATTTCTATGTGGTAACACATAGGGAAGACCTACAAGATGCACTGTTAAGTGAAAAAACAAAAATAAAACCAAGGTACAAGATATATGGTATGGCTACCATTTGTTTTTCTTTTTTCTGTTTTTTTGTTTGTTTGTTTTGTTTTGTTTTGTTTTGTTTGTTTTTTTGAGACAGAGTCTCACTCTGTCGCCCAGGCTGGATTGTAGTGGCGCGATCTCGGCTCACTGCAAGCTCCACCTCCCAGGTTCACGCCACTGTCCTTCCTTAGCCTCCAAGTAGCTGGGACTACAGATGCCCGCCGCCACCATGCCCAGCTAATTTTTTGTATTTTTAGTAGAGACGGGGTTTCACCATGTTAGCCAGGATGGTCTTGATCTCCTGACCTCGTGATCTGCCCGCTTCGACCTCCCAAAGTGCTGGGATTACAGGCACGAGCCACCGTGCCCAGCCCATGTGTTTTTTATTTTTATTATCTATTTTTTTTTTTTTGAGATGGGAGTCTCACTCTGTCACCAGGTTGGAGTGCAGTGGCAATCTCAGCTCACTGCAACCTCCGCCTCCCGGGTTCAAGCAATTCCCCTGCCTAAGCCTCCTGAGTAGCTGGGATAACAGGCGTGTACCACCACGCCCAGCTAATTTTTGTATTTTTAGTAGAGACAGGGTTTCACCATGTTAGCCAGGCTGGTCTCGAACTCCTGACCTCAAGCAATCCACCCACCTTGGCCTCCCAAAGTGCTGGGATTATAGGCGTGAGCCACTGCGCCCGGCCTGGTATGGCTACCGTTTATATTCAGAGATATCCACACAGACATGTAGGAGAGGAGGGAGGAGAAAAGACAGCCAAGATGGATACATAAGAAAAGGTAAGAGTGCCACAGCGATTTCCCTTTGCAGAGATGAGCTGGAGAAGCAAGGGGTCCAGTGAGAAGGAGTGTTCACTGAACACCGTTTTGTATTGTTGAAATATAACACTGGAATGTACGGCATTCCTCCCTTTTCTGCGGTATTGTGCTTTACCCATGATCAACCGCTGTCTGAAAATATTACATGGAAAGTTGCAGAAATAAACAATCTATAAATCCTAAACCGTGCACCATTTGGAATAGCAAAATCTCACGCCGTACCGCTCTGTCCCGCCTGGGACATGACTCATCCCTTTGTCCAGCAGATCCACACTGTAGTTGCCACCCACCTGCTAAGTCACTTAGCAGCCATCTCAGTGATCAGATCCATGGTTGTGGTATCACAGTGCTTATGTTCAGGTAGCCCTTATTTTACTTAATAATGGCCACAAAGCATAAGAGTAGTGATGCTGGCAATTCAGATATGACCTAGAGAAGCCTTAAAGTGCTTTCATTAAGTGAAAAGGTGCAAGTTCTCAACTTAACAAGGCTGAGGTTGCTAAGATCTATGGTAAAAACAGATTTTCTATCCATGCAATTGTGAATAGTAGATTGTCATAATTGCTCTATGTTATTATTGTTGTTAATCTCTTACTGTGCCTAACTTATAAATTAAGCTTTATCACAAGTATAGAGCTAACATGTGAAAAAAATGTACTGTATACAGGGTTCGGCACTATCTGAGCTTTCAGGCATCCACTGGGGTCTTAGAACACACCCCCTCAGATAAGGGGGGACTACTGTATTACTTTTTCAAAATAAACAAGGAAAAAAGACCAGGCAAGGTCCAAGACATTCTAGGGCTTCTAGTTAATTGCGGAAGGCAATTCATCACAAAAACAGATATATCAGTCAATTCTGTGCACCAGATCCAGATATGAGGATCACGGTTATTAGGTGGTTTCAATGAGGGAGTGGAGGAATGACTCTTCCAGGAGTCCAATTCACTTGCTTCAAAAGGGCAGTCTCTATCGGCTAGTCCTGGGATGTGGGCCTGGTCCCACAGGCTGCCAGCAGCCAAAGCTAACAGGCTACAGACGAACAAAGGTTCATTGAGGAGCTGGCACGCGGGAGGGGCCACTGCCAATGGCTTGACAGGAGGGGCAGTGTGCATGTCGGGCCACCTGCCCGAGCAGAGAGTCTCCTATGGAGGAACCCCAGGGGGTTTCAGGTCCTGCTCCATCCTCCTCGTGGATCTCTTGGCATCTTTTTTCTTACATTCAAAGAACATCCTGTTGGAGAAGTAGGATCCGAGGGCTGTGGCGGGAAGGCTGGTGCACACTCCAGTGTGCGAGTGTTCGAGTGCCTGCAGGTGCTCCGCCCACATGCGTGCCAGCTTGTTTGTGAGGGTGTATGTTTGTCTTTTCTGTGTGAAAAGCAGGGAGTAATCATTTCCATGACCACCCAAAAATA
Source organism: Homo sapiens (assembly GCF_000001405.40). Classification (NCBI taxonomy): domain Eukaryota; kingdom Metazoa; phylum Chordata; class Mammalia; order Primates; family Hominidae; genus Homo; species Homo sapiens. Next base: position 122,117,019 of record NC_000012.12, on the reverse strand, counting down.
GGGCAACTTGAGGGAGTGGATACCAGGCAAGATGTGCCTGCCTGCAATGGTGACTTCACCCTGCCTGGGATGGGCTGTGTCCAGGCCTTCCACTAGAGGACAGACACCACCATGTCTAGACCACTTCTAACCAACAAAGAAAGCAGAGTGGTTCCATTTCTGGCCTCGTCACCCAGGCTGGCCCGGCCCAGCCCACCTTCTGCAAAACAGTGACCACATCCACCACACTGGACAGCTGGGTCAGCCATAGCAGATATGAGGGCCTGGGCCCAGCACGTGGTCAATGCTGGGCATGGTGAGGCATGCTCCTGAGTTTTAGGAGCTTCTTGGGCATGTTCTTAAGTTTCCTGTCAGATTCAAGCCATAAGTGGACTTTCAGGCAGGGGCAGGGGCAGGGACCCCTGGGCAGGGCACCATTTAAAGCCAGAGTCCTAGGTTTCCTCGCCAGAAGAGTAAACCCCAATCAGACCCCAAGGTGCTCCTCCGGACTGGAGATGAAACCAGATTTGCAAGAGGCAAACTTGGTATTTCACTTCAATTTGCATCATTTGTTAATGAAATTTCATAATTAAAAACCTGCGCGTTAGCCATGTGCCCCATATTTTCTGAGCTGTTTGCCCATGCCCTTTGCCTTTTCTAAAAACCAACATGGCACATGTATACATATGTAACAAACCTGCACGTTGTGCACATGTACCCTAAAACTTAAAGTATAATAATAATAAAATTAAAAAAAAACTTATTCTGAAGTAATTATAGACTCTCAGGAAGTCACACAAATGGAACAAAGAGCTCCACGTACCCTTCACCCAGCTTTCCCCAGTGGTGGCTCTTGTATCGCTGGAGCACAATGTCAAAGCCGGGAAATTGGCTTTGGGACATTACTGGTAAACAGACTACACGTCATTTACAGTCATTGAAATGTCAATGTTGTGTGTGTGTGTGTGTGTGTGTGTGTGTGTGTGTTTTCAGATGGAGTCTCGCTCTGTCACCCAGGCTGGATTGCAGCAGCATGATCTTGGCTCACTGCAACCTCCACCTCCCGGGTTCAAGTGATTCTCCTGCCTCAGCCTCCCAAGTAGCTGGGATTACAGGTACTGCCATCATGCCTGGCTAATTTTTGTGTTTTTGTAGAGACAGGGTTTTGCCATGTTGGCCAGGCTGGTCTTGAACTCCTGACCTCAGGTGATCTGCCCACCTCAGCCTCCCGAAGTACTGGGATTACAGCTGTGCCCAGGTGTCAGCCATTGTTTCCCTTGCTATTTTATATTCGCAATATTATAATATTAGTGGTACTAATGCTTTGTGATGTTTCTGCAAATGTTTCCCCTAGGATTTTCATTGTCTTTTACTTGTTTTTATGGCATGTCTTTTGAATGTAGGTTACATATTTGTGTAGTCATCTCTACTGGTCTTTTTTTTTTTTTTTTTGAGAAGGAGTTTCGCTCTTGTTGCCCAGGCTGGAGTGCAATGGTGCGATCTTCACTCACTGCAACCTCTGCCTCCCAGGTTCAAGCAGTTCTCCTCCTCAGCCTCCTGAGTAGTTGGGATGACAGGTGCCCGCTACCATGCCCAGCTAATTTTTTGTATTTTTAGTAGAGACGGGGTTTCACCATGTTAGCCAGGGTGGTCTTGAACTCCCGACCTCAGGTGATCCACCTGCCTCGGCCTCCCAAAGTGCTGGGATTATAGGCGTGAGACACCGCGCCCAGCCACTACTGGTTTTTCTTTAGAATTTCTTGTACTGCTTCCCTGCCTGCCCTCCCACCCGTTCAGAGATTTAGTTTTCACTTTTATCTTTTAAGCTTTTGTAGTTTTATTGATTAAAATATATATCTATCCATAATAAAAGAAAATTCAAACAAAAAGGAAAAGTGCAAAGAACAAAAGCAAACTCACCTTCAATTCCGCCACCTAGAAATAACCTGTTACATTTTGGTGATAATATTGTGTAGCAAAGAAGTAGTCTTCCTGGCTGGGTGCGGTGGCTCACGATTGTAATCCCAGCACTTTGGGAGGCTGAGGCAGGTGGATCATTTGAGGTCAGGAGTTCAAGACCAGCCTGGCCAACATGATGAAACCCCATCTCTACTAAAAATAAAAAAATTAACCGGGCAGTAGTGGCGCATACCTGTAATCCCAGCTACTCAGGAGGCTGAAGCAGGAGAATCGCTTGAACCCGGGAGGTGGGGGTTGAGGTGAGCCGAGATCGTGCCACCGCACTCCAGTCTGGGCAACAGAGTGAGACCCTGTCCCCCCCCACCAAAAAAAAAAAAAAAAAAGAAGTCACCTTCCCAAAGAGAGGTCAAGCCTTTGCCCTGGGCTGCTGGGAGGTGAATTCTAGGCCCCTGGAATTAGAAATTAGTTCTGCCTGATGGGAGTGTCTTTGTTTGCCTGGGGGCTTTGGCCACAGAACAGTTACCAATCTGACTTACAATGGGGGCCTGGAGCACAGGGTATCAGTTCCAACCTCCAGAGGAAAGGCTAACTAAAGGTCTTAGCCAGACATCTGGGCGGGGCTAGAAACTAAAGGTCAACCACAGGGGTAGAATGGATCAAGTCCAGTAAAAACTTGCGTCTTGGCTGATTTTAATTTGAATCCTTTCCTTATAATATACTGCAACCATGAATATAATACTTTTCAGTGCGTTCTGTTTTTCTAGTGAATTATTGAAACTGAGGGTGGTTTTGGGAACTCCCCAACTTGCATTTGGTATTAGAAATGAAGGCAGTCAGCCAGGCGCAGTGGCTCACGCCTGTAATCCCAGCACTTTGGGAGGCTGAGGTGGGTGGATCACCTGAGGTCAGGAGTTTGATAACAGTCTGGCCAACATGATGAAACCCTGTCTACTAAAAATACAAAAATTAGCCGGGTGTGGTAGCACATGCCTGTAATCCCAGCTACTTAGGAGGCTGAGGCAGGAGAATCACTTGAACCTGGGAGGCAGAGGTTGCGCGGTGAGCCAAGATTGTGCCATTACACTCTAGCCTGGGCAACAAGAGTGAAATGCTGTCTCAAAAAAAAAAAAAAAAAAGGCCGGGTGCAGTGGCTCACGCCTGTAATCCCAGCACTTTGGGAGGCCGAGGCGGGCGGATCACGAGGTCAGGAGTTCGAGACCATCCTGGCTAACACAGTGAAACTCCGTCTCTACTAAAAATACAAAAAAGTTAGCCAGGCATGCTGGCGGGTGCCTGTACTCCCAGCTCCTCGGGAGGCTGACGCAGGAGAATGGCATGAACCTGGGAGGCGGAGCTTGCACTGAGCTGAGATCGTACCACTGTACTCCAGCCTGGGCGACAGAGCGAGACTCCGTCTCAAAAAAAAAAAAAAAAAAAAAGAAATGAAGGCAGTTATATGGACTGTTCTAACTCTGAAGTTGGCCCTTAAGTCTTGGCAATACATATTCATCTGACTATGTATGTATATAAATAAAGATAAAAATATATAAATAGGCTGGATGTGGTGGCTCACATCTGTAATCCCAGCACTTTGGGAGGCTGAGGTGGGTGGATCGCTTGAACCCAGAAGAGCGAGACCAGCCTGGACAGCATGGCGAAACCATATCTCTACAAAAGATACAAAAATTAGCCAGGTGTGGTGGTACATGCCTGTAGTCCCAGCTACTCGGGAGGCTGAGGTGGGAGGAGCACCTGAGTCCAGGAGGTGGAAGCTGCAGGGCTGCAGTGAACTGTGAACTCACCACTGTACTCTAGCCTGCGTGGCAGAGTGAGACCCTGTCTCAAAACAAAAAGAAAAAACCAAAAAATCCATATATATATGAATAACATAATGCTTAAATAGGTAGGAACAGGTTTGTTTTATAACCCATTTTTCACTTATATGTCACAGACATCTTATGCCAATAAAGTTTTATATTATTTTATTTTTATATACAGAATATTTCACTGTACACATTTATCATAATCTACTTAACCATTTCCCCACAGACATACATTTATATTAACAGACGTGCTGTTTCAAATAAACAATGCTGTGATAAACACTAATTTTCATTAACATAGTCAAAATTTAGAAGTCCTTTTTTTATGCTTCTGTTTTTTGTGTCGTACTTAACAAGGCTTTTCCTAGCCTAAGACTTTGAAAACACTTACCTATTTCCTTCTAGAACTTTCACGGCTTCCCTTGTTACATTCAATTCAATAAAGCCAACTAGGATTTATTTGGTGGAATGAATGTACAGGGATGATGTAGGGATCCTGCTTTAGGTAAGATTTCCTAAATAATCCATCTTTCCCCATTAAACTAAAGGTCCATCTTCATCATACACCCCCTTCCCATAGATACATATATTTGGGACCACTTCTGGATGTTGTTTCTTATGGGTTTTGTACACACATTTTTTTTTTTTTTTGAGATGGAGTCTCGCTCTGTTGCCCAGGCTGGAGTGCAGTGGCACGATCTTGGCTCACTGCAAGCTCTGCCTCCTGGGTTCAGGCCACTCTCCTGCCTCAGCCTCCTGAGTAGCTGGGACTACAGGCGCCCGCCACCACCACGTCCGGCTATTTTTTTATATATATATTTTTAGTAGAGATGGGGTTTCACCGTGTTAGCCAGGATGGTCTCGACCTCCTGACCTTGTGATCCGCCTGCCTTGGCCTCCCAAAGTGCTGGGATTACAGGCGTGAGCCACCACGCCCGGCCTGTACATACATTTTTAATGATTTCACTTTTTACATAACTCTGATTCATCTGGGGAGAAAATCAATTTAGTTCTTTACACAGCTCACAAAAACAAATTCCAACTAGTTATCTCATTGTCTCATCTTCCCACAATGACTTACGACACTTCTCTGAACATATGTTGCATCTTCACCTATACCAGGGCTTGTTCTGGGCCCTGCATCACCACTGACCTGTGTCCAATCCTGTGCTGCCATCACACTAATTTAATCACCACAACTCTGTGCTATACTTTACTATCTAAGTAAGGTTAGCACCCATCATCTTTTAAAACAATTTTAGAATTCTTGCCTACTATTCTTTCAAGTGAACTTTATGACCATGTTGACAAATCTCAAAATAAAACTATTCTAAAAGAAAAAAGAAAACTATTTTAATATGTTGATTGGGATTATGTTTAATAAATCAATTAATGTAGGCAGCACCCCACTTCAAATTGGGCCATCACCATACCAAATTAAGGAATGTTATTCTACTTACACTACTTAACCTACTTAAAAAGAGAAATCCAAAGCTATCTGGTTTGCTATAATTTGCTTCATGAACCTCCTTCACATTTCTGATCATATTTTTCTAACATTTCTAAATAATATAAAAAGGAAATTTAGAAAGAAAAAACAGCAAAACAAAACCAAATCACGCAGTTATACCACTCAAACACAAGCACTATCCTCATTTTATTGTGTTTGACATAGCCCCACCTAGCTGATATGGCAGCTGCCACCCTCACCCTGACCAAACGGCTAAGCCACAGGCAGCAGGGAAAGGTTTCCATTATATTCAGTACTAAGCATGACTGTCCCCAAAGAATACAGCTTTTCCCTAGCACCTTCATAAAAAGGTAATTCAGTTGGTAGTTGGTTTAAATATTCACCAAGGTAAAATGTTTATGTAAAGAATGAAAAACTCTACCCAATTGCAGACACCTGGCTTAAAGAGGCAATAAATCAAGGAACAGCATTCTCTAGCCAGAGTACACACCTGGAGTCAAGACTCTAGAAATTGGCTACCAGAGATGTAATAAAAACAGATCATACTTGCAAATGTTTCTAAGCACCTATGAAGACTGACAAAAAACAAATTTGATATTATCACCACTATTAGTCATTTCAAGGCACTGCCAGCTACACAGCCTACTTACAAGTCAAAGAAATCTGAAGCTGTCTGATGCATTTAAAAGGATAAGGTAACACTCGCCAGGTAGCCAAGACCTATAAATAGACTTTTTTTTTTTTTTTTTTGAGACAGAGTCTTGCTCTGTCACCCAGGCTGGAGGGCAGTGGCGCCATCTCGGCTCACTGCAAGCTCCGCCTCCTGGGTTCACGCCATTCTCCTGCCTCAGCCTCCTGAGTAGCTGGGACTACAGGCGCCCGCCACCACGCCCGGCTAATTTTTTGTATTTTTAGTAGAGACGGGGTTTCACCATGTTAGCCAGGATGGTCTCGATCTCCTGACCTCGTGATCCGCCCACCTTGGCCTCCCAAAGTGCTGGGATTACAGGCGTGAGCCACTGCGCCCAGCCCTTTTTTTATTTTTTTTTCTTTTGAAGAGCAGGATCTAGCTCTGTTGCCCAGGCTGGAGTGCAGTGGCATGATCATAGCTCACTGCAGCCTTGAACTACTGGGTTCATGTGATCCTCCCACCTCAGCCTCCCAAGAATTTGGGACTACAGGCATGCACCACCATGCCCAGCTAAATTTTAATTTTTTTGGTAAAGATAAGCGTCTCCCAGGCCAGGTGCAGTGGCTCACACCTGTAATCCCAGCACTTTAGGAGGCCGAAGCGGGTGGATCACCTGAGGTTGGGAGTTTGAGACCAGCCTGACCAACATGGAGAAACCCTGTCTCTACTAAAAATACAAAATTAGCCGGGCGTGGTGGCACATACCTGTAATCCCAGCTACTCACGAGGCTGAGGCAGGAGAATTGCTTGAGCCCAGGAGGCGGAGGTTGCAGTGACCCAAGACCGCGCCATTGCACTCCAGCCTGGGCAACAAGAGCAAAACTCTGTCTCAAAAAATAAAAAAAAGAGAGATAAGCATCTCCCCATGCTGCCCAGGCTGATCTCGAACTCCTGACCTCAAGCAATCCTCCTGCCTCGGCCTCCTAATGTGCTAAGATTACAGACGTGAGCCACCGTACCTGACCCTAAACCTAAATAGGCTTTAAATAGGTTTTTCCCTTTTTGAGACAAGAGATAATTCAGTAAAGATTGTTCCCAATTATTTTCAGTTTTAAGGGTCTGGAATTGTATCCCTCCCCAGAAAGAGAGTTCCTGGCCCTAAAGAATAAAAATGAGAGGCACCCAGAGCAGGGATGCGTTGGGGTCACACCCACTTCCATTCGGCAAAAGGAAGAATAGCTGGATCCTGTAACACCCACTGCAACCACAGGATTCTGGCTTATTTGAGGAAGAGGATTCAAAAAAGCATACGAACAACTTTGTACTGCCCTCATCACATAATAGAAATTCCAAAATAAAATCCATTTTCCCTTTGCCTGCTAAAGATGCTTTCTCCCATCTGCTACTGAGAATCAGTTGTCAACCTAAATCTCTCCTTTGCATCCTCTTCCCATGGGTGTTTTTTAGTCAACTTATTAACCTTCCAAGTAGCAAAGGAGTTTGGGATGGGCAGAAGAGTTGGAGCCTACTCTAAATCGAAGGCAAGCTGTAGAAACAGTTTTTGTATTTCAGACATGCTGCAAATCTCCTCAGCCAACCCATCTGAGGTCAAACAGCCCTTCTGTCTCTCCTGAGACGTATGAACGGATTACATCTTTGTCAGCATTCCATATATCTACATTTCTTTCCTGTCTGTGAAAAGCAACAATTTGGGCCAGGCACGGTGGCTCACACCTGTAATCCCAGTGTGGATCGCTTAAGGCCAGGAGTTCGAGACCAGCCTGGCCAACATGGCAAAACCCCATCACTACTAAGAATACAAAAAGTAGTTGGGCACAGTGGCTCATGCCTATAATCCCAACACTTTGGGAGGCCAAGGCGGGCGGATCACTTCAGGTCAGGAGTTCAAGACCAGCCTAGCCAACACAGTGCAACCCCGTCACTACTAAAAATACAAAAATTAGCTGGGCGTGGTGGCTCACGCCTTGTAATCCCAGCACTTTGGGAGGCCAAGGTGGGCAGAACACTTCAGGTCAGGAGTTCGAGACCAGCATGGCCAACATGGTGAAACCCCATCTCTACTAAAAATACAAAAATTAGCCAGGTGTGGTGGTGCACGCTTGTAATCCCAGCTACTCAGGAGGCTGAGGCAGGAGAATCACTTGAGCCCGGAAGGCAGAGGTTGCAGTGAGCTGAGATTGTGCCACCTAAAAAGGAAATTATATTTTTTATAGTTTCACATGAGGGTGAGCACAGGTTTAGTCACTAAAAGTCAAGGTCAGAGTGACTAATGTCTCTCTCTTTCATTTACCCCTGCTTGAAGGCCTCCTGGAAGAATAGACTAAAATGGAATGAGAATTTGTAAGACACACATAATTTAAGAAAAACTACAGAGCAGGAAAAAGAAGTCTGCCTAGACAGTGATGGGCACTCATTTCTCAAAACCGAAGTCCCTGATGTACTGCTGGTTCCCTCCACACACAAGTGAAAGCAAAACACAGGCCTTGCAGGAGCTCACGGACTAATGAAAGGGCGTGACCCACATGGGAAGGAGATTTTGTGTCTTCTCCTTCCTGCAGATCTTTGGGGGCCAGCGTGCATTTAGAGGTGGGGAGGAGTCGAGCAGGGAGAGAGTAATTATGAACAAAACTTGAAGCCAACCATTTATGTTGATTTTTTGACTATAAAGTTTCAGTCCTCGTGTTATGTACAAGGGCCTGCTACCCTTTCCTGACATAAGGAAGAATGATAATATGATTCCTCTGATGGCAAAATCCCAGATTTTACTGAGGAAATCTAATTCTGTCTTTTTTTTTTTTTTTTTTTTTGAGATGGAGTCTCGCTCTGTCGCCAGGCTAGAGTTGCAGTGGTGTTATCTCAGCTCACTGCAACCTCTGCCTCCTGGGTTAAAGCCATTCTCCTGCCTCAGCCTCCTGAGTAGCTGAGATTGTAGATGCCCGCCACCATACCTGGCTAATTTTTGTATTTTTAGTACAGACGAGGTTTCACCGTGTTGGCCAGGATGGTCTTGATCTCTTGAACTCGTGATTCACCCGCCTCAGCCTCCCAAAGTGCTGGGATTACAGGTGTGAACCACCCCTTTCGGCCCTGATTCTGTCTTAATGTCATAAAAATTCATCTTCTCCATCAGCAGCATCACAGGCCAGGCTGCCCTTCGCAGGGGACACATGGCGCACCTTCCAATCAGGGTCAGCTTGGAAAGATACTTTTATTACCACCTAGTCACCGCCGGCCAGGGGAGAGCCAGAGAGGGCAGTGTCCCCGCAACCCCCCACCTTCCAATCAAGGCCAACTCAGAAAGATGCTTTTATCACCACCCTGTCACCACTGGTCACAGGAGAGCTGGGGGAGGACAATGTCCCCCCAAATCCCCCTTTTCAATCAGGGCCAACTCGGAAAAGACACTTTTCTAACCACCCTGTCACCACCAGCCACAGGAGAGCCGGGAGAGGGCAGTCAGTGTCCAACTGCCTGCCAGCTCTGCAGCCTTGGACAGACACCTGGCCTTTCAGAACTTCACTTTCTTTGGGAAAAAAAGAAAACTACTTCACAGAGCTGTGGTAAGAATGAAATGAAGCCAGGTATTTAGAGCAGACTGACTTTCTATCTGGAACACAGGAGGTTCTCAGTAAAAAGAATTCATACATTCAGCTGATGCTTCCCAAGACGTTCAGGGCTGTCTGACTCACTGTGCTGTGGGAACCGCACAATTAAAGCCTCTAGGCCACTGTGGCCAAGCCTCACCGTGACTCTGGATGGGAAGAGGGGGAACGACTGTGGGGGGATGCTGAACAAAGGTGCTGCGGAGCTGGAGAGCACCAGAGCTGTGAGATTAGGTACATCCAGGAAAATGCAAATGCATCCCACCAAGAGCGACAGCACAGGCAGAAATGTCTTTATTAGCCCTTACACAGGAATTGCAGCTGGGGGTTTCACAGCTGTCCTGTCACCTGAACCCCCAGCTCCCGCCACGAGGAAATGCCACCAAGGGCCTGATGACTGCCTGCACCATCAGCTCTCAGGCACACTTCACAGCAGTGACCCTTATCAAGTGCCTCTTAGTCAAGCTACAGAGTGGACAACCTGGGAGAGGGCGACAGACAGAGGAGAACACAAGGAGGAGGGCTGGTGACGTTGAACCCCTGCCAGTGCTCTCAGAGGAGAGGCGTGGGCCCAGTTGGAGTCCTGCACCCGGAAGCTAGTGCAGCTGGTGCAGCTGATGCTGCTACCTCTCTTTCAGCTCCATGAATCTATGGGAATCAAGAGCAGTGAAGGCCGGGTGCTGTGGCTCACACCTGTAATCACAGCACTTCGGGAGGCCAAGGTGGGTGTATCACCTGAGGTCAGGAGTTTGAGACCAGCCTGGCCAACATAGTAAAACCCCATCTCTACTAAAAATACAAAAATTAGCCAGGCTTGGAGGTGCAGGCCTGTAGTCCCAGCTACTCAGGAGGCTACGGCAGGAGGATCACTTGAACCCGGGAGGCGGAGGTTGCAGTGAGCCGAGATCGCGCCACTGCACTCCAGCCTGGATGACAGAGTGAGACTCCATCTCAAAAAAAAAAAAAAAAAAAAAAAAGAACCTGCGATTCCATCTTGCTTTCACCACCAGGAATCAAATGCATCCACACCATACAGAAACCCTCTGCAGGCCAGGGAGTGGAACATCCCAGCAACACTTACCAAAAGCCCGATGTGTCAGGCTCTGCACAGACAGTGACAACACAGTGACAATGCCATCCCTGGCTCTGCCCTCAGGACCTCACGAGCTAATGCAGAAGACAGAAAGGTCTTCCTTTGAGTGAGCAAAGGCATGTGTGGAGTGTATGGAAGTGCAATGGAGGGGCACCCAGTGGTGTTTTCCTTAATTAGGATGCCTGAGCGGAGTCTCCAAGGACGGGCAGGAGTTAACCAGGGAAAGAAGGGAGAGAAAAGGGTTTCAGGCAGAGGGAATCAGGAGGCCTTCTCCAGAAACGAGCAGCTTTGGCTTCTGGCCCATGCTCTTCCCTCCCTTCTCCATCACCACCATAAATGGGTCTGCAGCTTTGAAGACAGAGGATAAGTTGAGATAACACCACCCACAGTGCAGAGCCTAGGATCAAAGTCCCAACCTTGCTGCTACTTTTCCCAGCCAGGGGCTGGCCTGGGCAACAGGCAAATCCTTGAAAAAGAAGAGCAAGTGAAGCGATGGAAATGCCAGTTGGCCAACATCTCACACTTAAGTGTGAACCTATAGTCTGAACCTATAGTCCAAAACGATGACAGAATAGGAATCAAAGCTAATTTGTCACATCAGGTTCTAAAGTAAAGCAGACAGAGAAAGAAGGGAACAAGAGAGAGAGGAGGAAAAGAAGGGGGGGAAAGGGCTTATAAAAGGGAAGTTTTTTTTTTTTTTGAGACGGAGTCCCGCTCTTTAGCCCAGGCCGGACTGCAGTGGCACAATCTCGGCTCACTGCAAGCTCCGCCTCTAAAAGGGAAGTTTTTGAGAGATACCTCTTTTGTACCATGGGTGTTTTGACCACATAAAAGTGAAAAATCAGCCGAGCGCGGTGGCTCACTCCTGTAATCCCAGCACTTTGGGAGGCCGAGTCAGGCAGATCACCTGAGGTCGGGAGTTCTAGACCAGCCTGACCAACACAGAGAAACCCCATCTCCACTAAAAATACAAAATTAGCCGGGCACGGCTGTAATCCCAGCTACTCAGGAGGCTGAGGCAGGAGAATCTCTTGATCCTGGGAGGCAGAAGTTGTGGTGAGCTGAGATCTCAACACTGCACTCCAGCCTGGGCAACAAGAGCGAAACTCCGTCTCCAAAAAAAAAACCCGTGAAAAATCTCTTCTAAATAAAAAAAAAATCAATAAGCAAAGTTAGAAGGTAAGTGTCAAACTGAGAGAGGCATTAGGAAAAAAGCTTAGTCCTTAAGGTGTAAGGAGCTCCACAATCAGTGAAGCTTCCCCAGTGACTAACTGCAGAGATAAAAAGGATGTGGCTGTCAAGGTCTGAACCAAATGGCCCAATTTAGCACCACCAACAGTGGGCCCACCTGACAGTATGGACCTTTGATGTGATCGCCCATGAGGCACCCACCAAAAATGTTTCACCTAAATCTAACAAAGCCTTTCAGGACTCACGTGATTTAGTGGTTTAGAGGAAACACGGGGAGCAAGGAAACATGTTCACCAGGAAACGACAAATGCAGACTGTGGGACGGACTTCAAGACAACTGGGCCAGTCCCTTCAAAAGGTCAGAGCCACGGGGGGAAGGCAGAAGGATTCTTCTACAAGAAAAAAGGCTGGCCGGGTGTGGTGGCTCATGCCTGTAATCCTAGCACTTTGAGACGCCGAGGTGGGCAGATCACAAGGTCAGGAGATCAAGACCATCCTGGCTAAAGTGGTGAAACCCCATCTCCACTAAAAATACAAAAAAATTAGCTGGGCGTGGTGGCGGGCACCTATAGTCCCAGCTACTCGAGAGGCTGAGGCAGGAGAATTGCTTGAACCCGGGAGGCAGACGTTGCAGTGAGCCAAGATCGCACCATTGCACTCCAGCCTGGGCGAGACAGTGAGACTCCGTCTCAAAAAAAAAAAAAAAAAAAAAAGAAAAGGTAATTATGGTAAAGCCAAAAACAAGAAAACTGAAGATAAATCAAATACATCTACCAACACATGAATGGAGAAAACGCACTGCTATATCTATACGACAGAATATTAACTACAGGTGCAGACAGCAACATGGATAAGTCTTAAAAACATGCCGAACAAAGGAAGCGAGACACAAGGATACAAACTGTCTGATTCTATTTATACAAAACACACGGAAAGACTAATCTGATTCACAGTGATAGTGCGCAGATAGGGAAGGAGAGGATGCCTGGGAAGGGCGCGAGGGAACCTTCTGGGGTCATGGAAATGTTCTGTATATTGATTGCAGTGGTCACATGTGTGCATACATTTGCCAAAACTATAAATCAGTACACTTGTAAGGGTGAATTTTATTGTTTACATATTATACCTTAATAGAGCTGATTGAAGTTTTTAAATTATAGTAATGATACCCAAGGGTTGGGGATAATGTAAGGAGTTGGACCCTCTTAAATAACACTAGTGGGACTATTAATTGGTACCACATGCTTTCTGTAACAGCTTTATTGGAATATAGTTCACATACCACACAGTTCACTCATTTGAAGTGTACAATTTGGCCAGGCACGGTAGCTTACACTTGTAATCTCCGCACTTTGGGAGACCAAGGCGGAAGGATCACATGAGCCCAGAAGTTAGAGACCAGCCTGGACAACACAGCAAAACCCTGTCTCTACAAAAAAAAAAAAAAACAAACAAAATTAGGCCGGGCACAGTGGCTCACACCTGTAATCCCAGCACTTTGGGAGGCCAAGGCGGGAGGATCATAAAGTCAGGAGTTCAAGACGAGCCTGACCAAGATGGTGAAACCCTGTCTCTACTAAAAAAAAAAAAAAAATACAAAAATTAGCCAGGTGTGGTGGTGGGCACCTGTAATCCCAGCTACTTGGGAGGCTGAGGCAGAGAACTGCTTCAACCAGAGAGGCAGAGGTTGCAGTGAGCCGAGATCGTGCCACTGAACTCCAGCCTGGGTGACACAGCGAGACTCTGTCTCAAAAAAAAAAAAAAAAAGGCCAGGTGCAATGGTTCATGCCTGTAATCTCAGCACTTTGGGAGGCCAAGGCAGGTGGATTACAAGGTCAGGAATTCAAGATCAGCCTGGCCAACATGGTAAATCCCGTGTCTACTAAAAATACAAAAATTAGCCGGGCATGGTGGCGGGCGCCTCTAATCCCAGCTACTTAGGAGATTGAAGCAAGAGAATCGCTTGAAACCAGAAGGTGGAGGTTGCAGTGAGCCAAAACTGCACCACCACACTCCAGCCTGGGTAGAAGAGTGAAACTCTGCCTCAAAAATAAATAAATAAATAAATAAATAAATAAATAAATAAATACATACATACATACATACATACATATAAAATTAGCCAGGCATGGTGGCGTACACCTGTAGTCCCAGCTACTTGGGAAGCCAAGGCGGGAAAATGCCTTGAGCCTGGGAGGTCGAGGCTGCAGAGAGCCGTGATCATGCCGCTGCACTTCAGCCTGGGTGACAGAGCGAGACCCTGTCTCAAAAAATAGTGTACAATTCAATCGTGTTTCATATATTCAGAGAGCTATGCAACTGCCATCACAACTTTAGAGCATTTAAAAGAAATGCCCACACTCTTTAGTTATTCCACTTCGACCCTAAACAACTATTGATCCACTTTCTGTCTCTACATGAATGCATATTCTGGACGTTTCATATTTCACATAAGTGGAATCATATAGTATGTAACCATTTGGGATTGACTTGTTTCACTCTGTGTCATGTTTTCAAGGCTCATCCATGTTGTAGCATGTGTCAGCATTCCATTCCTGTTTGCCACTGAATAATATTCCTATCCACAGATATATCACATTGTTTAATCCATTCATCAGCTGGTGGACATTTAGACTATTTCCAACTTTTGGCTGTTATGATTAATACTTCTGTGAACATCTGTGTACAAGTTTTTGTAGGAACTATATTTTCATTTCTCTTGGGGAGATTCTTAGGAAGGGAATTGCTAGGTCACATGGTAACTCCATGTTTAATGTGTTGGGGAGTTGCCAGACTGTTTTCCACAGCAGCTGCACCATTGTACATTCCCACCAGCACACAGAGGGAATGGATCTCGATGCTCTCCCACACTTTCCACAGGCTAATGCTGTGAAGTAGCCTCTTACTGTGGTTTTGAGCGCATTTCCCTAACGATTAATGGTATTAAACATCTTTTCACATGTTTATTGGCCATTTGTGTATCTTCTTTGGAAAAATGTCTATTCAAGTCCTCTGTCCATTTTTAAATTGGGTTATTTGTGTTTTTTTTAATTTGTAGAATTCTTTATATATTCTAAATATACATCTTTTAATAGATATATAATTTGCCAATATGTTCTCCCATTCTAGGGGCTGTCTTTTCTAATTAATACAACTTTTGAAAACTACTCTTGCAATGTATATCAGACTTCAGTGTGAATACCTACTTTGATCTTGTAGTTTCACTTTTGAGAATATATCTCAAGGAAATAATTTAAGAAGTATAATGAGAAGAGCTATAAACAAGGATAGTCATCAAAGGACTATTTAACTGAATCACAACCCTTACCTCACACCATATACAAATATTAACTCAAAATGGTTCACATCCTAAATGTAAAAGCTAAAACTATAAAACTTCTTGAAGAGAAGGCCGGGCGCGGTGGCTCACGCCTGTAATCCCAGCACTTTGGGAGGCCAAGGTGGGTGGATCACAAGGTCAGGAGTTCGAGACCAGCCTGACTAACATGGTGAAACCCTGTCTTTACTAAAAATACAAAAAGTAGCTGGGCATGGTGGCATGGGCCTGTAATCCCAGCTACTCGGGAGGCTGCGGCAGGAGAATGGCGTGAACCTGGGAGGCGGAGCTTGCAGTGAGCCGAGATCCCGCCACTGCACTCCAGCCTGGGCGACAGAGCGAGACTCCGTCTCAAAAAAAAAAAAAAGAAAAAAAAAGAAAAAAATAAATAAATAAATAAATAAATAACTTCTTGAAGAGAATACAGGAGAAAAATCTTACAGGCCTTGGATTGGCAAAGATTTCTTAAATACAACACAAAAAGCATGAAAAGAAAAAAAAAGACATATATTAGACTTTCTCAAAATTAAAAACTTTTGTTCTTCAAAAGACAACTGAAAATGATGCTGCAGGTCTATTTTTACCTACATGGGCACAGGAAAAAAAAAAAGAAAAAAAAGCAAAGTGACAAAACAACAGGGTGTAACTCTAAGAGCAGCTTTCCAGGGCTCTTTTCTTCCTGTCTTTCCAAAATGTCTGAATCCTGCATTTGACCATGAGCATACACCTCTATGTGATGAGGGAGGAGGAAGGAAAAGAACCTCCACAGAATGATTTCCTCTTGGCAAAGGGGAAGAAGTGAATGTCCATCTCATAATTGGCAAAAAGTAAAATTCAGTTAGCCCGGGGACATAGTCTGCCCTGTTGATTGAGTTTACTTATTTGCCAGATTTCAAAAATGAGAATATATTATAATTTTTTGAAGAGTTGAGGATCTTTGCCCTTTCACAAGATTTGCAGATAATTTCTATTACACATACAAGTTAATCTGGTGAACAACATTCACTGATGTAACTGGCTAATAACTGGCTAATAATGGCTTCGGAGTATTCTGTAAAAGGAGTCTGTATGTATACCATTATCTCACAATTATCTGGAGCTTAATTTAGTTATCCAGAAGTAAGTAAAAGTAATTCAAGATAGATAACAAAGGTCTGTGCACTTGACTCAGAGGAGAGTCTCTAAACCCTCACTAAGTTAATTACCCTTGTTTTACACTCAATTTAACAAGTTATGCAAACCAATAGAAAATGGGAGACACCAGACAAAAAGGGAAACTCACTGCTGAGCAAGTGACAGCCAAAAGCCTAGAGGAGATGATCATTCAAGTTGAAAACCTAACTCATGAGAAAGTCTGGGACTGTTGAACAGAGAATTCAATATACCTTAACAATGAAAGATTACCACAATAATGCAATAAATAATATTCAAAAATATGTTTCTAAATAATCAAAAGTTATGTTCAATATGTTCAAGAAAGCAGCAAAAATGAGTATGCATTTGAGACAGATTTCTACTTCCCATTAAAAATGGTTAATTTTGTAAAAGAGATGATTAAACAAAATAAACAGTGATCTAGAAAACTGGTTAATATCAAAGGAAGCTCTATTCCTTAAGAGAGGGGCAAATTAGGTATTTTTACAAACACATTTTAATAGCAAGCCAACCTTAATCCCATAAAACTCAAAGGACTGACCTAAAGAAGTCATTTTAGATCCATTCACAGATTCTTCTGTGCTCCTCAAATGGTACCACAGAGGTGCTTCCCAAGTCAGTCTGAATAACTAACCCTGTAGATAAGGTCATTTCATCTTGCCACCTGACCACCCAGCTCTGTTCACCAGGTCTACACTCCTCCTGCACTGCAGCTCCATCTTTGAGAAAAAAAAAACACTTGAACTTGGCTGTCTGGGGCAGAGACCTGACATGTTTTTGCACTCTGCATTTCCTCCTTCCTGGCTCTTCAAATGTCGGGGTATAACCACACTGCACTTGGAGAGCTATTGATTCAAATGCAGAGAAACGAAGTTCCTGACTTGGGGAGGAAATGTAGTCTCCATCTTCTCACTACAAACACCTTTCCATGTGAGCCGCCTCCACCCTCCCACCCACCAAGGGAGTTCTCCTAATGCCCTAAACTCCTTCAGGGCTGGGATTTCCACAAATATATTTGGATATGAGGACTATTCCTCATATAGCCACACAAATAGGAAACCAAGGAGGCGCAGAGGTAGGACAATGCAACCTAAGTTGGCATCAGAAAGCCAAAGCCCTGAGGCTCTGCTCCTCCCCCTGAGGGAGTTCAGCAGAGGAACTGTTCTCTCTTGCTGGTTATTTGTAGCCTGAGGCATCATACACATGATAGGGACAGACATCAGACCAAAAAGGTCATTGGGGAAATCAGCCCGGGCTGCAGGGACAGCAGGTGGGGAACCTGACCACAGCAGGCGGTCTCATGTCTGGAACAGGCTAGGGCCAAGTGAGGCTGGGGCCACCAGTGCGCAGCACGATGCCTGGAAGGGCAATGCCCCCAGGGCATTACCAAGAGGCAAGGCTGGCTGCAACAGCTGGGGTCCAGGATGCCCGCTGGCTGCCAACAGCTGGGGTCCAGGATGCCCTCTGGACCAAGAGACAGCAATCTGCTTTGCAATAGTTTGGTTTTTGTGTTTGTTTGTTTTGGGGTTTTGTTTTGGTTTGTTTTGGTTTTTTTGGAGACATGGCCTTGCTCTGTTGCCTAGGCCAGCTGAAGTGCAGTGGCACGATCATGGTTCACTGCAGCCTCAAACTCCCCAGCTGACGCCATCCTCCTACTTCAGCCTCCCAAGTAGCTGGGGCCACGGGCACATGCCACCATGACTGGCTAATTTTTTAAATAATTTTTGTAGAAGATCTTGCTATGTTGCCCAGGCTGGTCTTACACTCCTGGGCTCAAGTGATCCTCCCGCCTTGACCTCCCAAAGTGCTGGGATTACAGGCGTGAGCCACCACGCCCAGCTGCTCTGCAGTAGTTAACTCACTGTCCTAAGACGCTGTTCCCGCTGCTCCTGCTGAGCAGGGAGGCAAAGGGAAGTGGTTTCTTCTCTGGAACCAGTGGTCCTCCTCCCAGCCCACCCCCAGGATCAGCAGCAGAGGTGGAAGAAGAGAAGCCAATTTCAGAGCACCGGAGCGACGCAAACCACACCAACTGGCACTTTATTCAAAACAATGATGGCTTTGTCAAGCACAGCCCAAGAGCCAGCTGAAAAACCTGCCCTTCCCTCCTAATTTCTACCCTCAAGTCCCCGTGACTTTGAGGCACCATGTTAAAAAGGAGGAAAAAAATTACACAGAAACCAACATCAGCCAACCCATGTGACCTGACAGAAGGCAGGCCAGCTGCCCTTCCAGGATGACACATTGCTGGAGCTGGCTGTTCTGCAGCCATGGGTCGCCTACTGGGCAGCTCAAGCTCCCAGGACACATTTAAGTCTCACTGATATATTTCCAGTGATCCCAGCCAACAAAGAACAAAGAACTGAAAGAGCGCTGCTGTGTCAATCTTCCAGTCGTCTGGGAGGGCAGCACACCCCAACCTCAATCTGAGTTGCTCAGCGGGGGTGGCTGCTCCCCATCTTTCCAAGAACCTAAAAGCTGCTGCCCCAGGGCCCTCTAGGACAGGGAACAGAAGGAAAATCTCTCTGTGGGGAAGAAGTGGGGGGCACCGGAAGAATAGATGACATTATTTCTCACACCACACCCTGCCCTGCTCGCTTCATCCCTATTTTACCAATCAGGGTCAGTCATCTCCAACACCCCACAAACACACCCATAGCTCCAAGGAGCCAGCAACAAGCACACAAACAAAGATAAGCAAACAAACTTATCAGGCGCAGCGCAGCTGGCTCCACACAGGCCCTGCCAGCTCCTCTGCAAATACAGTCTCTGGTAGGCTGCCCTGAGAAGGATCTGAAGGAGGCCGTGCATAGCACCAGTGAGCTTACCTACCTGCTGGCTCACAGTACTGTGAAAGGTCAAGGCCAAGGCCAGGCCAGAGCTGAGCTGCTAACTGGGTTCTTTGCTTCCCTATGGACAAAGCCTTCTGCCAAGGTTTCTTGTGGGGAGGGGGAACCCATGGATTCCAAAACTAAAGGGAAACAGAGACTGGCCCAATAGATAAGGGAGCAGCCTGGGAGAGTAGGGAGCTGGGAGCAGGCATTCCACCGGGCCAGGAAATGGAGCCCTCAGTAAGGAACTCTCAGCAAGAACACAGCAGGGGGATGGTGGGCAGTGTGGGGACACCGGCCTTCACACAGCTGGGCCTGAGCAATTTTAATTAATTAATTACTTTTTTTTTTTTTTAGAGGCAGGGTCTCACTCTGTCACCCAGGCGGGAGTGCAGTGATCATAGTTCAGCAGCCTCCAACTTCTGGTCTCAAGAGATCCTCCCGCCTCAGCCTCCTGAGCAGCTGGGACTACAGGTGTGAGCCACCACACCTGGCTAATTTTTTAGTTTTTGTAAAAATAGGGTCTCGTTATGTTGCCCAGGATGATATGGAACTCCTGGGTTCAAGTGATCCTCCCACGTCAGCCTCCCAAAGTGCTGTGATTACAGGCGTGAGCCACCAAACCTGGCCCTGGTTATGTTTTAAAATTAAGGCTGGGTGCAGTGGCTCACACCTGTAGTGAGGCCAGGGTGACAGGACTGCTTAAGCACAGGGGTTCAACGCTGCAGTGAGCTGTGATCACACCATTGCACTCCAGCCTGGGTGACAGAGCGAGACCCTGTCCGCCCAAAAAAAACACCCATAACCAAAGTCCTCATGCCTTCGGCCAAAAGCTCCTCTGCCGAGCACTCTTCTGACAATGCAAGTGTTAGGACAGACAGGCCCACGGAAGCACCACAAGCGAGCAGCTGAGAAGCAAGGCTGCCAAGCCAGACAGCGGCATCTCCGGACTCAATCTGACAAAAAATACTTAAATCATTTTTCAGAGCGTTGAGTCAGCTCTTCCTTCCATGTACCAAGTCATTCCCCAGTTTTGTAACTTGCAGGGACATGTACCCGCAGCATTCCAGTTCCACGTGAGAGCTCACGCCAGCTGGGGGGACTCACACCTGGAATCACAACTTTCACAGAGCCTTGCTCTCCCTACCTCAGGCACAACAAACAGCCAAGGGCAGGAGTCACCTCGGGGACACCGCGGTCACAGCCTCGGGGGTCTGTCAGCAGAGCACCACAAGGCATGCAAGCTGCGGCATCAGTCCTGCGGGCATGCTGCTGACTGTGCGTTCTACCCCTGCCCCACAGCAGGCTGCTGGACAAATGTGAAAGCGCAGGAGCTTCCACTCCCGGACTCAGAATAAACAGGCCACCGTTCAGCTCCGCGCCTGCTGACCACCATTCCCCTAGACACACCTGTCCTGGGAGGGTGGGACAGTGGGACAAGGAGGGGTGCCTAAAGTGGTGATAAGAATTGCTGCCATTTTTAGAGACTTGAAAGCTTCCCAGGGTAAAGGCTCCTATCAGGAAGGAGGAGGAAGCAGACATTTTCAGAGAAAGTAGCCAACCAGGGCTATGAAAACAGAGATGAATGGAACAGGGGCCTAGAAACATGGGAGGCGTTATCAAAAACACCAGCGAAATATTCTCGGTGATCAACAGAGAGAGAGAAAATAAATAGTAGTACATCCATACAATGAAATACTATCCAGCCACTAAGAAACACTGCAGAAGCCGGGTGTGGCGGTGCACACCTGTGGTCCCAGCTACTCGGGAGGCTGAGGCGGGACGATTGCTTGAGCCCAGGAGTTCAAGGCTGCAGTGAGCTATGATCACACATTTGCAGCCCAGCCTAGGCAACAAAGTGAGACCTATCTTTAAAAAATAAAAAATTGCAGATGGATATTTTGTGGCTTGGAGGGATGTTCACACTCTATTAAATGGAAAAAATACGTGGTGGCCCAAGCCTGTAGTCCCAGCTACTCGGGAGGCTGAGGGAGAAGAATCACTTGAACCAGGGAGGCGGAGGTTGCAGTGAGCTGAGATCGCGCCACTGCACTCCAGCCTGGCGACAGAGCGAGATTCTGTCTCAAAAAAAAATAATAATAAAAATAAAAATAAGGAAAATATATATATACTCACCATGCAAAAAATAAAAATAAAAAATAAGGTCTATAAGGATAAACACTAGAGAACTGACAAGTTATCTCTGGGTGTTGTAATTTTTATTTCTTTCTTTTAGCTTTACCTATATTTCTGATTTTCTATGATAATTTGAAATGCAACTTGAAAAGAAAAGGTTAACTTTAATTTTAAAATGTAAAAAAAAAACTATACTATGAACATAGAGAAATAACAATGAGTAAAATCTGGAAGGAGGCCTGAAAGATGTGGACAAATTCCAAAAAGTAAGGTCCTAAGCTTTAAAGAACTCCCCAACTTTTCAGCAAACATGTCTCTGCAGAGGAAGCACTGTGTGGCGGATAAATACAAACGCTATTTGAATCTGGATTCGAGGCCTATGCTAAGGCACTTAAGAACCATAAAGCTACTTGCCAACACCTTTCCAAATCAGATCCAAAAGCCAGAGCCAGGAATCCTAAGGAACCTGTGCAAGGCGGCCGCACAAGCACTAAGTGTGCATGTGTGAGTGTGTACTGCAAACACACACCCCCCCACACACACAACATACCACACACACCAACACACCACACAGACACTGCACACACATACCCACACATCCCACACACAAACCAACACACACACCAACACACCACACACCACACACACCACCACACCGCACTCACCACACACACCACCACACCGCACACAGACACCACACACATACCCACACCCCACACACACCAACACATACCAACACACCACACACAACATACACCAACACCACCCCACAGACACCACACACATTCCCACACACCCCACACACACAACACACCAACACCACACCACACAGACACCGCACACACATACCCCCACACCCCACAAACACACCAACACACACCAATACACCACACAATCACACACCAACACCAGACAATGCACACACATACCCACACACTCCCCATACGTACCACACACACCAACACCACACCATAGAAACACTGCAAACACACCCACACCCCACACACACCAACACACACACCAACACACCACACACATAACACACACCCCACACCAACACCACAGACACCGCATACACACACCCACACATACCACACACATGCCAACACACCACACATACAACACACCACACACACAACACACAACAGACATCGCACACACACCTGCACACACACCAACACACCACACACACCAACACCACAGACACCGAAAACATACACCACACACACAACACCAACACACACACCAACACACCACACACCAACACACACTGCAAACACACCCACACACCAACACACCACACACAACACACACACCAACACACCACACACACAGACATTGCAAACACACACCCACACACCAACACACACACACCAATACCACACCAGACACCGCATACACACACCCACACCCCACACACACCACACACACCACACACCAACACCACACAGACACTGCAAACATACACCCACCGCAAACATACACACACCCATACACACCACACACACACCAACACACCACACACCACACACACCATCACACCACACACAGACATCGCACACACCCACACACCAACACACACACCAATACCACACCAGACACCACATACACACACCCACACACTCCACACACCAACACACACAACACACACCAACACCACACACAGACACTGCAAACATACACATCCCACACACCCCACACACATACCAACACACACAACACACCACACACACACCACCACACACACCAACACACCACACCAGACACCGCAAACCCACCACACACACCACACAGATAGCGCAAATACACCCACACCCTGCACACACACCACACCAGACACCGCAAACACACACACACCACACACACATGCCAACACACACACCAACACACCCCACACACCACCACACCAGACACCGCAAACACACACACACCACACACACATGCCAACACACACCAACACACCCCACACACCAGACACTGCAAACACACACCCCACACACACTGACACACACACCAACACACGACACACACCGACACACACAGACACTGCAAATACACACACCACACACACACTA
Source organism: Homo sapiens (assembly GCF_000001405.40). NCBI lineage: Eukaryota > Metazoa > Chordata > Mammalia > Primates > Hominidae > Homo > Homo sapiens. The sequence goes on along the minus strand of NC_000012.12, from coordinate 122,093,757 downwards.
CACCCACACCACACACACCACACAGGCACCGCAAACACACCCCCCACACCAACACACCCCACACACCAACACCGCACACATACACCACACACACATATCAACACACACACCAACACACCACACACCAACACACACACCACACACACACCACAAACACACACCATACACACCAACACACACACTACACCCATGCCACAGGCACCGCAAACACACCCCCCAAACCAACACACACACCCTCCACACACACCAACACAGACACCGCACACACACACCACACACCAAACACACCGCAAACATACACACACCCCACACATACAACACACACACCCCACATATAACACACCAACACACACCACACACATAACCACCCACACACCACACACACCAACACACACCACACACCAACACACACAATACACAGACACTGCAAACACATTCCACGCACCCACACCACACACACACTACATACAGACAGCACAAATGCACACCCCACACCCRCACTGCACACACACCAACACATACCATACACTACACACACCACACACCAACACACACCACACACAGACATCCACCCCCACACACTACACACACTACATACCCTACACGCCAACACACACATCAACAGACCCCACACACATCCCACACACCAACACACACACCACACACCAACACACACAGCAAACACACCAACACATGCACACCACACACACCATACACACACACCACACATACATATACACAGACCACACCACACATACACACAACACACACAACACATACATACCCACACCACACACCCCACCACACAAACATACCACACACACCACACCCCACACACATCACACACAACAACACACACACTGGGGAAGCAAAGCCGAAGATAGGTAACATAACATAAAATGTGCAGGTCGGAAACTAAACAAGAGTCAAGACAGAGCCCTCCTCAGTCTAACTTAATGTTGTAATTTTGTTTCAACTCCAGCCAAATCAACCGTTTATAGAGTTCAAAGTATTGTCCCTTTCCCCCATCCCAAAATTACCCTATGCAAACAGTCCCACCTTAGTCAAGTATGGTGGTGATGCTGAGGGGTGATAGCTTAAAATGGAATGTAACCTATAGTCCAAGAATTTCACAAAATGGAGAATATACCCTCCATTCCCAGAACAAGAATACTTAAAATCATCACCCCAGCTCCTCATAACTCAGAGTAACTAACCGTCTCCTAGGCACATGCATACCTCTGGGGTGTACCAGGCAGTCTTAGATTTGGTATTCAGAAGATTATGGTCCTGTGACTTTAAACAGAGCAGGGCCAAGAAGGTAGACGTAGTGTAAGAACACCTAAAAAAAACTACCTTGACTGGGCTCAGTGGTTCACACCTGTAATCCCAGCACTTTGGGAGGCCATGGCAGATGAGTTGCTAGAGCTTGGGAGTTCAAGACCAACCTGAGCAACATGGCAAAACCCTGTCTCTACAAAAAATACAAAAATTAGCCAGGCATGGTGCTGCATGCCTTGTAGTCCCAGCTACTTGGGAGGCTGAGGCAGGAGGACAGTTTGAGCCCAGGATGTGGAGGTTGCAATGAGCTGAGATCGCGCCACTGCACTCCAGTCTGGGTGACAGGGAGAGATCCTGTCTCAAAGAAAAGAAAAGAAAAAAGAAAAGAAAAGAAAAGAAAAAGAAAGAAAAAGAAAGGGGAAAAAAAATATTTCTTGTGCCAGAGCCGTTCTGTGGCAAACAGCACACCGCCTTCATCGCTTAGGCCAAGACTCACTTCTAAACCAGATTCAATCTAGATTAAACTCACAACCCCAGAATACCTAATAGCTGAATTCAGACCTTAAATCCAGATTTCCTCCAGTTTTTCAAATATGTCGAATCTCATAACACTAGGCTCACATTCCCACATGGCAAGAATCACCTGAAGTTAAGTGATGGCTGCTCTTTCAGCAAACACTCTAGTTCACCACCACAGTCTCCACTACTCCCTACCGCCTGTCATTGAGACCAAGTCAACTGCAGTTGATGCTTACGGTTTTCATAACAAACAGAGATTTCTCCATAACCATGACTTTATGAAAAGGAGGAAAATAAATAACAGAAAAGGTCTTTTTAGCCTTACAGATATCCTATTTCCTGGCCCTTGTGAGCATTTAAGTTTGTGACCCTTGACCCAGATAAAAGAAGAAAAAGTCTTTTTTTGTTTTGTTGTTTTTTTAAACAGACACAAGGTTTTGCCATGTTGCTAAGGCTGGTCTCAAACTCCTGAGCTCAAGCAATGCACCTGCCTTGGCCTCCCAAAGTGCTGGGACTACAGGCCTGAGCCACTGCACCCGGCCGTAAAGGTCTTAACAAACTAACTTTACAGAGAGTGATTTGGCAAGCTCTGGTGCAAGCTGAAGAAACCAATTCCCACGTCATCTTCAGTCTAGAAGGAATGCTCCAAGGAGGTCACTTTCCCAAACACTCCTCCACTTACTGTACACAGTAAAGATAAAGAATCATGGAATTTCTAGACACTGACATAGTTAAGATCTCCAAGATCATCTGATCTTGCACTTCCCAAGTCAGATTCCTAAAGATAATGTTGAAAGTCAGAACTGTTTTCAATATTTTTTAAACAATAACAGCTTATTGAGACATAATTTACACACCATCAAAGTGACCCTTTAAAAGTGTTCAGTGGTTTTCAGTATATTCAGAGTTATGTAACCATCGCCACCCTAATTTTAGAACATTTTCATCACAGCCTCAAAAAAAAAACAACCCATTAGCAGTGACTATCCATTTTCCCTTTCCCCAGCCCTTGGCAGCCACTGCTCTGCTTTCTGTGTCTATGAGTTTGCTACTCTAGGCCTTTCGCATCAACAGATCACATACGTGGTCTTTTGTGTCTGGCTTCTTTCACCTAGTGCAGCGTTTCCAAGGTTCTTCCATGTTGCAGCATGCATCAGTACTTCATTGCAAAAGTTGTTTTCAATATTTTTTATTTCTGGGAAGATAGCTTCAGGTAGATCAATGTTTTTAAAAGTATTTACTTGCTCATGATAAAGCCATGATGGTCATCCTTCAAATAAATGCAATTTTCCTAACATTTTATTAAGAAAATTATCAAACATACAGGGAAAGTTGAAAGAACTGTACAATGAATACTCAAGTACCCACCACCTGAATTCTTACAATTATAACTACTAAGCCATTTCTCCATCCATTAATCCATCTTATTTTGTTATGTGTTTTGTTTTGTTTTTTTTTTTTGAGACAGAGTCTCGCTCTGTTGCCCAGGATGGAGGGCAGTGGTGGGATCTTGGCTCACTGTAACCTCTGCCTCTCGGTTTCAAGAGAGTCTCCTGCCTCAGCCTCCCGAGTAGCTGGGATTACAGGCATGTGCCACCACACCAGCTAATTTTTTTGTATTTTCGGTAGAGACAGGGTTTCGCCATGTTGGCCAGGCTGGTCTCGAACTCCTGACCTCAAATGATCTGCCTGCCTCGGCCTCGCAAAGTGTTGGGATTACAGGCGTGAGTCACCACACCCGGCTGGGTAAGGCTTATTTCATTCAACATAATGTTTCTGAGATTCATCCATGTTGTGGCATATACTGGTAATTTGTTTCTTTTTAAATTACTGAATGCGCTTTGTTCCTAAGGTAATATCTTTCAAAAAAGAAAGCCATGGAAGAAGAGTAAGGTTGGTAACCATGACTCCAGTCTAACCCTCTCTCTCTTGCATCCTCCACCCTCATGGGCACCAAGACTTAAGGAGCTAAGGGGCAGATGCTAACCAGTCGCACCACTGTCTTGTGGCTTCCAATCCCATCATCTTTCCACATACCTCACAGCCATTTCCTTCTTCTCATCCTGTAAGGAAGTTCCTAGCTGATTCTATAAGAGCCTTATTACAGGAAATGGGAAGTCAATACCCGAATAACAAAGGTACTAGGTGTCTCCTCAAAAACATGTCAAGAAAACAAAATGTGGTACATCCAAAAAACTGAAGACTATTCAGCATTAAAATGCACTAAACACCTGATGTGTGCTACAACATGGATGTACTCTGGGGATCTTACTGAGGTGATGGAATGTCCCAGCACTGGGCTGTGACAATGACTGCACAACTAAAAAAAAAAATCACTGAACCTTACACTTACAATGGGTCCATTTTATGCTATGTAAATTACACTTACAGAAAGTTGTGTTAAAAAGAAAAAAGCCTGACTACAAACGGATGAAAGAGTTTTCTGCTTCAAGGCAGAGAAAGATCTGCTTGATAATTTAAAGACAAAAGAGGCAATTTAAAAGACCCTGCTACTCAACTAGAAAACAGTTGTTTAAAACACCAAGCTAGGATAATTATATACTGTTTTAAGAATGCATTGAAAGCGTTTCCTTTTAATAAATAAAAGGAATTTATTGATTCACTTTCTTTAAAAAGCTCAGTATCAAGCTATCTGGGCAGGTCCCAACTGCCAGTCTTAAAATGAGGCAGCCCATTGTGAACGGGCTGGTTACCATGTGACCATGTAACCATATGAAGAGGTTCTTCAGGCTGTTCTATTTGTTTGTTTGCTTGTTTGAGACAGGGTCTTGCTCTGTCATCCAGGCTGGAGTGCAGTGGTATGATTATAGCTCTGCTGCCTCCACTTCCTGGGCTCAAGGGATCCTTTTGCCCCAGCCTCCCCAGCAGCTGGGATTACAGACAGGCACCACCACACCCAGCTAATTTTTTTTTTTTTTTTTTTTTTTGTAGAGATGGGGGTCTCACTACATTGACCAGGCTGGTCTCAAACTCCTGGGCTCAGGCAGTCCTCCCGCCTCAACCTCCCATAGTGCTGAGGTTACACACATGAGCCACTGCACCCAGCCTCTTCAGGCTGTTCTTTAAAAAGCTAGAATACTGGGTGAATATCCGAAAACTAGGCTAATTCCCCTGCTTTCTACATAAGAAGCTGTTTTTTTGTTTTGGTGACCGAATTTGCCTCATGGGAGCAGAGCAAACACGGCTGCCCTCCTTCCCCACCGACAGGCCTAGAAGGAAGGAATAGTAACCAGCTTTCAAAGTGGATCACCTACTTGCAGAATATTCCTCAACAGAGAAGCTGCTTTCCTTCTCCAAAGCCTGAAAACTGCCCCAGGCGGCTGCTTCTACCCACAGCCACCTCTTTGTAGGAGCTGTTCCATCTTCTTGTAGGAGCTTTTTCTGACTCCTCAGCCTTTCCTCCTCACCACTGGGATTCTTCATGCTTACTTCCGAGACTTAAAGGCGGATGACATGGAATCCTCTTCCTAGAATTCTTTCTCCAGATGCTGGAGCCCCTTCTGGAGCTACCAAAATCACCCCTTCTCTACTGCCTCCTTCTAGAAGATTTTTCTGATGGTGCAGTCAGCTCCCAAATACATCAACAATGCTGGGCTTGGAGAGGTCTCTAGGGTATTCAAAGCAGACAGTATTTCTCCAGCACCACCAGACTCAGCTGAGCAGAAACAGCCCGCAGGAGATGCATATTCCACGCCACTCAGAACGCAAGCTCCAAACTCCAAAGCCTCCCCTGGAGAGGGACAGCAGAGGGGGAGGGGCAGGGGAGCAAGAAGAAACCTAGGGCACCTGGGTAGGGCAAAGTAGGCGGCTGTGATGTCCACCACACTGACAGCCCTCAGCCCTTCTCAGGGAAGCTGCCCGCCCACGGCTCTGGCTGTCAGGGCAGCCCCCAGGCAGCCGAGCTTTGTGCACTGTGGTGTCCTCAGCGTGACATACCCCAGCTTCACAGCTGACCGCTCCTTGCCCAGCCTTCTTCATTTCAGTAATGGCCCCAGCTGCTCAGGCCAAACCTCAGAGTCACTGTTGATTCCTTTCTTCCTTTCATCTGCCAGGTCCAATTCACCAGCAAGTCCAAAAACCACCCTGAATACAGCTCCTCACCACCTCGCTGCTACCGTCCTAGTCTGAGGCTGGAGCTCCACAACCGCCCAACTGGTAGCCTCGCTCCTGCTCTCACCCTCCCTAGACCCGTCTCCTGTAGACTGGCCCCAGCCGCCCTGTGGAGATAAACCAGTACTCCCCAGTGCCACCAAAACCATCTCCTAACTTCCTACCCTGGCCCACAAGGCCCCTTGCCTCTTCTATCTTACCTCCTGCCACTCACTCCTGCCCTCTACATTCTGACCAAGCTAGCCTTCTTTCTAACCTTGCAATGCGCCAAGCTCACTCCAGCGAAGGCCTCTGCCTGGGCCTCTTCCCGCACCTGGAACGACCATCGTGCCTGGCTCCTACTTGACACTTAGGTTTCAGAGTTCACCCAGAAAGGTCACCTCCCCCAGAGGACTTCTCTACCCAGCCTAAAGTAGCCACCCACCCTCCCCAGCCCCAGTACTCTCTAGCCTTCATCTTCTTTCTATTCTTGCCTGCACTCACAATATAAGACCTGATGTGCTGACAATCCCCCCACTAGCATGGAAGTCCCATGAGGGGAGAGGACTAACCCGCCTTGCTTACCACTGTATCCCCAAGGGCTAGAACCGTGCCTGCACACAACAGGGTGTGCCTGATTAATACTTCTGGAGGGAAAAAGCATTTGTGCTGGGGCGGCCAAACCCAGATCATAGCCAGCCTCATGCTCTGGGGCCCGGCCAGCCAGGCTCCCTCTCAATTAGCCCTCATGGGGCTAATTCAATTAGACAACCGCCAAGAGTGTTGATGGTCCCAGGAAGCTCATAGCAAGGTCCATATGTGAGACACAGGCCCTGGCAGGCTCAAGCTGGGCGGATCCAGAAGCTCCCAGGGGCAGAGCTTTGTACCAGAAAAGAAACAGGGTGGTGGGTGACAGCCGGCGGCAGCACAAGAAGCAGGGCTGCAAAGACGGCAGGGCTGGCCTGTGAGAGTCAGTCTCTTCAAGGCGTCTGGCCGGACAGTGAAGAAGAGCATCTCCCCCGCGGGGGACCTAGCACTGCCTGGAACCCAGGACCAGTCTCCACTGAAATCGGCCAGTCCTCGAAGTCCTGGAATTAGCATGAGGTGACCAGCACCCCATTCCACAGGCCAGCACGAGGGTCCCTGATCCACGCGGCTAGAGAACTCTGCCAAAAACACACACCCTGTGGCCTGAATTCTAATCACAGACAACAGAACTCCAACAAAATACAGAAAGTAATCACCTAAGACACTGGCTATCTGGACTGCACATTTTCTACCCAAGAAGTAATTTGATTCTAGGGAATGAGAGCTCAGGCTCTCATCAGCCATCACATAAATCCTTTAAAAAAAGGAAAATTAACTTTCTACAACACTTCTATTATAGAAATTATACCAGGGAACAAGGATCCACTTTACAGACCTTTCCTTTTATAACCAGGGCCCTCCTATCACTAGATCCCCTCGCTGGTGCCGAGGACCCACGGCATAGCTCAATCTTAAGCCCGGGGTGGGCTCCTCTGCTCTCCTGTGGTGGGAGAAGAGTGAAGATGAGTTTCCTGTTGTCACTGTAACAAATTACCGCAAACTTAGTGGCTTAGAACAACAGACTTTATGATTTTACAGTTCTAGAGGTCAGAGGTCTGATTTGGGTCTCACAAGATTCAGCAGGGCTGCGTTCTTCCCAGAAGCTCTGGGGGAGAACCCGTCCCCTCGCCTTTTCCAGCTCTGAGGGGCCCATATTCCCAATCCCGTGGCTTTCCTCCATCTTCAAAGCTGCCAACAGCAGCTGACATCCTTCCTCTGCTGCTCACTCTCTGGTTCTCTCTTTGATTCCCTCTTAATTTTAAGGACCCCTGTGATTACACCAGGCTCACTCAGATAATCCAGATAATCTCCCTATGTTAAGGTCAGTAGACCAGCAACCTTGATTCCATCTGTAACCTTAATTCGCCTTTGCCATATGACCTAGCACAGTCACAGGTTCTGTGGATGAGGATGTGCACATCTTCGGGGGGCCATTAATCTGCCCACCACACCTGTCCAAGCAAGCCACGATACGAACACCATCCAGCAAAAGCACTTATCTTGTTGTCCCACTCCACGCCAATGTCCCCTAAAGCACCATTCCACAAAGGTTGTGTTTGTCTCTGCAGAGCTCAAGATAAACACAATTCACTTAACTTGTTAGCTTGCAAGTGAGAAAAGAAAAACAAACAAACAAAAAAACAGCCTGACCAACATGATGAAACCCCATCTCTACCAAAAATACAAAAATTAGCCGGGCATGGTGGCATGTGCCTGTAATCCCAGCTACTCAGGAGGCTGAGGCAGGAGAATCACTTGAACCCAGGAGGCGGAGGTTGCAGTGAGCCCAGATCGCGCCATTGCACTCCAGCCTGGGCGACAGAGCGAGACTCCATCTCAAAAAAAAAAAAAAAATTCACTACAGATTATAAAGTTGGCTTCCAGGTCCCTGAGTGTCCCTTTCAATCCATCAGATGATTCTTAATCTCCTAGGATGTGCCGAAGCTGTTAGGCTTAGCGCGGAAGTCAAAGGTGAAGACAGCAGGGATTCTGGTAAGCCGGGATCACATAATGACACAGGCCGAATGACATCAGGGTGCCTTCCAGGGGGATGCGATGTTCATGCACTCTGGGAAGCACAGGGTTTCGCCAGCAGGGAGGGCAGCCACAGAGAGACATGGAGTGGACCGAGGCATCCACCTTCCCCATCTGGGTTTCCCGCTCTGGAGAGGAACTGGCATTTGCACTCTCCTCTAACAGAAGCCGGGCTTTTGTGGGCAGATAAGGTAGGTCACTTTTCTCCTCAAGACACTTTTCCGTGGACAAGTTGTGTAACCTCTCGGTAACACAGCTAATTAACGTCTGAGCTTTGGTTTTTTATTTTTTATTTACTTATTTATTTTTTAAAATGAGGATTCCACCACCACCTACCTGACAGGGTTGTTGTGTGAGTTGCTTAAGATCACGTTAAGAGGCCGGGCACAGTGGCTCACGCCTGTAACCTCAGCACTTTGGGAGGCCGAGACTGGCCGATCACTTGAGGTCAGGAGTTTGAGACCAGCCTGGCCAACATGGCAAAATCCTGTCTCTACTAAAGATACAAAAACTTAGCTGGGCATGGTGATGCATACCTGTAATCCCAGCTACTTGGAAAGCTGAGGCAGGAGAATCGCTTGAACCTGGGAGGCAGAGGTTGCAGTGAGCCAAGATCACGCCACTGCACTCCAGCCTGGGTGACAAGAGCGAAACTCCGTCTCAAACAAACAAAAAAAAAGGTCATGGAAGGAGAATGTGGAACATAATAAATGTTCAGTCTGTGTGAATTCTCTTTTCTTCTTCCACCCGGAAAATAACCTCCCTCCATCCTCTCCTCTAACCTCGTCACCTGGACTCTTTCCCCAGGTCTTCCTCCCCTTCCTCTCCTTCCTCCCCTTCCAGCATGTGGGCAATGAACCAACCAGCGTCTACAAGCAATGGAAGTTTGGTCCCACACCGCTAAAGCGGGGAGCACTGGGGCTTCCTGTTGGGTAATGTAATTGGTAATCTTTGAGAGTTAACAGCGAAAGGGGAGATACACATTGAAGCCTGATGTCAGGAAAACCATCCGCACTGCTCCTGGTCATGTCAACACACACACACACACACACACACACACACACACACACACACACACACAATCTGGCTGAGATATCCTTCCCGGTAGTGTCACAAGAGGTCACAGTTATCACAGCCCTTACTAACTGTTCTATAACTATCTGTCCCCACGCCTAGCCTGTGAGCCCCTTGAGGAGAGAGACTGTGTTTTTTCATCTCTGCAGCCCCGGCTCCCACCTCAGTGCACACCCTGCAACGGCGCACCATCTAATGGTTAAAGACTGAAGAACGCAGGAGAAGAAACACTGCTTATCTTCCGTATGACTGCAAAAGAGAAAAACCAATTTAGTATTTGCATGAAAGGTTTCCATTTACAACTGGTTAACTGTGCTTAGCATTAGACAGTACCTCTACTGAAAATTCAAAGTTTGGAGGACACAGTGCTCTAACCTTTAGCCCTTGCTACTCCTTAAGTCTGGCACAGATTCCCGCTTTGATCAAGAATGAAGGGTTAGCCGGGCCCGGTGGCTCACGCCTGTAATCCCAGCATTTTGGGAGGCTGAGGCAGGCAGATCACCTGAGGTTGGGAGTTCGAGACCAGCCTGACCAACATGGAGAAACCCCATCTCTACTAAAAATACAAAATTAGTCGGGCATGGTGGTGCATGCCTGTAATCCTTGCTACTTGGGAGGCTGAGGCAGGAGAATCACTTGAACTCAGGAGGCAGAGGTTGCAGTGAGCCGAGATCGCACCATTGCACTCCAGACTGGGCAACATGAGCGAAACTCCGTCTCAAAAAAAAAAAAGAATGAAGGGTTACTATACAAAGCATTCGTGGAGGGGGCCACTTTTTAGAAACTTACATCCCAAGGCTATCTTACAAGCCCTAATTTAAGTCTCTCCAAACACCCACTTCTTAAACAGAAACCTATTTTCCAGAAACTGCTTATCTCTAAATACAGAAAAAGACTATCTCTTCCCCCCACCACCGGAAATATTCATACCAACGCTCCCTGAAATAAGGAGTTTCTAAAAAGGCAAAGAAATGGAACCAAAACCAACCACAAAAAGGTACACACTAGAAGTGTTCAGAATCTGTAGGTGGGGGCTGGGCACAATAGCTCACTCCTAGAATCTCATCATTTTGGAAGGCTGAGGTGGAAGGACTGCTTAAGGCCAGGAGTTCAAGACCATCCTGAGAAGCATAGCAACACCCCATATCTACAAAAAATAAAAAATTAGCCAGGCATAGTAGTGCGTGCCCGCAGTCCCAGCTACTCAAGAGGCTGAGACAAGAGGACTGCTTGAGCCTGGGAGGTCAAGGCTGCAGTGAGCTGTGATCACATCACTATCCTCCAGACTGGGAAACAGAGCGAGATCCTATCTCAAAAAAAGGAAATTCTGTGTGAAGGATATACATGTGTGACATTCCTTACAGTGTCAAGAGGGCAAGAACCATGAACTATGTTCTACAGTACATAGCTCCATTGTAGAGCCTCAGAAAGCACCCGGCCAAATCAAGAATGCTTCTATTTAGTATTTGTCAAGCAGGCATTTGAAAGCTCAGCTAAGACCCTGGTTAGATACACTATTTCCTTCAGTTCATAGATAAGACACGGGCTCCTCATAAATGTCAGATGAATGCAGATGCAGAACTAAAATTCTGCCATAACCCACTTGCTATGCGGAGCCCGTTAAACCCTCCTCTTGTGTGTTACTTGCCAGGCACTAGCCCCATTCCCAGCTCCATTCCCAGAGGTTATCTCTGCTGATCCTCACTTCCACCTTGCAGGGAAATTTTATCTTTCCCATTGAATAGCATTCTTAGACTTCAGATAAGTCTAAGGAAAAATAAGGATTTTTTCCATCATTAACACCTGGTTTGCCTCGGGGAAAGGCAACCCCTTCTCTCCAAAATGTCCCAATAATTGAGCACATGTTTCTGGACCAAATCAAGACCCTTCGCCACAGGGCTTCTCAGCAAAACTGAGTGAGAAGGACAAGGAATCCCATCTGCACGGTTCCCTACCCAGCAGGCCCTGGGCACACTCATATCCAAGTCCTCAAACACCCTGTTCCACACCCAAAGTCAGCCCCGGGCAAAGACCCTTCAGGAGGTGAAGCCCTGCCAGTTCAGGAATGGATCACAGTCAGAATCCCTAGGCCACTTCTCAGGACTCGGTAAAAAATAACCACAACTTCCCCTGCACTTAGTTCCTCCCCAGAGAGCTGTTGAACCTCATCTGGAAACAGCTGGGAGGCAGCAGCTAACAGGAAATCAAACAACAACAACAAAAAGCAGAGTGTACCACGGAGAGTTAGACAGCTAGAACGAAGAGGCCAGAGGACAGACAGGAAGTTGAAGTTAGAAAGAACCTAGGCCAGAAACAGTCACACAGAAGAGGAGACCCAGCTGGCCTTTCTCAGCTCGGGCAGGAGGGGAGGACCCAGACAGCCGGCAGGGAAGGCATGAACCCCACCAGGATGGAAGCCAGACAGGCTCTGAGGTTAAGTCTTCTTTCTGCCCTGCCCCCAATCCCTTTTTTTCTTTCTTTCTTTTTCTTTTTTAGAGATGGGGATCTTGCTACATTGCCCAGGCTGATCTTGAACTCCTGGGCTCAAGCAATCCCCCACCTCGGCCTCCCAAAGTGCTGGGACTACAGGCATGAGCCACCACGCCCCGCGTTGCCTCCGATCTCAACCTTCCTTCCCTGAAAGCCAGGTAGCAGTTCTCACTAGGAGAGCTGGGGTCAGAAACTCACCTTCCTCTAGTTTCTTTCTGTGCCACAGACTACAGCCCAGACAACTGGTTTTGAGTCATTTGTCTGTCATCCATACCAAAGTTCTACACTGCCAACTAAACTCAGCACTGGACAAACCAGCCTCACACAGACAGACAAAGGGCATCTTCATGAGAAATGACTGGACAGATCCCATCCGAGGGCCTGTGGTGGTAGACCTTAGGTGGCCGACCTTAGGCAGCAGGAGACCTTAGGCACAGGGAAAAGCAGCGAAAGTGAGAGAGCCAAGAGAGCAAGATAAGCTTCTTGCACCAAACTGATGGTGCATTTTGCAATCAAGAAAGTTAACTGAGCAACGGCCAGCTGCCAAAATATTTTTGAGAGAAATGAAAAAAAAAATGCCATTACTAAAATTATTTGGTGTTGTTTAATAAGCCTTTAGGTTATCCAAACAAGAGTGCAAAGGGGAGACTGATTTAGTTTTCATTTAGCAGAGCTTACTTAGGTGAGACCTTTCCAGTCCATGCCCCCCGTGACTCATCCATTCTCTCCCTGTATATGTAGAAGTTTATATTAAAATAAAGAAGAGGATTAAGTTTTCTTAATAAGATACATTCCAGTCTTTCACCTCGAGCTTTGTTTGAAAAGGCTCTCTCGAGGCATAGCATATGCTGCGATCCAGTCGGGTTTGATTCCAATGGAACTGCTCAAAATCAGAGACTGGAGGGCGCACAGGGCTGCAGCCTCAACACCATTTGTTTTTTAAAAAGCAGAACATCTTTACAGGCTCAGTGCCAGCTCAAACTGGCAAGACCAGAGAATCAGCAGAGACTGACCAATGTGCCGGGTAAGGGGGATGGGAGGAGGAGCTACGGGAACAGATCATCAGGGAAACCTTCAAGAGAGGAAATAGGGGTGTTTCAGGAACATAACAAAGAACAAGTTGACTAATCGTTTATTCCAGGGACCGCGGCGGTGAGGGGGGTGCCATCCAGGGCTAAGTATCTAATATTTTAACTTCAGGTAAAAGCATAACATTTAAACCTGGATATGCTTGGGGCTCACAGCTCTCTTAAAAAGGTGAGGTGAGAGGGGGCAAGATATTCCTGCTCTTTTATTACGCTGTTTATGGAGTCTCCTAGGAAACTTCTCCCGCGATGCCTCCAGAGCAGACCTAAGACAGCCCCCGCTAGTCCAGTTCCTAATGCAATAAGCTTAACTCAGCAGAGATCCCATCATGAGCTTTCTGCAGGGCCAAGCTGCTCAAGGCCGCTGCTGCCAGTCCAAAGAAGTTCTGTTGCGCAGACAAAAAAGTTACCTGCAGCAAATACCTAATATTCATAGTGGGAAAGGGAGAGAGAGTGAAAAAGCGCTTTAATCTTTGAGGGCCAGGCATTTTCTGTGACTTGGAAAAGAGGAATCTCTGCCCAGAGCCGAATCCACATGTCAGAACGGTGTCTGGGATGTCTGCCCTCAACAATGACATCTCCCTCATATAATGTTTCAGGACCGGCCAGAAAACCCTCCAACTTGCCAGAAGGACAGACTGCACCTCCAACAGCTGTGGCACCAAAAGTCTTCTTAGGAGGCACCCAAAGCCCTCCCGAGATGGGGGCGGGCCTCCCGATGAGGTTGTAAGGGGGCCAGCCTCCAGGTGCAGGGACACCTAACTCTGGCCAAGCACTGGAATAAGCAATTTACCTATCTCACTCCATCCCCACAACAGCCCCTTGGAGGCAGACACTACAGTCATTCCCCTTTTATAAAGGAGGAAACAGGCTCCGAGGTGTTACACAACCATTAAACAGCAGAGCCAGCCTCCAGTCACCCCGAACAGGTGGTCCTGACCGCTGCTGGATATGGGGGAAACACACAAAGCGTTTGGAGGAAGGAGTCGATAGAGTCGGGTAACACAAGATGCAGCCAGTGTTTATACCTCTTCCTCGTCCAACATCGGTGGTCCCAGGACACTGGAGGGGAGGGCCTGGATGGGGAACGTGAACCCGAAAGGACCCCGGCACTGCTGGCAGGGGAAGAGGCCAGGACCCCGGCTCCTCTGGCAACGCGGGGAACCCCAGATCCATAAACCCTCCCGAAGGAGGAAGACCCAAAGGGAATGCATGAAGCCACGGGGTTGCCAGGCGGCCCTTCCCTCCACGCTTGTTTTGTCAAACAAGGGCCTCCGGCCGGGGCCTCAGGGGGTCGCGGGGGTCCCTACCTGTAGGCCAAAGTCATGCACTCGAAGAGCTTGGTGAGCGAGGCGTCGATGGACAGGTGGCAGGAGCTAGTCTTGCCGAAGCTGTAGGTCTGGCACGTCTGTTTGTTGACCGTGTCGAAATCGTAGCCCTTCTTGGGCGGGTGCTCTCGGTGCGGCGACGACACCATGAAGTGGCCGCTGTGGATGATCTGCTGGCGGCGCGGAGGTTCCTCGCGGCCCGGCCCGGCCCGAGGCGGCGGTGGCGCGGCGCTCGCGTGGGCCCGGGCCGGGGTGGCCGCGCCGGAGGCGGGCGGCGGGGACGGCTCATCCGTGTCCGAGTCGTCGTCGTCCTCGGACACCTGGGGCTTGAGCAGCACCTGGCGGCCCCGGCTGCGAGGCCGGCGCGGGGAGCACATGAAGACGTCGGCGGCCATGAGAAGGGCTCGGCCGGGGGCATCCCCCGGAGCCCGGGGCAACGCGACAAGCGCGCGAGGCAGAGGGGCGCCGGCCCGGCCCGGCCCGCGCGCCGACTGTCCGCGAGCGCGCGGCGCGGCGGGAGGGGGAGGGCTCCGGCCCCGGCGTGACGTCACCGAGGCGTCTGGGCCAATCGGCTGCCCGCGTCGGCCTCTTAAAGGCGCAGGGGAACCTTTCCTTAGCTAGGCGGACCAAAAAAAAAAAAAAAGGGGAAGCGGAGGCCACGCCTCCCGGCCGTGCCCCTCGCCACCTCCTCCTCTCCCGGCGTCCGTGGGTGCTGAGGGACACGGTGGCCGGGCGGAGCGGCTCGCCGGTGTCGCGACCTGGGAGAGGCGTCGGCAGAGTGGGGCCGTGCTAGTCCCGCCCCCGCCCCGCTCCGCGCCCCGGGAGTCGCCCTGTGGCTTCGCCGCAGGCCCGGCCGGCTCCACGTGGTGGGTGCGGGTGGGGCTCCTCGGCCTCCAGGCCCTGCTTTTTCCCTGCCGGGCGGTACCGAGTCCTCGCAGCTCACGCCTGAGTTTGCCGGACGTGGTGGCTATTGTCCTCATTATTCTCATCGTATTGATGGGAACACTGGGTGGCTGAATACCGACAGGATTTTTCTCAGACCTGGAGTCCACAGAGCTGGGAACTTGCTTCCCCTGCGCGTCCCCAGCTCGGCGCAGCTGTTGAGTGGCAGCGCCCCTGAGCCCAGCGACCTCCAGACCCCAGCTCTTTTAACTTCAACTCAGCATGCTGTTGTTATTTTTTTAAAGTTTGACGGACGAGCCAGCCCCCGAAACAATTCTAAAAGGGGAGTATCTGAGCCAGAGTTTTCTTCTCTGTCAAATGGTGAACAATTCCGTTTCCTCAGAAACTTGGGACAGTTTAAAAATGGCTATAGTGGGGCGCGGTGGCTCATGCCTGTAATCCTAGCACTTTTGGAGGCCGAGGCGGGTGGATCACTTGAGGCCAGAAGTTCAAGACCAGCCAGGCCAACACGGTGAAACCCTGTCTCTACTAAAAATAACAAAAATTAGCCGGTCGTAGTGGTGCACCCCTGTAATCCCAGCTACTCGGGAGGCTGAGGCAGGAGAATCGCTTGAATCCGGGAGGTGGAGGTTGCAGTGAGCCGAGATTGCGCCATTGCACTCTAGCCTGGGCGACAGAGCGAGGCCCTGTCTCAAAAAGAAAAATAAATACAAATAAAAATGGCTATAAGTTGCTTAGCAGGCAGGCTGGCACAAAATGAGCGCTAAATAAATGTGCCACAGGTTGGAGGATTTGGATCAACCAGACCAGAGGTGCCTAGAAATTGCCAATAGTCCACCACTATTTGACCTGCAGAAACGGCAACTTCGCGTGGCACAACCTAACTGACAGACACCTCTAGAAAGCTGTCAAGGTTTCCGGGGCTCAAAGCCAGTCTGGGGTGGGGGTGGCAGGGCATCAGAAGAGCCAGTGAGGCCCATGAGCCAGGAACACCCATCCTAATCCTAGCAGGGCGTCCAGAGTCCACAGCCACTCCTGCACTCTGCTTTGTTTTATTGTTGTTTTGTTTTTTGAGACAGAGTCTTGCTCTGTCACCCAAGGCTGTAGCGCAGTGGTGCAATCACCATGTTGGCCAGGCCGGTCTGGAACTCCTGACCTCAAGTGAGGCCTGCCTTGGACTCCCAAAGTGCTGGGATGACAGGCATGAGCCACCGCGCTGGCTCTGCACTCGGCTTTGAAGCTGGTTTCAGTTCCAGATTTGAGTGGGGGGTGAGTCCCCTGCCCCACCCTCTTCCTGACAAAGGCCTCCTGAAGGGAACAGAGGGCTCTCACCAAAATGGCTCCATTAACTTATTTCCAAATGTCTGTATGGAAAAATGGGCTGGATGACTGGCAGTTTTCAGGCATGAGTTCTAGATTTCCCTCTTCAACCTACTACTGTTCCCAATGCTGGTTACAAGTGTTTAAAAGTCCATCCTTTGAGTTGCCTTCCTTTCTCTCAAGACTTGTCTCCTTGGTCCTTGGTAAGTTTACATGCCCAGCCACTTTTTTTTTTTTTTTTTTTTGAGACAGGATCTGGCTCTTTCACCTGGACTGGAGTGGAGTGGTGCCATCATGGCTCACAGCACCCTCAACCTCCAGGGCTCAGGTGATCCTCCCACCTCAACTTCCCAAGTAGCAGGACCACAGGTGCACACCACCGTGCCCTGCTAATTTTTGTACTTTTTATAGAGATGGGGTCTCGCCATGCTGCCCAGCCTGGTCTCGTCTCGAGTTCCTGACCTCAAGTGATCCTCCTGCCTCAGCCTCCCAAGGTGCTAGAATTACAGGTGTGAGCCACCATGCCCTGCTTTTTTGTCTTTGTGTTTACCTATATTTTCTTTCTTTTTTTTTTTTTTTGAGACAGGGTCTCACTGTGTCACATTGGTGTGATCGTGGCTCACTGTAGCCTCAACCTCCCCTGCCCAAGCTATCCTCCCACCTCAGTCTCCCGAGTAGCTGTGACCACAGGTGGGCACCACCACACCCAGCTAATGTTTAATTTTTTTGTAGAGATGGAATTTCCCTATGTTGCCCAGGCTGGTCTCAAACTCCTGGGCTCAGGCAATCCTCCTGCCTCAACCTCCCAAAATGCTGGGATTACAGGCATGAGCCACCACACCTGGCCTGTATTTTCTAATTTCCAAAATAAACATGTATTACTTATATACACATTTTTAACTTAAAAAGTTAACATCAGTTTCCTGGGAGGAAATAAGCCTTAAAGCTGAGGTTGCAAAGTGGCAACCCATAGACCATATTCAGTGCAGAAACATGCCTTGTTTAATCCCACCGTCAATTCCTAAGAGACTGTATTAGGGAAGACTCTTGGGGAAAATTGCAGTTAAAAATGCAAAAAGCAAAGGACCACTGCATGGGTGGTCCAGTCACGGAAGGTGCTCCAAGCTCACAATCAATGTCTGTAAGGTTAAGGAGGTGGTCTCGACTTCCCCTCCTGCTGAGTAGCGGGCAGCATCGGCAGGAGAGTGGCCATGTAGGATGGCGACCCAGGGAGCTAAAAATCCCATGATGACAAGGAGCTCCCACACCCAGACAAGCCACCAAAACCAGAGCCTCACAGCGTTGTCGTCTCTTCTCCACGAATCAGAAGAAACACTGGATTGGAATCAAATCAGCAGTCAGACAAATAGAAATACCTAAGTATGAAGGGTTACACACCAGCACAAGTCAGCAAATAATTAAGGAAAGCCAGCACTCTGGGAGAAAGCGGGTACCTGAGAACTAGCAAGGGGGAGAAAGTTAACAAATATTTTAAAAATAACTAATAGTTTAGGAAAGAACAGAAGATTCTGTACCATGGAGCAATAATAGCCCATTATGAAAAAGAGGCAAATGAGGTCTTGGAAAATAAATATAAATATACAAATATACAAGTATGATTTTTTAAAAGTTGAGTTGAAACGAAAATATAGAAAAAAAGCAAAGTGAATAAAGCTGAAAAACACAGCAGTAAGCTAAAAGATTAAACTGAAGGTTTATATAAAAAGTAACCAGACATGGTGGCACATGCCTCTAGCCCCAGCTACTTGGGAGGTGACGCACGAGAATCGCTTGAACCCGGGAGGCAGAGTTTGCACCACTGCCCTCCAGCCTGGGCAACAGAGCAAGACTCTGTCTCCAAAAATACACAGGCCAGGCACGGTAGCTCATGCCTGTAATCCCAGCACTTTGGGAGGCTGAGGTGGGCAGATCACCTGAGGTCGGGAGTTTCAGACCAGCCTGGCCAACATGGTGAAACCCCGTCTCTACTAAAAATGCAAAATTAGCCAGGCATGGTGGCGCATGCCTGTAATCCCAGCTACTCAGGAAGCTGAGGCAGGAGAATCACTTGAACCCAAGAGGCAGAGGTTTTGGTGAGCCGAGATCACGCCATTGCACTCCAGCCTGGGCAACAAGAGCGAACTCCATCTCAAAATAAATAAACAAACTGAGGGTTTCTCCCAGAAAACTGCCAAAAGGAAAAGAGAAGTTGTGACATGGAGGATCCATCTAGATAGTTACAGAAAGAAAGAAGTAAACAAGAGAGGAAATAACCAAAGCAGCAATAAAAGAAAATTTCCCAGCGATACAAACACAGCCTTTATTTTTATTTTATGAACCTCCTCTCAGTTCAAGCAATTCTCCTGCCTCATCCTCCAGAGTAGCTGGGATTACAGGGGCCCGCCACCATGCCCAGCTAAATTTTGTATTTTTAGTAAAGACAGGGTTTCACTATGTTCACCAGGCTGCTCTGGAACTCCTGAACTTAAATTGTCTGCTTACCTTGGCCTCCCAAAGTGCCGGGATTACAGACACAAGCCACTGTGCCCAGCCAAGAGCTGCATTAACTGGAGTGAGATGATGATATGGTTTAACTGGGGTGAGATGATGATATGATTTGGGTGTCCCCACCCAAATCTCATCTTGAATTCCCATGTGTTGTGGGAGGGACCCGGTGGAGGTAATTGAATCATGGGGGGCAGGCCTTTCCTGTGCTGTTCTAGTGATAGTGAATAAGTCTCATGAGATCTGATGATTTTTAAAAAGGGGAGTTTCCCTGCACAAGCTCTCTTCTCTTGTCTGCGGCCATGTGAGATGTGTCTTTCACCTTCCACCATGATTGTGAGGCCTCCCCAGCCACATGGAACTGTGAGTCCCTTAAACCTCTTTCTTTTGTAAGTTGCTCAGTCTCGGGTATGCCTTTATCAGTAGTGTGAAAATGGACTAATACAGATGATTTCTCATTTAGTGTGTTGTTGTTTTGTTTGTTTGTTTTGAGACAGGGTCTTACTGTGTTGCCCAGGCTGGAGTGCAGTAATACAATCAAGGCTTACTGCATCCTTTACCTCCTGGACTCAAGTGATCCTCCCACTTCAGCCTCCAGAGTAGCTTGGACTACAGGTATGTGCCATTACACCTGGCCAATTTATTAATTTTTTGTAGAGACTGGGTCTCCCCATGTTGCCCAGGCTGGTCTTGAACTCCTGGGCTTAAGTGATCCTCCCACCTCACCCTCCCAGAGTGCTGGGATTACAGGTGTGAGCCGTCACACCTGGCCTCGTTGTAGTTTTGATTTGCATTACTCTGATGATCAGTGATGTTGAGCATCTTTTCATATACCTGTTTGCCATTTGTATGTCTTCTTTTGATAAATGTCTATTCAGTTCTTTTGCCCATTTTAAATCAGATGATTAGATTTTTTTTCCTGTAGAGTTGTTTGAGCTCCTTATATTGTCACCTCAATAAATTTTAGAGGATAGAAGGTAAAATAGTCTTTTCATCCATTGGCCACATTAGAAAGAATTACTACTAGAGGTTGTTCTCTCCAAGAAGACAAAAATGAAATTCAAGTACGAGAACGATATGGAACACAAGAAACAGTGTAGCACAAAAAATAAAACTTAAAACTGGGTTTTTAAAGTTATGATTAAAAAAAGAGTTTTCGCCAGGTCCAGTGGCTCACGCCTGTAATCCTAGCACTTTGGGAAGCCAAGGCAGGTGGATCACCTGAGGTCAGGAGTTTGACACCAGCCTGGCCAACATGGTGTAAACCCCGCCTCTACTAAAAATACAAAAATTAGCCAGGCGTGGTGGTGTGTACCTGTAATTCCAGCTACTCGGGGCACTGAGGCACGAGAATCGCTTGAACCTGGGAGACGGAGGTTGCAGTGAGCTGAGATCACGCCACTGCGCTCCAGCCTGGGTGACAGAGTAAGACTCCCTCTCAAAAAAAAAAAAATTATACCTCATTTCAGAAACATTTCTTAGAGGTCTTTCTTACTTTCTGTTACTTTTTTTTAAAATTTAGTGATAGCATCCTCTTCTTGTTTTATGTATGCAATATTGTCTCATCTCTCCCAGAAGAATATTTTGAGTTTATTTGAAGTTATCTTTTGCTCCCTGCATTGTTTATATTTCTTTTCTCTCTCTCTCTCTCTCTCTCTCTGTTTGTTTTGAACTCCCTCTTCATGTTGGAAGCTTTCCTCAGAAGTCTGGAAAGGAGCCCATGAGGATGACTGATAGGATCGGTGTGTACGGCAGGAGCATGGCCTGTCAGCGAGTAAGCCAGTGGGTGGCCAGGCAGCTCTTTGGTCAGAGGCTTCTAAATGTCAGTATCTGGAGGTCTTCTCTGTGGGTGGTTCTGATTGCCCGGGGGGACCTCCAACTGCCTTCTGGGAGTGTGTATGTCTGGCTGCTCAGTTTCTGGAGCAAGGCCAGGGAAGAGGGCAGTCATTTTGCTGTTTGCTCTGCCCACTGCCACTAAATCTCTCTGCTCTCAGCCTCTGGCAACTCACTCCCTGCACTCAATGCCTGCCATCCCCAGTTCTAGAGCCTCTTTGATTTAATTTCTCCAGAAGCTAAACCTGGAGAGGGAGAGGGCTAGTCACCCGAGAGCACACAGGATGGGGGATGAGAACCCGGAGGTCTTACTGCTCCATATACAGACTTTGTTTTTAGTCCCCTCCCTACTGCAGCACTGAAGCCTCCAATTCCTGGGACTTTCTGGGATTCCAGGAGAGAACTGGCCTGCTTTTCTCTGGGATCTGCTTCTACAGGTTTGGAGCTACAGGTGTTGTCTTATTTCACTAAATATGGATTTCTGCTTCTGTTTCTTGTTCTCTTTTACTTTGAGGGTGATTTAGGAGCAAAAGGGGTGACCATTTTTTTTTTTTTTGAGATGGAGTCTGCTCTGTCGTCCAGGCTGGAGTGCAGTGGCCCAATCTCGGCTCACTGCAACCTCCGCCTCCCGGGTTCGCACCATTCTCCTGCCTCAGCCTCCCGTAGCTGGGATTACAAGCGCCTGCCACCACACCTGGCTAGTTTTCTGTATTTTTAGTGGAGACGGGGTTTCACTGTGTTAGCCAGGATGGTCTCGATCTCTTGACCTTGTGATCCGCCCGCCTCGGCCTCCCAAAGTGCTGGGATTAGAGGCATGAGCCACCGCGCCTGGCCGATGTTTTTACCATAGTAAAAACTAACATCTAGACAGTTTACTAAAATTTTGAATGATTTGCTAACATTGTAAAAATCATGACATTTCATATTATAGACATTAGAATGTTAGGATTGGCTGGGCGCCGGTGGCTCACGCCTATAATCCCAGCACTTTGGGAGGCCAAGGTGGGTGGATCATTTGAGGTCAGAAGTTGATCAGCCTGGACAACATGGTGAAACCCCGTCTCTACTAAAAATACAAAAATTAGCCGGGCGTGGTGGCCCATGCCTGTAGTCCCAGCTACTCGGCAGGCTGAGACAGGAGAATCGCTTGAACCCGGGAGGCGGAGGTTGCAGTGAGCTGAGATCACGCCATTATACTTCAGCCTGGGTGACAGAGCAACACTCTGTCTCAAAAAAGAAAAGTTAGGATTTTCCTGTACTATCAGAACACCTGACAATACCGGGCCCTTATTTCCACGTGTCAGCAGCTGGAGCTCAGGAGCAACTATCCTCTTTATTTTTATATTATTTAATTTTTTTATAGAGACATGGTCTCCCTATGTTGCCCAGGCTGGTCTTGAATTCCTGGGCTCTGGCCGGGTGCAGTGGCTCACGCCTGTAATCCCAGCACTTTGGGACGCCGAGGCGGGCGGATCACAAGGTCAGGAGATCAAGACCATCCTGGCCAACATGGTGAAACCCCGTCTCTACTAAAAATACAAAAATTAGTCGGGCGTGATGGCACACGCTTGTAATCTCAGCTACTCGGGAGGCTGAGGCAGGAGAATCGCTTGAACCTGGGAGTCGGAGATTGCAGTGAGCCGAGATCACCACTGCACTCCAACCTGGCTGGCGACAGAATTAGACTCTGCCTCAAGAAAAAAAAAAAAAAAAAAAAAAAGAATTCCTGGGCTCAAGGGATCCTCCTGCCTTGGGCTCCCAAAGTGCTGGGATTACAAGCATGAGCCACTGTGCACAGTCTGACTGTCCTCTTTATTCATTTATGTATTTATTTATTTTGAGACAGAATCCCACTCTGTTGCCCAGGCTGGAGTGCAGTGGCACAATCTCAGCTCACTGCAACGTCCACCTCCTGGGTTCAAGCGATTCTCCTGCCTCAGCCTCCCGAGTAGCTGGGACTATAGGCACATGCCACCATGCCCGGCTAATTTTTGTATTTTTAGTAGAGACGGGTTTTCGCCCTGTTGGCCAGGCTGGTCTTGAACTCCAGACCTCAAATGATCCGCCTGCCTCAGCCTCCCAAAGTGCTGGGTTTACAGGCATGAGCCACTGCACCTGGAAAAGTTCTTTTTAATGTACAGTTCCAGGAGTTTTGACAAACATATACAGTCAAGTGAACACTACCGCAATCAAGATATAAGACAGGGCCGGGCGCGGTGGCTCATGCCTGTAATCCCAGCACTTTGGGAGGCTGAGGCATGTGGATCATTTGAGGTCAGGAGTTCAAGACCAGCCTGGCCAACATGGTGAAATACACGAATTAGCTGGGCGTGGTGGCATGAGCTTGTAATCCCAGCTACTTGGGAGGCTGAGGCAGAATTGCTTTAACCTGGGACACGGAGGTTGCAGTGAGCCAAGATTGCACCACTGCACTCCAGCCTGGGCGACAGAGTGAGACTCTGTCAAAAAAAAAAAAAAAAGATATAGGACAGGACAGGCACAGTGGCTCACACTTGTAATCCCAGCACTTTGGGAGGCTGAGGGGGGAGGATCGCTGGAGCCCAGGAGTTGGAAACCAACTTGGGCAAGATGGCAAGATCCTGTTGGTACAAAAAAATTAAAAATTAGCCAGGCATGGTGGCATGAGCCTGTGGTCCCAGCCACTCGGGCAGCTGAGGCAGGAGAATCCCTTGAGCCCAGAAGTTCGAGGCTGCAGTGAGCTATGATCGTGCCATTACACTCCAGACTGGATGACAGAACAAGACCTTGTCTCTTAAAAAATATACACACACGCATATACATACATAGACACGTATACAAACACAAACACACACACACACACACACACACCAGTTCCAGTACCCATCGTCACCCCCAGTTCCCACTTGCCCTTTGTAGTCAGTCCCTCTCTGCATTCTAGTCCCTGGCAACTACCCATCTGTTTCTTGTTCCCATTGTTTTGCCTTTTCCGGAACAGAATCCTTCAAAAAGTAGCCTTGAGTGTGGCTTCTCTCACTTAGCATAATACATCTGAGATTCTGCCCTGCTGCTGCATGTATCTGTAGCTCATTCCTTTTTATTGCTGCATAGTATTTCATTTTATGAACGTACCACTGCGTGTTTATACATTTACCAGTTGAAGCCATTTTAGTTGTTTCTAGTTTTTGGTGGTTATGAATAAGACCAGTGTAAATATTTACATCCAGATTTTTGCACTTTTTTAAAATTTAGAGATAGGGTCTTGCTCTGTCGCCCAGGCTGGAGTGCAGTGGCATGATCACAGCTACCTGGGGGACTGAGGTGGGTGGATCACCTGAGCCCGGGAGGTTGAGGCTGCAGTGAGCCGTGATCACACCACTGCACTCCAGCTCAGAGCAAGGCCCTGTCTCAAAAAAAAAAAAAGAAAGAAAGAAAAGGAAAAAGAGGCTGGGTGTGGTGACTCACACCTGTAATCCCAGCACTTTGGGAGGCCGAGATGGGCGGATTGCTTGAGGTCAGGAGTTCGAGACCAGCCTGGCCAATATGGCAAAACCCCATCTCTACCAAAAATATAAAAATTAGCTGGGCGTGGTGGAGTGTGCCTGTAATCCCAGGTTCTCGGGAGGCTGAGGCAGGAGAATCGCTTGAACCAGGGAGTTGGAGGTTGCAGTGAGCCAAGATCGCACCACTGCACTCCAGCCTGGCAATAAGAGCGAGATTCCGTCTCAAAAAAAAAAAAAAAAATTAGCTGGGCATGGTGGCGCATGCCCTATAATCCCAGCTACTTGGGAGGCTGAGGCAGGAGAATTGCTTGAACCCAGGAGGCAGAGGGTGCAGTGAGCTGAGATTGCCCCACTGCACTCTAGCTTGGGCGACAAAGTGAGACTCCATCTCAAAAAAAAAAAAAAAAGAACAACGAAGAAAAAAAGAGAGTTCTTTATATGTTCTGGCTACAAGTCTTTTATCAGATACATGTTTTGCAAAGATCATCTGGCAATCTGCTTGTTTTTTCAATCTCTTATCAATGTCTTTAGCAAAAAGCTTTGCCTAACCCCAAAGTCACAAAGATTTTCTCCTGTTTTCCCCTGGAAGTCTTAGTTTTATGTTTCACATTTTGGTCTATGATCTATTTTGAGTGAATTTTGTGATAAGGTGCAAGGTATAGGTTTAATATTTTTGCACACAGATGTCCAGTTATTCTAGCATCATATGTTGGATGATTGCAGTTATTATTAACACTGTCAGTATTCTCAAGGCTCCTGGGCTCAGGGGTCAGCAATGGTACCTCTGGCTCCAACTCTGCAGTTCAGTCGCCTGCCCCATACGCCCCTCAAACCTAACAGCTGGGGCCTGTTGCAGTTCTTTGCTTGCAGAAGACTTTGTTTCTGGTCTCTTTACCTCTTCTCTCTCTTCCTGAAATCTGCATAAAACAAACCATGAAAGGGCAGGGTGGCCTCGTGGTCTGGCAACGTCCCTTTGAAAATAAACAAGTGCAGAAACTGAAAGGCAGCAGCTACCTCTGGGGACTACTCGAGAAAGAGTTCAGGGCCGGTGCATCCGCCGCGCGTGGCTGTCTTGCCCCAGCTGGGCGGCAGGTCGGATGTGGCAAAACCAAACAGGATCCCGATTGCTTCAGATGTCACCTCTGGCCAGAGACCCCCGATGCCTCTGCAGCAAGCACCTAATTGTATTTATGGGGTACGGGCAGAAGAGTTTCATGGCTGAAAAGCCCTCAACAGTTTGTACAGCCTTCCTCAAAGGTCCAGATCTAACTGGTTCCCACACAACCCTGGGAGGTGGGCAGGTCAGGGACAGTTACCTTTATCTTACACATAAGAAAACTGAGGCACAGAAGGGTGAAGAAATAGATGGGTGTGGGTTTGGAATTTTTTTTTTTTTTTTTTTGAGGCAGAATCTCACTTCATCACCCAGGCTAGAGTGCAGTGACGCAATCTCGCCTCACTGCAACCGCCATCTCCTGGGTTCAAGTGATTCTGGGGCCTCAGCCTCCTGAATAGTTGGGATTACAGGTGCGCACCACCATGCCTGGCCCTAACTTTTTTTTTTTTGAGACAGAGTCTCACTCTTTTTGCCCAGGCTGGAGTGCAGTGGAGCAATCTCAGCTAACTACAACCTCCGCCTCCCAAGTTCAAGCAATTCACCTGCCTCAGCCTCCTAAATAGCTGGGATTACAGGCGCCCACCACCACTCCTGGCTAATTTTTTGTACTTTTAGTAGAGATGGGGTTTCACCATGTTGGCCAGGCTGGTCTCAAAGTCCTGACCTCAGATGATCCACCCACCTTGGCCTCCCAAAGTGCTGGGATCACAGGTGTACCATGCCCGGCCACTCGGCTAACTTTTGTATTTTGGTAGAGACAGAGTTTCACCATGTTGCCCAGGCTGGTTCTCAAACTCCTGACCTCAAGTGATCTGCCTGCCTCAGCCTCCCAAAGTGATGGATTTACAGGCAAAAAGAAGTTTTTTTTTTGTTCGGTGGGGAGGGGGTTAGGCAAACGTTTAGCAAAAAGCTTTCGCTAACCAAAGTCACAAAGATTTTGCCAGGCCATTTTTTTGTTTCGTTTTTTTTTTAGATAAGATCTTGCTCTGTTGCCCAGGCTGGAGTGCAGTGGCACAATTTTGGCTTACTGCACTCTCCAACTCCTGGGCTCAAGCGATCCTCACACCTCAGCCTCCTGGGTAGCTGGGACTAAAGGTGTGTATCACATGCTTGGCTAATTTTTAAATTTTTTTTGGGATGGGGTTTGGCTATGTTGCCCAGGCTGGTCTTGAAATCCTGGCCTCAAGCGATCCTCCAGAATTCATAATTCTCCCCACCACCCTGGCTGGAAATATCTCAAATGTCCAAAGAATGGATAAGCACATTGTGGTACACTCATCCCACGGAATATTCTCCAGCAATGAGAATGAATGACATACAGTCTCACACAGCAGTACTGAATCTCACAAATACCATGTTGAGTGAAAGAAGCTAGACACACAAGAGCACACACTACATCATTCTGTGTATGTAAAGCTAAAAAATAAGCCAAAGAAATCGGTGCAGGTAGAAGTCAGGGTGTCGGCCACACTTCGAGGGGTAGTGACTAGACAGGGATAAGAAGGGGACTGGGGATTAGTGATATTCTGTTTATTGATGCAGATGCAAGTCATGCAGGTGTGTTCAGTGGGTGAAAAATCATTGAGCTACACCCTTACATGTTGATTAAATATTCAGGGCTGGGCACAGTGGCTCATGCCTGTAATCCCTGTAAATGCTTACAGAGGCCAAGGTAGGAGGATCACTTGAAGCCAGGAGTTCAACAGCAGCCTGGGCAACATGGTAAAATCCAGTCTCTACCAAAAAAAAAAAAAAAAAAAAAAAAGGGCCGCGCATGGCGGAATGCACCTGTAGGCTTCCAGCTACTTGGGACCCTCACTCAGGGTCTCACTCTGTCACCCAGGCTGGAGTGCAGTGGCGCCATCAGGGTTCACTGCAGCCTTGACCTCCCAGGCTCAAGTGATTCTCCCACTCAGCCTTTCAAGTTAGCTGGGACCACAGGCCAATTTATGGGCTTACTGGGAAGTAACCCCACTGTAAATTGAAGAGCATCTGTATTCAACTCTGTTGTTGCATGGTGAAAGCAGCCAGGAACAATATGTAAATGAATAAGCATGGCTTGTTCCAATAAAACTTTATTTTAAAAAAATCAGGTGGGCTGGGCATAGTGGCTCAGGCCTGTAATCCCGGCACTTTGGGAGGCCAAGGCGGGCAGATCACCTGAGGTCAGGAGTTCAAGACCAGCCTGGCCAACATGGTGAAACCCCATCTCTACTAAAAATACAAAAATTAGCTGGGCGTGGTGGCAGGCACCTGTAATCCCAGCTACTCAGGAGGCTGAGGCAGGAGAATCGCTTGAGCCCCAGAGGCGGAGGTTGCAGTGAGCCGAGATCATGCCATTGCACTCCAGCCTGGATGACAAGAGCGAGACTTTGTCTCAAAATAAATAAATAAATAAAAATAAAAAAACAGGTAGCCAGATTTGCTGATTCCTGGCCTGCTGGAAGACAGGCTGGGTTCCGAAGCCTCCTTCACTGAGTCCCTGCAGGACCCTGTCCAAGTCGCTTCCCTGGCCTGAGTTATCCTTTCTGTAAATCGGGAGGCTGATTCCCTGCTCTAAACCACCCTTCGGGGTTGCCAGGAGGTCAGATGAGCTCATCACGGAGGGAGCCCAGAGGGAGAAAAGAGCAGGATTAAGAGCCTCTTGAGGTTCTCTGATGCAAAGCAGATTGCTTTTTCTGCCTAGGTCTGGAGAGAGAAAGCCATTGACCTCAAGTCACCCAGTGCATCCATGGGTACCAGTGTCCCAGGGGCATCCTAGAGGGAGACAGGACCCACAGGCTTGGCCGCAGACCCTGGTCCTTGCCATCCCGAGGCCTCTCCCCAACCCCACCTGTGGAGAGAGAACAACAGTGAAGAGAGACTGGAAAACTGAGTCTCTAACAGGCTGTTCCTTTGAGCCCCTGGCCAGAAGCTATTTGGGTCTGTTTTAATGACTGAGCAGCCAGTGCCCAGGGCAGGGACGTGTTGTCTGACCTCCAGCCCTCTGCTCAGTCAGGCACGTCTCTCCTTCCTGTTCCCGGGTGGGCGCATCCCACAAGGCCTGACTCAGGCTGTGCCGCATCTGGAGCATGCTGTGCGGATGACTCCAGTGTCAATCACTTGGGGAAGAGGTGGGTCTTCAGAGAGCAAAGTGTAACTGAGGGCAAACCCAAGGCAACCAGGGGAGGGCCATTCTTCCCTTCCCTGTGCCTCCTGCTCTCGGAACTGGTCTTCTAAAGCTAGAGGTGCGCGAGGATAATAACTATAAAATAGCAGTTAACATTTGAGATTCACTGTGTGCCTGGGCCTGCCTTGAGCGCTTTACACGTATTCATTTAATCCTCACAACAACCCTGGTAGGCATTATTATTGTCCTCATTATACAGATGAGGAAACAGGGACCCAGAGAGGTTAAGATACTTGCCTGAGGTCACACTGCTCAGGAGTGGTGGAGCTCCGCGTGTTGAGGACTACAGAAGAGGATGCCTCATTGGTCCAAAACAGGTCCATATGGAGGAGTGGGGGCTCACGTCGGGTAAGACCCAGTGAAAACTTGCCTAAACCATCAAGGGCATTTATTGGCTCACAAATTGAGACGTTCCGGGGGTTGTGCTGGCTTCAGGGCCGGCTGGGGCCAAGGCCCAAATGCTGCCCTTAGAAAGCACACACTCACCGTCTTTCAGCCCTTTCCTGTGATGGTTTCATTCTCAGGCTGATTCCTCCCCACGTGTAAGGAAAGATGGCCACAGCCACTCCATTTGAGCAACTCCAGATGCTCCAGCAGAATTCTTTCCCACCAGTTCCCACCCAGGGCTGACTCTCACTGGGCTGCTATGGGCCACGTGCTCATCCCTGAGCCAATTGTGGTAGCCAGGAGGCGGGACCATGGTGATTGGATAGGACTGGGTCATATCACCACCCTGGGCTAAGTGCCCGCCCCACTTAAGGACGGGGAGGGAGGGAGACCCCTATGGGAAGAAGAGGGAAACAGAACTGGATAGACAAGGTCAAAGGATGTCTATCTAATCTGAGACTCTGGAGGAAACATGCATTCTTCACCCAGAGGAGCGATAGAGGGAAGTTGGACTTGGCCTTTAGGGTCTGCAGTCCATCCTCGGCCCCACCACGGACCTCTGTGACACTTGTTGCCTTAGCATGGCCTGGAACTTGGACCTGAGCCTTTTCTGCCTACCTCCCCCAGCTGATCCCTTTCCCACCCCACCTCCCTGCCTACTGACCGCCTTCACATTGCCTGGGGCCACATGGGCCCTGTTGCCAACCGCTGGCCCCCCGCTTGGCCTATTGTTCCAGTTCCCTAGTTGCCCGGCTCCCACTTCCAGTCTGGTCTTTTCCAATCCATGCTATTCATTGGCAACACCATCCCTAGTCCAGCAGAGCCTTGGCTCAGAAGCCTCCAGCCCCTCCTTTGTGTCAAAAAGGAAAAACGAGCTGCTTAGCCCCAGGCCTGGTATTCCTCCAGTGTCCTAGGAGATTCCCTGACCCTTGCCATCAGAATGTCTGTATCCCCTAATTCCAAACTGTGGTCGGCATCGTAAAGCACTGCGGCTCACTTACCTGCCTGGGGGTTAAGGGTCAAGTTTGAGTCATCGCTGCCTAGGGCCCAGCACAGCTCAACCAATGCCGGCAAAGCCTACATTTCTAGCTCCTGGGCATGAGACTGCTCCTTGATGAAGGGAGGTGGGAGAGGAAGTTAGGCGGCTCCAGTGAGAGACACAGAGGAAGTTCCACAGAATGACTGTGAGACAGTGATCTAGGCGGGTGGAGACAAGGGAGGCAGGGGGAAAGGGCAGAAGCCTTAGAGAGAGGAGGGAGGGACCGATCCAGAGAGTGAGAGCTGGGAACAGACACGCAGGGAGGGCAGAAAGGAAGCGCGGGAACGTGTGCCAGCTCAGGCATTTTTTTTCCTTAAGCAAACAAGGCCTCTATGATTTGTGTTTTGTCAGGCTGAACTTTCCATATCAGGAGTTTATTTAGCTGAGCAGCCAATTCTGGTAAAAACACTGGAACATGTTAAAAAGGAACGGGTAGGAAGGAGAGTCAGACAGAACAAACAGGAGAGAGCATCTGCCTGCAGCCGGTCCACGCAGTGCAGCTTGGCCTAGACCCGCTGACACAACACCCCCACCCCTGCCAGCTCTCTTTAGGGGCTGACCCAAGGGCCAGGTGACGCTGGACAGAGGTGGGGAAGTCAGCGTGGGGGAAGGAGTCTGGGCTGAAAGGGTCACAGCCCTGGGAAAGGTCTGGTTCCAGCCCAACCATGTAAGTCACTAGAGGCTGTTAGGACAAGTCAAGCCGAGGTTGCAGTCCACCCATGCACTAACGCCCCTGAGTCCCTACCACAATCCAGAGTCCCCTCAGAGACAGGGAAGCTGAAAACATGTCCCTGCTGGAACCCAGGTCTCGGGGTAGGCGGATCAGGTGTGGCTTTTTTTTTTTTGAGACAGAATCTCACTCTGTTGCACCCAGGCTGGAGTGCAGTGGCGTGATCTCAGCTCACTGCAACCTCTGCCTCCCAGGTTCAAGCCATTCTCCTGCCTTGGCCTCCCAACTAGTTGGGATTAAAGGTGTGTGCCACCACACCTGGCTAATTTTTCTATTTTTAGTAGACACGGGGTTTCGCCATGTTGCCCAGGCTGGTCTCGAACTCCTGACCTCAGGTGATCGCCCTTCTCGGCCTCCCAAAGTGCTGGGATTACAAGCATGAGCCACCACGCCTGGCCTCAGGTGTGGCTTTCAACCTGGGGGCCTGACCCGGCATGAGAGCCCTGCAGGGGACTGTCCTGCTGTTTTCTCACCTGCACAAGGTGGCCAACAATACCTGCCCACAGAAAGGAGCAACTAGTGGCTTGCCTGGCATCCAGCTGGTGCTTAATAATGGCAGCTCTTATGACTATGGAAGGCAACAGCTCCTGTGTGCAAGGAACTTGTGTGTCTTGTAGAATCAGGGCCACACGGCCAAGCAAGAGAGGCCGGAGCAGCTGGAGAGGGACACCGTCACCATCGATCTGACCTTACTTAAAATGAGACAAAACCACAAGGTATTCATGATTTGAAATTTTTATTTTCTGAAATGAAACAATTGTACATTGTACAAACCATATCTACTGATGGAATAAATAAGTGAAAAATTATACTGCTGTACAACACACCAAAAAAAAAAAAAATTCTTGAAAGGGGAAAAAATTAGGTAACGGTGAAAAAAGGTCTTTATGCCTCTAACCAGGTTCTTGGCGATAATGAACATTCCAAACCATGACACCGTTTGCTAATGGGAGGTCACCACCCTAGAGGAATCGGTCCACAGCCTTCCGGGTTGTGGGTGTAAGTGCCAGCACTTTGTGGAATGTGTAGCCGCAGCTTCCCCGACTTCACGTTTTGGGGGGAATTAGGTTTGCCCTGGGAGCCCTTGAGGCCACGGGGCCTGATGTCCACGGAAGGCTTTTGCTCGGGATCCCCCGCCCCCTGGCTCGAAGCTGAAAGGTCTTAGATTCTGTGGTGGGGGGAGGGCGAGGGGTGCAGGGTGGGTGGGGGGCAGCGGCTCGAGGAGCGACTGCGCCAGGGAAGGAAGCACATCGGATTTTTGCAGTCTTGTCATTCTGCGTGGAAGGCCTTCTTGGCCAGCGTGGAGTGCAGGGCTGCTGGCGCTTTGCCTGGCGTGGCCGTGGTGGGGCCCAGCTGGTCCCAATCGCCGGCCCATTCCTACCTTCAGGCACTTCAGAGAAATACTAGTGACAGCCTTGGGACGGTGGACGTCGTCTGAGTCCTCACCTGCGCCAACTCCCCTTGCCTGTCCAGAGAGGCTGCGGTCAACGGCAGGGCCACCTACGCCTCTCTGTTTCTGTGGATGTGTGTGTTTCATTCTCCTTCAGCTGTCTTGGTTGTAGCCTCTCGTTTCCCAAAAACAGAGAAGGAAATAAATATCCAAATTCATCTCTCACCAAGATGGAGTTTCGCTGCAAAGAAAAATGTGACTCTAACTCTACGGAATCTGGAGGTAACGCCGCCTCGAGATGCGTGGAGAGGAACCGCATCAGGTAGGTTCTGCGCCAGGATGCAGGACACAGTTCTCAACAAAACTGACTGCCTAAGGGGCAAAATTGATAAGTACAAGGATTTTTTTTTTTAAGACAGAAACCTTTCGGCATTGCTAACTTCAACATTAAGATTTTCAAAGTTGTGGTTTTTTTTTTTTCCCTTATTTCAGGAGACATTTTGCATGAGGTATTTGAAATTCAGGAACATTTTGATTCTTCTCGAAGTGCAGGAAATAGACAGGATCCCTTAAAAAAAAAAATAAGAGCCTCACCCTCAGAAACTCTTAGAAAATGGAATCCAGCAGACACTTCCCATGATGGTCAGGAGAAAGAGCCACACGTCAAAGGTGGTACCTGAATATGCACCAATTAGCCCCCAAAAACAACAAAACCCATGACCCCACCCCACCCCCAGTAACACACAACTCAAAGGGAGTCAGAACTCCAGTGCAGTAAAGAAAGCTTAGGAAAAGGTTTAAGGTCTGAGGAGTTCATATATTAATTAAGAGCAAACCAGGCCTCAGAACCAAACGATTAGGCAGTTCGTCCAAGGGGGCGTCTCCGTTCAGTGAGAGGAAGCTGTTCCAGCGAAGGTGGGGGATGGGAGGGAGGGGAGATTGCGTCTCTCCTTTCTGGAGGGTGTGCAAATCTTTCCAATTCCTCGACGCCTTGTTTGTGGCCTTCGAGGCCCGGCCATCAAGGCCCACTCCCCGGTGGGGACAGACGGCATGTTCTGGGGATGAGACACGGTCCAGCTGTTGGCTCAGAGTCAGAACAGCCTGAGAATAGGAAAGCACGTGGATTCTGACCACTGCGATCCTGCCTCTCCGGGGCACAGGCTGGGGCGTCGGGGGAGGCAAAGGGCAGCAGGTGACCGTGGATTTGAAATCCAAGCGACGTCCTATGAGAGAAAGTTCAGCACCAGCTAATCCTGCCGCCGGCTCCCAGCCTCCCCGGCCCACTCAGTGCCTTAAGGAGACAGCCTTGCAGTCAGCCAGAGAAGCCATTTCGTATTCGGAGGTCTGGGAGAAAGCAGTGATGGGGGTGGTGGTGGTGGGGGCAATAGAGAGGAAGTGCCAGAAAATTCCAAGGGCTTTGCACGTCCATCTGGGCCATGGTGGGCTTGGAGACGCCCAGTCCTAAACGCCCCAAGGAGGGGAGAGCACAGCGAGTGCCCAGCCTGATCCAAGGGGCCGAGCCCTTGGGGACTGTGCCCCAACACCTGCGCGTCCTTGGGCCCTGGTGCCTGGTGCTTGGGGCGTGCCTAAGGTCCCCCTGCACCTGCAAACCAGGTGGGCTAAGGAGCTCCTTCGCTCCACCCTGCCTGCTCCGATGAAGTCCTGGGGCAGGGAGGAGAGCGGTGAGTAGGGTGGCAGCCGCCGCCCGAACCAAACCAAGAGGGCACTTTGCAGAGGGGGATGTAAGAACCACCAGGATACATGCCAGAGGTCACCTCAAGGGCACAAGGCACAAAAAAAGAAAGCGGAAGGAATCGGTTGAACAGTGGAAAGCCCCGCCAAAAAGCGTTCCTGATCGGTACCACCCTCCGATAGCTTATATCGTTACATAGAGAAGTGGGGGGAAAATACAGCAGCAACACAAATGGAATCCTGGCTTCCGAGACAGTGTGCAGACACTCCTGAGCTGTCAGCCCCGCCTGCCTCCCCAAGGACAGTCCCTTAAAGGTTTGAGTGTTTTGCTTCACAGCAGAGTTCTTCAGTGTCTGAGAAGTGACGCCGTTCTGGGTCTTCTTGGATTTGCACTTG
Organism: Homo sapiens; assembly: GCF_000001405.40. Taxonomy (NCBI): domain Eukaryota; kingdom Metazoa; phylum Chordata; class Mammalia; order Primates; family Hominidae; genus Homo; species Homo sapiens. The sequence continues at coordinate 122,059,285 of NC_000012.12, read as the reverse complement.
GTAAACTTGAAACGTTAGTAGTTCTGTTCGCACCCAAGAGGAATCGCTGGGGCAAAGTTGCTCTAGAATTAATTGCTGATGTACCTTCCATGGAACATGGATCGGAGGCTTTAAAGCATCGTCTACATCTCTTCGGAGTTTTGTTGAGAGGCCTCCAGTTTCATCTTTTTAGAGGGTGGCACTCCTTCCAAATCCTTGGGGAGAGGAGAAAAGGGGAACACAGGTTAATGGGCCAGGAGAGCAAGTTAGGCCAGGCGTGAGGCCGAAGGTCAGCCAAGGAAGGAACCGAGCGGGGGCGGCTTTGTGGTTCAGACCAGCAGTTCCAGACCCGAGGCCCAAGCGTGGACTCCAGAGAGTTTGAGGACCTATGGAGACCCTCACACCCAAACTCTTCCTGGAGCTATGGAGCGCGGTGTCCCCTGGCCCCTGCCTGACCCTATCACATGCCAATGGCTGGTAACTCGGGAGCATTTCCTACACTGCTGCCTTGGACCCTAGGCTCTCCCCACTCATTCAGACTGGACCAGAAGTTGCTGTTATCAATCTTCCCATCTATGATTCATTGCTAGGGTGATTACTTGTGATTATTGTTTCAAGTTCACCTTTCCAAGTTCTTGTTTTTGTTGTTGAGATGGAGTCTCACTCTGTTGCCAGGCTGGAGTGCAGTGGGGCAATCTTGGCTCACTGCAACCTCCGCCTCCTGGGTTCAAGTGATTCTCCTGCCTCAGCCTCCCAAGTAGCTGTGATTACAGGCACGCGCCACCATGCCCGGCTAATTTTTGTATTTTTAGTAGAGACGGGGTTTCACCATGTGGGCCAGGCTGGTCTCAAACTCCTGACCTCAGGTTATCTGCCCACCTCGGCCTCCCAGAGTGCTGGGATTACAGGTGCACACCACCATGCCTGGCTAATTTTTTGTATTTTTGGTAGAGACAGGGTTTCACCATGTCTCCATGTTTCACCATGTTGGCCAGGCTGGTCTCAAACTCCTGACCTCAGGTGATCTGCCCGCCTCACCTTCCCAGAGTGCTAGGATTACAGGCGTGAGCCACCGCACCAGCTTTTCCAAGTTCTTTTTATAATTTTTTTTAGAGACAGAGTCTTGCTTTGCTGCTCAGGCTGGGGTGTAGTGGTCATCATAGCTCACTGCAGCCTCGACTTCCTGGTCTCAGAGGATCCCCCTGCCTCAGCCTCCTGAGTAGCTGGGACTATATGCATGTGCCACCATGCCCGGATGATTTTTTTTTTTTAAGTTTTTTGTAGAGATGGGGTCTTGCTATGCTGCCCAGGCTGGTCTTGAACTCCCGGGCTCAAGGGATCCTCCTGCCTCAGCCTCCCAAACTGCTTGGATTACAGGTGTGAGCCATGATGCCTGGCAATCTCTGCAAGTTCTAGGCCATCTCCCAGAGGCCCAGACCCACTCTGCCATGTAGACTCCTGCTCCTGCAGGGCTGGGCACAGTGCCTGGTCTGGGCTGGACTCTCAGCATTTGCTGGGTATACACATATGTGTGTGTGTTATTCTGGGGGAAAGGGTCTGTAGTTGTCACTGAATTCCCATGAAACCCAGGACACCAGAAAAGGTTTAACACTCACTCATCCATCACACAATTGTCTTGGGCCTCTCAAACCTAACCTGTCACCTGAGACCAAACTCCTGACCGCAGCCATCCTAACTGGTGCTCCCCATCAGCCTGGGAGAAAGACCCAGGCCTGGACACCCCCTGAAGCCACCTCTCCGCCCGCACCCCCCCTCCAACCCGGCCTCTGGCCTGGCTGATGGAGCAGCCTGCTTGTGGCCAACAGGATGGCCCCAGCAACCTTCCTCCAATAGAAACCACAACTTACAAATACAAAGCATTCCACAACTTTCCTACTGACTTCTGAACAAACCCAGTTCCTCACCAGGACCAAGAAGGCCCTAGTGACAAGCCTGGCCCACTTCTTCCCTCATCAGACCATTCTCTTCCTCACCCACCAGGTTCTGGCCTCCCCGGCCACCCTGGCCTCTCTTTCGTTCTTCAAGCTGGCTCCTGTCTTGAGGTCTCTGCACCTTGGTCTGCCCCTGCCTGGAGAGCTCACCGTCCCAGCCTGGGCCCCCTTCATGTCCGGCTCACAGCCAGCCCCTCCCTGCTGACGCCAGCCACAGCACCCTCTACCCATGGCCTGTTCTGCTTCTTCACGTCACCCTGTTTCACTCTCTCACGGCACTTAGTGGGACTCTGTGACCTACTTGTGTCTGCTTATCCTGAGCCCATTGTCAGCCCCACTGTGGCAGGCAGGGATTAGGTATAGCCCCTGGTCCATGGTGGGTTCTCAGAGATAAATGTTGCAGAGGAGAGGCCTCGAGTAGGACATGCGATGGACTTGCAGAGACAGTGACATGAGCCCCTTCTGGGGGACCCTGGGAGCAGGGATCGCAGGGAGTCAGGAAGGCTACCTTTCTGTCCTTTCTCTCCTTTTTTCTGTATTTATTTTTTTGAGACAGGGTCTTGCTCTGTCACCCAGGCTGGAGGGCAATGGTAGGATCATAGCCCACTGCAGCCTTGAACTCTCAGGCTCAAGCAATCCTCCCGCCTCAGCCTCCAGAGTAGCTGGGACTATAGGAGCGCACCACCATGCCTGGCTAATTTTCTTTTTCTTTTTGTTGGAGAGACGGGGTCTTGCTATGTTGCCCAGGCTGGTCTCGAACTCCTGGCCTCAAGTGATCCACCTGCCTCAGCCTCCCAAAGTGCTGGGCTTACAAATGTGAGCCACTGCACCCGGCCAAAAACGTATTGCTTGAAATGTCAGGCTGTCTGCTTTACTGGAGTACATCCTCCATGTCACTCACACACCTAGCTCTGTGGACAATATGTGTGTCGGTGTGCCTGTGAAAATGGTGGAAGAGGCCCAATTTTAGGTCTGGGTCTCCTGGAAGCAAGAGTGTGGGGTAGTGGGGGCGATGTGAGAATGGGGGACTCCTGGCATTTCCAGGTACTGCGGGGGAGCATTGGATACTCTCAGGGTATGGATCAAAGTTTCAAGCTGAGCTTTTCTTCTCTGAGATCAAGAGGCCCAGAGATCCCAGCCGACAACTTTGGTCTTAATATAAATCACCAGGCTTTGGTTTCTACTGTTTTTAACCAGATGGGCTCATGCTACGCCTGCGGATCTGCAGCTTGCTTTTCTCACTGCACGCTGCAAGAATGTTTATCAGAACCTGGAAGGCACAACCATGCTCTTCTAGATGGCTGCGCCCTAGTCTGTCTCAGACAAGACCCCAGATTTCCCTAAGCAGCCCCTTAGAGCTAGGGCATGTGGAGGGGGTTCCATGGGGTGAGGTTCTGGAAAGGGACCTGCCAATCAAAGGGTTTAAAGATTTTGAAGTTGCCAGGCGCAGTGGCTCACGCCTGTAATCCCAGCACTTTGAGAGGCTGAGGGAGTGGATCATTTGAGGTCAGGAATTTGAGACCAGCCTGGCCAACATGGTGAAACCCATCTCTACTAAAAATACAAAAATCAGCCAGGCAGAGTGGTAGGCACCTGTAATCCCACCTACTTGGGAGGCTGAGGCAGGAGAATTGCTTGAATCCAGGAGGTGGAGGTTGGAGTGAGCCGGGATCATGCCACTGCACTCCAGCCTGGGTGACAAAGTGAGACTCTGTCTCGAAGGAAAAAAAGTCTAGAGGATTTACAGTGAAAAATCCTAATAGTGGTCATGGCCAATGACACCTCTGCATCTTGTGTCCGCTCCATGCTAAGTGTTTTACCCAAGTTCTCCCATCGAATCCTCACGGTGGCCCTAAGACAGTTCCGTGATCCCATTTTGGGAGCTGGGATTCAAACTTGGGCCCGACTCTGGGAGGTTTGCTCCTAACCACCGGGCCCCACTGCACCTGTGCTGACTCATTCAGACCAGATTCCAACACAGAGTGATGCCCTGGAGAGGGGCCCATGCAGTGCAAGTGGGGCCAGCAGCACCGCTCCGTCGGAGGCCCCACCACTTAGGTTTCTGAAGTCTTGTCTTCCCAGCTCTAAAGGTCACCGATCTGGGGATCACTGAGATGAGGCAATGCCTGTGTGAACCTGAACAGACAAAACGTAGCAGCCGAGGCTGGGTTCAAGGTCCCTTCATCCTCCTCCGACCCAGAGGCTCCTTGAGGGCAGAGGCCACAAGTCTCATTATCCCTCGGCCCCAGAGCCCAAGGCAGAGCCCAGGACTGTGTTCATGGACATAGCCCAATGGACAAATGACAGTTCCAATGGTCCAACGACAAAACAACAAAACACAATGACGAAACACCTTTCAACGTACCCCCGACAACCCAATGGGCTCCCGGCCGATCTGGCTGCCCCTCTGAGACCTCGAGCGAGGTACCTGAGAGATTGCAGACGTCTCTGCGGCCAGACCCGAGTCTCCAGACGGCTGCCGATCTACTTTCTCTGAGCTGTTCATCGAATGTTCCATCGAGGACTGTGAATTCTGCTCATCAGAAGCATCTGAGGGAAGAGCAAGACGACAGGAGCTGTTTTCAGACACGTGAGAGGCGGGGCCGGTGGGGCCAAATACTGAAAATACCTTGAATCGGGTAGTTTTGGGGCCAGTGGTCTTTGAAGGCTACAATGAGCTGGGGGGCTGGAGGGCTGGGGAGTCTCCTGTTGATTTTTCAGTGGCGCTGTTTCCAGCAGCCAGGTCACACACGGACCCTGGCGTCTGCAACCCTCTCCTGCACACTTAGCTGCTGAGGGCCCTGGGAGGCGACTGGAGGAGGCTGCAGTCTCTGTGCTGCGTGCACCCAGCACCCCCTGGCGGCCGCAGTGCGCACCAACAATCATGGCTGTCAATTCCTCTCTCCCGCAGCCAAGGTGGCTTCGTCCTAACCTTTTGTAAACATTTCTCTTAATAATATGGGTATTTGGCCGGGCACGGTGGCTCAGGCCTGTAATCCCAGCACTTTGGGAGGCCGAGGCTGGCGGATCACGAGGTCAGGAGATCGAGACCATCCTGGCTAACACGGTGAAACCCCGTCTCTACTAAAAATACAAAAAATTAGCCGGGCGTGGTGGCGGCGGGCGCCTGTAGTCCCACCTACTCGGGAGGCTGAGGCAGGAGGATGGCGTGAACCCGGGAGGCGGAGGTTGCAGTGAGCCGAGATCGCGCCACTGCACTAAAGCTTGGGTGACAGAGCGAAACTCCGTCTCAAAATAATAACAATAATAAGGGTATTTTTCCGATTGCCAGAGCAATGACTGACCATTGCAGGAAACAGAAAAGTACAGAAAAAATAAAGTTAAAAATCACCTGTCACCACCCAGGGACCACCCCACTAATGTTTTAGAGGATTAATTCCCGTCTTTCCAGTTTCCCCTCCCTCCATGCGTACAAATTTTCTCCTCTTCCCAAATGGGGGTCATGTGGTATTTCGGAGGAATTCTTCATGTCTTTAAAGGTTCTTTAAATATCACAGCTTACAAGATGGCCGCACACCATTCCATCAAGGAATCGCCAGTAGAATGAACCCAGTTATTCGGGTGATTTCTCATGCCTGTCTTCCTGCTGCTCCACCCCAAGTTTTCTTTAGCAGAAGGAAGGTGCAGGCTGGATGGGGCGGGGGGGTGGGTGCAGCTTGGGAGGAGGCAGTGGCGGCAGCGGTTTTTCCTAAAGCTTACTGGACACAGAGCCAGACACTCGTGAAGGGGCAGCAAAAATCCTACCCGAGGCCCGGACACCATGGTACCCTGATGTTAAAAAGCACACACGAAACGAATCCTAGAGAATGCCTGTGCGACCAAGACTTCCCTGCTGGGGTTTCTGAGGCAGAGTAATAACAAAGGGGAAAATAACCCATGCTTAAGTTTAAAAGCAAGCAGGCAAGATGGGAAGAAGAAGGAGACAGTGCAGGGCCTGGGACAGGCCGGGACACAGAGGGCGGGGGAACGGGACAGCAAGACCCTCCTTCCCAGGGAGTCTGAGCAGGGTTGACACTTACTTCTCAGACTAGGAGCCCTGGCCGGGCGCGGCGGCTCACGCCTATAATCCCACCACTTTGGGAGGCCAAGGCAGGCGGATCACTTGAAGTCAGGAGTTCAAGACCAGCCTGGCCAACATGGTGAAACCCCGTCTCTACTAAAAATACAAAAATTAGCCAGGCATGGTGGTGCACGCCTGTAATCCCAGTTACTCGGAGGCTGAGGCAGGAGAATCGTTTGAACCCAGGACCACCTCCTGGATTGGGAGCCGAGATCATGCCACGGCACTCCAGCCTGGGCGACAGAGTAAGACTGTCTCAAAAAACGACAACAACAACAAAAACAGGCTAGGCACGGTGGCTCACGCCTGTAATCCCAGCACTTTGGGAGGCTAAGGTGGGTGGATCGGCTGAGGTCAGGAGTTTGAGACCAGCCTGGCCAACATGGCAAACCCCCCCCCCCCCCCGACTAAAAAAATACAAAAGTAAGCCAGGCGTGGTGTCGCGCGCCTGTAATCCCAGCTACTTGGGAGGCTGAGGCAGGAGAATCCCATAAACCCAGGAGGCGGAGGTTCCAGTGAGACAAGATCATGCCACTGCACTCCAGCCTGGGTGACAGAGTGAGACTCTGTCTCCAAAACAAAACAAAACAAAAAACAAAACAATAAAAAAACAAAAAGAAAGAAAACATTATGCTGAGTGAGAAGTCAGACACAAAAGGCCACAGAGTATATGATTCCATTTATATGAAAAGTCCAGAATAGGCAAACCCATGGAGACAGAAAGTTTCGTGGTTGCCCTGGGCAGGGACCCAGTGTTGCTGGGGAAGGGAGAAGTGGAGAATGATTGCGGCTGGGTGCAAGGTTTCTTTCTGGGGTGATTAAAATGTTTTGGAACCAGATAGAAGTGGTGGTTGCACAACCTTGTGAGTGTACTGTCAGTGAATTATTCACTTAACCTGGTTAATTTTATGTGAATTTCATCTCAATAAAAAGAAAAATCACCCAGGTGTAGTTGCTCACACCTGTACTCCCAACACTTTGGAAGGCCAAGGTGGGAAGATAGCTTGAGCTCAGGAGTTTGTGAACAGCCTGGGAAATATAGTGAAATCTCATCTCTAGTTTATTTATTTTTTTTTTTTAAAAGAGAGGGGCCAGGCCAGGCCAGGCGTGGTGGCTCACACCTGTAATCCCAGCATTTTGGGAGACCAAGGCAGGCAGATCACTTGAGGTCAAGAGTTCAAGACCAGCCTGGCCAACATGGTGAAACCCCGTCTCTACTAAAAATATAAAAAGTAGCTGGGTGTGATGGCAGGTGCCTGTAATCTCAGCTACTCGGGTGGCTGAGGCAGGAGAATCGCTTGACCCCAGGAGGCGGAGGTTGCAGTGAGCGGAAAATCGCACCACTGCACTCCAGCCTGGGTGACAGAGTGAGACTTTGTCTCAAAAAAAAAAAAAAAAAAAAAAAAAGAGAGAGAGAGAAATCATGTTATTGTTATACTCTATTTCATAATAAATGTTTGCTTTAACATAAATATTTAAAGTTTTTACTAGAAAAGTTGCCCATCTGTGGCTTTGGATCTGACCACAGCTCCTTTTCTGCCGGGCACAGCAGGCTCTGCAGAGTGGTGGGGGAGGTGGGTGCCCCAGATGTAGGCTTAGAAATCATGAAGGTGGCCAGTCACCCAGAGACTCACGCTGACCCGTGCTGGGCAGAGAGGTGCCCGGCAGAGGCCTCTCCTGAGAGCCAGGCCCTAGAGCTTGGTGGGAACTGGCCTTGGAACCCACAGAGCATTCAGGAGCTCAGGGCAGCAGCCGATTCTCTGGGCGCTGCGGTGCTGGAACTCACCCAGGGAAAATTATTTTCCTGGGACCTAAATTTAGTCCAGGGAGCTTGGACAGGAATTATGTCATTCCCTGAACTCACACAGCAGTAAACAAGTTCAAAGCAAGGTCAACAGCTGGTGGCCGACCTGCCCCATCCCGGCAGACAGCACGCACCCACCTGGGAAGGCCACACGGGTCTGTCCTTGTGCCCTTCCCACGGGCAGCTCGGGCAGCAGGCAGGTGGATCCTGGCTGAGCAGTGCAGGGCAGCCGTGCAGGCCCAGGGGCCTGGGGTGGCCAGAGAGGACCCTGGTGGAGGTCCCACCTGCGTCCCACCAATTTAGCATCTGGTGGTAGTGGCGAGAAAGTAGCAACCAACTGGACACACTAACTCAAAACATAATTCCTGCTGCGGAGCTCAAATCGGGCTTCTAGAGCAAAGGAGACACACACCCCCAACGTGGGAGAAACAAGGCCACGGCCAGAAAGAAACCAGGATGGGAAAGAAGCAGGAACGCGGCTGCACACGAAGCCCATGTCCGTCCTTGGGAACCCCGCAATCGCTCCCCCGACAGAAGGGTGGACAAGGCAACCCTGCAGCTCCCAGACCCTCCTCCTAAGCCCCAGCTCCAGGCCGAGCACTTTGCTGGCGTTCTCGCCCCCTTCGCTCCCGGCGAGGGAGGCAGCTTCTGTTTATCCCATTTTATTTTCTGCTGAGACAGGGTCTCGCTCTGTCGCCCAAGCTGGAGTGCAGTGGCACGATCATGGCTCACTGCAGCCTCCACCTCCCAGGCTCAAGTGATCCTCCCACCTTAGCCTCCCGAGTAGCTGGTCATCCCATTTTACAAACAAGGAAGTAGGAGGGTGTGTGGAGGTGATGTTCCTGCCCAGGCCCACACAGCTGGTGAGTGTCCCCCTGTATGTGACCACAGCCCCCGTCTCACCCCCTCTGCCTTCTACCTGCAGAACCACCTTCCAGGGAAGCCTGGTGGGCATGCTGGGATCACGGGGGCCATGAGGGGAGATGAGAGGGGACGACACATACTGTACGCAGCGAAGGCTATGGCAAAGCCGCTAGGGCACTGGCTCTCAGCAGGGGGTGATTTTACCCCTGCCCCTATCCTGGGGACATTGGTTAACAACTGGAAACATTTTGGTGGAGGCCAGAGATGCTGCTCAATGTCCCACAATGCACAGGATGGCCCCCCCCCCACAATAAAGAAGGATCCAAGACTGGTTGTGGTGGCTCACGCCTGTAATCCCAACACTTTGGAGGCTGAGGCGGGTGGATCACCTGAGGTCAGGAGTTTGAGACCAGCCTGGCCAACATGGTGAAACCCTGTCTCTGCTAAAAATACAAAAATGAACCAGGTGTGATGGCAAATGCACGCCTGTAGTCCCAGCTACTCGTGAGGCTGAGGCAGAAGAATCAGTTGAACCCGGGAGGCAGAGAGGTTGCAATGAGCCCAGATTGCATCACTGCACTCCGCCCTGGGTGACACAGCGAGACTCCGTCTCAGAAAAACAAAAAGAATGATCCGTCTCCAAATGCCAGGGGTGCTGAGGCTGAGAACCCCTGTGCTAGTGGTGTCATCCTACCCATGACTTCTCGGGGGGAAAAGCCAGGCAGAACCTGTGACATTCTGAGTGCATATGCAGCCTCTGACTAAACGGTTCCACTTCCAGGGACGCAGCCTGCAGAGCCACCTGCACCTGGGCAAAAGTGAAGAGAGATGAGGGTACCAGACCCCCCGCAGGACTGCATGTGCAAAACAAAAGACGGGAACACCTAAGTGACCATCACTAAGGGACTGTTCACATAAATTATGGCACAGTCACAGACTTGAACGGGAAGTATTATAGTTGATATGGAGAATGGCATGAACCTGCAATCTCTGCCTCCTGGGTTCAAGCTAGTCTCCTGTCTCAGCCTCCCAAGAAACTGGCATTACAAGTATGCACCACCACACCGGGCTATTTTTTGTATTTTTAGTAGAGATGGGGTTTCACTATGTTGGCCAGGCTGGTCTCAAACTCCTGACCTCAGGTGATCCACCTGCCTCGGCCTCCCAAAGTGCTGGGAATACAGGTATGAGCCACCACGCCCGGCCTCTCCAGCATATTTGAAGACCCAATTGCTTATCCCATTGAGCGAGGGAGGCCTTCCAAATTCCTGTTATTTCCAGCTTTCTTTCCCAACACTCCCTATTTTGAGCTCTGTGGTCCTGCCACACCACACTTTCTTACTTTCTTCTTCTTTTTCTTCTCTTTTTTTTTTTTTTTTTAAGACAGGGTCATGCTCTGTCATCCAGGCTGGAGTGCAGTGGGAGGACCATGCTCACTGCAACCTCCACCTCCCAGGCTCAAGCAATCTTCCTACCTTAGTATCCTGAGCAGCTGGGACTACAGGCACATGCCTATAGTTTTATGTATTTTTTTTTGTGTGTGTGTATATGTATATATATATATATATATTTTTTTTTTTTTTTTTTTACACGTTTCACTCTCATTGCCCAGGCTGGAGTGCAGTGGCATGATCTCGGCTCACTAAAACCTCCGCCTCCTGGGTTCAAGCAATTCTCCTGCCTCAGCTTCCCGAGTAGCTGGGATTACAGGTGCTCGCCACCACACCCAGCTAATTTTTTGTATTTTTAGTAGAAACAGTGTTTTGCCATGCTGGGCAGGCTGGTCTCGAACTCCTGACCTCAGGTGATCTGCCCACCTCAGCCTCCCAAAGTGCTGGGATTACAGGTGTGACCCACTGTGCCCGGCCTAATTTTTGTATTTTTTGTAGAGATGGGATTTCACCATGTTGCCCAGGCTGGTCTCAAACTCCTGGGCTCAAGTGATCTTCGCCTCAGCCTCCCAAGTAGCTGGGACCACAGGCATGTACTACCACATCCAGCTAATTTTAAAATTTTTTGTAAAGACAGGGTTTCACCACGTTGCTCAGGCTGGTCTCGAGCTCCTGAGCTCAAGCGATTCACCCACCTCGACCTCCCAAAGTGCTAGGATTACAGCCATGAGCCACTGCACCCGGCCAGCCTGCCTCCTTTCTAATACCAGGTCAAGACAGCAACTCCTCCAAGAAGCATTCCTGGAGGCCCCTCCAATCCCTTTTTAACTGTGTCCATCACAGCGGTGACTATGAACTCAAAAGCCCCATGAGGGGCCAGGCAATACCACAAATGAGTCAAGTGGGCTGTTGGATTCAGACATAGATAAGCTTCACAAATAAAATGTTAAGAAATACTCTCTTCAAATATGTACTTTCCCAGTTTTCTTAAAAAAAAAAAATAGCTTTCTCAGCCTAGGCGCAGTGGCTCACGCCTATAATCCCAGCACTTTGGGAGGCCGAGGCGGGCGGATCACCTGAGGTTGGGAGTTCAAGACCAGCCTGACCAACATGGAGAAACCCTGTCGCTACTAAAAATAAAAAGTTAGCCGGGTGTGGGGGTGCATGCCTGTAATCCCAGCTACTCTGGAGGCTGAGGCAGGAGAATCGCTTGAACGCGGGAGGTGGAGGTTGTGGTGAACCAAGGTTGCACCATTGCACTCCAGCCTGGGCAACAAGAGCGAAACTCCGTCTCAAAAAAAAAAAAAAAAAAAAAGCCTTCTCCAGCCTTTTTCTTTTCCACTTTTCCACCTCCACTTCTGATAGAGAAATAGCTTCAAGAAACATCTTGGCTGGGTGTGGTGGTTCACATCTGTAATCTCAGCACTTTGGGAGGCCAAAGTGGGAGGATCACTGGAGCCCAGAAGTTCAAGACCAGCCTGGGCAACATAGCAACACCCCGTCTGTACAAAAAACTATAAACATTACCAGGGCATGGTGGTGCATGTCTGTAGTCCCAGTTACTTGGGAGACTGAGGCAGGAGGATCACCTGAGCCCAGCAGTTCAAGGCTGCAGTGAGCGGAGATTGTACCACTGCACTCCAGCCTGGGCAACAGTGAGATCCCATTTCTTTTTTTCTTTTTTTTTTTCTGAGACGGATTCTCGCTCTGTCGCCCAGGCTGGAGTGCAGTGGTGCGATCTCGGCTCAACACAAGCTCCGCCTCCCGAGTTCACACCATTCTCCTGCCTCAGCCTCCCGAGTAGCCGGGACTACAGGCGCCCAATACCATGCCCGGATAATTTTTTTGTATTTTTAGTAGAGACGGGGTTTCACCATGTTAGCCAGGATGGTCTCAATCTCCTGACCTTGTGATCCGCCCGCCTCAGCCTCCCAAAGTGCGGGGATTACAGGCATGAGCCACTGCGCCCGGCCAAGACCCCATTTCAAACAAACAAACAAAAACCAAGAAATAGTCCAGGCGTGGTGGTTCACACCTGTAATCCCAGCACTTTAGGAGGCCGAGGTGGGTGGATCCCGAGGTCAGGAGATTGAGAACAGCCTGGCCAACATGGTGAAACCCCATCTCTACTAAAAATACAAAAATTAGCCGGGCGTGGTGGTGCACGCCTGTAAACCCAGCTACTCACGAGTCTGAGGCAAGAGAATCACTTGAACCTGGGAGGCGGAGGTTGCAGTGAGCCGAGATCACGTCATTGCACTCCAGCCTGGGCGACAGAGCAAGACTCCGTCTGGAAAAAAAAAAAAAAAACCCAAGAAATATCTTAATTTTCCTTTTAAAATCTACAATAAGAAAAACAACAGTGGCCATGAGGTAACACAAGGCAAGCGCCCTTTGGCCTTGGTTTAGAGACAACAGGGAAGGGTCTCTTCTGCTTCAGCTGGTAACTGCCCCAGGGAAGAGCAGGCCCGGTATTGTCAAAGCTGATTCTTCAAAAGAAGCTAGAAATCAATCCTGTTTTAAGCTCAATTTTTAAATTTTGACATCACATTCAAATTTAAAAAATGATACTGCAGGGTTCTGTATAGCCAGATTCTCACACCACGGGCTGGATAGAGTCTGTCTGCATCTCTGCCAATGAGTCCTTCGTTCCAGTGTCTGTCTCCCCTGCTGACCTATGGGTTCTTGGGGTGCAGGAAGCAGAGTGCAGCTATGACTGGGGCCCTGGCGCCAGCCCAGAGCCTCCTTGCACAGGGGTGCGGATCAGCTCTGCAGCAGGGGACAGCCTTTCTCCTAGAACCACACTGGCTGCTCCCAGGACACACACGCCCTGAGCCCTGGGGTGGCCCTAGCTGCAGGCTGGTCACATTTGCCATTCCACATTCCATGCTCGCCAGCTCCTCATGGGTGTGCAAGGCGCTCCAGACCTGGCCTGCCCTCCCCAGACCCGCTCAGCCACTGCTGTCCCTCCAGGTGCCCAGAGTTGCCCTCAGGTCCGCACTCACCCCTATGTACTGCCCAACACAGGCTCTCCCCTCACCTTCAAAATATACCTCCATGTTAGACCATCCGGAATGCTGCTCATTTTCTTAGATGCAGTAACGGTATTTGTAAATCTGTAAGAGAATGCCTTTTTTTTTTTTTTTTTTTTTTTAGCAAGGTCTCACCCTGTTACCCAGGCTGGAGTGGTGCAATCATGGCTCACTGCAGCCTCGACCTCTCAGGTTCAGTCGATCCTCCTGGGACTACAGGCGCATGCCACCATGCCGGGCTCATTTTTATATTTTTTGTAGAGACGGGGTTTCGTCTTCTTGCCTAGGGTGGTCTTGAACTCCTGGGCTCAAAAGATCCTCCTGCCTCAGCCTCCCAAAGTGCTGAGATTATAAGCATAAGCTACTGTGCCCAGCCCAGAATGTCTTTATTTTTAAAAGACACGTGCTGACATGTTTAGGGATGAAATGTCCTGAGATCTATAACTTACTTTCAAATGGTCCCAGAAAAAATACAAAGCAAAAGAAACCCAAAAGCCAACAATTGCCAAGTTCAGCAGGTGGATATATAGGACAGTATTATGCCATTCTTTTAATTTTTCTGTAGAGACTCAAAATAAACACACACAAATATTTGTGTACACATTCACACAATCACACACACACTCTCACACAATCACCCCATCATCTGTTCTTAATCCTTCAGATCATGTCACCCAAGCCCCCAGTGGCTCCCGTCTTACCATGAAAACCCAGGCCAGGCAGTGGCCTTACGAGCCCCCCACACCTGAGGCGCTGCCTGCTGTCTGACCCCGTATTATTATTAACTTTTTAAAATTTTTCTGAGACAGAGTCTTGCTCTATCGCCCAGACTGGAGTGCAATGGCACAATTTCGGCTCACTGCAACCTCCGCCTCCTGGGTTCAAGTGATTCTCTTGCCTCAGCCTCCTGACTAGCTGGAATTACAGGCACATGCCACCACACTCTGCTAATTTTTGTATTTTTAGTAGAGACAGGGTTTCACCGTGTTGGCCAGGCTGGTCTTGAACTCCTGACCTCAAGTGATCCGCCTGCCTCGGCCTCCCAAAGTGCTGGGATTACAGGCGTGAGCCACCGCGCCTGGTGCCCATCTTATTTTCCAGCTCCTCACTCACTCTTACCTCTGCCCACACTGCTCTCCTCCCAGATCCCCACATGGCTTGCTCAGTCGCCCAGTTTGAGCCTTGTCTTATTCAAAGGCCGCCCCGACCACCCCATTTAAAACTGCAACTCTCCAGGTCATTCAGCAAGACCCCCCACCCCTTTCCTACTTTATAATTCTCTGCCACACTTATCTTCCTAATACTAGGTTGTCTGATTTTTAAATACATTTAAAATTTATTAATATAATTATATTTTGAGCCAGGGTCTCACTCTGTCACCCAGGCTGGAGTTCAGTTGTGTGATCACGGCTCACTGCAGCCTCCAACTCCTGAGCTCAAGGGATACTCCCGCCTCAGCCTCTTGAGTAGCTGGGACCACAGGCACATGCCACCATGCCCAGCTCATCTTAAAGCATTTTTTTGTAGAGACAGGGTCTTGCTATGCTATCCAGGCTGGTCTCAAACTCTTGGCCTCAAGTGATCCTCCTGCTTCAGCCTTCCAAAGCATTAGGATTATAGGTGTGAGCCACCATGCCTGGCCAATTGTTTGATTTTTATTTATTTACTTATTATTGAGACAGGGTCTTATTGTCACCCAGGCTGGAGTGCGGAGGCATGATCATGGCTCACTGTAGTAGTCTTGACCTCCTGTGCTCAAGTGATCCTCCGACCTCGGCCTCCTGAGTAGCTGGATCACAGGTGTGTGCCACCACACTTGGCTATTTTTTTTTTTTTGGTAGAGATGAGGTCTTGCTATGTTGCCCAGGCTGGTCTTGAACTCCTAGGCTCAAGCAGTCCTCACACCTTGGCCTCCTAAAGTGCAGGGATTACAGGCATGAGCCACTGCACCTGGCCTGTCTGATTTTTTTAATTCCCCCACGAGACCATGTACTCCAGGTGTCACCTCTCTTTACTGTCTCCTTGCTGGGGCTGGCACATGACAGGGCCTCCTGGAACACCTAGCCACAGACTGCCTGAAGGCCGGTTACAGGGAGGCCGTCAGAGCCCCACCTCCAGAGGCCACATACCTTCAGCTCCTGGGTGCTCCTTCCCATCAGCCTGGGCCTCATCCACCTTGGCCTCGGTGCCGTCGCTGGGCACAGCCGAGTTGGGCTCTGGAGCGGGGCTGGAGTTGCTGCTGTTCTCCTGTTTGATGGGGGAGGCATCTGCGATGGAGCTCTGGTTGCTGTTATCGTCTGTAGGGGGTGGGAACAGAACCACAGGATGAAATCCCACAGCTGCCAAGGACGGGTAGGTCAGAGGGCTCAGCATCCCTGTGCCTCAATGCCCGGAACCCCATGGCAGCTCTCCCGGGGAGGGGTCTGGTTACCGTTTTTTTTTTTTTTGAGACGGATCTCGCTCTGTCAACCAGGCTGGAGGACCGTGGTGCAATCTTGGCTCACTGCCTCCACCTCCCGAGTAGCTGGGATTACAGGTACTTGCCACCACGCCTGGCTAATTTTGTATTTTTAGTAGAGATGGGGTTTCACCATGTTGGCCAGACCCGTCTCGAACTCCTGACCTCAGGTAATCCTCCTGCCTCGGCCTCCCAAAGTGGTGGGATTACAGGCGTTGAGCCACTGCACCCGGCCGTGTGGTAGGGGTCTGGATACTGGATACGCCTCCTCCTGGGACCCCTGAGCTCACTCCCGCCCCCTGACCCCCACCCACCCACCCACCCAAGCACCACAGCCATCCCATGTGTCCAGAGAGGCAAAGAATTCCGGCACTGGCCTGACCTTCCCCACACTGAGCCAACTGTACCCTGCGTCTGGAGGCAGCCAGCTGGGGATGGTGGCCTAACATATTTAAAATCCTGGGGGGACATTTGAGGCCTCATTCTGGGTGTAGAAACCAGACGTCTTGTGTGTCTGGCAGGGAAGCGATACAGAAGACACGGCATGGTCCGTGAGGCGGGATTGCCAAGGCGTTCTGTCTGACTGCATCCAGCCTGGAGCTGAGTTCCACTTGATAGGAAATAAAAGGGAGAGAGAGACAGCGGGAGGTGGCATATTCCACGGGACACGTGGTCCACTCCCTTAAAGTCAGTATCATATTTAAAAAAAAAAAAAAGTTGGGGGAGGGGAGATGACTTTAGAATAAAGAAAGCTAGGAGACTCGACTAAATATGATGTATGGAAATGATTTGGATCCTGTTTCAAACGTGCCAGCTGTAACACTTTGGAACAATTGGGGAATTTGAATATGGTCTGGGTTTTAAAAGCTATTAAGGAACTGTTGTTAATTTAGTTAGAAGTGATCATGGGACAGTGGGTATGTAGAAACGTCATATTTTCAGCAATGCATGCTATGACGTTTAGGTGCAGACTTGAATGTCATGAGGCAGGGAAATTTACCAGAAAATACTTCAGTGCAGGCTGCCGGCCACTGTCAGGACTCCCTGAACTTTTACACTTTTTTTTTTTTTTTTTGAGATGGAGTCTTGCTCTGTCGCCCAAATTGGAGTGCAATGGCGCGATCTGGGCTCGCTGCAACCTCCACCTCCTGGGTTCAAGCAATACTCCTGCCTCAGCCTCCCAAGTAGATTACAGGCGCCTGCCACCATACCTGGCTGAGTTTTGTATTTTTTAGTAGAGACGGGTTTCTCCATGTTGGCCAGCCTGGTCTCGAACTCTTGGCCTCAGGTGATCTGCCCACCTCAGCCTACCAAAGTGCTGGGATTACAGGTGTGAGCCATCACACCCGGCCACTAGCTGTGTATTTTTTATATGTGAATTATATTTTAATTACAAAAATCTAACACATTGAAAAAATAGATGAGACAAATGTGGCACCGTGTTCATGAAAATCAAGGTGGAGTGTACAGGGGGATCGTATTCCTCTCTCTACTGTTCTTGACAACAAAACCCTTCACAATACAAAGAAGAAAGAGAAGGGGTAATTGGGCAATGGCATTTACAGTTGGGCTGGGGGCAGAGCTGGGGCCCGGGCTGCACCTCCCCTTGTCCTGCACCCCCTTCTCAGGCACAGAGTCACTCTATTTATTTTTTTGAGATGGAGTCTGTCACCCAGGCTGGAGTGCGGTGGCGCGATCTCGGCTCACTATAATCTCCACCTCCTGGTTCAAGCGATTCTCATGCCTCAGCCTCCCAGGTAGCTGGGATTACAGGCATGCACCAACATGCCCAGTTAACTTTTGTTTTTATTATTTTTTAGTAGAGACGGGGTTTCGCCATGTTGGTCAGGCTTGCTCTTGAACTCCTGACCTCAGGTGATCTGCCCGCTTCAACCTCCCAAAGTGCTGGGATTACAGGAGTAAGCCACCACACCCAGCCATTTATGTATTTTTTATTTTTAGAGACAGGGTCTTGCTCTGTTGCCCAGGCTGGAGTACAGCAGCACAATCATAGCTCACTGCAGCCTCGAACTCCTAGGCTCAAGCCATCCTCCTGCCTCTGCCTCCTGAGTAGCTGGGGCCACAGGCATGTGCCACTGCATCTGGCTAATTTTTAAGTTTTTTGTAGAGATGGGGTCTCACTATGTTGCCCAGGCTGTCTTGGACCCCTGGGCTCAAGTGATCCTCCTGTCTTGGCCTCCCAAAGCACTGAGATCATAGGCCTGAGCCACTGTGCCCAACCTAGGAGAGTCGTTTTAAACAGCAGAGACCCAAGTGGAGGTTTCAAAACCAAAGCAGCCTTTCTGGGGGCCATGCTGCACCCGGGGCGATGGCCACTTTTGTAAACATGAGAAAGAGACAGAGACACCCCAACAGACCTGGGCACCTGCCACCATGCCAGGCACTGGGCAGAAGCATTTATGGACACCTCGTGGAATCCTCCCCACAACCCGTTGGAAAGGCACCGTTACCACCTTCACTTTCCGGAGGGGGAAACTGAGGCTGGGAGCAGCAGAGCCACTTGCCGGACCCATCTGCCCAACTCCCAGCCCCACGCCCCTCCTCTACCTCAACCTGCCGAGGAAGCACCAGGCAGTCAGGCGGCCCCACACGGGTAACCTGGATCTGATTTTAACTGTACTCTGGGGTGCTCGTTACACAAAAGCATCCTCTTGTGAATTCTGGGACTTAAAAAAAAAAAAGAAGGATGTGTGCTCCCCGATTTCTCCCTTGAGAAAAACTAGACTTCCTTCCTATGGCAAGCACACGCGCAAGAGGCTGGCCCCGTAGGTTCCTGAGGCTCTGTTAATGAATGACAATGAGCACTAATGTTTAACGTCTGGTCTAGCCTGGTAGCCTGGTAACAGCGTGACCCTGATACTTGGGCTAACTTCAGCTGAGTCTTGTGGACTAAAGGGCCCGGGGCACCGCCCTCTCCTTCATCCCCTGCTGTACCCATCCTCCCACTTGAAGCCTTCCAGAAAACTTGCCCGGCCCACACCTTTCCCTGACCTTCCCATTTACACACTCTGCAGTCTGACTGGCTTTCGGCTGCACGTGCACTAAAATGAAAATCAGAAAGTCAACAGGGCACCTGTGTCTGGGGACCTGGTTTGTTCAGCATCCTAGATTTTTCTGGAGAGTTTATCCAGGTCACAAATCTGGATCTTTTGGTTTTTTTTTTTTTTTTTTGGAGACACGGCCTCACTCTCTTGCCCAGGCTGGAGTGCAGTGGTGCAATCTTGGCTCACTGCAACCTCCCCTTCCCGATTCAAGGGATTTTCCTGCCTCAGCCTCCCGAGTAGCTGGGATTACAGGTGCCCACCACCATGCCCGGCTAATTTTTGTATTTTTAGTAGAGATGGGGTTTCACCATTGTTTGGCCAGGCTGCTCTCCAACTCCTGACCTTAAACGATCCTCACAACTTGGCCTCCCAAAGTCCTAGGATTATGGGTGTGAGCCACCACGGCCAGCCACAAACCTGGATTCTGTCTTCAAAGAACCAACCTCAAATGCCATCAATGGCACTGGAAGTTATGAACTTGCTAACCATGCATGTTACTTCACCTCACTGGGCCTTAGTTTCTCCATCTGTAAAATGCGGTTGGTTATTAGACTCAAATGAGGCAATGATGTAACGGGCTTAGCACAATACTTGGCACATTGTGACGGTTTCATAAATGTGAGCTGTTAACATGCCAAGGTTTTTAAAATTTTTATTATAGGCTGGGCACAGTGGATCATGCCTATACTCCCAGCACTTTGGGAGGTTGAGGGAGGAGGATTGCTTGAACTCAGGAGTTTGGAAACAGCCTGGGCAACATAGCAAGACCCTGTCTCTATTTTTGAATACAGTAAAATAATTTTTTTTTTTTATGGAGTCTTGCTCTGTCGCCCAGGCTGGAATGCAGTGGCATGATCTCAGCTCACTGCAACCTTTGCCTCCAGGTTCAAGTGATTCTCCTGCCTCAGCCTCCCAAGTAGCTGGGATTACAGGCGTGTGCCACCACACCCAATAATTTTTGTATTTTTAGTAGAGATGGGATTTTACCATAGAGACCAGGCTGGTCTCCAACTCCTGACTTCAAATGATCCTCCCATCTCGGCCTCCTAAAGTGCTGGGATGACAGGCATGAGCCACCACACCTGGCCCAAAATAAAATATTTACTATAATTATATTATATATTATATTATATAATATATATAATATATATATTATATATATATATATATTTAAGAGATGGGGTCTTGCTCTGTTGCCCAGAGTGGAATGCAGTGGTGCAATTACTGTTCACTGCAGCCTCCAACTCCCAGGTTCAAATGATCCTCAGCCTCCAGAGTAGCTGTGACTATAGGTGCGCATCACCACAACCTGCTAATTTAAATTTATTATTATTATTATTTTTTTTTTTAATCTATTTTTTTTTAGACTGAGTCTTGCTCTGTCGCCCAGGCTGTAGTGCAGTGGCGTGATCTTGGCTCACTGAAAGCTCCACCTCCCAGGTTCACGCCATTCTCTTGCCTCAGCCTCCCGAGTAGCTGGGACTACAGGCACCAGCCACCACGCCTGGCTAATTTTTTTGTATTTTTAGTAGAGATGGGGTTTCACCGTGTTAGCCAGGATGGTCTCGATCTCCCAACCTCATGATCTGCCCGCCTTGGCCTCCCAGAATGCTGGGACTATAGATACGAACCACCTATTGTTTTTTTTGTAGAGATGAGGTCTCCCTGTGTTGCCCAGGCTGGTCTCAAACTCCTGGGCTCAAGTGATCCTCCTAACTCGGCCTCCCAAAGTGCTGGGATTACAGGTGTGAGCCACTGTGCTTGGTCCCATGCCAAGGTTTTTAAGAGATTATTTAATTTAATCCTCACAGTGAGTTTATGAAGTAGGCATTACCATCCCCATTCTACAGATTAAAACTAAACAAACCCCAAAGCTAGAGGTTAAACAAATAGCCCAAGATCACACAGCCAGGGGAAGGTGCAGGGAGAGTTAGGATGTGAACCCAGGTGGGGTCCTGGCCTCAGCTCGAAAAGGCCCTCTGGTGTAATTCTGCGTCTGTAATCCAACCTCAGTCCTGAGTCGGGCGTGGGGTCTCCCCAGTCCCCAGAGGGAAAGGGGATGCTAAGGAATGCCACTGAGACAGGCCACATCCCAGCTCACATATCTATTTCTGAAAATGAAACATAACCCAACTATGATTGTATGGCTGGTTGGGGGGGCTTTCTTGACACATTAACCAGCAACAAAGCCCCACTGCTCTTTTTTTTTTTTTTTTTTTTTTTTTTTTGAGGCAGAGTCTCGCTCCTTTGCCCAGGCTGGAGTGCAGTGGCCTGATCTTAGCTCACTGCAGCCTCCGCCTCCCAGATTCAAGCGATTTTCTTGCCTCAGCCTCCTGAGTAGCTGGGATTACAGGCACACGCCATCATGCCCAGCTAATTTTTATATTTTTAGTAGAGATGGGGTTTTGCCATGTTGGCCAGGCTGGTCTTGAACTCCTGGCCTCAAGTGACCCGCCCACACCAGCCTCCCAAAGTGCTGGGATTACAGGCGTGAGCCACTGTGCCTGGCTCCCACTGTGCGTTTCTTTTTTCTTTTTTTGAGACGGAGTCTCACCCTGTTGCCTGGGCTGGAGTGCAGTGGTGCGATCTCGGCTCACTGCAGCTTCTGCCTCCTAGGTTCAAGCGATTCTCCTGCCTCAGCCTCCTGAGCAGCTGGGATTACAGGTGCCCGCCACTACACCCAGCTAATTTTTTGTATCTTTTTTCTTTTTTGAGATAGTTTCACTCTTGTTGCCCAGGCTGGAGTGCAATGGCGCAATCTCCGCTCACCGCAACCTCTGCCTCCTGAGTTCAAGCGATTCTCCTGCCTCAGCCTCCCGACTAGCTGGGATTACAGGCACGCGCCCCCACGCCTGGCTAATTTTGTAAATTTTTTAGTAGAGACAGGGCTTCTCCATGTTGGTCAGGCTAGTCTCGAACTCCCAACCTCAGGTGATCCGCCCACCTCAGCCTCCCAAAGTGCTGGGATTACAAGCGTGAGCCACCGCACCCATTGTTTGTATTTTTAGTAGAGACAGGGTTTCACCATGTTGGCCAGGCTGGTCTCGAACTCCTGACCTTGTGATTTGCCTGCCTCAGCCTCCCAAAGTGCTAGGATTACAGGCATGAGCCACCGCCACTGTGCTTTTCTAAAGCCCGTTCAGAAACCTGCCAGTCCCCCTGCCCTTGGAGCTGGTGACTGTGTTTTCCAGACAGGTCGATTTGAGCACGTGGGGAAGTTCGCTGGCCTTCCTTCCCCAGAACAAGACAGCCCTGGGTCTGGAGAGATCAGAAACTCCAGCAAACCAATATTCCCTTCCAGTTCCTTTTTTAGTTATTTGTCTACTACTACCTGGCTGTACCAAAGCTTCCAGTGGTCAAAAGTACAAAGACGTTGAAATTGGGGTCAAGAGATAGAAAAAGGCAGGGGTTGCAGGCTCTTGTCCTAGCAGGCCAGGCAGGTGACAAAGAGGCAGTGGGTGAGCCAGGTGGGCCTGGAGGCGCCACACTCTTGCTAAGGGAAGGCGGCTCTGGCTTCAGGCAGTTCCAGGCAGCCCTTGCCTCGAGGGAGCACACAGCCACGGGGCTGCCAGATCTGATTTCTCAAGGGATGGCAGGACGGAGATTTCCTGATTTCCAAACACGGAAAACCAACTTAATTTTTATGAAGCTTTAGGGACGGGTGCGGTGGCTCACACCTGTAAATCCTAGCACTTTGGGAGGCCAAGGCGGGCGTTCGAGACCAGGAGTTCGAGACCAGCCTGGGCAACATGGTGAAACCTCGTATCTACTAAAATACAAAAAAATTAGCCAGGCATGGTAGCACGTGCCTGTAATCCCAGCTACTCAGGAGGCTGAGGCAGAAGAATTGCTTGAACCCAGGAGGCGGAGGTTGCGGTGAGCTGAGATCGCACCACTGCACTCCAGCCTGGGTGACAGGAGCGAGACTCTGCCTTAAAAAAAAAAAAGGAGCTTTAGGTTTGAATCTCTGAGGGCATTTTCCTTGGGTGGATGGAGAAAACCGTGAGGACCTGCGGGGGACACTGGGGACTAGCTCGGAACGTTCTGTGTTTTGACCTGGGTGGTTACGTGGGTGTGTGCAGTTTGGGAACATTTCATGGAGTCATACACACATCATTTGCACGTTTCCTCTCAAATAAAAAGGTCAAAACAGAAACAGACACCGCCAACAGGAAACAATGGCAGACAGCACCATCTGGATTTGGTTGATGGACCTAGATTACAACTTTTTTGGGTTTTTTTGCCTTTTGAAGAGATGGGGTCTCACTGTATTGCCCAGGCTGGAGTGCAGCAGCTACTCTCAGGTGCAATCATAGCTCACTGCAGCCTTGAACTCCTGGGCTCAAGCGACCCTCCCACCTCAGCCTCCCAAGGAGCCAGGACTACAGGTGCGTGTTTCCTGTACCCGGCTAAGTTACAACATTTGAAATTAAACAGCAAAGGAAGTTAGGTGTAGACGTGGAAGGGCAGTTCCCAAGGTCCTGGTGGGATTAACATGAAATCAGAAATCCAGTTTGGAGGCCGGGCACGGTGGTTCATGCCTGTAATCCCAGCACTTTGGGAGGCCGTGGCGGGCAGATCACTTGAGGCGAGGAGTTTGAGACCAGCCTTGCCAACATGGTGGAACCCCGTCTTACTAAAAAATACAAAAATCGGTCAGGGATGGTGGTGCATGGCTGTAATCCCAGCTGCTTGGGAGGCTGAGGCAGGAGAATTGCTTGAACCCAGGAGGCATAGATTGCAGTGAGCCAAGACCACGCCACCGCACTCTGGCCTGGTCAACAGAGCAAAACTCCATCTCAAAAACAAAACAAAACAAAACAAACAAACAAAATCCAGTTTGGAGATTCCCAGCAGCCAAAGCAAAATGGGAAACACAGCCATTTATATAATTTATATGAGGGGGCGAAGAAACATACGCCCAAACAATCTTCCTGGACACACGAGGCTGAGAGAAACATCTCCTGCGGGGTTCTTGTCCCTGGGTGAGGAGAGGGTCTAATTTCTATGTCTCTGGCTTAGTTTATGTCTCTTGGCTTGGTACGCTGGGAAAAGAAACATCCTCTCCTCCGCTGACTCTTCTCCTTGGCACAGAGGCCGCCGGGCCCTGCCCAGCCCTCCTACCCCTTGCCTGGAATGTGAACAAACCTGCTGGAGAAACAAAAACATGACCGAGTGCTTGGCCAAGGCCCCGGGCTGGGCAGGAGAGGCTGGCAGGCCATGGGCACTCACCATGCATGTCCATCATCCCTGGGGAGGAACTGTTCTCCGGAGTGGTCACCTCTGAGCCACACTTCTCGTCCTTGCCTTTTTTCTTATTCTTGTTTTTCTGCAGGGGAAAATGGAGCAGAAACCAAGTCACCAGATCATGTGTGTGCGCACACGTGCTCAGAGCCCCTGGGGAGTGGTGTGAATATTTTATTCCATTGAAGCCTCCTGGAGCCCCCAGGCCTCTGGAGGTTTTCCTGGGCCCACATTTGAACACGTCCTATTAGGGACTGGCCTCTGGGTCTCGCCCACTGTGGAATCAGAGAGCCCCACAGTGGGGAGGGTTCTGAGGCTGGCCCAGCTCCGGCACCCTGGAAAATAAGCCTGCCTGTTTCTGGGGCTGTCAGCAGCAGTGTGGAAACACCCTGGCTGGCAGGACCTGCCTCCTCTTTTAGGGAGAGTATCTGGGGAAGAGGCTACCATCAGCCCAGGTACAAAGTAATGCCAGGTGACCCAGAGGTCACTCACTTCCACCAGCTGCAGGCCCCCTGGGGCAGCCTTTCTCAAAGTGTACTCCACTGACCTCCAGCACAAAAGCGCAAGAGGAGTTAGGAAGGAAGACCCCGGGAGAAAGGAGGGAGGACCCCGGGAGAAAGGAGGGAGGATGGGGATGCTTTTCGTGCCATTCCTTTTTTCTTTTTTTTTTTTTTGAGACAGAGTCTCGTTCTGTCACCCAGGCTAGAGTGCAGTGGCGTGATCATGGCTCACTGCAAGCTCCAACTCCAACTCCCAGATTCAAGCGATTCTTCTGCCTCAGCCTCCCAAATAGCTGGAGCTACAGGTGCCTGCCACCACACCCGGCTAATTTTTGTATTTTTAGTAGAGACGGGTTTCACCAATATATTGGCCAGGCTGGTCTCGAACTCCTGACCTCGTGATCTGCCTGCCTCAGCCTCCCAAAGTCCTGGGATTACAGGTGTGAGCCACTGTGCCCGGCCATTCAATTTTTTTTTTTTTTTTTTTTTTACGAAAGGAATCATGTTAGAAACAACCTTGGCTGAACTGTAGGAGACTCGTTAAATCAATCGTGGTACATTCATTCAATGAAATCGGATGCAACAATTACAGGGAATAAGGTGGTTCTTCACAGACTAACATGGGGTGATCTGCAGAATACTAACACTTAACATATGTCAATATCGCCAAGATATATATATATATATATATATATATATATATATATATATATATATATATATATGAAAGATGCAGGATACGTGAGCCTCACCACCAGTGGTAAGCAAAGGATGTGTGTGTGTGTGCATGCTCTGTATGTGCATGCGTGTATTTACATGCATGTTTGCGAGCGAAGTCTCCCTTTAGAAGGATAAACAAAACCTGGCAACACTGGTTGCCTCCAGGGGCGAGAACTGGGGTGGGGATGGGGGGTGCATGCAGGGATGAGAGGCAGATTTATAAAAGATATGCAGTAAAAGAGTAACATCGGAAGATACACAAATCCAAACAGACAAAAAGTGGACTGGTGGTTACCGGGGCAGGCGAGGGGAATGGGAAGTGACTGCTAATGGGTATGAGTTCCTTTTTTAGGGTGATGAAAATGTTCTGGAATTACAGTGGTGACAGGTGCACAACTTTGTGAATACACTAACTGAACTGAATAAAACAGTGACTTCTGGCCAGGCATGGTGGCTCACGCCTGTAATCCCAGCACTTTGGGAGGCTCAGGCAGGAGGATGGCTTGGGGCCAGGAGTTTGAGACCAGCCTGAGCAACACAGCCAGACCCTGTCTCTATTAAATAAATAAATAAGCCAGGTGTGTGGCTGGGCGTGGTGGCTCACGCCGGTAATCCCAGCACTTTGGGAGGCCGAGGCGGGCGGATCATGATGTCAAGAACTCAAGACCATCCTGGCTAACATGGTGAAACCCCGTCTCTATTAAAAATACAAAAATTAGCTGGACGTGGTGGCGCGCGCCTGTAGTCCTATCTACTTGGGAGGCTGAGGCAGAAGAATTGCTTGAACCCGGGAGGTGGAGGTTGCAGTGAGCCAAGATTGCACCACTGCACTCCAGTCTGGCAACAGAGTGAGACTCTGTCTCAAAAAAATAAATGAATAAATAAAAATAATAAATAAATTAGCCAGGTATGCATGCCTGCAGTCTCAGCTACTCAGGAGGCAGAGATAGAAGGATTGCTTGAGCCCAGGAGGTCGAGGCTGCAGTGAGCTATGATCCTGCCATTGCACTCCAGACTGGGCAACAGAGACCCTGTCTCTTAAAAAAAAAAAAAAAGTGACTTCTATGATATGTAAATTGTCTTAATCAAAAAATTGTTTTGAATTTGAATTTTGTAACATATTTTACCTATTTAAAAGGATGAAATTTTCAAGAGTTCTAAAGTAACAAATGGATATAACCATATAGATACTGAGTGTTTAAAACAATAAAAAGCTCTCCCTCCACAAGGCAGATTCCCAGCCTCAACCTGCAGAGACTCAGCGGCTGGTGATGGGCCCAGGAATCTGCATCTTCTGAAGGTGCTCAGCCAGGCCGAGAACCATCGCCCTAGAGGGAAAGGGGGTGGGGGAGTGGCACATGGCACATCATGGCTCACAGATGAAGAGGGAATTTGCATTTCTCGGCACCGTCTGCACAGCCGGCACAGTGCTAAGTATTCTCCGTGGTGATATATTGCTTTTGCTCTGTTGCAGAAACCGCGATTTGGATGTTACTGCTCCATTACACAAAAGAGGGAACTAAGGCCCAGCAATGTGGGGTCACCTGCCTAACATCACAGGTTAATCGGGGCTGGTCTGTCTGCCTCCAAATCAAACGGTCCCTTGAAGCCTAGAGCTGCCCGGTCCTTCCCGATGGCCCAGGGCTTACGTTTTCCCCTTGATCATATTCCATTTGGCACTTCCCTGATATCTGTTTCATGCTATTCTATAATTATCTTCCCCAAACGAGATTAGAAATTCCTTGAGAGCAGGGACCACATCTTCTCAAATGCAACCAGCATTTCTACACCTAATGGCGGGCAAGGCACAGACATGGGCCGGAGCCAGGAACTGCCTTCGAGGAGCTTGCCCTGCTCTTCCCTGGGAGATGCGGAGAGAGACCAAGGCTCAGTCCCTTTGGGGAAAGCAGCCCTGGTGATTCCGGGAGCCCAGGCTAGAACCAGAAGGGACAACAAAGGCCCAAGTTCAGGGGTGAGCATGTGATCACGGGGTGAAGAATGGAGCCACAGCCCTGCCCAGAGACCCAAGACTTGCCGGGCAGATAACTGAAGATGGGGGCGAGAAACTTAGCCCCTGTCTTTTTGGAGGAAGCTGGACCCCCACATGCTTCCCCCACCCCAAACCTACCAATCATGACTTTACGTCACTCCCAGGAGTGGCCGCAGCCATGTGGGTTAGTCTGCGCCATCTTCCCAGGTAGAAGGACTGAGTTTGAGTAAATACGGAAGGCAGTCCAGGCAGGGGGGAATGGCCCAGGCAAAGGCCTATGGGGCAGACTGTTCTTGATTTGGGATGGAAATGAGAGGGGTCTCTGGAGGTAACTGGCCTGGGAACCACGAAGTTGGGAGAGCACTGTCTGCTCGGGGCAGTTGCCAGCCATCACAGGACAGCGCCTCGCATTCCCTCTAGTGGTGGAAGTCGGGATGGCGCCACCCCTCCTGGAGCCCTCCTGGAGCCCCGCATCCCTACACCAGGCTTTCCTAGCACCGGGGACCCCTGTCACCAGCAGCTCCACTCACCAGAAGCCTCTCCAAGCGCAGAGAGAACCTGCGCTTTGGAGTCAGACAGACCTGAGCTCCATTCACAGCTCTGAGGTGAGCCATGTGAAGTGGCTTCACCTCTCTGAGCCTGTGCCCTCACTTGTACAGAGGAGAGGTTAAAAAGATCAACTCCACAGGCTGAGTAGGAAAAATAACGGAGATGCCACATGTGAGGCATCAGCCCAGGGCCTGGCAGATGGTCAGAGGCTCAGGAACAGAACCACAAAGGTGGGGAGAACGTGCCTAACTGTGGGCACCACCACACCTGCCCCAAAACACAGTGCCAAGCCCTGGGGGGGGCGCTCGGCCCAGAAGACACAACTTGCAGGCCGGGCGCACTGGTTCACGCCTTAACTCCAGCACTTTGGGAGGCCCAGGCAGGTGGATCACCCGAGGTCAGGAGTTCAAGACGAGCCTGGCCAACACGGTGAAACTGCGTCTCTACTAAAAATACGAAAAAATTGGCTGGGTGTGGTGGTGTGCACCTGTAATCCCAGCTACTCGGGAGGCTGAGGCTGGAGAATCGCTTGAACTCACGAGGCAGAGGATGCAGTGAGCCAAGATCACACCACTGCACTCCAGCCTGGGCGGCAGAGTGAGACTCTGTATCAAAAAGAAGAAGAAGAAGAAGAAGAAGACACAGCTTGCGGGATCCCCCCGTCCACCGCTCTGAGGGCCAGACTCTGGGGCTGGAGTGGGAGGGGTGGGGACTGGTACAGCAGCCTCCCCAGGTCTAATCTGGGTCCTTCTACTCCCAGGGGCTCTTGGTCCCAGAGCCCCAGCACGGTGGGTAGCAGTGGACAATCTCCCTCCCCATGGTGGGAGGAGCACGAATGGGTGGCCCACCCCAGGGGACCAGCCCTCCATACTCACGTCATCAACCTTGGGCTCCGTCACAGGGACCCATTTGTAGATTCGTAGGGATGTGTCACCAACGGTCACCCATTTCTTCTCCCTGAGGAGGATGAGGAAGAGCCTGTTACCGGGGACTCTTCATCCCTGGGGGACACAGGCCACACTCCCTTGGGGCTGAGAGCAAGCTCCAGATCACACAGATGAGGGTTGGAATCCCAGCTCCACCCTCACTAGCGGGAGGCCCTGGGCAGGCCACATCACCCATCTAAGCCTGGTTTCTCCACCCGTTACACCACATAGGGTGGTTGCCCTCTCCAGGCTGTCGCCAAAAAGGCTGAGGGTGGGGCTGCCATTACAAGGACTCCTATGGGTGGCACGAGTCGGGCCCAGGTTCCTCCTGTGTCACTGCCAATGCCACGCAGCCAGTGGACTGGGCCACCCGCGCCTGTCTGGGCAGCAGAGAGGGCTTCAGGCCAGCAGGCCGATTCCTCTCATGGGGGGTGGAGTCGTCACCAAGGACACCCCGGGGCTCCTCCTGCCCTCTGGGCGATGCGTCTGAGGTCAGGGGAGGCATGAGCAGGCAAGCCGGGGAGCCGCCCACACTCTGCCGGAAGAATGCCCTTCGTGGCGGCCAAGGAGAGCCAGGGAGTGGTGACCTCGGCCCGAAAGGAGGTTACACAGCCTGAATGTGTGGGTGCAGCCAGGTGGGAGGGGAACTGCACCCCTGATTCAGGGCTCCTAGTGACCCTGTCTGCAAGGTCACCCCAGCTGCATTACAAACGCCTGAAGGACGGAGTCCAGACCCCCCACTGTGAGAGGCAGGTTTATGGATGAGGAGAAACTTACAAGCCACAGAAGCAAACAGGACTGGTTTTCATTCGAGATAACAATGCCCACCCTCTCCTCCACCACCACCACTCTGCTCCGAGCCACTGTCATTTTTCCGATTATTGCTACAGCCAGCCACCTCCTGTCCTTGACCCCCTGCACTCCGACTTGTCCCTTACCGCCACGAAGACCCAGCAGCCACACCCCTGAGGGGACTGAGGCTCAGGAGAGCCTCCCAGAAGCAGGGCTGGGGTTGGAACCGAGGCTCCTAAATCAAGACTCTGCCAGATCAGGAGACCTGCGAGGCCACCAAGGAGCCACTGATGGCTCAGCTAGGAGGCTGGCGGATTTAAGGGGCCCAGCAGGCACTGTTGGGGCAGGCGCACCCCTGGTACAGGCGACGTAGCTGCCCGAGTCCTCAGCAATTTTGGTGACAAAAATTCCCAGAACTGAGAATTCTGTGTGGCACGAGCACCTCTGTCCGTGAGCTGCCTGGCACCTTTTTTTGGCCTCTCTGCCCAAACTCAGCCTTAGATCACCCCCTCGTGGGGCATGTGGCCCTCACATGCTGGTGTGACAGGTTACAGGACTCCCACCCTGTCACCACGGGGGTTGCGGGATGACGGAGCATACTCAAACCCAGCCAGCCGAAACCACAGACACCTCACCCCCAAAAACCCTGCCCGCTCGGGTCCCACGTGTTCCATCAGAGGACGCTACGGCCCGGCTTTTCTTATTATACCAGTGGCCATTCCTAGCGCCTTCTATGTACCAAGGACTGTGCCGGCTCATCCGGCAGGAAATGGCAACTTCCCCATTTGACAGATAAAGAAACCGAGGCACAGGGCGGTGAAGGTGAACTCATTCTCCCAGAGCCAGCACTCGAACCCTTCACCCAGCACAGCTGTTGAGACCAGCCTCTCTGCTCCCTCCTCCTTGCACCTTTTCACCCAGAAACGATGCAGGAAAGACGAGTGTCTAAGTCCACTGGCCCGTCTCCTGCCTCCTGTGGGCAGAGCAGACAAACCACAATGCCCACCTTTCCCCTCCTCAATTCTGAGCAATCAGAAGGTGTCCAGAAGAGACCGAGTGCTCCTGGGAAGAACCTCAGTTGTTAGAGCAACCATCACAATAGCCACTGTGTGCCCAGGCTATTACATGCCAGGCTCCACGCCAAGCACTCTACTTACACACCCTCTCTCCCTGGGATTCCCAACAGGCTACAAGAGGGGGACGATTGTCACCCTTTTTACAGATGCAGAAACAGGATGCCCAGAGAGGTTATACCACTAGCTTGGGGTCTCACAGACAGGAAGTGGCAGAAGAGAATTAGATTTGGGCTCGGACCCCAGACACCACCTCCTGCTATTCTGTTGGCCATGAAAACCAAGAATCATTCTAAAGGAGCGCCAGGGTAACAGAAGCTGGAGGAAGAATGACAAATTGCCAGGACTCCATGCAGATTGGCCAAAGCCATTCATTACTCATGAGCCCTGGACCAGCTTCCCAGTAAATCAACCCATTCAAGGTTTGATTGTGTTTGGGAAAAAAAAAAAAAAGTAATTGACTTGTAACACACAGGACACCTTTCAGGGCAGAAAGTGTGCCAGAGATCTGGGCTTTGCGGCCGCAAATCAGCCAAGATGCAAGTTTGCAGCTGCTTCCCAGCGAGGCTCGAGGCCACCGCAGGCTACAAGCTGAATGCAGCCAGGCTTTCGTGCCTCTCTTTGCCCCAACTGGCAACCTCTTCACCGAGTTCTCAAGTTACCCCAGTGATGAGAAACTGTATTTCTAGGTGTGGACATTGAGGGGACTCTGGGACAGAGGCAAGAACATTAAGAATTCTACCTCTGAGCTGGACCTATGCTCAGCTAAGCAGCCACCCGGAGGGGCCATGGAGCTCAAGTTTAAGGCACCAAGTGAGCACCCAGGAGGACATGGGATTTCACAGCCACAGACACACTGGGTGGGCACACGGGTTCAGCGGAGCAGCTGAGGTTTCCCACAATTGCCCCCCAAAACCATCACCACAGAACACATACCCCTCCCCAAAAAAGGGCGTTGCTCCTCTTCCCCAATGAGGGTATTAAGCTATACTCATCACTTTCTTATTTTTTTATTTTTTTTATTTTTTTGAGACGGACTCCTGCTCTGTGGCCCAGGCTGGAGTGCAGTGGCACAATCTCGGCTCACTGCAACCTCCGCCTCCCGGGTTCAAGCGATTCTCCTGCCTCAGCCTCCTGAGTAGCTGGGACTACAAGCACATGCCACCACGCCCGGCTAATTTTTGTATTTTTAGTAGAGACGGGTTTCACCATGTTGGCCAGGCTGACATCAAACTCTTGACCTCAGGTGACCCACCCGCCTTGGCCTCCCAAAGTGCTGGAATTACAGGTATAAGCCACTGTGCCCAGCCTATTTGTTATTTTTTTGAGATAAGGTCTCCCTCTGTTGCCCAGGCTGGAGTGCGGTGGTGCGATCACTGCTCACTGCAGCCTCGACCTCCTGGGCTCAAGTGATCTTCCTGCCTTGGCCTCCCAAAATGCTGGGATTACAGGTGTGAGCCACCACACATGGGCCCCACTTTATATTTAGGATGGCAAACAACCAGTCAACAGGCGTGTTTTGTTTGGCCTGCACAGTACTTTAAAAATGTTAAATCTGCTGCCAAACTTCAAACAAACAAACAAACAAACAACAAAACAGGCTTTGCATAAGAATCCAGACTTCTGGCTACTCTTGAAAACATGACCTGGGCCCACATGCCCCAGGGAGCGACAGCTTGCCCCAGATGGGCTCTCTGGCCCCCCTCAGATGCCCTCACTCTTGACACCTGTAAGCACCAGGTGCAGAAATCCCCACAACCACCAGGCTGCAGCCCAACTTGCTGCAAAGCTGGCCCTGGGTGTGCCCCGCGCCTCCTGTCTTGGCGGCCCCGTCACCTTACCCTGACTTCAACACCTTTCCCTTCCCATTACACTTGAGCTTCTGGGAGGAAAGGAAAAAATGAGGTCCCAGCAGTAGGAATATAGCCCCAACTGCTCCTCCCCAGCACGGACTCCTATATAAACTACAAGAATCCATCCCAGATTCTCCAGGCTAAGGCCAATTTCGAATGTTCTCCTGTGTCCAGGTCCAAGGGTTAGCCAACAAGACCATCTTAGGGTTACCCACCACTCAAGGGGACCCTGCTGACTCCCTCCAGGAAAGCTCTACTCCCTGTCCTTGTACTCACTCCTCATGGCTAGTCCCTGTCACCTCAAGAGGCCTGGCCCATGGCTGGCCTCACCCTAGCTAGGCCCAGGTCTGCCTGACCTGCCATGTGCCCAGTAGGAATGTCTCCATGATGAAACCTCTGGAGGAGCTGAGGTGAGGGAGGCCTCAGGCCCAAACCTCTACCTCTCCTGGGACAGACGGGAGCTCTTCAGGCACAGACCTTTCTCAGTCCTCACAGCAAGTCATTGAGGGAACCCTCAGACCAGGTGCTAAGGGGTCCTGGGCCTAAGCCTACTTTTTTTGTTTGTTTTTTGAGACAAGGTCTCACCCTGTCACCCAGGCTAGAGTACAGTGGCACAATCGTAGCTCACTGCAGCCTCAACCTCCTGGGCTCAAGTGATCCTCCAGGCTTAGCCTCCTGAGTAGCTGGGATTACAGACGAGGGTCACCATGCCTGTCTAATTTTTTTCTTTTTTTTTTTTTTTTTTTGAGACGGAGTCTCGCTCTGTCGCCCAGGCTGGAGTACAGTGGTGCAATCTTGGCTCACTGCAAGCTCTGCCTCGTGGGTTCATGCCATTCTCCTGCCTCATCCTCCCAAGTAGGTGGGACTATAGGCGCCTGCCACCACTCCCGGCTAATTTTTTGTATTTTTAGTAGAGATGGGGTTTCACTGTTAGCCAGGATGGTCTCGATCTCCTGACCTCGTGATCCTCCCTCCTCGGCCTCCTAAAGTGCTGGGATTACAGGTGTGAGCCAACGTGCCCGGCCTTTTCTCTTTTCTTTCTTCTTTTTTTTTTTTTTTTTTTTTTGAGATGGAGTCTTGCTCTGTTGCTCAGGCTGGAGTGCAGTGGCGCGATCTCGGCTTACTGCAACCTGCGCCTCCCAGGTTCAAGCAATTTTCCTGCCTCAGCCTTAAGAGTAGCTGGGATTACAGGCGTGTACCACCACATCCAGCTAATTTTTTGTATTTTTAGTAGAGACAGGGTTTCACCATGTTGGCCAGGCTGGTTTCCAACTCCTGACTTCAGGTGACCTGCCTGCCTCGGCCTCCCAAAGTGCTGGGATTACAGGCATGAGCCACTGCGTCCAGACTAATTTTTCTTTTTTCTTCTTCTTCTTTTTTTTTTTTGAGATGGAGTCTCGCTCTGTTGCCCAGGCTGGAGTGCGGTGGCGCAATCTCCGCTCACTGCAAGCTCCACCTCCTGGGTTCCCGCCATTCTCCTGCCTCAGCCTCCCAAGTAGCTGGGACTACAGGCGCCCGCCACCACGCCTGGCTAATTTTTTTGTATTTTTTTAGTAGAGACGGGGTTTCACCATGTTTGCCAGGATGGTCTTGATCTCCTGACCTCGTGATCCGCCTGCCCGGCCTCCCAGAGTGCTGAAATTACAGGCGTGAGCCACCGCGCCCGGCTCTTTTTTTTCTTTTTCTTTTTTTTTGGTTTGAGACCCAGGCTGGTCTCAAACTCCTGGGCTCAAGCAATCCTCCTGTCTCAGCCTCCCAAAGCTCTGGGATTACAGGCGTGAGCCACCGCAGCGGGCCTCCAAGCTTACGCTGCAGCCCAAGCTTTCGTCTCCTACCATCGCCCTGGGGTCTTCTCTCCTCCACCAGCACAGGGCCCCCAAACCCTGGCCCAGTTTCCCAAAAAGAGGCCCACCATTTTGTTTTCCCTTTAGCCATCTTCTGGTCACCTCACCTCCACTGGCCTGCCTTGCTGAAACACCAGAAAAAGAGAACAGGAGGCAGCCTGCCCCAAATGAGAGGGAGGCCACAGCTTTTTCCGGGGGTGGGGGAAGCATCAGGGGACAGTGGGTGGGTCGGGGGGGTAATTTTAGGGGTCACTAGGGCTGAGGAGAAACCCACCCAAGGCTCATGGGGCCAAATGATCTGCCAAACACTTCGGCTTCCCTCTGGGTAAAATACAGGGTGCCCTGTTAAATTTGCATTTCAGATAAATTAGATAATGTTTTAGTATAAGTGTGTCCCAAATATTGCATGAGACATACTCAAAAACATTTATTTTTAAAAAAATCTTTCATTGTTTATCTGAAATTCAAATTTAACTGGGTGTGCTGTATTTTTATCTGGTTAAACCTGGCAACCCCACCCCCCCACCAGTGGTGAAATGCATGGTTGGTGACCACACAATTAATAAACAACCCACAGTCTCATGGGCTGAGTCTAAGACCCAATCCGAAGGCGCGGGGAAGGTGAGATATGGCTTCTCAGGGGCCAGAGAAACCTGGGCAATAAGTCCAAGGCTTTCGCTTAGAAGGGGCCAAAAAAAAAAAAAAACAAAAAACCTCAAAGCCAAGTTTCTACAAAGTCCACCTTACAACACAGACAACACTGAGCAACAGCTCCTCCTGCGCCCAGGGCGCGGTGCTCTCGGAGGCATGACCTCAATCGTCCTCAATAACCCGAGGGGACCTGGAAGCCAAGCACAAAACCCCGGGTCACCATGGTTAGAGAAGTGACAATGATATGCCCAAGGTCGCGGCAACGAAGTGAACTGGAAGCTGGACCATGAGATCCCAAAGCCTGAGGTCTTCAGAGGACACGATGTGTTGTTTCCCCAAACCCAGGGAGGCGCAGAGGTACAGCCCCTCAAGCTCCAACTACAGGCCTGGTCCCCGCGGGGTCAGCGGGCTGGAAGGCCTCCAGGCCGGCCGCCCCGGGGCCCGCGGGGTGGGAAGCCCCATCTCTCCATCTGCCCTCCCTGCAGAGCAGCTGGCCGCTCTGCGGGAGCAGCTGTCAGGGTGCAGGAGCCTCTGTCCAGCCGGGAACCTGGAGTAGGAGGCCCCACCACGCCTCCTCGAGCAGAGAAAGGCGGCTTGCCGGCTGTTTCCCAACCTCCAGGCCGGCGACAGAAGGGACCCAGGCACAGACACCAGTTCTTTCTTTGCACAGGGGCTGAGGCAAGGAGGGGAGCAACTCCGGGCTTCCCGCGGGGAATCCCACAGTAGAGGGGGCTGCGGGTTGTTTTCCAGCGTGTGTGTGTTGGCCTGCAGCTGTTTCTGCCATTTTTAAATGGCTCCAGTCGGGCACCGGGCACCCTGTGTACCAGGGGAGCTCCCGAGACACCGACGACTTGGATCTCAACTTTGGAAAGCCTCCCCTTCTCACGGTTCTGAAAATTCTTTGTCCCACTGGAGCCAAACCCAGCCCACGGCCGGGCATCCGGCCATCGCAGCCAGCCCTTTCCATAGGAGGCCGGGGAGCACGTGGACTTTATTGATTTTCCTCTTGCCTTTTTTGTTGGGTTTGACTCAGAAAGGACAGCTAACTTGTGACACCGCCACACCGGAGGCTCGCCCCCAGTGGCTTTTAGAGACCGAGGCGCTACTCGAGAAACGACACCCCCAAACGTAAACATCCCCTGCCACAGGGCCTGCCCAGCTTCCAGGCTCGAAATAAAGGGTCGAGACGAGCCCGCGGGCGCTGACACTCAGAGCCAGCGTTGCGGCGGCTCCTCTCCCTCCGGGACCCCAGTGAAGGCGTGGGAAAAAAATAATAAAGTTGAAATCAGGCAGCGGGGAGTTTTCAACAACTCTGACCCAACCTGGCGATCTGCTTGCGCCTCGGGCCTGGCCCAGGGGCCGATTCCGAGCAGACCCCGACGAGGCCGCGGAAAGGTTCGATCCCCTTAATGTCGACCGGGCCACGCCGGGCGGACGCTAATGTGATCCCGAAAACCACGCGCGGCCGCCACCAAGTCCCCCTCTCCCCGGTGCAGAGAACAAAAACAACAGCTCCCTCCGCAAAACAAACACGAGCTCCCGGTGTGGAGAGGCAGCCGCGGCCCAGGACGAACGGCTTCTGGCCAAAAACATCGGCTGGCCCGAGCCCCCCGCCCGGGGCGCCGCGCAGAGCGGGGTGGGACGTGGGCGCCCCGCGCCCCTGGCCGCTGGCTCCCAGCGCTCGCCCCCATCTTTCCTGGTCGCCGAGAGCCCTCGCTCCAGGCAGCCCAAAGCGCTAAATTTAAACGGCTCGCGCTCTGCAAACTCCGCAGACTCGAGGGCGCCGGGCCCGGGAGGCGGGAGCGGGCGGCCGGGCGGGCCGGGGCTGGCGGAGGGCGGCGGGGCGCGGGCCGGGGTGCGCGGGGAGGAGACGGCGGCGGCGGCCCGCTCGGAGCCTGCACAATGGAGCTCGCGCTCTCCCCGCCGCCGCCGGCATCGCGGCCCCGGCGCGCGGGAAGCCGCTTTCATGTGACTTGCACAAAACGAAATGGCTTCTGGGGCCGGCCCCGAGCCCCCCTCCCGGGAGCCGAGCGCCGCGGCGGGGGCCGCCCCGCCGCTCCAACCGCCTGGCCCCGGCGCCCGCCGCCTCCGGGCCGCCGCGCCAGGTGGGCTACAGGCGCGAGCGCACCTGGGCAGCGGCCGCGGCCCCAGCCTGGCGCAGGTGACCCGGCTCGCGCGCCGCCCGCCCGTCCGCCCGCCCTCGCCAAGTCCCGGGGCCCGCGGCGGGGCTGGGCCGGGGCAGGCGGCCGGGGCGCTGCGCCCCGCGGCTCTCTGGAGCCGCGCTCGGGCTCGGGGCGGCCGGGGAGGCGGCTGGCGGCGGGCGCCTCCGCTTACCATTTGCGCACTTTCTCGATCGCCGCCATGACCCTCTTGATATCATCTTTGGCCCGGCTCCTCGTCTCGGCTCGAACCGACCTGCCCGACATGGTTCCGGCGGGGAGACGGAGGCTGGGGAGCGCGCCCGCCGGGTCCTGCTCGCGCTCCGCGGCGGCCACACTCGCGCCCGCCCGCCGCTCACTCACTCGCGCACAGACACTCGCACTCTCACACGCACACACTCACACACACACACACACACACACACACATACACACACACACAAAGCCCGGGGCCGCCGCGCGCCTGGCCCAGTGCGCAAGCGCCGGGCGGCAGCTGCACAGAGCAGGGGGAGCCGCGCCGCCGCCGCCGCCGGCAGTGCGGCCTCCGGGCGCCGCGGCCACCGGGCAGCGCCCCCGGGCCTCCTGCGCCCCCAGAGGGGACGCCCCGGACGCCCTCCTGGGGAGGTGGCGAAGGGCGCACGGCGACCCCCGGCTCTGGGCGCGCGGTGGGGGCGGGCGTGCGGACACGCGCGCTGACCCTTCCTCGGAGGCTGCAGGTGCCGAGGGGTCCATGGGAGACAGCCGGTCTGCGGGGCGCGGGGGGGTCGCGTTCCCCGGGAGCCAGCCCAGCTGCCCCTGCCCAGCCCCCAGAGCGCGGCGGCGGGTGCAGTCGTGCAAGTTTCTTGCGGGTCTCTTGACTTCTCCGAGTTGAAGGCACCGGTTCGGGACGCGAGGTGCTCTTGGAAAGAGTTGGGCATCGCGCATCTCTGCTGGCCCGCGGCCCTGTTCAAATGCGAGCTAGGACGTCGCCTGCCCCAGGCTTTGTCCTTTTGGAAAACTAGGGTTGTAGGAAGGTGCCTGGTGCCAGGCAGACCACCAGAGACTCTCGACCTTGAGTACTAAAGAGTTTTCTGCTCAGCAAAAGCTCAATGATGATCAGCATCGTAACAGGGACTCTTCCTCCCGCCCCCAGAAGTTCTCTTGTCATAAACAAGGCGAGGGGGTCTTCGCTGAGCTTCACCAGAGGACCACGATTTCACCTTAAGCCATTCCTGACTTCAGTACCAGACTGAGACCAGGCGCTGCTACTGCCCAAATGACCCCTGGTCCCATCTACAAGGAGCACTTTTGAGGCCTCAGAACAGAGCCCCGGGGAGAAATCTGCGATGATCAGGGTAACCTGGGTGCCGCATCTTGCTGTTCAGCTGCAGCGGAACCGGCCGGACCAGAGCTAATGCGCGCCCAGAATGAAGAGGGAGACCGAGAGTGGCCCAAATGTCAGCGCCCCGGGCCTGGAGATGACAGCCCGACAGCAGCCATTTCACAGCTGGGGAAACTGAGTCCTGGGAAAGTTTAAGGTTGCAGCCTTAAGTTGTTACTCATTCTAGACGTTTCCCCTGAGGGTTTGGTCTTTGGGGAACACGCTACTGTGGAAATGGAGAGACCGCAGGCCTTTTCCTAGGCATTTGTTTTTACTATTCTGAAACGCAGTCTCCTGACGTGAAAAATGAAGAAAAGAACAAATACTGGCCGGGCGCGGTGGCTCATGCCTGTAATACCAGCACTTTGGGAGGCCGAGGCGGGTGGATCACTTGAGGTTAAGAGTTCGATACCAGCCTGGCCAACATGGTGGGTGAAACCCCGTCTCTACTAAAAATACAAAAATTAGCCGGGCGCGGTGGTGGGCTCCTGTAATCGCAGCTACTCGGGAGTCTGAGGCAGGAGACTCGCTTGAACCTGGGAGACGGAGGTTGCAGTGAGCAGAGATCCAGCCACTGCACTCCAGCCTGGGAGACAGAGTGAGACCCTGTCTCAGAAAAAAAAAAAAGGCCGGGCGCGGTGGTTCATGCCTGTAATCCCAGCACTTTGGAGGCCGAAGTGGGCAGATCACGAGGTCAGGAGTTCGAGACCAGCCTGGCCAACATGGAGAAACCCTGTCTCTACTAAAAATACAAAAATTAGCTGGGCGTGGTGGTGCAGGCCTGTAATCTGAGCTACGCGGGAGGCTGAGGCAGGAAAATGCTTGAACCTGGGAGGCAGAGGTGCAATGATCATGCCATTGCACTCCAGCCTGGGCAACAGAGCAAAACTGAATCTCAAAAAAACAAAACAAAACAAAATAAAACAAAACAAAACAAAAAAAGAAAGAGAGAAAGAAAAAGAAAAAAAAGAGAAAGAGAAAGAAGGACTTCAGAGAATCGTTCCGAGAATTTTCTGGGAAAATATGCAACAGCAGGTCATAAAACAGATCTCACAGAGATATGTGAGATCAATAGGTATGTGCTTTGGGCCACATGAAACTTTAAAAAAATGTATCTTAAAATTTAAAATAGGAAAATATTATGTCAGAATTCAAATAGTGACTGAGGAACAGATAAATGTGTCTATCCACACAATGGAATATTATTCAGCCATAAAAGGGAATGAATACATGCTACAACATGGGTGAACCTTGAAACACGCTAAGTGAAAGAAGCCAGTCACAAAAGGATAAATATGCGTAAGTCCATTTGCGGGAGATATCTACAACTAGGCGAATCCATAAAGACAGATATCAGATTGGTGGTTGCCAGAGGCAAGGGGGAGGGAGAGCAGGAGTGACTGCTAACGGATGTGGGGTTTCCTTTCGGAGTGATAGGAAAGTTCTGGAATGAGATAGTGGTGATGGTTGCAGAACAATGTGAATGTACTTAATGACGCTGAATTGTACACTTTTAAATGGTTACAATGGTCAATTTTATGTGTATTTGATCATAATAAAAAGAAATCTAGGCTGGGCGCGGTGGCTCACATCTGTGATTCCAGCACTTTGGGAGGCCGAGGTGGGTGGACTGCTAGAGGCCAGGAGTTTGAGACCAGCCTGGGCAACATGGTGAAACCCCATCTCTACAAAAAATTCAAAAAATAGCCAGGTGTGGTTGTGCGCATCTGCAGCCCCAGCTGCTCAGGAGGCTGAGGTGGGGAAGATGGCTTGAGCCCAGAACGTAGAGGCTGCAGTGAGCCAAGATCATGCCACTGCATGAAGCAAAGAAAGAGAGAGAGAGAGAGAGAGAGAGAAAAGAAAGAACGAAAGAAAGAAAGAAGAAAAGAGAGAGGGATGAGGAGAAGGAGAGAGGGAGGGAAGGAAGAAGGAAGAAAAAGAGGGAAGGAGGGAGGGAGGAAGGAAGGAAGGAAAAAAAAAAATACCCAGCTTCTCTAGAACCAGCAGATCTGCAAACTGGACCCTCAGTGCCACATGGCACCCATCGGCTAGAGCAGAGAGCTCTGTCTGTATCTTTCAGACAGAGTTATCTGGGTCACCAGTGCACTCATAGCCACTTTACTCATTTGTGTTACCTGTCTGGCCCCTGAAAGTATTTGTGATTTTGATCCCCAATAAAACCATAAAGCTTTCTTCAAATGTCCTTTGTAAATCTAGTATGTCACTTTTAGTAGTTTCCTGTCTCCTGCAGGTATTTTTACACTTCTTTCTTTCAACAAAGCACAGTAGTTTTACAGCCTGTGTCTGATGATTCTAGTATTTGAAGTCTCCAAGAGTCTGTTTCTGCTAGGTCTTGCTCATGGTGTCATAGTTCCTTGTTATATGCCTGGTTCTCTTTGACCATGCTGGACACTATTTTAAAATTTATTCATAGGGATAATTTGAGGCCTCCCCCTAGAAATAATTTATATTTGCTTCTGCCAGGCCCCTCAGGTCACTGCTAGTCTGGGGTGACCTCAATCCTAGTTCAGGGTTTGTGAGCCCCCGACCACTCAGGTGATGCGAATCCTGGCCGCATAGTTGTGCAAGACTGGTTGACTTCTTGTAGTCTGAGGGTGGAGCCAGGGATGTGCTGCAGATGGTTTACAGGCTTCTGCTTCCCAGCTCTGTGTTTAGTGACCTCATGCTGAGAGTTTGGAATCAGCTGTGGAGGGAGTATTTACACCATGGAAATCGGCAAATGATTTATACATCAGGACCCTCCTTCCCCAGCCCCAGCCAGAGCTGGTGGTTGAACATTTACCAGCATACCATTGGTGGAGTCCGACAGGGCCCAGATTATCGTGGGAAAGGACTCCCGCTTAGTGTGAGTCGTGGATTTTAATTTTCTGGCCTTTTTTTGATTGAGACGGAGTCTTGCTCTGTCACCTAGGCTAGAGTGCAGTGACGTGATCTCAGCTCACTGCAAGCTCCGCCTCCTGGGTTCACACCATTTTCCTGCCTCAACCTCCCAAGTAGCTGGGACTACAGGCGCCCGCCACCACGCCTGGCTAATTTTTTGTATTTTTAGTAGAGACGGGGTTTCACCGTGTTAGCCAGGATGGTCTCGATCTCCCGACCTCGTGATCTGCCCACCTCAGCCTCCCAAAGTGCTGGGATTACAGGCATGAGCCACCGCGCCCAGCCTTTTTTTTTTTTTTTTTTTTTGAAACGGAGTCTCGCTCTGTTGCCCAGGCTGGAGTGCAGTGGCACAATCTCGGCTCACTGCAAGCTCCGCCTTCTGGGTTCACACCATTCTCTTGCCTCAACCTCCTGAGTAGCTGGGACTATAGACGCCCGCCACCACGCCCAGCTAATTTTTTTTTTTTTGTATTTTTAGCAGAGACAGGGTTTCACCATGTTAGCCAGGATGGTTTCGATCTCCTGACCTCATGATCCGCCCGCCTCAGCCTTCCAAAGTGCTGGGATTACAGGCGTGAGCCACCGCACCCAGCCTAATTTTCTGGCCTCTTGCCCCATAAAATCATTCATGGTCAAGTTCAAATATGCTAAGCTGGCAAAAGTAAAAGTGGCTTCCTTGCCAGATTACATTTCAGTTTTTTTCCTTCAATTTTGGCCTAATTTCTCACTATCTTCTTTCTTACAGTCAGCATGTAGTGGCTTTTAGGATATTTTCAAGTATTTTTCCTAGCATTTTTAGTTACTTCGAGAGTTAGTCTGAATAATTGTTTACTAGAAACTGGAAGTCAAGCTCTCTACAAATGTTTACTATTATTCTAGTTATGTTAAAAGAGTAAAAGAGAGGCCGGGTACAGTGGCTCACGCTTGTAATCCTAGCACTTTGGGAGACTGAGGCGGGCAGGCAGATCACCTGAGGTGAGAAGTTCAAGACCAGCCTGGCCAACATGGCGAAACCCCATCTTTACTAAAAATACAAAAATTACCCGGGTGTGGTGGCAGGTGCCTGTAATCCCAGCTACTCAGGAGGCTGAGGCAGGAGAATCACTTGAACTCGGGAGATGGAGGTCTCAGTGAGCCCAGATCACACCACTGCACTCCAGCCTGAGTAACAGAGCGAGACTCCATCTCAAAGAAAAGAAAAAAAAAAAAGAGTAAAAGAGGGATTCCAGGGTCACAGGAGTGAGTGAGTTAGTTATGGCTGTGTCAAATGTCCTAACCTCTCTGTGCCTCATCTGTAAAATGGGGATGAAAATAACTACACCCATTTCATAGGGTTCTTATGAAAATTACGCGCGCTAGACCAGGCGCGGTGGCTCATGCCTGTAATCCCAGCACTTTGGGAGGCCGAGGCGGGCGGATCACGAGGTCAGGAGATCGAAACCATCCTGGCTAACATGGTGAAACCCTGTCTCTACTAAAAATACAAAAAATTATCCGGGTGTGGTGGCGGGCGCCTGTAGTCCCAGCTACTCGGGAGGCTGAGGCAGGAGAATGGCATAAACCCAGGAGGTGGAGCTTGCAGTGAGCCGAGATCGCACCACTGCACTCCAGCCTGGGCGACAGAGCGAGTCTCCATCTCAAAAAACAAAATAAAAAGAGAATTATGCACACTATCTGTCAAGCACTTAGAGCAGTGTCACCACGCGGTAAGTGCTGCATCAGAAAGGACGGACGTGTGCCACATAGCAACGTTCCAGTCAACAACTGCATATACGATGGTGGTCCCAGAAAATTGTAACGGAGCTGATGACATTGGATCCATCCTCACGTCATAGTGCAATTACTTTCATTCATTGATTTAGAGACGGGGTCTTGCTCCCGCAATTACATTATTTA
Organism: Homo sapiens; assembly: GCF_000001405.40. Taxonomy (NCBI): domain Eukaryota; kingdom Metazoa; phylum Chordata; class Mammalia; order Primates; family Hominidae; genus Homo; species Homo sapiens. The sequence continues at coordinate 122,016,201 of NC_000012.12, read as the reverse complement.
TTTAGAGACAGGGTCTCACTCTGCCCAGGCTGGAGTGCAGTGGCAGGATCATGGCTCACTGCAGCCTCCCCCTCCCAGGCTCAAGTGATCCTCCTACCTCAGCCTCCCAAGTGGCTGGGACCACAGATGTGGGCCACCATGCCCAGCTATTTTTTATTTATTTATTTTTTTGAGACAGGGTCTCACTCTATTGCCCAGGTGGAGTGCAGTGGCAGGATCATTATTCACTGCAGCTTTGACCTTCTGGGCTGAAGCCATCCTCAGCCTCCTGAGGAGGCCGGGACTACAGGTGTGTGCCACCACGCTTTTTTTTTTCTTTATTGTAAGGCGGGGGGGGTCTCACTTTTTTGCCCAGACTGGTCTCAAACTCCTGGGCTCAAAGGATCTTCCTGCCTCAGCCTCCCAAAGTGCTGGGATTACACTTGTGAGCCACTATGCCCAGCCTAACTTTATTTTTTTATTTTTATTTTTATATTTTGAGATACAGTTTCGCTCTTGTTGCCCAGGCTGGAGTGCAATGGCATGATCATGGCTCACTGCAACCTCCGCCTCTCTGGTTCAAGCAATTCTCCTGCCTCAGCCTCCCAAGTAGCTGGGATTACAGGCACCCGCCACCACACCGGCTAATTTTTGTATTTTTGGTAGAGATGGGGTTTCACCATGTTGGTCAGGCTGGTCTTGAACTCCTGACCTCAGGTGATCCACCCGTCTCAGCCTCCCAAAGTGCTGGGATTACAGGCATGAGCCACCGCGCCTGGCTGTAACTGTATTTTTAAAATAAATCTAATGCAGCATAAGTGTACCATGTTTGTAAAGCCTATAGTAGTGGATAGTAATGTCCTGGGTCTTCACATTCTCTCACCACTCACTGACTCACCCAGAGCAACTTCTAGCCTGCAAGATCCATTCACGGTAAGTGCCTGTGCAGATGGACCATTTTTTATGTTTTACACTGTATTTTTGCTGTACCTTTTCTATGCTTAGAAATGTTTAGATACACAAACCCTTACCTTTGTGTTACAATTGCCTGCAGAATTCAGTACGGTACAGTATAGGATTCCCAGGCCGTACAGGTTTGTAGCTTAGGAGCAGTAGGCTGTACCATACAGCCTAGGTTTACAGTAGGTGACACCATCTGGGTTTGTGAAATCACACTCCGTGATGTTTGCACACTGATGAAATTGTCTGGGCTGGGCACCATGGCTGGCTCACACCTGTACTCCCAGCACTTTGGAGGCCAAAGTGGGAGGACCACTTGAGGCCAGGAGTTCAAGCCCAGTCTGGGCAACATAGCGAGACTTAGTCTTTACAAAAAAATGAAAAAAAAATCAGCCAGGTGTGGTGGTGCACCCCTGTAGTCCCAGTTACTCAGCCAGCTGAGGTGGAAGGATCGCTTGAGCCCAGGAGTTCAAGGCAGCAGTGAGCTGTGATCGTGCTACTGCCCTGCAGCCTGAGTGACAGAATGAGACTCTCTTAAAAAAACAGGAAAAAAATTGCCCAGCAATGCATTTCTCAGGACATATCCTCGTCGTTAAGCGACACATGACTATATTTGTTAGAGGACCTGTACGATTGTTCACGTCATCATTATAATCATCATAATGATTAAACATCATTACTATGTAATGACCCTCGCTAGGGACTGAAGTCAAACGATTCCCCTTTCCCTGCTTTCTAAATTCAAGTCTCCATCCACTCCTGCTGCTGTTCCTCCGGGGTGGAGGCTCGTTCACCACTGCGGGGTGGAGGCTCGTTCACCACTGCGGGGTGGAGGAGGTTTCCATCTCTGGAACAGAGATGTGTAATTGTGAGGCGCGTGCAGGCCCAGCCTCGGTGAGTCTCTGCAGCCTAGCAACTTGCAGCGGCAGCAGCAGCCTGTGGTTTCATAAACAGAGGTGCTCTGGTGTTTAGGGAGCAGGTCATTAGCCAGGCCTAGCAAAGAGGCAAAGCTTTAAGGAGAAAGCTCCAACCACAGAATGAAATATACTCCATTCCTCTGACACAGGAACAGAAAGGCGATGAAGCAAAGCACGACAAAGACCATCAAGGCCACCTCCCTCCTTTTACAGAAAAGAAAGCTACAATTCAATAGCTGCCCAGCCACTTAGCAGAGTTGTGGCCAGAACTCAGCTCTCCCGATTGGGGAACCGGGGCTTCCGGACTCCACACATGTCATAATGCTGATAGTTTGAAATCAGCTCTAATGGGAATATTTACACTATGGAAATTGGCAAGTGCTATACGTCAGGCCCCTCCCCTCTTCCCCACCCAGAGCTGGTTGATAAGCATTCAGCAACACGCAGCTGGTGGAACTCAGTGAGGTCCCAAATTATTAGCATTTTCTAAATGCAGAAAGTCTGGATGACCCAGTGGCTTGGAATAAAGTTGGGATCCTTCTACACACAGGCTCGGTACATTCTTAGGTCAGGGATCTAGAAGGCTGCCCAGACTTCTTCCCCTGTACTCTCCACATGTGGAGTGATTCCACCTGTTCAGCATCTGAACACCCTCCTAGTTCTGGGTGAGCCTTTGTGGGTGGAGGCAGCCCCTCCCCACCCCGCTACCGGAGCTAAAGGGGGTCTGTCTCTCTCTTCACTGGGGGCCCAGTTAAGTCCTGGGAATGGGTTCCAACCTTAGGTGTGGATGGTGGATGGTCTAGCCGGTTGATTTTTTAAAATAATGGTTCTATTAAGATATAATTCATGCAGCATAAAATTCACCCTTTTAAAGTGTATAATTCAGTGGGTTTTAGTATATTCACGGAGTTGTGCAACTGTCACCACAATCAATTTTAGAACATTTCATCATCCATAAAAGAAACCCTGTACCCATTAAACAGTCACATTAAACAGTCACTCTCTGTCCCCTCCCCACGGTCCCTGGTAACCACTAGTCTATATGGTTTCACGTAAATTAAGGATGTTTCACATGAATTGAGTCATACAATATGTGGCCTTTTAGGTCTGGCTTCTTTTGCTCAGCATGTTCTCAAAGATCATCTATCCGGTAGCATGCATTAATACATAATTTCTTCTTATAGCTAAATAATATTCCACTGTATAGATATACCACAATTTGTTTTTTCATTCTTTTGTTGATGGTTATGGGGTTGTTTCTACCTTTTGTTTTTCTTTTTTTTTTTTTTTTGAGATGGAGTCTCGCTCTGTCGCCCAGGCTGGAGTGCAATGGCATGATCTCAACTCACTGAAACCTCCGCCTCCCGAGTTCAAGCCATTCTCATGCCTCAGCCTTCCAAGTATCTGGGATTACAGGCACGAGCCACCATGCCCAGCTAATTTTTGTATTTTTAGTAGAGATGGGGTTTCACCATGTTGGCCGGGCTGGTCTCAAACACCTGATCTTAGGTGATCCACCTGCCTCTGCCTCCCAAAGTGCTGGGATTACGGGCGTGAGCCACCATGCCCTGCCTTGGTTTTGTTTTGTTTTGTTTTGTTTTGTTTTTTTCAAGAGATGAGGTCTCACTTGCCCAGGCTGGTCTCAAAGTTTCGAACTACTGGATTCAAGTAATTCTCCCACCCTCGCATCCCAAAGTGCTGGGATCTGTGATCTGTGGCATGAGCCATCGTGCCTGGTCTTACCTTACCTTTTAGCTACTATGATTCATGTTGCTGTGAACACTAATGTACATAATGGTCTTTATGTGTGGATGTATATTTTCCCTTCTCTTGGCCACATACCTAGGAAGGGAATTGCTGGGTCATATGGTAATTCTATATTTAACATTTTGAGGAACTGCCAAGCTACTTTCCAAAGCAGCTGCACCCTTTTACACTTCCACCGGCAATGTGGCAACTGCTCCGCATCCTCGCCAGCACTTGTTATTGTCTTTTTAAATTTTTAGCTATCCTAGTGGAGGTCAAGCGGGATCTTACTGTGGGATTGATTTTGACTTTGAGGTTTGAGGAAGGTAGGGACAATGGAGAAATGACTCACAGCAGACGTGGCCATTGGAAATCTTAACGAGATTGGAGGATCAAGTGCTCAGGGGTGGCAGCACCACTGGGACGTCCTGGCATCCTTTGGTTCCCACTCATCTCCAGGGCTTGCTTCTCCAGTGTCTCCATTGATTCTGTGAGTTGCCTGGTAGCTTTGAAATCAAGTCCTTTTCCACTTAAGCTAAGCAGAGTCAATTTCTATTACTGCAAACCAAAGATCATGATTGACACCAAATTGAAGCTGTCCCTCTCTCCTTCTCCTTCTTTGAGACAGAGTCTCACTCTGCTGCCCAGGCTGAAGTGCAGGGGTGCAAAACAGCTCACTGCACCTCAACTTCTCCAGGCTGAAGTGATCCTCCCACCTCAGCCTCTGGAGTAGCTGGGACCACAGCCTTGTGCCACCATGCCCAGCTAAATTTTGTTTTTATTTATTTATTTTTTTGAGATGGAGTCTTGCTCTGTCCCCCAGGCTGGAGTGCAGTGGCACAATCTTGGCTCACCAACCTCCACCTCCTGAGTTCAAGCAATTCTCCTGCCTCAGCTGCTTGAGTAGCTGGGATTACAGGTGCGTGCTAACATGTCCTGCTAATTTTTGTATTTTTAGTAAAGATGGGGTTTCACCATGTTGGCCAGGCTGGTCTCAAACTTCTGACCTCAGGTGATCCGCCCACCTTGACCTCCCAAAGTGCTGGGATTACAGGTGTGATCCACTGGGCCTAGCCTAAATTTTGTATTTTTAATAAAAATGGGGTTTCACCATATTGCCCAGGCTGGTCTCAAACTCCTAGGCCAAAACGATCCTCCTGCCTTGACCTCCCAAAGTGTTGGGATTACAGGCATGAGCCATGTTGCCCAGCTGATTTCATTTTTAAAAACTTGAAATCCCTGGAAATCTCAAAAGGATGAAAAAGTGCCAACTTAAGGACTTAAAGTAGGTGGGGCTGAAACCCACTGTGAGCCATTCAATCTGTGGCTGGTGTCATAGGAAGGAACACACTGACTTTGGGGCTAGTCTTTCCTGGGACCCTCTGAGTGACCGCCTATCCCACATCAGGACCCTGGAATATGAAGAAATGAGAAGTGGCCAGATCTTCCACTTGGAACACTTGACCAGCCTCCATTCTTCCTACCCACTTCATTTTTTCCTTTTTAAATTTAATAGAGTCGGGGTCTTGCTGTGTTGCCCAGGCTGGTATTGAACTCCTGGCTTCGAGCAATCTTCCCACCTCAGCCTCCCAAAGTGCTGGGATTACAGGTGTGAGCTGCTGCACCCCGCCACCTACCCACTTCCCATATGAAACATTCCTACTCAGGCTCATGAGGAAGAATCATACACTGGCAGTGGTAAAGGAACACTAGAGGTCATTCTAGATGCCTTGTCTTGAGCCTGCAGCATTCCCCAGGGTTGACCATGGAAAGCTTTGGTTCACTGAATGCATCTGGCTCTTCCGCAGCTCCCAGCTTTGGCTCACTTGGCTCCCTCTGGAACATTCTCCCCTCTCTGACCACTTCATCTAAACCTGCCCCCCTCTAGGGATTCCCTCTCACAGGGGCCGGGCTTTTCCCTCGTAGCTCTGAGCACCGTTTGCAAGTTTACATTAATGTGTTTGTTTAACATGAGCCCCCTAAAGACAACAGCCACTCTCTTGTTCACTCCAGATAGGCAGCCCTCACACAGGGCCCAGCACACAGTCAGCGTTTGTTGAATTCGTGAGTGGGTAATAAATGAAGTCCATCTCTCTCAGGTTTTTTTTTTCTTCTTTTTAGATGAAGTCTGGCTCTGTCACCCAGGCTGGAGTGCAGTGGCGCCATCTCGGCTCACTGCAATCTTTGCTTCCCAGGTTCAAGCGATTAACCTGTCTCAGCCTCCCAAGTAGCTGGGATTACAGGAGCGCGCCACCACAACCGGCTAATTTTTGTATTTTTAATAGAGACGGGGTTTTGCCATGTTGGTCAGGCTGATCTCAAACTTCTGACTTCAGGTGATCTGCCCACTTTGGCCTCCTAAAGTGCTGGGGCTACAGCCACTTCTTCCAGCCCCATCTCGCTCAGATTATAAAGGAAGAAATGAGATGCTTCCAGGGGAGGGGGGACGGCAGCCACCCTCGCATCCAGGAGGCATGTGCCCCACTCCCCCCATCCCCTCGCGGGTGCAGGGACAGCCGTGGTCCAGGCCCAGGGGACTACCCACTAAGCCTTCTCCAGGGCAGCCAGTCTGGCCGGTGGGCTGGGGGTGGTGCAGTCTGCAGCACATCCAGGTGGCGTGAAGTGCTCACTGGAGCCTGCCCTTGCTGTGGTCATGAAACTTGCTCCCCTCAAAAAACTCCACCAGCTTTAAAGATATGCAGCTTTAAAAAGATATGCAAAAATAAATACTATATTTACACTGATGTGTTTTATGACTTCCAATCAAAACAACAAGAGGACATGGGGAGGGGGCCTCAGACGATGGTCCGAGCCCTTTTTTTGTTGTTTTTGTTTTTTGAGACAGAGTCTCGCTCTGTCGCCCAGGCTGGAGTGCAGTGGCGCGATCTCGGCTCACTGCAAGCTCCGCCTCTCAGGTTGATGCCATTCTCCTGCCTCAGCCTCCCGAGTAGCTGGGACTACAGGTGCCTGCTACCACGCCCTGCTAAATTTTTTGTATTTTTTTTTTTTTTAGTAGAGATGGGGTTTCACCGTGTTGGCTAGGATGGGCTCGATCTCCTGACCTCGTGATCCGCCCGCCTCGGCCTCCCAAAGTGCTGGGATTACAGGCGTGAGCCACCGTGCCCAGCCATGGTCCAAGCCCTTTTGAGGCGGGGCAGCTTCAGTATTGACGCCCCCACCCTTGCCTCACGGCATCACTTGCAATTTCACACTCTCAGGGAGGGCAGTGATGCCAGTGCTGGACGACTTTCCTGGGGCTGATGCCTCACGCCTGGGCACTGATAAATGTGAGTCCGCCTTGGCATCAGTGCACTCGGGAGAACACCAGCTTCGGGGCACCGAGACCCGCAGCTCACTGTCCCACCAGTCAGCATCTCGCTGCCGCTGAACAGTGTTGGATCAACCGGCTTTTCTTTTTTTTTTTTTAATATTCCTTCCAGCTAAGCTAGCAGAGGGCGGTTACATGACATATGAGCAGGGTGGCAACTACTGTCAACTCCCAGCGCCTGGCATCTATTTATTACAGTCAATTTGGAAATAGCTGCCCGCAAGGGAACTGCTGGCCAAATCCCTAAAGAACATGCTCAAGCCGAAAACACCAGTGTCTCAGGCAGCCACAGCTTGAGGACACAGATGTTTAAAAAAAGACCTTTTTGTTTGCATCACCTCGAAGCACAGCAGAAGGCCAGGTCTGCACAGGCCAGGCAGCCAGTGAGGGGACCAGGTGCTGTGGCGCCGGCAGGAGAATCTGCTCAAGAATTGAAAGCACAGAGCAGATAGTGGAAATAATTCAGGGGTGACTGAGTCAGAAAGGTGGTACAGATTTCATTTTTTAAAAACTTTATGGCCGGGCGCGGTGGCTCACGCCTGTAATCCCAGCACTTTGGGAGGCCGAAGCTGGCGGATCATGAGGTCAAGAGATCGAGACCATCCTGGCTAACATGGTGAAACCCCATCTCTACTAAAAATATAAAAAATTAGCCGGGCATAGTGGCAGGCGTCTGTAGTCCCAGCTGGCTGAGGCAGGAGAATGGCAAGAACCCGGGAGGCGGAGGTTGCAGTGAGCCAAGATCACGCCACTGCACTCCAGCCTAGGTGACAGAGCGAGACTCCATCTCAAAAAATAAAAATAAAAATAAAAATAAATAAAAACTTTATGTTGAAATAATTTTAGGCTTGCCAAGATAGTGCCATGATCCCTAGACCCTTCACCCAGTTTCCCTAATGTGAACATCTTACACAACTGTGATACACTGAGCAAAACTCAGAAATTTTGTTTTGAGATAGGATCTCACTCTGTCACCCAGGCTGGAGTGCAGTGGCACGATCACGGCTCACTACGGCCTCAACCTCCCAGGCTCAAGTGATCCTCTGGCCTCAGCCTCCTGACTAGCTGAGACCACAGGCATGCTCCACCATGTCCAGCTAATTTTAAAAAAATGTTTTGTAGAGACGGGGTCTCCCTATGTTGCCCAGGCAGATTTTGAACTCCTGGGCTCAAGTGATCCTCCCAGCTCGGCTGCCCAAAGTGCTGGGATTACAGGTGTAAGCCACTGCGCACCGCCCAAAACTCAGAAATTAATATTGGTGCAACACTGTTAACTAAACCACAGACTTTAGCTGGATTTCACCAGTTTTTCCACTGATGTCCTTTTTCTGTTTCAGGAACGGATCCAGGTGTCCACACTGCATTTAGTTGTCATGGTTCCGTCTCTTCTGGTCTGTGAGAGTTTCTCCATCTTTCCTTGTCTGTCATGACTTTGACATTTTTTGAAGAGTGCCGGTCAGGTGTTTGGTACAGATTTGTAGTATTTGTGGAAATCTGCTGGAATGAGTACCCTTGGCCTACGAGGCAGAGTCGGGGGTGGTGAGCTACACCCTGTGGGACAAATCTAGGCTGCTGCCTGTGTTTGCAGGTCTCCGAGCTAAGAATGGGTTTCACATTTTTAAATGGTTGAAAAAAAAACAAAAGACAAATAATAGTCCATGATATGTGGAAATTATCATGAAATCCAAATGTCAGTGTCCATAGGTGAAGTGGGGCTGGGAGGCAGCCACGGGCATTCTTTTCTGTGTTGTCCCTGGGGGCTTTTGCACTACAATGGCAGGATTGGGAAGTCACTACGGAGGCCCTTTGGCCCCAAGAGCCTCAATATTTACTCCCTGGCCCTTGACAGGGGAGGTTTGCCCAGCCTGATGAGGGCCCTATAAGGACCTGCCATTGGCCTTCATTCCAAAGCTAAGTCAGCTATGAAAAGAGCATGGAGTGGCTAGGCACAGTGGCTCACGCCTGTAATCTCAACACTTTGGGAGGCCGAGGTGGGTGGATCACCTGAGGTCAGGAGTTTGAGACCAGCCTGGCCAACATGGTGAAACCCCATCTCTACTAAAAATACAAAAATTAGCCAGGTGTGGTGCCGCAGGCCTGTAATCCCAGCCACTTGGAAGGCTGAGGCAGGAGAATCACTTGAACCTGGGAGGCGGAGGTTGCAATGAGCCGAGATTGTGCCACTGCACTGCAGCCTGGGTGACAGAGCGGCAAAAAAAAAAAAAAAGAAAAGAGCAGGGAGGCTTCAAATTCATTCATTCCATCATTCCACAAATACTTGTTGAGAGCTCATCGTCAAAACTAGGAGAGACCCCTATTTGAGCAAACGCTAACTCTTGCTCAAACTCTGGGTTTGGGAGAGGTTAATTTGCACCAAATGTCTTCCTGATTCTCGGGCACAGTTTCTGCTGTGATAATAATAGCTGCTGTCATATTTGGAGCTCTACCCTGTGCCAATAACGCTTTACTTGCACCATCTCTTCTCATCCGCACCACCACCGCAGGAGTTGCTCCGGGAGGAAACTGAGGTCTAAGAGCTTAGCCACACCCAAGGGCGCACAGGTGGCTAGAAAGTTGCAGAAGCTGAACAGGAGCGCGGCAAGTCCATGGGCTCCCAGCGCAGACGCTGTGCGTGCGAGGCCCTCACCTGCAGGTGGGACCGGGTCTGGAGCAGAGAGCTGGCGCCGGGGAGGCTCTTGGTGGTTCCTGATCCAGAACTCACAAACCGGGATGTAAGAGTCAGCCGGCCACAAGCCCCGTGTGAAACGCACAGGAATCTTTCTGCAAAGGAGCATCACAGTGTTTTTGGTGTTCAGCATTTAGTCCCTAAGTGTGATGCATGAGCAAGCTCCGCGACGCTGTCTTCTTTGCCATCCCTTCCTGTTGTCGCTGCCTTGCCACCCTACTGCTGGAAGCCTGAGCTCTCTGCACTGTATCCTCTTTCCTGCTGATGGGACCGGGCCACTGGGTCCTCCCTTTTCTCATCTTTGAGGCCAACAGGCTGGGCCTGCCCTGATGAGAGGTGAAGAGGCCCTCCTGGAGCTGAAAGGGGCAATTGGCTGTGCCCTGCTTTTGTCAAGGAAGTTGGGAGACAACAAAACCCAAGCACCTTGGCCAGGGCGGTGGCTCACATCTGTAATCCCAGAACTTTGGGAGGCCAAGGCAGGTGGATCACCTGAGGTCAGGAGTTCGAGACCAGCCTGGCCAACGCGGTGAAATCCCATCTCTACTGAAAATAGAAAAATTAGCCAGGCATGGTGGTGTGTGCCTGTAATCCCAGCTGTATCCTGGGAGGCTGAGGCAGGAGAATCACTTGAACCTGGGACATAATCTGAGTTATCTCAGATGCTAGTTTCTCTGGTGAAGGTTGCAGTGAGCCGAGACTGCACCACTGCACTCCAGCCTGTGCGACAGAGCGAGACTCTGTCTCAAAAAAAAAAAAAAAAAAAAAAATTAGCCAGGCATGGTGGCTGGTGGCACATGCCTGTAATCCCAGCTACTTAGGAGGCTGAGGCACAAAAATTGCTTGAACCCAAGAGGCGGAGGTTGCAGTGAGCTGAGATCGCACCACTGCACTCCAGCCTGGGTGGCAGAGCCAGACTCCATCTCAAAAACGAAAAACCAAACAACCCACAAACACCTGCAGAAAGAGGTTCCCAGGTAAGAAGGGTCCCCCTGCCAGGCTGGGCTGGGTGTGGGGTGGGATGCCATTCGTGCCAATCCTGCTGTCCATGGTGATTTTGGTCTCCTCAGTGAACATAACCGTAACCATGATCCATAACCAGGACCTCCACCTCCCCGCTCTCTGAGTCCAAAGGAGATGCTGAAGCCGGATGGGCAGAGAGAAAGAGCATCTGCCTGCGCTAGGCAGTGTCCCAGCTTAATGAACCTGCCATAGTGGGTCCAACTGACCACAGGTCGGTTCTGCTCAAGACAATTCCAATACATGCCATCAATCAGAACCAAATCAGAGGGCGCCAGATTCAATGAATGAAGCCCCCGGTTGGTGAGAGACTGCATCCAATTCCGAGTTATTTTTTGAAGAGAACAAGTCACTTGAGAGTTTCTTGTTCCCTAAAATGTCCCCAGGAACTTTTTAACTGGCTTGATACTAGATCTCCTAAGCCCTCAGCAGCTGCAAAATTGATTCATAAAGCTTGTTTTTCTTTTCATGTTTTTTAAAAAGAACAAAATGTAAATTAGGTTGCAAAGCCCTGGTGACATGATCTGACAAGCTGGCACCGGCAGAACCTTGGCCCGTGCTGTCTGCCCCAAGGTCACAGTGACACAGCCTGGTTTGGGGTAGACAGTTCCGTTCCACGTTCCGGGGCGTTCCAAAGATTCTCACCATGCCAGATTTCCAGCTGGACCCCACGTAGTGGAGGGGGCTTCGTGCATGAGTAAGGATGTGGTTGTTATTCTGTTTCTCTGCCACGGAATGTTCCTTCCGAGAAAGGCACTTTAAGTGGATCAGAAATGTTATCTCAGATGCTAGTTTCTCTGAGGAAGAAGCTGGTCTAGGGGGTGTGTTGGACGGAGTGTGTTGGAGAATGACATCTGGCACCTTTGCCTGAATGAGGCCTCAGAACGGATGACAAAACTCCAAAGTCAGACTAACTCTCATCTGTTCACACTACAATGCTATGCTATTTTCAAGGCCAAAATACTGCTATAAACTTAGTAACGCCCCCTGAACGTCCCAGAGCTGGGGAACCGGCCCCTATTTTTGCCTACTACATGTTTTGCGGCCCAGCAGAGTGTGAGGCGGCCAAGCCACCACACTGGTGAGTGTGGGTGCGAGGGAGGCCCCGGCCTCTGCTGGGCGGGGCTGCTCTGTGGTTTCTGGCGCAGGTGCAGCGTGAACAGGCTCGGGGGCGCTCAGAGGGGCTTCTGCATTCTCCTGGCAGCTGCCACCGGGGTTAAGCATGGCTAATGATGCTCTTTATAACGGTCACACACCACCACTTGGGTGTTTTGCTGATAAGAAGCCACAATCTGGGACTCTCAGGAGCCCGGCGCACCCGGCACCCCCACCCCAGCCCCACAACAGGCAGGGGTGATCCACACTGGGCCACACTGGGCGGAGGGTCCAGGTGGCCCTGCAGGGAAAGGGAATGAGGCCATGGACCATCATTTCCCTGGACCACATGTGTCGCGAGGGAGGCCTGCTGCTGGCTGAGGACCCCTCTGCCCCCTGAGACCACGCCCCCTCCATATCCCGTGCAAACCCCATCCAGGCAGCATCACCAGAGACCCAGAGATCCAGCCACCATGTACATCCAGCTGCCAGGGTTTTTCTCGCCTCCGCCCACTTTTCTATTTCAGAAACAGTGGAATGTCCAACTTTGTGAATTCCATTGCTCACCAGAAACTTGCTTTAATGTCTAAATGTTCTAAAGATGAGAGGGGGGAGGGAAATGCATAAAAAGCAGTGCCTCATGGAAAACACACACATGTGCATGCACACACACCCAAAGTCCTTTGTGCTTTAAACATTCCTGGTAACTTCACTGACCATCCTGGCCGGAATCTTCTGAAATGGTTAAGCCAAGAATTTCAGTCGCGAATATTTCTGCAGTGATTTCGTCTGGAAGTTCTTCTTCAAGGCAAATTTCTGAACCTAGCCAAAACAAGAAAAGAACACCAAATGCCTTCATGATGATTATGTTTCTTTCTTTTTTGGGTGAGGGGAGGGGTTTGAGACAGGGCCTTGCTCTGTTGCCCAGGCTGGAGTGCAGTGACACGATCATAGCTCACTGCAGCCTTGAACTCCTGGGGTCAAGTGATCCTCCCACCTCAGCCTCCCAAGTAGCTGGGACTACAGGCACACGCCACCACGCCCAGCTTATTTTAAAATTTTTTTGTAGAGATGGGGTCTCGCTATGTTACCCAGGCTGATCTCAAACTGCTGGCTTCAAGTGATCCTCCCACCTCAGACTCCCAAAGCGCTGGGATTACAGCTACCGCATCTGGCCTCAATGACTATGTTTCTAACTCAGGAGGATTTTCCAAAAACACAAGGAAATGCTACTAAACAAAAACAAGAGGGGCTTTGTGCTGTGATTTGGCTTTGATTCCTTGAAAAACTCTGGGTGGAAATTGCTTAAAAATCTCTCCTTTACGGAACAGAACGCTGTTAACCAAATCTCTGCAAACCTTACTGGAAAGCCTTAACCACATGGTATGATTGATTTTTCTGTTTCAAGATGCCTGGGAACACAGCAGAAATATATAACAATCAGGAAAGGTACATTCTGAGATCTGAAGCACATAAAGGAATGGGGTAGGGAGAGCTTGCAGGTTGGGAATGACCTGTTAGCTACTGGAGTCTGAAATTATCTGAGTTCAGGGACTTTGTTTAATTTGATGTGGGGAATGGACAATAAAAGGAGAGGGAAAAGGGGAATGGGTGAGGGGTCTTTGCACCCTCCTCAGTCTTGGTGATGGTGGTGGGATCTGACCATCCCCGGGCTTGTCAGCAGAGTTGCTCCTGTACCAGTGAGCCTAGAAGAGCCGTTTAGATTGGTTCCTCCTGAGCTGAAAGTCACGGCCCTAACTTCAGGTCCAGTGCACGAAAAGGTGAAAAATACTTAGGCTATAGCAGGAAGGGACAGGAGGATGATCTTTAAAAACCTGAAAGTTTTGGCAGCTTGTAGCTGGGCTTGTACTGCCCACCAAGTTGATGCTCTCTCCTTCTCCAAATCTTTCTCTCTCTCTCTCTCTTTTTTAATTGAGACAGGCTCTCACTCTGTTGCCCAGGCTGGAGTACAGTGGCACAATCCTCACTCACCGCAGCCGTGAACACCTGGGCCCAAGTCATCCTCCCACTTAAGCCTCCTGAGTAGCTGGGACTAAAAGCATACACCGCTATGCCCAGCTAATTGTTTTGTTTTGCTTTAATTAATTAATTAATTTAGAGACGGAGTTTTGCTCTTGTCACCCAGGCTAGAGTGCAATGGTGTGATCTCGGCTCACTGCAACCTCCACCTCCTGGATTCAAGCGATTCTCCTGCCCCAGCCTCCCAAGTAACTGGGATTACAGGTGTGTGCCACCATGCTTGGCTAATTTTCGTATTTTTAGTAGAGATGGGATTTCACCATGTTGGTCAGGCTGGTCTTGAACTCCTGACCTCATGTGATCCACCCTCCTCGGCCTCCCAAAGCATTGGGATTACAGGCGTGAGCCACTGCGCCCAGCCTGGTTTTTTTTTTGTAGAGATGGGATCTCGCTATGTTGCCCAGGCCAGTCTCAAATTCTGAACCTCAAGCGATTCTCCTGCCTTGGCCTCCCAAAGTGCTGGAATTACAGGCGTGAGCCATGGTGCCTGGCCCCCAAGTCTCTCTTTACATACCTATTCTCCTGAAACAGCTGTCAAACTGGATCCTCTACGGGTGGCCAATATTCACCCACCCAAGCCGGCAAGATGACAGGTCAGTGGAACAAAGGGAAAATAAGCCCAGAAGAAACAAAAGGACGGACAGAGCGCGGGAACAAAAGCCACCACTCACTGTTCTTTTCATAACTTATTCATGTGGGATTCCCAACAGACATGCTTTGTTATGTGCAGTCTTAGGGAGAGTGGCTTGCACCGATCAGGAGAAATAAATGTACTGAAGTCTACAACAAATCAGTGAGCCACAGCTACATGCCCAGACAAAGCCAGCTGGGGTACCTTTGACGGAGCAGGTTGCAGGCTCGGATTTCCATCCCTCGGGATTCAGGCCAAACAGTGAAGCAAAGCAATCCAACATCTCCTCCTCCGTCATATGCTCACCTGTGTGTCAAAGAGTGAGAAGGTGATTGTTTAACTCTTGAGGCTAAGCATACTGTCAGGGCTTAGCGTTATTATTCAGAGGTCTTAAAGAGAATTATCCCACTATTTTTTTTTCTTTTACTCAATTGAAAAAAAAATTTAGGCTGGGCGTGGTGGCTCATGCCTGTAATCCCAGCACTTGCAGAGGCCAAGGTGGGCGTATCACTTGAGGTCAGGAGTTCGAGACCAGCCTGGCCAACATGGTGAAACCCCATCTCTACTAAAAATACAAAAATTAGCCGGGTGTGGTGGCGCGGCCTGTAATCCCAGCTACTCGGGAGGCTGAGACAGGAGAATTGCTTGAACCCTGGAGTTGGAGGTTGCAGTGAACTGAGATCGTGCCACTGCAGTTCAGCCTGGGCAACAGAGCGAGACTCTGTCTCAAAAAAAAAAAAAAAAAAAGCAACAAAAACAATAAAAACTTTTCTGGTGGAGATGAAGTCTTGCTATGTTGGGCCAGGCTGGTCTCGAACTCCTGGGCTCAAGTGATCTTCCTGCCTCAGCCTCTGAAACTGCTGGGATTACAGGTGTGAGCCACTGCGCCCAGCCCCTTTTCTTTAGACACAAAAATGATCTAGAGTCCCATGGTACTGTCACATATGCTTCCTAATGGTGTTAAACAGGGTCCTCCAGGCAAGGAACATACATGGGGCTGGCATAGAGAAATAGGACAGCATGCTGCGGGGACCAGGCTCTGCTTCATTTCAAATTCCCTCCTCTCAGAACCACCCACTTGGACTAAGATGAAACTGTCATCCCAAGAGAGTTTACTTGACATCCTCATGTACAATAATGAGAAACATAGTAGGTAAAAATTAAAAAGTTTACTTTGGTGTGGTTGCATTTCACAAATGCAATCCAAATATTTGTTTTCTTTTCTTTTCTTTTTTTCTTTCTTTTTTTTTTTTTTGACAGTCTCGCTCTGTCACCCAGCCTGAACTGCAGTGGCGTGATCTTGGCTCACTGCAACCTCCACCTCCCGGGTTCAAGCAATTCTCCTGCCTCAGCCTCCCAAGTAGCTGGGATTACAGGCGTGTGCCACCATACCCGGCTAATTTTTGTATTTTTAGTAGAGATGGGGTTTCACTGTGTTGGCCAGGCTGGTCTTGAACTTCTGACCTCAAGCAATCCGCCCGCCTCGGCCTCCCAAAGTGCTGGGATTACAGGCATGAGCCACTGCGCCCGGCCCCAACCCAAATCTTATGACAGCCCAGGGAGATGGATCAGCTGGCATTTTTATTCCCATTTTACAAGTGAGGATGCCGAGTCTTGCTGAGGCTCAGGTAGTTGCAACACGAATCACATTCTTTTGCTTTCTAGCTCCGGGTCCCTCCCATTACTTCGTACTTGCCAGGGATGCAGGTGGGTCAGCCAGACCCCTCATGGCTCAAATCTGGTCAAATCACCTCTTTCATGAAAGATGGAGCTCCACAGGGGCTGGCTCCCCAAACTCAGTTCTCTACACTGGGAATGGCCCCAGGATGTTACCAGACATCCTGATGTATGTGCTTACCTTTAGTAACGAGCAGTCTCAGGAAGTCCTCTCTTCGAATGGCCTTTTTCCCTTTGGAGTTGGTATAACCGAGCACCTCAAAGCTCTTGTGGATGCCACTCATGGTGTTACCAAAAGGTGGCTTGTGGTTAAGGTACACTTTTAGGAAATCTGGTAAGTTGATCTTGTCGATTAGCTTTCCAGTGTCCACATATTCACCAAATTTGATTTCGTTAAATATATCATCAATCTAGGGGAAAGATGGGGAAAAAAAAAAGACCACAGTAAATAGAAAAGGCACCAGGATAGATTTCTAAAAATTGGACAGTAGGGCTGGTGCAGCGGCTCATGCCTGTAATCCTAGCACTTTGGGAGGCCGTGGCCAAAGGATCACTTGAGGCCAGGAGTTTGAGACCAGCCTGGCCAACATGGTGAAACCCTGTCTCTACTAAAAATACAAAAATTAGCCTGGCACAGTATGAGAATCACTTGAACCCTGGAAGTTGAGGTTACAGTGAGCCAAGAACGTGCCACTGCACTCCAGCCTGGGCAACAGAGTGAAACTCTGTCTCGGCGGGGGGAAAAAAAAAGAATACTAATTTTCCACAAACTGCACAAAAATAGAGGAAAAAGGAATACTTTCCAATTATTTTAGATGGAAAAATCCTCCAGAAAATACAAGAAATTAAATCCAGGAGCATACAAAATGATTGTGCACCATGATCAAGTGGGATTTATCCCAAGAATGCAAGGTTGGTTTAACATGTCAACCTCAATTAATATAATACATTATTATTAACAGAATAAAGGACAGAAACCACATGATCATCTAAACAGACATAGAAAAAAAGCATTTAACAAAATCTAACAACTTTACATGGTAAAAACACTCAACAAACTAGGAATAGAAAGAAGCTTCCTCAACCCAATAACGGGCATGTGTGAAAAACCCACAGCTAACATCATACTTAATGATGAAGGACTAAATGCTTTCTCCTCCTAAGATCAGAAAAAAAGACAAGGATGTCCACTCTCACCACTTCCCCCTTTTTTTTTTTTTTTTTTTTTTTTTTTTTGATACAGGGTCTCACTCTTTGACCCAGACTGGAGTGCAGTGAGGCAACCTCTGCTCACTGTAGCCTTGACCTCTCAGGTTCAGGCGATCCTCTCACCTCAGCCTCCAGAGTTCCTGGGACTATAGGCATGCTTGACCATGCCTGGCTAATTTTTGTATTTTTTTTTAGAGACGGGGTTTCACCATGTTGCCCAGGCTGGTCTCAAACTCCTGGGCTCAAGCAATCTGCCCACCTTGGTCTCCCAATGTGCTGGGATTACAGGCATGAGCCACCTGGCACCACTTCCATTCCACACTGTCCTGGAGGTTCTAGCCAGGGAAATTAGGCAGGAAAAGAAGATAAAAGGCACCCAGAATTGAATGGGAGAAGCAAAACTATCTCTATTTGCAGATAACACAATCATATATATATATATATATATATATATATATATATATATATATATATATATATATATTACACTAAAAACTATTAGAACTGGTAAACAACTTCAGCAAGGTTGCAGGGTATAAGATCAATAATATAAACATCAATTATAGGCCAGGTGCAGTGGCTCACCCCTGTAATCCCATCACTTTGGGAGGCTGAGGCTGGAGGATTGCTTGAGGCCAGGAGTTCGAGACCAGCTTGGGCAACATATTAAAAGACCCTGCTTCTACAGAAAACAAAAAATTAATCAGGCATGTGGCATGCACCTATGGTTCCAGCTACTCAGGGGGCTGAGGTGGGAGGACTGCTTGAGCCCACAAGTTCGAGGCTGCAGTGAGCCCATGATCATGCCACTGCACTCCAGCCTGGGACACAAAGTGAGACCCTGTCTTAAAAAAAAAATCAATTGAGGCCGGGCATGGTGGCTCAGGCTTGTAATTCCAGCACTCTGGGAGGCCAAGGTGGGTAGATCACCTGAGGTCAGGAGTTCAAGACCAGCCTGGCCAACACGGTGAAAATCTGTCTCCACTAAAAATACGAAATTAGCCCGGCGTGGTAGCGTATGCCTATAGTCCCAGCTACTCGGGGGGCTGAGGCAGGAGAATCGCTTGAACTGGGGAGGTGGAGGCTGTAGTGAGCTGAGATGGCGCCATTACACTCCAGCCTGGGTGACAAGTGCAAAACTCTAACTCAAAAAAAAAAAAACAAACTATTGTATTTCTTTACACACTAGCAGTGAACAGCACAATAATTATAATAAATTAATAAAACAATTCCAATTATAATAGGATTAAGAAGAATAAAGTACTTAGGAATCAATTTAACAAAAATGCAAGATTTGTGCTCTAAAAGCTACAAAATATTGTAAAAAAAAAAAAAACTAAAGAAAACATAAGTAAATGGAAAGACTTTCCATATTCAGGGATTGGAAGACTTAAATTTTTTTTCTTTAAGAGACAGAATCTCGCTCTATCACCCAGGCTGCAGCACAGCTGCCTCCCAAAGTGTAGGGATGCAGGAGTGAGCCATCATGCATGCCTTTTTTTTTTTTTTTTTTTTGAGAGATGATGGTCAGGAACGGTGACTCACACCTTGCCATCTCAGCATTTTGGGAGGCTGGGACAGGAGAACTGCTTGAACCCAGGAACTAGAGACCAGCCTGCACAACCTGGTGAAACTCTGTCTCTACAAAAAATACAAAAATGAGCCGGGTGTTGTGGCGTACGCCTTTGCATTCACGCATGTGCTGTTCCCTCGTGCCATCTCACTACCTCCTCGCCCCATGTACTGGCTACTGAATTTTCCATTTGCACCACTTCACTGCTCTATGTGGTTCATCACATGCGCGTGGATCCCTAACACACATGCTTCCTTTTGCTTTAAAGACGCCTTTAAAAGGAGATCATCTTAAACCCAGTCACTTGTTGCTCTCGAGTTGTCACCCGCAGGTTACAGATACTGGCTCATGGCATTTCATTCCCTTTCAGACTTCAGTTGCTTTGATTCATGCATCTGGATGAAGCAAAAAGAAAATGTGACAACTTGTCACTGCAAGAACTTAAAAACACCCTCCAGTGGGGCTGCACCAGGCCACCTCACTTTAGAGTGTGCACAGCTTCCCATCAGAGATAAAAGCTGTGACTCCAGGCTCCTAAATACCTTTTTGATAAGGGCTTTCCTTTTGGCCACCAGCAGATGATCGGGTGATGGTGTTACTACTGCCAACTCCTACAGAGCCCAAGCCCATGAGATCTTTTAGACGTTCATTCTTTGCAGCTTAAAAAAATAATAATTTAAAAAATTTTCCCCTTCTCATTTGGAAAGTTTGTGTATTTTCTAATTTTTCTCGAATGAGAAAAGGGTGCTGACATGCCTAGGTTTAAGTGGAAATGCGGGGCCAGTTAACACAGGACTCCTCACAGGACGCCTTATGTCACTGGCAAAACACGAGGAAGAGAGAAATATAATAAATAAAGAAACAAACAAAACTGTTCCTCACTGCCGTCAGCCTCTCTCTGTGCAGTATTTTTGTACCGTGCATGTAGCAGTCAGCTGAAATGCAGAAACCCCAATTATACCAGTGAAAGGGCTAGGAATTAGTAACTTATTTTAGCATTTACATTTTAACCTAGGATGTTTCCCAATAAACTGTGGGGTTTGGAATTTTACAAAGAAAGAATAAGAGCAACAGAGAAGTGGGAACCAATTTGCTTCCTCTCCTCCCTGCTCCTGCCAAAGAACAGGCATTCTACTTTGGTCTGTGGGAATGAACCAGGAATTTAATCTCTATTTGTACACATTACTTATCAATCGGTAACCAATTTCTCCATGTCCCACTTAAAAAATGTGGAACAAAAATTCAGAGGACACCAGTTTGCAGCACTGCCAAGCTACCAACCTATCTCAAGTACCCTTCACCCTCACATCTTGGTCTGGCCTCAAGTATCAAGAAAAAAATAAAAATCTCTTGTAATCCAACCATCCAATCACAATTTCGGTGAGATTTGGGGCACTTCCTTCCTATTTTTTCTATGCATATAAAATACACATGCATATTTTTTACAAAACTGGTATCATATGTATAATTTTACATCCTGCTTTTTTCCTTTAACGCTGTATCTAAGTAATCACCTAGTAGTTTCAGAGATGCCACATATTCTCAATGCAACATTCCAGGTCAGGCATGGTGGCTCATGCCTATAATCCCAGCACTTTGGGAGGCCAGGGTGGGAGGATGGCTTGAGCTCAGGAGTTTGAGACCAGCCTGGGCAACATAATGAGACCTCATCTCCACTAAAATCTAAAAACAGGTGTGGTGGCAGTCCTAGCTACTGGGGGGCTCATGCAGGAGGATGGCTTGAGCCCAGAAAGCCAAGGCTGCAGTGAGCCCTGATTGTGCCACTGCACTCCAGCTTGGGCCAGAGTGAGAACCTGTCTCAAAAAAAAAAGGCAAGATTCCAGGAATGTTGAAATAACATTATTGGTTACAGATACAAATTAACTGTAATTGATACATAATTGATATTATAAAAGTAGCTGTAAATGGTAACACTGTTTCATATACAGCATTTACTGAGTTTATACTATGTACAATTGCTTGTTAAATCATGTATAATTTTATGTAGGAAAAAACACTATCCAGTAGCAATTATTTGCATATTGCACTATATAATTTTGACAGTATTACTACATAGGAATGCTACTATTTACCATGAGGCAGTAGAGGTTGGGGCTAAAAGAGCAATCTTTGATGATAGACCTAGGTTCAAACTCTGGCTCTGCCATTTTCTGTCTATATGACCTTGAGTGAGTTACTCACATTCCTTCTCCTCAGTTTCCTCATCTTGAAAAAGCAGGGAATACAGTAATACGTATGCATTGGGCTTTTCTGAAGCTTATTGAGACTATGTACGTAAAGTGCTTAACATAATGCCTAACACATAGCAAGCATTCAACAGACAGTAATTATTCTTGTGATTATTATTTTTTTTTTAATTTATTTTTTTATTGATAATTCTTGGGTGTTTCTCACAGAGGGGGATTTGGCAGGGTCATGGGACAATAGTGGAGGGAAGGTCAGCAGATAAACAAGTGAACAAAGGTCTCTGGTTTTCCTAGGCAGAGGACCCTGCGGCCTTCCGCAGTGTTTGTGTCCCTGATTACTTGAGATTAGGGATTGGTGATGACTCTTAACGAGCATGCTGCCTTCAAGCATCTGTTTAACAAAGCACATCTTGCACCGCCCTTAATCCATTTAACCCTGAGTGGACACAGCACATGTTTCAGAGAGCACAGGGTTGGGGGTAAGGTCACAGATCAACAGGATCCCAAGGCAGAGGAATTTTTCTTAGTGCAGAACAAAATGAAAAGTCTCCCATGTCTACTTCTTT
Source organism: Homo sapiens (assembly GCF_000001405.40). NCBI lineage: Eukaryota > Metazoa > Chordata > Mammalia > Primates > Hominidae > Homo > Homo sapiens. The sequence continues at coordinate 121,994,570 of NC_000012.12, read as the reverse complement.
CTACACAGACACGGCAACCATCCGATTTCTCAATCTTTTCCCCACCTTTCCCGCCTTTCTATTCCACAAAGCCGCCATTGTCATCCTGGCCCGTTCTCAATGAGCTGTTGGGCACACGTCCCAGACGGGGTGGTGGCCGGGCAGAGGGGCTCCTCACTTCCCAGTAGGGGCGGCCGGGCAGAGGCGCCCCTCACCTCCCGGACGGGGCGGCTGGCCGGGCAGGGGGGCTGACCCCCCCCACCTCCCTCCCGGACGGGGCGGCTGGCCGAGCGGGGGGGCTGACCCCCCCACCTCCCTCCCGGACGGGGCGGCTGGCCGGGCAGAGGGGCTCCTCACTTCCCAGTAGGGGCGGCCGGGCAGAGGCGCCCCTCACCTCCCGGACGGGGCGGCTGGCCGGGCGGGGGGGCTGACCCCCCCCACCTCCCTCCCGGACGGGGCGGCTGGCCGGGCAGAGGGGCTCCTCACTTCCCAGTAGGGGCCGCCGGGCAGAGGCGCCCCTCACCTCCCGGATGGGGCGGCTGGCCAGGCGGGGGGGCTGACCCCCCCCCCACCTCCCTCCCGGACGGGGCGGCTGGCCGGGCGGGGGGCTGACCCCCCCACCTCCCTCCCGGACGGGGTGCTGGCCGGGCAGAGGGGCTCCTCACTTCCCAGTAGGGGCGGCCGGGCAGAGGCGCCCCTCACCTCCCGGACGGGGCGGCTGGCCGGGCGGGGGGGCTGACCCCCCCCACCTCCCTCCCGGACGGGGCGGCTGGCCGGGCGGGGGGCTGACCCCCCCACCTCCCTCCCGGACGGGGTGCTGGCCGGGCAGAGGGGCTCCTCACTTCTCAGACGGGGTGGTTGCCAGGCAGAGGGTCTCCTCACTTCTCAGACGGGGCGGCCGGGCAGAGACGCTCCTCACCTCCCAGACGGGGTCTCGGCCGGGCAGAGGCACTCCTCACATCCCAGATGGGGCGGCGGGGCAGAGGCGCTCCCCACATCTCAGACGATGGGCGGCCGGGCAGAGACGCTCCTCACTTCCTAGATGTGATGGCGGCTGGGAAGAGGCGCTCCTCACTTCCTAGATGGGATGGCGGCCGGGTGGAGACGCTCCTCACTTTCCAGACTGGGCAGCCAGGCAGAGGGGCTCCTCACATCCCCGACGATGGGCGGCCAGGCAGAGACACTCCTCACTTCCCAGACGGGGTGGCGGCCGGGCAGAGGCTGCAATCTCGGCACTTTGGGAGGCCAAGGCAGGCGGCTGGGAGGTGTAGGTTGTAGTGAGCCGAGATCACGCCACTGCACTCCAGCCTGGGCACCATTGAGCACTGAGTGAACGAGACTCCGTCTGCAATCCCGGCACCTCGGGAGGCCGAGGTTGGCGGATCACTCGCGGTTAGGGGCTGGAGACCGGCCCGGCCAACACAGCGAAACCCGGTCTCCACCAAAACCAGTCAGGCGTGGCGGCGCGTGCCTGCAATCGCAGGCACTCGGCAGGCTGAGGCAGGAGAATCAGGCAGGGAGGTTGCAGTGAGCCGAGATGGCAGCAGTACAGTCCAGCTTCGGCTCCGCATGAGAGGGAGACCGTGGGGAGAGGGAGAGGGAGAGGGAGACGGAGAGGGAGAGGGAGTGGGAGAGGGAGAGGGAGAGCTCTTGTGATTATATTTTTCTATGCACTTGCTAATTACAATACATGTAATCATAACATAAGATAAATTATAATTTGGCTGGGTGGGGTGGCTTACGCCTGTAATCCCAGCACTTTAGGAGGCTGGAGTGGGTAGATCGTTTTAGGAGCTTGAGACAGCCTGGGCTGTGAAATCCTGTCTCTACAAAAAAGACAACAAATTAGCTTGGCGTGGTGGCGCATGTGCCTGTAGTCCCAGCTACTTGGGAGGCTGAGATGGGAGGATCACCTGAGCCCGGGAGGTGGAGGCTGCACTGAGCCGTGATTGTGCCACTGCACTCCAGCCTGGGCAACAGGAGTGAGGAGTAAGACCCTGTCTGAAAAAGAAAAAAAAAAGAAATAATATATATAAATATATATAAATTACCAATGTAATATATGATTTAACTCAGTTCAGAACAGGAGACTAAGACGACAAAAGGAATTCATAAGGGCCTGAGTTACTCATACCCAGAGAGTTCCAAAGAGCTCAGCAAACATTCACAGCACAAACCACTCAGCATGTGATTCACCTCTTACTCTCTCTTCCCGTATGACTGATCAAGAATCACTACTCAACAAGCACGGAGTTGGCAGCTTCGGCATCACTGACATTTCCTTCCTGAGCCGACTTCGCAAGTGTTCGTTGAAAAGGCAGGTTCTGCTACTTGTCTGAACAAAGTTCATGCTTGGGAGAGGAACCTCGGAGCTGGAAATAGAACGCAGAGCTTGTTCTGAACGCCCCCGTGTGAAGATGGCTTGAGAGAAGCAGGAGTCCTAGCTGAGCGGCCCAGACGCACTGGTGGTTGTCAGTCAGCCTGGCCTTTGATTGGCATTCTCACGCCTGCTAAGGCGGGGCTTTATTCCATTCACCTGGAGAGCTTAAACAGTTCTGAGGCCCAGATCCTATTCCCTGAGAACCTGATTTTTTTTTTTAGATGATAGTCTCACTCTGTCGCCCAGGCAGGAGTCCAGTGGCGTGATCTCGGATCACAGCAACCTCCACCTCCTGAGTCCAACCAATTCTCCTGCCTCAGCCTCCCAAGTAGCTGGGACTACAGGCGCGCGCCACCACAGCTGGCTAATTTTTGTATTTTTAGTAGCAACAGGGTTCCTACTGTTGGCCAGGCTGGTCTCAAACTCTTGACTTCAAGTGATCTGCCTGCCTCGGCCTCCCAAATTGCTGGGATTACAGGAATGAGCCACCACAACCAGCTGAGATCCTGATTTAATTGGTCTGGGGACCAAATTTTTGGAAGCTTCTCATTCGAATGATTTGAATGCGTAGCCAAGCTTGAGAAACATGGCTGGAAGGCAAAGGCTCGCTGACATGTCAGGCTTCACAATGACCGGGAGGTCTTGTTCAAACAGACTGCTGGTCCCACCTGGGGGGTTTCTGAGTCTGGGATAGGGTCTGACCATTTGCATTTCTTGTAAGTCCCTAGGTCACGTGAAGTCAATCCTGTTGGTCTGGGGACCACACTTTGAATACTGCTGCTCTTAGACCACAGGGGTTCACGGAGGTGATACTGGTGCCAAAATGAATCAGCCCCAAGCTTGTGACTTTCAGTAGAGAGTAATAATGGGTGGCAGCTGCGGTGCACGCTCTAATTCTTTGGGCTCACATCTGTTTTCCCCATTAAGCTGTAGCCAGAGCTTTCATCTCTATTTCCCCGGCAGCTTAGTTCAGAGCCTGGCACATTATAGAGGCTCAGAGAAATGTTTACTGAATGGATAGATAGATGGATGAATGGATGAATGAATGAATGATGAAGTAAATAATGTGGACACAAGTGAGGCCACAAAAAGAATTCTCTTGAAACTCACAAGAAGCTTAGAATAATCATTTAGTGCCCTAGTTAATTTTACTCGATTTACTAGTAGTTACTGAGCATTTGGTTTAGTGCAAAGCCAATGAAATACAAGTCTCTCAATTATTACTAGAACAGTTCTGCATTCTGGTTTTCAATCTTAGTCACTGGGGTCAGCAAATATTTATTCAGTGTCTATTAAGGTCTGGGCCATGTGAAGAGATGCTCAAGAGACGATATACACAAGGAAAGCGAACTAACAGGCTCCATCGCCAAGGTCCTCAGCCCTGGCTGCCTGGGGCTTTAAAAACTGTCCATGCTTAGACTCCACCCCTAGGTTCTGTTGCACAAGGCTGGGGCCCAGGTGTAAAAATCAGGTGTAAAAATACTGATGTATTTTTTTAAGTGCCCTCAACTGATTTTAAAAGGTTGGCTACCGTGGCTCTAGAAGATTCAGTGCCAAGATGCAGGAGAACATCATCAAAGGTTGGAGGAGCTCTCAGCCAGGTGGGCTTCGGGAAGGCTTCCTGGAAGAGGTGGGCCTACTGCAGAGCCATGAAGGGTTTGGCCAGTAGGAGGTCAGAGGAAGACACTGTATGCTGGGAAACAAGCATGAGGAGGAGGGTGCAGAGGAGGTGCCCACCCCGAGCCCATGCACCCAATTCTAGACCACACTCTGGGTACCTGAACCCGAGGCTTCTCTCCCCTACATAACCTAAGCCCACTTCCGGGGCCCATGGGGATCTCACCCTCCTGAGGCCAACCTGTGCCCCTGGTGTTGCCCACCCATAGGCCTGAAGGGTGCCCCGGGGCTGCTGTTTGGAGAGTATAGAGAAGGGTCCACCTCCTGAATGCCATGCACACAGTGGCCAGGGATGGGGTCAGAGCTGGGAGGACACATGGGGCAGGCCCAGCTTGGCTTGGCCCTGCATGCTGCCCATTCGGGTGTGAACTTTGAATCAGCTCATGTTGAAGGTTGAACTGTCAAGGGGGAATATTTATTTATCAGCTTGTTGCTTGATTGGTAACTTTTAAACATTTAGACATACAGCATCTGGGCCTCTGTTGCCCCGACTGCTCCAGGCCCCAAGACATGAGGGTGGCCTCTTGGTGGTGGGCTGGAGTCCCCTCACCCGAGAGCATCTTATTTCTGCCTCTGTCATTGATGACGCAGGCCTTTGGGTCTGTGATCCCTGCTGTCAGCCTCAGGAAGCCATTGATGTCCTTAGAATTATGTTCTATAATTAAGTTTTACAACCTCCCTATTAAATGGAGAGGAACACGATATATTTGAACTGGGGCCATTCCTTGTTTTTATAAGCAGGCTCCTGGTGGGGGCAGGTTTGCTTTTCTAATGGTTTCATGGACCAGTAGGACTGGGAGCACTCACCCTCTTCCCCACGCCCTCTTCCCAACGCACAATACCCTCTAGAACATTCTCAACTAATGGGGCACAGTGTCTTGTTCCCACTCATCATCTTCACTCATACCCTCCCCTGGTCACCCCCTGCATCTCCTCGCTGACCCGGGGCAGGGAGTAGTGGGCTGAGGAGGGGGCGTAAGGGCTGGGCAGCGTCACTGCATGGCCACATCTGGAGACCCCTGTGAGCGCCCCCTCTGCGATTCATGCAACACTGTGACCCCAACTGCTCCATACCTCCCTCCAGGAACTAGATCTGGATGGCGACTGCCTCTTTTTCCAGGAGTGGGGCATGCATGCACAGTTCTGCCCTCTGGACGCAGTCTCAGGTGACAGCAGCCAAGGCCTGGCCTGGTGCTCTTGCCCACTGTCTTCTACTCCATGTGAACAACACCCATTCACAGGGCCCTTTAGAGTGACTGTCACCCTGCCCTGCATCAGAGCCCAGGTCTCAAACACCTCCAGGGACTCTTCCCTTCCCAGTGAATGTTTTCAAAGGTCTGAAAGAGACAGTCCTAGCTGAATGACAAGTCTTGCACCTTGTACCAAACCCACAATCAAGGATTTGCTAATTCTGTGTCCACAGCTCTCTAAAATCCTGATCCTGCCTCATGCACCCTAAAGCCCCAGATGGTTCCTAGCTCAAGTGAAGAAGTGATGTGGGCCGGGCACCGTGGCTCACATCTGGGATCCCAGCACTTTGGGAGGCCAAGTTGGGTGGATCATTTGAGGTCAGGAGTTCAAGACCAGCCTGGCCAACATGGTGAAACCCCATCTCTACTAAAAATACAAAAATTAGCTGGGCGTGGGGGCGGGCACCTGTAGTCCCAGGTACTCGGGAGGCTGAGGTGGGAGAATCACTTGAACTTGGGAGGCAGAGGCTGCAGTGAGCCGAGATCGCGCCATTGCACTCCAGCCAGAGGGAGATTTCATCTCAAAAAAAAAAAAAAGAGAAAAAAAAGAAAAAAAAATCCAACAACAACAAAAAACTTGCACACGAATGTTCACAGCAGCCTTATCCATAATAGCCAAGAAAATGGGAAAACGTAAATGTCCATCTGTTCGTGAATGGATACATAAAATGTGGCATATCTACATGAACGAATAGAATGTTACTCAATCATAAAGAAAAGAATGAAGGACTGAGACAAGCTACAACCTGGATGAACCTGGAAAACATGATGCTGAGTGAGTGAAAGAAGCTGGACCCAAAAGACCACATATTTCATGACTCCATTTATATGAAATGCCAAGATAGGCCAATCCATAGAGACAGAAAGCACATCGGTGGTTGAAGGAGAAATGGGAAGTGAGTGCTCATGGGTCTGGGGTTTCTTTTTGGGATGATAAACATGTTCTAGGATTACGTGGTGGTGATGTCTGCACTACTCGGTGGACATTCTAAAAACCAATGAACTGCATCCTCTAAACAGGTGAATTACGTGGTATGTGGTATATCTCAATAAAGTTTTTTTTAAGAAAAGAAAATAAATAATATGGAGAAGCCATGGCAATGGCAAGTAACAACATTTCGATTCTAAGAACATTAATTTAATATTTTTGAAATATTTTTAAAAATATTTAAAAATATTTAAAATATTTTTAAAATATATCTTCCACCATCATTGTGATCTACCCTTTTATATCATAAAACCAGTCAAGAGTGAAACATGCTTGTTATGAAAAATTCTAACAATGGAGATATAAAGAAAAATAATAATAAAATGCCCTGAAATTCCCCGTCCTGCAGCAATAACCAGTGTTGGATGCCAGAATTTTTAGGGTTTTCTTCCTTCTTTGTACCAACTCATACATACGTAGGAACAGAACCTGGAGTTGGGGGTCAGCCAGCTTGGTTCAAACCCTGGCTGTGCCCTCGGTAGCTAAGTGACTATACAATCTTTCTTCTCTCTCTAGGCCTCACTTTCCCAGAATGGTATTATGCATTACTATTACCTGTATTCTTTTTTTTTTTTTTTTTTGAGACGGAGTCTCGCTTTTCTTGCCCAGGCTGGAGTGCAATGGTGCCATCTTAGCTCACTGCAACCTCCGCCTCCCGGGTTCAAGCGATTCTCCTGCCTCAGCCTCCCGAGTAGCTGGGATTACAGGTGTGCGCCACCATGCCTGGCTAATTTTTGTATTTTTAGTAGAGACAGGGCTTCACCATGTTGGCCAGGGTGGTCTCGAACTCCTGACCTCAGGTGATGCGCCCACCTCAGCCTCCCAAACTGCTGGGATTACGGGTATGAACCACCAGGCCTGGACTCTATCGCCTGCATTCTTTTTAATGGCTGCATAGTAATCCAAGATTTATTTCTTTAAATGCTTTACATGTGAAAAGCAGAAATAGTTTTGTCTTGCTCTGATCTTTCTGCAGGAAGCCCACCTCTCGCTGGGCAGGGGCCTGGCCACGGACTCTCTGTTGGCCAGGAAGGCCTCCCCTAGAACACTGGGCCACTTCTATTACCTTCAGGATGGAAATGCCTGCTGATATTTACGTTTCAGGGCAAGACCCAACATACTGAGGGCTTCTCTTCAAAGTGCAAATTTCCAAATTCCCTCGGGGTCTTTATCAGAACAGAAATTGTCCCTGTGCTTCTTGGCTCAAATTACCCCCCTCGTTATGGGTGAGGCTGAACCACTTGGCTACAGACCTCCATCCCAGCTGGGACCCTGCTTTAGCCATGAAGATTAGCACACAGGGCTTTGGGGGGATTTGCTTGTTTATCTTTCTCGTTTTTGTTCTGAATACAAAAGCAACACAAGCTGCATGTTTATAGTTAGGAGAACTTAAATAGTACAGAAATGTATGTCCGAGGTCTCCCCAAATTTATAGCCACAACTGTCTCCTAAGGAGGGCAGATGCCACTGAATGAAACGGCCTTTTATTTATAGAACCCCTAGATGGGCTTTTTTTTTTTTTTCTTTTTCTTTGAGACAGAGTCTCACTGTGTTGCCCATACTGGAGAGCAATGGTGCAATCATGGCTCACTGCAGCCTTGACCTCTGGGCTCATGTGATCCTCCCACCTCAGCCTCCTGAGTAGCTGGGACTTCAGGCGTGAGCCACTACATCCAGCAATTAAAAAAAAAAAAATTCGGCTGGGCGCGGTGGCTCACATCTGTAATCCCAGCACTTTGGGAGGCCGAGGTGGGAGGATCACGAGGTCAGTGATCCTCTGATCACTGTAGAGACGGTGAAACCCCGTCTCTACTAAAAATACAAAAAAAAAATTAGCCAGGCGTGGTGGCGGGTGCCTGTAGTCCCAGCTACTCAGGAGGCTGAGGCAGGAGAATGGTGTGAACCCAGGAGGCGGAGCTTGCAGTGAGCTGAGATCGTGCCACTGCGCTGCAGCCTGGGTGACAGAGGGAGACTCGGTCTCCAAAAAAAAAAAAAAAAAATTCGTGGCCAGCCATGGTGGCTCATGCCTATAATCCCAGCACTTTGGGAGGCCAAGGTGGGAGGATCATCTGAGGTGAGGAGTTCGAGACCAGCCTGGCCAACATGGCGAAACCCCATCTCTACTAAAGATACAAAAAATTAGCTGGGCATGGTGGCACTGCGGGTAATTCCAGCTACTCGGGAGGCTGAGACAGAAGAATTGCTTGAATCCAGGAGGTGGAGGTTGCAGTGAGCCGAGATCACGCCATTGCCTACCAGCCTGGGCAAAACAGCAAGACTCTCTCAAAAAAATAATAATAATTTGTAGAGACAAGGTCTCACTACGCTGCTCAGGCTGGTCTTGAATTCCCAAGGACAAGCGGTCCTTCCACTTTGGCCTCATAAAGTGCTGGGAATACAGGTGAAGAGACACAGTACCAGGCCAATCTCACTTGTAGGTGTGCCTTATTTTATTAATCTCATCTCCTATCAATGGATATCAGTGTTGTTTTGATTTTCAACACAATAGACTATGTGACAACAATTGTCCCTTCAGGTCAAGTACAGGTTTGGAGGGCCTGTAGTCCCAGCAACTAGGAAGGCTAAAGCAAGAGGCTTGCCTAAGCCCAGGAGTTTGAGACCAGCCTGGGCAACGTAGTGAGACTCCATCTCAATATTTATATATATTATATATTTAAAATTATTCCTTCCATATGTACATCATTATAAACTTGGGTGAGTTTTTCTGTAGGATACACTCCCTTTTTTTTTTTTTTTTTTTGAGATGGAGTCTTGCTCTGTCGCCCAGGCTGGAGAGTATGGTGGCACCATTTCAGCTCACTGCAACCTCTGCCTCCTGGGTTCAAGCGATTCTCCTGCCTCACCCTCTGGAGTTGCTGGGATTACAGGCATGCACCACCATGCCCAGCTAATTTTTGTATTTTTAGTAGAGACGGGGTTTGGCCATGTTGGCCAAACTGGTCTCGAACTCCTGACCTCAGGTGATCCTCCCACCTCGGCCTCCCAAAGTGCTGGGATTACAGGCGTGAGCCTCCGCGCCTGGCCAGGATACACTCTTAAAAGTACATTTGTTGAGTCAAAAGATATATACATTTTTAAAGTTAAGCAAAAAATAAATAGCAAATAAAATAAAAAGTTAAGTGACTATTTAATTCCTTTCTAAATGCTCCTAAGCTATGCCCAAGCTCCTGAATATATCAAACACATTAGGGTTACTAAGAATTACACTGAGATCAAATAATAATGTCAGGGATTGTGTCTTCCTCACTGTCTCTGCTGTCGAATATGACCAATGAGCATCATTGATTCATTCACTCATTCCATCAACATTTGCCAAGCGTCCACCATGTGGGCACTTGCTGGGCACATACGTCTCTACAGGATTAGACTTAAGTTTACAGAACTAGGTGGTTGCACCAATGTTAATTCCCTGCCCAAACCTGTCAAGATTATACAACACTCTGCAAGCTAAAAAGAAGTGAAGTTGCAAGTAAGCAGGAAACGAATGATATGCTGGGCCCCATCCCAACGTGGACAGTCCAACATCCTGGAGGAAAAGACACATTTATAAAGATAGAGGATGGAACTGCCTTGTATGTGAAATCATCTGTAGAAACGATGACACCTAAGCTATGGTTCCTTTGATAACATTATACATGCTGCAGATCTTTCATTTAAAAATGATTTCTAGGCCGGGCGCCGTGGCTCACACCTTGTAATCCCAGCACTTTGGGAGGCCAAGGCAGGCGGATCAGGAGGTCAGGAGATTGAGACCTTCCTGGCTAACACCGTGAAACCCCGTTTCTACTGAAAATACAAAAAATTAGCTGGGTGTGGTGGTGGGCGCCTGTAGTCTCAGATACTCGGGAGGCTGAGGCAGGAGAATCGCTTGAACCTGGGAGGCAGAGGTTGCAGTGAGTGCAGTGAGCTGAAATTGAGCCACTGCACTCCAGCCTGGGAGACAGACTTAGTCTCAAAAAATAAATAAATAAATAAATAAATAATGATTTCTAGGAGCAGCCCACCATGACCACTTTGGCTGTGTTTTGCTCCTGAGCACAGCTTTCTGCGAAAGAAGGGAATGGCTAGGAATTCTTTGGGGAGGGTTATATTCTTGTGTAATTTGGCTTCAGTGTACCACACTAACTAGCTTCAAATCCCCAAGACAGTTGTAATGACGTAAGAAAGATATCAATAATGTATAGTCTTTGGGCCGCTGGTTTAAACCCTGCATCTGCGTCTTTTCTGTAACCAAGTGTGAACACACTCCAGTAGTGAGGCGTATACTCCATGCAACTTCCTGAAGGAGGGGGAGCGGCTACATCTCAGTAGGAAATGTTTCATTAACCACGGTAAAGCCTGGGTTAGTTTCAAAGCCCTGAAAAGATTTTTTTTAATCACTATAAATCTGACTTGAAAACAAAAGGTCAGAAACTTCTCCCGGTGTAGCTTCAGATATAAACTAACTCATCAGCTAATCAAGTCTGCTCACTGATGTGGGGCACACCTGGAGCCTTCAGAAAACATCTCCAAAGAGGAAACGTTTTTTTTTTTTTAAAGTAGATAAAAAGCCCTGTAATCCAAGGGTGAGCGGGGCCCTCACTGAGTGCGGCACCGAAACTCTCCTTTTGGGAAGTGGTGGGGTCAGCCGGGAGAACATACAACATCCAGTGCAAACCTTACAACCTCCGTTTTTATTTCTGTCTTTATGTTTTTAAGTAATTGTCAATGTTTGTTACTTTGTAACATTTGTTACCAACTAACATTTTTTTCCGGATACCTTTTCTTCATCAGCAAGATTTTGATAAGTTGTTTAAGCTTTATTATTTTTTGCCAATGATAGAACAAATGAGTACATCTTTAATAATTAGACACTTCCTTACCTTTTTTTTTTTTTTTTGGAGAGCTATGGTGCCCAGGCTGGAGGACAGTAGCTATTCACAGGCATGATCATAGCATGCTGCAGCCTACAGCACCTGGGATCAAGCAATCCTCCTGCCTCAGCCTCCAGGGTAGCTGGGACTCCGGTTGCACACCACTATCCCCAACTAATTTTTTTTTGAGACAGGGCCTCACTCTGCTGTCCAGTCTGGAGTGCAATGGCACAATCACAGCTCACTACAGTCTTGATCTCCTGTGCGCAAGCGATCCTTCGATCCTTCCCACCTCAGCCCTCCAAGTATCTGGGACTACAAGTGCACGCCACCACACCCAGCTAATTGTTTATTAGCAGAGACGGGTCTCCTTATGTTGCCCAGACTGGTCTTGAACTCCTAGGCTCAAGCAATCCCTCTGCCTTGGCCTCCCAAAATGCTGGGATTGTGAGCCACTGTGCCTAGCCCAATTTTTAAAATTTTTTAGAGATCGGGGTCTCGCTATGTTGCCTAGGTTGGTCTGGAACTCTTGGCCTCAAGTGATCCTCCTGCCTCAGCCTCTCAAGCAGCCGGGACTCCAGGCATATGCAGGACTTCCTTATTTCTATAGGAAGCAGAGACAAGCGGGTTGCTCTGTGCCCACCCTCTTTCTCAAGTATTTTGTGCGACACGTGGGCACTGGTTGCCAGGGCTAAACACCTCACCAACAAAGCAGGACAGCCCAGGGATTAAACTCAAGAATCCTGGCTGGGCACAGTGGCTCACACCTGTAATCCCAGCACTTTGGGAGGCCGAGGTGAGTGGATCACATGAAGTCGGGAGTTTGAGACCAGCCTGACCAACATGGAGAAACCCCGTCTCTACTAAAAATACAAAATTAGCCAGGCAAGATGGCGCATGCCTATCATCCTAGCTACTCAGGAGGCTGAGGCAGGAGAATTGCTTGAACCCGAGAGGTGGAGGTGCGGTGAACTGAGATGGCGCCATTGCACTCCAGCCTGGGCAACAAGAGTGAAACTCCGTCTCAAAAAAAAAAAAAAATCAAGAATCCTGAATGATGTGGTGATGTGCGCCTATAATATCAGCTACTAGAGAGGCTGGGGCAGAGGGATCACTTGAGCCCAGGAAGTCGAGGCTGCAGTGAGCTGTGATCACACCACTGCACTCCAGCCTGGGCGACAGAGTGAGACACTGCCTCTTAAAAAAAAAAAAATCCTGAACAAGTGAGAAGACTGCCATCAATTTGATGGCGTTTGGACATTTATGTAAAGTATCTTTACCAGAAAATCAAGAAAATATAAACTTTTAGATTTTGGAAAGGGTATTATACACAAAGAAGCACAAGGTCAGAGAAACATTCTCATAAAGGGCTTCTGGAATCACGGATCCACAGATGGGGATATCATGACAAAGACAAAAATATCAGATGACATTTTTAAACATTTAACGTGTGCCGTGTACTGTACGAAACGGATACTCAGTTAATCTTCACAATAATTCTGGAGGTAGGTACTACTATTATGTTTATTTTGTAGATGAGGAAACTGAGGCATGGAGAGGTTCTGAAACTTGACCAAGTCGTAACTGGCACGTGGTCACAGTCAGGATTCAAACCCAGAGCTGCCTGACCCTGGAGCCTCCACAATGTGGCCTCCATGGTTAGCACTGACCTGCAGGCATCAGAGAGCTGCCGGAATACTCCTCACCCACAGGAACTGCGAGAGGCACGGCCCACGATGGCATTTTGGTGACTTTCATAGAAGTGTGAACCTCAGGTGCCTGCAGGCCTTGTGAAGGAGAACCTCTCCCTGGCTGAGGAAGGGGCACCTGGGTTTGAAAGGCCTCCTTGTGAGGCAAGGGTGCCTGGAACTTGCTTCAGAATAACCCATGGGGCGGGAGCAGGTCAGTGGGTCTGGACCAAACGGGAGCTGAGAATTGCTGAAGCTGAAGTTGACTGATGGATATGCAGGAGTGTGGGGTGTGTGTGTGCAGTGGCGTGATCACGGCTCACTGCATCCTTGACCTCACAGGCCCAAGCAATTCTCCCACCTCAGCCTCCCGAGAAGCTGGGACCATAGGCACATGCCACTACAGCTATTTTTTTTTTATTTTTTGTAGAGACAGGGTCTCCCTATATTGCCTAGGTTGGTCTTGAACTCCTGGGCTTACTAAAGCGATCCTCCTGCCTCAGCCTCCCAAAGTGCTAGGACTACAGGTGTGAGCCACCGTGACTGGCCAAGAGTTCATTTTATTCTTTTCTCTGTTTTTGTGTTTGCTTGGAATTTTACAAAATAAAATTAAAAATAAGAAAATGAGGGGCGATCCCATCGCCTCTTAAGAGGAACATGCTGACTCAACAGGAAATACTGAGGGAAGAGCCCCCCACTGAGTAAGCACCTCTGTGCGCTGGGCACCGCACAGACCCTCGCTCTCTAGTCCTCACGACACCCCTACGAGAGCGCAGCCTGCTCCAGCCTCATCTACAGAGCAGACTCCGGCGTTCAGACCACCGCTGGGATGGCTCGCCAAGGAGGCTGGGAACTGCAGCCAGGCCAGCTAGTTTGCACCAAGATGTGCTTCTTCCCTTTCTCCATCTTGAAGTACCAAGTGTTAGGCCAACCAATCACCCAGAGGAGGTGGGTATTTGGTTAAACGTTGGACTAAAAACAGAAGAAGCAGAACCACAGACAGAACCATGCAGATGAAGTGCAGCGGCCGTGGGAACAGTGAGACATCTGAGGCAACATTTCTAATGTAAAATGAGAAGGAAATGAGGTCAGGGAGCGGTGGCTCATGCCTAGAATCCCAGCACTGTGGGAGGCTAAGGAGGGTGGATGGCTCGAGCTCAGGAGTTTGAGACCCGTCTGGCCAACATGGAGAAACCCCATCTCTACCAAAATTGAAAAATTAGCAGAGCATGGTGGCACGCTCCTGTAGTCCCAGCTACTTGGAGGGCTGAGGCTGGAGGACCAGGTGACACAGTGAGACCCTGTCTCCAAAAAAAAAAAAAAAAAGAAGGAAGTGAGAATGAAGAGGGGCCCACTTTTTGCCTTGCTCAGAATTCCGTGGAAGCCACGCCACCTGCTCAGAGTGGTCCTGGGTGCGACTGCTGCACTCATTTTGTAGATGAGGAAGCTGAAGCATGAAGAGGCTGAGACACCTGCCCACGTCTTAGCTGTCATCTGGTCATAGTCCCCATGGTTAAAGGGGACTGAGCCCACCCCACACTCCAAGAAGGAGAGTGCCCACGCCTGGCCAACCTGAGTGGCACATGCCTGATGGCAGTGATGACAGTGACAATGTCTGCAGCTCTGGGAAGGGGACAGGCTCCTGCCTGTGGCATTGAATCCCACTGGATGTGGACTGGGGGCCGGACACGGAGGGAGACAACACAGCAGAAAGCGAGGCCTAAAGAGAGAGACCCTTCCCAGCGACATGGATGAGGGCCTGGCTTAGGTTACACTGCACATCCCCACTCCCTCTGGACCTGGAATTCTGTGAACCAGAAAATGGGTCGACTTAGGTTTCCGTAACTTGTAACCAAAGAATAAGGCTGAGGCCGGGCACGGTGGCTCACGCCTGTAATCCCAGCACTTTGAGAGGCTGATGCAGGTGGATCACTTGAGGTCAGGAGTTCGAGACCAGCCTGGCCAACATGGTGAAATCCTGTCTCTACTAAAAAATACAAAAATTAGCCAGGCATGGTGGTGCATGCCTGTAATCCCAGTTACTCGGGAGGCTGAGGCAGGAGAATCGCTTGAACCTGGGAGGCGGAGATTGCAGTAAACTGAGATCACACCACTGCACTCCAGCCTGCGTGACAGAGCAAGATGCTGTCTCAAAAAAAAAAAAAAAAAAAGAAGAAGAAAGCTGACTAATGATCTCACTCAGTGTGTTGAGCCCCTCCCTCTCTTCAAATGTCGGCGGCTCCGCAGTGAGCACCCCCAGGAGATGTAGAGAATCCCAAGCCTGTGCTTGGAGATTCCGATTGGCTGGACCTGGGCAGGGCCCAGGAGCTGAATAGTCAGTAAATGCTCCGATGCAGCTTCCCAGTTTGGGAAGCCATGTTCTAGGGAACACTCTTTGGAAAATGCCACTCTCTGGAACACCACGTGGGCTGTACGAACTTTCTCAGAGTTGCTTATGTTTCTAGCAATGTGCTATGACAAAATGCACATCAGCCAAAGACCTTTAGAGGAGCTTACAACAGTACCTGGTGATTTTAAGGTCCTCGTTCAAGACTCAGAAGGGATTAAAGGGCTCTGATAACTAATTTCTCGAGAAATGAGTTTTGTGTACCTGGAGCACACAAAACAGGTGATTCTGGGTAGGCCACTGAAGCCGAGAGCAGGGACTGGGACCACAGTTTATATTGCTCAAGTGTTCTCAGCCAACATGAACACTGAGTCTTAGCTGGGTTTCAGGACTTGTGGATTCCTGAAGATGGGCACGTAAAATGCTACATTTATGGAAAGTAGGTTAGCAATAGGGTCTGCAATTTCATATTCTCTGACCCAGTAATTCTACTTCTTGCACTATGACCCAGGAAAATAATGAGAGAAGTGTGCAAAAACCATGCACAGAGATGCTCCACACAGCTGTGTCTCTGACACCAGCTACTTTAGACAACTCACACGGCTATCAACTGGAGAGTGGTCCAATTAAGTTTGCAGCCTTTAAAAGCATGTTGCCAAGGAATTTTTACCACCTTGCTCACAAAACAAGTTACTGAGAATGTCGATACATATGTATATGCACACGCATCCTCTGTATAATGTTGATATATATAGGTATATACATATATATACCATATAATCTCAATTCCTTGTTTAAAAATATAGATATATCTATGTCCATATATAAAATGATAGGATATCTACCAAAATAATAACAGTGATGATCTCTGAGTAATTTCTATTTTCTTCTTTATAATTCTATTTTCTAAATTAGAAAAAGTTAAAAAATTAAAATATATCCTTTAAAAAGCATGTTTTCGGATAATTTTTTTTTTTTTTTTTTTTTTTTTTTTGAGACAGAGTCTTGCTCTGTCGCCCAGGCTGGAGTGCAGTGGCACGATCTCGGCTCACTGTAAGCTCCGCCTCCCGGGTTCACGCCATTCTCCTGCCTCAGCCTCCTGAGTAGCTGGGACTATAGGCACCCGCCACCACGCTCGGCTTATTTTTTGTATTTTTTTAGTAGAGACGGGGTTTCACCGTGTTAGCCAGGATGGTCTCGATCTCCTGACCTCGTGATCCACCCGCCTCGGCCTCCCAAAGTGCTGGGATTACAGGCGTGAGCCACCGCGCCCGGCCTTGGAGAATTTTTAATATAATGGAAAATACTTATGATACACTATTAAGGGAAAATATAGCATACAAACACATATTCCATGTGGTATCAATTAGTTTTTTTGTTTGTTTTTATTTTATTTTATTTTTATTTATTTATTTATTTTTATTTTTCTGAGATGGAGTCTCGCTCTGTCACCCAGGCTGGAGTGCAGTGGCGCAATCTCGGCTCACTACAAGCTCCGCCTCCCGGGTTCACGCCATTCTCCTCCCTCAGCCTCCTGAATAGCTGGGACTACAGGCGCCCACCACCACGCCCGGCTAATTTTTTTTTTGTATTTTTCATAGAGATGGGGTTTCACCGTGTTAGCCAGGATGGTCTCGATCTTCTGACCTCGTGATCCGCCCGCCTTGGCCTCCCAAAGTGCTGGGATTACAGGTCTGAGCCACCACACCCGGCCAGTTTTTTATTTTTTGAGGAGAGTTTCGCTCTGTCGCCCAGGCTGGAGTGCTGTGGTGTGATCTTGGCTCACTGCAACCTCCGCCTCCTGGGTTCAAGCGATTCTCTTGCCTCAGCCTCCCAAGTAGCTGGGACTACAGGCGTGCGCCACCATGCCCAGCTAATTTTTGTATTTTTTAGTAGAGACAGGGCTTCACCATGTTAGCCAGGCTGGTCTCAAACTCTTGACCTCAGGTGATCCACCCACCTAAGCCTCCCAAAGTGCTGGGATTACAGGCGTGAGCCACTGCGCCAAGGCCAATTAGTTTTTTAAAACTATATACATCTATACAGTCACACTGCACTTAATAATATTGCAATGACAGATTGCATATATGATGGTGGTTCCATACGGTCATAATACTATATTTTTACTGTACCTTTTCTTCATTTAGATATGCTTAGATACACAAATACCACTGTGTTACCACTGACTACAATATGCAGTACAGCCGCATGCTGTTCAGGTTTATAGCCTAGGAGCAACAGGCTCTACCATACGGCCCAGGCGTGTAGTAGGCTCTGCCATCTGTGTTTGTATAAGGACACTCTATGATGTTCACACAATAACGATGTTGCTTAATGACACAGTTCTCAGAACATCTCCCCAACATTAAATGATGCATGATTATATATATGATTATATAAATATGTATAAAACAGGAAAATATTAATAAAAGTCAGAAGAAATACAATAAATTGTACTTTATTTATTTATTAATTTTTTTGAGACAGGGTCTCGCTCTGTCTCCCAGGCTGGAGTGCAGTGGCACAATCACGGGCACTGAAGCCTCCACCTCTGGGGCTCAAGTGATCCTCCTGCCATGGCCTCCTGAGCAGCTGGGACCACAAGCATGGGCCACCACACCGGGCAATTTTTTGGGGGGGATGGGTATAGATAGGATCTCTCTATGTTACCCTGGCTGCTCTCAAACTCCTGGGCTCAAGTGATCCTCCCCAACTTGGCATCCCAAAGTGTTTGGATTATAGGCGTGAGCTGCCACAACCGGCTTACCTGCACTTTAAACAACAGTTTACATGAGGAACATTTCCCTGAGATGCTTCTTGACTCTGCTTGGGGCTTCTTGCATCTAGGGGTGCTTCTGCAGCACGGTCATGAGGGACGGCTGCACCCTCCGTGCTCCACAGTCCAGACAAGCACCCAGCTTCCAAAGGTGCCCCATTAACACCTGCTAGGTTAAGAGCAACTAGACAGCGAGACTAACAAGGATAATAACTCCCTCCATTCACTGAGCTCTTCCTGTGCACCCAGCACCGTGCCCAGGGCTGCGTAGGCATCAATCCCCTCCTCAAATCCTATAAGGCTGGCCGGGAGTGGTCGCTCATGCCTGTAATGACAGCACTTTGGGAGGCCGAGGCGGGCAGATCACTTGAGGTCAGGAGTTTGAGACCAGTCTGACCAACATCGTGAAGCCTCGTCTCTACTAAAAATACAAAAATTAGCGGGGCGTGGTGGTGGGTGTCTGTAATCCCAGCTACTCGGAAGGCTGAGCCAGGAGAACCGCTTGAACCTAGGAGGTGGAGGTTGCAGTGAGCCAAAATTGTGCCACTGCAGTCCAACCTGCGTGACAGAGGGAGACTCCACCTCAAAAAAAAAAAAAAAGAAAAAAATCCTACGAGGCTGGTCCTCACCTAGCAAGGGTCAGGGCTGAGACGGCAGCCCCAGTCCGTCCAATTCAACACCATGGTTGCAAGACCCATGCTCCAACCAACATCAAACTTCCATGAGGAGTGCGCCTTTCAGAAACAGCATATCTCTACCATAAGGCAGTTACTCAGGAGTGCATCTGAAATGCCCAGAACCATCTTTCTGATCCATTTATGCAAGAAAAATGTGCAATTTTTGCTTTGACCTATAATGATTGTTCCCAGAGGTTGTTTTTTATAAATAGCACATCCCGTTGCTGCTCTTGTTTTCGTTCTCCCTACCTTCTCTTCAGATGGGTAAAAGCCAATTGCTCTCATGACAAAAGGAAGCTCTGACAGGCAAATGTGTTCTGACACCTTTCTGGTCTCCATTGTGTCGATGCCTTGACTGCGGAGCTGAGAATAGTAGAAGTAGTCTTCTAGCTCCTATGTAGGAATACAACGGAAACACAACACACATTTAGGCTTAAGTCTGAAGCATCCATGAACACTTCAAGGACATTTTCTAGAAAGTACCTTTTAAGCTGAATGGGGGAACAAAGCTTTGGAATAAAGCAAGGTTAACCCTGGGCACATTTGCTTTACAAACTTAACTAGATGTTACCAGGAGGTGTTTACTCTAGGGACAATTACCCTGTAGAATTTTCCTTCCCGGCCACCAGACAGCAGACCATAGAATGGGGTCAAGTCTTCACCCCCAAGAGAAACCGCTGCCTCCAGGACACTGGAACAACAACAGAAATGTCTCTATTAGAAAGCGCTCAAGCATGAGCATGGCTCAGAAGGTGGTCCGCACAGCACTGCGGCCCTCTGAAGGGTATCACAGCACAGATACAGTTAGGGTCTCTACACACTTGTTAAGAAAAGGTCCTTTAAAATGAAGCCCAAACCAGAAAATTCCATTTCAAGCGTGGAACTCAGAGGTAGAGGGCATCTGCCTTAATTATGGTGATATTCTCTTGATGATGACAGGGCAGGTGCTTGGCAATTTGTCTGCAATCTTTGGGGAACATGTCTCTCCTGGGGGTGGGGGAGGCATCCTGTGTTCTGAAACCACAATCCTCCCAGACAGAGCAGCCTTACCCGTAACTTTAGATCCACGAACGATCAGAGTCAAAAGAATGGGATATTGTACAAGTGAACTGCCAACACTAATTGCTTCCATAAAAACTCAGGAGACCACAGGGACCCATGCCAGTCAGATAAAAATAACCCTCTGCTCTCTAACTCAAGGTCAGACTTTCCAAAAATAGGCCCTTTCAATGGTAAGAAAACCTACTTTTGTATGAGACCAACTTTGCCTCCTACAAAAGGCTAATCATCAGAAATCATTCTAATAATCCACTAACTGGATTACTGCTAATCGGGTGATTAGCCTTTTTGCTGCGACATCAAGCACACCTCATGTAGACCACAGTGGGGAAGTGGGGAAGTGTCCAGAGTGTGGAGTCACACGGACATGTGTGCAAGTCCCGGCTCTACCCCTGGCAAGCTGTGTGATTCTGGGGAGGTGACTTAACCCCCCTGGCATCAGTGTCCTCCACTATAAAATGAGACGATTCTGCCTCACAGCATTGTTGTAAGAATTAATAAATAAACGCAGACACGGTATTCTAGTCTGTTTTCATGCTGCTGATAAAAACATACCCGAGACTGGGCAATTTACAAAAGAAAGAGGTTTATTGGACTTACGGTTTCACATGGCTGGGGAGGACTCACAATTATGGCGCAAGGTGAAAGGCATGTCTCACATGGCAGTGGCAAGAGAGAGAATGAGAGACCAAGTGAATCAGGTTTCCCCTTATCAAACCATCAGATCTCATGAGACTTATTCACTACCATGGGAACAGCATGGGGGAAACTGCCCCCACAATCCAACCATCTCCCACCAGGTCCCTCCCACAACACATGGGAATTATGGGAGTACAATTCAAGATGAGATTTGGGTGGAGACACAGCCAAACCATATCATTCCGCCTCTGACCCCTCCCAAATCTCATGTCCTTACATTTCAAAACCAATCATGCCTTCCCAATAGTCCCCCAAAATCGTAACTCATTTCACATTAACTCAAAAGTCCACATCCAAAGTCTTATCTGAGACAGGCAAGTCCCTTCTGCCTGTAAAATCAAAAGCAAGTTAATTACTTCCTAGATAGAATGGAGGTACCAAAATTGGGTAAATACGGCCATTCCAAATGGGAGGAATTGGCCGAAACAAAGGGGCTACAGGCCTCATGCAAGTCTGAAATCCAGGAGGGCAGTCAAATCTTAAAGCTCCAAAATGATCTCCTTTGACTCCATGTCTTATATCCAGGTCACGCTGATGCAAGAGGTGGGTTCCCATGGTCTTGGGCAGCTCCATCCCTGTGGCTTTACAGGGTACAGCCTCCCTCCTGGCTGCTTTCATGGGCTGGCATTAGTGTCTATGGCTTTTCCAGGCAAACAGTGCAAGCTGTCAGTGGATCTACCATCCTGAGGTCTGGAGGATGGTGGCCCTCTTCTCACAGCTCCACTAGGCAGTGCCCCAGTAGAGACTCTGTGTGGGGGCTCTGACCCCACATTTCCCTTCCACACTGCTCTAGCAGAGGTGCTCCATGAGGGCCCCGCCCCTGCAACAAACTTCTGCCTGGGCATCAAGGTGTTTCCATACACCTTCTGAAATCTAGGCAGAGGTTCCCAAACCCCAATTCTTGACTTCTGTGGACTGGCAGGCTCAACACGTCATGAAAGCTGCCAAGGCTTGGGGCTTCCACCCTCTGAAGCCACAGCCTGAGCTCTATGTTGGCCCCTTTCAGCCATGACTGGAGTGGCTGGGATGCCGGGCACCAAGTCCCTAGGCAGCACACAGCATGAGGATCCTGGGCTTGTCCCAAGAAACCATTTTCTCCTAGGCCTCCAGGACTGTGATGGGAGGGGCTGCCAAGAAGATGTCTGACATGCCCTGGAGACATTTTCCCCATTGTCTTGCAGATTAACATTCAGCTATTGGTTACATAGGCAACTTTCTACAGTTGGGTTGAATTTCTCCTCAGAAAATGGGTTTTTCTTTTCTATCACATAGTCAGGCTGCAAATTTTCCAAACTTTTATGCTCTGCTTTCTTTATAAAACTGAATGCCTTTAACAGCACCCAAGTCACCTCTCGAATGCTTTGCTGCTTAGAAATTTCTTCCGCCAGAGGCCAGGCGCGGTAGCTCATGCCTGTAATCCCAGCACTTTGGGAGGCCGAGGCAGGTGGATCACGAGGTCAGGAGATCAAGACCATCCTGGCTAACACGGTGAAACCCTTTCTCTACTAAAAATACAAAAAATTAGCCAGGCATGGTGGCACACACCTGTGGTCCCAGCTACTCAGGAGGCTGAGGCAGGAGAATCACTTGAACCCGGGAGGTGGAGGTTGCAGTGAGCCAAGATCGTGCCATTGCACTCCAGCCTGGGTGACAAGAGTGAGACTCCATCTCAAAAAAAAAAAAAAAATTACTCTACCAGATATCTTAAATCATCTCTCTCAAGTTCAAAGTTCCACAAATCTCTAGGGCAGGGGCAAAATGCCACCAGTCTCTTTGCTAAAACATAACAGAATCACTTTTGCTCCAGTTCCCAACAAGTTCCTCATCTCCATCTGAGACCACCTCAGCCTGAACCTTATTGTCCATATCACTATCAGGCTTTTGGCTAAAGCCATTCAACAAGTCTCTAGGAAGTTCCAAACCTTCCCACATCTTCCTGTCTTCTTCTGAGCCCTCCAAACTGTTCCAACCTCTGCCTGTTACCCAGTTCCAAAGTCACTTTGACATTTTCAGATATCTTTTCAGCAGTGCCCCATTCTACTGGTACCAATGTACTATATTAGTCCATTTTCATGCTGCTGATAAAGACATAACTGAGACTGCACAATTTACAAAAGAAAGAGGTTTATTGTTACAGTTTCATGTGGCTGGGGAGGCCTCACAATCATGGCGGAAGGTGAAAGGCACGTCTCACATGGCAGTGGCAAGAGAGAATGAGAGCCAAGTGAAACAGGTTTCCCCTTATCAAACCATCAGATCTTGTGAGACTTATTCACTACCACGAGAACAACATGGGGGAAACCACCCCCTGCTCCCCCACCATCCAACCATCTCCCACCAGGTCCCTCCCACCATACACGGGAATTATCGGAGTACAATTCAAGATGAGATTTGGGTAGGAACACAGAGCCAAACCATATCACAAAGATTGGAGACAAAAGTCCTTTATTTTCCTCCTGTAATGAATGTTTGTTAAGGTGTGGGGTGGACTTAGAAAGCCCTGGCTGTGAATCCCAGCTCCACTGCCTCCTCCATTGCTTGGGCAGTCATCAGACCCCTTGGAGTTAGCTTCTTGATGTGTCTGATGGGGATAATATTGGTGCCTGGCTCCCAGGATGGCTGTCAGGATGAAATCAGATGATACATGGAACTCACTCAGTGCAGGCCCCGGCCCTGAGAAAACTCAGCACAAGTGGTTGGGATTATTACGGCCATGGAAATGGGTATCAGCACACTCCTACACCTTTCTTAGGAAGAGTCTGCCATGCACTGTCCTGGGTCCTCTCACTGAGGCATGCACAAGCCCACGGACTGGCTTAAGGTCTGAGGAACCTGGGTATTCTCCAGGGGTGCCTGAGGGCCCCTCCAGCAAGACCCTCCAGCAAGGGCCCCTCCAGCAAGGGTCTTCCCCACTTCTCAGCACTTGCCATGGAGGCAAGTGTCCAGCTGAGAGGGCTCCCTCTCTGTGGCCTCCAGGCCAGGCCCAGGCCCAATCCCAACAAGCTCAGTGAGCAGCAAGGCCACTTTTAGCCATGTGGCTCTGGAGCAGAGCCAGGTAAAGGCCAGAAGTGACACAGAGGAGCCTGTCCCCAGCAGGAGCCCCTGAGGGGAAAGGCTAGCAAGAGCACCTGGTCCTCTGAGAACAGCCTGCAGCTCCCGGCTCTGGTGTTCAGAGCTCCCCTACATCCCCTACCTCCTGGCCACCGTCAACTGACCCCAGAGGGGCCAGGGGGCTGTACTGGCATTTCTCCAACACAAGCTGGGAAAGAGACTCCCTCTCTCTGTGGTGAGAGCTATAATTTGTGAAATTTGGGAACTGTCAGCAGCCATCTTCCTGCTGAGTAAGGAAACCCAGTTCTGCAGAGAATGAAGCCAACAGCAGGGCCAAGTAGACAGCAAGTGCTGTGAGCACCAAGTGTGCCGCTGTCCGTGACCTTCTTGTGGTGTAGCTACATGCGATCCCAACGACCTTCTCATACATTCCCTTTTGCCTAAATTGTGTTTCTAACACTTGCAACAGAAAAGAGGTCATTAGGGCACAAAAGGGAAATGACACTTATTGAAAACCTGCTCTGTACCCAGCAATCCATACAGTACTTCTGGAAAGGAGCTAAAGCTCAGCCCTGTGGCAAGCACACAGTAGGTGCTCTGTAAACGCTCCCTGGATGAGGAGGAGGAGGAATGGTCTGAACTTGGTGGTAGCAGTCCCATTTAAGAGTTGGAGGAACTGAGGCTCCGAGAAGTGAAGGGACTTGCCTGGCGTCATCCAGCAAGCAGGTAGTGATTAGCTAGGATTCGAATCGGGGTCTCTCTGCTCTTGGCTGAGCAGGGCAGCAGGATGACAGGAGGCAGGGAGGATGAGCACAAAAAAGTAATGCAGGATTTGGAAACAGATGCCAGACAAGGAGAAGAGAAAGGGTGCATGCTAGCACGGAGCAGGAGAAGAAGGGGCGTGCGGAATGAACCCTGAGAGAGGGGATGGAAGGGGCTCTCCCGGGGCAGAAGCGCCATAGACTGTGATGGTAGCAGTTGGGGCCAAGGGGTGCACTGACTGAAATGATCGAATGTGAGGGGATTTATCATCTTTATCTCCCCTACAACTCATCATCAGTAACTCTAGTAGGAAATTCTGTTTGTTTACTTGTTTAGGTTTTTTACATTTCTCTCCATTAGTGAAGTGCTGATCATATTAAGTCACCAGAAGCAGCAATGAAGTGATAATTAGTTTATAATGATCCTTTGTCCCCACCACAGATTAAATTGAAATTCTCAGAAGCCTGGACTCTGGCCAGGCGAAAGCTATTGGAAAGCAGAGGCCTTTTTTTCTTCTTCTTAAATTTCTACCATTCCAGATCCCACGACGACTGAGAAGAAGACAAACATTTCAGAAGGAAGGTTCTAGCTGGGTGCAGTGGCTCACATCTGTAATCCCAACACTTTAGGTGCCCAAGGCTTGAGCCCATGAGTTCAAGACCAGCCTAGGCTTGGTGTGACTCTGTATCGACAAAAAAAATTTTTTTAAAGTTAGCCAGGCACATTGGCATATGCCTGTGGTCCCAGCTACTCAGGAGGCTGAGGCAGGAGAATTGTTTGAGCCCAGGAGTTCGAGGCTGCAGTGAGCCATGATCACACCTCTGTACTACAGCCTGAGCGACTGAGCCAGACCCTGTCTCAACAACAACAACAAATAGAAGGGAAGGTTCTGCTTGTCCCCACAGGGTGTGGCTTGCCCCCATGGTTCCAGGCAACAAGCCAGGGAGCAAGGAACCAGGCAGCCATTCTGAGGCCATGATCCCTTTTCAATAGGAGAGTTCACCTCCAGCTCCTAAATCCTCAAGTTCCCAAGATCTGCTCTCTCAGGTGAAGGTGGGGTGGAAGTCAGAGCTGCAAGTGCAATCTCAAACCACCGTGGTTCCAAAGCAGATTTAACCGGCTATTTTTGCTCATATTCAGGTTAAGAGTAGAAGCTTCAATATCTGCCATAAAAAGAAAGATGTGCATTTGGCAGATGGCAGGGGGTACACTGTGCTGGCAGCCAGGAATCAGGTTTGTTTTCCGAGGAAGGAAGGTGCCTCTGAGCTGTTTTTGCTCCTCAACGTCACACTACCGAGAGAGGCCCAGCCGAGCCACAGGCAGCGCAGGGGCTTGGAGAAGTGGTCAGGAACAGGAACCGGCTGCCACATGGTTGACTCTGCCCTGCGGCAGCATGCCGGATTTGGGTAGATGAGAGGACAGTGTGGGTGCTTGTCCCCTCTTTATTAGGGAAGATTCTGAGCTCATAAGCAAATGCCCTTACAGGAAGAAGAGACGAAAGGAAATCATTCACTTGCCGAGTACTTTGCTCTGTACTAGGTGCTTTTCCCCTATTAAACTACCTGATCTTTACAGGGATCCTACAGAAGTTCCTATTATCACCCCCATTTCACATGCTATCACCCTCATTTTGCATGCAAGGAATCTAAAGATCAGGGACGTTAAGAAGCTTGCCCTAGGCCCCATAGCCAGTAGAGGGTGGGCCCATATTCAAACTCATATTATCCCTTTCACCTCAAAGTCCACATACTCTCCAATGTTCAACTCTAGAATTCTCCAGCCTCGCCTCAGGCAGAGGTTCTCCATTCAGGGCAGGGAGGGTGAGAAGAGGAGCCGAAAATACCACTTGAAATGATCCTCTTACTATTTCCGTAGTATATGCTTTGGAGGGTCGGCCTAGATCTTTCTAGCAGGTGTGGATATGTGGAGCAGAGGGAGAAGCATTTTAGGGAGCAGGGGTGAGCCCAAGGTGCTGTCACATCGCCTGAACTGCAAACACCATTGGTCCATGGGACAGGACAGCAACTCCTGTCTGCAGAGTAATGTGAGCAATGCCACCGGGGAGCAACCTGAAGGCCAGGCCCTGTGACATCCTAGCACAGTGCCTGGCACGCAGTAGGGTTCAGTGTCTATCACTGTTGCTGAGTGAAAAGGAGTTTACACTTGATACCTTCCTTCTCGCCCCATCGTGTACCTTAAGGTGATTTTCCACTGCACCACCGAGCGATCGTGCCCTCCCGCAGTGAAGGCGTAGCAGCCATCATAGGAAACGGCCATGCCGGCCACCCCGTTCGGGTGGCAAACAATAGCAGATGTCTTATGTGGATTGCCGTCAACTGGTAAGATCTGAAGTCCCACCTAGAAAGGAACACATAATTGGATATTCAGACTCAGGTAGCTGGGCCCGAGAGAGGCCTGGCACGTTCACATGTCACCTCCAGATCTGTGTGCCAGAAGGACCTGTGTGTCTGGACCCATCTCTGAGTGTGAGAGCCACATTTAATGTAGCTGGGCATCCACACACACCAGCCCTGGTAGGGGGCCCCTTGCACAGCTCTAACAGGTACACAGAAGGGAAGCTTTCCTCCCTGCCTTCATGGTCAGTTGTCCAGGGTTTTCCAGAATACATCTCACAACCTATGACTTTACACTTTTCTTTTTTTTGACGGAGTCTCACTCTGTCGTCCAGGCTGGACTGCAGTGGCGCGATCTCGGCTTACTGCAAACTCCGCCTCCCGGGTTCATGCCATTCTCCTGCCTCAGCCTCCTGAGTAGCTGGGACTACAGGCGCCCACCACCACGCCCGGCTCATTTTTTGTATTTTTAGTAGAGACGGGGTTTCACCGTGTTAGCCAGGATGGTCTCCATCTCCTGACCTCGTGATCCACCCGCCTTGGCCTCCCAAAGTGCTGGGATTACAGGCGTGAGCCACCTCACCTGGCCCGACTTTACACTTTTCAACGCAGATTATTCATTAAATGTACAACAAAGTGTAACTAATTTGCATATTTTTACAAGAGTTTTTCCATGTAAATAAATAAGAAGGAAAAATCCTTTGGTGGCCCATGTATCTTCACTGGGAATATAGAAAATGCAGTAACTCTGCTCAGAAATGTCTCCCAAGAGTCTTCCTAACTCATCAAGGGCAATTTTCAGTATCACAGCTGACTGGGGTGGAAGCAGTTGGGCTTGGCTGTAAACCCAGAACTCTCTGAGTCTCGTGATCTTCAGTAATGACTGCTGCTCATGACACACAGAGTCAACTCCCAGAACTGGAGAAGAGAGCGCTGTTACCTTGTCTCTGTTAATAAACACCAAGTAGCGTTTCTGTAGCTCCGCCATGCTTCTCACTGGGAGGACTTGTGTCTGCTCAATAGGGGAACCATAAGCTGGCCCCAGAAGCGTCTTTCTGAAGGCAAAAAGAGAAAGAGTTTTTAAAATTCCACAAATCTCAACATAGGTTTTAAGATTCTTTGGTCGGGCCAGGCGCAGTGGCTCACACCTGTAATCCCAGCACTTCGGGAGGCCAAGGCAGGCGGATCACAAGGTCAGGAGTTTGAGACCAGCCTGGCCAATATGGTGAAACCCCGTCTCTACTAAAAATACAAAAATTAGCCAGGCGTGGTGGCAGGTGCCTGCAATCCCAGCTACTCAGGAGGCTGAGGCAGGAGAATCGCTTGAAACTGGGAGGTGGAGGCTGCAGTGAGCTGAGATTACGCCACTGTACTCCAGCCTAGGTGACAAAGTGAGACTCCATCTCAAAAAAAAAAAAAAAAGACTCTTTGGTCATGGATGGGGCATGGTGGCTCACGCCTGTAATCCCAGTACTTTGGGAGGCCGAGGCAGGTGGATCAACTGAGGTCAGGAGTTTCAAGACCAGCCTGGCCAACATGGTGAAACACCACCTCTACTAAAAAAAAAAAAAAAAAAAAAAAATTAGCCAGGCATAGTGGTGCGCGCCTGTAGTCCCAGCTACTCAGGAGGCTGAGGCATGAGAATCGCTTGAACCTAGGAGGTGGAGGTTGTAATGAGGTGAAATCACGCTACTGCACTCCATCCTGGGTGACAGAGCAAGACTCCATCGAAAGGAAGAAGAAGGGGAGGGGGAGGGGGAGGGGAGGGAAGGGGAGGGGAGGGGAGGGAAGGGGAGGGGAGGGAAGGGGAGGGAAGGAGAGGGGAGGGGAGGGGAGGGAAGGGGAGGGGAGGGGAGGGGAGGGAAGGGAAGAGTTTTTAAAATTCCATAAATCTCAACATAGGTTTTAAGACTCTGGTCATGGGCAGAACGCAGTGGCTCATTCCCATAATCCCAGCACTTTGGGAGGCTAAGGTGGGAGGATTGCTTGGGGTTAGGAGTTCGAGTCCAGCCTGGGCAACATAGTAGTTTCCTGTCTCTATGAAAAATTAGCCTGGCTTGGTGGCCTGAGGCTAAGGTGGGAGCATTGTTTGAGCCTGGGAGGTCGAGGCTGCAGTGAGCTGAGATCATGCCACTGCACTCCAGCCTGGGCAACAGAGTGAGACCCTGCCTCAAAAAAAAAAAAAAAAAGAAGAAGAAGAAGGAGAAAATCTATATCTCCACATTGCTGCACCCTATCCCAAGATAATCATGAGTAATAATTTGGTGTATATGACTCAAGAATTTCTTTTGTAATTATAATTTTATATAAAAATAGAATTATGCTATTCATGCTTCATTGGTAATTTGCTTTATCTCATTTTACATCTTTGAGATATTTCCACGTCATTACACAGAGAGCTGTCTTACTCTTCCTTTTTTTTTCTTTTCTAAAAGCAGCATCGTGTTCCAGTGTACTGACAAACCATTGTTTAACTCATCCCCTATTAATGGGCATTTGGATTGTTTCCATTTTTAAAAATATTTTCAAACAAGACATCCGTTTACTTATGTCTTGGCATACTGTGTGAGTACTTCTGTGGGCTACATTCCTAGAAGTCAGAAGATATGATAAAATTTAATAGAGGGTGACAAATTGCTTTCCCAAAAGGTTACACTGATTCACACCCGCCCCCAGAAGCGGATGAGAGTGCCCGTTTTCCTAGCCTCTTGCCAATGCTAAGCACTATCAATCATTTTTATCTTTGCTAATCTGATTGGTGAAAAAATGATATCTTGTTTTCATTTGCATCTTTGACATACTAGTGAGCATCTGCTCATAGGTTTATTGGCCTTTTCCTGTGAACTGCCTTTTCATGTTCTTTCAAATCTTTTTTAAATGCATTTTTACATTCTTTTGGATTTATCACAAAAAGACAATTCCTTCCCAATTAAGCCATGGTTATGAGGCTTTCTTATTCCTACAGCTTACAAGATGCTTTATGCAAGGGCTTTTATTCTGGAATGATGGAAATGCTCTGAAGCTACAGTGGGGGTTGCACAGCACCATGAGTACTAAATGCCATGGAACTGTTCACTTTCTTTATTTTATTTTATTTTATTTTTTTTAAGACAGAGTCTAGCTCTGTCGCCCAGGCTGGAGTAAAGTGGCTAGTAAAATCCCGCCTCACTGCAACTTCCACCTCCCGGGTTCATGAGATTTCCTGCTTCAGTCTCCCACGTAGCTGGGATTACAGGTGCATGCCACCACGCCCGGCTAATTTTTGTATTTTTAGTAGAGACAGGGTTTCACCATGTTGGCCAGGCTGGTCTCGAACTCCTGACCTCAGGTGATCCACCTGCCTCGGCCCCTCCCAAATGCTGGGGCGTGAGCCACCACGCCCGGCTGAACTGTTCACTTTCAAATGGTTCATTTTATGTTACGTGAGTATCACCTTGATAAAAATTTTTAAGATGCTTTATGCTAATTTCAGATTGATCATCAACAGGCAGAAGCTCCCAACTTTGTGTCTAAAAGTCCCTCCTGCCTCTTTCCTCCAGTGAATGACTGTTAGCAGGAACTTCAGGCCCGAGGTCTGCCAGCCCTCATTCTCCAGCTCTGCCAATTCAGTGTCTTAGGACTGCGCATATCTGAGAGATATTCTTTGTCCAAAAAGTATGTTTTCATTAAAAACTATGCACAATGATTCTGAAATCTTTCTAAAGCTCCTCTTTACACATGCTTTCCAGTGTTTTAATCGTTTAAGGAAACTGTCCTGGATTTTTCTCTCTACCATAAAACATGGCATTTCTCAGTCATTTTTTCTTGTGCCTTCTGGGAAAGAACTGTTTACAACAACAACAACAACAACAACAACAACAACAAATCCCGGGTGGTCCTGGCCTTTTGAGGACCTGTCTTATCTGAGATACATTTCAAAACCATGATAGTCTTCAAGCCTGAGCCAGCTGCTGCCAGTTCCCTGACTTCCTTCTCCTGGTGGTGGTGGCAGTGGCAGTGGTGGTGGTCGTGGTGGATCACTGAAACATTCTCCCTTCGAACTTCTCCTGCCTCCATCCTTCTTTCCAGCCATACCCAAGACACAGCCAAACCAAAGGCAGAAGCTCCCCTCCAGGGCTGACCAGGTAAGATCCCAAAGCCAGGGCTGTGTCGAGGCCCCACAGCGCTGAGTAGAGGATGGGGTCAGGGCTAGGGTCAAGGGTCAAGTCCTGCCCTGTTTGACCTTGGACAAGTCACACAGCCTCCTGAAGCTCGGTGGGAGAATAGTTAGCAGGGCTGTGGATGAGGGAATGGGATGACAGTGCAGGCCCTGCTGTACTCGAGGCACAATCGTCAGTGTTTCTTGTGAGGGCTCACAGGGGCCAAAGCACAGGGGCCCACGTGCATGTGCAGGATGGCATCAGGAGGGAGGAGATGCCACTCTAGGATGCTGGGCTGCAGATGCCCTGCTCCCTGGCTGTGGACTCCCTGCTCCCCAGCAGCGGACGCCCTGCTCCCCGGCTGGTGTCCTCCCCGTCTCGTGCCTTCAACCATCCTGTGTTCCTGACTCCAGCCCAGCCTCTCCCGGGACCTCCACAATCCAGAGTCTGATTCGTGGGTTCCCACCTGAATGCCAAGCAGGCATCTCAAGCTTGCCTTGTCCAGTCTGACCCCTGGTTTATCTCAAAGCTATCTTTCCCTTGTCCTCCTCATCTCTTTAAAGGTCCAGTCCATTCTTCTGACTTCGAGAGGTGTCTTCTCTCACACCTCCTGTTCCCTCCATTAGCAAACGCTGTTCGCTTTGCCGGCAGGATATATCCAGAATCTGACCCCTCTTTTCTGCCCTCAGGGCCAAGCCGCCATCAGCTCTCACACCAGTTTCCCGAATCTTGCTTCTACCTTTGCGCCCCAGAGTCTGCTCTCTGTACAGAAGCCAGACATCATTCTAAAGCATCAATCAGAACATGTCACTCCCCTGCTCAAAACCCTCCACTAGCTCTCGCCTTACCCGGGAAGGAACCAGAGTCTCCAGGGTGCCGTGTGCCTGGCACCAGCCCGTACCTCTGACCTGCTCTCCCATGCCCCCTCCTTGCCCATTCCACTCTGGCCTCACCAGCCTTCGCGGCATTTCCCAAACCCCAGACGCCTCCCACCTTCACTCATTGGCCCTTGCTGATCCACTGTCTTTCCTCCAACCGCACAGCAGCCCCTCGCTTCCCCCTCACTTTCTTCAAGTCTCTGTCTGGATGCTCAGATGTCCCCTGCTCTCCAAGGCCTTCCCTGCCTCCCCACCTTTTTATCCTGCCTTTTCCTTTTCCTTTTTTTTTTTTTCTTCTTTGCACAGACCTGATTACCACATACCTACTACCTTGCTACTTGTTCACGCCATTGCATCACCTGCCCCCGCCAACATGTAAACTCCACAGTGATGGAAACTGTTCTGTTTTCATCATCTTCAGCACCTAAAACGGTACCTGGCTCACGCAGGGTGTAAACAAAGGAGGGCTAGCAATTAAAGTTAAAACTCCTTTGAGACCCAAGAGTAAGAAAAAATCAAACAATTGTTAGTAGCCAGGTAAAACTATGTTTTTCTTAATGAGAGGAGAATAGGAGATAGCATTAGCAACTTTCCCAGGGCCCCAGGGTCTGTGTCCTTCCTGGATTCTGCACATCTCACCTCCACACAGGGCCACATGACCTTGGTGAGAATTACTTACGTTATCTGTGCCTCAGTCTCCTCCTCTGCAAAGCAAAGAGGATGATAATAGTAGCCAAGCTGCCTGCAGGTCCCTATGTGGAGACCTGAAACAGGTTGGGGGCAGAGAACTTGATCCACGCCCCCTGCAATGGGAAGCTCCGGGTGCTTACCTGCACATTTTGGTAGTAGCATTAAAAAGCTTCACTTTGTAGCCACTGTTGCAAATAAGCAGGAAGAGTTCCCTGGTGAGTGGTGGGTACCAGACCATGCAGGTGGGATAGCAGCCCTGGTCGGTGTGGTGAATGTCCAGGACTTCCAGGTGGTCTTTGTAGCTCCTGAGAAGATCATACTCTATCTGCAGAGGAGCCCAGATGGACACACATGAGGACCAAGCCAAATTAAAGGCTCAGCTAAGGAACCCCAAGCTCTTGGGTGACAGCCTTTATAATTATCAGCCAACAGTGCTGTTCTGGGGGAGACGGTATCAGGTCTCCTAAGAGAAGACTTGCCTAGACCTGACACTGACTAAGTCATCAGTACTGAGAATTCACTACCTGGAAGACAATGAGCTGAGTGCTCTAAAAACAGCTGTCATGTCATCCTCAGAACTTCCCTGCAAAGGGGTACTGTTCTGCCCATTTTACAGATGAGAAAACAGATGTTCAAGGATGTTCAGAGTGGCTTGTCCAAGGTCACATAGCTAAAAAGTGGCAGAGTAAAAATTCAAAAATTCAAATTTAGATCCAGCTGATTCCCACACCTGACGTCTTACAGTTCTGTTATACTGTGTCACTTATTATCTTAGGAACTAATTCATATCTAAATCTCAGCCCAACACTTGGCAGTCACAAATCAGTAGCCACTGAACTGGGCCCATACAGGTATGCTTCCGTGGGCAGGGCAGAATGGATGGATGGATGGGTGGATGGACGGATGGATGGATGGATGGACAGATGGATGAATGGATGGAGAAACTGAATAAAGGAAGGAAGGGGAGAGAAAGAAGGGAGGGGCGGGGGAGGGAGGGAAGAAGAAAGGGAAGGAAGGAAGGGAGGGAGGGAGAGAGGGGGAGAAGAAAGGAGGGAGGGAGGGAGGAAGGAAAAACAGACAGATACAATGACTGGTTGAATCCATTTCACCTGACTCTGTAATATTGCGTTTGCCCATCCCTACCTTTTCCTCTTATCTCACAACCTCTCCTAGTTTTCACATTTAGGTAGCAGCCTGGCCCCAACTGATGGACATGAAGACAGTGTTAGTGAGTGTCAGCCCTCCCCGTGCACACTGGGAGGCAAGGGCGGCTGCTTTCCAAGCTATGGGGAACTCCCCGCTCCTTGCCTTCTAACTTGTTGCTGCCCGGGAAGCCTCCTCGTTCAGCACAGGAGTCCCCAGGTGGTGTCCCAGCCATGTTAAGGCAAAATGCCAACCTGGAGAGGTTTGTGATCCTTCACTGTGCATTCATTTTCTCCAACAAACACACGTACTGTGGGCCTGGCTCTATGCAAGATGCCAGGGATGTCACAAGAGTGAGACACAGTCTTGGCGACCAGGTCAACGAAAACTAAACAGCTCACCAAGAGCCTGTCTGTCCCAAGGCTCAGCAGTCTAGGCTCATTGCTGTCCAGGTAAACCCCAAACAGGAGACTTCGAATGCTTTTGCGATGAGAGCGAAGTCTTGCTAAGTACTCCCAGACCCTCTGTCCATTTCTGACCACCAGCATGTAAACAGCCACAGTAAAACTTCTATCCTGAAGATGAGCAAAAGAGAAGGAGTTATCCCATTTTACGTTTAGTAAATTAAGAATCATCATTATGGGCCAGGCGCGGTGGCTCACGCCTGTAATCCCAGCACTTTGGGAGGCCGAGGCGGGTGGATCACCTGAGGTCGGGAGTTTGAGACCAGCCTGGCCAATATGGCAAAACCCCATCTCTACTAAAAATACAAAAATTAGCTGGGCGTGGTGGCACATGCCTATAATTCCAGCTACTTGGGAGGCTGACACAAGAATTGCTTGAACCTGGGAGGAGGAGGTTGCAGCGAGCCAAGATCTGTTGCACTTCAGCCTGTACAACAGAGCAGGACCCTATCAAAAAAAAAAATACTAAGAATATTTTTTTCAAAAATAATCTTAGTCTATTCAAGCAAGTAGTAAAACAATATCCATTTTAGTTTTAGTTTAGTTTTTTTGGGTTTTTTTTGAGACAAGAGTCTTGATCTGTTGCCCAGGCTAGAGTGCAGTGGCCTGATCACGGCTCACTGCAGTCTCAGTCTCCTGGGCTCAAAAGATCCTCCAGCCTCAGCCTCCTAAGTAGCTAGGACTACAGGCACATGCCACCATACCTGGCTAGTTTTTTTTCATTAGTTTTTGTAGAGATGGGGGGTGTCTCACCATGTTGCCCAGGCTGGTCTCGAACTCCTGCCTCAAGCAATCTGACTGCCTCGACCTCCCAAAGTGCTGGGATTACAGGTATAAGCTACACCTGGCCTAATGCCCATTTTACAGATAAGAAAATTAAAGTTAAAAGCAGAAAACTGAAAAGGTAGCGGGGAAGAAAGTATGAACGTGAAACTATGGTTTTACACTCCTTTCCAGGTGCCCCCTCGCTGTCTGTGGAAAGCCAAAAGCCTGACTCTTTGTGCCTTCGTCCTCCCTTTTCTTTGTCCAGCTACATATAATAAAAAAGCTATGTGTTTTTGAAAGGTATGAAGGCTGCAAGTGAACCCAGTTGGAGTGGGAGAGCCTGGCCTGAGGGGACACAGAAGCTGGACTGTGTGCACCCACAGTATGCTGAGACAGCTTTGGCTTCAGAAGCGTTGTGTACACAAACCGGAGGAGTGGCCGCACCAGTGTGGGGATGGAGAGCGCCGGAAGGGACAGGAGTTTAGCGAAGACCACTGCTTTTCCCTCCCAACATAAAGGCAGACCAACATACCTGCCTTATAGCTCACTGTAACCTCAAACTCCTGGCCCGCAGGGGTCCTCCCGCCTCAGCCTCCTGGATAACTGGGGCTACAGATGTGTGCCACAAGGCCTGGCTAATTTTTAAAAAGTGTTTTTGTAGCAGTGGGGTCCTGCTGTGTTTCCTAGGCTGGTCTTGAATTCCTGTCCTCCAATGATCCTCCCACCTCGGCCTCCCAAATCATTGGGATTACAGGTGTTAGCTACTATGTCTGGCCTCTTTTGGTTTCAAATAAAATTGCTAAGCCACTGGATGGGTTGTCCATGAAAATACTTACAGCAGTTGCCATATACTGGGAGTCATGGGAAAAGCTTATATGAGTCACACTGGTTCTGGAATATTTGAAAGGCTCTGGGCTTTCATTTTCTAAAGACATTGCATCAAGAATGTAAACTGTCCCCTCTGTAAAGCCAGCTCCAAGAAGGGCTCCTGAAATGACAAGCCAGAGAACGATGGAAAAGGATTACATTCATTCAAGAGATGTTGAGTCTGTGCCAGGCTTTGTTCTGGGTGCGGAGAAGACAGCAACTAACACAACAAAGCTCCCGTGCGGAGAAATGAACCGAAACGCGTGATCTCCTGGGGTGAGCGCGCAGAGACGCACAGATAGGCCCAGGACACCGCGGGAGCCCCAGAGAGAAGGCGCCTCATCCAGCCTGCTGGGGTGAGCGCGCAGAGACGCACAGATAGGCCCAGAACACCACGGGAGCCCCAGAGAGAAGGCGCCTCATCCAGCCTGCTGGGGGCTGGAGTCGGGGAGACTTCCTGGAGCTATGCCAGCCCAGGTGCATCCATCCCTTTCAGGGCTGTCCATGTGGAACCGATGGTAGGCTGATAAGATGAAAATACCTTCGGGGTTGTAGGTCAGACTCTGGACTCCAAGCCCCTTCTCAAAAACCCTGCTGAAAAGATATTGTTTGTTTTCATAATTCCACACTTTGATCATCCCACAGATGCTCCCGATGGCAATGAGGGGTTGATATGGGTGGCAGGAGATGGCACAAATGGCATCCTTGGGCTCTACAAATAACTTCTCAAGTTTGGTCCCATCTGTTGTTAAGTGGTACACCGCGGCATCAGATGTTCCAATGATAAAATTCCTGTTTGCCAAGGAGAGACCAAACAATATCAGTGTTTGCAGGGAATGGGGCATGCCAGCTATTCTGCTTCTAATTGCACATAAAACGCCTCTGTCGTCTGTAATTTAGTGACATTATTAACCCAACATTTCCAAAAATATACCACCAATACCCAACAGCCTCCATTTGCAAGTGAAAAAGCCCACTTTTCTCCATGTAAATTGAGTCATTAAGTATGCAGATGGACAGTCAGTTGTACAATTAGCTAATCTGCACATGCAAATATTCATTTGTGTATGCAAATATGGAGTTTGGTGCACACATACAGATGTGCCTGTAACTACTGCAAGGGTAATTAAGCAGACTCACAGATAATTCGGTCTTGAAATGTTATGGCTATTAATTATCCAGTGCCTTTAACTGCAGTGGCTAGGACAAGCTCAGCTTAGAGAAAAGAGACCAACCTGCAGCAAAAGACTCCAGACTCAACAGAGGTGAGAGATCAGGGATCAGGACTTTACAGCTTCCAGTTACTAAAGAGTCTTAATATTAAAGTCATGTTTCATTAATTTTTTTTTTTTTTTTTTTTGAGACAGAGTCTCGCTCTGTCGCCCAGGCTGGAGTAGAGTGGCGCTATCTCAGCTCACTGCAAGCTCCGTCTCCCGGGTTCACACCATTCTCCTGCCTCAGCCTCCCGAGTAGCTGGGACTACAGGCACCCGTCACCACGCCCGGCTAATTTTTTGTATTTTTAATAGAGACGGGGTTTCACCATGTTAGCCAGGATGGTCTCGATCTCCTGACCTCGTGATCCACCCGCCTTGGCCTCCCAAAGTGCTGGGATTACAGGCGTGAGCCACCACGCCCGGCCTTATGTTTCATTAATTTTTTAAATGATCCAGTGGTTATCACAATCAGCCAGGGAGATATCCCAGGAACAACACGAACCTCCCACTGTATGCAAACTAAAGAAGACAGTGATCATTTTTCAACCATTCTAATGACTAGATTCATTAACAACTTACCTTAAGACAAAAAGGTCACCTTTTAAAGTGCAGTCAGGAGGATAGTTTGATTTTTCAGTAGGAGGAGTTGCTGGGGTCTTTGAAAAGGACAGAGTTCTTATGGCGCCCAGTTTCAAGTGACTGTACCAGTTAACAATAGACAGGGTGTGATCATAGAACTTAATGTTCCCCTTAATGTCACCTGTGACAATGTAGCTGAAATGGAGAATAACATCAGTTTTGCAAATAGCAATAATAACAAGTAGCATCTATATAATACCTAATTATATGTCAGGCTCTGGATTCTGGGGCATTGCAAAAACTTAATTTAATACTCCCAACGAGAATGATTTTACTGTTATCCCAATTTACATCTAGGAAACTAACTTTCAGAGAGTTAAGAAATTTGCTCAGGGCATTGTGTTGCCAGATTTAGCAGGTAACAATACAGATACCCAGTTACTTTGAAAATTTGCATTAAAAAAATTTAGTGTAGCTGGGTGTGGTGGCTCATGTCTGTAGTCCCAGCACTTTGGGAGGCCAAGTCGGGTGGATCACCTGAGGTCAGGAGTTCGAGACCAGTCTGGCCAACATGGTGAAACCCCGCCTCTACTAAAAATACAAAAATTAGTCAGGTGTGGTGGTGTGCACCTGTAATCCCAGCTACTCGGGAGGCTGAGGCAGGAGAATCGCTTGAACATGGAAGGCGGAGCTTGCAGTGAGCCGAGATTGCATCATTGCACTCCAGCCTGGGTGACAAGCACAAAACTCCGTCTCAAAAAACAAAACAGACAAACAAACAAAAAATTTAGTGTAAGTACATCCCATATATTGCATGGGACATACTTATACCTGGCAATTTTATCAGGGCCATGTGGCTTGACTATGCAAGGAACCCAGGTATATCTAAAGCAAAGTCCATGCTCTCTGCTAGTTCTTCCCTGCCCTCCAAGATCAGCCATACGCAATGGAGGTGGACAAGGATTTACACTCCCCATATAACTACAGATGACAATGGAGAGAATCGCTTCACCAGCCCTCTGAAATCATGCAGGCTGGCAATGGGACACTAGCCACTTTACAGGAAGGCACTACTGTTAGTGTGATCATAAAACCCTGTCCAGTCATCACGGCAGAAGGCAGTGCCACGTGACAAAATGGCTTTCATTTCCAGTCCTTGGATCCATCCCAAATGGGCTTTTTAAAAAAGACTTTGACATAATTCTAATCACGGGGGGCAGATGAGGAGGATTTTTCTCTTACATATGCAGAGTGGTTAAATGAGGTTTCTGATTAATAAGCAAGGCAGGTGGGCTAATTGGCTTGAACATCTGTCCCTGCCCTCTGCTGGACAGAAGCAGCAATACTGACCAAGTATTTCCAGAGACCTTTTCCTTCTTGGACTCCCAGGTCCTGACTGGGTTTTATTAACTTGGAGAACCCAGGCCTGGTCTCCACTGGATCCTAAACCCCAACCGATTAAAGGTTGATTGCATGGCCAACTGCAGTTCTCCTATCTTCTCGCTCCACTGAGTGAGGGTGACAATTTGCATTTCTCTTTGTAAAACCATGTCAAGACCTCATTGTTCCCCTGCATCGAAAGAAAGGCGAATGGAAGCAAATGGGCATTTTGAAAGCAGATGGCCCAGTGACTCTAACCATATGGGTAGCGTCCCCATCACTAGGCAATTTTCTCCACACCTTCGGGAACTTCTCTCACACACTGACGATGGCCACCATTTACCTAGGGTTCCCCTGCACCAAGCATGTGCATCCATATCTCGTGAAATCCTCATAAAACCACTCTGAGAGAAATAGTACT
The DNA here is from genome assembly GCF_000001405.40 of Homo sapiens. NCBI lineage: Eukaryota > Metazoa > Chordata > Mammalia > Primates > Hominidae > Homo > Homo sapiens. The sequence goes on along the minus strand of NC_000012.12, from coordinate 121,955,467 downwards.
GTTATGCCCATTTTACAGATGAAGAAATAGAGGCTCAACAAGGTTAAGTTCCTTGCTCAAGGTCACTCAGCAAGGAAGGGACCCAGCTGAAATGAGAACTCTGTCTTAATTAAGACAGAGTTTTGATGCATTTGATCTTCTCACAATGGGTAAATATTATTTTTGTTTTGTTTTGAGACCGAGTCTCACTCTGTCGCCCAGACTGGAGTGCAGTGGTGAGATCTTGGCTCACTGCAACCTCTGCCTCCTGGGTTCAAGTGATTCTCATGCCTCAGCTTCCCAAGATGCTGGGATTACAGCCGCACACCACCACACCTGCCTAATTTTTGTATTTTTAGTAGAGACAGGGTTTCACCATGTTGGCCAGGCTGGTCTCAAACTCCTGAGGCCACCCGCCTCGGCCTCCCAAAATGCTGGGATTACAGGCGTGAGCCACCGCTCCCAGCTGTAAATGTTATCTTGTAATCAGACAAAAATAATACAGCTATTCAAATTATTTTCTTACATTTAATGCATGTAAAATGTTGGGTGCAAAATCCATCCAATTAGCACAGAAGAAAAAATCTAGTTCCTTTTTGTTTCATCGACACAAAGGGATTTTTTAAACATAATGCATACTCATGATTTTTTTAAAAATCCAATTAGTATAAATGGAACTATAAAAAGAAGTAAATCCACCCCCATCCCTGATCTTAGTTCTCAGTTCTTTTCCTCAGAGGCAACCAATGTTCCCAGTTCATTATGATTCTCCCCAGAATACTTTATGCTATACAAAATATGCATATACATCCAAAAGAGGTTTTTTTTTTTTTTTTTTTTTTTTTTTTTTTTAAGACAGGAGGGTCTCACTCTAACACCCAGTCTGGAGCACAGTGGCAATGATAGCTCATTGCAGCCTCGAACTCCTGGGCTCAAGCAATCCTCCCATCTCTCTCTCTTTGTTTTTTGGTAGAGATAGGGTCTCACTATGTTGCCCAGGCTGGTCTTGAACTTCTGGCCTCATGTGATCCTCCCACCTCAGCCTCCCAAAGAACTGAAATTAGAGGTGTAAGCCACTGTGCCCAACCTCCCATAACAATTTTAAAATATTTTTATAATTATCCATAGTTATCTTTTAATTAAGTTAAAATTACCTATCAATTGTGGTAAGTACCGTGATACCCTCTTTCTGCAAATGAACCAATTTACAAGGCTTGATATAGGGAAAGCCCAAAAAGGTGGAGGCAGATGAGGGTGGGCGGTGTATGTCCCAGACAACCAGCTTCCCTTCCATTGTGGCTGAGAGTATTTGTGTTAAATTCAAGTGAAAGATGGACTGGCTAAACTTTCCCACAAGCTTGTTGAAGGTCTGTTTCAAAAGAAAGGTTATAGTTACTGTTGGTAATAAATATAAAACAAAGCATTTATCAATACGATATTTTATAATGCTATGCTGAAATATAGTGAGAAAAAGAGAAAGAAAAAGAAAACAATCACTAAAACCGTCTCCCATGAATTGCCATGGTCCAGGCAGTTCTGAACCTCTGGAAGTTTGCTAAGAGCAAGTGAAGGGTTATGTACTCTGTTCAATTACATTGTTTGTTTAAAGCAAACGAGAGAGTGGTTAATCACTGTTTATACCTGTTAAACTTCTCTTATGGAGGTTTCAGAGACTGGTGAAGAAACTAATGCCTGTTGTGAGTCAAAGCATGCTCTGGTTATAAAATAGCATAAAATAATTATCCCAGCCTCCTTTTATCATAAGGTATTTTCCCATCAGTAGAAAATATTTAAGCACTGTACATAGAAATGCCCTATTCTCTATGCTGCCCGATTCTCTAATAATACAGAGAAGATCCTAAGGTTTACCTCTTCTGACTTGAACACAAGAGGAATAGTAAAATAATGATTAGTCAAACAAGAGCACCAAGTTCTTTCTAAGAGCAGCACTGTTTCAATACATTTTTATCATTTCAAATGGCTCATTATTTGTGGATTCTGTATTTGCGAATTTACCTACTTTAAGAATTGATTTGTAATCCCAAAATCAATACTTGCAGCACTCTCACGGTCATTTGCAGAAGTGCATGTGCAGTGTGACAAATAATTTTACTCACTCAACATGCACATTTCCAGTTGAGGGCAGGCAGGGCAATGCTCCGCCTTCTTGTCTCAGCTCTGACTATAAACAAGTGTCCTTTTCATGGTCTATTTAGTGCCATGTTGTTTGCATTTTTGGTTGTTTGCATTTTTCTTGGTGATTTTAGTATTTAAATTGACCCTGAAACATAGTGCTGAAGTGCTGGCTAGTGTTCCTAAGCAAAAGAATGCTGTGATGTGCTTTATGGAGAAAATATGTAGGTTAGATGAGTTTTGTTCAAGTCATGAGTTATAGTGCTGTTGGCCATGAGTTCAATGTTAATGAATCAATGTTATATATTAAATAAAGTGTCTTTAAATAGAAATACACATAAAACAAGCTTATGTATTGATCAATTGGTGAAAATGTGACCAGAGGCTCACAGAAACCTACCCCTATATTTCCCTTAAGAGCAATAGTTAAGTATCTGCTAATTTGGTGTTTACAGAGACTTTATATAACATAACTACCAACAATAATGAGAACTGATGGTATTTTTTAGTACTTTCATTTATGAAAAACAAGTCTGCAGACAGAATAATCTCATTGTGCCCATCCATCTCAACTTTTTATTTTTTGTTTTTGTCTTTTGGCATGCCCTCTTAAATAAATTTCTACAAATCATACCGAGAGAGAAGCAAGTATGCAGAAAACTCATCATCAGGTGCTCCCTGAGAGCAGGTTACATGGGCAGCAAATGCAGAAAATGCTACAGGAGACGACTCAAGTTCCACCTCAGACACAAGAGCTTGCGGCAAGCAGGCAAGATAAAATGTTTTCTCAACATCTGGTTCACCTCCCTCTTATTGGCTCTCAAACATCTAAATACCTAATATCATGTATTATTCTGAAACTGAGCAGCTTTATAAGGGATCCACTCATGTTCAACGACTTTACTTACACTGTTTCATTCATTTTTTTTTTTTTTATATACAGGGTCTTGTTCTGTTGCCCAGGCTGGAATGCAGTGGCACAAACACAGCTCACTGTAGCCTTGACCACCTGGGCTCAAGTGATCCTCCCACCTCAGCCTCCCGAGTAGCTGGGACCACAGACTCATACCACCCTGGCTGGCAATTTTTTTTTTTTTTTTTTTTTTTTTTTTTTTAGTAGAAACGAAGTCTAGCCTGTGTTGCCCAGGCTGGTCTCAAACTCCTGAGCTCAAGTGATCCTCTCACCTCAGTCTCCCAAAGTGTTGGGATTACAGATGAGAGCCACTGCACCCCCACAACTTTCATTCCTTGTCAATATGCACATACACATTCTAAAAGCCATCACGTTTTTATATTTTCTCACAGCAATAACTCTTTGTATAACATTTTATTAGGGCCAGGTGCAGTGGCTCACGCCTGTAATCCCAGCACTTTGGGAGGCTGAGGTAGGTGGATCATAAGGTCAGGAGATCAAGACCATCCTGGCTAACACAGTGAAACCCCGTCTCTACTAAAAAAAAATACAAAAAATTAGCCGGGCGTGGTGGCAGGCGCCTGTAGTCCCAGCTACTCGGGAGGCTGAGGCAGAAGAATGGCGTGAACCCGGGAGGCAGAGCTTGCAGTGAGCCAAGATCACGCCACTGCACGCCAGCCTGGGCGACAGAGCAAGACTCCGTCTCAAAAAAAAAAATTATTTTTAACAATACTTACATGATTTTCAACTGACAATTCAATATGTATACAGGACCCAAGTAAAATTTTTCAAATTATTTCCCAGTAGCTTAATATCAAGATGTACAAAGAGTAGCCCGAAGCAGCTAAGCTTGCACATAAATATTTATTCTCCACAAAATCTGATGGACAAAAATGCAATAGGCATACTCACTTTTTCAGTTAAAAGTGGGGCACTGTGAGCCAGTGTATCCCTCTCTTCATACTGATAAGAGGAAAAAATAATCACTACTCAAAAAGACCCAGTTTCCAAAGGAAGAACGGCATTAATAATAAAAGCAAAACAAATACATCTAAACAAGGTCAGAAATTTGCAGTTTCTACAGGTAAGAGAACTTGCTGTCTTGGGAAATATCTAAAAACATTCTGAAAGAAAAGCAAATACATAAAAAATATAAAAAATGCCACAAATGATTATGACTTTTTTTTTCTTGAGATGGAGTTCTATATTAAATAAGGTGTCTTCAAGCAGAAACACATCTATCGCCCAGCCTGGAGTGCAGTGGCGCGATCTCAGCTCACGGCAAACTCCGCCTCCTGGGTTCAAGCAATTCTCCTGCCTCAGCCTCCTGAGTAGCTGGGATTACAGGAGCGCACTACCATGCCCAGCTAATTTTTTTTTTTTTTTAGTAGAGATGGGGTTTTGCCATGTTGGCCAGGCTGGTCTCGAACTCCTGACCTCAGGTGATCCGCCCACCTCAGCCTCCCAAAGTGTTGGGATTACAGGCGTGAGCCACTGCGGCCGACCTTAAGGTATTTATTAAAGTTTTAAAGGCTTATTAATAGAGAATTCGAATTTGCATTAAGTACTATGTAAAGTCACAATCGGCTGGGCACGGTGGCTCACGCCTATAATCTCAGCACTTTGGGAGGCTGAGGCGGGCAGATCACTTGAGGTTAGGAGTTTGAGACAAGCCTGGCCAACATGGAGAAACCCCGTCTCTACTAAAAATACAAAAATTAGCCAGGTGTGGTGGCAGGTTCCTGTAATCCCAGCTACCCAGGAAGCTGAGGCAGGAGAATTGCTTGAACCTGAGAGGCAGAGGTTGCAGTGAGCTGAGATCGCACCACTGCACTGCAGCCTGGATGACAGAGTGAGACCCCATCTCAAAAATAAAATAAAATAAAGCTATAATAAATATCTTAAATAATGACTATCACTCACAATCAGTGACTCAATGTGTTTTGGTTTTGTTCTACAATTTTTTATTGAGGTAAAATCCACTTAACATAAAATTAATCATAACCATGTTAAAGTGTGCAATTCAGCGGTGTTTCATACATTCACAATGCTGAGCAACCATCTAGATCCAAGACATTTTCATAACCCCAAAAGGAAATCTCCTACCTATTAAGCAGCCACTCCGTCTCTCTCCAGGCCTTGAAAACCACCAGTTTACTCTGTATCTGTGGACTTGCCTATGCTGGACATTCCATAGAAATGGCATCATACAACACGTGACTTTCGTGTCTGGTGTCTTTCATTTAGCATCATACTTTCAAGGCTGATCCATGTCACAGCATGTATCAGCACTTCATACAATAACATTCCATTGTATGGATAGACCACATTTTGTTTACCTACTCATCAGTTGATGAACACTTGGCTTGTTTCTACCTTTTGGTTATTACAAATAGTGCTGCTGCTGCTGCTGTGAACATTTGTGTAGAAGTATTTGTTTGAATGCTTCTTTTCAATTCTTTTACATCTTACCTTGGAATTGCTGAGTCACATAGCTATTCCATGTTTAACTTGAAACGTTTTTTGTTTTGTTGTGTTTTGTTTTGTTGAGACAGAGTCTCACTCTGTTGCCCAGGCTATAGTGCAGTGGCACCATCACCATCACAGCTCATTGCAGTCTCAAACTCCTGGGCTCAAGCAATCCTCCAGCCTCAGCCTTCTGAGCAGCTGGGACTACAGGCATGCATCACCATGCACTGTTAAATTTTTTTAAATAATTTTTTGTAGAGATGAGGTCTTGTTATGTTGCTCAGGCTAGTCTTAAACTCCTGGCCTCAAGTGATCCTCCTGCCTTGGCCTCCCATGGTGCTGGAAGTACAGTCATGAGCCACTGTGCTCAGCCTCAATGTTTTTTATTCTCATGATTTTGCCCTGTGTCAGTATATGTATCACTAATCTGTTTGCTAATTCCTTTCTAAAAGGGAAAAAAGACCAAGGTCTCAAAAAAAAAAAAAAAAAAAACCTGCTGTATTTTAGAGCCAGGTGTGGCCGGCTCACCCCTCTAATCCCAGCTACTTGAGAGGATTAAGCGGGAAGATCACTTGAGCCCAGGAATTTGAGGCCAGCCTGGGCAACATAGTGAGACCTCATCTCCAAAAAAACCATAAAACTTGTATTTTAGTCTTGTTAAATAAATTCAAATAAACATTTGCCTCATTACTTCAATAAAATTTAATAAATAAAATTGGATTATTTGCTTTTGATTTAATATGCTAATTTCTAATAGGACTAAATACTACAGTTAAATAAAAACATTTTAATATATATTCATTGCTTCCTAAGTAGAGATACTATATTGTTACATTACTGAAACATTTGTACTCAAAGAATGAACACATACTTCTACCCACATTTAAAACAAATCAAAATATTTCTGCTTACCCATGCATAATATATTGCCCGTGTTTTACTATTGCTCACCAATTCTTTATTATTTGTTGGGTTAAAAGTAACGTAGTTCTGAAATATAAAGTATGAAAATACATTAATGATAAATTTTCTGTTTCTGGTTAAGCTGAATGTTAAAATTAAATAATAATTTTAATTAAAACAAATGAGTAGGAATATAAAACAGAAAAGATACCGCATTTCGTAAAAAAAAATAGGAATATCATTTAAATACTGGTGATTAAAATAAACAGTGTCAAATGTGTTCCCTTTCCAGTTTGATCTATTATAATTCATCATCTATAAATTAGAATAAGCTTTTCTTTTTTTTTTTTTGAGCCAGAGTCTTGCTCTGTCGCCTAGGCTGGAGTGCAGTGGCGCCATCTCAGCTCACTGCAGCCTCTATCTCCTGGGTTCAAGTAATTCTCCTGCCTCAGCCTCCTGAGTAGTTGGGACTACCAGCATGTGCCCCCACACCCAGCTAATTTTTATATTTTTAGTAGAGATGGGGTTTCACCATGTTGGCCAGGCTGGTTTTGAACCCTACCTCAAGCGATCCACCTGCCTCAGCCTCCCAAAGTGCTGGGATTACAGGTGTGGGCCACTGCGCCTGGCTATAACAAGCTTTTCTGATAGTGGTCAATTTAAAATAATAACAATAATAATAATAAAATAAATTGGAACAAGCAAAAGTAAACCAGTATTCACCAATAACCTTTATTCTGTATCCTTTTAGATAAAGACTGCTGCGTATACATTTCTAAATTTGACAGGGCCACACAATATCTTGGAATGAATGCAAGATATTGGAAGGGGATTCTAATTCCTGCCAAGATGGTGAATAGCATGGGCTGCTGGCTCCCTTCCCAAAAACCAACCCTGCAGAAACTATGGAAGTGACGGAAAGTTTTAAATACAGAAACCAAACAGCCACAGCAAGAACAACAAAGCAAGCTCTTCCTGGGGAGCCATGGGGTATGTGTTTGAAATGTGCATGGGAGGTGGGTGGCTACAGCCTGGGGAGAAGGGCTGCAGGAGACAGCACTGAGGGACAGGCTGGAAAAAAGCTTTTTAAGTTCCATTTCTGCCATTTCCACCCCGTCTCCACGCCTATTCCTTACCTATCATTTTCTGAACATTTTATGAATGTTACATACCACAGGGGTGTAAACTACTAATGCCAGTGTTTGAGAATTCATATCAGAACAGCACAAAAGCCTGGGTAGGGTAAGGAACTGGCAAAAGCAAGTGCATGAGGCAGACTTCACAAAGCCTGAAAATCAGCCTCAAACGACCTCAAGCTCTGATTAGATTAAGCTGACCACTCTGCTAAGTGCCTTTAAGGAGCAGAAGTCAGTCTTCTTTGGACGAAGTCATCTCAAGCCTCAAATTTATTTCTACACTTTAAAAAACACAACATCAGGCATTCAGTAAAAAATAGCCAGGCATATTAAAGAGATACATCCAGGCCAGGCGCTGTGGTGTATGCCTGGAATCCCAGAACTTTGCAGGAGGATCGCTTGAGGCCAGGAGTTCAAGACCAGCCTGGGCAACAGAGCAAGACCCCCATCTCAAAAAAAAGAAAAGAAAAGAAAAGAAAAAAGACCCATCCAAATGACTGAAAACCAAGGGGAAAAAGCAATCAGCAGAAAGAAGCCACAGGAGATCCGAGCATTGGGGTTATTAGACAATCACAGGATTAACATGCAGGAAGTAGAGGACAAGATGGGGAATCTCAGCAGATAGCTCTACTTAAAAAAGAATCAAATGGAAATTCTAGACCTGAAAAAATGATTTAAAATGCTTAATAGACAGTTTAACAAAAATTTAGATATAGCCAAAGAAAGAACTAGTCAGCAGGAAAGGAAGACAAATTATAGTAGAAAACATTCAGACTGAAGCAGAAACAGATGAAAGGATAGAAAATACATAAAAGAAAATAAAAGACCAGTGGGACAAGACCAGAAAAGGTCTAACGTATATGTAATTGGAGCCCCAGAAGAAGAATAAAGAAAGAATGTGGCAGAAGAAATGTGTAAAGAGGTAATGGCTGAGAATTTTCCAAAACTGAGAAGAGATATAACATCTCAGGTTCAAGAAATCCTAAAGGATAAGCTTTACAAAAATCAACAACATACCCACTTCCACATAGACACATCATTGAAAAGCTGCTGGGGCTGGTGCAGCAGTGGCTCATGCCTATAATCCCTGCACCTTGGGAGACTGAGGTGGGAAGGTCACTTGAACCCAGGAGTTTGGGACCAGCCTGGGCAACACAGCGAGACCCCATCTCTAAAAAAAAAAAAAATTAGCCAGGTGTGATGGTGCCACCTGGGAGGCTGAGGTGGGAAAATCACTTGAGCCTAAGAGGTCAAGGCTGCAATGAGCAGTGACTGTGCCACTGCACTTCAGCCTAGGTGATGGAGTGAGACCCTGTCTCAAAAACAGAACAAAACAAAACAAAACAAAAACCCTGCTGAAAACCAAGGGAAAAATCTGTAAAATCAGCTGGGGGCCAAGGAGAGAGACACACAACATTCAAAATAGGGATCGACAGCTGACTTTTCAACAGAAATGGTAGAAACCAGAAGACAACAGAATCACATCCTTGAAGATATGAACTGCTGAAAGAAAATACTACCACTCTAGAATTCTATACCACAGGAAAATCTCCTTCAAAAATAAAGACTTGTCCATGAACATTCACAGCAGCTTTATTTTCAATAGCCACAACCAGGAAACAACCCAATGTCCATTAACAGTGAATTAATAAACAGTTACACACCTATTCAATGCACTACTATTCAACAATAAAAAGGAATACACTACTGATACGTGCAACAACAAAACTGAGTGGAAGAAACCAAAGCTCTCTGCAAACAGAGTCCATTTATTGTACATGAAATTCTGGAAAATGCAAACTGATAAACAATAATCAGGATGGTAGACATTAGGAGATGGATGGAGGGATCAGATCACACCTTGGAGGCCACATGTCATGGAATTTTAATGTTATTCTGAGGACAATGAGAAGTTACTGAAGGATTTTAAGTACAGGAGTGATGTAATATTTTAATTATTTAAAAATATGGCCAGGCATGGTGGCTCACGCCTGTAATCTCAGCACTTTGGGAGGCCAAGGCAGACAGATCACAAGGTCAGGAGATTGAGACCATCCTGGCTAACACGGTGAAACTCCGTCTCTATTAAAAATACAAAAAAATTAGCCAGGCGTGGTGGTGGGCGCCTGTAGTCCCAGCTACTCAGGTGGTTGAGGCAGGAGAATGGCGTGAACCCAGGAGGCAAAGCTTGCGGTGAGCCAAGATTGCGCCACTGCACTCCAGCCTAGGTGACAGAGCAAGACTCTGTCTCAAAAATAAATAAATAAAAATGAAAAATAAAAATAACACTCTGGCCGGGCACGGTGGCTTATACCTGTAATCCCAGCACTTTGGGAGGCCAAGGCGGGCGGATCATGAGGTCAGGAGATGGAGACCATCCTGGCTAACATGGTGAAACCCCATCTGTACTAAAAATACAAAAAATTAGCCAGGCATGGTGGCACGTGCCTGTAGTCCCAGCTACCCAGGAGGTTGAGGCAGGAGAATCGCTTGAACCCAGGAGGCAGAGGTTGCAGTGAGCCGAGATCGTGCCACCGCACTCCAGCCTGGGCAACAGAATGAGACTCCATCTCAAAAAAAAAGAAAAGAAAAGAAAAGAAAAGAAAACAAAACAACAACAACAAAAAAAACAGTCTGACTGCTGTGGGAAGACTGTTAGAGAGTGAAGCGAGAGTGAACACAGAGAGACCAGCGGGCCAGATAATGCAGGTAGAGGTGACTGTGGCCTGGACTAGGATGGTAGCAACAGAGGTGGAAAGGAGAGGAAAGATTTCAGGATATGTCTTGGAAGTAAATGGCCTTGGGAATAGATGACAATACCCAAGAAGAAAGCATAGCAAAAAGAAGAAGAGGGCCAGGTGTGGTGGCTCACGCCTGTAATCCCAACACTTTGGGAGGCTGAGGCGGGTGGATGGCTTGAGCCTAGGAGTTGGAGACCAGCCTGACCAACATGGCAAAACTCTGTCTCTGAAAAAAATTAAAAAATTAGCTGGGCATGATAGTGTGCACCTGTAGTCCCAGCTACTCAGGAGGCTAAGGTAGGAGGACTGCTTGAGCTCAGGAGGCAGAGGCTGCAGTGAGCTGAGATCGCGCCACTGCTCTCCAGACTGGACAGCAGTGAGACCCTGTCTCAAAAAAGATTTTTTTTCATTTTAATCATTTTAAATTTAAATCACCATGTGTACTCAGCAAGGTTGCAAGGTACAAAATCAACACACAAAAATTAGCTGCCTTTTTATACACTAGCAATGAACAATCTAAAACAGAAATTAAGAAAACAAATCCATTTATAATAGCATCAAAAAACCACAAAATCCTTAGGAATAAATTTAACCGGAGGTGAAGACTTGAACTCTGGAAATTACAAAACACCCCTGAAAGAAATTAAAGAAGACATAAATAAACGGCAAGGCATCCCATGCTCATGGATTGGAAGACAACACTGTGAAAATGATGATACCATCCAAAGTGATCTACAGATTCAACACTATCGCTATCAAAACCCCAATGGTGTTTTTTGCAGCAATAGAAAAATCCATCCTAAATAGCCACATATGGTTGGTGGCTACTGTGTTAACACAACCTTAAGGAGAAAGAAAAAATTTTTTAGGAGCAAGAGGAATGTTGGGGGGAAAGGAAAGAAGATGGACATATGGCTGCATAACCATATTTCCCTGGCTGAGTCTAGTCACCCAAACCCTCTGTTTGGATTTTAGATCCTGCAAGTCAGGCATGTACTTACCACAGTGCCTGGCACAGAACAGGTACTCAATAAATGTATGACAAATGAAGCATGCAAGGATGAATGAGACAAGTCACAAAAGCAGGGAGCAGTGACTCAGGAAATAAGGAGACCTGATAGAAACTTTCTGGGTGTCCTTGGCAAGTCACCTCATGCAAGTTGGGAGCAATAATGATAACTTCCCTATACTCCTCAGAGTTAGTTTTACAAGGTTTGAAGTAGTTAAGAGCACACTTCTAGAATAAGAAAGACTGCCAGGTGGGTGATTTTAGACAAATTATTTAATAATTAATGGTAGTATTCCACAGATATTAATATCTTTTTTGCTAGCATGTTTGCATGGATTATGTGAGATAATGTAAGTAAAGAATTTAGCAGACTCTGGAACATAAGTGCTTCAAAAATATTAGCTATTATATTCAAGTAAAACAAGATCAGGAAATGAAAGGGTTTTAAAAGCTCTACTGAGGCCAGGTGCAGTGGCTCATGCCTGTAATCCCAACATTTTGGGAGGACAAGGTGGGGAGATCACCTGAGGTCGGGAGTTCAAGACCAGCCTGACCAACATGGAGAAAACCCGTCTCTACTAAAAAAAATACAAAATTAGCCAGGCGTGGTGGCACGTGCCTGTAATCCCAGCTACTCGGGAGGCTGAGGCAGGAGAATCGCTTGAACCTGGGAGGCAGAGGTTGTGTTGAGCCGAGATCGTGCCATTGCACTCCAGACTCCAGCCTGGGCAACAAGAGCGAAACTCTGTCTCAAAACAAAAACAAAAACAAAACAAACAAACAAAAACACTCTACTGCAACATAACACAACTCTACTGAAACAAAAAGTAGGTTTTGGCCTGGCATTTGTAGAACTTTGTTTTTGTTTTTTTGAGACAGAGTCTCACTTTGTCACCGAGGCTGGAGTGCAGTGGCGCAGTCTCGGCTCACTGCAACCTCTGCCTCCCAGGTTCAAGAAATTCTCATGCCTCAGTCTTCCAAGTAGCTGGGACTATAGGCATGTGCCACCACACCCAGGGAATTTTTGTATTTTTAGTAGAGACAGGGTTTCACTGTGTTGGCCAGGCTGGCCTTGAACTCCTGACCTCAAGTGATAACCTACCTCAGCCTCCCAAAGTTCTGGGATTACAGGTGTGAGCCACCACGCCCAGCCTGGCCTTGCACCTGTATAACTTCAGGTTGATGTTTACAGGCTCCAACTGAACTCACCTGAACACCGTACTCTGTGGGGAGTTCGAGAGTGCATGCTGGCGTTTCCACTGCCAAAGTCCACTTCCAGATGCATACCTTCTGTAGGTGACAGTAGAGAGAGGGGCATGAGAAGGTCTGTGAAGTCTGCTGAAGTAACTTACACCTCTTGTGGTGACCCCAAAACTTCAAGTAACTAAGGACAGAGGCCCAGACTCTGTGCTGTGGAGTCTGGTCTTTTGAGAATATCACAGACATCACACAGCCCAGCCTGAACAGAGCTGCCCATGGGGACACGCTGCACAGGTCGGCCAGCTCGCTGATGCTGACCCAAAGGGCCAGGGCCTTTACCTGGACTTCAGCATCTGAGATGGTTGCCAGATACTTGGCGTCGTGGGTCATGGCCATGGCCATGATGCCATTCCCTTCAGGGCAGCTGTCAAATATTGTGTGCACAGGAATACTGCAAAACAGGACAAGGGGGGCGACACTTGCTGAGGTCTCCCTGGCTTCCCAGAGAGTCCCAGGGCAGGTCTGAGCTCAGCCCAAACCTCTCCAAAACAGAACAAAATGTGGTCTATCCATACAGTGGAATCTTTCTGAGTCATAAAAGGGAATGAAGCACTGATGCATGCTATGACATGGATGAGCGTCGGAAGCGATGCTGAGTGAAAGAAGCCAGGCACGAAAGGCGTGTGGTGTATGAGTCCACTCATATGAAACGGCCGGAATAGGCAAACCCACAGAGACAGATAATGGATGCAGGGTGTCCTTCTGGGGCGGTGAAAATGTTTTGGAACTGGATAGAGATGATGGTTGCATAAGAGTGTAAATGTATTAAATGTCACCGAACCGTATGCTTTAAAATGGTCAGTTTTATGTTATGCGAATTTAACCTCAACAACAATAATAGTCAAGCCTAACTCAAGGCAATGGGCCTGCTGTTTGCCCTCTTCACAAGCTCTAGGTTCTCATTCACTAGGTACCAGGCACTGATTCTGTGCCAGGTTGTGCCTGGCAGGAAGGATGTAAATATGAAAAGATGACTAGGACAACGTCCCAGCTCTCAGGGAATCGGGCACTCTCCTACACAGGTGGGAATGCAAAGGAGCAGCACTTTTCTAGAAGCAGTTTGGCTGTATCTATCAAAACCTTCAATGCATACACCCTACAGCCCAGTAACTCCACCCTTACGACTTTTTCCTAGGGAAATCATGGAAAAAGTAAACAAAGGTCAATGAAAATTCACAGTCATCATGGTACTGCTCTAATAGCAAAAATCAAACAACACAAATGTCCCTTAATATACCATACATGAATTATTTAAAAAGATATTATAGCATAACCATATGATAAGAAACTAGGCTGGGCACAGTGCTGCATACTGGTAATCCCAGCACTTTGGGAGGCTGAGGAGGGTGGATTGCTTGAGCTAAGGAGTTCAAGATCAGCCTGGACAACATGGCAAAACCCTATCTCTACCAAAAATAGAAAAATTAGCCAGGTGTGGTGGCACGTGCCTGTGGGCCCAACTACTTGGGAGGCTGAGGTGGGAGTATCGCTTGAGTCCAGGAGGTTGAGGCTGCAGTGAGCCAAGATCACGCCACCGCACTCCAGCCTGGGTGATAAAGCAAGATCTTGCCTCAAAAAAAAAAAAAAAAAAAAAGGCCAGCATGGTGGCTCACACCTGTAATTCCAGCACTTTGGGAGGCCAAGGCAGGTGGATCACCTGAGGTCAGGAGTTCGAGACCAGCCTGGCCAACATGGTGAAACCCCGTCTCTACTAAAAATACAAAAAATTAGCCAGGTGTGGTGGTAGGCACCTATAATCCCAGCTACTCGGGAAGCTGAGGTAGGAGAATCACTTGAACCCAGGAGGCGGAGTTTGCAGTGAGCCAAGATTACACCATTGCACTCCAGCCGGGGAACAAAAGTGAAACTCCATCTCAAAAAAAAATAAAGACATAAAAATAAAAAATAGAAATAAAAATAAAAACTTTGCTGCCTTCAAAAAGAATGAGGTAGATTGGGAAAGTGACCAAAATTTGTGAAAAAAGCACACTGCAAAACAATCGCATCATCCTAATCATGTGTGTGTGTGTGCGTGTGTATGTATTGAAAAAACTCTGGAGGAATAGACTCCAAACTGTAAGCAATGGTTCCTCTGAAGATGGGGTTTGGGTGAGGAGGAACTTTTATTTTTTGCTCTTACATTTCCATACTGTGTTACTGACAAGACCTTAGAGCTGTATGATTCCAACACAGCCTTGAAATACCCAGAATTAGATGACATGCAAGTATCTAAGACAGCCAAAGCACAGAAGCAGTGGAAGCGAAGATGGAAGCTGTAATGGTTGGGTTGGGGGAGGTCTGCTGATTCCCACTGGAATGAAAAGTAGGTGGTAGCAAGACTTAAACCAGGAATGCGGGTCACATGGTTCTTTTTTGTTTGTTTGTTTGTTTGTTTATGGAGTCCTAGATACAGTGAAGATAAACAGGCCTCAGCATCTCTGTATGTCACGCTAGGGTCCCAACTGGCTGGTATCAAGTCTGTGTCCCAGCTGAGGACTTCTCTGGTTCTCTGTCACTGGAGAAACTTCATCCTACTGAGAAGTAGCCCCAGAAATTCACCTGGGAAGGCAATTCCAAAATGATTGGAAATAACACAGTGAAGTCCTTAGTGAGAAAATGTATCTCATCCCTGGAGATACTTGGAATTGAATATAGAGAAGATGAAGTCAGTCAGACCTGCATTATTAACATATTTGTGATAAGAGAATTTGTTCATTTTTTAGGAATTTGTAATGTTTAAGTGAATTTGACATACCAGAGTTGCTAACAGATTAGATTTGTGATGCTAATTTAAAATATATAGTTGATTTAGACTTGTGATTTTAAATTAAAATCGTAATAGGTTTATAAACAATATTAGAACACTTAAGGAAACTTAAGATTTACCATATTTATGTCTAATTTACTAGATTTGCAGTAATTACTTAAGTACCATGAAGGATTTGTTTGTTAATCAGACTACTAAAAAACGTAAAGAAACTAAATCTCTTAAATATTGAAATGCAGTTTTACATGTTTAAAAGGAGTTAATAACCAAATTTGTAAGTGGGGCCAAACATTAATCAAAGCCTCTTCAAAGGTGATTGCAAAAATATGCTAGATTTATAAACAGAGTAAGATTTTTAAGCTGAGCGAAAAACTGGAGGAAGAACTACGGTTTTTAATTTATCACTAATAAAATGAATATTAATCCTAAAACCAAAACAGCCTCTGAATAATCTTTTCTGGGTCCCAAAGTAATCACTTGGGATATCATAAAATTCATATTAACATAGCATTTGCATTATTAACCACAGATATGCTTTACTGTGAAATTTTTTAAAAAAAATCACTGCCCTCAAGTTGCTTCATGTCTAGTAGAGAGAGAGTTTCACAAATAAGGAAAAAACAGTGGCTCCACATCATAACGGGGCAGCTCTGTCTGGTGAAGGTGTTGGTCAGCAAAGGCTTCAGAGATGAGACACACCTGAAGGACTCTGACCCTTCTGCCGGCCGACTGCAGGCTTCTACTGCATGAGATAATACCCTTCCCTTGTGGTTAAGTTGGATGTGCCAGTACTTGCAGCTGAGAGCGTGTAGCAGCCACAGACGGCTATGGGTGCAGGCAGCGGGCATTTCACTTTCTGGGGGAAGTGTCTGCAGGGCCCTAATGCAGGGTGCGTGTCCCCTGTAGCATAAGTTGATTTGACAATGGACAGTCTCTAAAGGGTTTTAATCAGGGTGGCAACACAATCAGATTTGTCTGGGAAAACATCACACCAACAATGTTGTGGAGACAAGCTACATGAAGATATCCATATACGTGTGTTCAAAACAAAAGCAAATGTTTTGGAAGGAAACACACCAAATTGATTACCTCTAGAAAGAAGACTAAGATCGGAGATGGCAGCCAGTGCTTTCCATGAAAATGTATCAGTTTTCATTAATTTTTTTTTTTTTAGATGAATTCTCGCTCTGTCGCCCAGATTGGAGTGCAATGGCACGATCTCAGCTCACTGCAACCTCCGCCGCCTGGGTTCAAGCGATTCTGTCTCAGCCTTCTGAGTAGGTGGGATTACAGGAGTGCACCATTATGCCCGACTAATTTTTTGTATTTTGTATTTTTGTAGAGACGGGGTTTCACCATGTTGGCCAGGCTGGTCTCGAATGCCTGACCTCAAGTGATCCACCCGCCTCGGCCTCCCAAAGTGCTGGGATTACAGGCATGAGCCACCATGCCCGGCCTGGTTTTCATTAAATTTAAGAGTTTTCTATTAAAATGTACTAAAATCATTTTTTTACAAATTAAACAGATGAGCCGGGCATGGTGGCTCACGCCTGTAATCCCAGCACTTTGGGAGGCTGAGTCAGGTGGATCACTTGAGCCCAGGAATTCGAGACCAGCCTGAGTAACATGGTGAAACCCTGTATCTATTAAAAAAAAAAATACAAAAAAATTAGCTGGGTGTGGTGGTGTACACCTGTGGTCCCAGCTACTTGGGAGGCTGAGATGGGAGGATCATCTGAGCCCAGGAGATAGAAGTTGCAGTGAGCTGAGATTGTGCCACTGCACTCTAGCCTGGGCAACAGAGCGAGACCCTGTCTCAAAAATAACAACAACAACAACAACAACAGATGAGGCTGGGCACAGTGGCTTACAGTTGT
The DNA here is from genome assembly GCF_000001405.40 of Homo sapiens. Taxonomy (NCBI): domain Eukaryota; kingdom Metazoa; phylum Chordata; class Mammalia; order Primates; family Hominidae; genus Homo; species Homo sapiens. Next base: position 121,938,280 of record NC_000012.12, on the reverse strand, counting down.
AATCCCAGTACTTCGGGAGGCCAAGGCAGACGGATCACTTGTGCCTAGGAGTTCGAGACCAGCTTGGGCAACATAGCAGGACCCTGTCTCTACCAGAAAAAAAAAAAAATTAGCCAGGCTCAGTGGCATGTATCCATGGTCCCAACTACTCAGGAAGCTGAGGTGGGAGGATCACTTGAGCCTCGGAGGCCAAGGCTGCAGTGAGCCATGATCACACCACTGCACTCCCGCCTGGGTGATAGAGTGAGACCCTGTCTCACAAAAACAAAAACAAAACAAAAAACCAGATGAAAGACTATACATTGTTTGATCTATCCATACAATGTACTGTGATTCCGCCATAGAAAGGACACGTGCCACACCACGGATGAACCTTCAAGCACGATGCTAAGTGAAAGAAGCCAGACACAAAGGCCATGTATTGTAGGGATGTGAGATCAGAGAAGCCACAGGAAATGAAGTGTTAGATGCCACAGAGAAGTCAAGTCAGATGAGGATCAGGGTTGGGTAATGAGATCCCCTGGAGGTCACTGGTCACCTGTGGGAGAGCAGTTCCTGTGTCCCCCACTCTAGAACATTCAACGTAACTTCTTCCTAACCTCCTCGTGCATCTGGACTCACTTGTTGAACTCTTCCCTCCCCACCCACCTACCCAACCAGGCCCTAACAATCTTGTCAGTGAAATCTGACTGCTCTCTGCCTCAGGCCAGGAGTTAAGAAAGAAAACCCATCTAGGATCCTCTATCATGGCCTGGTGCTGCGCTCTAGTGATCCTCACAACATCCTGTGCATTGGGTTTAATGGGCTAAGTGGTCCCTCCAAACTCAGGCCCACCCAGAACCTCAGAATATGACCTTATTTGGACACAGGTCCTTTGTGGACATAGTTAGTTAAGATGAGGTTGTGCTGGACTGGGGTGGGCCCCAAATCTAATGCCCAGTGTCCTCAAGAAGACACAGATGGATGCATGGTGGGAATGTCATGGGAAGATGGCGGCAGAGATTGGAGGGATGCGTCCACAAGCCAAAGACACCAAGGGTCACCCGCAGCCAGCAGAAGCAAGGGGAGAGGCCTGGGACAGATTCTCCCTCACAGCCCCCAGAAGCAGCCAACCCTGCCGACACCTTGGTTTCAGACTTCTGGCCTCCAGAACTGCAAGAGAGTAAATCGTTTGAGGTAATTTGTTACAGCAGCCCAAGGAAAGTAAAAAACAGTAGATGTCATTATTCTTTTTTCACAAATGGGAAAGTCACTTTCTTCTCTGGGCCTCCAAGTCACACAGCAGACCACGGCTGACCGGGCATGGAAGCCCAGGTGGACGCCAGAGCCCACACTCACACCTGCCTCCTGCCACCTGCTCTTTCATGTCACTCTGAATTCCCCTGGGCCCCTTCCCTTCTCCCCTTCCAATTATCCTACCCAGGCAAGCCACCACCAGTCACATTCCCTGTTCTTATTCCCACCCTGCCCAGCACGGCTGGACAAGCATCACCACCCACCCACCATCTGCTGCAGGCTCATGCTTTTTGTCCCCAACCAGGCCCCTCCCTGAAACCCTACAGCTCCTTCCCTTCATTTGGTGGACCTCTACTGCATTCTCATTGATTACAGCATGTCACATCCCACAGCCCAAACTAGCAGCCCCATTCCCAATGTCCTCGGCAGATAAGACTGCCTCCTGCTTGACGGCTGTCACACAAGGTGGCGTGTTCAGCCCCACAGTATCCCCCAACTGCCTAGGCATCATCTTGCCCAGCACTTTGCAAACTATCTGTGGTGAAAGATATTTTTAAAAACTTTATTCCTTTGCAGACCAATAAATATTTTTTTCCTTGAGACAGGGTTTTGCTCTGTCGCCCTGGCAGGAGTGCAATGGCACGATCATGGCTCACTGCAGCCTCAAACACCTAAGCTCAAGCCATCTTCCCGCCTCAGCCTCCCGCGTAGCTGGGACTACAGGCATGCACCACCACATGTGGCTAACTTTTAATTTTTTGTAGAGACAGAGTCTCACTATGTTGCCCACTCCTGGCCTCAAGTGATCCTCCTGCCTCAGCCTCCCAAAGTGCTGGGAGGCTCCCAAAGTGCATGAGCCACTGCACCCAGCCCAGGTCAAACACTTTCACAAAATAAAAATACCATAGCAAGAACAAATTGCTATACAAGTTCCCAAAGGCCCCCTCTCATTTTCTGTACTTTCTGTTCAGCATAGCCCAGGACCAGCTGACAGATGAGCTCAGCCTGCAGACCACACTTTGAGCAGCACTGCCCAAGCCCACGGAAATTCCACCTTTCCTTGTTGGATGCACTATCAGAAAAGGGACCAGAAAAGGTGAATTTGATGAGTTAGGAAGAAAGGCAATACCGGATGACAACCTTGATACCAGAGAGACTCTCCATTCAGTCTGCCTCCAGCCGGGGAAGGAGGAGAGTGAGTTACAGAAGCAGATACAAGGAGGGAACACAACCCCGGCCTTCCGGACCCAGCTCCAGTGCCAGAGAGTCCGTGGGCTGTCAACCTCCCCTCACCACCTGGACTGGTTTATCTGACGCTTGATCGAAGTGAGCCTGCCTTTTACCCCCAGGTTAAGAAGGTCACTGCAACTCATTTCTTAGACACCAGAGTGTGTCAAAAGGCTGGTAGGCTTATCACGAGAAAACCATCAGACACAGTGCAATAGATGGAGACCCTACCAAATCCCTGACCTGTACTCCTTAAAACTGTCAGTCATCAAAAACAAGGAAAGTCTAAGAAACGGCCATAGCCGTGCAGAGCCTAAGGAGCCATCACAGCTAAATCGAATGTGGTCTCCTGGGTGGGATCCTGGATGTCTGTTAATAATAATGTGTCAATATTGGTTCATGAATTACAGCAAATTGATCCTACTAATGTAAGATGTAACTAATGTGGGAACCTGGGTGTGGGGTTTATGGGAATCCTCAGTACTATCTTCCCAATTCTTCTGTAAATCTAAAACTGTTCTAAAAATAAAAGTCTGTTAATTTAAAAAAGAGAGAAAGAGAGATCGGATGCGGTGGCTCATGCCTGTAATCCCAGCACTTTGGGAGGCCGAGGCAGGAGGATGGCTTGAGCCCAGGAGTTCAAGACCAGCCTGGAAACAAAGCAAGACCCCATCTCTACAAAAATATAATACAATAAAATAAAATATTTAAAAAGAGGCTAGGCAAGGTGGCTCATGCCTATAATCCCAGTGCTTTGAGAGTCCAAGATGGGAGGATCTCTTGAAGCCAGGAGTTCAAAACCAGCCAGGGCAACATGGCAAGACTTCCTCTCTACAAAAGTAAGTTAGCCAGGTGTGGTTGCATGCGCCTGTGGTCCCAGCTACTCAGGAGGCCAAGGCAGGAGAATCTCTTGATCCTGGGAGTTCATGGCTGCAATGAGCTATGATTGCGCCAACGCACTCCAGCGTGGGCAATGGAGCGAGACCCTGTCTGTACTATAAAAGAAAGGAGGCAATGGTGGGTTGTTAGAATTAGAGAGAGACTGCAGAGAAACAGCAGCTTTGGAAAGCCTCCCATCATTACTATACCTAAAACCATGGCAGGCAAACAGATCGAAATCGAACATATCCAACAAGAAATGTATGGAATGAGGAGCAGCGATAGACACGAACACTTGGTAGCAACCATTAAGAACTGCCCAGAAGAGGCAGCATGACCAGCCACTAAAAAATCTGTCCTTGTAGAAGTAATGTTTCTCATTGTAAATGACAGATTTGCCATCTGGGTTATGCTTTGAGCTTGTGTGAGCTAGGTTAGTGTGAGTCAGCATAAGCCAGTCTACTGTGGAACACCAACAAATCAAATTTCTAGGCATTGGCATTGCTCATTCTGTCACTGTCACACAGTGGCAGATACTCTACAGAAATTCAGGGAAAAAAGAAGTGGCTACACAAAGCCTACCCTGTGAAGGAGTCCCATATAATCACCAGGCAGTCTGGCCCTTTGTCTGCTGTGGCGATCCACCGCCTGTCTTCACTGACGCAGAGGCAGGAGATAATATTGGCGTGGCCCTATGGAAATGGAGAGAAAACGCTTTGAAACATCCAAGATGCGGCCCAGCCTTGGCCACTATCAGCAAAGGCCGGGGACCCACAGAAAGATCTGAGCTCCTTTCAACGCTCATCTGGCTGGAAATTCTGTTCCCGCTGGCCTTCCTGGGTGTTTCTCCACTTCCTAGTGGGTGATTTTCAAACTTCCTCTCCCTCCAAACACCTGAAAGATAAGTTCCCTACATGAACAGTGGCTCCTAGAGGTGAAGGCAAGCGGCAACTCCCAACCCAAGTGGAGGATAAGCATCTGGGTCCTCCCCTCCCCCAGCCACTCTGAGTCACGCTGCCGGCCTCTTCTCTCTAGAACACTGCTCACTTCAGGGCTCTGAGCAGCTCTGGGGCAAAAAGTTCCTCACTGGTCTCTCTACTCCCACTCTTTTTGTTTGTTTGAGGCAGGGTCTCACTCTGTCACCCAGACTAGAGTGCATCAACACAATCTTGGCTCACTGCAGCCTCGATCTCCTGGGCTCAAGCAATTCTCCCACCTCGGCCTCCCAAGTAGCTGGGACTACAGGCACATGCCACCGTGCCCAGCTAATTTTTACATTTTTTGTAGAGACAAGGGTCTTGCCATGTTGCCCAGGCTGGCCTCAAACTCCTGGGCTCAAGCGATATACCCACCTCAGCCTCCTTGGCCACAGCCTGTGCTGAAATTACAGGCATGAGCCACCATGCTCGGCCTCTGCTTCCACTCTTATCTTCTTACAATCCTTTTATGCACACAAGAGAGGAATCTTCTGGGAACACAAATGGCAGCACTCCCTGCTGGGAAATGGCCCCTCTTCCCTCCTTCCTTCTCTGTCTCCCTCATGGTGCAGCAGCCACACCAGCCTTCTTTCCAGGCCCCACACACAGGCCTGAACACTTGTTGCTCCCTCTGTTTGGAATGTTCTCCCCCAGACTGTCTTTGGCTGGCTCATTCGCATCCTCCAGGTCTCAGCAGAAACAGCACCTCTTCAATCCCTGCCCACTCAATCTAAAGTTAAGTCTTCTCTTACCCTGATTTTTCTCCCTTAGAGCGTTTTCACATCTCCTTTCAAGCACTGGTTACAATTTGTAATCATTTATGTGTTCACTTGTTTAACATCTGTCTCTGTTCTAGACTGTAAGCTCCATGAGAGCAGGGAATACATCTGTTTTGTTCATTACTACAGACCTATACTGTGAAACATAGCAGCTATAACTATTTGTGAAACGAATGGATGGTCAAGGCCACTCCCAGCCCTCTGGCCCTAGTGAGGCTGGACTCCTGCCTCCTTCCACCCCAGCCCATCTGCGCATCCTGCTTCCCCTGACTATCTGAGCCTGCCCACAGCAATCTCTCCTTCTCTCTCTGCCATCACCACTGTGTTCAGTGCCATGCATTCAATGAAGCTCCAAGGGGAGCTGCCTGCTGATTTCTGCCTGCGTATTTCTGGACTTCTAGAGAGTGAATTCCTTAAGTTGCACCCAGACATCTTGAGTCCCTGGCACAACACTGAGTACTGACTGGGTCCTTGGTAAATACCTCGTGGTGTTTTTGATCTAGGCATCAGCTAAGGACACTCCTGTAACAACACACGTCAACTGAAAGGGTGATGTGGAACAGTTGACCAGGCCAACGAGTGGAAAGTCAGACACCAAGGAATAGGATGCTTGGAAAGGTAAATGATGAAAATGAAGTGGGTCCCAAATATCAGGAACAAAGGAGGCAGAGTGCTGTGAGGAGGGCAGGCATGAAGGACAAATGGGGGAGGCTCAGAGAGGGGTGAAAATGAGCAAAGCTGCTGAGAGGAGGGAGGGATAAAAGGACAACTGACCTACTTAACACTTTCAAGACAGGAGATGTAGAGTCATTGTTTACTAGTACAGTCTTGGGCAAGTCACTTAAAACACTCTGAGCCTCAGTTTCTTCTTCTGTAAAATGGATATATGAATACCCACTTCTCGGTACAGTTATAAGATGAAAGCCCTTTGAAAACTAGAGATGTGTGTAAGTGTCCGTGAGGTCGGCACCCTGCTGAATAGCTGCCCTTTGTGTTATATCTGTGGAGATATGATCTACGCTGTCCACATTTTTGCAGAAGTGTAAAAAATACAGATGTTTTAAATTCTCACTATAAAATTAATATCAACTGCTGTTTTGTAAGTTGATTCTGATTAGAAACAGAGAGACAATAAACAATACCATGTGTTTCTAAAGACAGGCTTGCTTTTAGTTCCAAGGAGAGTGGGAAAATACGACAGTGATAGAATGAAGTCAGCCCTTGAGATACAAAACAAAATACCACACGCACGTTAAAGACAACTCCCCCACCTGTAGGAAGGAAATCCCTGCATACCTGAAGGTGGTATTGATTGTTCCTGAACACGTTGTAGATGATCGCAGTGTGAGCACAAACATACAGAAGAACTCTCTGCCTTTCCTCTCGAATATAGTAAACAGGAAGAGAACTGTTCCATCCAAACGACCAGGTCATGGTCTGGAAGACAAGGGCAAAGCCAGCAAGACATTACAGCGTGTTCAGCCCAGAGCTGGGGCTCCAGGAACTCGCCGGAGGGGAAGGATTTCACATCAACAGTTCAGTGAAGAGGAACCACTTTAAGAAAGTCCTCAGCCAGGCGTGGTGGCTCATGCCTGTAATCCCAGCACTTTGGGAGGCTGAGGCGGGTGGATTACCTGAAGTCGGGAGTTCGAGACCAACCTGGCCAACATGGTGAAATCCTGTCTCTATTAGAAATACAAAAAATAGCTGGGTGTGGTGATGCATGCCTGTAATCCCAGCTACTTGGGAGGCTGAGGCAGGAGAATCACTTGAACCCGGGAGGCGGAGGTTGCAGTGAGCCGAGATCGCGCCATCGCACTCCAGCCCGGGCGACAGTGTGAGAAAAAAAGGTTAAGATGGCAACGTTAATGTTCCGTGTATTTTACCACAATTTAAAAAAAAATTTAAAGGGTGAATTTTATGGCATGTTAATTATATCTCCATTAGAAAAGAAAGTCTTCAACAATACACAGAAATAACTTCCTTTTCTTCCACTCCCCAGGACCTAAACTTTGTTCAATACCAGACACACAGTGAGCACCTAACGTTGTGAAATTCCATTTACTTTCTAAAAGCATGTAGAGTAGACAAGTTACAATGAAGTCATTACGTAACTTTATAAGAAAGGCAAATAGGCTGGGAGCCCTGTTTCATGCCTGTAATCCCAGCACTTTGGGAGGCTGAGGTGGGTGGATCACCTGAGGTTGAGGGTTCTAGACCAGCCTGGCCAAAATGGTGAAACCTCATCTCTACTAAAAACACAAAAATTAGCCAGGCGTGGTGGCACGCACCTTTACTCCCAGCTACTCAGGAGGCTGAGGCTGGAGAATCACTTGAACCTGGGAGGCGGAGGTTGCAGTGAGCTAAGATCGTGCCACTGCACTCCAGCCTGGATGACAGAGTGATACTCCATCTCAAAAAAAAAAAAAAAAAAGAAAGGCAATTAATTATTCAGCCTGGGTATTTGGTCCCTATGTACTATTTCTACTGGAAGGATAAAGGATGAAGAGACAAAATCTCTTCAGAAGAATTAAAAATTCTGTATTGCCTGGAATAAACCCAAAATTAAAATTTTATGAAATGAAAAATTATAAGTACAATAAATCTGACTACTGCTTTTACTTCAATACTAGTTTATTTATGTACTAGTTTTGTGTTCAAAGTTTTTTGGGGTTTTTTTTGTTTTTTTTGGAGGAGGGAACAGAGTCTCACTCTGTTGCCAGGCTGGAGTGCAGTGGCACAATCTCAGCTCACTGTTCACTCCGCCTCCCAGGTTCAAGTGATTCTCCTGCCTCAGCCTCCCGAGTAGCTTGGAGTACAGGCATGCACCACCACATCCAGCTACTTTTTGTATTTCTAGTAGAAACAGGGTTTCACCATGTTGGCCAGGATAATCTTGATCTCTTGACCTCATGATCCGCCTGCCTCGGCCTCCCAAAGTGCTGGAATTACAGCAGTGGGCAACGGCGCCCAGCTCAAAGTATTTTTTAAAAATTAAGAATAAACCAACTGTGGCACATCCAGACAATGCAATATTATTCAACGAGGAAAAAAAAAGGGCTAACAAGCCACAAAAAGGTATGGAGGAAAGTTACATGCGTGTTGGTAAGTGAATGAAGCCAATATGAAAAGACTGCATATTACATGATTCCAACTATGACTTTCTAGAAAAGGTGAAACTTGGAGACAATAAAAAGATCAGTGTGGCCCGGCACAGTGGCTCACGCCTGTAATCCCAACACTTTGGGAGGCCGAGGCGGGTGGATCATCTCAGGTCAGGAGTTCAAGACCAGCCTGGTCAACACGGTGAAACCCCATCTCTACTGAAAATACAAAAATTAGCCAGGTGTGGTGGCGCATGCCTGTAATCCCAGCTACTTGGGAGGCTGAGCCAGGAGAATTGCTTGAACCCAGGAGGCGGAGGTTATAGCAAGCTGAGATCACGCCATTGCACTCCAGCCTGGGCAACAGAGCAAGACCCTGTCTCAAAAAAAAAAAAAAGATCAGTGGTTGCCAGGGCTCAGGGGAGGAAGGGAGGGATGGATCGGTGGAGGACAGGGGGTTTCAGGGCATGAATCTATTTGTATGATACTAGAATGCTGGGTACATGTCAGGATACATTTGTCCAGGCCCATAATAAGCATGACACACAGAATGACCCCCAATATACACTATGGACTTAGGTTAATAATAAGGTACCAGTATTGGCTCATCAGTGCTAACGGATGAACCACACTCATCCAGGATGTGAATAAAAGGGAAAACTGTGAAAAAGAGGAGGGATGTGCAGAGGAATATGTGGGCGCCCTGTGTACAGTACATTCAGCTCAATTTTTTTTTCTTTTTTCTTTTTTTTTTTTTTTGAGATGGAGTCTCGCTCTGTCACCAGGCTGCAGTGCAGTGGCATGATCTCGGCTCACTGCAGCCTCCACCTCCTGGGTTCAAGAGAGTCTCCTGCCTCAGCCTCCTGAGTAGCTGGGACTACAGGCATGCACCACCATGTCCAGATAATTTTTGTATTTTTAGTAGAGACAGGGTTTCACCATGTTGGCCAGGATGGTCTCAGTCTCTCAATCTCATGATCCGCCTGCCTCAGTCTCCCAAAGTGCTGGAATTACAGGCATGAGCCACTGCTCCCGGCCTTCAATTTTTCTATAAACCTAAAACTGCTCAAAAATAAAATCCAGGCAGGGTGCAGTGGCTCACATCTGTAATCCCAGAACTTTGGGAGGCTGAGGTGAGTGGATTGCTTGATCCCAGGAGTTCAAGACCAGCCTGGGCAACATAGTGAAACCCCATCTCTAAAAAAAATACAAAAATTAGCCAGGCATGGTGGTGTGCACCTGTAATCCCATCTACTCAGGAGGCTGAAGCAGGAGGATTGACTGAGCCTAGGAGGTGGAGGTTGCTGTGAGCCGAGATCGTCATGCTGCACTGCAGCCTGAGCAACAGAGCAAGACCCTGTCTCAAAAAAAAAATATATATATATATACGTATATATATATATATATACGTATATATATACGTATATATATATATATATACGTATATATATACACATATACATAAAATTATCTAGGGTCAAGTAATCAAATGCAGTAGAGTGCTGAAAGTGATGCGTTGCGTTGCTAAGAATCAGTGAATTAAATTGGCATATAGAAACAAAATCTGGTAAGTTTCCTTTCTTATCTTTGAACAATACTTATAAAATTAAATTGTTTCTCCCCAAGACAGACATAGCAGGTAATGTGGCCAATTTCTCTCTCCTACATTCTTAATTCCCCATCCTCTCCTGTTTCCATCTGCTCATTCCCTATAATTTATATTTATATTTAGATCTCTTATTGTGTGGGTGTGAGTGGTAGAATTATGGAATCATAATTGTCTCAAGCTGCAACTTCTAGGAACAGAATTATTTAATATTTGGCTGTTTCTTAAAAGCTGATTTATTCAAATGAAATTGTTCTTTTGGAAACTTGCTAATCCTAAAAGGATCATCTTCCTGGAAATTTATTTTGCCATTTAACAAATTAGTGACAAAAAGAAAGCATTCCTAAAAGGACTCCTGTCTTCAGCCACAACAGCTCTTCCCGGGTCACCACGAGGCTGACTTCACTTAGTGGTAACAGAACAACCCCACTCGAGCAGCGTTCACAATTGTGGAAATCAAATAGTATTAATCATCGTGTTTTGCAGAAGTTTTAACATGCATGACAGATGATTATGGAGATAGCCACTGCTTACATCAATCTTTTTCTAAAACATATTAATCTGGAAAATAAAACTTTGCTGTCAAAACCAGATTTCATTGTATTTGATATTCATAAGATTCCTGCTCATAAATACATGATTGCCTTGTTTCCTAGCTGGAGGTGGGATCCACAGTCATGTCTATTTACCGTGAACAATGGGAGCTAGTACAGGCCTTAGCACTAAGGAGAGGACCCCAAAGGAAAAGGAGGATGCTGTGGACACAGGAGAGATGGAGGAGCACGTTCACTGTAGGACCTTGTGTGACAGCAAGAAATTAGAAGCAACCTAAATGGCCACAGAAAGGGGAACAGTTACATTTAAAAAGAGGAAGTGGGCTGGGCACGGTGGCTCATGCCTGAAATTCCAACACTTTGGGAGGCTGAGGTGGGTGGATCACCTGAGGTCAGGAGCTCGAGACCAGCCTGGCCTACATGGCGAAACCCTGTGTCTACAAAAATACAAAAGTTAGCTGGGTATGGTGGTGCGTGCCTATAATCCCAGCTACATGAGAGGCTGAGGCAGGAGAATCACTTGAACCCAGGGAGGCAGAGGTTGCAGAGAGCCAAGATAGCACCACTGCACTCCAGCCTGGGTGAGAGTGAGACTCCATCTCAAAAAAAGAAAAACAAAAAGAGGAAGTAGAGATACATGCACTGATACAAGAAACCTTCCAAGACATATTAAGTGGAAAAACATTTTGTAGAAATGCAGGATTATCTCACCGGTAAAAAAAAAAAAAAACCTAAACAACACAAAAACTAAATGTGAGCCATGTGCACAGGCATGGGCACACAGATAACATGTTGTACATGCACAGAACAAGGTCAGGAGAGGAGCAGTCACAGCCAACTGTGGCAGGAATTACATAGGGAAATGAGATTGGGTGGGGGTGTGTGTAGGAAGAAGAATCTTTGCCTTCAAACATGTATAAGTTGTCTGAATTTTTTACAAATAATCCTGAATAGTTTTTGTTTGTTTGTTTGTTTGAAACAGAGTCTCACTCTATTACCCAGGCTGAAGTGCAATGGCGCAATCTTGGCTCACTGCAACTTCTGCCTTCCTGGGTTCAAGCGATTCTCCTGGCTCAGTCTCCTAAGTAGCTGGGATTACAGGCATGCACCACCACGCCCGGCTGATTTTGTATTTTTAGTGGAGAGGGGTTTCACCATGTTGATCAGGCTGGTCTTGAACTCCTGACCTCAGGTGATCCACCCACCTTGGGCTCCCAAAGTGCTGGGATTACAGGTGTGAGCCACCGCGCCCGGCCAACACTGAATAGTTTTAACAAAAAGAAAAAATTGAGGCCGGGTACGGTAGCTCACACCTATAATCTCAACACTTTGGGAGGCCGAGGCGGGAGGATTGCTTGAGCTTAGGAGTTCAAGGCCAGCCTGAGAGACATAGTGAGACCCCATCTCTAAAAAAGATTTTTAAAATTAGCTGGGTGTGGTGATACACACCTGTAGTCCCAGATACTGGGGAGGCTGAGGTGGGAAGATCCATTGAACCCAGGAGACGGAGGTTGCAGTGAACCATGATCGCACCACTGCACTCCAGTCTGGGTGATAGAGTGAGAGCCTGTCTCAAAATAAACAAAAAGAAAAAAATAATAAAGGAGAAAGAGAGAAAGAAAAAGAAAGTGAAGGAAAAAGAAAGAAGAAAGAAGATACATGCAATAAGCTAAAGAAATGTCAGGAGGCTGAAGTGGGAGGATTGAGTTCTAGTCCAGCCTGGGCAACACAGCAGGGCTCTGTCTCTTAAAAAAGGCCGGGCATGGTGGCTCACGCCTGTAATCCCAGCACTCTGGGAGGCCTAGGCGGGCAGATTGCATGGTCAGGAGATCAAGACCATCCGGGCTAACACGGTGAAACTCCGTCTCTACTAAAAAAAAAAAAAAAAAAAAAAAAATTACAAAAAATTAGCTGGGCGTGGTGGTGCATGCCTGTAGTCCCAGCTACTCGGGAGGCTGAGGCAGGAGAATCACTTGAACCCAGGAGGTGGAGGTTGCAGTGATCCAAGATCACGCCACTGCACTCCAGCCTAGGTGACAGAGCAAGACTCCACCTCAAAAAATAAATAAATAAATAAAAGCTAAAGTAATTTGTAAAGGAAGACAGTCTAGAAAATTTTTGGTTCTGCCGTTTTGGTTCCGCAGTGAGACCAAGGCTAAGCGAGACCCAAAACTTGGGGGAGTGGCTCTTGCCAAGTCCAGATAGCTGTGCCCCTGACACAAAGAATACACCTTCTTAGAGACATTGCCTGATTTATGTTTGCTGGCTAAACAAGACAAGAGTCTTTGTGAGCCCTAAAGCTCAATTATTCTTTCTCTCGGAGTGAACAGTTGCAAGCTGTGGGAGAGAGGCTGTCACACGGGGCTCAAATGAAGCCCATATGCAGAAAGGAGGTTTCCAGTTGCCTGCATTTCCCTCCAGACGTCTTGCCACCGTCATCGTCATGACACACAGTTGCGGACACTTACTGAGTACTCACTATGTCTTAGGAACTACATTAAGTATTTGATATCCATTCAATCGCTTCCACATCTTCCAAAGGCATGAATCTACAGGAAGGATGAATCCTAGGAAACAATTTTCAGAAAGTAGCAGATGGAGGAAGAAGGAAAAAACTCCTCCTTTTCCTTCTCCTGGTAAATGATAATATTTTTACTCCTCGCAGATGGTGCCTCCCTGGAATATTTTCAGCAGTGGCAAAGGCAGATTCCTCTGGACTGCCTGGGGCTTTTCACTGCGGCTTTCACTCCTCCATTACCTTCCACTCTGGGACCCTCTTGGAATGGATGGTTTTGGGGTCATGTAAAGATAAAGGCAGAAGAGGTGAGGCAAGAAGGGGAAGGGGTGGAATTGGCAGCATGAAGGAGGAGTTTTACAATGTGAGAGAAAAAAGGAGAGGAGACAGGAGGGAAGAGAGAAAAGGGAAAGGAGAGGGGAGGGGAAGAAGAGGGAAGGGAAGAAGAGGGAGAGGAAGCGGGAAGGAAAGGGGGAGGAGGAAGCTGGGGAAAGGGGCGGAATGGAGTTTGGATCTCCCACGTGAAATAGCACCCTATGCAACAGACAAACTATGTCTGGAATTTCCTGCCTGCTGAGCAACACCATTGAACGCAGATGCCGCTCTCAAGTTCATGTTCAGTCACACGTGTTCCAGTCGGAGCTCTTAACCGAACTTTAAAAGACACAAGTCTAGGCCGGGCGTGGTGGCTCACGCCTGTAATCCCAGCACTTTGGGAGGCCGAGGTGGGCGGATCACGAGGTCCAGAGATCGAGATCACCCTGGCCAACATGGTGAAATCCCATCTCTACTAAAAATACAAAAAAAGCCAGGCATGGTGGCAGGCGCCTGTAATCCCAGCTACTTGGGAGGCTGAGGCAGGAGAATCGCTTGAACCCGGGAGGCGGAGGTTGCAGTGAGCCAAGATCGTGCCATTGCACTCCAGCCTGGGCAAAAAGAGTGAAACTGTGTCTCCAAAAAAAAAAAAAAAAAAAAAAGACACAAGTCTAGGCCGGGCGTGGTGGCTCACGCCTGTAATCCCAGCACTTTGGGAGACCGAAGCAGGTGGATGATCTGAGGTCAGGAGTTCAAGACCAACCTGGCCAACATGGCGTGGCGAGACGCCATCTCTACTAAAAATACAAAAATTAGCCAGGCGTGGTGGCTCATGCCTGTAATCCTAGCTACTCGGGAGACTGAGGCACAAGAATTGCTTGAACCTGGGAGGTGGAGGCTGCAGTGAGCCAAGATCGTGCCACTGCACTCCAGCCTGGGCGACAAAGCAAGACTGTCTTAAAAAAAAAAACACAAGTCTATTATTAGTTTAAAAAGTATCCTTCTGGTGGTATTCTTTTTCCCCCAACATGCATAAAATTCCCCTATTGCGCAACACTCTCAAAAGCACTGGGGGAGATTTAAAAGCATTACACTTACCAAGGGATACACCGGGGTGCTTTTATCCTTTTGAAACAGAATGTCCTCTGTGGTGCTGGACACCAGTGACTCCCGGGAGATCCCTGCTTTGGACTGGATGTCGGATACTCTCCTTTCTTGTCCCTCCTCTCTGTTTTCTGGCTCCAAGTCCCTTCTTTCTTGTCCCAGTTCATCTTGGGGCATCCGGTCGGTTTTCTCCTCAAGCTCTCCTGAGGGCTGCCTTTCAGGGGAACTAATCTGTTGTTCCTCAGGACTGATTTGATCCAAATCAAGAAATTCAATTTGTGTGCTCAGGTCTCTTAAAAGCTCATCTGTTTCTGCATCCTCCAATTGTAAGGAAAGCTTTGACTTGCTACCTCTTTGGGTTTTCTTTAAAAAGAAATAAAATATCATGATTCCATATGTGCTGCTACTCACCATTTATTCACCTTTTCTATTCCCAGTCAGCCAGTCTTAGTGTTAGCCTCACCTAGGAATTATGAAATGTTTTTTAAAAGAGGCTGGAACATTTTGTACTTAAAAAACAAAACAAGATGGGGTATAATGGCTCACCCCTGTAATCCCAACACTTTGGGAGGCCAAGAGGGGAGGATCACTTGAGCCCAGGAGTTCAAGACCAGCCTGGGCAACACAGTGCCACCTTATGTCTACCAAAAATGAACAAAATTAGCTGGGCGTGGTGGTACATGCCTGTAGCCCCAGCTACTCAGGAGGCTGAGGTGAGAGGATTGCTTGAGCCTGGGAGGTTGAGGCTGCTTGTGAAAGATCATGTCACTGTACTCCAGCCTAGGTGACAAAGTGAGACCCCAGAAAGGAAGGAGGGATGAGAGGAGAGAAGAAGGGACAGGAAGGGGAGGAGAGGGGAGGGGAGGGGGAAAAGGAAAAGATAAGAAAAGAGCCAGGCACGGTGGTTCACGCCTGTAATCCCAGCACTTTGGGAGGCCGAGGCGGGCAGATCACGAGGTCAGGAGATCGAGACCATCCTGGCTAACATGGTGAAACCCCATCTCTACTAAAAATACAAAAACAAAAAATTAGCTGGGCGTGGTGGCGGGCGCCTGTAGTCCCAGCTACTCGGGAGGCTGAGGCAGGAGAATAGCATGAACCCAGGAGGCGGAGCTTGCAGTGAGCCAAGATTGCACCACTGTACTCCAGCCTGGGCGACAGAGCGAGACTCCGTCTCAAAAAAGAAAAAAGAAAAGAAAAGAGAAAAGAAAAGAACAGGACAAACGTGGGTGTGTTCAAGTTTATTCTTGGCCTACCAGCAGACCCACAATGGCAAAATCATTCTTCTAAGTGGCACTCGTGGTCTCCAAAAGGCTGACTAGCTACAGACAGTGACCTATTCTTAGGCCACAGCTAAGTTCTCCTACTGGGAGCAGTCTGTGGGAAGCCTACACTCCTATTATCATACCGACTCCATTCTAAGGCGAGCACCTCAGCTGTGGCACACACCTCCTCCAGGAAGCTTTCCCTGGCCATCCTCCAAACTGAGTTAAGAGGCCCTGTTTCATCTCCTGTGCATCTTTCACTCACTGCACTCATAGGTCTGCCTCCCTACACACCTTAGAGCTCCTTAAAAGAATGGATTGTGGCCAGGTGCAGGGGCTCCTAGCACTTTGGGAGGCCAAAGCTGGTGGATCACCTGAGGTCAAGAGTTTGAGACCAGCCTGGCCAACATAAGTGACAGCCTGCCTCTACTAAAAATACAAAAAAATCAGCCAGGCGAGGTGGCGGACGCCTGTAATCTCACTACTCGGGAGGCTGAGGCAGGAGAATCACTTGAACCCAGGAGGCAGAGGTTGCAGTGAGCCGAGATCACGCCATTGCACTCCAGCCTGGGCAACAAGAGTGAAACTCTGTCTCAAAAAAAAAAAAAAAAAAAGAATGGATTGTGGCCGGGCGTGGTGGCGTGTGCCTGTAATCCTAGCACTTTGGGAGGCCAAGGTGGGCAGATCATTTGAGATCATGCATTTGAGACCAGTCTGGCCAACATGGTAAGACCGAAACCCCATCTCTACTGAAAATATAAAACATTAGCTGGGTGTGGTGGTGGATGCCTGTAATCTTAGCTACTCAGGAGACTGAGGCAGGAGAATAGTTTGAACCCAGGAGGCGGAGGTTGCAGCAGGCTGAGATTGTGCCCCTGCACTCCAGCCTGGGCAACAGTGAGACTCTGTCTCAAAAAAAAAAAAAAAGGAATGGATTGTACCTTATTTGGTTTTGTGTTCCCATAGTCTGGCCTATACTAAGCATTCAACTAATGATTCTGAATGAATTGATGAATGAATTAAGATGACTACTTACTGGGAAAATTCCTGATGTGATTGACTGGGAATCAGTAATCTGTGTCTCCAAACGGATCATGGACGCTGTGACTTCTTGGGGCTCTACTGTGGTTTCTTCCTGTATTCCTGAAGCCTCCTTCTCTTGGACTTCTCCAGCCTTTTCCTCAGTTTCTTCCATGACAATCTTTTTGTCCTCCTTCCCCTCCTCCTCCCCTTCCTCCTCGCCCGTTTTCCTCTCCTCCTCCTGAGACTCTCTCCATGCTATTGTGTCATCTTTTGATTCCTGTTGTGGATCTTCTACTTCTTTATAATTTGGATTAGGTTCCTCCTCTTCTTTCATTTCTGTTTCTCCATTTTCTCCTGTTGCTTCTCGGGGAGCTTCTGCTGCATCTGACATTCTTCTCTGTAGAGTTTCCTCTAGAGAGATTTTGACCATAATAACCAGCTGGCCCTCAGCTTCCCATTTCCATCTCCTAGTGCACTAACCTACTGATGAAATGTGCATAAATGGCTCTGTTCCCTTTCCATAGGAATAAAAAGAATGTCATGTTTCTGACCAGGCACGGTGGCTCATGCCTGTAATCCCAGCACTATGGGAGGCCAATGCAGATGGATCACCTGAGGTCAGGAGTTTGAGACCAGCCTGGCCAACATGATGAAACCCCGTTTCTACTAAAAATACAAAAATTAGCTGGGTGTGGTGGCAGGCGCCTGTAATCCCAGCTACTTGGGAGGCTGAGGCAGGAGAATCGCTTGAACCTGGGAGGCAGAGGTTGCAGTGAGCCAAGATCATACCATTGCACTCCAGCCTGGGTAACAAGAGCAAAGTTCTGTCTCAAAAATAAAAACAAAAAAAGAATGTCATATTTCTGGCCAGGCACAGTGGCTCACGCCTGTAATCCCAACACTTTGGGAGGCTGAGGCGGGAGGATCAGTTGAGGTCAGGAGTTTGAGACCAGCCTGGCCAACATGGTGAAACCCCATCTCTACTAAAAATACAAAAAGTTGGCCGGGCGTGGTGGCTCACGCCTGTAATCCCAGCACTTTGGGAGGCTGACGCGGGTGGATCACGAGGTCAGGAGATCGAGACCATCCTGGCTAACACGGTGAAACCCCGTCTCTACTAAAAATACAAAAAATTAGCCGGGCTTGGCGGTGGGCGCCTGTAGTCCCAGCTACTCGGGAGGCTGAGGCAGGAGAATGGTGTGAACCCGGGAGGCGGAGCTTGCAGTGAGCCGAGATCGTGCCACTGCACTCCAGCCTGGGCAACACAGCGAGACTCCGTCTCAAAAAAAAAAAAAAAATACAAAAAGCCTGGTGTGGTGGTGGTGCCTGTAATCTGAGCTACTCAGAAGGCCGAGGCAGGAGAATAGCTTGAATCTGGGAGGCGGAGGTTGCAGCGAGCCAAGATCATGCCACTGCAGTCCAGCCTGGGCAACAGAGCGAGACCCTCTCTCAAAAAAAAAAAAAAAAAAAAAAAGTCACATTTGTGGGAAACCTTTTTTTTTTTTTTCTCTTGAGACAGAGTTTTGTTCTTGTTGCCCAGGCTGGAGTGCAGTGGCACGATCTTGGCTCACTGCAATTACTGCCTCCAGGGTTCAAGCTATTCTCCTGCCTCAGCCTCCCGAGCAGCTGGGATTACAGGCGTCTGCCACCACACCCAGCTAATTTTTGTATTTTTTCAATGGAGGCAGGGTTTCACCATTTTGGCCAGTCTGGTCTTAAACTCCTGACCTCAAGTGATCCGCCCGCCTTGGCTTCCCAAAGTGCTGGGATTACAGGCGTGAGCCATCACGCGCAGCTGGGAAATCTTAAAGTATATGTATTTGTGGCCCAGATCTTAAAAATACTGATCCAGGGCCTGTCAACTTTCTGGGAATAAACACCTTGTAGCCTTTTTACTCATTTAAAATATATTTATATTCCCACAGGCAGCAAAATGCATAACCCACATATTAGCAACAATTCTAGAAACAGGAATACGAGAAGAAGCAGGGTAGCCTAGTGGTTAAAAGCAAGGGCCTTGCTGTCAGCTTGTCCTAGCATTGAATCCCATTTCCACCACGTACTTGCTCTGTGACCTTGGGCAAGTCACTTTACCCCTCAGAGTCTGCATTTTCTCATGGGCAAAATGAAAAGAATAATCCTAAATTCTAGGGTTGTTGTAGAGAAGTGATAACATATATAAAATGCTCATCACAATTCTGGCACATACAGCTTGAAAAAATGGTAGCAGTTGTTATTATTTGAGAGAAAAGCAACCCTAATGTGCAAAGAAATGAACAGTTTGAAAGCCTTCTGGCATATTCTCCATTTATTCCTTACAACAAACAAGAGTTTGAACTAGGAAAACAATAAGGATGGATACTTTATCCCTAAAGAGTTGGACCCCGAACAAAAAAAATCCCTACATTTTCAGTGACATTAGAATAAGAGAACTCAACACTTTGAAAATAAAGTCCCAGAGAGTACAGAGTAGAAAAGGTATTTCTATTTCTTAATTTCTTTCTCAGCACTAAATGTATCAGCTCCTCAAATTCA
The DNA here is from genome assembly GCF_000001405.40 of Homo sapiens. NCBI lineage: Eukaryota > Metazoa > Chordata > Mammalia > Primates > Hominidae > Homo > Homo sapiens. Next base: position 121,919,161 of record NC_000012.12, on the reverse strand, counting down.
TCTCTGGTAAAAAAAAAATAATAATAATAATAATAAATAAATAATGAATGGATAAATGAGTTTGAGGCTCTGAGAGGTGAAGTGACTTATTCAAGATGACACCGCTAGTAAGAACGAGATTTCTCTGGCACTTAGTTTCTCCAGCTGAAAAATCACTGCTCTGAATCAAGTCTAGGGCTCTCACCACCGAGCCTCTTTTGACTGAGCCCAACTTCGCCGGCGCGTCTGGACAGCCGGGTTCGAGCCGCAGGGGTTTGGGGCAGGGGTGCCAGGTGCGTGGCTCTGCGAGGGGATTAAAGCCCAGGTGCGGCCTCTGCCTCCAACTCAGGTCTCCCTGGGGCCGCCCCAGGCCCCACAAGGGCCAGGTCGGGTGAGCGCCCCCCAAGGGGCACCAGACCCCGCCAGGTCGGGGGCCCCCTCGCCAGGGCCGCGTGGCCTCCGCCCCGGACTTACAGAGAGCACCCACCCCGGTCTTCAAAAGGCCAGAGTCGTCCCGCCGCCTGGACCCCTCAGCCACCTCCCGGGCCTCCTTCCAGCGGCCGCCACCTTCTCCACCAGCTCCCTAGTTCTGGTTGCCACCCAAGCTCCGTCCCCATGGCAACCGCCACCGCCGGAAGCGACAGGCCCTAAAGCGACAGGGCAGGGCGGTGGTCACGTGCCAGGAAACGGTGACGAGCGTGCCCGACGTGCCTCCTGCCGGTCGCTGGCGGCATAGACTTTCCTCGCTTTTCTGTCCTTCCTCCGCTCGCACGATCCCACCTTTTCACATGGTCCCGTCCCCTAAGAAGCTGCAGCGGCCAATACTGCCAATTTTTACTTTCCGCAACCTTGGCAAGATGGGGTGGAGAAGTATGAACTCGGATACAATGCTCTTTTCCAAAAGCAAACTGAATTTCCAGGTCTCATGGATGCAGCACACAACCGTCCTGCCTGCCTCCTCACCGGGCACCGCGTGTTGCAGACAATTCCAGCTGGCTGGGGGCAGATATGACACAGGGTGCACCAGCTTGCGGTTCTCAGCACAAAGCGTTTCCGCAAAACCGGTCTGGCTATATCTATTAGGATCATTCCACGTCAAAGTGGCTCTCCACTAACATCTCATGGAAGACGGCAACAGGTGGCCACACGGGTTTCCACTGGGACCCCTGCAGGAAACCAGCCAGAGCCACTGAGGCAGAAGGCTCTCTGCTGCTGTCATTTTAGGAGAATGTGAATAATTCTCCCCGCCCACACTGCCATGCCCCAGTGATGGTAAATTGATTAATATGCATACATCTTAAAATAAAAAAGAAAGGATAAACTGGGCAAGCTGTGTTTATTATAGTCTGAGACTTTATAAAAGAGACTGGAAAATACGTGGAATTAGAACATGCAATTTAAACAGCAAACATTGGTAAACACAGCATGTCTGTGGCTACCAGAGGGGAATACGTATGGCTGTCAGGTCAAATAGAGTTTGAGGGAATTCGCCCAATAGGAAGGCTTTGGAATTGAGTGTGAGAACCTGTGGCTGGAAGCACACAGCAATACCAATCCCATCAAGGCAAGCTGGTATCTGTATCCAACCACAGCAAAACCAGTCCCAAGGAACACAGGGCTTGCCTGGCAGAACTGCCAAAACAGAAAGCGGTGTGCAAGAACTGGGGAAATGAACACTGATACCATGGAGAGGAAAAAATAATTCAAAGTATTGGCAGGAATCCCTGAGAACCATTTTACCATCTTAAAAGAGACAAAAAATAAAAGGGAGGAAGAATAAGCATTTTCAAGAGGTCTGATCTACTCGTTCCTATCCATACCTCAGCGGTTTACAAAATAGCGCTGATCTCAGGGCATAGCCAGGAGGTTCAATTATAAAAAGTCAAACTAGCAGTGGGCTGGGCGCAGTGGCTCACGCCTGTGATCCCAGCACTTTAGGAGGCCAAGGCAGGAGGACTGCTTGAGCCCAGGAGTTCGAGACCAACCTGGTCAACACAGGGAGACCCTGTCTCTACAAAAAATAAATTAGCTATGCATGGTGGTGCACGCCTGTGGTCCCAGATACTTGGGCGGCTGAGGCAGTGCCCACAGCGTCAAGGCTTCAGTGAACCTTGATCACGACACTGCACTCCAGCCTGGGTGACAAAGCAAGACCTTGTCTCCAGAAAACAAAAACAAAAACACACAAAAACGGAGGGGTTCTTACTAGCGAAGTGAAAGGAGCTTGCTGCCCTCTGGTGGGTTCCTAAAGAGGAAGCTGACAGGACACCACGCTGGGCCACCTGGGAAGCCTCCAGGCTTTCCCTGTTCTCCAAAGGGAGCTACTATGGCCCTGACAGCCCAGCTGCTGAGGAAGCACAGTACTTAACCATTTCCGTATCCACAGCAGCAAGGCCTCAGTGCAAAGAAATATGTTGGTCAAAGCCTGACTTTGCAATTGCTAGCCTGTTTTGCCCAACTTTCTATGAAGCTCTTCTGACCCCATCTGAGCTTTGGTTTGGGAGGGTCATAAGAAATTCAGCTGGGGTGACAACAGGGTCATATCAGCACTGTAAAACTCTTTATTAAAAATAATAATAATAATCACACCAGTACCTGCCAGAATAACTTCCGCCCACTTGCCCACAATCCAGGGAATTCCTATTTAGGGCCGTGGCCTAATTTGTGAAAGAGGCCAAGCCTAAGTTTTTAAGAATGCCTTAATCCAGGGAGATTACACTGGTGGGCCACAGTACTGCCACCACACAGAAGTTCAGGTTACAAGCCTCTTCCAGATCCTTATGCTTCAGGGAGAGAAGACAAGTTGGAAATCCCTAGACCCAAGTCCAGGGCAAGGGAAGATGCTTTCCTGTTACTGTTCCCCAGGGACAATCATCTTTGCAGAGGAATAATGTTGCAGCTGGAAGAAAGAAGAAAAGGAATGGCGTAAGTTTGGAGGCTCCCTTCAGGAAGGTCAGAGGCTGAGCCCTTCTGACCTTTTCACCAATGTTCTTTCATTCTTTTAAAGCAAATGCCTAGTGCATGAATGAACTGGAGAGACTCCCAGGAGAGACTCTGGGGCTCCCTCTGCTTCTAGAGCTGTAGTCTCGTTCCTACCACGAGGATTTATCTGCAGTTTCCATGCAAACTGGGGATTCCCATTATTCCCCAATGTCTCCCCAGCCTTCCCCTCCAGCTTCATGTTTAACAAACACTCAAATGATGCCCCAGTGAGAATGAACAGAAACAGATACTTTACCCCAGCAGTCCTTTTCCTGCCCAGCGTGTTGGAACAAGTCTAAGCTGGTGTTTTTCCCCCCTGCGGATCACTGTCACATTCAGGGGCTTCTGAAAAGAAAATAAGCTCATTTCGTGTTCAGCCTCGTTAGTACTCAGAGATGCAGGCTAAAATGCTGAGATCCCATTTTTTGCCTATCAAATTGGTAAAGATTTACATTTGCAGCATAATCCTGTGGTTGGCGAGAGGGTGGGGAACGTGGCACTGCACTCTCAGGGCAGCCAGGGTGCTGACCTCAGTACCATCTTCCTCAAAAAACACGTGTCCCACCACCAACGATCTTTAAAAGGTACATCCAAGGTACATAGTACACAATTGCAAGATGACATACAAATTACAAGACATACAAATGCCTGTAATCCCAGCACTCTACAAAAAGTATAAAAATTAGCGAGACATACAAATGAAATGTTCATTCCAGGACTGTGTAGAAATTCAAAAACTGAAAACACCAGAAATGTCCATCAATAGGTATTGTTCAAATACAGTACAGAGAATGAAGGGTTTTAGTCAAAACAAACCAAAACCCCACCAAAGTATGAACCTATTTGATAATATTTTCTTTCTTTTTTTTTTTTTTTGAGACACAGTCTCACTCTGTCACCCAGGCTGGAGTGCAGTGGCACAATCTTGGCTCACTGCAACCTCTGCTTCCCAGGTTCTAGCAATTCTCATGCCCCAGCCTCCTGAGTAGCTGGGACTACAGGTGCCCGCCACCACACCCGCCTAATTTTAGTATTTTTAGTAGAGACAGGGTTTCGCCATGTTGGCCAGGCTGGTCTCAGAACTCCTGATCTCAGGTGATCCACCCACCTCAGCCTCCCAAAGTGCTGGGATTACAGGTGTGAGCCACCGTGCCCGGCCGATAATATTTTCTAAAAGGACACCTGTGTTGCTCTAGTGTGCGAAGTTTTCTGGAAGAACATGGAAAAACTTGTTAAGAGTGGTTACTTCCAGAGAGGACTAGTCCTTTGGAAAAAGAAGATGTTTACTTTTATATATTTCCATATCATTAATTTTTTAACCATGCGTATGTATTGCTTTATTTTTCTGAGACAGAGTCTTGCTCTGTTGCCCAGGCTGGAGTGTAGTGGTGCAATCTCAGCTCACCGCAACCTCAGCCTCCTAGGTTCAAGCAATTCTCGTGCCTCAGCCTCCTGAGTAGCTGGGACTACAGGCATGCAGCACCATGCTCAGCTAATGTTTCTGTATATTTAGTAGAGACAGGGTTTCACCATACTGGCCAGCCTGGTCTCAAACTCCTGGGCTCAAGTGATCTGCCCACCTCAGCATCCCAAAGTGCTGGGATTTTGGGCATGTGCCACCACACCTGGCATGTATGTATTACTTTCTTTTTTTTGAGATGGGTTCTCTGTCGCGCAGGCTGGAGTACAGTGGCACAATCTCGGCTCACTGCAACCTCCGCCTCCCCGGTTCAAGCAATTCTCCTGCCTCAGCCTCCTGAGCAACTGGGATTACAGGCACGTGCCACCATGCCCAGATAATTTTTGTATTTTTAATAGAGATGGGGTTTCGCCATGTTGGCCAGGCTGGTCTTGAACTCCTGATCTCAGGTGATCCACCCACCTCAGCCTCCCAAAGTGCTGGGATTACAGGCATGAGCCACCACACCCAGCCTGTATATAGTACTTTAATTTAAAAAATTAAAATTAAAGCAGGGGGAGTACATACCAAAAAAATTACAAATTAAAATACGATATCCAGGCACGGTGGCTCACGCCAGTAATCCCAGCACTTTGGGAGGCAGGAAGATCACTTGAGCCCAGGAGTTGAAGACCAGGCTGGGCATGGTGAAACCCTGACTCTACAAAAAGTATAAAAATTAGCGAGGCATGGTGGTGTGCACCTATAGTCCCAGCTACTCGGGAGGCTGAGGCAGGAGGATTGCTCAAGGGAGGTCAAGGCTGCAGTGAGCTGTGACTGCACCACTGCACTCCAGCCTGGGCAACAGAGTGAGACCCTGTCTCAAAAAAATAAAAATAAATAAATAAAACAAGATGCCATCAAAATCTAAAACTTCTATGTATCAAATGACACTATTAACAGAGTGAAAAGGCAACCCACATGATAGGAGAAAATACATACATGCTGGGTACGGTGGCTCATGCCTGTAATCCCAACACATTCAGAGGCCCAGGCAGGAGGACTGCCTCAGCTCAAAAGTTCAAGACCAGCCCGGCAACAAAGAGAGATCTCGTCTTTACAAAAAACATATATTTTTTTTAATTAGCCAGGCTTGATGACGCACATCTGTAGTCCCAGCTACTTGGGAGGCTGAGGTGGGAGGATCACTTGAGCCCAGAAGCTCAAGGCTGCAGTGAGCCATGAATGTGCCACTGCACTCCAGCCTGGGTGACAGAGTGAGATTCTGTCTTAAAAAAAAAAAAAAAAGAAAAAAGAAAATACATGCAAATCATATATCTAATAAGGATTTAACATCCAGAACATATAAAGAACTCCTATACCTCAACATCAACAAAAAAATCTGATTAGAATATGAGCAAAGGGCTGGGTGTGGTGGCTCACGCCTGTAATCCCAACACTTTGGGAGGCCAAGGCAGGCGGATCATGAGGTCAGGAGATCAAGACCATCCTGGCTAACACGGTGAAACCCCGTCTCTACTAAAAATACAAAAAAAAAGGCCAGGCGCGGTGGCTCACGCCTGTAATCCCAGCACTTTGGGAGGCCAAGGTGGGCAGATCACAAAGTCAGGAGATTGACACCATCGTGGCTAACACAGTGAAACCCTATCTCTACTAAAAATACACACACAAAAAAAATTAGCCAGGCTTGGTGGTGGACGCCTGTAGTCCCAGCTACTCGGGAGGCTGAGGCAGGAGAATGGCGTCAACCCAGGAGGCGGAGTTTGCAGTGAGCCGAGATTGTGCCACTGCACTCCAGCCTGGGTGACAGAGCGAGACTCCGTCTCAAAAAAAAAAAAAAAGAAAAGAAAAGAAAATGAGCAAAGGACTTGAATAGACCTTTCTTTTTCTTTCTTTTTTTTTTTTTTTTTTTGAGACAGGGTTTCACTCCTGTTGCCCAGGCTGGAGTGTAGTGATGCAATCCCTTAGCTCACTGCAACCTCTGCCTCCTGGGCTCAAGCGATTCTCCTGCCTCAGCCTCCTGAGTAGCTGTGACTACAGGCACAATCCTCCACACCTGGCTAATTTTTGTATTTTTTTCCAGAGACAGGTTTCACCATGATCCCCAGGCTGGTCTCAAACTCCTGAGCTCGAGTGATCCGCCCGCCTCAGCCTCCCAAAGCACTGGGATTACAGGCATGAGACACAGCGCCCAGCCTAAATAGACATTTCTTCAAAGAAGATATACAAATGATCAAAAAGCACAGGAAAAGATGCTCCATGTCACTAATCATAAGAGAAATGAAAATCAAAACCACAATGAGATTCTACCACACACTGATTATGAAACAGAAAACAAGTGCTGGCGAGGAAGCGGGGAAAATGGAGCCCTGTGCACCACTGGTGGGAATGTGAAACGGTGCACGGCAGTGGAAAACAGTAATGGAGGGTCCTCCAAAACCTAAACAAAGCGCCGGGCACGGTGGCTCACGCCTATAATAGCAGCACTTTGGGAGGCCAAGACGGGTGGGATCGCTTGAGCCCAGGAATTCAAGACCAGCCTGGGCAACACGGCAAAACCACAAAATGCAAAAATTAGCTGGGCATGGTGGCACATGCCTGTAGTCCCAGCTACTCTCAAGGCTGAGGTGGGAGGATTGCTTGAGCCTGGGAAGTCCAGATTGCAGTGAGCCAAGATCACACCACTGCACTCCAGCCTTGGCAACAGAGAACCTGTCTCAAAATAAATAAATAAATAAATAAATAAATAAATAAATAAATAAATAAATAAATAAGCAAGCTCATTCCAGAAACCTGGAAGTCATCTTTGACATTTTAAAATGTTCATAGGCCAGGTGTGGTGGTTCACGCCTGCAATCCCAGCACTTTGGGAGGCCAAGGCAGGTGGATTACTTGAGGTCAGGAGTTCGAGGCGAGCCTGGTCAACATGGTGAAACCCAGTCTCTACTAAAAATACAAAAATTAGCTGGGAGTGGTGGTGGGTGCCTGTAATCCCAGCTACTCAGGAGGCTAAGACAGGAGAATCACTAACCTGGGAGGCGGAGGTTGCAGTGAGCTGAGATTGCACCACTGCACTCCAGCCTGGGTGAGAGCAAGACTCCATCTCAAAAAAAAAAAAAAAGTTCATATATTGAAGTTAAAAAAAATTTTAGAAACTTTAAACATAGAATGACCACATGATGCAGCAATTAAATTTCTGGGCATATATACAAAGAAATGAAAGCAGAGATTTGAACAGATATTGCTACAACCATGTTCAAAGCAGCATTGTTCACAACAAAAAGGTGGAAGCAATCCTAGTGTCCATTGACTAATGAATGGATAAAAATAATGTGGTGTATACATACAGTCGAATATTATACAGCCTTTAAAAGGAAGGAAATTCTGACACATGCTGTAACATGGATGAACCTTGAGGACATTATGCTAAGTGAAATAAGCCAGACAAAAACTATACAGTGTCCTGTAATCCCAGCACTTTGGGAGGCAGAGGCAGGCAGATCATCTGAGATAAGGAGTTTAAGACCAGCCTGGCCAACATGGCAAAACCCCATCTCTACTAAAAATACAAAAATTAGCCATGCCTGGTGGCATACGCCTGTAGTCCCAGCTACTCAGGAGGCTGAGATAGAAGAATGGCTCAAACCTGGGAGGTGGAGGGTGCAGTGAGTGGAGATTGAGCCACTGCACTCCAGCCTGGGCAACAGAGCGAGACACCATCTCAAAAACAAAACAAAACAAAACAAAAAAACTACACAGTATGTAAGATTTCACCTAGATGAGGTCCCTGGAGTAGTCAAATTCATAGAGACAGAAAGTAGGATGGTGGGTGCCAGGGCCTGCGGAAAGTGGGAATGGAGAGTTAGTGTTTAATGGAGATTTGGGTTTCAGTTTAGGAGGGTGAAAAAGTTTTGGAGATGGGAGATGGGTAGGGGTGATATTTGCAAAATAATGTGAATGTACTTAATGCCACTAAAGTGTAGATTTTTTAATGGTTAAAATGGTAATTTTTTTTTTTTTGAGACAAAGTTTCACTCTTGTCACCCAGGCCAGAGTGCAGTGGCGTGATCTCGGCTCACTGCAACCTCTGCCTCCCGGGTTCAGGCAATTCTCCTGCCTCAGCCTCCAGAGTAACTGGGATTACAGGCGCCCACCACGACGCCCGGCTAATTTTGTATTTTTAGTAGAGATAGGGTTTCACCACGCTGGCAGGCTGGTCTCCAGCTCCTGACCTCAGGTGATCCGCCCACCTTGGCCTCCCAAAGTGCTGGGATTATAGGCGTGAGCCACCGCGCCCGGCCTAAAATGGTAATTTTTATATTATGTATATTTACCACAAAAAAATAAATATGTCAGGTCTATCAATGGAATCTCTAAATCTAAGAAAATACAGCATAGGCCGGGCATGGTAGCTCACACCTGTAATCCCAGCACCTTGGGAGGCCAAGGCAGGCGGATCATGAGGTCAAGAGATAGAGACCATCCTGGCCAACATAGTGAAAACCCATCTCTACTAAAAATACAAACATTAGCTGGGCATGGTGGCAGGCACCTGTAGTCCCAGCTACTTGGGAGGCTGAGGCAGGAGAATCGCTTGAACCTGGGAGGCGGAGGCTGCAGTGAGCTGAGATCATGCCGCTGCACTCCAGCCTGGCTATAGAGCGAGACTCCATCTCAAAAAAAAAAAAAAAAAAAAAGTCATTTCCTACCAGATTGTCAAAGAATATCTATGTTATTGCCAAAGACTGTAACATAGTTGGGAAAGCTAGAAACAGACGCACTCACAGGTGCTACTTGAGAGAAGGTGCACTGGCACAAGCTTCTTGGAGGACACCTTGACAAGATCTATGAAGGGTAAATGTGCACTGCCTTTAACTCAGTAATGACACATCTAGCAACATGGCAGAAATTCTCCCACAGGCAAGGACACTCGCTACACCACTGTTTGTTACGGCCAAACACTGGAAACAACCTAAATGTCGAACATGGGAGGCTGGCTAAGTAAAAGATGGTGAACCGACCAATGGAACATGGTGGGATCATTCAAAGGAATGAAGATACAAATGTGCCGACAAGGAATTCCCTTCGAAGTGGGCGGAAATGCAGAGTAACATGTACATTAGGCCTTTTCTGTGTCATCTTTGTCAAAAAGCAATCACAGCCAGGCGTGGTGGCTCATGCTTAATAATCTGAATGTTTTGAGGGGCTGAGGCTGGAGGCTCACTTGAGCCCAGGAGTTCTAGACCGGCCTAGGCAACATAGCAAGACCCTGTCTCTACAAAAAATGAAAAAAAAAAAAATTAGCCAGGTGTGGTGGTGCACACCTGTAGTCCCAGCTACCTGGGAGGCCAAGGCAGGAGGACTGCTCAAGCCCTGGAGTTTGAGGCTGCAGTGAGCTATGATTGCACCACTGCACTCCAGCCTGGGCAGCAGAGCGAGAGACCCTGTCCTAAAAAAAAAAAAAAAGGCAGTGGCTGTAGACGCATGCACCCACGTGTGGAAACTGTGTGAGGGACACACTTGTGTGCTTCCAGTTCTATAAATGACAGCCCTGGGCAGGCTGGAAACCTGGAGGCCTCCTTGACACACTCCATCAGGTTAAGGCCCATGGATTTTACACCCTAAATGTCTCTTTGATTGACCCCTTCCTCCACCCCATTTGTCACAGCCACCATCCTCTCTTGACTGACTGCTACAGCTCTGTCACCCTCCAATCTGTTCTCTACCTAACATCCAGAGAAGGCTTCTTACCCCTGTCACACCCCAATCTGGAACTGTGCGGTGGCTCCCTTCTGCACCTCAGGAAAAAAACAGCACAATCTTTACTAAGGACCACAGGCCTGACCTTAACACCTCCTGGCCTCACCTCCTCCCCTTCTCTCCATTCTGCTCTGGGCTCCACCCTCCTTTGAGTTCTTTGATCCTCCCACCCCAGGGCCTATGAACCTGCTTTGAAGGCTTTTCTCCCTGCCAGCTTCCCCTCGACCAGAGAAACTTCTATACACATCTGAAGGTCACTTCCTGAGGAACACTCCTTCAATCCCAAACCAAATCAGGGCCCCATGATTTACTCTCTGAGCTTCTTAACACTCTTCCTTCATAACACTTATCAGTGTGTATCATTATACAGCTGAGATTATTTGATTAAGGCCTGGCTCCCCCACCAAAGTGCTCCCAAGGCAAGGACCCTGTTTGTTTCGTTCCCCGTTACAGCCCCAGTACCTCGCCCAGGACCCAGCATGTGCAGCGGAAGAGGCACTAAGGAAGGGAGAGACACAGGACTTTTTAAAAAATTATTTTGGGGCCAGGCACAGTGGCTCACGCCTATAATCTCAGCACTTTGGGAGGCCGAAGCGGGCAGATCATCTGAGGTCAGGAATTAAGAGACCAGCCTGACCAACATGGAGAAACTCCATCTCTACTAAAAATACAAAATTAGCCGGGCTTGGTGGTGCATGCCTGTAATCCCAGCTACTCAGGAGGCTGAGGCAGGAGAATTGCTTGAACCCGGGAGGCGGAGGTTGCAGTGAGCCAAGATCGCGCCACTGCACTCCAGCCTGGGCAACAAGAGCGACAACTCTGTCTCAAAAAAAAAAAAAAATTTATTTTTGAGGGGAGAGGGTGTTTCCAGCGATGACCAGAAAACCTGGTAGACAAATTCTTAGAGCTATAACACTAGGACTTTTGTTTGTAAATACAATTGCACTATGTGATTTTAAGGATAAATATGTATTTTATTTATTTGAGACAGGGTTTCACTCTGTCATCCAGGCTGGAGTGCAGTGGTGTGACCTTGGCTTACTGCACCCTTGAACTCCTAGGGTCAAGTGATCCTCCTGCCTCAGCCTCCAGAGCAGCTTGGCCACATGCCACTATGCTTGGCCAATTTCTTAAAAAATATTTTGGAGAGACACAGTCTCACAATATTGCCCAGGCTGGTCTCAAACTCCTGGCCTCAAGTGATCCTCCTGCCTTGGCCTCCCAAAGTGTTGGGAACACAGGCGTGAGCCACTGCAGCCAGCCTATTTTTATCATTGAGACATAATTTGCATACAATAAAATTCACCATTTTAAAGTATACAATTAAGTGAGTTTTAGTATATTCAGAGTTCAGTATATTCAATGTATTTAGTATAAACAACCACCACTATCTAATTCTGGATCATTTTCATCACCCAAAAAGAAATCCATTATCCATCAGCAGTCATTTATAATTTTTTAAAGATCTTTTCCCCTTGAAAATGTATGCATTTGATCTAGAAATCCCAGCTGTAGGAAGTTCGCTAAAAAAGGCCAGGTGCCGGGAGGCAGAGGTTGCAGTGAGCTGAGATAATGCCACTGCACTCCAGCCTGGGTGACAGAGCAAGACTCCATCTCAAATAAAAAACAAACAAAAAAAAAAACAAAGAAAGGCCGGGCACAGTGGCTCACGCCTGTAATCCCAGCACTTTGGGAGGCCGAGGCGGGCAGATCACCTGAGGTCAGGAGTTCAAGACCCGCCTGGCCAACATGGTGAAACCCCATCTCTACTGAAAATACAAAAATTAGCTGGGCGTGGTGGCGGGTGCCTGTAGTCCCAACTACTTGGGAGGCTGAGGCAGGAGAATCGCTTGAATCTGTGAGGCGGAGGTTGCAGTGAGCTGAGATCATGCCATTGCACTCCAGCCTAGGCAACAAGAGAAAAACTTCGTCTCAAAAAAAATAAAAAAAGAAATAGAAATCCATCTGCAAGAGTGTTAATCTCCACAAAATGGCAAACTATCTAAATGTCTCACAATAGAACACTGTGAGTTTTTTGGTTTTTTTTTTTTTTTTGACACAGAGCCTCACTCTGTCGCCCAGGCTAGGGTGCAGTGGCATGATCTAAGCTCACTGCAACCTCTGCCTCCCGGGTTCAAGCAATTCTCCTGCCTCGGCCTCCCAAGTAGCTGGAGAGTACCACCACACCTAATTTTTTTTTTTTTGAGATGGGAGAGTCTCGCTGTGCGGCCCAGGCTGGAGTGCAGTGGCGTGATCTTGGTTCACTGCAACCTCTGCCTCCGAGGTTCAAGTGATTCTCCTGCCTCAGCAGCCCAAGTAGCTGGGACTACAGGCACACACCACCACACCCAGATAATTTTTTTTTTTTTTTTGTATTTTTAGTAGAGACCGGTTTTCACCATGTTGGGCAGGATGGTCTCGATCTCTTGACCTTGTGATCTGCCCACTTTGGCCTCTTAAAGTGCTGGGATTACAGGTGTGAGCCACCGTGCCAGGCCTAATTTCTTATTTTTAGTAGAGATGGGGTTTCACCATGTTGGCCAGGCTGGTCTTGAACTCCTGACCTCAGGTGATCCACCCGCCTCAGCCTCCCAAAGTGCTGGGATTACAGGTGTGAGCCACTGTGCTATGCAAGGTTTTTTTTCTTGACTCACAAAACAGACAACCAAACCCGGATTCTTGATTCTCCAGCTGAGCTCAGGTCCCCTGAGGGGATGAGGCTGAAGCCAGAAAGGCCCTACTCACAACACACGACCTTCTCCATCCTCCAGCCCACCAAGACAGCTCAGCCTTTATCCAGTGACATCTTGGAATTCCCCGTGAAATTTCACATGAAGAAAAGATTCATTTTGCTTAAAATTGAATCACTACTTTTATAAAGAAGGATTTATAAGCCTACACGGAAGCTGAGAATACATTTAACTGGATAAAACAGATTAAAAACCAGCAGCTCTTCTCACAGATCCACACAACAGACAGAAGTCTCAGAATCCACTGGGCTGAGTGAAGAACACCAGACTCAAAAGGCAATATATTGTGTGGTTTTTCTCTCTATGACATTCTGGAAGTTGACGGTGAGGGATTAACTACAAAGAAGCCTGAGGCAATTTTATGGGGTGTTGGAATGCTCTTGACCTTCATCGTGGTGGCAATGACATACTACATACATTTGTGAAAACTCACGGGAATGGCAGGCCACAGTGGCTCACTCCTGTAATCCCAGAACTTTGGGAGGCTGAGGTGGGTGGATCACCTGAGGTTAGGAGTTTGAGACCAGCCTGGCCAACATGCTGAAACCCTGTCTCTACTAAAAATACAAAAAAAAATTAGCTGGGCGTGGTGGTGGGCACCTATAATCCCAGCTACTTGGGAGACTGAGGCTGGAGAATCGCTTGAACCTGGGAGGCAGAGGTTGCAGTGAGCCGAGATCGTGCCACTGCACTCCAGACTGGGCAAAAGAGCAAAACTCCATCTTAAAGAAAAAAAAAAGAAAACTCGGCTGGGTGTGGTGGCTCACACCTGTAATCCCAGCACTTTGGGAGGCCAAGGCAGGTGGATCACGAGGTCAGGAGATCGAGACCATCCTGGCTAACACAGTGAAACCCCATCTCTACTAAAAATACAAAAAAATTAGCTGGGCATGGTGGCACATGCCTGTAGTCCCAGCTACTCGGGAGGCTGAGGCAGGAGAATGGCGTGAACCTGGGAGGCAGAGCTTGCAGTAGCCCCCCCGAGACTGCACCACTGCACTCCAGCCTGGGCGACAGAGCAAGACTCCATCTAAAAAAAAAAAAAGAAAAGAAAAAGAAGAAAACTCATGGGACTGTACACTGAAAAAGGTGGATCTGGTGCAGGTAAATTACACCTTAATAAAATAAAATCAACTGGCAGCTCTGTGTGCTGGTATATGAGCAGTCTTTCTGAAGGACATGTGGCTGGAAAGTGGCTGCCTCAGGAGGAGAAGTGATGAAAATGTACAATTGTGATGGCTGCATAATTCTGTGACTACACTAAAAACCACTTTAAATGGGTGAACTGTGTAGTATGTGCATTAAATCTCAATAAAACTGTTGTAAAAATAATAAAAATAGACCAGGCGCAGTGGCTCACATCTGTAGTCCCAGCACTTTGGGAGGCCAGTTTGAGACCAGCCTGGCCAACATAGCGAAACCCCATCTCTACTAAAAATACAAAAATTAGCCAGGCATGGTGGTGGGCGCCTGTAATCCCAGCTACTCAGGAGGCTGAGGCAGGAGAATCACTTGAACCTGGGAGGCGGAGGTTGCAGTGAGCCAAGATCGCACCACTGCACTCCAGCCTGGGTGACAGAGCGAGACTCCATCTCAAATAATAATAATAATAATAATAATAATAATAATAAATTTCAGATGGACTAAAGGAAAAACAGAAATAAAACAATAAAAGAATTAAAAGAATTTCTTTTTTTGAGACAGAGTCTTGCTCTGTCGCCTAGGCTGGAGTGCAATGGCGCGATCTCGGCTCACTGCAAGCTCTGCCTCCTGGGTTCAAGCGATTCTCCTTCCTCAGTCTCCCAAGTAACTGGGACTACAAGTGTGTGCCACCACACCCGGCTAATTTTTTGTATTTTTAGTAGAGACGGGGTTTCACCGTGTTAGCCAGGATGGTCTCCAACTCCTGACTTCGTGATCCACCCACCTCGCCCTCCTAAAGTGCTGGGATTACAGGAGTGAGCCACCACGCCCAGCCAAGAATTTCTTAATTAAAAAAAAAAAAAAGAATTTCTTTAAATGGACACAAAATGCAAGAGCCATAAGCAAAAAAACTGATAAATTTCACAAAATCATCATTTTAAACGTCCATACAAGTTACAGATTTGATGACAGTATCAGTGCAGAAACGATGGCCTGACCACTAGCAGGGGCATAGGCAACTGCCAGCCATCTCCTGACCTGACCTGGCCTGGCCTGCACTGATGGGTTACAAGTAGATGAACCGTGCAGCTAAGCAGGAGTCAAAAAATCCACAACTGTTGGGTTAACTGGAGACTTCATTTGGGAACCAAAAACTTTAGTTAATAATTTTCCTGGGCTTTGCCACAGTATCACTCCTGAAAAGTGTGGATCTTTGCTACAAAACAACAACAAAAATTCCAGCCTGGACAACATAGCAAGACCCCGCCTCCACAAAATATAAAAAAATTAGCCGTGAGGTAGTTATGATAGCACCACCACACTCTAGCCTGGGTGACACAGCATGACCCTGTCTTAAAAAAAAAAAAAAAAAAAAGAAAAGATCTCTAAGAAACCTTGTTAAATGAAAACAGAGACAGGGCAGAGGAGAGGGGAATTTGGGTTAGGGTAGCCAGGAAAGGCCCCCTGCGAGCATGTCACCAGTGTAAAACAGAAGGAGGATGAAGAGGAAGAGCATTCTAAACAGAAGGAATAGCAGGTGCCAAGTCCTTGAATGGGGCTGTGCTGAGCAACACCATGAAGGCAGCAGTCCAGGGCCTCAGCAACACTTCCAGTAACTCCAGGGCTATAGACCAGAGGCCGAGTGCTATGACCTGAATGTCTGTGGCCCCCTGAAATTCATATGTTGAAATCCTAACCACCAATGTGATGGTATTAGGGGTGGGGCCTCTGCAAGGTGATTAGGTCATGAGGGGTGGCGCCCCCACTGGGATTAGTGCCCTTATACAAGAGCTCCCAGGGTTCCTCCCCTTTCTGCCATGTGAGGACACAGCAAGAAGGCACCACCTAGGAGTTAGGAAGCAAGCCCTCCCCAGACACCAAATTGGCTGGTGCCTGGATCTTGGACTTCCCTGCCTCCAGAGCTGTGAAAAATGAACTTCTGTTGTTTGTAAGCCACGCAGTCTATGGCATACTGTTAGAAAAACCCAAACAGACCGAGACACCAGGTAGCCCCACTCACCCCCTCACTGTGCTGCACCACACTGCCAATGTTATGCAGTGACTGGAAGTTCTGGGTGTTCACAGAGCCGAACTCCACAATCTCATCATCCACTTGCAGACCCTGGAGAGGGAAGGAAAAATGGAAAATCAGGCTAGAGGTTCAGTGTGCTCCTGGTGGTCTCTAACCTTCAATACCCAATTTAATGCCAAGGTCACGAGCTTGTTTTCTACAGGGTAGGCTCAGAACAAAGAGGTCAGGGATGTAGACACCTCATGCAGGAAGGGGCAGTGGGTAACGGGGCCACCTCCTCCTGGGGTTCCTTTGAGGGCAGCTCTAGTAAAGATGACCAGGTCTGCCCAATGTCTGAGAGCTGGCAGTTACCAGACACTGTGAAGGCCTTGAGGAGCATGGGAAAGGCCAAATGCTGCTCTCTGCGGTCCTAACCCAGGTTCAAGGGTAAGAGAAGGCAAGCCAGGCTGGGCCCATTTTATTCAGTGATCAACATTTAGACAAGACACTTGCCCTAGAAGCCCCCAGACAAGCAGCCACAGGCACAGGGCGCATCCAAGACTAGAGTGACGCTCTTGTTCTAGGTCCTAAGAAGACAGACCACCACTCATTCACCCCTGTAACAAGTATTTGTTGTGGGCCAACTGGCACTGGGTTAGATGCAGTAGATGGGGTAGTGAATGATAGGGAGCTTCTGTGTAACTTACAGACTTGTGACCATTAAAGAAGACTGGTAGGACCAGGGTTTAGGACCCCATTCCACCTGGCAGGAACTATGTGTCCTGACCAGGGTTTAGGACCCCATTCCACCTGGCAGGAACTATGTGTCCTGACCAGGGTTTAGGACCCCATTCCACCTGGCAGGAACTATGTGTCCTGACATAAGTTACTTCAGGTCTGCAAGGCTTTTCCTCGAGGATGAAATGAGTAAAGATTAGGACCTATCCCAGAAGTGGCTGTGGAATTAAATTTAACTACATCTCCACAAAAAAACTGTACAAGAATGTTCGCAGCAACATGCTTCGTAATAGCCAAAAAGTGGTAACAATTCAAATGTCCATTAACTGACAAATGGATAAATAAAATATGATATATCCAGGCAGTGGAATATTATTTGGCCATAAAAAGGAATGAAGGGCCAGGCACAGTGGCTCACGCCTGTAATCCCAGCACTTTGGGAGGCTGAGGCGGGCGGATCACGAGGTCAGGAGATCGAGACCACCCTGGCTAACAAAGTGAAACCCTGTCTCTACTAAAAATACAAAAAATAAAAATTAGCTGGACGTGATGGCAGGCGCCTGTAGTCCCAGCTACTCGGGAGGATGAGGCAGGAGAATGGCGTGAACCTGGGAGGCGGAGCTTGCAGTGAGCCGAGATCGTGCCACTGCACTCCAGCCTGGGCGACAGAGCGAGACTCCGTCTCAAAAAAAAAAAAAAAAAAAAAAAAAAAGAAGGAATGAAGGGCCAGGCATGACAGCTCATGCCTGTAATTCTAGCACTTTGGGAGGCCGAGGAAGAAGGATCGCTTGAGGCCAGGAGTTCAAGACCAGCCTGGGCAACATAGTGAGAACCCATCTCTAAAAAAAAAAGGAAATAAAAAATTAACCAGGCATGGTTACATGTGCCTACAGTCCTAGCTGCTTGGGAGGCTGAGACAGGAGGATCACTTGACTCTGCGAGTTTGAGGTTGCAGTGAGCTATGATGGCACCATGGCACTGAAGTCTGGGTGAGAGAGTGAGACCCTGTCTGTAAACAAATGAAGCACTGATCCATGCTCAATACAGATGACTTGAAAATTTGCTAAGTGAAAGAAGCCAGTCATAAAAGGTCACATATTATATGATTCAACTTATAGGAAATATCCAGAATAGACAAATACATAGAGACAGAAAGTAGATAACTGGGTGCGGGGAGCTGGGGGATTGGGAAGTGATGGCAAATCACTACAGAGTTTCTTTACAAGACAATGACAATGTTCTGAAATTGATTATGGCTGGGCATGGTGGCTCATGCCTATAATCCCAGCATTTTGGGAGGCCAAGGTGGTAGAATCACTTGAGCCCAGGAGATGGAGACCAACCTACGCAACAGAGCGAAACCCCATCTCCTTTTTTTTTTTTTTTTTTTTTTAGACAGAGTCTCACTCTGTCGCCCAGGCTCTGGAGTGTAGTGGCACGATCTCCGCTCACTGCAACCTCCACCTCCTGGGTTCAGGCGATTCTCCTGCCTCAGCCTCCCGAGTAGCTGGGATTACAGGCACATGTCACCACACCCGGCTAATGTTTGTATTTTTAGTAGAGATGGGGTTTCGCCATGTTGGCCAGGCTGGTCTTGAACTCCTGACATAAGGTGATCGCCCACCTAAGCCTCCCAAAGTGCTGGGATTACAGGCGTGAGCCACTGCACCTGGCTGCAAATTTTTTAAATAGAAAGAAAATTGATTGTGGTAATGCATGGCTCTGTGAATACACCAAAAGACACTAAACTGTATACGGACTTTAAATGGGTAAATTTTTTTTTTTTTTTTGAGACGGAGTCTCACTCTGTTGCCCAGGCTGGAGTGCAGTGGCATGATTTTCGTATTTTTAGTAGAGACGGGGTTTCGCCATGTTGGCCAGGTTGGTCTCGAACTCCTGACCTCAAGTGATCCACTGGCCTCGGCCTCCCAACATGCTGGGATTACAGGCGTGAGCCAATGCTCCCGGTCAAAAAAAAATTTTTTTTAAGACAAGGTCTCACTCTGTCACCCAGGCTGGAGTGCAGTGGCACAGTCACAGCTCACTGCAACTTCGACTTCCTGAGCCCAAGTGATCCTCCCATCTCAGCTTTCCAAGTCGCCTCAGCCTTCTCAAGTGCTGGGATTACACGCATGAGCCACTGTGCCCAGCCTAATGTTTTTTTTAAGACACCACATAAGATGCATAACTCATTTGGCAAGATGCCATTCTCATTTTCATCATTCAGTGCCCAGCTAAAATGAGCCCCAAGAAGAGATCCTCTCCCTCTCTTGGGACATTTATCATCTTCTGTCACTGGGAAGAGGTCACTCCCCCACCAATGTAGTGGGCAGCCGGGGCTGACCCCTCTCTAAAACTCTGCCCCCAGCACAGGGCTGGATACACGACAGGCCTCAGTCAGTGTTTGTTAAATGAGTAACTGAACTCAGCACCGCAGCACGGAGAGAACTAGTCTGTCTTTCCACATCCCCGAAGGCTACCTGACCCACCGTGTCCCCTGGGCATGGACTTGAGTGGCCAACCCCTGGATTACCGCGATGCTGGCTGGGGAGCCGGGGCTGATGCTGTTCACTTTGGCGAAGGCCCGTGGAGGGCCCTGGCTCTCACTCTGACCCAGTTTGCGGCTCATGGCCTCTTTGTGGGCCTCAGCCATGTCCCGGGCCTGCTTCTCCTTGTCGCGAGCGTGCAGCTGGTGCAGGGCCTCCTCCACCTGCTTCATCACTGCCTTGTGATCATTCTGCAGGCCTGGGATGAGAACCACACATCAGGGGCCAAGGAAGACAGTGGAGGACACAAGACTCCTACATTTATTCACTGAAGAGTTAACAAGTGCTTATTACATGCCAGATGTGGAGCTAGAGGTGAGAAGGAGTCTCTGACCAAGACAGAGGACATTCCCTCATGGAGCATTCAGTCCTGCAAGGAGCAGCTCCAGAATAAGTAATTACAATAACATCTGATGACTGCAGGGAGGCCTGGCCAGCAGCAAAGTCTGCCCTCGCTAGTCTAGGATATGAGGGAAGGCTTCCTGAAGGCAGTGCTGTCTCGGGTGAGCCCTGAGAGGTGAGCAGAAGGAAGGTAACAACCAGCTGAATCCACAGCCATGAACTCAAAGGCATATGTATGAGGGGCCAGCGCTGTGATCATGTGAATGAATGACTCAGGCTGGGTGTAATCAAGATTTCACTTTTCTCTGAAATCCTCTAGAAGGAAAAATGCTGCATAAGCCGGGCACAGAGGCTCACGCCTGTAATCCCAGCACTGTGGGAGGCCGAGGCAGGCAGATCACGAGGTCAAGAGATCGCGACCACCTTGCCAACATGGTGAAACCCCGTCTCTACTAAAAAATACAAAAATTAGGCCGAGCGTGGTGGCTCAGGCCTGTAATCCCAGAACTTTGGGAAGTCAAGGTGGCCGGATCACGAGGTCAGGAGATGGAGACCATCCTGGCTAACACGGTGAAACCCCGTCTCTACTAAAAATACAAAAATTAGCCGGGCATGATGGCAGGCGCCTGTAGTCCCAGCTACTCGGGAGGCTGAGGCAGGAGATTGGCGTGAACCAGGGAGGCGGAGATTGCAGTGAGCCGAGATCGCGCCACTGCACTCTAGCCTGGGCAACAGAGCAAGACTCCGTCTCAAAAACAAAACAAAACAAAACAAAAACAAAAATTAGCTGGGCGTGGTGGCGGGTGCCTGTAATCCCAGCTACTTGGGAGGCTGAAGCAGGAGAATTACTTGAACCCAGGAGGTGGAGGTTGCAGTGAGCCGAGATCGCACCACTGCCCTCCAGCCTGGCGACAAAGCAAGAATTCGTCTCAAAAAAAAAAAAAAAAAGTGCTGCATAAGCCTAGTAATCCTGGAGACATTCAGTCCAGGAGAGGGAGTCCACAGGGAGGTGGCCAAAGGGCACCCCTGCTACAGGGCTCTTGCCAATTGGCTGGGTTTGGGAGGAAGACCCAATGCTACAAAATCTTTGATTTTTCCAGAAAA
Source organism: Homo sapiens (assembly GCF_000001405.40). Classification (NCBI taxonomy): domain Eukaryota; kingdom Metazoa; phylum Chordata; class Mammalia; order Primates; family Hominidae; genus Homo; species Homo sapiens. The sequence goes on along the minus strand of NC_000012.12, from coordinate 121,898,386 downwards.
GCTGAAAATTGGGATCTTTGAAGTGAAATTCTCTGATTTTTCAGTACAGATAGCTAATTCAAAATGTTGTGAACCACCATGGCAATCTGCAGGCCACGCCAGCACAGCAGCTGGTATTTTGATACCTTGTGCCTGTCAGTGGGATTGCGGTACTACCTGACCTGCCTCCTCTGCCACTGTCACTTTGGAGCAAAGGCAAGACCCTCAGTCATGAAGGGATTCAAGTTCTCAACCCACAGGAGCAGATGTGGGAAAAGAACCCAGATCTGAACAAGTGGAGACATGCACTTGGGAGGCAGACTTACATAATACATGGTCACTTTCACTAGAAAAGCCCTCCCCCAGTGAGGTCCACAGCATCCCTAGACTCTGCAATGCCTGGCACAGGGAAGTGCTCAATACACAGCTGTTGGGGAATGGAACGAACGACTATTTACAACATATTACAATTCTAATCAAAATGTTGAAAGGGTTTTTTTCAGTACAAAATGTTTCTGCAGTGTATTTCAAAAAACAAATTTGCAATTATAACAAACGTACCATATTAACATAAGCTGTTAGCTGGGCGCGGTGGCTCATGCCTGTAATCCCAGCACTTTGCGAGGCCGAGGCGGGCAGATCACCTGAGGTCAGGAGTTCGAGACCAGCCTGGCCAACATGGTGAAATCCCGTCTCTACTAAAAAAATACTACTAAAAAATTAGGCCAGGCATGGTGGCTCACGCCTGTCGAGGCCGAGGCGGGCGGATCACCTGAGGTCAGGAGTTGGAGACCAGCCTGGCCAACATGGTGAAATCCCGTCTCTACTAAAAAAATACTACTAAAAAATTAGGCCAGGCATGGTGGCTCACGCCTGTCGAGGCCGAGGCGGGCGGATCACCTGAGGTCAGGAGTTCAAGACCAGCCTGGCCAACATGGTGAAACCCTGTCTCTACTAAAATATAAAAATTAGCCGGGCACGATGGCGGATGCCTGTAATCTCAGCTACTTGGGAGGCTGAGATGGGAGAATCACTTGAACCCGGGAGATGGTGAGTGCAGTGAGTGAGCCGAGATCATGCCACTGCACTCCAGCCTAGGTGGCTAAGCAAGATTCCATCTCAAAAAAAAAAAAAAAATTAGTCCGGTGTGATGGTGGGCACCTGTAATCCCAGCTACTTGGGAAGCTAAGGCTGGAGAATCACTTGAACCTGTGTGTATACACATGTGTATATATTTGGGAGGCCTCAGCCTCCCAAAGTGCTGGGATTACAGGCATGAGCCTCTGTGCCCAGCTTATGCAGCATTTTTCCTTCTAGAGGATTTCAGAGAAAAGTGAAATCTTGGTTACACCCAGCCTGAGTCATTCACTCATATGTGTATTTTGCATATATACACGCATGTGTATATTTTACATACACATGTATGTGTGTATATATTTACATGTATGTGTAGATATATACACATGTATGTGTATATATGCTGTTAACAACACGGGAGATTACATACAGAAGCCAAAGGACCTATGCATTATTTTCCAATTTTTTTTTCTTTTCTTTTTTTTTTTTTTTTTGAGACAGAGTTTCACTCTTGTTGCCCAGGCTGGAGTGCAATGGCACAATCTCGGCTCACGGCAACCTCCGCCTCCTGGGTTCAAGTGATTCTCCTGCCTCAACCTCCTGAGTAGCTGGGATTACAGGTTCGTGCCACCATGCCCAGCTAATTTTGTATTTTTAGTAGAGACAGGGTTTCTCCATGTTGGTCAGGCTGGTCTCGAACTCCCGACCTCAGGTGATCTGCCCACCTCGGCCTCCCAGTGTGCTGGGATTACAGGCGTGAGCCACCGCACCCAGCCATTATTTTCCAATTTTTATGTAAATCTATAACTGTTCTTTAAAAAGGGCTGTTTTGAGAATAGATTTTCTTTCTTTTTTTTGAGACAGAGTTTTGTTTGCTCTGTCGCCCAGGGTGGAGTGCAGTGGTGTAATCTCGGCTCTTTGCAACCTCTGCCTCCTGGGTTCAAGTGATTCTCCTGTCTCAGCCTCCCAAGTAGCTGGAATTACAGGCATGTGCCACCACATCCAGTTAATTTTTCTATTTTTAGTACAGACAGGATTTTGCCATGTTGGTCAGGCTAGACTCAAACTCCTGACCTCAGGTGATCTGCCCGCCTTGGCTTCCCAAAGTGCTGGGATTACAGGCATGAGCCACCGCACCCGGCCGAGAACAGATTTTTCAAAAAAAGACCAATAAGGAATTGCTCAAACAGATTTTTTTTTTTTTTTTGAGACGGTCTCTTGCTCTGTCACTCGGGAGGTGGAAGTTGCAGTGAGCCAAGATCGTGCCACTGCACTCCAACCTGGGTGACAGAGCGAGACTCCGTCTCAAAAAATAAATAAATAAATAAGATGTGATGCAGATGGAATCAAGATTCAAACAGATTAAAGAGGAGTTAGTAAGTGAAAAATGTGGAGGATAAATGCTAATAGGACTCTGTGGTGGAGACGGTTGCCTACCTATGGCTGAGTGGATAATGGCCCCCAACACATCCACATCCTAGCCCCTAGAAGCTGGGAATATGCCACCTTACATGGCAAAAGAGGCTCTGCAGATGTGATTAAGGACCTTAAGATTCGGACATGATCCTGGATTATCCAGGTGGGCCTGGTGTCATCACAGAGGTCTTTATAGGTGAAAGAGGGAGGCAGGAGAGTGAGAGAAAGAGATGTTATGACAGAATCAGAGGGAGGGAAATGCGACTGCTGGCTGTGTAGATGGACGAAGCCATGAGCCAAGGACGGTGGGCAGCCTTTGGAAACCAGAAAAGACCAGGAACAGGTTCTCCCCTAGATCCTCCAGAAGGAGCCAGCCCTGCCAACACCTTGATTTTAGTCCAGTGAGACCCATCTGGACTTCTTATCTCCAGCTACTAAGTCTGTGGTCATTTGTTATGGCAGAAACAGAAACAAATATACTATCCAATCTGTACTCTCTGCTAGCTCTTTAATTAAAAACAAATCACGTCATTTGTTATGGCAGAAACAGAAAACAAATATACTATCCAATCTGTACTCTCTGCTAGCTCTTTAATTAAAAACAATCAGCACCTTGGAAGGCCAAGGCAGGAGGACCACTTGAGTCCAGGAGTTCAAGACTCACCTGGGCCACTTAGTGAGACTCGTCTCTACTAAAAAAAATTAGCCAGGCACAGCGACACATGCCTATAGTCCCAGCTACTTGGGAGGCTGAGGCAGAAGGAGCACTTGGAGCCTGGGGGGTTGAGACTGCAGTGAGTCATGTTAGCACCACTGCACTCCAGCCTGGAAGACAGAGCAAGACCCTGACTCAAAAAAAAAAGAGAGAGAGAGAGAGAGAGAAAATGAAACCAGAAATATAGAACCTTAGAGTCTAGCCCATTCCCTTGGTTCTCAGTCCTTGGATGGGGACAAGACAATCCCATCAAGGCAGAAGAGAAGGCAGTAGATAATACAGATAGTTGGTTTTATTTGTATGCCTTTAACACCTTCCCACCACAAGGTGGGGAAAGTCTTCTAAGAGGGCCACTCACATATGATGTTGTGCCTGGCGGTGCGGACTTGGTACAGGTCCACGTCTGACCGGGGGTAGCCCTCACAGTCCACCAGCGGCTCGTTCATCCCAATGCCTTTTTGCTGGAGGAAAGAAACGTGGTTAAAAGGTGCTCATGGGTGTAATGTCCCCAGGATGTCTTTCCCCAGACCCTTCTCCTCTGAAGTCATAATAAAGGTGACAGTAATGAAAACTGCCACATACTGATCACTTACACCAGGGGCTCTACTCATGCCCTCACAACTACCCTGGGGTGGGCACTGTGTTTTTCATTTTTTATTTTTAACGACGCAAGTAATGCATGAATCCATTCTTTTTTGAAGTTAAAACAGTGCCGATAAAACCAAAGACTCCTTTGAGCATCATCCCCAAGGCCAGCCTCTTCCTCCACTCCTTCACACCCTCCTTCCCACAGGTGGCTGACACCTGGCTGCTGGCCCTGGAAGCTAGAGGGGAGTGAAAAGCCCAGACAGCACCCAGCTGTGGCAGGGCTTTGATTCTTCTGAAAATAAAAAGATCTGAAGAAGGAAACTGATAGCACCAGCTGCCTCCGGGGAGAAGAACTGGGTGGCTAGGTGACAGGGCAGGGAGAGAGACAGTCCATTTTATACCCCTCTGTAGGTTTTGAATTTTGCCTATGGGAATGTATTCTTTATTCAAAACAACACTTTTTTTTTTTTTAACATGAGTCAGAGGAGAGTACACAAAAGCAGTGAAACCAGTCACATGGTTCAGGGGAGGGGCTTTGCAATTGGTTAGACTTTAATTTGAATCTCAACTCTGCCATGTACAAGCTGGGCATCCTTAGCTGAGACCTTCTCCTCTCTAAGCCTCAGCTTCCTCAATTATAAAATGGGAATAGGAGCACTCGCCTCCCTCCCTACCTGCTGCAAGAACTAACGAGCTGACCTGCAGAGTACTTAGCACATGCCACGCGCATACACAGCATAGTGGGTTGAAGAGCGGCCCCCAAAAACAGATAACCACGAGCTAACCCCCAGAACCTGTAAATATGACTTTATTTGAAAAAGAGTCTTTGTAGATGTAATTATGTTAAGGATCTCGAGATAAGCTCATCTGGTGGCTGGTGTCCTCATAAAAGAAAGGCAGAGGTAGGTGTGGGACAGACACAGGAGGAAGGCCACATGAAGATGCAGGCAGAGGTTCAAGTGACACAGCTGTAGGCCAAGGACCGCCAGCAGTCACCAGAGGCCAGGAGAAAGGCTTGGGAGCTTCTCTCTCAGAGCCTGCAGAAGGAGCCAACCCTGCTGACACCTTGATTTCAGACTTCTGGCCTCCAGAGCTGGGACAAAGTAAATTCCTGTTTTAAGTCACCAACTCTGTGGTGTTAAGGTGGCCTCAGAAAACGACTACGCGCAGAAGTCATAAATAGTGGCTGTAAGGATTAGTCAGTCCAGGGACAAGCTGCCAGTGTACACAGGCACTGAGAAGAGGGATTCCATTCATTTTGCTCCCTTTCTCTCTGGAAGCCTCCGGGTTACACCCAAACCTACTGTCCACTGCGCAGGGAGATAGTTCTCCACACTCCCCTAACACAGGACTCGCCGTGACACTGCAGAAATGCGCCAGGGGCTAAAAACCTGTATCTGCTCCTGCCTTCCCACAGTGGTTAAGGGTTGACCAGCCTTTGAGAATCAATATCACATTGGATAATGCTTCTCAAAGGATGGGATCCATAACACTAGCAGCTCACACACACGGCATTAAATAACCCTGAATCAAAAATACATATTCCTCTCCCAATTCTCTACAATCCTGCAATTGTCAAGGCAAAAGTGTCCATTTGGTGCTGGTCTCTGCAACACCCCAGTTACTTGCTATCTCTAGTACCCTCTGTTTTTATAACAGTTTTATTGAGATATAATTCAGATACCATATAACTGACCCATGTAAAGTGTAAAAGGTAATGGCTTTTGTGTTTGTATTGGTTTGAGACAAGATCTTCTGTTGCCCAGGATCGGGTGCAGTGGTGTGTTCATAGCTCACTGCCGCCTTAAACTCCTGGGTTCAAGCGATCTGTCTCAGCCTCCTAAGTAGCTGGGACCACAGGCACATGTCATCACACCTGGCTAATTTTTAATTTTTAATTTTTTTTTTTTAAAGACAGAGTCTCGCTCTGTTGCCCAGGCTAGAGTACAGTGGCGAGATCTTGGCTCACTGCAAGCTCCGCCTCCTGGGTTCAGGCCCTTCTCCTGCCTCAGCCTCCCGAGTAGCTGGGACTACAGGCGTCTGCCACCACACCCGGCTAATTTTTTTGTATTTTTAGTAGAGACGGGGTTTCACCGTGTTAACCAGGATGGTCTCGATCTCCTGACCTCGTGATCTGCCAGCCTCGGCCTCCCAAAGTGCTGGGATTACAGGCATGAGCCACCATGCCCGGCCTTTAATTTTGAATTTTTTGTAAAGATAGGCTCTTACTGTGTTGCCCAGGCTAGTCTCAAACCCCTGGCCTCAAGTGATCCTCCTGCCTCAGACTCCCAAAGTCCTGGGATTACAGGCATGAGCCACCACGCCTGGCCATTGACCATTTGTATTGACCATATTTTCTTTGGAGAAATGTTTATTCAGATCCTTTCCCTGTCTTCTAATTGGCTGTCTTTTTATTATTGAGTTGTAAGAGCTCTTATTATAGTCTAGATACTATCCTCTTATCAGAGAAATGATATGCAAATATTTTCTCCCATTCTGGAGCTTATCTTTTCATTTTACTATGCCCTTTGAAACACAGTTTTAAAGTTGAAGTCCAACTTATCATTTTTTCTTTTGTAGCTTGTGTTTTTGGTGCCATATCTAAAAAGGCTTTGCCTAATCCAAGGTCATGAAGATTTACTCCTATGCTTTATTATACGAGATTTATAGTTTTAGCTGTCCACTTCTTTTTTTTTTTTTTTTTTTTTTTGAGATGGAATCTCTGTCACCCAGGCTGGAGTGTCGTGGTGCAGTCTTGGTTCACTGCAACCTCCGCCTCCCAGGTTCAAGTGATTCTCTTGCATCAGCCTCCCGGGTAGCTGGGATTATAGATGTGTACCACCACACCTGGCTAATTTTTGTATTTTTCGTTGAGACGGGGTTTCACCATGTTGGCCAGGCTGGTCTCGGACTCCTGACCTCAAGCGATCCACACACCTCGGCCTTCCAAAGTGCTGGGATTACAGACGTGAGCCACCATGCCCAGTCTTTTTTTTTTTTTTCTTTTTTCTTGAGACGGAGTCTCGCTCTGTCACCCAGGCTGAAGTGCAGTGGCGCAATCTTGGCTCACTGCAAGCTCCACATCCCGGGTTCAGGCCATTCTCCTGCCTCAGCCTCCAGAGTAGCTGGGACTACAGGCGCTGGCCACCACGTCCAGCTAATTTTTTGTATTTTTAGTAGAGACGGGGTTTCACTGTGTTAGCCAGGATGGTCTCGATCTCCTGACCTCGTGATCCGCCCGCCTCGGCCTCCCAAAGTGCTGGGATTAGAGGCATGAGCCACCGCACCCGGCCTTTTTTTTTTTTTTTTTTTTAAAGAGACAGCATCTCACTCTGTCACCCACAAGAGAGTGCAGTGGTGCAATTATAGCTCCCTGCAGCCTCAACATTCAGGGTTCAAGCAATCCTCCTGCCTCAGCCTCCCAAGTAGCTAGGACTACAGGCATGCACCACCACGCCCAACTAATTTTTAAAAAAATTTTTTGTAGGCCTGGCGCGGTGGCTCAAGCCTGTAATCCCAGCACTTTGGGAGGCCGAGGCGGGCGGATCACGAGGTCAGGAGATCGAGACCATCCTGGCCTCAGGTGATCCACCCACCTTGGCCTCCCAAAGTGCTGGGATTACAGGCGTGAGCCACCAGGCCCGGCCCAAACCCACTTTTTAAAAACAAATATAGAGCACGGTTTCAGGCTGAAAGCTTTCAGCAAGCAACAGCAGCTAGCCAGAAGCAACCAACATGCCGTATCAACATGCAAAGCATCTGACCTTATATTTAAGAGAAGAGATTATCATTTTCCATATGCAGCGGAGTTTTGAAATTTCCTTTTAAAATACATTTATGGGCAAGGCACTGTGGCTCATGCCTGTAACCCCAACACTTTGGGAGGCAGAGGCAGGAGGACTGCTTGAGCCCAGGAGTTTCAGACCAGTCTGAGCAAGCAACATAGTGAGACCCCATAGCTACAAAAAATACAAAAATTAGCTGGGCGTGGTGGCACGTACCTGCAGTCTCAGCTACTTGGGAGGCTGAGGTGGGAGGATTGCTTGACACCAGGAGATTGAGGCTGCAGTGAACCAAGATGGTGCCACTGAACTCCAGCCTGGGCAACAGAGCGAGACCCTGTCTCAATAATAATAATAACAATAATAATACATTTATATAAGATTAAAAGTAGATCTATTTAAATAAAAATATCAAAGGAATAACACAAGTGGTATATGCATATAGTATACTGCATGTGGTAGAAAGTAAACTAAAGTTTGAGAAATTGCTGGTAATTTGCTTGAAAGCACAGGTTCTGAATGTAACAGACCTGAAGTCTGAATCCCACTTTGAGCATATAGTCAGCACCCAGTAAAATGGTTCTCTGGCCCTCCGTATGAAACTTCATCTTATGGCCGGACGCGGTGGCTCACGCCTGTAATCCCAGCACTTGGGGAGGCCAAGGTGGGCGGATCACCTGAGGTCAGGAATCCAACACCGGCCTGACCAACATGGTGAAACCCTGCTTTTACTTAAAATAAAAAATTAGCCTGGCGTACTGGCGCTCGCCTGTAATCCCTACTACTCGGGAGGCTGAGGCAGGAGAATCACTTGAACCCAGGAGGCAGAGGCTGCAGTGAGCCGAGATTGAGCCACTGCACTCCAGCCTGGGTGACAAAGCAAGACTCCGTCTCAGACAAAAAAAAAAGAAACTTCATCTTACATCACCTAAAATGCATTCCATCCCACCCTACTTGGGCATAATTAATTGCATCTTCCTCTGCAAACTGATCTGTGATTTTACACTAGATGGCATAAGAAAACCTGCATCAGCTTTTGAGCCAGACCCACCACTGCCACTTCCGAACTACATGACCTTAGATAGGCGTTTGCCCCACTCTGGGCCTCAGTTTCCTCCTTATGCAATAAGGATGATGAGCCTTATTTGTAACTCAAAGTTCGGTCCTTAGACCACTAGCATCAGCATTGCTGGGAGTTTGCTACAAATGCAGAATCTGCTCCCTTGCCTCAAACAAAATCTGCATTTTAATAAGATCCCCAGGTAATTCATATACACACTGAAGTTTAAGAATTCACGATACAATCAGCAAATGCCGGGTGCAGTAGCTCACGCCTGTAATCCCAGCACTTTGAAAGGCCGAGGTGGAAGGATCGCTTGAGGCCATGAGTTCGATACCAACCTGGGCAACACAGTGAGACTCTGTCTTTACAAAAAGTACAAAATTAAGATAAGGCAGTCAGCGAGGCACATGACAGCTGTTTAATCACCAAGTAACACCTGTTTCCCCCTCCCTAAAATGGAAAGAGTAACAGCATCCACCTCAAAGGGTTGTTGCAAAGATTAAATTAACTCAACAATGCACAGCACTTAAACCAGCGCCTAGCACACAGCAGGGCTCCACAAACTCTTGCTGGATATCAATATGGCTAACTCTTCAGTTGCTAAAGTTCTTTGCCTGCCTTCTTGTGCCGACAGAGGCCGCACTTGCGGCGCCTTGGGCCTCCCAGGGAGATCCGTTGCGGAGCGCCCAAACTGAGGCCGCCCTGGCATCCCAGTACCCCAGGGACTCCGGGCCGGGTTAGGCGACTTGGGGCGCCCCGAACCCACACTCACGCTTTCCAGCACGTCATAGTTGGCCTTGATCTGCGCTTCTATCTCCTCCTTGCGCCGCATCAGCTCCTGGACGTCGCTGACAGTCACGACGCCGGCCTGCGAGGAGCCTCCGCTCTGCCTCGCTTCCTCGTCGGACATCGTGAACCCCGGGCCGCGACTCCAGAGACCCGGCTCCCGGGCTAGGGACGACGCCCCAGTCGACCGTAACTACGGCTCCGCCCATGCGCCAAAACACCACAGCCGTCCGCGAACGCGAGAACAGTCAAGGGGCGGGGCTTGGGATGGGGCTTAGGGCGGAGCTGGGTCACCGGAAGCCGCGCCCTGCCGGAACACGTGCGCCTGTGGTGACCCGGCAGGAGTAGCGTCGGAAGCAATGGATCCCCACGCAATTGCACACCAACGCTAGGGGATGATCTCGCCCCAGCTGACTCATTTTCTCATTCGTGCAGCAGACATTTATTGAGCGCCTACTGTATGGATGGATACTGTACGCCAGAGAACCGCTGCGTGGCGCTCCAATTCAGTTCTTCACATCCACACAGCCCTGGAGGATTTACAAAATACATTAAGGTTCCTTATCCCTCACTTTACAGATCCGATATGCCTGAGTACACACCCCGTATCTTGCCACTTAACGGCAATCTGTGTGACCCTAGGTCACTACTTGGCTTCTCTGGGCCTCAGTTTCCTCATCTGTAAAATGGGGCAGTAATTGATAGCAATCTATCTCATAGAGCTGTCCTTCTGCTAACAAATATTCATGGAATGATTCCTATGAGCCATATACTGTTGAAGGTGCTGGATGTTCCTGTTAAGGCCTCTAAAAATCGTAGTGATAATAATAACGGTAACAGTGTTTATTTATTGATACTTATAATGTGCCAGACGCTGTTCTAAATGCCTTACATATATTAATTCAACAACCTCATGAAGCTAGATTATTACATCCCAATTTGACAGCTGAGAAAACCGTCTCAATAACCAATTTACCCAACTAGCAAAATGTGAGGCCAAAATTCCAACCCAGCTTACCTAAACAATCAACTTTGATATCTGACCATGTGCCTCTAATATTTTGTCTTGAAAAGGGCTCAGCGGTCATCTGTGTAGTATTCAAACATGTTTGCCCTGAATCTAATCATTGGAAAACAGACATATCCAAAAGAAGGGACATACTTCAAAACAACTGGCCTGAAAACTTCAAAAAAAGTCAATGTTGTGAAATACACATGGGGAATAAGGGGTGGGGGACAGAGAAAGGAGGCGGATATGCAATTGCCTAGATTTAAGAACACTAAAGATGTGCATCAACTAAATGCAATGGGCCAGGTGTGGTGGCTCATGCCTATAATCCCAGCACTTTGGGAGGCTGTGGCAAGCAGATCATTTGAGGTCAGGAGTTTGAGACTAGCCTCGCCAACATGGTGAAACCCTGTCTCTACCAAAAATATAAAATATTAGCCGGGTGTGGTGGCACACACCTGTAATCCCAGGTACTCAGGAGGCTGAGGTCTCGAACCCCTGGCCTCAAGTGATCCAGCCCAGCTCGGCCTTTCAAAGTGCTGGGATTACAGGAGTGAGCTACCGCACCCCTCAAAAATAAACTAACATTTCTAACATTATCGAGAGAGAGAGAGAGAGAAATACAGGTGCAGTGGCTCATACCTGTAGTCCCATTATGCTGGGAGATCAAGGCAGGAGGATCCCTTAGGTCCAGGAGTTTGAGACTAGCCTGGGCAACATAGCAAGACCTCCATCTCTACAAAAAAAAAAAAATAATAATTAATTAGCAGAGGACCAGGTGTGGTGATTCACACCTGTAATCCCAGCACTTTGGGAGGCTGAGGTGGGTGGATCACTTGAGGTCAGGAGTTCAAGACCAGCCTGGCCAACATGGTGAAACACCGTCTCTACTAAAAATACAAAAGTTACCAAGGCACAGTGCCACACACTTGTAATCCCAGCTACCTGGGAGGCTGACGCAGGAGAATCGCTTGAACCGGGGAGGCAGAGGTTGCAATGAGCTGAGATCATGTCACTGCACTCCAGCCTGAGTGACCGAGTGAGACTCTGTCTCAAATAAATAAATAAATAATAAAGTTAAAAAGGGAGGAAGAGAGAAATAATGACTAAATGCAATACATGATCCTTACTTGAATTATTTAATGAGAAACAGCAGCTTTACAAGACTTATTGGGCCAACTGGTGAAATCTAAATATGAACTTTATATTAAATTATAGTATATCAGTGTTAAATTTCCTCAGTCAGATAATGGTGTTGCAATTATATGAGAGAATCACTTTTATCTTTATTGGAACGAGATAAATGCTCAATTATTTAGATGTGTAGTGTCATGATTTCTGCTACTAACTTGCAAGTGGTCCGAAGAAAGTGATACAAGGGGAGAAAGAGGCAAAATGTAACAATTAGCAAATCCACGTGAAGAGTATAAGCATGTTCAAGAAAACTGTTTTGTAAGCTGCTTATGGCTATAATCCTAGCATTTTGGGAGGCCAGGGCAGGTGGCTCACTGCCTGAGCGGCAGAGCAAGACTCCGTCTCAAAAAAAAAAAAAAAAAAAAAACTAGGCCAGGCGCGGTGGCTCACGCCTGTAATCCCAGCACTTTGGGAGGCCAAGCCAGGTGGATCATGAGGTTAGGAGATCGAGACCATCCTGGCTAACACGGTGAAACTCCATCTCTACTAAAAATACAAAAATTTAGCCGGGCATGGTGGCACGTGCCTGTAGTCCCAGCTACTCAGGAGGCTGAGGCAGGAGAATGGCATGAACCTGGGAGACAGAGCTTGCAGTGAGCAGAGATCGTGCCACTGCACTCCAGCCCGGGCGAGAGAGTGAGACCCCATCTCAAAAAAAAAAAAAAAAACTAAATGCAATATGTGGCCAGGTGCGGTGGCTTACGCCTGTTATCTCAGCATTTTGGGAGACCGAGGCGGCTGGATCACCTGAGGTCAGGAGTTCAAGACCAGCCTGGCCAACATGCTGAAACCTTGTCCCTACTAAAAATACAAAAATTATCCGGGCGTGGTGGCTCTGTTGCCCAGGCTGGAGTGCAGTGGCGAGATCTCGGCTCACTGCAACGTCCACCTCCCTGGTTCAAGCAATTCCCCTGCCTCCCGAGTAGCTGGGATTACAGGCGTATGCCACCATGCTCGGCTAATTTTTTTGTATTTTTAGTAGAGACAAGGTTTCACCATGTTGGCCAGACTGGTCTAGAACTCCTGACCTCAGGCAATCCACCCGCCTTAGCCTCCCAATGTGCTGGGATTACAGGCGTGAGCCACCGCACCTGGCCAAATTTCCTGATTTTTAAAAAAATTGTAATATCCTCCCACCCTTGATATCTGAAAATTTCCTGATTTTGATACTTTCACTGTGGTTTTGTAAGACAGTGCCCTTAGAAAAAGTACCCTGTAGTATTTAGGGTTAAGAGAGGCAATTTACTTTCAAATGGTTCAGAAAAGAATACAGATATAGGCCGGGCGTGGTGGCTCACACCTGTAATCCCAGCACTTTGGGACACCGAGGTGGGCGGATCACAAGGTCAAGAGATGGAGACCATCCTGGCCAACATGGTGAAACTCTGTCTCCACCAAAAATACAAAAATTAGCTGGACGTGGTGACTCATGCCTGTAGTCACAGCTACTCGGGAGATTGAGTCAGGAGGATCACTTGAATCCGGGAGGCAGAGGTTACAATGAGCCGAGATGGTGCTACTGCACTACAGCCTGGCGACAGAGCAAGACTTCATCTAAAAAAAAAAAAAATACAGATATATATGTAAGGCCGGGCATGGTGGCTCACGCCTGTAATCTCAGCACTTTGGGAGGCTGAGGGGGGTGGATCACTTGAGGTCAGGAGTTTGAGATTAGCCTGACCAACATGGTGAAACCCCGTCTCTACTAAAAATACAAAAATCAGCTGGGCGTGGTGGCAGGCACCTGTAATCCCAGCTACTCGGGAGACTGAGGCAGGAGAGAATCGCTTGAACCTGGGAGGTGGAGGTTGTAGTGAGCCGAGATCGTGCCACTGCACTCCAGCCTGGACCATATAGTGAGACTCCGTCTCAAGAAAAAGAAAGAGATATATATTTGTAGACAAGAGAGAGATAAAGTAAATACGGCAAAATGTTAATAATTGGTGACTCTGTAAATTATTTGTAAATGTAAATTATTTACATTTACAAAATGTAAATAATTGGTGAAACATATAAATGTTCTTTATAATATTTTTGGAACTTTTCTGTGAGTTTAAAACCACTTCAAGATAAAATTTTAAAACAAACTTTAAACAGAAAGAAGAAAAAAAGAGAAAAGGTAGAAAAATAAACTAACATTTCTAACATTGTCAAAAGAGAGAGAGAGAGAGATACAGGTGCAGTGGCTCATGTCTGTAGTCCTATATCTCTGGGAGATCAAGGCAGGAGGATCCCTTGAGTCCAGGAGTTTAAGACCAGCCTGGGCAATATAGCAAGACTTACGTCTCTACAAAAAAAAAAATTAATTAGCGGAGGACCAGGCATGATGGTTCACGCCCGTAATCCCGGCATTTTGGGTGGCCGAAGTGGGTGGATCACATAAGGTCAGGGGTTTGAGACCAGCCTGGCCAACATAGTAAAACCCCATCTCTAGTAAAAATACAAAAATCAGCCGGGCACAGCGGCACACACCTGTAATCCCAGCTACTTGGGAGGCTGAGGCCGGGGAATTGCTTGAGGCAGAGGTTGCAGTGAGCGGCGATCATGCCACTGCACTCCAGCCTGGGCGACAGAGCGAAACTCCGTCTCAAAAAAAAAAAAAAAAAGAGAGGAAAAGAGAAACGATGACTAAATGCAATACATGATCCTTACTTGAATTATTAATGAGAAACAGCGGCTTTAAAAGACTTACTGGGCCAATTGATGAAATCTAAATATGAACTTTATATTAAATTATAGTATATCAGTGTTAAGTTTCCTCAGTCAGATAATGATGTTGCAATTATGTGAAAGAAACTCTTTTTATGGTAAGGAGATAAATGCTCAAATATTTAGATGTGTAGCGTCATGGTTTCAGCTACTAACTTGCAAGTGGTTCAAAGAAAATGATACAAGGGGAGAAAGAGGCAAAATGTAACAATTAGCAAATCCACATGAAGAGTATATGCATGTTCAAGGAAACTTTTGTAGGCAGCTCATGGCTATAATCCTAGCACTTTGGGAGGCAGAAGTGGGAGGATCCCCTGATCCTAGGAATTTGAGACCAGCCTGAGCAACGTGGCAAGACCCAGTTTCTATCAAAAAAAAAAAAAAAAGAAAGAAGGAAAAGGAAAAGTTGGTTGTGTGGGGGAACTATCTTGCAGTTCTTCTGAGGTTTGAAATTTTTCCAAATAAAAAGGGTGAGGAGAAGATTCTTACCCATGCGGTCTGAAAAGAGAGCTGTTGTTAGGTTACTACATTATGAGCTTGTCAATATTGCTGTCATTATAATAAACCTCTATCCTGTGACTGCCTTCATAGCTCCCAAATCCACCCATCTCCTCCACCTCTACTCCTACCCCGCCACCTCTTCCTCCTGATTGGGCAGTCTTTGAACTGTCTCAGGTTGCGCACTTTAACCCAGTCTCCAAAGCAGCCAGAACAACCTTCCCAAGAGTGACATTGGCACGCTACTGCTTAATGGCTTCAGTGCCCTTCTCTTGGCCTTTAAGACTCCTGATCTCTGCTTGCCTTTAGACCACCTCCCATCCCTGTACCCCACCACACACACACACACACACACACACACACACACACACACACACACACACACACACAACTTATGCTCCAGCCATGCTGAACTTCTAACAGTTTCTGGCACGTTTTTTGCTCAGTCTCTCTTAGCACTGGGTCTTAGCACCTGCTCTTCCCACCCTGGAACACCATCTCAGGCCAGGCTGACTTGAACCTCTCCTTCAAGATCCAGCTCAAGGCTGGGTGAGGTGGCTCACACCTGTAATCCCAGCACTTTGGGAGGCCGAGGCGGGTGGCTCACTTGAGGTCGGTAGTTCAAGACCAGCCTGGCCAACATGGTGAAACCCCATCTCTACTAAAATAGATTAGTTGGGTTTGGTGGCAGGTGCCTGTAATCCCAGCTACTCAGGAGGCTGAGGCAGGAGAAGCTGGGAGGCAGAGGTTGCAGTGAGCTGAGATTACACCACTGTACTCCAGCCTGGGCAACAGAGCAAGACTCCCTCTCAAAAACAAAAAGAAAAAGATCCCTCTCAAAAACAAAAAGAAAAAGAAATACTACCTCCCTGGAAATCATTATGTGTCCCACCCCACAGCTGGGCTGTTTTCTGCACTTTTCACTTGGTATTGTAAATGCATGTTTACCTGTCTGTCCCATGCACTGGAGATTCTTAGAGAATGTGGACTGAGGCTTGTTTATCTTCAAATGTTGGACTGTTTGAGGATTGCAAGGGAACAGTCTGAGAGAGCTGTCTTTCCCCTTTCCAGTTGTTCTGTTTCATCTTCCCTGCAGTGGCCACAGACAGCCCAGCAAAACCTTTGTTTTAGAAAGCTGCCAAGATCTAGGAGAACTTCAGTTGCCTCTCTCAAGCTTTCACATCTTGCTCATCTTCATTTCAGAACGAGAGGTAGGCCAAGAGACAAACACATGGGAAATAGAGCCAGGGAACTAGAGATCCCTGGCGAGACCTGGTTGGTCAGAATTCATACTGCCTGACTTGAGGACCACCACACTTTCCATGTTTCACCTCACTCTGGCCCAGGAATCCTACAAACGACAAATCCTCCCCTCGTTTCCTGAATCTATAAAACAAGGGTCTGGACTCTGACAGCCATAAAGGTGGCAGGCTCGCTCATGAGTTGGCCCCCTAAAAGTTTTTAAGAATTGTAAATTAGTTGCTTAATCAGGCCAGCACAGTGGCTCATGCCTGTAATCCCAGCACTTTGAGAGGCCTAGGCGGGAGGATCACCTGAGGTCAGGAGTTCAAGACCAGCCTGGCGAACATGGTGAAACCCCATCTCTAATGAAAATACGAAAATTAGGTTGGGCGCGGTGGCTCACGCCTGTAATCCCAATAGTTTGGGAGGCTGAGGTGGGCGGATCATGAGGTCAGGAGATCAAGACCATCCTGGCCAACATGGTGAAACCCTGTCTCTATTAAAAATACAAAAAATTAGCTGAGCATGGTGGCACATGCCTATAGTCCCAGCTAGTTGGGAGGCTGAGGCAGGAGAATCGCTTGAACCCGGGAGGCGGAGTTTGCAACGAGCCAAGATCGCACCACTGCACTCCAGACTGGCGACAGAGCAAGACTCCATCTCAAAACAAAACAAACAAACAAACAAAAAAACAAAGTCATGGGAGCAGATAAGGATAATGAAGCCACCTGGGGCTGGTGAGCATGGGGTCTCTTACCCCACCCCTTAAGCCTAAAGGGGCAAGAGAAGGGAGGGTTTGGAAACCTAGAGAGAGTTGTAGTCACCCAACAGGAGTGTGGCCTTCAGTACAGGGACATAGCTGCTGCTAAAACAGCTGCTAAAACAACGTCTGGCAGGGAGGAAGCCAAGGAAGAGATACCCCCACTTGTCTCTCCTCTCCTTTCCTGCCAGGGTCTCAGGTTGGCTGAAGGTGATAAGGCTTGGGGCACAGAGAAGGGCAGGGAGGGAAGAGATTTGGAGGGGCTAAAGGAATATCCACCACAGTTGCCAATAATTAAGCATTTGGAAAAGTAAGATGCAGAGACCCACATAGTAAATCATCCTATTTTTATTCAGTAAAGTCAACTCCCCCATAGAATGGAAAAAGGGAAGCAGTTATACCTGTGAGGGTGTTAATATTTAGTACCTGGGCAGAGCGTGGAGCAGAGCAGAAAGTAATTTTTAAAAATAAGATACTGGGTTGTGCACGTTGGCTCACGCCTGTAATCCCAACACTGGGAGGCCAAGGTGGGCAGATCACCTGAGGTCAGGAGTTCGAGACCAGCCTGGCCAACATGGCGAAATCCTACTACTAAAAATACAAAAAATTAGCCTGGCGTGGTGGGACACACTTGTAGTCCCAGCTACTTGGGAGGCTGATGTGGGGGGATTGCTTGAGCCTGGGAGGCAGTGGTTGCAGTGAGCTGAGGTCACGCCACTGCACACCAGCCTGGGTGACAGATTGAGACCCTTGAAAATAATAACAATAATAAGATACTGCCTGGCATGGTGGCTCATGTCTGTAATCCTAGCATGTTGGAAGGCCAATGCAGGAGAATCACTTGAGGCCAGAAGTTTGAGACTAGCCTGGGCAACATGACAAGACTCTGTCTCTACAAAACATAAAATAGTAATAAGATACTTATTAATATAAATTCAGAGTAATTTAATAAAGCAATTGTTAAAGAGCATTAAACTCTACATTCAAATGAGCTAGATCACCATCCATGCTGTTTCTAATGGGAAGATCTTGGTAATGCTTGATTCTAGGAGCTGGTTAAAGAAATCATGGTACAGGCCGGGCATGGTGGCTCACGCCTATAATCCCAGCACTTTGGGAGGCCAAGGCGGGTGGATCACGAGGTCAGGAGTTCAAGACCAGCGTGGCCAAGATGGTGAAACCCCATCTCTATTAAAAATTCAAAAATTATCTGGGTGTGATGGTGGGCGCATGTAATCCCAGGGAAGCGGAGGCAGGAGAATCTCTTAAACCTGGGAGGCAGAGGTTGCAATGAGCCGAGATCATGCCACTGTACCCGAGTCTGGGCGACAGAGCAAGACACCATCTGAAAAAAAAAGAAAGAAAGAAAAAAGAAATCATGGTACAGCCTTTCTTTTTTTTTTTTTTTCTTTTTTTCATTTTGATACAGGGTCTCGCTCTGTCACTCAGGCTTGAGTGTAGTGGTGCAATCATGGCTCACTGCAGCCTCAACCTCCCAGGCTCAAGCAATCCCCCCACCTCAGCCTCCCCAATAGCTGGGACCATATACATACACCACCACACCCAGCTAATTTTTAAATTTTTGTAGAGATCTGTTCTGGCCATTGTCCAAGCTGGTCTCGAATTCCTGGGCTCAAGTGATCCACCCACCTCTGCCTCCCAAAGTGCTGGGATTACAGGCATGAGCCACTGCACCTGGCCCCACCCAGTATAGCTTTTCAATGAAACACACACATATACACACACCAGGTGAACATGTGTATTTATTGCCATGACAAAAGTGTTTACAAAGTATATGTAAAAAAATTAGCATAAGTATCAAATCATATGTATCATTATCTGTATATCTTGTCATATCTATATATGTTTATACATTTTTAGAAAGTAGTCTGTGTGGGCCAGGCATGGTGGTGCTTGCCTGTAGTCCCAGCTACTCAGGCCGAGATGGGAGGATCCCTTGAGCCCAGGAGTTTAAGGCTGCACTGAGCTGATCACACCACTGCACTCCAGCTTGGGCAACAGAGAAAGACCCCATCAAATAAGAGAAAAGAAAAGAAAAGAAAAAAGAGAAGAGAAGAGAAGAGAACAGAAGAGAAAAGGAAAGAAAAGAAAAGAGTAGTCTGGGTGGGCATTCCCAGATCATCCAAGGTGGTTGTCTGTAGATGAAGGATTATCAGTAGGCTTGTTTTCTTTACTTTTTTTTCCTCTTAATTATGTGTATTTTCATCCCCCCACCCCGCCCCAACCAAGTTGTATTAGTTATTTTTTAATTAATTATTTATTTATTTATTTAGACAGATTTTCCCTCTTGTTGCCCAGACTGGAGTGCAATCTCGGCTCATTGCAACCTCCGCCTCCTGGGTTCAAGCAATTCTCTGGCCTCAGCCTCCTGAGTAGCTGGGATTACAGGTGCCCACCACCACGCCTGGCTAATTTTTGTATTTTTAGTAGCGACAGAGCTTCGCCAAGGTGGCCAGGCTGGTCTCAAACTCCTGACCTCAGGCGATACACCCGCCTCAGCCTCCCAAAGTGCTGGGATTACAGTCAGAAGCCACCTCACCCGGCCTATAAGTTATGTATTAAAGAACAAAATAAGTCAGTCATGGTGGCTCACATCTGTAATCTCCACACTTTGGGAGGCCAAGGCGGGAGGATGGTTTGAGCCCAGGAGTTTGAGACCAGCCGAGACAACATAGTGAGACCCCCATCTTTGCCAAAGGAAAAAAAAATAGCCTGGTGTGGTAGCACATGCCTGTAGTCCCAGCTGCTGGGGAGGCTGAGGTGGGAGGATCACTTGAGCCCAGGATTTTGAGGCTGCAGTGAGTTATGATGGTGTCACTACACTCCAACCTGGGCAACAGAGTGAGAACCTGTCTCAAAAAAAAAAAAAAAGAACGAAAAACCAAAACACATATCTGTAACCTGGGCACAGTGGTTCATGCCTGTAATCCCAACACTTTGGGAGGCTGAGGTGGGTGGATCACTTGAGGTCAGGAGTTTGAGACCAGCCTGGCCAACATGGCAAAACCTCATCTCTACTAAAAATACAAAAATTAGCCGGGCGTGGTGGCGTACGCCTGTAATCCCAGCTACTTGGGAGGCTGAGGCAGGAGAATTGCTTGAACCCAGGAGGTAGAGGTTGCAGTGAGCCAAGATCATACCACTATACCCCAGCCTGGGCGACAGAGTGAGACTATCTCAATAAAAAAACAAAACAAACAAAAAACCACATAGCTGAGCTGGTTAAACAGGTGTGTTCTGTTTGTGACAATTCAGAGCTATACACTTATGCACTTCTCCATGTATACTCATCTTCAATAAAAATGCTATTTCCCAATATCTAAAAACGCACAAAATCATAAAGAAAAATTTAAAACCAATTCAATTTATTGAGATGAGAGTCACAAAACAGTGAAAACATTCAGCAGCATTTAGTAATTCACAATGTTGTGCAACCACCACCTCTATCTGGTTCCAGAATACTTCTTTCCATCACCCCAAAAGGACACCCATTCTCCTTAAGCAGTCACTTTCCCTTCCTCCCTCCCCGCAGAGCCCGGCAGCCACCAGTCTGCACTGTGGGTCTGTGGATTTACCTATTCTGGATATTTCATACAAATAGAATTCAAAACAAGACAATCTTCAAATCAAAGGATTTCACATAAAAATTCACATTGCTAACTTCTTTTGAACAAAATCCGGCCACACCAGGCCCATGTACCCACAGGCAACAACTGTCTGGAGCTAAGTTACTGCCCTCGTTGGCAGAGTGTGGGGGTGGGATGCAGCTTTCCCCAATCCCACCCAGCTCTTCTGTTTATTATTATTATTATTTTGAGACAGAGTCTCAATCCGTCACCCAGGCTGGAGCGCAGTGGCACGATCTCAGCTTACTGCAACCTCCACCTCCCAAGTTCAAGCTATTCTGGTGCCTCAGCCTCCTGAGTAGCTGGGATTACAGGCATGTGCCACCACACTCGGCTCATTTTTGTATTTTTAGTAGAGATGGGGGTCTTACCATGTTGGCCAGGCTGGTCTCGAACTCCTGGCCTCAAGTGATCCACCTGCCTCTGCCTCCCAAAGTGCTGGGACTACAGGCGTGAACCACCGCGCCCAACCTCACCCAGCTCTTCTCTGTTGCTCTCCTGGCACATTTAGGTTTCAGGTCTGTGGCCAGCAGCCTCTCACACCCCTCTCATTTGTAAAAATCTGGAGGGGCTCTAGAGGCAGTAAGGCACACCAGAAAGGATGAAAAACTAGGATTTGGGGTAAGGAGAGATGAATCCCAACTCTACCTACTAGTATGAGCCAGTTAGCTTCTCTGAGTCTCAGTTTCTTCAACTGTACAATGGGTAGAATAATACCTCCCTCACAGGGTGGTTGTGTTGCATGCAAAGCACTGGACATGTAGTCACTCACTTCTATCCCTGTAGGTAACAGAGACTCATAACAGTTCTTTTTTTTTTTTTTTTTTGGAGATGGAGTCTTGCTGTGTCACCCAGGCTAGAGTACAGTGACGCAATCTTGGCTCACTGCAACCTCCGCCTCCTGGGTTCAAGCAATTCTCCTGCCTCAGCCTCCCTTGTAGCTGGGCTTACAGGCGTGCACCACCATGCCCGGCTAATTTTTGTATTTTTAGTACAGACGGGGTTTCACCATGTTGGCCAGGCTGGTCTCGAACTCCTGACCTCAAGTGATCCTCCCACTTCAGCCCACTTCAGCCTCCCAAAGATCTGGGATTACAGGCATGAGCCACCGCGCCCTGCCACAGTTCTTCCTAAGACTCGGAAATGGGGATGGGGGTTCAGAGAGGTTAAGCCATGTATTGAAGGCAATTCAGCAAATCAGAGGCCAAAGAGAACTCCCCATTGCCCTTGCCAACGATGAAAGTCAGTGCTCCAAACTGAAGGGTGGGAGACGTATGCAAGCATGGGGACTTTGGATGATGAGGACACAGGTTCAGCCTGAAAGGGATCGATGGCTGGGCTTGAGTAACCTTACCCTCCGCTTATGCAAGTGATGGAGCTACTGACGTGATGGTAATTTAGCCTGAGAGGAAGGAAAAGCCCTTTGATGTACCCCGGGCCTTGATCCCGTATCAGCTGTTCGGCCTCCCTGGTGGCTGTTTTCCCTATCATGGGGGCCTCCCACCTCTAAACCTCAGGCAACGAAAGCAGGGAAGTAGCTCCTATTCACTCAGGAGAGCCCACGGTCAATTCTCCAGGAAGTTTGTGGGCCAGTTTTTATTATTATTATTTTTTAGACACAGTCTCGCTGTGGCCCAGCCTCAAGTGCAGTGGCACAATCTTGGCTCACTGCAGCTTCCACTTCCTGGGTTCCAGCGATTCTCCTGCCTCAGCCTCTCAGGTAGCTGGGACTACAGGCGCCCGCCACCACGCCCAGCTAATTTTTGTATATTTAGTAGAGATGGGGTTTCGCCATTTTGACCAAGCCTGTCTGAAACTCCTGACCTCAGGTGATCCTCCCACCTCGGCCTTCCCAGGTGCTGGATTACAGGCGTGAGCCACCACGCCTGGCCTCAACTTCCTAATCATTTTTACTAAGTTTTAGTATCACCAATGCTGTCTCTTCTCTTCTCTACTCTGTTCTTTTTGAGATGGGATTTTGCTTTGTTGCCCAGGCTGGTCTTGAACTCCAGGACTGAAATGATCCTCCAGACTCAGCCTCCCAAAATGGTGGGAATATAGATGTGAGCCAATGTACCCAGCCTCATCTGTGCTTTTGGGGTTATTTACTTCTGTTTGTATCCGTTTGGTATGTACTGTACTTAGCTTAACCCCAAGTTCAATGACTTCATGTTGATACTCGAAATTGACCATACCGGCCAGGTGCAGTGGCTCATGCCTGTAATCCCAACACTTTGGGACGCCGAAGTGGGCAGTGTACTTGAGCCCAAGAGTTTGCCACCAGCCTGGGCAACATGGTGAAACCCTGTCTATATAAGAAATTCAAAAATTAGCCGGGCTTGGTGGCACATACCTATAATTCCAGCTACTTGGGAGGCTGAGGTAGGAGGATTGCTTCAGCCTGGCAGATGGAGGTTGCAGTGAGCCGAGATTGAGCCACTGCACTTCGGTCTAGGTGACACAGTGAGACCATGTCTCAAAAAAAAAAAAAAAAGAAAGAAAGAAAAAGGGGGAGAAAAAAAAGAAAAGAAATTGACCATACAGAGTATCTACACCACAGAATTCAGGAAATGCTACAAACCAAGGTTACTGTTTTGTTGATTGCCTAGGCAGGGGTGGGTAAACCATGGCCCTTGGTCTAAATCTGGACCACTGTCTGTTTTTTCCCTCATTGACTGTTTTTGTAAATAAGTTTTTATTGGCACATAGCCACACCAATTTGTTCACCTATTGTCTGTGGCTGTTTGCAGGCTACAGTAGTTTCAGCAGAGGCCTGATAGCCCACAAAGCAGAAATATTTACCATATGGCTTTTTATGGAAAATGTTTGCCAGGCCTTGTTTTAGACTTAAGAAAGTGACAAGGCCAGGCACGGTGGCTCACGCCTGTAATCCCAGCACTTTGGGAGGCTGAGGCAGACAGATCACCTGAGGTTGGGAGTTCGAGACCAGCCTGACCAGCATGGAGAAACCCCTCTCTACTAAAAACACAAAATTAGCCGGATGTGGTGGCACATGCCTGTAATCCCAGCTACTCGGGAGGTTGAGGCAAGGGAATCGCTTGAACCCGGGAGGCAGAGGTTGCGGTGGGCAGAGATCGTGCCATTGCACTCCAGCCTGGGTAACAAGAGCGAAACTACGTCTCAAAAAAAAAAAAAGAAAGTGACAAAGAAAGTTCAGATGTTTCAGGTGTCTCCCAAATGGATGTTTCACATGCACACATCTCCCAAATGGATGTTAATGCCTTAAAATCTTGGAAGCAGGAACTGTTTTTGGTTTTGTTTGTTTGCTTGTTTGTTTGTTTTGAGATGGAGTTTTGCTCTTGTTGCCCAGGCTGGAGTGCAATGGCGTGATCTCGGCTCACTGCAACCTCTGCCTCCCAGGTTCAAGCGATTCTCCTGCCTCAGCCTCCCAAGTAGCTGGGATTACAGGCGCCCGCCACCACGCCCAGCTAATTTTTGTATTTTTAGCAGAGATGGGGGTTTCACCATGTTGGCCAGGCTGGCCTCGAACTCCTGACCTCAGGTGATCCACCCACCTCGGCCTCCCAAAATTCTAGGATTACAGATGTGAGCCACCGCACACGGCCTAGGAACTGGTTTTATGTTTGGATGATCACAAACATAGTAATATGAATGTGGCCTGGTGAGTTCCATGTAAGCATTTTCTAGCCACAAAGAACAAGTTATTTGGGCAATTCTTCCTCTTCTTGAATCTCAAGTTCCTCATCTGCAAAATGAGAGGAGAAAAATAGAAAGCTGAGAGATAAAATGGGCACAGTGCTTAGCCGTGGCATATACCGGGGGGTGCTGCCTCCATCACCTCTTTCCCACCCCATCAGGTACAAGTCATAAGGGAGCTGTCATGCGTTGGGTTGTCTAGGAGCAGAGGATGAGACAGAGCTTAGGGTGCAAGATTTTTTTCTTGCTGTTGTTTTGTTTGAGACAGGGTCTTGCTCTGTCACCCAGGCTGGAGTGCAGTGGCAAAATCATAGCCCACTGCAGCCTTGAACTCCTGGACAGAAGCGATCCTCTGCCTCTGCCTCCCAAAGCGCTGGGATTACAGGCGTGAACCGCCATGCCTGGCCATAAAATGATTTTTTTTTTTTGAGACGGAGTCTCTGTCTCCCAGGCTGGAGTGCAGTGGCGCGATCTCGGCTCACTGCAAGCTCCACCTCCCGGGTTCACGCCATTCTCCTGCCTCAGCCTCCCGCGTAGCTGGGACCACAGGCGCCCGCCAGCACGCCCAGCTAATTTTTTGTATTTTTTTAGTAGAGATGGGGTTTCATGGTGTTATCCAGGATGGTCTCGATCTCCTGACCTTGTGATCCGCCCGCCTCAGCTTCCCAAAGTGCTGGGATTACAGGCGTGAGCCACCGCGCCCGGCCATAAAATGATTTTAAGGATCCACATCAGTGAAAGGAAGCAGAGGAGGCTGGACTGGGGAGAAGGAGAACTCAGTGGTGGAGACTCCACAAGGCCTTGGCCAGCCCTACCGGGGCCCTGGAGACAGACTCACTGGTCAGAGTCACCCCCATTGGGCTGAAAGGGACCAGCCTCTCTACTCCCTTGCTCAATCACAAAAAGTGGGCTGCTCTGGGAAAGCTGTGGCCAAGTCTCTACAGCTGAGGCAGATCCGATAGGAGGTGACAGCCAACCAGTCTCCCTACAGCTGGGCATTGAGGCCTTCCTTGAAGGGTTATGGACAGTAGAATCTACCACAGGGATGCAATGTCTGCAGAGAGTTTTAAAATAATAATAAAAACTGCTAAAATCAGTCAACTTTATTTTATGTGTGCCAGCAAATGCAAACAAAATGATCAAGTACTACCTCCCTGTGGAACAGACAATCCCCATGATCCCTACCTCGGTGCTTGACAGTGAATACATGCTCACAGATGGTGGTGGTGTTATTGTTTCTTTCTTTGTGTTTGTCAGCACCAGTGGTTGTAAATGCCAGAAACCCAACTCAAACTAGCTTAAGCAAAAGGGAAAAAGGTTTGACTCATCCAGGAGCTTGTTTCTGCCTGGAACAAGTTGCTCAGACATCAGGAATCAGCCTATCTTCTCTCAGCTCTGGTTTCTCTGTTCTGGCTTTATATACAAGCATGTTTTCCTTCAGCTGACTCAGGGTTGGCCCCCGCAGCACCACTGGATCAGTGCAGCATACTCAGAGCTCAGAGTGAGCCTCTTTTCTCAAGCAGAAGATCCAGAGCAAATCCATATGGCCAGTTCTGGCCAGGTGCCCAGCCCTGAACCAATCACAGGGATTCTCACTGCCCAGTCCTGGCTCACATGCCCCACCCAAACGACATGAACGGAGCAGGGAAAGGATGGAGAAGGGAGACGCTGTTATGAGAACAGGAGTGGATGCTGGAGAGACAAGAAATTTTAGGCCAGGCACGGTGGCTCATGCCTGCAATCCCAATGCTTTGGGAGGCTGAGGCAGGTGGATCACTTGAGGTCAGTAGTTCAAGACTAGACTGGCCAACATGGTGAAACCCCGTCTCTACTAAAAATACAAAAGAAACTAACTGGTCCTGGTGGCGGGCTCCTGTTAGTCCCAGCTACTCAGGAGGCTGAGGCAGGAGAATCACTTGAAGCTGGGAGGCGGAGGTTGCAGTGGGAGTGCACCATTGCACTCCAGCCTGGGCGACAGAGCAAGACTCCATCTCTTTTTTTTTTTTGAGAGGAGTCTCGCTCTGTCGCCCAGGCTGGAGTGTAGTGGCGTGATCTTGGCTCACTGCAACCTCCGCCTCCCAGGTTCAAGCAATTCTCTGCCTCAGCCTCCTGAGTGGCTGGGATTACAGGTGCCCACCACCACGCCCAGCTAATTTTTTTTTTTTTTGTATTTTTAGTAGAGACGGGGTTTCACCATCTTGGCCAGGCTGGTCTTGAACTCCTGACCTTGTGATCCACCCGCCTCGGCCTCCCAAAGTGCTGGGATTACAGTCGTGAGCCACCGCGCCCAGCCCGAGACTCCATCTCAAAAAGAAAAAAAAGAGAGAAAAGAAATCTCCAGGACACTCCTCAATGCCCCGGTGCCAGGAACAGAGGACATCCTACGGTCCACACCAGCTCCAGTGCTCCCTGGCTTGCACAGTTAGGACACTAAGACTCAGAGGATGCCAGGAGTGGCCCAAGATTACACAGTCTTCAGAGCCCAGGGGTCCTATGTCCCGTGCCACCAACTCTCTGGTCCCTCCCAGCCATCACTGGTGCCTGGTGATACAGCTTCCTGTCACCACAAAGCTCAGACACATGGGCTCTGTACCTCAAGAGATAAAGACCAGCCCCACCTAAGTGGCCCTGCCCAGGATCACCAGCCCTGATAACAAGACTAGCTGGGCACCCGGGCCAGCCTTCACCTGCTCTGGTCCCAGCTGCCCTTGCTTGGGAGAGCTGTGGGGCCTGGCAGGGGAGGGGTGAGGTTCTGTCCATGGACTTCTGCCTCTGAATCCTCACTAGTTCTGCCTGTTTGGGAGTCTCCAGTTGTAGATTGCAGGAAGCAGAGCACAGGGCTATTTGACTGCTTTTAGATGCATTTTTTTTTTTTAATTGAGACAGGGTCTCACTCTGTCACCCAGGCTGGAGTGCAGTGGCATAATCACAGCTCACTGTAGCCTCAACCTCCTGGGCTCAATCGATTCACCCGTCTCAGCCTCCTGAGCAGCTAGGACTACAGGTGTGCCCCACCACACCTGGCTGATTTTGGGGTTTTTTTTTGTAGAAATGGGGTTTTGCCATGTTACCCAGGGTCATGTTGAATTCCTAGGCTCAAGCGATCTGTCTGCCTCGGCCTCCCAAAGTGAGGGGATTACAGCCTAGATCCAATTTTTAAATGTAAAGCTTCTTGGTTTACTTATCTTCCCCAAACCTAATGGAGAATCACAAATAGGCCACTGGGCAATGGCACAGCAGCTCTGGGCAGCTGGGTTTCCAGCCCAGCTCTCTTCCCTGTGCTCACCTAGAGCAGAGCAAGCTTTAATGTTCTGATCACGTTGCATCTCTACTATAAAACCTTCAATAGGCCGGGTGCGGTGGCTCATGACTGTAATCCCAGCACTTTGGGAGACCGAGGCGGGCGGATCAACTGAGGTCGGGAGTTCACGACCAGCCTGACCAACATGGAGAAACCCCATCTCTACTAAAAATACAAAATTAGCCAGGTGTGGTGGCACATGCCTATAATCCCAGCTACTCAGGAGGCTGAGGCAGGAGAATCGCTTGAACCCAGGAGGCAGAGGTTGTGGTGAGCTGAGATCCCGCCATTGCACTCCAACCTAAGTAACAAGAGTGAAACTCTGTCTCAAAAAAAAAAAAAAAAAACCTTCAATAGCTCCCTATTGTCTCAAAGATAAAATCTAAACCCCCTGACAATGAGATCACCCATCCTTGCCTTCTTTTTTTTTTTTTTTGAGACAGAGTCTTACTGTGTCACTCAGGCTGGAGTGCAGTGGCACGATCTCCACTCACTGCAACCTCCGCCTCCTGGTTCAAGTGGTTCTCCCGCCTCAGCCTCCCTAGTAGCTGGGATTACAGGCATGCGCCACCACACCTAGCTAGTAAGCCTCCATCTTCTAATCTGTGAAATGGGGATATGAGAGCACCTACTTAACAGGGTTGTTGTGGATTTAATGAGTAAAGAGCAGAGCATGGAATGTGCTTAGTACAGTGCCTGGCACATAAAACAAAGTGACCAGAAAATGGGAATTTAGTTTGTGTTAACATTATTTTAATTATTTTGAAAAAGTGTGCTGCCTCCAGAGGTAACCATCTGGTGAATCATGTTCCTTCTGCAGAAGATTTTTTCCTTTTAAGCTAAAAAAAAAAAAAAAATCAGCTTACGCTGGGTGTGGTGGTTCATGCCTGTAATCCCAGCATTGTGGAAGGCCGAGGCAGAAGGACTGCTTGAGCCCAGGAGTTCAAGGTTAGCCTAGGCAACACAGGAAGACCCCATCTCTAAAATAATAATAATAATAATAATCAGCCCACTTCTTAGGACACTAAAGCACAAGTGACTGAAGAACAGGTAGATACGCTGGACTTCATCAAAATTAAAAGCTGTTGCACTAAAAATAATACAATTAAGAAAGTGAAGGCCAGGCATGGTGGCTCACGCCAGTAATTCCAGCACTTTGGGAGGCCAAGGTGGGTGGATCACTTGAGGTCAGGAGTTTGAGACCAGCCTGGGCAACATGGTGAAACCCTGTCTCTACTAAAAACACAAAAATTAGTTGGGCCTGGTGGTGGGCGCCTTTAATCCTAGCTACTCAGGAGGCTGAGGCAAGAGAATCTCTTGAACCCAGGAGGCAGAGGTTGCAGTGGGCCGAGAGCCACTGCACTAAAAAAAAAAAAGTGAAAACCTACAAAATGGGGAAAAAATACTTCCAAATATATTCGATAAGGGATTTATATCTAGAATATATTAAGAACTCTTTCCACACCAGTGGCTCATGACTATAATCCCAGTACTTTGGCGGGAGGACCCCCTGAGCCCAGGAGTTCAAGACAAGCCTGGGCAACATAGTGAGACCCCATATCCACCAATTTTTTTTTTTTTTTTTTTTTTTTGAGACGAAGTTTCACTCTTGTCACCCAGGCTGGAGGGCAATGGCGCGATCCTGGCTCACTGCAACCTCCGTCTCCCAGGTTCAAGCGATTCTCCTGCCTCAGTCTCCTGAGCAGCTGGGATTATAGGCGTCTGCCACCATGTCCGGTTAATTTTTGTATTTTTAGTACAGACAGGGTTTCACCATGTTGGCCAGGCTGGTCTCGAACTCCTGACCTCAAGTGATCCGCCTCGGCCTCCCAAAGTGCTAGGATTACAGGCATGAGCCACCACACCCAGCCAAAAAATTGTTTTTAATTGGCTGGGCACAGTGGCACATGCCTGTAGTCCCAACTACTTGGAAGGCTGAGCTGGGAGGATCGCTGGAGCCAGGGAGGTTGAGGTTACAGTGAAATATGATCGTGCCACTGCACTTGCACTCCAGCCTGGATGATAGGGCGAGAGTCTGCCTCAAAAGTAAGAAAACAAACAAAGAGAACTCTTATAGCTCAATAATAAAAAGACTATAATTCGATTAAGAAATAGGCAAAGGGGCCGGGCATGGTGGCTCATGCCTGTAATCCCAGCACTTCGGGAGGCTGAGGCAGGTGGATCATTTGAGGCCAGGAGTTTGAGACCAGCCTGGCCAACATGGTGAAACTCTATGTCTAATAAAAATATAAAAACTAGCTGGGCATGGGGGCACAGGCCTGTAATCCCAGGCTACTCAGGAGGCTGAGGCAGGAGAATCACTTGAACCTGGGAGGCAGAGGCTGCAGTGAGCCAAGATTTTGCCACTGCACTCCAGCTTGGGGGACAGAGCAAGACTCCATCTCAAAAAAAAAAAAAAAAAGAAAAAAGAAAGAAATAGACAGGCAAAGGGCTGGGTGTGTTGACTCACACCTGTAACCCCAGCACTTTGGGAGGCTGAGACGGGAGGATCACTTGAGGCCAGTGAGCCGAGATCGCGCCACTGCACTCCAGCCTGGGCAACAGTGCAAGACTCCGTCTCAAAAAACAAAACAAAACAAAACAAAAAAAGATGAGGAAGTGTATTGCCCAGCTTCTGTTCTCTAACCCTTCACATTTGTATTCTGTTTTGTAACCAAGACTCATTCTCCCTTGATTTGTTAATAGGCTGATTACAGAAAGCAACTAAGCAGTGTTGTTTGTTTGGGTTTTCATTTTTTTGGGAACAGGGTCTCGCTGTGTCACCCAGGCTGGAGTGCAGTGAAGTGATCATTGCAGCCTTGACCTCCTGGGCTCAAGTGATCCTCCTGCCTCAGCCTCTGAAAGTGCTGGCATTATAAGCATGAGCCACTGTGCCTGGCCAATGAGCAGTATTAAACTCTGGCACAAGCATACAATGAAACACTGCTCAGCAATAGAGAGAAACAAAGTTTGGGCGGGGCACTGTGGCTCACACCTATAATGCCAACATATTGGGAGGCCAAGGTGGGAGAATTTCTTGAAGCCAGGAGTTCAAGACCAGCCTGGGCAACATAGCAAAACCTTGACTCTACAAACAAACAAACAAAAATTTAGCCAGTGGTGTCGGGCACGGTGGCTGACACCTGTAATCCCAGGGGTCCCTCCCTTTGGGAGGCCGAGGCAGGCGGACCACTTGAGGTCAGGAGTTAGAGACCAGCCGAGCCAACATGGCAAAACCCTGTCTCTATTAAAAATACAAAAATTAGCCAGGCATGGTGATGTGCACCTGTAATCCCAGCTACTCGGGAAGCTGAGGCAGGAGAATCACTTGAACCTGGGAGGTGGAGGTTGCAGTGAGCCAAGATCACACCACTGCACTCTAGCCTAGGTGACAGAGTGAGAATTCGTCTCAAAAAAAACAATTTAGCCAGTCATGTTGGTGTGTGCCTGTAGTCCCACTGCATTCCAGCCTAGGTAACAGAATGAGTGAGACCTTGTCTAAAAAAAAAAGAAAAGAAAAGAAAAACAAGAAAGTAAAGTCTGGATGCAAGCATCAACGTGGATGAATCTCAATTTTTTTTTTTTTTTTTTGAGACAGGGTCTCTCTCTGTCTCCCAGGCTGGAGTGCAGTGGTGCAATCTTGGCTCACTGCAGCCTCCACATCCTGGGTTCCAGCGATTCTCATGCGTCAGCCTCCTGAGTCACTGGGACTACAGATGCGTGCCACCATACCCAGCTAATTTTTGTATTTTTAGTAGAGATGGGGTTTTGCCATGTTGGCCAGACTGGTTTTTGAATTCCTGACTTCAGGTGATCTGCCCACCTCCGCCTCCCAAAGTGCTGGGATTACAGGCGTGAGCCACCACACCCGGCCTCAAATGTATTTTGTTGGGTGAATGAAGCAAGACTGAAAAGGCTACATACTGCTTGATTCATTTATATGACATTCTAGAAAAGGCAAAGCTGTAAGGAAAGAAAATAGATCAGTGGTTGCCAGGGGTTGGGATGAGGGTGGATTGAGGACAAAGGTGCACAGCGAGGGTGGATTTGTGGTGATTACATTTTGGGGTAATGGAATTGTCCTGTATCTTGATTGAGGTCATAGTTATGCAACTGTATATGTTTTCAAAATTCATAGAACTGTACGCTGAAATACTCTTTTCAGTGTACAGTTCTATGAATTTCACTCTGTGTAAGTTATAGCTCAACAAATAGAAGCCATATTTACAAAATCTTAAATCATGTAAATTATGATGTAAAACATGTAAATAGACTTTGCTGCAGAACCAGAAAGGCCAACTAGATGTGCAGAGAAGTATGAAATAAACCCTGAAGTCACTAAGCTTGGGGTGCTCCCAACAGCAGAAGATTCCAAATGGCAAGGTTGCATTGGTTCTCTTTATTTAAACTCCGTCAAATGGCTGAGAACCGTTGGCATGTTTTGTACTGTGGAAAATTCAAATAAACTGTAAGAACAAAATTAAAACCATCTGTAAACTGTGGGGTTTTTTTTTTACACAAATGGTAACTTATATACACTGCTCCGTGCCTTTTTTTTTTTAAACGTAACATATCTTAGAGCTTTTTCCCATCACCATCTAGAACATCTAGAAAGTTTATTTATTCTTTTTTTTTTTTTTTTGAGGCGGAGTCTCGCTGTGTCCCCCAGGCTGGAGTGCAGTGGCAAGATCTCTGCTCACTGCAAGCTCTGCCTCCCGAGTTCACACCATTCTCCTGCCTCAGCCTCCCGAGTAGCTGGGACTACAGGCGCCTGCCACCATGCCTGGCTAATTTTGTTTTTGTATTTTTAGTAGAGACAGGGTTTCACCGTGTTAGCCAGGATGGTCTCGATCTCCCGACCTCGTGATCCAACCACCTCGGCCTCCCAAAGTGCTAGGAGTACAGGCGTGAGCCACGGCGCCCCACCTTTTTGTTTTGTTTTGCTTTGTTTTTTAAAAAACAGAGTCTCACTCTGTTGCCCAGGCTGGAGTGCAGTGGCTCAATCTAGGCTTACCGCAACCTCCACCTCTGAGGTTCAAGCAATTTGTGCCTCAGCCTCTCGAGTAGATGGGATTACAGGCGCCCAACACTACGCCCAGCTCTTTTTATTTTTTTAGTAGAGATGGGGTTTCGCCATGTTGCCCAGGCTGGCCTTGAACTCCTGACCTCAGGTGATCCTCCCGCTTTGGCCTCCCAAAGTGCTGGGATTACAGGCATGAGCCACCACACCCAGCCTCTTGATTATTTTTAATAGTTAATGTTTTATTGTATTAAGCCAATCTCCTGTTGATGGATACTTAGATTACTTTAGATTACTTTGTTTATAATATTTTCTTTCTTTTTTTTTTTCCTTTTTTTTGAAAGAGAGTGTCGTGGCTGGGCACAGTGGCTCATGCCTGTAATCCCAGCACTTTGGGAGGCCAAGGCGGACAGATCACGTGAGGTCAGGGTGTGAGACCAGCCTGGCCAACATGACGAAACCCCATCTCTACTAAAAATACAAAAAATAGCCGGGTGTGGTGGCGGGCACCCATAATCCCAGTTACTTGGGAGGCTGAGGCAGGAGAATTGGTTGAACCCGGGAGGCGGAGGTTGCAGTAAGCTGAGATCATGCCAGTGCACTCCAGCCTGGGCAACAAAAGCGAAACTCTGTCTCAAAGAAAGAAAGAAAGAAAGAAAGAGAGTGTCGCTGTGTCGCCCAGGTTAGAGTGCACTGGCATGATCTCAGCTCACTGCAGCCTCCGACTCCCAGGTTCAAGCGATTCTCCTGCCTCACCCTCCCGAGTAGCCGAAACTACGGGTGCCCGCCATCATGCCCAGCTAATTTTTGTATTTTTAGTAGAGACGGGGTTTCACCATGTTGACTAGGCTGGTCTCGAACTCCTGACCTCAAGTGATCCACCCACCTCAGCCTCCCAAAGTGCTGGGATTACAGGCGTGAGCCAATATGCCCAGACGTTTATAATATTTTCTACCCTAAGATGAACCAGTGGAAGTGATAATAGCCTTAAAATTGAGGATGGGAATTAATGTGGGTATTGTCTATAACAGGAGTTTTTTGTTGTTGTTGTTGTTGTTGTTGTTGTTTTTGAGACGGAGTCTCACTCTGTCGCCCAGGCTGGAGTGCAGTGGTGCAATCCTGGCTCACTGCAAGCTCCGCGCCCCGGGTTCACTCCATTCTCCTGCCTCAGCCTCCCAAGTAGCTGGGACTACAGGCGCCTGCCACCATGCCTGGCTAATTTTTTGTATTTTTAGTAGAGACGGGGTTTCACCATGTTAGCCAGGATGGTCTCGATCTCCTGACCTCGTGATCCGTCTGCCTTGGCCTCCCAAAGTGCTGGGATTACAGACGTGAGCCACTGCGCCCGGCCATTTTTTTTTTTTTTTTAATAGTCAGGGCCTCCCTCTGTTGCCCAGGCTGGAGTACAATGGTACAATCATAGCTCACTTCAGTCTTAAGCTCCTGGGCTCAAGAGATCTTCCCCACTTAGCCTCCTGAGTAGCTGGGACTACGGGCATGCACCACTATAGCCGGCTACTTTTTAAACTTTTTGTAGAGACAGGGTCTCACTAGGTTGCCCAGGTTGGTCTTGAACCCCTGGCCTCAAGTGATCCTCCTGCCTCCGCCTCCCAAAGTGCTGGGATTACAGGTATGAGCCACTGTACCTGGCTTTAATAAGATATTTTTTCTTTTTTTTGTGTGACAGAGTCTTGCTCTGTCGCCAGGCTGGAGTGCAGTGGCACGATCTCAGCTCAATGAACCCTGCCTCCCGGGTTCAAGTGATTCTCCTGCCTCAGCCTCCTGAGTAGCTAGGATTACAGGTGTGTACCACCATGCCCAGCTAATTTTTTTTTTTTTTTTTTTTTTTGTATTTTTAGTAGAAACAGGGTTTCGCTATGTTGGCCAGGCTGGTCTCAAATTCCTGACCTCAAATGATCTGCCTGCCTTGGCCTCCCAAAGTGCTGGGATTACAGGCATGAGCCACCGTGCCCAGCCAAGAGGGACAAAAACCTTTTCACAGAAAAACATTTTTATACAACTTAACCAGAAAGCTTCATTTCAGGTTCAGGAAGTGGAAGGGGCAAAATCCTGGATTTTCACAAATTTCCAAAATGGGCTTATATAACTCTCCACCCTTTTCTTTCTTTTTTTTTTTCTTTTAGAGACAGGGTCTCATTCTGCTGCCCAGGCTGAAGTGCAGTGGTGCAATTATAGCTCACTGTACCCTTGAACTCCTGGGCTCAAGGGATCCCCCCATCTCAGCCTCTTAAAGTGCTGGGATTACAGGTGTCAGCCACTGCTCCTGGCTCGCCACCAATGCTTTTCATTCTGATCATTTCTGTAGTGAGCAGCATAGAAGAAATAATGCCTTTTGAGGGACAGTTGCATTTAACAGACAGCCTTACTAAGGTGAGTACGTCAGGACAAAGATGCGGGAAGGAGAATCAGGCTATTAGTCCATTGTTGCAAATTGCAACGAATTGAGAAAGTCAGACACAACGATCAACTGCAGTGAAACATTTGGTGGGGAGTTTTGAGAGTCCAGTCTGAAGGAGTGCGTGGAAGGATCACGGTCCCTGTGATGTACCCTCTCTCGGCTTGTTGCTTTGGGCAGGAATCACAAGTTAGGAAGGAATCAGCACCAGAAATGCAGAGCTGGCTGGGCGCAGTGGCTCACGCCTGTAATCCCAGCACTTTGGGAGGCCGAGGCGGGAAGATCACCTGAGGCCAAGAGTTCGAGATCAGCCTCGCCAACATGGCGAAGCCCTGTCTCTGATAAAAAATACAAAAATTAGCTTGGTGTGGTGGCGCATGCCTGTAGTCTTAACTACTTGGGAGACTGAGGCGGGAGAATCACTTGAACCTAGGAGGCGGAGGTTGCAGTGAGCAGAGATCACGCCATTGCACTTCAGCTTGGGAGACATCCCAAGACCATCTTAAAAAAAAAAAAAGGAGGGGGGGTGCCGGGCGCGGTGGCTCACGCCTATAATCCCGGCACTTTGGGAGGCCAAGGCGAGCGAATCACGAGGTCAGGAGATTGAGACCATCCTGGCTAACACGGTGAAACCTCATCTCTACTAAAAATACAAAACATTAGCTGAGCCAGGTGGCAGGTGCCTGTATTCCCAGCTACTCCGGAGGCTGAGGCAGGAGAATGGCGTGAACCTTGGAGGTGGAGCTTGCAGTGAGCCGAGATTGCACCATTGCACTCCAGCCTAAAAAAAAAAAAAAAAAAAAAAAAAGCTTGCATTGAGCCGAGATGCCAAGATCACGCCACTGCACTCCAGCCTGGGCCACAGAGGGAGACTCTGTCTCAAAAAAAAAAAAAAAAAAAAAAAAAAAAAGGCCGAGAGCGGTGGCTCACGCCTGTAATCCCAGCACTTTGGGAGGCCGAGGTGGGCAGATCACCTGAGGTCAGGAGTTCGAGACATGCCTGACCAACATGGTGAAACCCCATCTCTACTAAAAATACAAAATTAGCTGGGCGTGGTGGCACATGCCTGTAATCCCTGCTACTTGGGATGCTGAGACAGGAGAATCGATTGAACCTGGGAGGCGGAGGTTGTAATAAGCCGAGATCGCACCATTGCACTCCAGCCTGGGCAGCAAGAGCGAGACTCCGTCTCAAAAAAAAAAAAAAAAGAAATGCAGAGCTGAAGAGCAGCCCAATGTAAATGGTCCCATTAGAGAGGAACTCTTTCATCATGGACATCTGTAAGTGACCCACACTGTCCAGCAGCATCCACGATGTTTGCACAGCATATGGCCCCAGGGAGGGATGTCTCTAATCTGCCAGGGTCCTAGAGTTAAAGTCCTGTGTGTTGAGTGGAGCAATTTTGCCCATTTTTTTAGTTTGGCAGAATTCATGCTGACACTGAAACAGCTCACAGCAGACAGCATCAGGTTTCAGCATTTTTTTTTCTCTTTTTTTAAGACAGGGTCTCACTCTGTCACCGAGGCTGGAGTGCAGTGGTGCGATCATAGCTCATTGCAGCCTCGACCTCTTGGGCTCAAGCAACCGTCCCCTTGCAGAGCTTTCAGCTTGGGATCAGGTTTGGAAAACTAGAATTCGTGAATTCAGGATTTTCTTCTGCAGTAGCTAAGCCAAGAGACTGTTTGTCTCGAGGCTAAGAGCGAAGCGAGGCTTTCTTAAGCCCTTTAAGTCTGTCAGTTTCAGAGCCCGGGTGGACGCCTGTAAAAAGATCCCTATCAGCTAGAAAATCATGACTCTAAGGGTCAGCTGTGTGGTTTCACAAGGGCTCATTAGCAACTAAAAACTGCTTTTTAAAACCCTGAAAGTGTATCTCCATTTAGAGATTGCCTCTTTTTCATGTTTTTTTCCAGAAGCTGTAATATTAGCAAACACTATAGTAAGAACTATCAGTAACTGAGACTTGTTCCATTTTATTTACTTACTTACTTACTTATTTCTTTATTTTGAGACAGGGTCTCATTCTGTCGCCCAGGCTGGAGCGCAGTGGCACAATCTCGCATTGCAACCTCCACCTCCTGGGTTCAAGTGATTCTCCTGCCTCAGCCTCCCAAGTAGCTGGGTGGGATTACAGGCACACACCACCACACCCAGCTAATTTTTTTTTTTTTTTTGAGACAGAGTCTTACTCTGTTGCTCAGGCTGGAGTGCAGTGGCATGATCTCGGCTCACTGCAACCTCCACCTCCTGGGTTCAAGCAATTCTCCTGTCTCAGCCTCCCAAGTAGATGGGACTACAGGTGCCTGCCACCATGCCCAGCTAATTTTTGTATTTTTAGTAGAGACGGTGTTTCACCATATTGGTCAGGCTGGTCTCAAACTCCTGACCTCAGGTGACCCACCCGCCTCAGCCTCCTAAAGTGCTAGGATTATAGGCATGAGCCACTGCATCCAGGCTAATTTTTGTATTTTTAGTAGAGATAGGGTTTCACCATGTTGGCCAGGCTGGTCTCGAACACCTAACCTCAAGTGATCCTCCCTCCTCGGCCTCCCAAAGTGCTAGGATTACAGGTGTGAGCCACTGGGCCCTGCCTTATCTATTTTTGATACAAGTTCTCACCCTGTTCCCCAGGCTAGAGTGCAGTGGCGTGATCATAGCTCACTGCAACCTTTAACTCCTGGACTCAAGTGATCCTCCCACCTCAGCCTCCTGAGTGGCTGGGGACTACAGGTGCTCACTACCAGGCCCAGCTAGGTGAATGCTTTTCTGCACACCAGGGTATTTTCAAGGATGCGTCCTATGAACCCATCTGATCAGTGAGCTTCTTGAGCAAGGCCTCTGGAACCCACCTCTGCATGGTCGGGCATGAAGAACAGAGACAGTCACACCCAGCCACTGCTGATCTGTTATCCAGTGGAGCCCAGCCTGAACAGAGAGCATCAGGGAGGGGACTCTGGATACTGGGCCCTGCAGGCTTGCCTCCCTGCTCTCTGCCCAGACATGTGAATGGCATCTAGGGGTGCACCCAGCATGGGACTGAGACCTACAGTGTTGGGGACAGAGTTCCTACCTCTAGATGCCTGCCAGCCTTTGCAACCCACTGCTGTTGACACACTTCCTTGAGTTAGTAAACATTGGCCTTTGTGCTTAGCATATAAGCCAGGGCAGGCTCCAGGAGTGGGGGTTTGAGTTGGCCACAGCAATCAAAGTGACAAGATGTTCCTGCTGGCCTGGAGGGGATAGGCAGGCTACACAGAGCTCTTCTCCTCCATGGGAACCTTCTGGGCCTGTGA
This sequence comes from Homo sapiens, assembly GCF_000001405.40. Classification (NCBI taxonomy): domain Eukaryota; kingdom Metazoa; phylum Chordata; class Mammalia; order Primates; family Hominidae; genus Homo; species Homo sapiens. The sequence continues at coordinate 121,860,216 of NC_000012.12, read as the reverse complement.
GATCCACCCTGGGCCACCTCCACTCAAGTTTTCCCAGTTGGATATTTATTTATTTATTTGAGATGGAGTCTCACTCTGTCACCCAGGCTGGAGGGCAGTGGCATGATCACTGCTCACTGCAATCTCTGCCTCCTTGGTTCAAGTGATCCTCCTGCCTCAGTCCCCTGAGTAGCTGGGACTACAGACGTGCACCACCGTGCCCAGCTAATGTTTGTATTTTTAGTAGAGATGAGGTTTTACCATGTTGCCAGGCTGGTCTCAAACTCCTGGCCTCAAGTGATCCTCCCTCCTTGGCCTCCCAAAGTGCTGGGATTACAGGCGTGAGCCACCACCCCCGGCCCCCAGTTGGAAATTTAGACTTAAGGAGCTGAGGTGGACACTGGGAGCACACTGGGCAGGCCCAGGACAGGCAGAATAAGGGGGTGGGACCACCTTGCCTGCCTCCTGAATGGCCCAGAAAATAGAGAAAAGGAGGGAGAAGTGGTCTGCACTGGTGCAATGAGATCCAACTTCAGAATCAAACAGGCCAGAGTTTGGGGCTCTGCTCTTACCAGTTCCATGACCTGGGAGACATGTGTTCACCTCTCCAGGCCTCAGTTTCCCCATCTGATGGGGATATCAATATCTCCCATTTGTATAGAGGGCAATCTAGCAATTTAAAGTGTGGGTCCTGGAGTTAGAATAGCCCGGTTCATGTTCCAGTTCTTCCCTGCCGCTTGCTGACCTCATGGCCTAGGAATGTTCTCTGTCCCAATGAATTATAACCAACACTGAGAGTGTCCTGTGTGCCAGGTCCTGTTCCAAAGAGCGTGCTTATCTCCTTTAATCCCCACCACACTATTCTCATTCCTGTTTTACAAATGAGGCTCAAAGGGATATGGTGATTTTCCCAAGTCACACTGTATGTAACAGAGCCAGGATGCAAACCTTCTCCTGCCGTGCCTCTCAGAGCTATGGAATACAACGCTGTGACGCAAACAGGACTTTGGGGCCAGTCTCCAAATGCCCCCTCAAATTTCCTCTAGGCAAGAGTTCTGGAGCCGCCACTGCACTCCAGCCGGCCTTGGCTTCTGAGCTTTGGATTCTGGGCAGTAATGGTCACATTCCCAGCGTCCTGGAAAAGCTTGCCCTTGGCTTCTGGCCCTGACTCTGCCTCCCACTGACTAGTGGACGTCACTGCCCCTCTCTGGGCCTGGCAACACCATCCTGTTCAATGAGGCTGCGGCTGGATCAGAGGTCCCCAGGCCTGGAACCTTCCAGGGCTGGGCTCAGCTCCCCACCCCATCCCCCAGGTAGGCCAGGAGGCCTGGGCGGGACCTGCTTGGGGTTAAATACTCCGGCCCAGCACTCCCCAGGCCTCTAGTCCCAGTAGGAGGTTTGACTAAGATCAATCATGGTAAGTGCCATGGCCATCTCCCCTTGGGTGGGACATCTTCAGTAACGCTTCCAGAAGCACCTTGTGTTGGAACCTCCAAGTCTCACTGTCCTTCTTTTTCTCCTTAGACGACTTACAGTGACAAAGGGGCAAAGGTAAGCAGGCGAAATGTGGGAAATGTAGGGGCCTGAGTCTAGAAGGGGGTCGGAGTGCAGGGAGACTGGGGTTTCAGCAGAGAGCAGAAGAGGAAGGACTGGAGTGGATACATGACGTGCATGCCTGCACACTCAGCTTTACCCCCGGGGCTCCCCGAGACTGAGCTGGACTCAACCTCACCCTCACAACAAACTTGTATCCTGGCCGGGCATGGTGGCTCATGCCTGTAATCCCAGTGCTTTGGGAGGCCAAGGCAGGCAAATACTTGAGGTCAGGAGTTCGAGACCAGCCTGGTCAACATGAGGAAACCCCGTCTCTACTAAAAATACGAAAATTAGCCGGGCATGGTAGCGCACCCCTGTAATCCCAGCTACTCAGGAGGCTAAGGTGGGGGAGATCACTTGAACCCTAGGATCGCTTGAACCTGGGAGGCGGAAGTTGCAGTGAGCCAAGATTGCACCACTGCACTCCACTCCAGCCTGGGCAATAGAGCAAAACTCCATCTCAGAAACAAAAACCAAAACAAAACCTGTACCCCTTCTCAAATGCCTGCCAATCTTTTAATCCCATCTGGAAGTTCTTTCTAAGGTCTAACTTAAATCCATATTGCTGCAACATAAGTCTATTTCCCTGTGTGAAACCTTGGCAGGCCTCCTGAGGGGGTTTCCCCATCCAAGACACCCAGGAGCTCAACTTCCACATGAGAAACCTCTTTTGAGGCTTGGCAAGGCTGCATGGGGTTCCGCTGCTCCTAAGTTCTGTGGTTGAGGCTGGAATAAGGAGGGTGGCTAGGGGACATCACTCCACCCGCACTTTTCTAGACTCACTTTCAGGGACTCAACCTCACCTCTTCTCTCCTTCTGCAGCCTGAGAGAGGCCGATTCCTCCACTTCCACTCTGTGACCTTCTGGGTTGGCAACGCCAAGCAGGTAGAAGCCGGGGCAAGGTGCTGGAGTGAGCAGACGGCAGGGCAGAGGGCTGCCTGACAAGGGCAGGCCTCCAGCAGGGTCTGTGATTGGCCCTTGGGAGGGAGGATCAGGCCAGGGGTGGGCCAGATACTCTGAATCCTAATTACACCAGCGGGAAAGTTATCTGTCAGCAAAATGTGCAGGCAGCAGTCTATCTTCCCAGGAGGGTCTCTGCCCCTGAGGCAATAGGGCAGGCAGGCTGAGGGGGGCCAGGGGCTCTCTTGCGGAAGTCCCCCATGCTGGCCCCTTGACCCTCATGAACCCTGCTGCAACCCTGTGATTCAGGCCACGTCATTCTACTGCAGCAAGATGGGCTTTGAACCTCTAGCCTACAGGGGCCTGGAGACCGGTTCCCGGGAGGTGGTCAGCCATGTAATCAAACAAGGGAAGGTGAGTCACCACCCCCAGGACAGCCCCCAACCCCTGCCTGGCCAACATGGTGAAACCCCATCTCTATTAAAAATAGAAAAATTAGCTGGGCATGATGGTGGGCACCTGTAATCCCAGCTACTCAGGAGGCTGAGGCAGGCACATCGCTTGAACCCGGGAGGCAGAGGTTGCAGTGAGCCAACGTCGTGCCACTGCACTCCAGCCTGGGCGACAGAGCAAGACTCCATCTCAACAAAAAAAAACAAAAAACAACAAAAAACCCCAACAACAACAACAAAAACATATAATTCAGCTCCCACCGACCCCTCCGCTGGCATCTTTGTACAGCCATGCAACACGGCCCTTCCTAGTTTCGTTTCCTCCTCAGCCTGGCCCAACACTGACCCCACAGGTGCTCAGAAAACCTGGGATATCAGAGGAGAGGAATTTTAAGCAGTGCCCTGACCGATGGGGTCCCTGGAGTTCTCTCCCCGAGGGAGACCTGACCTAGCAGTTCCTCTGAGGATCCAGAGGGGGTCTGGCTGAAAGCCCCATCCCTCAGGACCAGTGTGGGAAACTAAGGCAGAGAAGGAGCTAGAACCCAGGTCCAGGAGTTCTTGTGCTCCATCAGGGGTGTTTCGGGTCGGCAGGGAGGGGCCGATGGGTGCACCTCCCCATGCCCCCCTGAGCCACTAGCCTCACCTCCTTCTCCTCCTATCTTAGATTGTGTTTGTCCTCTCCTCAGCGCTCAACCCCTGGAACAAAGGTGAGGTGCCCGGGGAGGGTGGACGCATGGCTCTGTGGGTGGGATCTGGGTTCTGGGAGGGTGGACGCATGGCTCCGTGGGTGGGCTCTGGGTTCAGGGCCTGGATGGAGACTAAAAGCCAGGTGAGGGGACCTAGACTCCAGACTCCAGTGCCATCCTCTCCCTGCCGGCCACAGAGATGGGCGATCACCTGGTGAAACACGGTGACGGAGTGAAGGACATTGCGTTCGAGGTGGAAGATTGTGACTACATCGTGCAGGTAAGAAAGCACCTGGGTGGACTGAGAGAGGAAGGCCTCCGTCTGCCATGGGGACCCCATCAGTCAGGGCTGGAAGGACACTGCTGCATCACAGTGACAAGCCCAGATGCCACATCACAGTGACAAGCTCAGATGCTGCATCACAGTGACAAGCCCAGATGCTGCATCACAGTGACAAGCCCAGATGCTGGTGTGACACACACCTGGGCTCCGGGGGTGCCCTGCCTTCCCCCGTGTCCTCTCTCTCACTGAGCCTCAGTTTCCACAGCTGCCAGATGGGGCTAACCACAGCTGGGTTGTCAAAGGAGGAAATTAGAATTACCATTTCCTTTTTTTTTTTTTTTTTTTTTTGTGAGACGGAGTTTTGCTCTTGTTGCCCAGGTTGGAGTGCAATGGCACGATCTCGGCTCACCGCAACTTCTGCCTCCTGGATTCAAGCAATTCTCCTGCCTCAGCCTCCTAAGTAGCTAGGATTACAGGCATGCGCCACCACGCCCGGCTAGTTTTGTATTTTTAGTAGAGATGGGGTTTCTCCTTGTTGGTCAGGCTGGTCATTTCCTTTTTTTTCTTTTTTCATTTTCTTTTTCTTTCTTTTGTGTGTGTGTGTGTGTCAGAGTCTTGCTCTGTTGCCCAGGCTGGAGAGCAGTGGCGCAATCTTGGCTCACTGCAACCTCCACCTCCTGGGTTCAAGCGATTCTCCTGCCTCAGCCTCCCGAGTAGCTGGGATTACAGGCGCCTGCCACCATGCCCAGCTAATTTTTGTATTTTAGTAGAGATGGAGTTTTGCCATATTGGCCAGGCTGGTCTTGAACTCCTGACCTCAAGTGATCCACCCACCTCGGCCTCCTAAAGTGCTGGGATTACAGGCATGAGCCATTTTGCCTGGCCTCAGAATTACTGTTTCTTGAGCACAACTCTAAACCAAACACTGTACCCAACAGGCAGCCTACAGATTCAGAGTGTGCGTTCCAGAGCCAGGCTCTCCAGGTCTGAATCTTAGCCGTGTGACTTCGGGCAAGTGACTTAATGTCTCTGTGCTTCAACGTCCTCACCTAGAGAATGGAGATGATAATAGTACTTTTGCATAATGTTGCTGTGAGGATGAACGAGGTTAGAATCTAGAACAGAGCCTGGTGCATGATATAAGCACTGTCATGCAGTCCAGTTTTGCTAAATAAATGCATGAATCTTCTTATTATTCTCATCCAACCATTCTTTTTACAGATGGTGAAATTGAGGACTAGAGAAGGGGACTGATCACAGGGGGAGTTAGCAGAGGCAGGACAGACACCCATCCCTACCTAGTTTGTCTCCCATAGCCCCAACTCTGGGCCTGGGCCTCAGTTTCCCTATTTGCCAAATGAGCATGAGTATTGGGGGTAATGGCTGAAGCTGGCTGGGGTTCCTACCTGGGGCTGGAGAAACTGGAGGGGCCTGCAGGACCACGCAGAGGCCACCAGGCAGGAGCAGCAGGCAAGGGTTCTGGAAGGCTCCAGCCCTCACCAATTCCCCGATCCCATCTTCTCTGCAGAAAGCACGGGAACGGGGCGCCAAAATCATGCGGGAGCCCTGGGTAGAGCAAGACAAGTTTGGGAAGGTGAAGTTTGCTGTGCTGCAGACGGTGAGTTCCCTTTGGTGCCCCCACCCCTCCTGCTGTCGGCACCACTGAGATGCCAGGAGCCCCGCAGCTGACTCCATCAAACCATCCCACCCATGGGCCTTGGAGCACAGACATTGTCCCTCAAGTCTGTCCCCCGTATTGCCTGGCCAGTGTACGGGGACTGCAGGAGCCACCAGCCACTCCTCCCAGGCTTCCCTTCCTCCCAGTGCGGGAGGATGACAGCAAGGGGGTGAAGGCAGGGGCTCTGAAGAAGGGAGAAGGATGGGGTCTGGGGACATCAGTTCCCACACGAGCTGTGTGACTTTGGGCATATTACTGTACCTCTCTATGACTCTGTTTAAATGAGCAAAGACTGGAACTGGAACACCTATGTGGTCTGGGACATGCGCTTAACTTTCCTGTGCCTCAGCAGTATCTTTTTGTTTTCCTCAAAAAAATTTTTTTTTAAAGATGGAGTCTCGCTCTGTCGCCCAGGCTGGAGTGTAGTGGTGTGATCTTGGCTCTCTGCAACCTCCGCCTCCCAGGTTCAAGTGACTCTCCTGCCTCAGCCTCCCGAGTAGTTGGGACCACAAGTGCGTGCCACCATGCCCGGCTAATTTTTTCTTTTTTGTATTTTTAGTAGAGATGGGGTTTCACCGTGTTAGCCAGGATGGTCTCAATCTCCTGACCTGGTGATCCGCCCAACTCAGCCTCCCAAAGTGCTGGGATTACAGGCGTGGGCCACTGTGCCCGGCCTTTTTCTTTTTTTTTTATTCTTTTTTCTTTTTTCAGACGGAGTCTCTCTGTCGCCCAGGCTGGAGTGCAGTCGCGTGATCTCAGCTCACTGCAACCTCTGCCTCCTGGGCTCAAGTGATTCTTCTGTCTCAGCCTCCTGGGGATTACAGGCATCCACCCGCACACACGGCTAATTTTTGTGTTTTTAGTAGAGACAGGGTTTTGCCATGTTGGCCAGGCTGGTCTCGAACTCCTGACCTCAAGTGATCCATCCGCCTCAGCCTCCCAAAGTGCTGGGATTACAGGCGTGAGCCACCGTGCCAGGCTGTTTTCTTCAACTTTCTTTTTTCTTTTTTTTTTTTTTTTTGAGATGGAGTCTCGCTCTGTCGCCCAGGCTGGAGTGCAGTGGCACGATCTCGGCTCACTGCAAGCGCTGCCTTCCGGGTTCACGCCATTCTCCTGCCTCAGCCTCCCGAGTAGCTGGGACTACAGGCGCCCGCCACCACGCCCGGCTAAATTTTGTATTTTTAGTAGAGGTTTCACCGTGTTATCCAGGATGGTCTCGATCTCCTGACCTTGTGATCCGCCCGCCTCAGCCTCCCAAAGTGCTGGGATTATAAGTGTGAGCCACCGCGCCCCACCTCTTCAACTTTTATTATAGGTTCTGGGGTATATGTGCTGGATGTTCAAGTTTGTTACATAGGTAAACGCATGCATGGTGGTTTGCTACACAGATCATCCCATCACCTAGGTATTAAGCCCGGCATCTGTTAGCTACTCTCCTTGGTGCACTCCCTCCCCGACCTCCCCCACCTGACAGGCCCTAGTGTCTGTTGTTCCCCGTGATGTGTCCATCTTTTCTCATCATTTAGCTCTCACTTCTAAGTGAGAACATGCAGTGTTTGGTTTTCTGTTCCTGCGTTAGTTTGCTGAGGATAACGGCTTCCAGCTCCATCCATGTCCCCGTAAAGGACATGATCTTGTTCCTTTTTATGGCTGCAAGCCTCAGTATCTTCAACTATGACTCCTCATAGGGTCATCGTAAGGATCCAATGAGAACTGGGCGCAGTGGCTCACGCCCATAATCCCAGCACTGTAGGAGGCTGAGGCGGGCGAATCACTTGAGGTCAGAAGTTAGCCTGGCCAACATGGTGAAACCCCACCTCTACTAAAAAAAAATACAAAAGTTAGCCAGGCATGGTGGTGTGCACCTGTAGTCCCAGCTACTTGGGAGGCTGAGGTGGGAGAATCGCTTGAACCCAGGAGGCAGAGGTTGCAGTGAGCCAAGATTGCACCTCTGCACTCCAGCCTGGGCGACAGAACAAGACTCCCTCTCAAAAAAAAAAAAAAAAAAAAAAAAAAAAAAGGATCCAATGAGGTCATTTGTGTATAGCACTTAGAACAGTGCCTGGCACATTAGACACTCAGCAAAGATGACCAATTCTGTTTAGGACCCGTGTTACTGTAATACAGAGACAATCATAGCTCTTACCTCCTTGAGATTAAATTCAACATAAAGGGCTGGGCACAGTGGCTCACACCTATAATCCCAGCAGTTTGGGAGGCTGAGGCAGGAGGATCACTTGAGGCCAGGAGTTCGAGACCAGCATGGGCAAGATAGGGAGACCCCATCTCTACAAAAATTAAAAATACAAATAAAAAATAAATAGGCCAGGTGCAGTGGCTCACACCTGTAATCTCAGCAATTTGGGAGGCCAAGGCAAGAGGACTGCTTGAGCCCAGGAATTTGAGACCAGCCTGCGCAACAAAGTGAGACCCCATCTCTACGAAAAAATTAAAAATTGGCCAGGCATGATGGAGCATGCCTGTGGTCCCACCTACATGGGAGGCTGAGGTGGGAGGATTGCTTGAGTCCAGGAGGTAGAGGCTGCAGTGAGCTGTTATCACACCACTGCACTTCAGCCTGGTTGACAGAGTGAGACTCTGTCTCAAAAATAAATGAATAGGCCGGGCGCGGTGGCTCACGCCTGTAATCCCAGCACTTTGGGAGGCCGAGGCGGGCGGATCACGAGGTCAGGAGATCGAGACCATCCTGGCTAACACGGTGAAACCCCGTCTCTACTAAAAAAAAAAAAAAAAAAATACAAAAAAGTAGCCGGGCGTGGTAGCGGGCGCCTGTAGTCCCAGCTACTCGGGAGGCTGAGGCAGGAGAATGGCGTGAACCCGGGAGGCGGAGCTTGCAGTGAGCCGAGATCGCGCCACTGCACTCCAGCCTGGGCGACAGAGCGAGACTCCGTCTCAAAAAAAAAAAAAAAAAAAAAAAAAAAATAAATAAATAAATAAATGAATAAAAATGTTTTAAAAAGTTAAAAAATTAAATTAAACATAAAAATGGTTAAAGTGTGCCTGTAATCCCAGCACTTTGTGAGGCCGAGGCAGGTGGATCACCTGAGTTCAGGAGTTCGAGACCAGCCTGGCCAACGTGGCAAAACCCTGTCTTTACTAAATATACAAAAATTAGCTGGGCATGACAGGCGCCTGTAATCCCAGCTACTCGGGAGGCTGAGGCAGAAGAATCACTTGAACCCGGGAGACAGAGGTTGCAGTGAGCCAAGGTTGCACCACTGTACTCCAGCCTGGGCGACAGAGCGAGACTCCATCTCAAATAAATAAATAAAAATTTTAAAAAATAAAAGTTAAAAAATTAAATTAAACATAAAAATGGTTAAAGTGTGCCTGTAATCCCAGCACTTTGGGAGGCCAAGGTGGGTGGATCACTTGAGGTCAGGAGTTCAAGACCAGCCTGGCCAAAATGGTAAAACCCCATGTCACTAAGTAAAACAACACAAAAATTAGCCAGGTGTGGGGCTGGGCACGGTGGCTCATGCTTGTAATCCCAGCACTTTGGAAGGCCAAGGGGGCGGATCACCTGAGGTTGGGAGTTTGAGACCAGCCTGACCAACATGGAGAAACCCCATCTCTACTAAAAATACAAAATTGGCTGGACGTGGTGGTGCATGCCTGTAATCCCAGCTACTCAGGAGGCTGAGGCAGGAGAATCGCTTGAACCCGGGAGGCAGACGTTGTGGTGAGCCAAGATCGCACCATTGCACTCCAGCCTGGGCAACAAGAGCGGAGCTCTGTCTCAAAAAAAAAAAAAAATTAGCCAGGTGTGGTGGCACGTGCTTGTAGTCCCAGCTATTTGGGAGGCTGAGGCAGGAGAATCGCTTGAACCTGGGAGGCGGAGGTTGCAGAGAGCCAAGATCACACCACTACACTCTAGCCTGGCCAACAAGCAAGACTCCGTCTCAAACAAAAAAAAAAAAAAAAAAAAAGGCTAGGTACAGTGGCTCATGCCTGTAATCCCGGCACTTTGGGATGTTGAGGTGGGCCCGGCATGGTGGTACACGCCTATAATCCCAGCTACTCAGGAGGCTGAGGCAGGAGAATGGCTTGAACCCGGGAGATGGAGGTTGCAGTAAGCCGAGATCGTGCCAATGCACTCCAGCCTGAGTGACAGAGTGAGACTCCGCCTTAAAAAAAAAAAAAAAAAAAGATGGTTAAAGTGGCTGACAGAACTCTTCAGTATAATTTTTTTTTTGAGACGGAGTCTCATTCTGTCGCCCAGGCTGGAGTGTAGTGGCACGATCTCTGCTCACTGCAAGCTCTGCCTCCTGGGTTCATGCCATTCTCCTGTCTCAGCCTCCCAAGTAGCTGGGACTACGGGCACCCGCCACGCCACCACACCCGGCTAATTTTTTGTATTTTTTAGTAGAGACAGGATTTCACCGTGTTCGCCAGGATGGTCTCGATCTCCTGACCTCATGATCCACCCGCCTTGGCCTCCCAAAGTGCTGGGATTACAGGCCTAAGCCACCGCGCCAGGCTGCTCTTCAGTATAATTTAATCCAATGCCCTCCTGCGTTCTTCATCTAGTTGACCTACTGAAATAAATGAAGTAGGTGCTTCATTGAGTACCTCCCCTGTGCCAGGCACTGAGCTTGGCGCTGGGTACACCATCATGAGCAAAACAGTGTCCCCGCCCTCACGGAAACTCTCAAACAAGTGACAGATTGCAATTCATTTCAGAAAGGAGAAGTGACTTACCCAAGATCACGCATCTGGTTAGGGTCAGATGCAGGTTGGAACCCGGGGCTACGTTAGCGCTATGAAATGTGCTCTGTCCTCGGCGGGGATGGGTGCCCAGGGGCCGAGCCAGGCTGTTTTCCACCCGTAGTATGGGGACACCACACACACCCTGGTGGAGAAGATGAACTACATCGGCCAATTCTTGCCTGGATATGAGGCCCCAGCGTTCATGGACCCCCTACTTCCTAAACTGTGAGTGTCCCTCAGGGCAGAGGTGGGTGGAAAGCCCTGAGGGACTGTGAAAAGTAATGCCCCTTCCTCCATGTCCACTGCGCATGTGTGTTGGGGCAGAATGGAGCCGGCTAGGGAATTCCTGGAAGTCCTCAGGGGTGCTTGAAGAGGTGGCACAGAGGCTGAGACCATGGCCTCTGCAACCAAACTTCCCCGGGTTCAAATCCCAGCTCTGTTACTTCACAGCCATTTCACCCTGGGCAAGTCGCTTCATCTCTCTAGGCCTCAGTTTCTTCATCTGTAAAATGGGGACTGTAATAGTAAATGAGTTGACAAAATAAAATGTCCGGCCCATTAGTAAATGCTACATAAGTGTGAGTCCAGGCGCAGTGGCTCATACCTATAATCCCAGCACTTTGGGAGTCTGAAGCAGGAGGTTCACTTGAGCCCCAGAGTTTTAGACCAACCTGGGCAAAAAAAAGAGTCTCTCTTTTTGTAGAGACTCCATCTCTACAAAAAAATAGAACTCCAAAAACAGAAGTGTGAGCTATTATTATTATTGAGGGGTCATGGAGAAGGGAGCAATCTGGGGGGTAGCCACCTTCTCACCCCCATCTTCTTCCCTTCCCAGGCCCAAATGCAGTCTGGAGATGATCGACCACATTGTGGGAAACCAGCCTGATCAGGAGATGGTGTCCGCCTCCGAATGGTGAGACCTTGGCCCTCTCCCTCTGCGTGAAGATGACGGGTCCTCACGGTGGACTGGCCCACTCCCTGGTCCTTGCACTAACATGGAAAATACGACTGGGTGCAGTGGCTCACACCCGTAATCCCAGCATTCTGGGAAGCCGAGGTGGGAGGATCACTTGAGGTCAGGGGTTCAACACCAGCCTGACCAATATGGAGAAACCCCGTCTCTACTAAAAATATAAAAACTCAGTGGGCGAGGTGTTGGGCCCCTGTAATTCCAGTTACTCAAGAGGCTGAGGCAGGAGAATCGCTTGAACCCGGGAGGTGGAGGTTGGGCGACAGAGTGAGACTCCAGCCTGGGAAACAGAGCAAGATTTTGTCTCCAATAAACAAATAAAATAAAATAGACCGGGCGCACTTGCTCACGCCTGTAATCCCAGCACTTTGGGAGGCGGAGGCGGGTGGATCACCTGAGGTCAGGAGTTCAAGACCAGCCTGACCAACATGGCGAACCCCGGTCTCTACTAAAAATACAAAAATTAGCTGGGTGTGGCAGTGTGTGCCTGTAATCCCAGCTACTTGGGAAGCTGAGACAGGAGAATCGCTTGAACCAGGAAGGCGGAGGTTGCAGTGAGCTGAGATTACGCCACTGCACTCCAGCCTGGGTGAGAGAGAGAGACTTTGTCTCAAAATAATAATAATAATAATAAAGTAAAATAAAATAAAAGTGGAAAATACAGCACAAGATGTTGGGAGTTAGCCTGAGGCCACTGATGCATTTATTCACTGTAAAACTGTCAACATGGAGACCAGTGGACTTGAGGCCCAAAGCGACCCACAGGCCCTCCTTCTGAGGAACCCTGGGGACATCACAGTCCAGGGAGGCTTGGAGGAAGGTTGCCACCACCCAGAGAGCCCCCTGTCCAAATTCCAAGCAAGGGCCTTTTTCTCAAAGCACTTTACTTCCATCTGTGGGAGCCTTGCCGTCCTGTATGTATTTCGTTCCAAGACACTTCCACCTGAAGGAAAAATGTCATCATAAAGGTACAAATCTAGGCTGGGCGTGGTGGCCCATATTTGGAATCTTAGTACTTTGGAGGCCCAGGCAGGTGGATGGCTTGAACCCAGGAGTTCAAGACAGCCTGGGCAACATAGTGAGACCCCATCTCTACAAAAAATACGGCCGGGCACAGTGGCTCATGCCTGTAATCCCAGCACTTTGGGAGGCCGAGGCGGGTGGATCACCTGAGGTTAGGAGTTCGAGACCAGCCTGACCAACACAGTGAAACACTGTCTCTACTAAATACAAAAAATTAGTTGGGCATGGTGGTGCATGCCTGTAATCCCAGCTACTTGGGAGGCTGAGGCAGGAGAATCGCCTGGACCCAGGAAGTGGCAGCTGCAGCGAGCCGAGATTGCGTCACTGCATTCCAGCCTGGGCGAAAAGAGCGAAACTCCGTCTCAAAAAACAAAAAATAAAAATACCCCAAAATTATCCAGGTGTGGTAGCACATGCCTGTAGTCCCAGCTACTTGGGAAGCTGAGGTGGGAGGAGCAATTGAGCCTGGAGATTGAGGCTGCAGTGAGCCAAGACTGCACCACTGCACTCCAGCCTGGGCAAGAGTGAGACTCTGTCTCGAGCAACAACAACAACAAAAAGATCTAAATCTCTGATGGGTATGATGGCAGTGGCATCTCCTTTCTGGAGCCTGCTCAGGGACAGATTCTGGAAGGTGGAAATGGGTGATGGAGGCCGTCCCTGGAGGCGCTCAGAGCATATGTGTTCCACCGCCCACCCTACAGGTACCTGAAAAACCTGCAGTTCCACCGCTTCTGGTCCGTGGATGACACGCAGGTGCACACGGAATATAGCTCTCTGCGATCCATTGTGGTGGCCAACTATGAAGAGTCCATCAAGATGCCCATCAATGAGCCAGCGCCTGGCAAGAAGAAGTCCCAGATCCAGGTGAGGCCGCCCCTGGCTGGGGGAGAGGGGAGCAGGGAAGAGGTCTGGGGGCTCTTGTAGGGTCAGGGATGTGGGTGATGGGGCAAATGACAGTGGTCTCCTTGTTTCCCTCCCCCAGGAATATGTGGACTATAACGGGGGCGCTGGGGTCCAGCACATCGCTCTCAAGACCGAAGACATCATCACAGCGGTTAGAACCCCCTTCCCTGTCCGAATTCCTCTCTCATTCAGAGCCAGGGACGATCTCTGCAAAATTGAGAGGGCGGGTGGCGGCAGTCCTGGGCCCGTTTCTCTGGGCTGGGAGACTGACAGGACTCCCTCACTGCTTCTTGCAACTCATGGGCAGGCACAGCCACACCCACCCCCAGAGAGTTCAGTCTCCACAGAACCCCTGGGCTTTGGAGGTAGCAGGCGCCAGGGTATCAGGAAGCCTGGGTGATGGTCCCGGTTCTGCCAGTGGCTTGCTCTGTGTCTCTGGGAGATTCAGTGCTGTCTCTGGACTTTAGTTGCCTTACCTTAAAAATCAGGAAATTAGGGCCGGGCACAGTGGCTCACACCTGTAATCCCAGCACTTTGGGTGGCCAAGGCAGGGGGATCACCTGAGGTCAGGAGTTTGAGACCAGCCTGGCCAACATGGTGAAACCCCATCTCTACTAAAAATACAAAAATTATCTGGGCGTGGTTGCGGGCACCTGTAATCCCAGCTTCTCAGGAGGCTGAGGCAAGAGAAGTGCTTGAACTCAGGAGGTAGAGGTTGCAGTGAGCCAAGGTCGCACCACTGTACCACAGCCTGGGCGACAAGAGTGAAATTCTGCTTTAGAAAAAAATAATAGTAATTAATAAAGGAAATTAGGACTGGGCACAGTGGCTTATGCCTGTAGTCCCAACTACACGGGAGGCCAAAGCAGAAGGATTGTTTGAGCCCATAAGTTAGAGATCAGCCTGGAAAACAGTGGGACCCTGTCTCTGCAAAAAGTAAACAAAATTAACCAGGCTTGGTGGTTCATGCCTGTAGTCCTAGCTACTTGGGAGGCTGAAGCAGGAGGATCCATTTAGCCAAGGATTTCAAGGCTGCAGTTAGCTATGATTGAGCCACTTTTCTCCAGCCTAGGTGACAGAGAGTGAGGCCCTATCTCCCCGCAACCTCAAAAAAGAAATTTTTTTTAAAATGAGGAAATTAAGGTTGGGCATGGTGGCTCATGCCTATAACAGTTTCTGCCCTTGTGGAGCAATAAACAAAATAAGTAAAATATAAATGCTAGATGGTAGAGAGCACCCAGGAAGAAAGTAAAGCAGGGAATTGGGACAGCAAGGGTGAATGGCATTGCACATTTAAATTGGGGGGTCAGACACTGTGGGAGGCCGAGGCAGGAGGACTGCTTGAGCTCAGAAGTTCAAGACCAACGTGGGCAACATAGTAAGACCTCATCCTTTTTTTTTTTTTTTTTTTTGAGACGGAGCCTGGCTCTGTCGCCCAGGCTGGAGTGCAGTGGCGCGATCTCGGCTCACTGCAAGCTCCGCCTCCTGGGTTCACGCCATTCTCCTGCCTCAGCCTCCCAAGTAGCTGGGACTACAGGCACCCGCCACCACGCCCAGCTAATGTTTTTTTTTGTATTTTTAGTAGAGACGGGGTTTCACTGTGTTAGCCAGGATGGTCTCGATCTCCTGATCTTGTGATCTGCCCACCTTGGCCTCCCAAAGTGCTGGGATTACAGGTGTGAGCCACTGCGCCCGGCCATAAGACCTCATCTTTACAAAAAAATCAAAAAATTAGCCAGGTGTGGTGGTGCACACCTGTGGTTCTAGTTACCCAGAAGTCTGAAGTAGGAGGATCAGCTGAGCCTGGGGAGGTTGAGGCTGCAGTGAGCTAAGATCATGCCACTGCACTGCAGCCTGGGTGACAGAACAAAGACCCTGTCTCTCAAATATATATATGTGTGTGTATATATATATATATCCTTCTTTTTTGAGATGCAGTCTTGCTCTGTCTTCTAGGCTGGAGTGCAGTGGTGCGATTTTGGCTCACTGCAACCTCCACCTCCTGGGTTCAAGCGATTCTCCTGCCTCAGCCTCCCAAGTAGCTGGGATTACAGGTGCATGACACCACGCCTGGATAACTTTTTTTGTATTTTATTTTTATTTTTTATTTTTTATTTATTTTATTTTATTTTGAGACAGAGTCTCGCTCTGTTGCTCAGGCTAGATTGCAGTGACGCGATCTCGGCTCACTGCAAGCTCTGCCTCCCGGGTTTACGCCATTCTCCTGCCTCAGCCTCCCAAGTAGCTGGGACTACACGCTCCCACCACCACGCCCAGCTAATTTTTTTTTTGTATTTTTAGTAGGGGTTTCACTGTGTTAGCCAGGATGGTCTTGATCTCCTAACCTCGTGATCACCCATCTTGGCCTCCCAATGTGCTGGGATTACAGGCGTGAGCCACCTCGCCCGGCCTTTTTTTTGTATTTTTAATAGAGACAGGATTTTGCCATGTTGGTCAGGCTGGTCTCCAACTCCTGACTTCAAGTGATCTGCCCGCCTCAGCCTCCAAAAGTGCTGGGCTTACAGGCGTGAGCCACCACACTCGGCCTAATAGATCCTTAATCGTTTCATGCCTCAGTTTCCCCAGCTATGAAATGGGAGAATAGTCCTTCAGCTGCCTCAAAAGATTGCTGCATGGACATAATGAGGGAATACGTAGAAAGTGCTCAGGCCGGGCTCAGTGGCTCACGCCTGTAATCCCAGCACTTTGGGAGGCCGAGGTAGGTGGATCGCCTGAGGTCAGGAGTTCGAGACCAACCTGGCTAACATGGTGAAACCCCATCTCTACTAAAAATACATAGCTGAGTGTGATGGTAGTCACCTGTAATCCCAGCTACTCAGGAGGCTGAAGCAGGAGAATCGCTTGAACCGGGAGGCAGAGGTTGCAGTGAGCTAAGATCGTGCCACTGCACTCCAGCCTGGGCAACAGAGACTCCATCTCAAAAAAAAAGAAAAAAAGAAAGTGCTCAAGGCAGGCACATGGTGAGTGTTCTATAAATCTAGCAGTTGTTGTTCTAACGGGGCCCATGACAGAGAAGAAAGGGGAAGAGGCCACACAGCATCCTGGCAGTTGAGGGGAGCTAGGATAGGGACCCTGTATCCTGATGACCCAGCACCTCCACCTGGCTAGGGGAGTTGAACTTGGAGGCCGAAGGCTGACCTCAGCTTTGCTCTGAAACAGATTCGCCACTTGAGAGAGAGAGGCCTGGAGTTCTTATCTGTTCCCTCCACGTACTACAAACAACTGCGGGAGAAGCTGAAGACGGCCAAGATCAAGGTGAAGGAGAACATTGATGCCCTGGAGGTGAGGCCCAGGCAGGATCCGCAGCCTTGTGGGGGGAGTATGAGCTCTGCATTGCATCTTTTCAGAAATATTGTCTCAGCCCGGAGGGGAGCCCAGACCAAGTCCCTGCTGGCAAAGGACATTTATTCTAGGGTCTATGTGGGAGGAGGAGACAGATGACAAACAAATAAACAATAAAAGCACGGTCAGAGATAGTCAGTGCAGGAAGTTCAAACAGGCAGCCTGGGGCTGCTTTACAGAGACTGGTCAGGGAGGGCCTCTCTGAGGAGGTGACATCTGAGTGAAGTCTAGATCATGAGCGGGAGCTGGCCATGTGAACAGCGGGAAGAAAGGCATTCCTGGCAGAGGGATCAGCAAGGGCCGAGGTAGGAGCATGCCCTGAGCGTCTGAGGAACAGAAAGAATAGGCTAGAGTGGATGGGAGGCTGTTTTTGAGCGATGACCTAGGTCAGACAGGTAAGCAAGAGCCAGTTCCTCTTGTGAGCTATTATTCAGGAATCTGGATTTTGTTCTTTTGTGACCAGAAACCACTGGAGGGTTTTTTGGTTTGGTTTTAGCAGTGTTATTGACATATGTCACATAACATGTCATTTTTTTAAGGTGTACAATTCTATGATTTCTAGCTATTTGCTATGTTGTGCAACTATCATCAAAATCCATTTTAGGACTGGGTGTGGTGGTTCATGCTTGTAATCTCAGTACTTTGGGAGGCCGAGGCGGGCGGATCATGAGGTCAGGAGTTCGAGACCAGCCTGACCAACATGGTGAAACCCTGCCTCTACTAAAAATACAAAAATTAGCCAGGCGTGGTGACACATGCCTGTAATCCCAGCTACTCAGGAGGCTGAGGCAGGAGAATCACTTGAACCCGGGAGGCGGAGGTTGCAGTGAGCCGAGATTGCGCTACTACATTCCAGCCTGGGCGACACAGTGAGACTCTGTCTCAAAAAAAAAAAAAAAAAAAAAAAAGATCCATTTTAGGACTAGGTATGGTGGTTCATGCCTGTAATCCCAGCACTTTGGGAGGCCAAGGCAGGTGGATCACTTGAGGTCAGGAGTTTGAGACCAGCCTGGTCAATATGGCGAAACCCCCATCTCTACAAAAAGAAAAAAAAAAATTAGCTGTGCGTGGTGATCTGTGTCTGTGGTCCCAGCTACTGGGGAGGCTGAAGTGGGAGAATCACTTCAACCCAGGAGGTAGAGGCTACAGTGAGCCATCATCAGGCCACTGCACTCCAGCCTGGGTGATACCCTGTCTAAAAGAAAAACAAAAACAGTTAGGCCAGACACAGTGGCTCACACCTATAATCCCAGCATTTTGGGAGGTTGAAGTGAGAGGATTGCTTGAGGCCAGGAGTTTAAGACCAGCCTGAGAAACACAGGGCGACCCTGTATCTACAAAAAAAACAGTTTTAAAAAATTAGCTGGGCATGGTGGTTCGTGCCTGTAGTCCCAGCTACTCAGGAGGCTGAGGTGAGAGGATCACTTGAGGCCAGGAGGTCAAAGCTGCAGTGAGCCATGATCAGGCTACTGCATTCCAGCCTGGGCAAAAAATCAATTTTAGAACATTTTTGTCACCCCAAAAAGAAACCTTGAGCCTCTTAGCCAGCACCTCCCAACCCCCTCTGTTCCCTTCCCCCCTCCCACCCCAGCCCTAGGCACCATTAATCTACCTTCAGTCTCTATAGATTTGCCTATTCTGGACATTTCATCAAAAGGAATCACAAAGTCCAGGCACGGTGGCTCATGCCTGTAATCCCAGCACTTTGGGAGGCTGAGGTGGGCGGATCATGAGGTCAGGAGTTCAAGACCAGCCTGGCCAACATGGTGAAACCCTGTCTCTACTAAAAATACAAAAATTAGCTGGGTGTGATAGCAGATGCCTGTAATCCCAGCTACTGGGGAGCCTGAGGCCGGAGAATTGCTTGAACCCAGGGAAGGGGAGGTTGCAGTGAGCCGAGATCGCGCCATTGCACTCCAGCCTGGGCGACAGAGTGAAACTCCATCTCGGAAAAAAAAAAAAAGGAATCACAAAATAGGCCTATTGTGAGCAGCTTCTTTCCCATAGCATGTGCTCAAGGTTCATCTGCGTGGGGTGTGTGTCAGTGCTTCGTTCCTTTTTGTGGCTGAAAAATATCCCATTGTATAGATAGACACACATTGTTTATCTATTCCTCGTTGATAGATATTTGGGTTGTTTCCACTTTTGGGGTGTTATACGTAATGCTACTGTGAACATCTATGTACAAGGCTCTGTGTGGACGTGTTTTCAATGCACTTTGGAATATATCTAGGAGTAGCTAGGTCACATGGTAATTCCATGTTCCCTTTTGTTTGTTTAGAGATGGAGTCTTGCTTTGTTTCCCAGGCTGGGGTGCAGTGGTGCGATCTTGGCCCATTGCAACCTCCAGCCTCCTGGGTTCAAGCAATTCTCCTGCCTCAGCCTCCCCAGTAGCTGGGATTATAGGCGCCCGCCACCACGCCCAGCTAATTTTTTTTTTTTTTTTTTTGAGACAGAGTCTTGCTCTGTTGCCCAGGCTGGAGAGCAGTGGCCGATCTTGGCTCACTGCAACCTCCACTTCCCGGGTTCAAGCGATTCTCCTGCCTCTGCCTCCTGAGTAGCTGGGATAACAGGCGTGTGCCACCATGCCCAGCCAATTTATTTTTATTTTTATTTTTAGTAGAGATGGGGTTTCACCATGTTGGCCAGGCTGGTCTCGAACTCCTGACCTCGGGTGATTCACTCACCTCAGCCTCCCAGAGTGCTGGGATTACAGGCGTGAGCCACCTTGCCCAGCCTAATTTTTGTATTTTTTTTTGTAGTGACTGGGTTTCCCCATGTTGGCCAGGCTGGTCTCGAACTGAGCTCAGGTGATCCACCTGCCTCGGCCTCCCAAAGTGAGCCACCATGCCTGGCCACCCCCTTTTTTTTTTTTAATCCGTATTTTAAGGAAGCAACACTATATGTTTAACTTTTTGAGAAGCTGCCAGACTGTTTTCCAAAGTGGTTGCACCATTTTACAGTCCCACCAGCAGTACATGAGGGTTCCGATTTCCACTGGAGGATTTTAAACAGGGGAATGACATGATCCGACTTTTAAAAGATCCCGCAGCAGGTCATGGTGGCTCACGCCTGTAATCCCAACACTTTGGGAGGTCGAGGTGGGTGGATCACCTGAGGTCAGGAGTTCGAGACCAGCCTGACCAATATCGTGAAACCCCGTCTTACTAAAAATACAAAAATTAGCCGGGCATGGTAGCCTGCGCCTGTAGTCCCAGCTACTCGGGAGGCTGAGACAGGAGAATCGCTTGAACCCGGAAGGCGGAGGTTTCAGTGAGCCAAGATTGCGCCACCGCACTCCAGCCTGGGTAACAGCGCAAGGCTCCGTCTCAAAAAAGAAAAAGAAAGTGTCCTGATAATGTCTGCGGGGAGGATGGATTGTAAGGATACAAGATTAGAAGCGGGCAGCAGTCTTGAATGGTGCCTTAGGAACTGTAGTAGGGGGATAGTAATAGGACAGTTTGGGGATATATTTGGAGGTGGCTGAACTGCCAGAAAAAGAGGTCATTTCCAGACTTTTGGGGTGCAGGAGCCCCTGTGGACTTTCCAAGGATCTCACCGTGCCAGCCTCCCCTAGCAGAGCCCCCTGTCTCCCGCCTAGGAGCTGAAAATCCTGGTGGACTACGACGAGAAAGGCTACCTCCTGCAGATCTTCACCAAACCGGTGCAGGACCGGCCCACGCTCTTCCTGGAAGTCATCCAGCGCCACAACCACCAGGTACTGCTTGTCCCCGGCAGGCCCGAGGGGACAGGCAGCTAGCACACTCGGTTTTCTGGGTCCTTGGCTCATCTCCTCTCTTTCCCGCCACAGGGTTTTGGAGCCGGCAACTTCAACTCACTGTTCAAGGCTTTCGAGGAGGAGCAGAACCTGCGGGGTAACCTCACCAACATGGAGACCAATGGGGTGGTGCCCGGCATGTAAGCCCCGCCCACCCCACGGAGGCCACAGCCACACAGCCACGCCCCCTGATTCTGGAACTCGCCCAACTTCCCTACTGGCTGCTCCCCTTGGGTCCCGCCCACCAGCGGACTCGGCCCCCAAGGCTCCGCCCACACTGACCACGCCCCTCGGCGGGGCCGCCCTCTGCTCCAGCCCTCCCGATTAAAGCGTGCCCCGGTCCAATACTGTGTCTGTGTTTGTGTTGCGCATAAGGCAGTAGTGCCTTATGGCAGCCAGGGGGAGGCCAGGGCGGCCGCCAGCGCCGCGGGACCGAGGAGCTGCGGGTGCCAGCGCTTTGCCAGCGGGACCACGCGGAGAGGGGAATTCTGGAACCAGGGAAGGAAGGGGACTTGCTCTGGAGGGAAAGACGGATGACACTGCTTTTGTAGAGAGATAAACGCGATTCAGACAATAAAGCAAGCGATGAGCCGGGCGTGGTGGCTCACACCTGTAATTTCAGCGCTTTGGGAGGCAGAGGTGGGAGGATCGCTTGAGGCCAGGAGTTCGAGCCCAGCCCGGTAACATAGCAAGACCCCGACCCCCCTGCGTCTACACAAATAACAAATAAAAATTAGCCTGGCGTAGTGGCGCACACCTGTGGTCCCAGCTACTCAGGAGGCTGAGGTGGGAGGATCGATTGATGGACAGAGGTCTAAGCTGCAGCGAGCCCTGATCCTGACACTGCACTCCAGCCTGGGCAAGAGTGAGACCCTGTCTCAAAAAAAAAAAAGGCAGTTGATGAGAATATGTGGAAGCGAAGATCGCAGGGGAGCTAATTTTGATAACGGAAGACCTCTCCGAGAAGGTGACATTTGGGAGCCAGCCATGGGACCATGCTCGGGAAAAGGATTCCAGGAAGAGCGAACGGAGAAAGGCCCTGAGGTGGGGTCAGAGTTTGGCAGCATCTTGTCTGCCGGCTTGATGATCTCTTTTTGTTGTTGTTGAGACGGAGTTTCGCTCTGTCCCCCAGGCTGGAGTGCAGTGGTGCGATCTCGGCTCACTGCAAGCTCCGCCTCCCGGGTTCACGCCATTCTCCTGCCTCAGCCTCCCGAGTAGCTGGGACTACAGGCGCCCGCCACCACGCCCGGCTAATTTTTTGTATTTTTAGCAGAGACGGAGTTTCACCTTGTTAGCCAGGATGGTCTCGGCCTCCCAAAGTGCTGGGATTACAGGCGTGAGCCACCGCGCCCGGCCGATGATCTCTAAAGATGAGCTGTCTTCAGTTTTGCTACCCAGAGCCCAAACCTCTGAACACAGGAGAGGGGAGAGTGTTAGACAAGGGACTCTAGGGGCAGCATCCCTGCTCATCAACTGTAGGATATGGTCCCTTGGTTCCTGGTCTCAGAGATAAAGCAGGTAGGAGGGGCCTGGTATCCCAGTCCCTGCCCTCAGCAGGGCAGTGCCCATGACCACCCACGCAGCTGCACTGCCCCAGCCTTGCCCGCAGTGAGGACTTCTTTTGGAAAGGGGCTTGTTCATACTCATAGAAGAGTGAGTGATCCTTGCAAAAGAATGAGGCAGCTGGGTCCTAAAACCCTAGGAAGGAGATTCTTTCTTCAAAACCAGGTAAGAGTTGGTGGTGGGCAAATTTGGCCTCTTTTTTTTTTCTTTTTCTCTCTTTTTTTTTTTTTTTTAGACAGAGTCTCACTCCATTGCTCAGGCTGGAGTGCAGTGGTGTGCTCTTGGCTTACTGCAACCTCCACCTTCTGAGCTCAGGTGATCCTCCTACCTCAGCCTCCCAAGTAGCTGGGACTATAGGCATGTGCCACCACGCCCAGCTAATTTTGTTTTTATTTTTCATGGAGATGGGATCTCACTATGTTGGCCAGTCTCGAATTCCTGGTCTCAGGTGATCCGCCCACCTCAGCCTTCCAAAGTGCTGGAATTATAGGAATGAGCCACTGTCTCTGGCCTCTTTCTGCTTCTAATGCTTGAGAACCCTCCGTGAGGATAAGTCAACTCAGAGCTAGGAGGCAGCAGAGCTCAATAGAAGAAAAAAATACTCTGAGTTGGTATAATGGTGGGAATTGGGGATTTTTTTCAGATTATAGAAGAAATCAGAGCTTCTGGGATCACGAACTTCAGAAATAAAGAGATCAGAGAGAACCCAAAGGATTCCGTGCAAAAAAAATACTCCCCCTCTATTCTCCTGTGACTTAATGTGAAGAAGGGAAATTGTATAACCCAGAAGGATGCAAACTAGTGGCTTACAGACCAAATGTGGCTCATAGACCTACTTCGTTTTGCCTGCATGGTTTCAAACAAATTTGAGTCAACATTTTAGAAAGTTGGGCACATATGGCCAGGTGCGGTAGCTCATGCCTGTAATCCCAGCACTTTGGGAGGCTGAGGCAGGTGGATCACTTGAGGTCAGGAGTTAGAGACCAGCCTGCCCAACAGGGTGAAACCTCGCCTCTACTAAAAATACAAAAATTAGCCGGGAATGGAGGAGGGTGCCTGTAATCCCAGCTACTCGGGAGGCTGAGGCAGGAGAATCCTTTGAACCTGGGAAGTGGAGCTTGCAGTGAGCCGAGATCACGCCTCTGCACTCTAGCCTGGGTGGCAGAGTGAGACTCCATCTCAAAAATAAATATTGGGAGGTCAAGGTGGGTGGATCACCTGAGGTCGGGAGTTCAAGACCAGCCTGGCCAACATGGTGAAACCCCATCTCTATTAAAAATACAAAATTAGCTGGGCCTGGTGGTGCGCACCTGTAATCCCAGCTACTCGGGAGGCTGAGGCAGGAGAATCACTCGAACCCAGGAGGCAGAGGTTGCAGTGAGATCGCACCACTGCACTCCAGCCTGGGCAAAAAGAGCGAAACTCCATCTCATAAATACATAAATAAATAAATAAAGCATGCAGAGCAGACACCCACTAGCTGAGAACATACTAGAGAGCCAGGCTGCCTGAGTTCACCTCTCAGATAGCCACGTGGTAGCTGTGTGACCTATGGCAAGCTACTTGACCTCTCAGTGCTTCAGTTTCCTATGTTAAGTGGGAATTATAATAATACCCTCCTCCTAGCCCTGTTGCTAGTATCAAAGACGTTTAAAACAGAGGCTGGCACAGTCAATGCTATATGAATAGTCTTATTTTGGGGGGAGGGGCTCTTGCCCACAAGGGAACCCAAGTCTGTCTGGGACCTCCCTCTCTCTGTCTGAGGTCTCTGTCACCAAGGCTGGAGAGCAGTGGCATGATCACAGTTCACTGCAGCCTTGATCTCCCCAGTTTCAGCGATCCTCCTACCTCAGCCTCCCTAATAGCTGGGACCATAGGCATATGCCACCACGCCTGGCTAATTTTTGTATTTTTAGTAGAGACAGGGTTTCTCCATGTTTCCCAGGCTGGCCTCAAACTCCTGGCCTCAAGTGATCCTTTCTCCTGCCTCAGCCTCCTGAGAAGCTGGAGAGGGGCTCCCATTTTGGCCCCCACAATACAATAGAGGCAATGAAGAAAGGAGTTATCTCTTGGGACTGAGGAGCAGAGGAAGAGGTGGATGGATTTGAGGAATAGGGAAGAAGCATCAGATTTGGTAGGTAAGGGAGGGAAAGAGAAGGTTTAAATCCAGGATCCCTGGCCTTTGAGCTTAGGTGGTCAGTGGCAGGCAGCGGTGGGTGGAGGCAGAGAACAGAAGTGTCATTGACCAAAGTAGAAAATATGACAGGAGAGCAAGTTCAAGAGAGAAGATGAAGACAGGCGCAGTGGCTCGTACCTATAATCCTGGCACTTTGGGAGGCCGAGGCCAGAGGATTGCTTGAGCCCAGGAGTTCAAGACCAGCTTGGGAAACATAGTGAGACCCTATTTCTATAAAAATTTAAAAATTGGCCGGATACAGGTGGCTCACACCTGTAATCCCAGCACTTTGAAAGGCTGAGGCGGGAAGATTACTTGAGGTTAGGCATTTGAGACCAGCCTGGCCAACATGGTGAAACCCCGTCTCTACTAAAAATACAAACATTAGCCGGGCATGATGGCACATGCCTGTAATCCCAGCTACTCAGGAGGCTGAGGCAGGAGAATATCCTGAACCCAGGAGGCGGAGGTTGCAGTAACCGAGATTGCGCCACTGCACTCCAGCCTGGGCGACAGAGTGAGACTCTGTCTCAATAAAATAAATAAAATAAAAAATAGAGATAGGGTTTCGTCTCTTCTAATAATAAAAAAACTAGCTGGGTATGGTGGTGCGCAGCTATAGTCCCAGCTACTCAGGAGGCTGAGGCATGAGAATCCCTTGAACCTGGGAACCTGGGAGGCAGAGGTTGCAGTGAGCCGAGACCATACCATTGCACTCCAGCCTGGGCAACAGAGAGAGACTGCCTCAAAAAAAAAAAAAAAGAAAGAAAAAAAGGCCGGGCACGGTGGCTCATGTCTAGAATCCCAGCACTTTGGGAGGCCAAGGCGGGCGGATCACTTGAGGTCAGGAGTTGGAGACCAGCCTGGCCAGCATGGTGAAACTCCATCTCTACTAAAAATACAAAAAACTTAGCCGGGCATGGTGGCACATGCCCGTAGTCCCAGCTACCCGGGAGGCTGAGGTGGGAGAATGGCTTGAACCCAGAAGGCAGAAGTTGCAGTGAGCCAAGATTGCACCACTGCACTCAAGCCTGGGTGACAGAGCAAGACTCTGTCTCAACAACAACAACAACAAAAAAAAAAAAAAAGAAAAAAAAAGAAAAAAGAAAGAAAGAAAGAAAGAAAGAAAGAAAGAAAGAAAGAAAAGAAAGAAAGAAAAAGCCCTGGCGCGGTGGCTTACACCTATAATCCCAGCACTTTGGGAGGCCGAGGAGGGCACATCCCCTGAGGTCAGGAGTTCGAGACCAGCATGCTTAACATGGAGAAATCCCATCTCTACTAAAAATACAAAATTAGCTGGGCTTGGTGGCACATGCCTGTAATCCTAGTAATCCCTGTAATCCCTACTCAGGAAGCTGAGGCAGGAGAATTGCTTGAACTCGGCAGGTGGAGGTTGCAGTGAGCCGAGATTGTACCATTGCACTCTAGCCTGGGCAACAAGAGCAAAACTCTGTCTCAAGAAAAAAAAAAAGAAAAGAAATTTTTAAAATTAGCTGGTATGGTAAAGTGTGCCTATGGCCCTGATCAGCTTAGGAGGTTGAAGTGGGGGGATCATTGAGCTCAGCAGATCGAGGCTGCAGTGAGCTATGATCATGCCACTGCACTCCAGCCTGGGTGACAGAACTAGACCTTGTCTCTAAAATAAATAATAAAGGTAAAATTGTATATTCCTTCAGCTACACCCCCTTCTCTTAGCTTTATTCCTCCTTACTATTGCACTTACTTTTCACATTTGTCTGGCTCGCCCTCAAGAACAGTATGTTTCCTTCATTCCTATCCCCAGAGCCTAGAAGAGTACCTGGCACATACAAGGTGCTCAATAAATATTGGTTGATTGAATTAATGGCCAGACACTTCCTTCTCTTTCCTGGCTCAGCCCGGACCTCAGCCCTCTATTCCCATGAATCCACTTACGGGAGTGTCCACCTGTCTGGATGCACAATTCCTAAAAGCAGCCCACTGTGAACGGACAATTTACTCTCCCTTCGTTTCGTTGATACCAGAAATGAGGCTGCGAAGAACACTCTTCTTCATATTGTTGCCCACTGTATCTGTCAGGCTCAATTCCTCACAGTGGAACAACGGAGCCAAGACTTTTGTGTGCATTTGATCATTTTATTTTGAGACGAGGTCTCACTCTGTCGCCCAGGCTGGAGTGCAGTGGCATGATCTCGGCTCCCTGCAACCTCCACCTTCTGGGTTCAAGCGATTCTCCCACCTCAGCCTCCCAAGTATCTGGGATTACAGGCGTGCACCACCACACTCGGCTAATTTTTTTGTATTTTTAATAGAGATGGGGTTTTACCATGTTGGCTAGGCTAGCTCGAACTCCTGACCTCAGGTGATCTGCCCTCCTAGGCCTCCCAAAGTGCTGGGATCACAGGCGTGAGCCACCGTGCCGGCCGTGTGCATTTTAAATAATGATTACTAATAGGTATTTTTCCTCCTAAAGGTTGCAGTGATTTTTGGCTTCCCCTAATGACACACGAGAGTACCCCAGCCTCCTGCTCCCTCAAATTGGGTTTCCTCCACCTTTTAATATTTGCCAACCTGACAGGGGGAAACGGCATCCTGGGATAATTCACATTTCTCCAGTAGGAAGTGACGTACAGCGTCTTTTCAGGCATATTGCTTTTTGCTAAGGTTTTACGTCTTCTTGGAGACATTTACCGTGGACGCCAACTATAAGCCCTTTATCACCCGTCTACTGGGTCAAGCAGAGCTGAGACTGACTGGGGCACAGCATCTCTGAAATGCCATGAATACAGGATAGATTTAATTCTTCTCAACTTCTACTATTTTATCAGCCCTTTTTCCTCCCTCAAATGCAGACCAGGGGGGCATCTCCTTAAGTGTTAAACATTTCTGAGGAACCACCTACGTTCTTCTAGTGATAGTAAAAGGATACCTGATCTTATTTCCTTCATTGCAGACCTCATGAGTCAGAAACCTGAGGTTTTAAGAAAAAAATCTAGAAATCACACTTAAAAGCTGTGGAAGGTCTAGTGGTGACTATAATTTGGCCCATTTCACAAAACCCACCTACAAGTTCAGGCTGGGCACGGTGGCTCACATCTGTAATCCCACTACTTTGGGAGGCTGAGGTGGGAGGATTGCTTGAGCCCAGGAGTTTGAAACCAGCCTGGGCAACATAGGGAGACCCCGTCTCTACAGAAAAATTTCTTAAAAATTAGCTGGGCATGGTGGTGTGCTCCTGTAGTCCCAGCTACTCAGGAGGCTGAGGTGGGAGGATCACTTGAGCCCAGGAAGTCAAGGCTGCAGTGAGCCATGATTGCACCACTGCACTCCAGCCTGAGGTGACAGAGTGAGACCCTGTCTCAAAAACAAACAAAAAAACCCCTGCTGATCTGAGTGTCTGAGTGGACCACTCCACCCTCCACAGAAGCAGGATGTGCTCCCAACAGAAAGAAAGAATAAAGAGGAGAGGGAGAGAGGAGAGCAAGAGAGACGGCGTATCTGTAAGAAAAGTCAGTATATTTATGGTTTGCTTTATAAAAGTTACTATAATACAATGGTACATAGTATTGAATTCACAAAAATATGAACAAATATTTACATCAAGACACACAACGGAAACACTTCTCTTCAAAACAAGTTACATATGGATGATGGAGTCTACCCGCACAAACATCCCTAAAACTCATTGGTTCTCATCTTTGCAGGGGGAGGGAGAGAAAGCAAAAAATAGCAGAAACCCCCAACTCTTGAAAAGCAGAGATTTGTTCAATGAAAAATGAGGGAGTTGAAAGAAAAATGACTCGACACATATCTTGATTATTGCAAACCACTCTGGGGCTGGGGCTCCTGGGGAGAGGGAGGTCTAGTCCCCTTAGTGAAGGCCAGCCGAGGTTAACACTGGGCACGATGGCTGGGAGCAAGGTGAGGCCAGGGGGAGGGGTGAGGCAAGGGTCCCTTCCCTGGTCTTCTCGAACACCCCCACTTCTTTTATGGGAAGGGGACAGAATGGAGACAGCCCTTTGGAGGCTGTACATGTAACTTGAATCAGCCGTCTCTACAAGCTACGCATTTCCTCATGTGAAAAATAAATTATTTCCTCAGTTGCACAATTAGGCAGAAAACCGCAAACGGAAGAGAAGTTCGCCGCTGTGCCCAGGTACCCCATCTGTGTCTTGTTGCCACCAATTTCCTTGATCTTGAAACCGGCGGGCACAGTCTCAAATAGAGAGGGCCTGGGGGAAAGGAATAAAAAAAAAACAACAAAAAACACACAACAAAACCACCAACAACAAAAAAGAGAAAAATAACAATTCTTTGTACAGAATTTACATGATAACAAGCTTGACACAAGCTGAGATACCAGAGGCTCCGGCCGCCTGCGTCCGCAGGGTGGGAGCAGCTCCCTCATGGAGCGCGCTCATCTTGATGAGGACTCCGGGTCACAACAGTCACTTTCCAGAAATTATTTACACGCCTCCTCTGCTTTCTGGGGTACGGGGGGACTTGCTTTTGTCTTTTTTTTCCTTTTTTTTTGGAAGTACAAAGAAATGAGCAAAAAATGTCTTCCCGCATGTTTCTACAAGAAACAATGTTCCCAAGAGAAAGTCCTTTGCGGCAGCCTCTATATACAGAAGTTGGTTCTGAACTTCAAAAACCTTTTTCCCCTTCCTTTTGATTTTATACACGCACAAGAAAAAAAAAAGCCATGGGAATAAATTCTGAAGAGATGGGAAGGGGGTCAAAAGGGAAAAAAAAACCGTCAAGGCTTAGATTTGTGTTTTTAAATCTTTTCCAAGATTTTCCTTTCTCTGGGAGAAGTAATCTGCTCCCTCCGAAAATAAATATGCTCTGGCCTTCTTAGGTTGAGGGGCTGCCGGCAGGGGGATGTGGGGTGTGGGTTGGGGGTGAGTGGGTGAAGCTTATAAGCCAAAAAATGCCACACGCAGACGGTCTGACAACCCGTAATGGCGGGACTGGGGGACCCGCCTGCCCTTGGGAGCCCTGTCCCACCCAGGGCGAAGGCAAGGGCAGAAGAGAGTGGCTGCCCGCGTTCTCAGCGCCCCTCACCTGCACTGGGGCCTCCGAGAGGCTCCCGCGTTGCTGGCATCCGAATGAGAAAGTAAACATTGAACCCAAGGTTTAGGGGGTGCTGGGGTGTGAGGTGGCAGGGAAAGCCCAGAGCGGAGACCCCTGCCTGGGACAGCTTAGCTCCATCAGGGTCCACCGGGTCAGTGGTGCCCCAGGCCTCTGGGGAAGGAACAGGCTGCAGCTCGGGTGGGGAAAGGTGTGGGGTCTCCTCACTGTGCCCACGGGCAGTGAGGGGCGCTTTCAGGGCGTAGTGTTCTGAGGTCAAGGCCGTGGGGGCCTCCATCCTTCCCACAGCACCTGGCCCTGCGTCCAGGTCCGGGTGGCTTCCAGGACACGGGCCACGCACAGCCACACTGAGGCCTCTGCAGACCCCCGCGGGGCCCCTCTCTGATTCCACCTTCACATTTCAACGGTTAAATGTCTTTTCTCACAACGAGGAAAAAAATAGAGAAGACAAAACAACGTAGCAGCATTCACAGGAAGAGGCCGAGGGTGATGGTGGGAGAGAGAAGAGACAGAGAAGAGAGAGAGGGGAGGAGAGACGGAGAGAGAGAAGCTGATGCTGGAGTTAAACAGAAATCCTGAAAGGGGCGTTTGTTAAAATGAGAGAGACGTGGGCTGAACGACAGAGAAGCCCTTTCCCGCGGAGGGGCCGGAGCCAGGGGCTCCAGGGGGTAGTGTGGGGCGCCAGGCCCTGAATGGCCGCTGGGTAGAGGACAGCACCTGAAATGGGGGCGGGCGCGGGGGGCCGGGCCCCGGGGCCAGGGGCTCCACGCTCGGGAGTCCCAGGGCTACGGCTGACATCCTTTGAGTCTGGTGCCGGGGCCTAGTTGAGGGTCCCCCGGCAGTTCTCGGAGCCACAGAGGCAGGGGATCTTGACGTCCTCGATGGGGAACTTATAGTCATAGGTAATCTCCTCATTGACGTTAATGTGCTGCTTCGAGTAGATGACTATCTTCTTCTGTGACTCCACCGTGATCACCTTGGCATAGCAGTTGGGCTGCAGGCAAGGTGGGGGGGAGAATGAGCCCCTGGTCCCCCAGGGTCCCCCACCACTGCAGACCCCCCAAACCCAACCAGGCCTGTGCTTAAGGCCTGACATGCCACGTGACCCCCAGCCCACTGCTCTGCTCTGGACCTTGGCTCCCCCGACCCCCAGGGGTGACCCCTTGCCTCTGATATTAAATAATGATGATAAAAATTATTTCCCAGGCCTTTCATTTCCATTCGTAGTACAAGTGCCTCCCAAATGTATGTCTATTTTTAGCTCAGGTCTCACTTCTGAGCTCTAAAAAAAGGGTCAGCAAACTATAGCCCCTAGCAGCCTGTTTTTGTAAATAAAGTTTTACTGGCACATAGCCATATCCATTCTCCCATTCATTTGCATATAATTTGTGGCTGCTTTTGTTACAATAGCCAAGTTCAGTAGTTGCCATAGAGATCATCTGAGCCACCAAGCCAAAAACATTTATTATCTGGCCCTTTACAGAAAAGGTAAAGGCCTCCAAGCCCATAAATGCAACTACCTGCTGTCTGCCAGTGGCAGCCCTGGGTACTGTCTTTGACTTAGCTCACACCTAAAGCATGATCTGCTCCTGCTCTGGGCAGCCGCTGCACCACACACCCAGGCCCCAGAGCATCTGCCTCCCTGCCTCCTTCAGTCCAGATCTGGCCCCAACCAGGGCCGGTGAGTTCAGTCCCGGAAGGGCCTCTTGGTTGTGTCTACTGCTCTCCACTTCTGGGGCCACCAGCCACGCTCAGGCCCCCATCACTGCTCACCCGCCTGCTACAGCCCCCTTGGCCACTCTCACCCCTGAAAAAATCCACTCCTGCCCCAGCAGCCAGGGAAACGTTTCCAAAGGGATAGCAGAACCTGTTGCCCGATGGCTCCAACCTTCCAGCGACCTTGGCTCTCAGAGAAACTTAGTTCCTCAGCTTGGCCACCCTCAGCCCTGCCCACCCCATCCTCTTACCCCACCCCATGCCCACTGCCTCCCTTGCTATCTCTCAAACAGGTGTTCTCCCAACTGCCCCAGGGCCTTTGAACACGCAGTTCCCCTTGCCCCAGCACCGCTTCCCCTGGGCAATTCCCTCTCACCCCTCAGATCTCCCCGGATATTCACAGGAAAGTCCCTACCACCCAGGCAAGGATCAAGTCACAACGAAGAGAGCCAGCAGGCGCTGAGGACTGGCCTGGCCAGCACTCAAATGGCCCACGTGCAGTGACCCACCTATGTGGCCCTCCCAACAACCTAAAAGGAGAGACTGTTATTGTCTCTGTTTTACAGACAAGGAAACTCAGGCATAAGAGACATTAAGTAACTCACTAAGCTGCAATGCCAAGACTTGAACCCAAAGTCAGGGGCATCCACCCCGGAACATGCCTGCCTCCTGCTCAGAGCTTCCTGTGCTCTTCCTTCAGCACTCAAATCCCTGTTATCAGTGTCCCTCCCCTCTAGGCCTGCACCACCCAATACAGTCGTCACAAGCTAATTAAGTTTAAATTCATCAAAATGAAATAAAATTTAAAACTCAGGTCCCCAGATGCACTGGGCACATTTCCAGTGCTCACCACCACACATGTGGCTAACCCACAGCACAGATGCACGCAGTGCACCTCCCCCTTGCAGAAAGTTCTAGTGGACAGCTCGGCCCGAGCAGGACTGAGCCTGACCAATGAAGGCACGGAGAAAAGGCTAACGCAGAGAAATAACTCCGAAATTACCAATGAACTGAACCAACCACTTCTTTGAGTCCTCTAAATGCCACAGAAGTCTCACTATGCCCATTTGACAGATGAGAAACTGAGGCTCAGAGGAGTAGAGCTCCTGGTAAAAGACCTCACATGTCCTCCTCTCCCTATAACCCTTGGCCAACCTGAGCTTGGGAAGGAGGCCGAGCTGATTCCCGTGCCGGGGCTTCCAGGCCCTCCTGGCACAGAAGCAGGGCCAGGGGCAGGAGCAGGGGCAGGGGCCACCCCCCGCTGGGCACTCACGTTGCAGCTGTGGTTGATGAAGCGCGCGAAGTTGCCGCACTTGGTGGCGTCGATGATGGTGTCATGGTCCACCCGGAACATGTAGCTGCTCCCGATGCCCTCGTCCTCATAACGCTTCTCCCGCATGTCTGCGATCACCTGGCCACAAAAGGGGGTCAGTCTGGCTGGGCCGGCCCCATGCCCACCCCGGTGCCCATCCTGCCGGGCGGTGCCTACCTGACGGATATTCTGGCCCACGTACTCGATGACCATCTCGTCAGCCGCGATGGGCTCCATGGCGAACAAGCCCCAGTCGTGAATGTGGCTCTTGCAGAACTTGAGCTTTTTCTTCCGGAACTGTGGGAGGGAAGAGGGGGAGAGGTGAGCCCCGGTCTCAGGTCCTGCCGCCACCCCGGCGATCTGGGTGAAGCCCGGCCTCACCTTGAGCTGGTTGAACTTGAGCAGGTCACTGTCACAGCTGCCAGTGAAGGAGGACAGCAGGCGGCGCTGCTCCGAACGCCGCTCCGAGCCTGCCCGGGTGGAGGCGTGGGGCTGTGCTGGGATGCTCATGCCCTGCAGTGGACGGTGTGCGGGGCTCAGCGGAGCTGGCCGTGTCCTCGGCGGTCCCACCCTAGGCTCTGGATCTCTGTCATCCCCAGTGTCCTGGGCTCCTTGCTCTGGGCTTCTCCACACCTGTCGGTCCCTAATTGTCACCGCTTCCCTGCCTCCTCCATCCCATCAGTATCTGAGCGTCTCAAGCTCCTTCTATCTTCAAAACGACGAGACTCACTCTTGCCTGGCGCTGTCTTTTCCCCATTTCAGCCGAAAGTTTTGTCTACCCTGACCCCCTCCTTGGCTCTCACCCAGACCCCTCTCACCCCACAAGCGTTCAAAATCGGGGATCCTTCCGAAACCCTTGTGTCACGTCCTGCTCTTGGCCTCCCTGGGCCTCTGCCCCAGCCATTAACCTTTGGAGCATCCCAGGCCTCTGCCCCAAGTGCCCTCCCAGGTGAGGTCACCCTGCTGTGACCTTCAGTCACCACTTCTCTCCTGGCGATGCCTACACTTAGGTCCCCGGGCCGGAGATCCCCATCCTAAGCTCCGCCATACCCACATGCCCACCAAGACCTCTCTGCCTGGGTGTTTTCAGAACCCGCAGAACTCAAGCTGCCTCGTGGTGATAGCATATCAGCCTCCCCATCTCAGGCCTGGTGTCCAGCTTCCCAGCACCCCCGACCCCAGCCACACCCTGGGCTGTCACCCCCCGCCCATCCCTGTCTCCTGTACCCAGGCCAGCCCTGGTCCTGTCCATCCCACTTCCTCATATTCTTCCACAGCTAATGGCTCCTCGCGGCCCAGCTAAGTCCGGCACATCCGGTCTGGAAACCGCAGCAACCCGAACAGTCTGCCCTCAGGACCCCTGCACCAGCTCCACACCACCCCAGCTCCTCTCACAACCTCCCTCTGCTGCCTGTCACCCCAGGAGACAGGTCACTTACCACCACAGTACCCCCGACCCTGGTGGCCTGTGCTGTCTCTCCCACAAGTGGCCTCTCCCTTCCCTTCCTCACACCATGGAGCTCCCTGCTGCCTCAGGGCCTTTGCACTGCTGCTGTCCTAGGGAGGCCTGCTGGGGTCAGTGAGCCCCTCTCTGGTTTTAACTTTTTATGGAAGTCGCTTTTTCACTTCTCTGTAGTCTCTCTGGCATCCACATGGCGCCTTCCCACACTTCGCCTGGGTCTGACCCTCTCTGACTCCCCTTTGACTTGGTAATCCCTAACCCCTCTCCTGTTTTCTCCATCGCATTTTCCCTGCCTGGAATTACGTGCTTCTTTCTTCACTTGATTATTTCCTATGAGTCCCCATTAAAATATAAATTCCAGCTGGGTACCGTGGCTCACACCTATAATCTCAACACTTTGGGAGGCTGAGACGGGAGGATCGCTTGAGCCCAGGAGTTCCAGATCAGCTTGGGCTACAGAGTGAGACCCCGTCTCAATTTTTTTTTAATTTAAAAATAAAAATAAATAATTAAATTCCACGAGGAATAGGATTTGGTTTTGTTCACTGCTATAGACCCAGAACAGTGCCCGGTACACAGCATGTACTCAACAGATATTTACTGGATTAAAAAAAGAATGAATGAGGCCATGCGATGTGGCTTATGCTTATAATCCCAGCAGTTTGGGAGACCAAGGCAGGCGAATTACTTGAGGTCAGGAGTTCGAGACCAACCTGGCCAACATGGCAAAACCCCATCTCTACTAAAAATACAAAAAATTAGCCAGGCATGGTGGTGGGCACCTGTAATCCCAGCTACTCAGGAGGCTGAGGCAGGAGAATCATTTGAACCCAGGAGGCAGAGGTTGCAGTGAGCTGAGACTGTGCCACTGCACTTCAGCCTATGTGACAGAGCAAGGCTTTGTCCCCCCCTAAAAAAAAAACCCAAGCAAAAAACAAAAAATGAATGAACTTGCGGAAATACAGCTCCGTCACATCCCTAATTAAACCCTTTGGAGGTGCTCCAGGGCCCATGGGACTAAGGCAAACTCCTTCCTTCTCCTAGGCCCCGCCCACCCGCCTCTCCCCTTCCACTTGCACCCTCTGTGTGCCAGCCCCTCTGGCCTCACAACTCCTCCCTCTGCCTGGCACCCCTCCATGAGTGCCCTGGATCCCCGTGGCCCAGCCCAGCAGGCTCTGATGTGTCCAGGAGCCCTGGCAGTACCTGGGTGTCTGCGGGGGGCTCATCGGTGCTGGCACGGCTGCTGTTGAGGTATCTGAGCTTGTCCTTCTTGTCGATGGTGTAGAAGCCCTCACTGCGGGCACAGCCCGTCACGTGCTCGCGGATGCCATCGTCCCGTTTCTTCTTCTTAGCTGAAGAGAGGCTGGTGGGTGGGTGTGGGTCAAGGGCCACATGGACATTCTGAGAGCCCCTTCTGGTCCCTTCATAGACTGGTCCCGCCCATCCTCAGACCACCCTTCAGGGACAGCGATGTCCAGTTCTACTGCCCACTCCCATGCCACCTCCACGTGGCTGCCCGCTGACCAACCCTGCTGACGGTCAATACCTAGTTGCATGGCTCTAGGTGTCTTTTTTTTTTTTTTTTTTTTTGAGACAGGGTCTCCTGTTGCCCAGGCTCGAGTGCAGTGGTGCAATCTCAGCTTACTGCAGCCTCAGCCTTCTGAGCAGCTGGGGCTACAGGCGTGCGCCACCACACCCAACTAATTTCTGGATTTTTTTTGTAGAGATGGGGTTTTGCTATGTTTCCCAGGCTGGCTTCAACCTCCAGAGATCAAGTGATCCATCCACCTCGGCCTCCCAAAGTGCTGGGTGTTTTAACAACTTTCTGCTCAGTTTCCCATCTGTAAATTGGGGTGACAGTGATGCCTCTCTGCAAGTGATGAAATATGCTTATGGTCCTTAGCAGAGTTTTTTTTTTTTTTTGAGACAGAGTCTTGTTCTGTCACCCAGGCTGGAGTGCAGTGGTGCGATCTTGGCTCACTACAACCTGTGCCTCCCGGGTTCAAGCAATTCTCCTGCCTCAGCCTCCAGAGTAGCTGGAATTATAGGCATGTGCTACCACACCCGGCTAATTTTTGTATTTTTAGTAGAAATGGGGTTTTGCCATGTTGGCCAGGCTGGTCTCAAACTTCTGGCCTCGAGTGATCCGTCCGCCTCAGCCTCCCATAGTGCTGGGATTACAGCTGTGAGCCATGGTGCCCGGCACTTGAGCAGAGCTCTTGACACAAACTGAGTGCTCACAAATCAGTCTAATACAGCAGGGATAATGAGAGGTCTAGCCTCACTGGCCTATGTGAACAGCCAAGCCTCATGAAAGCCTGGTGGTGAAGAGCCTGGACTCTAGAGCCAGGTTTGCCTGGGTTCAAATCTCAACTCTGCCACCTGTAGCTGTGTCTTTGGACAGGTCACTGAACCTCTCTGAGCCTTAGCTTCTTCATATGTAAAATGGGAATCATAGCCCCCATCTTCACCAGGCTACCGGGATTACCTGAGGTTATGAAGGGGACAGGACAAGGAGGCCCTGCGCCCGTGTGTGCTGTTAAGCTGCACGGCACTGCTGTTACATGTGACCCTGAGACCTGCTAACTCTGGGGGTGAGATGGGCCTGGCGCAGAGGGAGTCCTTAAAACGTGCCAATGATTCACTCGGGAGCCTGGCATGGTGCCGGGACACAAACCCTGCTTGGGAAGTGACGGTGGTGCATGCTGTCACCTTCATGGGCACCGCGGGCTGCTACAGACTGGGTGGTGGGGCCCAGAGAGGTGAGCAGGGACTTCCTGCATCCCAGAAGGTGCAGAGCCCCCCATGCCAGCAGGATATAGGGATGGTAGACCCAGAGCGTGTCGTTAAGCCAGTCCATGCCATTGTCCTGCTGTAGCAGTCGCTCGTAGGTGACACACAGGAAGCGGATGTCCTCCTCATCGATGCCACCGTTCCAGATGTCATACAGGATGGTCATCTCCTCAAACTCCGAGCGGGGCCGGAAGAGGGGCTGGGGTGGCGAGAGTTCGGGCGAGCCCGCAGGTGGCACCAGGTCCTCATGGCGCTTCTTAGGTGGCCGGCGCCACGGCCCCCGGCTCTTGGCCAACTCCATGTATTCCTCAGTGACCTCATCGCGCCCACGGGGGCCCGGAGGAATGGCCTCGGAGGGCCACTGGTTGTCTAGCTCCTTAAAGGGCAGCTTGGTGGGCTCTACAGGTGGGGGAGGTGGGGGTGGGGGTGGCTGGGGGGGAAGGGGTGGTGGAGGGGCTGGGATCCCCGCGTTCCGGAAGTCCAGGGTCACCGTCCGGGGGTCATGGGTGCTGGGGAAGACGGGGGTCTGTGGCTGGCCCGGCAGGAGCAGGAGTTCCCTTCCAAGGGCGGCCCCTGCTGGTGGTCGGACCAAGGGCCCATCCAAGGAGAGCATAGATGGTGGGGATCGCCGGGGCCGGCCCGGCTTCCTCTTCATTGGGGGAGGGCAAGAGGCCAGGGGG
The DNA here is from genome assembly GCF_000001405.40 of Homo sapiens. NCBI lineage: Eukaryota > Metazoa > Chordata > Mammalia > Primates > Hominidae > Homo > Homo sapiens. The sequence continues at coordinate 121,823,096 of NC_000012.12, read as the reverse complement.
GCGGGCAGCAGGGGTGGCAGCGGGGTGGGCGCACGAGCCTGGGCCCGCAAGACGGCGGGCAATGCCAAGGGCAAGGGCAGGGGAAGGGGCAGAGGGAGGGGCAGGCCCGTCTCCAGGAGCACCGGGGAGGCCAGGGGCCCGGAGCGTTCATCGCGTCGGCCAGTGGGGAGTGGGCAGACGGGCAGGAGCAAGGGCCCGCTGGGCTCGGAGAAGGTGGGTGTGAAGCTGAAGTCCCGGCCAGGTGTCCGAGGGAGGCCCCCACTGCTCAAGCTAGGGGACGGGGCTGGGTAGGAGAAGGGGCTGCCGGGCACTTGCGGAGAGCTCAGGGACAGGCCACTGCTGCCCCCTGATAGCGGGGGCTCCCCGCCTGGTGTGGCTGGCACCGTCTCTGTGCTCTGCGACTTGGCCAGGCTGCCACAGAGGCCTGGAGTATGCGGGGGGTGGTCCTCGGCAAGGGGCTCCGGAGGGACAGATGGGTGTGAGGCATCTGTGGTCTCAGGCTCCGGCGGTGGGCTGGGTGGCCGGGGTGGTCGTGGGGGCGGCAATGGTGGTTGCAGCGGCAAGGGGAGCATCATAGGGGGCTCCGGCTCCACTTCCAGGTCATGTTCTGCAGAGAGGTGAGCGAACACGAGACATTTACTATTCAATCCAAACGTCTCTCAGTGCCTTATTTTGTGCTCCATACCTGGCAGGCTCACAGCCCTGAGTCTGAGCACGGGACCTGTCCTTCTCCAGCTAAACCCCTCAAGGACTCCTCAGCGCCCAACCCAGTGTCAGGCACACAGTATGTGCTTTATCAATGTTGCTAGGCTAAATCACAGATGCAGGAGACATGTATTCCAGCCTTTCATACTACGTCTTCAGAACAAAGTCCCTGTGGCCCAAGAAAATCTGCTCTATGACTGAATAAAATTCAACAAGTCTCTTTTCTGCAGGACTTGTCGGAGCCTTCAAGGATTTTTTTCCTAGCACTTATCTCCACTGTCACAGGATACACTTCTTAATTTTTTAATGAATTTACTTATTTTTTTATTTTTGAGACGGGTGGAATGCAGTGGCATGATCACGGTCACTGCAGCCTAGACCGCCAGGGCTCAAGGGATCCTCCTGCCTAAGGCTCCTGAGTAGGTGGGACTACAGGAATGTGCCACCACGCCCAGCTAATCTTTAAATGTTTTGTAGAGATGGGCTCTATGTTGCCTAGGCTGGTCTTGAACTCCTGGCCTCAAGTGATCCGCCAGCCTTGGCCTCCCAAAGTGCTGGAATTACAGATGTGAGCCACCATGCCCGACCACAGAATACATCTTTTTCATTTTCTATTTTTACATTATTTTATTTTTATTTTTTCGAGACAGTCTCACTCTGTCACCCAGGCTGGAGTGCAATGGCACAATCTCAGCTCACTGCAACCTCCTCCTCCCAGGTTCAAGCAATTCTCCTTCCTCAGCCTCCCAAGCCGCTGGGATTACAGGCACGTGCCACCACGCCCTGCTAATTTTTTGTACTTTTAGTAGAGATGGGGTTTCGTCATGCTGGCCTGGCTGGTCTCAAACTCCTGACCTCAGTTGATCTGCCTACCTCGGCTTCCCACAGTGCTGGGATTACAGGTGTGAGCCACCGCGCCCGGCACATTTCTTTTTCTTTCTTTTTTTTTTTTTTTAAGACAGTCTCACTCTATCGCCCAGGCTGGAGTGCAGTGTGGCACGATCTCGGCTCGCTGCAACCTCTGCCACCCGGGTTCAAGCAATTCTCCTGCCTCAGCCTCCCAAGTAGCTGGGATTACAGGAGCCTGCCACCTGTTTTTCATTTTCTAATTGATCTGTTGTCATCTGTTCCCCTGCTCCGTGGGAGCAGATATTTTTGTCTGTTTGGTCCACTGTTGCATTGCTACTGCCTAAAATAATAGCAGGGACACAATAGAGGCTTAGTATTGAGTCAATGTTCAAAGACTGTGGTTAATGGTGGAATAAACAAAACAAAATACATTACATTAAACAAAACACAGTCGTCCCTCAATACACACAGAGAATTGGTTCTAACACTCCCTGGTATACCTAAATCTGCACATACTCAAAGCTTGTAGTCTGCCTTGCAGAACCCACGTATAGGCGATCGCCCTCCATATACAGTGGGTTTCGCATCCCACCGGTCTTTTCCGTCCATATTTGGTTGAAAACTGCATGTCCGTGGGCCCTAGCCATGTGTTCAATGTACAGGGGCAGCTGTAATCCTTTCCTGAAGGACTTATTAAAGGTAGGTGCTAGGACCGGGCATGGTGGCTCACGCCTGTAATCCCAGCACTTTGGGAGGCCGAGGTGGGTGGATCATGAGGTCAGGAGATCGAGACCATCCTGGCTAACGCGGAGAAACCCCATCTCTACTAAAAATACAAAAAATTAGTCGGGTGTGGTGGCGAGTGCCTGTAGTCCCAGCTACTCTGGAGGCTGAGGCAGGAGAATGGCGTGAACCTGGGAGGCGGAGCTTGCGGTGAGCCGAGATCGTGCCACTGCACTCCAGCCTGGGTGACAGAGCGGGACTATGTCTCAAAAAAAATAAAAATAAAAATAAAAAAAGAGGTAGGTGCTAACCACATGCAGCTATCTATGTAAGCCAAAATAAATTGAACACTATTATAAATTCAGTTCCACTGTGCCACTGGCCACGTTTCAAGAGTTTGGTAGCAACATTGTGTCTGAAGGCTACAGTGCTGGACAGCACAGCCTGAGAACGCTGCCATCACTGTGGAAAGTTCTACTGGCCATGCAGTTAGAGTTCTCATATGCTCTGTGCAGCAGCATCACGATGCCGGAGGGGGCAATGCCTGCAGCCCTCACCTGGCCCAGCACCCCAGGGCCTACCCCACCGACTTGTCACTCAAGTGACCATGGACACCCATCCTCCTTTTGGGGAGCATCTCATGGGACTGATGGTCCAAGGACCAAGCCACCAGGGAAACGCTGGCAGTGAGGACTGAAAAATAGCAGTCGTTCCCCTTTGGGTTGATCCATGCAGTGCCAGGCTCAGTGCTGGCACCCAACACCTCATCTCGCTCGAGGGAGGCACAACCGGCTGATCTCGTTTTACACGGGAAACTGAGGCTGGGGACGGTCAGCGATCTACCCCAGGAAGCCCGGGCTGATTCTGACAGTGAGGACTTCCTGCCTCCCTCCCACCACCCTCCCAGGGGGTTGCAGGTGTTACCTGGAGCTCGCTCAGGGGACAATGGGGGTCGAGCCTCCACCTCCTTGGCAGGGGGCTCTGGAGACAGCAACATGGCCCCTTCCTGGCTCAGGCCTGGTTCCTCAGGCGGCTCCCTGGAGTCCGCTGGCTCTTCAACACCCACAGGCAAGGGGGGCTCGTCCAGCATGGAGGGCCGCTCCTCAGGGGCCACAGCCTCAGTCTCGATGTCCACCTCCTCTTCCATGCCCAACGAGTCCACTGCAGGTGCCCCCGGGGCCAGAGCCGCTTCCTCCCCGTCCTGCTCAAAGTCCTCAGGGCCTGCAGAAGCCATGCTTTCCTCGGCCACCATCTCCTCCTCCTCCTCTTCTTCCTCCTCTTCCCTGGCCACTACCTCCTCCTCATCCTCCGAGGATGAGGGCGAGGACTCGGAGCTTGACTCAAACTCAGAAGACTCGGAACTCTCACTGGACGACGTGGCTTCGGCCTTGGAGGTTACAATGCTCACTGTCTCCTCTGGATGGGGGACACAGACGAGGGGCTGCCTGAGGACCCGCTGTGCCCCAGCCCCCACCAGACCCCTCACCAATGGCCTCAAACTGGTGGCACCCAGGCTGAACACGGCCCTCAGATATGTGTGTGGGGCATGTGTTCACTAGGAGTCTTTTTTTTCTTTTTTTTGAGTTTTGCTCTTGTTGCCCAGACTGGAGTGCAGTGGCACGATCTCGGCTCACTGCAACCTCCACTTCCTGGGTTCAAGCGATTCTCCTGCCTCAGCCTCCCAAGTAGCTGGGATTACAGGCATGCACCACCACGCCCGGCTAATTTTGTACTTTTAGTAGAGACAGGGTTTCACCATGTTAGCCAGGCTGGTTTCAAACTCCTGACCTCAGGTGATCCACTTGCCTCAGCCTCCCAAAGTGCTGGGATTAAAGGAGTGAGCCACCACACCCGGCCGCTAGTAGTCGCTTTTAAAAACTGAGGTAAAATTAACATAACAGAAAACTGCTCACTTTTTTTTTTTTTTTTTGAGACGGAGTCTCGCTCTGTCGCCCAGGGTGGAGTGCAGTGGGGCGATCCCGGCTCACTGCAAGCTCCGCCTCCTGGGTTCACGCCATTCTCCTGCCTCAGCCTCCTGAGTAGCTAGGACTACAGGCACCTGCCACCATGCCCGGCTAATTTTTTGTATTTTTATTAGAGACGGGGTTTCACCGTGTTAGCCAGGATGGTCTCGATCTGTTGACCTCGTGATCCACTTGCCTTGGCCTCCCAAAGTGCTGGGATTACAGGCGTGAGCCACTGCGCCCAGCCAAAAACTGCTCACTTTGTAAAAAAAATTTTATTTATTATTTTTTTTGAGGTGGAGTGTCACTCTGTCACCCAGGCTGGAGTGCAGTGGCATGATCTCAGCTCACTGCAACCTCTGCCTCCTGGATTCAAGCAATTCTCCTGCCTCAGCCTCCCAAGTAGCTGGGATTACAGGTGCCCACCACCACGCCTGGCTATTTTTTGCATTTTTAGTAGAGACGGGGTTTCACCATGTTGGCCAGGCTGGTCTCGAACTCCTAACCTCAGGTGATCCACTCGCCTAGGCCTCTCAAAGTGCTGGGATTACAGGTGTAAGCCACTGCGTCCGGCCAACTGCTCGTTACAAAGTGATAATTCCAGCAGCATTTAGTACATTTGTAATGTTGCACAACCACCACCTCGATCTGGTCCCTAAGTATTTTTATCAGTTGAAAAGGAAGCCATGTAGGCTGAGCAAGCCCCCCTGAACACCGGGCTCCCCAGCCCTAAGGACCACAGACCTGCTTTCTATTTCTATGGACATGCCATTATGTTCACGGCACTCCCTGAAGATGGAACCGTACGCCACCCTGTGTGTGTGTTTTAACAAGGTAACGTCTCAAAAGCACAACATTTTGGCTCAGAAGTATTTCTGACAATTGCTCAGGCTCTGCCCCGGGGAAAGAGGGACTCCGGGAGGGCCAGGCAGCCACGGCCTCCCTGCTCACCTTCATCCGAGTCCCCTTCGTCCTTCTCACTCGCCTCTGACAGGGCTGTGTCCTCGTCATCGTTCTCAGACTCGTCCCGGTCATCACTGTCGTCATCGTCGTCATCCTGGGGGAGAAGGAAGAGTGGGGACAGGTGAGCCGAAGGGTCTGGCCCTCGTCGCCTGGCCCGGCCCCCTGAGGCTTCCTGGCCTGCTAGGCACCTTATCTGATGTGGATGAGGTTGAGGAGGAGGAGAGCTGGCTCCTGGGGACTTCCTCCTCCTCCTCCTCCTCCGCCTCCTCTTCCTCCTCGGTGCTCTCCTGTTCCTCCTCCTTGTCGGAGGCCGAGGACGAGGGTGAGGTGGTTGAGGACCCCGAGGATGATGACGCGGATGAGGACGAGGACGCCGACAATGACTCCTTCTCGTCCTCCTCCCCACCACTGTCCAGCTCCAGAGGCCGCGCCGGCCGCCGCCGCACACCCACGCCCTTGGGGTCCCGCTTGGCGAGCTCACAGGGGGTGTCTGCCATATCCCGGTCTCGCTCTCGCTCGGACTCTGCAGGAAGGGAGGGAGTCAGAGCTGGGCTGGGGGGATGCGGAAGAAGGGGACCCCAGCACCCAGAGCACGAACCTTCATCTTCCTCATCCACAGAGGTCGAGGGCCGCAGCCGCTTCTGGTCGCCAGATGAGGTGGTGTCTGGTGGCTCCTTCCTCTTGACCTTGAAGGAGGGCAGGCGAATGGCCCCACGCAGCCCAATGCCCAGGCCCAGGCCCTCGTAGCCCAGGCCCTCGCCCTTGCCCCATGACTCCAGCAGGCACGAGGCGATGCGGTCCTTGGGCTTCGGCCTGTCCTCGTCCTTGTGCTCGCCCGACTTCACCGGGGTCAGCGAGGCCTGGGGTGGAGACAGGAGGGGACCGTCACCGCTTCTGGCACCACCAACCCTTGCAGGGAGCCCTCCCCAGGCTACCTGCCTTCCACTCGGCAGTAACAGCCACCACAGGTAACTGCATCCTCATTCCCTACACACCTGGCCACACTATGCCGTTACCCACGAGGCTCTAGAGCACCGCTCTGCCTCATAGATCTCAATGTCCTCCCCTGTAGAATAGGACTACTGTACCTGCCTTCCTTACAACAGTGGCCTTTGCACTTTGCAGACAATCCAAAAACTACACCATAGGGACACATCTGTGCAACACCACCTTCACAAGGTAAGATTTACACTATCCCATTTTCTCTTCTCTTCCCATGCATTAAAAACAGGACCTACTGGCTTTATTTCACTGCTCACTAAGGGGTTGCCCCTGTGGTTCTGAAATGCTCTGCCTTCAAAGGGATGCTGTGAGAATTAACAAAACGAGCCACATGAAGAGCTTTGCAAGGTGCAGGGCACATGAGGCCTGGTGGCTCTTTTTATTCAAATTGTGAATGGAATAGCTATTAGCTGTTACTGTAGGGTCAGTATAATTTGGCTGAACCATAAAGAGCTGTGTATCAGTGATTTCAGACGGTTCATTCTAATTTTACTGCCCAGTTAAACGGATGACAAACAGGCTCTGACAAGTGCTGCTTACCTCTGTGGCAGAAAGCAAGCATTTCCCAAAGCAGGCTCCAGGGGACACTCAAACTCATAACCACGGTCGAGGGAGGGGAGCAGGGGGGAATGGGGTGGAGGGGAGGGATTAAGGGGAGTTTAAAGTATTCAAGAAAAAGTTCTCTCTTATGGAGAAAATAAGTAATTTTAGATTACCTGTAAGATTGCAAACAGGCAAATAATATGTTAAAAAGGAAAAAAGAGACCAGGCATAGTGGCTCACATCTGTAATCCCAGCACTTTGGTAGGCTGAAGCAGGTGGATCACTTGAGGTCAGGAGTTCGAGACCAGCCTGGCCAACAAGGTGAAACCCCATCTCTACTAAAAATACAAAAATCAGCCAGGCATGGTAGTGGGTGCCTATAGTCCCAGCTACTTAGGACACTGAGGCAGGAGAATCGCTTGAACCCAGGAGGTGGAGGCTGCAGAGGGCTGAGATCACGCCATTGCACTCCAGCCAGGGTGACAGAGTGAGACTCCATCTCCGAAAAAAAAAAAAAAAAAAAAGAAAGAAAAGAAAATAGTAAGTAGGCCAGGAGCGGTGGCTGACGCATATAATCCCAGCCCAAAAGGCAGAGGATCACTTGAGCCTAGGAGTTCAAGACCAGCCTGGGCAACGTGGTGAAACTCTGTCTTTACAGAAAAACACACAAATTAGCTGGGTGTGGTGGTACATGCCTGTAGTCCCAGCTACTTGGAGGCTGAGGTGAGAGGATCCCTTGAGCACAGGGAGGTTGAGGGTGCAGTGAGCTATGATTGCGCCACTACACTCCAGCCTGGACGATACAGCGAGACCCTGTCTCAAAAAAACAAAAAAAGGAAAAAAGTGGTCCAAGACAGGGCTCCGTGTAAAAGGCGGCATGAGGGGAGGTGAGGGGAGTCAAGTTCAAAGGGAGTCGCAGCTGTGAGCTGTCTGCAATGGGCGGGGGGGGCAGTCTGCACCAGCTATCCTGTGTACTACCACTAGGCACCTGTGGCTCCCGAGCACTTGAAATGTGGCATGTACAAAGGAGGAGTTTTAATTTTACTCTGTTTTAATTCATTTAAGTTAATTTGCACATTTATTTTTAGAGATGGGCTCTTGCTATACTGCTCAGGCTGATCTTGAACTCCTAGGCTCAAGCAATCCTCCCACCTCAGCCTCCCAAAGTGCTGGGATTAAAGGTGTACGCCACCATGCCTGGCCACTCATTTAAATTCAAAGAGCCGTGTGCATCTAGTGGCTGCTGAAGTGGAGCACAGTTTGCGGAACTTTGAAAGTGGCCACATGAAATGGAGCTCCCATAGTGGGGTCCACGGCAGCGTTTCCAGTTAACAGTCTCAGGGAAAGAGGAGGTGCCCGGCTGGGGACCTGCCCCCCTCCACAGCCACCCTGCAGAGCCCTGCACCCACCCACCCACCTTGGCCATCCGCTCCTTCTTGTCCCACCACTCGTCAAAGGCCCGGAAAGCCACCACTTCCACCATCTTGCGGTTCAGGTCACGCTTCATGATGGCCTTGAGTTCTTTGAGGACCACCAGCAGGACGCCATCCACCGTGGCTTTGTGTGGGTCCTCCTGGCGTGGCATGTAGCCTGGTGGAGGCACTGACGGGTCAAACTTGGGCAGTGGTGGCCAGTGCTGCCCGCGGCCTGGGCCGGAGTTGCTCAGGGAGAAGGGGCCCCGGTAGGGCGGCAGGTTGACAAACTGGAGCCCAGCTGAGGCAGCGGCGGCCGCAGCGGCCATGAAGGGCGGGTAGGGGCAGGCGCCCTGGCCCGTCATCAGCCGGCTGAGCACCTGCGTTTGCATCTGGAAGGACATGGGCATGCCGCCCCACTGGCCACCCAGCACGTGGCTCATGTCCACCTGCATCACAGGGAACAGGCCCGGCGGAAAGGGGGGCAGTGGTGGCAGGATGGGTGGGGGCGGGACTCCAGGCGGCGCTGGCAAGGGTGGTGGGGGCACTGTCACAGCAGGGTGGGCTGGAGGGGGTGGGGGCGGCGGTGGGGGCAGCGGTGGGGGCATGGGGAAGCCAGGCTGCGGTGGGGGTGGTGGTGGTGGGGGGGGCAGCGGGGGGAAGCCAGGTGGCGGGGGCAGCGGCAGGGTTGGGGCTAGCACAGAAGGGGCTGCCACGGCTGCCGCTCCTGGGGTCACCACCATGGGCTTGGGGCAGTCAGCGCTGGTGATGGGGGCCGAGGGCATCTCGTCATCCGAGATCTCCATGTCCTCGCCTGAGGACTGCTGGCCCTGCAGAGAGAGCAGGGAGAGACAGTGAGGTGAGTCTGGAAGGCCAAGGGGCTCTCGGAGTCCCCTCTGCAAGACTAGCAATCAGTGGCACTCCCAGCTGTGTGACCCAGTGCAAGCCATTCAGCCTCTCCAAGCCTCAGCGTCTTCATTTGCAAAATGGGCATCATAGTCCCTGCCTCATGGAGTTACCACTAGAATTCATTCATTCATTCCAATTCAACAAACATTTGCTCAGTACCTGTGTGCCAGGCACTGGTCTAGGTGCTGGGGACACAAAGTTGAAGAGGCAGGCAAACATCTTACTCTTGTGGAGCGGAGCCAGCAGGAAAAGGCAAAAGGATGATGAGGGTGAATACGGGAAACGTGAGGGAGAGAAAGAAGGCAGGGAGACGGGTGGGGCACAGAGGATGAAACTGTTGCAATTTCAGAGATTCTGTTGCAACTTGTGTGCAGAAATAGTTGCCACTTCCATAGTGTCTCTTATGTGCCAGGGCCTTTCTAAACGCTCCACATTTATTAACTCAGCTAATCCTCAGAACAGCCCTATTTTCAACTCCATTTTTGCCCCACGAGGAAACTGGGGCACAGAGAATTTAAGTAACCTGCCCAAGGCCACACAGCCAAGAAGAGATGGAGCCGGGATTTGAACCAGGAAGTGGTTCTGCAGCCTGTGCTCTCAGTCACCCTGCTGTCCTCACTCTGCGGCAGACGGCCAGGCAGGAAAGGTGACATTGGAGCGGGGGTTTAGCAGCACTAAGGCCCATAAACAGGAAGTGTGTTGTTATTTATTTTTCCTTGATTACTCTTTTCACCTAGTCTCGTGACTGCACAATCAGTGTGGGCCCGCGTGGGGCTAAGCGCTGCAGACGGCTGCCTCATTTTTTATCCGAAAGATAACCTCACAGGGCGGGGGGCTCTGCTCCGACCCATTTGACAGTTAATAAACACACTCAGAGCCTCAGCCGTGGCCCCGCGGCACAGCCAGTCAGAAGAAGGTCTGGAGCCCAGGACCTGCCCAGTGCGGGGCTGCAGCTGGGATCCAGGGCGGTGGTGAGGGGTAAATGTGGGAGGTGTCAAGGATGGGCGTGGGGCTTTAGGGAGCCGAGTGGACAGGTCTGGACTTGGGGTGGGGGGACCTTTGAAGGCTGAGGGGGAGTGGGGGTGGAGGTGGAGTCTGTGCAAGTTGCAAGATCAGAGGTCAGACTACAGGTGAGGAAGGCCTCAGAGGAAAACTGCAGGTAGCGGGGTAGGAGGACGGAGACTACCCAAACTAAGGCAGCGGCAGGAAGCTCTGGACTTTACCAGGTCCCCTCTGTGCACACATACACACACACACACGCACGCACGCACACACTCTCCTTCTCAGGATCCCCATGCACATCAAGAAGAGACAGACGGGCTCGGGTGGATCCTCAGAGAGCACTCCCCAGATCAGTCCTGGACAGAGCCGAGCACAGCGCGCCGCGGCACACAGAGGGTTAACCCGGGCCGCCGCCGCCAGCCAATCACAGGGAGGCAGATCCTGCGCTCCAGCCCCGGCCGGCCCTGCCCCTCCCTCTGCCCAGCAGTCTCGGGGTGAGAAGCGGCAGGAATTTGCTGAGAACTGGGAGTCCAGCAGGCCTGGCGGTGCCGGGAGCATCCTGTGCGGCACCTCACTTAAGCTGAGGTCCTGTGCTGCAGGGACTCTCACAGGCCCATTTGGCAGATGACGAAACTGAGACTCAGAAAGGCAAAAGTGCCTTTTCCAGGGTCACATAACCAGTAAGTGACTTGGCAGGACTCAAGAACTTGAGCCTGAACTTTTAACGACCAGCCACTGTTTAGAAGAAAAGCCCCCCCTGCACCCTCGGCTGGCCCCGCCTGCGCCGCTCCCCCACCTAGGATGGGACGGGGTCCAGCTCCCCGCACTGCGCGCGGCCGCAGAAAGCCCAGGCGCTATTCCCCGGCGCCAGCAGGGGGCGCCCGCGGGCCGGCCCGGAGCTTCCCGGCACTCGGCGACTCCCTGCGCTGGCGGCCGGGCAGTCCCAGACCCTCGCTCCCGGGGCCTCAGCCTGCCTTTCGCTCCAGCCACTGCGGGCCTCTCAGCCCTGGACCGTGGTCAGCATGGTAAACACTCCTCACCCCAGGCAGCCTAGACGGAGCGGAGGAGACGGGTGCCAGGGCCGGCGGCCCCCCTACAGCTGCACACCTGTCAACGCCCCCTGCCAAGGCCCCCTGCCTGGACCCCTTGATGCCAGAAACCACTTCCCCAGAACTGCTTGGAGGCCCCCTGGAGCCCCAGCCACCTGCAGCACCCTCCCAGGCAAGCCAAGTTCCTCTCGTTCCTCCCTGATGCAGCCAGACCCGCCTAATCAAAGGGCCCAAGAAGGGGGCAGTCCTCCTCCCCTCCGCCCACAGGGACGCAGAGCTCTGTCTAAGCCCCTGACTGCCCATGCCCACCGGGACTACGGCTCCAAGGCAGGTGCCTGGACCGAGAAGGAGGAGTGGAGCCAAGGAAGATGACCCAACACCCTCCCAGGGGAACCTGGCACGTGGCACCCTCACCCCCAACCCCTGGGCGGGACTTCCTGAGGCTGGAGGTTTAGGCAACGAGACCCCATGACCTGAGGAGAGGGTGGGGGATGGTCAACTTTGCCTTTTTCTGGCTACATGGCACCCCACCCCCACCCCAAGTTAGCTCTTAACTCCTTCATCCCTGGAGCCAGTGGGAGAAGAAGGGAAACCAGCACCCTCCCTGTCTGCCATGGTTTCCCCCTCTTCAGAGGGCACCAGGCTCTAGGAGACAATGCTCCGGGGCTTCACCCCACTTAGCCCAGCACAGTATTCTGGCCAATCTCTCTCCTCCCCTCTGCCTGAGGGCCAGGACTCTCCCTGATCATTCCCAAGCCACGCAACAGACAAGGGGACCAAGAGCCATCCCCACAGCTCATACTCTCTGAACTCTCAGCAAACGCCTACCAAAGCAGCTCAGGCCAGAATTTATCCCTAGGAAAAGCTGACTTCTTACCTAACAAGGAGAGCATCAGAACTAGGCCATGCTTTCCTTCTCTCCACGGCTGCTAGGGAGCTCATTGCCAAACCAATTGCTCAATCACAGCCCCTGGTGTTTTCTGCATCCCCTTTTTATTCTGTAAGTTCCACCTGTTATATTGGCTTTCCTAGCCCCATTGCTTCCGCATCTTAGCTAGTCATGCTAAATGCTTGAAGGGGGAAAGGGAGATACAAGATAGACAAAACCAGTCCCAGACAGATGGACAGACACGGTGGTACCTCATCCATCTTCTCTGAGGTCGGGGTTCTGTCTCCAACCAGGTCCAAGGCCACCTCAGCTGTCTGGCTCAGAAGCCCAGCAGGGTCCGGGGGGCCTGGCTCAGGTGGAGGCCGAGGCCCAAGGCCCAGGTCGAGCTCCTCGTCCTCGTCGGAGTCTGGGAGGGGTGTTGGGCTGATATCCTCCAGGCCGGTGCTGGAGGGGCGTGACGAGGGGGGCGTGGGGCCCCGGAAGCCTGGCTGGGAGTTGGTGCCAAAGGGGGCCAGTGGGGAGAGCTGGGAGGAGGAGGAGGAGATGGGGCTGCCCTCCATCTGCAGCTCGGTGTCCGAGTCCGGCTCCCTCAGGAAGAGCAGCTTGGTGCGCTGCTCCTTCAGCAGCATCTCGATGCGCGAGTCCAGGCTGTCGTGGGGTTTCTCTGGCCCTGCAGGGGACGACTCCAGCGTGGGCGTGCCAGGGCTGTCACAGGGCTCAGGACTCCAGCCGAAGGTGGGCCGGCCGCCCAGCTCCATGCTGTTGGTGTCGGGGGGCGGCGGGCCGGGTGGCGTGCCTGGCTTCTCCTTGGCCAGAGGCTCAGCAGGTGGCAGGGGTGGGGGCGCCGGTGCCCTCCGGAACTCCCCACTGTCGCGGGCCCCAAAAGCGGCTGTGGCGGTGGGCTCTTCCGGGGGTGGAGGGAAGTGGGCCACTGGGGTCTGATACGGAGAGAAAGCAGACTTGAATCCAGGAGCAGGGGTTGCTTGGGCGGGTGGTGGAGTGTGGGCAAATGTGGCTGAATCCTGTGGTTGAGCCTTGAACGGGGGACCGCTGCTGCCCCCAGTGCCGCCGACTGCTCCGAACGGGAGGTCCGAGGAACCCCGGAAAGCGGCTGTGGCCCCGGCCACCGCAGTGACCGCGGGAGAATTGTGTACATAATGATGTTCGTGGCGGCGGTTGTAGGCGTCCGTGAACTTGCTCTCGTGGCGCCGGGCCTTGAAGGTCACTGCAGGGTCCTGGCTGAAGAGGTATGAGGGTGTGGGCTGGCGGCTGGAGTAGCTGGAGTCCTGTGAGAAAGGGGTGCCCAGGCGCGGTGTGAGCGGGGTGCCCTGTCCATAGGAGTTGGGTGTGTCCAGGCGGCAGCTGGAATAAGCTGTGTCCTGGGAGAAGGGTGTCCCACCGCTATTGGGGGTGACAGAGGAGGAGCCGGAGCCACAGCCTGCAGACAGGCCTCCATCCTTGAGGCGCTTCAGGGCATCTGACAGCTAAGGAGAGACAGAGATGTCAGACCACTGGGGGAAAACATGCAATGGAACAGGGCTATTTTCCCTTCTCACTCTGGCTGCTGGGAAGCTCAGAGCCAAACTGCTCTAGAACTGCAGCATAAGGAATGGAAGTGGGGGAGATTGAGGAGGAGTGTCAGGATGGTACTAACTTTTTCTCTAATCTTAGGGGTAGCCAAATATGTTCAGGGAACCTTGAGGGTCATTCCTAATTCCAGAGGAGGCAGAGAAAAAAGAAGACTGTAACATCTTGGTTTAGGCTGGGATTTTCTTTCTGCCTCAGGCTGTCAGAAATCAAAGACCTTCCAGGCAGGATTATGACCAAGAACTACAATCTTGTGCACGAGAGGATGGCCAAGGGCTTTGTCCTCCTAGTCACCCAGTGCTTTAGGATTTAAAGTGATAAACAGAGGCCAGGCGTGGTGGCTCATGACTGTAACCCCAGCACTTTGGGAAGCCGAGGCAGGTGGATCACTTGAGGTCAGGAGTTCAAGACCAGCCTGGACAACATGGTGAAACCCCACCTCTACTAACCAAAAATATAAAAATTAGCCAGGTGTGGTGGCGTGTGCCTGTAATCCCAGCTACTCAGGAGGCTGAGGCAAGAGAATCACTTGAGCCCAGGAGGTGGAGCTTGCAGTGAGCTGAGATCGCACCACTGCACTCCAGCCTGGGGACAGACTGAGACTCTGTCTCAAAAAAATAAATAAAACAAAAAAAAAGTGATGAACAGGCCAGTGGCAGCTAGTCAGCCTGATGCCAGGGAGGAGCTGGCATGAGACTCGCCCCACGCGAGAGTTGTCCCTGTGTCCTGGAAGGCAGTGGTTTGGAAGGAGTCAGCCTTGCTCTGGAAGGCAGGGCATGAACTCTGGTTTCTGGGTTTAGGGGTAGTGGCATGCCCAGGACACCAGACACTAAGGACCCCGGAAACAGCAATGTTTGGCATCAACGTGGAAAAGCGGGCCAGGGCAGGCTCTGGGTCTGTGGGAATCACAGCCTGTGCTGGGGAGGGGAGAAGCCACAGGAAACAGAACCAATCCCATGGAGCCCTACTGCAGGAGCACTTGGGAAAATGGGGCTCTAGGCCCTGCTCCCAATTGTGGGGGGCGTGGCCAGGCTTCACACCCTCCTAGGCCTTGGTCTCCAAAGCTGGAGTGAGGTGGGGGTAGGCTGGGGGTCCCATAAGAGAGTTGGTGAGGCTTTCCAGAGGTGGGGGGCACATCAAAGAGCTGGCGATGGGGCAGACTGACGGCCATAAACCCACCTGCAGGGTCTCATTCACGATTGGAGAGACAGCGTCCAGCTCGCCCACTGGGAGGGTCTGGGGGGTGTATCGGCCAGTGACCAACAGTTCATAGAACCGCATTCGGGTTTCCCCTGTAGATGGGCAGGAAAGGGGGAACTCAGTGAGGTTCCAGGATGGGGCAGCCCCCACAAGGATTCCAACCTGTGTGGCACCCTGGTGGGTCCCTTGTGCCCGAGACCCCAGTCCTAGGGAGGCTGTGTGGCCCTGAGTTCCCACCCCTCTGCACCTCGCTCAGGGTCCCCACCTCTTCAACAAAGCTGCTGAGCTGCACCATTTTTCTGATCCTGAGATCCAGAAGCTCATGTCTCCTGGGGCTGAGACTCCCCCAAACCCAAACCCAGAGGTGCCACCCGCGACGCCCAGCCCCCCCCCACCCCTGCATTACCTGGGCCATGGCACCCACAGAGCCAGGTCTTCCCCTTTCTGCTCAATACCCAGGGGCTTGCAGTAAGAGGAAGGGAAGCCCGTGACACAGAAGCCAGAGTTTGTTAAATATCTGGGGCCAGGTGAGCAGCAGAGTTTGCAACACGCTCTAGTAGCACATTACTGTGAACTCCACAGGCCCTGACCAGGCTGAGGGCCCCAGGGTGGCCTGGGGACTACCTTGGGCTTGAACCCTCCACCCCTCAGCAGAAGGAGGCTTTTATAGACCAGGGCCCAGGGGTTATCGATATTTATAGAGCCTCAGAGGCAGCTGCTTACATATGCAAAAAAGACACGTTCCTGGAGCTACACTTTACTGGTCTCTTTCTTGAAATACAAACTTAGTTGGCAGTCTCTGAGGGCTTTTGTGTTTTTTTTCTTTTCTTTTCTTTTCTTTTTTTTTTTTTTTTTACAGAATTGAAATTTTGTTGAGACCTGGCTGCTCCTTAAAATGTGGGCACGTGATAGGAAAGGGGTTACCATGTTCAATTCAATTATCAGGGAGAAATCGTGCTGCAGCCACCCAAGGTCCTCACTGCCCCCCCAACCCCCAGAGACTGAGAAGCTAGGGAAAGGGGTGGGAGGGACTGTGGACTGGACAGAAAAAGAGGGCTGTGCCCTGAGAGGAGGAACAGAACCGGGCACAGGCTCGGCAAGTGTGCGTGGAATAACTGCCACCACCCCCCGGCACCGGCTTAGAGCTCGGTCAATACATTTTAATCATTAAACGCAAAAAAAGAAAAGTTCTGATTTTCCTGCCTTGGGTTTGGTGTGTCCCAGTTGTCCCTGAACGCCATGCTCACAAAATTCCTGGAAGCTGCACTTTTGCCCTCCCAGGCAGGGTTTCCCAGGGGACCCCGGTGGGCTAGGGACCGAATGACATCTCCCCACAAGCTGGCTGGCCCTCAAAGCACTCGGCACCTTCTTTTATAGGTGGGAGCTTCCCTAAAGAGGCCTCAGGCACACTTTGGGGAATGCCCTCGAGTCCTCCAAGCCCCTTGGTCCTGCAGGGGCCTCCGAAGACCCACAGGGTGGGAGGTATGGCCTCCCCAGCCAGCTCCAGAGAGCACCTAGCTGATTCCAGAGCAGGGGAGGTGCTGCGGTCTCTTTAAGAGAGAGGAGGGAAGACACAGTGTCAACCCTTGAGCACCCAGAGCCGCCTGCCTGGCTCTTCCCTCTTCCCGGCTCTGCTCTTCCCCGGCGGCTCTGTCGAGAACCTTATCAATGAAACAACACTCCTGGCCCCAGATTGGCTGCCACTTCCAGAGGGGAAGGGGCAGCAAGGAGGTGGGGGGACACCCTGGATCCTTAGAGGACTCTCTTTTCAGTTTTCAGACCTTCTCTTGATGTATTTCAAGGCATCCTAGTGGCACTTCCTCAGTCCCCCACAAGTAAACAAACTCTGTCTCCTCCCCTAACACAGGCAACACTGGGGACTGTCTAAACCCAAGCCACCAGGGCTCAGAGAGGGGGCCCGCGGGGGTGTCAGCGGTGGGGAAGCCTCCGGGTGGTCCCTAGGGGTGCGGTGGCCAAGGACCGGCACATTTGGTAAATTACAGACTGTCTCCTAGCAACAGACAACACATTTAGCTCCACGCGACTCTACCCTCAGGAGGGGGCTAAGAAATAAGGTTGTGGGGGGGGATCCCAAGGAAGAGTGAGGGGGGGTCCTCCCCACGCTGCAGGAAGGGTGGGGAGGGAAAGGGTCGGGCTGACAGGTCTCCCCACGCTCCTCCCCTGCCAGGCTCACCTTTGGTGTCCAGCTCCACGTGGATAATGTTGCCCATGACGGAAGTGCTGTGCAAGTGCTGAACGGCATCCTTGGCTCCCCGGACCGTGGCAAAGACCACCTTGGCGATGCCCAGGTGCTTCTTGGTCTTGGGGTTGTACAAAATCTCCACCTCCTCCACCTCCCCATACTTCTTGCACATGTCCCTCAGGAAGTTTTCACGGATGTTATCATTCAGCTTGGCAAATGTCACCTGCTTCGGAGGCACCGGGCCCACGTAGAACTCATCGATCTGGCAGGGGCCGAGGGGGAAGGGAGTTTGAAGAACGTTTAAACCTAAGGGAAAACACAACATCCCCCCCGCCCCGCCCGCAACTCGCCCACCCGTTGAAAACAATAAAGGGTAAAAAAACTAAAAATTAAAAAAAAAAAAAAAATTTTTTTTGGAAAAAAAAAATGCACGCGGGCGGGCCCGGGAAGCGGAGGATTAAATCGTTTGGAACGTGGAAGTCCTCTGGGTTCGGAAGGAAAGGGGAAAAAGAAACAGTTTCTCTTTCCCCACCCCCCTTTCTGGCCTTCTCTTCCTGCTGCCGGGTCAGGGGCGACCCCTCAGGCTTAAGAAGTTGTCCTGTAGTGGGCTAGCGAGAGGGGAGAGTCTCGGAGCCGAGCCCCCCGCGGGGCGTGCAGGACACTGTATCTGCGCCGTGATTACAGTTTCACCCAGTGTTATTTTGTTTTCAGTAGCTGAGAGGGGACACCCTCTCGCCAGCGCTCTACCCCTCCCCGCCAAAACTTCCCTGGCCCCGGACGGCGGGAACTGGGAATCCGGCTGGGCTCGGTCAGGACTGGCGTTATTTTCGAACTCGGGGAGGTGGGGGAGGGACGGCGGGGCAGTGGGGAGGGGTCCTACCTTGAATTTGGGCACCGACAGCTCCAGCTCCTTGTTTTTGGTCCAGATCCCGACGACCCGGGGATCTTCGACAATTTCCACCGGGCGGTTGCTGGACATCTGTGGGGAGAAATTGGGGGGCCGGGATGAGAGAACTGGTCCCCCTCCCCATGGGCAGACCCCTTTCTCGAGGCACTTGTCAAACTCCAGGGCTGGGGCCCCGTCTGACAGTTGGCCGGGGGATCGGGCGGGGGGTCCCTGGCCGCTAGGCGCGTCTCCCCGGACACGACGCGGGGCACGGCTGGGGGGGCGCGCCGGCTACTCACCGCCAGGCTGAAATGCTGCCCATCGTAGCGGTACAGTTTATGATGCCCCTTTTTCAGAGCCGGGTCAATCATCAACTTGTAACTTCTCCAATGGTGGTTCCTCCTCTCGCCCGAAGGGCCGGGCTGCGGCGGGGGCTGCTGGTGGTGGTGGTGGGGGGGGTGACTGTTCTCCATGCCGTTAACCCAACCTGAAAACCAGCAAGTTGTTGTCGTCTCCGCCGCGGCGGCGGCGGCGGCCGCTTCTACACACACGCGAAAGAATCCAATCGGCAGGCCCCCACCCCCTCCCACCTTGCCAGCGCGCCCCGAAAGGAGCTGTCTCGCTGGCTCCCCCCAAAACAAGAATGGAGCGAGAGAATAACCCTTCCGGGAGAATTACGCGCCCGCCCGCTCGGCCACCGTCTCGGGGCGGCAGCGAGGGGCTCCCGGGGGTCCCCTGGGCGGGCTGGCGGGGCCCGGGGCGCCCGGAGGACGCGGACTCCGGCCCATGGTGCCCGCCCGGCCGCCCGGCGTGGCGCTCACCCGCTAGCTCGGCCCGGCTCTGGCGCGAGGCTGGCGGCAGGGCCTGGCGGCGCCGCCGCCCGCCCGCCCGCTCGCCCGCTCGGGCCAGGGCCGGGGCCGGGGGCTTGGGCCGCCCGGCTGCCGGCCGCGGCCTCTCCCTCCCCGAGCCGCGCTTACATCCCCGCCGGGCGCCGGCCTCCCTGCGCCGCCAGCCAGTACATGGTGTCCCCCGAGGGAGCCGAGGCCGGGGCGGCCGGACCGGGGGCCAGGAAGGGGGGGCGCCGCCGCCGCGGCTGCCGGGCCCGGAGCTGCTGCCGCTGCCGCCGCCGCTGCTGCTGCTGCTGCCCGGGAGGCGGCTGGCGGCGGAGGCTCGGCTCCCAGTAGCCGCACATCCCACAATACACCGCTAAGGAGCCCGACCCGAGCGCTCACCCTCCTCCTCTTCCTCCTCCTCCTCCTCTTCCTCCTCCCCTCTCCTTCCTCGCCGCTTCCCCAGGCACTCTCCCGGCGGCGGCAGCTGCGCCGCCAAAGCCCCGGGCCCCAGCGGCCCCCCACCCCTCACTCGCGCGCTCCCACACTGCCTCCCCCTCCCCGGGGGAAGGCCTTTTAATTTATTTATTTTTCTGGGACTGGGGTGGGGGTCTTGGCTGGCGGGGGAGGGGGTCTCCCCGGGCTCTACCTCCCGCGGCCGGGACTACCCTCAGAGCCGCGACCGCCGCGGCGTGCGTCCCGGGCCTGCAAAACTGTTTCCAAACTGCCCGGGCCGGAGGCGGGCGCGCGGGGCCCGGGGAGATGGCTGGGGTCTGGGGGGCCGAGGGTGTGTGTGGACGCTGGGAGCCGCGGGGGGAGGCCGGCGTCGACTCAGAGGAGTTGCAATCGAGGTATCTGCGCTCCGGCTTCCTCCTGCGGCCCGCGACCCCCTCCCCGGAGCTGAGCTGGGGAAGGGAGACCAGGGTTCACCACGTTAGCATTCGCATTCCTGGGAGGATGCAGCCCTCGCCTGGACCTGGGCGATAGACGCCTTCTTCTGTTTTTATTTTTGGAGGGGAGCGCCCTGTAATTGTCCTGAACACATGCTTCCCCCCCTTCCTCCAGCCACCCGCGGAGGAGAGAGTCCCCCTTTTTTGCATTTATCTTTTCCTTCCCCTTTCTTTATTAAAGGTCCGGGAGTGGCGGCGGCCAATCAGCGCGCGGCTTCCATTTTGTGAGTTCAACTCCGAGGCTCCCGGGCTTCGCGAGGACGCGTTTGCAGCCCCCTCTGCCGCTCCTCTCTGGCGGCCGAGGCGCAGGAGCCGCCTCGCCGGGGCTCGGAGCTGGTGTAGCTCATATTGGGGCTCTTTTCGGGGTTTGTAATTTGGCCGTGGGTAGGTAATTGGCTGGAGCAGGGCGGCAGGGCGCGGCAGCCAATCAGCGCGCGGCTTCTATAGGGCTTGAGTTATTAGACGCTGATCTCAAAACATCCTTCATCAGACACGAAGGAGAGGCCAACAGATGAGGGAAGCCATTTTTCTGCAATGGAATTAAATGGCCAAGTGGGTTTTTCCTTTGTTGCAAATGGGGAATGTTTTTCCTTTGACTCTACCATCCAGTTCAGGACGTCTCAGTGTGTTTAACATTTGTCAACAGGCCCAAGGACTCACAGTTGGAAGACTGGAGAAGACTTTTTAAAAAGATCTGGATTTTTCCTTATGACTTGGAATCCATCTTTGTCTTGTATAACTAGGTCATAGCACACCATTCATGTCAGCAGTTAACAGTTTTGAATTCCAAAAAAACCTAAGTAAATGACATATTTTTTTTCCTCTTTTTGTTCTATGGGTGGGTGGGGGGAGCTTGGAGCTGTCTTAATCTGTATTCTCTTGACTGAACAATAAATTTTTAAATATATCTAGTTTCCTCTATTAAACACTTAAACCTGGCCATCTTATTAACTCCTTCTCTCTTTTTAACAAGGTAATGTTTTAAATGTATATAGCTTTAGGACTAGCGAAATGGCAGCAACAAAAAATTGTGAGCAGTTGTTACTCTTTTAGTTTTTAAAAAACCTTTTACATTGTAAGTACCCAATCCATTCTGTCCTGACGCAGTACAGTTTTGATGTTAATGTTGCTGAGATGTCCTTAATTTTCCGAACCTTCATCTGCATGTATGTCTTTGTCTCTCTTGTCTAATATAAGCCAGTTAAGATGCTTGAGACGATCTTGCTTTATAAAGCTAAGGTTCTAGCTTTATGCTTTTGAAAATGTTTACAGCACTAAATGCTAGTCAGCTTTCTTCCCCGTAGCTTGTACACTTTCTTTGAAAATCGATCTATTTGAAGAAAAACAGCCCTGTTTTTCTCGTCTTTGGTGTTGGGGGTTGGGGGGAGCTGGTGGGTGAGGGAAAGGAAGACCTTTTCTTTGTGTAGAGAGACTAAAGCCGTCACAGGAAACTAGATTAAAACTGGAAAACAAGTCCTAGCTGGTTCCAGCAAACACCAACGTTAAGTGGGGGGTATTTTCTATGGTGGTTGGGCGGCTGGTGCGTCTTGTGCCTTTTGTTTGATTTGACTGTATTTTCGCCTTTTGTCTCTTAATGACGATCACACCATTGCTATATCCAGAGCAGTAAACAGTCCTCAGCGAAGCCGCCTTTTTGCCTACCCAACCCTGGAAAGTTTGCAGAAGTGGAAGGAGCAGAACGTGAGGGTGTAACTTACAAAAAGGTAATAAGAACAAAGACACCACCATAACCCCCAAATTTCCCAACTAAATCAAAAAATATATATGTTTTTACAATAACGTCTCCAAAACCACCGCCCAGCTTGATCTTCTAGACTCCATGGCACCGGGCTGAGCGGGTAAGTAAGAAAGATAAAAAGTGCCTTTTGCCCCTTCGAGGAAACCCTTTTGCAGGCCAAGCAAGGGCTGCAAGTGTTTGGGAGCTGAGAGGAGAAGGAGGATTCTGGAGCATTGTATTTGGCAGCCGGAGCGGGCAGTGGGCGGGGGGTTGGGACACGAAGGGCTCTTCGGACCCCTGTGCCTCTTCTGCCCCAAGGGCGAGAAGACGGGCTTCGCAGCGACCCTCGGGGGTCCATGGAGCCGCCTGCCTTCGCCCCCTCGCTCTTCCCAGGTCTGAACCTGGATGGGGAGAAGAAATTGAAGTGCTTTGGAGACGGGGGGGCTTAAAACACTAGGGAGCCTCATCGCCCAGCCTTGGGCCCACTTTCCTTTCGATCGTGAGGATTCCGCACCCCGAAGCCGGCTTCTCGGGGCTCCGGGGCGCGCCTGCGCTGGCAACGCGAAGGAGGACAAAAGGCCGGCGTCCATGTTGGCACCATGACGCAGCATCTCCGCCCGCAGCCCGGAGCTGCTGTCCTCCCGGCCGCGCTCGCTCCTCCTCCCAAACACCAGTTTTCTTTACAGGCTTCGAGCCCGTCGCGGCTGGGCCGGGCTGGTCTGGCAGGCGGGCCCAGCCGGGCAGGGCTGCTTTGCTAATGGCGGCGGCTCTCTTTCCTTCCTTCCTCCTTTCCTCCGTCCCCCCGGTCGTGGGGAGCCCGGAGCAGGAGGCGGGCCCGCGGCCAGGTCGGGCCCCGAGAGCCCGCGGGGCGCAGCGCTGGCGACCGGGTGTCGGGGGCCGTTTCGGGGGCCGTGGGCCTCGGGGGCGTCGCGCGCCGCGCCTCCCGCGCTCGCCTCAGCCGGGCGCGGCGGCCTGATGGGCGCCATTTCGCGCGCTGCCCGTGGCTGGGGCGGTGGCGGCCGCCGCGCGCCGGGCGGGAGGAGCGGCAGGGGTAGGGGGCTGGGCGACCCGGCGGCCCACGCGGGCACCAGGAGGCCTCGCCCCGGACCGCTTCCCTCTTTCGTCTTTGTCCTGCGCGGGCGCCCGCAGCCGAGGGCCACGGGGTCGGCGGGGCTTCGAGGCCGCCCCGGGTCCCACCGGCTCCTCCGGAAGCCGCGGACCGGCCTGGCCCTGACCCCAGGCCGCCCCCCGCTGCCCACCCAGCTCTGGGCGCCCAGGTCCGACCTCCCAGTCGCCCTCTGAGAGCCGAGTCAGCGCGGGGCGGGGGGTCGCCCCCTTTGTCCTCACTCAGGGCGGGAGGCCCTCGGGGTGGCCGCAGACGCCCCGTTGGGCAGCCCTCCAGCCCAGCTCTCCAGGCAGGAGGTGGGGGAAGCCTGGGAAAGCGGAGGGGGGGCCCCGGGATCCCCCGAGGCGCGGGGCTCCCGGCGAAGCCTCAGATCTCCGGCCCTTCCCGGGGAGGGTGCGGGCGGGGCGGGCCTTTGGAAATGCAGATGAGCCGCCGCCCGGGCCGGGGTTGAACCTTCTGACTCAGCCACCCCCGGCCGCCCGGGCCGCTGGGGGAGGGGCGGCGTCTGGGGTGCTCCCTTTCAGCCCCGGAGCCCGTCTGCTGTGTATTCGGCCGGTCACATCTCTCTCCCCCAACGCCCTGATCCGCCCTCCACCTTCCTCTCCTCCAGGTTCTGGGCCGGAGAAGGGGCGACGTTCGGGCACCCCCCGAATGGACAATCTTTCCTTCTGTCAACGGCAGGGGCAGGCCTAGTTTGACTCTGACAGTCCTCCCACTAAGGTAGGTGTGAGTACTTGCCCAGACCGTGAGGGAGATTTGGGGGGCTCTGGCCTGCAGCCCAGGGAGGGCCGAACCCCAAACACGCCGGGCTGGTTCTGCGGCCCCGCCCCACCCCACCCCCCCCCCCCCAGCTGCGAGCGCGTAGGGCCGCCTGCTGGGCCGCCGGGGCCATCCATCCCCGTCTGTCAGCTTCTGTTGTCAGGCATTTGGGGCGTGTAAGTCTCTGCCGAATATAGCAGCATACGAGAGGATCCACTTGCAAGTATTTCCCAGTTGTGTGTTCTTCGGCGGGGGGAG
Organism: Homo sapiens; assembly: GCF_000001405.40. Lineage (NCBI taxonomy): Eukaryota > Metazoa > Chordata > Mammalia > Primates > Hominidae > Homo > Homo sapiens. The sequence continues at coordinate 121,799,549 of NC_000012.12, read as the reverse complement.
GGCCCTGGGTGCCGCCTACTTCTGAAAGACACAGGTCACTGTCAGAAAGCCCAACTGTGCTGTGGCCTTCCCTCCAGCCGCCCCCGTGGGGCATGTGGGGTGACAGTGTGAGCCGTCCTCTGATGTCTGGCTGCTAGAGAGGCAAAGAACAGAGACCCGAGGTTCCGGCCACCTTTCTCTATGAAAGGGCCTTCCTTGACGCTTCTCCACCTTCCTGGGATTGTTTTCTTCTCCAGTCCCCGAATGGGCAGGCCTGTATATAAGCCTTGTTTCTAGAACCAGACAAAGCTGGATTTGAAACCTGGCGAGCCATTGAACAGCTATGGCCTTGCGTAAGCGGTATAGCCTCCAAGCCTATTTCTCCATCTCCGAAAACAGGGCTAGATCAGTGGTTCTTAGTCTGGAACCGGCATCAGAATCACACCGGAAGGGGGGCTCACTGAAAATGGACCACCGGGCCTGGTGCCCAAGTGTCTGATTCAGTGGGTTGGTCCTTAGGACTGGCATTTCTAACAAGTTCCCAGGTGAGGTGAGGCTGATGCTGTGGTCTGGGAACACATTTTGAGACTCCAGCCCCTAGCCTGGTAACACCTGGGGTTTTGACGCAGAAGTGCCACGTTCCACGCTTGGCACATAGTAATTGATTTCATTCTAACGCTAGCCGACTTCATGTATTGAATAGTTTCCCATCTCAGTGTCTAAGAAGCTCCACAGCTGGAGATGGCGGCCCTTGGTCTCGGAGCCCCCCTCCTTGTGATTTCTGCTTTGTGATTGCTTTGATGAACCATTTGGGTCCAGGTGCTCCTGATCACACCACCTCCCCTATTTGGGACTTGTGCCCCACTCCCGCTGTGAGGGCTACACCGAGCTCTGGGGGCCTGTTCGGATTAACAAGGAGATCTTGCTAAAGGTATCTTGGTGCTAAGTTAAGGGAGATAGTTCGCCATGGGCTAGGATCTCTCAGTGCTGGTGACCTTGGGTGAGTGTCTCCCTGTAAAGTGATAAGGATGCCTGCTGGAAAGGGTGGTGGGAGGATTAAGTGCGTTAAAGAGGCCCTCCTCCCAAGCTTTTAGTTGGCCTCCATTGTGATCGTGGTTATTGCTGGGAGTGGCTGCAGGGGGTGGGGGCTGGGCTGCCTCAGAGCTTCCCCCCGCACCAGCCCACCTGCTGAAGCACGTGTCCCTGCCTCAGGGCAAAGGGGAATCTGGCGCTCCCTGGGAAGGCGGCCAACGCGGTTCTCCTCTGGAGTGGTTGAGTCCAGCTGCAGGCCTTTCCCCATCCACAGGGGCTGTTCCATGATGGGGTCAAGATTTGGGTCACCCACCCATGGTCCGGGGAGAAGTGACTCCCCAAGGTCACAAGGCCACCACCAATAGAGCCAGGATGGGGTTCCAGGTGGCTTGACTTGGCAGCCAGCGCCTGTGCCCATGGCACCCCCTCACCCCAGCTGTCTGGGTTATTTTGGGCTTCCTCCCGTGCCAGCTGTCTGCTGGCATCCCTGCCCGGGACTGTCTGGTTGGAAGTAACTGGCGTGGTGCTGTTGGCTCCTCCTGTGAGGGCCAGGGCTGGGTCTTCAATCCCCGATGAGCCGTGCTGGGTCCAGCTCCTTTGCTGGGAGGGAAGAGTGTTCCTGCCCAGACTCCCCGCTGCCCAAGTACAGCAAGAGGGCGAAAGCACCTGATAAAAATTGAGGTTCACATTGTTAATATCCCAAAAGCCTCCTCCTTCTATACTCCCTGAAACCTGTTTTAAATTTGGCTCTGCCATTGAACCCCGTTGCTCTCACGTTACCCTCTGCCGCCCGAGGGTGTGGCGCCTCCCTTTAGAGTCTTCGTTGCTCTCCGGGTGGGGTCTTTACTCCCCACCTGCTTTGGATAATTAAGTAATTGATGTACGTCTCCCTCCCAGCTGCACCCTGGAGGGCTCCAGCCAGTTTCTCCCCTCCCTGGATCCAATCAGTGAGCTGTTGGGTGCTCAGCTGTGGTCTGGATGTGGTTCTCGGCACGGTGTCGGGACCCACCTGGCTGGACTGTACCCCTCTCTCTCTGCTTTGGTCCCTCTTCTTTCTTTGTCCCCCCACCATCACCTCTTGGGGCAGGGAGGGTGAGGCAGTTTGTCCTCCTGCTGCTGTTCCTGCTGGTCCCTCGAGGGCGCCCCGCCCACCGGTCACCCAGCGAACGCGGGGCGGGGCCGCTGCTGGCGCTGGGCCCCAGGGCTTGCAGAGAGAGGGCCACGCCAGCGGAAGGGCCGGCCAGGAGGTGGCAGGACTTGCCTTACTACTGAGTCGCCGGCATCCCCGCCTCTTCCGGCCTCTCCGCCCGGAGCCCTAGCGTGGAACATGACCTTTCGGACCCTCTGGGTGGAGACACAGCCTCTGCCTGGGCTGTGCAGTGAGGTGGCACCACCATCTCAGGTCGTCTGGCCCAGTGCATCTGTAGCTGGCATGTGACTTCCAGCAAGCTCCTGCCCCTGAGCGCTGGGAGGAGCAGGTCCAGCAATAATTTTTTTTTTTTTTTTTTTGAGACAGAGTTTCGCTCTTGTTGCCCAGGCAATGGTGTGATCTGGGCTCACCGCAACCTCCGCCTCCAGGGTTCAAGCGATTCTCCTGCCTCAGCCTCCGAGTAGCTGGGATTACAGGCATGTGCCACCACGCCCGGATAATTTTGTATTTTTAGTAGAGACAGGGTTTCTCCATGTTGGTCAGGCTGGTCTCAAACTGACCTCAGGTGATCCGCCCACCTCGGCCTCCCAAAGTGCTGGGATTACAGGCATGAGCCACCGCGCCTGGCCGGACAATAATGTTTTGAGCTGTTGCTGAGTCTGGCTTTTGTGACGGGAACTTTTAGCACTCAAGGAGTGGCCTTGTCTCTGGCCTGTCCCCGAGTGCTCATGGGCAGCCAAGGCCTGGGGACTGCTCAGGCAGGGTAGATGTATTTGCCAGGCCAGCTCCCGTCCCTGGGACCTCAGGGAGTAGCTTCATCCCTGAAGGCTGAGTGTCTTCTGCCTCATGTGGGTGGCCCCTCTGCAGGGTTCTCAGGCATCCAGGGAAGTGGGTGCCACAGCGTTGCCTCCAGCCTCACTGGGGCTGGCTGGACTTTGCTCTGACAACACAGCAGTGGCTGGGCCCCTGCAACTCTCCAGGGCTCAGTTTCCCTGTTGGCCGCACTATGGCATAGGCCCCTGTGTGGACACCGATGAGCTGACCCCACAAATGCCACCCGGCCGCTCCCCCAGGCTTCAGTGGCCTAACAGCTGTTGTGTCAGGAACCAGCTTAAAGAATCTTTCTTGCTTTCTCAAACTCTCCAGGAATTCCTGGTGACTGGAAGGGGGAGTGACTCAGGCCCTCAACCTCTAGCAGGTAAGGGAGCTACCTCCTGGGTGGGCATGCCCAGTTCCTCAGTGGGCCCAGCGCGGCCCAGCCTCCGAGGAAGCTCTGAGCAGCTGGCTTGGCTCCGAGGTATTTTTAGCTACAGATCCAGCCCCCCTCCATCACCACAACAGTCGAGTCCAAATCAAACGCGCTCCAGGCAGGTGGGGCTGGGGTTCTGCCAGCCTCCTGGCCAGCAGGGGTGGGTGGGCAGACTGGGGCCAGTATCAGCTGTTCTGCCTGGACCCAGGCCGGGCTGGGAAGGCACACTTGTGCTTATTTCCCGCCTCCACTTCTGTGCAAGCTTGTGCTGTCATAAGCAGAGATCACAGCCCCATTTCTTGGATGGAGAAAGTGGACACTGAGGTCTGAGGCTTTTGAGGACAGTCAGGAGCCCTCCTATGGGCTCCAGTGATGCACTCACCAGCTTCTGGTCCTCTTCTTCCACCTCTTAGAGTGCCTTGGCTCCCTCCTGTCGTCCTGGGGAACCTCGGCCCCAGCCCTGCCTCCCCAGCCAGTCACAGCTCCTCCCTGGTCACCCTGAGGGAGCTCAGGGCCCGGCTGGTAGCTGGGTTGCTCTGCTTCTGTCCCCCACTCCTGTGGAGCCTGGCAGGCAACTCCATGATCTGACCCCGGTTACCTTGACAGCCCTGCCTGGCCTCCCCTCTCATGGCCCAGCCACCCCAGAACCTGAAGAGGTTTTCTAGCTGCCGTGCATTTGCCAGGCTGGGTTACCCACCCTACTTTCCCTGCCTGCCCTCCAGTGCTGCCAGGCCTAGTGTGCCAGCCAGCGCTCAGCCTTCAGTAAAGGGTTCCCCTGCTTCCAACCTCCATTGCACTGCTTCCCCTAAGACTGTGACCTCCTGGAAGGCTGGAGCACAACTGCCTCTCAATAAACGTGTTGCAAAAAAGGAATGGATGAGTTGCTGTGCATTTGTCTAGGGGGTGCTTGACCCAGGAGATTACCCTTTGCCCAGTGCCTGAAGAGGGCGTCCACTGAGAACCTGGGGTGCCTCCCCGGCCTCCCCTTCCCAGCTCTGCTGTGGTCTTGGGATTCTGTGGGCGGTCGCTGCTGCCCTCTGGTGGTCAGACCGTGCCTTGCTTGCACTGTGAGAACCTTGACCATGGAACTGCCAGGTTGGCGGTTTTCCTCCACGAAGTGAGGTTTACATGACCCTTGCCGAGACCTTGAAAACTGGGAGTCTTCGGGGTGGGGTCGCCAGCAAAAAGATCCTGAGTCCTGCCAGCCCCTATCTGAGGAAACTACGAAGGCCACTTGCCCCCAACCATGCTGCTGTTGGGGGTTTTGTTAGAAATGGGCTCTTCCTACCCCAGCTGGTAGGATCCCACTCTCGGCCATGCTCTCGTGCCTGTCTGCCGTGGACCGGCTCCAGGGGGGGGTCCCTCTGCCACCCTGTCGACTCATCTGGGTGGTGCAGAGGGCAGTCAGCCCGCCCAGGGTGAGGAGTAAGAGGAGGGGTGGGGGTTACGGGTAATTCAGCCAGCAGCCCTGATAGCACTGCCTACAGTAAGTGCTCAACAAATAAGCTGTTTTGATCAGGGGATGGGAGAGTTGGGGGGATTCCTGGGATGAAGGACATGTGGCTGCTGGCAAGGAAACGCATTTTCTTACATTTCTTGGTGGGTGTGGGGTTATCAGTCTCCAAAGCTCCAGGAGAGGGACCAAGTTGACTTCAACTAGAGCTACTCCAACCTGCCCCTCCCTGACGACGTCTTGCGTGGTTCACGCCTCTGGCTCCTGCCGGAAGGAGGCGGCCGCCCCTAGTGGTTTCGGGCCAACCTGCGCCCGGAGCGGCCGGCGCCGAGGCGATTGCCCGGCAGAGGGCGTCAGACGTCCACCCTGCAGCCCAGGGTCGGGGTGCGGGTAAGCGGAGCCCAGTCCCTCACCCCGAACCCGCGTGCACGCTGGCGTCCCTGGCCCAGGCGAGGTGGGCAGACATGACTCTCGCGTCAGCATCTTCCCTGGTGCCACCGCCGCTACCTCCTGTGGGGAAGCTGAGGCCAGAGGCGGACATGTGCCAAGCCACACCGCTGGGGCAGTGCAAAGTTGAGGGGCTCTTCCCGGAGCTGGAGGCCGGGGGCTTCTCGAACCCGGTGCGGAGGCACAGCCAGCCAATCCGGGAGACCCTGTCTGGCCGCGCCAGCCAATCAGAGGGTCCCTGCCGAAGGCGGAGCCTGCTAATCAGGGGCACCTGGAGTCGCTGGGCAGCCACGATCGGGTCTCGCCGGCGAGGGGCGCGACGTGACGCGCGGAGGGTGGCGGTGGGTTGGGGGTGGGAGCTTTGCTCGCAGCTGAGCCCCGTTTTTCCGGTGCTGCAGTATCCCTGGGACTGAGAGCTGAATACCCACACCCAGGGCTGAGACCTTAGCAGAAAGGAAACTGAGGCTGGGAGGTCGGCCGGGAGGCTGCCTGGCGGAGGCGGCGCTGCTCCGAGTGGGCGGGGCTGGTTCCGGCCCCGCCCCGCCCCCGACCTCTTGGCTCCGCTAGTGCCCGGCGCGCCGCCGCCAGTGCTGCGGGCTCCGGGCAATGGATGCCCCCGGGGCCCTGGCCCAGACCGCCGCCCCCGGTCCGGGCAGGAAGGAGCTGAAGATCGTGATCGTGGGCGACGGCGGCTGCGGCAAGACCTCGCTGCTCATGGTGTACAGCCAGGGCTCCTTCCCCGAGGTGAGGCCCGCAGCGGGGCTGGGGTGGGGGCGAGGGACGCCCCTTACCCTGAGCCCAGAGCCCCGACCCTCAGTCCCCAGCGTCCCGAGCACGGACAGGCGGCCGCCACCCCGGGGCGCCCCCTCGGGAATTCCAGAGCCCAGCGGGGTGAGGGGGGGCTGATCCGGGACGAGTGAGGGGGGTGGACAGTGGATTCAGCTGGAACTTTGGCCCCCGCCGGCCCCACTAAGGACCAACCCGACCCCCTCTCCCGCAGCACTACGCCCCATCGGTGTTCGAGAAGTACACGGCCAGCGTGACCGTTGGCAGCAAGGAGGTGACCCTGAACCTCTACGACACGGCCGGTGAGTGCGCCTGCGCGCCGGGGGGCCCGAGGGTCCGCCCGCCCGAAGGGTTTCCCCTCCCGGGCGTCCCCCACTGGGTGTCCCCGCCCTGCAGCCTTGGCAGGGCCTTGGCCGGCTCTTCACTCCTGGAGGCCGCTCAGGGGCGCTGGCTGCGGGGCCCTAGAGGCCAAGCCCTATACGTAAGTGGAAGGTGTTTGGAGGAGGAGGTGAACTCTGGGGCCACCCTCCCAGCTCTGTGCTGAGAGCCCACAGCTCGTTCCTCTCCTGTGGTTCTAGAAAGCAGTGGGCTGCTCTTGGGCCTCCCATGGTTCCAGGATTGCTGCGCTACCTGCTGTGGTCTCTGCAGACTCTGTGAGCTGCAGATTTGAGTCCCTTGGTGCTCGGATTGCCTGGGCTGTGTGTCTGGGTCCTGTGGTTCTGGGATGCTCCCGGCTGCAGATCAGCCTGTGGCTCCAGGGCTCTGTGGCCTGCGCTCTGCAGCCTGAGGCTCTGGGGTCCTGTGGATGCGAGTTCTGTGTCTGCAGCTCCCAGGATTCCACGGCTTGCAGTTGGTGGTTCTGGAATTGCGTGGCTACAATTACTTCTGTGCTTTCCTAGTTCCCTGGGACAAAACCAGACAGTGTAGAAAATGAACTGAGGAAGGAACAGAGCACTGGGGGCAGGGGCCCCACACCAGGCTCTGCCTGCCACCTGCAGGCCCCCACGGGTGGTTTACGGATTTATGTGCAATTGCTTGGGAGTCGGTGTTGTGAGGGGTGGGGACAGGAGAAACAGTCAGTGGGAGGACCCTGACTCCCATCTGGGCTTCATCAACATTGGGGACCAAAGGTTGAGATCCCCAGGTGGGGCCTCACCCCACCTCTGTGACTCAGTGTTTAGTGACCTGCAGGGAACCACGTCATCCGGTGGCCCTCTCCGGCCAGCCAAGCCTTGTGTGTGTGAGGTGAGGTCAGACACTGACCTAGGATGGAGCCAAAATCCAGACACCTCCACCCCCACCTAGACCTTGGAGAGGACCCGAAAAGGGGCTGTCCTAGCTCAGAGCCCCCCTCCATTCCGACTTCAGCAGGTCCTATCGTGGCCTCTGAGGAACCTGTCTTTGTGGGATGTGGGCCCTGTAGGGCCAACCCCAAAACAGCGCCTGTCTCTAGCCCCTGGTGAGCTGGGAGAGCTGAGGCATCAGAGGAATTCCCGGGGCGTGGCCCGGGGGTAGTAAAAGTCATGGTCTGGGACACCTTTACTCTCATGTTTCCTGTGCAGTAGCCAGGGAGGGGCAAGGTCATTGACCCACTTTTTGAGTCAAGTGCTGCTGGGTGGAGACATTCACAGCAACCCACTGCCCTGCAAGAGGTCAGGAGGTTTTTTCTTTCCTCCTCCTCTGCCATCAGGGCCTCCCCTATCAGGTCCCGGGGTTCACTGTTCAGGGCAGCCTCCACATCATAAGAACAGGGATGGCCTTTCTGGCCTTGCCCAGAGAGAGATGCTCAAGGAACATGTCAGAGTAGATTGAGTTGTGGAGATTCTGGAAAGCTGCAAGTTGCTGTAGGAAGAATTTGTGCTAAGAGCTGCTACCAGAGGGATGGAGGAGCATCCCCTGCTACAGTCACCAGAAGCAGGCGACCACTGGCACCATGGGGATCCCATCCATGGTCCCATCCTGTTCCTGCCATCCTCTTTGGAGTCAGATCTGGGCTTTGACCCCAGCTCTATTGGCTACGTATCATTGGGGATGTCTGGGCCTCAGTTTCCTGATCTGTCATGAGCACTAAGAGGGTCATGAGGATTAAATCAGATTAATATATGATGTCCACCAGCCTGCCCAACATGGTGAAACCCCATCTCTACTAAAAATCCAAAAATTAGCTGGGTGTGGTGGTGGGCACCTGTAATCCCAGCTACTCGGGAGGCTGAGGCAGGAGAATCGTTTGAACCCGGGAGGCAGAGGTTGCAGTGAGCCGAGATTGTGCCATTGCAGTCCAGCCTGGGTGACAGGGCGAGACTACATCTCCCAGCACTTTGGGAGGCTGAGGCAGGAGGATTGCTTGAAGCCAGGAGTTCAAGACCAGCCTGGGCAACATGATGAAACCCCGTCTCTACTAAAAGTATAAAAATTAGCCAGGCGTGTTGGCACATACCTATAGTCCCAGCTACTCGGAAGGCTGAGGCAGGAGAATTGCTTGAACCCAGGAGGCGGAAATTGCAGTGAGTCAAGATCACGCTACTGCACTCCAGCCTGGGCAACAGAGCGAGACCCTGTTTCAAAAAATAAAAATTAAAAAAAATTAAAAAGATCCTCCTACCATCCCTGCCCAGCCCTAGCTCAAGCCTGTGCTTTGGAATCTACGGTGCCATGCCCCAAGCTGACCCCCAGACCCTGCTGCAGCGGGGAGATCTATCTTCCCTGGCAAGTCTCTTCCAAGCAGCAGAGAAGCAGGGCTCAGGGGAGGTGGCTAGCCTCACAGTCTGACAGACCCCAAGGAGGGGCACCCAGGGAGAAGAGATCTGGCTGCTCCCTGTAGGGTATCCCCCCGTGACCAGGGAAGGCTTGCTCATAGGAGGAAATCCCCTGGTCAGTGAGTGCCACCAGGGAGAGCCCAGGTCCCAGTGCTTGTCATGGAGCAAGGCCTGGAAGGTGATGGAATGAATGGGTAGTGGATCCGAATGCCGGAGATGATTCATCTCGGCCTGCAGGTGGACGGCTCTCAGGAGAACAGGACAGAAAGCCATGGCCAGGCGGCCACGTAGAGAGAGGCAAAGGCCAAGAGGGTGAGGGAATGGCCAAGCCAGAAATGAGTCTAGTAAACGTAGTTGTAGAAAGTTCTAGAACCCAATGGGCCACACACAGTGGCGGAAGGGGCATCTTCCCGACTGGTGGCCACCAGAGCTGTGAGACAGGGGTGGCTCTCAGAGGCTGAATTTCTCCACACCCAGGACCAAACGCTGGTCCTGGGCAGGGGCCGGACGCTGCCCACAGGGGCCCTCGTGGAAGGCCCGTGTGGCTGTCTCCCTCCTGAGGAAGTAGTTACAGACACCACAGCGGAGGGAGGGCAGATCGGGTGACGGGGCTCGCAGGGCTCAGAAGGGAAGGGGCGGGGGCCATGGCACTCACTGCTCTGTCGGCCTCACCGGGGCCCTGACATCCTCTGAGGCAGGAAGCTGCGGTGAAGTCTGAAGTTTCCTGGGCCGGGGGAGGCGGGGTGAGGTGGGCTGTGAAGACACAGACGGGAGAGTGAGCTCATCAGGGCCAAGGTGTGGGGTCCAGGGTTAGAGGGGCACAGGATGGGATAGGGGTTGCCCGGGGAGCGGTGGTCCCCTTTTCAGCCTGAGATGGGAACAGAAAGAAAATTGTTAGGCAATGGAGTAGGATTTGCTAAGACAAGGAACCAGGGACAGATGTGTGTTGTGAGCCCCAGAAGCACCGGAGGCCTGGGCTGAGACAAGGCTGGGGTCACCCAGAAGGTGGTCTCAACTCCCAGCTGGGGCTGCCCAGCCCCTGTCTCCCTGGGAAAGCACAGGTGGGCGGCCCCCAGCAGAGTGAGTAAAAGTGGGTTCCTCTTCTGGCAGCTTCACTTCTCATGCTGCCAGTACCCCTCCCTGACCAACGCCGCAGCTGGAGCTGGGGTCCACCCGCCCTGTGTGTCCTCCTGCAGATTTGAGGTCTTTTTTCCTCAACTCTGCTCTGGGCCTTAGAGACCCCTGTCCCTGGAAGCAGGACTTCCTTGGCAAAGCCTCATCCCACCAAGAAAATAGCCCTGTGTGCGGCATGAGCCTCCCTTCCGCCCAGCCCTGCCGCACCGCCTGAGTGCACGTCAGGACGATGGGCGGCTCTAGGGGGAGCCCAGGCCTAGAGACTTCCTCACCAGAAGCACGTGCATCCTTTGCATGTAATTCCTGGGTTTTTTTTTGAGGTGGGGAATGGTTAGAGACAGGGTCTCGCTCTGTCACCCAGGCTGGAGTGCCATAGCATGATCATAACTCATTGCAGCCACAGCCTCTTGGGCTCAAGTGATCCTCCCATGTCAGCCTCCCAAAGTGCTGGGATTACAGGTGTGAGCCACCACGCCTGGTCTACCTGGGCTGTTTTAACCTCTAAGCCCATCTGCAGAGGCTGGATGGGCCCCCTCTGTGACTACGGGCAGGTGACATGGACCCTTTCAGCCCTGGTATCATTTTAGGTAGAATGTGGAGGGTAATGGTATCACCTGGTGGCTGGGAGGCCCCTGAAGCTTCTGGGTCCAAAGATTCTGGGGTTCTGACCACCCACCATGCCAGGCTATTAACTTCTCCTGGAAGTTTCAACAGTAACCACAATAGCAGTCCTCCTGCCTCCCGGCACTGCCCCCCACTCCACCCCTGCCCCTGCACTGCTCCCGCTCTAAGCATTGCCTCCCTTCTCCTGGGCTTTCACCTTCCAGATTAGGGGGAGGGTTATCACTGTTATCACCCCCTCTCCCAGATAAGGAAATTGACACCCAGAGAGGGAAATGTGGGCGTCAATTCGAGATGTGGAGGCTGCCCTGAACAGTCCTGCCCAGAATGTGCATGAGTGAATGGAACCTGACCCTCCTGACTCATATGAGAGAAGGTATTTATTAATAGTACGCTCCCCCATCCCCAAGTGGGCATGGGGTTGGTGCACACGGAAGTAGTCCTCTGCAGGCCTGGTCCCCCCACCACCCCCACGCCCCAAAGGCCCACACTGAATTCTAGGGAAAGCTGGGTTGGGCAGAGTCAAGCCAGGAAGGCAACCTGGAGGAGGTGCTGGAGTCGGAGCTGGCTGCCTCTCCCTTTCCAGAGGCCCTCTTTCTTGAGAGGGCTGACATTTTTCCTCACCTGGTCAGGGCTGGGACAAGTAGGGTGAGGATTCCTTCCTGTTTTCTGGGGTAGGCTAAGAAAAAAAAATACTCCAGTAAGGTCCTCTGTTATTTACAAAGCTTCCCCTTAGCTGTGTGGCCTGGGGCAAGTCACTCCAGCTCTCTGTGCTTCCGTTTCTCAGCCTGTAAAATGGGGCCAACAATAGTGTCTACCTTGTAGGGCTTTTGGGGGAAAGATGAGTTAATCCAGGTGAAGGGCTTTGAGCTAGACCTGGCATGTAACACAGTGGTACACACCTGCGGCCCCAGCTCCTCAGGAGGCTGAGGCAGGAGGATGGCTTGAGCCCAGGAGGTTGAGGCTGGAGTGAGCTATGATCACACCACTGCACTCCAGCCTGAGCAACAGAGCAAACCCCGCCCCCCCCCCCTTTTTTTTTTTTTTTTTTTGAGGCAGAGTCTCACTCTGTTGCCCAGGCTGGAGTGTAGTGGTTCAATCTCTGCTCCACCTCCCCAGCTCAAGTGATTCCCCTGCCTCAGCCTCCCAAGTAGCTGGGATTACAGGCATATGCCACCACATCCGGCTAATTTTTGTATTTTTAGTAGAGACAGCGTTTCACCATGTTGCCCAGGCTGGTCTTGAACTCTTGACCTCAAGCGATCCGCCCGCCTCAGCCTCCCAAAGTGCTGGGATTACAAGCATGCGCCACAGCGCCCGGTCTAGACCATGACTTTTATATGAGAGAAAGAGAGTCGATATTAACCATCTTTATTATGACTGTCATCAAGGCTCGCTCACTTTTCACATCTCCATTTCACAGATGAGAAAACTGAGGCCCAGAGGTTAATTCCCGGTTGGGAAGGCTGGGGACAGCTTCCTGGAAGAACTGGTGCTTTTAGAATGGCCTGGCAGGCAGCTGACCTTGGGGACTGGTTGGCCTCTGGCTCACAGGGTGCTTGTCTCTGACCTTGACAAAGGCCCCCTCCACCACTTGCGTTCTTAACAGGAAGAACTGTCCCCACCCAGCGCACCTCCCAGGGTGGCTGCTTGAATGAACACAGGTCAGGAAGTGGAATGCCCTTGCCAAGGCTGCAGGGCACCTAAAGCCAGAGAGATGACGATTAACCCTCTTCAACCACTCCTTCCTTTGAGCCTTCCTTCACCAAACAGGTATTGAGCTCGCCTGTGTTCCCAGGGACCCAACAGTGAACAGCACAGAGGTGGTTCCTGCCCGCAGGAGAGGCAAACCAAAAAACCCAGAGAATTACTGTTTTTTTTGTTTTTGATTTTTGTTTTTGTTTTGAGACAGAGTCTCGCTGTGTTCCTCAGGCTGTAGTGAAATGGCACGATCTCAGCTCACTGCAACCTCAGCCTCCTGGGTTCAAGCAATTCTCCAGCCTCAGCCTCCCAAGTAGCTGGGACTACACGTGCCTGGCCCCATACCCGGCCAGTTTTTTGTATTTTTAGTAGAGACAGGGTTTCACCATGTTGGCCAGATTGGTCTCGAACTCCTGACCTCAAGTGATCCACCTGCCTCAGCCTCCAAAAGTGCTGGGATTACAGGTGTGAATCACCCCGCCCGGCCCCAGAGAAGTATTGTGAAATCAGGTAGGGGTGAGAGCCATGAGTAAAGCCACTGTCATGGGGCAGACTGCCAAGGAAGCTGTTTCAGAGCAGTCAGGAAAGGTCTCTGGGAGGAGGCGACATTCCATAGAGCCCTGAAGGAGAGGAGGGAAGGAGCCACACTGCTCCCTGTTGAAAGAGCCTTCTGGAGGAGTGAACAGCAAGGGCAGAGGCCCCAGGAAAGGCAGGCAGGGTGTGACTGCCTCCAGCGCCCCGGGGCTGACTTCTTCCCTCACCCACTGCAGCCTGATGCCTGCCCCGCCACCTCCTGTCCTGATGTCACTGCATGCCATAGTTGCCAAACCCAGTGGGCAAGTCTCAACCCTTGTCTCTGCTGTGTGTGACGAGAGTGGAACAACCTTGGCTGACATGGTGGCTCACGCCTGTAATCCCAGCACTTTGGGAGGCCGAGGCAGGTGGATCATCTCAGGTCAGGAGTTTGAGACTAGCCTGGCCAACATGGTGAAACGCCGTCTCTACTAAAAATACAGAAAAAAGGCCAGGTGCTGTGGCTCACACCTGTAATCCCAGCACTTTGGGAGGCCGAGGCGGGTGGATCACAAGGTCAGGAGATCGAGACCATCCTGGCTTACACGGTGAAACCCCGTCTCTACTTAAAAAAATAAAAAAAAAATTAGCCGGGCGTGGTGGTGGGCGCCTGTAGTCCCAGCTACTCTGGAGGCTTGAAGCAGAAGAATGGCGTGAACCCAGAAGGCGGAGTTTGCAGTGAGCCGAGATCACGCCACTGCATTCCAGCCTGGGCGATAGAGTGAGATTCTGTCTCAAAACAAACAAAGAAAAGAAAAGGCTGGGCACGTGGCTCACACCTGTAATCCCAGCACTTTGGGAGGCTGAGGTGGGCGGATCACGAGGTCAGGAGATCGAGACCATCCTGGCTAACACAGTGAAACCCCGTCTCTACTAAAAGTACAAAAAATTAGCTTGGTGTGGTGGCGGGCACCTGTCAAGTCCCAGCTACTCAGGAGGCTGAGGCAGGAGAATCGCTTGAACCCGGGAGGCGGAGGTTGCAGTGAGCTGAGATCGCACCACTGCACTCCAGCCTGGGTGACAGAGTGAGACTCCGTCTCAAAAATAAAATAAAATAATAAAAATACAAAAAAAATTAGCCAGGCATGGTGGCACCTGCCTGTAGTCCCAGCTACTCAAGAGGCTGAGGCAGGAGAACCACTTGAACCCAGGAGGCGTAGCTTACAGTGAGCTGAGATCGTGCCACTGCACTCCAGCCTGGGCAACAGAGCAAGACCCTGTCTCCAAAAAAAAAAAAAAAAAAAAAGTAAAGAAAAAAAGAAATGAGAGAAGACGTCCAAGGGGGCCCCATTTTATAACCTTATCCACGGTTTCACTTTCTGTAGTTTCAGTTACCTGAGGTCTGAAAATATTACCTGGAAAATTCGAGAAATAATTCATAAATTTTAGATCATGCACTGCTCTGAGCAGCGTGATGAGATCGTGCGCTGTCCTGCTGCATCCCACCCGGGATATGATTCGCCCCTTCCTCTGTGTATCCCTGCTGGAGACACCACCTGCCTGTGAGTCAGTCAGTAGCTGGCTCGGTAACAAGCCAGGCTGGTCTTGAACTCCTGAGTTCAAGTGATCCTCCCGCCTTGGCTTCCCAAAGTGCTGGGATTACAGGTGTGAGCCACGGTGCCTGGCCCTGTTTTATTTTATTCTTGTTGTTAATCTCTTACTGTGCCTAATTCATAAACTAAGCTGTCTTATAGGTGTGTACATATAGAAAAAAACAGCGTATCTAGAGTTCTAGACTGTGGTTTCAAACATCCACTGGGGGTCTTGGAATCCACCCTTGTGGGTTAGGGGGACTAATGTACCTGTTCACTCCGGCCATATTTGTAAAAGGGAATAAGTTATGCCAGAACTGTGAACCCCATTGTTACATCTTAAAGGACCAGAACCTATTTTTGCACAATACAAAACAAAATAGCACGTTAGTGTGTATCAGCAGAAGGAACATCCCACTTGGAATTTCATGAGCTGGGGTTGACTCCTGGCCCAGTCACTGAGTCATTGACCTCAAGCAAATCACTTCATTTCTGTGACTCTCAGGTTCTTCCTATGTTGTGGGAGTATTCATCATTTCCCTACCATATCTGGCTGTCATGTAAGGATTTTTTTTTCTTTTTTTTTTTTTTTGAGACGACGTCTTGCTCTGTCACCCAGGCTAGAGTGCAATGGCACGATCTCGGCTCACTGCAACCTCTGCCTCCCAGGTTCAAGCAATTCTCCTGCCTCAGCCTCTGGAGTAGCTGGGACTACAGGCACCTGCCACCACACCCAGCTAATTTTTGTATTTTTAGTAGAGACGGGGTCTCACCATCTTGGTTAGACTGGTCTCAAAATCCTGACCTCGTGATCCCCCTGCCTCGGCCTCCCAAAGTGCTGGGATTACAAGCATGAGCCACCACGCTTCACCAAGGATTTCTTAACCATTTCTAGACTAAAGCACCCTGAAAACTGCATAGAGTATAGGATGTATTATTATAAAGGCAGTCGCAGAGGGCAGGCAGTTATCCTCAAAAGGGAAAAAATATAGATGGTTAATCTGGATGTTTAAGAATAAAATGCTAGAGAGAAAACGGTGAAAAGAGAAATGAGGGAAGGACCTTCCTGGCATGTGGAACAGCAAGCACAAAGGCTGGGACATGAGAGCTTGGTGGGTTTGAGAAACAGTGAGATGGTGCCTTGGCGGGACTGCAGTGAGCAAGCGGGTGTGGCAGGCGATGAAGTCATGTGAACCAGGGGAGATGTTTGGATTTTATGCAAAGGGCAATAGGGGCCAGGCACGGTGGCTCATGCCTATAATCCCAGCACTCTGGGAGGCCGAGGCAGGTGGATGACCTGAGGTCAGGAGTTCAAGACCAGCCTGGCCAAGATGGCAAAAACCCCATCTCTACTTAAAAAATACAAAAATTTCATCCCTGTAATCCCAGCACTTTGGAAGGTCGAGGTGAGTGGATCACCAGAGGTCGGGAGTTCGAGACCAGCCTGACCAACATGGAGAAACCCCATCTCTACTAAAAATACAAAATTAGCTGGGTGTGGTGGTGGGCGCCTGTAATCCTAGCTACTCGGGAGGCTGAGGCAGGAGAATCACTTGAACCTGGGAGGTGTAGGTTGCAGTGAGCCGAGATCGCGCCATTGCACTCCAGCCTGGGCAACAAGAGCGAAACTCTGTCTCAAAAACAAAAATTAGCCAGGCATGGTGGCAAGCACCTGTAATCTCAGCTACTTGGGAGGCTGTGGCAGGAGAATTGCTTGAACCCGGCAGGCAGAGGTTGCAGTGAGCTGAGATTGGGACACTGCACTCCAGCCTGGGTGACAGAGCGAGACTCTTGTCTCAAAGAAAAGGTGGGGGGGGGGGCAATAGGGAGCCATTGAAGATGCTTCAGTTGTGGAGAGGGGGCCAGGATATGACTTGTGTTTTAAGATCCATCCAGCTGTCAGGTGGATAATGGATTCATCAAAGGGCTGCAGGAGGCAGGGAAGAGGGACAGACGAGGACTTAGATGAGGATGGTGTAGGGGCGGGGGGTGGCCAGCAGTAGACAGGGGCCCACCGTCCAGTAGAACTTTCTGCAGTGGAGGAAATGCCGTGCACCTGCCCCAATCACTGCATTAGCCATGAGCCCCGGGCGGCAGTTCATCACCTGAAATGAGGCTTGTGCAACTGAGGCGTTGAATGCTTTATGTTAATTCATTTTTTATTTTTATTTTTATTTTTTTTGAGACAGAGTTTCGCTCTTGTCACCCAGGCTGGAGTGCAATGGTGTGCCTTGGCTGGTGACAGCCCCGTGAGGTAGATTTTATGATTTTCATGTCCCAGATGGGGAAGCCAAGACTCCCACCACTGTCCTGTCTAAGTCAAGGTCACACAGCCAGTGAGGGCAGAGCTGGGATTTGAACATGTGTCTCATCTGTCTCTAGTGACCTCACCCTTAAGCACTGTTCCATGGGGGAGCTGGCTGAAGACTTTTGGAGGTCCCTGGGTTGAGGGGGATCCAGTGGGGAGAGGGTGGCCATGCCCCATCACCAGCAAGGGGTTAGGAGCAGACATGGCCTGGTGGTACTCCGTGGAGAGGCCACTTGTCCTGAGAGGTGTCTGGCAGAGAAGGAACGGGGGGCAGGCTGGTGCCACCCAGCACCTGCAACAGCTGCGGACAGGGCAGGGGGATTCCTGGGCCTCCACGTTCCTTGTTCAGTGGAAGGAAGTGGAGGGGCGGGGGGCTGGTCACCAATGAGCCTGAAAAGCTCTCAGTTCTCACTGTGGGGATTTTAAAAAAATACCGGGGCAGGATGACTAAGTGCAGTGTAGAACCCTGGGCTGGGCTGGCTCCTCAACGGGGAAAAAAATAAAGGACAATATTGGTGAAATGGTCAAAATCTGACTATGGTCTGTGGATCAGATTAGAATGCAGAGTCCATGCGGTTTCTGGGGGCTTGGGGCAGGGGAGAGAACGCCCTTGTTCTCAGCAGATAGGCGCTGAGCTAAGGGGTGAAGAGGCAGATGTCTACAGTTACCGTGCCCTGACAGGGAGAAACAGAAGTGTCTGTCTCCAGATAAAGTCAGAGGGGCCAATGCAAACAGGTGGTGAATCACAGTCAGAGAGCTCTTCATACTCGTGTTGCAATTTTACTGTAAGTTTGAAACTGTCAATACAAAAAGTTACAAAGAATTGTTTATAAAGAAGAAGAAGAAAAAAGCAAACCCAACCAAGCTCAAGCCTAGATCCGTATTTGGATTCAGCTCGTCTCGGGGCGGAGCCAGGCGTCACGGCCTCCGGATTAAAGTATCCCCCCAGGGAGTGTGCTCTGTGAATCTGGGTGGGGAGGGCGCTCGGTGCTGTTCCCAGCAACCCACCACCCTCCTCCTAGTGCTTGCAAGAATAGGCAGGGAACTCAGCTGACTGCATCAGAACCTGAGAAGCTGGAGGCTGAAGCCAGACACCAGCCTCTCAGGACTTGGGGACACTATGAGCCCACTCAGCCCCACAGGTCTGAATCTTTGGGGAGGGGAGGGTTCCAGTCTGCACTCTGCCCTTGACCATCAGGGCAGGGGGATCACACTGGCTATCGGCATCATCTCTAGCAGTTTCTCCAGCCCCAGCCCTAGAATCAGGCCAAGCTCTCAGCACTGCGTGGGTTTGATCTTGAGGATTCTTTACCACCATCCAGGACTGGGGGGCTGCCGCTCATGGGTTTTGTTGTTAAGAGACAGGGTCTCGCTCTGTCACCCAGGCTGGAGTGCAGTGGCATGATCACGGCTCACTGTAGCCTTGACCTCCTGGGCTCAAGCGATCCTCCGGCCTCAGCCTCCCGAGTAGCTGCGACCACAGGCCTGTGCCAGCACTCCTGGCTTGCTGCCCATTGTATAGATGAGGAAATTGAGGCCCTAAGGCAGGGTCACTTGCCTGGCCCCTTCCCCTTCACCCGTCAGAGTCCAGACAGGGAGGGGACGTCCCCTGACCCCCGCTGCTCTGTGCTTTCAGGGCAAGAAGACTATGACCGGCTGCGGCCCCTGTCCTACCAGAACACCCACCTCGTGCTCATCTGCTATGACGTCATGAATCCCACCAGCTACGACAACGTCCTCATCAAGGTGAGGCCGGCCTCCTGGGTGGTGGCCCCACATCTGGGCCCGGCCGCACCCCTGATCCCGCCTCCTCCCTCCACAGTGGTTCCCTGAGGTCACGCATTTCTGCCGCGGGATCCCCATGGTGCTCATCGGCTGCAAGACAGACCTGAGGAAGGACAAGGAGCAGCTGCGGAAGCTCCGGGCCGCCCAGCTGGAGCCCATCACCTACATGCAGGTGGGCCGGGGC
The DNA here is from genome assembly GCF_000001405.40 of Homo sapiens. Taxonomy (NCBI): domain Eukaryota; kingdom Metazoa; phylum Chordata; class Mammalia; order Primates; family Hominidae; genus Homo; species Homo sapiens. Next base: position 121,780,859 of record NC_000012.12, on the reverse strand, counting down.
CAAGACCCTGGGGCACAGCCGTGGCTGTGAAGCCTCCCGGACCTTTGGCCTCTGCAACTGGGGTGCCTTAGTGGCCTTTCAGGGAGCTGAGGGAAGCAAGATTCTAAGAATAATTTTTAACTATTAGTATTGATGGCCTGTGGACCTGAGCACTTTACACGACTACTCCCAATCCTTAGGACTCGGAGGCAGGCGCTGTTCACATCCCCCAGTTTACAGGGGGAGAAACTGAGGCCCAGAGAGGTTAAGCAGCTTGCCCAGGGCCACACAGCTAGCGAGAAGTGGAGCCAGGATCTGGTCCCATCCACTGCAATCCAAAGTCTGTGCTATGAGCCGCCGTCCTGTCGTGTCCTGTCTGCCTTGTTTGAAAGTAGGCGTCCCCTTCACGGGCCAATTGACCGTGCAACTCTTTGGGTGAGGCATGGGGGAATAAACAGAATAAAAGGAATGCAAAGGCAAAAAGAAACTTTCACAAGAAATAACCATTAATAAGGGCAAATCCGGCCGGGCATAGTGGCTCACGCCTGTAATCCCAGCACTTTGGGAGGCCGAGGCGGGCGAATCACCTGAGGTTGGGAGTTTGAGACCAGCCTGACCAACATGAGAGAAACCCCATCTCTACTAAAAATACAACATTAGCCGGGCATGGTGGCGCATGCCTGTAATCCCAGCTACTCGGGAGGCTGAGGCAGGAGAATCGCTTGAACCTGGGTGGCAGAGGTTGTGATGAACCAAGATCGCGCCATTGCACTCCAGCCTGGGTAACAAGAGCAAAACTCCATCTCAAAAATAAATAAATAAAAGGGCAAATTAATTTGCCTAAATGGTACTTTCAGAGAAGGGAGAGAGGTGGCTGGAAGTCCTTTCTGTCTTGAGGCCTCCAACTCTTCTCACAGGCCTGGGAGACACCTGGGGGAACCAACCCCGGGTCTCAGGATTCAGCCCCTCCCTGCCCGGAGCTGGAGAGAGGCCAGGGTGGGGGCCTGGACAGGGCTTCTTCCAACCTGCGGGCTGCACTGCCCTGGCCCTCCATTCCACCCACACACTGTGAGGGGCAGCCAGGATGGAGGAGACAGACAGGCCCAAACCAAGGCCTCCATCCCTGCAGAGTCCTCAGAGCCAGTCCCAAACCCACCAGGTGGTGCTAGGAGACCTCCAGGGGCCCCTCACCTAATGCTGGCTCCTCCCCCCACCCAGGGCCTGAGCGCCTGCGAACAGATCCGAGCTGCTCTCTACCTGGAATGTTCCGCCAAGTTTCGGGAGAATGTGGAGGACGTCTTCCGGGAGGCCGCCAAGGTGGCTCTCAGCGCTCTGAAGAAGGCGCAACGGCAGAAGAAGCGCCGGCTCTGCCTGCTGCTCTGACCCAGGGCAGACAGACCTCACGACAGCACTGACAGGGCCCGGGGGCCCAGGTGCCGATTGCACCAGGGAGGCTGCCCCATCCCGACCCTCCAGCTCATGGTGTCTGGGGCCTGCGGCTAGACTCTTGGAACATTCTGGAACTCTCTCCTTTCCTGGCTGGGGCTCTGACCACAAACTCCCCTCCAGGCTGCCCCTGGGACATGGTGGTGATGTGGGTGCAGGAGCCAGTGTCTGTTGTCGGGACTCGCAAGTGCCCTCATCACAGCCACCCCCACCACGAGTGTCTCCCCAGTGCAGACTCAAGTTATGCTTGAAATGAAAAAGTCTATCTGGTAGTGGGTAAACGTAGACCTGGCACTGTTCCACGCGGGCGCCCCAAGCCTGCCACTCCTGTGTCCCTGCCTCCCTGGGCTCCCGAGATAGGCACCACTGTATCCTCCAGCTCCTTCCTTCCTTCCCCCAGGAACACGGAGGCCACCGAGGGGGCTGGGCCTATCAGGAGGACACAGGCTGCAGCCTGGCACCCACCCCTCCCATCTCCACCCCACATGGAAGACTTGTCTTCAACTTGGCCACTGTCTTTGCAGAGCTGGGCACATGTGCCCAGGGGGCAGAAAAAATGGCTTCTCAGTTGTTAAAAGTATACCCTGGACCACCCATCTGACCATCTCCTTAAGGTTTCACCCAAAGCCCCCAGTGTCAGAGACTTGGGATGGGAAGAACAGTCGGCTCCCAGTGTGGTCATGAGCAAGTTTTCTGTGGACTGTTCCCCCCACTGTGGTAGGACAGGACTGGCCCACTTAGTCCTCAAGCTCCCAACCTGCTGTCCCTCAAGCCCCGCTTCTACCAGCCTGTGGAGTTCAGGAGGCGAGACATCCTGGCCTCCTTTGAGAACTGATGGGATCTACCCCCTGTCCACGCGGGACAGTTTCTCAGAACTGGTTCATAGACCACCTGTGTCACCAACAGCCAGATACCTAATCCCTGAGCCTCCTTTGGGAAGGTCTGGGGCCGAGGGTCTGGGAATTTTTTTTTTTTTTTTTTTTTGGGACAGAGTCTCATTCTGTCACTCAGGCTAGAGTGCAGTGGCATGATCTTGGCTCACTGCAAGCTCCACCTCCTGGGTTCAAGCGATTCTCTTGCCTCAGCCTCCTGAGTAGCTGGGACTACATGCGCACACCACCACGTCCGGCTAATTTTTGTATTTTTAGTAGAGACAGGGTTTCACCATGTTGGCCAGGCTGGTCTTGAACTCCTGACCTCGTGATCCACCCGCCTTAGCCTCCCAAAGTGCTGGGATTACAGGCGTGAGCCACCGTGCCCGGCCCAGGACTTTTAAAACAAGCATCCCAGGGGATTCCGGTGCCTACCAGAAGTCGCAAGCTGCTTGGCTCTGGAGGGCGCCTAGGAGTCGGTGTCGCCTAAGATGGGATAATGGCTTCAGGCAACTCCTAGCCTTCCCCATATCTCCTGCCTCAGCCCCCCTGGCCCAGTGCTGGGGCGTCAGCTAAACCTGAGCTTCCAAGAAGTCAGGTTGCCAAAGGAAGGAGCCTTCTGAGACCCTCCCCAACCCACCCAGGTTCCCAAGGCCCTGCCGTACCCTGGGGAATCAACCAAGGAGTTCTTGTTCTCGAAGAACCCCAGGCCTCATGATGGTCTACGGTAGAGGTCCAACAACTACAGCCTGTGGGCCACATCTGGCCACAGCCTGATTTGTAAATAAAGTTTTATTGGAACACAGCAACACCCATTCCTTTCTGCATTGCCTTGTGCTCTGGGGCTGCAGGTGAAGAGTAGCTGCCACAAACCACCTGGCCCATAAAGCTCAAAATAGTTGCCATCTGGCCCTTTACAGACAGCTAGCTGACTCCTAATCTAGGGCAAACGCAGGTGCCTAAAAAGGACCAGAAAGGAGACCAGAATGAAGGGCAGGGGGGTGGCAGGGCCTGTGGCAACTGGAGAGTAGGCGTCCTGTGCCACGGGAATGTTGCCAGGTCCGTTTTTCTAGGGAAAGCAGAAATCTGGATTTTTATGTGGAATCTCACTGTAGGGGTGGGGAAATCTCATTTTAAAAATGTAATCAGGCCAGGCACAGTGGCTCACACCTGTAATCCCAGCGCTTTGGGAGGCCAAGATAGGAGGATGAGTTGAGCCCATGAGTTGGAGACCAGCCTGGGCAACATAGTGAGACCCCATCTCTACTAAAAAGTATTAAAAAGTAGCAGGGTGACCAGGCATGGTGGCTCACACCTGTAATCCCAGCACTTTGGGAGGCTGAGGCAGGCAGATCACAAGGTCAAGAGATCGAGACTATCCTGGCAAACATGGTGAAACCCTGTCTCTACTAAAAATACAAAACAAAACAAAACAAAACAAAAGCCAGGCATGGTGGCACGCGCCTGTAGTCCCAGTTACTCGGGAGGCTGAGGCAGGAGAATCACTTGAACCTGGGAGGCAGAGGTTGCAGTGAGCTGAGATTGTGTCACTGCACTCCAGCCTGGGTAACAGATCGAGACTCCCATCTCAAAAAAAAAAAAAAAAAAGGAGCAGGGCATGGTGGTGTGTGATTGTGGTCCCAGCTACTCCAGAGGCTGAGGTGGGAGGATCCCTTGAGCCCTGGAGGCGGAGGCTACAGTGACCTATGATGCCACTGCACTCCCGCCTAGGCAACAGACCCTGTCTCAAAAAAAAAAAAAGTAATTAAAAATTTTAAAATTCCTTGAGGAGGGCTAAACAAGGCATGCCTGTGGGCACTGCTGTGAGGTCTGGCCTAGGGATTTGTAGGGCCACAGTTAGGGGGAGCTGAGGCCCATATATGAATGGTGGGGCAGAGCACTCAGCCAAACCTGGTGGCCTCTCTGCCTCCCGTCGAATGCAGAATCTCACCCAAGCGATGCCCAGTGGCTCTGACCCCGCCTCAGGGTGCGGCCCCTGGGGGTGAGCCTGCCAGGCACCCCCACCTCCCTCCCACAACATCCAGAAGCTCTGGGAAGGAGGGGGGAGGTGGTTCCCCTCCACAGGGGCCAAGGGTCTTGGTCCCACTCTCCAAGTACCTGCCACGACACTGCAGGAAGGTGGGCTGCAGGATGGGGGGGTCAGGGAACCCCGAAGCACAGACGGGAACGTCCTTGTCCCCTTGGACGACCCAGGGCCCGGGGCGCCCTCTGGTGGCGAATCTTCTCACAGCCTGACTCAGGATGCCCCCAGCGCTCCAGGGGCAAGAAGAGCACGAGGCAGACGCGGTGGGTCTCTGAGAACTTAAAATAACCCTCACCACGTGGCGGGGTGGGCGAGGAGGGGGCTCACAGCAGAAGCAGAGTGGCCCCGGGGTGGGGGCGCCACAGGACACTGAGGGTTCACACCACCCCAGCCTGGGCCTGGTAAGTAGCAGGTCAGCATAAATCCAACCCCGCGAGGCACATCCAAACCCCACCCAGAGGGGTTCAAATGACAGGAGTGGGAACAGAGGGGCTCCCTGAGGCTTCAGGCCCCATCCCCAGGAAGACTGGCCCGGCCTCAGCCACCTTCAAGCACAGGAGTGAGGCCTCGGGTTCCAGGGACGATGGGGGACCCAGCATTAAATATGTCATAAATAGGTGGGCGGACACTGTGCGGACAGGCGGGGCTCACATTCCTCTAGACCACTGGGGTCCACTGGGGGACCAGGGCCTGGGCCCTCTCCCAGCGATGCCACGGGCCTGAGAGGGCTGCTGGGAAGGAGCCCGGGAGCCCCCTGCAGTCTGAAGTCCGGGCCGAGGGCACAGGAGCCCGAGGCTCACGGCTGCTTTGTCTTGCCTCTGTTCTTCTGGAGCTTGGCATGCACGACTTTGAGCGTGGTCAGGAAGTTGCCGAGGAAGAGGATGAGGAAGGTGAACGCCAGTACGAACACCTGGGGGAGTCCAGAGAGGAGGGCGAGGCTGGGGCATCTGCCCTGCTGAACCCCTGCCCCCAGCACCCCAGAATCTCCAGCACAGCTGCCCCCAAACTCCCAAACTGCAGGGTTTTGCCATCGAAGGCAGAGATTCAGGAGACCTGGGGGAAGGGTGAGGCCTCAGGCTTGGGCAGGGCCTGGGAAGGGCTCGATGGGGCGAACCTCCTTGGGATCCACAGATTGGGAGAGGCTCCACCCCTAGCCCTTCCAGAAGCCTCCCGCCAAGCAGGCCCCCCACAACACCCCACACCTGCCAGCCCAGCCCGCCCCAGGAACCTCCCCACAGCACACCACACACACGCACACACCCCACCCCCACATCTGCCATCCCAGCCCTCCCCAGGAATCCGCACCCCAGCATGCCACACATACACCCCATCCCTGCCACCCCAGCCCTCCCGGGAACCTCCCCCGAGCATGCCCCCACCCCCCATACCTGCCATTCTCTGCATTCCTCGTGGCTGGAGAGCTCAAACAGCGTGACGGCATTGTAGAGCTGCCAGAACTGGAGAGGAAGGCAGGCGCTGCTCACCCACCAGACTCCCCTGGCCGGCCACGTAGAAAGCCAGGGTGATGGCCAGGCCCCTCACCCAACTTTGGGTATCAACTACCCACAACACTGACAGACACCCCCAAAATGAAATGCAGGCACCCGAGGCCAGGGCAGAGCTAGGTCAGTTCTGGCTCCTGCCTTGGCATCCCTGGGCCCAGAGGCTGCCCCGGCCCCAGGATGCTGTGGGCCCCAGCATGGGGACGGATGGAGAAGGAGGGCAAGGCCTGAAGACCTTCTGTTCCTGGGGGTCAGCCCAGACAGGAGATACCCACAAACTCCAGGGGGACTCACATGGCCACAGAAGAGGAAGGGCAGGAGAAAGGTGAGGCCCCGCCACATCCAGGACTGGAACCCTTCTGTGGAGAGGAGGGAAGAAAAAGGACCCGCTGAGGGGGTCCGCTGCCCCCACAGCTCCACCAGACGCCCACCCCCAGCCACACCAGTCACCCTAAGATGAGCCAGGGACAGTCACACATGCGGGGGGTCAGCCCTCACCTGTCATAGCTGGGTGGGCATTCACTATGACAATAGCAACCCTGTCACCTGGCCTGACTGCTCTCTCTCTTCAAGCCACCAAGAGCCAGGTGACAACACACAGACACTGGGCGCTATGTTGTTACTAATTTCTTTAATCTGCACAGGGTTTTGCATTTTATAATGAATTTTCACATGCATTAGTTCTATCGAGTCTTGAGACAGGAGGACCTACTTAGGAGAGTAATTTGATGGAAATGACTATGTCAAAAGACAGCAGAGTTGGCCAGGTGCAGTGGCCCACGCCTATAATCCCAGCACGTTGGGAGGCCAAGGTGGGCAGATCACTTGAGGCCAGCAGTTTGAGACCAGCCTGGCCAACAAGGTGAAACCCCATTTCTACTAAAAATACAAAAATTAGCCGGGCGTGGTGGCACATGCCTGTAATCCCAGCTACTCAGGAGGCTGAGGCGGGAGAATCACTTGAACCCGGGAGGCGGAGGTTGCAGTGAATAGAGATCGTGCCACTGCAATGCAGCCTGGGCAAGAGTGAGACTCCGTCTCAAAAAAAAAAAAAAAAAAAAAAAAGATAGCAGAGTTGTATTAAAAACAGTTTCCCCTGAAATTCTCAATGAGGTGTCTCCTCACTTTTCTGGCTGGCACTCCTATGGCTTCAGAGTGAGGCATGTCTCCCCCGTGTACATGCATTTATATACTTATACGTGTTGGTATGTAGACATGTTACACACAAATGGCTAATTTGTGTGTGTGTATTCTAGAACACACACAAAAAAATAGACACTTCCAGAGGCTGAGACAGAGGCCCTGCCCTCGGGGCCTGGTATGCAGCTGGCCTGGCACTTGGCAGCTGAAACAGAATCCAGGATGAATTCTGGAAGGCGCTTCGGATAAAGGGCAGCGGCCTGGCTCCGCTGTATGGGAGGTGCTCGCAGGGCTGCACTCCCGGTGTGGGGAGCTGGCAGGTCCAGTACCTGCCCCGGCTCCAACCCAGGCCCAGCTACTCACCCACTGTGAGATCCAGGTGGTTCCTCTCCCCCAGGGCCCGCAGCCGGTAGAGGCAGCCCCTCTGGTAATAATATTGCAGGAACTGGACGCAGCCTGCAGGGGGAGCACAGCACCTGGGCTCAGGGCCTGGTGTCCCCGGAAGACAGGGCCACACCTCTCTGCCCCAAGCACAGGCTGATGGGTCTTTACTGGGCAGAAGCAGAAAGGGTGCCCTGGTTACAACCCTCTCCCACGCCCACACACCACAAACAGACACACACACTCTGGTCTGAACCTGCTTTAGCCCTTATCCAGAACACAGAGAGAACACAGGTATGTGAGGACCCATCTAAGCCCCAACTAGATTTGAAACTTCTGGAATTTTCCATGCAGTAGACACTCAATAGATGCTTGCTGGAATGCAAGCTATGCCAGTGCTATGTTGGGAGCTCTGTGCAATGCTAAGACACAAGACAGAGTTCCATCCAATGGGATACTTCGTTGTTGCTAAAAATGAGGTGGTAATGACATGAAAAATAGCCATGATAAACTGTTAAAAATTCAAAAGGCAGGTTATAATAGTAAAGCTCTATGTACAGAAAGGTCCCATACTTGTAAAAGATACATAATGTAATACACACATGTATATACCTATTTATGAATAAAAACTTTTGAGAGGACATAGATCTTAACTAACGTCACCTCTAGGGTGGGCTGATATACAATTTCCATTCTTGGCTTTATACATTTGTATTTGTTTGCAAGCAGGTTTTAACTTAAAATGTAGGTTGTAGTATCTGAAAAGTCAATACAGCCAGGCGTGATGGCTCATGCCTGTAATCCCAACACTTTGGGAAGCCAAGGCAGGCAGATCCCTTGAGGCCAGGAGTTCAAGACCAGCCTGGCCAACTGGTGAAATCTCATCTCTACCAAAATACAAAAAGTAACCAGGCATGGTGGCAGGCACCTGTAATCCCAGCTACTTGGCAGGAGAATCGCTTGAACCGGGAGGTGGAGGTTGCAGTGAGCCGAGATCACAACACCGCACTCCAGCCTGGGTGACAGACAGAAACTCCATCTCAAAAAAAAAAAAAAAGAAAGAAACGGTACGGCGTGGTGGCTCATGCCTGTAATCCCAACACTTTGGGTGGCAGAGGTGGGTGGACCACCTGAGGTCAGGAGTTCCAGACCACCCTGACCAACATGGTGAAATCTCATCTTTATTAAAAATAAAAAAAATTAGCTGGGCGTGGTGGTGCGCACCTGTAGTCCCAGCCACCCGGGAGGCTGAGGCAGAAGAATCGTTTGAACCCAGGAGGCGGAGGTTGCAGTGAGCCAAGATCGCGCCACTGCACTCCAGCCTGGGCAACAGAGCAAGACTCCATCAGAAAGAAAGAAAGAAAGAGAGAAAGAGAGAGAGAGAGAAAGAGAGAAAGAGAGAGAGAGAGAAAGAGAAAGAAAGAAAAAGAAAGGAAGAAAAAGAAAGAAAGAAAGAGAAAGAAAGAAAGGGAAAGAAAGGCAATACACACATGGGATAAAATTTAAAGGGAACAAACAGGTTGGTGAAAAGTAAGACGCTCTCCCTGTCCCCAAGCATTCAAGCCCCCTTCCCCAGAGGCAACCCTTGGGACCAGTATACAAATCCAGAGCAATTTTCAGATGAGAAAAATAATATATATTTCCATTTGGAGGACTTATTTAGGACTGGAAAAAAGGCTGGTATCCCCAATGCTACTCAGTTCCCAAAGGTCACAGTTGGCAGGGTTCCAGCCTGGGGAAGGAGCAGGCAGTGCTGGGGGCTGGGAGGTGGGTGGAGCTGACCTGGGGCGGGGACAGCTCTCCTTCTGGATTTCTGGGACCCTCTCCCCCAGTCTGGTCTCCCTGCCACACAGGCAAGCACTGATTGATGTCAGCTGGGGCCCTCCCTTGGTGAAAGTCTCAGAAAACCATGTCCCTTCCCCCAAATCCAGGCAACAGTCACTCACTCTGAAAAATGGAAAATGCTAAGAACTGGTTGCGAAACTTCTGATAAATGGGTCCATTAGGCCTGGAGAGAAGGTAGGAAAAAACAAAGGTGGGGCCCACTATGAAATGAGACATTCCTCCCCGCCCCAACTCCATTCCAACCAGAAGAGGCGAAAAGGTGTATAAAGTCAAACTGAGGTCCAGACTTCCGCCCTTCTATCCCTGGGGCTGGGCGAGGTCATCCCATCTTCCTTTCTAGAAGCACAGGGGTCCACATGGCCGTGCAGAAGCGCTAACTCCCTGTGACCCCTCTGTCCTCCGCAGTCTCCTTCAGTGCCCAGCCTCACTCGCTCCCTCCAGCCTTGCAGCCCCGCTACCTCTGCCCTGGCCAGGGACACCCGAAACCATTCCCTGGAGAACCCCTCACGGGCTGGGTGGGGCCCGCGCAGCCCGGCGCAGCTGCAGGCTCATACTTTCTTTCCCAAGTTGGCCCTGGAGCACACCCCCCACCGCTGTCTGGATCAGCCCCCTCCCCATTCCCGGGCCCCAGGCTCTACTCCCTGGGAGGCTGGAGGGGCCCAGCGAGGGGCTACTCACCAGGTCAGCATCACTCCGGACAGGAATGTGGAGACGTAGTGGTGAGACACCCACCAGCCTTTAATTCTCGGGAGAGGGAGAGAACGGAAAGTGCTCAGGAGGGGAGAGCAACGCAGGCATGTGTCTCGCTGAGGCCCCACCTATGCAGCAGGGGTTACTCTGCACTCAGAGACGGCTTCTTGGAGTAAGAAACAGACTGGAACCCTGACCGTGCCCTCCTCTCTGTCCCACAGGGCTGCACCATCCCACACAAACCAGCTGCAGATTAGCCTGGACTCCCACTTGGGCTTCCAGTGGTTTCCAGCAACCCTCAGAGCACACCCCTAGCCTCACCTGCCTTCAAGCCTCACTCCTGTCCTCCCCACCTGGTCCTCTCCCCAGCACGCGGGCGCTCCAGGCACGGCTCCTGTCCTCCCCACCAGGTCTTCTCCCCAGCACGCAGGCCCTCCAGGAATGTGGGCTCTCCTAGAACCCGCCAAGCCTGCCTGCTGCCACCTCAGGGCCTCCTACAGACTGAATAGTGGCTCCAATTCCTGCACTGAAGCTGAGCCCCCCAGCACCTTAGAACGTCCGTGACTGTATTTGAAGACAGGGCCTTTGAAGAGGGGACTGAGGTAAAACAAGGTCACACTGGTGGGCCCTAGTCCAGTGTGACTGGTGTCTCTGCAAGAAGGGGAGAGACACCAGGGCTGTTTGTGCACAGAGAAAAGGCCACATGAGGACACACGGGGAGATGCCATCTGTGAGCCACAGAGAATGGTCTCAGGAGAAACCAGCCCCGCCAGTACCTCCATTCTAGACTTCCAGCACCAAACTGTGAGGAAATACACTCTGTGGCTTAGGACACTCGGCGGGCGGTACTTCCTACAGCTACACCCAGCGGGCTCACCCAGGGCCTTTGGACTTGCTGCTCTCTCTGCTCCAAGACCTTGACGTGCCTGGCTCCTCGTCCAAGTGCAAGCTTCAGACTAGCTGTCACCTCACAAAGGCCTCCTGACCGCCTTATCTGAACCAGCCTGATGGCCCCACTCGGATCACACTGCCCCACTTCACCTCCTTCATGGCATGGATCACTGTCTGCAATTACGTGCCTTTCTTCCTGTGATCTGCCCCCTCTCCCACCCCTATGTCACCTCTAGATTGAGCAGGGGTCTTGTCTCTATTGTTCACCAGTCTATCTGTGACCCTGGGTTCCAAGCAGCTGCTCAATAAATGTGTTGAATAAGCATGCATGTACACACACACACACACACACACGTTTTCTCTTTTCCAGGCAGGGTCTCACTCTGTCACCCTGTCTGGAGTGCAGTGGTGCAATCATGGCTCACTGCAGCCCTGACCTCCCAGGTCAAGCAATTCTCCCACCTCAGCCTCCTGAGTAGCTGGGATCACAGGCGTGCGCCACCACGCCCAGCTAAATTTTTTTTTTTTTAGAGACAGGGTCTTGCTATGTTGCCCCGACTGGTCTCAAATTCCTGGGCTCAAGCAATCCTCTTGCCTTGGCCTTCCAAAGTGCTAGGATTATAGTCGTGACCCACTGTGCCTGGCCAGACATTCTTACACAGGACTGCAGCTATGACATTGCCCTGTACAGAAGCAGAGGCTGATGGATGCCACACGCGGCACCTCACACCATCTCCGAGGCAGCTTCTCCCCAGGAGCTACATGCCCCAGGCCCATCTCCTGTCATCTCAGTGACAGGAGGCCCTTGCCCAGCCCTGGACTTCATCTATCCAGTCCAGAGGCTATGGGAACTCTGTTTCCAGAACTCAGCACTCCCCCAGCTGGGTTTTTTGGGGTTTTTTTTTTTGCCTTTTTTTTTTTTTTTTGAGACAGTCTTGCTCTATTGCCCAGGCTGGAGTGCAATGGCACATTCTTGGCTCACTACAACCTCCGCCTCCTGGGTTCAGGCAATTCTCCTGCCTCAGTCTCCCGAGTAGCTGCGACTACAGGCGCCTGCCACCACACCTGGCTAATTTTTGTATTTTTAGTAGAGACAGGATTTCAACAGGTTGGCCAGGCTGGTCTCGAACTCCTGACCTCAGGGGATCCACCTGCCTCGGCCTCCCAAAGTGCTGGGATTACAGGCATGAGTCACTGCACCCGGCCCAGCTGGGGGCTCCTGATCCACAGTTGGGTAGAGCCTGGTTGTCACCCCCCACCCCCAGCATCAGGGGCAGCCTAGGAAAAAAGGAGTTGGACCCCTCAACCCTGTAACCTTCAACATCCCAGAGTGTGTCTCAGGCCTTGGCTGGCCTCCCCAGGCTCCTCTAGTCCAAACACATGGCAGCAACTTGCCAAATGCACCCAGGAGCAGCCAACTCCCTCCTCCCCAGGACTGGGAGGTGGAGGCTGGGGATGCTCGTGGGAACAGTCATTAACCTTCATCCCTCCAGAACTCTCTTGGGACTGGGCAGGGAAATGGGTCCACACACACGCCCACGTGCTTTCTCTTTTTTTTCCAGGCAGGGTCTCGCATACGCACATCGTAAGAACGAGACTGGATCTAAACCATCACTCTTCCCTTGACGGCCCATGCAACAGTTCTGGGCATAAATTGGCTTTTCAAGCAACAGCCTGTGTGTTCCCCAGGAGTTATGCTGAGGGGCAAGGTTTTATGCAGCTCTGTGTTCACAGCACTAACAGCACCAGGTAAACAACAGGCACTCAATAAATGTTGACATGAATGATGCCTGGGAGGTGTGGCTGGTGAAAGCAGCAGCTAATCTGGATGCCACCAGCGCAGAGGTGACAGGAGATTGTTGCAGGTGCCACGTGCGGTCATGGGGACAGGGTGAGATGTCCATCTACTTCTTTGTCCCCAGAAAACTCCCACCTCCACTCATGTATCCTAGTCTCGCCTGTCAGAGTCTAAGAAGCCCCTGGGCTCCAAATTTCTGACAGCAAAGGCAGTTGGCCAGATCCCCCAACTTCCAGCTTGAAGAGCAACCAGGAGGTCTCTCTGCAACTTCCCAGAGCTCTGCAGAGCCACGTCAGCCCTCAGCACTTGGCAGGCGCCACACTCCTTTGTCCTGCTCCCAAAGCTCCCCTGAGAAATGCCCTCTGTCTAGGAGCAGCCTGAGGCAGACACAGACTCCAGGCAACAAGCCTGACTGAGCAGCAGCTTTTCATTTCACAGCTCGCCGTGCCCAGAGCCCAGCTCTGACAGATGCCACCAATAAACACAGCTCAGTGACATCGGGTGAGGCTAGAAATCGCTCCTTCCCTGGCCCGGCATTCACAAGCCCAGGCGTCCATCTGCACACCCCGGGGCTCTGGGCTGGTTGTGTGCACATGTGTTTATGTAGCCATTTTACTGTGATGTGATTCAGATACCGTACAATTCACTCACTGAAAGTGCACAACTGAGTGGCTTTTAGTATATTCACAGAGTTGTGCAACTGTCACCAGAATCTGTTTTAAAACCTTTTTATCATTGCAGAAAGAAACCTACACCCATTTGCAGTCACTCTCTGGGCTCATTTCACCACAGAAGTTAAAGCTTGCAGGGGCAGCTGGGCGCGGTGGCTCACGCCTGTAATCCCAGCACTTTGGGAGGCCGAGGCGGGCAGATCACCAGGTCAGGAGATCGAGACCATCCTGGCTAACATAGTGAAACCCCGTCTCTACTAAAAAATACAAAAATTAGCCGGGCGTGGTGGCGGGTGCCTGTAGTCCCAGCTACTCGGGAGGTTGAGGCAGGAGAATGGCGTGAACCCGGGACGCGGAGCTTGCAGTGAGCCGAGATCGCACCACTGCACTCCAGCCTGGGCGACAGAGCGAGACTCCATCTCAAACAAAACAAAACAAAAAAGAAACCTTGCAGGAGCTCACGGCCTTTTTTTATTTTATGAGCTCCAGGAGGAGCAGGTGCATCAATGGCCAGACGTAGGGACAGCATGTCCCAATATCTGGAAATTGCAAGGGTAGACTTCTCCCTTCAGGACACATTAACATGGCTGTGAGTGTGCAGGAGATATGTGCACCAGCCACTGTGAACCCCAGGCCACTCCTGGCTCTGTGCCTTGGGCCATCTAGACAGTGGGGAATGGCTTCTCCACTGAGGATCCCTCCTAGAAAAGCCAGTTGGAGGCAGGCACCCTAGGCTGGCTCCCTAGAAAACCAAACATGATCACCGAGTCATTACTCATTCTGGCCCAGAACTAACTGTAATAGACATCGGCTGTTTTGCCCAGTTGCTGATCACAGCCCATCCTCATTGGGTGGCCTCTGCTTTGCCCCTGTGGGGAACCACCTCACCCCCACACTCAGTCTGGGTGGCTGGGATAGACCACAGTCTTATACCCAAGCACATGACCCCCAGCCAACCAATCAGGACCCTCTGCAGTCCTCTGGCAACAGTGACTGGCTCTCAGAGATCAGTAGGTCACCCAAGCCTGGCCAATCAGAAGTCTGTGTCAAGATTCCAACTGGGGTGGAGGGAGGTCTGTCAGCCCAGGGGTTACTGCTGGTGGGAGGCCTGCCTGGGGGCCGCTGGGGGCCATCGCAGGGGAAAACAGAACAGGGAGCTGGAGCCGGGCCATGAACACCTCCTGAGCCCTCCTGACCTCCTTGAATGGAAATTCCCAGTTACATGGGCCCATAAGACCCCTTCAGGTTTAGTCCCTATGGGATGGTTTTCCATCATTTTCAAGTTTACAAGAGCTGACTTGCTTATTATGCTGAGCTGATGAGTGGCATCTCACTTGGCAGGCACCAGACACAAACCGAGGGTGGCTTCATATCTCGATGAGGAAGTCCCCACCCCTACCTGCTCCCCTGACCACACCTCCTGTCCCAATTCAAATCTCAGGTGCAGCCAGAACTGGACAAAAGCGCCTCCATCAGACAAAACAGGGCAGCAGGCCCCCAGGAGGCCCGTAGGGTTCAGCGACGCCGTCTCTAGAATGCCGTGATGGCCCCAGGACCCTTCCTCACGCAGAACTTGGGTTTGGGTCACTTCGGCAAAGACTGTGGGGTGTTGACGGCGCGCACCAGCCCCGAGTGAGTGGATGCTTCAGGGATGAGAAACTAGAGTTCATCCCAGTCTCACCTCCCACCGCCTCCACACAGGCTCTCCTGCAAGGGCTTCTGAGCTACTCCCTGGTAAAGAACCAAGCAGGAGGGGAGGCCTCCAAGGCATCTCCCTTGCCTGCCCCCAGGATCAATCAGCCCTGAGGAGGAGCTGGAGGAGGGCGGAGGCTAAATCTCCAACAGATGTGGAAGATGAGTCACAAGTATGAGTCACTCGGATTTAGCCCACCTGCCTTGCTCCCTCCCCGACAAGCTGGCCCCAGCTCCTGTAGTCCTTCTATTAGGTTGGTGCAAAAAATGACTGCAAAACACAAATACTTTTAGACTAACCTAAATAGAAGATAATGCATCTATTTGGGCCCAGAGGCCCCATTCCAGACTCCACTTGCCCATTCAAACCCCTGCCTCAGACCACCAAGGGGAGACAGGCCTGGAGGAATGGTTCCATTGCAACCTCAAATTCCTTGAACCATATATGCCATAAAAGGTCCTTAGTAAAAAAAACTCGGGGCTGGGCACAGTGGCTCATGCCTCTAATCCCAGCACTTCAGAAGGCCGAGGTGAGCAGATCACCTGAGGTCAGGAGTTCAAGATCAGCCTGGCCAGCACGGTGAAACCCCATCTCTACTAAAAATACAAAAATTAGCTAGGCATGGTGGTGTGCACCTCTAATCCCAGCTACTTGGGAGGCTGAGGCAGGAGAATTGCTTGAACCCAGGAGGCGGAGGCTGCAGTGAGCCGAGAACACACCACTGCACTCCAGCCTAAGTGACAGAGCACGACTCTGTCTCAAAAAAAAAAAAAAAAAAGAAAGAAAAGAAAGAAAAGAAAAAAACCTCTGTGGGTGCTCCCAGGAGGCAGAGTGTAAGTTATCTTGGAGTCCTTAGTTCAGTGTTTGGTACTTAGGAGACACTCAATAAATGTCTGATGAATGGCAGATGGAGGGTAGAGCAGACTCACACGAAGCTTTGAATTGCAAGCTCAGGGACAACCATCCCTGCTCTCCTGTCAGAGAGTGAACTCCAGGAACTCTGAACAGCTCCTGCTAAACTGTTAGGCAAGGGAGGCTGGCTTTGGAAGTCCATTTTTGCCCTGTTAGCAGCCCTCTCTGTTTTGCTGGAGAGTCCCACACTTGCAGAGACCTCCACTCAGTGCTGCTCCCATCTCTCTGGTCGCCCCCCATCCACAGCGTCACATTAGAATAAAAAGCTGCCCAGAGTAACTCTTACTAAAGTGTTAATGATTGCTAGAGGCATCACATGCCCCAGAGCACTTTTTTTTTTTTGAGTCAGGGTCTCACTTGCCTAGGCTGGAGTGCAGTGGCCTCAACCTCCTGGGCTCATACAATCCTCCCACCTCAGCCTCCTGAGTAGCTAGGACTACAGGTGTACACCACCATGCCTGGCTAATTTTTTTTTAGACCGAGTTTCACTCTTGTTGCCCAGGCTGGAGTGCAGTGGCATGATCTCGGCTCACCACAACCTCAGCCTCCCGGGTTCAAGCAATTCTCCTGCCTCAGCCTTCCTGAGTAGCTGGGATTACAGGCATGCACCACCACGCCCGGCTAATTTTGTATTTTTAGGAGAGATGGGGTTTCCCCATGTTGGTCAGGCTGGTCTCAAACTCCTGACCTCAGGTGATCCACCGCCTTGGCCTCCCAAAGTGCTGGGATTACAGGCATGAGCCACCGCACCTGGCCCATGCCTGGTTAATTTTTTAATTAGCTGGGACTACAGGCACACACCACCATGCCCAGCTAATTTTTTTTTTTTTTTTTTGGTAAAGATGAAATCTTATTTTGTTGCCCAGGCTGGTCTTGAACTCCTGGGCTCCAGTGATCTGCCCACCTCTGCCTCCCAAAATGCTGGGATTACAGGCGTGAGCCACCATGCCTGGCCTACACACTGATGTTTTCTAAATGGCTGTGTGCAGCTACAAGGTTGCATTCGTGAAACTTCCTGTTGCCCTCAGGAGGCCAGGCAGGAGGGGGGCTCTCCTTACCTCCAGGCTCTACGTTCAGTGTAGGGCAGGGACCTGCCATACGAAACCACAAGGCAAACAAGTGGGAAGGTGGCACATTAGGCGGTGGGGGCTGCGCAGCTCCTGGGTGTTCCTCACTAGTTCCCAGGAGGAAGGAGGAAGCAGGAGCTTGTTACTTTTTGTTTCAGGAAAGAACAGGAACCGGAATGGCACGTTGGCAGGGCGCGGTGGCTCACACCTGTAATCCCAACACTTTGGGAGGCCAAGGAGGGCAGATCACTTGAGGTCAAGAGTTTGAGACCAGCCTGGCCAACATGATGAAACCCAGTCTCTACTAAAAATACAAAAATTAGCTGGGCGTGGTGGCACGCACCTGTGATCCTAGCTACTCGGGAGGCTGAGACAGAAGAATCGCTTCAACTGGGAGGCAGAGGTTGCAGTGAGCTGAGATGGTGCCACTGCACTCCAGTCTAGGCCACAGAACAAGACTCCATCTCGGCCAGGTGCAGTGGCTCACGCCTGTAATCCCAGCACTTTGGGAGGCTGAGGTGGGCGGATCACGAGGTCAGGAGATCGAGACCATCCTGGCTAACACAGTGAAACCCCATCTCTACTAAAAATACAAAAAATTAGCCGGGTGTGGTGGCGGGCGCCTGTAGTCCCAGCTACTCAAGAGGCTGAGGCAGGAGAATGGCGTGAACCCGGGAGGCGGAGGTTGCAGTGAGCCGAGATTGCGCCACTGCACTCCAGCCTGGGCGACAGAGCAAGACTTCGTCTCAAAAAAAAAAAAAAAAAAAAAAAGGCATGCCGAGGTTCCAATGGCCACCCCCAAAAGGAATTAGACCTTTGGAAAATAGGTCCTCCAGGTGGCAAGTCATGGGTTTTAACTGGGTCTCAAGACTCAGCTTAGAGGCAGGCAGGGCAGGAAAGAGACTGAGAGAAAACAACAGGGCTTCTCGCACTCAGAGCCCTTCAGAGATGGGGGCCAAGGGAACCCCCAGTCTTGCCTGGACTCACTCAGCACCACTGTGACACACCCACTCCCCCGTGGGACTCTGAAACAGTCCAAAGAGGATACATGGCTTGCCCAGGGTCACAGGGCTGCTCAGTGACTGCACTGGGACCGGAACCCAGGAGTCCACACTCCTAGCCCGGCCTCTGTCCTCCCCAGCATCATCTCTCTGGTGGGGCAGGTTTGGCCTAATATCCTCTTCACCTGTCCACTCTCCCCTCTATCTCCCCGTAGAAGACCACCCACCCACTCTTGTCACCAAAACCCGTCCATCCTCCTAGTAACGGTCTCCCAGTTTTCCTCTGAGGAACCATTCCTCTCCTGACACTCAGCTTCTCCGCTCCCAGTGACGGCTATCAGGGTGGGTGTGAGGCTCCAGCCTGGCCAGTCACAGCACTGCAATCCCTGGCAACAGTGACTGGTTCAGGGATAGGTACATGATCCATTCTGCACCTGGACATAGCCAGTGCGACCCAGTGAGAGTCTTGGAAGAGAGGAATGTGCTCCGTTTGCTGGGAATGCTATAAATAGTGACATGAGCCTGGAGTTGCTGGGTGCCCCAATAGCAGCCTGAGATAAACACAACACAGAAGGCAGAAGTGAGAGACGGAGAGCACTTGGATCAAGACTTAACTGAAGGCAGAACAATGGGTCACCTCTTTTTTTTTTTTTTTTGAGACAGAGTCCTGCATTGTCCCTGGGCTGGAGTGCAATGGTGCGATCTCAGCTCACTGCAACCTCTGCCTCCTGGGTTCACGCTATTCTGCCTCAGCCTTCTGAGTAGCTGGGACCACACCCGGCTAATTTTTTGTATTTTTAGTAGAGACAGGGTTTCACTATGTTGGCCAGACTGGTCTCCATCTCCTGACCTCGTGATCTGCCCCCCTCGGCCTCCCAAAGTGCTGGGATTACAGGCGTGAGCCACCGTGCCATGCCGCTCACTTCTTTTTATGAGAAAATATGTTTCTTATTGTGTTGAGCCAGTCTGAGTTAGGTCTTCTATTGCTCATAAGCAAGAGGCTGATCATAAACAAGAGCTGCCGCATCAACAGCATCAGCTTTCCTCCTTCCTGGATCTGAACAGTCACAGAGCAACCCCCAAGGAGGAGAGGAATGCAGCCTGAGGGTGTCGGCCCCCATCTGACGCCCCTCGTGACATTTCCCTTTAACTCCTCTTGTGCTCCCCACAAAGCCAGGTGCCCAGGTACCTTGAGCCGTTGCTGATGAGAATGCTCTCCCGAATGGTCAGGGTGCAGTAATACCACACCAGCAGGAAGTTGAAGACTTCGTCAGTCACCCTGTGCAAGGAAACAGCCCCCGGGAGGGGTGCGGGCGTGAGAACCAGGCACAGCCATCCCACCCTCACCTCACAGAGCAGCAAACCAGGCTGAGGGCTGCCCACAGCACGCGCTGCCTCTGGAAGCCCTTATGACACCAGGGAGGCAGGGGGAGCTTGGTCTCTTGAGCGTCTTCCCCGGCCCTGCAAATGCCTCTGAACCTCCTCATCTTTCTCCCTGAGTCCCACCTGCGCTTCAAGCTCCAGCTGAGTCTCCCCCTCCTTCCCTGACCACTCAGCCCAGGGCAACCTGTCTGTCTTCTAAACTCTTCCCATGTGATGTGAAATTTCTGGTGGGATGTTAACGGAAGGACTTTAAGAACGGGAGACTTGGCCAGGCGTGGTGGCTCCCGCCTGTAATCCCAGCACTTGGGGAGGCTGAGACAGATGGATCACTTGAGGCCAGGAGTTCGAGACCAGTTTGGCCAATATGGTGAAACTCCATCTCTACTAAAAATACAAAAATTACCAGGGTGTGGTGGCACACACCTGTAGTCCCAGCTGCTTGGGAGGCTGAGGTAGGAGAATTGCTTGAACCCAGGAGGTGGAGGTTGCAGTGAGCTGAGATCGTGCCATTGCACTCCAGCCTGAGCGACAGAGCGAGACTCTGTCCCAAAAAAAAACAAAAGAATGGGAGACTTAATGTTCTATTTAAGGTTGCCTGCAGTGTTAAGATATAAACTCCCTCTGCCCCCTTAAAGCATCTGTAAACTTTGTTACATGTATTTAATACAAAAAATTACCTATGGGCCCTACCGTCTGTGATGTTAGAGAGTTAGAGTAGGTAGCTAATCAGATATAAACAGGGCCCCCTCCAACCAGGAATGTCAGGTGACCATCAGGTAATGGTCAGGTGGTTGTTAACTGTCTCTCTTAAATAATAATTGGCCACACCCAGTGCCAGGGAAAGGCAATCTCCCTATAGATAGGAAAAACATGAAGCTGGTGATCAGCAGCCTCCTGGTAAGATCTCAGGAGCTGAGCAAGTGGGCTCAAGCACGTGCACTAGGAGGCAAAATGACAGTGTTTAACTCGTACATGACTTTCCGGGGACATTCCACTGGCAAAGGGAAGGATGCCTCAAGTGAGCATGTGTGCAACTCCAGGAAACAAACTGCGCACGCGCCCCTCCCAGCTCGCAGGCCACTGCGCATGCAGACAGCCCACCCCAAGGGAAGAATCAGAGGAGGGTCACCAGACCCCCGGAAGTCTGCCAGCATATAAGACCCCAGGTCAAAGGGCACACCGCACACTTGTCCTCCAAGATGCCCGCTCGGCCCTCTTCTAAGTGTACTTTACTTTTTCTTTTTTTTTTTGAGACAGAGTCTCGCTCAGGCTGGAGTGCAGTGGCGCAATCTTGGCTCACTGCAACCTCTGCCTCCCGGGTTCAACCGATTCTCCTGCCTCAGCCTCCCGAGTAGCTGGGACTACAGGCATGCTCCACCACACCCAGCTAATTTTTTTTTTTTTTTTTTTTTTTTGAGACGTAGTTTCGCTCTGGGGCCAGGCTGGAGTGCGGTGGCGTGATCTCGGCTTACTGCAACCTCCGCCTCCTGGGTTCAAGTGATTTTCCTGCCTCAGCCTCCTGAGTAGCTGGGACTATGGGTGCACACCATGATGCCCAGCTGATTTTTGTACTTTTAGTAGAGAAGAGGTTTCACCATGTTGGTCAGGATGGTCTCGATCTCTTGACCTCGTGATCCACCTGCCTCGGCTTCCCAAAGTGCTGGGATTACAGGGGTGAGTTATCGCACCCGGCCTGATTTTTGTATTTTTAGTAGAGATGGGGTTTCACCATGTTGGCCAGGCTGGTATCGAACTCCTGACCACAAGTGATTCACCCAACTCAGCCTCCCAAAAGTGCTGGCATTACAGGCATGAGCCACTGCGCCCAGTGGCTTTTCATTCCTGCTCTAAAGCGTTTTGTTTGTTTGACACGGAGTTTCACTCTTTCACCCAGGCTGGAGTGCAATGGTGGGATCTCGGCTCACTGCAACCTCCACCTCCTGGGTTCAAGCGATTTTCTTGCCTCAGCCTCCAGAGTAGATGGGATTACAGGCGCCTGCCACCACACCCAGCTAATCTTTGTATTTTCAACAGAGACAGGGTTTCACCACATTGGCCAGGCTGGTCTCAAACTCCTGACCTCAGGTGATCCACCTGCCTCGGCCTCTCAAAGTGTTGGGACTACAAGCGTGAGCCACCGCATCCGGCCAAGCTTTTTAATATACTTTCACTCCTGCTCTAAAACTTGTTTCTTCTTCTGCCTTATGCCCCTCAGTCAAATTCTTTCTTCTGAAGAGGCAAGAATGGAGGTCGCTGCAGACCCGTTCGGATTTGCCGCAGGGAACTTGAATACTACCACCACTAACGGGAGAACTTTAAGAACAGGAGACTTGGCTGGGTGCGGTGGCTCACGCCTGTAATCCCAGCACTTTGGGAGGCCGAGGGGAGTGAGCGAGACTCCACCTCAGAAAAAAAAAAAAAACAGTAGACACTCTATGTTCTATTTTAGGTTGTCTGCAGTGTTAAGCTATAAACTCCCTGTGTCCCCTTAAACCATCTGTAAACTTTGTTACATATATAAAAAAATCCCAGTGGGCCATATTGTCTGTAACACTAACTGAAGAACTCCTTTTCCTCCTCCATGGTGACCACAGCGCGGGGCTGGGCCGTCCTCCTCCATGGTGACCACAGCACGGGGCTAGGCCGTCCTCCTCCATGGTGACCACAGCACGGGGCTGGGCCGTCCTCCTCTATGGTGACCACAACGTGGAGCTAGGCCGTCCTCCTCCATGGTGACCACAGCACGGGGCTAGGCCGTCCTCCTCCATGGTGACCACAGCGCAGGGCTGGGCCGTCCTCCTCCATGGTGACCACAGCGTGGAGCTGGGCCGTCCTCCTCCATGGTGACCACAGCGTGGAGCTAGGCCATCCTCCTCCATGGTGACCACAGCGCGGGGCTGGGCCGTCCTCCTCCATGGTGACCACAGCGCGGGGCTGGGCCGTCCTCCTCCATGGTGACCACAGCACGGGGCTGGGCCGTCCTCCTCCATGGTGGCCACAGCGTGGAGCTAGGCCATCCTCCTCCATGGTGACCACAGCGCGGGGCTGGGCCGTCCTCCTCCATGGTGGCCACAGCGTGGAGCTAGGCCATCCTCCTCCATGGTGACCACAGCGCGGGGCTGGGCCGTCCTCCTCCATGGTGACCACAGCGCGGGGCTGGGCCGATCCAGCTTTGAAGGCGACAGACCCGGGCTGTGGAGCATGCTGTACCTGGTCAGCATGGAGGGCCGGCAGACCGCTGTGTGGGGATTATCAGAGCCCCACTGGCCTCAGCCCTGCAATCTGTGAAGTGGAGAGGCCGACCCACCATGTGAGCATCCCCAGGGAAAAGAACTCTGTGAGAGAGTCAGTGACAGACGCCCCTCTGAGGGCTTCCCCACCACTGCCAGTCTGTCTGAGGAGGCACTGACAAAGGCTCTGTCTTTGGCAATTTTTTTCTGTTTTTAGAGTCAGGCTGGAGTGCAGTGACGTGATCATGGCCCACTGTAGCCTTAATCTCCTGGGCTCAAGCGATCCTCTCACCTCAGACTCCTAAGTAGGTGGGAATACAGGTGCACAATACCACATCAGGCTAATTTTAAAAACTTTTCTTGGCTGGGCACAGTGGCTTGCGCCTATAATTCCAGCACTCTGGGAGGCTAACGTGGGTGGATCACTTGAGGTCAGGAGTTCAAGACCAGCCTGGCCAACATGGTGAAACCCCATCTCTATTAAAAATACAAAAAAATCGGCTGGGCGTGGTGGCTCACGCCTGTAATCCCAACACTTTGGGAGGCCGAGGTGGGTGGATCACGAGGTCAGGAGATCGAGACCATCCTGGCTAACATGGTGAAACCCCGTCTCTACTAAAAATACAAAAAAGTAGCCGGGCATGGTGGCGGGCACCTGTAGTCCCAGCTACTCGGGAGGCTGAGGCAGGAGAATGGCATGAACCCAGGAGGCAGAGCTTGCAGTGAGCCAAGATCGTGCCACTGCACTCCAGCCTGGGCGACAAAGCAAGACTCTGTCTCAAAAAAAAAATAAATAATAATAATAATTAGCCGGGCGCAGTGGTAAGCACCTGTAGTCCCAGCTACTTGGGAGGCTGAGGCAGGAGAATGGTGTGAACCCGGGAGGCGGAGCTTGCAGTGAGCCAAGATCGCGCCACTGCACTCCAGCCTCGGAGACAGAGTGAGACTCTGTCTCAAAAAAACAAAACAAAACAAAATACAAAAAATTATCCGGGTGTGGTGGTGCGCTCCTGTGATCTCAGCTACTCGGGATGCTGAGGCAGGTGAATCGCTTGAACCCAGGAGACAGAGGTTGCAGTGAGCTGAGATCACACCACTGTACTCCAGCCTGGGTGACAGAGTGAGACTCTGTCTCAAAAATATAAATAATAAATAAGTGACACCCCCCCCCCCCACCGCCCAGGGAGGCCGAGCTCCCTCCCTTGCCACACTCATTTCCTGTTCAAGTCATGTTGACCTCTGATGTCCTCAGAGCTGTGCTTCTGAGACTGTGGACGCTCTCTGGTGCTGCCGAAGTCATGACGGACACCGTACACTGCCCTGCTACTCTCAGGCACCGTCCTCAGCTAGTGTCCTCAGCAGCCCTGCACGGGAGGTGCATGTCTTCTCCCTGCTCTCCAGGTGGGGAGTGTCAGCTCAGGAGAACAACTGACTTGCCCACAGTCCCACAGCCGGGAAGAGGCAGAGCCAGATTTGAACTGAGGCCCTGAGATTCCAGGGTCTGTTCCTGACTCTCTTGAGACGAACTCTGTGAGCAAAGGTTCAGCAAGGTGTGGGCAGAGAGTGACTGTTGTCTGTGACCACAAAGTAGGGCCACAAAGCTTCAAAGCAGTTGCATCCTCCTTTCATTTTGCCCCCAGGGCCCTTACAGTTGGTGAAATCATCTCCCAGTTTAGGGAGAGAAATGGAGGAGATTCGGGGGGGTTCCCTCCCTTTTATGAAGATAGACTGCACCCAGCGGCCATTTCTGTTCCCATACTGGATAAGTCTGTGTGACACTGGGAGGTACATGGGACCTTCCCTGTTGGGGTCAAGGACAAAGACTTTAGGAGTTTGAGACCAGCTAGGACTGGTCATAGCAAGACTCCATCTAGAGACAGAGTTTTGCTCTTTTGTTCAAGTAATTCTCCTGCCTTGGCCTCCCGAGTAGCTGGGATTACAGATGCATGCCATCAGGCCCGACTAATTTTTGTATTTTTTGTAGAGAGGGGGTTTCGCCATGTTGCCCAGGCTGGTTTTGAACTCCTGGGCTCAAGCGATCCTCCAACCTCAGCCTTCCAAAGTGCTGGGATTACAGGCATGAACCACCACACCCGGCCCATCTCAAGAGTCTTAATCACATCTGCAGAGTCCCTTCTGTAAGGTAACTTATTCACGGGCTCTGGAGACCAGGACATGAACATCTTTGGGGATCATTATTCAGCACTAGGCAGAGACTAATTATTGGGAACTTATAACCTTGCAGGCATTTTGCATAGATGATCGCTCTGGATTCTTGGACACTACAGAACTGGTTCCTAAAGCAGGTGCACTTACCACATCCCTGTCGGCATGACTTCCAACTACCAGAACCCGCCACTCTGGGTGTTCCTGGGGGGCTTTATCAAGCCACCAGCATCTACTCTGCTGGTGCAAGGTGCAGATCAGAAGGGTGGAGCAATTAACACCCTCTGGGGTCAGTCCTCAACTGCCCCAACTGATAGCAAATGGTGGATAAATACCCCAGCTCCCTCACCCTCAGGTGGGATAACTCTGAGGCATGTTCTACGCTGTCCCCTCATTCCCTAGCAGTATTGAGCTCCAACTACCCACAGGATAATGCTTTCTTGCCTCACTTCCCATTCCACTACCAGTGTCTCCTGGGATCACCTCCTAAATAAACTACTGGCACTAAAATGCTTGTCTTGGGGGTCTCTTCTGGGCCAACCCACACTAAGACAGTACCACTTCCCATTTTACAGATCACACAGACGGCAAGCACTGGAGTGAGGTCCAAACCCAAGCCCACTCGAGCCAAAATTAACTCTGACTACCTCTTTCCTAGCCTGGTTCAAACCTGATAGAGGACAGTCCTAACCAGGCACAGCCTCTTGGCCTGAAGGCAGCAGAAGGAGGCTTCCAACTCTCCTGCTGCCTCACCAAAGCCTCCAAACGCCCAAGGAGTACTGGTGGAGTAGATGTCCTGGAGCCTGTGGAAAAGGTGAGGAGACAGACAGAGAGGCCCAGGGATCCACTTCAGGTCACAAAGCCCGTGAGTGGCAGAGCTGGACCCAGAACCCTAGAGGATGCTGGCCATGCCCAGCTGCAGGCTTAGTGGTACCAAGAAGGGCCTCCGGGTGGGGAGCCTAGCCAGGAAACCATCCCAAGAGGGGCAAGAGGAAGAAAAGAGAATCCTGCTCTGTGGACGCACTAGCTATGAAGCTGTGAGCCTTTTTCCCGTATGCCCAGTCTTAGCCCAAAACAACGGTGATGCTAACCGGTGCTAATATTTAAACAGGCACCAGTCTAACCAGTCTCCAGACACAGCTTCTCCTGCCCTCCAAGCTGCCCTGCCAAGTAGCTCCTGTCACGCTCACTGTATCTGTCAAGAAACTGAGGCTGGGAGAGGTTCGTCATTTGCCTAAGGTTAAACAGCAGGGCAGGCTTCCCGGGGGCACCGGCACAGAGATGAACGGCCCGTCCAATCCCCCTCCTCTGCCCCGTTTTTAGCCTATAGAAGGTGTACTGGGTTGAATAGCATCCTTCCAAAATTCACGTCCACTGGGACCTCAGAATGTGACCTTATTTGGAAACAGGGTCTTTGTAGATGGAATTAGTTCAAATGAGGTCATACTGTGTTAGGGTGGGCTCTAAATCCAGTGTCTAGTGTCCTTACACTAGGGAAGGAGGCCGTGTGGCGTGGTGACAGAGACAGAGGCGAGTGAAACACAGCTTTAAGCCAGGCAATACGGGCTTGCTGGCAATTCCCAGAAGCTGGAGAGGCGAGGAAGGGTCCTCCCTCCCCGAAGCCTGTGGAGCGGCATGGCCCTGCCACGCCCTGCTTTCAGACCGCCGGCTTCCAGAACTGTGGGAAAATGTGTCTGTCGTTTTAAGCCCCCAGTCTATGGTACTTAGTTACAGTGGCCCTAGGAGATGAACACAGAAGCAGGTAGGAGAAAAAGAGACGCCCAGGCCCTCGGGGAACCTTGGGCCTCAGGACAGCAAGGGTTTGCCTTCGGAGGGCCCTGGAGGTCCCTGTGCAAGGGACTGTGGCTGCACATTGACAACTTTTACCCTCTTTGAGGGAGGCACATGAGGAGTAGTACAGATGTGTGCAGCCTTTGCCCTCGTGGAAACAGGCCAGGCTCTGGGCAGCAGGCGAGCACGGGCCCAGGGCCTGAAAGAGCCTTTGTTTGGGCATTCAAGTGGCCAGACCAGCAGCCGGATGCCCAGCCAAGTGCCTGCCAGGCAATAAACGCTTGGCACATAGGCCAAATGCCCAAACCGTACTTGACCGCTTCCCCTGGGGACAGAGAACCCAGGGCCAGAGAAAGGAACAGCAGCCCAGGCAGGGCAGCAGCAGCCCACAGCCTCACGGCATGGCTGTGCTGCACTTGGACGGTACCAGCAGCTGGGGAGCACCCCCAGCAGCGCCTCCACGTGCCAGCCAGGGTGGAGCTTCCACACACGGTGCCAGCTCCCTGAATTGTCACAGCCCTGTGAGGCAGGGACTGCCGTCACCCTTGTTTTACAGATGGGGAGACTGAGGCTCCCAGAGGGAACCTGCCCATAGTAACAGCCAGTTGGTCTCAAAACCATTTTCTTTTCTCTTTTTCTCTTTTTTTTTTTAAATATAATTGGGATATAATTCACATACCATAAAACTTGTTCTTTTAAAGTATATAATTTAGTGATTTTTAGTATATTCAGAGTTGTACAACCATTACCTAACTCCAGAACATTCTTTTTTTTTTTGTTTGTTTTTGAGACAAGGTCTCGCTCTGTTGTCCAGGCTGGAGTGCAGTGGCACAATCTTGGCTCATTGCAACCTCTGCCTCCCAGGTTCAAGTGATTCTCCTGCCTCAACCTCTTGGGTAGCTGGGATTACAGGCACCCACCACCACGCCTGGCTAATTTTTGTATTTTCAGTAGAGACAGGGTTTGACCATGTTGCCCAGGCTGGGAGAACATTCTTATTACTCTAAAAAAAAACCTTGTACCCAGTAGCAGTCATGCCCTCCTTCCTGCCTCCCGCAGCCCCTGGCCACCACTCACCTACTCCCCGTCTCTATAGATTTGCCTGTTCTGGGCAGTTCTCAGCAATGGAATCCTACTGTGTATCTTTTTGTGACTGGTTCTTTAACTCAGCATCACATTTTCAAGGTTCATCCATGCTGCAGCCTGGCTCCGTACTGGTGACAGTACTTCATTTCTCTCTCCCTTTTGTTCAGACCAGGTCTCCCTCTGTCCCCAAGGCTAAAGTGCAGTGGTGTGATCATGGCTCACTGCAGCCTCAAACTCCTGGACTCAAACAGTCCTCCCATCTCAGCCTCCCAAAGTGCTGAGATTACAGGTGTGAGCCACTGCACCCAGCTAAATAATTTTATTTTTTATCTTTGTAGAGATGGGGGTCTTGCTGTGTTACCCAGGATAGGCTCAAACTCCTGACCTCGAGTAGTCCTCCTGCCTCCCAAAGTACTGTACTGGGATTACAGGTGTGAGCCACCACGCCCAACTTTTCATTTCTCTTCATAGCTGAATGATATGCCACTGTACAGATAGACCACAGTGAACTCCTTTTTTTTGGGGTGACAGAGCAAGACTCTGTCACCCAGGCTGGAGTGCAGCGATCTCAACTCACTGCAACCTCTGCCTCCTGGGTTCAAGCGATTCTCCTGTCTCACCCTTCCGAGTAGCTGGGACTAAAGACATACTCCACCATGCCTGGCTAATTTTTGCATTTTTAGTAGAGACAGGGTTTCACCATGTTGGCCAGGCTGGTCTTGAACTCCTGACCTCAAATGATCTGCCTGCCTCGGCCTCCCAAAGTACTGGGATTACAGGCGTGAGCCACCGCGCCAGGTAATGAACTCCTTCTTAACTAGTACAGTACAAGGCCTTTCCAGCAGCCGTTTAACAGATACTTGTTGGATGGAGGTGGGGCAGACAGGACTGGCATTTCCCATGAGAAATGGCCCCTCTCTCCCCTACACCTCATCATGCCAAACAACACAGAAGCAGGAGAGGCTCCGGGTCCCCTGGATCCCTCTCTCCCGGCCCCCACCTGACGTCTGCATGCCCAGGCCCAGGCACACACGGCCACACCCACTACCTGTAGTGAAGGACAAATCGACATGCCACGGCACCCAGGAGCAGGATGATGGTCAGGTAGAGCTTGAACTTCTCATATTCGTCCTTGTAGGCGAACCTGCCACGACAGACACGCCCAGGGGTGTGCCCCTTACCATGACTATTCCAGCACCTGGGCATGGCCCTCAGCCCCATCAGACCCTTGTCCTTCAGCCACTGCCATGGCCCATAAGGACCTTCCCATTCCACTAAAGGAAAGACCTGGCCTTGACGGGTTAGTGGTGACCAATGAGGGGAAGAGGGCCAAGTATGCAGAAGGCCCATGTCCCTGGACTCTGGTCTGGGGCTCTGGGCCCATGCTGGGGACAGGCAGGGGGCAGAGACAGGGCCTCTTCCCTCAACCAACTGCTGCTGCTGAAAGGCCAGGGTTTGCGGCTGTCTGGAAATGGGGTAGACTCAGAGTAGACTGGACTGCCCATCTCCCTATGTGTGTGATAGGGCGTGAAACAGAGCAGGGCCATTTCTTGTGCGAAATGGGAAGTCCTGTCCACCCAACATACTGACTTGGAGGAAGGGAGGGAGGGGAGGGAGGGGAGGGAGGGAAGGAAGGGAAGGAACCAAGGAACCAACCCTCTCCCAGGTGCTCTACCTACAGAGGAGGAGAGTGTCAGAAACTCCAAAAGCCAGCGCCTCACCTGTGACCAGGTTTTTATTTATGCAAAAATTCTAGCTTAGATGCAACTTCCCTGAGCTGAAGGAACAGAATGCCGGAGGCCTCTGAGCCAGGTGAAAAGCGTGAGACGGGGTGTGGGTTGGGGTGTAGGATAGGGTGTGGGGTGAGAGTGGGGTGGGATGTGAATATGGGGTGTGGGGTGGGGTGTGGGTGTGGGGTGGGGTGTGGGTGTGGGGTGTGTGGTGTGGGTGTGGGGTATGGGGTGTGGGTGTGGGGTGTGGGTATAGGTGTCGGTGTGGGGTGTGGGGTGTTGGGTATTAGGTGTGGGGTGTGAATGGGGGTGTGGGGTGTTGGGTGTGGGGTGTGAGTATAGGTGTGGGTGTGGGGTATGGGGTGTTAGGTGTGGGGTGTGGGTTTGGGGTATAGGTATGGGTGTAAGGTGTGGGGTGTGGGTTTGGGTTTGGGGTGTGGGTGTGGGGTGTAGGTGTGGGGTGTGAGTGTGGAGTGTGATATGGGTGTAGAGAGTGGGTGTCAGTTTGGGGTGTGGGTGTTGGGTGTGGGGTGTGAATATGGGGTGTGGGGTGTGGGGTGTGGGTGTGGGGTGTGTGGTGTGGGTGTGGGGTGTTAGTGTGGGGTGTGGGGTGAGGTGTGGGTGTGGGGTGTGGGGTGTGGGTGTGGGATGTGGGGTGTGGTGTGTGGTGTGGGTGTGGGGTGTGGGTATGGGGTGTGGAGTGTGGTGTGTGGTGTTGGTGTGGGGTGTTGTGTATGGGGTGTGGGGTGTAGGTGTGGCTGTAAGGTGTGGAGTGTGAGTGTGGAGTGTGGGGTGTGAGTATGGGGTGTGGGTGTAGGGTGTGGGTGGGGTGTTGGCATGGGGTGTGGGTTTTGAGTGTGTGGTGTGGGGTGTGGGTGTGGGTGTGGGTGTGGGTTCGCAGTGTGGGGTGTGGGTGTGGTGTTGGTGTTGGTGTTGGTGTGGGTGGGGTGTTGGTGTGGAGTGTGGGTGTGGGTTTGAGGTGTGGGGTGTTGGTGTGGGTGTGGATGTGGGGTGTGGGTTCTCAGTGTGGGGTTTGGGGTGTGGGTGTGGGTGTGGGGGCGGTGTGAGGTGTGGGTCTGGGTGGTGGGTGGGGGACACTTACTTGGCCTGGTTGCTGAGGAGGGTCACGTTCACATTGCCGAGGACCAGGTTCAAGTAGAGCCTGGAAGGAAACACCTGTGAGGGGCATGATCCTTAGCAGGTGGGTGCGAATCAACAACATTCAAACTCAACACACTTAATGAGCACATCCCAAGCACTGATGTTAGAAGATAGGGGGCCTAAGCTCAGCGGGCAAATGGGCCCCCACATCGAGTGAGAATGACAACTAACCAAAGGACATTAACCTGTGACAGGACAGTGTGAGGAGTCGATTTCTCCTCCATGCTACCCTAGAGACCGTATTTCTAAGCCTGCCTTGCAGCCAGATGTGAGCAGGTGACTAAGCATAGCCAATGAGGTGGAGGCAAAGGTACAACCTCTAGGTCAATTTTTAAAGAATTTTCTTTATTTTTCATTATTATTATTATTATCATTGTTATTATTTTTAGAGACAGGGTCTCACTCTGTTGCCCAGGCTAGAGTGCAATGGTATGATCATAGCTCACTGCAGTGTTTTTTGTTTTTTTTTTTTTTTGAGACAGAGTCTCGGTCTGTCACCCAGACTGGACTGCAGTGGCACGATCAGGACTCGCTATAACCTCCACCTCCTGGGTTCAAGCAATTCTGCTGCCTCAGCCTCCCAAGTAGCTGGGATTACAGGCACGTGCCACCAGGCCAGCTAATTTTTGTATTTTTAGTAGGTTTAGGGGTTTCACCATGTTGGCCAGGCTGGTCTTGAACTCCTAACCTTAAGTGATCCACCTGCCTCCGTCTCCCAAAGTGCTGGGATTACAGGCATGAGCCACTGTGCCCAGCGTCACTGCAGTCTTGAACCTCTAGGCTCAAGTAGTCCTCCCACCTCAGTCGCCAAAGTAGCTGGGATTATGGGTACACACCAGCACACCAATTTTGTTAAAGTTTTGTAGAGATGTGGTCTCACAATGTTGTCCAGGCTGGTCTTGAATTCCTGGGCTCAAGTGATCCTCCCACCTCGGCCTCCCGAAGTGCTGGGATGACAGGCACAAGCCACCGCGCCCGGCCTTGAGTTGGGTTTTCTATCGTTTGCAATCCAAAGATTCCCAACTGAGGTTAAGAGGCACAGAGGCCTAGGGACAGAGGGGCAGGAAGGCAGACACGCATGACACTGTAAGAGGGTCACGAATGCTAGGCTGCTGCTCATTCTGCAGAAAATGATCATCACTTAACTCATGGGGTCTATTCGAACACAGTCAAAAAGGAGAAGCTCGGAGGAATGGGTTAAAATATAACAGGGCTAGCCAGCTCCCTCCCACCCGCTACAGGCCTGAAAGGAGCCCCTCCTCCTAATGCACGGCTCTGACTCAGCGCGAGGCTGATCCGGAAAACAGGGTCAGGGTGAACTGACTGTGCTCAGCAGCGTTAAGTCAGGTCATGATGATATGAGGCTGTAAGCAGCTCTCTCTCTCCAGAACAAGGTGGCAATGACATCACTTAAGGGAGGGAACGGGGACTTCTCTGAAGGGGGAAAATACAAAGAACGTGGGCTTTGGAGTCAGAATGTCTGCTGTTCACATCCTGGTGTGGCCAAACATTCGCTGATGTCTCTGAATCTTGTAAAAATGGGCATCTCTTGGTCTGACGCACAGATTGTTGAGGATAAACCAGGTGACATCACAGGAGGTCCCGGCACAGCTCTGAGCGTGCAGGAGGCACGCAATGCATGTTTGTTCTCCTGGGAGAGGACAGTTTCCCTCTTAACCCCAGGTGTCAGCAGGCATGCAGTGAGTGCTGGTTCCTTGCAACGGACCTCCCAGGAATGCTGCTGTCACACGGTGTGGCTAAGGTCCCCTCCTGGGCTCATGGAGGAATGTGTAAGGAAGGCTCCTTATCTCTCCTGCCCTTGTTTCCCTCTTTCCCCTTCAATCTGAGCACCAGCAGGAAGGCGAGAGTTATATGGACCAGCTGTGCTAGGCCTGGGCATGGGCCTGTGCTAGGGGTGGGGAGGTTGCCAGCTCCTACCCGTTCTTCTTGGGCAGGTAGGCCTCCATGTCGAAGAAGACGTCCTGCCGCTCCTTGATGTTCGCTGCCATCTGCTGAACGAGCTCCGCCTCCTCCCGACTGGCATGGCGTTTGCACCTGCGG
Source organism: Homo sapiens (assembly GCF_000001405.40). Lineage (NCBI taxonomy): Eukaryota > Metazoa > Chordata > Mammalia > Primates > Hominidae > Homo > Homo sapiens. The sequence goes on along the minus strand of NC_000012.12, from coordinate 121,748,319 downwards.
ACAGAGATGCAGGCACAGGGGAAGGGGCGTCACTCAGAGGGAGGAGGGCTATGGACTCCCCGGGCCCCAGCCTCCCACCTTCTACCCCAGTGCCTCCTACCTTCTACCCCAGCCTCCCACCTTCTACCCCAGCCTCCCACCTTCTACCCCAGTGCCTCCCACCTTCTACCCCAGCCTCCCACCTTCTACCCCAGCCTCCCACCTTCTACCCCAGCCTCCCACCTTCTACCCCAGTGCCTCCCACCTTCTACCCCAGCCTCCCACCTTCTACCCCAGTGCCTCCCACCTTCTACCCCAGCCTCCCACCTTCTACCCCAGTGCCTCCCACCTTCTACCCCAGCCTCCCACCTTCTACCCCAGTGCCTCCCACCTTCTACCCCAGCCTCCCACCTTCTACCCCAGTGCCTCCCACCTTCTACCCCAGCCTCCCACCTTCTACCCCAGTGCCTCCCACCTTCTACCCCAGCCTCCCGCCTTCTACCCCAGCCTCCCGCCTTCTACCCCAGCCTCCCGCCTTCTACCCCAGCCTCCCGCCTTCTACCCCAGCCTCCCGCCTTCTACCCCAGCCTCCCGCCTTCTACCCCAGCCTCCCGCCTTCTACCCCAGCCTCCCGCCTTCTACCCCAGCCTCCCGCCTTCTACCCCAGCCTCCCGCCTTCTACCCCAGCCTCCCGCCTTCTACCCCAGCCTCCCGCCTTCTACCCCAGCCTCCCGCCTTCTACCCCAGCCTCCCGCCTTCTACCCCAGTGCCTCCCGCCTTCTACCCCAGCCTCCCGCCTTCTACCCCAGCCTCCCGCCTTCTACCCCAGCCTCCCGCCTTCTACCCCAGCCTCCCGCCTTCTACCCCAGCCTCCCGCCTTCTACCCCAGCCTCCCGCCTTCTACCCCAGCCTCCCGCCTTCTACCCCAGCCTCCCGCCTTCTACCCCAGCCTCCCGCCTTCTACCCCAGCCTCCCGCCTTCTACCCCAGCCTCCCGCCTTTTACCCCAGCCTCCCGCCTTCTACCCCAGTGCCTCCCGCCTTCTACCCCAGCCTCCCGCCTTCTACCCCAGCCTCCCACCTTCTACCCCAGTGCCTCTCGCAACCGCAGTTCCCCATCTCAACTCTCGGGGTTGGAGGAGTGATGCTGCCTCCCAGGTAGTCTTGTGACTTTCAGAAAGTCCTTAAACCTCTCTGCCTTATTTTCCATACCTGAAAAGCCGGGATAACCTCAAGCCTACCTCACAGACAATAGCCTGGTGAGGATTAAATGAGTAAGTACAGCATAGAGCATCTAGAATAATACTTGATAGTATGAGCTCAAGGGATAATTACTGACAATACTATTTTTCTTCTCATTTTTCTTTTCTTTTCTTTTTTTTTTTGAGACAGAGTCTTGCTCTGTCGCCCAGGCTGGAGTGCAGTGGCGCCATCTCGGCTCGCTGCAAGCTCCGCCTCCTGGGTTCACGCCATTCTCCTGCCTCAGCCTCCCAAGTAGCTGGGATTACAGGTGCCTGCCACCACGCCCAGCTAATTTTTTTTTTGTATTTTTAGAAGAGATGGGGTTTCACCATGTTAGCCAGGATGGTCTCGATCTCCTGACCTCATGATCTGCCTGCCTCGGCCTCCCAAAGTGTTGGGATTACCGGCGTGAGCCACCACGCCCGGCCTTCTTCTCATTTTTCTAAAGAAATAGCTAGCAGGCATGATGTTATAGTCCCAGCACATACGCCTATGATCCCAGCACTTTGGGAGGCCAGGGCAGGAGGATCACTTGAGGCCATGAGTTTGAGACCAGCCTGACTAACATAGCAAGACCCCGTCTCTATAAAAAATTAATTAAAGAAAACAACCAAGGCCGGGTGCAGTGGCTCAAGCCTGTAATCCCAATACGTTGGGAGGCTGAGGTGGGCCGATCACCTGAGGTTGGGAGTTCAAGACCAGCATGACCAATATGGAGAAACCCCGTCTCTACTAAAAATACAAAATTAGCTGGGCATGGTGGTGCATGCCTGTAATCCCAGCTACTCGGGAGGCTGAGGCAGGAGAATCGCTTGAACCCGGGAGGCAGAGGTTGCAGTGAGCCAAGATCGCACCATTGCACTCCAGCCTGGGCAACAAGAGCGAAACTCTGTCTCAAAAAAAAAAAAAAGTGGGGGGGCGGTTTAAGAAAACAACCAGGGGCTGGGTGTGGTGGCTCATGCCTGTAATCCCAGCACTTTGGGAAACTGAAGTGGGCAGATCACCTGAAGTCAGGAGTTCGAGACCAGCCTGGCCAAAATGGCAAAACCCTGTCTCTACTGAAAATATAAAAATCAGCTGGGTGTGGTGGCAGGCCCCTATAATCCCAGCTACTTGGGAGGCTGAGGCAGGAGAATCACTTGAACCCGGGAGGCAGAGGTTCAGTGAGCCAAGATAGCACCACTGCATTCCAGCCTGGGTGACAGAGCAAAACTCCATCTCAAAAACAACAACAACAATAACAAAAAACAACAACCAAGCATGGTGGTACATGCATGTAGTCCTAGTATTCATGAGGCTAAGGTGGGAGGATCGCTTGAGCCCAGGAGATCAAGGCTGTGGTGAGCCGTGATTGCGCCACTGCACTCCAGCCTGGGTGACAGAGCAAGACACTATCTCAAAAAAAGTAAGGCCAGGCATGGTGGCTCACACCTGTAATCTCAGCACTTTGGGAGGCCGAGGCAGGATGATCACTTAAGGTCAGGAATTTGAGACCAGCCTGGCCAACATGGTGAAACCCTGTCTCTAGTAAAAGTACAAAAATTAGCTGGGCGTGGTGGCGGGCACCTGTAATCCCAGCTACTCGGGAGGCTGAGACAGGAAGAATTGCTTGAACCCGGGAGGCAGAGGTTGCAGTGAGCCGAGATTGCACCACTGCACCCCAGCCTGGGCAACAGAGCGAGACTTCATCTCTGAATGAATGAATGAATGAATGAAAATAATTTTAAAAAATAGAAATAAAGGAATAACCTACAGATGACCAAGAGACAGACAAAAAGGCACCTGAAAGCATAAGCAGTCGACCAATCATGGTCTGTTATTCTTTGGTAACACGGAACTCTCAAAACCAGAAAACAAGTCAGCAGACACATCTCAGAATGACAGGGGTCCTTGGTCTAAGACCCTAACTCACGGGTCAACCTTCTAACCCAGCACTTCTCAACTGAGGACAGCTGGCAATGCCTGGAGAGATCTTGGTGGACACACCTGGGGCAGGAGTGCTACTGGCATCAGTGGGCAGAGGCCAGGGATGCTACTCACTATCCCACAGTGCACTGCACGGCCCCCACAAAGACCCATCAATAGTGCTGGGGTTCGCCATGTGCCCATCTGTGAAGCAATCACTGAGAATCTGAAGAAACTCTAGACTCTGAGCCCTGCCATTACCAAGATGTGTTTTTCCAAAGCCACATCTGGTGACGTGTTTGCACAGGGCCATCCACACTCTCTACCCCTTAGTTGCGGGCCTCCATTTCCAAAATGGCCAGCCACACTGAGAGCTATAATCAGGACCTTCCTCCAAAATTGTCCACAAGGAAAGAGTTGACCAGGAGTCCCAGATTCTAAAATGGAGGCCCAGCTAAGTGACCTGGGACAAGTCACTTGGAGCCTCAGTTTCCCTGCCTGACAATGGGGTCACGGCATCCACTGGGCCCCTTCACATACCAGGCAGGAGGGGACTTCCCAGACCTGGAGACCATGAGTGTCAGGAAATGAACACGATCCAGGCCTTGGGAACTGAACTAAGCTATGAGCTCAAGCACATCTCCACCAGGGATGGCAGCCTAGTGGCCACTACACCAGCAACCCCAGTGGGGAGGGCACCCCACACCCACAAAAGGACGCTGCCTGCTTACTTGTCCGGCAGGGCACCTTCCTATAACAGCACCCAACTTTCACCCGGGAAACTACTTATCTTCTTCTCCCATCACCCATGTGGCCATCCCTCCACCGCCCAGGGCCACAGACTTAGCACACGGCATGGCGCTGCCCAAGCAGCTTCTCAGTGATTGGTTCACAAATGGGCATTCAACCAATCCCAGCCAATGAGGACTGAACCCAGAATGTCGGCTGAAGTACTGGGAACGAGAAACTCTCGGCCAGGCACAGTGGCTCATGCCTGTAATCACAGCTACTCAGGAGGCTGAGGCAGGAGAATCGCTTGAACCCAGGAGACAGAGGTTGCAGTGAGCCGAAATCATGCCATGGCACTCCAGCCTGGGCAACAGAGTGAAAGACTCCATTTCAAGAAAAAAAAAAAAAAAAAAAGAGAGACACTCTCCTTCAGCCAGGGTGGCACAGCCGGCAGGAAGCAAGGCTGGAGAATATAAGCCTGGCACTGCTGGTGAAGGGGACAGTCACCCTGAGAGTGACACCAATCCAGAGGAAGGCAGAATTTAGAGGGAAAAATACATGCCCCAAAACACCCTTTGACTCCTGGATCCAGTGATGCCTGAAGCAACTCCCAGTCCTGTCTTTTTCCACTGAGATTTCCATTCTCTGCTTCAGCCTGTTTTGAGTTGGACTTCTGTCCCTCAGAACCAGGGCAGCCCCCGGGCTACAGCTGCACCTACCTCTGGAGTGTAAGCTTCAAGTCCTTGAGGTGCTTCTTCTGCTTACTGATGGAACTGCTACACAGCGTCTGCAGCGCAGCCAGCTCCTCCAGCTTCTGCTTGTAGATCCTGTGCGTCTCCTGAAGAACAGGGGACCCGGGGGAGGGTGTGTGGGAGAATATGAACAGCTCATTTTCTTTTCTTTTTTTTTTTGAGAGAGTCTCGCTCTGTCACCCAGGCTGGAGTGCAGTGGCATGATCTTGGCTCACTGCAACCTCCGCCTCCTGGGTTCAAGCGATTCTCCTGCCTCAGCCTCCCAAGTAGCTGGGACTACAGGTGCCCACAACTACGCCCAGCTAATTTTTTTTTTTTTGGTATTTTTAGTAGAGATGGGGTTTCACCATATTGGCCAGGCTGGTCTCGAACTCCTGGCCTTGTGACCTGCCCGCTTCGGCCTGCCAAAGTGCTGGGATTACAGGCGTGACTCACCACACCCAGCCAATAAATCACTCTTTATTTAGTGTTCACTTTGAGTTGAGTTTCTGATCCTGACAATGAAGAGAGTTCCTGTTAGGTCAACTAAGAAAAGCACATACCCCTTTCCTTAAAGCCACCCTCCCCACTCCAGACACAGTCACTCCAATGAATTCAATAGCTCATTCCTGAAATAACCATTCAGGGCCACAAGGCCAGGAAAAATATAAGAGACTTCGCCCCAGTGCTGGGGGAACAGAAAACAGTAACTTCTTGACTTTGCCACCATCACATACCTCCAAATAAATACCACCACAGGCAGGGAAACAACCCCTTATCTCTGGACTTCTAAGACAAACACCAACAATCTAGGGAAACCAGCATGGGAGATGAAGACCATGACATTAAAAACAATAAGCTGGCCGGACGCGCTGGCTCACGCCTGTAATCCCAGCACTTTGGGAGGCTGAGGCAGGTAGATCAGAGGTCAGGAGTTCGAGACCAGCCTGGCCAACATGGCAAAACCCCGTCTCTACTAAAAATGTAAAAATTAGCCAGGCGGGCGTCTGTAATCCCAACTACTTGGGAGACTGAGGCAGGAGAATCACTTGAACCCAGGGGGCGGAGGTTGCAGTGAACTAAGACCACGCCACTTCACTCCAGCCTGGGCGAAAGTATGAAACTCCGTCTCAAAAAATAAAAATAAAAACAAAAACAATAAGCCACTGCTCACTTTGGCAGCACATGTACCAAAATTAGAATGATACAGACAAGGTCAACATGGGTCTTGAGGAATTAAAAAACATTGAAAAACAAAGCAACGATAAGCCAACAAACATATTTAAAGTGATTTTTTTTGTTTTGTTTTGTTTTTAGCAGTTGAAGAGATGGATTTATTAGAGGGAGAGCAAAAGGGGATGGTCCAACAGTGAGCACAGAGGCTAAACTCCCCTGCCTGCCAAGCAAGGCACCTAGGTATGAAAATTAAGTCAGGCCGGGCACGGTGGCTCACGTCTGTAATCCCAGCACTTTGGGAGGCCAAGGCAGGCAGATAATTTGAGGTCAGGAGTTCGAGACCAGCCTGACCAAAATAGTGAAACCCTGTCTCTACTAAAAATACAAAAATCAGCCGGGCATGGTGGCGTATGCCTGTAGTCCCAGCTACTCTGGAGGCTGAGACAGGAGAATCGTTTGAATCTGGGAGTCGGAGGTTGCAGTGAGCTGAGATCGTGCCACGGCACTCCAGCCTAGGTGACAGAGCAAGACTCCATCTCAAAAAAAAAAAAAGGAAGTTAAGTCAGTAAATAAGGAAGAGGCAAAGGCTAAGAATTAACTAGATGACAATTAGGAGACATCCAAGAATGCTGTGAGTGAGTCACCTTGGCCCACCCACTAGGAAGATGAAAGGGTGACTCCCTTCTCTCCTTCCTGGGCCCCCCAGGAAGGAAAAATCAATGCTTTTATTTTACTTAATGTTTTTATTTTAAAATAATTTCAAGTTGGGCATGGTGGCTCACGCCTGTAATCCCAGCTACTCGGGAGGCTAAGGCATGAGAATTGCTTGAACCCAGGAGGTGGAGGTTGCGGTGAGCTGAGATTATGCCACTGCACTCCAGAGTGAGACTCCGTCTCAAATAAATAAATAAATGAATAATAATAATAATAATTTCAGGCGCAGTGGCTCATGCCTGTAATCCCAGCACTTTGGGAGGCCAAGGCAGATGGATCACCTGAAGTCAGAAGTTTGAAACCAGCCTGACTAACATGGAGAAACCCTGTCTCTACTAACAACACAAAATTAGCCAGGCGTGATGGCACATGCCTGTAATCCCAGCTATTCAGGAGGCTGAATCAGGAGAATCGCTTGAACCCGGGAGGCACAGGTTGTGGTGAGCCGAGATCGCGCCATTGCACTCCAGCTTGGGCAACAAGAGTGAAACTCTGTCTCAAAATAATAATAATAGTAATAATAATAATTTCAAGCTTGCAGAATTACAAAAACAATACAAAGAACTCGCCTCTATTCTTCACCAGATTCACTAGCTGTTCCATCATGCTGTATTTGCTTTATCCCCCATGTATGTGTGCCTGCCTGTGTGTTCTTTTTCTCTATCAAGCAGGCATTCGTAAACCACCGCCGCAGGCCAAGTCTGGCTACCTAATTTTGTATGCTCAGTAAGACAGAAATGGGTTTTGCAGGGTTGAAAAAAAATCACAAGAATCTTTCGTGGTGTGTGAAAATTATATAAATTGGCATTGCAGTATCCATAAATAAAGTTTTATTGGAACACAGCCACACCCACCCATTCAAATATTCCCTGTGGCTGTGCTGGGACTCTAACAGCAAAACAAGTAGTTGTGACAGAGACCATATGGCCCATAAAGCTCAAAATTTTTACTATTTGGCCTTTTACCAAAAAGATTTGCCCACTCCAGTGCTAAACCATTTGGGAGTCAGTTGCAGGCAACACACCTCTTTTCTCCTAAATAGTACAGTGTGTATATAGTAAGAACAGCTATATTCTCTCAAATATCCATAGTACAATTATCAAATGCAACTGACCCTTAAACGACACGGGTTTCAACTGCATGTCCACTTATACACAGATTTTCTTCCACCTCTGCCACCCCGAGACAGCAAGACCAAGCCCTCCTCTTCCTCCTCCTGCTACTCCTCAATGTGAAGACACAAAGGATGAAGACCTTTACAATGGTGCACTTCCACTTAATGAAGAGTAAATATATTTTCTCTTCCTTATGATTTTCTTAATAACACTTTCTTTTCTCCAGCTTTTTGGTTTTTTTTTTTAAGACAGAGTCTCACTCTTGTTGCCCAGGCTGGAGTGCAGTGGCATGATCTCGAATCACTGCAACCTTCACCTCCCCGGGTTCAAGCGATTCTCCTGCCTCAGCCTCCCGAGTAGCTGGGATTACAGGCATGCACCACCACGCCTGGCTAATTTTGTATTTTTAGTAGAGACAGGGTTTCTCCATGTTGGTCAGGCTGGTCTCGAACTCCCAAACTCAGATGATTCACCTGCCTCAGCCTCCCAAAGTGCTGGGATTACAAGCATGAGCCACCGTGCCAGGCCTCTCTAGCTTTCTTTATTGTAAGAATACAATGTATAATGCATACATAAAATGTGTGTTAATCAACTGTATCTGTTATCAGTGAGACTCTGGTCAACATTAGGCTGATAGAAGTTTTGTGGGAGTCGCCGGGCGCGTTGGCTCACGCCTGTAATCCCAACACTTTGGGAGGCCAAGATGGGCCGATCACCTGAGGTCAGGAGTTTGAGACCAGGCTGACCAACATGGTGAAACCCCATCTCTACTAAAAACACAAAAATTAGCCGGGCATGGTGGCGGGCACCTGTAATCCCAGGTACTCAGGAGGCTGAGGCAGGAGAATCGCTTCAACCCGGGAGGGGGAGATTGCAGTGAGCTGAGATCACACCACTGCACTCTGTCTCAAAAAAAAAAAAAAAAAAAAAAAGAAGTGTTGCAGGAGTCAAAAGTTTCCGGCCAGGCTGGGTGGTTCACACTTGTAATCCCAGCACTTTGGGAGGCTGTGGTGTGTGGATCACTTGAGGCCAGGAGTTCAAGACCAGCCTGGTCAACATGGTGAAACCCGTCTCTACTAAAAATACAAAAATTAGCCAGGTGTGGTGGCGGGCGCCTGTAGTCCCAGCTACTCGGAAGGCTGAGGTGGGAGGATTACTTGAACCCAGGAGGTGGTGGCTGTAGTTAGCTGAGATCGTGTCACTGCACTCCAGCCTCAGTAACAGAGGGAGACTCTGTTCCAAAAAAAAAAGAAGTTACATATTTGGCTTTTTGACTGATTGGCACCCCTAACCCCACCTTGTTCAAGGGTCAATTGTCTAGAAAATGTAACGTTGATATAACACAATGCTATGGCCTCATATACCACTCAAATTCAAATTTTGCTAACTGTCTCTTTTATGGCAATTTTCCTCCAGATCTTGGATCCAATTCAGTCTCATGCCTTCTGGTACTGTTCATATCTCTTTACTCTCCTTTAATCTAGAACAATCTCCCAATCTCTGTCTTTCGTGAATTTAAGTTTGTTTTTGTTTTTTGTTTTTTGAGACAGAGTTTGACTCTTGTCGCCCAGGCCAGAGTACAGTGGTGCGATCTTGGCTCACTGCAACCTCTGCCTCCCGGGTTCAAGCAATTCTCCTGCCTCAGCCTCCCAAGTAGCTGGGATTATAGGTGCCACCATACCCAGCTAATTTTTGTATTTTTAGTAGAGATGGACGGGGTTTCACCATGTTGGCCAGGCTGGTCTGGAACTCCTGACCTCAAATGATCCTCCCACCTCGGCCTCCCAAAGTGCTGGGATTACAGGCATGAGCCACCATGCCCGGCCGAACTTAAGTTTTTAAAGAGTTCGGTCCAGTTGTCTGGAAGAATGTCCCCCAGTGGGGGTCTGCGGATGTTTCCTCATGATTTGGGGTATGTGTGGGGACCAGCATGCTACTAAAAGGATGTTGTGCCCTTATTAGTGGCTCCTGCCAGTAGGGACACCGTGTCCACGATGCTAACTTTGCTTGGTAAAGGCAGCCAGGATGCCCATCCAGTTTCTGCGCTATGTAGCGTCCAACTTTCCACTGGTAATTAATAAGTTATCTGTGTGGAGAAAGGCTGTGTTTTAATCACTTTTGAATTATTCAGTGCTAAACAGCCCTGTATGTCCAACAAATACCTGCTGGTAATGAACCCAGACAAGGAGGACAGAGGTGGAGAGATCCTGCCCAGATGATGCAACCTTGGGGAAGACGGGGCCCTGGCCTGAGAGGCTGCTGCGAGATAAGGGGCCCGCACCCCTCCTGGTGGCCTTTGGTGCTGGGTCCCGCCATGGAGAGATAAGACCAGGGCTGCAAAATCAGCTGCCAGATGCTCATCAGGCCCTCATCTGTTTCAATTAATATTTAATGTCACAAGTAAAACATGAAGACATCATCCTTGTTAAAAATTAAAACACCACAGCTATGGCTGAGGTCTGCTTTTTTTTTTGAGATGGAGTCTCTCTCTGTGGCCAGGCTGGAGTCCAGTGGCGCAATCTCGGCTCACTGCAACCTCTGCCTCCTGGGTTCAAGCAATTCTCCTGCCTCAGCCTCCCGAGTAGCTGGGATTACAGGCATGCGCCACCATGCCCAGCTAATTTTTGTATTTTTATATTTTTAGTAGAGTAGATTTTTAGTAGAATAGATTACAGGTGTGAGCCACTGTGCCTGGACTTTCTTTTTTTTTTTTTTTTTGTGGAGACAGGGTCTCACTCTATCACCCAGGCTAGAGTGCAGGGGCTCCACCTCAGGTCACTGTATGCTCCACCTCCCGGGTTCAAGTAATTCTTGTGCCTCAGCCTCCCAAGTAGCTGGGACTACAGGCGTGCACCACCATGTCCAACTAATTTTTGTATTTTTAGTAGAGATGGGGTTTCACCATGTTGACTAGGCTGGTCTCAAACTCCTGGCCTCAAGTGATGCGCCCACTTTGGCCTCCCAAAGTGCTGGGGTTACAGATGTGAGACACTGCACCTGGCAACTTGTGCAAGTTCTGAACCACATTTTTTATTAGGAACTGCTTGCCCTCCACCCTCTCTTCCCTGGCTGGGAAATGCAACAAAGGGCTCAGTTACCTTGAAGCCAGAAATGGAAGTCACATGATGCAAATGGCAGAGGCCATTGCCCCTCCCCAACCAAACTAACCTGAGTCCCAACGCAACCTCATGGGACAGAGCTTCCCAACTGTGACTTTTTTTTTTTTGAGACAGAGTCTTGCTCTGTCACCCACGCTGGAGTGCAGTGGCACAATCTCGGCTTACTGCAACCTCCGCCTCCTAGGTTCAAGTGATTCTCCTGCCTCAGCCTCCCGAGTAGCTGAGATTAAGGGTGCATGCAACCACACCCAGCTAATTTTTGTATTTTTAGTAGAAACAGGGTTTCATCATTTTGGCCAGGCTGGTATCAAACTCATGACCTTGGGTAATCCGCCCACCTCGGCCTCCCAAAGTCTGGGTTTACAGACGTAAGCCACCATGTCCCGTCCACTGTGATGGTTTTAAAACAGGGTCACCTATTCTTTATTATGCCTCACATAGAGAGGCAGTGCCTCTGTTCTCTCTCCTTAAATCTAGGTAGGCTTGTGACTAGTCTGACAATAGAATATGGCAGAATTGACACTACATAACTTCTGAGAAAAAGTCACGGAAGGCCCTGTGGCTTCCACCTAAGTTCCTGGAGCAACTAAGGAAGTGGAACTAGTTGCTCTTGGAGCAAAAAGTCCAGCTATCCTGAGGCAACCATGCTATATAGAAGCTTTAACCACAGAGACAAGTCCCAGGTAGTCACTCCAATCAGTAGCCCCAACTAAGACAAATCTGTCAGTCCCGCATAGGTTCCAGACATGTACGTAAAGAAACGTCCAGGCCAGGTGCAGTGGCTCGCACCTGTAATCCCGACACTTTGGGAGGCCAAAGTGGGCAGATCACCTGAGGTCAGGAGTTTGAGACCAGCCTTGCCAACATGGTGAAACCTCATCTCTACTAAAATTACAAAAATTAGTGTGGTGGTGCATGCCTATAATCCCAGCTACTCCAGAGGCTGAGGCAGGAGGATTGCTTGAACCCGGGAGGCGGAGGTTGCAGTGTGCTGAGAGTGTGCCACTGCGCTCCAGCCTGGTCAACAGAGGGAGACTCTGTCTCAAAAAGAAAAAGAAGGCCGGGCATGGTGGCTCACACCTGTAATCCCAGCACTTTGGGAGGCCAAGGCAGGCGGATCACCTGAGGTCAAGAGTTCGAGACCGGCCGGGCACGGTGGCTCACGCCTGTAATCCCAGCACTTTGGGAGGCCAAGGCGGGCGGATCACAAGGTCAGGAGATCGAGACAATCCTGGCTAACATGGTAAAACCCCGTCTCTACTAAAAATACAAAAAAAAAAAAAACACCAAACAATTAGCCAGGCATGGTGGCAGGAGGCTGAGGCAGGAGAATGGAGTGAACCTGGGAGGCAGAGGTTGCAGTGAGCTGAGACCACGCCACTGCACTCCAGCCTGGGCCACAGAGCGAGACACGCCGTCTTAAAAATAAATAAATAAATAAATAAAATGTGCAACAGTAACTTGATGCCTCATCCAGAAATGTTGCTGAAGCTAGGTAAGCTTCCATTTAGAGAAAACGTATCTAGTAACTCACCACCCTGCAAGTTTGGTGTTACTATGTAGTTTTTCTTCTTGAGTGAAAGTCCTTAGGTAGTAACACTTTTATAGATTATTGTTTAAAATCTGGTAATATGGCCAGGCGCACTGTAATCCCAACACTTTGGGAGGCCGATGCGGGTGGATCACGAGGTCAGGGGTTCAAGACCAGCCTGACTAACACGGTGAAACCCCCGTCTCTACTAAAAATATAAAAATTAGCCGTGTGTGGTGGTATGCGCCTGTAATCCCAGCTACTCAGGGGACTGAGGCAGAAGACTCACTTGAACCCAGGAGGCGGAGGTTGCAGTGAGCCGAGAATGCGCCACTGCACTCCAGCCTGGGCGACAGAGTGAGACTTGGTCTCAAAAAAAAAAAAGGCCGGGCACGGTGGCTCATGCCTGTAATCCCAGCATTTTGGGAGGCCAAGGCAGGCGGATCACAAAGTCAACAGATCGAGGCCATCCTGGCCAACATTGTGAAACCCTATCTCTACTAAAAATACAAAAATTAGCTGCCCATGGTGGTGTGCGCCTGTAGTCCCAGCTACTCGGGAGGCTGAGGCAGGAGAATTACTTGATCCCAGGACGCGGAGGTTGCAGTGAGCCGAGATCGTGCCACTGCACTCCAGCCTGGCAACAGAGCAAGACTCTGTCTCAAAAAAAAAAAAAATCTGGTAATATGGTATTTATTTGTAATTATGCTTGCAACTTTATTTAAATCTATTTATTCTCTTTAATGTTTGTTTTTATACAGATATGACTTCATAAAATAACTAGTATAAATTGGTAATAAGCAGTTTCTGCTGCTGGTCTGTCACTGAATGCCTTGTTTTCACTAAGTTGGGAGGTTTTGTTTCTGGGTTTTTTTTTTTGTTTTTTTTTTTTTTTGAGACAGAGTCTTGCTCTGTTGCCCAGGCTAGAGTGCACTGGTGCGATCTTGGATCACTGCAACCTCTGCCTCCTGGGTTCAAGTGATTCTCCTGCCTCAGCCTCCCAAGTAGCTGGGACTACAGGCGCATGCCACCACACCCAGCTAATTTTTTGTATTTTACTGCTCCTTGAAGAGCAGGGCTAACCCATGGGCAGCATGTCCAGAATAGCCTGGGTGAAGTTATGTACATATATACTAAATATTAATGTCCTTTTTTTTTTCTTTTTTTGAGATGTAGTTTTGCTCTTGTCGCCCAGGCTGGAGTGCAATGGCACTATCTCAGCTCGCTGCAACCTCCACCTCCCAGGTTCAAGTGATTCTCCTGCCTCAGCCTCCAAAGTACCTGGGATTACAGGCACCTGCCATCACGCCCAGCTAATTTTTGTATTTTTAGTAGAGATGGGTTTTGCCATGTTGGCCAGGCTGGTTTCAAACTCCTGACCTCAGGTGATCCACCCATCTCAGCCTCGCAAAGTGCTGGGATTACAGGTGTGAGCCACCATGCCCAGCCTGTCCATTTTTTAAAAGAAGTAAAAATAAAACTTATTTTGCAAACTAAAAAAACAAAGAAAAAGAAACTTTCATGGCCAGGCGTGGTGGCTCACGCCTGTAATCCCAGCACTTTCGGATGCCAAGGTGGGTGGATCATCTGAGGTCGGGAGTTCGAGACCAACCTGACCAACATGGAGAAACCCCATCTCTACTAAAAGTACAAAATTAGCCAGGCATGGTGGTTCATGCCTGTAATGCCAGCTACTCAGGAGGCTGAGGCAGGAGAATTGCTTGAACCTGGGAGGCAGAGGTTGCAGTGAGCCAAGATCATGCCATTGCACTCCAGCCTGGGCAACAAGAGCAAAACTCCATCTCAAAAAAAAAGAAAAAGAAAGAAACCTCCAGAAGATTCCAGCCCCAGCCATGTGAGTTACCCCTCGCCACTCAAGTTTTCCCAGAAAAGGCACCAGACATCACAGAGCACAGTCAGGCCTCCCTCTATGCCCTGTCTATATTCCTGACCCACAGAATCCACGAGCATCAGGCAGCCGTTGTTTTATGCACCGTAGATAAAAAACACCACTCACCCTGGGCCACGCCGCCCTCTGGACTGTCATGTGACAAAGAAACTACTTAATTCCAGGCATTTTACTTTCAGATCTCTTTGTGACAGCAGCGTAGCTTATACCCTAAACACATCCTTTGGGTTTTTTAAAAGTATATTAACAGTATCAGAATATACATTAGATTCCATAACTTGCTTTTCTCACTCAATAATATGTCTTGGAGATCTACGCACATAACAATATATGGGGCCAGGTGCAGTGGCTCACACCTGTAATCCTAGCACTTTGGGAGGCCGAGGTGGGCGGATCACTTGAGGTCAAGAGTTCGAGACCAGCCTGGCCTACATGGCGAAACCCCATCTCTACTAAAAATACAAAAATTAGCCAGGCATGATGGTGCACACCTGTAATCCCAGTTACTTGGGAGGCTGAGGCATGAGAGTTGCTTGAACCCAAGGCAGAGGCTGCAGTGAGCCGAGGTCACACCATTGCACTCCGGCCTGGGCAACAGAGTGAGACTCTGTCTCAAAAAAAAAAAAAATACCAGGCACGGTGGCTCACGCCTATAATCCCAGCACTTTGGGAGGCCGAGGCGGGCGGATCATGAGGTCAGGAGATCAAACCCATCCTAGCTAACATGGTGAAACCCCTTCTTTACTAAAAATACAAAAAATTAGCCAGGCATGGTGGCGGGCGCCTGTAGTCCCAGCTACTTGGGAGGCTGAGGCAGGAGAATGGTGTGAACCCAGGAGGCGGAGCTTGCAGTGAGCCGAGATCATGCCAGGGCACTCCAGCCTGGGCAACAGAGCGAGACTCTCTCTCTCAAAAATAAAAAAAGAATATATGGATACACTCCACTCTTTAGTGGTATGCATATTTTGTGCTACAGATATACTCTAGTTTCTTTAGTCCTTCCCCTATTGCTGGATATTTATGTTGCTTCCTGTGTCTGACTATAACCAACAATGCAAAAGAATAGTATCCTTGCACGGCCTCTCTGGGCACACAGGCAAGTATGTCTCTAGAGAAGATTTCTCTGGGGAAGAGAGGTAAAATTGCAGGTCAGAGGGTACAGGCTTGTTATTAGATTTTTTTTTTTTTTTTTTGAGACAGAGTCTCCCTCTGTTGCCCAGGCTGGAGTGCAGTGGCGCGACCTCGGCTCACTGCAACCTCCGCCTCCCAGGTTCAAGTGATTCTCCTGCCTCAGCCTCCCAAGTAGCTGGGACTACAGGCACGTGCCACCACGCCCGGCTAATTTTTTGTATTTTTAGTAGAGACAGGGTTTCACCATGTTAACCAGGATGGTCTGGATCTCCTGACTTTGTGATCCACCTGCCTCGGCCTCCCAAAGTGCTGGGATTACAGGCGTGAGCCACCGCGTCCGGCCTTGTTATTAGATTTAGTAAGTTTTGGCAAACTGCCCTTCAGAGTAGCTATACCAATTTATAGTCCCACCCACAGCATATAACAGCTGTCCACATCTGAGCAACACTCCATGCTATAAACATTTAATTTTTTTCAGGTACTTTTCTAATGTTCCACTGGTGATGGTGACTGGATAAGAATGGTTAATCCGTGGGCCTTCCCATAATTTTGTCCCCTGATACACGAGGTCATTCCTGCTCCCCTGCAATTCTCTCGCTCTGTCATTGGCCAGAGTCATTTCAGGGGTAAAGGGGAGGGATCCCTCACTGGAGGTCACACACACCTAGTCCACCCCCAGCCTTAGCTCTAGGCTCAGGATTTGCCAGCCACGAGGAGGACAACATGGAGTGAGGGGAGCCACAAACAAGGACCTTAGTGTGACACATTCTCCACCCGCAAGGCATTCTGCGCCCACGCCCAGTCTTCGTGGATTCCACCCTTGTGCCAGCCTCACAAGCAGTGGGAAAGGTCATCAATTCATTTCTTGTATCCTTACTTTTTTCCAGACTCTTTCTTTCCTTTTGAGATGGAGTCTTGCTCTGCTGCCCAGGCTGGAGTGCAATGGCCCGATCTCTGCTCACTGCAACCTCTGCCTTTTGGGTTCAAGAGATTCTACTGCTTCAGCCTCCCGAGTAGCTGGGGCTACAGGCGCCCGCCACCACGCCCAGCTAATTTTTGTATGTTTAATAGAGACAGCATTTCACCGTGTTAGCCAGGCTGGTCTCAAACTCCTGACCTCAGGTGATCCGCCTGCCTCGGCCTCCCAAAGTACTGGGATTACAGGCATGAACCTCTCTTTCATTTTTTAATTGTGGTAAAATATACATAACTTTTAACCATTTGTAAATGTTTTAAATTGTGATAAAATACACAAAATATTTATCCTCTTAATCATTTTAATTGTACAATGCGATGGCATTACACTCATACTGTGGTACAGTCATGTGTCGCTTAAGAAACAGGATCGTTCTAAGAAATGCATTATTAGGCGATGCCGTCATTACGCAAACGTTAGAGTACACCTACAGAAACCTGGATGGTATAGACTATTGCTCCTGGGCTACAAACCTACACAGCATGCTACTGTACTCAATACTGTAGCAGACTGTAACACAGTGGTAAGTATTCATGTATCTAAATGTATCTAAACAGGGCCTAGGGCAGATCACTTGAGGCCAGGAGTTTGAAACCAGCCTGGCCAGTATGGCAAAACCCCTTCTCTGCTAAAAATACTACAAAAATTAGCCAGGCATGGTGGCACCCGCCTGTAATCTCAGCTACTCAGGAGGCTGAGGCAGGAGAATCACTTGAGCTGGGGAGGCAGACGTTGCAGTGAGCCTAGATCGCACCACTGCACTCCAGCCTGGGCGACAAAGCAAGACTACGCCTGAAAAAAATAAAATAAATAAATAAATGTATCTAAACACAGAAAAAGGTACAGTAAAAATATAGCATCATAATCTCATAGGACCACTGTCTTTGACAGACACATCAGTATGCAATGTGTGACTATACCACAATCCATTTCCAGAACTTCACCATGCCAAACAGAAACTATGAACCCATCAAATAATTCCCCATTTCACCTTCCCCTCAGCCCCTGGCAATCACTATTCTGTCTTCTGTCTCTACGAATTTGACTACTCTAGGTACCGCCTGTAAGTGGAATCATACAGTATGTGTCTTTTCTTTTTTTTTTTTGAGACAGAGTTTCGCTCTTGTTACCCAGACTGGAGTGCAGTGGCGCAATCTCGGCTCACCGAAACCTCCGCCTCCTGGGTTCAAGTGATTCTCCTGCCTCAGCCTCCCGAGTAGCTGGGATTACAGGCATGTGCCACCATGCCCAGCTAATTTTTGTATTTTTAGTAGAGATGGCATTTCTCCATGTTGGTCAGGCTGGTCTCGAACTCCCAACCTCAGGTGATCCACCCGCCTCAGCCTCCCAAACTGCTGGGATTACAGGTGTGAGCCACCGCGCCCGGTTTTTTTTTGTTTGTTTTTTTTTTTTTTTTGACTGTGTCTCGCTCTGTCGCCAGGCTGGAGTGCAGTGGAGTGATCTCGGCTCACTGAAACCTCCGCCTCCTGGATTGAAGTGACTCTCCTGTCTCAGCCTTCCAAGTAGTTGGGGCTACAGGCATGCAGTATCATGCCCAGCTAATTTTTGTATTTTTTTTTTTAGTAGAGAAGGGGTTTCACCATATTGGCCAGGATGGTCTCGATCTCCTGACCTCATGATCTGCCCGCCTCTGCCTCCTAAAGTGCTGAGATTACAGGTGTGAGCCACCGTGCCCAGACCAGTATGTGTCCTTTAATGACTGGCTTATTTATCACTTAGCATAATGTGCTCCAGGCTCACCTGTATCATGGCATGTATCAGAATTTCCTTCTTTTTTTTTTTTTTTGAGATGGAGTCTCACTCTGTTGCCAGGCTGGAGTGCAGCGGCCCAATCCTGGCTCACTGCAACCTCCGCTTCCTGGGTTCCAGGGATTCTCCTTCCTCAGCCTCTTGAGTAGCTGGGATTACAGGCGCCTGCTACCACGCCCAGCTAATTTTTGTATTTTTAGTAGAGACGGGGTTTCACCATGTTGGCCAGGATGGTATCGATCTCCTGACCTCATGATCTGCCCACCTCAGCCACCCAAAGTGCTGGGATTACAGGCGTGAGCCACCGCACCTGGCCAGAATTTCCTTCCTTTTTAAGGCTAGTAGTCCACTATATGGACGAGCCACATTTTATTTATCCACGCCTCCACTGATGGATGGAAGATGGGTTGCTTCCATCTTTTGGCTATTGTGAATAGTGCTGCCGTGAGCATGGGTGTACAAATATCTTTCTGAAACCCCGCTTTCTATATTTTAAAAGACGGGATCGCTCTCTGTCGCCCAGGCTGCGGTGCAGTGGCACAATCATGGCTCACTGCAGCCTCAAACTCCTGGGCTCAAGCGATCCTCCCACCTCAGCCTCCCGAGTAGCTAGAACTACAGGCATGTGCCACCCTGTCAGCTTTTTTTTTTTTTTCTTGTAGAGATGGTCTATGTTGCCCAGGCTGATCTCCAACTCCTGGGCTGACGCTATTCTCCCACTTCAGCCTCCCAAAGTGCTGGGATTACAGGTGTGAGCCACCACATCCCACCTGCTTTCAATTGTTTTAGGTATATACCCCAGAAGTGGAATTGCTGGACCATATGGTAATTCGATGTTTAATTTTTTGAGGAACTGCCATACTGTTTTCTATGCAGCTGTCTTGATGCACTGTGCATGGGGCATTTCTGCCAGGTGGACGAGATACAATCCCAGTCTTCCCTTGGAGTCCCTGGCTACTCTTTGCACATCAGGGTGTCTCCAGCAGGCCCTCAGTTGGATCTGTGCTTTGAGATGCTTTTTCCGGGAGCAGAGGGTGAGCCAACGGAGGCACTGCAAGCCTCCAAGCAACCTTGGCCCTGTGGCCTCGAATGGAACCAGCTGGCCGGATGGAGGCTTTCTGCTGTTTTTGCCAATCAGGCAGCCATTCCCCTTCTGGTTAACATCCCCATAGTTTTTTGCGGTACCCATCCCTCTGCCACACTCAGTCCATGAAATGTGGCTAGAAGCAGGGTTAGGCCTGGCCACAGGCTCCAGGAGAGAGCACATGGCCCAGGCCTGGCCAGTCAGAACATCGGCCTCCCAACCCAGCAGGTAATTCAGGGATGGGCATCTGGAACCAGCAAAACTCAGTAGAAGAGGATTTATGAGAACTGCTGAGAAAGAGAAACTCTTCTCTCCCTAGTTCTGAAGGTAGCAAGATGGGGACCCAGAGCTCATAGGGCTGTCTTGCCAGTCTCTGGAGGACCCAGCCTGAGAATGAACCCAGTTTGGGAAAACAGGGCAGAGAGGTAGATGAAAGCGGAGCCCTAATGATTGCACCTGAGCTCCTGGAACTGCTTACACCTGAAGGTAGCACCCTTCTGACTTCCTAATTACATAAGTAAACACGTTCTGTGCTGTTCTGTTTTACCTTCCCAGTTGGGGCTGAGTGTTTCCATTTCAGAAGTGAGTGTCGGCCGGGCGCGGTGGCTCATGCCTGTAATCCCAGCACTTTGGGAGGCCGAGGTGGGCGGATCATCTGAGGTCAGGGGTTTGACACAAGCCTGGCCAACATGGTGAAACCCATTCTCTTTTTTTTTTTTTTTGAGACGGAGTCTCGCTCTGTCGCCCAGGCTGGAGTACAGTGGCGTAATCTCGGCTCACTGCAAGCTCCATCTCCCAAGTTCACGCCATTCTCCTGCCTCAGCCTCCCGAGTAGCTGGGACCACAGGCGCCCACCACCATGCCCGGCTAATTTTTTGTATTTTTAGTAGAGGCAGGGTTTCACTGTGTTAGCCAGGATGGTCTCGATCTCCTGACCTCATGATCCGCCCACCTCTGCCTCCCAAAGTGCTGGCATTACAGGCGTGAGCCACCGTGCCCGGCCTGTGAAACCCATTCCCTACTAAAAATACAAAAATTCGCCAAGCGTCCTGGCAGGCACCTGTAATCCCAGCTATTTGGGAGGCTGAGGCCGGAGAATCACTTGAACCCGGAAGGCAGAGGGCGCAGTGAACCGAGATCACACCACTGCACTCTAGCCTGGGCGACAGAGTGAGACTCTGTCTTAGGGGGAAAAAGAAAAGTGAGTGTCAAAAATCAGATTAATATGGCAAAGAACAGAACTTTCCTTCTGAGCAAAGTTAACCACACTTAGTTAAGAAAAGAAGCTCTGAACCTTGGACTCATTGTTACCAATCTCTTTTTTTTTTTTTTTTTTTGAGATGGAGTGTCGCTCTGTCGCCCAGGCTGGAGTGCAGTGGCACGATCTTGGCTCACTGCCAGCTCCACCTCCCGGGTTCACGCCATTCTCCTGCCTCAGCCTCCCGAGTAGCTGGGACTACTGGCGCCTGCCACCACGCCTGTCTAATTTTTTGTATTTTTTAGTAAAGACAGGGTTTCACCGTGTTAGCCAGGATGGTCTCTATCTCCTGACCTCGTGATCCGCCCGCCTCGGCCTCCCAAAGTGCTGGGATTACAAGCGTGAGCCACCGCACCGGGCCAATGTTACGAATCTCTTAACCAGGGCACGGTCTTTTTTTTTTTTTTTTTTTTTTTGAGACAGGGTCTCTCTCTGTCATGCGGGCTGGAAGGGCAGTGGTGCAATCACAGCTCACCACAGCCTCAACTTCCCCAGCTCAAGTGATCCTCCTGCCTCAGCCTCCCGAGAAGCTGGAACCATGGGCACGCACGACCATGCCTGGCTCATTTTTTATTTTTTTGCAGAGACGGGGTCTCATTATGCTGCCCAGGCTGGTCTCAAACTCCTGGGTTCAAGCAATCCTCTTGCCTTGGCCTCCCAAAGTGCTGGGATGACAGGCATGAGCCATGGCCCCTGGATGTCATCCTAAAGATGTGAAAAACCAGGGACTTGGAGGCTGCTTGAATGATTCCTTCATCAAGCCAGGAACTAAGCAGCACCCCTAAAAATGCATATCTCTGAACACCCACATTGGGTGTTTTTCTACCAAACGGAGAAACTAAAGCATTTTAAAATTATTTGTATGTATCTATTTATTTTGAGACCGGGTTATGAAACTGACTAATTTTTGTATTTGTAGTAGAGATGGGTGTTTGCCATGTTGCCCAGGCTGATCCTGCCTTAGCCTCCCAAAGTGCTGGGATTACAGGCGTGAGCCACCGTGCCCAGCCTGAAGCTTTTTTTTTTTTTTTTTTTTTTTTTTTTTGAGACAGAGTCCCACTCTGTTGCCCAGGCTGAAGTGCAATGGCAAGACCTCAGTTCACTGCAACCTCCATCTCCTGGGTTCAAGCAATTCTCCCTGCCTCAGCCTCCCAAGTAGCTGGGATTACAGGCACGTACCTCCATGCCTGGCTAATTTTTGTATTTTTTTAGTAGAGACAGAGTTTCACCATGTTGGTCAGGTTGGTCTCAAACTCCTGACCTCAGGCAATCCACCTACCTTGGCCTTCCCAAGTGCTGGGATTATAGGCATGAATGAGCCCCTGCACCTGGCCTGAAGCATTATTATTATTATTTTATTTTATTTTTTTTTTTGAGACAGAGTCTCGCTCTGTCACCCAGGCTGGAGTGCAGTAGCGCGATCTCGGCTCACTGCAAGCTCCGCCTCCCAGGTTCATGCCTTTCTCCTGCATCAGCCTCCCGAGTAGCTGGGACTACAGGTGCCTGCCACCATGCCCGGCTAATTTTTTCTATTTTTAGTAGAGACGCGGTTTCACCATGTTAGCCAGGATGGTCTCGATCTCCTGACCTCATGATCCACCTGCATCGGCCTCCCAAAGTGCTGGGATTACAGGCGTGAGCCACTGCGCCCAGCCGAAGCATTATTTTTAACAACTTCATTGATATATAATTTACATGCCATACAATTCACCCATTTTAATAATATAATTCAGTGATTTTTATACATTTACCAGGTTGTACAACCATCACCACATCTCGTGTTAGAACCTTCTATCACCCAATAAGATCCCCGGTGTCTCTTCGCAGTCACTCTCCATCTCCCCTTCTTCCTAACCCACAGCAACCTTTAACCACCTTTCTGTCCAGAGGTGGTTTTTTTTTTGTTTTTTTTTTTTTGAGACAGAGTCTCGCTTGTTGCCCAGGCTGGAGTGCAGTGGCATGATCTCTGCTTACTGCAACCTCCGCCTCTCAGGTTCAAGCCATTCTCCTGCCTCAGCCTCCTCAGTAGCTGGGACTACAGGTACGCATCACCACACCCGGCTAATTCTTGTATTTATAGTAGAGATGCGGTTTCACCATGTTGGCCAGGCTGGTCTCGAACCCCTGACCTCAGGTGATCTGCCCTCCTTGGCCTCCCAGAGTGCTGGGATTACAGGCGTGAGGCACCATGCCTGGCCCTGTCTCTATAGTTCTTTTCTGCATATTTCATATAAATGGAATCACACAGCATGGGGTTTTTGCATCTGGCTTTTTTGACTTAGCATCATGTTTTTGTAGCATGGATCTGTTTTGTTTCCTTTTATTGCTAGTCAGCAATAAAAATGTGGCCCAGATACACCAGTTGTTTGGGTTGTTTTGACTTTTTGGTTACTGTATCGTGAATAATGCTGCTATGAAGATCCGATGTCATGTAAGTCTGTGTGGACCTGTCTTTTCATTTCTCTTGGGTAGATACCTAGGAATGGAATTGCTGGGTCATATGGTAAATTTCTGTCTAACTTTTAAAGAAGATGCCAAACTGCTATTTTTATTTCCAACCTTGGCAGCAGTAGATTAGAACACGGGAGACCCTCACCCAAAAATGGGAGGCAGCTCTCTGCAGACAGTGCAGGGACCACCAGCACATTAAACATGATTGACTCCCACCATCGAATCCCTAGCTCTAAAAATTTAACTTAGAGTGCTGGGGGCACTGATAGACAGTTGTGGAAGAAAATCCATTCTGCAGCACAAGGCAAACCCCAGCTCCCCAGCTGCCTACTTCAAAGCCAATCCAAACAAACAAACAAAGCACACTTCATAGAATACCCAAATCAGAACAAAGGGGAAAAAGGGTAATTATAAGGAAAACATTGGCAGTAAGGAATCAAATACCAAGACACTTATTCATCCAAGAGAGAAAAATACAATCATAGTACACTACTTGATTCTGCTGTAAGTGATATTTGCATGGTCCTAACCACGTAAATGACTGACATGGAGCCTATAGAACTGTTTCTCTTTATAAAACTTTTAGTATGTTGGCCAGGCGCGGTGGCTCACACCTGTAATCCCAGCACTTTGGGAGGCCAAGGCGGGTGGATCACAAAGTCAGGAGATCGAGACCATCCTGGCTAATGTGGTGAAACCTCGTCTCTACTAAAAATACAAAAACTTAGCCGGGTGTGGTGGCGGGCGCCTGTAGTCCCAGCTACTCGAGAGGCTGAGGCAGGAGAATGGCGTGAACCTGGGAGGCAGAGCTTGCAATGAGTCGAGATTGCGCGACTGCATTCCAGCCTGGGTGACAGAGCGAGACTCCATCTCAAAAAAAAAAAAACACAACTTTTAGTATGTTGCATTATTTTTTGGTCTCCTGCATATTTTATTATGAAACAGTTAAGGCATGTGAAAAAAAAAAGACATAACATCATTTAATTAACATCCATCTTCTCACCATAAACCTAAGAAATAGTACAGCCAGGTGCAGTGGCTCACAGCTGTAATCCCAGCACTTTGGGAGGCCAAGGCGGGTGGATCACTTGCTTGAGGCCGGGAGTTCGAGATCAGCCTGACCAACATGGTGAAACCCTGTGTCTACCAAAAATATAAAAATTATCTGGCTGGGCACAGTTGCTCACACCTGTAATCCCAGCACTTTGAGAGGCTGAGGCGGGCGGATCACGAAGTCAGGAGTTCAAGACCAGTCTGGCCAACATAGTGAAACCGTCTCTACTAAAAATACAAAAAATTAGCTGGGTGTGGTGGCCGGTGCCTGTAATCCCAGCTACTATGGAGGCTGAGGCAGGAGAATCACTTGAACCCAGGAGGTGAAGGATGCAGTGAGTGGAGATCGTGCCACTGCACTCCAGCCTGGGTGACAGTGCAAGACTCCATCTCAAAAAAAAAAAAAAAAAAAAAAAAAGGATCACTTGAGACCAGCCTGGACAACACAGTGAGATCCCATGTCTCAAAAAAAAAATTTAATTATAACTGGCATGGTGGTATGTGCCTGTAGTCACAGCTACTTGCGAGACTGAGACAGGAGGATCACTTGAGCCAGGAGGTGAAGGCTGCCGTGGTCATGATCACACCCCCGCACTCTAGTCCGAGTGTCAGAGACCTTGTCTCAAAAGAAAAACAAAAGAAAAGAAGGAATAGTACACACAGAGTTGAATGGCCTCATGGATCCCTCCTACATGGTATTCCCATCCTCTGCCCCTGCCAAAGAGGTAGATTGTGGTAATTTCCTCAACCCATGCCCACCCCAGATCAGTCCTGGCTTTCTCTGTGCCCTGGGAGGCTGATCCCTAGGAACTGCCCTCCAGTTGAGTTTAGTCAATGGTAGTCACCAGAAGACTGGAGGGCGGGAGAAGAGAGAGGCTGGGGTATCTGTTTCTCCTGCCTCCTCCCTGTTCTGCTGCCCCCTTCATCCACTACAGCTCCTCACTGGCAGCTCCTGCCCCGCCAGCACAAGCTTGTGCCAAGCTCTGGTGACTCCTCCCCTTTCAGGATCAGGACTAGTAACAGCTCCCTGCTGTGGCCAGCTCCAGCCATTAAACTGCCCATACCTGAGCCTGGGCAACACAGCAAGACCCTGTCTCTGCAGAAGATTAGAACATTAGCTGAGCACAGTGGCACATGCCTGTAGTCCCAGCTACTCAGGAGGCTGAGGTGGGAAGATAGCTTGAGCCTAGGAGTTCAAGGCTGCAGTGAGCTATGATACCGCCACTGCACTTCAGCCTGAACGATGGAGTTAGACCCCCCTCTCTCTTAAAACAAAACAAAACAAACAAACAAACAAACAAAAGCCAGGCGCGGTGGCTCATGTCTGTAATCCCAGCACTTTGGGAGGCGAGGCAGGCGGATCACCTGAGGTCAGGAGTTTGAGACCAGCCTGACTAACATGGAGAAACCCCGTCTCTACTACAAATACAAAATTAGCCGGGTGTGGAGGTGCATGCCTGTAATCTCAGCTACTTGGGAGGCTGAGGCAAGAGAATTGCTTGAACCCGGGAGGCGGAGGTTGCAGTGAGCCAAGATCGCGCCATTGCACTCCAGCCTGGGCAACAAGAGCGAAACTCCATCTCAAAAAAAAAAAAAAAAAGTAAATTTAAAAAACTGCCCACACCTTTGTAAACAGCCCCTTATTTTCAGCGAGACCTTCCTGAGACAGCCATTGACTTCTTGCTTGGGCCCTGTCTGAATTTCCATGATAGCACCAACTGTGGTCTTTATCACTCCTTTGCAAGTCTTTATACTTGGACTACATACAATGTATCATTAAGCAATATACTGTGTTGTTTTCAATGTTTTTGCCTTTATTGCAAGTGCCACATTGTACATACCCCTCTGCAACTTTCTGCAGGATGTTAACACAGGTAGCTCAGTTTATTCACTCTCCTGCTTCACCTCTCTCTGGGTGCTCAGTGTAATGATCCATTCCCACGGACGTTCAGGTTGCCAGTTTTTAGTTGTGTTATAAAAACTACTATGCATGGCTGCTACATGAATTTTTAACTGTGTGAATATGTATTACTTATAAAAATGTAGAATGGAGGCCGGGCACAGTGGCTTACGCCTCTAATCCCAGCACTGTGGGAGGCTGAGGTGAGCAGATCACAAGGTCAGGAGTTCGACACTAGCCTGATCAACATGGTAAAACCCCGTATCTACTACAAATAAAAAAATTAGCCTGCTGTGGTAGCACACGCCTGTAATACCAACTACTCAGGGGGCTGAGGCAGAAGAATCGCTTGAACCCGGGAGGCAGAGGTTGCAGTGAGCCGAGATCGTGCCACTGTATTCCAGCCTGGGCAACAGAGCGAGACTCTATCTCAAAAAAAAAAAAAAAAGGCCAGGTGTGGTGGCTCACGCCTATAATCCCAGCACTTTGAGAGGCCAAAGCGGGCGGATCACAAGGTCAAGAGATCGAGACCATCCTGGCCAACATGGTGAAACTCTACTAAAAATACAAAAATTAGCTGGGCATGGTGGCACATGCCTGTAGTCCCAGCTACTCAGGAGGCTGAGGCAGGAAAATCGCTTGAACCCGGGAGGCAGAGGTTGCAATGAGCTAAGATTGAGCCACTGCACTCCAGCCTGGGCGACAGAGCAAGACGCTGTCTCAAAAAAAAAAAAAAAAAAAAAAGTAGAACTGATTCCATTCAAAAAAAAAGGAGGGCCAGGGCTGAATGCAGTGGCTTATGCCTGTAATCCCAGCACTTTGGGAGGCTGGAGTGGGCGGATCACGAGGTTAGGAGTTCAAGACCAGCTTGGCCAACATGGTGAAACCCCATCTACTAAAAATACAAAAATTAGCTGGGCGTGGTGGTGCCTGCCTGCAATCCCAGCTACTCGGGAGACTGAGGCAGAAGAATTGCTTGAAACCAGAAGGCGGAGGTTGCAGTGAGCCAAGATGGCACCACTGCACTCCAGCCTGGGCAACAAGAGTGAAACTCTTGGTTGAAAAAAAAAAAGGAGGACCAGGCACTCATACCTATAGTCTCAGCACTTTGGGAGGCTGAGATGGGAGGAATGCTTGAGGCCAGAAGTTCAAGACCAGCCTGGGCAACATGACAAAACCCCATCTCTACAAAAATTACAAAACTTAGCCAAGTGTGGTGGTGTGTGCCTGTAGTCCCAGATACTCAGGAGGCTGAAGAGGGAGAATCACTTGAACCCAGGAAGTTGAAGCTGCAGTGATCCATGATGGGACCACTGCATTCCAGCCTGGGCGACAAAGTGAGACCCTCTCTTACAAAACAACAACAAAAAGGAGAACTGCTCACATGAGCTCTGTGAGCTGTCATGCCCAGAGCATCTTCCCTACTTGTCTAATTACCATCCTCCGCATGTAGAAGACACAAACAAGCAAGTTTCCTTTGGAAGATTCAGGGATCTCTGCCACCTCTGCTGTCCTCTGAGACCCAAGCTCTGCCCCAGTGGGAAGATGAGGTTAATGACTCCTGTTCCCAGTACAGATGTGAAACATCTGAAGACACCTCCTTAACACATCTTGGCTGTCGGAAGATCCAGGACTGGGGAGTCAACATGTGTTGCAGGAATTGCTAGAGGAATCTCACGGCATTTACAGACATGGTTCTGGCCCAGGAGCATCAGAAGTCGCTGGGCAGTCCAGTAGACTGCAATAGGGCCATACCGCCACTTAAGTGTGGTGCCTTAGAGCTGTGCCTCTTGCTGGTGGTAAACTTTCAAGAGATTCCTTTTTTTTTTCTTTTGAGACACAGTCTTACTCTGTCGCCCAGTCTGGAGTGCAGTGACACAATCATGGCTGCTCACCACAGCCTTCACCTCCCTGGGCTCAGGCGATCCTCCTCTCTCAACCACCCGAGTAGCTGAAACTACAGGCCTGTGCCACCATGCCTGGCTAATTTTTGTATTTTTTGTAGAGACAGGGGTTTTGCCATGTTGCCTAGGCTGGTCTCAAACTCCTGAGCTCAAATGACCTGCCTATCTTGGCCTCCCAAGGTGCTGGGATTACAGGCATGAGCCACTGTGCCTGGACAAGAGATTACTTTTATATAGCTCTAAGAAATCAACTTCAAATAGACTTTCAGACGCTGACTATACTTAACCAGGACTCATCACCATAGAAACACCACCAAGGATGACTTCGCCTAACGTGTATGCGTCCTGTGCGGGACAGATTCTGAGTCATGTGTCAGAATCCATGAACGGTATGTTACGGGAGCGGTAAGTGGGGGTCTGTGCGTGGGAGGCACGCATTTGGGTGGCATGAAAACACAATGGTTAAGTGATTTGATGCTGCCATCAAGTTGCCCGAGTTCAGATCCAGAGCCTGCCACTTATTAGCTGAGTTATGTAATCCCTCTGTGCCTCGGTGTCATCAGCTGTGAAAGAGCTAGGAGATGAGGTGCATGCAGCAGGCTAGGCACTGTCACAAAGATGTGACATCATCAAGAATGTAGTGTGGGCCGGGCAAGGTGGCTCATGCCTATAATCCCAGCACTCTGGGAGGCCGAGGTGGGCAGATCACCTGAGGTCAGGAGTTCGAGACCAGCTGGCCAACATGGTGAAACCCTGTCTCTACTAAAAATACAAAAATTAGCCAGGTGTGGTGGCATGTGCCTGTAGTCCTAGCTACAGCTACTCAGGAGGCTGAGGCAGGAGAATCACTTGAACCCGAGAGGCAGAGGTTGCAGTGAGCCGAGACAGAGCCATTGTACTCCAGCCTGGACAACAAGAGCAAAACTCCGTCTCAAAAAAAAAAGAATGCAGTGTGGCCTAACATGCAACTGTGAACCACCCCCTTAAACTACCCCCGTTAGCAATTTAAGCAGTGTCCAATCGATGCCACTGTTTCCCTTGAAGAAAAAAACATTTTTTGAGACAGGGTCTCACTCTGTCACCCAGGCTGGGGTGCAGTGGCAGGATCTCAGCTTACTGCAACCTCCACTTCCTGAACTTAGGTAATCCTCCCACTTCAGCCTCCCAAGTAGGTGGGACCATGGGTGCACGCCACCATGCCTAGCTAATTTTTGTGGTTTTTTGTAGAGTCAGGGTCTTACTACATTGCCCAGGCTGGTCTCAAACTCCTGGGCTCAAGCGATCTACCTGCCTCAGCCTCCTGTTGGGATTACAGGCATAGGCCACTACACCCAGCCAACAATTTCTATTAGCCCCCCAAAAGGTGCCTGTCCAGCATCCCTCTCTCTGTTTTTTTTTTTTAAACTACCAGCTTTTTGATTTTCCTTCATGGGACCATCCCTCCCCAACTCGTTTCATGTAGTGTGGTGGCACTGATCCCACTTTTAGGCTTCAGGAGCAGATATGTGACCGTGACCTGGCCAATCAGTGCCACAGTGACTGGTTAAGTAAGGCATAGTCACATGACCCAAGCTGGGCCAATGAGAGTCAGCCCTGGGACGCTTGCTGAAACCACAGGGGGAAAGGATGCTCTGTTTCTGCCAGAGCTGCTAAGCTGACAGATGTCAGCTGAGGGCCACCTGGCCATCTTTGCCACAACATGGGAGGGACTGCCTGAGAATAATGCTGACACAGAGGAGAGAGAGAGAGACATCCACACACAGACACAGACATCACCTGAGCTCCTGGATCCAGCCTTGCCTGAAGCCATTTGCCACTAGACTTGACTCAATAAACCCTCTTTTGGCTTAAAACCAGTCAGACTGGGTTTTTTTCATTTGCAACTAAGAGTCCTGATAGTGCATTGTGTGAAAGCACTATATAAATGAAAAGGGACCCAGCAAGTTCAAAACTTTTCTTCTAGAGCTAAGAGTCTCAGGATACTTTTGGAGCCCACGGTATTAGTATCTGAGTTATACAGCAGGCATGGGTTCGAATTCTGGCTCCATGACTTTCAAGTTACTCAGCATCTCTTAGCTTCAATCTCCTCATCTAAAAAACAGGGTTGTCATTCATTCATTCACTCATTCATTTATTTTTGAGACAGGATCTCACTCTGTCACCCAGGCTGGAGTACCCTGGCACGATCTTGGCTCACTGCAACCTCCGCCTTCTGGGTTCAAGCGATTCTTCAGCCTCAGCCTCCCAAGTAGCTGGGATTACAGGAGCGAGCGACCAATGCCCAGCTAAGGTTTTTTTTTGTTTTTTGTTTGTTTGTTTGTTTTATAGTGATGGGGTTTCACCATGTTGCCCAGGCTGGTCTTGAACACCTAAGCTCAAAGTGCTCTGCCCTCCTTAGCCTCCCAAAGTGCTGGGATTACAGGCATGGGCCACTGCGCCAGGCCATGGGTTGATATTTAGATTAAATGGGATAATCTGTGTTTCACGCAGTTAGCTATTATTGTTATTGTTGTTGTTATGATTATTATTATTGTCAGCCTTTGTTTTTAGATAAAGAAACTCAACCTGAGAGAGGTGGCTCACCAAATTCAGATACTAGACAATGGCAAAGCTAGGACCTGAACTCAAGAATACTGATTCCCTGTGCAGTGTCTTTTTCTGCACAATCTGCTACTAAAGAAAGATGCCCGGCTGGGTGCGGTAGCTCACGCTTGTAATCCCAGCACTTTGGGAGGCTGAGGCAGGCGGATCACAAGGTCAGGAATTCGAGACCAGCCTGGCCAACATAGTGAAACCCTGTCTCTACTAAAAATACAAAAATTAGCCAGGAGTGGTGGCACACATCTGTAATCCCAGCTACTCGGGAGGCTGAGGCAGGAGAATCGCTTGAACCTGGAAGGCGGAGGTTGTGGTGAGCTGAGATCGAGCCACTGCACTCCAGCCTGGGCAACAGAGCGAGACTCCGTCTCAAATAAAAAAGAAAGAAAGACGCCCCACAAGCCAAGATAGAAGAGAAACAAAAGCTAACAGGAGTACTCAGGGCACAGATGAGCCTAGGGCAGTAGTTAAGAGCACAGACACTGGTGTTCAACAGCCTGGGTTCGAATCCTGGCTCCTGCACTGACAGGCCATGTGACCTTGGATAAGTGACTTAACCTCTGTAAAACAGAGATTCTAGGATCAATTTCATAGGGTTATTAATGAAATAATGCTGATCTTCTTGCTTCGAGCCTGTCTCCCTGATGTCTATTCTATACACAGCAGCCAGACGGATGTACATGTCATTAGCAGTAAAAGCCAAAATCTTTACCATGGCCTTCAAGGCCCTTGCATCACTGTGAGGTCAGACTTAGGGAAAAGCTGCTACGGGCCACCTTCTTCCTTGGCTGGGAGGAACGAGATCAGGTTTCCAGTGATGCAAGGCAGGAAATGCTCATTAAATTACTTGCCCTTGTGTCTGTAAGTGACCTTCTGCGGTCACGCCACAGGCCAGGAGACCAGGAGCACACTGGTCTCAGACTAGCACTCAACTCACCAGCATGCCTGAAACCCCAGCCACCCAAAAACTAAGTCCTCATGGAGACTCAACTGTGCCCCAGGGTTCAGGAAGGCCCTGACACATGCAAATCACAGTCCAAAGAAAACTGATCCTTTCCTCTCCTCAGTCCCAGAGATTACATTGGGTTTTCTTGGGGTGGGGAGGAGGGAAATTCCAAAGATCTTTCAAATCTTCTGGGGTCTGAGAATTAGGTTTGCTCTTTCTTTCCTTCATTCAAAAAAGGAAAGCCAGGTGCAGTGGCTCACGCCTGTAATCCCAGCACTTTGGGAGGCCAAGGCAGATGGATCACGAGGTCAGGAGTTCTAGACCAGACTGGCCAAGATGGTGAAACCCTGTCTCTGCTAAAAATATAAAAATTAGCCGGGCACGGTGGCGGGTGCCTGTAATCCCAGCTACTCAGGAGGCTGAGGCAGGAGAATAGCTTTAACCCGGGAGGCAAAGGTTGCAGTGAGCCAAGATTGTGCCACTGTACTCTAGTTTGGGCGACAGAGCAAGACTGTGTCTCAAAAAAAAAAAAAAAGAAAGAAAAAAAAAGAGAAAAAGAGGTAAGACACAGAGACATTACACATTGTTACACATCACCCCAGAATCAATGAGATACAAATATGAAACCCTCAACCCGGATTCTAAGGAAGATGTAGGAAAATTAAAATAGACCAGGATTTTCTAGTAGAAAAAAAATCCTTCCTATTGTTAAGCTTTCTAGTTCAGTGTGCCCACCTACCTACCTGCTGTTACCTGCTTGTTCCCCAACAAATCTCTTTTTTTTTTTTTTTGAGAGAGAGGGTCTAACTCTGTCACCCAGGCTAGAGTACAGTGGTGCAATCATGGCTCACTGCAGCCTTGACCTCTGGGGCTCAAACAGCCCTCCTACTCCAGCCTCCCTAGTAGCTGGGACCACAACCATGCACCACCACACCCAGCAATTTTTTTTTTTTACTGTTTGTAGAGACAGGGGTTTCCCTATGTTTCCCAGGCTGGTCTCAAACTGCTGGGCAATCCTGCTGGGAGCGGTCCTCCCAACTTGTCCTCCCAAAGTGCTGAGATTACAGGTATGAGCCAATGCACCGAGCTCCCAACAAATATCTCGTATCCGAAACTGCCCAGCACATACGCAATGGACATCCTACTTACCATATACAGAGTCCCAGAGCCTTGCATCTTGAGAGTTCAGAGCTCTCACATCTAACATGAAGGGGAACGTGAGAAGGCAGAGAGGGGCCTACCAATATTTAGAGAACTAAATTATGGCCCCAACTTTACCACTAACTAGCTGTGTGGCCCCCGTCCAGGGAATCAGCATGCCCAAGCTTCAGTTTCCTCATCTGTGAATTGAAGATGTAGATGGCAGTTTCTGCTCCGATCTATGATCTTGACACCGGGAGCCATCCCTGACTGGCCCCTGACCCAGCAGGTGACCACCAAAGCCTGCAGCAAGCAGGCTCCCTCTTCCCCAAAGTAGGATGCAGTCCCTTCTAGTTCCCCCATCATGAACCGAGCAGGAGGCATCAGTTTCCACTCACTCAGACCTTCTTCTACAACCCTTGCTGTGCACCAGGGAACAAAATCAAGAATTGATTCCCAATCCCTTTGTCCCTAACATACCTCAGCATCTGAGGACCAAGTCCTAAGAAAGAGTCAAACAACTCCTTTGCAACCTCTGCCTGCCAAGACTTGCTATCTAATTGCTGTTAATTGCATTAATTGCACAGCTCTTAAGTGTTGTTGCTGTTTTTTGTTTTGTTTTGTTTTTGAGACGGAGTCTTGCTCTGTTGCCCAGGCTGGAGTGCAATGGCACAGTCTTGTCTCACTGCAACCTCCCCCTCCCAGTTTCAAGCAATTCCTGCCTCAGCCACTCGAGGATCTGGGATTATAGGTACATGCCACCACACCCAGCTAATTTTGCATTTTTAGTAGAGACAGGGTCTCACTGTGTTGGCCAGGCTGGTCTCAAACTCCAAACCTTGTGATCCACCCGCCTCGGTCTCCCAAAGTTCTGGAATTACAGGCATGAGCCGCCGCGCTGGGCCTCACTCTGAAGTGTTAAGACTCTTCCCCCTCCTCCTCCTTGTCTAAGGCAAAGCAAGGGACAGGAATTATGAACAACACAAGCTTCACACAGCAAACCTCTTCTCTTCTCCCATTCCCAACCCTAACACCCACTTGGTTCCACAGCTGACCATGACCTCCGAGCCCAGTAAGACAAAGCATTAAGAAGTGGCTGAGGACCAGGCACGGTGGCTCACTACTGTAATCCCAGCACTTTGGGAGGCCGAGGCAGGCAGATCACGAGGTCAAGAGATTGAGACCATCCTGGCCAACATGGTGAAACCCTGTCTCTACTAAAAATACAAAAATTAGCTGGGCATGGTGGCGCGCACCTATAATCTCTGCTACTTGGGAGACTGAGGCAGGAGAATCGCTTGAATCCGGGAGGCGGAGGTTGCAGTGAGCCACGATCGTGCCACTGCACTCAAGTCTGGTGACAGAGCAAGACTCTATCTCAAAAAAAAAAAAAAAAAAAAAAAGAAGTGGCTGAGGGCCAGGCACAGTGGCTCATGCCTGTAATCTCAGCACTTTGGGAGGCCGAGGTGGGTGAATCACCTGAGGTCAGAAGCCTGGCCAACATAGTGAAACCCTATCTCTACTAAAACACAAAAAAATTAGCCGGGCACGGTGGCGCACACCCGTAATTCCAGCTACTCAGGAGGCTGAGGCAGAGAATGGCTCGAACCCGGGAGGCGGAGGCTGTAGTAAGCCGAGATCACGCCACTGCACTCCAGCCTGGGCGACAGTGAGACTCTGTCACAAAAACAAAACAAAACAAAACAAAACAAGAAGTGGCTGAGTCTTCTCCGTGGGAGTGGAGCCAAAACAGTCCCCTGAGAACCGGATGGGACCCAGGCCCTAGAAGAGAAGGCATCAACCTACACATGCTGGACAGGTCGAGATGTGTCTAGGTCCCTTCCCCTCTATTCATGCCTGAAAGGGCACCCCCATTCCTGCCCCGGCTCTCCAGCAACCCTCTGTCTATTGATCAGAATCTACAACCACGTGTCTAGAAAGACCCATCAGAGACACCCTTGGCAACCTCCTCTCCCCTCTGCACACTGTAGGAGGCCAACTGAACTGCAGACAAGAGGTACATGGACAGGGACAATGTCACTGCTCCAAATGAGAGGACTGGGGTGATAGTGTGCAATGTAATTTCAGGCAAAGCCAACCCCCCGAAAAACAATCCCGTGACTGGAGAGGGAACAGCCCTGTCTTCAAAAATAGTCACCGAGTCCCTCTTGGTCAACCCCAAGGTTTCCTGAGGCGTCTCTAGTCAACACGGTAGGTAGCTGGGGCCTCTCTGAACCTCTTAGCAGGAACAACTGCTGCCAGGACCGCTCCCCACACCCAGCAGCAATGCCATTCTCTCAGGGGACCCCCGCCTTACACCCGCCCTCACTCCACCCCGTGTAAGGCTCCGGGCCAGAAGGATAGAGCTGGGAGTTTCCCCTATCACTGGGTGAGGCTACTCAGCTGTCCGAACTGACAGATGCTCTCCACGCCAAAATCAGCCTGCAGCAGCGTCAGAGCCCCCAAAGACAGGAAATAGGGGTCCCTAATCCCCAAGCACAACCTAGAGGTTCAAGGTGAACAGCTCTTAAGTACACCTCCCAAAACAGAGCTGCAGGATAGTGCTGCCCCGCCAGAGCACGGGGTGGGAGCTGAGCTACCAAAAGCAGATGGGAGGGGGCGGGGTGAGATCTGGGGAGACCCTGCAGAGGTGGGGGCTGGGCTGTTCTCTTTGAACCACCCCCACAGATGAACACGCCTGGAACTTGCCTCAGAGGCCACAGACCAACTTTCTGCAGCGAAGGGGGTGCGTGGAGCAGAGAGCCAGTGGGAGGGCGGCGGAAGAGGGGGCTGCGACCCGGCGCCCCACGTGGACGAAGAGCTGAAGCGCCGGGTGATGGGAGGGGGCTGGTCCATGCCTCCCGTCCGCCCCCAGGGCCTCTCCGGGGCACTCCCTAGGCCCTGACTGTCCCCACCGCCCGGGCCGGGGGGCTCAGGAAGGGCAAGGCGCTGCACCGCGGGCAGCAGAGTTGCGGGACCAGGTGGCCTGGCCCTACCTGCAGTTCTTGAAATTCTCCCTCCAGCTCGTGCCATTCGCGCTCGCAACGCTCCAGCTGCCCGGACATGATGCGATGGTGCAAGGCGGCGGTGCCGGCGGCTGCTCCCGCAGCGCTGCCCGACCGGCCCCCCAGCGCCCCACGCCCGCGCGCTCGCCGACCGCCCTCGGAGGCACCAGCTGTTCCTGCGCAGCCAGAGCCACGCGCGCAACTGACGTCACGGCCCCGCCCCGGCGCCCGCCCCGCCCCACGCCTGGGAGGCGGGGCCGCGCGTGCGCATGTGCCCCGCCCCGCCCCGCGTGCGGCGTTCCGGACCGGGACATGGCAGGCTCGCAAGGTCTTTCGGGGTCTGTTGCGGCCCCCTTGGCAGTGCCTCTGCGCCTCCAGAATCTGTCTCTTCCAGGAAGAGTTGGGGGACTTGTCTGCAGGTTGCATTTGCAGAGATTATTTGACTTAGATTGTGTGTTTTGGGGGTGTCTAGAGTTTGGGGAAAGGAGATTTGGGGGAGGTGAAATGAAAGCTCACCGGCCCCTGGTCATTGCCTGACTTGAGCCCAGGCCAGCGCCCCGGAAGGCTGGCGCTGACATCGACCATCCAAAAAGGTCGGGGGCCGGGCGGCGCAGCGCAGAGAGGGCACGGTCATTTCACGTTGTCATTATTATGTGCTGCAGCTAATACATCCTAGATTCCTGCCCTCTAACGCTCTGGGTGACGTTCTTAACAGCTGTTTCTGTCGCTCAAGGGACAACCGCCTCCAAGCTGATTAAATCCAGTTCTGTCCCCTCCTCTGCCAAGTCCTGCAAGAACTGCCCCTGCCTAGCTTTCCAGTCCCTTCTATCTCACCGCCCTGGACTCGTACCCTCCAGCCATTGCTTTTTCTCTTCCTGACCTTGCATGGAACTTTCTTCCCTCTAAATCTTCATACGATGTGCCTTTTTTTCATCATTCAGGCCTCAGTTTCAAATGACACCTGTGTTACTTTACTTTTTTATCTTTCTTTTTTCTTCTATTTTTATGGGTGTTTTTTTTTTTTTCTGTCGCCTAGGCTGGAGTGCAGTGGTGTGATCTCAGCTCACTGCAACTTCCGCCTCCCGGAATCAAGTGCGTCTCATACCTCAGCCTCTGGAGTAGCCAGGTTATACCACATCCAGCTAATTTTTGTATTTTTAGTAGAGGCGGGGTTTTGCAGTGTTGGCCAGGCTGCTCTCGAACTCCTGACCTTAAGTAATCCGCCCGACTTGGCCTCCCAAAGTGCTAGGATTACAGGCATGAGCCACCGTGCCCGGCCCCCTGTGTTCGTTGCTAAAGCTGCCATAACCACAACCTGGGTAGTTTAAACAATAGAAATGTATTCTCACCAACGGGGGCAACATAAGGAGACCTTGTTTCTACAAAAAATTTACAGATTAGCTGGGTGTGGTGGCACGCGCCTGTGGTCCCAGCTACTCCGGAGGCTGAGGTCCAAGAATTCCTTGGGCCTGGGAGGTCAAGGCTGCAGTAAGCTATGATTGCACCACTGCACCCCAGCCTGGGTAACAGAGCGAGACCCAGTCTCATAAAGAAAGAAGGAGGCCGGGCGCGGTCGCTCACGCTTGTAATCCCAGCACTTTGGGAGGCTGAGGCAGGAGGATCACCTGAGGTTGGGAGTTCAAGACCAGCCTGACCAACATGGAGAAACCCCATCTCTACTAAAAACACACAAAAAAATTAGCCAGGTGTGGTGGCACATGCCTGTAATCCAGTTACTCAGGAGGCTGATGCAGGAGAATCACTTGAACCAGGGAGGTGGAGGTTGTGGTGAGCTGAGATCGTGCCATTGCACTCCAACCTAGGCAACAAGAGTGAAACTGAGTCTCAAAAAAAAGAGAGAGAGAGGAAGGAAGGGAGGGAAGGAAGGAAAGAAAAAAAGAAAAGAAAGAAATGTATTGTCTCACAGTTCTGGCATCTAGAAATCTGAGAGGAAGGTGTCAGCAAAGCAGTGCTCCCTCTGAAGCTCTGGGCAGAATCCTTCCCTCCTCATAGCTTGTGGGTGTATGTGGTGGCGGGGGGCTCCTTCACTGGCGTTCCTTAGCTCGCAGCTGCATCACCCCAATCTCTACCCTGTTGCACCGTCTTCTTTCCTGTGTGCATGTCTGTGTGTGTCCTCTCTTAAAAAGACACCCTTTCTGGCCAGGCATGGTGGCTCACGCCTGTAATCCCAGCACTTTGGGAGGCCGAGGTGGGCAGATCACTAGAGGCCAGGAGTTGGAGACCAGCCTGGCCAACATAGTGAGACCCCATTTCTACTAAAAATACAAAAATTAGCCGGGCATTATGGTACAAGCCTGTATTCCCAGCTCCTTGGGAGGCTGAGATGGGAGGATCACTTGAGCTCCAGAGGTCGAGGCTGTAGTGTGTTGGGAAAAGCTGAGTGTTGGGAGAAGCTGAGGCAGGGCTTGTATGTCTGACACAATGTAAAAGAGTCTTGGAACATGTCCAGGGTCCAAGGTCTAAAACCCCTTGTGGCCTTTGGAACACCAAGCTCTGTGCTAAAGGGTGGAAGGCTGCCCTGATGCACCATAATCTAAGCCCAGGGCATAAAACCCCTCGTGGCTTGGATAGAATCCAGGGCTCGTGGCTCTGGAATGTGTCTAGACTTGCTGGCTCCTTGCTCCTTGCTCACCCAGGATCAATTGTATCTTGTGTTAAAAGAACCTGCTCTCCATTATCTTAAGTAGCGGAGCAAATGCTAAACCATCACAGCTGTAAATCATGGGCTTAATGCAACGTGCCCTCTTGACCTCCACATTCTCACCACCTGTTTCTCTGTTGGATTACCAATAAATAGCATGGGCTCCCAGGGCTCGGGGCCTTCGCAGCCTCCAGTAGTGAGCTGTCATCACACCACTGCACACTAGCCTGGGTGACAGGACAAGAGCCTCTCTCAAAAAAATAAAAATAAAAAAAAGACACCCTTTCCTAGTGTGATCACATCTCAACTTTACATCTGGAAAGGCCCTATTTCCAAATAGGGTCACATTCCAAGTGTTAGAAAGTGATACTAAGTGTTAAGTGATACTAAGTGTTACTAAGTGTTAAAGTTCATTCCTTTAACAAATATTTACTGAGGGTCTACTATGTGTCAAGCCCTCGGGTTCCAACAAAGCCTGAGACACAGACAAGTTCCCTGAGATCTTGTGGAGGTTACATTCCCGTGGAGGGAAACAACCACATAGTGGATACTTAATTGTTGAGTAAATGTTGAGTTGCCTGGGCAACATAGCAAGACCCTGTCTTTGAAAAAAAAAAAAAAAAGATTGAGTATCTACTATGTGTCAGACATTGTTCCAGGCATTAGAGACATAGGAATGAGGCCAGGCGCAGTGACTCACACCTGTAATCCCAGCATTTCGGGAGGCTGAGGCAGGCAGATCACTTGAAGTTCTGGCCTCCCAGTGGCTCACACCTGTATTCGCAGCACTTTGGGAGGCCAAGGCAGGTGGATCACTTGAGGCCAGGAGTTCAAAACCAGACTGACCAACATGGTGAAACCTCGTCTCTACTAAAACTACAAAAATAAGCCAGACATGGTGGCTGGCACCTGTAATCTCAGCTACTCGGGAGTCTGAGGCAGGAGAATCGCTTGAACTTGGGAGGCGGAGGTTGCAGTGAGCCAAGATCGCGCCACTGCTCTCCAGCCTGGATGACAGAGCGAGACTCTGTCTGAAAGAAAGAAGGAAGGAAGGAAGGAGGGAAGGAAGGAAGGAAAGAAAGACGGAAAAAAGGGAGAAAGGAAAGAAAGAAAACAGAACATGTCTTTTTGGGGAACACAGTTCAAACCCATAATACCACCTCTGAAAAAAGACCCTTCCTGAACACCTGGAGGGCCGGCCTCCCCCCATCACCCCATCACTTCCCTATCACCTGTTTCATTTCCTTCCTGTGACTTACCATCATCTGTAATTGTTTGTTCCCATGGTGGTTGGTTGTTTCCCTCCATAGGAATGTAACCTCCACAAGATCTCAGGGAACTTGTCTGTGTCTCAGGCTTTGTTCAGCCCCAAGGCTTGGCACATAGTAGGCCCTCAATAAATATTTGTTAAAGGAATGAACTTTAAAGACCATCTAGTGCAGAGGTCCCCAACTTTTGGGGTTCAAAAGCCCCTCTGAGGATTTGTAATGGGAAATATGCACATAAGCACACAGAGAAATATTTGCAGGTCTTAATTGAGGACTGAAGAGGGGTGTGACCTGCCCACGATTCCCAGCTAATTAATGGCTCACTTTGAATTAAAGTTATCATCTCTGACTCCTAAACCAGAGCCCTATCAATTAATTAACAAATCAGAGGTTCCCAAGCTCGCTGGTGGACTGTGGGGCAGTCAAGTTCAAAAATTGTCTGTGGCATTGCAAGTATCGGCCCCCGGGGGTGGGAACATTCAGGTGCATAAAGGTTGGTTTCTGTCTTCAGATCAGTAGTTTCCAGGGTCTAATGCTGGAACTGCAAACTGAAAAGGAGAAATCACTCATCTATTTTTAAAATATTTACTAAAACATGGCCAGGCGCAGTGGCTCACGCTTGTAATCCCAGCACTTTGGGAGGCCGAGGTGGGGAGATCACCTGAGGTCAGGAGTTCAAGACCAGCCTGGCCAACATGATGAAATCCTGTCTCTACTAAAAATACAAAAATTAGCTGGGTGTGGCTATAATCCTAGCTACTCTGGAGGCTGAGGCAGGAGAATCGCTTGAATTCAGGAGACAGAGGTTGCAGTGAGCTGAGATCGTGCCACTGCACTCCAGCCTGGATGACAGAGACTCCGTCTCAAAAGAAAAAAATATATATGTATATAGGCCAGGTGTGGTGGCTCATGCCTATAACCCCAGCACTTTGGAAGGCCGAGGTGGGTGGATTGCTTGAGGTCAGGAGTTTGAGACCAGCCTGACCAACATAGTGAAACCTCGTTTCTACTAAAAATACAAAATTAGCCAGGCATGGTGGCGACGCCTGTAATCCCAGCTACTCTGGAGGCTGAGACAGGAGAATCACTTGAACCCAGGAGGCAGAGGTTGCAGTGGTCCAAGATGACACCATTGCACTCCAGCCTGGGTAACAAGAGCGAGACTCCGTTTAAAACAAAAAAATACGTGTGTGTGTGTGTGTGTGTGTGTGTGTGTGTGTGTGTGTATTTATTGATTAAAACAATGTTGGGCCGGGCACGGTGGCTCACGCCTGTAATCCCAGCACTTTGGGAGGCTGAGGCGGGTGGATCACAAAGTAAGGAGATCCAGAACATCCTGGCTAACACAGTGAAACCCCGTCTCTACTAAAAATACAAAAAATTAGCCGGGTATGGTGGCAGGTGCCTGTAATCCCAGCTACTTGGGAGGCTGAGGCAGGAGAATCGCTTGAACCCAGGAGGTGGAAGTTGCAGTGAGCCAAGACTGCGCCATTGCACTCCAGCCTGGCGACAGAGCAAGACTCCATCTCAAAAAGAAAAAAAATGCCCGGTACAGTAGCTCACGCCTGTTATCCCAGCACTTTGGGAGGCCGAATCGGGTGGATCACCTGAGGACAGGAGTTTGAGACCAGCCTGGCCAACATGGTGAGACCCCGTCTCTACTAAAAATACAAAAAATTAGCCGGGCATGGTGGTGGGTGCCTGTAATCCCAGCTACTTGGGAGGCTGAGGCAGGAGAATCACTTGAACCCAGGAAGTGGAGGTTACAGTGAGCCGAGATCATGCCACTGCACTCCAGCATGGACAACAGAGTGAGGCTCCATCTCAAAAAAATAAATAAATAAAATAAAAATTCAACAAAATAGACATATCAATGAACAAAAGAAGACAAAATGCCTACCCTTATGGAGCTTACATTCCTGTGGGTTTAAAAATCCAAGCTGAATGGCCGGGCAGAATGGCTCATGCCTGTAATCCCAGCACTTTGGGAGGCCAAGGCGGACGGATCACCTGAGGTTGGGAGTTTGAGACCAGCCCGACCAACATGAAGAAATCCTGTCTCTACTAAAAATACAAAATTAGCCGGGCATGGTGGCACATGCCTGTAATCCCAGCTACTAGGGAGGGTGAGGCAGGAGAATCGCGTGAACCCAGGAGGCGGAGGTTGTGGTGAGCCGAGATTCCACCATTGCACTCCAGCCT
Source organism: Homo sapiens (assembly GCF_000001405.40). Lineage (NCBI taxonomy): Eukaryota > Metazoa > Chordata > Mammalia > Primates > Hominidae > Homo > Homo sapiens. The sequence continues at coordinate 121,706,823 of NC_000012.12, read as the reverse complement.
GGGCAACAAGAGTGAAACTCCGTCTCAAAAAAAAAAAAAAAAAAAAAAATCAACCTGAAATATTTATTTATTTATTTATTTTTCTTTTACAAAGAAAAGTTTGGAGAAATTTATAAGTAGAGAAAATAATATCTAATAGTGAGTTTCAACACATCATGACCAACTTTGTTTCATCTACGTTCCCACCCATTTTTCCTGACCCTTATATTATTTTGAAGTAAATTCCAGGCATTGGCCAGGTGCGGTGGCTTACGCCTGTAATCCCAACACTTTGGGAGGCTGAGGCGGGCAGGTCACAAGGTCAGGAGTTTGAGACCAGCCTGGCCAATATGGTAAAACCCCATCTCTACTAAAACTACAAAAAAACTAGCCAGGCGTGGTGGTGGCACACACCTGTAGTCCCAGCTACTAGGGAGGCTGAGGCAGGAGAATCGCTTGAACCCAGGAGGCGGAGGTGGCAGTGAGCCAAGACCGTGCCATTGCACTCCAGCCTGGGCAATAGAGGGAGACTGTCTCATTAAAAAAAATAATAATAATAATAATAATAATCCAGGCATTATATTCCAAAGTTTTTTTTTTCTGTCAGCTTTAGTAAGGTATAACTAACAAGTAGTAAAACTCTTTCTTTTTTTTTTTTTTTTTTTCAATTTTTGCAAACCAGAAAGAGATATTCTCTGGTGTGGAGTGAAGGTGTTGCCTCTTCCAAATTTATTCTTTTGGGAACACAATTGTATGAGTTTAAACAGACAAATACAATCATGAAATAACACACCAAAAATGGACAGTTTCTAGCGTCATGTCTTCTAGGTCACTAATCTTTTCTACTATAATGTCTAATCTGCTATTAATCCCATCTGGAGTATTTTTTATCTCACATACTGTAGTTTTCATCACTAGAAGTTCTATTTGTCTTTGTACCTTCTATGTTTCTACTTAACTTTATAAACATATGAAATACAGTTTCAGTAACTATCTTAATATCCTTATCTACTAATTCTCATATCTGTGTCAGTTTTGGATTGGTTTCAGTTGATGTATTTTTGTCCTCTTTAATAGTGATATTTTCCTGCATGTTTGCCTGGTTATTGTTGATTGGATGTTAGACATTGTGGATTTTACCTTGCTGGATTCTCTTTCTCTTTCTTTTTCTTCATCATTTTTCCTCCTCTTTCCTCCTCCTCTTTCTACTTCTTCTATATTTTGGTATCCTTAAAAATGTTCTTTCCTCTTTCCCCTGGACCACCCTCCCCTTCCCCTGTCCTGCTTGCTCTGTGCCTTGGCCCCACCTTTTCCTAAAAAAACAACAAGGCTGAGCAAGGTGGCTCATGCCTATAATCCCAGCACACTGGGAGGCCAAGGCAGGTGGATCACCTGAAGTCAGGAGTTCGAGACCAGCCTGGCCAACATGGTGAAACCCTGTCTCTACTGAAAATACAAAAATTAGCCAAGCATGGTGGCATGCGCCTGTAACCCCAGCTACTCCGGAGGCTGAGGCATGACAATTGCTTGAACCCAGGAGGCAGAGTCTGCAGTGAGCCGAGATTACACCACTGCACTCCAACCTGGGCAACAGAGCGAGACGCTATCTCAAAAATTAAATTAAATTAAATTAAATTTTAAAAGGCTGGGCAAGATGGCTGACCCCTGTAATCCCAGCACTTTGGGAGGCCAAGACAGATGGATCACTTGAGGTCAGAAAGACCAGCCTGGTCAACATGGTGAAACTCCATCTCTACTAAAAATACAAAAATTAGCTGGGTGAGGTGGCAGGCACCTGTAATCCCAGCTACTCAGGAGGCTGAGGCAGGAGTCTTGCTTGAACCCAGGAGACAGAGGTTGCAGTGAGCAGAGACCGCGCCAGTGAGCAGAGACCACGCCACTGCACTCCAGCCTGGGTGACAGAGCAAGCCTCTGTCTCAACAACAACAACAACAATAAAAAACAACAAAAAAGGTGCAACTTAGTCTAGAGCTAATTTTTCCCCACTACCGAGGCAAGACCAATCCCCCAAGAACCCTGAGGTTTTTGAGGCTGGCTGGTGGCACAAGCAGAATGCACTCGCACCTCTAATCATTTCAGGTGGTTCTTTCTCTGGCCTTGGGTCTGCCCTTTGATGTCGTGAGTGGGCTGAGCATCACTCAAAGGATGACTGGAGAAGGGCTCGCTGCAGATCTCTGGGATTCTCTGTGTGCAGCTGTATCCTCTCCAGAACTCTAACCTCCCTGGTCCCCCTGAACTCTTAGCTGTGTTTGCTCAACTCAGGGGGTCTGCCAGACTCCACCTGAGTTCCCCCTCTCTGCATCATGGCCTGGAAACTCCCAAGACAGTAGCATTGCGGGGGCAATCACTGGGCTCACCCCGTTTGTTCCCTGTCCCTCAGGGATCACTGTCCTCTGTTGACTGATGTCTGATGTCTTGAAAAACATTGTTTCATATATATTTTATCTATTTTGTTTTGTTCTTTCAGGTGAGAAAGTAAATCTACACTGTTACTACATCTCAGCCAAATGCATTTGTGACTCACCCATGTTGAGGCCAGGTGCAGTGGCTCATGCCTGTAATCCCAGCACTTTGGGAGGTCAAGGCGGGCAGATCACCTGAGGTCAGGAGTTTGAGACCAGCCTGGCCAACATGGTGAAACCTCGTCTCTACTAAAAATACAATAATTAGACAGGTGTGGTGATGAGCGCCTGTAGTCCCAGCTACTCCGGAGGCTGAAGCAGGAGAATTGCTTGAATCTGGGAGGTGGAGGTTGTAGTGAGCCAAGATCACGTCACTGCACTCTGGCCTGGGCAACAGACCAAGACTCCCTCTTTAAAAAAAAATAAGGCCAGGAGCTGTGGCTCACGCCTGTAATCCCAGCACTTTGGGAGGCTGAGGCGGGTGGATCACAAGGTCAGGAGATCGAGACCATCCTGGCCAACATGGAGAAACCCCGTCTCTACTAAAAATACAAAAAAATTAGCCGGGCGTGGTGGCGGGCGCCTGTAATCCCAGCTACTCAGGAGGCTGATGCAATTGAATGGTGTAACTCGGGAGGTGGAGCTTGCAGTGAGCTGAGATCGCACCACTGCACTCCAGCCCGGGCAACAGAGCAAGACTCCATCTCAAAAAAAAGAAAAAAAAAAAAAAAAAGAAGGGAAGATCTGGACACACTGGGTTCACATTCCTGCATGGCGATTGGCTGGAACATAGGAACAGCTAGCACCATTACATGGGCCCTGCCTGTTGCCGCAGTCCCCACCATTCCCAGTTGTCTTGCCCAGGCCTCCATAACATAAACTCCATCATCGGTTTATGTTACCTGCTGGTCACTGGAGACATTTAAGACTCCCAGTACAATGTGTCATGAAGAGAATAAACCAATGTTGTTGTGAAGATTCTAAAAGCAGTTAAATCACTTGAATGGTGAAAAAACAGAAAACAGTTCATTTCATTGGGGCTACAAAAACACAGGACCTTGGAGGAAGAATATAATGTTACCAAGCAGAGGATTTGGGAAGCAGATACCCCTTCACCTCTGCTTGCAGCTTGCAATCCAAACAGGTCCTTCAGCCTCAAGTTGCCTCTGGGCAGGGGAGGCTGGCCCTGCCTCCCAGGGAGATCCAGGCAGGTGCCATGGGCAGGTCAGCCAGGCGGTCAGGTTGCGAATCGGAGGGACTCTTCTCTCTGTGGGGTCAGGACTCCATGTGCATTATTTATGAGCCCTTCTGTAGATGGCACCTGCCAGCCACCCCGATCTGAGCAGCCGCTCATGTGCCAAGTATCAGGGTTGACTTGGCTGCTGCCCTGTCCCGGTTCTTGCTCTTGCCCAAAGCACTTCCATTTTTTTTTTTAAAGACAGAGTCTTGCTCTGTCACCCAAGCTGGATTGCAGTGGCACAGTCTCGGCTCACTGCAACCTCCATCTCCCGGGTTCAAGCAATTCTCCTGCCTCACCTCCCAAGTAGCTGGAATTACAGGTGTGTGCCACCTCGCCTGGCTAATTTTTGTATTTTTAGTAGAGATGGGGTTTCGCCACATTGGCCAGGCTGGTCTCGAACTCCTGACCTCAGGTGATCCGCCTGCCTTGGTTTGCCAAAGTGCTGGGATTATAGGCGTGAGCCACCACGCCCCGCCCCCAGAGTGCTTTCAGACGCACTCATCAGCAACCGGAGGCTGGACCTGGCTCTCTGGGGACTGTGATTATGGTGGGTGAGAAAGTATGGTGGGAGACTATCCTCCCTCACCCTCACCTCCACCCTCACCTTTTGTTCTCTTTGAGACATTCTACTTAGGGACCGCCAGCCTGCGGATTTGCTCAACCAGCTGGGGAGAGTCACAAAAGTAGCAAACACACACTCACTATGTGCCTGGCACTCTTCTCTACACTGTGTGTGTGTGCGTGTGTGTGTGTGTGTGTACATGCATTATCTACATAACAGTCTTATGACATAAGACCTTTATTATACCTATTTTACAGGTAAGTACTCTAAGTCATGATTTCTCCAACTGTTTTTTTCTTTCTTTCTTTTTTCTTTTGAGACAAGGTCTCTGTCATCCAAGCTGGAGTGCAGTGGTGCGATCACAGCTCACTGCAGCCTCCAGCTCCCAGGCTTGAGCAATTCTTTCCCCTCAGCTTCCTGAGTAACTGGGACTACAGGTGTGCCACCATGCCCAGCTGATTCTTTTATTTCTCGTAGAGACGGGGTCTTGCTATGTTGCCCAGGCTAGTCTCAAACTCCTGGGCTCAAGTGATCCTCTCAAAGTGCTGGGATTACAGGTGTGAGCCACCATGCCCAGCCTCTCTGACTTTTAATGTGCCCATGAATCACCACCTGGGGATCTTGCTAAAATGCAGATTCTGATTCAGTAGGTTCTAGGAGAGGCCCAGGATCCTGTAATTCTACAAGTTACCAGCCAGTGCTAGAGTCTAAGGTGCAGAGAGGTGAAGGAATTTACCCAAGATCATGTAGCTACTATTAATAGCAGCTGTGCTACTTAAGCATTGCAAAATACTAAGAGCCAATTCTAAAAGCAAGGGCACCTGTCCAAGGAGAAGTTAAAATTCCTCAGACTTTTCCTTCTTCTACTTCCAACAAATGCCCTTGCTCAAAATAGTCCCAAAGATTATAACAAACAATTTGTGCAAATATGTTTATAGCAGCACTTTTCAGATCAGCCACACAATGGATACATCCTCAATACCCACAATAGGGCAACAGCTGGGTGAACTATAGTCTATTTCACGTCATGCCATGCAGCTATTAAAATGATAATTATGGGAATTAAATGGATACCTGTAAACAGCTATATTAAGTCATGTTTAGCAAAGAAAAGTAGGACCAAAAATAATGTGTACCTATTGATTAAAGTTACATGATCAGGTTATCCCAGCACTTTGGGAGGCCAGGTGGGAGGATCGCTTGAGCCCAGGGGTTTGAGAGCAGCCTGGGCAACACGGCAAAACCCTGTCACTACAAAAAATACAAAAACTACCTGGGCATGGTGGTATACACTTGTAGACCCAGCTACTTGGGAGGCTGAGGCAGAAGAATCATATGAAACTGAGAGGTAGATGTTGCAGTGAGCCAAGATAGTGCCACTGCACTCCAGTCTGGGTAACAGAGTGAGACCCTGTCTCAAAACAAGCAAACAAAGAAACAAAAAGTTATGCCAGACGCAGTGGCTTATGCCTGTAATCCCAGCACTTTGGGAGGCTGAGGCAGGTGGATTACCTGAGGTCAGGAGTTTGAGACTAGCCCGGTCAACATGGTCAAACCCCGTCTCTACTAAAAATACAAAAATTAGCTGGACGTGGTGGCGGGCGCCTGTAGTTCCAGCTACTCAAGAGGCTGAGGCAGGAGAATGACTTGAACCTGGGAGGCAGAGGTTGCAGTGAGCCAAGATCGTGCCACTGCACTCCAGCCTGGGCGATAGAGTGAGACTCCATCTCAAAAAGAAAAAAAAAAAATCCCAGTTTTAGTTCTTGCAGGAGAATACTTTATTTACCTGCCCCTATAAGAAGGATTTTAAGTCCTCCTTGTAGGATTGTTGCAAGGATGAAATGTAATAATGTAGGTAGGCGAAGTGCCTAGCATGTCAGCACTAGATATTTGTGTTTTCTTTTGTTTTTTATTTTATTTGTTTATTTTTTTAGAGACTGAGTCTCACTCTGTCGCCAGGCTGGAGTGCAGTGGTGCGATCTCAGCTCACTGCAACCTCCGCCTCCCAGGTTCAAGCGATTCTCCTGCCTTAGCCTCCCAAGTAGCTGGGATTACAGGCGCACGCTGCCACTCCCGGCTCATTTTTTTTTGTATTTTTAGTAGAGACCGGGTTTCACCATGTTGGCCAGGATGGTCTCGATCTCTTGACCGCATGATCCCCCCACCTTGAACTTCCAAAGTGCTGGGATTGAAGGCATGAGCCACCACGCCCAGACGATATTTGTGTTTTTTAAATTTTTTATTTTTTTATTTTTTGAGACGGAGTCTCTCTCTTTTGCCCAGGCCGGACTGCTGCAGTGGCGCTATCTTGGCTCACTGCAAGCTCCGCCTCCCGGGTTCACGCCATTCTCCTGCCTCAGCTTCCCGTATTTGTGTTTTTTAAAAAATAAATGTTTTGGGCAGGGCGAGGTGGCTCACGCCTGTAATCCCAGCACTTTGGGAGGCCGAGGCGGGCGGACCCCGAGGTCAGGAGATCCAGACCATCCTGGCTAACACGATGAAACCCCGTCTCTACTAAAAACACAAAAAATTAGCCGGGCGTGGTGACGGGCACCTGTATTCCCAGCTACTTGGGAGGCTGAGGCAGGAGAATGGCGTGAACCCGGGAGGCGGAGCTTGCAGTGAGCCGAGATCGCACTACCGCACTCCAGCCTGGGTGAGAGAGCGAGACTCCATCTCAGATAGATAGATAAATAAATAAATAAATAAATGTTTTGGTCAGGCACAGTGGCTCATGCCTGTAATCCCAGCACTTTGGGAGGCTGAGAGGATAGATCACTTGAGGTCAGGAGTTTGAGACCAGCCTGGCCAACATGGTGAAACCCCATCTCTATTAAAAATACAAAATTAGCCGGGCGTGGTGGCGCATGCCTGTAATCCCAGCTACTTGGGAGGCTGAGGCAGGAGAATTGCTTGAACCTGGGAGGTGGAGGTTGCAGTGAGCCAAGATCTCACCACTACCCTCCAGCCTGGACGACAGAGCGAGACTCTGTCTGCAAAAAAAAAAAAAAAAAAAAAAAAAAAAAAGGAAGCAATAAAGATAACACCTGTATTAAGATATCATTTACCCCTTTAAGTTGGTTTTAAAAGCAATAATTCAGTGGTTTTTAGTAAATTCATAGGTTATACAACCACTACCATGACCTAACTCCAGGACATTTTCATCATGCTCCCCCAAAAAACCTCATACCCATTAACAGTCACTCCTTTACCATCAGCTCCTGGAAGCCACTAATCTACTTTCTCTATAGAGATTTGCCTATTCTGGCCGGGCACGATGGCTCACGCCTATAATCCCAGCACTGTGGGAGGCCGATATAGGCGGATCATGAGGTCAGGAGATCGAGACCATCCTGGCTAACACGGTGAAACCCTGTCTCTACTAAAAAAAATACAACAAAAATTAGCCGGGCATGGTGGCGGGCGCCTGTAGCCCCAGCTACTCTGGAGGCTGAGGCAGGAGAATGGTGTGAACCCAGGAGGCAGAGCTTGCAGTGAGCCGACATTGCGCCACTGCACTCCAGCCTGGGCGACAGAGCAAGACTCCATCCCAAAAAAAAAAAAAAAAAAAAAAAAAAGATTTGCCTATTCTGGACATTTCATATGAATGGAGTCTTACTATGTATGGTCTTTGGTGACTTTTGTAGAGCTGAATCTCACCATGCTGCCTAGCCTGGTCTCAAACTACTGGGCTCAAGCAATCCTCCAGCCTCAGCCTTTCCCAAAGTGCTGGGATTACGGGCATGAGCCACCATGCCCACCCTCCAATGGCATCCTTTATATTTTTCTTTCTTTTTTTTTTTTTTTGAGACGGAATTTCACTCTTGTTACCCAGGCTGGAGTGCAATGGCACAATCACGGCTCACCGCAACCTCCGCGTCCCAGGTTCAAGCAATTCTCCTGCCTCAGCCTCCCGAGTAGCTGGGATTACAGGCATGCGCCACCACGCCCGGCTAATTTTGTATTTTTAGTAGAGACGGAGTTTCTCCATGTTGGTCAGGCTGGTCTCGAATTCCCGACCTCAGGTGATCTGCCGCCTTGGCCTCCCAAAGTGCTGGGATTACAGGCATGAGCCACCGCGCCCGGCCGGCATCCTTTATAGCAAAGGATCCAATCCAAGATTCTCCATCACATTCAGGTGTCATGTCTCTTTGGCTGCCTGTAATATGAAACAGTTCTTCGATCTTTTTTTTTTTTTTTTTTGTCACCTAGGCTGGAGTGCAGTGGCGCGATCTTGGCTCACTGTAAGCTCCGCCTCCCGGGTTCACACCATTCTCCTGCCTCAGCCTCCGGAGTAGCTGGGACTACAGGTGCCCACCACCGCACCCGGCTAATTTTTTGTATTTTTAGTAGACACGGGGTTTCACTGTGTTAGCCAGGATAGTCTCGATCTCCTGACCTTGTGATACATCCGCCTCGGCCTTCCAAAGTGCTGGGATTTACAGGCATGAGCCACCGCGCCTGGCCTTTTTTTTTTTTTTTTTGAGATGGAGTCTTGCTCTGTTGCCCAGGATAGACAGGATGGAATGTGATGGCATTCCATGATCTTGGCTCACTGCAACCTCCGCCTCCCAGGTCAAGAGATTCTCATGCCTCAGCCTCCTAAATAGCTGGGATTACAGGTGCCCACCACCACACCCAGCTAATTTTTTCCTTTTTTGATAGTGACAGGGTTTCACCATGTTGGCCAGGCTGGTTTCCAACTCCTGACCTCAGGTGATCCACTGGCCTCAGCCTCTTAAAGTGCTGGGATTACAGGCATGAGCCACTGTGCCTGGCCTCCTTATTGTATTTATTTATCCAATCATCACACCTGATACATAACCCATCTCCCATCACTGCCACCACCCTCTTCCCAGTTTTTGCATCCTCCCTCCTGCCCCAAATAAATGTATCTTAATGAAAGGGATGATGAGAATGATTTTTTTGGCTTGGTGTCCAAATTTAAAGTTTTAGCCAACATGGTGAAACCCCATCTCTAGTAAAGATACCAAAATTAGCCGGGCATGGTGCGGGCGCCTGTAATCCCAGCTACTCATGAGGCTGAGGCAGGAGAATCGCTTGACCCCAGGAGGCAGAGTTTGCAGTGAGCCAAGATCACGCCACTGTACTCTAGCCTGGGCAACAGAGCGAGATCCATCTCAAAAAAAATAAAATGAAAGTTTTCCAATGAGGCCCTGTTTACCAGGTTATTTTCTATTATGGCAGATATGGCTGGGAAATTTATAAGAAATGTTTTCCAATGACCAGGTAAAGGGCTGGCTGCTGCTTACGTTTTTGTTTTGATTTGCTTTTTGGGCTACAAGATTAAATCTTATTTTATTCTGCCACCTGCTGGCAACATCTTGAAATTTCTTTCATCTAACAAAAGGCGAAACGTTTGTTGAAGATTTATTAACAAATATTATTTTTCCATTTTTCTCACAATCTGAAAACCTACCACTCAAAGAAAAACTCACTGATATGATTAGATGGTGTAAACATTCATCCTTATTCATCTTTGATAAGGCAAAACATTTGCTTTCCAAATTTTCCACAGTAATAATGTGAAACAGTAATAATCTTTTGTGCATAAAATGTACGGATGTAGGCCGGGCATGGTGGTTCACGCCTGTAATCTCAGCACTTTGGGAGGCCGAGGCGGGTGGATTACAAGGTCAGGAGATCGAGACCATTCTGGCTAACACAGTGAAACCCCGTCTCTACTAAAAATACAAAAAATTAGCCGGGCGTGGTGGTGGGCGCCTGTAGTCCCAGCTACTCGGGAGGCTGAGGCAGGAGAATGGCGTGAACCCGGGAGGTGGAGCTTGCAGTGAGCTGAGATCACGCCACTGCACTCCAGCTTGGGTGACAGAGCGAGACTCCATCTCAAAAAAAAAAAAAAAATGTACAGATGTAATTTAAATAATAATTACAAAGTCAATCTGTGTAACTGACCCAGGTCAAGAAGAAGACATTGCCATCATTCTTTTCTTTTTTTTTTTAGATGGAGTTTTGCCCTTGTTCCCCAGGCTGGAGTACAGTGGCCTGATCTCGGCTCTCTGCAACCTCTGCCTCCAGGGTTCAAAGGATTCTCCTGCTCAGCCTCCCAAGTAGCTGAGATTACAGGCACCCACCACCATGCCCAGCTAATTTTTGTATTTTTGTAGAGATGGTATTTCACCATATTGGCCAGGCTGGTCTCAAACTCCTTACCTCAAGTGATCCTCCCACCTTGGCCTCCCAAGGTGCTGGGATTACAGGTGTGAGCCACTGGGCCTGGCCATGCCATCGCTTTAAATGACCAATGTCCCTCTTCTCCGATCCTGGCTCTCTCTCTCTTCCCCTCAAAGGATTACCCTGACTTTGGGAATAATCATTTGAGTATATACTGCTTTTGTAATCAGAAAATAACTAAAGTATTAATTGTTCAAATTAATCATATAAAAATTTTGATGTGGCGATTTAATCTGGAAATTTACATGGTTATTTCTGCATTTAACAAAGACATCCTGAGTTCAACATCATTAATTATTAGGGAAATGCAAATCGGATCAGAGTGATCTCACTCACTAGAATAGCTAAAGTTAAAAAGACAATCATAAATGTTAAAGATGTGGAGAAATTAAGACCCTCACGTATTACCGATGGGAATGTGAAATGGTGCAGCCACTTCGGAAGACAGTTTGGCAGTTCCTCAAAATATGAAACACCGTTACCATACGACAGAGCGATTCCACTTCTGGGTGTAGCACCAAACGAAATGAAACATTATGTCCACACAAAAACTTGTACACAAATGTTGATACTAGCATTATTCCTAAAAGCCAAAAAGTGGAAACAATGCAAGTGTCCATCCACTGATGAATGAATAAACAAAATGTGATCTACCGCACAATGGAATATGATTCAGCCATCCAACAGAATGATGTATTGACACAGGTTGTCACATGGAAAAACCTTGAAGACATCGTGGGAAGTGAAGGTCGTGCATCACAAAAGACTACATAGGGTATGATTCCACTTATAGGAAATGTCCAGAACAGGCAAATTCAGAGAGACAGAAAGCAGAGAAGTGCTTGCCAGGGGCTGGGGGAGTGGGGAAAGGAAGAGTGACAACTAATGGGTATCAGGTTCCTTTCGAAGTGATGAAAATATTCCAAAAGTAGATAGCGGTAGTGGTCGCACAACCCTGTGAATACCTTAAAAACCACTAGATTAGAATTACATATTATTATATAATTATATATATATATATATATATATATTTTTTTTTTTTTGAGACGGAGTCTTGCTCTGTCATCCAGGCTGAAGTGCAGTGGTGCGATCTCGGCTCACTGCAAGCTCCGCCTCCCAGGTTCGCACCATTCTCCTGCCTCAGCCTCCCAAGTAGCTGGGACTACAGGCGCCCACCACCACGCCTGGCTAATTTTTTATATTTTTAGTAGAGATGGGGTTTCGCCATGTCAGCCAGGATGGTCTCGATCTCCTGACCGCATGATCCACCCGCCTCGGCCTCCCAAAGTGCTGGGATTACAGGCATGAGCCACCGCACCTGGCCTCTTTTTTTCTTTTTTTGAGACAGAATCTCACTCTGTCACCCAGGCTGGAGTGCAGTGGCACGATCTCGGCTCACTGCAACCTCCGCCTCCCAGGTTCAAGTGATTCTTGTGCCTCAGCCTCCTGAATAGCTGGGACTACAGGTGTAAGCCACCATGCCCAGCTAATTTTTGTATCTTTAGTAGAGATGGGGTTTCACCATTTTGGCCAGGATGGTCTCGATCTATTGACCTCGTGATCTGCCCACCTCGGTCTCCCAAAGTGCTGGGAATTACAGGCGTGAGCCACCAGGCCTGGCCTTTTAAAAAATATTTAATTTATTTATTTATTTGAGACAAGGTCTGTCTCTGTCGCCCAGGCTAGAGCACGGTGATGTGATCTCAGTTCACTGTATCCTTGACCTCCCAGGCTCAAGTGATCCTTTTACCTCAACTTCTCGAGTAGCTGGGACTACAAGTGCATGCCACCACACCCGGCTAATTTTTTACATTTTCTGTAGAGATGGCAGTCTCAGTATGTTGACCAGGCTGGTCTCAAAGCGATCCTCCTGTCTTGGCCTCCCAAAGTGCTGGGATTACAGGTGTGAGCTACTGCACCTGGCATATAATTATACATTAATCCCCACTTTCTCACTCTCCAGAAGCAACCACTATTGTGAACTTGGGGTATATCATTCTAGTTCAATTTATGTTCTTTTATATCTCATTATGTTGTGTACTGTTCATCTTGTAAATAAATTGTATACTAATCTATTACATTTAAAACAACAATGTGCTGAGACTTGCTTTTGTCAGCTTTTTTTTACATTTATATTTTCTCACGAAATAAGCATAGAGGAAAGCACAAAAACCATTATGTACAGTTTGTCAAGTAATAGTAAGCTGAACACCTAGGTACATACCACCCAGGTCATGAAATTAATCACTGCCAGAGCCCAGAATCCTGGAACATGCAGACTCTCAGCCTTGGCCTCCTTCTTTCCCCCAGACGTAACCACAGCCTTGCTTTTCTGGTAATTTAGTTGCTTTTCTTTGTAGTTTTACCACTTATATTTATTTTTCCTGGTTTGGATCTTTTATTTTTAAAGTTATGTATGAACATAATTATTTTTATTTATTTATTTATTTATTTTTTGAGATGGAGTCTTGCTCTGTTGCCTAGGCTGGAGTGCAATGGTGCCATCTCAGTTCACTGCAACCTCCACCTCCTGGGTTCAAGTGATTCTCCTGCCTCAGCCTCCTGAGTAGCTGGAATTACAAGCGCATGCCACCACGCCAATTTTTGTATTTTTAGTAGAGACAGGGTTTCACCATGTTGACCAGGCTGGTCTCGAACTCCTGACCTCAGATGATCTGCCCGCCTCAGCCTTCCAAAGTGCTGAGATTATAGGCGTGAGCCACAGCACCTGGCTGAACATAATTATTAATATAAATTATACACACACACACACACACACACACATATATATATACATGTCTATCTGTCTTCCTGTAGTTGGTATTATAGCTCCATATTAGACTCAGCCATTGTTACATGTGACTATAATTCATTCATTTCGCTGCTGTGACATTCTTTTTTTTTTTTTTTCTGTTGCCCTGTCTAGAGTGCCACGGCATAATCACAGCTCAGAGCAGCCTTGATCTCCCGAGCTCAAGCAATCCTTTCAATGCAGCCTCCTGAGGAGCTGAACTACAAGTGTGTGCCATCCTGCCTGGTTGATTTTGTTTTATTTTAGGAGGTGAGATATGGCTGGGCGCCATGGCTCTTGCCTGTAATCCCAGCACTTTGGGAGGCCAAGGCAGGCAAATCACTTGAGGTCACTTGAGTTTGACATCTGCCCAGCCAACATGGTGTAACTCCATCTCTACAAAAAATACAACAAAAAAATTAACCAGGCGTGGTGGCACGCGCTTGTGGTCCCAGCTACTTGGGAGGCTGAGGCAGCAGAATCACTTGAACCCACGAGGTGGAGGCTGCAGTGAGCCAAGATCAGACCACTGTACTCCAGCCTGGGTGACAGACCAAAACTCTGTCTCAAAAAAAAAAAAAAAAAAAGAAAGAAAGAAAAGAAAGAAAGACAGGGTCTTGCTCTGTTGCCCAGGCTGTAGTGCAGTGGCACCATCATGGCTCACTGCAGCCTTGGCCTCCTGGGTTCAAGCCATCCTCCCACCTCAGCCTCCCAAAGCACTGGGATGACAGGCGTGAGCCACAGAACCCAGCCATAGCGCCTAACATCTTGAGTGATGAATGAGATCCACATTATTTGTTACTGTCTCTAGATTAAGGAAAACCAGTTAATTATTTGATTTAGGAACTGGCATGATCCACCCCAAATAATTTACATGATAAGTGTGCCCTGGTGCATGCATCTTTGTCATCTCAGCCACTCTGGAGGCTGAGGCAGGAGGACAGCTTCAGCCCAGGAGTTTGAGGCCAGCCTGGACAACATAGCAAGAGCCTGTGTCTTAAAAACAACAACAACAACAAAAAAAACTAATATGGCGGGGTGCAGTGGCTCATGCCTGTAATCCCAGCACTTTGGGAGGCTGAGGCGGGAGGATCACCTGAGGTCAGGAGTTTGAGACCAGCCTGGCCAACATGGTAAAACCCCGTTTTTACTAAAAATACAAAAAAATTAGCCAGGCATAGTGGTGGGCTCCTGTAATCCCAGCTACTTGGGAGGTTGAGGCAGGAGAATCACTTGAACCCAGGAGGCGGAGGTTGCAGTGAGCGGAGATTGTGCCACTGCACTCTAGCCTGGGCAACAAGAGTGAAACTCCGTTTCAAAAAAAAAAAACAAAAACAAAACAAAAAACGAATATATCATGGCCGGACAGGACGGCTCATGCCTTTGGGAGGATGAAGCGGATGGATCACTTAAGGTCAGGAGTTCAAGACCAGCCTGGCCAACATGGTGAAACCCTGTCTCTACTAAAAATACAAAAATTAGCCGGGTGTGGTGGTGGGCGCCTGTAATCCCAGCTACTTGGGAAGCTAAGGCAGGAGAATTGCTTGAACCCAGGAGGCGGAGGTTGTAGTGAGCCGAGATCGTGCCACTGCACTGCAGCCTGGGCAACAGAGTGAGACTGAAAAAAAAAAAACGCCGGGCATGATGGCTCACACCTGTAATCTCAGTACTTTAGAAGGCTGAAGCGGGCAGATCACCTGAGGTCAGGAGTTCAAGAACAGCCTGGCCAACATAGTGAAACCTTGTCTCTACTAAAAATACAAAAAATTAACCAGGCGTGATGGTGGCGCCTGTAGTCCCAGCTACTTGGGAGGCTGAGGCAGGAGAATCGCTTGAACTCAGGAGGCAGAGGTTGCAGTGAGCCGAGATCGTGCCACTGCACTCCAGCCTGGGCAACAGAGCGAGACTCCAACTCAAAAAAAAAAAAAAAAGTGTCCTAGCAATGTAATTATATCAAAGAATTTAGATGAACGGTAACTCCAAAACTGTAAGTACTTCCCGTGATAGAGCCATGAGGCAATAGAAAGGATGTTTCAAACTTATTAGCATCTTTAAAGGAGCTGCCAAATTCATGTGCTTCTTTCTGGAGAGGGGTTAAATTGAGAAGTGTATTGTATTTCAGTTTGGTTCATTTAACATCTGCCAATGCCAGCATGTTGTCTGGTTAGGGAAATGTTATATATAAGTAATTGCTATAGCATGTGGTTGAGACCGTGTGTCTTCCTGCGGTTTAGGCTTCTCACTGGCATCCTAAAACAATTCCAATCTCCAACCACGGGACTTTGTCTGCTTTGAGCAAGGCAGTAGCCTCAGCACTTAGCGTGGCTCCCGGCACTCAATAAATATGTATCGAGTGGGTGAATATTTAGTGTACTTGTCATTTGCCTGAATGACATCCGATCCCCTCCTTACCCTTCCGCCTGCTCTGCTCCGTTTCCCAAGGTGATGAACACGCAGACTGAGCTTTCCAGCCTTCCTGCTGGGCTCAGTCAATGGAAGGCACTGGTGGGAGGCTGGAAGGCAGGAGGGGAAGCTGGGGTATTTCTGCCCTCTCTTTGTGTTGGGCATCATCTCCAGTAGCATCTTTGGCTGAAATGGCTGCACAGGCTTCATCCAGGTGACTTTTTTTTTTTTTTTTTTTTTTGAGACAGAGTCTTGCTCTGTCGCCCAGGCTGGAGTGCAGTGGTGCAATCTCAGCTCACTGCAAGCTCCGCCTCCCGGGTTCACGCCATTTTCCTGCCTCAGCCTCCTGAGTAGCTGGGACTACAGGTGCCCGCCACCACGCCCGGCTAATTTTGTGTATTTTTAGTAGAGACGGGGTTTCACCATGTTAGCCATGATGGTCTCGATTTCCTAACCTCGTGATCCGCCCGCCTCAGCCTCCCAAAGTGTTGGGATTACAGGCATGAGCCACCGCGCCTGGCCTCATCCAGGTGACTTTTTTGGGGGAGGGGTTGTTTTTGAGACAGGGTCTCGCTCTGTCACCCCAGCTGGAGTGCAGGGGCACAATCACAGCTCACTACAGCCTTCAATTCCTGGGCTCAAGTCACCCTCCCACCTCAGCCTCCTGAGTAGCTGGGACTACAGGCGCATGCCACCATGCCCAGCTAATTTTTGTATCTTTTGTAGAGACACAGTTTCACCATGTTGCTCCAGGCTGGTCTCAAACTCCTGGGCTCAAGAGATCCACTCACCTCAGCCTCCCAAAGTGCTGGAATTACATACATGAGCCACTGTGCCCAGCCACACGTGGTTTTTAAGAGATTTCTGTAGGAGTTGGGATCTTCCACAATTGTGAGATCTGGTTAGACAGTCTCCATAACGCTGGGTCTCTGTGTCTGATGCTGGAGCCTGAAGTCTGCAGGGCAGGCAGCTGAGAACAGAAGATGGATGTAAAGTAGGGAAGAGCAAGAACGATCTGGAACCCATGAGCAAGAGCTGAAATCTACAAGCACAGACTGAAACCTAGGTCAGTCCTCATTGTCCCCAACTTTGATGGCATGGGTGTCCTGCAGGAAACACTGGTGCCCTTAGGCAGGGAGCTGGCTCAGGGGTCACAGCAGCCAAACAAGGATCCAGGGGCAGGTGGACCCACCGCAGGCAGGTAAAGGACAATGTTCAGGAGATGCAGAAGTGGCTGGTGACTCTGCCCCGGCCTTCCAGGCATCAGTAAGAGTATGGCTGCTGCTCTACTTCCACACACCAAATCTCATGCCACAGAAAATTGCCCTTTATGGCCCACCCAACCAGAAAAACATAGAAAAAGGAATTCTGGGAAATGCAATTCAACTAGCCAAGCTAACACATTACCAAGCCAGTGACCATGGTTTCTTGGGATAGCTTGGGGGTGACGTATCAGTGTTCTACCATGAGCAAACCTACCTGCAAGGGCTGAGAGCTGAAGGAAGCTGACAAACCTGGTTTCTCAGAAAGAAACTTTTTTGTTTTTTAGAGACAGAGTCTTGCTCTGTTGCCCAGGCTGGAGTGCAGTGGCACAATCATGGCTCACTGTAGCCTCAGACTTCTGGGCTCAAGCAATGCTCCTGCCTCAGCTTCCTGAGTAGCTGGGACTATAGGTGCACCGCAGCACACTTGGTTAAGGTTTTCCATTTTTTTGTAGCAATGAGGTCTCACCACTTTGTCCAGGTTGCTCTCAAACTCCTGGCCTCAAGCATTCCTCCTGTCTTGGCCTCCCAAAGCACTAGGATTACAGGCGTGAGCCACCCACCCAGTCTCAGAATGAAACATTTAATAGGGATTTTTGAACAAAAGCCATGTCTTGGGTGGCTGTGAGATGATGGATCCCTGCACCGTTAGCCCCCAGACCCAAGGCTTATATACCTAGGGAAAGAGTATATGTGCTTCAGAAGGAATATGTCATCAAGGTTGTTTTGACCCAAGGGCAGGATTTGCAGTAATTACTTGCTCTTCACAGTAGATAACGTAGAAATCTTAGAGGCATTCCGGCAACTGAGATTAATTAGAAGTCCACATGGTGGATAAGCTGGCAAGGTAGAGTTGCTTTAGCCTCCACAATCAGCCAACCTGCAAGTAAAAGGAAATGTAACCAAAAGTGCTTAACCAATAAGGAAAATTTACTATGTCACAGAACAATGGGTCCAATGACCTTACAGTGTTGTGAATGGCTCAGGAATGTCATTAAGGGTCAAGTTCTTTTTCTCTGCCATCTGCAGCAGGTTGGCTGTATTTCTCAGCATGTCACAGCCTCTATCACATCCTCACGTAACTATGTCCACAGCTGGGAAGGGGACTGTTTCTCTCATGAGGCTCTATTTAAGAGCAGGGGGCTGCATACAGTGGCTGATACCTGTAATCCCAGCACTTTGGGAGGCTGAAGCAGGAGGATCGCTTGAGCCCAGGAGTTCAAGGCCAGCCTAGGCAAGATAGCGAGACCCCATCTCTATAAAAATAAAAAATTAGCGGGCATAGTGGCACACGCCTGTGGTCCCACCTACTCAGGAGGCTGAGGCAGGAGGATCGCTTGTCTAAAAAGTCAAGGCTACAGTGAGCTGTGATCGCACCACTGCACTCAAGCCTGGGCAACAGAGGGAGACCATGTCTCAAAAAAAAAAAAAAATTATGAAGAATTTGAAAATGGGCCGGGCGCAAGGGCACACACCTGTAATCCCAGCACTTTGGGAGGCCGAGGGGGGTGGATCAGGTCAGGAAGCCTAAGGTCAGGTGTTCAAGACCAGCCTGGCCAACATGATGA
This sequence comes from Homo sapiens, assembly GCF_000001405.40. NCBI lineage: Eukaryota > Metazoa > Chordata > Mammalia > Primates > Hominidae > Homo > Homo sapiens. The sequence continues at coordinate 121,688,379 of NC_000012.12, read as the reverse complement.
AACCCCATTTCTACTAAAAATTAAAAATTAGCCGGGCATAGTGGCACACGCACGTAATCCCAGCTACTCGGGAGGCTGAGGTGGGAGAATCAGTTGAACCTGGGAGGTGGAGGTTGCAGTGAGCCATGATCACATTACTGAACTCCAGGCTGGGCAACAGAGGGAGACTCCAAAAAAAAAAAAAAAGAATTTTGAAATAGCAACAGGAGGGTATTAACCCAAGCACAAGGCCCTTCTGAATGCAGGGAACATCATATTAACTAGGTGTAGATTTTGAGTCCATTTAAGGGTTTCCATGTTGCTTTTTCATTACTTTTCTATGCTTTTTATGAGGGACATACGAAGCAGTTCATTCTTTTCAAAGCAGGTCCATTCTTGGTTTAGGGCTCTTTTTAAAAATTTTATTATTACCATTTTTTTTTTTGAGACAGAGTTTCGCTCTTGTTGCCCAGGCCAGAGTGCAATGGCTGCAGTGGCGCGATCTCGGCTCACCACAACCTCTGCCTCCTGGGTTCAAGAGATTCTCCTGCCTCAGCCTCCCGAGTAGCTGGGATTACAGGCATGAGCCACCATGCCGGGCTAATTTTGTATTTTTAGTAGAGACAGGGTTTCTCCATGTTGGTCAGGCTTGTCTCCAACTCCCGACCTCGGGTGATCTACCTGCCTCAGCCTCCCAAAGTGCTGGGTTTACAGGCGTGAGCCACCGCGCCCGGCTGATTCTTTTTTTTTTTTTAGACAGAGTTTCACTCTTGTCACCCAGGCTGGAGTGCAATGGTGCAATCTCAGCTCACTGCAACCTCCACCTCCTGGGTTCAAGAGGTTCTCCTGCCTCAGCCTCTCGAGTAGCTAGGATTACAGGCGCCCGCCACCATGCCCAGCTAATTTTTGTATTTTGTTTCGGCAGAGACGGGGTTTCACCATGTTGGCCAGACTGGTCTCGAACTCCTGACCTCAGGTGATCCACCCGCCTCGGCCTCCCAAAGTGCTGGGATTACAGGTGTGAGCCACCGCGCCCGGCTCAAATCTTTTTTAAATTGAAGGGTAAATTCTCTGTGTTCATATTCCCAGTCGTGACATTTTTTGGTCGAGTAACCTTGCTGCGGAGCATTGGGGACAGTCCCCGCCCCAAACTCGGCCACCAGCGCCTCCTCCGCGCTCTCATCGCCCTTGCCGCGTTGCAACGCGATCCCGCCCACTTCCGGCAGGAGCGTCCAGAGCGCAGGCCCAACTCCAGGGGTCCTTCAGCAACTGTCAACTGCTGACGTATGCGCATGTGTAAAGGGGCGGGTCTGGTTAATTGCGCGGGAGATTGTGGGTCCACTGAACTCACGCGACTGTCTCCGCCCACTTAAATAGGCGGGCGGAGCCGAGGGCCCAGTCTGGCTTCAGGAAGCGCAGGCGCATTGAGTACAGGAACGTGACTCAGGCACCGGGGCGACCTTCACGCATGCTCATTTAAATAAGGCAAAGAGCTTATTACACCAGCTCCAGGACCCGCCTTTCTCTCTTAACCAGCCTCTGGCTTTTAAAGGGCCAGAATTCCTCCGAATTATGGATTTTTTGGTTTGGGGTTTTTAAAATAATTTTATTTTATTTTATTGTGGTAAAAATACTTGACATGAGAGTATTTTTAAAGTGTACCATATAGTATATTGTTAGCTGTAGATACAACCGAATTGCTTTTTTATATTAAGCATTTATTGAGCACCTACTATGTGTAAACCAAACTTACATTGCTGTGTGCATTTTACAATTTTTCTCCTGTAATAATATGTAATAATTACGTTCATATGTATATTTTTGCATAAATTTATTCCTCCATCCCAGTGTACTATTCCTTTCTTTGGTGGCAATTCTCTCTCTCTTTTTTTTTTTTTTTTTTGAGACAAAGTTTCATTCTTGTTGCCCAGGCTGGCATGCAATGACGCGATCTGGGCTCCCTGCAACCTCCGCCTCCCGGGTTCAAGCGATTCTCTCCTACCTCAGCCTCCCGAGTAGCTGGCATTACAGACACCCGCCACCACACCTGGCTAATTTTTTTGTATTTTTAACTAGAGACGGGTTTTCACCATGTTGGCCAGGCTGGTCTCAAACTCCTGACCTCATGATCTGCCCGCCTCGGCCTCCCAAAGTGCTGGGATTACAGGCGTGAGCCACCGTGCCCGGCCCCAGCCTCTCTTTAAAATTATTTTTATTTATTATTATTTTTTAAGAGACGGGGTCTCACTCTGCCATCCAGGCTAGAATACAGTGGCGAGATCATAACTCACTGCAGCCTCCATCTCCTGGGCTCAAGCGATCCTACCTCACCCTCCCGAGTAGCTGTACTACAGGTGCGCATCACCACATCTGGCTTTTTTCTTTTCTTTTTTTCTTTTAAGATTGTGTCTCACTGTGTCTCCCAGGCTGGAGTGCGTAGCTCACTGCAGCCTCTAATTCATGGGCTCGAGCAATCGTCCTACCTCAGCCTCCCAAGTAGCGAGGACTATATAGAGACATGGTCTTGTTGCCCAAGCTAGACTGGAACTCCTGGCCTCAAGCGATTTTCCTGCCTTGGCCTCTCAAAGCACTGGGATGACCTGACTGAAGGCAATTCTCTGGAATGGGAGGCAATGTGGGGTTCTGGGCCGGTCTTCCCAGGTTAAGAGGCCTGCGACTGAATTTTGGCTCTTTCACTTCCTTGCTCTTTTACTGTGGATATGTCACCTAACTTCTGGGAACCTAACAGTTGCCTGCTTTTTATTTATTTATTTTTATTTTATTGTTTGAGACAGGGTCTCACTCTGTTGCCCAGACTGGCGTGCAGTGGCACGATCTTGGCTCATTGCAACCTCCACCTCCCAGGTTCAAGCAATTCTCCTGCCTCAGCCTCCTGAGTAGCTGGGATTACAGGTGTGCACCACCACACCAAGCTAATTTTTGTATTTTTAGTAGAGACGAGGTTCCACTATGTTGGCCAGACTGGTCTCGAACTCCTGACCTCAAGTGATCCACCTGCCTCAGCCACCACGCCCAGCTAATTTTTGTATTTTTAGTAGAGACCGGGTTTGCTGTGTTGGCCAGGCTGGTCTTGAACTCCTGACCCAAGTGATCCTCCTACCTCAGCCTCCCAAAGTGCTGGGATTACAGCGGTGAGCCACTGCGCCTGGACAGTTTGCTTCTTTTTAAAACAAAGATCAGGATACCTACCAATCTCACAGGATTGTTGCAAAAAGTAAATTCTTTAAAAAGTGTGTGTGAAGTCAGGAAGCTGAGGCAGGAGAATCTCTTGAACCCAGGAGGCGGCGTTTGCAGTGAGCTGAGATCGCGCCACTGCACTCCAGCCTGGGCGACAGAGCGAGACTCCGTCTCAAAAAAAACCAAAAAACAAAAAAAAGTATGTGAAGTGCCAAGTACTGTGCCTCATGCCAGCTATATATGTTGAACAAATAGTCATTAAGTGGAATTATTCAGTCAGAAAATGGTTTTATAGTTCCTGTAACAGTTCCAGATGGTTCTTCAGGAAGATTTACCTAATTGCGAGGATGGCTAGCCATGTGTAATGGTGTCTCTTTTTCCAATATCGCAGGCCATCATTTTTACACATTTTTCCTAGTCTAGACAGTATGTAATGGTATGGCAGGGTTATTTTAATTTTCATTTATTTAATTCTAGTGAGGCCATGCATTTTTCCTTGGGATGATTTATTAGCTTTATTTCTTTGCCTAACAACTATTTTCTAACACTGTAATTTTCACTGGCTTATCCCTGCAGACATGATGTTAGGTTTTGACAGAGCATGTTGTTGACCTTTTTTTTTTTTTTTTTTTGAAACGGAGCCTTGCTCTGTTGCCCAGGCTGGAGTGCAATGGCGCGATCTCGGCTCACTGCAACCTCTGCCTCCTGGGTTCAAGCAATTCTCCTGCCTCAGCCTCTGGAGTAGCTGGGATTACAGGTGCCTGCCACCATGCCCAGCTAATTTTTGTATTTTTATTAGAGACGAGGTTTCACCATATTGGCCAGGCTGGTCTTGAACTCCTGACCTCAAGTCACACTTTGAGAGGCCGAGACCAGGCAGGCCAGAGTGCTGGGATTATAGGCGTAGCCACCACATCCAGCCTGACCCTTTTTTTTTCTGGAGAAAGAGGGTTAGGGGGAGAGAGAGAAGCAAAAGGAAACTCTCCAAAGAAGGGATTGAGGCTACAGTGAAAACTCATCCCTAGAGCAGCTCTGTCCAGTAGAACTGGCGAGGGTGCCACAATGTCTGCATATGTCTGTCCCATATAGTCCAGCATGTGTCCACAAAGCACTTGGAACGCGGCTACTGTGACTGAGGAATTTTTAATTTTATCTAACTTAAATTTAAATTCAAATACAAGGGAGGGGACAGGCACAGTGGCTCACACTTGTAATCTCAGCACTTTGGGAGGCTGAGGCAGGAGGATCACTCTAGCCTACGAGATCGAGACCAGCCTGGGCAACACAACGAAACCTGGTCTCTACAAAAAATACAAAAGTTAACCGAGTGTGGTGGTACACACCTGTGGTCCCAGTTCCTTGGGAGGCTGAGGTGAGAGGATCACTTGAGCCCAGGAGGTTGAGGCTGCAGTAAGCCATGAGTACACCGCTGCACTCCAGCCTGGGTGACAAAGTGAGACTCTGCCTCACAAATAAATAAATAAATAAATAAATACAAGGGAGGCTGAGGCAGGAGTTCAAAGCTGCAGTGAGGTATGATCAGGCCACTTTACTCCACCCTGGGCAACAGAGTGAGCCCCTGTCTCTAAAAATAATAATATAAATACATAAATAAATAAATAAACAAACAAAAATAGCCACCTCATTGATGACACCTCATTTTCTTTTTTCTTTTTTTTTTTTTTTGAGACGTAGCCTCATTCTGTCGCCCAGGCTGGAGTGCAGTGGCACAATATCGGCTCACTGCAACCTCCGCCTCCCGGGTTCAAGCGATTCTCCTGCCTCAGCCTCCGGAGTAGCTGGGACTACAGGCGCTGGCCACCACGCCCAGCTAATTTTTGTATTTTTAGTAGAGACGGGGTTTCACCATATTGGCCAGGCTGGTCTCGAACTCCTGACCTCGTGATCCTCCCACCTCGGCCTCCCAAAGTGCTGGGATTACAGGCATGAGCCACCGTGCCCGGCCCAGATGGCACCTCATTTTCCTTTGGAAAAATAAGGGGAAAAAGGAGACAAAAAAAGGGGCCTACAAAGTCAACTCAGGAGTGTCCTCACACATATAGAAGGACTCGAATTTAGACTTTTGGCATTGTTCCGGAGAGAGATGGTCCCAGAGACTATTGGTTTTGACAAAATGCTGTGTTCAGTTTGTGAAAATTTATCAAGGTATACACTGATGATATTTCCACTTTTTTTTTTTTTTGAGACAGGGTCTCACTTTGCCACCCAGGCTGGTATGCATAGGCATGATTACTGGTCACTGCAACCTTCACTTCCTGGGCCTTGGGTGATCCTCCCACCTCAGCCTCTGGAGTAGGTGGGACCATAGGCATGCACCACATTGCCCAGCTAATTAAAAAAATTTTTTTGTAGAGACGAGATTTAGCCATGTTGCCCAGGTTGGTCTCAAATGCCTGGTCTCAAGCAATCTATCTGCATTGGCCTCTGAAAGTGTTGGGATTACAGGTGTGAGCCACCGCTCCTGGCCCCCCCCCTTTTTTTTTTTTTTTGAGACAGGGTCTTGCTCTGTCACCAAGGCTGAAGTGCAGTGGTGGGATCACCACTCACTGAAGCCTCGACCTCTCGACCTCCTGGGCTCAAGTGATCTCGCCTCAACCTCCTGAGTAGCTGAGACTACAGGCATGCACTACCACATCCAGCTATTTTTAAATTTTTTTAATTTTTTTTGAGATGGGGGTCTCACTATGTTGCCCAGGCTGGTCTGATCTGACCTTAAGCAATCCTCCTACTTGGGCCTCCCAAAGTGTTGGGATTACAGGGGTGAGCCACCATGCCTGCCCCACTTTTCTATATGCACTTTACACTTCCATAAAAAGTTAAACAAAATTTAGCCCATTCTATGTTACCTTCTTTTGACATTTACCTGGTTTTCAATTTAGCAGAAATCTCAAAAAAAAAAAAAAAGTGGTCTGTGACTCGCTCTGGACACCTGACAGCCCCTAGAGGGCGCTCATTCTGCATGAGAGACTTTTTCTTTTTTTTCTTTTTTCTTTTTTTTTTTTTGAGACGGAGTGTCGCTCTTGTTGCCCAGGCTGGAGTGCAATGGCGTGATCTTGGCTCACTGCAACCTCCGCCTCCCAGGTTCAAGCGATTCTCCTGCCTTAGCCTCCGGAGTAGCTGGGATTACAGGTATGCACCATCAAGCCCGGCTAATTTTGTATTTTTAGTAGAGACGGGGTTTCTCCATGTTGGTCAGGCTGGTCTCAAACTCCTGACCTCAGGTGATCCGCCCACCTTAGCCTTCCAAAGTGCTGGATTACAGGCCTGAGCCACCGTTCCCAGCTGTACACTTTAAATGAGTGAATTCTGGCCAGGCACGGTGGCTTACACCTGTAATCCCAGCACTTTGGGAGGCTGAGGCGTGCTGATCACAAGGTCAGGAGTTTGAGACCAGCCTGGCCAATGCGGTGAAACCCCGTCTCTACTGAAAATACAAAAATTAGCTGGGCATGGTGGCAGGCGCCTGTAATCCCAGCTACTCGGGAGGCTGAGGCAGGAGAATCGCTTGAGCCTAGATCGTGCCACTGCACTCCAGCCTGGACGACAGAGTGAGACTCCATCTTAAATAAATAAATAAATAAATGAAGTGTACAATTCAATAGTTTTTAGTGTGTCCACAGACTTATGCAACTATCAGCACGGTGAAATTGAGAACATTTTCAAAATAAATAAATAAGTGTACAATTCAATGGTTTTTAGTGTGTCCACAGACTTATGCAACTATCAGCACGGTGAAATTGAGAACATTTTCAAAATAAATAAATAAATAAATAAAGTGTACAATTCAATGGCTTTTAGTGTGTCCACAGACTTCTGCAACTATCAGAATGGTGAAATTGAGAACATTTTCAAAATAAATAAATAAATAAATAAGTGTACAGTCCAATGGTTTTTAGTGTGTCCACAGACTTATGCAACTATCAGCACCGTGAAATTAAGAACATTTTCAAAAGAAACCCTGTAGTCCTTAGCTATCACTTCCCTCTCCAGTCCCTGGCAAGCACTAATCTACCGTCTGTCTCTGTGCCTTTGCCTATCTCAGACATTTCAAATGAATGGAATCACATACTGTGTGTCCTTTTAGCATTTATACACTTCCACTTAGCATTATGGGCTTTTTTTTTCTTTTTTTGAGTCGGAGTTTTGCTCTTGTTGCCCAGGCTGGAGTGCAGTGATGCGATCTCAGCTCACTGTGCAACCTCTGCCTCCTGGGTTCAAGAGATTCTCCCGCCTCAGCCTCCCGAGTACCTGGGATTACAGGCGTCCACCACGACACCCAGCTAAGTTTTTGTATTTTTAGTAGACATGGGGTTTCACCATGTTGGCCAGGCTGGTCTCAAACTCCTGACCTCAGGTGATCCACCTGCCTCGGCCTCCCAAAGTGCGGGATCACAGGTGTGAGCCACCGCGCCCGGCCGCCAGCATTACATTTTTACGGTTCACCATTTTGTAGCACCTATCAGAATTTCATTCCTAGGCCGGGTGCAGTGGCTCACGCCTGTAATCTCAGCACTTTGGGAGGCCAAGTTGGGCAGATCACTTAAGGTTAGGAGTTCGAGACCAGCCTGGCCAACATAGTGAAACCTCGTCTCTAGTAAAAATACAAAATTAGCCAGGTGTTGTGGCACACGCCTGTAATCCCAGCTACTCTGGAGCCTGAAGTGGGAGAATCTCTTGAACCTGGTAAGAGAAGGTTGCAGTGAGCCGAGATTGCACCACTGCACTTCAGCAAGGGCGAGAGAGTGAGATTCTGTCTTAGAAAAAAAAAAAAAAGCTGGGCGCGGTGGCTCACGCCTGTAATCCCAGCACTTTGGGAGGCTGAGGCTGGCGGATCACGAGGTCAGGAGATCGAGACCATCCTGCCTAACACAGTGAAACCCCATCCCTACTAAAAAAAAATACAAAAAATTAGCCAGACATGGTGGCGGGCGCCTGTAGTCCCAGCTACTCTGGAGGCTGAAGCAGGAGAATGGTGTGAACCTGGGAGGTGGAGCTTGCAGTGAGCCGAGATGGTGCCACTGCATTCCAGCCTGGGTGACAAAGCGAGACTCCATCCCAAAAAAAAAAAAAAAAAGAACTTCATTCCTTTTTATAGCCAAATAGGATTCCATGGCATGAACAGAGCGCATTCTGTTTATCTGCTCATCTATTGATGGATATCTGGATGGTGTCCACCTTTTGTCTATTATGTGCTATGGCCCATGCCTGTAATCCCAGCACTTTGGGAGACCGAGGTGGGCGGATCACTTGAGGTCAGGAGTTGGAGACCGGGCTGGCCAACGTGGTGAAACCGTCTCTACTAAAAATACAAAATTAGCCGGGCATGGTGGCAGTGCCCGTAGTCCCAGCTACTTGAGAGGCCGAGGTACAAGAATCACTTTAACCCAGGAGGTGGAGGTTGCAGTGAGCCAAGATCGCATCACTGCACTCCAGCCTGGGTGACAGAGCGAGACTCTGTAAAAGAAAAAAAAAAAAAAACAAATCTCAGGACTCCCTGCCAAGGCTGAACATCCAGGAAGAAAGCTAAAGGTCTGTGCCCAGAAGAGGGTCAACAAGACCATGCCTTGCTGATTGAGGGGACATTTATCTGTGGGTGTTGAGGGGAGTCCCTCTTGCCCCAGACTATACAGGGCAACTCCTCTCACCCAAAGCTGTAAACAAGATCCTTGAATATGGCGCTCAGCCATATCCTTGCCACTCAGATCTGGAAGTGATTACCCGAAGGGTATTTGGGACAGGAGCCCCCCAGGCCTAATGCTCTTGGCATGTCAGTATCTGGGAGGGGCCAGCCTGAACCACCTACTCAGGTGTTGTGAATAATGTTACCCAACTCTGACCCCATAGGGAGAATAATCTCATAGATTTGTGTAACCTGCCCTTCCGGCTGGCCTGCAGATGCAGATGAGCCCTAATTTGGCCCAGATTCTTCTCGATGGGGCGGTCCTGGCTTCCTCTGAGCCAGGGTCTGATTAGGGGCTGCGAATGAGCTCTTTGCCATGCTGGGACTGAGGCTTGGGGCTGTGTCTTAGGCTGGTCAAGGAAGAGAAGGTTCCAAGTCATGAGGCACCCCTCAACGAGTGGCAGGGTGGCTCTGGACAGGCCAACAGGCAAGAGACAGTTTGTACCGGGTTGAAGATGGGCCTGGGCTGCTGGCTAGGTACCTAAGGAGGAGAGGAAAATTTCATAAAAAGAACCACAGTGGCAGCAGCATGACTGGCCAGGGGCCGACTCCAGACCCAGCTGGGCCAATCAGGGTTTGGGGATTGGAATTCAGAAACAGCCAGTAAGTTTGTTTGAGGGATTGGAACTGAGGTGATAAAAGGGGCAGCTGCTTCCCACCATGAGAAAGCTGATTCACAGAACCAGAAAGACTGAGGCGGGGAGGGGGAGAGAGAGAGAGAGAGAGAGAGAGAGAGGAGGCTTTGCTGTAGACAGGTGTCCAACGCTGGAGTCCAGTTCCTTGTAAACTCCAGCTGAATTTCCTGTTATTAGACTCCACGAAAGACTCTTAACATCCTTGTAATAAATTTCCCTTTTGGGGTAATATGAAATGCTTTCTCTACTGGCAACCAAAGAACCTTGTATAAGGCAGGAAGATACACTGAGGAAGTTTTCTATCCATCAATTACAGTCTACTGGGAGAGAGAAAGGTGCACCCAATGAATTAAATATAGATGATGCAATAAGGCCAGGTGCAGGGGCTCATGCCCTCTCAAAGTAATCCCAGCACTTTGAGAGGCCCAGGCGGGAGGGTCGTTTGAGCCCAGGAGTTTGAGACTATCCTGGGCAACATAGTGAGACCCCCTATCTCTACAAAAAATAAGATAATTAGATGGGTGTGGTGGTGTGTGCCTGTAATCCCTGCTATTGGGAGGCCAAGGCAGGAAGATCACTTGAGCCCAGGAGTTTGAGGCTGCAGTGAGCCATGTTCATGCCACTACATTCCAGCCTGGGCGACAGAATGAGACCCTACTTCTATGATATGGTTTGGATCTGCGTCCCTTCCCAAATCTTATATTGAAATGTAATCCCCAATGCTGGAGGTGGGGCCTGCTGGGAGGTGAGTGGATCATGGGAGAGGTTTCTCATGGTTTAATACCATCCCTTTTGGTGCTGTCATCGGGAGAGTGAGTTCTCATGAGATCTGACTGTTTTTTTTAAAAAAAGCACTGGCCAGGAGCAGTGACTTATGCCTCTTATCACAGCACTTTGGGAGGCCGAGGCAGGTAGATCACCCGAGGTCAGAAGTTCAAGACCAGGCTGGCCAACATGGTGAAACCCCATCTCTACTAAAAATACAAAAATTGGCTGGGCGTGGTGGTGGTTGCCTGTAATCCCAGCTACCCAGGAGGCTGAGGCAGGAGAAAGGCTTGAACCTGGGAGGCAGAGGTTACAGTGAGCGGAGACGGCGCCATTGTACTCCAGCGTGGGCAACAAGAGTGAAACTCTGTCTCAGAAAAAAAAAAAAAAAAAAAAAAAAAAGCAGAATGGTGAGTGCCAGGGGCTGAGGAAAGGGAAGGGGAACAAGAGTTAGTGTTGAATGGGGCTGAATGTTTGTTTGGCAAGATGAAAAAGTTCTGGAGATGGATGGAGGTGATGGTTGTAGGACAATGTCAATGTACTTAATGCCCCTAAAGTGTGCACTTAAAAATATTTAAAATATAAGTTTGTAGTTGGGACAAAAATAAAATGGTAACTTTAATGTTATGTATATATTACCAAAATAAGAAATCACCAAAAAGAAAAAAAGGAAAAACATCACCTCAAAGTCTGTGTGGTCTTGAAGCAAGGCTCCTACACTCCAGCGTGGGTCAGCCGTTACCTGTGGGTCACCTGGAGGGTGTCAGCTCTGGGCACTCCCAGCTGTCTGCCCAAACAGGTGAAGTGGCTTCAGTAACTCAGGGACCGTCGTCTGAAGAACTGGAGGTGAAAGAACCAAAGTACTTAGAAACCAGGGGGTCAGGCCAGGCACAGTGGCTCACACCGGTAATCCCAGCACTGTGGGAGGCCGAGGCAGGTGGATCACCTGAGGTCAGGAGTTTGAGACCAGCCTGGCCAACATGGTGAAACCCTGTCTATACTAAAAATACAAAAATTACCCGGGCGTGGTGGTGAGCGCTTGTAATCCCAGTCACTCAGGAGGCTGAGGCACAAGAATCGCTTCAACCCAGGAGGCAGAGGTTGCAGTGAGCTGAGATCGCGCCATTGTACTCCAGCCAGGGCGACAGAATGAGACTCTGTCTCAAAAAAAAAAAAAAAGAAAGAAAAAAAAAGAAAGAAAGAAAGAAAAAGAAACCTGGGGTCAGCACACAGAACTGGTAGGAAGGACCTAAAGGGACCAAGGTGGGCACCAGCAGTGTTGGCTGCAGTCTCGGGTCACCTGCACCAACTGGGCAGCAATCTTACCAGGGACATATATTTTTGGTGTTATGGGACACCTGACCACACTACTCTAGCAGTCAGAGTCTTGGTAGAAAACCCAAATCACGTGCCAAGTAGTTCCACAAAAAGAATTTCTTCATAGTGATAACAGTGTTGGATGGATAGAAAGAGCAGCAGGAGAAAAGATGATACCTAGGGCTGGAGAGGCGAAGGGAAGAAGTGCTCACAGAGCCCACAGGCCAGACCTGGGCAGCAAGAGATGAAACCAGGTGCACTTTCTGCCAGAGACACTCCCTGAAGCAGAGAAAGAGGGAAAGACCCCAGCATCTGCCATTGGCTGAATGCAGCCAGAAGTCACTGCGGGGAAGTCACTGCCCAGAGGCAGGAGGCAGCATCCCTGCCAAACAAAGCACAGCAGGAGAAGGGCAAATAATGGATCTGCCTGGTGTGGTGGCTGGCACTTGTAATCCTAGCACTTTGAGAGGCTAAGGCGGGGAGGAGACTTGAGGCCAGGAGTTCGAGACCGGCCTAGGCAAAATAGTGAAACCTGTCTCCAAAAAAAAAAAAAAAAAAAAAAGTAGCGAAGTGTGGTGGTGTGTCCCTGCAGTCCCAGCTACTGAGGAGGCTGAGGCAAGATAATCTCTTGAGCCCAGGAGTTCAAGGCTGCAGTGAGCTCTGATTGCGCTGCTGCACTCTAGCCTGGGTACAAAGCAAGATATTGTCTATAAAAAAAAAAATAGAAGAAAAATAAAAAGGCCAGGCTCAGTGGCTCATGCCTGTAATCCCAGCACTTTGGGAGGCCAAGGTGGGTGGCTCACCTGAGGTCAGGAGTTCAAGACCAGCCTGGCCAACATGGTGAAACCCCGTCTCTACAAAAAATACAAAAATTAGCCGGGCATGGTGATGCATACCTGTAATCCTAGCTACTCGGGAGGCTGAGGCAGGAGAATCACTTGAACCCGGGAGGCAGAGGTTGCAGTGAGCAGAGATCGTGCCACTACACGCCAGCCTGGGTGACAAAGTGAGACTCTGTCTCAAAAAATAAAAATAAATAAAACAAAAAATAAAAAATAAGGCTTGGCGCGGTGGCTCATGCCTGTAATCCCAGCACTTTGGGAGGCCGAGGTGGGAGGATCACGAGGTTAGGAGATCGAGACCATCCTGGCTAACACGGTGAAACCCGTCTCTACTAAAAATACAAAAAATTAGCCAGGCGTGGTGGCGGGCGCCTATAGTCCCAACTACTCGGGAGGCTGAGGCAGAAGAATGGCGTGAACCAGGGAGGCGGAGCTTGCAGTGAGCCGAGATTGCACCACTGCACTCCAGCCTGGGTGACAGAGCGAGACTCTGTCTCAAAATAAATAAATAAATAAAATAAAATAAAATATAAAAAATAAAAATAATGAGGCCGGGTGCAGTAGCTCCCGCCTATAATCCCAGCACTTTGGGAGGCCGAGGCGGGATGATCACCTAAGTTCAGGAGTTGGAGACCAGCCTGGTCAACATGGTGAAACCCCGCCTCTACTAAAAATACAAAAATTAGCAGGGCATGGTGGCTGCCATCTGTAATCCCAGCTACTCTGGAGGCTGAGGTGGGAGAATCCCTTGAACCCATGAGGCGGAGGCTGCAGTGAGCCGAGATCGTGCGACTGCACTCCAGCCTGGGTAACAGAGCAAGACTCTGTCTCAAAAAACAATAATAAAAAAATAAAATAAAAAGAACGGATCTGAGGACAAAGGGGCAGATGACAGGATATCCACCCATTTCTCTGTTCCACAGAGATTTGCCAAGTGTGTGCTGTGCACCTGTGCACCAGGCCTGTGCTCAGTGTTGGGGTTGCAGCCTGGGATAGCATGGACAGAATGGTCTGCAGCAGATAGAGCTGCTTCTGTACAGCAGAGGGATCCCCACCCCAGAAGAGCAGGTCCTCTCAGGGTTGTCTCCAGCCTGGACGGTACCTTGTGCCAAGTAGAAAAAGTGGTCCTTCCAGGAGGACACAGCCCTGTGGGCACACAGCTTGGGAAGCAGATGAGGCAAGCTGAGCACTCCACAGCAAAGTATCATTTCCACAACCATGCCTGGAGACTCTGGTTTCCCTTTCCCTTTCTCTCTCTCTCTTTCTTTCCTTCTTTTTCATTCTCTCTCTCGCTTTCTTTTTCTCTCTCTTCATTCTTTCTTTCCTTCTTTCTTCTTTCCTTCTCTTTCTTTTTTTTTTTTTTTTTTTTTGAGACAGAGTCTTCGCTCTGTCGCCCAGGCTGGAGTGCAGTGGCGCGATCTCGACTCACTGCAAGCTCCGCCTCCCGGGTTCATGCCATTCTCCTGCCTCAGCCTCCCGAGTAGCTGGGACTACAGGCGCCCGCCACCACGCCCGGCTAATTTTTTGTATTTTTAGTAGAGACAGGGTTTCACCGTGTTAGCCAGGATGGTCTCGATCTCCTGACCTCGTGATCCGCCCACCTCGGCCTCCCAAAGTGCTGGGATTACAGGCGTAAGCCACTGCACCTGGCCTCTGTCTCTTTCTTCCTCTCTTTCCTCTATCTCTCTGTTACTTCTTTTTTTTTTTTTTTTTGACAGGGTCTCACTCTTTTGCCCAGAGTGATCTTGGCTCACTGCAGCCTCCCTCTCCAGGGTTCAAGCAATTCTCCTGCCTCAGCCTCCCGAATAGCTGGGATTACAGGTGTGGGACACCATGCCCCGCTAACTTTTGTATTTTTAGTAGAGATGGGGTTTCACCATGTTGGCCAGGCTGGTCTTGAACTCCTGATCTCAAGTGATCCACCCACCTTGGCCTCCCAAAGTGCTGGGATTACAGGCATGAGCCACCACACCCGGCTGAGACTCTGACTCCTTTCTAGAAGGAATCCTTAACCTGAGGACCACCAACCCCCGCAGCAGGAGTCCCCCAAAGCACATCATTCATTCATTCATTCATTTATCCAACAAATATTTATTGAACAACTTTGTGTGTCTGGCACACCTCTAGGTCCTACAGAGATGGCAGTGAGAAAGCACAAAAACTTTTCTGTTTTCAAATAGGGCAAAATGCCAGTAATTGTTAAACATAGGCAGAGGCGGTAACAGGTGTTCATTGTAGTTATTTTTTTTTCTGTGTTTGAAATTTTTATTGAAAATAGAAGTTGGAAGAAAAAAAAAGTTTATCTTCCAAGAGACAGACAATAAATAAGGGGTGTATGTGTGGTGGTGCTAAGTGCTAAAGAGGACATAAAACAGAAATGAGGGGGTTGGCAAGTGTATATGGAAATTCCAACTTTAAATAGGGTGATTCCAGGAACTCCTCACTGAGAAGGTGATTTTTGAATAAAGCCCTGAAGGAGAGAAGGGAATGATCCAGGCTGCTTTCCGGAGGAACAGATGTCCTGGCAGCAGGCACAAAAGAGGCAAAGGCCCCGAGGCCAGAACATGCCCAGTATTTTCCAGGAACAGCAATGAAGCAAGTGTGTGGCTGGAGCAGAGACGGGTTGCCAGGAGTGGGGGGGCAAGGTGTGAGTGGAAAGGGGAGGGGCGAGCAGATCACCAGGGCCTTGAAGGCCACTGGAAGGGCTGTGGCTTTTACCCTGAGTGACCAGGGTAGCCCCTGGAGGGTGTGAGCCGAGAGTGACTGAAGCCGACTTGTGGAGGGTAATAAGTAGGCACCCTTCAGGGGCCGGGGGGTCTCTAGGGCTCCCATTAGACGCTCAGAGCAGTCCAAACCCCAACAAGGCTAAGGTCCAGTGTGACGGCCAGGCACGGTGGCTCACGCCTCTAATCCCAGCACTTTGGGAAGCGACGTGGGCGGATCACTTGAGGTTAGGAGTTCAAGACCAGCCTAGCCAAACCCCGTGTCTACTAAAAATACAAAAAATTAGCTGGGCGTGGTGGCAAGCCCCTATAACCACAGTTACTTGGGAGGCTGAAGCAGGGAGAATGGCTTGAATCCGGGAGGCGGAGGTTGCAGTGAGCCGAAACCGCGCCACTGCACTCCAGCCTGGGCGACAGAGTGAGACTCCATCTCAAAAAACAAAACAAAACAAAACAAAACAAACAAAACAACAGTGTGACGTAAGTTTGCCTATCAAATTTTGCCGCTACCGGGTCTCGGCAGGAAGGGGCGGGCACTGCTTGGTTGGTAGGCTGGGGCGGCGCGTTGCCATAGCGACCCCGGCCGGGCCCGCGGCGCGCGCAGCTGACGGACATTGAGGCTGGATGCTGCGATCCCGCAGGTGAGCGCAGGTGAGCCGGGCGCAGGTGGGGCAGGCCCAGGACTCCTGACTGACCCCAAGCCGTCTGGTTCCCGGCTCCTCCCTCTTCCACTGTGGGTTTTTTGTTTTGTTTTTTTTTCCCTTGAGACAGGGTCTCCCGCCCAGGCTGGAATGCAGTGGCGCCGGATGATAGCTCACTGCAGTCCCGACCTCCTAGGATCAAGGCATCTTCCCACCTCAGCCTCCCGCGCAGCTGGGACTACAGGCCTGCGCCACCATGCCCAGCTAATTTTTTTTTTTTTTGTAGAGATAAGGTCTCACTATGGTTGCCCAGGCTGGTCTCCAACTCTCGGACTCATGTGATCCTCCCGCATCAGCTTCCCAACGTGCTGGGATTGCAGGCGGCAGCCCCCATGCCGCCAGGCCGGTCTTTGTTACTCAGCATCAAAACAACCTGGGCCGACTTTCATTTCCTGTCAACAGCTCAGGTGTTAGGACTACAGCCTCCTCCGGAGTAGAACCTATGTTCCCTAAACTGTGGGATGGAGGGTGATTTTAGGTTACACTGATGAGGTGTGAAGTAACACCCAATGACATCATAAGAAAGTTATTAGAGTCTGGGTTCTCTTGCAATTCTGAGTAAGCCAAGAGGAGTCAGTCTGGTGATTACATGGCATTAACACCTCTTTTAACATTTGCTAATCTTTTTTTTTTTTTTTGAGACGGAGTTTCACTCTTTTTGCCCAGGCTGAGTGCAGTGGCAGATCTCAGCTCTCACTGCAACATCCGCTTTCCGGTTTCAAGCGATTCTCCTGCCTCAGCCTCCCGAGTAGCTGGGATTACAGGCGTCGTCAACCACGCCCGGCTAATTTTTGTAGTTTGAGTAGAGACGCGGTTTCACTATGTTGGCCAGGCTGGTCTCGAACTCCCGACCTCGTGATCTGCCCACCTCGGCCTCCCAAAGTGCTGGGATTACAGGCGTGTGCCACCGCTCCCGGCCTTGCTAATTCCTATTTTTAACAGAGACCTTGGAGCTCAGTCAACTCTAAGCCATAGCATCTAGCTAAGACTTAAATTGGTTCTTTCAGTGTTTTCATTTTTACATTTATTATTGCCTTAGGGTACCTGCTACTGGTTTTCTATTTATAATAATGATACGTAAAGTCTCCATTCTTCTAATTTTTTTTTTTTTTTGAGATGGAGTCTTGCTCTGTTGCCCAGGCTGGAGTGCAGTGGCGCGATCTCGGCTCATTGCAAGCTCCGCCTCCCGGGTCATGCCATTCTCCTGCCTCAGCCTCCCGAGTAGCTGGGACTACAGGCGCCCGCCACCACGCCCGGCTAATCTTTTGTATTTTTAGTAGAGACGGGGTTTCACCATGTTAGTCAGGATGGTCTCAATCTCCTGACCTCGTGATCCACCCGCCTCGGCCTCCCAAAGTGCTGGGATTACAGGCGTGAGCCACCGCGCCCAGTCTTTTTTTTTTTTTGAGACAGAGTCTCACTCTGTCTCGCCCAGGCTGGAGTGCAGTGGTGCAATCTCGGCTCACTGCAGCCTTCTCCTCCCTGGTTCAAGCGATTCTCCTGCCTCAGCCTCCCGAGTAGCTGGGATTACAGGCGCCCGCCACCACACCCAGCTAATTTTTGTATTTTTAGTACAGACAGGGTTTCGCCATGTTGGCCAGGCTGGTGTTGAACTCCTGACCTCGGGTGATCCATCCGCCTCGGCCTCCCAAAGTGCTGGGGATTACAGGCGTGAGCCACTGAGCCCGGCCTATTTTATTATTATTTTTTAAGACTGAGTCTTGCTCTGTCTCCCAACCTGTAGTGCAATGGTGCAATCTCGGCTCACTGCAACCTCCGCCTCCTGGATTCAAGCTGTTCTCATGCCTCAGCCTCCTGAGTAGCTGGGATTACAGGCGCGTACCACCAGGCCTGGCTAATTTTTGTATTTTTAGTAGAGACAAGGGTTCACCATGTTGACTAGGCTGGTCTCGAACTCCTGACCTCAGGTGATCCACCCGCCTCGGCCTCCCAAAGTGCTGGGATTACAGGCATGAGCCACTGCGCCTGGCCCTCCTTTTTTCAATATATGTATTGATTTTTTTAAAGTGAGTTAACTTATTTTTATTTTCTTCTTGAGAAAAGTTCTCACTCTGTCATCCAAGCTGGCGTGCAGCGGCATGATCTCGGCTTACTGCAACCTCTGCCAAGTGAGTTAATTTACATATAAAGATTAATAGTACATGTGATATTTGGAAATGGGAGAAGAAAAAATCCCAACGGCATAGAATTTAGGACCTGAGATTGTTTCCCCACTCCCAGCTTTTGCTCTGCCTATTTTCTTTGCCTGGAATTATTTTTCCCTACTCCTAGGTGTGATTGTCAAAATATGTAACCCATATTTTGGGTTCATATTTTGGATTCATATTTGGCTCAGTGGCTCATGCCTGTAATCCCAGCACTTGGAGAGGCTGAGGTGGATGGATCATTTGAGATCAGGAAATTGAGACCAACCTGCCCAGCATGGTGAAACCCCCGTCTCTACTAAAAATACAAAAATTAGCCAGGCGTGGTGGTGGGCGCCTGTAATACCAGCTACTTAGGAGGCTGAGGCACGAGAATCACTTGAACCCAGGAGGCAGAGGTTGTAGTAAGCCGAGATGGTGCCACTGCACTCCAGCCTGGGCAACAAAGCAAGATTCCATCTCTAAATAAATAAATAAATACATAAATAAATAAAAATATTTAGAAGACATAAAAAAAAAAATATATATATATATATATATGTATATATGACCGCCACCCCCTCCCTGGGGGCAGCTTCTCCCTGATGCCATCACAAACCCTCCTGCTCTACTGGTTTCCCTAGATTCCCAAGTAATTGTGCCATCAGACCCCCTGGGAGGGGGCCCCAGGAGAGGCAAGGGAGGGGCCAACCAAAGGTCAGTCCAGCACTAAAGGATCCCCACTAAGGGCTGTTCACCTGCCCCAGGGACTCAGAACACACATGACTCTCCCCACTTGAGCTCAGGATCCCGGCATTACACGGGGCGCGCTGAGCCCCAGATGTCCCTAACCCCTTTCCAGCACCCTCCAGCCTTGCAGAAGCAGCCACCATGCCAGTCTCTAAGTGCCCAAAAAAGTCGGAGTCCCTGTGGAAGGGGTGGGACCGGAAGGCCCAGAGGAACGGCCTGCGGAGCCAGGTATACGCTGTGAATGGCGACTACTATGTGGGCGAGTGGAAGGACAACGTGAAACACGGTGAGTGGGACTCCGGGACGGGCGGCCGGAGTGGGGTCAGAGCCACAGTGGGCAACAGGGCCAGGAAGGCAGAGTGCAGAGCTCACTGGGGACATGAGATGTGTCCCCAAGGCTCCCCCAGGGTGAGCGCTGGCCCAGGCCAGCTGGGGGCCTTCACATGCTGGGGCTTCTGAACAAACTCAGCCCTGACTTCAACTGAGTGAGGGTCTCAGGACCAGCAGTGGACAGAGGGTCTTGAGAAACTGGCCTGCCCCCGGGGCTCTGGGACCTAGGGGGCTCAGTTCCTGCCTTCTGAGACCTGGGTTAAGCACTGGGCTGGCTGGCAACAAGAAAAGCCACGCCCCTGAAGCCAGCTTGCAGTGGGGTTCTGGGCTTCGCATTCAGCTGTGATGCTCTGCAGAGGGCTGAGCGCCAGGCACAAGGGAGGACCCCCTACTCCATCCCACAAGGAGGAGCTGGGGCTCCAAGTCTGACCAGCAGGGGGCAAAGGGGTCCTGTTGATACAAACTAAATCCTGACTGGGGAAAAAAATAAAGAAAAAAGAGCTTTTATTTTAAAATGTGGCACTGCTGCTCACTCCAGTCTTGCAATTCCAGACTCTGTACTCTTTTTTTTTGAGGGGACAAGGTCTTGCTCTGTCTCAAAAAAACAGGCTGGAGTGCAGTGGTGCCTTCATAGCTCACTGCAGCCTCGAGATCCTGGGCTCAAGCAATCCTCCTGTCCAAGCCTCCTGAATTGCTGGGATTACAAGTGGGAGTCACTGTGCCTGGCTAGATTCTGTGCTCTTTTTATTTTTTTAGACGGAGTTTCACTCTTGTTGCCCACGCTGGAGTGCAATGGCACGATCTTGGCTCACCGCAACCTCTACCTCCCGAGTTCAGGCGATTCTCCTGCCTCAGCCTCCAGAGTAGCTGGGATTACAGGCATGTGCCACCACGCCTGGCTACTTTTGTATTTTTAGTAAGACGGGGTTTCTCCGTGTTGGTCAGGCTGGTCTTGAACTCCCGACCTCGAGTGATCCGCCCGCCTCGGCCTCCCAAAGTGCTGGGATTACAGGCGTTTAGCCACTGCGCCCAGCCCAATTCTGTGCTCTTAACCATCCTGCTCTCCTGCCTTGCTGGGTTAAGTGCTTTGCAGTCAAATAAACCTGGGTTAGGATCCCAGTTCCAGGCTGGGTGTGGTGGCTCACATCTGTAATCCCAGCACTTTGGGAGGCCGAGGCAGGCAGATCACCTGAGGTCAGGAGTTCAAGACCACCTTGGCCAATATGGTGAAATCCCATCTCTACTAAAAAAATACAAAAATGGGCCAGGTGGGGCTGGGCGTGGTGGATCACGCCTGTAATCCCAGCACTTTGGGAAGCCGAGGCGGGCGGATCATGAGGTCAGGAGATTGAGACCATCCTGGCTAACACAGTGAAACCCTGTCTCTACTAAAAATACAAAAAATTAGCTGGCTGTGGTAGTGGGCGCCTGTAGTCCCAGCTACTCGGGAGGCTGAGGCAGGAGAATGGCGTGAACCCAGGAGGCGGAGCTTGCAGTGAACCGAGATCTCGCCACTGCACTCCAGCCTGGGCGACAGAGCAAGACTCCGTCTCCAAAAAAAAAAGAAAAAAAAAAAGACTTGGAGGAGAGGGAGTAACTGAGTGGATGTTTGCAGGAACTAGCATAGAAGGTGGCAGGACCAGCTGGAGCAGAGAATATACCTGGGGTGTTCAAGGAACAGCCAGGAGGACGGTGTGGGTGAAACAGAGTGAGGAAGAGGAGGAGGTCAGAGAGGTTGCAGGCCGGGGACAGTGGCTCACACCTGTAATCCCAGCACTTTGAGAGGCCGAGGCAGGCAGATCACTTGAGGTCAGGAGTTCAACACCAGGCTGGCCAACATGGCAAAACCCCATCTCTACTAAAAATACAAAAAATTAGCTGGATCGAGTGGTGAACGCCTGTAATCCCAGCCACTAGGGAGGCTGAGGCAGGAGAATTGCTTGAACCCAGGAGGTGGAGGTTACAGTGAGCCAATATCATGCCACTGCACTCCAGCCTGGGTGCCAGAGCAAGACTCTGCCTCAAGATAAACAGTCCTGGCGCGGTCGCTTATGCCTGAAATCCCAGCACTTTGGGAGGCCGAGACAGGCATATCGCCTGAGGTCAGGAGTTCGAGACCAGCCTAGCCAACATGGTGAAACTCCGTCTCTACTAAAAATACAAAAATTAGACCAGACATGATGGCAGGCACCTGTAATCCCAGCTACTTGGGAGGCTGAGATAAGAGAATTGCTTGAACCTGGGAGGAGGAGGTTACAGTGAGCTGAGATTGCGCCATTGCACTCCAGCCAGGGAGTTTCCAAGAACGAATCTCCATCTCAAAAAAAAAAAAAAAAAAAAAAGAGGTTGTGGGTTAAAGAAGAAGGGTAGTCAGATCATATAGGACCCTGTCAGCCATGGTAAGAACTTTGGATTTGACTCTGTGACACAGGGAGGGTTTAGAGCATAGGAATGACATGATCTGATTCATGTCCCATAACACCCATGCTGGCTATTTAGTTGTGAATGAGGTGGGGGCAGGAAGACCCCTCAGAGGCCCTTGCAGACATCCAGGTGAGAGACATCCAGCAGGAGAACGAAGCACCCCATAAAAGCAAATTATTAGAAAGGCAGGAATGGAGCCATCCTCAGGGAAGGCTTAGGACAACTTCTCCATCTATCTGCTTCTCCCTGGCTGGCCTTTTTTCTCTCCTCCTGCAAGTATACCTCTGCATGATACACATGGCTGCCAGCATCTTAGTGACAGGATGGAGGAATCCTCTTCACTTCCTGATATAGTTTTGTCTTGTTTGAGACAGAGTTGTGCTCTGTCGCCCAGGATGGAGTGCAGTGCTGCGATCTCGGCTCACTGAAACCTCCACTTCCCAGGTTCAAGTGATTCTTGTACCTCAGCCTCCCAAGTAGCTGGGACTAAAGGCACACACCACCACGCCCAGCCAATTTTTGTATTTTCTGGTAGAGATGGGGATTCACTTGCCAGGTGCGGTAGCTCACGCCTGTAATCCCAGCTCTCAGGGAGGCAGAGGTGGGAGATAGCTTGAGCCCAGGAGTTCAAGGCCTGCTTGGGCAATATAGCGAGACCCCGTTCTCCACAAAAAGGAAGAAAAAAAAAGACAAATAAATAAATAAGTGAGACACGGATTCACCATGTTGGCCAGGCTGGTTTCGAATTCCTGACCTCAAGTGATCTGCCCACCTTGGCCTCCCAAAGTTCTGGGATTACAAGTGTGAGCCATCATGCCCAGCCTTTTCCCCTTATTTTCCTACTTGATAAGTTTTGGTTTGCCTCACTGTGTCCTGTGCAGACTCTCAGCTCTTCCATCCCCTGTATTAAATTTTCTCTATTTGAAATAACTAGCATTTCAAACTGTCCTAGGGTCTTCAGTGTTCCGACAACCAGCATCACTGCACTGCAGAAGACAGTGCAGTATGGTTTCTGTTGGGTCGTCTGGACCCCGAACCCTCAACTGATTCAGTCACCCAAACAGTAGCAGAAAATGCCAGGTCTTTTTTTTTTTTTTTTTTTTTTTGAGACAGAGTCTCATTCTGTCGCCCAGGCTGGAGTGCAATGGTGTGATCTCGGCTCACTGCAACTTCTGCCTCCCAGGTTCAAGCGATTATCCTGCCTCAGCCTCCTGAGTAGCTGGGATTACAGATGCACGCCACCAAGCCCAGCTAATTTTTGTATTTTCAGTAGAGACGAGGTTTCACCATGTTGGTTAGCTGGCCTCGAACTCCTGACCTCGTGATCCGCCCGCCTCAGCCTGCCAAAGTGCCGGGATTACAGGCGTGAGCCACCGCGCCCGGCCAAGACCTCGCGTTTTCTAATCCAAAAAATTAGCCGGGCGTGGTGGCGGGCGCCTGTAGTCCCAGCTACTGAGGAGGCTGAGGCAGGAGAATGGCGTGAACCTGGGAGGCGGAGCTTGCAGTGAGCCGAGATCGCGCCAGTGCACTCCAGCCTGGGCGACAGAGCGAGACACCGTCTCAAAAAAAAAAAAAAAAAAAAAAAAAAAAAAGGAAAGAAAAAGAAAACGCGAGATCTTAAAACCAGGTCTCAGGACTCCTATACGAGGTACTCCAGTACTGTTAGGCTAGGGACTTTCCCCAGCACAGGCCATATACTGTGCGTATCAACCCCTAACTCGACTGTTGGATGCCTCCTGCTCTCACTCTTCACCTTCTTCTAATAACAGGCCCCTGCTACCTTGGTCACAGAAATGAGCACGTAATCCAACTGGGCAAATCAAAAAATTGAGATGAGATTTTTCAAAATGGACTAGCAGAGAAAAAGCACCTTTCCCCTCTAATTCCCAGCCTATTGATTCCCATGTGTCTCCTGCATTTGCCTGCGGTAGGAGAGACTGAAGCCACCCACGGAAGGCATAGTCATGAGCATCCATCAGTGTCTTTTTTTTTTTTTTTTTGGTAGGGGCTACAAAAAAAAAAAAAAAAACAGGTTGTTTTCGCCTGTCCTGCCCCTCACTTCCTCCCGGTTTTATTTCCTTTAGGGACACCCCTCTCCCACTCTAAATCCCCAAGGTTCGGGTGGGCTGACTCCGCCCCCCTAGCAGGCCTAGCCAATCAATGTATTGGCTAGCCAATCACTCTGTTGCTCCTGGGTTCAAGCGATTCTCCTGCCTCCCAAGTAGCTGTGATTACAGGCACCTGCTACCATGCCCGGTTAATTTTTGTATCTTCAGTAGAGACGAGATTTCGCCATGTTGGCCAGGCTGGTCTCGAACTCCCGACCTCAAGTGATCCGCCCGCCTTGGCCTCCCAAAGTGCTGCGATTACAGGCGTGAGCCACCTCGCCCGGCTGCAACCATCATTTTCAAACCTCTTTGCCTTTACTCATGCAGTTCCCTGTGCCTGGACTGCCCTTCCTGGCCCCAACGTCACCCCCTCCAGGAAGTCTCTGAGTCCCCAGATTTGACCAAGTGCCCTTCTTCTGATATTGAAATCTCAGTGCCTACCTTCGTATATTGAAATTGAACTATGTGGGTATTCATCAGGCCTCTTTCATTTGCAAGAGGCAGAAATTCAACTCAGGAGGGCTTCAGTAATGCAAGTTCAGCCATGGTGGGATTCAGGGGCTTAATGTCACTGGAACTTGGCGTCTCCCTCCATGTCTCCATTTTGCTTTCCTCTGCGTTGAGTTCCTTCTTAAGTCAGCTTCCTCCCCTTGCAGGCCCGGGTGGGTGTGGTGGCCCAAATGGACTTACACGGAGTCTCATTGGACCAACTTGGGTCAGGTGGCCTGCACTGACCCAATCACAGCAGCCTGGTGGGTAGAATACACTGATTGGGTAGGCCTGCCAGGGGGCGGAGTCAGCCACCCAAACCTTGGGGGTTTAGAGTGGGAGAGTGGTGTCCCCAAAGGAAATAAAACCAGGAGGAAGTGAGGGGCAGGACAAACGCAAACAACCCAACAGCCCCTACAATGTGGTTGGGCCCTACCAGACCATGGGCTCCCCAAGGGCAAAAATAATAACAAAGGCTCCCATGATTTGAGAGAGGAAAAAAAAAATAAAAAAATAAAAAAAACCAATAAAGGCTAACATTGACATCGTATTTCCTACTTGTAGGCTCTAAGTGCTGTACACATATCCTGGAATCTAGTGATAAGAAACAACCCCATGAGATACTGTTTTTCTTTTCAGAAAATTAGAATGGTCCCGTAATTGCTCACAAATTGAATCTTTTCTCCCTCGGCTTTATTGCGGTATGATTGACAAAGAAAAATTGTATATACTTAAGATGTGTAGTAAGATATTTTCTTAAAAGTCTACATTTCGAAGGCCGGACGCAGTGGCTTACGCCTGTAATCCCAGCACTTTGGGAGGCTGAGATGGGTGGATCTCCTGAGGTCGTGAGTTGGAGACCAGCCTGGCCAACATGGGGAAACACCGTCTCTACTAAAAATACAAAATTAGCCAAACGTGGTGGCGCATGCCTGTAATCCCAGCTACTCAGGAGGCTGAGACAGGAGAATCGCTTGAACCCAGGAGGCGGAGGTTGCAGTGAGCCGAGATTGCACCGTTGCACTCCAGCCTGAGCAACAAGAATGAAACTCTGTCTCAAAAAAAAAAAAAAAAGTCTACATTTCGAAATTATTAGTACAATCAAAGTAATTAGCATATCCATCTCCTCACATTATTACCATTTTGTTTGTGTGTGGGGAGAACAATTAAGATCTATTCTCTTAGCAAATTTCAAGTACAGTATCCAATACACCAATACAGTATTAATATAGAACGATGCTGTACACCAGGTCTCCAGATCTTTGTTTTTGTTTTGTTTTGTCTTTTTGAGACGGAGTCCCGCTCTGTTGCCAGGCTGGAGGGCGGTGGTGCGATCTTGGATCACTGCAACCTCTGCCACCCGGGTTCAAATGATTCTCTTGCCTCCAACCTCCCAAGTAGCTGGGACTTTCACTATGTTGGCCAGGCTGTTCTTGAACTCCTGACCTCAGGTGATCTGCCCGCTTCAGCCTTCTAAAGTACTGAGATTACAGGTGTGAGCCATCATGCCCGGCGTTTTTTTTTTTTTTCAGTCTCACTCTTGCCCAGCCTGAAGTGCAGTGTTGCGATCTCGGCTCACTACAACCTCCGCCTCCTGGTTCAAGAGATTCTCCAGCCTTAGCCTCCCCAGTAGCTAGAATTACAGGTGCTCACCACCATGCCCAGCTAATTTTTGTATTTTTAGTAGAGACGGGGTTTCACCATGTTGGCCAGGATGGTCTCGATCTCCTGACCTCATCATCCGCCTGCCTCGGCCTCCCAAAGTGCTGGGATTACAGACACGAGCCACCGCACCCGACCTGTTTGTTTTGAGACAGTCTCGCTCTGTCGTCCAGGCTGGAGTGCAGTGGCGCAATCTCACTCACTGCAACCTCTGCCTCTGACGTTCAAGCAATTCTCCTACCTCAACCTACTGAGTAGCTGGGATTATAGGCATGCGCCACCACACCAGGCTAATTTGTGTATATTTAGTAGAGACAGGGCTTAACCATGTTGCCCAGGCTAGTCTTGAACTTCTAGCCTCAAGTGATTTACCTGCCTCAGCCTCCCAAATTGCTGGGATTATAGGAGTGAGCCACTGTGCCCAGCCTTAGGTCTCCAAATCTTGTACATCTTGTAACAAAAAGTATGCACCCTTTGACAGAACATCTCCACATTTTCCCCACCCCACCAGCCCCTGCTAATTGCTATTTTACTGTTTCTATGAGTTTGACTTTTTAGATTCCACATATAAGTAAAATCATGCAGTATTTGTCTTTCTCTGCTTGGCTTATTTCACTTGGCATAATGTCCTCCAGATTCATCCATGTTGTCACAAATGGCACGTTTTCTTTCTTTCTTCCCTTCCTTCCTTCCTCCCTTCCTCCCTTCCTCCCTCCCTCTCTCCTTCTCTTTCTTTCTTTCACAGTCTCACTCTGTCGCCCAAGCTGGAGTGCAGTGGCGCCATCTCAGCTCACTGCAACCTCCACCTCCCAGATTCAAGTGATTCTCCTACCTCAGCCTCCAGAGTAGCTGGGATTACAGGCAAGCACCACCACGCCCAGCTAATTTTTGTATTTTTAGTAGAGACCAGGTTTCACTATGTTGGCCAGGCTGGTCTCAAACTCCTGACCTCAAGTGATCAGCGCGCCTCGGCCTCCCAAACTGCTGGGTTACAGGCGTGAGCCACTGCGCCCAGCCCCCCCATAAGATATTCTTATACCCATTTTACAGCTGAGATATCTGAGGCTCAGAGAGACCCAAAGAATTAACTTACTTGGTCAAGGTCACAAAGCTCAGAGGGATAATGTTGAATTTGTTCCTGGGTTACCAAGGACCCAGACATGAATTGACCAATATTGGTACTCCACAAATATTTTATTCATCGTTTTGTTAAATATGTATTAAGCTCGGTGTACTGGTGTGTGCTTGTATTCCCAGCTCGTCGAGAGGCTGAGAAGGGAGAATCTCTTTAGCTCAAGAGTTCAAGACCAGCCTGGGTAACATAGCAAGACCCCATCTCTAAAAAGAAAGAAATGCCTGGTGTGGTGCCTCATGCCTGTAATCCCAATACTTTGGGAAGCCTAGGCAGGAGGACTGCTTGAGCCCAGTAGTTTGAGACCAGCCTGGGCAACATAGAGAGACTCTGCCTCTATAAAATTTTTTTAAAAAATTAGCCAGGTGTAGTGGCATGCACCTGTGGTCTCAGCTACTCAGGAGGCTGAGGCAGAAGGATCATTTGAGCCTGGGTGGTTGAGGCTGCAGCGAGCTGTGTACGTCAGCATAGCCAACACAGCCAGATCCTGTCTAAAAAAAAGAAAGAAAAAGGCCAGGCGCGGTGGCTCACGCCTGTAATCCTAGCACTTTGGGAAGCCGAGGCGGACAGATCACCTAAGGTCGGGAGTTCGAGACCAGCCTGACCAACATGGAGAGACCCCCGTCTCTACTGAAAATACAAAATTAGCCAGGCGTGCTGGTGCATTCCTGTAATCCCAGCTACTTGGGGGGATGAGGTGGAAGAATTGCTTGTACCTGAGAGGTGGAAGTTGCAGTGAGCCGAGATCGTGCCATTGCACTCCAGCCCAGGCAACGATAGCAAAACTCCGTCTTAAAAAAAAAAAAAAAGAAAGAAAGAAAGAAAAAAAAAGGCCGGGTGCGGTGGCTCATGCCTGCAATCCCAGTATTATGGGTGGCCAAGGCAGACGGATCACGATGTCAGGAGTTAGAGACCAGCCTGGCCAATATGGTAAAACCCCGTCTCTACTAAAAATACAAAAATTAGCTGGGCATGGTGGCGGGCACCTGTAATTCTAGCTACTGGGGTGGCTAAGGCAGGAGAATCTCTTGAACCAGGAGGCGGAGGTTGCAGTGAGCCGAGATCGCAACACTGCACTTCAGCCTGGGCAACACAGCAAGACTCTGTCTCAAAAAAAAAAAAAAGAAAGAAAGAAAGAAAAAAAAAGAGAAAACAGTAAATTAGCAGGTATTAGTCACCTACAACATGCCAGGAACAGTTTGTTTGTTTGTTTGTTTGATTTTGAGATGGAGTTTCGCTCGTCTCCCAGGCTGGAGTGCAATGACGTCATCTCGGCTCACTGCAACGACGTCATCTCGGCTCACTGCAACCCACGCCTCCCAGGTTCAAGAGATTCTCATGCCTCAGCTTCCTGAGTAGCTGGGATTACAGGCGCCTGCCACCACGCCTGGCTAATTTTTGTATTTTTAGTAGACACAGGGTTTCGCCATTTTGGTCAGGCTGGTCTCGAACTCCTGACCTCAGGTGATCCACCCGCCTCAGCCTCCCAAAGTGCTGGGATTACAGGCTCGAGCCACTGCACCCAGCCTCCAGGCACAGTTTTTCAGTGCAGGGAACAAAACAGACCAAAGTCTGTGCCCTCCTGCAGCTCACATTCTCCTGGAAAAGACAGGCATGCGACACTAATCAACAAATAAGAGAATTACCTCTGGCCGGACGCAGTGGCTCACGCCTGTAATCCCAGCACTTTGGGAGACCGAGGTGGGCATATCACTTGAGGTCAGGAGTTTCAGACCTGCCTGGCCAACATGGAACCCCATCTTTACTAAAACACAAAATTAGCTAAGTGTGTTGGCGCACACCTGTAGTCCTAGCTACTCTGGAGGCTGAGGCAGGAGTATCTCCTGAACCCGGGAGGCAGAGGTTGCAGTGAGCTGAGATCGCGCCACTGCACTCCAGCCTGGGCGACAGAGTGAGACACTGCCTCAAAAAAAAAAAAGAAAGAAAGAAAGAAAGAAAGAAATGGAACTTTCCTGGCCTTCTCCTGGGTACTTGGTGTCTAGGATGATGCGCAGAGCCTGTCCCAGCTCTCTAGATTCGTCTAGTTGGGGGCCCCTGAGGCTCAGGCAGGCACACCACCCCCACCCCCCGGCGGCCATGTCTGCAGCATTGCCCATCTGTGTGTCACCAGGGAAAGGAACACAGGTCTGGAAGAAGAAAGGAGCCATCTATGAGGGGGACTGGAAGTTTGGGAAGCGAGACGGCTACGGCACCCTCAGCCTTCCTGACCAACAGACAGGAAAGTGCAGGAGAGTCTACTCAGGCTGGTGGAAAGGTGATAAGAAATCGGTGAGCAGGCCTGCCAGCCGGGGTGTGTGTGTGTGTGTGTGTGTGTGTGTGTGCGCGCGTGTGTGTTTAGGGGAAGCCGAGAGAGGCCTGGGAGAAAAGAGAGGGGAGGTCTACAGGGAGGAGGACAGGGTTGTGCTGCTCGTGGGAGAAGGAAGGGGTGGGGGAATTGCAAAGTTTCTCAGAACAAAACCCAGGAAACAGGAAGCAACAGAAGGCCAGGGAGGAGCCCACGAAACCCTGCGGTTGCGAGGAGCCAGCCAGGCTTGTGGGGACGAAGTCGCCTCCACCCTTTTCCCCCTCGTTTCCTGGCTTTCTTTTCCCCAGGTATCACTTTCTGAGAATCCCCTTTCTGCTGGGCCTGAATAAAAGGGAGGTAGGAAAAGTGGGAGCAAGAGAGCAGGGGACAGGAGAGGAGGGTCCCGGGGGGCCGAAGCCAGCCAGAGGCGCGTGCTCAGCCCGGAAACACCCAAGCTGGGCACAGGTTCCCTCCATCTACTCCCACAAGTGTGGAGGAATCCTCACCATCAGTCCCAGAGACACTAATAATAAACAGTATTGCAACTGAGCAACTGCTACTGTGAGCCTGAAACACATATTTAAAACTTTTTTTTTTTTTTTTTTTTTTGAGAGGGAGTCTCATCCTGCCGCCCAGGCTGGAGTGCAGTGGCGCCATCTTGGCTCACTGCGAGCTCCGCCTCCCGGGTTCACGCCATTCTCCTGCCTCAGCTTCCCAGGTTGCTGGGACTACAGGCGCCCGCCACCACGCCCGGCTAATTTTTTGTATTTTCAGTAAAGACGGGGTTTCACCGTGTTAGCCAGGATGGTCTCCATCCCCTGACCTCGTGATCCGCCCGCCTCGGCCTTCCAAAGTGCTGGGATTACAGGCGTGAGCCACCGCGCCCGGCCTGAAACACATTTAATATTCAGTTAACTCTCACAGCAACAGCTCATCATCATCATCATCTTCATGCCCATTTTATTGATAAGCAAACAAGCTCGAAGAGATGAGGTGTCTTGTAACTGCCCAAGGGGTTCACCTTGCCGGTGCCTGGCCTTGAGTTGTATTATTACTCAAATCAGTCTCCCCGAACATTCCAGCAGCAGAGTTTTTAAGGATAACTTGGTGGGTGGGGGAAAGACAGTGAACCAGGAGTGCTGATTGGTCAGAGATAAAATCATAGGGAGTCAAAGCTGTCTTCTTGCTCCCCAGACAGAGCCGATTCATCAAGACGGGAATTGCAATAGAGAAAGAGTAATTAACACAGAACTGGCTGTGTGGGAGACCTGAGTTTTATTATTATTATTATTAATTTATTTATTTTTTGAGATGGAGTTTCGCTCTTGTCGCCACGCTGGAGTGCAATGGTGTGATCTCGGCTCACCGCAACCTCCGCCTCCTGGGTTCAAGCGATTCTCCTGCCTCAGTCTCCCGAGTAGCTGGGATTACAGGCATGTGGTACCACACACTGCTAATTTTGTATTTTTAGTAGAGACAGAGTTTCTCCATATTGGCCAGGCTGGTCTCGAACTCCCGACCTCAGGTGATCCGCCAGCCTGGGCCTCCCAAAGTGCTAAGATTACGGGCATGAGCCACCGCGCCTGGCCCTGGGTTGTATTATTACTCAAATCAGTCTCCCGGAACATTCTGGCTGCAGAGTTTTTAAGGATAACTTGGTGGGTGGGGGAAAGAGTAAGCCAGGCGTGCTGATTGGTCAGAGATAAAATCACAGGGAGTCAAAGCTGTCTTCTTGCCCTGAGTCAGTTCCTAGGTGGGGAGCCACAAGATCACATAAATCAGTTTATTGATTTGGGTAGTGCCAGCTGATCCATCAAGTGCAAGGTCTGCAAAATATCTTAAGCATTGATCTTAGGAGCAGTTTAGTGAGGATCAGAATCTTGTAGCTTCCAGCTGCATGACTCCTAAACCATAATTTATAATCTTGTAGCTAATGTTAATCCTACAAAGGCAATCTAGTCCCCAGGCAAGAAGGAGGTCTTCGGGAAAGGGCTGTTACTGTCTTTGTTTAAACTATAAACTATAAGTTTCTCCCAAAGTTAGTTCAGCTTAAGCCCAGGAATGGACATGGACAGCTTAGAGGTTAGAAGCAAGATGGAGTCAGTTAAATTAAATCTCTTTCACTGTCTCAGTCATAATTTTGCAAAGGCAGTTTCAGTCTTGCCTGGAGTCACACAGCTAGCAAGTGGTAGAGCCCAGGGTTTCATGTTCTCTGCTCCCAAATTGTTTATTGGCAAGTAGGAAGAGAAAGCCCTGAATAACCAATTTACGTAGAATATGGTATTAGGAGGGATGTTTTCACAGGGTGCCCAGAGGAAGGTCATCAAGCCCAGCCTAGAGAATTCAGGACAGAAGGCTAAGCACAATGGCTCACGCCTGTAATCCCAGCAATTTGGGAGGCAGACAGGGGTGTATCACTTGAGGTCAGGAGTTCGAGACTAGCCTGGCCAACATGGTGAAACCCCCGTCTCTACTAAATAAAAAACACAAAAAAAATTAGCCGGGCATAGTGGTGTGTACCTGTAGTCCCAGCTAGGGAGACGGAGACATTAGAATCGCTTGAAGCCAGGAGGCAGAGGTGGCAGTGAACCGAGATCACGCCACTGCACTTCAGCCTGGGCAACAGAGTGAGACTCCATCTCAAAATAAATAAATAAATAAATAAAACTATATAATAATAATAATTAGCTAGATGTTGTGGTGCACATCTGTAGTCCCAACTTTTCAAAAGGCTGAGGCAGGAGGATTGCTTGATCTCAGGAGGCTGAGGTTATAGTGAGCTATGGTGGTGCCACTACACTCCAGCCTGGACAACAGAGCAAGACTTGTCTCAAAAAGAGGGAATTCAGGGCAGGCTTCCTGTAGGAGGTGACACTAAAAGATGCTAGGAGTTAGCCAGGAAGAAAAAAAAGGGAGAAAGATGGGAGGCAAAAAAATAGCAAAGGGAACGAGATGTAAAACAGCAGAGTGTGTCTGCCCTGGGACAGGAGTGAGGAGAAGAGTTGCGGGGGCCCTCAGGGATATGTGGGAAATCAGGATTTTGAGGAGTAGACTTGGCTTCTCAACCCAACCTCCTCGGGTGTGATCTGCAAACAGACCTTGTTTCCCTGTGGTTGGACACTAAGTGTGGTGTTTTTTGTTTTTTGAGACGGAGTCTTTCTCTGTTGCCCAGGCTGGAGTACAGTGGCGCGATCTTGGCTCACTGCAAGCTCCGCCTCCTGGTTCACGGCCTTCTCCTGCCTCAGCCTCCCGAGTAGCTGGGACTACGGGCACCCACCACCACACCCAGCTAATTTTTTTGTATTTTTAGTAGAGACGGGTTTTCACCATGTTAGCCAGGATGGTCTCGATCTCCTGACCTTGTGATCCGCCTGCCTTGGCCTCCCAAAGTGCTGGGATTACAAGCGTGAGCCACAGCGCCCAGCCTAAGTGTGGTGTTTTTTGTTTGTTTGTTTGTTTGTTTTTTGAGACAGTCTTGCTCTGTTGCCCAGGTGGGAGTGCAATGGCACGATCTGGGCTCACTGCAACCTCCGACTCCTGGGTTCAAGCAATTCTTCTGCCTCAGCCTCCCAAGTAGCTAGTATTACAGGTGCCCACCACCACACTCAGCTAATTTTTTATATTTTTAATAGAGACAGGGTTTTGCCACGTTGGTCAGGCTGGTCTAAAACTCCTGACCTCAGGTGATCCATCTGCCTCGGCCTCCCAAAGTGCTGGGATTATAGGCGTAAGCCACCACGCCAGGCTAAGTATGGTGTTTATGTTCATTTTTCTGGGTCAAAATAAGAGTGGGAGGGGGGCGAGCATGATCAGATGGGCGATTTTTTTTTTTTTTGAGATAGCGTCTCACCCTGTCACCTAGGCTACCGTGCATTCTCAGCTCACTGCAACCTCCATCTCCCAGGTTCAAGTGATTCTCCTGCCTCAGCCTCCCCAGTAACTGGGATCACAGGCGCCGCCATCACGCCCAGCTAATTTTTTGTATTTTTGGTAGAGATGGGGTTTCACCATGTTGGCCAGGCTGGTCTCAAACTCCTGACCTCAAGTGATCCACCCACCTCAGCCTCCTAAAGTGAGCCGGTGAGCCACAGCGCCCAGCCTAGATGGGCGATTTAAAGAGTCCTCCGGCGCTGTAGGGGCTGCATGGCGCATGGTGTGGTGGGGATGAGAGAGGAGAGGGTGGGTCAGTAAGGAGGGAGTTTAATGACTGGCTGCATGGAGGCGCCAGCAGAGGGACAGAGAGAAACAGAGCATGGGGAGATCCTTCAAGACATTATCGGTGGGCACTATGGCTCACACCTGTAATCCCAGCACTTTGGGAGGCTGAGGCGGGCGGATCACTTGAAGTCAGGAGTTCAAGACCAGCCTGGCCAACATGGTGAAACCCTGTCTCTCCTAAAAATACAAAAATTAGCAGGGCGTGGTGATGCGTGTTTGTAATCCCAGCTTCTCGGGAGGCTGAGGCAGGAGAATCACTTGAACCCGGGGGACGGAGGTTACAGTGAGCCGAGATCACATCACTGCACTCCAGCCTGGGTGACAGAGTGGATCTCTGTCTAAAAACAAACAAACAAACAAAAAAGACAGGATACTCCGCTAAGACACGACCCTCCGCTTGGACGTAGGGCTGAGGAAGAAGGAAGAAGCTGGGGTGTGTGGCTCTAGGGGTGCCTGGGAAGACGGTGGGCTTTCCTGGTGGTGTTGGGGGGCGCCCTGAGTAGTAGCATCTTCGTACTTTCAGGGTTATGGGATCCAGTTTTTCGGACCCAAGGAGTATTATGAGGGTGACTGGTGTGGCAGCCAGCGCAGCGGGTGGGG
The DNA here is from genome assembly GCF_000001405.40 of Homo sapiens. NCBI lineage: Eukaryota > Metazoa > Chordata > Mammalia > Primates > Hominidae > Homo > Homo sapiens. Next base: position 121,654,356 of record NC_000012.12, on the reverse strand, counting down.
CCGCATGTATTACAGCAACGGCGACATCTACGAGGGACAGTGGGAGAACGACAAGCCCAACGGGGAGGGCATGCTGCGCCTGAGTGAGTGCCCCACCCCCGCCGGCCCCGCCCACCCGACCACGCCCCCGGCAGCGAGCTGGCCACGCCCATTTGGTCCCACAGAGACAGGCCACACCCCACACTCTTGTCCCACACTGACCCTTGTGTCAATGTGGGACAAGAGAGGAAGAGCACCCTATCTCTCCCCTCAGTCACAAAAGGTCACATATATATGATGCTATTTATATGAAATTTTTAGGACACGCACCTCCACAGAGACAGAAAGTAGACTAATGGTTGCCTAGGACTATGGGGGTGGTGACATTAGTGGGTGTGGGGAATGGCTGCTTAATGGGCACAGGGTTTCCTTTTCGGGTGATTAAAACGTTTTGAAACTAGATAGAGGTAATGGTTGCACAGCATTGTGAATGTACTAAATGCCACTGAACTATACACTTCAAAATGGCCAACTTATGTTATATGAACTTATATCTCAATTTTTAAAAAAAAAGCCAGGCGCAGTGGCTCATGCCTGTAATCCCAGCACTTTGGGAGGCAGAGGCGGGCGGATCATGAGGTCAGGAGTTTGAGATCAGCCTGGCCAACGTGGAGAAACCCTGTCTCTACTAAAAATACAAAAAGTAGCTGCATGTGGTGGTATACACCTGTAATCCCAGCTACTCAGGAGGCTGAGGCAGGAGAATCACTTGAACTCGGGAGGCGGAGGTTGTCACTCAGGCTGGAGTGCTGTGGGGCAATCTCAGCTCACTGCAGCCTCAACTTCTTGAGCTCAAGCCATCCTCCCACCTCAGCCTCCAGAGTAGCTGGGACTATAGGTGCACACCACTATGCCCAGCTAATTAAAAAAATTTTTTTTTTTGCAGAGATGTGGTCTCACTATGTTGCTCAGGCTGGTCTTGATCTCCTGGGCTTATGAGCCTCCCATCTTGGCCTCCCAATGTGTTAGGATTTGCACTGAGCTCTGGAAGAGCGACCCCTGGGGGTCTAGCTTAGTTTGGTGTACCCTGCACCACACCTCCCTGTCCTTTCCCCCAGAGAACGGGAACCGCTACGAGGGCTGCTGGGAGAGAGGCATGAAGAACGGGGCGGGGCGTTTCTTCCATCTGGACCACGGCCAGCTGTTTGAAGGCTTCTGGGTGGACAATATGGCCAAATGCGGGACGATGATCGACTTTGGCCGTGACGAGGCCCCTGAGCCCACTCAGTTCCCCATTCCTGAGGTGGGCAGCCCTCACCAGGGCCCTGTGGCCACACCCAGACAGAGACAGAAGCCAGCATCCCCAGCCATGCCCAGGCCAGATCTGCCAGGCCCAGCCAAGCCCAGACAGGGAACAGACAAGGTTTTGTTTTCAGTCAGGGCATCCCTAGCAAGGGAGGTGGCTCCTGATGAGGCTGGCAGCACCCCACACGGCAGGCAGCGCCAGTCAAGGCTGGCAGCCTGGGTCCTCCATGCTCTCCAAACCAACTTCTTGGTATTTCCCTCCAGGTCAAAATCCTAGACCCTGATGGTGTGCTGGCGGAGGCCTTGGCCATGTTCAGGAAGACAGAGGAAGGAGATTGATGCCAGGTGAGGGGTGGGCACACCTGCCAAGTTCTGATGTGGCTGAGGCTGCTCCAGGGCCCAGAACAATGCACAGATCTCCTGGGGTCTCCAAAGGGCTTGGGGTCGGGGAGTGGGGGAGCAAGACCATCGAGGGCAGGCTTCTTGCCTCCTACAGTCCCAGGTGTCCTTTTTGACGCTTCCTCTTCAAAACCCCTTTTGACCGGCTGTGGTGGCTCTTGCCTTTAATCCCAGCACTTTGGGAGGCCAAGGCAGGCGGATAAGTTGAGGTCAGGAATTTGAGACCAGCCTGGCCAACATGGTGAAACCCCATCTCTACTAAAAATATAAAAGTTAGCCAGGTGTGGTGGCAGGCACCTGTAGTCCCAGCTACTCGAGAGGCTGAGGCAGGGGAATCACTTGAACCCGGGAGGTGAAGGTTGCAGTGAGCTGAGATTGCACCACTGCACTCCAGCCTGGGCGACAGAATGGGACTCTGTCTCAAAAAAAACAAAACTCGCCAGGCACAGTAATCCTATAATCCTGTAATCCCAGCACTTTGGGAGGCCGAGGTGGGTGGATCACGAGGTCAGGAGTTCAAGACTAGCTTGGCCAAGATGGTGAAACCCCATCTGTACTAAAAACACAAAAATTAGCTGGGCGTGGGGGAGGGCACCTGTAATTCCAGCTACTCAGGAGGCTGAGGCAGAGAATTGCTTGAACCTGGGAGGCAGAGGTTGCAGTGAGCTGAGACTGTGCCACTGCACTCCAGTCTGGGTGAGACTGTGTCTCAAAAAACAAACAAACAAACAAATAAACAAACAAACAAACCATTTCACTGAAGACCAGTGCATTCCAGTCCTGCCTGAAACCTTCTATTTGCACCCTGGGCCACACAACTGAGCTGGGCACGGGGTTGAAAGGAGGTGGTCTCCTGGCTTCTGAACACCCTTGAGTAAGGCAGTTGGCCTTCAGCCTCCATTTACACATCTGTCCAGTGGGGTCTTGTCCAGTCCAAGTCCTCCTGGGCATGATGTGAGGGTTTGAGGAGAGGACATTGGTAACAGCGTCTTTCAAATGCCAGCTCCACCATCCCTCTCTCCCCTGCAGAGAACACAAACGCTTCAGGAGAAATTCAAGCCTGTGTCACCCGATCGCTCAGACCAGTGCGGCTCTGGCTGGAGGAGTCAGCAGCAGCTCCAGGCATGACCCCGGCACCCTCATAGGGCCCCTCACTACCCCCAGCACTGGGTCATTTCTTGCCAATAGGAAGGCTGGTGCTTCTCTCCCAGGCTGTCCTCGGGACCCTCTTCATTCTCTGATCTCATCCTGGAATGCATGAGAATAAAGAATAACCAAGTGGTATAAGCCTGGGCCTATGGGATAAGGATGGGGCACTCGAGGGGGCTCAGCAGGGCTTTCAGGTTTAGAAGAGGGAAGACCTGCCTTGGCTGGGCTGCCTGGGTTTAGCTTGGGGGAGTAAGGGCAGGTCTTAGGCCGGGTGCAGTGGCTCATTCCTGTAATCCCAGAACTTGGGAGGCCAAGGTAAGAGGACTGCCTGAGGCCAGGAGTTCGAGACCAGCTTAGGCAACATAGCAAGACCCTGACTCTACAAAAAAAAATTTTAAAATATAAAAGAAAGGAAAAGAAAAAGAGAAAGAAATGGCAGGTCCCCTGTGAGATAACCCAGATGACCCAGAGAGAAGGCCTGTATCCTGCCACACTGGCTGCCAAGATTGGAGATCATAAAATTTCCTGACCACTTCTCAGCCTAACACAGGGCTCTCAACCTTGAAATCCCATGGAAACTTTGCAAAGCTGTGGAAGCCCAGGTCCCATGCCCAGAGATTCACAGGTTCACATCTAATTCATCTGGGGTGAGGCCTGAGCTTTCAGAAAATTCCCCAGGTGATTTTTTTTTTTTAAGACGTAGTCTCCCTCTATTGCCCAGGCTGGAATGCAGTGGCGCGATCTCAGCTCACTGCAACCTCTGCCTCCCATGTTCAAGCGATTCTCCTACCTCAGCCTCCTGAGTAGCTGGGATTACAGGCGCATGCCACTGAGCCCAGCTAATTTTTGTATTTTTAGTAGAGATGGGGTATCACCATGTTGGTCAGGCTGGTCTTGAACTCCTGACCTCGTGATCTGCCCCGCTCAGTCTCCTAAAGTGCTGGGATTACAGGTGTGAGCCATCGAGCCTGGCCTTTTTTTTTTTTTTTTTTTTTTTTTTGAGACAGAGTCTTGCTCTGTCACCCAGGCTGGAGTGCAGTGGCACAATCTCGGCTCACTGCAACCTCGCCTCCCTGGTTCAAGCGATTATCCTGCCTCAGCCTCCCAAGTAGCTGGGATTACAGGCACCTGCCACCAAGGCTAATTTTTTGTATTTTTAGTAGAGACAGGGTTTCACCATGTTGGCCAGGACGGTCTCGATCTCCTGACCTCGTGATCTGCCCGCCTTGGACTCCCAAAGTGCTGGGATTACAGGTGTGAGCCACTGCTCCCAGCCAAGATCAGATGTTCTTGCATAATGGGCAGGTGAGCTCTGGAGTCACAGTGCCTGGGCGTGAATCTCGGAGCTGTGTGTTCTCAGGAATGTCACCCAAACTCTGTTCTGTTGGTCTCCTCACTTGCAATATGGGGCATTAACAGTACTTACCACCTGGGGTTACTGTGGTTAGTTACTGTGAGGATGAGATAAGGCGGTGGTTTTAAACTGTGGGTAGGATTTTGTCCTCCCTCAGCCCCACTCTTTCTTGGGGACATTTGGCAATGTATGACATTTTTGATGTCACAACAGGCAGGAAGAAGGCTACTGGCATTGAGTGAGTAGAGACCAGGGATGCGGTTAAGCATAGTGCAATATCACCATGCTACAAAAAAAAAAAAAAAAAAGAATTCAGCACCTGTAATCCCAACTACTTGGGAGGCTGAGGCAGGAGAATTGCTTGAACCTGGGTGGCAGAGGTTGCAGTGAGCCGAGATTGCGCCATTGCACTCCAGCCTGGGCGACAGAGCGAGACACCATCTCCAAAAAAAAAAAAAAAAAAAATGTTGAGAAACCCTGAAATACCACGATTCTAGCTAAGACCTCAGCAAGAGGCACATAGCACATAGTAAAGCCTCAATAAACACCACTGACCTTACTGAGGTTCTCTCTGCCCCCTAAGTCATAAGTAGGGTGGCCTCACCAAGGGTGTGGTTCTCAGTCTGTACCTCTGGCACTGGGAAGCCCCGCCTGGCCACCCTAGGATGCAGAATTAATCATAACTTCCAGATATGGAGCACTCACTCTATTCCAGGCCGTGTGCTGACAGCTTCGCAGCAAGCATTCTCTCCTGGCACTCCCCGACAACAGTGAGGTGTCTTGCTATTACTGCCATTTTAGAGGAGGAAACAGGTTCAGGGAGGATCACAAGTCATCAAGCTAGTACTGTGCTTAAACTTAGGTCTAGCTGTTCTTAATGTGCAGAAGAGTGTAAAGGGTTACCATTTTTAAAGAAAAAGTGGGGGCAGGGCATGGTGGCTCATGCCTGTAATCCTAGCACTTTGAGAGGCCGAGGCAGGCGGATCAAGAGGTCAGGAGTTCGAGACCAGCCTGACCAACATGGTGAAACCCTGTCTCTACTAAAAATACAAAAATTAGCTGGGTGTGGTGGAGTGCATCTATAATCCCAGCTACTCAGGAGGCTGAGGCAGGAGAATCACTTGAACCCAGGAGGCGGAGGTAGTGGTGAGCCAAGATCACGCCGAGCCGAGATCGTGCCGCTGCTCTCCAGCCTGGGCAACAGAGCGAGACTCCATCTCAAAAAAAAAAAAAATGTTGGAAGAGGGTGTGCTTGTTTATGTACAAAATGTCGCTAGATTTAAACACAATAAACTGGCAAAGATGGTTGTCTCTGGGGAGAATTGGGGACTTGGGAACAGGAGCTGAAGAACAACTTTTCAGTGTTGTGTTTGGAACCATGTGAATGTATTATGTATTCAAAATGTAAATAAAAATGAAGTTAAAGAGACTGTGCTCCTAACTAGGAGTGTTTGTCTAAGTTGCCTGGGTGTGAGAGCACCTGGGGTGCTTGTTAGAAATAGATTCCAAAGACACACCCAGACCTACTTAAATCAGAATCCTCCAAGGGCTTCGAAACCTGCATTTGACAAGCCTGGCTGATGAGTCGAGTCCCGGCCAGTTTAGGAACAAGAACCCAAGACAACAGGATCCTAGCCCAGAAATAATTCCAGCTGGATCTTGCATCCCTACAGAAGTAGGGAGGTGGCTGTCCTAGGGGAATACGTAAAAGATGTCCAGGACGGCCGGGTGCGGTAGCTCACGCCTGTAATCCCAGCACTTTGGGAGGCTGAGGCAGGTGGATCACCTGAGGTCAGGAGTTGGAAACCAGCCTGGCCAGTGTGGTGAAAGCCCATCTCTGCTAAAAATACAAAAATTAGCCGGGCGTGGTGGCTCATGCCTGTAGTCCCAGCTACTCGGGAGGCCGAGGCAGGAGAATCCCTTGAACCCGAGAGGCAGAGGTTGCAGTGAGCTGAAATCGCGCCACTGCACTCTAGCTTGGGCAACAGAGTGAGACTTGGTCTCAAAAAAAAAAAAAAAAAAAAAAGTCCAGGACTTCTCTGGGGAGCAGTGGGGGTTCATAGAGGTCCCTCCCTCATCTACTTGATACCCTTCAAAAGTGTGGATTAGGCCAGGCGTGGTGGCTCACGCCTGTAGTCCCAACACTTTGGGAGGCTGAAGCGGGTGGATCACATGAGGCCAGGAGTTCCAGACTAGCCTGGCCGACATGGTGAAACCTCCATCTGTACCAAAAAATACAAAAATTAGCCAGGCGTGGTAGTGTGCACCTATAATCCCAGCTACTTGGGAGGCTGAGGCAGGAGGATCGTTTGAACCCGGGAGGCGGAGGTTGCAGTGAGCCAAGATTTCACCACTGTACTCCAGTCTGGGCGACAGAATGAGACTCTGTCTCAAAACAAAACAAAACAAACAAAAAAGAAGTGTGGATCCTGGAGCATGTGACACAGGACTGCAAATGCTGCTGGAGGGAAAAGGAGGGTCCCCTTCCCCACCCAGACTATGAAGCTGCCGTTCACTGTGTCCCAGTCCGCACAGGACAAGAACTTAAGGCCACACTTTCCAAATTGTGTTTCTCCAGAGTCTTGGGGTTCTGTGAAGCACCTGGGACAACAATGATAGGAGAAAGAGAAATATCAGGCCTGCTGATGCTCCACCCACATTTCACTTCAGCCAGACTACATTCTTTTATAAAACTAATTAAAAACTTGGTTTAAATTTTTCTTTTTTGAGACAGGGTCTGTTGCCCAGGCTGGAGTCCAGTAGCACAATCAAGGATCACTGCACCCTCTACTTCCCAGACTCAAGCGATCTTCCAGCCTCAGTTTCCCAAGTAGCTGGGATTACAGGCGCGTGCCACCATGCCCAACTAATTTTTGTATTTTGTGTAGAGACAGGGTTTCGCCATGTTGCCCAGGCTGGTCTCAAACTCCTGGGTTCAAGTCATCTACCTGCCTCATCCTCCTAAAGTGCTGGGATTACAGGCGTGAGCATAACCACTTTCTATATTAGATGTTTGGGACAGACAGAAATCTCAAACTCAAAGGCCTAATGAGGCCAAGAAAGTCACATGAGTGAAGGCGGCCTGGTGTGAGACAAGAGGGAGTGCTGGGGACTGTGGAAAAAATAGGCCCTGGGGAGAGTGTGGCTGCAGTGCAGCTGCTGCTCATTGTTGCTCTGTAAGAAGGTGGCCCCATGCAGCTAGGGCTTCCAACAGTTCTTTAATGTATGTATGTGTGTGTGTGTGTGTATGTATGTATGTATGTATGTATGTATATATTTATTTGGGACCGAGTTTTGCTCTTGTCGCCCAGGCTGGAGTGCAATGCCGTGATCTCAGCTCATTGCAACCTCTGCCTCCCAGGTTCAAATGATTCTCCTGCCTCAGCCTCCCAAGTAGCTGGGATTACAGGTGTGCTCCACTACGCCTGGCTAATTTTTGTATTTTTAGTAGAGATGGGGTTTCACCCTGTTGGTCAAGCTGGTCTCAAACACTGCTGACTTCAGGTGATACAGCTGCCTCAGCCTTCCATAGTGCTGGGATTACAGGTATGAGCCACCACACCCGGCCCTCCATTTAAAGCAAAGCCAGAATCAGCCCAGGTAAGATCTTTGTGAGGGCCTAGGCTCTGAGCCAGACTATCCAGGTTCAAATCCTGGCAATTTACTTAACTTCCACGGGCATGAATTTTACCTTCTGCAAAATGGAGATAATAATAGTACTCACCACTGGCCGGGCGCGGTGGCTCACGCCTGTAATCCCAGCACTTTGGGAGGCCGAGATGGGCGGATCACGAGGTCAGGAGATCGAGACCATCCTGGCTAACGTGGTGAAACCCCGTCTCTACTAAAAATACAAAAAATTAGCCGGGCATGGTGACGGGCGCCTGTAGTCTCAGCTAGTCGGGAGGTTGAGGGAGGAGAATGGCGGGAACCTGGGAGGTGGAGCTTGCAGTGAGCCGAGATCGCGCCATTGCACTCCAGCCTGGGTGACAAAAGTGAGAGACTCCGTCTCAAAAAAAAAAAAAAAAAAAAAGGTACCCACCATATAAGGGTGCTGAGGGTTAAATGAGTTGATGCATAGTGCGTAGAATAGCAGCTGCACATAATGATTTTTCTTTTTTGGAGTCTTGCTCTGTCCAGCAGGCTGGAGTGCAGTGGCACGCTCTCAGCTCACTGCAACCTCCAGCTCCCAGGTTCAAGAGATTCTCCTGTCTCAGTCTCCCGAGTAGCTGGGATTACACGCACGCACCACCACGACCAGCTAATTTTTGTATTCTTTTTTTTTTTTGAGACGGACTCTCTCTCTGTCGCCCAGGCTGGAGTGCAGTGGTGCAATCTCGGCTCACTGCAAGCTCCACCTCCCGGGTTCACGCCATTCTCCTGCCTCAGCCTCCCGAGCAGCTGGGACTACAGGCAGCCACCACCACGCCCAGCTAACTTTTTGTATTTTTTAGTAGAGACGGGGTTTCACCCTGTTAGCCAGGATGGTCTTGATCTCCTGACCTCGTGATCCGCCCGCCTCGGCCTCCCAAAGTTCTGGGATTACAGGCGTGAGCCACTGAGCCCAGCCAAAAAGTTTTTTAAAGACAAAGGCTAGCCTGGGTGCTGTGGCTCACAGCTGCAATCTCAGCAGTTCGGGAGGCCAAGGTGGGAGGATCCCTTGAAGCCAGGAGTTCAAGACCAGCCTGGGCAAGAGAGGCCCTGTTTCTATAAAAAATACAAACATTATCCAGGCGTAGTGGCATGTGCCTGTATTCCCAGCTACTCAGGAGGCTGAGGTGGAAGGATTGCTTGAGCCTAGGAGGTTGAGGCTGCCCTCTAGCCTGGGTGACATGGGAAGTCCCTGTCTCAAACACAAACAAACAAAAAAAAGGCTGAGGAATTGTTCCAAATTAAAGGAGACTAAGGCTGGGCACGGTGGCTCACGCCTGTAATCCTAACACTTTGAAAGGCCAAGGCGAGGGGATCACTTGAGACTGGGAGTTTGAGACCAGCCTAGCCAACATGGTGAAACACCTTCTCTACTAAAAATACAAAAATTAGCCCGGCGTGGTGGTGGGCACCTGTAATCCCAGCTACTCGGGCAGCTGATGCAGAAGAATCGCTTGAACCTAGGAGGCGGGGTTTGCAGTGAGCCAAGATCATGCCACTGCACTCCAGCCTGGGCGACAGAGTGAGACTCCGTCTCAAAAAAATAATAATAAAATAAAAATAATAAAGGAGACTAGGAAGTGATATCTCGTTGTGACACACAATCCTCAAGTGGAAAAAACGTCACTAGAAGGGACATTACTGGGACATTTGGGAAACTGAACAGGAATGTTCTATCTGATAATTGCCTGGATTTGATCACTGGATTGTCGTCATGTAGGGAAATGTCCTTAGTTTTAGGAGGAAGTATTTAGGCATGAAGGACCATACCGGTAACTACAGCACATGCCTCAGGGGGAAGGTAGACACAGTCCCTCCTCAGTCTTCAGTCAGTGTCTGTGACTTTGCCAGCTTTGCAGTGAGCCGAGATCGCACCATTGCACTCTAGCCTAGGCAACAAGAGTAAACCTCTATCTCAAAAAAAAAAAAAGAAAGCTGGGCGCGGTGGCTCACACCTATAATCCCAGCACTTTGGGAGGCCGAGGTGGGTGGATCACCTGAGGTCTGGAGTTCGAGACCAGCCTGACCAACATGGAGAAACCCCATCTCTACTAAAAATACAAAATTAGCTAGGCGTGGTGGCGTATGCCTGTAATCCCAGCTACTCAGGAGGCTGAGGCAGGAGAATGGCTTGAACCCGGGAGGTGGAGATTGCTGTGAGCCGAGATCGCACCATTGCACTCCAGCCTGGACAACAAGAGTGAAACTCCGTCTCAAAAAAAAAAAAAAAAAAAAAGCTGGGCATGGTGATATGTGCCTGTGGTCCTAGCTACTTGGGAGGTGGAGTGACCAGAGCTCACTGCAGGGAGGATCACTTCAGCTCAGGAGTTGGTGGTTACAGTGAGCTATGGTCATGCCACTGTACTCCAGCCTGGGTGACAGAGGGAAACCCTGTCTCTAAAATAAAATAGGCAGGGAGCAGTGGCTCATGTCTGTAATCCCAGCACTTTGGGAGGCTGAGGCGGGCAGATAACGTGAGGTCAGGAGTTCGAGACCAGCCCGGCCAACATGGTGAAATCCCGTCTACTAAAAATACAAAAATTTGCTGGGTGTGGTGGCGCGCTCCTGTGATTCTAGCTACTTGGGAGGCTGAGGCAGAAGAATCACTTGAACCTAGGAAGCGGAAGCTGCATGTGATCAGAGATTGTGCCACTGCACTCCAGCCTGGGGGATGGAGTGAGACTGTTTCAAAATATATATATATAATAATAGGCCGGGTCCAGTGGCTCACGCCTGTAATCCCAGAACTTTGGGAGGCCAAGGTGGGTGGATAACGGGGTCGAGTTCCAGACCAGCCTGGCCCACACAGCGAAACCCCTGCCTCTACTAAAAATACAAAAAAATTAGCCGGGTGTGGTAGCCGGTGCCTGTAATCCCAAGTATTCAGGAGGCTGAGGCAGGAGAATCGCTGGAAACCAGAAGGTGGGCTGGGCGCAGTGGCTCATGCCTGTAATCCCAGCACTTTGGGAGGCCCAGGCGGGTGGATAGCTTGAGGTCAGGAGTTCGAGACCAGCCTGGCCAACGTGGTAAAACCCCGTCTCTACTAAAAACACAAAAATCAGCTGGGCATGGTGGTGCATGCCTGTAATCCTAGCTACTCAAGAGGCTGAGGCAGGAGAATCACTTGAACCTGGGAGGCAAAGGCTGTAGTAAGCTGAGATTGTGCCGCTGCACTGGAGCCTGGGCAACAAGGTAAAACTTTGTTTCAAACAAAAGAAAGAAACCAGAAGGTGGAGGTTGCAGTGAGCAGAGATCGTGCCCTTGCACTCCAGCCTGGGCAACAAGAGCAAAACTCTGTCTCAAAAAAAAAAATATATATATATATGTATAATACATAAATACATATATATATTATCTAATATTCCTCAGTGCAAGAAGGTTATGATGGATATACATATGGAGAAAACAAGTATGTTAGATAAACTTTATTTAGGCATGTGTTCTAGTCCTGTGGGCTGTGAGTTCAACGGTAACAACTCAACCATATATATATATACACATATATATATGAATCTTTAAACAGAAATACACATAAAACAAGATTACATATTGATCAGCTGATGAAAATATCACGACCAAAGCTCACAGGAACGCAACCCTGTATTTCTCCTAGGAGCAACGGTCCAGTATGTGCTAAGTCAGTGCTCACAGTGATTTTACAGATCGCGCCACTGCACTCCAGCCTGGGTGACAGAGTGAGGCTCTATTTAAAAAAAAAAAAAAAAAAAAGACTTCTAAAGAAAAGACTGAATATGTATTTCAGATAGACACTATTCCTGCAACTTTTTGTAGGTTTGAAATTTCTCAAAATAAAATGTTGAATTTTTTTTTCTTTTTTTTTTGAGACGGAGTTTCACTGTTGTTGCCCAGGCTGGAGTGCAATGGCGCGATCTCAGCTCACTGCAACCTCCGCCTCCTGGGTTCAAGCGATTCTCCTGCCTCAGCCTCCCGAGTAGCTGGGATTACAAGCATGCGCCACCAAACCCAGCTAATTTTGTATTTTTAGTACAGATGGGGTTTCTCCATGTTGGTCAGGCTGGTCTCGAACTCCCGACCTCAAGTGATCTGCCCGCCTTGGCCTTCCAAAGGGCTAGGATTACAGGCGTGAGCCACCATGCAGGGCAAATTTTTCTATTTTTTTAGAGACAGAGTCTCCCTCTGTTGCCCAGGTTGGAGTGCAGTGGTGTTACCATAGCTCACTGCAGACTTGGCCTCCTGGGCTTAGGCAATCTTCCTGCCTCAGTCTCTCAAAGGAGCTGGAAGTGCAGGCGCCGTGGCTGGCTAATTTTTGTATTTTTTGTTTGAGATGGGGTCTCAAACTCCTGGGCTCAAGAGATCCTCCTGCCTTGGCCTCCTGAATAGCTGAGACCACAGGTATGTGCCACCATACCTGGCTTAAAATTTGTTTTAAGTTTTCCTAGAGGCTCACCTAACCAGGGTGAGCAGTAGCCCAGGCCCAACAAATACAAGACACGGGAAGGAGGTGTCCTTATGAGTATATTTATGTGTCACACACACATGTACACACTCAATGCTGGACGGGAGGGAGGTTGAGACGGACAGGACAGGAGGAGGCACCCAGGTGGCACTGGCACAGGGGAGGAGAGGGGACACAGCGAGTGTGTGGCCCCACTTTGGCCCCCCACCGCCTCCCAACAGGAGGTGGACCTGGAGCTGGAAGAACAGGAAATGCTTATTCTCTTAGAGGACAGTTTCAAAGTGCAGAAATTTCTCTTATAAAAATCCTCTTCCCTCCATGCTCTGCCCCTTGCTGAAGCCCAGCCCCCTGCGCAGGCTGTCCGTGAGGCTGGGGCAGGACAAGGTCAAGGGGAAGGGCGTAAGGCCAAAGCACTGGAAGGGCCCAGACCACATGGGCCTAGGCATAGTGGCTGCCGGGCGTCAGGGGGTGGTCCCCTCTGTGGTCCAGCTGGTCCTGTAAGCGGGCAAACTCCGCCAGCTCGTTGAGCTCCTGGAACTGTCGGTCAGTCTTATGGCTAACCAGTGAGCGGTAGAAGTGGACGGCGAAGACGATAAAGATCAGGCCGAAGGGCACCATGATGGTGGTCGAGGCGATGGCAGCTGCCTGGCCCGGGGTGATGCCGCTGGTGCTGACGTTGGCTGCTGCGCCACTGGCGGGGGGCTTGCTGGTGGGCCTTGGCTGGCCTGGCTGCTTCTTGAGGGGCAAGAACTTGACCCAGCAGAGCAGCACCACCTCAGCTAGGAAGAGCAGCGTGCCGATGACGGTGGAGAAGGCCCAGGCCAGCTCGATGTGGCGGTGCATGCGCTCATGGGGGGACTCCTTGACCGAGTTGAGATTGTGCACGTTGCTCACCGCCTCGATGTTGGGCAGGATGCAGGTGCTGATCATGAGCGCAAACAGGTGCACAGCCACCAGCACTGTGGTGCAGGCACTGAAGGCGATGAGCAGCCCCGGTGGGTAGTCGTGGTCAGCGTCCAGCTGCACCTCCACCATTGCCACCTGCGGGGGGACAGGCAGGATGAGTGCCAGCGGTCCCAGCCCACACTACTACTCTTCAGTCCTAGCTCTCCTCCTGTCAGGCTCTGGGACCCTGGCCAGTCGCTTGGCCTCTCCGAGCCTCAGTTTTCATATGTCTACAATGGGGATAGTAAGGCCTATCCACTTGTGGATGAGAGTGGCAGAAAGCCCTACAGAAAGCAAGAGCCAAGGCTGCCTGGATCTGAATCCCAGCCCTGGCACTCACTAACTGTGCAACCCTGGGAAAGTCACTTAACCTCTCTGAGCCTCGATTTTCTTTTCTTTTCTTTTTTTTTGAGAGGGAGTCTCACTCTGTTGCCCAAGCTAGGCTGGAGTGCAGTGTCGCGATCTCGGCTCACTGCAAGCTCCACCTCCCGGGTTCACGCCATTCTCCTGCCTCAGCCTCCCAAGTAGCCGGGACTACAGGCGCCTGCCACCACGCCCGGCTAATTTTTTGTATTTTTAGCAGACGGGGTTTCACCGTGTTAGCCAGGATGGTCTCGATCTTCTGACCTCGTGATCCGCCCGCCTCAGCCTCCCAAAGTGCTGGGATTACAGGTGTGAGCCACCGCGCCCGGCCTGAGCCTCGACTTTCTTATCCGTAAAATAGGGATATAATAGTAGTTCATAGGATTTTTTTTTTTTTTTTCTCCAAACAGAGTCGTGCTCTTTTGCCCAGGCTGGAGCCCAGTGATGCGATCTCGGCTGACTGCAACCTCCACTCCCGGGTTCAAGTGATCCTCCTGCCTCAGCCTCCCGAGTACCTGGGATTACAGGCATGCGCCACCACACCTTGCTACTTTTTTGTACTTTTGGTAGAGACGGGGTTTCACCATGTCGGCCAGGCTGGTCTCGAACTCCCAACCTCAGGTGACCCACCTGCCTGCCTCAGCCTCCCAAAGTGTTGGGATTACATGTGTGAGCCACCACACCCAGCCAATTCATAGAATTATTTTAACAATTAAATGAGAGCTGGCACATGGTAACCACCTCCCAAAACACTGCTATTACCACCTAGCCAGGTATTAGAAACCAGCCGCAGGACAGGCACAGTGGCTCACGCCTGTAATCTCAATACTTGTGGAGGCTGCGGTGGGAGGACTGCTTGAGGCCAGGAGTTCGAGAGCAGCCAGGCAACACAGAGAAACCCCACCTCTATAAAAAAAATTTGTTTAATTAGCTGGGGGGTGGTGGTGCACACCTGTAGTTCTAGCTACTTGGGAGTCTGGTGGGGAAGGATCGCTGGAGCCCAGGAGTTTGAGGTGGTGGTGAGCTATGACTGCCCCATGGCCCTCCAGTCTGGGCACCAGAGCAAGACCTTGTCTCTAAAAAAAATAAAATCAGGCCGGGCCCAGTGGCTCATGCCTGTAATCCCAGCACTTTGGGAAATTGAGGCGGGTGGATCACCTGAGGTCAGGAGTTGGAGACCAGCCTGGCCAACATGGTGAAACCCCATCTCTACTGAAAATACAAAAATTAGCTGGGCGTGGTGGCACGTGCCTGTAATCCCAGCTACTTGGGAGGCTGAGGCAGGAGAATCACTTGAACCCGGGTGGCGGAGGTTGCAGTGAGCTGAGATCGTGCCACTGCACTCCAGCCTGGGCAATAGAGTGAGACTCTAACTCAATAATAATAATAATAATAATAATAATAATAATAATAATAATAATAAAATTAAAATTAGTACCAACCACCACCATCAGTGGTCAAAATGGTAAATTTTGTTATGCGTATTTTACTATGGTTAAAATAAAAGCATTAAAAAAAGCAATCGCCAGCCATCATGCCTGCTGGCCCCACATCCTCACACCCAAGCAGAGGCTTCTCCTTCATGCCCTGCTCTGGGGACATGCAGAGGGGTGGTGGCTGCCCTCCCAGGGCACACTCAGGCCCTTCTGAGAACACAGCGCACGACCTGACATACAGAGCAGGCTTCCCAGAAGCGACGGGCCCAGCCCTGGTGCAGGCTGGGTGGCCAGTACACCCTGGGGCTGTCTCCTCCCCAGCCCCAGGGCTGACACACCAGCTGCCCCCAGTTCCTGGAGACCTGTGGACCCGAGGTCACCAGGGGCATGCTCCGGGCCAGACACCCGCTGCTCCTCACCTGGGCCTTGCAAGTCACCCCCATGCAAAGGAGCCAGCTTATCAGATCTGGGCCAGGAGCAGCGGGCAGTGGGCACACAACCATGGTCAACCCATGAGGGCTGGAGGGACAGGGGTAGGGAGATGGCGGATACCTATGGCAGTCATTCCATCAAGGACAGTGACTCTTTATAAGGTGTTTGCTATATATGTGGCAGGCTCAGAGCGGCAAGCCTAATGTTGAAGTTTCTCCATTAGCCGCACACTAGCCTGGCCCCCAGCAGGCAGGGAATTCCTGTCCTCACCCCTCCTGCCCTAGGTAGGGGTGTGGACTCCTTCCTTCCCCACCGCTCTCCTTTTACAGTCTGCCTGGCTTGAACCCTGACTCCCCTGCCCTTGATTGGGCTGTATGACTCTGGCAAGCTTTCAACTTTCTGTGCCTCTGTTTTCACATCTGTAAAATGGGAATAATGGGACAAGCCTCGAAGGCTTCTTCTGAGGATTAAGAGAGTCAATCCATGTAAAACAGGTAGTGTCCGGCACACAACAAACCCTCAATAAAAGTGAGCTTCATTATTACTCAGTTTAGGAACCTCATCCCCACCCCACAGTCTCTTTACAACATCCTCCAGAGGGGCACACTCAGGCATAAAGAACGCCAGGCCAAACTGGCAAACCCATGTTCCAGCTCCTTAACTGCCTGTTTACCGGTAACCTTGGCCAAGACCCTCCTCAACACCCATAAAAAAAGGGGCTGCAGCGAGATGAAGGTCACAATCTGGATCTGACTTGGGGTCGGACATCTCTGAGAATCTGAAGATGGTGGACACTCTCCTTAAAACAGCCAAGTATCATTTATTCACAGGACTTTTCTGACAATTTCAACAGGATTCACAGGCTTTTGTCTAAGAATGCCCACAGTGGATGGCAGTATGTACTTCTCAGTCCAGGCGTTTACAAAACATTTCAAGCTCATATAAATTTGGGGCAATGCCATCAGGATTTCTACCGTGTTTAAGATCTTTGGTGGCCGAAAGCCAGCCCTGAGAATTCTGAGTCCATGCGGGTGAGGGTATCTCAGCACATGTGGGTGCTGGACACAAGACGTGGGGTAGGTCACCAGGGCACGGCAGATGGAGGGCCACATCCTGCAGCTCCCTTGTCTCTGCCCCCAGGCCTGCCCACACCTGGAAGAGGGGAGCCCCCTCCAGCAGCCAGTGTCTCCTGCCACCTCCCCACCCCCAGCACTTCCTCTTCCTGCTCTGGCCTGCCACCCCGGAACCTGAAACCCAAGACAGGACAAGCAGCAGCGGCTGTTGCTGAGCTGCCCCAGGTCCACTGCTACTGATCCACTCACTGGAAACGTCTGGAGCCTTTAGGTGGCTCAGGCCCTGAGCTGGCCGCTGGGGTGTGTATGGGGGGCCTGTATACAGGTCTGCAGTCCCATTCTGCTCCCTACTTGGTGCCTCGCCTGTGCCCCAGCCACCCCCGAGGTAGTGTCTCTCCCCCTCTATGCAGTCAGGACCACAGAACAAACCACACAGCTGGCTGCAAACTGGCTCCTCCACTTACAAAGCTGTTGACCTTGGATAAGGATCTCAACCTCTCTGTGCCACAGCTTCCACACCTATAAAATAGAGGCTGACAGGGGCAGTGGCTCATGCCTGTAATCCCAGCACACTGGGAAGCTGAGGAGGGTGGATCACTTGAGGCCAGGAGTTCAAGACCAGCCTGGCCAACATGGTGAAACCCTGTCTCTACTAAAAATACAAAAATTAGTCAGGGGTGGGCCAGGTGTGGTGGCTCATGCCTGTAATCCCAGCACTTTGGGAGGCCGAAGCAGGCAGATAACTTGAGGTTAGGAGTTCAAGATCAGCCGGGCCAACATGGTGACACCCTGCCTCTACTTAAAATACAAAAAAATTAGCTGAGTGTGGTGGCACACACCTGTAATCCCAGAAAATTGGGAGGCTGAGCCATGAGAATCGCTTGAACCTGGACATGGAGGTTGCAGTGAACCGAAATCATGCCACTATACTCCGGTGTGGGCAACAGAGTGAGACTCCATCTCAAAAAAAAAAAAAAAATTAGCTGGGGTGTGGTGGTGGGCACCTGTAATCCCAGCTAATTGGGAGGCTGAGGCAGGAGAATCGCTTGAACCCGGGAGGCAGAGGTTGCAGTGAGCCAAGATAGTGCCACTACACTCCAGTCTTGGTGACAGAGCATGGTCTGTCTCAAAAAAAAAAAAAAAAAAGAGAATCCCACGAGTTACTAATACCATTATTCTTCTTTTACAAACGAGGAAACTGAGGCTCAGAAAGGTGATGTCAGCTGTCCAAAGGGTTACTCTGCTGCTGGATTCAAAACCAAGTCCACTTGGCTCCACAGCCCGGGTATGAAGGGGGCAAAGGAGCACCTCCCTCACATGGTGGCTGAGATTAAATGTAGTTTTCATATGTAGATGTTTAGCATAGGGCCAGCTACAGCAGCTCAATAAATCTTGGTTAAAAAGAAAAACACAGGGCCGGGCGCGGTGGCTCACGTATGCAATCCCAGCACTTTGGGAGGCCGAGGTGGGTGGATCACGAGGTCAAGAGCTCGAGACCAGCCTGGCCAATATGGTGAAACCCCGTCTCTACTAAAAATACAAAAATTAGCTGGGCGTGGTAATGCGTGCCTATAGTCCCAGCTGCTCAGGAGGCTGAGGCAGGAGAATCGCTTGAACCCAGGAGGTGGAGGTTGCAGTGAACCAAGATCGCGCCATTGCACTCCAGCCAGGGCAACAAGAGCGAAACTCTGTCTAAAAAAAAAAAAAAAAAAAAAAAGAAAGAAAGAAAGAAAGAAAAACACATAAAGCAGGCACACACCTGTAATCCAGCAATTTAGGGAGCTGATGTAGGAGGATCACTTGAGTCCAGGAATTCGAGATCTCCCTGGGCAACACAGTGAGACCTCATCTCTACAAAATCAAAAAATTAGCTGGGTGTAGTGAGTATACCTGTAGTCCTAGCTACTCAGAAGGCTGAGGTGAGAGAATCCCTTGAGCCCAGGAGGTTGAGGCTACAATGAGCCGTGATTGCGCTACTGCACCCCAGCCTGGGCAACAAAGTGAGACCCTATCTCACACACACACACAGACACACACACACACACAAAGAAAAAAAAATTAGCTGGATATAGTGGGCATGACTGTAGCCCCAGCTACTTTTTGTTTTTTGAGATGGAGTCTCACTCTGTCACCCAGGCTGGAGTGCGCTGGCACAATTTGGCTCACTGCAACCTCCCCCTCCCGGGTTCAAGCGATTCTCCTGCCTCAGCCTCCTGAGTAGCTGGGATTACAGGCGCCCGCCACTATGCCCAGCTAACTTTTGTATTTTTAGTAGAGACGGGGTTTCACCTTGTTGCTCAGGCTGGTCTTGAACTCCCGACCTCAGATGATCTCCCCACCTCAGCCTCACAAAGTGCTGGGATTACAGGTGTGAGCCACCGCACCTGGCCAGTCCCAGCTACTTGAGAGGCTAAGGCAGGAGGATCCCTTGAGCCCAGGAGTTCAAGGCTGCAGTGAGCTATGATCCCATCACTGCACTACAACCTGGGCAACAGAGCAGGACTCTATCTCTAAAAAAAAGAAAAGAAAAGAAAAAAGGAGAAAAACAGAGCTTGAAGTGGATGGAAGAGAAATAGTGCCTGGATACCCTCAGCTCAGACTGGAGACAGGGACCCCACATACCCACCTTCCAACCCCGACTCGGGGCCTCGCTTGCTATATTTAGAGGCAGCTCCAGCTCCAAACCTCGGCCACAAGGATGTGTACCCCACGCCACACCTGGCCTGATGGCCACCTCCACAGGACAGAGACCACCACATTCCACACCATTTGTCACACCCACAGGCTCCAGGGCCAGAAAGCAGTGCAGCTGTTGGGACGCACACGGCCCGGGGACACCCACACTCGCCAGCCCTGAGGTTTTGGGCTGGGGAGAGGGGAGAGGCTGGGCTCTCCGAGGAAGAGGAAAGGGCCTGCTGCCCTGCTCCGGAAGAAAGCCCATTACCCTCACCAGACCCTACGATTCCTGGAACTCCGTCCACTTAGGCAGGCTGTATGTGCCCACACTTGGAACCAAGTTCAATGCCACAGGGTTCAGGGGGCCGTGTAAAAGAATGATTCAAAGTGAGAAGAAAGGCCCTCTCCCTCTCCCTCTCCCTCCCCCTCCCTCTCCCCACAGTCTCCCTCTCCCTCTCTTTCCACAGTCTCCCTCTGATGCCGAGCCGAAGCTGGACTGTACTGCTGCCATCTCAGCTCACTGCAGCCTCCCTGCCTGATTCTCCTGCCTCAGCCTGCCGAGTGCCTGCGATTGCAGGCGTGCGCCGCCACGCCTGACTGGTTTTCGTATCTTTTGGGTGGAGACGGGGTTTCGCTGTGTTGGCCGGGCTGGTCTCCAGCTCCTAACCGCGAGTGATCCGCCAGCCTCGGCCTCCCGAGGTGCCGGGATTGCAGACGGAGTCTCCTTCACTCAGTGCTCAATGGTGCCCAGGCTGGAGTGCAGTGGCGTGATCTCGGCTCGCTACAACATCCACCTCCCAGCCGCCTGCCTTGGCCTCCCAAAGTGCCGAGATTGCAGCCTCTGCCCGGCCAGCCGCCCCGTCCGGGAGGTGCGGGGCGCCTCTGCCTGGCCGCCCCTACTGGGAAGTGAGGAGCCCCTCTGCCCGGCCACCACCCCGTCTGGGAGGTGTACCCAACAGCTCATTGAGAACGGGCCATGATGACAATGGCGGTTTTGTGGAATAGAAAGGCGGGAAAGGTGGGGAAAAGATTGAGAAATCGGATGATTGCCGTGTCTGTGTAGAAAGAGGTAGACGTGGGAGACTTTTCATTTTGTTCTGTACTAAGAAAAATTCTTCTGCCTTGGGATCCTGTTGATCTGTGACCTTACCCCCAACCCTGTGCTCTCTGAAACATGTGCTGTGTCCACTCAGGGTTAAACGGATTAAGGGCGGTGCAAGATGTGCTTTGTTAAACAGATGCTTGAAGGCAGCATGCTCGTTAAGAGTCATCACCACTCCCTAATCTCAAGTACCCAGGGACACAAACACTGCGGAAGGCCGCAGGGTCCTCTGCCTAGGAAAACCAGAGACCTTTGTTCACTTGTTTATCTGCTGACCTTCCCTCCACTATTGTCCCATGACCCTGCCAAATCCCCCTCTGCGAGAAACACCCAAGAATGATCAATAAATAAATAAATAAATAAATAAATAAATAAATAAAGTTCTAAGAAACAAACAAAAAAAATTTTAATAAAATCTTGCAACTGGGAAAAAAAAAAGTGAGAAGAAAGGAACGGTTGGCATGTGTCATGGAGCTTGATGAAAAAGTCACAGGAATAAATGCCACCACTTTTTCCAGGATACTTCCTGCTCTGGAAATCTCCCCTTGGGTGGCAGGGGGAGGGCCAGGGGCCCTACAGATCTGGCAGCTGACTGCCAGAGCCCCAGCTGAGCCCCAGCAAGATTGGATCAGATCAGATCGCACGCAGCTTCACAAGGTAAATATAGCCCGTCAGCCCAAAATAAACAGCCCCCCGCCAGCCACTGGCCGCCTGAACCTGGCGAGGCAAGCCCTATAAGGGATAGGAAAGGCAAAAGACCACCAGCTCCACCTCACACTGGTCCATGGATCCCCCCAATAGGGTTTTGGCTAGAGATGCCAAACCTTAGCAAGGGCCAAGAAGAGGGTTACATAATTCTGCGAAGGGCAAGGCCTGGCTGGCCCTGACGGACCATACCAGCCGTCAGCCCACCTCGCCTGATTGCCAGCTATCTCTCCTGGCTCCTGCTGGGCTCCATGGAGACCCTGGGCACCTGGCGCCTGCAAGTCCAGGCCCTCTGAGGCAGCCCTCCCATGCTGGGCCTGACCTCAGGTCCCACAGCCTTCCTTCCCCTGGCCTAGTTCTTTTCTTGTCCACCCTTTTAGGAGGGTGGGTGGCTGCAGCCTGGAACATGAGGCCCTCTAGGCCGCAACCATGCAGGGTCACCCGGAGCTGTCTGAGCCTGCCGGCCCCACCTCAAATGCAAACCATCTCTTAAGAGGGTATTGAGGCCTAGTGTGCAGTGGTTTACAAAGTCTTGACCATGACAGTCCAGGACTCCAAATGTTTCTATAAATAGACACACACGCGTTTATAACAGAAACAAAAGTTTAACCAATCAACATTTAGCCTTACAGCACATCAGTAAGGTCTTGCAAGATGCAATGCGTGCTGCGACTTTGTTTCATTTCACCCTTATCTCATTCTAAAAAGGACCAGGAGCTTGGTACCAAAGTTATCAAAAGAAAGAAACAACAAAATGTGTTGGTTGCAACTTAGTAAATTTGTTACAAGCCATGAATAGGCTGAATTTGCATACAGGGTCAGCGGGACACAGACCCAGACTTTCTCTTCAACTGGCTCCCAGCCAGAAAGACCAGAGCTGGAATTCTACTAGCTGGAGAATCTTAACTTCTAGGAGCCTTAGTTTTCCTGTTTACAGTACATACTTTTAAGAGCTATGGTGAGGATTCAGTAAGAATGAAAGAAAAGCGTTCAGGCTCATGCCTGGCACAACAGGGTTTCAGTAAACAGTAATCACAACCACCACCACCGTCATCATAGAATTCATCATGTAACTCCTGTCTAAAACCTTCAATGGCTCCCTGTTGCCTATCCAAGAGTTCAAATTTCCCACCCAATCAAGGCCCTCCATCATCTTGCCTGGCTAAATTCACCGTTCTCTACTACTTCCTGAAGACCCTCAACCCCAACCACAGCCCCTGTACCTTTCCCCTAGGCCCTGTAATTTCTCTTCTTTAACTGTTCCTGCCATTTCCTTTGACTTGAAGGCTTTCTCAAGTCCTAACTCCACCACACTCAAGGCTCGGCAAGAACCAGATTCTTCTCAGTTAACCCTTAGCAGCCCTAACACAATGGAAAAAAGGGTAAGCAAGTTTCTGGGATACTCGGGTCAGATACTGTAAGTGCTCTGCAAAAATTTTTTTTTTTTTTTTTTTTGAGATGGAGTCTCACTCTGTTGCCCAGGCTGGAGTGCAGTGGTGCAACCTCTGCTCATTGCAACCTCCGCCTCCCAGGTTCAAGCAATTCTTCTGCCTCAGCCTCCCGAGTAGCTGGAATTACAGGTATGCACAACTACACCCGGCTAATTTTTGTATTTTTAGTAGAGATGGGGTTTCACCATGTTGGCCAGGCTGGTCTTGAACTCCTGACCTCAGGTGATTCGCCCACTTCGGCCTCCCAAAGTGCTGGGATTACAAGCGTGAGCCAATGCGCCCGGCCGTACTCCATTTTAAAGATGAAGAAACTGAGGCCCAGAAAGGTTAAATGACTTGCCTAAGGTCTTGCCCTTATAAGAGGTAGAGCTGGGATTTGAACCAAGTTGTCTTGCTCAAGTGTCTGTTCTGACCTTACCCTGCTTGAGCTTCTCAGCTCTGTTCCCCTACACTCTCTGATGCTTTCTCTCCCACAGCAATGGCGCTACACCACAGCCACAGGGCTCTGCAGCTTCCCAGCCAGGTGACCATGCGCAAGTCTTTCCTCTCAATGACCATCACCTATACTCACCTGGTTTATAGGAGGATCACACAAGATGCTACGTGGGGCACCATCTAGCCTATTGCAAGAGCCCAATCAACAACAGCAATAATAATTACTATCAGTGATCAGTACTAGGAATAGTAATAGCAATTTCTTGCTCATTTACATGGTCCCTGAACTCTGAACACGTCACAGAGGCTCAGTGTCTTATGACTTGAGTCGTTCCTTCCAACTCATTTTCATAGAAATTACAGGAAACTTCTGAACCAGCTCTAGAACTTGGGAACAAAAGGGTGCTGGCGGGCAGAGAACTGAGGAGGCAGATAATCCAAAAATAATTGATCCCAGGTCATGGAAAGCATTTTGTTTACGGCAGCAGACTGACCTTCCCAATTATCTTCAGCTCAGGCTAATGTTACAGCCTGCCTTCCCCAGCAGACAAGATCACCACATATGCTCGCCAGTCCTGCAGGGGACGGGGTCAGGCTGAGGCTGGCTGCCTCTCAATGAAGTATAAACTGAGGCACAGAGGACCTGAATCAAAGCCCACAAGAGTACTCTGGGCTTAAGGAGCTCTACGGGATGCTGATCCTATGCTATATCCAGGCCCCCTTGCTTTGTATCTCTCATTAGAGTTTGGAGGATGGTGCGCCTGAGGCCTGCTGTTCCTAGAACTGCCGTGTGGAGCAAGAATCTCATCTGCAGATCAGAGAGGGTCCGGGCAAGGTGTGCATCATCAGACCCTGAAAATTCCTGTGTTTCATGGGCCCAGTCTGGCCTCATAATGAACCTTCATATGAGTCCATGGGAGAGCAGGATACCTGCCATCTCCATACACATTAAAAAACTGGCTTCAGCCAGGCATGGTGGCTCACACCTGTAATCCCAGCACTTTGGGAGGCCGAGGCGGGTGGATCACCTGAGATCAGGAGTTTGAGACCACCCTGGCCAACATGGTGAAACCCCGTCTCTACTAAAAATACAAAAATTAGCCAGGTGAGGTGGTGTGTGCCTGTAATCCCAGCTATTCGGGAGGCTGAGGCAGGAGAATCGCTTGAACCTGGGAGGTGGAGGTTGCAGTGAGCTGAGATTGTGCTACTGCACTCCAGCCTGGGCAACAAAGAGGAAACTCCGTCTCAAAAAAAAAGAAAAGAAAAGAAAAGAAAACTGGCTTCAAAGAAGTAAAGCCTCTTGCCTGAGGTCACCCACCAGCCATCCCCAACACTTCCCGGCCACCTGGCCAGGCTGTTCTACCCATGAAGTGGGGAACCTCTCAATCCCCTCCAGGATTTGTGGGAGACCCTCCCTCAATCTCACCTGGTTGACCCCATCCCTTGGCAATCAAAGGTCAAGTCAGCTCCTCTGACTTTCCAGGTCTCTGGGAAGGAAGCCCTCTGGGGGCAGGAAGTTGGTTGTGCTGACTCATAAGCCAAGGGAGAGTAATCCAGGAAACTTGTCACTCTGTTACCATGGCGTTGGGGCTGCTGGCACCCTCTCCTCTCCCAAGCTCACTTACAGGCTGGGTGTCTAAGTGGGAGTGGGGCATGGTCAGACCCTGCACCCAATCCCATCCCTCCTATAGATTTCCAACTTCATGGCACATGCAGTTACCTTCTTGTAACTGCAGAATGGAGAGTATCATGGGGTTCGGTCCTTCCCTGCCTGCAGAACTTTGGGGATTCCATCAGTAGTGCCAGGAAGCCTTCTCCACCCAGGTGGGGGAAAATAAAAGTCCCCAAGAGACAGACTGGGTGGGCCAAGGCCCACTCCATGCCACTGGCTGCCCCAGTCTCCTGACTTCCCCACACTGTTTTTAGCAAGAGAAGGAGGTGACATTTGACCATGAGGCCTGTCTTCGAAAGGAAGAAGGGACTTGAGAAGGCAGGAAAGTGTCATTCATCTGGATCTCACCCCTCAGGAGTGAGAAGGAGCCTGGGGCAGCTATAAACTCATGACCACAAGAAAAGGGGGAACCATTATCTTAAATACCAAGCGCTGCAGGGAAAAGCTGACAACTGGTAGCTCCCTCCCCACCACCAATTATAAAACTTTCTTTGGCTTAAAAGAAACTCTTTTGCGGCCGGGCGCCGGTGGCTCACGCCTCTAATCCCAGCACTTTGGGAGGCCGAGGCGGGTGGATCATGAGGTCAGGAGATCGAGACGATCCTCGCTAACACGGTGAAACCCCGTCTCTACTAAAAAAATACAAAAAAAATTAGCCAGGCGTGGTTGTGGGCGCCTGTAGTCCCAGCTACTCCAGAGGCTGAGGCAGCAGAATGGCGTGAACCCAGGAGTCAGAGCTTGCAGTGAGCCAAGATCGCACCACTGCACTCCAGCCTGGGTGACAGAGCAAGACTCCGTCTCAAAAAAAAAAAAAAAAAAAAAGAAACTCTTTTGCCCTATTTCTCATTTCCTAGTGTCCTAACACATCCCTGGCTGGACATCAATCAGAGTTCCTATACACCGCAATGGGTACAAGTGCCTGAGCAAGTTCTGAACACCAGCAGAGCTGGGTTCAAATCCCGCTCCACCAGACTGGCTGTGCGGTCTTGGGAGAGCCCTTTGACAAAATCACCACAGAGGGTTGTTGAGTAAGCCCAGGAGTTAAGGCACCTAGCACTGAGTGAGTGTTCAGTAAATGCCAGCTGCTTTTAGAGATTCTTCAGGCAGCAGGCAGAACCTGGTCTCTTAGGATTTGAAATTAACAGAGCAGAAGTCCGTCCTGTCTAAACTAAAAATGAGAGTGCCGTCTGTTTATGCAAACACACTCCCTGATCTCCTTTCAGGGGCTCCCTCAATTTTATTCTCAAAGTCAGAGAAACTTTTGAGTAGCAGCCTTCTTTGATCAATTCAGGAATTGAGGCCCGGACAGGGAGAGTGAGTTGCTTGAGGTCACACAGGCAGCAAGTAACTGAGCAGGGAAGGCTGCTTCCCACTCCCCATCTCCCGGCCTTTCCACTGTGGCCCAGCGTGCTCTGGGCCTTAAAAAATTCAGGCTCTGCTGCAAGGCAAAGCAGGGAGAGTTTCAGACACACTCCCTTCCCAAGAAAACACGAAGGGTGCAGCCACTCCCTCCCTCAAGGCCAAGGGCTTAGCTCACTGGTGGCGGGGGCAGGAGTGCTCTGGTCTACAGAACTGAGGGGCGGGGAGCAGAGTCCATTCATGGCAGGCTGATATCACCGAGTGGTAATAATGTAGTTATTATGTAGTCCCCTGCAACGGAGAAACTTCAATATGCCAAGCCTGAGGGTATCCCCAGAGCCACTTCTCAGGCCCATCCGCAGCCTCACCCACCCCACACCTCAGAGGCTTTGCACTCCAGCTCTTTGGGATGGTGGGGAAAGGAAAGCATGCCTATGCCCTAGATCAAGAAAGAGCCCATTGGGCCGGGTGTGGTAGCTCACGCCTGTAATCCCAGCACTTTGGGAGGCCGAGATTTGGCAGATCACGAGGTCGAGAGTTAAAGATCAGCCTGGCCAACAGGGTGAAACCCCGTCTCTACTAAGAACACAAAAATTAGCCGGGCGTGGTGGCGCGAGCCTGTAATCCCAGCTACTCGGGAGGCTGAGGCATGAGAATCGCTTGAACTCAGGAGGTGGAAATTTCAGTGAGCCGAGATTGCACCACTGCACTCCAGCCTGGGCGACAGAGCGAGACTCCGTCTTGGAACAAATAAAAAATAAAGAGCCCATTCAACGGGAACATGTCCCTCCCTCCTCCCTCACACGCAGTGACTCAGTGGCAAGTTTCTGGAGAAAAAACTGAGGGGGACTGGTTGTCAAACCCCCAGGCTGAGGCTCTCGGAAAATGCGGTGGAAAAGGGGTGTCAGGAAATCCCCTCTAGGAGCTGATAAAAGAACACGGCTAACAACTTCCGGCCTCGGGTGCCGGGGCACAAGACAGCGCAAGGTCTTTCTCCTTGTCCCCACCTCCTGACGCCCCCAGCTGGGTTAGAGCTTCTGAGTCCCTCCTTTCGCTCCTGAACGCACATGGGGCGGGCTTCTTACAGAGCTAACTTCGGGATGCATCTACCACTCTTGCTGGGGCAGGCATGGCCATGTGGAGGCACCCAAGCACCCCGAGCCCGGACTCTGATATGGCTTGTCACCACCCCAGATCGGAGTACTCGGCGCCCACCAGTGCTCACGTCCAGCACCTCTGCCCCCCGCGCAGCGCTCACCACGGTTTCTCCCAGCTCTTCCCCTCACTCTGGCCCGCCCGGCCCGCCCAGAGAGCCCCGTCGGGGCTGCGGGCGGGAGCAGCCGGGACAGTAGAGGGGGCAGGGCAGGGCGGCCGGAGCTCACCATGGCGAAGCCGGAGAGCAGAGCCGAGGTCCGGCTGGAGGCTTTAAGCTTGGCGCGGCTCAAGTAGAGCTTGCGCCAGGACAGCGCCTGCATGGAGTGCTCGTTGAGGCTCATCACCTCGGAGTAACTCTGGCCGATCCAGTCCGGGTAGGTGACGGCGGACGGCGGCGGTGGCGGGGCGGGGCCCCCGGGGGCTCCCCGTCCCCGCTGCGGCGGCGGCTCCGGCGGCTGCCGCTGGTGGTGCTGCCGCCGCTTGGGGGAAGCTCGGGACTGCTGCGGCTCGGGGGCGGGGCGGGCTCCGGATGCATGGAGCACGCCGCCGAGGCGCGGGCCGGCCCGGGCGCCGCGAGGCACCTCCGCCGGAGGCAGCCGCCGACTGCCCCCTACGCGGGCCCGGCCTCACCCGGCCGGCCGCACAGGACGAGGAGGACGAGGTCGAAGAAGTGCCCGCTGCCCCAGCACGCAGGCCCGCGGCGCCGCTGGCAAAAGCCCCCGGGCGGCAGTGACCAGAGACTGCGCGCGGGCGGCGCCTCGGATCCCCGGGGCCTGGACCCCCGGCGCGCGCCGCGATTGGCCGCCGCCCTGGGCTGTTTTGCATGCTCCCCGCCCACCTGTGCCCCGCCCACCAAGAAGTGGGCGTTGTTGTGGGCGTCACGTGACCCGCCCGCTCCGACGGCACCGCCCACGGTCCCTGGCGCGCCGCCGCCCGCCACTTTTCCTGGAAGCGCCCGGCTGCCCGCTCCGGCTCCTGGCGCCGCCCCTCTCCGCAGCTGCTCCCGTGGCCCTGCTCCTGGAGCTTGGACTCCTGGGTCGGGCCGCCTGAGGTCACCTCTGGGCGCCTCCTGAGGCCCATATCCCCTTTGGAACAAGGTGGCTCAAGGTCTGTAGGAAAAAGAGCGGCTGACGTCTGGAGTTCAAGCAGTGTTTATTTGGCGCCCACTGGGTGCCAACACTGGTCTAGGTGCTGAGGCTGGGTAGGGTGGTGAACGAGATGGACAAAACCTGTCTGTTAACCACTTTGTCCACCTGTGTTCACCAGCATCTGATACGTATTGAGGTGACCGGTTCCTGATTTATTATTTTTTTATTACTGGGTTCAAGCAATTCTCCTGCCTCAGCCTCCCGAGTAGCTAGGATTACAGGCTCCCGCCACCATGCCCTGCTAATTTTTGTATTTTTAGTAGAGATGGGGTTTCACCATATTGGCCAGGCTGGTCTCAAACTCCTGACCTTGTGATCCGCCCGCCTCGGCCTCCCAGAGTGCTGGGATTACAAGCGTGAGCCACCGTGCCCGGCCACCTGATATTTTTTAAACCAGTGAATCTTCAAACCTATTCAGCAAGTGTCTTCTGAGCAACTATTACGTGCTACGCTGAGGGATTCCAGGAAAATGATAACCTTCATTGAATATTTTATATATATATATACACACACACATATATACACATATATATGTATATATATGTGTGTGTGTGTGTATATATATATATATATATATATATATATATATTTTTTTTTTTTTTTTTTTTTTGAGACAGGGTTTTGCTCTTGTCGCCCAGGCTGGAGGAGTGCAATGGCGCGATCTTGGCTCACTGCAACCTCCACCTCCCGGTTCAAGCGATTCTCCTGCCTCAGCCTGCTGCGTAGCTGGGATTACAGGCGCCCGCCACCACACCTGGCTAATTTTTGTATTTTTAGTAGAGACGGGGTTTTGCCATGTTGGCCAGGCTAGCCTGGAACTCCTGACGTCAGGAGATCCGCCCGCCTCGGCCTCACAAAGTGCTGCGATTACAGGCATGAGCCTCCATGCCCGGCCCGAATATTATATTTTAGTGGAGTGTGGAGAGGGGCAGGAAATAAGTGAGATCACACCTTTCTGACTTAGGTCACATTTAAGCTGAGACCAGAGCCCGCCATGCAAACAGACAGGATCTAGCTTTCCAGGACGGCGAGGGAACTGCTCATGCCAAGACCTTTAAGCAGGGATATTTGGCTGTTGGAGCGTTGGAAGGCCAATTTTGGGGAGCAGAGGTGAGGTGGGGGTGTATGCAGGACTGTGCTAGGGAATGTCTCCTAGGAGGTAAACTCCGGGGCAGGGACCTTTACTATCAGCTTCACAGCTCTACCCTCAGCATCTAGAATATTCCTCGGCATACAATCGGTCCTCAGTAATTTTTTGTTGAATGAATAACTATGGGAGAGACAGGAATGAGTGACGAGCATGTGACATTGCCGGTTGGCGGGGTGAAACGTAACTCTTGTCACCACTAGAGGGCGCGCCCCCACCCAACCGTTGTGGGATGAAAACCTCTGCCCCCAAGAAGTCTCTGGTTCCCGCAGAGCCCTTTCTTGGCTTTTTTTTTAAAATTTAATTTTATTATTATTATACTTTAAGTTTTAGGGTACATGTGCACAATGTGCAGGTTAGTTACATATGTATACATGTGCCATGTTGGTGTGCTGCACCCATTAACTCGTCATTTAGCATTAGGTATATCTCCTAATGCTATCCCTCCCCCCTTTCCCCACCCCACAACAGTCCCCGGAGTGTGATGTTCCCCTTCCTGTGTCCATGTGTTCTCATTGTTCAATTCCCACCTATGAGTGAGAACATGCGGTGTTTGGTTTTTTGTCCTTTTCTTGGCTTTTTTAAAATAAAGATGGGGGCCGGGCGCGGTGACTCACGCCTATAATCCCAACACTTTGGGAGGCCGAGGCAGGCAGATCACAAGGTCAGTAGTTCCAGACCAGCCTAGCCAACATGGTGAAACCCTGTCTCTACTAAAAAAATTAGTCAGGTGACTCCCTAGTCCCAGTTACCAGGGAGGCTGAGGCAGGAGAATCGTTTGAACTTGGGAGGCGGAGCTTGCAGTGAGCCGAGATCGAGCCACTGCACTCCAGCCTGAGCGACAGAGCGAGAGTCCCTCTCAAAAAAAAAAAAAAAAATTGGGGAATTTGGAATTTGAAATCTCACCCTACTGGCTTTGTTTCCCTGGTGGCCTTTGTACTTTTTTTTTTTTTTTTTTGAGACGGAGTCTCACTCTGTCACCAGGCTGGAGTGCAGTGGAGCGATCTCGGCTCACTGCAACCTCCGCCTCCCGGGTTCAAGCAATTCTCCTGCTTCAGCCTGCCGAGTAGCTGGGACTACAGGCGCGCGCCACCACGCCCAGCTATTTTTGGTATTTTTAGTAGAGACGGGGTTTCACCATATGGACCAGGATGGTCTCGATCTCTTGACCTGGTGATCCACCCGCCTCAGCCTCCCAAAGTGCTGGGATTACAGGCGTGACGCACCGCGCCATGGCCCGCCTTTGTACTTCTTACCCCTTTCACTCAACATTTGTGTCTCAGCTCAAATAGCACCTCCTGAGAGACCTTCCCTCTATTGAAGTAGCCCCGGTGTCACAATCTGTCACCTCATCCTGATTTCTTCCCTTTATAGCTGTGATCACTACAGCATCTGAAATCATCTAGCTTATTTAGTTGACCTGTTCATCTGTTTAAGCATTAAAAAAAAAAAAAAGTGTGGCCAGGCGCGGTGGCTCACACCTGTTATCCCAACACTTTGGA
This sequence comes from Homo sapiens, assembly GCF_000001405.40. Taxonomy (NCBI): domain Eukaryota; kingdom Metazoa; phylum Chordata; class Mammalia; order Primates; family Hominidae; genus Homo; species Homo sapiens. The sequence continues at coordinate 121,623,480 of NC_000012.12, read as the reverse complement.
AGGCCCAAGCGGGTGGATCACCTAAGGTCAGGAGTTCGAGACCAGCCTGGCTAACATGGTGAAACCCCCATCTCTACTAAAAATACAAAAAAAATTAGCCAGGTATGATGGGGCACGCCTATAATCCTAGCAACTGGGGAAGCTGAGGTAGGATAATTGCTTGAACGCAGGAGGCAGAGGTTGCAGTGAGCTGAGATCAGGCTGCTGCACTCAAGCCTGGGCGACAGAGGGAGACTCCGTCTCCAATAAAAAATAATAGTGACAGCGTCTCCCCATGTTGAGCATGCTGGTCTCAAACTCCTGGGCTCAAGGGATCCTCCCATCTGGGCCTCCCAAAGTTCTGGAATTACAAGCATGAGCCACTGTGTCCAGCCTATTCAAACATTTTATTTTATTTTATTATTATTTTAGGACAGAGTCTCTCTCTGTTCCCCAGGCTGCAGTGCAGTGGCTCGATCTCGGCTCACTGCAACCTCCGCCTCCTGGGTTCAACCGATTATTCTGGCTCAGCCTCCTAAATAACTGGGATTACAGGTGTCCATCACCACACCCAGCTAATTTTTTGTATTTTTAGTAGAGTCAGGGTTTCACCATGTTGGCCAGGCTGGTCTCGAACTCCTGACCTCAAGTGATCCACCCATCTCAGCCTCCCAAAGTGCTGGGATTACAGGTGTAAACCATTGTGCCCAACGTATTTAAACATTTTATTTTATTTTTATTTTTATTATTTTTAAGATGGAGTCTCGCTCTGTCCCCCAGGCTAGAGCGTAGTGGCTCAATCTCAGCTCACTGCAACCTCCAATTCCTAGGTTCAAGCGATTCTTCTGCCTCAGCCTCCTGAGTAACTAGGATTACAGGTGCCCACCAGCACACCCAGCTAATTTTTTATATTTTTAGTAGAGACAGGGTTTCACCATGTTGTCCAGGCTAGTCTCGAACTCCTGAACTCAGATGATCTGCCTGCCTCAGCCTCCCAGAGTGCTGGGATTACAGATGTGAGCCACTGCGCCTGGCCTTATTTATTTATTTATTTATTTATTTATTTATTTATTTATTTATTGAGACAGGGTCTCAATAGTCACCCAGGCTGGAGTGCAGTAGCACATCTCTACTTAAAAAAAAAAAAAAAAAAAAAGGCCAGGCGCGGTGGCTCACACCTATAATCCCAGCACTTTGGGAGGCTGAAACCGGCGGATCGCGAGGTCAGGAGATTGAGACCATCCTGGCTAACACGGTGAAACCCCGTCTCTACTAAAAATACAAAAAAATTAGCTGGGTGTGGTGGCGGGCGCCTGTAGTCCCAGCTACTTGGGAGGCTGAGGCAGGAGAATGGCGTGAACCCGGGAGGCGGAGCTTGCAGTAAGCCAAGATGGTGCCACTGCACTCCAGCCTGGGCGACAGAGCGAGACTCTGTCTCCAAATAAATAAATAAATAAGACTAGGCACGGTGGCTCACACCTGTAATCCCAGCACTTTGGGAGGCTGAGGTGGGCGGATCACCTGAGAGGACAGGAGTTCAAGACCAGCCTGACCAACATGGAGAAACCTCGTCTCTACTAAAAATACAAAAATTAGCTGGTGTGGTGGCGCATGCCTGTAATCCCAGCTACTTGGGAGGCTAAGGCAGGAGAACCGCCTGAACCCGGGAGGTGGAGTTTGCGATGAGATGAGATTATGCCATTGCACTCCAGCCTGGGCAATAAAAGCAATACTCTGTCTCAATAAATAAATAAATAAACCAGATGTGGTGGCGTGAGCCTGTACTCCCAGCTTCTTGGAATGAAGCTGCGGTGATCACACCACTGTCCTCCAACCTAGGCAATAAAGCGAGATCCTGTCTCAAAGAAAAAACAACTAAATAAATAAATGAATCATGGGCCAGGTGTGGTGGCTCATGCTTATAATTCCAACACTTTGGGAGGCCGAGGCGGTAGATCACTTAAGGTCAGGAGTTTGAGACCAGCCTGGCCAACATGGCGAAACTCCGTCTCCATTAAAAATACAAAAATTAGGCCGGGCACGGTGACTCACGCCTGTAATTCCAGCCCTTTCGGAGGCTGAGGCAGGTGGATCACCTGAGGTCAGGAGTTCAAGACCAGCCTGGTCAACATGGTAAAAGCCCATCTCTTCTAAAAATACAAAAATTAGCCGGGCTTGGTGGTGCATGCCTATAATCCCAGCTACTTGGGAGGCTGAGGCAGAAGAAGTGCTTGAACCCGGCAGGCAGAGGTTGGAGTGAGCAGAGATCACGCCACTGCACTGTAGCCTGGGCGACAGAGTAAGACCCTGTGTCAAAATAAGAAAAAATTAGCCGGGCGCGGTGGCTCACACCTGTAATCCCAGCACTTTAGGAGTCCAAGGCGGGCAGATCACGAGGTCTGGAGTTTGAGACCAGTCTGGCCAACATGGTGAAACCCCGTCTCTACTAAAAATACAAAAATTAGTCGAGCGTGGGGGCACACACCTGTAGTCCCAGCTACTTGGGAGGCTGAGGCAGGAAAATTGCTTGAACCCGGGAGGCAGAGGTTGCAATGAGCCGAGATCACACCACTGCACTCCAGCCTGGGTGACAGAGCTAGACTCCATCTCAAAAAAGAAAAAATTAGTTGGGTGTGGTGGCCAGGCCTGTAATCCCAGCTACTCCGGAGGCTGAGGCAGAAGAATTGCTTGAATCCAGGAGGCGAAAGTTGCAGTGAGCCGAGATCCTGCCACTGAACTCCAGCCTGGGCGACAGAGGGAGACTCAGTCTCTCAAAATCAATCAATCAATCAATCACGTCGCTATCACCCCAGGGCCTCCCACTGGCTACTGCCAATGGAAACAGGTTCAATGAACAAAACAATGCAATGTCCTTGGTTCCCAGAAACCCCCAGTTCAGGACTAGGAACACACAACATTTAGCAGCTAAGAGGGCCTGAGGTCTGGAGGGGGAAGAGGCCGGAAGCTGGGAGGAGAGATTTGCTGATTTTAGAGGAACAAAAGGATCTGGGAGTGGTGACTCAGAGGGGGCTTTGGGGTGGTGAGGGTTTCCTTTCCCCAGCTACTATGTCACGCTCCTCACCCCTCTCCTAATATTCTGTGTGGTTTGAATTTCCCCATCTGCACAGATCACAAGTAATAAAAACTTGGGTGGGGTGTCTGGACCATCCCTGCCTCCTGCCCCAGGATCCTAGAGGGGTCCATGGTTACTAACTTTTCCCCACAGTTTTTTTTTTTTTTTTGGTGGTGGGGAGACAGGGGTCTCATTGTGTTACCCAGGCTGCATTCGGACTCCTGGGCTCCACAGGCATGCACCACCAAGCCCGGCTAGAACAATGTTTTCATACCCCTGGCGATGGGAAGCTCACTCCTTCTAGAAGCTGAGCATGTCTGATTGGTTGTCTGATACTTCAAAAGTTGTCCTTGTATGGAGCTGGGGGCAGCTTCCCTGTCAGTCCTTCCTTGTGTCCTGACTCAGAATGCATGAAATCCCTCTGCCAGCCAGCCCTGGTGCCAGCTCCACAAGACATCTGGGAGGCAGCTTTTGTGAGTGATCTTGAAGGTTTTCATGGTCAAAGAATTGGGGTGAAGGAGGCTGGAAACCAAGTGAGACACTGTCAGGGGGCTGGTTACAAAATGCAGAATGGGGTCGGGTTGGTGAGCCCTGGTGTTGGTCTCAGAATGGTTCTCTGACTCTGGAGCTTAGACTATGCCAGGGGAGTGTGAACTCTGTCTCCTTGCTCTCCAGTTTCTGGGCTTATAGTGCTCATTCTTCCTCCCTCCACTCCTACCCCCTCACTGGTCAGAAGTCTTTGTTGGGTCTGAGTTTGTGCCCATGCCTTTAAAAGTGAGAACTTTTTCTGGCCTGGATAAGAAATCTTTGCTGACGACGCGGTGACTCATGCCTGTAATCCCAGCATTTTGGGAGGCTGAGGTGGACGGATCACCTGAGGTCAGGAGTTCGAGACCAGCCTGGCCAGCATGGTGAAACTGCATCTCTACTAAAAATACAAAAATTATCCGGGCATGGTGGCACATGCCTGTAATCCCAGCTATTCAAGAGGCTGAGGCACAAGAATCACTTGAACCCAAGAGGCGGAGGTTGCAGTGAGCTGAGATCACACCATTACACTCCAGCCTGGGCCATAGAGTAAGACTCTATTTAAAAAAAAAAAAAAAGAAAAAAAGAAATCTTTGCCAACCACAAGGTCACGAAGATATTCACCTGTGTTTTCTTTTAAAAGTTTTAGGCCAGGCATGGTGGCTCATGCCTATAATCTCAGCACCTGGGGAGGCCAGGTCGAGAGGATCACTTGAGACCAGGAGGTTTGAGACCAGCCTGGGCAACATAGTGGAACCCTGTCTCTACCCTCCACCCACCCCGCCAAAAATAAAAGTGTTTTTGCTTGTATGTTTAGGTCTGTGATCCGTGTCATACTGATTTTTTTCTATTTCTGTTTTTTTCTTAGAGACAAGGTCTTGCTCTGTTGCCCAGGCTGGAGTGCAGTGGCTCTTCATAGGTGTGATCATTGCACACTACAGCCTCAAATTCATGACTCAAGTGATTCTCACTCCTGCCTCAGCTTCTCAAGTAGCTGAGCCTATAGCCCATCAATCAAATACAGATTTTTGAGTGAAGCAAGCTTTCCCCACTGAAATGCATGGACATTTTTGTCAAAAATCACGTGACTACTATACATGACAGACTGTTTCTGAACTCTCTATTCTAGTCTGTGGATCTATTTGTCTACTCTCATGCCAATAGATACTGTGTTGATTACTCTAGGTTTAAAGTAAATCTTGGGGGCAGGGCGTGGTGGCTCACACCTGTAACCCCAGTACTTTGGGGGGGCCAAGGTGGGCGGATCACTTGAGGTCAGGAGTTTGAGACCAGTCTGACCAACATGGTGAAACCTCATCTCTACTAAAAATACAAAAATTAGCTGGGCATGGTGGCCCGCACCTGTAGTCCCAGCTATTTGGGAGGCTAAGGCAGGAGAACCCTTGAACCCGGGAGACGGAGGTAGCAGTGAGCCGAGGTCACGCCACTGCACTCCATACTGGGCGACAGAGTAAGACTCCGTCTCAAAAGTAAATAAATTGGCCGGGCGCAGTGGCTCATGCCTGTAATCCCAGCACTTTGGGAGGCCGAGGCGGGCCGATCACAAGGTCAGGAGATCGAGACCATCCTGGCTAACACGGTGAAACCTCATCTCTACTAAAAATACAAAAAATTAGCCAGGCGTGGTGGCAGGCGCCTGTAGTCCCAGCTACTCTGGAGGCTGAGGCAGGAGAATGGCATGAACCCGGGAGGCAGAGCTTGTAGTGAGCTGAGATCGCGCCATTGCACTCTAGCCTGGGTGACAGAGTGAGACTCCATCTCAAAAAAAAAAAAAAAAGTAAATAAATTAATAAATAAATAAATAAAAATAAAATAAGTCTTGGGGAAAAAAAACCCCATAAATTCCTCAAAATTAAAAAAAAAAAAGTCTCGGCCGGGCATGGTGGTTCACGCCTGTAATCCCAGCACTTTGGGAGGCCGAGGCGGGCGGATCACGAGGTTAGGAGTTTGAGACCAGCCTGGTCAACGCAGTGAAATCCTGTCTCTACTAAACATACAAAAATTAGCCGGATGTGGTGGCACGCACCTGTAGTCCCAGCTACTCGGGAGGCTGAGGCAGGAGAATTGCTTGAACCTGGGAGGTGGAGGTTGCAGTGAGCCGAGACGGGGCCACTACACTTCAGCCTGGGTGACAGAGCAAGACCCTGTCTCAAAAAAAAAAGTCTCTTTTTTAAGACAGAGTCTCTCTCTATTGCCCAGGCTGGAGTGCAATGGCACGTTCTGGGCTCACTGCAACCTCGGCTCCCGGGTTCAAGCGATTCTCCTGCTTCAGCCTCCCGAGTAGCTAGGATTACAGGTGCCTGCTGCCACATCCAGCTAATTTTTGTATTTTTAGTAGAAACAGGGATTCGCCGTGTTGGCCAGGCTGGTCTGGAACTCCTGACCTCAGGTTATTCACCCACCTCAGCCTCCCAAAGTGCTGAGATTACAGACATGAGTCACCACGCCCGGCCTCAAAATAAGTCTTAAAGTCAGGTAGAGGTAAGACCTTCAACTTGTTCCCTCCCTCCCTTCCTCCCTTCCTTCCTTCCTTCTTTTTTTTTCACAGGGGTCTTGGTCTCTTGCCCAGACTGGAGTGCAGTGGCACAATCTCAGCCCACTATAACCTCTGCCTCCCGGGTGCAAGTGATCCTCTCAGCTCAGCCTCCCAAGTAGCTAGGGCTACAGGCCTGCATCACCACATCTGGCTAATTTTTGTGTTTTTTTTTTTTTTTTTTTTTTTGTAGAGACAGGGGGTCTTGCCACGTTGCCCAGGCTGGTCTTGAACTCCTGGGCTCAAGCGATCCGCTTGCCTCAGCCTCCCAAAGTGCTGGGATTAAAGGCTAGAGCCACTGTGACCAGCTTCTTTTTTGTTGTTGTTGTTTTGAGATGAAGTTTCATTCTGTTGCCTAGACTGGAGTCCAGAGGCACGATTATGGCTCACTGCAGCCTTGACCTCCTGGGTTCAAGTGACCCTCCCACCTCAGCCTGCCAAGTAGCTGAGACTACATGCACACACCACCACACCTGGCTAATTTTTTATTATTTATAAAGATGGGATCTAATATGTTGCCTAGGCCAGTCTCAAAACTCCTGGACACAAGCGATCCTCCTGCCATGGCCTCCCAAAATGCTGGGATTACAGGCGTGAGCTAACCTACCCAGCCTAGTTCTCTTTTTCTTTTCTTTTCTTTCTTTCTTTTTTTTTTTTTTTTTTTGAGACGGAGTTTTGCTCTTGTTGCCCAGGCTGGAGCGCAATGGCATGATCTCAGCTCACTGCAACCTCCACCTCCTGGATTCAAGTGATTCTCCTGCCTCAGCCTCCCGAGTAGCTGGGATTACAGGCATGCACCACCACGCCCGGGTAATTTTTACATTTTTAGTAGAGACGAGGTTTCTACATGTTGGTCAGGCTGGTCTTGAACTCGTGACCTCAGGTGATCCACCCACCTCAGCCTCCCAAAGTGCTGGATTACAGGCATGAGCCACCACGCCTAGTCTAGTTCTCCTTTTTCAAAACTGAATTTGCTGTACAGAATGTTGGGGTAAATTTTGTCAATACACATATGCCTTGGAGAATCACTATATCCCTTAACTTGGTGGGTGTCAGCAGGATCATTTTCCTGGACGGTCTGACATCCTCTATTAGCAAAGCAGGCCACACTGCAGAGATCAGACACATGAGATCAGGTTGGACTCTTAAAGGTTAAACTGTGTCCCCCCAAAAAAGACATTGCAGTCCTAAACCTCAGTACCTCAGAATGTGACCTCATTTGGGGCTGGGCGCAGTGGCTCACGCCTGTAATTTCAACACCTTGGGAGACTGAGGCAGGCGGATCACCTGAGGTCAGGAGTTCAAGACCAGCCTGGCAAACATGGTGAAACCCCATCTCTACTGAAAATACAAAAAGTAGCCAGGAGGTGGAGGTTGCAGTGAGCCAAGATTGCGCCATTGCACTGCAGCCCGGCAGACAAGAGTGAAACTCCACCTCAAAAAGAAGAATGTGGCCGGCTGGGCACGATGGCTCACGCCTGTAATCCCAGCACTTTGGGAGGCCGAGGCAGGCGGATCACGAGGTCAGGAGATCGAGACCATCCTGGCTAACACGGTGAAACCCCCGTCTCTAATGAAAAAAATACAAAAAATTAGCCAGGCATGGTGGCAGGTGCTTGTAGTCCCAGCTACTCGGGAGGCTGAGGCAGGAGAATGGCGTGAACCTGGAAGGCAGAACTTGCAGTGAGCCGAGATCACGCCACTGCACTCCAGCCTGGGTGACAGAGCGAGACTCCGTCTCAAAAAAAAACAAAAGAAGAAGACTGTGGCCAGGCACGGTGGCTCACATCTGTAATCCCAGCACTTTGGGAGGCCGAGGAGGGTGGATCAGGAGGTCAGGAGTTGGAGACCAGCCTGGCCAACATGGTGAAACCCGATCTCTACTAAAAATACAAAAATTAGCTGGGTGTGAAGGCAAGCGACTGTTGTAATCCTAGCTACTTGGGAGGCTGAGGCAGGAGAATCTCTTGACACTGGAAGGCAGAGGTTGCAGTCAGCTGAGATTGTGCCATTGCACTCCAGCCTGGGCGAAAGAGTGAAACTCTCTAAAAAAAAAAAAAAAAACCACAAACAAAAAAAAACGAAGAATGTGACCTCATTTGGAAATACAGCCTTTACAGAGGTAATCAAATTAAAATGAGGTCATAGGGTGGGCACTTATTTCGTTTGGATCTGTGTCCCCACCCAAATCTCATGTTCAATTGTAATCCCCAGTGTTGGAGATGGAGCCTGGTGAGAGGTGATTGGATCACGGGGCCAGTTTCTCATGAATGGTTTAGCACCATCCTCTTGGTGCTATGACAGTGAGTGAGATCTGGTTGTTTAAAAGTGTATAGCACCTCCCCGCCCCTCTCTTCCTCCTGCTCCCGCCATGTGAAGGGCTGGTTCCTCCTTTGCCTTCCGCCATGATTGGAAGCTTCTTGAGGCCTCCCCAGAAGCAGATGCTGCAATGTTTCCTGCACAACCTTCCGAACCAAGAGCCAATTAATCCTCTTTTCTTTCTTTCTTTCTTTCTTTTTTTTTTTTTGACGGAGTCTCGCTCTGTCGCCCAGGCTGGAGTGCAGTGGCGCAATATCAGCTCACTGCAAGCTCCACCTCCCGGGTTCACGGCCATTCTCCTGCTTCAGCCTCCGGAGTAGCTGGGACTACAGGCGACTGCCACCACGCCCAGCTGATTTTTTTGTATTCATCCTCTTTTCTTTATAAATTACTCAGTCTTAGGTATTTCTTTTTCTTTTTTTTTTTCGAGACAGAGTCTCACTCTGTTGCCCAGGCTGGAGTGCAGTGGCGCGATCTGGGCTCACTTTAACTTCCGCCTCTGGGTGCAAGCAATTCTCTGCCTCCGCCTCCCGAGTAGCTGGGATTACAGGTGCCTGCCACCACGCCCAGCTAATTTTTGTATTTTTAGTAGAGATGAGGATTCACCATCTTGGACCGGCAGGTTGAACTGCTGACCTCGTGATCCACCTGCCTCAGCCTCCCAAAGTGCTGGGAGTACAGGCGTGAGCCACTGTGCCCGGCCTAGGTATTTTTTTTTTTTTTTTTTTTGAGATGGAGTCTCGCTCTGTCTTCCAGGCTGGAGTGCAGTGGCTCAATGTTGGCTCACTGCAACCTCCACCTCCCTGGTTCAAGCAATTCTCCTGCCTCAGCCTCCCGAGTAGCTGGGATTACAGGAGTGCATCACCACGCCCGGCTAATTTTTGTATTTTTAGTAGAGAGGGGGTTTCGCCATGTTGGCCAGGCTGGTCTCGAACTCCTGGCCTCAAATGATCTGTCCGCCTCGGCCTCCCAAAATGCTGGGATTACAGGCGTGAACCATGGTGCCCAGCCTCAGGTATTTCTTTTCATTTTTTTTTTTTTTTTTCTAAATGGAATTTTGTGCTTGTTGCCCAGGCTGGAGTGCAGTGGTGCAATCTCGCCTCACTGCAACCTCCACCTCCTGGGTTCAAGCGATTCTCCTGCCTCAGCCTCCCGAGTAGCTGGGATTATAGGCGCCTGCCACAACGTCCGACTAATGTTTTGTAGTTTTAGTAGAGACAGGGTTTCCCCATTTTGGCCAGACTTGTCCCGAACTCCTGACCTCAGGTGATCTGCTGGCCTGGGCCTCCCAAAGTGCTGGAATTACAGGTGTGAGTCACCGTGCCCAGCTTGGTATTTCTTTATAGCAATGACAGAACAGACTCATACAGCCCTCTTCCAATATTACTAATATCCTTATAAAAAGGAGAAGTGTGAAATTTGCAAGGAGCAGTGGCTCTTGTCTGGGGTTCCCGCTACTAGTGAGGCTGAGGCAGGAGCATTGCTTGATCCCATGAGGTCAAAGCTGCACTGAGCTGTGAGCGTGACACTGCACTCCAGCCTTGGCAACAGTGTGAGACCCTGTCTCAAAAAAGACAAAAACAGCCAGGCACCGTGGCTCACGCCTGTAATCCCAGCCTTTTGGGAGGCCGAGGCGGGCGGATCACCTGAGGTCAGGAGTTGGAGACCAGCCTGACCAACATGGAGAAAACTTATCTCTACTAAAAATACAAAATTAGCCGGGCGTGGTGGCATGTGCCTGTAATCCCAGTTACTCGGGAGGCTAAGGTAGGAGAATGGCTTGAACCCGGGAGGAGGAGGTTGTAGTGAGCCAAGATCGCACCACTGCACGCCAGCCTGGGCAACAAGAGCGAAACTCTGTCAGAAAAAAAAAACAAAAAACAAAAAACAAAAACAAAGGAGGAAATTTAGACACAGACAGACATGTACAGAGGGAAGACCACATGAATGGACACAAGAAGACGGCCGTCTACAAGCCAGGTAGCTCGAGCAGCAGGGCCTGGGGCATGTCCTTCCCTGGTTCCTTCCGAGGGACCGTGGCCTTGCTGACATCTTGATTTTGGACTTCTGGCCTCCAGAACTGTGAGACAATAAGTTTCTCTCCTAAGCCACCCAGTTTGTGGGACTTAAAAAAATTTTTTTGGGGGGGCCGGGCGTGATGGCTCACGCCTGTAATCCCAGCACTTTGGGAGGCCGAGGTGGGCGGATCACCTGCGGTCAGGAGACCAGCCTGGGCAACATGGCGAAACCCTGTCTCTACTAAAAAATACAAAAGTTAGCTGGGAATGGTGGTGTACGCCTGTAGTCCCAGCTACTCGGGAGGCTGAGGTGGAAGAATCGTTTGAACCCAGGAGGCGGGGGTTGCAGTGAGCTGAGATCAGGCCATTGTACTCCAGCCTGGGTGACAGAGTGAGACTCTGTCTCAAAAAAAAAAAAACAAAAAACAAAAAACAGGTCAGGAGCGGTGGCTCACGCCAGGACTTTGGGAGGCCAAGGCAGGCGGATCACGAGGTCAGGAGATCGAGACCATCCTGGCTAACATGGTGAAACCCTGTCTCTACTAAAAATACAAAAAATTAGCTGGGCGTGGTGGCGGATGCCTGTAGTCCCAGCTACTCGGGAGGCTGAGGCAGGAGAATGGCGTGAACCTGGGAGGCAGAGCTTGCAGTGAGCCAAGATCGCGCCACTGCACTCCAGCCTGGGCAACAGAGTGAGACTCCATCTCAAAAAAAAAAAAAAAAAAAGAAGAAGAAAAGAATACAAGGAGGCTGGAGTGATTTGGGGTGGGGTCTTCAGCCAGCCAAGGAAGTTGAATTCTAATGGGGCTGCAAGTGTGTTCAGATGAGATTAGATCATTATGCAGAGTTTGGAGCTAGGCACTCTTGGATTTGAATCCCAGTTTTGTCAGTTTGTAACTGTGCCACTTTGGGCAAGCACCCCAGCCTCTCTGAGCCCCATCTGTGAAAGGGGAATATTGATGGGACTTGGCAAAGAGGTTGTTATGAGTGTTTCATGAAAGAAAAGTTGTCTGGCAATTAGCACAGCGCTCAGTAAATGGTGGCTCCAACCTTCCCTCTCATGGGATGTGCTGTGCTCAGAGAAAGAGGATTGCTGCCTTCCAGATTGAATGAATTGACTGATCTGTAAGTCTTTAGTGAAGGTAGTATATCTGTGAGAATCTGACCAGGACAAACAGTTACCACACTAAGAGCATTTATCCTGAGAATTGCTCCAGGGGTAATGGAAGACTTACAGGAAAAGGCAGGCAGGGGAAGGGCAGCCCCCAGGTTAGCCCCAGCAGGAGGACTGCTATCACCCTGGGGTTGGAGGGACAGAGGCAGGGGGTGGTGTTTCTGGTACCGAAGAGGGACTGGAGTCCTCAGGCAGAAGCCAGAGCCACAGTGGACCTGTCTGGTGGGAGGTGGAGCTGGAGATCCCACCTGAGGCAGAGGGGTAGGAACACCCTGGATTCCCCTCCTCCCACCACCTGGCTCCTCCCACCCACCAGGCTCCTCCCACCACCAGGCTCCTCCCACCCACCAGGCTCCTGGCACTGCCTCCAGTTGGTCCATCTGTGCAGGAAGCCACCCTGCCAAAGGTTGGCCACCCTGTGATCTGGAGCAAGGCTAGAGAAAGGCAAGGGAGGGGTCCAAGGGCAAAGAAGTGCAGGCCCAACACTGGGGTGTGGGGGTTCCATCCGTTCTCTCTGGAGATTCCAGATTCCCCATCTAGAAAACGGGGATAATAATAGCACCTACTTATAGAATAGCTGACTGCCTACAACAGTGTAACACGTGTAAGCAGGTGAGCCCAGCAGCTGGCACACAGTAGGGAGTACCCCATAGATGTCATGAACAACCTAGTTAGCTGTTTTCTGCTCAGAGGATGAAAGGAGGTAACAGGGCCAGGCACAGTGGCTCACACCTGTAATCCCAGTACTTTGGGAGGCTGAGGCAGGAGGATCGCTTGAGCCCAGGAGTTCAAGACCAGCCTGGGCAACATAGTAAAACCCTGCCTCTAATAAAAAAAAAAAAAGAGAGAGAGAGAAAGAGGAAAAGAAATGAGAAAAAGAGAAAGAAAGAAAAGAAAAGAAAGAAAGAGCAAGAAGAAAGGGAAAGAAAGAAAAGAAAGAAAGAGAAAGAAAGAAGAAAAGAAATGAAAAGAGCTGAGCTAACAGGACAGGGCCTGGGAATAAATTCGAGGTACAGGAACAGTGCTAGGGCTGGTGATATTTTTGTCTTGGAGACGTGTCCATCTGTCCTCTCTCCATTCTAAGCTGGTGAGTCTGTCGGTCTCCTTTTAGAAATCCTGAGTCAGGGCAGCTCTTACCAAGTTCAGGGTGGCTCGAAGTTTGGCCTCTGTGCTCCCTCAAAAGGATTTCAAATCCACTAGATTTTTAGTTGGTTTCTCTGCCTCCTACCATTGCCAAACTTCCCTTGCCTCCCCCAGCCTGGGGCTGAGCCATTTCCAGGATCTCGCTTTGTATAATTAAAAAGAAAAATAGAACAGCTGATGTTGCCAAACATGTATTTAAAGTGACACCCTGAGTTCAAGGAGTGGAAAATAAAAACGTTTAAGGTTTAGATTAAAAGTCTCCATGCTCAGCTGTCTCCTAACCCTGGGATTTCTCCACAGCCCGGCCGCCTTTAATCCCCTGCCCTGGCTCGTAAAAGCCCTTTAGACTGAGGGCATTTATTTCCCAGAGAACAGTTCCAGCCTAATCACATAAAAACACCCGCATCCTGGGAACAGCCTGTCAAACACAGTGTGGCTCTGTGAGGCCCCAGAGAAGCTGGAGAAATTGTAGTTCTGATCACCCCAGGAGTCACGCTGCAGTCACTTTCCTAGACTGCACCCTTCCCCACAATATCCAATTCATCAATAAACCCAGTCAGTTCTAGCCCCTAGCATTTTCTTTTTCTTTTTCTTTTTTTTTTTGAAACGGAGTCTCGCTCCGTCGCCCAGGCTGGAGTGCAGTGGCGCGATCTCGGCTCACTGCAAGCTCCGCCTCCCGGGTTCACACCATTCTCCTGCCTCAGCCTCCTGAGTAGCTGGGACTACAGGCGCCCGCCACCACGCCCAGCTAATTTTTTTTTGTATTTTTTAGTAGAGACGGGGTTTCACCTTGTTAGCCAGGATGGTCTCGATCTCCTGACCTCGTGATCCACCTGCCTCGGCCTCCCAAGGTGCTGGGATTACAGGCGTGAGCCACTGCGCCCGGCCTCCCCTAGCATTTTCTTGAGATCTGAGCTCTTCCGTCCAGCAGCAACCATTCCATCACATCCGGGCTGCCATTGTTGCCCACCCACACGTCTGCAGTTACCCACCCGGGCTCTCTGCTTCTGCTGATCCCGCTAAAGCCCATTCTGTAATAGCAACAAGAAATAGTTTTTGAAACATAAATCTGATCATGTCCTTTCTCTGCTTGTATTAGTTTCCCATTGCTGCTGTAAGAAATTACCATAAATTGGCCGGGCGCGGCGGTTCATGCCTGTAATCCCAGCACTTTGGGAAGCCGAGGTGGGCAGATCACCTGAGGTCAAGAGTTCGAGACCAGCCTGGCCAACATGGTGAAACCCCATCTCTACTAAAATTTCAAAAATTAGCCGGGCGTGGTGGCAGTCTCCTGTAATCCCAGCTACTCAGGTGGCTGAGGCATGAGAATCTCTTGAACCCAGGAGGCAGAGGTTGCAGTGAGCCGAGATTGCGCCATCACACTCCAGCCTGGGGGACAAGACCGAGTCTTTGTCTCCAAAAAAAAAAAAAAAAAAAAAAGCAAAAATTAACCAGGCGTGGTGGCGGGTGCCTGTAATCCCAGCGACTCGGGAGGCTGAGGCAGGAGAATTGCTTGAACCCGGGAGGCGGAGCTTGCAGTGAGCCGAGATCACATCACTGCACTCCAGCCTGGGCGAGACAGAGTGAGACTCCATCTCAAAACACACACACAAACACACACACACACACACACACACAAATTCATTATCTTAGTTCTAGAGGTAAGAAGTTCAAAATGAATCATCAGGGGCCAAAATTAAGGTGACAGCAGGGCTGGTTCCTTTGGAGGCTCCAATGAGATAATGGGAAAATCCATTTCTTGCTTTTTCCCTTCTGCTGGCTGCCTGCATTCCTTAGTGTGCAGCCCCTTCTGTTTCTAAAGCAGGTCACGCCTCTCCAGACTCTGCTTCCATTGTCACATCGCTTCTCTGACCTCCTCTACCTCTCCTGAGGACACCTGTGGTTACACTGGGCCCACCCAGGTAATCCAGGATCAATCTTAAAATCCTTCACTCCATCACATCCGCAAAGTCCCTTCATCCATATACGGTCACATATTCACAGGTGCCAGACAGTAAGACATGGACATCCCTGGGGGACATTTACTCAGCCTGCCACACTGTGTACAGCCCTCCAGTGACCATGCATCTGAGAATCTGAGTTAGGATGAAATCCAAGCGCCTTCCCCAGCATGGGAAAGACTGATGTGATCTAGTTCCTGCCTATCTCTCCAGTGTGGTGGCTCACGTTTGCAATGTCAGCACTTTGGGAGGCCAAGGCGGGTAGATCACCTGAGGTTAGGAGTTCAAGACCAGCCTGGCCAACATGGCGAAACCCCATCACTACCAAAAATACAAAAATTAGCCAGGCAGTGTGTTGTGACGCATGACTGTAATCCCAACTACTCAGGAGGCTGAGGCATCAGAATCGCTTAAACCTGGGAGGCAGAGGTTGCAGCGGGTGGAGATCGCACCACTGCTCTCCAGCCTGGGTGACAGAGTAAGCCCCCATCTCAAAACAAAACAAAACAAACAAACAAAATTTCAAGCCAGGTGCCTATAATCCCAGCACATTTGGAGGTCAAGTCAGGAGGATCACTTGAGCCCAGGAGTTCCAGATCAGCCTGGGTAACATGGCCAGACCCCATCTCTACAAATAATAAAACTAGGCTGGGCATGGTGGCTCACGCTTGTAATCCCAGCACTTTGGGAGGCTGAGGTGGGTGGATCACCTGAGGTCAGGAGTTCAAGACCAGCCTGGCAAAAATGTTGAAACCCTGTCTCTACTAAAAATACAAAAAATTAGCTGGGCATGGTGGTGGGCACCTGTAATCCCAGCTACTCGGGAGGCTGGGACAGGAAAATTGCTTGAACCTGGGAGGCAGAGGTTGCATTGAGCTGAGATCAAGCCACTGCACTCCAGCCTGGGTGAGAGAGTGAAACTCTGTCTCAGATAAAATAAAATAAATAAATAAATAAAACAACAGCAATGTATTGGTCATAGTTCTGGGGGCTGGGAAGTTCAAGGTCAAGTCACCAGCAGACTCGGTCTCTGGTGAGGACTTAGTTTACTTCAAAAATGGCACCCTGTTGCTGTATCTTCCATGGTGGAAAGGGGCTAGCTTCTCCACTCGGGTCTCTTTT
The DNA here is from genome assembly GCF_000001405.40 of Homo sapiens. Classification (NCBI taxonomy): domain Eukaryota; kingdom Metazoa; phylum Chordata; class Mammalia; order Primates; family Hominidae; genus Homo; species Homo sapiens. Next base: position 121,607,609 of record NC_000012.12, on the reverse strand, counting down.
TTTCTTTTCCAGACAAGGTCAGTTCTGTCGTCCAAGCTGGAGTGCAATGGCATGATCTCAGCTCACTGCAAGCTCCAGCTTCTGGATTTAAGTGATTCTCCTCCCTTGGGGATCACAGGCATGCACCACCACACCTAGCACATTTTTGTATTTTTAGTAGACACAGGATTTCGCCATGTTGGCCAGGCTGGGGACCTCTTTTATTTATTTATTTGGTTGTTGCTGTTGTTGAGACAGGATCTCACTCTGTCGCCCAGGCTGAAGTGTAGTGGTACAATCACAGCTCACTACAGCCTCATTCTCCCAGGCTCAGGTGATCCTTCCACCTCAGCATCCTGGGTAGCTGGGACCACAGGAATGCACCACCACAACCGGCTAATATTGTGTAGTGAGACGGGGTCTCCCCATGTTTGCCCAGGCCAGTCTCGAACTCCTGGGCTCAAGCAATCTGCCTACCTCAGCCTCCCAAAGTTCTGGGACTACAGGCATGAGCCACAGCACATAGCCCCCTCGAGCTGCTTTTATGAGGGCACTAATCCCTTCACACACGCAGAACCTTATAACTTAATCACCTCCCAAAGGACCTATCTCTTAATACTATTGCATTGGGTATTAGGTTCCAACACATGAATTTTGGGGGGACACTAACATTCGGACAATTGTATATGTATACTATCAAGTCTATTTACATAAAATTCAAAGACAGGACAAGTAAAATGGAAACTATGGGAGTGATGGATATGCGTTAATCAATATGACCATGGTAATCAGGACACAATGGATTTCAACTCATCACACTGTACATCTTGAATATATACAATTCAATTTATCAGTTAAAATTTTTTTTTGAGATAGAGTCTTGCTCTGTCTCAGGCTGGAGTGCAATGGCACGATCTCGGCTCACGGCAACCTCTGCCTCCCGGGTTCGAGCTATTCTCCTGCCTCAGCCTCCTGAGTAGCTGGGATTACAGGCGCGCACCACCACGCCCGGCTAATTTTTGTATTTTTAGTAGAGACAGGGTTTCACCATGTTGGCCAGGCTGGTCTTGAACTCCTGACCTCATGATCCACCCGCCTTGGCTTCCCAAAGTGCTGGGATTACAGATGTGAGCCACCACGCCTGGCCATTATCAATTAAATATTTTTAAATCAAAAAAGAAGAAATGGCTGGGTGCATTGGCTCACACCTGTAAACCCAGCACTTTGGGAGGCAGAGGCAGGGAGATATTTTGAGGCCAGGAGTTCAAGACCAGCCTGGGCAACATGGCGAAACCCTGTCTCTACAAAAAATAAAAGTAAAAAATTGGCCAGGCATGCTGGCTTGCACCTGTGGTCCTAGCTACTGGGGAGGCTAAGGAAGGAGGATCCCTTGAGCCTAGGAGTTTGAGGCTGCAGTGAGCTGTGATTGCATCAGTGCACTCCAGCCTGGGTGAGAGAGGGAGACCCCCATCTCTAAAAATAAAAAGGAAACAAGTGAATGATTCAAAACAAAAAGAACATGCCAAAGAAAACAATATATATAAAAACTAGGCCAGCGCACGGTGGCTCACGCCTGTGATCCCAGCACTTTGAGAGGCTGAGGCAGGCGGTCAGGAGTTTGGGACCAGCTGGGCTAACATGGCAAAACCCCGTCTCTACTAAAAAATACAAAAATTAGGTGGGTGTGGTGGTGCGCAGCTGTAATGCCAGCTACTTGGGAGGCTGAGGCAGGAGAATCCCTTGAACTTGGGAGGAGGGGATTGCAGTAAACGAGACTGCGCTACCGCACTCCAGGGTGGGTGATAGAGTGGGACTCTGTCTCGAAAAAAAATTTAAAAAAAGGCCGGGCGTGCTGGCTCATGCCTATAATCCCAGCACTTTGGGAGGCCGAGGCGGGTGGATCACGAAGTCAGGAGTTCAAGACCAGCCTGGAGTTCAAGACCAGCCTGGCCAAGATGGTGAAACTCCATATCTACCAAAAAATACAAAAATTAGCCAGGCATGGTGGCGGGCACCTGTAATCCCAGCTACTCGGGAGGCTGAGGCAGGAGAATCACTTGAACCCGGCAGGCAGAGGTTGCAGTGAGCTGAGATCGCGCCACTGCACTCCAGCCTGGGTGACAGAGCAAGACTCCATCTCAAAAACAAATAAACAAACAAAAAAACCCTGCAATGGTACAATAAGCGATAAATACAAAAATATACTAGTACTTTCAGGGGGTTAGGAGGAAGAGACTGGGATGGGTCCGTGGAGAATTTCTTTTTTTTTTTTTTTTTGAGATGGGGTCTCACTCTGTTGCCCAGGCTGGAGTGCAGTGGTGCCATCTCGGCTCACTGCAAGCTCCGCCTCCTGGGTTCACTCCATTCCCCTGCCTCAGCTTCCTGAGTAGCTGGGACTACAGGCGCCCGCCACCACACCCGGCTAAATTTTTTTTGTATTTTTAGTAGAGATGGGGTTTCACCATGTTAGCTAGGATGATCTGGATCTCCTGACCTCGTGATCCACCCACCTTGGCCTCCCAAAGTGCTGGGATTACAGGCGTGAGCCACCACGCCCGGCCATGGAGAATTTCAAAGAGACACTGGGATTGCTGGGCTTCTGTTGCTGCTGTTTTAACATGGAATGTCTCAGCCTCATGAATCTGCTTGTCATTCTCGCGCAAGGGCCATGCTAAAGTGCTATGTGCGGTTTCAATTTCAGTATACGTGCTGCCAAAGTGAGTGAGTACTGCTGCTTTTTTTAATTGTGACAAAATATATGTAACATAAAATTTATCATTGTAACAATTTTTAAGTGTACAGCTCCATGACATTAAGCATATTCACACTGTTGTACAACCATCACCACCATCCACGTCTAGAACTTTTCCATCCTCTCAAACAAAAAGTCTGTCCCCATTAAACCTAACTCCCCAGAATATCCCCCTCCATCCAGCCCCTGGCCACCACCATTATATCTATTCTATATTCTATTCTGTTTTCTTTCTCTCTTTTCTTTCTTTCTTTCTTTTTTTTTTTTTTTTGAGATAGAGTTTCACTCTGTCGCCCAGGCTGACATGCAGTCGCTCAGTCTCGGCTCACTGCAACCTCTGCCTCCCACGTTCAAGTGATTCGTCTGTCTCACCCTCCCAAGTATCTGGGATTACAGCTACGCGCCACCACGCCTGACTCTTTTTTTTTTTTTTTTTTGAGATGGAGTTTCGCTCTTGTTGTCCAGGCTGGAGTGTAATGGCACAATCTTGGCTCATCATAACCTCCGCTGCCCGGGTTCAAGCAATTCTCCTACCTTAGCCTCCCCAGTAACTGGGATTACAGGCATGCGCCACCACGCCCAGCTAATTTTGTATTTTTAGTAGAGATGGGTTTTCTTTTTCTCTCTTTTTTTTGTTTTGAGATGGGGTTTCGCTCTTGTTGCCCAGGCTGGAGTGCAATGGCACGATCTCGGCTCACCGCAACCTCCGCCTCCCGGGTTCAAGCGATTCTCCTGCCTCAGCCTCCCTAGTAGGTAGGATTACAGGCATGTGCCACCACGCCTGGCTAATTTTGTATTTTTAGTAGAGACAGGGTTTCTCCCTGCAGGTCAGGCTGGTCTCAAACTCCCGACCTCAGGTGATCAGCCCGCCTCGGCCTCCCAAACTGCTGGGATTACAGGCATGAGCCACCACACCCGGCCATGAGATAGGGTTTCTCCATGTTGGTCAGACTGGTCTCGAACTCCCGACCTCAGATGATCCACCCGCCTTGGCCTCTCAAAGTGCTGGAATTACGGGCATAAGCCTCCACGCCCAGCCCTTGGGCCCATCATTCTGTTTTCTGTTTCCATGAATTGAAATACTCTAGGTACTTCATATTAATGGAATCATACCATATTTGTCCATTCATGTCTGGCTTATTTCACTTAGCATGTCTTCAAGGTTTATCTTGTTGCAGCATGTGTCAGAATTTCCTTTGTTTTTAAGTCTGAATCATATTCCATATTATATTATATTCCATATACCATGTTTTATTTTTCCATTTATCTACTGATGGACATTTGGGTCATTTTCACCTTTGTGGTTGTTGTCAATAGCACTGCTATGAAACTGTTAATGTTTTCTCTCTTAAGTCGATAGTAATAATTGTGTGTGTGTGTGTGTGTGTGTATATATATATATATATATATATATATTATTTTTTTTTTTTTTGGGATGGAGTCTCCCTCTATCGCCCAGGCTGGAGTGCAGTGGTGCAATCTTGGCTCACTGCAAGCCTCCTGGGTTCAAGCGATTCTCCTGTCTCAGCCTCCCAAGTAGCTGGGACTACAGGTGTGTGCCACCATGCCTGGCTAAGTTTTGTATTTTTGGTAGAGACAAGGTTTCACCATGCTGGCCAGGATGGTCTCGATCTCCTGACCTTGGATCAACCTGCCTCGGCCTCCCAAAGTGCTGGGATTACAGGCATGAGCCACCGCTCCCGGCCCCTATATTATTATTTTTAAAACCGTACATATAAGTTTATTTCCTATTTTTAAGCTCAGAATCGCGTAATGTTATTTATTTTCACACCTTCCCACAGTGGAACAGTCTTTATTACTTTGCTTGGCAGTAAGTAACTCCAGAAAGTAATCTAATGACTCAGTTTTACTACGGCAAATATTATTAGCCATTTTCTTGCCAAAATAATCAATACATTATTAAAGTTCATCCTGTAAATGTTCTAAACTAACTGATGATAAGACCACAATAAAAGGTAATATACAGTCAGACGCAGTGGCTCCCGCCCTGTAATCCCAGCACTTTGGGGAGGTAGGTGGAGCACTTGAGACAGGAGTTTGAGACCAGCCTGGGCAACATGGTGAGACCCCCATCTCTATAAAAAAATTAAAAATTAGCTGGGTGTGGTGGTGTCCACCTATAGCCCCAGCTACTCGAGAGGCTGAGACAAGAGGCTTGCTTAAGCCCAGGAGGTTGAGGCTGCAGTGAGCTATGATTGCACTACTGCACTCCAGCTTAAGCAACACAGCAAGATCCTGTCTCCCCCACAAAAAAAGGAGGCCAGGCATGGTTGCTCAAGCCTATAATCCCAGCACCTTGGGAGGCTGAGGTGGGCAGATCTCTTGAGCCTAGGAGTTAGAGACCAGCCTGGACAACATGGAGACACCTTGTCTCTACAAAAAACACAAAACAATTAGTGGGGTGTGGCGGCGCATGCCTATAGTCCCAGCCACTCTGAGGCTGAGCCAGGAGAATGGCTTGAACCAGGAAGGTGAGGTTGCAGTGAACCGAGATGGTGTCACTGCACTCCAGCCTGGGCGACAGAGCGAGACTCCATCTCAAAAACAAACAAACAAACAAACAAACAAACAAACAAACAACCATCACAAAAAAAACCTGCAGAATATATTTTACCACAGTTAAAGAGGAGGAGGCTGAGCGCGATAGCTCATGTCTGTAATCCCAGCACTTTCGGAGGCCGAGGTGGGCGGATCACCTGAGGTTGGGAGTTCAAGACCAGCCTGACCAATATGGAGAAACCCCATCTCTACTAAAAATGCAAAAAATTGGCTGGGTGTGGTGGCATATGCCTGTAATCCCAGCTACTCGGGAGGCTGAGGCAGGAGAATCGCTTGAACCTGGGAGGTGGAGGTTGCAGTGAGCCGAGATCACACCATTGTACTCCAGCCTGGGCAACAAGAGCGAAACTCCATCTCAAAAAAATAAAATAAAATAAATAAATAAATAAAAAAAAGAAGGAAGGAAGGAAAGTTTTGGATTGTGCAAAGCTTTGTGACTCTAGTGAAGATTTGAGTCTTCAATGATTTCTTTTATTTATTTATTTATTTATTTTTTTAGAGATGAAGTCTCACTCTGTTGCCCAGGCTGGAGTGCAACGGCATGATCTCGGCTCACTGCAACCTCCGCTTCCTGGGTTCAAGCGACTCCCCTGCCTCAGCCTCCTGAGTAGCTGGGATTACTAGCATGCACCACCATGCCTGGCTAATTTTTGTATTTTTAGTGGAGACAGGGTTTCGCCATGTTGGCCAGGCTGGTCTCGAACTCCTGACCTCAGGTGATCCGCCCGCCTTGGCCTCCCAAAGTGCTGGGATTACAGGCGTGAGACACCACGCCTGGCCCATCTTCAATGATTTCTATGCATTGTCTGGGTTTTTGCAAAATTAGATCATGGATTACCTCTATAATTTTTCAAAATTAACTTGCCATTATAGGAGTCCAGGCAAGGTGTTAAGAAGTCAAGGAGGAGGAGAATCAAATCTTTCATTTCATAGATGGAAAATCAGGCCAAATCTGAGGGAGGGCACCTGTCAGAAGTGCAGGCCCTTTGCCAGAGCTCCAGGGTTAGAACTCAGCTGCTGCCCTCTTGCCTGGTGTATGAAGGAAGGAACAACTGCGGTCACGGAAGCGGCCGTAATTAGACAGCAGGCAATGATTGAGTGGGAGCTGCAGGCAAAGTCCTCCATGGGTGCCCGGGGATGGACAGGCAGGTGAGCTAGGGGCCAGCCTGGCCTCACCTTCAAAGAGCTGGTTCCCAGGTGAGAAGATATGGCCCTGAGAAAGGTACCTGGCAGTACAGGTGATAAGGGGCCCTCTGCACTCTAAACACACCCACCTTCTAGCCTTATCTTTGTGTGTTAGAGTTATTTATTTACAGGCCATGTTAGCAGGAAGACTGGGGGCTCCTTGAGGGCGTTCATTCATTCAGGCATTTATTGAACTACTGTGTACCCAGGCACTGATTGGGACAGCTGTATACAGTAGCTGCTTGATAAACATACATTGCATTGAATGACAAGCTCAGAGCTTAGCATTACCTAAGCACTCCATAAATCCTGCTTGGATTGAATAAATAATGTATGAATAAATTACAGGCATCAGGCCTGGCACACAGTAGGTGTTTAATACATGTTGAATGCATGAAGGAAGGACTAACACAAGGTCTGGTACACAGGAAATACATGTTGCAAGAACCTGCCTGTATTTTTTATTTTTTTATTTTTTTGAGATGGAGTCTCCCTGTCGCCCAGGCTGGAGTGCAGTGGCGCGATCTCAGCTCACTGCAACTTCCACCTCCCAGATTTAAGTAACTCTGCCTTAGCCTCCCAAGTAGCTGGAATTACAGGCACACGCCACCATGCCGAGCTAATTTTTCTATTTTTAATAGACAAAATACAAAATACAGCCTGTTGTCCAGGCTGGTCTTGAACTCCTGACCTCAAGTGATCCACCTGCCTGGGCCTCCCAAAGTGCTGGGAATACAGGCGTGAACCACCGTGCCCAGAATTTTTTTTTTTTTTTTTTTTTGGAGACAGGGTCTCACTCTGTTGCCCAGGCTGGAGTGCAGTGTTGCGATCATGGCTCACTGCAGCCTTGATTTTGTGGGCTCAAGTGATCCTCCCACCTTAGCTTCCAGAGAAACTGGTACCACAGGAGTGCACCACCACACCCAGCTAATTTTTTTCATTTTTCTTTTTGAGATGGAGTTTTGCTCTTGTTGCCCAGGCTGGAGTGCAATGGTGCAATCTTGGCTCACTGCAACCTCCGCCTCCCAGGTTCAAGTGATTCTCCTGCCTTAGCCTCCTGAGTAGCTGGGATTACAGGCACACACCACCATGCCCAGCAAATTTTTGTATTTTTAGTAGAGATGGGGTTTTGCCATGTTGGCCAGGCTGGTCTCGAACTCCTGACCTCAGGTGATCCACCTGCCTCGGCCTCCCAAAATGCTGGGATTACAGGCATGAGCCACCGCGCCCATACTTTTACATTTTTTTTTGCAGAGACAGAGTCTCACTAAGTTGCCCAGGCTGGTCTCAAACTCCTGGACTAAAGCGATTCTCCTGTCTTGGCCTCCTAAAGTGCTGGCATTACAAATGTGAGCTACCACACCAGGCCTGAACCTGTCTTTTTTTTTTTTTTTTTTTTTTTTTTGAGACAAAGTCTTGCTCTGTTGCCCCAGGCTGGAGTGCAGTGGTACGATCCTGGCTCATTGCAACCTCCGCCTCCCGGGTTCAAGCAGTTCTCCTGATCAGCCTCCCGAGTAGCTGGGATTATAGGCATGTGCCACCACACCCGGCTAATTTTTGTATTTTTAGTAGAGATGGGGTCTCACCGTGTTGGCCAGGCTGGTCTCGAACTCCTGACCTCAGGTGATCTGCCTGCCTTGGCCTCCCAAAGTGCTGGGATTACAGGCATGAGTCACCGCGCCCAGCCTATTTCCAGTTTTTTGTGATGATATACAATGCTGCTAGGGCCATCATTCTTGTTCATGCTTCCCAGTGCACTCCTGCATTTCTGTCAACAATGTCCTCAGCTGTGGAGCGGCTGCATCATAGGTTACACACACCTTCAGCTTTATCAGACATTGCCCAGCTAGTTCCCAAAGTGTCTACTAATTTTTGCAGTTTATTTCACCCCCAATCGCACCCTCAGCTCACTATGCTTGTGTCATATGGGCCTTCTTTTGCGCCCTTTAGCACATGTGTGCCTCAGTCAGAAGGCCTATTCTATCTGCCATTTCATCTGCTGAGAGCACTTCCCCAACACTCAGCCTAGCAAAGAACTTTTCTTCAGAGCTCAGCTCTAGGCATCACTCCCTCCCCAGTCCGAGACCAGGTCAACCCTCCCTCCCTCCATATTATGGAACTCACAGCACCACATATGTCTTCTTTGTGATATTTATCAACTTCAGAGTTTCCTCTCTATCTGTGCAATTCTCAGAACAAAGTCTGTCTCCCCTGCTAAGCTGTAAGTTCCCATGTTTGTTTAAGCTCCCTGCCCTTTCTCCAACACCCAACAGCAAGCCTGGCACATGTTAGGCAATGGGTGTTATTACTCTAATAGCTATTCTGTATTCTAACTCATATTTGAGTTCAGTATGTAACTTTTCCAGCATGTTTTCACATTAATTAGCATCTTCTGGGGCCGGGATCATGACAATGTAGACACAGTCCCTTCCCTTAAGGAGTTCACAGATTTAAGTCAATAAATGTTTACTGGACTCGCTGGCCCGTGACATATTTTAAGTGCTTAGCAACTGTTTAATTGACTCAGAGGTCCCCCTCATCTGAGTATTACTATAATGAACAGCGTAGGCCAGTGTTTTCTGAGCACTTATTATGCACCAGACACTCTGCTAAGTGCTTTTCATTTACCATCTCCTGCATGCTCACATCCTTCCCAGGAGGTCCTACATCACCTGCATTTGACAGATGAGGAGACTGAGCCTCAGGAAGGTGAATTCATTCTTCTGTTCCAGGTCACACAGCTGGTACATGGTACAGACGGGATTTCTCAGCCAGAGCTCCTAACCTGTACCTCCTATTACGATGCTGCATTTTCCCTGCTCCAATTACACTGCTCTCTTTCTTTCGTTCTTTTTTTTTTGAGATGGAGTCTGGCTCTGTCACCCTGGCTGGAGTGCAGTGGCCAGATTTTGGCTTACTGCAATCTCTGCCTCCCAGGTTCAAGTGATTCTCCTGCTTCAGCCTCCCAAGTAGCTGGGACTATAGGCGTGTGCCACCATACCCGGCTAATTTTTGTATTTTTAGTAGAGACAGGGTTTTTCACCATGTTGGCCAGGCTGGTCTCGAACTCCTGACCTCGGGTGATCTGCCCACCTCGGCCTCCCAAAGTGCTGGGATTACAGGCGGGAGCCACTGTGCCCATCTTTTTTTTTTTTTGAGACGGAGTCTCGCTCTGTCGCCCAGGCTGGAGTGCAGTGGCGTGATCTTGGCTCACTGCAACCTCCACCTCCCAGGTTGAAGCAATTCTCCTGCCTCAGCCTCCCAAGTAGCTGGGATTACAGGTGACCACCACCACACCCAGCTAATTTTGTGTATTTTTAGTAGAGACAAGGTTTTACCATGTTGGCCAGGCCAGTCTCGAACTCCTGACCCCAGGTGATCCACCTGCCTCGGCCTCCCAAAGTGCTGGGATTACAGGTGTGAGCCACCGCGCCCAGCCCACTGTGCCCATCTTAAATTACACTGCTTTCTGTTGGAGCACAGAGACTAAGTTTGATACCTACCATTACTGGGCACCGCAGTACTAACCATTTTACGTCCATCTATTCATTTAATTCAAATAGTTACTGAACCCACCATGAACCAAGTTCTGTTCTAGGGGCTGGAGATATGGAGGTAAACAAAACAGACATCCTAGTGGGAGGAATAAAAACTAAAGAAACTCAGTTAAGTAGAATATAAAATATGGGCTGTGCACAGTGGTTCATGCCTATTATCCCCGCACTTCGGGAGCCAGAGAGGGAGGATTGCTTGAGATCAGGAGTTCAAGACCAGCCTGGGCAACATAGTGAGACCCTGTCTCTACAAAATGTAAAAAAAAAAAAAGAAAAAGAGAAACTTGAGCCGGGCGTGGTGGCTCACGCCTGTAGTCCCAGCACTTTGGGAGGCTGAGGCAGGTGGATCACCTGAGGTCAGGAGATGGAGACCAGCCTGGCCAACACGGTGAAACCCTGTCTCTACTAAAAATACAAAAATTAGCCGGGCGTGGTGGTGGACACCTGTAATCTCAGCTACTCAGGAGTCTGAGGCAGGAGAATTGCTTAAACCCAGGAGGCAGAGGTTGCAGTGAGCTGAAGATTGCGCCATTGCACTCCAGCAGCCTGGGTGACAGAGCCAGACTCCAACACACACACACACACACACACACACACACACACACACCCACAAAACCAAAAATTAGCCAGGTGTGGTGGTAGGCACCTGTAATCCCAGCTACTTGGGAGGCTGAGACAGGAGAATCGCTTGAACCCCGGAGGCAGAGGTTGCAGTGAACCAAGATCATGCCATTGCACTCCAGCCTGGGGGGCAAAAGCAAAACTGTTTCAAAAACAAACAAACAAAAAAACCGGCTGGGTGTGGTGATACATGCCTGTAGTCCCAGGTAATCAGGAGACTGAGGCGGGAGGATCACTTGAATCCAGGAGTTGGACATGGCAGTGAGCTGTGATTGTGTCACTGCCCTCCAGCAGCCTGGGTGACAGAGAGAGACCCTGTCTCAATATATTAGGTTGGCGCAAAAGTAATTGCAGTTTTTGCCACTGAAAGTAATGCCATTGGAGGTAATGGCAAAAACAGCAATTACTTTTGCGCCAATCTAATAGATATGTAGATAATATGATCGATGGTGATCAGTGATAACAGTGAAAAAGAAACAGAACAGGGAACAAGGGGCCGGGCTCAGTGGTTCACGCCTGTAATCCCAGCACTTTGGGAGGCCGAGGTGGACGGATCACTTGAGGCCAGGAGTTCGAGAACAGCCTGGCCAACATGGTAAAACCCCACTTCTACTAAAAATACAAAAAAATTTAGCCAGGCATGGTGGTGTGCGTCTGTGGTGCCAGCTACCCGGGAGGCTGAGGTGGGAGGATCCCTTGAACACAGGAGGCAGAGGCTGCAGTGAGCTGAGATCGCGCCATTGCACGCCAGCCTGGGTGACAGAGTGAGACCCTGTCTCCAAAAAACAAACAAACAAAAACAAAAAAAGAAAAGAAAAAGGAACAAGGAAAATAAGATGGTAAATGTGGTCTCCAAGGTCTTGTTTCATCTTCCTATGTCCATTATTTTTCCCATTATGCAAGTGAGGAGGAGGTTCAGAGAGGTGGAGTAACTCGTCCAGGGACTCACAGTGCGCAAGCTGAGACGTCAGTGTCCTGGAAGGACCCATCCTGCAATCGTTCTTGGCTGTGTTCCTACCCAGTGCCTAGGATGGAGGTGAAGACAAAAAGAGCATCAGGCTTTCTCTCAAGAGCTTGAGACCTGGCAAGCGGGTAGGTCAATCCCTGTGAGCAGAGGACTCCCTAAAGCCCTTGCGATGCATCCATGAGGTGCCCAGAGCAGACATTGAGGAATCACCTTGGGAGAAGCGGATGCAGAGGCTGGAGTCGAAGCTCAGGCTGATGAATCGATTCCAGAGATCAGGAGCAGAAGGCAAAGTCCCCGTAGGATCTTCTGGGACTATTGGTGGCTCCCAGGCCCACCAGTCCTGGCTCTACTCCCCTTCAGCCCTCTTATCTCCAGCCTTTAGGCCTTCAGGTAGGGAGACCCAACGACGCTAGTTACCTAATAATTAGCCACAGCCGCCGGGCGCGGTGGCTCACGCCTATAATCCCAGCACTTTGGGAGGCCGAGGCGGGCGGATCACGAGGTCAGTAGATCGAGATCATCCTGGCTAGCACGGTGAAACCCCGTATCTATTAAAAATACAAAAAATTAGCCGGGCGTGGTGGCGGGCGCCTGTAGTCCCAGCTCCTTGGGAGGCTGAGGCAGGAGAATGGCGTGAACCCGGGAGGCGGAGCTTGCAGTGAGCCAAGATGGCGCTACTGCACTCGAGCCTGGGCGACAGAGCAAGACTCCGTCTCAATAAATAAATAAATAAATAGATAGATAAATAAATAAAAATAAAATAATTAGGCACAGCCTAGCAGTGAGGAAGCTAGAGTCACATGCAAACAGCGGCCCCTCCTCTACCCGGCATCATGAGCTAGGGGTGCCTCCCAGACTGCTGGCTGGTGGCGGTGGAGGGGACGCAGGGTACGCGTTTTTAGGCCTCAGCTGCGAGCAATGATGGCTGGTCCCCATGACTCAGTTTGTGTGCAACAGGTGTCATGAATAAGGGTGGCAGTGTGGAATAGAGTGGGTAAGGGTCTGGACTTTGGAGCTAGAAAGGTGTTCCCGCCTCGCCAAGGCACACCAACGTATTTTTTATACCTCTAAGAAACTTGGTATCTTTTTTTTTTGGAGACGGAGTCTTGCCTCTGTCACCCAGGCTGGAGTGCAGTGGCATGATCTCAGCTCACTGCACCTCCGCCTGTTGGGTTCAAGCAATTCTGCTTCAACCTTCCGAGTAGCTGGAACTACAAGCGCACACTGCGACCCCTGGCTAATTTTTTGTGTTTTAGTAGACACGGGGTTTCACCATGTTACCCAGGCTGGTCTCAAACTCCTGAGTTCAGGCAATCTGCTCGTCTTGGCCTCCCAAAGTGCTAGGATTACAGGCGTGAGCCAGTGTGTCAGGACTTTTTTTTTTTTGAGACACAGTTTCACTCTGTCACCCAGGCTGGAGTGCAGCTGCGCCATCTCGGCTCACTGCAACCTTAACCTTCCGGGTTCAAGCGATTCTCCTGCCTCGGCCTCCTGAGTAGCTGGGACTACAGGTGCCCACCACAATGCCCGGCTAATTTTTGTATTTTTAGTAGAGATAGGGTTTCACCATGTTGGCAAGGCTGGTCTCAAACTCCTGACTTCAGGTGATCTGCCTGCCTTGGCCTCCCAAAGTGCTGGGATTACAGGCATGAGCCACCGCACCCAGCCGGTATCTTGTTCAAAGAGGTACACTTTAAGGATAGTTGATCAAGCTGAAAATATACATAGTTTTGGAGGTTGAGGAATTCATTCATTCAACAAACATTCGTTGAGTATGTTTTATGAGCTGGGTCCTAGGACCTGAAAATAAACAGTGAAGAGGCCGGGTGCAGTGGCTCACACCTGTAATCCCAGCACTTTGGGAGGCTGAGGCGGGTGGATCACGAGGTCAGGAGATCGAGACCAACTTGGCTAACACGGTGAAACCCCGTCTGTACTAAAAATACAAAAAATTAGCCGGGTGTGATGGTGGGCGCCTGTGGTCCTAGCTACTGGGGAGGCTGAGGCAGGAGAATGGCGTGAACCCGGGAGGTGGAGCTTGCAGTGAGCCGAGATTGGTGCCACTGCACTCCAGCCTGGGCGACAGAGCGAGACTCTGTCTCAAAATAAATAAATAAATAAATAAATAAATAAATAAAATAGTGAAGAGGACGAACAAGGTTGGTCTCCTCAGACTCCTCAGAGACTTTTCCTTTTTTTTTTTTTTTTTTTTTAACAGAGACAGGGCCTAATTATGTTGCCTAGGCTGTTCTCAAACTTCTGGGCTCTCAAGTGAGCCTCCTGCCTTGGCCTCCTGTAGTGCTGGGATTAGACGGGGAATTTTCCTTTTATTGAGTGGTGTTAGACTGTGGACACGTGAGTAGTCTATTAGTTGTGACAGGTGTTCTGAATGAGAGTTTTGCGTGAGAGTAGAGGTAAACTCACCTGCTCTCAATCTGTAAGGGAGCCATCTCAGAATTTTCTCTCTTCAGGCTGGGGATGAGAGCCAACGTCTTCATTTCAGAACATCTCAGCCGCATCAGGGGGATCGTCACACTCTCTGCCATGAATAGGTGACGCGGGATGAAGAGGAGAGTTTCCTATCAAGGCTGCTGTGTTTTGTTTTTGTTTTGTAGATATGGGGTTTCACCATGTTGCCCAGGCTGGTCTCTAACTCCTGGGCTCAAGGGATCCACCCGCTTTGACCTCCCAAATTGTTGGGATTACAGGTATGAGCCACAGTGCCTGCCTAAGGTTGCTTTCTGTGTGAATCAAGGAGGCATTCAATAAATAGTTGTGGGATTAATGAATGTCATTTCAAGGAGGGTTAAAAGCCATGGACACCATCTGTAAAGGGTATTATAATTTGGTTATCCAGGAAAACAGAAAATTTCAGCAGTTATTTGAGATTTCCAGAAGGGTGAGTAGTTTTGGGATTTGGGGAGAAGGAATTGGGGTGCTGGGTTTCCATTCAACAAGTATGTTTTCCAGCCTGGCCAACACGGCAAAACCTCGTCTCTACTAAAAATACAAATATTACCTGGGTGTGGCGGTGGGTGCCTGTAATCCCAGCTACTTGGGAGGCCGAGGCAGGAGGATCGCTTGAACTCCGGAGGCAAGGCAGAGGTTGCAGTGAGCCAAGGTCGCACCACTGCACTCCATCCTGGGCGACAGAGTGAGACTCCGTCTCAAAAAAATAAAATAATAAAAAAAAAACCACAAGTATTTTTAGAGAACATGCAGGCACTTTGCTAGAGCTATATCCATGAATGAGACAGACCAGGTACTGCCCTCCAGGGCTTACAGTCTGGTGAAGGCACAGGCAACAGTAAGATGATGTGGTAATTACTGGGAGGGGGCAGGAAAGAGAGAGAGCAAAGCAGATTCCAGGAGAAACAGGAGGGAAGAAGGGCTGCGGGAATAGACTGGCATATGCAAAGGTCTAGAGGAGGAAAGAGCAGGTTTAGTCAAAGAACTCAAAATAGTTCAGCACGGTCAGACTTTGGAGTCTGGTGAGGGACAGGATGTACAAGCAAGGGGACTCAATCCATACATTCCAGGCAGGCTTCCCCAAGGCGTTCCCCTTGGGGAAAAGCTAAATTTGCCCAATCCACAGCTAGCTGTCATCGTTCTGGAGCCCAGGAGGTCAACCTCATTTTAATTAAGACACACCATTTATTGAGTCCTGTTATAGAACATTGGCTCATTCAATTGTCGGGTAACTATTTTATTATTATTATTTTTTGAGATGGAGTTTTGCTCTTGTTGCTCAGGCTGGAGTGTAATGGTGTGATTTTGGCTCACCGCAACCTTCACCTCTCGGGTTCAAGCGATTCTCCTGCCTCAGCCTCCCAAGTAGCTGGGATTGCAGGCATGCGCCACCATGCCTGGCTAATTTTGTATTTTCAGTAGAGACGGGGTTTCTCCATGTTAGTCAGGCTTGTCTCGAACTCCCGACCTCAGGTGATCTGCCTGCCTTGGCCTCCCAAAGTGCTGGAATTACAGACATGAGACACCTCGCCCGGCCTATTTTTCTTTTTCTTTCTTTCTTTCTTTCTTTCTTTTTTTGAGACGTAGTCTTGCTGTCACCCAGGCTGGAGTGCAGTAGCACGATCTAGGCTCTGCAACCTCCGCCTCCCAGGTTCAAGCATTTCTCTTGCCTCAGCCTCCCAAGTAGCTGAGATTGCAGGCATGAGCCACCATGCCCAGCTAAGTTTTATGTTTTTAGTAGAGATGGGGCTTCCCCATGTTGGCCAAGTTGGTCTCAAACTCCTGACTTCAGGGGATCTGCCTGCCTCGGCCTCCCAAAGTGCTGGGATTACAGGTGTGAGCCATCGCGCCTTGACCCTCTGGTAACTTTTTTTTTTTTGAGATGGAGTCTCGCTCTGTCACCCAGGCTGGAGTGCAGTGGCGAGATCTCGGCTCACTGCAAGCTCCGCCTCCTGGGTTCACGCCATTCTCCTGCCTCAGCCTCCTGAGTAGCTGGGACTACAGGTGCCAGCCACCACGCCCTGCTAATTTTTTGTAGAGATGGGGTTTCACCGTGTTCGCCAGGATGGTCTCCATCTCCTGACCTTGTGATCCGCCCACCTCAGCCTCCCAAAGTGCTGGGATTACAGGCGTGAGCCACTGCGCCCGGCCTCCTCTGGTAACTTTCATGTGACCCCATTTTACAGATGAGAAAACTGAGACTTAAGTTTGGACACTTTGTCCTAGGTCATGCAGCTGACTACATTTAGGAACTGCGAATGTTCATTTATGTAAATACTTCTGCTTTAGCAGTGCCTCTTCCATGAGGTAATGTGTGTAAAAGCTTTCTTGTAGTAGAGCCATATAAACACGAAGCATTGTTATTCATTTTGCTGGACTTTTGGCTCCATCCAGTTCAGCCTGCAGCATTTAGGGAGTCCAGGAAGGGGTGAGGGCAGTAATTAAAGCCTAAAGGCCCAATGGCCTGTCGGAATTCCCTGTCTATTCTGGTTCCCTCTCCGAGGCACCTCCAGATTTTATCTTCTACCAAATAGAGAGTTTGTTTCTCAGAAGTTGCAGGATGTGGGCGGTTATATAAAAAAAAAAAAAAAAAAAAAAAAAAAAGCAGCATCAACAACTACAAAAACCCCAGCAGCAGCCTAAACACAAAAGAGTCTGAATTTTGAACAAAGGGCAGGGTGAGACCTGAAAGTAAACGCTGACACATCCTCTCCCCAGCTGTGAACTGGGGGTCTGAGGGCTGCAGCAAAGGTCATCTGTCTCTATCTTTAGGCAGGAAATGCAATTCAATCCTCCCAGTGACTGATCACTTCGCAAGATTAATGGAATCATCTCCAACACTGGTCCCTGTTCCAACAGCACAAAAAGTGAATCAACCTTCTCACTTACTCAGCGAGGTCAGCGGATTCCCCGTTCTAAAAGTTCAAAACTTTTCTCCAGGAAATTTGTCCTTGACTATTCCTTTGTGGGGCGAAATCCTGCTTTCTGGGCTAAGACTGAAATGTGGTATTTGAAAGTCCGGGGACTTTTGTAGGCTTTTCATCTGTTACTACTTCAACTTTAAAATAAAATAAATGCAAAAGGCCTGATTTTCCCTGAAAGGGTTAATTGCCAGCCCTCTGAGCCCTCCCTCGGGGATCGTCAACCAATCACAATTGAGTATGATGAAGTAATGCTTAGATTTTTATTTCCATTGGTTAAAGTACTTGTCCATCAATCCAAAGAGGCAATTTTTTTTTTTTTTTTTCTTTTTTTTCTTTTTTGTTTTTTTGAGACAGAGTCTCGCTCTGTTGCCCAGGCTGGAGTGCAGTGGCGCGATCTCGGCTCACCACAACCTCCGCCTCTCGGGTACAAGCGATCTTCCTGCCTCAGCCCCGCTAGTAGCTGTGATTACAGGCACGCGCCACCACGCCCGGTTAATTTTTGTATTTTTAGTAGAGGGGGGGTTTCACCATGTTGGCCAGGCTGGTCTCAAACTTCTGACCTCAGGTGATCCACACGCCTCGGCCTCCCAAAGTGATGGGATTACAGGCGTGAGCCACCGCGCCCGCCCTAAAAAGACAAGTTTTTTAAAGAATCTTTGAACTTTCGTGACTCTTCCTGGCATTAACCCCTTAATTAACTCACCTGTTATATTCAGTGTTCCTTTCAACCCTCACAGTGGAAGAGACAGATTATAAAATGAAGAATTCGCTGGGCGCGGTGGCACACGCCTGTAGTCCCAGCACTTTGGGAGGCCGAGGCGGGTGCATCCACCTGAGGTCTGGAGTTCGAGAGCAGCCTGGCCAACATGGTGAAACCCTGCCTCTACTAAAAACACAAAAATGAGCCAGGCATGGTGGTGGGCACCTGTAATCCCAGCTACTCAGGAGGCTGAGACAGGAGAATAGCTTGTACCCGGCAGGTGGAGGTTGCAGTGAGCCGAGATCGTGGCATTGCACTCCAGCCTGGGCGACAGAGCAAGACTCCGTCTCTAAATAAATAAATAAAATGAAGAATTCTAGAGAGAAACTGAAGTCTTCCCCAAATGGCCAAGGCTTGACAGTCTATATGCATGCATTTTGGTCTTCCTTAGTCTTTTTACTCAATCTACAAAAGACTGAGGAATAAAAAGAAAAGGTCTTTGGAGACCCCAATCACGTTCTTTTTTTTTTTTTCTTTTTTTTTTTTTTTTTGAGATAAAATTTCACTCTTGTCGCCCAGGCTGGAGTACAGTGGTAGAATCTCGGCTCACTGCAACCTCCGCCTCCCAGGTTCACGGGGTTCTCCTGTCTCAGCCTCCTGAAGTAGCTGGGATTACAGGTGCCCGCCACCATGCCGAGCTAATTTTTTTGTATTTTTTTTTTAGTAGAGACAGGGTTTCACCATGTTGGCCAGGCTGGTCTTGAACTCCTGACCTCAGGTGATCCACCCGCCTCGGCCTCCCAAAGTGCTAGGATTATAGGCGTGAGCCACCGCGCCCGGCCTGGAGACCCCAATCACTTTAACAGAAATAGTATGGTCTGTTATCCTCCCAGATTAAGACTATTTCCCAAGTAAGAATATTTGTTTCAGGAGCCTGGCGCATTGGCTCACGCCTGTAATCCCAGCACTTTGGGAGACAGAGGCAGGCGGATTACCTGAGGTCAGGAGTTCGAGATCAGCCTGGCTAATGTGGTGAAACCCTGTCTCTACTAAAAATACAAAATTAGCTGGGCATGGTGGCACACGCCTGTAATCCCAGCTACTCCGGAGGCTGAGGCAGGAGGAGGCTGAGGCAAGAGAATCGCTTGAACCCGGGAGGTGGAGGTTGCAGTGAGCCGGGATCATGTCACTGTAGTCCAACCTGGGCGACAGTGAGTCTCCGTCATAAAAAAAAAAAAAAAAAGAATATTTGTTTTAAATTGCAAAACTCATACAAATATGGCAAATCTCTAACATTTGCCAACACTGGATGCTGGATACACGAGTCTTTATTTATTTTATTAATTTTTTTTGAGAGGGAGTCTCACTCTGTTGCCCAGGCTGAAGTGCAGTGGCACCATCTCGGGTCACTGCAACCTCTGCCTCCTGAGTCAAGCGATTCTCCTGCCTCAGCCTCCTGAGTAGCTGAGATTACAGATGTAACCACACCTGGCCAATTTGTGTATTTTTAGTAGAGACGGGGCTTTGCCATGGTGCCCAGGCTGGTCTCGAACCCCTGACCTCAGGTGATCTGCCTGCCTGAGCCTCCCAAAATGTTAGGATTATACGCGTGAGCCACTGCACTAGGCCCTCTTTATTTATTTTATAACTTTCATTATGTTTGAAATATTTGACAAATGTAAAAGGTCAAAATTGTTGTTAAAGACGCAAATAATATATAAATATAACCCCGTTAAAATTTTCTCCCCTCCTGTGAGGGAATCAAAGGTAGTGGTTTGCCGCGCAATTCCAAGCCTTTCTTTTTTTTTTTTTTGAGATGGAGTCTTGCTCCCGTTGGGCAGGCTGAAGTGCAGTGGCATGATCTCGGCTCATTGCAACTTCTACCTCCCAGGTTCAAGCGATTCTCCTTCCTCAGCCTCTCAAGTAGCTGGGATTACAGGCGAGCGCCACCACGCCCAGCTAATTTTTGTATCTTTAGTAGAGACAGGGTTTCGCCATGTTGGCCAGACTGGTCTCGAACTCCTGACCTCAGGTGATCCATCTGCCTCAGCCTCCCAAAGTGCTAGGATTACAGGAGTGAGCCACCGTGCCCAGTCTCCAAGCCTTTCTTATCTTTTTTTTTTTTTGGTGGGGGGGCACACATATATATATACAAATATTACTATAAATAGCTTGTTTTGACATAAATGGGTCATAATATACACTTTACTCTGTGACTTTTTAAAACCAATCGAATTTTCTATCACAACACTCAGATTTATGTAACACTTAAATAATACTTTTTTTCTTTTTCTTTTCTTTTTTTTTTTTTTTGAGACGAAGTTTCGCTCTTGTTGTCTAGGCCCCTGGGGTGCAATGGTGCGATCTCGGATCACTGCAACCTCTGACTCCCGGGTTCCAGCGATTCTCCTGTCTTAACCTCCCGAGTAGCTGGGATTACAGGCACATGCCGCCACGCCCAACAAATTTTTGGTATTTTTAGTAGAGACGGGGTTTCACCATGTTGGCCAGGCTGGTCTCCAACTCTTGACCTCAGGTGATCCGCCTGCCTCAGCCTCCCAGTGTTGGGATTACAGGCGTGAGCCACCGCGCCCAGCCTAAATAATACTTTAGAATGGCAGTTCTACAGATAGCACGTGGAAAGGGGTCCAAGATTATAGTCAGTGAAAGGCAAGATGAGAGATGGTGTGTATATTTCTTTCTTTCTTTCTTTTTTTTTTTTGAGATGGAGACTTGCTTAGTCACCCATGCTGGAGTGCAGTGGCATGATTTTGGCTCACTGCAATCTCTGCCTCCCGGGTTTAAGCAATTTTCCTGCCTCAGCCTCCTGAGTAGGTGGGATTACAGGCGCGTGTCGCCATGCCTGGCTAATTTTTGTATTTTTAGTAGAGACAGGGTCTCATCATGTTGACCAGGCTGGTCTCCAACTCCTTACCTCAAATGATCTGCCCACCTTGGCCTTCCAAAGTGGTGGGATTACAGGCATGAGCCACAGCACCTGGCTGGTGTGTATATTTCTGTGATACAATAATACAAGAAAATAAGGCTGGGCGCAGTGCCTCAGGCCTGTAATCCCAGCACTTTGGGAGGCTGAGGCGGGCAGATCACCTGAGCTCAGAAGTTCGAGACCAGCCTGGCCAACATGGCAAAACCCCGTCTCTACAAAAAATACAAAAATTAGCTGGGTGTGGCGGCATTTGCCTGTAGTCCCAGCTACTCAGGAGGCTGAGGCAGGAGAATCGCTTGAACCAGGGAGGCAGAGGTTGCAGTGACCCGAGATCATGCCACTGCACTCCAGCCTGGGCGACAGAGCGAGACTCCGTCTCAAAAAAAAAAAGAAAAAAAAGAAAAAGAAAAAATTGTGGAATATCTCATAAATACAATAGAATCTGAAAAATATTTAACTATACTTTAAGGAACAGTCTTAGATGCCCAGCAGGTGGATTAAGAAACAGAAAGTCACTAGTATCTCTGTTCACATTCCTTTCCTGAATGGTCTTTTGCAGCATTTTGTGTTAATCATTCCTTGCTTTTATTCCTGTTTTGTGACTTATGTATCTATATCTAAAGAATATTTAGCCTGTAATCCCCCACTTTGGGAGGCTGAGGGGTGGATCACTTGAGCTCAGGAGTTTGAGAACAGCCTGAGTAACATGGCAAAACAGAGTCCCTACAAAAAGTACCAAAATTAGCTGGGCCTGGTCTTGCATGCCTACAAGTCCCAGCTACTCGGGAGTCTGAGGTGGGAGCATTGCCTGAGCGCGGGAGGTGGAGGCTACAGTGAGCTGTGATCACACCACTGCACACCAGAGCCTGGGTGACAGAGCAAGACCCTGTCTCAAAAAAAAAAAAAAAATTTAGTTTTGGTTTAGGTTTGCCTGATTTTGAATCTTATAGACTTAAAAAAGGAATAAAATGGAATTATTTTTGAGTAGGTAATACATCTGTGCGGTACAAAATTCAAGAGGTACTACAGCATCTAAAATGAGATTAAGTCAATAAGGTTTAAAATCAGGCACCGTTCATGTACATATGTGGTAAAAATATCACTTTACCAAAAAATAGGCTTTCTTCTCTTTTCCCAGTTCTTTTTCTCACTTTTTGATCTTTCCAAAGGAAATTCTGCACATACTAAAGAATGTATGGGTCGGGCACGGTGGCTCATGCCTGTAGTCCCAGCAGTCTGGGAGGCCGAGATGGGCGGATCACCTGAGGTCAGAAGTTTGAGACCTGCCTGGCCAGTATGGTGAAACCCTGTCTCTACTAAAAACACAAAAATCAGCCGGGCATGGTGGTATGCGCCTGTAGTCCCAGCTACTTGGGAGGCTGAGGCAGGAGAATTGCTTGAACCCGGGAGGCGGAGGTTTCAGTGAGCCGAGATTGTGCCATTGTACTCCAGCCTGGGTGTTATAGCAAGACTCTGTCTCACAAAAAAAAAAAAAAAAAAAAAAGCATGTAGATACAGACATAACCCTTTTGGTTTCCTTACATGGTCCGCACAACTTAGTATTATTAGTATTCTGCATGTTGTTTAGTTTCGTTTTGGTTTGGAGACGGAGTCTCGGGATGTCACCCAGGCTGGAGTGCAGTGAATGATCTTGGCTCACTGCAACCTCTGCCTCCTGGGTTCAAGCGGTTCTTGTGCCTCAGCCTCCTGAGTAGCTGGGACTACAGGCGCACGCCACCACACCCAGCTAATTTTTGTATTTTTAGTAGAGATAGGGTTTTATCATGTTGCCCAAGCTGGTCTCGAACTCCTGAGCACAGGTGATCTGTCCGCCTTGGCCTCCCAAATTGCTGGGATTATAGGCATGAGCCACTGCGCCTGGCTTCACTCCAGATTTTTTATAATATTACTATGACTTTGTGCAAAGCCCCTCACATTTGCAGTACCTTTGAATCCTTGCCAAATCTCCATAAGGGGCTGTAATTCCCCACCTTTATGGCTGAGGCTCAAAGACAGGTTAACTTGCTTGGCCAAATTTTATAGCTAGGAAATAATGATAGGATTCGAACTCAGAGCTTACAGGAATCCAGAGCCCACAGGGTTGCCCACTATGCTAAGCCTCCCTTCAGGGCTGTCCCACAGAAGATGATAGAGTTATTCAAGATATTCTTTTTTTTTTTTTGAGACAGAATCCCCCTCTGTCACCCAGGCTTGAGTGCAGTGGTGCAATCAGCTCATTGCAAACTCTGCCTCCTGGGTTCAAGCAATTCTCCTGCCTCAGCCTCCCGAGTTGCTGGGATTACAGGTGTGCACCACCACGCTTGTCCAATTTTTGTATTTTTAATAGAGACGGGGGTTTCATCCTGTTGGCCAGGCTGGTCTTGAACTCCTGACCTCAGGTGATCCACCTGCCTCAGCATCCCAAAATGCTGGGATTACAGGTGTGACCCACAGCGCCCAGCCAATGATAGGGATATTCTGTATCTGCACCATTCAGTGCTGTCACTTCTAGCCCCTTCAAATGTAGGTACTGGGTTAAGGAGCTGAATTTTACATTTTATTTTAATTAAATTTAAGTAGCTGTATGTAGCTAATGTATCCCATCAAACAGCACAGCCTTAGAGTGCTTTCCAGAATTTGTTTTAACTCACCTACCAGGCTATATATACCTAAGAGGCTGATTTGATACAGGGTCCCCCTAATCAACCTTCCACAAACATTTGTGGAATGAATGAAGGGTCCATGGGGAAAGGGGGCCAAGGATATCAGCAAAGGTTTCCTAGAAGAGGCCATCTGATTACAGTGTGAATGCTTGCAGTGTTAGCCCTTAAACCACTCTCTCTGAGTGCCTGCCAAGGGCATGGCACTGCGTAGACTCCTGGGGATACCAGTTGGATATGAGGTTGTCCCACCTGCTCAGATCTTACAAATAAACTTCTCAAGGACAAATAGTTGGTGATAGGGTAGGAATCCTGAGACGTGGATGATCACTTTCAGATATATATTCTACTGACAGACTCAAGCACAAAGCTGCAATCCCTTATAGCTCTGTTTGCAATAGAAAAAGATTGAAAACCATCTAAAAGTTAGGGAACTAATTAAATCATTCTTGCACCATTTATCTGCCCAATGAAATGCTATGAAATCATTAGAAAGAATAAGGAAACTATAGCTGATGTGCTATAGCATTCCACATATGCTGATGTGGAATGATTAGATATCCTTAAATTAAAACAAAACAGGGCCAGGTGTGGTGGCTTACGGCTGTAATCTCAGCACTTTGGGAGGCCGAGGTGGGAGGAACACTTGAGCCTAGGAGTTGGAGACCAGCCTGGGCAACACGGCAAAACCCTGTCTCTACCAAAAATACAAAAATTAGCTGGGCATGGTGGTGCACTCCTGTAGTCTCAGCTACTTGGAAGGCTAAGGTGGAGCATTGCTGAGTCCAGGAGGTGGAGGTTGCAGTGAGCTGAGATTGTGTCACTGCACTCCAGCCTGGGCAACAGAGCAAGACCCTCTCTCAAAAAAAAGAAAAGAAAAATCAGGAGTTATGATAATCATATATGAATATGAGAACAACTTCAATTTCTTATCAAGATTCTGGTTTCTGAGAGCTACATCCAGTGTCCACCCTTTCCTTGGGAAGCTGCAGGTCCATCGTCCTACCCAGCCTCGAGTATGCCCCAATCTGCATGCCCCACGCTGCATCTTCTTTTCTCTAGCCTCTCTGTCTTTGGGCACAGAGTTGCTCAATCAACCTTTGATGAATGAAGAATGAATGGGGGTAACTCAGGCAGGATTTGACTGGGCCCTTTGTAAGATCGAGCAGGAGGGTCCAGGAAATAATTATTATTATGTTTCCAATACAACCGGCCCGGTGTTTTCCTGCAAGAAAAAGTACATCTCTGGGGTAAGCACCTTCACCTTCTCTCTTCCCTTACCTACTCTCCACTTCTCTGGGACAATTAGTCAACACTGGGAGCTCCAGGGTCTTGGCCCTTCCCCCTTTGGTCCAAAATAACCTCCTCCCCCACTTTGAGCAAATGCTTGGAATTCTTTCAACTGGAGGACAAAGCCTTTCATCTGCCAATTACTGATAAAGAGAAAATGCAAATATCGAGGGGGAAGGTGATTCATCAAGGGCCCAACATTTATTGAGTGGCCACTTAGGACCCGGCAGCAGGGCAGGCATTCTGGGGGAGGCCAAGGGGAACAAACCCCCGGCTGGCCCATTCTTTTCTCGTGTTTGCGGTTTCCTCGAGGTTTGTAAAGGGGGGGGATTAAATGAGGTGACTACCCAGCCCCTTCCCACTCTGACAGGCCAGGAACTCCTCGTGGAGGTGATAGATGGACTTAACTGTTTTTATACTAAGGTGGCTGCCATTGGACCTTTTTCTGATGCCAGCTTTTGGGGCCACTATGAGGCCACTTGGAGAGAAAGAAGGGCCTCAGGGAGAAAAAAGAATTAATTAGATGAAGCATTCTATTATATATTTTTTGCTTTATTTCACTTAATTCACTTTGCGTCACTCTCCAGCCCATGCAGCCTCCTTTGAACATGTTTATTTCATTATGGGGCAGTAGTGAGGCTGGTAAGTTACTAAAAAAAAAAAAAAAAAAAAAAAAAGCACGTGATGGCCAAGCCAGGCTCCAGTGTGAGCCCTGGCAGCGGCACATACGCGCTATGTGATCCTGGGTGAGTGGCTTTGCTTTTCTTAGTCCTAATTTCCTCCTTTGCAAAATGGGAACGAACAAGACGATTTCCCTTAAAGGGTTCTTGTGAGAAAGACAGGAACAAATAAAATGGTCCATGGTTCTGGACGGACTGAAGGCAGAACCGGCAGCACTCACACGAAGGGCTACTGATTGCACGCAGCAGCCAACGTGGGCGATTTCAGTTTGGAAACAAATTTTGATGTTTCCCAGCCTCATCCCTGCTTAAAAGATTTTTACAGCTAGTGAACATGAATGAAAACAAACTTCAAAGAGTAGCCTTTGAGGATGGGTGGGAAAGACTACAGTCAGATAGGACAGGAAACTTCTAAGGTGAGTGAGGGGGAAGCTGTCTCTTAGGACGGCCAATACGATGCTGATAGTGACATCGTATCTCCTGGTGGGGAAGCCACGTCCTCCCCACAGGTCTGTCTGATAGCCTGGGGACCATATGGGAGCACAGCAATCATTCAGATTCATAATTTCTCTGAGCTTCAGTTTCCCTATCTGCAAAATGACCTGCTCCAAGTATCCCACAGGGTTATGGCAGAAATAAAATGTCAGGCTCAAAGCCTGCTATCTACAATGTCCCTTTATCGTCTCCCTCTTGCCATGTCATTTTATCAGCATCTTTACCCGCAAGATCAGGCCTAGCAGGGCGCCACAGCTGGGGCTGGAGGAATGTTTAGGGCTAGCTTTTCTCAAGCCAAGTCGACCTGACTGTTGCTCATGATGGGAGGACAAGACAACCCAGGACCAGTGCTGGGGTAGTCAAAAACACTAGTAAGTGGACAGGGACCTAATGACACCCATGTATGTACGGAGGGTGCCGATACCTCCGCTAAGAAGCCCTGTAGGGGCTTCATCAAGGGCACTAGAGTTCCCCCCACCTATCCCAGAGCACCATGCACCTTTCCACCGACTTGTCTTCTATAAACTACCAACAAGGGCTTACCCTTCGCTCCTGTGCGGGCTGCGTTAGGAGGCGCCAGATCCAATTCTCTGCGTCTTTCGCTCCTGAGCATCTATCTGCTCCCCTTGCCGAGCGCAAGAACCTTTAAAAAATGTCCAACTTCTGTTTCAGGGCTGGTCGCCTAGTAAAGGAGTCCACAGAGGCGGGCAGAATGAATGAATGAAAGGCAACGTCTTCCGGTCAGCTGCGGACTGCAAAGGCTCTGGTCTGGCTGTATTTCCTGTACGTGTGTGTGTCCACATCTTTGAGTGCCGGGAGTTTAAAAGTTAGGCAGTCCTTATAGGTATGGAAGCCGAGCTAATTTCCTTCTGAGCCCCCCAAATGCCTCCTCCACATGGCGGGTCCGCAAATGGGGGGATCTGCAGAGGATCACCCCCCACGAAAAAGACATGCAGCAGAAAAGCAAAAAAAGAAAACAGTTATATATACAAAATGCTTTGAATTTGAGTCGGCCACACAGGTAATGTTGGGGGAGGGGTGGATGAAAGAAGAGGAAGAGGGGTAGCCCTGGGCAATGAGGGCAGGAACGGAGGTGGGGGGTCGTTTTTGGGGGTGCCAGGCCCCGGGGGCTTTCACGCCAGCATGCTCGGCTTGCATTTCCGCGCCTCCCGCTGAGGCCAGCCGTGCAAATCTGCACCTCCCTCCCCGCCCCCTCCTCCTTCCCTCCCTCCCTGCCCCGCCATCTCCGGGATGCGCCCGCCGCCTGCAACTCGGCCCT
The DNA here is from genome assembly GCF_000001405.40 of Homo sapiens. NCBI lineage: Eukaryota > Metazoa > Chordata > Mammalia > Primates > Hominidae > Homo > Homo sapiens. The sequence continues at coordinate 121,580,527 of NC_000012.12, read as the reverse complement.
CCAAAAGTCAGCTCTGCACACAACTCCCGGGCGGCGGCGGCGCCTGCGTGCAGAGGCGCACTCGTGACCCAACAACAAAACAGCGATGCCACGGCGCTAACGGCGCCCGGTGCCTCCCGGGCTCCCTCCCCGCCCCATACCTCCTCGGGCCGCCGCCCCCACCCCCCCAAGCCCGGGCCGAGAGCCCCCCCAAATAGCCCGGCCGCGGGCTCCGAGCGCGATCGGCAACAATGTTTACGTTCCGGGGATTATGACGTCGACGCCTCCCCCCCCCCACAACTGCTGAAAATGGTTTCCTAGGACTTTGCAAACGGATCTGCCTAAGTGTTGGTGCAAAACTTTGTAGATCTCGGCTCTGGCTTGCTTTATTTATTTATTTTTTGGTTTGTTTTCTTTGGTCTTCCCTCCTTCCCCCCTCGGCCAAAATGCAGGGGGCAGGAGTGTTGACAATTAATTGGTGAACTCTCCTAAAAAAATGGAGGCAGAGAAAGACTCTGGAAGAAGATTGGTGTGTAGCTTTTTTTTTTTTTTTTTTTTTCCAAATCTGTATCTGGCATATGATAGATCTTTTTTTTTTTTTTTTTGGTTGTTTCTCGCTGCCTTTTCTTTCCTTTTCTGTATTTTGCAAGAGGACCGGGAAAAAAATATAATAAATTGCATGCAAAAGGAAGCAAGCTGCTTACTCCTCCAGCCCCTTGTGAGGCTTAGAGTCTCAGACACTTAAGTGGGGAGGTGGTATCGGGGAAAGGCGTGGAGGGGGGCTGAGCGGGCTCGGGGTTCGCCCGGAATCTGGGGGGCTGAGGGGCCGGGCGCTGGGCGGTGGAGGGAGGAGGCAGGGGGATGCGGGGAGTGGTGGGGGAGTCTCCTTAGGAAGTGAGTGTGCGCGCGCGCTTGTGGGGAGATGAGGCAGCTGCTGGTGCGTTTTGGGGTCTCCGATCCGAGCTTTGTGGCGGGCCGTCTGCCTCTCCCCCTTCCAAGCCCCGATTCTCCTCCCCCCACCTCCTCTTCTTGCACTGGCGGGCGGGCGGCGGGGGCGGCTGGGGTCTCAGCCCTTCCATTTCAGCTTTCCAGCTTCCCCGGTAGCTCGGGGGCGGCTCCAGCTTTAGAAATGCCGCCGGCCCCCGGTTCCGGCTTCCCGGCTCTGCCGCCGCGGCCGCTGGGGCTGCTGTTACCGCCGAGCCGGGCGCCGCAGCGGCTCCTCCTGGGGCCTACATTTGCCCCGCCAGCCCGTGTCCGGAGCCCCCTTCGCGGGTTACATAACCAGGCTCCCGGCCGAGTGGGCGAAGCCCAGCACATTTCGGGGGCGGGGGGCAGGGGAGGGTCCCCAGATGTCCCTTCAGTGCTTCCGAAGACACCGGAGGGGAGTACCCCGCGTAGAGCGCAGCTGGACCCTCGGGGTGCGGGCCCCTCTCCTTGTCCTGCTTTTCAGCATCTTTGGCAATTGCGCAAAGTTGCTTGGGTTGCAATGGTGGGGTGCAGGGGGCGCTCGGCTGCTGCACCTGTTAGTGCTGGGCCCAGGTTGAGAGGCGACCTCCAGCCCCCACAATAATGTCCCGGGCTCTCTGGTTTGGGTCCTCGCAGCGCCCGATTGACCGCCAGCGATACGACGAGAACGAGGACTTGTCGGACGTGGAGGAGATCGTCAGCGTCCGCGGCTTCAGCCTGGAGGAGAAGCTTCGCAGCCAGCTGTACCAGGGGGACTTCGTGCACGCCATGGAGGGCAAAGGTGAGGCGCCCCCACCCCGGGCCGCCCTCTGCGCTGCGGGCCGAGCGCACGTGGGGAGGGAGCTGCCGGTGGCTGGGTTCGTATTTCGCGCCCGCGTCCCCCATTCCAGGGGATCCGGTGACGAAACGAGGCCGAGCACTGGGGGGGTGGGGTGGGGTGGTGAGGGAGGAGGGCAGGCAGTAAGGGGGGCCGGGCATGGGCCTAGGCCCGGCCCGCGCCCACCACCAGCCCCAGGGTGGGCAGAGCCAGGGGGCCGGCGGACAGAGGGACCTGGAGATGGACAGGCGGACCGAGGGAGGGCGGGAGCGCCGCGTCCTCCCCCTCCCCGAGCCGGTCGCGCTCCCTGCGCTGCCTGAGGTGCCGCCGCCTGGCTGGAACTGGGTTCAGGGCGCCCCTGGGGCATCGGGGTAAGGCCCCCCAGGCCCGAAGCCTTCCCAATCCCGTTCCCGCTTGGGGCCTGCCAGTGAGGAACTGGTGATGGGGGCGCGTCGGGTGTTTGGGACGATGCCCCCTTAGGCCTGGGGTCCGCAGAGCCGCATTCCCCCATGGGCTCTGCCAGATTGGATCAGGGACCCCATGAGCCCTGAAGCTGTTGACCTGAACCCCTACCTGGGCCGGAGCTGTCTAGCGCTACAGCCTTGATAGGTTGAAGCCAAGAATTGGGGTCAGGGGGTGACTTCCCTTCAGGCTTCTGGGGGAGATCCCTGTCCCCTGGCAGTTTGAAGTGAGGAAATGGGTCTCCTCCCAGGCCTGAGACTTGGAGAGCTCTGTTCCTTGTGGGCCCACCCAATTGAGAGCGGAATCTGGGGACGCCTCCAGGGTTTTGGAGACCTTCACGGCCTGAGTTTCTCCCTGGCTCTCCTACTAGGAGGGTGGTGGGGGTCACCCTCCAGATGTTAAGGTGACGCCCTGGGTTGCCTCTGAGGCCTCCAGAGCCCTGGCCTTCCCAGCCTGCAGCCAGTGTGGCTCCTGGTTGAGGAACCTAGTATTGCCTGCGGGATTGGGGTTTTGAACATGCCCTACCTAGCCTTCCCAGGCCCTTCACTCCTTTTCCCTTTCAGATATTTCAATTTCCTTTAAGTTACAAAGTTTCTATTTTGTTCCCCCCACGCCCCTTGGAAAACCCTTCCATCCCTCAGTGAGCTGATAACCTGGAGTGCCTCCTTCCCTCCTCCAGGTTCTGGTTGAGTGGCTGTGGCTGTGGGGTTAGCTCTGAGAAGAGACTCCCAGCTTTGCAGTTTTGCGATTTCTCTTTTGTGCCCATTGCCTCCTGGAGCGCTGGGCTCCGGTGGTGAGGGGTGTTTGTTGGGGGAGGGAAGAATAAATTTCTCCCAGCCTGCCTGGTCCTAGAGCAGGGTGCTAGTCCCAGCTGATTTAAATTTTCTCTACATAAGTGGAATTTTAATTCCTCTCCTTTCTTCCCCCATTTTTACTGAGTTGAGTCATTTGGTGGATCCTATGTGCAAACAATATGCAAACTCTTCCTAGTCATTTGGGAGGAATTCTCAGCCCAGGATTTCAGAGCTTTTTCTCAGGCTGATTTGAGGAAGTTGAAGCTGACCCTGGGGGATGGGGTGCCTAGGGTGGGTGGGTCTAGAGGGCCGGTATTCCAGCCAGGGAGAGCTAAAGTGTATCCTTAGATCTGCTCTCCCGGCTTCTTTCAAAGGGGAGGGCCCAGGGCTTTGCTCTTTAATTCAGATCTGGCCCCAAAACTTGAGGGAGGAGCTTAGAAACAGGAGCCCTTAGCCTGGATTCAAAATAGAAGCTTCTTAAACTTCTCTTCCTTTAAATCCTTAGGAATCCCCATTCACTGTGAGCCCCTGGGGATCTGAGCTGCTGAGGTCAGGGCTTTCCCCGGCTTTGGGTTTTGTTCTCTGTCTCTCTTCGGAGGGGAGTTGTCTTGGCCTCCTCCTCCCCCAAGGCTGCCCTGTGAACTGTTTCCCTGGGCTAGCAGCTTCAGTGGCCTGAGGCCTCTTCTTCTCCCTTCTGACGGTCGGAGAGGCCTTCTTACCTTGCGGATTACTTTAGTTACCTGAGGATTTGGGGGACGTGAGAATTTATCTCAAGACCCATCACCTTCATATTCAGGGGTGTATGGTTGGGTCAGATTCACTGGTTTCAGAATTGGGGAAGGAAAGAAATTAGAGGCCTCCTTCATCCTCCAGGACTTTGGGTAAGGATTTGGGGACTGTACTAGAAAAACCCCAGACAGAGAGCGAGCCTGTGAATTTTCCTTGGGTCTTGCTATGCCCCCTTTACACAGCCTTCCCCTGGGGAGCCTCCCTCCCGGTTATCCAGCTGAAGCAAGGACTGTGATGGCTACAGCAGAATTTCACTCTTAAGACAACAAAGCTGTGCCCAGTTCCCTAGTTATTTTGGCACCAAATACACAGTTTCCAGGGAAACCGGCTTTTCCCCCCTCCCCTTCACTATGCAGGATATTACAATAAGATTTTCACTGATGCTCAGCTACAATGAGGGCCCTCCTCCCAGCCTCCTCTCTGGGCCTTCAGATCCTCCCAGGTGGCATTCTTCAATTTTGCAGTCCCTTTACTTTCCGAGCGCGGCTTGGGATGCGTGTCTCTGTCTATCCCTCTTTCTCAGCAATGGCTGGGACTCTTTTTGTGCGGTGCTCTTTTGAGTCTTCCTCCCCAACCCTCGCTGGCCTTGGGCTGTTCATTGACAAGTTTGGACCGGTGGGGCATGCCGAGAATGACTGACTGAGTAGGCAGAGGAGCTGATCGTTGGCATGGCTTCTCTTGGGCTTTGCCTAATCCATTTCCCGATCATTTTCCAAGGAGCTTTTGCTGTACAGCTGGTGCCTGCATCTCCTGGACCCCCTGCCCCTTCGTCCATCAGTTTTCTTCCCCTAACCAACAGATCCCGGTTCATTTGCTCCTTCGTGACTTAACCAACTTGTTTTAATTCAAATATCCAAACAGATTTCAACTATGAGTACGTACAGAGAGAAGCTCTCAGGGTTCCCCTGATATTTCGAGAAAAGGATGGACTGGGAATTAAGTAAGTTGCTGAAACTAATCACTCCTTCCCCCGTCTTCCTCCCTAACATACTTTATAGCTTGGGATGGATTTCTTCCACCCTCTTCCCACCTCTCATCACTGAGAAGGATCTTTTTTCACGATCTGGGAACAGCATCTCCTTGTTCAAGGCCTGACAAAGGGGAAACACTCTCCAAAGACTGGTCTTTTGCAGGGACTTTGGGCAGAGAGAGGACATAGGGTAATTAAGCAGTGTTGACTTTTTTCCCTGACCCACCCCAGTTACACTCAGTGACCTCCTACAGAGAATTGTACCTCTCCTCCTTCCCCTTGCTCCAGATCAGGAGACTGAGGCAGAGCCTGAGCTGCAAAGAGACTAGCCAGCCTCTAAGCCCAGACCCAGGGCACCTAGATACATGTTTCTTATGCAGATTCCTGGGGTGCCAATGTCTCCCCTTTCTTTGCCTGCCCTGCAGCTTGCCCCTCCACTATGTCTGTTTTCATTCACTGAGATCTGTCAGAGCTCCAGGTTGGGGGAGAGGTCTGGGAGGCAGGCTGGAAGAACAGGTTTGTGCCCCTTGGGCAGGGGCAGGGGAGGAGGCTTGGGGTGTCGTCCCAGGCAGCCTCTCTCCAGCATCTGCTCCCAGACTTGCTCAAGAGTCCATCCCTGTGAGTAGGATTTAAACCTTGGGCATCATTGTTAATTAATAGTGAATTGTAGCCCATATTACCACATCCCTGGAACTAGTACAATGCGTGTCTTTTTTTCCCTCTGAACTTAAAGGGGTCCGTCCCACTTTGCATAAAACTCCTCATGGAGAGTATTTTCTAGAGGGAGAAAGAGACATAGAGAGGGCTACCCACCCTAAAAGAAAGCAGGCATTTGAATGTCTAGCTCTGGCCCTTACCTTTGACCCCACACTTCCAGCTTCCCTGGAAAAATGGGGTGGACAGTGGATGTCCTACCCTCTGCTGAGGTTCAGGTTTGAGTTGCCTCTTGGGGTAGGGAAGGGCCTCAGTGGTTCTGGGGTGACCCTCCCTGGAGGCATCAACTGGTCTACTTCTCTCCCTCTGGATGTTCTCATTTTGAGTTCCCAAACTGAGGGGAAAGGATCTCTCTTGGAAAAATGGCTTCCCCCCGGGCCCAGGGTAGTCTAGCTCTGTTGTTTCTGGCCTCTCACCAAAGGTCTGTGCTCCTCTTTCCCCAGGATGCCTGACCCTGATTTCACAGTCCGAGACGTCAAACTCCTAGTGGGTAAGTCGCTTGCCGTGTGTGTGGCTCAGACATGCTGAAGTAGGGAAGGGGAAAGAGGCGGTCACCACCTGCCCATTTAGACTTTTAACTGCCTCTCAAAACAAAGTCCCCACGGGAGAAGGCAGGAGCAGGTGTGAGCTGCAACCGTTTCATTCTGGAGAACAGGTAGGGTTGCAGTCTTAAGAAGCTGTATCAGAGGGCGTTTGCCGGTACACAGTTTTATGAGGCCCATTTGGACGCTGCCTCCAGCCTGGGTGTCAGCAACGCAATCTGAGATCTCTCTTCTGCATTTGTTTGTGGGTTGCCGGGTAAACACTGGGTGCTTTATGATCCCTCATAGACTTTAAGGCTTTCGAGGCGAGGGGCTGTTCCTCCTGCTTCCTTGGGGTTCTAGACAAGCCTGGGGCAGGGCTTGGAACTGCGAGCTCAGCAAATGCACATGAGCTCCCTGAGCACCTGCAGGTGGCTGATGACTTAGTACTCTGGACGCTCGGCCAGTAGTAGGTGGCATTTCAGATCTTACAGGCAGTTGTTCAATCAATCTATTCTTTCCAGAAAAACACTTTTTAGCTACTTGGTGGGCAAGGTCAGAGTTGCAAACAGATGGATAAGTTCCCTGCCCTCTTGGTGGGTACAAGAGGCAGTCAAGAAGTAAACAGTGGCCGGGTGCAGTGGCTCACACCTGTAATCCCAGCACTTTGGGAGGCCGAGGCGGGTGGATCATGAGGTCAGGAGATCGAGACCATCCTGGCTAACACAGTGAAACCCCGTCTCTACTAAAAATACAAAAAATTAGCCAGGCGTGGTGGCGGGCGCCTGTGGTCCCAGCTGCTCGGGAGGCTGAGGCAGGAGAATGGTGTGAACCTGGGAGGCGGCGGAGCTTGCTGTGAGCAGAGATGGCGCCACTGCGCTCCAGCCTGGGCGACAGAGCGAGACTCCGTCTCAAAAAAAAAAAAAAAGAAGTAAACAGTAGGCCGAGGGTGGTGGCTCACGCCTGTAATCCCAGCACTTTGGAAGGCTGAGACAGGCAGATCGCTTGAGCCCAAGAATTTGAGATCAGACTGGGCAACATGGTGAAACCCTCTCTCTACAAAAAATTAGCTGGGCGTGGTGGTGCATACCTGTAGTCCCAGCTACTCTGGAGGCCGAGGTGAGAGGATCACTTCAGTCCAGGAGGCAGAGGCTGCAGCGAGCTGAGATCATGCCACTGCACTCCAGCCTAGGTAACAGAGTAAGACTCTGTCTCAAAAAAAAAAAAAAAGTAAACAGTGTTTACAATGATATATCTGGCTGAGCACGGTGGCTCATGCCTGTAATCCTAGCACTTTGGGAGGCTGAGGCGGGAGGATTGCTTGAGGCCAGGAGTTTGAGACCAGCCTGGGCAACATAGTGAGACCCCATCTCTAAAAAAAAAAAAAAATTAGGCCGGGCACAGTGGCTCACACCTGTAATCTCAGCACTTTGGGAGGCTGAGGCGGGAGGATCACGAGGTCAAGATTTCGAGACCAGCCTGGCCAACATGGTGAAACCCCGTCTCTACTGAAAATACAAAAATTAGCCGGGCGTAGTGGCAGGCGCCTGTAGTCCCAGCTACTTGGGAGGCTGAGGCAGGAGAATAGCTTGAACCTAGGAGGTAGAGGTTGTGGTGAGCCGAGATCGTGCCACTGCACTCCAGCCTGGGTGACGGAGCAAGACTCCAACTCAAAAAAAAAAAAAAAAAAAAATTTATCCAGGTGTGGTGGTGTGTGTCTGTAGTTGTAGCTACTTGGGAGGCTGTGACGGGAGGCTCACTTGAGCCCAGGAGTTCACGCCCGCAGGCCATGATTGCATCACTTCACTCCAGCCTGGGCAACAGAGCGAGACCTATCTCTAAAATAAATAATAATCATAAAATGAAATGTCTTTTCTGATGGTGACAGGGCTATGTAAAAATAAACAGAATAATGGCATGGCACGTGGTGGGGCTTCATTTTAGACAGGGTGGTCAGGGAGGCCCTCTCTGGGATGAAGGGGGGCATTTGAACAGAGACCTGACTGATGAGAATCAGCTGTGGGAAAAGACATTCTAGGTTGAGGGAAGAGCAAGGGCACAAGGGAAGTCGGGGGATAAACTTGGAGTGCGGAACTGAGTGAGTGAGTGAGTGAGAAAGTGGCAGAAGAGGTGGCAGAGGCCACGGAGCTGGGATGTGAGGGCCTCCCAGGTTCCTGTAGGGAATTTGGGTTTGACTTCTAGTGTGTTGGGAAGCCACTGGGGAGCTTTAAAGTGGGGTGAAGGGAGTATCTCTGTGATCTGATTATTTTCTTGGGTTGGGTTTGAAACATTTTTATTTAATTTTATTTATATGTTTTAGAGACCAGTCTCGTGCTTTTGTCCAAGCTAGAGTGCAGCGGCGTGATTATGACTCACTACAGCCTGCAACTCCTGGGCCTAAGCGATCCGCCCACCTTAGCCTCGAGAATAGCTGGGACCACAGCCGTGTACCACCACACCCAGTTAGTTATTTACTTATTTTTGTAGAGATGGGGTCTTGCTACTACATTGCCCAGGCTGGTCTTGAACCATGCACCTGGCCACATTTAAAAAATTGAGAAGAGTGGCTGGGCGCCGTGGCTCATGCCTGTAATCCCAGCACTTTGGGAGGCCGACGCGGGCGAATCACAAGGTCAGGAGTTTGAGACCAGCCTGGCCAACATGGTGAAACTCCGTCTCCACTAAAAAATACAAAAAATTAGCTGGGTGTAGTGGCGGGCGGCTGTAATCCCAGCTACTCGGGAGGCTGAGGCAGGAGAATCTCTTGAACCCGGGAGGCAGAGGTTGTAGTGAGCCAAGATTGCGCCACTGCACTCCAGCCCAGGCGACACAGTGAGACACTGTCTCAAAAAAAAAAAAAAATTGAGATCATATTCACATACTATAAAAGTTGCCACTTAACCATTTTAAAATGTAGAAGTTGGTTGGGCGCGGTGGCTCACGCCTGTAATCCCAGCGCTTTGGGAAGTTGAGGCGGGCAGATCACTTGAGGTCCTGACCTCAAGTCAAGACCAGCCTGGCCAACATGATGAAACCCCGTCTCTGCTAAAAATACAAAAATTCACCACGTGTGGTGGCACATTCCTGTAATCCCAGCTACTCGGGAGGCTGAGGCAGGAGAATCACTTGAACCTGGGAGGCAGAGGTTGCAGTGAGCCGAGATTGCACCACTGCACTCCAGCCTGGGTGACAGACTGAGACTCTTTCCCAAAAAAAGAAAAGGCACAAGTCATTGGTTTTAATATATTCACAATGCTGTATAACCATCCCCACTAAATTCCAGAATATTTCTATCACCCCCAAAAGAAACACTGTATCAATTCCCCCATCGCTGTTAGATTAGCATGACTGCTAATCTGCCTTGTGTCTCTATGAAGTTGCTGATTCTGGACATTTCATTCAAGTGGAATCATAGAACACACGATCCTTTGTGTCTGGCTCCTTTCACTTGGTGTCATGTTCTCAAGGCAATCCATGTTGCAGCATGAGGCAGTACTTCACTCTCTTTCTTGGCTGAATAATATTCCATTGTATGGATAGACTACATTTTGTTTATCCAAAAACATTTGTTTTTGGACCACATTTGTTGATGGACATTTTGGTTGTTTCTACTTTTTGGCTGTTATGAATAATGTTGCTAAAAATATTCACATACAGGTTTTTGTTGAACATGCATCTTCACTTATCTTGGGTATATCTTTAGGAGTGGAATTGCTGGATCATGTGGTAACTGTGTTTAACTTACTGAGGAACTGCCAGACTGTTTACCAAAGCAGCTGTGTCATTTTACACTCCCATAAGCAGTGTGTAGGGGTTCTGGTTTCCCTACATCCTTGTTAACACTTGTTATTGTCTGTCTCTTTGACGATAGCCATGCTAGTGGCTATGCAGTGAGGTCATTTGATTGAAGTTTTATAGAAGCCAACTCTGGTGTGTCTGTGTGGAGGATGAAAGCAGCCGGCCAGTGTGTCAGATGTGTCAGATGATCCAGCCAGAATAATTGACCCAAAAGCATGTTAAAGATATGCAGGCTGGGTGCGGTGGCTCACACCTGCTAGTTCCAGCACTTTGGGAGGCCAAGGTAGGAGGATCGATTGAGGCCAGGAGTTCAAGACCAGCCTGGGGAGCATGGCAAAACCTCGTCTCTACAAAAAACACAAAAATGGCCAGGCGCAGTGGCTCACGCTTGGAATCCCAGCACTTTCGGAGGCTGAGGCAGGTGGATCACCTGAGGTCAGGAGTTTGAGACCAGCCTGGTCAACATGGTGAAACCCTGTCCCTACTAAAAATACAAAAAAATCAGCCGGTCATGGTGGCGGGCACCTGTAATCCCAGCTACTTGGGGGGCTGAGGCAGGAGAATTGCCTGAACCCTGGAGGCAGAGGTTGCAGTGAGCAGAGATTGGCCATTGCACTCCAGCCTGGGCAACAAGAGCAATACTCTGTCTCAAACAAAACAAAACAAAACCAAAAAAACCCAAAAAACCCAAAACACAAAAATTAGCTGGGCTTGGTGGCATGCCTCGGTAGTCCCAGCTCCTCAGGAGGCTGAGGTGGGACACATCACTTGAGCCTAGGAGTTTGAGGCTGTAGTGAGCCAAGATCACGCCACTGCACTCCACTCCACTCTGTCAGGGCAACAGAGCGAGATCCTGTCTCAAAAAAAAAAAGAAAGAAAGAAAGAAAGAAAAGAAAAAAGAAAGCAGGAACAGTCATCCAGCCCCCTCTCCCTTGGTATTTCTGTGATGATCAAATGGAGCGATGAATGTTCAAGTGCTTTGCAGAGGGACAGCTGCTCTGAACTCTGAGGGAGGCCGCTGACTGCAGTTGGCCTGGGGAATTATTATGCCCATTTCGGTCTCTGAGCTGCACACAGGCTTCCAGAGAGTGGTGATAGGGCACATTTGTTATAAGTGACCTAAGTGACAAATGTAACTCTAGCTGTCCTAAGCAAAAGGAAATTCATAGACTTAGGTCGTAAGTTCAGCATGTAACCTCCGGGGACATCTATGTCTGGATGCTCCAAAATGATCTTGAGAAATTGAGTCTGTTTCTCCTTTCTGCTTCCCACTTCGACTCCCTCTTTCTGCTTCATTCTTGGCAGGCTTCTCCCCATGGGAGGGTAGGGAGGGTGGGTGAAGAAGGGGCCCACAGCAGCTTCAGGCGTCTATCCTGCCAGCTCAGGGTCCTTCCCAAAACCTCAGTCATTCCCTTAGATGCCTCTGGATTGGCTCTGACAGTCTTAGCACAGCCTTCAGCCAGACTGGAGTTGCTGGCTGGGGTCAGCCCAGCAGAACCACGTGGACTGAAAGTGGGGAAGCAGTGATTCTCCAGGGTTGCTGGGTGACATAAACACAGCCCTAACAGACGTGAGAGTCTGCTTTGGAGGGCAGTGTGTGGGGAAGGTTGGGCCAGCCCTCCCAGTCATTGCGGGGTCGCAGCCTGTGTCTTGCAGCCTCTGTCTTCCAGTGTCTTACCTTGCCCTGGGCACTGCACCACGGGACGTGGCCGTTTGAGAAAGGGATTTGTGCACTACCAGGTGTTCAGGACACAACTCGGGGCTGCAGACTCTTCTCTAATGTCCTAAAATTGGGCTTTTCTCCATCAGCAGTCTGTTCCCAGCTCCAAGCCTTTTTTTTTTTTTTTTTTTAACAAAAAAGCAGTTTCCATTTCTGTAACACTGTACCCTTAAAAAAACCCCATTCATTGAAGTATAATATACATGCAGAAAAGTGCACATATGGTAACCACGTAGCTCGATTAATTTTAACAAACTGAACACATCAGGGTAACCAGTACCCAGAATCCCCTGCGTCTGCCCATGTAGTCTCCGCCCTCCACTGCTAGTGAACCTGACTTCTAGCCCCTTGGATGAGTTTCGCCTGTTTTCACATTTTATGCCAGTGAAATCGTGGAGGATGTCTTCTTTAGTTTTTGGCTTCTTTTGCTCAGCTTTGTGTATATACAATTCGTCCATATTGTTTGTTGTGTGTAGTTGTAGATTTCTTTTCTTTTTTTGTGTGTATGTGTGTGTGATTTTGTTTGTTTGTTTTTTTGAGATGGAGTTTCGCTCTTGTTGCCCAGGCTGAAGTGCAGTGGCACCATCTTGGCTCACTGCAACCTCTGCCTCCTGGGTTCAAGCGTTTCTCCTGCCTCAGCCTCCTGAGTAGCTGGGATTAGAGGCGCCCGCCACCACGCTTTTATATTTTTCGTAGAGATGAGATTTCACCATGTTGCCCAGGCTAGTCTCAAATTTCTGAGCCCAAGCAATTCTCCTGCTTCGACCTCCCAAAGTGCTGGGGTTACAGGTGCGAGCCACTGCACCTGGCCTTTGTTTCGTGGTTGGATATTTTCTGAAATGTCTCATCAGGTCTTTTCTCCATTATTTCAAAGGGTTGGCTCTTATTAATTGTCAGGTGTATTCGTTTGCTTGGGCTGCCGTAAGAAAGTACCACAGATGGGGGCTTCAACAACAATTTATTTTCTTAGGCTGGGCGCAGTGGCTCACGCCTGTAATCCCAGCACTTTGGGAGGCTGAGGTGGGCGGATCACCTAAGGTCAGAAGTTCTAGATCAGCCTGGCCAACATGGTGAAACTCAGTGTCTACTAAAAATACAAAAATTAGCCGGGCTTGGTGGTGCACAGCTGTAATCCCAGCTACTCCTGAGGCTGAGGCAGGAGAATTGCTTGAACCCGGAGAATGGCTTGAACCCGGGAGGTGGAGGTTACAGTGAGCCGAGATTGCACCACTATACTCCAGCCTGGGTGAGAGAGTGAGACTCCGTCTCAAAAAAAAAAAAAAAAAAAAAAGAAATGTATTTTCTGACAATTCTGGAGGCAAGGAATCCGAGATCAAAGTGGCAGCAGCTGTGGTTTATTTGAAGGTCTCTCTTCTTGGCTTGTAGTTGGCTGTCTTCTCCCTGCCCTCATGTGGTTTTCCCTTTGCATGTCTGTCCTAAACTATTCTTTTTTGTAGAGACGGGTCTTGCTTTGTTGCCCAGGCTGTTCTCAGACTCCTGGGCTCAAGTGATCCTCCCGCCTCGCCATCGCGAAGTGCTGCAATTGCATGCGTGAGCCACAGTGCCCAGCCCCTAAACTCTTCTTATAAGGACACCAGTCATATTAGATGAGGGCTCACCCTAAAGATGTCATTTTCACTTAATTACATTTTTAAAGACCCTATCTCCAAATATGGCTACATTCTGAGGTGCTGGGGGTGAGGACTTCAGCATATTAATATATACACCTTATAGGTAGACACAATTCAGACTATAAGACTTTTTTATATATTCTGGATGTGAGTCTTTTGTCAGATATATATATATTCCCAGGTGGGGGGCGGTGGCTCATGCCAGTAATCCCAGCACTTTGGGAGGCTGAGGTGGGTGGATTACCACAGAGGTCAGGAGTTTGAGACCGGCCTGGCCAACATGGTAAAACCTCGTCTCTACTAAAAATACAAAAATGAGAGGCAGGGTGTGGTGGCTCACACCTGTAATCCCAGCTACTCAGGAGGCTGAGGCAGGAGAATCACCTGAACCTGGGAGGCGGAGGTTGCAGTGAGCTGAGATTGCGCCACTGCCCTCCAGCCTGGGTGACAGAACAAGACTCCATCTCAAAAAAAAGAAAAAAAAACTCCCACTTTGTGGCTTGTCTTTTCACATTCCTAAAAAGGTGTCTTTGAATGAGCAGAAGGTTTGTTTTGTTCGTTTGTTTGTTTCAGGACAGAGTCTTGCTCTGTAGCCCAGGTTGGAGTGCAGTGGCATGATCTTGGCTCACTGCAACCTCTGCCTCCTGGATTCAAGCGATTCTCCTGCCTCATCCTCCTGAATAGCTGGGATTACAGGTGCCGGCCACCATGCCCGGCTAATTTTTATTTATTTATTTATTTATTTTTGAGACAGAATTTCGCTTGTCGCCCGGGCTGGAGTGCATTGGCGCGATCTCGGCTCACTGCAACCTCCGCCTCCCCGTTCAAGCGATTCTCCTGCCTCAGCCTCCCGAGTAGCTGGAATTACAGGCACCCGCCACCATGCCCAGCTCATTTTTATATTTTTAGTAGAGACAGGGTTTTACCATATTGGCCAGGATGGTCTCGAACTCCTGGCCTCAGGTGACCTGCCTGCCTCAGCTTCCCAGAGTGCTGGGATTACAGGCGTGAGCCACTGCACCCAGCCAATTTTTGTATTTTGAGTAGAGACGGAGTTTCACCATGTTGGCCAGGCTGGTCTTGAACTCCTGACCTTGTAATCCTCCCGCCTCAGCCTCCCAGTGTTGGGATTACAGGTGTGAGCCACCACGCCTGGCCTAGAAGTTCTTAATTTTAACACAGACTATTTAGCTCTGCTTGTTGCATTAATTCTTTTTGTATCTGGCTTAAGAAAATTTTGCCTGCTCTAAGGTCATGAAGATTTTCACGTTTTTCTCAAAAAGCCTTATTGTTTGAACGATTATATTTTGATCTATAGTTCATCTGGAATAGATTTTTCTGTTTGGTGGAAGATGAGGTCAAGGTCTCCCCTTTTTTCCCATATGGATGTCCAGTTGACCCAGCACTGTTATTATTATTAAAAAAAAAAAAAAATTCCTGGGCCGGGCACGGTGGCTCACATCTGTAATCCCAGCACTTTGGGAGGCCAAGATGGGTGGATCACCTCAGGTCAGGAGTTCGAGACCAGCCTGGCCAACATGGTGAAACCCCGTCTCTACTAAAAATACAAAAAATAAGCCGGGTGTGGTGGCAGGTGCCTGTAATCCCAGCTACTCAGGAGGCTGGGGCAGGAGAATTGCTTGAACCCGGTGGGGCGGAGGTTGCAGTGAGCCAAGATTGCGCCACTGCACTCCAGCCTGGGCAACAGAACGAGACTCCATCTCAGAAAAAAGAAAAAAAAATCCTCTTGGCCAGGCGCGGTGGCCCGCGCGTTTTAATTCTAGCACTTTGGGAGGCCAAGGTGGGCAGATCACCTGAGGTTGGGAGTTCGAGACCAGCCTGAGTAACATGGAGAAACTCCGTCTTTACTAAAAATAGAAAATTAGCTGGGCGTGGTGGCACATGCCTGTAATCCTAGCTACTCGGGAAGGCTGAGGCAGGAGAATTGCTTGAACCCAGGAGGTGGAAGTTGCGGTCTGCTGAGATCGTGCCATTGCATTCCAGCCTGGGCAACAAGAATGAAACTCTGTCTTAAAAAAAAAAAAAAAAGTCCTTTCCCCATTGGCAATGAAATCTTGTTTTGTCATAAATGAGGTGACTCCATTAGTGTGGGTCAGTTCCTGGCTGGTGTGTCTATTATGAAGCCAGTGCCACACTGTCTTAACTAGCTTTATGATAGGACTCACTCTGTGATAAGTTCTTCAGCTTTGTTCTTTTCCAAGATTTCCTTTTCAGGCCGGGCGTGGTGGCTTAAGCCTGTAATACCAGCACTTTCGGAGACCTAGGAGGGAGGATCGCTTGAGTCTAGGAGTTTGAGACCAGCCTAGGCAACATGATGAAACCCCTCTTTAGAAAAAAATACAAAAATCAGCTGGGTGTGGTGGTGCACGCCTGCAATCCCAGCTACTCTCCTATCCAGCTGAGGCAGGAGAATTGCTTGAACCCCAGAGGCGGAGGCTGCAGTGAGCCAAGATCATGCCACTGTACTCAAGCCTGGGTGACAGAGAGGGATCCTGTCTCAAAAAAATAAGAAAAAGAAAAGAGAAAAAAAAAAGATTGCCTTGTCTTGTGACCCTTTGTGTTTCCATATGAATCTTAAAATCACCTTGTCCATATTTCTTTAAAGGTGGCTGTAATTTTGATTGGAATCTTGTTGATTTTGTGGATCAACAGGAAGTTTTTATTATACGGAGTTTTCTATTCAGTGAACATCGCATATTGTTCCGTTGATTTGTAGGGTTTTTGTAGAAGACTTGCATATCTTCTTAGGTTTATTCCTAGGTATTTGATTTTTGGGGTTTGTTATTTTAAGTTAAGCAATTATACCATCTATTAACAATAGCAGTTTTGTTTCTTCTTTCCAATCTTTATGCCTTTTATTTATTTTATTTTATTTATTTATTTTTGTTGAGACGGATTCTCGCTCTGTTGCCCAGGCTGAAGTGCAGTGGCGCCATCTCGGCTCACTGCAAGCTCCGCCTCCCGGGTTCACGCCATTTTCCTGCCTCAGCCTCCCAAGTAGCTGGGACTTCAGGTGCCCGCCACCACGCCCGGCTAATTTTTTTGTATTTTTAGTAGAGACGGGGTTTCACCATCTTAGCTGGGATGGTCTCGATCTCCTGACCTCGTGATCCACCCGCTTCAGCTTCCCAAAGTGCTGAGATTACAGGCGTGAGCCACAGTACCTGACCTCTTTTAATATATTTCCTTGTTTTGTTGCACTGATTGGGACCTAGACAGTATACTCTTTGTTGTGGGGGGTTCTGCTCTGTTGCTGAGGCTGGAGTCCAGTTGTGTGATTACAGCTCACTGCCGCCTCAACCTCCTGGTCTCAAGTGATTCTCCCACCTCAACCTCCCAAGTAGCTGGGACTACAGGTGCGCCACCATGCCCAGATCATTTTTAAATGTTTGTAGAGGCAGGATTTCCTTATGTTGCCTAGGTTTGTCTTTTTTTTTAATTTTTTTTTTGAGACAGAGTCTCACTCTGTTGCCCAATATGGAGTGCAGTGGTGTGATCTGGGCTCACTGCAACCTCTGCCTCCCAGGTTCAAGTGATTCTCCTGCCTCAGCCTCCCAAGTAGCTGAGATTTGCTACTTTTTGTATTTTTAGTAGAGACGGAGTTTCACCACGTTGGCCAGGCTGGTCTCAAACTCCTGACCTCAGGTGATCTGCCTGCCTCAGCCTCCTAAAGTGCTGGGATTACAGGCGTGAGCCACTGTGCCTGGCCTTTTGTTTTGTTTTGTTTTGACTTTTTTTTTTGGCAGAGTCTCACTCTATCACCCAGGCTGAAGTGCAGTGGTGCGATCTTGGGTCACTGTAACCTCCACCTCCTGAGTTCAAGCAGTTCTCGTGCCTCAGCCTCCCGAGTAGCCAGGATTACGGGCAGCCGCCGCCACGCCCGGCTAATTTTTGTATTTTTAGTGGAGATGGGGTTTCACCATATTGGCCAGGCTGGTCTCGAACTCCTGGGCTCAAGTGATCCACCCATTTCGGCCTCCCAAAGTGCTGGGATTACAGGCGTGAGCCATCGAGCCCGGCCTTCTTTTTTTGTTTTTTTGAGACAGCATCTCACTCTGTCGCCCAGGCAGTGGCACAATCACACCTCACTGCAGACTTGACCTCCTGGGTTCAAGTGATCTTGCTGCCTCAGCCTCCCTAGTAGCTGGGACTATGGGCATGCACGGCTAATTGTTGTTATTTTTTATTTTTTGTAGAGATGAGTCTCGCTATGTTGCCCAGGCTGCTCGCAAACTCACGGGCCTAAGCGATCCACCCACCTTAGCCTTCCAAGTAGCTGGGATTACAGGCGAGAGCCATTGCACCAGGGCCCACATATTATGTCTTTATCGGATTTCTCTCTAATGAGAGAATCCAAACCAACTGATGCTTTCTTTGGCCCTTTTCTTGAACCTTCATGACAAATGACTTCATTCGGTATTCATGCAATTATACTAATAATCACCTATCTTTTATCGCATATGTGCCATAGGGATTCACTTTGTTCTCCTCAGTAGTCATATGAATTAGGCATTCACTTTTCCAGGTGGGGCATCTGAGGCTTGGAGGGATCGAACCTCACAGCTGGTAGGCAGTGGAGCCAGGACTGCACCTGGCCCTGGGTGTCTTCAAAGCCCATGTTATCTCTTTCCCCTCCTCCTCCCCCCTCTCTTCCTCCTCCTCTTTCTCTTCCTCCCCCCTTCCTCCTCCTCCTCCTCCATGCTTTCTTCCCTTACAGATTTACTGGGTGTCTGTATGGTGTCTAGCCTGGTGCTAGTCAGGAGCTGTGGATCTTGCCCTTGATGGACTGTGTTTTGGAGAAAAACTAAGTTCTCACCCCTTGGAAATCAAAGCTGGCTGACTTGTCCCCAGACTTTTTTTTTGAGACAGAGTCTCACTCTGTTGCTCAGGCTGGAGTACAGTGACCCCATCTCAGCTCACTGCAACTTCCGCCTCCCAGGTTCAAATGATTCTCCTGGCTCAGCCTCCTGAGTAGCTGGGATTACAGGCTCATACCACCACGCCCGGCTAATTTTTTGTATTTTTAGTAGAGATGGGGTTTTGCCACGTTGGCCAGGCTGGTCTCAAACTCCTGGCCTCAGGTGATCTGTTCGCCTTGGCCTCCCAAAGAGCTGGGATTACAGGCGTGAACTACTGTGCTGGCCAGGCCTTTTTAAAGTTTTTTTTTTCCCCAAGACAGAGTCATGGAAAAAAAGTCACCCATGTTGGAGTGCAGTGGCTTGATCTCGGCTCGCTGCAACCTCTGCCGCCCAGGTTCAAGCTTCTCCTGCCTCAGCCTCCTGAGTAGCTGGGATTATAGGCTCGCACCACCACGCCCGGCTAATTTTTGTATTTTTAGTAGAGACAGGGTTTCGCCATGTTGGCCAGGCTGGTCTCGAACTCCTGACCTCAGGTGATCCGCCTACCTCAGCCTCCCAAAGTGTTGGGATTACAGGCATGAGCCACCGCTCCCGGCCTAAAGTTGGTTTAAAATCATAGACTTTTTCCATTTTAAGCTCGGGAAGGAGTCTTAGAGTTCTTCCAGTCCTGCTTCCCCATTTCACAAATGGGAAAAACTGAGGCCTGTAGACAAATTATTTTTGAGTTGCTCAGATAGTGCTTGGCACATCAGAGTCACATGTAGGTTTGACTTTCAGTGATTGGGAGAACACAATGCTTCCAATAGACCCCCAGAAGAAAAGCAACTTGGGGCTGGACATAGATGGGTGTGGTTCCGGGCACATTGAGTTGGATCTCATGAGAGAGGTCAAGGCCAGAGCGGCAGGTAGGGGAGGCATCCAATTGCCAGGACAGATAGAAATGCAGGGAGAGGGGCCAGGCGCCATGGTGCACCCCTGTAACCCCAGCACTTTGGGAGGCTGAGGCGGGCGTATCACTCGAACTCAGGCCTCACTGCTATTTCAAAACAGTAGAGCAGAGTCGGATTTGAACCTGTGACCAGTGCTCTTGCTAATCAGTGCTACCTGTGTGACACGGATGAGGAACAAAATACAAAACCAGTCCAGAAATGTGAGGATGCTGGAGAAGGTTCCAGAACTGTGATGTGGAAGAGTTCTGTGAGCTCTCGGAAGAGCCGGGCTCTGGGGAGTTTGGGGTCGCGCCCGTGTATGTTTCACATTAGCCTTCAAGATGACTTTCAGCAGCCTCGTCCTGGCCCCGAGCCCGAGGCTTTCGGAGCTGACGGATGGAACCTTCAAAGCAGGGGCCACAGGGCCATGGACTAATTTCCGCAGCTGGAACCTGTTGGATGTGTGTGCAGCCCGGGAGCCAGAACACCGATGATCCTGGGGTGGGTGGGCGGCGGAGGGAGGGAGGCTGCTGGCCTGCCTAGGAACTCCAGGCACTGCCCCATGTGGAAAATTTCTCCTGTAACCCACTGACTTCAGGAACCCGAGAGCCCCAGCAGTGTGGATCCCTTGCAGGTCTGAAGGGACGCTTGTCCCTGTCAGCTGCTCTAGGGATGGCTGCTCCTAAAGGCTGGGAGGGCTGCATTCCATTCTTGGCACTGATCTGTCCCCTCCATCCCTTTAGGCTACCTGCCTCCTCCCCGGTGCCAAACCTCTTGCTTAGAGACTCAGCCTGTGTGCCTGGTTCCCTTTGCTCCTGTGGCAGATCAGACCGGGAGGCTGGAGGGCTCATTCTTCATCTCTCAGCTCAGGCCAAAAGGGACTGGCGGCCCCCGTCTCTTCCTCTGCCCCCACTGCCCCTGCCCCTGCCCACTTTATACATTTAAGGGAAGTGATCCGAGTATTCAGGAACTGAAACTCAGTGCCTCGCCCCTGGGAAAGGACCCAAAAATGCCCCAACCCAGTGAATTTCAAAGGGAAACCCCAGGGATCTAGGTCTGAATTCTGAGCACCCCCCACCCACCTCCTGCATCAGCCTGAGCTGCTTGTTTTGTTTTTATTTATGTGTATTTGGCTGTCATCAAAGCTTCTGTTTGAAGAAGGGGTTCTGTGGTGAAGGAAAGAAAAAGTATAAAGTCAGTTTCTTCCTGCCTTTACACACAAGGCAACTGAGTTCTGGAAATGGGTCAGTCCAGGCTGGGTGAGGTGGCTCATGCCTGTCATCCCAGTGCTTTGGGAGGCTGAGGCAGTAGGATCACTTGAGGCCAGGAGTTTGAGACCAGCCTGGTCTCAAACAGAGTGAAACCCTGTCTCTACAAAAGAAAATAAAGCCAGGCATGGTGACTCATGCCCATAGTCCCAACCTCCTTGGGAGGCTGAGGTCGGAGGATCGCTTGAGCCCAACAGGTCGAGGCTGCAGGGAACCATGATGGCACCATTGCACTCCAGCCTGGGTGATAGAGCGAGACGTCTCCTAAATAAAAACATATAAAAACACAGTGACTCCTTAAAATTATTAAATACCCATTTTCAATGATCAAATTTCTACTTGTTTCATATATATATCATAGATGTTACTCCTTTTTTTTTTTTTTTGAGATGGAGTTTTGCTCTTGTTGCTCAGGCTAGAGTGCAGTGGCACAATCTCAGCTCATCTCAACCTCTGCCTCCCGGGTTTAAGCAGTTCTCCTGCCTCAGCCTTCCGAGTAGCTGGGATTACAGGCATGCGCCACCATGCCTGACTAATTTTGTGTTTTTTTTAGTAGAGACGGAGTTTCTCCATGTTGGTCAGGCTGGTCTCGAACTCCCGACCTCAGGTGATCCTCCTGCCTCGGCCTCCCAAAGTGCTGGGATTACAGGCATGAGCCACTGCACCTGGCCTGGTTGAGCTGCATTTTAAGTCTCTTTCACTCTCTGGATTCTCCCTACATCTCCTGCCTCCCTGGTCCCCTCTGTTGCTATCACCGTGCCACTCTGGGTAGTGTTCTGTCACGTCTGTGTTTCCTGCTGCCCCGTGGGGGCTGGACCCCAGCTGTGTGGCATGAACAGGTGACCTGTCCATTTCTGTTTCCCTGGGGGAGGGGAGGTCCGTGAAGCCCAGGTGCCCAACAGAACTGACTTTCCTTCCTCCTCCCACCACTTCCCCTCCCACCCCTCCCATAGACCTGGAAGTCCAGCTTCCAGGACACCTGGGGAGCTGCTCAGAGCTCCCGGCACACTAAGGAAACTCTTCTTAGAACCAAGCCTCCCGACCTTCTGCTCCTAAGACGGTCACTTGGCCTGCCCAGGCCTCTTGCCTATACGCTTCCCCCTATGACTTCAGCCCCAGCTGCTCCCCACAGCCCTTCCCTGGTCTGAGGCAGGCATACAGCTGAGTTAAGCCAGTCCCTTAAGTCCTGACTCCCTTGCATCAGAGGGCGGAGCAGGCTGAGGTGTAGTCAGCGGGGACCCTGGCTTGGCCCTGGCCTGACTGGGAGTCTTGAACACTGGTCCCAAGTGGCATCTGTGATGTGAAAAGCTGCAAAGTAGCGGAGGCCAAGAGGGTGCCTAGGAGGTGCTGGGGAGGGCGGC
Source organism: Homo sapiens (assembly GCF_000001405.40). NCBI lineage: Eukaryota > Metazoa > Chordata > Mammalia > Primates > Hominidae > Homo > Homo sapiens. The sequence goes on along the minus strand of NC_000012.12, from coordinate 121,558,928 downwards.
GATGGCAGTGGGAGGCATGGTTATTCCTCAGAAAAGGAGGCTGGGTGCCATGGTTCATGCCTGTAATCCCAGCACTTTCAGAGGCTGAGGTGGGCAAATCACTTGAGGTCAGGAATTCGAGACCATCCTGGCCAACATGGCTAAACCCCATCTCTACTAAAAATACAAAAATTAGGCTGGGCGCAGTGTCTCACGCCTGTAATCCCAGCACTTTGGGAGGCCGAGGCGGGCAAATCACTTGACGTCAGGAGTTTGAGACCATCTTGGCCAACATGAGGAAACCCCGTCTCTACAAAAAATACAAAAATTAGCTGGGGCATGGTGGCATGCGCCTGTAGTCCCAGCTACTTGGGAGGCTGAGGCAGGAAAATCGCTTGAACCCAAGAGGCGGAGGCTGCAGTGAGCCGAGATCGCACCACTGTACTCTAGCCTGGGCAACAGAGTGAGACTCCGTCTCAAAAAAAAAAAAAAAAGAAAAAGAAAAGGAAACACAGGCCTTCTCCACACATGTCTGTCCTTCTGTGTTGAGCCGTGCTGTCCCAGGGCTGCTCAGGACCTACCAGGTGATTCCAGGTGGGGCTTCATGGCTTCATCTTTTTTGTTACACGTGCCCACCCAGAACCACCCCCAGGTCAGGTCTTTAGTTCACCTGCCATTTGTCTGTGAAGTCGTGTGTCAGATGCCACACAGAACATAAAAGTAAATAACAGCACTCATTCCTCATGCGACAAAGAGTGAGCTCCTAGCCTGCACCAGTCTCTGTTCTAGAAATCTGGACTAGAGTAGCGATCAAGACAGGCAAGCCTCCTGCCCTCACGGCACTCACAGAGCAGCAGGGTGGAAAGACAAGAAACAAGTAACCAAGAAATACGGTATTTAGGATGAAGTGGTATGAGGTCATCAGTGGGTGACACCTTTCTGTTTGTGAAGCTACTAGGTAAACTGCGATTTCGTTATAGAAGGTGTTGGCCCCGTGATCCGCTTATACCAGGCTCTGGGAGGGAGGCAAGGGGAGGGACCAGCCCTCCCCTGTGTAAATATGTCACATTTATGGAGCCATGTAGGTATACCCAGTCATTCTCTCACTAACCCTTCGATTAGTTTCCTAGGCTGTCATAACAAAGTACCACAAAGTGAGTGGCTTAAAACCACAGAAGTTTATTCTCTCACACTTCTGCAGGCTAGAAGTCCAAAATTAAGGGTGTCTGTAGGGCTACATTTCCCCCTGAAGTCTCTAGGGGCAGGTCCTTCCTTGCCTTCTCTGGCTTCTGGTGGTGGCTGGCAGTGCTTAGTGCGCCTTGGCTTGTAGCTGCGTCACTCTGATCTCTGCCTCCGTCTTCACGTGGCTGTCTTCCTTCTGTGTGTCTGTGTCCACATTTCCTTTGTCATGGCTGGGCACGGTGGCTCACGCCTGTAATCCCAGCACTTTGGGAGGCTGAGGTGGGTGGATCACCTGAGGTCAGGAGTTCAAGACCAGCCTGGGCAAAATGGTGAAACCCCGTCTCTACTAAAAATACAAAAAAATTAGCCGGAAGTGGTGGTAGGCGCCTGTAATCCCAGCTAATCGGGAGGTTGAGGCAGGAGAATCGCTTGAACCCAGGAGGCAGAGGTTGCAATGAGCTGAGATTGTACCACTGAACTCCATCCTGGGGAACAGAGTGAGACTCTGTCTCAAAAAAAAAAAAAAAAAAAAAAAATTCTCTTGTCTTATTAGGCCTACCCTAATCCCATATGATCTCATTCTAGCTTGATCACGTCAGCAAAGACCCTGTATCACAGATATTAGGGACTGAACATATATTTTGGGGGAGTGCAGTTCAACTCACAGTACCCCTTGAGGTACGTGGGTAGCCAAAACCGTTAGCAAATTACAGGGAACTGGGTAGGCTGAGGAGGGGAGGGTGCTGATTTCTGGTTAGTGCCTTCCCTGCGTCTACTGTTCGATCTGGGTCATAATCTTAGCTAATCCTACAACCTTTTTTTCTTTTTAAAATTACATTTTTATTGATTTACTGGCTTAGTTCACTTTGTGTTGCTATAAAGGAATGCCTGAGGTTGGATTTTTTTTTTTTTTTTAAGGACAGAGTCTCACTCTGTCGCCCAGGTTGGAGTGCAGTGGCACCATCTCAGCTCACTGCAACCTCCGCTTCCTGGATTCAAGTGATTCTCCTGCCTCAGCCTCCTGAGTAGCTGGGGTTACAGGTGCGCATAACCAGGCCTGGCTCAATTTTTGTATTTTTAGTAGAGACAGGGTTTCACCATGTTGTCCAGGTTAGTCTCAAACTCTTGACCTCAAGTGATCCACTTGCCTCGGCCTCCCAAAGTGCTGGGATTACAGGCTTGAGCCATGGTGCCCAGCTGGGTTGGATTATTTATAAAGAAAGGTTTATTTGATTCAGCTCTGCAGGCTGTACAGGAAGCATGGAGCCAGCATCTGCTTCTGGTGAGGACTTCAGGAAGCTTCCAGTCATGATGGAAGGGGAGGGTGAGCTGGTGTGTCACATAGCCACAGAGGGAGCAAGAGAGAGAGGAGGGAGGTGCCAAATGCTTCTAAATAATCCAGCCTGTAGCCCCAGCTATTTGGGAGGCTGAGGTAGGAGGATCGCTTGAGCCCAGGAGTTTGAGGCTACAGTGAGCCATGTTCAAGCCACTGCACTCCAGCCTAATGAGCAGAGTGAGGCTTTGTCTCAAAAAACAAAAAACAGGCCGAGTGCAGTGGCTCACCCCTGTAATCCCAGCATTTTGGGAGGCTGAGGAGGGCAGATCACAATGTCAGGAGTTCAAGACCAGCCTGGCCAACATGGTGAAACCCCATCTCTACTAAAATACAAAAAATTAGCCAGGCGTGGTGGTGCGTTCTTGTAGTCCCAGCTACTCGGGAGGCTGAGGCAGGAGGATCTCTTGAACTTGGGAGGCAGAGGTTGCAGTGAGCCGAGATCGTGCCACTGTACTCCAGTGTAGGTGAGAGAGTGAGACTCCGTCTCAAAAAAAAAACAAAAAACAAAAAAAACAAAACAAAAACCCAATTCAGTCTCATGGGAACTAATAGAGTGGGAATTCACTCTTTATGCAAGGAGGGTACCAAGGCATTCGTGAAGGATCCACCCTCACGTCCCAAACACCACACACCAATTCCTACCTCTAACATTGGAGATATTTGAGAGATATTCATGTTTCAACATGAGATTTGAGATTTGGGGGGGAAAAATATCCAAACTATATCACTTACTTATTTATATTCTTATAAAAAATTTTGGCCAGGTGTGGTGGCTCACGCCTATAATCTCAGACATTTTGGGAGGCCTAGGTGGGCAGATGACTTGAGCCCAGGAGTTTGACACCAGCCTGGGCAATATGGCGAAACCCCGTCCCTACAAAAAATACAAATATTAGCCGGGTATGGTGGCCCACGCCTGTAATCCCAGCTACTTTGGTGGTTTAGGCACAAGAATTACTTGAACCAGGGAGGTGGAGGTTGCAGTGTGCTGAGATCGTGCCACTGCACTCTAGCCTGGGAGACAGAGCGAGACTCTGTCTCAAAAGAAAAAAATAAAATTACCCCAGACTAGTTATTCTTTCTTTTTTGATACTTTGACACTTGCAAAATAAATAACATTTTCAGGGTCTTAAGGTATAATTTTGTAAATTACTATATCCTCATAACTAAATGATATGATTAAACATTATTTTAAATTGGTATCCATTTTTTATAAAATAGGATTGCTATCTACTGTTTTTTAAAATTTTTTATTTTTTAAGATAGAGTCTCACTCTGTCACCTAGGCTGGAGTGCAGTGGCACAGCCATTGCTCACTGTAGCCTCTGCCTTCCAGGCTCAAGTGATCCTCCCAAGTAGCTGGGAATACTGGTGTCTGCCAACATGCACAGATAATTTTTAAATTTTTTGTAGAGATGGGGTCTTGACATGTTATCCAGGCTGGTCTTGAACTCCTGGGCTTAAGTGATCCTCCTGCTTCAGCTTCCCAAAGTGTTGGGGTTACAGGTGTGAGTCACCACACTCAGCCTACTCTTGCATTCATCAAATATTTGAGTGCTGCATGAATCCCAGATGCAGATGTTCTTTTGTTTTTTCTGGTCCACATTTGGACTAAGACTGAAAATCATAACTTGTGGATTAATACCTGTGTGCATGTGAGAGAGGTATATATACCTGGGATTAAATGAGAGTATAAAAGTGTTAATTTAAAGTATGTTACAGGCCGGGTGCGGTGGCTCACGCCTGTAATCCCAGCACTTTGGGAGGCTGAGGCAGGTGGATCACCTGAGGTCAGGAGTTCTAGACCAGCCTGGACAACATGGTAAAACCCCGTCTCTACTGAAAATACAAAAATTAGCTGGGCGTGGTGGCAGGCGCCTGTAATCCCAGCTACTCGGGGGGCTGAGGCAGGAGAATCGCTTGAACCTGGGAGGCAGAGGTTGCAGTGAGCCGAGATCGCGCCATCGCCATCGCACTCCAGCCTGGGGGACAAAAGAGAGACTTTGTCTCAAAAAAAAAAAAAAGTATGTTACAAAGGGCAAGTATCATGATATATACAAGGTATACATTTATTTGGAAACACTCCCAGATTACTTGCCATCTCTGAGACTCTCCATTTTAAAAAAGTAAAAAGTTTCATTGAAATATAAGTCACAGACCATACAATTCATTTCACCCCACTTTTTTTTTTTTTGAGACAGGATCTGGCTCTGTTGCCCAAGCTGGAGTGCAGTGGCACGATCATGGCTCACTGGAGCCTCAACCTCCTGACGCTCAAGCAGTCCTCCCACTTCAGCCTTCAGAGTAGCTGGGACCACCGGTGTGGGTCACCATGCTTGGCCAATTTGTGTGTGTGTGTGTGTGTGTGTGTGTGTGTGTGTGTGTGTGTGTGTGTGTGGAGCTGGGGTGTCACTATATTACCCAGGCTGATCTCAAACTTCTAGGGCCCAGCGCTCCTTCCAGCTCTGTCTCCCAAACTGTTGGGATTACAGGTGTGAGCCACCAGCCACCAAGGCCGGCCACAATTCACTTGTTTTCAGTATATTCACAGAGCTGTGCAACCATTATGAAAGTCCATTTTAGAACTTTTTCATCATTCCCCAGAAGAACCCCACACCCATTTGCATCTTGAATATGTTGTAGGGTCCTAAGCAGTCTGTTCACTGGGACTGGCCAGCAACGATTTAACTGGCTGTGATGCTGGGCAAGTCCCTAAACTTCCCAGCTCCTCACCTTCTCCACCTCTAGTTACAGATGAAACTGACCGACTCGGTAACGCTACCTACCTGTAGGTGCTCCAAGTGAGTGTGAAGTGCATGAACTCAGTTATGTCTCAGGACAGCTCCTGGGCTGGCTATTTGTTCCCCATGTTATAGATGAAGAAGAAACTGATTCCCAGAGAAGCCAAGAGCCCGAGGCACAGGCTGGAGGCTCCGCTGGGAACCGAACCCTCTAAATTTTAACAGTGTGTGGGTAGGGGTAGCTGAGCTTGGCCTTCAGTGCTGACTTGCAGGACTCTGGGTTCGTGATTTTAGTGCTCTTTATCCTATTTGCTACCTGCCCAGCAGACTCCTTTGCACAGGGAGCTTTGCAGACATGACCTTGAGCAAGATTAGGGAGGAGAAGTGGGTGGAGGTGGGAGGCTGGCCAGAGAGCGAGAGTGGGGAGGGTACCGGGGTTCTTTCTTTCTTTTTTTTTTTTGAGACAGAGTCTTGCTCTGTCGCCCAGGCTGTAGTGCAGTGGCGCGATCTCGGCTCGCTGCAACCCCGCCTCCCGGGTTCACGCCATTCTCCTGACTCAGCCTCCCAAGTAGCTGGGACTACAGGCGCCCGCCACCACACCCGGCGGATTTTTTGTATTTTTAGTATTCTCGGGGTTTCACCGTGTTAGCCAAGATGGTCTCAATCTCCTGACCTCATGATCTGCCCGCCTCAGCCTCCCAAAGTGCTGGGATTACAGGCGTGAGCCACCGTGCCCGGCTGGTACTGGGGTTCTGACAGCAGGGTTTCTGCCAGGTGGGCCTCCTGGAAAATCTGAGTGGCGCCCACGTATTCCAGGCACCTGGGTAAGGAAGGAGCTAGCCTTGCCAAGATCAAGGCCAGAATATCCAGCGAAGAACGGGGATGCCCCCTGGTGGATCTGCACTCCAGACGCCAAAACAAAAGCTGCTTTCCCCTGGATCCACTGCTTCCTAGGGTCCATGGGGAGGGACCTGGCCACTGCTGTGGTCTGGAATCTTTTTTTTTTTTTTTTTTAATTAAGACAGAGTCTCACCATGTCACCCAGGCTAGAGTGCAATGGCACGACCTCAGCTCACTGCAACCTCCACCTCCTGGGTTCAAGCAATTCTCCTACCTCAGCCTCCCAAGTAGCTGGGATTACAGACGTGTGCCACCATACTTGGCTAATTTTTGTATTTTTAGTAGAGATAGGGTTTTGCCATGTTGGCCAGGCTGGTCTTGAACTCCTGACCTCAGGTGATCCACCCATCTCGGCCTCCAAAAGTGCTGGGATTACAGGCATGAGCCACTGCACTTGGCCAGGTCTGGGGTCATGTTTCAACCTTAGCATACGATCAAGATTCAGTATTCGGGGGATGGGAGAGGAACCTGGGCTTAGGCATTAGAATGAATTGGATTCAAATACCACTCTGCCACTCACGAATTGGGCATTCCTGGGCGAGTTAGTTGTCCAAGTCTCAGCTTCTCCTCCATTAAATGGGTGTAATTGAAGTTCTGCTTCACAGAGCTGTGACCACGATGAACCTAACACAAGATAATATATGTAGAGAACCCGCCTGTGCTGACACACATAGTAAATGGTAATGGTTGTAATTGGTAGTAAGAGTCTACTCTGGGGAGCTTGAGCCAGTTGCTGTGTCTCTGGGCCTTGGTCTCCCCATTTGTAAAACAGACTGTCTCACCTTGCTTTTCCAGGTTGCTGTGAAATTTAGATCTTGAACCCAAAAGATAGAAATACCCAAGTTCTCTTACATACTTAAGGTGTTACTTTCTTTTTTTGTTTCCTTTTTGTGGAGAATGTGGTCTCCCAGCCTGGGCAACTTAATGAAACCCTGTCATGCTGGGCGCGGTGGCTCACACCTGTAATCCCAGCACTTTGGGAGGCTGAGGCGGGCGGATCACTTGAGGTCAGGAGTTCAAGACCAGCCTGGCCAATATGGCGAAACTCCATCTCTACTAAAAATACGAAAAAGAGCCGGGTGCGGTGGTGCACGCCCTTAATTCCAGCTGCTCGGGAGGCTGAGGCAGGAGAATCACTTGAACCCCGCAGGTGGAGGTTGCAGTAAGCTGAGATTGTGCCACTATACTCCAACCTGGGCGACAGAGCGAGACTTTGTCTCAAAAACCAACCAACCAAACAAAGAAAACCAAAACCCTGTCTCTACAAAAAATAAAAACCTGGTTGGATGTGGTGGTGCCGCCCTGTAGTCCCAGCTATTCAGGAGGCTGAGGCTGGAGGATCCCTCGAGCCAGGGAGGTTGAGGCTGCAGTGAGCCACGATCGTGCCATTGCTCTCCAGCCTGGGTGACAGAGCGAGACCCTGTCTCAAAAAAAAAAAAAAAAAAAGAATGGAATCTTGCTGTGTTCCCCAGGCTGGTCTCAAACTCCCAGGCTCAAGCACCATCCTCCCACCTCTGCTTTTCTAAGTGCTGGGATTACACAGAGTTACTTTTATTTTTCAGTTCCGACCACATGAAAGGCTATGTTTATTTATTCAACAAATATTGACCACGGGCCTGTTAGAGGGCAGGTTCAGTGAACGGGATGAGACTATTACCCATATCAACATCTAAGTTCCATGAGAGTTCTGTCTAGTTCAAGGGCCAGCAAACTTTCTCTGTTAAGTGCCAGAGAGTAAATACTTACGGGTTTTCAGGCCATTTGGTCTGTTGCAACTACTTAGCTCTGCCATTGTCGCACGGAGCCAGCCCTATACAATATGTGAACCGATGACCGTGGCTGTGCCCCAGGAAAGCTTTGTAAATGGACCTGAGAATTTGGGTTTCATATAGTTTTCATATCACAAAATAGTATTCTTCTTTTGATTTTTCCCCCTCCGTTAACAAAAATGGAAAACCCCTCAAAACGTATGGCTATTGTAGGGAAAAAAAAATCTAGGCCAGTTGCGGTGGCTCATGCCTGTAATCCCAGTACTTTGGGAGGCTGAGGTGGGTGGATCCCTTGAGGTCAGGAGTTCAAGACCAGCCTGACCAACATGGCGAAACCCCATCTCTACTAAAAATATAAAACTTAGCAAGGTGTGGTAGCACATGCCTGTAATCCCAGCTATTCAGGAGGCTGAGGCATGAGAATTGCTTGAACCCAGGAAGTGGAGGTTGCAGTGAGCCGAGATTGTGCCACTGCATGATCTCAGTCTGGGCAACAGAGTAAAAAGGAAAGTTAAAAAATTCTTAACTTCTGGGTCACACAATGATAGGCCGTAGGCTGGATTTGGCCCTTGGGCTGTCATCATATGGTGGCCTTTGGCTGGTTTAACCTGTAACCTGTTGAGGTGGCTGTGAAGAAAGGTGGTCACTGGCTTCTTGGGATTTTCTTGTTTATATGTTTATTTCCTTTTCTTTCTTTCTTTTTTTTTTTTTTGAGACAAAGTCTTGCTCTGTTGCCCAGGCTGGAGTGAGGTGGCGCCATCTCAGCTCACTGCAACCTCTGCCTTCCGGGTTCAAGCTATCCTCTTGCCTCAGTTTCCTGAGTAGCTGGCACTATAGGCGTGAGCCACCACGCCCGGCTATTTTTTGTATTTTTAGTAGAAACGGGGTTTCACTATGTTGGCCAGGCTGGTCTCGAACTCCTGACCTCAGGTAATCCGCCCTCCTCGGCCTCCCAAAGTGCTGGGATTACAGGCATGAGCCATCATGCCTGGCCATCTTTGTATTTTTAGTAGATACAGGGTTTCACCATGTTGGCCAGGCTGGTCTCAAACTCCTGACCTCAGGTGATCCCTCCACCTCGGCCTCCCAAAGTGCTGGGATTACAGCCTTAAGCCACCATGCCCAGCTGCTTGGGCCCCTTTAGGTAGCTTTTGAGGTCATCGCAGACTGGCGTGGAGGCCATGGTGGTGCAGGGAAGCAAGGTGGGTGGGAGACAGATCCCAGAAGGAAAGCCGATGGGGTGAGGTAATTGAACAGATGAGGAAGAGGGGTGAGGACTGTGGGGAAACGTGGAGGAGCAGCTTTTGTTTAGTGAGGGGCTCCCATGTAGGATCTGGAGCCTTAAGCCGGCAGGAACAACCAGTGTGTGGCTTCTGCCTCCAGGGAGCCGGCGGCTTGTGGACGTGATGGATGTGAACACCCAGAAGGGCACGGAGATGAGCATGTCCCAGTTTGTGCGTTACTACGAGACGCCCGAGGCCCAGCGGGACAAGCTGTACAACGTCATCAGCCTAGAGTTCAGCCACACCAAGCTGGAGCACTTGGTCAAGCGTCCGACTGTGGTAGGTCCGGGGCCCAGGTACCCTCCCCAGATACCTTCCACCTCATCTCCTTCCCTGTCCCCCTGCCACCTGGGTTGTGCCTTGCAAAAAGGCTCATGTGGGTGTGGCTGGCTGGGCTTGGCAGGCATAGGGGTGACTAAGGTTGGTAACGTGGTTTGTAGAGACAGGGATCTTGCTATGTTGCCCAGGCTGGCCTTGAACTCCTGGGTTCAAGTGACCCTCTCACCTTAGCCTCCCAAAGCACTTAGATTAGAGGTATAAGCTACCGTGCCCGACCCCCAGCGACTGTTTCATCTCCTTCCCTTCTACAAAGTGTGGGTCCTGTCATCCCTGCCCTTCCTTCCTCCCATGTTGGGACTATTGAGCCCACAGTAGATTGGGGGAGCGGGGGGGCCCAAGGACTCTCCGGGGAAAGGGGTATTTGTGTCTGGCTCGGCAGTGGAGAAATGCAGTGCTCACACTGGTCTGGCTTTCAGGTAGACCTGGTGGACTGGGTGGACAACATGTGGCCCCAGCATCTGAAGGAGAAGCAGACAGAAGCCACGAACGCCATTGCAGAGATGAAGTACCCGAAAGTGAAAAAGTAAGACTGCCTGGCTGGTGGCCAGAGCTGGCAGGGTTGACCCCCAGGCTTGGGGAGGTGGGGAGGTGGGAAGGAGGCTCCTGGCCATCAGTGAAGGCTTGAGCGTCACAACCGCTCCCGTTCAGAACTGAAGGACTGTGCCTGTGGGGGCACAGCTGGGACAGGAGGGACGGGGTCCTTCGCGTGTGCAGGTTGGCTGCAGGGGCTCTGATGTCTGCTCTGGGACCAGCTCCCCTGGGGATCTGTGATCTGAGGAGGAGTGATGGCAGACGCCTCTGCATCGGTGTGTGTGTCTGTACGCAAGGGCACAACTGTGCATACTTTTGTGCACTCCCTCCATGAGACATTGTGTCCTGGGAGTGGGCATTTTCGGGGGACCTGCCCACATTGGATGCTTTGGTTTTGGTGAGCAATGGGGAAATACCTACCTGGCATTCTTTTGTTCCTTGGTGTTGAGACCTTGAAGCTCATACCCAAAATAACCTTTCCCAAACATAGTCCAGGGGCCACCTGCTCACCTGATGTACCTTAGACAGTGCCCTCTGAGCAGGAGGCTGACACTAGGTACAGAAGTTAACCATGGTTTATTTTTTTATTTTTATTTTTTTCTGAGACAGAGTCTTGCTCTGTCTCCCAGGCTGGAGTGCAGTGGCACGATCTCTGCTGACTGCAACCTCCGCCTCCTGGGTTCAAGCAATTCTCTTGCCTCAGCCTCCCAAGTACAGGCGTGAGTCACGGCGCCTGGCCAACCATGGTTTAATAGCAAAGACATCACAACATGTGGCATTACCAGCAAGTCCTGAGACTGATTATTTAACATGGGCTGTAGCACCTTTGAGCCCCTCCATGTTCAAGGACTTGAGTAACAGAACTTTTGGGAGGAGGAAGTCACCTTTGAGGCTTCCAGCTCTGTTTCCAACTCTGAAAGGGGAAAGAGGCCGGGCGGGGTGGCTCACACCTGTAATCCCAGCACTTTGGGAGGCTGAGGCGGGCAGATCACGAGGTCAGGAGTTCGAGACCAGCCAGACCAACATGGCAAAACTCTGTCTCTACGAAAAATACAAAAATTGACCCGGTGTGGTGGTGCACGCCTGTAATTCCAGCTACTCAGGAGGCTGAGGCAGGATAATTGCTTGAACCTGGGAGGCGAAGGTTGCAGTGATTGAGCCACTGCACTCCAGCCTGGGCGACAGAGCGAGACTCTGTCTCAAAAAAAAAAAAAAAAAAAAAAGGAAGGGGAAGGAGACACAGGCTGTCCCAGGCAGGGCCATTGCTCTGGGCTTCCTAGAAGAGTTGGCGCTGGCGGCCTGAATCCATTAGCATCTGTCTGCTCAGCCCTGCTGCCAGGAATGCCCCCAGGAGCTTCAAGGCTGTGAACTTTTCATTCACTCAGCCCTTAATTCAGTGCATAGTGAGTGCGGACTGCATGCCAGGCTTTGTAAGGGAGGCCAGCAGGCTGGCCCTTGGGCTTCTCAAGGTTTTGCTTTCAAGCTCTCTCTCTCTCTCTTTCTTTAATTACTTTGTAGGCGGTTTTCCTCCCCTTCAAGCTGAAGCTCCATCCATGCCTTGGATCTGGGCTGCATCAAAGGCAGAGACTGGGCTCGAGGTGGGGAGGGAGCAGGGCTTGTTTTCAATTCCATTCTGTTTGGATTCAGTCGCAGCAAAATTGACAGAGCTCCTGGGATGGGGAAGTAAAAACAGGAACAAGACTACAAGCCCCTACCCTCTGGAGAAAGTGCTGTGCCTCGCGTAGGGGCCTGAGGTGTGGCTCCAGTCCTGGGAGGGGAGCAGGGACTAGAGGAATCCCATTTGGCTGGTGTCATCAGGGGACATCCCCTTCTTGGAGAGGACATTCTTCCTGAGCTTCAAATGACAGAGGAGGCCAGGTGCGGTGGGTCACACCTGTAATCCCAGCACTTTGCGAGGCCAAGAGGGGGCAGATCACCTGGGGTCAGGAGTTTGACACCAGCTTGGCCAACATGGTAAAACCCCATCTCTACTAAAAAAATAAATTAGCCAGGTGTGGTGGTGGGTGCCTGTAGTCCCAGCTGCAGGAAGCAGAAGATTTGCTTGAACCTGGGAGATGGAGCTTACAGTGAGCCGAGATGGCATCACTGCACTCTAGCCTGGGTGACAGAATGAGAGCATGTCTCAAAAAAAAAAAAAGACAAAGAGGCTGGGCGCGGAGGCTCACACCTGTAATCCCAGCACTTTGGGAGGCCGAGGTGGGCAGATCACGAGGTCAGGAGATCGAGACCATCCTGGCTAACATGGTGAAACCCCGTCTCTACTAAACAAACAAACAAAAAAAAAAAACCAAAAAAAAATTAGCCGGGCATGGTGGCGGGCGCCTGTAGTCCCAGCTACTCGGGAGGCTGAGGCAGGAGAATGATGTGAACCCAGGAGGTGGAGCTTGCAGTGAGCCGAGATCGCGCCACTGCACTCCAGCCTGGGTGACAGAGCGAGACTCCGTCTCAAAAAAAAAAAAAAAAAAAAAGGCAAAAAAAAAAGACAGAGGAGATGGGAGAGAAGTGAAAAGGGCCCCGAAAAAAGGCTGTGGGACTCAGAGATTATTAGTTAGAGGCAGATGATGGCTCATTGATTGATTGAGATGATGGTTCATTGATTGGTTGATTGATTCATTCATTCATTCAGCGCCTATGTCTTGAGCCCTTGATTGGTGCTGAGTACTGGGGTTTACAGTGGGGAGGAAACCAGAAGAGGTTCCTGCTCTCCTGGAGCATACACAGTGTATGGGGGAGACAGATGTAAATCCAGTAATCACAGAAATAGATGGGAACTTGCAGCTGCGATGAGGCCCACAGTGCCCCAGAGCTGGTACTAGGGGAGGAGATTCGCCCAGTCAAGGTGGTCGGGGAAGGTGTTCTGAGCTGGAGTCTGAAGGCTGAGCAGGGTTACTTAGGTGAAGAAGACTGGGAGGGCTTTCCTGGCTGTGTGTAGTCGACTTGGGATGGTGGGGAGGGGCAGGGGACCTGTGGAAGGAAGGCCAGTGGGGCTGGAACAGAGGCAGTGAATGCAGGGTGGGTGTGGGGTGGGCCAGGCAGAACAGAGGGTCTGCATTTCCTGTAAGAACAGCTGGAATCCTCTCCAAGATTTTGAGCAGAGAGAAATGTGTTCAGGTTTGCATTCTGCAGGTCCTCTTGTTGCTATGGGGATTGGATGGCGTGGGGGCACGTGAACATGAGGAGGCCACGGCATGGTGTGGAATTGGGAGTGACGGGCAGGGAGAGCGGAGGGGCTGAGGGTCCAGCTGGACATAGATTTAGGAATGCAAAAGAGACTGCGCTGGGTGACACAGATTTCAGTTTCATAATTAATGCCTACCTTGCCTTCCTGAGATACTCAGCATATTCTGCACTTTATTGAAAGATTCCTTTAAATAGTAAGCTCTATTAATATATTGAGGATCCTATCTAATTACCAAAAAAAAAAGTGAGGCTCACACACTCATTTTTTTTTCTTTTTTTAAAACCGTTGTCTGTCACTGTGCACACACTGCCAGTTTTCTAGGACCATTTGTCTTGGGGTCGAATTGTGTGGCGAATAGAGCTACGGACCCCGTCAGTGGTCATGGGAACTGGTTAGAGGATTCGAACCTCGTTAGGAAGGAAATTGTCATCTTGGAAATAGTCCATTTGTTTTGCTGAAAAGAATACCGATTTCAGTTAATAAGCAAGGTAAAAAAAATCCCACCCTGATGAAGTCCTCCGGGATCGTAGAACAGTTCTGTAGAATTTAATTAAGATGACATTGTTTCTAGAAATCATGGAGCTTTCATGCTGGAGGCCCTGGAGGGTAGAGATGGCTGTCAGCACACCTGAGGGAAGGACTGCAGTAGGGAAGAGAGAAGTGACACAGACACACGACTGCTTCCCCCACCCGGCTCCAGGACTTTTGGTGATGGGCTTAGGAATTTTTAAAAATTTTTTAATTTTTATTTTTTTAGAGAGGGTCTCACTCTGTTGCCCAGGCTGGAGTGCAATGGCACGATCTCGGCTCACTGCAACCTCCGCCTCCCAGGTTCAAACGATTCTCCTGCCTCAGCCTCCCAAGTAGCTGGGATTACAGGCACCCACCACCACACCCAGCTAATTTTTGTATTTTTAGTAGAGACAGGGTTTCACCATGTTGGCCAGGCCGGTCTCGAACTCCTGACCTCAGGTGATCTGCCCGCCTTGGCCTCCCAAAGTACTGGGATTACAGGCGTGAGCCACCACACCTGGCTGATTTTTTCTTTTTTTGGGGGGGGACGGAGACTCACTGTGTTGTCCAGGCTGGAGTGCGGTGGTATGATCTCAGCTCACTGCAACCTCCGCCTCCCGGGATCAAGCGATTCTCCTGCCTCAGCCTCCCGAGCAGCTGGGACTACAGGTGTGCACCAACACACCCGGCTAATGTTTATATTTTTAGTAGAGACGGGGTTTCACCATGTTGGCCAAGCTGGTCTTGAGCTCCTGACCTCAGGTGATCACCTGCCTTGGCTTCCCAAAGTGCAGGGATTACAGGTGTGAGCCACCATGCCCAGCCAGGAATCTTTTTGTTTATTTGTTTTTTATTTTTTGGAGACAGAGTCTTGCTTTGTTGCCCAGGCTGCAGTGTAGTGCACAGTCCTAGCTTACTGCAGCCTTAAACTCCCAGGACTCCTCCTACCTCAGCTTCCTGAGTGATCCTCCTACATCAGCCTCCTGAGTAGCTAGGACTATAGGTGTGTACCTGGCTTTTTTTTTTTTTTTTTTTTTTTGAGGCAGGGTCTCTCTCTGTTGCCCAGGCTGGAGTGCAGTGGCGCAATTGTGGGTCGTTGCAACTTCCTCCTCCCAGGCTCAAGCAATCCTCCCTTTCTCAGCCTCCCGAGCAGCTGGGACCATAGGCACACACCACCACGCCTGGCTAATTTTGTTAGATATGGGGTTTCGCCATGTTGGCCCAGGCTGGTCTTGACCTCCTGGACTCAAGTGGTCCACCGACCTTGGCCTCCCAAAGTGCTGGGATTACAGGTGGGGTGTGCCACTACTCCTGGCCTAATTTTGTTTTTTGTTTTTTAGACGGAGTCTCACTCTGTCGCCAGGCTGGAATGCAGTGGCATGATCTCGACTCACTGCAACCTCTGACTCCCTGGTTAAGTGATTCCCTCAGCCTCCTGAGTAGCTGGGATTACAGGCACACGCCACCATGCCCAGCTAATTTTTGTATTTTTAGTAGAGATGGGGTTTCACCATGTTGGCCAGGATGGTTTCGATCTCCTGACCTCGTGATCTGCCCACCTCGACCTCCCAAAGTGCTGGGATTACAGGCATGAGCCACCAGGCCCGGCTGATCTTTTTAAAAATTAAAAAATTTTTTTTTAAATTTGTAGAGATGGCAGCAGGGGGATGTCTCTGTGTTACCCAGGCTGGTCTTGAACTCCTGGCCTCAAGTGATCCAGATAGTTACAAATATGGGTGTGAGCCACCATGCCCAGCTGGCTTAGGACTCAGTGTTTTTCTTTTCTTTTTTCTTTTTTGAGAAAGAGTTTCACTCTGTCGCCCAGGCTGGAGCGCAGTGGTGAGATCTCAGCTTACTGTAACCTCCACCTCTGGGGTTCAAGCGATTCTCCTGCATCAGCCTCCCAAGTAGCTGGGATTACAGGCTCCCGCCATTACACCCAGCTAATTTTTGTATTTTTAGTAGAGACAGGGGTTTCGCCATGTTGGCCAAGTTGGTCTTGAACTCCTGACCTCAAGTGATCTACCCGCCTCAGCCTCCCAACGTGCTGGGATTACAGGCATGACCCATGACCCACTGCGCCGGGCCTCAGTGATTTTTATTTTAGTTGAGATACTTAAAAACAGGTAGGAGTAATAGGAGTGGAGTGGGGGTAGTTGCACCTTCACAGAGACAAAAGATTTGCAAGGAGTATGTTAATTTATTAGTTATCTTATGTGCAAGACATGATTCTATGTAGTAGTGGGTGGACTTCAGTGCATAAAGCCAAGTCCCCATTCTCGTGGAGCATACATTGTGGTGGGAAAAAAGAGACAGGAAAGCCAATGAGGGAATAATTTAGGAGGTTTAATGGTCATGGAGAAACATAAAGCAGGAAAAAGGATTGGGCTGAATGAATACTGAAGACAAGGTGCATCTCTGCCAATGGCCTTTTTCTTCATCTGTACCCTGCAGGAATGCATTGGATGTATAGAACCATTTGTCTTAGAAAATTCCTTATAACCAAATAGATAGTGACTGTTATTTGGGAGTATTCCTGCATTAGTTGCTTATTGCTGTATAATTATTCTAAAACTTCAGAGCTTAAGAAAAATTTTAGCAGCTTAAAACATCAAACATTATCTCACAGTTTCTGTGATTCAGGAATCTGGGAACAACTGAGCTGGGTGGTTCTGGCTCAGGGTCTCTTATAAGCTTGTGTTAGGCCTTGGCCATGTGTGGTGGCTTACGCCTGTAATCACAGCACTTTGGGAGGCCAAGGGGGGTGGAGTGCTTGAGCCCAGGAGTTCAAGAGCAGCCTGGCCAACATAGTGAGAAATGTTGCAGTGGGGGGAATGATGTAGGCCTGGGCTGCAGTCAGCTGAAGCCTCTATGGGCTGGAAGATCCGCTTCCAAGATGGTGCATCCCCGTGGCTGTTGGCAGGAGGCCTCAGTTCCTTGCCACATATAGCTCTCCATAGGTCTGCTTGAGTGTCCTCATGATATGGCAGTGGGTTCCCCATAGTGAATGGTTCAAGAAACACCAAGGAGGAAGCCACAGTGCCATTTATGACCTAATTTTGAAAGTCACATATTGTTTGCTCCTGCCATATTCTGTTAATTAAAAGTAAATCACTAAGTCCAGCTCATACTCAAGGGGAGGAGAATTTAGCTCTGCCTCTCGAAGGGAGGTGTATCAAAGCATTTGTAGACATGTTTCAAAGCCTCCACAGTTGCCTAGTTCTATGACATGGGCTCACCTTTTTCACTTAGCACCGCTGGGTTCTGTGATAGATTCCAGAAGTGGATTAGTGAGTCTCCTCCCCTCCTTTGCTCCTGTAGAATACAGGTTTGTAGAGATCAAGTTTCTTGGTGGAATGAAGATATGCTGTGATCTGACAAGCAGTAAAGGAGCTCAAAAGCCCAGCAAAATGGGGACCCCACATAAAGCATAGGTTTGGCCCTCAGATAATTGATAGTTGAGTGGGTTCTCTTCCCTGTGTACTTTCTGGGGGTGGCAGGAGGAACTGGGGAAATTGTTGGGGGAGTGAGAACCTGACACACAGAGAAGAGGAAACAGAGGCACTGGGCTGGGCACATTTTGGGGCACATTTTGTGTACATTTTGGGGCTTCTGCTACTCTCTCACTCCAGCAAGGCTTTCTTTTTTTTTCTCTTTTATCTATAGGATTCTGCTTGATAAATAAAATTTCCCTCCCTCTCTCCCTCCCTCCCTCCCTCCTTCCCTCCGTCCTTCCTTTTTTTTTTTTTTTTTTTTTTGAGACAGGGGCTGTCTCTGTTGCCAAGGCTTCAGTGCAGTGGCACAATCACAGTTCATTGCAGCCTCAGAGTCCTGGGCCCAAGGCATCCTCCTCCCTCCTTCTGGAGTAGCTGGCACTACAGGTGTATGCCACTATCCCCTGGCTTATTTATTTATTTATTTTGAGTGGAGTTTCACTCTTGTTGCCCAGGCTGGAGTGCAATGGTGCGAGCTCTGCTCACCCCAACCTCCGCCTCCTGGGTTCAAGCGATTCTCCTGCCTCAGCCTCCTGAGTAGCTGGGATTACAGGCATGTGCCACCACGGCTGGCTAATTTTGTATTTTTAGTAGAGACAGGGTTTCTCCATGTTGGTCAGGCTGGTCTCGAACTCCCAACCTCAGGTGATCCACCCGCCTCGGCCTCCCAAAGTGTTGGGATTACAAACTCAAGCCACTGCACCTGGCCCATCCTCTTGAAGGGACTGTTTCTTCTTCTACAATGTAGGGGTCCTGCCATCTCTGCCCTGCCTTCTTCCCATGCTATGGGGGAGACAGAGCCCACAGTGGATGTGGAAGAGTGTTCACAGGTGGGCAAGATATTTGTCCATGTGGCTGCATTGGAATTCTGGCATCCTCTACTTTTTTTTTTTTTTTTTTTTTTTGAGACAGAGTCTCGCTCTGCTGCCCAGGCTGGAGTGCCGGTGATGCAATCTCGGCTCACTGCAACCTCTGCCTCCCGGGTTCCAGTGATTCTCCTGCCTCAGCCTCCCGATTTAGCTGGAACTACAGGCATGCAACACCACACCCGGCTAATTTTTTTGCATTTTTTCAGTAGAGACAGAGTTTCACCATGTTGGCCAGGCTGGTCTTGAACTCCTGACCTCAGGTGATCCGCCTGCCTCAGCCTCCCAAAATGCTGGGATTATAGGTGTGAGCCACTGCACCTGGCCCTCATCCTCTACTTTTCAGTCAACCCTCCTTCACATCCGTATGGGGCTTTTATGTCTACATTGCACATTCACCCTTAACCTCAAGACCTACTCTCTCATCAGCTGTGTTTGCTGGCATTATAAATGATCATCCCTGTGTAATATGTCAGATAGGGAAACCGGCCCCGCACAGGGAGGATGCTGTGGGCCATGCACTAGACCCCAGGCCTTTAGATTCCTGGCTTTTTCTCTCAACTGCTCTACCTTTAAAAGAGGAACAAAGAAAGCCAGCATTCCTGTGTGTATGGACCAACGCACCACCATAGACACTTGGCATGCATATCTCAATAAGGGAGGCATGGGTTACTATCCCCATTTTATAGACAAGGAAACTGAGGTTCATAGTGGTTCAATGCAGGTAACAAGTGAGTACAAGGTAGTAGGGTTAGGCGAGCTGCGGTGGCTCATGTCTGTGATCTCAGCACTTTAGGAGGTCCAGGTGGGTGGATTGCTTGAGGCCAGGAGTTCGAGAGCAGCCTAGCCAATACAGCAAAACCCCATCTGTACTAAAAATACAAAAATCAGCCGGGTGTAGTGGTGTGCCCCTGGAGTCCCAGCTACTTGGGAAGCTGAGGCATGAGAATCTCTTAAACTCGGGAGTTGGAGGTTGCAGTGCGCTGAGATCATGCCACTCCACTCCAGCTTGGGCAAAAGAGCAAGACTCTGTCTTAAAAAACAAACAGACAAACAAACAAACAAACACATTAGGGGCTGATGAGGCTTGTGGATAACTCAGAAATTCCTTTAAAAGTTAAAAAAAAAAACTGCTGGCCAAACCAAGTGCTTCTGGGGCCTGGTGTGACCCACGAAGACACCAGTTAGAGGCCCCTGATTAGTGGGACTCTGAGTTCCAGAAAGGGGGAAGATCAGTCCAATGTCACAGAGCCCAGTGAAGTAATTATAGGGTTGCTGCAGGGTGCTACGGTTACACAGATGAATCGGATATAGTCCCTGCCTTCAAGGAGCTGAGGCATTTGTGACTAAAAATACAATTCTCTTATGTGGATAGCCTGGTCCGGCCATCAGGACTGTCTCCTCTCCTAGCTCATTTAATGCCACATCCTTTTCTTTCTTTTTTTTTTTTTTTTTTTTTTTTTTTTTGGGAGAGGGTCTCCTATGTCACCCGGGCTGGAGTGCAGTGGCGCAGTCGTGATTCACCCTTGACCTCGTGAGGTGAAGCAGTCCTCCCACCCCAGCCTCCCTGGTAGCTGGGACTACAGGCGCGCACCATTATGTTGGTTGTCTTAGGGGTGAAACGAGATCACGCATGTAAACAGCTATTATTATTATTAGCACTGGTAATTAGAACCTGTTAATTAATATTGCTCAGTAGTCCTGGTGGCTGGGGTTTGGAGAAAGAATGGAGAGGCTGGAATCTGCCCCTGCAGTGGCTATGGGACCATTTCCAGCCCCCTTGTGGTTTGGGAGAAGGGTGTGGGACAGGGTGGGAGGAGGGCGGGGACTCTGGTGACCTTGAGTGTGGGACTTCTGATTTGAGCGGGATCACCACCTGCAGCTGGAGGTTAGTGGTGAGGTTTGGCTGTAACCTCTGGACTCCTCCTGGAGTTGAGGTGTGTCAGGTAGACCAATGGGGGCAAAGCTGAGGGACTGGGAGACAGGCTGCCTGGGTGAGCACTGCCTCTGATAGGCTGGTGACCCGAACTGGAGGCTGGACCCGAACTCGAGGCTTGAGTCACAAGCCTCCCTGTGCTTATCTGAAAACAGGAAGAATCCTGGGAATGACTTTTTAGGGTTGTTGTGAAGTTTGGATTAAGTAATCCAGGTACCACAGTTTGGATGATGCGGTGAATATGTATTTATCTCAAAGGAGTCTCTCAACCATGCTATGATGTAGGGTACACAGTCACTAAGCCACCAGGCAGGGGAAGGGGTGGTAAAAGAACATCTTAGAATGCAGAATTGAACTTCAGTGCCGAGCAGTGAGGATGCTGTTCAGAGAGGGGAAGTGAGTTGTTTAAGGTCACACAGCGCGTGGGCCTTGGGGTCAGAGCGGCTTCCCCCTTCTCAGCGCTACCATACTCCGGATCCCACTCTCCCCGCGGCCCCTAGCTCGGGTCCTTTCTATGGCTGTATCTGGAGGGGCACATCTTAGGAAGGTGGCTTTGCTGGCCGTCACCTGCTATGGAACACGGGGCTCAGGGGGGTGGGGAGAGCCAGCCCTGCACCCCCACCGGCCGGGCGAGGGGCGTCTCCTGGCGCCGGCCCGCGTTGCTTCCCGGTCGCCCCGCGGCCTCCCTCCGCCTCCCTGGCGGCCCCGCGCCGCGGGTGTTCAGTTTCAGCGCGGGCATGAGCGCAGGCAGCGCCCGGCTCCCCGCGGAAGGAAGGCAGCGAGCGGGGGCCCCGCGTCCTCGGCCGGGGCCTGGCAGCGCCGTGGAGGGGGCTCGGCTCGCGTTGCCGCCGGGAGTGGGGCCGGGCGCGCGTCGAGCCTCCGCAGCCGAAGGGGACGCCCGGGAGCCGAAGGGGACGCACGGGAGCCGCCGCCGCCGCCGCCGAGGGTAACCGCGGGCCGCGCTGCCCGGGCGCCCCCTCCTTTGTGGCGCTGCGCGGGGCGGGTGTGGGTGGCCTCCCGCCCGCGGGCTACAGGGCCGGCGTCGCGGAGCCGCTCTTTGTGTCTCCCGGGGTCGGGTGCGAGTGTGCGGCGCGCTCTTGGCACCTCCCGCGCCCCTCGGGTGTCAGCGTTCCGGCGCCCCTCCCGGCCCTTTCCCCACGGGGACGCCTCCCGAGCCACCGGGGGAGTTACGCCAAGTTGGAGGGAAAAAGGTGGGGCGGGGCCGCCCCGCCTCCGCAGCCCCCAGGCAGCGCCCCAAAGTTGGTGCTGCAGGTGCAGCAACCCTCCTGCCGCCCTCCTCCCCGGCTGGCCCGGCCGTGGCAGGCGGGAACCCCCAAGGGCTCGGTTCGGGGGCTCCCGATGATCTGCCGCCAACTTGGAGGGTGCCTTGCTGCACAGAAGCCACCTGAGCTGGGGGCGGCCGGGGGCGGCCGAGGCCCAGGCGGAAGCCGGGCTAGCCGGCTGGCCGTGGGGAGAGCTTAGCGGCCGTGGCACCGAGCCGGGGTGCCCATGTGACTGCGGTGTGCTTGGGAAGAGGAAGCTGCAGAGGTCAGTGCAAAGGCGTCACGCCAGAGCGAGCGAGCAAACCAGCCAGGGGGGAGCCCCGGAGCCAGCGCGGGGCGGGAGCGGGGGTGGCCTGTCGCTGCAGGGGCCGGACAAAGCCGCGCTGTCCCAGCCACCCTGGCTCCCCTAATGCCTGCGATCGCGGGGTGGGAGGGGCGGCCAGGCTTGGCGGCCAGGAAATGAGGGACACCGGGAGGAGGGGCCTCTCCGGGAGAGGCAGGTCTGGAAGAGGCGGCCCCAGCCCCCCGAGGGGCCTCTGGATGCTGGAGGGTGACCCAGAGGGCAGATCAGACACAGACTCAACTTGGAGAACTTTCCCTGCACACTGCAGCCAGCTTGCAGCGATTCTTTTCTGCACGTGCTGGGGAGGTCGGGGTTGCGGGGAGCTGGAGGATGGCAGGATGGGGGTGACCTGGTTAGCCAGGCAGCCCTGGGGCCCGCAGCCCAAGAGGCGAGCTCCTGTCCTCTCCTCTCTGCTGTGGGTACCCGCGGGCTTCCAGCTGTCGACAAGAGAAGCACGTTCTCTGGGCTCCGCCCCGCACATACTTAGATTGTTTTCCCTAGACTGTGTTCAGCTGAGGCCTGGAGGGGGTGGAAACCAAGGTTAGATTAAAAAAAGAAAAAAAAAAAAAAACCAAGACGAAGAGATGGTTTTAGGGAAATGAAGACTAATATTTTGAAGTGGTGCTTAGAGAGAAGAGGCCAGTGTGGTCCGTGGGGGTGGGGTGGGTGAGGGCTTCAGGACCCCCCCTTTCCTTAGAGAGAAGAGGATCACCCAGGCC
Organism: Homo sapiens; assembly: GCF_000001405.40. Taxonomy (NCBI): domain Eukaryota; kingdom Metazoa; phylum Chordata; class Mammalia; order Primates; family Hominidae; genus Homo; species Homo sapiens. Next base: position 121,536,512 of record NC_000012.12, on the reverse strand, counting down.
TTCAGGCGGGGACCCCGCTGGGCCCAGCCGGCCTACAGGTGAGGACGGTGTGGAGCCCAGAGTCGGGACTTTGACCACCCCATTGCCAGCTCCGCAGCCCGCGCCTGTCTTCGTGACAGCCTGCGTCCTGTGCTGTCAACTACACCCCTCCGATGGGGTTGCTAGGCAGCGGGGCTCTGATGTACTGGAAGGCCTTCTGATTTGTCAGCCTCCTGCAGACACATGGTTAAGGCTCCTTCCAGCCTATGGGGAGGAGGGACGCGGGCACGCCGCCTGCATACTGCTGAGCCCCCGGTCCACCTGAAAGCGAGGTGCAAAAGGCAGCCAGAGGGAGGGGGCACCAGGAGCCCTCCGCCTTCTAACCAGCTCAGCCCCACTCCCCGCATTATCTCCACTCGTGCCGGCGCGCTGCTGGCTCCTCCCTGTCCGTCCCCGCCCCATTCCTTCCCTCTTCCCCAAACCATGGAAAGGCAAAGTGCAGCGGGGAAAAGAGGTCAGTGGGGTAAGCATGTGTTGCGGGCTCCGGAGGTGCCAAGGTGCATGGGCGTGAGCGGTGGGGAGGCTGCCCATCCGTGCCACCTGGGGCTCTAGTGGGAAGGGGCAAGTGGCAGGGAGGGGTCCCTGGCACCGTCATGTGCCAGGCCTGGACTTGGAAGCCTTCTCTGTGCCCCCTCCTCCTTCAGCTCTGCCCCACTCCTAAGAGGGCAGCAGTTGAGGGAGGAGGGGAGCCCTGGGTGTTTCTGCAAGGAAGGGTGGGCTCTCCAGCCCTCCATAGCACTGAGAAGGGGATGGCTGCTGGCCAGTTCCTGCTTCCCCTGGATTCACTCCCCGGCCCCAGCCTCCAAGGTCCAAGTTCTTCCTCCTCCTTCTCTTCCTCTGTGCATGGCCACCACCCCCAATTTAATTTCTCTTAAATTCTTTACTTGTTTATAACAGCCTTACTGAGACATAATTCACAGACCGTTCACCCATGTAAAAGTGTACAATTCAACGGGTTTTAGTATGTTCACAGAGTTTTGCAACCACAGTTAATTTTAGAACATTTTCATCACCCCAGAATGAAACCCTGTACCCATTAGCAGTCATTCCCCATTGTCCTGCCCCCCAGCCCCTGACACCCACTAATCTGCTTTCTGTCTCTATAGATTTGTCTACTCTGCACATTTTGTATACGTGGGACCAGACACCGCTTGGTCTTTTGGGGCTGGAACCCCCCCTTACTTTTCTAGCTGCATTGCTTACTTGGCAATCAATTGCAGTTTTGTTTTTTTGTTTTTTGTGTGTGTGGGTTTTTTTTTTTTTGGTCATTTAACTTTTCCTGTGCATTGCTTCTTTAGGAGTGTCGCACAGTTAGGGGCAGGGGTCTTCTGCATTCTTATGCATTTCTCTCAAGGCCAAAGCTGGCTCGGGGCTGGACCTCTGGTTGAATGAATGAGGAGATGAATGGGGACTGGTAATTGGCAAGCTGTGCAGGTGGTTTACAACTGAATTCCAGGGGGCCCAGCTGCTACAAAGGGGGCTGGCAGCTTGGGAGAACTGCAGGTATCCAAGCTGTGAAGGAGCAGAGAGGAAGCCTCTAACTGGGGGAGGGCAGAGGTGGGGCAAAGGTAGAAACCCACCCCGTTAGGAACCTGTAAAGTGGTCTGTGGGTTGCCACTTCTCGCAAGAACCTGAAAACAAGTGTATCACTCCCAGCCTCTGGGGTAGGTAGGCGACCAGTGCTTGAGATTTGTCACCTGATCACAGGGGCTTCCCCCGTGGGGAACTCCGATTACATTTGGATTTTTAAAGAAGAAAAAAAGAAAATTCCCCAGCGTCAGCGTTTATAAAAGGGCACCAGTTCAGGACCTCTGAAGTCCTTTGCTTACGTCTTGTGATTTAGATCTTGACTTGTGTTCTGTCTCCCTGCCTCTGTGTTGCAGGTACTGTCTGATGAGCGTGAAAGGTTGTTTCACCGACTTCCACATCGACTTTGGAGGCACTTCCGTTTGGTACCATGTTTTCCGGGGTGGGAAGGTGAGTTTCAGTTGCCTTTAACTTTCTATGCATCTCTAGCTGTTTGTGTGGGGAGGGGCTCACTTACCTTTCCCTCTCCTCCCACCTCCCTCCTCCAACCAGCCCTGCCCCAGGAGTACTTTAAGGATTACTCTTTTTTTTTTTTTTTGAGATGGAGTCTCGCTCTGTCGCCCAGGCTGGAGTGCAGTGGTGCAATCTCGGCTCACTGCAAGCTCTGCCTCCTGGGTTCATGCCATTCTCCTGCCTCAGCCTCCTGAGTAGCTGGGACTACAAGTGCCTGCTACCACGCCCTGCTAATTTTTTGTATTTTTAGTAGAGACGGGGTTTCACCGTGTTAGCCAGGATGGTCTCGATCTCCTGACCTCGTGATCCGCCCGCCTTGGCCTCCCAAAGTGCTGGGATTAGAGGCGTGAGCCACTGTGCCCGGCTTTTTTTTTAAAAAATTATTATTTTTTAAGAGATAGGGTCTTGCTCTGTCACCCAGGGTGGAGTGCAGTGGCGAAATCACAGCTCGCTGTAGCCTCCACCTCCTGGGCTCAAGCGATCTTCCCACCTCAGCTCTCGAGTAGCTGGGACTTGTTCTCAAAGTCCTGGGCTCACGTGATCCTCTCGTCTTGGTCTTCCAAAGTGCTGGGATTGTAGGCGTGGGCCATGGCTCCTGGCCCAGGGTCGCTTCTTTCCCTAGAACCACCTCCTCCTTCTGGAGGGCAAGGTCAAGTTCAGCCCTTTTACATCGCATCTAGTCACCCATGCAGGCCTGCTCCACTCACCCAGTCTGGTGTTCAAAGCTCCTTGGGCCAGATTTGAAGCTTGGGTTTGGCTCGAGAACGTCCAGCATTCATCTTCTCTGGCTGTCATCTCAGCTCCTGCCCTGGGACCTTTTTACTTTAAAGTCTAGTTGCCAGCACCACCTGCCTCTAGGAACATTTTGCACTGGGGACAGAATGCTAAGGGTGCTCCCTGTGTCTGCTTTTGTTGCGTGTCCACGTGGGGATGTGGGTGTCCCTGATGGAGGTGGGTGCTTCTTGAAAATAAGCCTGTGCCACCCTGCTTGGCTGGGTCTGCATGTGCGTTTGTTTTAACTGAACGTGTTGGAAGAAATTCTGGGAGGAAGTCAACCCACTTGATTCCAGATGTTTTTCCTCCTCCTCCAAAGTATGCACAAGCTGGGTTTATTTACTGGGCTATTTTATCTTACAACTTAGGAAATTCCCTTCCTCTCCTTCCCCCACCTCCTAGACAAGCCTGTGGTTCGGGAGAAAGCATGTCCCACCCAGTCCAGGAAGTACTCCCATCCTGGGATTTCAGCAGGAATGGAGGTTCCCTGAAGGTGGGCACAGCCCTTCCTGCCTCCCCAGAGGCTCTAGGGACCTGGCCTTGCAGAGAGTCCAGAGGGATGGATCTGCCATCTCTCCACACCCCCCACCCCACACACAGCTTGTCTCGCCCCCTCCCCTTCCGCCAGGCAGGTGGGGCCCTCTCTCTGGGTCTTGTCTGGGCCTGGGTCTCCAGCTGACTGCCTGTGTTTTCTCCCAAGATTTTTTGGCTGATTCCTCCAACGCTGCACAATTTGGCGCTGTACGAGGAGTGGGTGCTGTCAGGCAAACAGAGTGACATCTTTCTGGGAGACCGTGTGGAACGATGCCAAAGAATTGAGCTGAAGCAGGGCTACACATTTTTCATCCCTTCCGGTAGGTTTCCAGGGGCACTCTCTGGGCTCCTCGAGTCTCCTGCGGCCTGAGCCAGGGTTTTAGGCCCCCTGAGGGTTGCTCTGGGCCTGGTGGGTTTGACAGGCCATTGGCAGTCCCCGAGGGGAGCCAGCCGTGGGCTGGAGGGAAAAGCCGTGCAGTTTTCCCCTCACATCCCACCTGTATCTACCACCTACGGGCTGGAATTCTCTCTCCCTTGGAGAAGGCCTTGGGCCCTCTCAGGGGAGACTCGAATCCCTGTGCAGGACTTCCTGTGGAGATTGTGTGTTGGGTAATGGGGGTGGGTTTGCCCTGAGGCAGGGTCTGGGGAAGGGCTGTGCATGGCCTCAGGTGGAATTCTGGATCGACCACTTAGAGGCTGTGACTTCACTTCTTCGTGCCTCTATTCCCATCTGTAAAATAGGATTAAGATTTCCCCAGGGTGGTCATGAGGGCTGAGTGAGTTCAGATCTCCTTGCCTCCAGTTCACTGGAGATGGACTAAGGGCTTTTGGCTGGTTCCTGGCTCAGTCACTAGTAGATGTGGCTGATGACCTAGGGGTCAGGGAATTATCTCTTAGGTTGCATTAATGGAAGCATTCTACCTAGGATGAGAGAGGTGATAGTCCTGCTGTGTAGAGGGAGGGGGTCAGGCCACACATAGGAGTTGTGCTTTTTTTCTTTTTTTTTTGAGACAGTCTTGCTCTGTCACCCAGGCTAGGGTGCAGTGGCGTGATCTTGGCTCACTGCAACCTTCACCTCCCAGGTTCAAGCAGTTCTCATGTCAGCCTCCCAAGTCTCAGCCTCCCAAGTCTCAGCCTCCCAAGTAGCTGGGATTACAGACGTGCGCCAACATGCCCAGCTAATTTTTGTATTTTTAGTAGAGGTGGGGTTTTGCCATGTTGTCCCGGCTGGTCTCCAACTCCTGGCCTCAAGGGATTCTCCCTCCTTGGCCTCCCAAAGTGCTAGGATTACACATGTGAGCCACCGCACCTAGCCTGTAGGAAGGAGGTTTTGTTCCTCTTGGTCATTGTACTTTGGAGGTTAAATCAACCTGAAGTGGGGTGTGGGTGTGTCTGGAAACCACATCAGGTGAGATGTGTTTGAAGGAGGAATTGGGTTGCTTTACATGAGGAAGTGAAGGCATATGGTAACTGCAGTCAGCCAGGTGAAGGATTGTCTCCTGAAAGGAGTATAGCCGAGTGGTGTTGAAATAACTTGCTCTGTTAGGTAGTGAGCTCCCTGTCACTGGAGGCATACAAGTAGAAAGTAGATATGGATGACTCAAGGTGCTTGCAGACAATCTACAACTGGGTGGAAGCTTGGACCAGAGGATAGGAGTATCCTTTGAGGCCACCAAGATGTTTCTGAGAGTTGGGCTAGAAACTGGTCTTAGGTCTGGACATCAAGCACTAGTGGTGGTTGTAGTAGCAGTTCCTGCTATGGGGATGGGGCCTCCAACACCTGGGTGCTTCTAGAAAGTTGGGCAGAAACTGGAGACTTCCCTATTAGGGAGATTTGGCATTTGGAAGTAGCAGGGTTTAGTGCGGGGATGACTTTGTTACCATGGCCCCAGGTCTGTCCTCAGACCTGCTTGGCTCAGGGAAGGGACCGACCCCTGCTTGGGATGGAAGGGAACTGCACTTGGTGGTCAGCGTTTATAGGGGACACCCTGGCAGATGTGGAGTAGTGGAGACTCGGGAAGGAGGTGGCATCCTCCTTCTAAGCTGTGCTCAATCCACTCTGCAGGTGTTGCTGGATTGGCCCTGGATTCAAAGGATGACTGGAAGGCTCTTGGCCTTGCTGCTGACTCTGTGACGTTAGCTGGTCTCTTCCTCTCTCTGCACCTCAGCTCTCTCTACAATGGTGGTGGGGTGGAGCTGAACTCTGGGACCCTCAAGTTCCCTCCCAACCCCATCCTCTGAGCCTAACAGGCCTTAAGTCTCTCTGTCCAGGCCTTATGCAGAGCTGGGAGGTGGCTCATCACTTTTCCCCTGTGTGGGATGGTGTGGGTGTTGATGTTGGTGACTTAAGCAAGCTGGGGGAGGTCTTGAGAAGCCCTGGCAGCAGGGGTGTGGGCGTGGCTGTCTATTGAAGGCAGGAAGAGGAAATGTGCATTTGAGTTGCTGCAAGCAGGAGTCCAGTTAGGTCCTGGCAAAGACTTCTGGCCTGAAGGGTCATGCATTGAGATACCAGGATTTTTTCCCCTGGAGTTTTGGGAAGTAGAAAAGGGACAGTTGGAATTTGCCACCCTCTGAGATACAGGGGTGGGGTAGGGTGGGAGGGAGGGTGCAGCATAGTTCAGCGGTTCCCAGCCATTGATTTCATGGACCAGTGAAAAAAAACTTAGGAACAGATACAGAGTTGCCAACTTATAATTTTGCTAAAGATGGGTGTTAAGATCAACAAACCCCATGGTCTATTCTGACACTAAAAAAGTTACAAGTATAAAATGTCAGAATAAAGGATAGTACTTTAACTTTGATAGTTTTTCTCATTCTGTTTCCAACCAGTGAAAACTAAAGGACCAGAGACTGGGGTCCACTGACCTAGATTAGTATTTTTTTTTTTTTTTTTTTTTTGAGAGGGAGTCTTGCTCTGTTGCCCAGGCTGGAGTGCAGTGGCGCAATCTCGGCTCACTGCAAGCTCCGCCTCCCGGGTTCACACCATTCTCCTGCCTCAGCTTCCCGAATAGCTGGGACCACAGGCACCCGCCACCATGCCTGGCTAATTTTTTGTGTTTTTAGTAGAGACACGTTTTCACTGTGTTAGCCAGGATGGTCTTGATCTCCTGACCTCATGATCTGCCCACCTTGGCCTCCCAAAGTGCTGGGATTACAGGCGTGAGCCACTGCGCCTGCTCTTCTTTTTTTTTTTTTTTGAGACAGAGTCTTGCTCTGTCGCCAGGCTGGAGCATGGTGGTGCAATCTTGGCTCACTGCAACCTCCGCCTCCCGGGTTCAAGCGATTCTCCTGCCTCAGCCTCCCTAGTAGCTGAGATTACAGGTACACGCCACCATGCCCGGCTAATTTTTGTATTTTTAGTAGCAACGGGGTTTTGCCATGTTGTCCAGGCAGGTCTCGAACTCCTAGGGTCAAGTGATCCACCCGCCTCGGCCTCCCAAAATGCTGGGATTACAGACATGAGCCACCGCGCCCAGCCCCTAGATGAGTATTTTAGGTCCTCCCCAGGCCTGGGGATTCTCTCCAGCATTCACACCCTCTGAGCCACGTACAGACACACATCTGAGATTCGTGGTACTTGATTTGTGGCTTTGAGGAGAGAGTCTTGGGAAACCCAGAAAGGGTTTGCAGCTCCCTGGATGGGAGTTTTTCTGTATTGAAGCAGAGAATTGAATTCTGGCATTTCCCACCTCTGACCTGAGTTTTCATTGCCACAGTGTGACCTTAGGCACCTCTCCTCCTGCCACACTGACCTCACGCCTCCCAGTCCGTGGTTCATGGAGTCTTCAGTTCTCTGAAAGCTCATAGGATGCTGATGGTTTAGGAAGACTTTCATCATAAAGGGATGCTGGATTTTGTCAAATGCTTTTTCTGTGTCTATTCAGATGATCGTGTGATTTTTTAATTTTTAATTCTGTTTACGTGGTGTATCACATTTATCGACATGTGTATGTTAAACCATCCCTGGCATGAAACCCACTTGATCATGGAGGGATTATCTTGTTGATATGCTGTTGGATTTAGTTACTAGTATTTTGTTGAGGTTTTTTGCATCTATGTTAATCAGGGATATTGGTCTTTAGTTTCCTTTTTGTTATGTCCTTTCCTGGTTTGGGTATTAGGGTGATACTGGCTTCATAGAATGATTCAGAGAGGATTCTCTCTTTCCCTCTCTTTTGGAATAGTGTCAACAGGATTGGTACCAAGTCATCTTTGTTTTGTTTTGTTTTTTTGAGACAGAGTTTCACTCTTGTTACCCAAGCTGGAGTGCAGTGGCACGATCTCAGCTCACTGTAACCTCCGCCTCCCAAGTTCAAGCGATTCTCCAGCCTCAGCCTCCCAAGTAGCTGGGATTACAGGCATGTGCCGCCACGCCTGGCTAATTTTTGTATTTTTAGTAGAGATGGGGTTTCACCATGTTGCCCAGGCTGGTCTCAAACTCCTGACCTCAGGTGATCTGCTTGGCTTGCCAAGTCATCTTTGAATGTCTGATAGAATTCAGCTATGCATCCAAGGAAGACCTTATTTATTTATTTATTTATTTATTTATTATTTTTTCATTTTTTTGAGACAGAGTCTCACCCTGTTGCCTAGGCTGGAGTGCACTGGGCACCATCTCGACTCACTGCAACCTCCACCTCCCAAGTTTAAGCAATTCTCATGCCTCAGCCTCCTGAGTAGCTGGGATTACAAGCGTACGCTACCGGGCCCGGCTAACTTTTGTGTTTTTAGTGGAGACGGGGTTTTTCCATGTTGATCAACCTGGTCTCAAATTCCTGGCCTCAAGTGATCCTGCTGCCTCAGCCTCCCAAAGTGCTGGGATTACAGGCATAAGCCATAGCGCCCGGCTGCCAAGGAAGATTTTAAATGGTGCTATTCTTCAGGCTTTATTCCTAGGTAACCTAGGAGAGCTGCCTGGAAGAGGAAGACCGTTGAAGGTGACTGAGGAGTAGAATGACCTGGAGAAAGGGGTTTGAGCTTGCCCTGCCTAGCTGGCTATACCTTGATGAGGCAGGAGGTGAGAATACAGCGTCAGGGTCAGGACATCAAGGCCACAGTAAACAGTGCCTAGGGGTCACCAGGTGTTAGCCTTATAATTATCAGTAAGGAAAGCTGGAGGTGGAAGTCACCCCCGGGGAATAGGAGGTTGGAAACTTTAAGTACCTGGGGTGAACCAGGTGATGTCTTTTTCCTCCAACTCAACCTGGCCTATGGGAGCATACTGGCCACATTTGCAGGCTCGGCCTCCCCACTCTGGCTGTGCCAGCCTAGGTGAGCTATAGTTAACAGTTATAAGCAATGAACATTTACAAATTTTATTTTATTTTATTGAGTCAGGGTCTTACTTTGTTGCCCAGGCTGGAGTAGCATGGCTTGATCCAGTGAACATTTTATGTACATTATGTATCTTCTCTGCAAGCATTTATGGAAAAATGTAATATTCCCCACTTTTTTTTTTTTTTTTTTTTTTTTGAGACGGAGTCTCCCTCTGTCACCCAGTCTGGAGTGCAGTGGCGCGATCTCAGCTCACTGCAAGCTCTGCTTCCTGGGTTCACGCCATTCTCCTGTTTCAGCCTCCTGAGTAGCTGGGACTACAGGCGCCTGCCACCATGCCCGGCTAACTTTTTTTGTATTTTTAGTAGAGACGGGGTTTCACCGTGTTAGCCAGGATGGTCTCAATCTCCTGATCTGCCCGCCTTGGCCTCCCAAAGTGCTGGGATTACAGGTGTGAGCCACCGTGCCCGGCCTCCCCACCTTTTTTTAAACAATTTTTTTTTAGGCTGGGCACAGTGGCTCACGCCTGTAATCCCAGCACTTTGGGAGGCCAAGGCGGGCAGATCAGGAGATTGAGACCATCCTGGCTAACACGGTGAAACCCCGTCTCTACTAAAAATACAAAAAAAAAAAAATTATCTGGGCGTGGCGGCGGGTGCCTATGTAGTACCAGCTGCTCGGGAGGCTGAGGCCAGAGAATGGTGTGAACCCGGGAGGCAGAGCTTGCAGTGAGCAGAGATCACGTCACTGCACTCCAGCCTGGGCGACAGAGCGAGACTCCGTCTCAAAAAATATAAAAAAGAAATTTATTTAATTTTTCAGACAGAGCGTTGCTCTTGTTGCCAAGGCTGGAGTGCAATGGCATGATCTCGGCTCACTGCAACCTCCGCCTCCTGGGTTCAAGTGATTCTCCTGCCTCAGCCTCCTGAGTAGCTGGGATTACAAGTGTGCACCACCACGCCCAGCTAATTTTTGTAGTTTTAGTAGAGACGTGGTTTTACCATGTTGCCCAGGCTGGTCTTGAACTCCTGACCTCAGGTGATCGGCCCGCCTCGGCCTCCCCAAGTGCTGGGATTACAGGTGTGAGCCACTGTGCCCGGCTAAAAAAATTTTTAAATTTTGTTTTAGAGACATGGTCTTGCTCTTGTGCCCAGACTGGAGTGCAATGTTGTGATCACAGCTCATTGCAGTGTTGCCTTGACCTCCTGGGCTTAAACAATCGTCCTATCACAGCCTCTAGGGTAGCTGGGACTACAGGCATGTGACACCATTTTTTTTTAAACAAATAAAGAAAATACCTAAGGCCCAAGATCTCACAGTGACCAGGTCAGAGCAAGAACCCAGGTGTGCCTACTTTGAAAACACATATTCCTAAATATACCTACTTTGAACTCCAGTAGCTTGGGAGTCAGGAGACTTGGGATCTGGTCCTCCTTCTTGACTCTTGACTATGTGAGAACTATTTGCTCATTTAACAAACTTTCTTTTTTTTTTCCCCTGAGGCAGAGTCTTGCTCTGTCACCCAGGCTGGAGGGCAATGGCACAATATTGGCTCACTGCAACTTTTACCTCCTGGGTTCAAGTGATTCTCCTGCCTCAGCCTCCTGAGTAGCTGGGATTACAGGCGTGTGCCACCACACCCAGCTAATTTTTTCTATTTTTAGTAGAGACGGGGTTTCATCATGTTGGCCAGGCTGGTTTCAAACTCCTGACTTCAAGTGATCCGCCTGCCTTGGCCTCCCAAAGTGCTGGGATTACAGGTGTGAGCTACCAGTCTCGGCTTCATTTAACAAACTTTCTTAAGGGCCCACTTGGTGCCAGATGATGTGGGGGGCCTTGGAGGGGACATAAGACAGATCCCCTCCCTCCTGAGAGCAGCTTATCCAGCCAGGTGGCATCCAGGGTGGCAGAGGCCAGTATGGGGACCTTATTTGTCATATAAGTGGGGATGGCAGTGCCTGGGGAAGACCCAGGGATCTGTGACTTGGGCTGGCCTAAAGTTATTTCCCATCCTTGCATTCTAGAAAGAACCACTGAAGACCCAAATATCATGGTAGCCCCAGGTATTTCTTACACTCCAGCAAGTCTGAGAAGAAATTCCTTAATGGTGTCACGTGGTTGGGCCTCAGACGATCCATCTATCAAATGGGTCTAAAGCAGGGAAGGGGACTGGATGGGTTGGGGCCGTGGGAAACTGGGCAGTACCTGCTCAGCCAGTCCAGCTAGGGCCAGGTGGGAATCCAGACCTTCCTATTTTTCTAGGTGGAAGGCAGCATTTCAGATTGTCACATGGAATGTACTGGCGTGGCACGGTGGCTCACGCCTGTAATCCCAGCACTTAGCACTTTGGGAGGCTGAGGTGGGCGGATCACCTGAGGCTGGGAGTTAGAGACCGGCTTGGCCAACATGGTAAAACCTCATCTCTAGTAAAAATTTGTGTGCCTGTGATTCCAGCTACTCAGGAGGCTGAGGCAGGAGAATGGCTTGAACCTGGGAGGTGGAGGTTGCAGTGAGCCGAGATGGCACCACTGCACTCCAGCCTGGGTGACACAGTAAGGCTCTGTCTCAAAAAAACAAAAACCCAACAAAACAACAACAAAAGAAATATCCCCATTTTTAAACATGGGGTGGCGTGAAGTAATTGGCCCCTGGTCCCAACTATGAGGTCCTTGAAGGGAGAGTATCCTTACTTCATGTCAGCAGCCACAGGTTCGTTCCTGATCCTGGCCCGGCGCAGGGAGTTCACTGATGTCGGTGAAAGAAGCCAGGGTCCGGTTGGGTTGTGGGCGTCTGTGAGGTGTCCCTTGCCCAGTTCTGAGACCTCTAGGTTTATTCCTGCTAAAGCCACAGAGGTGGAGGCAGATGTGGGTGGGGCCTTTGGATTCCGAGTCCTGAGCAGACGCTCAGGTTGTGGGTGAGCCCCACCTGCCCCTGCTGCCCTTCTTGGGCCCCCTGAGGTCCCAGAGAATGTGCTGCTTTGTGTATCACTGGCTTCCCATCTATGACTGCATCTGTCCCTGGTCGCTTGGCCTGAATAGCCTCTGTTTATTGCCTTCATATTGTCGATGACTCTGGCTGGAAGCAGGAGGCAGATGCCAGCGTTCCCAGCCCAGGCAGCAGCCTGGGAGCACCGGCTCTCATGCTTCCTGGGCTGTCGAGAGGCCATCGGAGGAGGGGTATGGATGGGGCCCACAAACGCTGTTATTTCCACACCTCCTTCTTACTGAGGGAGGCATGTGGGTAATGAAGCAGATGTGAGCAGAGCTGGGGGAGGGACGCAGTGGCGGCTAATCCAGGGGTGGCTGCCTGACCCACCCTTGAGGCCCTGGCTGCGAAGGGGAGTGGGTAAAAGCTTCTAGAATCCCTCGAGTGTCTGGGCGTGCAGATCCCCTGCCCCCTCCTCGCAGCAGCAGCTCTCCTCTGTGTTCCTCTTTCCTCACGTGTCAGGGCAACAGATGTAAGTCAGGTGCGTTGGCCTCTGCACCTGCCAGGAGAACAGGGAGAGTCCAGGGCTGGGAAAGATGGATGCATGTGGGCACCATCCTCTACCAGAGCCCTTGTGATCGACAGAGACAACCACAGATACCAATGCCAATTGCTTATATGGATTCAGGACTTGCTCACCAAGTTCCCCAGAAGGGAGGGGAGTGGAGGGGACAGGATGGAACCCTAGCCCCTGGACTTGGGCTTTCTGCAGGGAGGGAGGTAGGCTTGTGGGGCCATATAAGATGCACCTGCCTGTGCATCACATGACCCGGTGGTCCCGGGTCCCAATCTTAGGAAATGTTGCTAGGATAACGGGGATGGCGACAATAACAGCATTCAATAGCATGGTTCCACTTGGTGGAAACATGGAAATGTTGAGGTCAGCCTGCAGGCAGCAGAGGCAGGAGACTGAAGCGGATGTGGAGACAGAGGCTCTTTCAGGGCGGCAGCCATGCTTCTGTGCAGAGGAGGGTGAAGGTCGTGGGATGGGAAGCTGGGGAGCTCGACGGCCGCTTGCAACCGCACAGAGCAGCTGTCTTTCATGGCTCACGCCAGAGACCCGGGGAGCCAGGCACAGAACGAGGTTGCCTAAAGCAAAGCCCTCGTGCCTGTACCCGGCAGCACTGGGCTTCTGGTGATGAGCTTTCCCTTGCTCTCCCCTGAGGATGGCCAGCTCTGTTCCATGCGTTGCCCTGGTGGGAAGGGACAGCGGCTGAGTGTCCACTGCGGATGCCAGCAGTGGCCCCGCAGTCTGTGCTGTCTTCCAGGCAGGAGCGTTGCTCCCAGCAGTGGTGACCACCCATGACTCAGGGCTGGCGTGTTTCATTGGGGGACAGACTGGAACCGCTCGGGCTTGGGGGGCAGAGGCAGTCGCTGTAATTTTCCTCAGAGCAAAAGAATAAAGTGCATGGCTGGGAGAGGAGGGGACAGCGGCCTCCAGGGCCAGGCCCTTCAAGGTGCAGGGTCTTGGGGCACCGCCACCCTTCCCTCTGCTGCACCATTCCCCCAGCCAACCCTCCTCTGTCCTTCACTGTGAGTTGCTCCGCCTCTGTCCGCCCTTGTCCTTATTTCTCTCTGCGTTTCTCCTTTTGCCTCCCCTCTGTATTTCCCAGCCTTTCCCCCGGGACTTGCAGTCCTGTGCAGAACCTTTGATGCAGCGGCAGCTGTGCAGCGTGCTGGCTAAAAACGGAGCCGCTGTCGCTTGCCAGCTGTGACTCATTCAGCAAGTGGCTTCCCCCTTTGTGCCCTCAGTTTCAGCATCTGTGAATTGGGGTTGATTCTCCTCCTGCCCATCTCCTAGCCCCACGCTGTGTGACCCGGCAGCCAGGAGCCACACACATGTCACCTGAGCACTTGCAGTATGGCCACTGTGAATTGCAGTGCAGTAGCTGTGTGTCCCAGTGAATGAGGGGCTTTCTCCCAGCCTTCATGGACCATGCAGAGCCCGACTTCCCGGGCTCAAAATCCTGATAGGTGACTTCATTTTTCTGTGCCTCACTTTCCTCATCCATAATTTTTGTTGTTGTTTTTGGCTCTGTCTCCCAGGCTGGAGTGCAGTGGTGCGATCTTGGCTCACTGCAACCTCCACCTCCGGGGTTCAAGCAATTCTCATGCCTCCGCCTCCCAAGTAGCTGGGACTACAGGCATGTGCCACCAAGCCTGGCTAATTTTTGTATTTTTAGTGGAGACGGGGTTTCGCCATATTGACCAGGCTGGTCTCAAACTCCTGACTTCAGGTGATCCTCCCGCCTCGGTCTTCCAAAGTGCTGGGATTATAGGCATGAGCCACCGTGCCTGGCCCTCATCTGTAAATTGAGGTTGAATATAGTATATACTTTTTTTTTTTTTTTTGAGACGGAGTTTCACTCTTGTTGCCCAGGCTGGAGTGCAATGGTGCGATCTCGGCTCACTGCAACCTCACCTTCCGGGTTCAAGCGATTCCCCTGCCTCAGCCTCCTGAGTAGCTGGGATTACAGGCATGCACCAACACGCCTGGCTAATTTTGTATTTTTAATAGAGACAGGGTTTCTCCATGTTGGTCAGGCTGGTCTCGAACTCCCGACCTCAGGTGATCCGCCCACCTCGGCCTCCCAAAGTGCTGGGATTACAGGCGTGAGCCACCATGCCCGGCCATGAATATAGTATATACTTTTTCGGGATTTCATGAGAATTAATGAGTTAAGGCCTGAAAAGCCCTTAGACCACTGTGCCTGGCACAAGGTGGGCCCTCTATTATCGTTTCTTCTTTTTTTTTCTTTTTGAGATGGTTATCTCTGTTACCCAGGCTGGAGTGCAGGGGTGTGATCACAGTTCACTGAAGCTTCAACCTCTGGAGCTCAAGTGATCCTCCCACCTCAGCCTCCTGAGTAGCTGGGACCGCAGGTGTGCACCACCATGCCCTGCTATTTATTTAATTTTTTTTAGAGATGAGGTATTACTATATTGTCCAGGCTGATCTCAAACTGCTGAGCTCAAGCGATCTTCCCGCCTCAGCCTCCCAAAGTGCTGGGATCACAGAGGTGCACCACTACACCTGGCCCTGCCTCCGTTTCCCTTGTGATGGTGACTGTGTCTGGCTCCAGGCTAGGAGTTTGGAGAGATGAAAAACTGCGGCTCCCAGCTGTGAGAAGCTGCAGGAGAGACTTACCAGCAGCCTGTGGGGCAGAGTGGAGGGCAGAGCTGAGGGGGGCATGCAGGCGTTGTGTGACCAAGGAGACCACATGGAAAGGGGCCTGGGTGGAGTTTGATGACAAGAAGATGGACTTGGGCGGAGGAAAGTGCTTGGGTCCTGCAGCTCTGGCAAGACGTCACTCCTGCGTCATGGTTCCCAGCCATCCTTTGTGACCCCTCTGGGATGGTGAGGAAAGACTCTGGACACATGTGCCACCTGGGAGGGGAGGTGAGGCTCCGTGGCCTGCATGGAGGTGGAGAAAGGGCCTGCCTCTCTGCTGGCCATTGCAGCCAGGTCCCCAGAGGAAGCTTTTGTCATCACGGTCCTCAAGAAGTGGGGGCTGATCTGCAGCTTCCCAGCTCCTGACTTGAGCCAGACAGTGGCTGCTCGAGGCTGCAAGTCTGAGTCCTCTCGGCGGCTCAGGCCTGGGCGTTGTGCAGCAGGCATTGCTGGGCGCCGCTGCCCCAGGCCCTGGCTGCTCTTCTCCACTCCCTGCACCCTCCTGCACGCTCGCTCTCCCTCCCTGCAGCCTTGTGAGGTGTGGGAGCCCACAGGGGCCAGCGGCTCATCCTCTCCTTGCCCTTCCCACCCCAGGTTGGATCCATGCCGTCTACACCCCTGTAGACTCTTTGGTGTTCGGCGGAAACATCCTGCACAGCTTTAACGTGCCCATGCAGCTGCGGATCTACGAGATCGAGGACAGGACGCGGGTAAGGAGGTTCCCTTCTGTCCTCGCGTGCGCGCCTGGCCCCTGAGCTCTGCCGGTGCTCGGTGTGTGGGACAGGTCATACTGAAGTCCTCCACAGTTCCCCTCTCCCTCCCGATTCCTCTCTCAAGCTGGCTTCAGTCCTGGTTCTGTGGCGGGGGAGGGGGGGCAGGGGAATGCCTGTAGGAGCCACACCCGGAGGCCCTGGAGTTTCTGTTCACCTCCAGGTTGGGGGCAGCCAAAACCCCCTTGTGGAAGAGGAAGTGTCTCTGAGAAAGCACCGTGAGATTTCAGGGACCTGCCTCTTCCTCCTCACGTGGAGAAAGTGGTGTGAGGGATTAGGGGGATTTGGTCGCTGTTGTTTGGAGGATGGGTGTGGACCTTGGAAGGGCCTGTCCTGGTCTGAGGTCAGGTCTTGGCTATATGTTCTCCCAGGGACCCCAGATCTGACTGGGGAGGAAGCCTGAGGAAGCCAGTGCCTGAGTCCCCCTGGGTACTGTCTCTGAGGTAGTCTCCATGTCTGCTGAGGACGTCTCTAGTTTCCTGGGGCCGAGGCTTTTCTCTGCCCTTGACAGGGACGGTGCTAGTTTCCCAGACGTCAAGTTTCCCTCACTCACCCCATGTCCTACGAACATGGGCGGAGGCTTAGGTAACTGATGTGTGTCCTTCGCTCCACAAGTGTCCCCTGAAAAGGACAAGTGGCCTGAACTTGCCATGGCCTTTCTCGTGCTAGGACTTGATCACGTGTCCCTAGGCACATAAGACAGGTCCCAAACTGGGTCAAAACTGAAGACTTGGGGCCGGGCGCGGTGGCTCTTGCCTGTAATCCCAGCACTTTGGGAGGCCGAGGTGGGTGGATCACTTGAGGTCAGGAGTTCGAGACCAGCCAGGCCAACATGATGAAACCCTGTCTTTACCAAAAATACAAAAAAGCTGGGCGTGGTGGTGTACGCCTGTAGTCCCAGCTACTTGAGAGGCTGTGGTGGGAGGGTCGTTTGAGCCCGGGAGGCGGAGGTTGCAGTGAACCGAGATCACGCCACTGCACTCCATCCTGGGCGACAGAGCCGGACCTGTCTCATACTAAAAAACAAAGAAACAAACAAAACCCAGAGACTTGGGGTAAAAAAGTCCCATTTCTTGTTCTACTTGTTCCTGTTTTTTCAACACAGCTATTCAAATATTCATTTTCTTTTAAATTGAGATATAATTCATATACCCTAAAATTTACCATTCAAAGTATACAATTCAGTGGTTTTAGTATCTTTATAAGATTGTGTCATGATCACCACTAATTCCAGAACATTTTCATCACCCCAAAAAGAAACCTTGTACCCACAAGCAGTCACTTCCTGTGTCTCCCCACCTTTCCCCTGGCTAGCCCTAATCTATTTTCTATCTCTGTGGATTTGCCTATTCTGGACATTTGATGTAAATGGAGTCATTCAACATGTGGCCTTTTGTGTCTGGTTTCTTTCATGTAGCATAATGATTTCCAGGTTCATCCACATTGTAGCATGTGCCAGAGCTTCATTCCTTTTCATGGCTGAATAATATTCCATTCTGTAGCCAGACCACACCATTTCTTCTTGGGATTTGCTTCTGAGATGGCTTTTTGCCCCAGTGAGGTGTTGCTCTGCATAGATCTAAGGAGAGGTCTCACAAGGGCACCTGCTCTGTACCAAGCCCCTGTCTCTCCTGGTCTTGTTTTCAGGCCTTGGTTTGCACAAAATCACATACATGAGCAAAGTATTAGCTGCTGCCTTTGTATCTGAACATTGAACAGTCCCGGCATTGTGGGCCCATGTCTGGGGGTTTCCTGGAGACCACCTGGAGTTGAGTTCAGTGGTCAGATGTTGTGAGGCATGTGTACCTCTGCAGATTGACACGTGACGCCTAGATCTGGAGAGACCTGGGTCTGGGCTGGGGCTCCATGGGAGACCATCGTTTTGTGGACTTTTTCCCCTCACCTCTCTGTGGCCCACCATCCCCATCCCACCTGGGGAAGGCCAGCCCCCACCCTGGTCTGGAGGAGCCGCCCCATGCCATTCAGGAGAAAGGCACTGTTTGGATACAAGCGGTCACCTCACAGTCTGGGTCAATGCTGTCTGGGGCTCCGGCCAACTGTTCTTTGGCCTGTCCTGGAGTACAGGCCAGTTTGTGCACGAGCAGACGTGTGGAATAGAGATGGAGAAATCTAGTGGAAGTCAGGCCCACGACTTTCCAGGCAATTCCTGAAAGCCGGAGTCAGGCTGGGATTTCTAAAGGCTGTGGCTACTTGCTGGACAACCACCCCGTCCCCCTGGGAATTCAATTGTAAACTCAGCGGATTTGGGCCCCATGGTTCCCTTAGGAGCCCAGGTCCCTTCCCCCACCCATGACGACTGGCAGGGTGCTGGCCGGACCCCTGAGCATCACACTGAGCTTACGTGGAATATCACGTCCTCGTTGAGAATGGCAGGTCCCCTCCCCCACCGGGGCCTACTGTCCCTTCCCCTGAGTGGGCACCCCATCTGGTTTCACCGAAGCAGGCTGGCAGCGGGGGCTTGGGGGCAGACTGGGCTGGGAGCAGCGGCAGGTTGTTTAATCTGCCTTGATTTCTGGTCTTGAGAGAGGGACTTGGCTACGAGGCCCAATTGTTTATGCCTTAGGAGCCAAGGCAGACAAAAGGCACTGGGGAGAGAATTCTGGAACCAGATAAGATGCCAGGGCTCTTTGTTAGCTCACTACAGCTTCATTCTTTACAGCCCTGAGAGCTTTCTTAAGAAGGTTATGGCCATTTAAAAATACTGTTTTATAGGCTGGGCATGGTGACTCACGCCTGTAATCCCAGCACTTTGGGAGGCCAAGGCGGGCGGATGATCTGAGGTCAGGGGTTCGAGACCAGCCTGACCAACATGGTGAAACCCTGTCTCTACTAAAAATACAAAAATTAGCCGAGCATGGTGGTGTGTGCCTGTAATCCCAGCTACTCAGGAGGCTGAGGCAGGAGAATTGCTTGAACCCGGGAGGCAAAGGTTGCAGTGAGCTGAGATCGCACCACTGCACTCCAGCCTGGGCAACAAGAGCGAAACTCCATCCCCCCCCTCAAAAAAAGTGTTTTAAGAGTCCTAAAACATGGCTTTGCCTGGAAACCAAATGCAGGAGGTGGGACAGAGGGAACCATCGGTCAGTCTCCAAGCTCCATGGTGTGGCTTTGTCTTAGAAAAAGAATTTGCCTGGCCAGGCGCCGGTGGCTGACGCCTATAATCCCAGCACTTTGGGAGGCCAAGGCAGGCGGATGATCTGAGGTCAGGAGTTCGAGACCAGCCTGGCCAACATGGTGAAACCCCATCTCTACTAAAAAAATACAAAAATTAGCCAGGCATGGTGGTTCATGCCTGTAGTCCCAGCTAATCGGGAGGTTGAGGCAGGAGGATTGCTTGAACCCAGTAGGCAGAGGTTACAGTGTGCTTAGATTGAGCCACTGCACTCCAGCCTGGGCGACAGAGCGAGACTCCATCTCAAAAAAAAAAAAAAGAAAAGAAAAAGAATTTGCCTTTGTGGCCCAAGGTGGGGACCCCTATCTAAACTAGGGAACCCCAGGGTTCCCTAGGAAGCTGTGTCTTACCTTCACCATTTAAATTTTTCTGGCGAGATGATAGGTGACCCCATCCTGCAATGTCACTGCCCATGAGGTGGCACGAACATATACAGGTGTTTGGGGAATGGTGGATTTCCATTCCCCAACCCTTGTAGATGAAATCTCCCCTTCCCCTCATCCTGAAGCTATGAAGAGTGATGGAAGAGTGACAGCAACGAGTGGATATGTTGTGCATTTGATACTTAAGACAACATCTCGATCATCACTACATTCTTTTAACTTCAGTTAGGTTGATAGGGAATAGGTATGGTCCAAATGATCATTAAATTGCCATCTCTCTTATATTTATCTTTTATTTATCTTTCCCCCCCTCCCAGTGGCTCTAGTGAAAGCAGCCTTCCCAGAAAAGGTAATGCCGACATGCCCCATTCCCTTACAGCCACTGAATCTATTTGGAAATTGCAAATAATTTACCTTCCCTCTCCCCTTCCCCCTACCATTGGACTTTTTTTTTTTTCCATTGATTTTTTTTTTTTTTTTTCCAGGAGAAAAACAAATTGTAGGACACTTCCACCCACTCTCACATTTTGACTTTTTCAAGTCCTTGAGACCTGGGAGTTCTAGATACACTCGAGAAACCTTTTGTTGTCATCTCCTGAGGTCACTCAGCTTGAAGATGACTTGGACCTCCGAGGAAGGGCTGAGGCCAGGTGCCGCTGAGTGGGCCCTGAGGTCCTCTGGTAGACGGATGACCTGCAGGCTGGGAGCATTGCATGCCTTGTGACTGCCTTGCCTTTTGTTTTGGACTGACGTTGGTTAACTCAATTTGGTGAGGCTCCGAGTCTGTCAACAAATAATGTTGAGCAACCGTATGTTTAATGTCCCCAGGCATGTGGCTGAAACCTTTTGAAGGCGAAGGGTGGAAGGCGACAACCTGTTTGTAAGTCAATTCTTTGCAAATTTTTGTTTCCCGCAGTCCTCTCTTGGAAAAAAAAATAAATAAATAAATAAAAATTTGAATTCCTTCATCAGCATTTGTTTTCACCCAGCTGGTTTCCATTGGGTTCAGCAACAAAGAAGGGAGACTTATCTTTCCCTCCTGAAGTGCAGCCCCCTCAATTTTTTTCCCCTAATTTAGAAAGATTCCCAGGTGGTCATGGTGTCCGAGCAGAATGGCTCGGAAGGTGTCAAAAAGATTTGAAAAGTCAAAACCGACTTCAGAGTTTTACCAATCAAGTCTCATGTCAGGAAATGTGGATGAGGTCTGTCCGTCCTCAGCTTGCTTTTTAAGTACTGGTAATTCGTTCCAAAATCTTTTGTCCGTTTCTCTTGAATAGAGGTGGGGCTGAGGTCCCCTAAACCCTTCTTCATAGGAAATCAAGGTTTGCTTCATGCCTAGGAGCCCCTCTTTTTTAAACTCCAGAGGGCACCGATCTAGTAACTATGAGAAAAGATGACTCTTCTCCCAGCACTGAAACTGGGGTTCTCAGGAAAGGAGCTGGAGCCAAGGAAACCGCTAGATGATGGTCCCCACTCCGTGCATCCCCCAGGGGGCTGAAGAGCATGTGGTGGCCATGATCCCATTCCAAAGCATTCCATCCATCAGAGGCAGGCAGAGCCCAGCACCCAGTGTGCAGGCGGAGAGAGGAGGCCCAGCAGTGGGAGGAGGCCTTGAGGCCAGGAGCTGAGTGAGAGCCAGGACTCTCAGAGACGCTGGGTTTGGGCCTTTTCCAGACGGGCACTTTGAGAAATGCAGCAAAATAGCATTTTAGGGCAAAAGGAGAACGGAGGTCTGCTTCTAGTTGTCTTTGTCCCAGATGGGGAATGTCACCTGTTTATTGTCAGCAGAGAGCAGGGCAGTGGAGGTGGGCAAGTGTGATTCGGGGAGGGTGGGAGAGTGTGATTAGGGGGTGGCAGAGTGTGGTTGGGGGTGGCGAGTGTGATTAGAGGGGGTGGCGAGTGCGATTTGGAGGTGGGGAGTGTGATCAGGGGGGTGGGGAGTGTGATTAGGGGGATGAGGAGTGTAATTAGAGGGGGTGGGGAGTGTGATTAGGGGGATGGGGAGTGTGATCAGGGGATGGGGAGTGTGATTGGGGGATGGGGAGTATGATTGGGGGCGGGGAGTATGATTGGGGGCGGGGAGTGTGATTGGGGGATGGGGAGTGTGATTGGGGGATGGGGAGTGTGATTAGGGGATGGGGAGTGTGATTAGGGGAGTGGGGAGTGTGATTAGGGGGTGGGGAGTGTGATTAGGGGGATGGGGAGTGTGATCAGGGGATGGGGAGTGTGATTGGGGGATGGGAAGTGTGATTGGGGGACGGGGAGTGTGATTAGAGGGGGTGGGGAGTGTGATTGGGGGTGGGGAGTGTGATTAGAGGGGGTGGGGAGTGTGATTGGGGGTGGGGAGTGTGATTGGGGGTGGGGAGTGTGATTAGAGGGGGATGGGGAGTGTAATTAGAGGGGGATAGGGAGTGTGATTAGAGGGGGTGGGGAGTGTGATTAGAGGGGGATGGGGAGTGTAATTAGAGGGGGATAGGGAGTGTGATTAGGGGGTGGGGAGTGTGATTAGGGGGTGGGGGGGTGTGAATAGGAGGGTGGAGAGTGTGAATAGGAGGGTGGGGAGTGTGATGGGGGGATGGGGAGTGTGAATGGGGGGATGGGTGAGTGCGATTAGGGGAGTGAAGATATTAGGGGCAGGGGAGTGTGATTAGAAGGTGGGAGAATGTAATTGTTCACCATCCAACTCCCTGAGTTCGCATAGGATCAGGGAGGGGAGGAGGGCTTTCTCGTCCCCGCAGACACCCTCTTGGCAAGAGAGCCAGGGAGCAAGGTGTGAGTGTGGGCATGTGAGACCATCGTGTGGCCTCTGCAGGAGAGGCCCCGTGTGGGTGTCAGGGACCTCTTTCCATCCTTGTGTTGGGTCCATCAGTGGCGTTGTTTCCTTCCCATCTTTCGGTGACATCTCATCTGTACAGACCCTGAACTGCCCCCCGTGGAATCTCCCGGGGCTCAGGCCTTTTGACAGTTCTAGTACACAAAGCTGTCTCCACCTTTACTTCCTCTTCTATGATAAACAGCCAACCAGCAACATGGCAAACCCCATCTCTACAAAAAATACAAAAAAACCCAGCCAGGCGTGGTGGTGCGCGCGCCAGTAGTCCCAGCTACTCACAGGGCTGAGGCAGGAGGGTCGCTTGAGCCCAGGAGGTCGAGGCTGAGTGAGCTATGATCGTGCCACTGCACTCCAGCCTGGGTGACAGAGGTGGGACAAAAGGGATCTCCTGCTCCAGACCCGAGATGTGTCTCCCTCAGCTCAGCATCACGCTGGTCTCAGGTCATACCTGGGACCTCTGTCAGAGGGAGCCCTTGTGGCCTTGCAGGCTGGGCAGTGCCAGACGGGTGTGGGGAGGAGCAGGAGATGGACCCCTTCAAGGCCCCACCCCTGGAGGTAGGCGAGGCCACACCCCCTCACTCTTATTGGTCCGCTGGCCTGGCCTCCCTCCCAACAAACAGGAGGAGGCTCCATAACCTGTCTGCAAATAGATAAGGCTTGGAAGTTGATTTCTGGTTTTCAAGCAGGAGGGAGGAACAGCAGAATCTGTGCAGGAATTTTCAGAAACAAGGAGGAACCTATGTCTGTTGTAGCTAGAATCAGGCAGCGGCTCCCACCTGCAGGTGCCCACACTCTCTGCAGGCAGGTCAGGGGAGAATTCTGTTTTTCTGCATCTCACGGGAGCATCAAGTGGCCCCCATCCAACCTCTGGGGCGTGCAGCTCAGGGACCTTTGAGATGAGGCGCTCATGCGGGCCTCGTCCTCCGCCTCATTTGTGCATGCTGCCGGCATCTCCCTTCCAGCACCCCACCATTTCTCCCCCGACCATCCATGCTCTCGCTAAGATGATGACAGTGACCCTCACCTGCAGGGAGCCTGCCCCGCACTTCTCTCCCTCCTTCCCCCTTCGCCCTCTGGAAACTGACCTCTGCCTGCCTGCGTCTTTGCTTTCAGGTGCAGCCCAAATTCCGTTACCCCTTCTACTATGAGATGTGCTGGTATGTCCTGGAGAGATACGTGTACTGTGTGACCCAGCGCTCCCACCTCACTCAGGAATACCAGAGGGAGTCGATGCTTATTGGTGAGTGAACCGGAGGGAGCCCACGGCCTCGGCTGCACAGCTGGGGCAGAAATCATTTTCTCAGTGGGGCCTGGAGACACTCCCTGAGTTTTGGGGATTCGTTGAATCAGTGTATTGGGCAGAATCCTAGGAACCCCTCAGGGGAAGCCATTCTTGCCAGTTTCCCACCTGGAATACAGAGTCCAAGAAAATGAATTCGGATCCCCAAAAGAGTCACGTGTGTGGCCTCCAGCCCATGGCTGTGTAGATGCAGGTTGGGGCCGCCCCGGGCTTGGCTGCTAAAACGGGATCACCCCACAGAGCAGAGAATCCTCGTTCTTTTGGCTCTTCCGTGGACACCAGCTGATTTTTCCTCCTGCACTGGAGGTTGGGTTTTTATCTATGTAAGAGCAGTCCTGTGAGATGCAGCCAGTCTCTGAAAACTCAAGGCTGTCTTTGAGGCAGCAGGAGGGGTGACCAGGGCAGGTGGTGCGGGCCTGGAGGAGCAGGAGAGAGTGTTTGGAGCCGCTGCAGCGCCCAGCCCTGCTGCCAGTACTTAAAGGGACATCATCCCCCCCGAACACGGCTCTGCCCTTGAATCTTGACTCACAGACGCCCGCCCTGAAGTTGGATCTGGCTGTGACTGCAAGCCCCGACCAGCAATCTAGAGGAAGAACGTGATTCCTCTCGGCTGCGTCTGAGCTGTTGTGGTGCAGGGGTTTTCCTGGATGATGTAGAGTCTGCAGCATCTCAGACACTGCATCTTTTTTTTTTTAACCAGGGGATAGAAAGATGAGACTGGTCTGTCTCCTTGAGGGTCTGCACAATTTTTCCTGCAGCCTCTAGGATTTTTAGATTCTTTTTTTATTTCCCCTTTACAGTAAGCCTCTTCCATCCCTTCCCTTATGCCCCATCCTTAATGACGTTCAGGGTTTCCAGGCTGGGCGTATGATGGGGAACCAGTGTTTCTGCTGGGGCCTTCACTGGGAAGTCTTTGCCTGTGAGGTCTGTCGCGAGCCTCATTCCCGCCTGATGATGTGATATTCAGGGGGTTGGAAAGTCCCGAAACCCTACAACCTGCCCTTCTGGAGCTCCCAGCCTGGTAGGAGAGAAGGGAAATGATCCTGAAATAGCGTGAGAGCCGCTATGATCACAGTAACTCCACGATCCCCCGGAGACAGAGGCTGGGGAGAGTGAGAGGCTTTCTGAGTGTCTGCAGTCCCCAGGCCAGAAGGCCGAGGGTTGGTTCTTTCACTTGGACATTTAGGGCAGAAGAATAATATTCCATTCGCAGGCACAGGAGGAAATCTCGAGGTGGTGCTTGGGTAATCAGTACCCACATCTTCCTTACGTTTTCCTGCCACTGTTTTCCCTCTGGCTCTCCCAGTCCATCTGCCAATGAGAAGGGGCAACGTGAGGGAGACACCCCCTCCATCCAGAGCTGCTGTGTGCCAGTGCCTGTGCCCAGGGATACCTGTGTACTCCGCACCACGGCTTTCTGAGGGTGTTTCCTTTGCCTTATATTTTTTAAGCAGCCCTATTAGGATATAGTTCCCATATCACACAATTCACCATTTAGGGTGTAGAATCCAGTGGTTTTTAGTCTATTCACAGATACATGCAGCCACTGCTGCAGTCAATTTCACATTTTCATCACCGCAAAAAGAAACCCGGGGCCGGGCACAGTGGCTCATGCCTGTAATCCTAGCACCACCGGGCGCGATGGCTCACGCCTGTAATCCCAGCACTTTGGGAGGCTGAGGCGTGTGGATCACTTGAGGTCAGGAGTTCGAGATCAGCCTGGCCAACATGGTGACACCTCGTCTCTACTAAAAATATGAAATTAGTTCAGTGTGGTGGCACATGCCTGTAATCCCAGGTACTCGGGAGGCTGAGGCAGGAGACTCGCTTGAACCTGGGAGGCGGAGGTTGCGGTGTGCCGAGATCGCGCCATTGCACTCCAGTCTGGCCAACAAAGTGAGACTCTGTCTCAAAAAAAAAAAAAAAAAAAAAAATTCCTAGCATTTTGGGAGGCCGAGGCGGGTGGATCCCTGACGTTAGGAGTTCGAGACCAACCTGACCAACAAGGTAAAACCCTGTCTCTACTAAAAAACACAAAAATTAGCTGGGTGTGGTGGTTCACCTGTAATCTCAGCTACTCGGGAGGCTGAGGCAGGAGAATCCCTTGAACCCAGGAGATGGAGGTTGCAGTGAGCTGAGATCACTCCAATGCACTCCAGCCTGGGTGACAGAGCGAGACTCTGTCTCAAAAAAAAAAAGAGAAAAGACAAAAGAAAAGAAAGAAACTCATACCCTTCAGCTGTTGTCTCATCTCCCTACCCTGCCCTTTCCCCAGCCCTAGGCAACTACTCATCTACTTTCTGTCCCTATAGATGTCCCCTGCCTGGGACATTTCACTGAGTTGAATCATATAATAGATGCTCTCTTAGACTTATTTTTATTTTATTTTAGTATTATTATTATTATTATTATTATTATTTTTTGAGACAGGGCCTTGCTCTGTTGCCCAGGTTGGAGTGCAGTGGTGCATTCATGGCTTACTGCAGCCTCCACCTCCCAGGCTCAAGTGATCCTCCCATCTCAGCCTCCCAAGTAGCTGGGACTACAGGTGCACATCATCACACCCAGCTAATTTGTGTATTTTTTGTAGAGATGGGGTTTCACTGTGTTTCTCAGTCTGGTCTCAAACTCCTGGGCTCAAGCAATCCACTCGCCTAGGCCCCTCAAAGTGTAGGGATTATAGGCGTGAGCCACTGCACCCAGCCTCGACTTATTTTTAGACATTAAAAAGTAAAGTGCCAGATACCAGCCTGGGCAATATAACGAGACCTCATCTCTACAAAAAAAGCTTAAAAAAAAAACTAGCTGAGTGTGGTGGGCGCACCAGCAGGAGGATCACTTGAACCCGGGAGGCGGAGGTTGCAGCGAGCTGAGATTGTGCCACTACAGTCCAGCCTCGGCAACTGAGCAAGACTGTCTTTATATAAATAAATAAAGTGCCAGTGTTCAGAGAGGCGGGGCAACCCATGTGGGTGCACACAGCCGGGAAGCAGCAGGGTGGGGATCTGAACCTGCGTCCCCCACGGCCTTTCCAGAGGCTGGAGGCACTGACCATTAGGATTGTTAGAGAAGCTGGATCTCTGGAGTAAAGGGGACTTTTGGTGAGTGGAGGTTCCAAAGACCTTGGCAGGGAGTTAGGTGTCATCTCGGTCTTTCTTGTGACCCTGCCCCCACAGATGCCCCGAGGAAGCCCAGCATAGACGGCTTCTCTTCGGATTCCTGGCTGGAGATGGAGGAGGAGGCCTGTGATCAGCAGCCTCAGGAGGAGGAGGAGAAGGACGAGGAGGGCGAGGGCAGGGACAGGGCACCCAAACCGCCCACCGATGGCTCCACTTCACCCACCAGCACGCCCTCTGAGGACCAGGAGGCCCTCGGGAAGAAGCCCAAAGCACCTGCCCTGCGATTCCTCAAAAGGACTTTGTCTAATGAGTCGGAGGAAAGTGTGAAGTCCACCACATTGGCCGTAGACTACCCCAAGACCCCCACCGGCTCTCCCGCCACGGAGGTCTCTGCCAAATGGACCCATCTCACTGAGTTTGAACTGAAGGGCCTGAAAGCTCTGGTGGAGAAACTGGAATCCCTCCCGGAGAACAAGAAGTGTGTCCCCGAGGGCATCGAGGACCCCCAGGCACTCCTGGAGGGTGTGAAGGTGGGCAGGAGTGGCGTCTGGGGCTGGGCGGCCGAGGAGGGCCGGGCAGGTCCCGTTCAGTGTGACACGTGCAGCTCAGCTCACGATGGCTCTGTGCAGATTGCTCTGAGCATTCGGGTGGGCGCTGCGAGGGGGCTTCTGGGGTCTCAGTCCACAAAAGCCTATGTAGGGTGTCCAAGCAGAGGCCATCATTAAGAGCTGCAGAGGGTGGGTGGGGTGGCTCACACCTGTAATCCTAACACTGGGAGGCTGAGGTGGGCAGATCACTTGAAGTCATGAGTTCAAGACCAGCCTGGCTAACATGGTGAAACCCCGTCTCTACTAAAAAAAAAAAAGGAAAATTAGCCATGCCTGGTGGCGTATGCCTGTAGTCCCAGCTACTTGGGAGGCTGAGGCAGAAGAATTGCTCGAACCTGGGAGGTGGAGGTTGCAGTGAGCTGAGATCGCACCACTGCACTCCAGCCTGGGCAACAGAGCAAGACTCTGTCTCAAAAAAACAAAAGAGCTGTAGAGGACCCCCTTTTGGAACCTCACTCTGTGGCTGACGAGTTTTCTTCTCAGCACTTATTGGAAACCTGAGTCCCCACCAGCAGGTGTGACATGTGCAGCAGTTGCTGTCACTGGCCTCGAGAGACGAACCCCTCCAGCCTTGTCAGGAAGCCTCGCTGTCCTGGGCCAGCATGTTGGAGCACGAATCAGTTTCACATGAGCAGGTTGTACATCCCCACAGTCCTTGACACGGCCAGCTGATGCGGGCACTATGTAGCTGCGTGCAGTTTGGAAGTCTTCATTATGACCTGCATTTAATGGATGAGGAAGTAGGCTCAGAGAGGGTACGGGGCATGCCTGAGGTCACACAGTAAGTGGATGGTGGAGCTGGGATGAGGACCCGGGGGTGACTGCAGAGCTTCTGTGTGTCTACCGCTGTGTGGAACTGCCTCTTGTCTCAGCATTAGTAAGGCTTTTTGGTTGAGGCCTCCGAGGCGTCTGGGTGTCCTTCTCCAATGTCTGATGCCCAAGGGAAGCCAGCTAGCTGCCTCCTGGGGTTGGAAACTGAATTTAAGTTTCTTCTTCGGTGGCTGTAAAGTACTCAGGATTGGTAGTTCATTTGTTCATTGTATTTACTTAGGAAACCTTGTGTTGGGCCTGGGATAAAGATATATTAAGATTCACTGGGTGCGGGCCAGGCACGGTGGCTCAGGCCTTAATCCCAGCACTTTGGGAAGCTGAGGCAGATGGATCATTTGAGGCCAGGAGTTTGAGCCCAGCCTGGCCAACATAGGGAGACCCCATCTCTACAAAAAATAAAAAATTTAGCCAGGCATAGTGGCCTGTGCCTGTAGTCCCAGCTACTCTGGAGGCTGAGGAGAGAGGATTGCTTGACCCCAGAAGGTCACTGCTATAGGGAGCCATGGTCTCGCCACTGCACTCTAGCCTGGGCAACAGAGCAAGACCCTGCCTGAAAAAAAACCCAAAACAACCATACTAATCTGAAGAAGAAATGTCTTTCCATGCTTTTGGAAAGTCTTTTTTACTTTATTTTTTTACCGTTGAGACAGACAGGGTGTTACTCTGTTGCACAGGCTGGAATGCAGTGGTGCGAGCTTGGCTCCCTGCAGCCTCGACCTCCCAGGCTCAAGTGATCCTTCTGCCTCAGCCTCCCAAGTAGCTGGGACTACAGGTGCATGCCACCATGCTCGGCTAATTTTTAATTTTTTTGTAGAGATGGGGTCTCACCACATTGCCCAGGCTGGTCTCAAACTACTGAGCTCAAGCGATCCTCCCACCTCAGCTTCCCAAGGTGCTGGGATTACAGGCATGAGCCACTGTGCCTGGCCTAGCCTATTTTTGCCTTTAAAAGCATCTTTGTGTCTGTGATCTATTTCTGTGTGGTGTCGCTGGTTCTGGGAACAGATGTCCTCCTAGGGATGAAACTTGGCTCCTCCTATCCCTCGCCTCTACCTACCTGATTGGCCTGAGGCTGGACTTACCTTAGACCCTTTGATGATGTAGAGGAGGCCTGGGGTAGGGGTTAGAAAAAGCGCAAGCAGCGCAGACTTCCTCCTTCCCCACAGGGGAATCACGGGCAGCTCGTGATAATATGAAATGAGGCATCTCAATGACTTGGTGCTGTTGGGTGTGTTTTCCTTGTACAAACACATTGAAACCTTCCAACAACCCTTTGGAGTACTTTTATTTTTTTGAGATGAAGTCTTGCTCTGTCGCCCAGGCTGAAGTGCAGTGACATGATCTTGGTTCACTGCAACCTCTGCCTCCCGGGTTCAAGTGATTGTCCTACCCCTGCCTCCCGAGTAGCTGGGACCATAGGCATGCCACAACCCCTGGCTAATTTTTTTGTAATTTTTGTAGAGATGGGGTCTCCCATGTTGCCCACGCTGTCTTTTTTGTATAACCTAGTCACTTAGCTCATTTATTGAACTTAGCTGTCTTTTTTTTTTTTTTTTTTCTTGAGACAGAGTCTCGCTCTGTCGCCCAGGCTGGAGTGCAGTGGCGTGATCTCGGCTTACTGCAAGCTCCACCTCCCGGGTTCACACCATTCTCCTGCCTCAGCCTCCCGAGTAGCTGGGACTACAGGTGCCCGCCACCTCGCCGGGCTAATTTTTTTTTTTGAGATGGAGTTTCACTCTTGATGCCCAGGCTGGAGTGCAATGGCACAATCTCGGCTCACTACAACCTCCACCTCTGGGGTTCAAGTGATTCTCCTGCCTCAGCCTCCCTAGTAGCTGGGATTACAGGCATGCGCCACCACACCCGGCTATTTTGTATTTTTAGTAGAGATGGGTTTTCTTCATGTTGGTCAGGCTGGTCTTGAACTCCCTACCTCAGGTGATTCGCCCGCCTCGGCCTCCCAAAGTGCTGGGATTACAGGTGTGAGCCACCGCGCCTGGTCTTTTGTATCTTTTTTAGTAGAGATGGGGGTTTCACCGTGTTGGCCAGGATGGTCTTGATCCCCTGACTTTGTGATCCGCCTGCCTCGGCCTCCCCAGAACTTACCTGTCTTTAGAGATATTTAGTTTAGCCTTGTCTAATGAGGCTCTTTTCAGGCTGAAGAGCTTGTAAATTAGGTGGACAGGCCTCCTGAGGGTTCCATGAAAATTGGGACCGCTGCTAGTGTCTCTAAATGTTGTGTGGCCAGATGCTTGCCTGGGGGACGTGGGTGCCATCACCTCTTCCAGAACAGGAGAGTTTCTGATTAGTCTGACAGGCATTAGCCCCTCACTCTCCCTGGAGACCCAGAAAAGATTTTGAGGCCTGCTGCAGTGGCTCACACCTGTAATCCTAACATTTTGGAAGGCCGATCACACGAGCCCAGGAGTTTGAGACCAGCCTGGGCAACATAGTAAGACCCTATCTGTACAAAAACAAAAATTAGCCAGGTGTGGTGGTGTGCGCCTGTAGCCCCAGCTGCTCAAGGGGCTGAGGCAGGAGGATCACTTGAGCCCAGGAGTTCTAGGCTACAGTGAACTATGAGTGCGCCACTGCACTCCAGCCTGGGAGACAGAACAAGACCCTGTCTCAAATAAATAAAAAAGCAAACAAAAAAACGATTTTGAACCCAGGACTGACTTTCAGGGTGGGAGTGCTGCCACAGAGGGTGGGCAGCCTGTTCTCCCCAGATGTACGCTCTGTCGCCTTGTTCTCTCTTTTCTGTTGTTGAGGATTCTTTTGCTTTGGCCAAGAAATAAAAAACAGCTCAGGAATATGGGTCTGAGACAATTCATAGCCGATGCCCAGTTCCCCCACTGCCATTGAGGGATTCGTGTTTCTGGGCTGTGGTGGTTTCCTGTTGATGACTGACCTGCTAGGATCTTTGGCTTGTGTTCCAGAAAGATGGGCTCTCTCCCGGGACCTCAGAGGCTGCTGCTTGTGGTGGCTCAGGGTAACTAGTGCCCTGGTGATTGGAGACAGCCCCCAATTCAACTCAGTCCCTAGATGGCTAGGTTTTGGCTTATACTAAAAACCCATTTGTTCTTTCATTTGTGTGATTTTGTTGTTGTTTTTAAATTTTGAGACAGAGTCTTACTCTGTCACCAAGGCTAGAGTGCAGTGGCATGATCACAGCTTTTTTGTAGAGACAGAGGTCTCGCTGTGTTGCCCAGGCTCATCTTGAGCCCCTGGGCTCAGGTGGTTGGACAGCCTCGTGTGATGTATTTTTTAAATTATGGTAAGACACACGTAACACAATTTACCATTTTAACCATGTTAAGGTGTCCAAGTCAGTGGCATTAGGTACAGTCACAATTTTTTTTTTTTTTTTTTGAGATGCAATCTCACTCTGTTGCCCAGGCTGGAGTGCAGTGATGTGATCTCAGCTTACTGCAACCTCTGCCTCCTGGGTTCAAGCGATTCTCGTGCCTCAGCCTCCCGAGTAGCTGGAATTACAGGCATGTGCTACCACACCTGGCTGATTTTTTTTTTTTTTTTTTTTGAGACAGAGTCTTGCTCTGTTGCCCAGGCTGGAGTGCAGTGGCGTGATCTCGGCTCACTGCAAGCTCTGCCTCCCGGGTTCACGCCATTCTCCTGCCTCAGCCTCCTGAGTAGCTGGGACTACAGGCGCCTGCCACAACGCCCAGCTAATTTTTTTGTATTTTTAGTAGAGACGGGGTTTCACCATGTTAGCTAGGATGGTCTCGATCTCCTGACCTCGTGATCCACCCGCCTTGGCCTCCCATAGTGCTGGGATTACAGGCGTGAGCCACCGCGCTCGGTGGCTAATTTTTATATTTTAAGTAGAGATGGGGTTTCATCACATTGGCCAGGCCTCAGGTAATCTTGGCTTGGCCTCCTGAAATGCTGGGATTACAGGCATGAGCCACCGCCCCGGCCAACAATTCACAATCGTGTGCAACCACCACCACTATCTTATTCCAGAACCTTTTTATCACTGTGGACAGTCCCATACCTAAGAGCTGCCACGTCCCATACCCTCTTCACTGCGAATCTGCTTTCTGTCCCGTGGATTTACTTATTCTAGATATTTCATTGTAACGTAGGTTTTGGTTTTTTTTTGAGATGGGGGTCTCACTCTGTCACCCAGCCTGGAGTACAGTGGCACAATCATAGCTCACTGCAGCCTCAACCCCCCAGGCTCAAGCAATCCTCCCATCTCAGCTTCCCAAGTAGCTGGGACTACAGGCATATGCCACTACTCCCAGTTAATTTTTTCATTATTTGTAGAGACTACGTCTTGCTATGTTGCTTATGCCTGTAATGCCAGCAGTTTGGGAGACCGAGGCAGGAGGACTGGTTGAGCCCAGGAGTCTGAGACTGACTTTGGCAACATAGCAAGATCCTATGTCTATAAAAAATAAAAAATTAGCCATGTATAGTGGTGTGCACCTCTACCTGGGAGACTGTACAGCGTTAGAGGGCTGAGGCAGGAGGATCATTTGAGCCCAGGAGGTGGAGGCTACAGTGAATTGTGATTGCATCAGACAGAGACCCTGTCTCAACATAAATGATAAATATAGACACTTACTGTGATGGAAGTGCCAAGATATTGGCCTGTATGAGATGGGAAAGACAAGAACTCAGGACAGAGGAGACCCTGGAGTTCAAGTTTGGTTTCTGCTCTTAGCTACTCGCTGTGTGGCCTTGGGCAAGCCAGTCCGCCTTTCTGTTCACCTGTATGGAAAATGAGGATGTGCTTTGTCCTTCTGGGGACCAGATTCTGGGACTCTTATGGCCATTCTGAAGCACTTACCCTTGGGTGAAACTGCAGTGTCCTCACTATGATATGGGCATAACAGCAGGGACCTGTGTCACTGAATTACTTTAAGGAACAAGGAAGCCATGAACATAGGTTGCAGCTAAAGGTGAGCCAGGCTGGCTTTGGCCAGCTACCCACACTTCCCCTGCCCTTTCTCTTTCCTTCCCCCTTCTCACCTCTCAGCAGCCCCCTCATCCCCCCTCCAAGTTAAAGATTGCTGTTTAGGCTGTGCACAGTGACTCACACCTGTAATCCCAGCCCTTTGGGAGGCCAAAGTGGGAGGGTGGCTGGAGCTCAGGAGTTTGAGGCCACCCTGGGCAACATAGTGAGACCCCAGTCTACAAAAACAAAACAAAACAAAACAAAAGGAACAAAAAATTAGCCAGGAGTAGTGGCATGCGCCTGTAGTCCCAGCTACTTGAAAGGCTGATGCAGGAGGATTTACTGAGCCTAGGAGTTTGAGGCTGCAGTGAGCTGTGATGGCACCACTGTACTCCAGCCTTGGTGACAGAGCCAGACCCTGTCTCAAAAAAGAAAAAAAAAAAACAAAACACCACAGCCCGGGCGCAGTGACTCACGCCTGTAATCCTAGCACTTTGGGAGGCCAAGGCAGGTGGATCACCTGAGGTCAGAAGTTCGAGACTAGCTTGGCAAACATGGCAAAACCCCATCTCTACTAAAAATACAAAGATTAGTTGGGCGTGATGGCGCACGCCTGTAGGCCCAGCTACTAGAGAGACTGAGGCAGGAGAATCACTTGAACCTGGGAGGTGGAGGTTGCAGTGAGCTGAGATTGCGCCATTGCACCCTAGCCTGGGTGACAAGAGCAAAACTCTGCTCAAAAAAAAAAAAAAACCCACAAAAAAACCTGATTTCCTTTTTTAAAAAAAAAATTTTATTTTTTTTACCAAGATGGAGTCTTTTGCTCTGTCACCGAGGCTGGAGAGCAGTGGCACAGTAACAGCTCTCCATAGCCTCGACCTCCTAGCTCAGGTGATCGAGGTAGCTGGGACTACAGGCATGCGATACCATGCTCAGTTCATTTAAGTTTTTTTTTTTTTTTTTTTTTTTTTTTGGTAGAGATGGGGGTCTCGCTCTGCTGCCCAGGCTGGTCTCGAACTCCTTGGCTCAAGCAATCCATCTACCTCAGCCTCTCAAACTGCTGGGATTACAGGTGTGAACCACCTCATCCAGCCAGGTGATACCTTTTTTTTTGAGTCCGAGTCTCTCTCTGTTGCCCAGGCTGGACTGCAGTGGTGTGATCTTGGCTCATTGCAACCTCCGCCTCCTCGGTTCAAGTGATTCTCCTGCCTCAGCTTCCCAAGTAGCTGGGATTACAGGCATGCGCCACCACGCCCAGCTAATTCTTGTATTTTAATAGAGGTGGGGTTTCGCCATGTTGGCCAGGCTGGTCTCGAACTCCTGGCCTCAAGCAATCTGCCTATCTCGGCCTCCCCAGGTGCTGGGATTACAGGTGTGAGCCACTGTGTGGCCAGGTGTTCTTTGAAGACCAAAAGTTCTGCATTAGACCGAATCCCTGTGCCATCTGTAAACCAGCCGAATGCTCTTGAGGAATGCAGTAAAATGGAGTACTTGGAATACAGCATCATGGTCATGAGGACTCCGTGAGGTGACACTTTAGCACAGGGCCTTTAATAGCTCAGCAAACTAGAGCCAAAAATTTCAGACACCATAGAATGAAAACAGGCCGGTGCAGGGTCAAATGTGCGAGCCTGTGAAACCCATGACTGTGGAAGGTGTTCACAGCTTTTTTCTCTTGAGGTCGTCAGTTCCCGACCCTGGAACACACCTGTTCATTGATGCGGCCTCTTCTGGGTCTTACTGACATGTAGAACAGTGAGGTGTAAAGCCCAGATCACCAGCGCAGTTGGCTTTTTAAAATCATCACACTCTCGGCTAGGCACGGTGGCTCACGCCTATCATCTCAGCACTTTGGGAGGCCGAGGCGGGCGGATCATGAGGTCAGGAGTTCGAGACCAGCCTGGCCAACATAGTGAAACCCCATCTCTACTAAAAATACAAAAAAATTAGCAGGGCATGGTGGTGCGTGCCTGTAATCACAGCTACTCTGGAGGCTGAGGCAGGAGAATCGCTTGAACCCAGGAGGCGGAGGTTGCAGTGAGCTGAGGTTGTGCCACTGCACTCCAGCCTGGGCGACAGAGCAAGACTCTGTCTCAAAAAACAAACAAACAAAAAACAACAACAAAAAATACCAAGTATGTTATTTAATAGTCCTGGGGGGCCAGAAGTCAGAAATAAAAGAGTCAGCGGGGCTCTGCTCGCTCCAAAGTCTCTAGAAGAGAATCCTTCCGGGCCTCCTCTGGTTTCTGGCAGCTCTTGGTATTCCTTGGATGTGGCTGCATCACTCCAGTCTCTGCCTTCATTTTCTTTTCTTATTTTTGGTCTTTGTATTTATTTTATTTATTTTTTTGAAGACAGAGTCTTGCTCTGTGGCACAGGCTGGATGGAGTGCAGTGACGTGATCTTGGCTTGCTGCAACATCCGCCTCCCGGGTTCAAGCAATTCTCGTGCCTCAGCCTCCCAAGTAGCTGGGATTGCAGGCAGGTGCCACCACACCCATCTGCCTTCATTTTCTTGTAGATTTCTTCTTTGTGTCTCTGTCCAAATCTCTCTTATTATAAAGACACTTGACATTGGGTTTAGGGTCTACCCTAAATTCAGGATTATTTCACCTTGAAAATAAATTTTTTTTTGAGATGGAATCTTGCTCTGTTGCCCAGGCTGGAGTTCAATGGTGTGATCTCGCCTCACCACAACCCCCGCCTCCTGGGTTCCAGCAATTCTCCTGCCTCATCCTCCTGAGTAGCTGGGACTATGGGCATGTGCCGCCATGCCTGGCTAATTTTTGTGTTTTCAGTAGAGACAGGGTCTCACCATGTTGACCAGGCTGGTCTCGAACTCTTTGCCTCAAGTGATCCGCCCGCCTCGGCCTCCCAAAGTGCTGGGATTACAGGCGGGAGCCACTGTGCCTGGCCTGAACACATATTTTTTGGGACACAATTCAAGCTACTTCAGATGGGTTTTCACAGACGGTGGGGCTGGGATGGAGGGAGGGTACTTGAGAGACCCCAGGTGCGTTGATGCCTGGTGGGTCTCTTTCCCCATAGAAGGGGGCACCCCGGAGGGTGCTGGTTCCCCAGAGCAGGAGTTCCCCAAGCTGCGCCTCCCTTTGCCGGCCTGTGGATGGCGATTCTTCCCTGATGCCTGCCTTGTTTTCACAGTGGGATATTTTTAGTCATGGCATGGAGGGAGTTTCTGATTATTAAAGCCCCAGCCTAGGAAGCAGTGGGACCCGAATCCATTGTTAACTAATTATCTCTTTGAGAGAAGTTGGCATAAAGGGCCGCCCAGGCCCAGCCATCCCTTGTCTGTGGTTATCTCGTCAGGTCCAGTACGGGGCAGTTTCCCGCAGAAAGGGTCCCACGGTTGGATCTTTCTCTTCGAAAACCTGCCCTGGACTTTCGGAGGGGACGGGCGTGTAAGGTGTAACCCTTAGGGGGCTGAGCTGGTGAGGGCACCCAGCCTTCCTTATATCTGTGCTGCCGAGAGCCCCAGGGAGTGTATAAATTCAAGCAGGGCCTAGGGAAGCCAGTGACATGATTCCCTCCAGCACAACCTATTTCTCAGAGATGAAATCTCCAATTAGAATAATCTTCTTTTCCCGGAGCCTGTCATACACAAATGAAAATTCTTCCCTGAGGGACAGAGCCCAGGGCGCCCCCTGGTGGCCGCAGGGGGGCCACACACAGAGGGAAACGGGAGGTATGAGTGTGAGATCCTGGGCTCAGGGCACTTGGGGAAAATTCTTTTTATTTTTAATTATTATTAAATAATTATTTTTTTTTGAGTTAGAGTCCCATTCTGTCACCCAGGCTAGAGTGCAGTGGTGCGATCTTGGCTCACTGTAACCTCTGCCTCCGGGTTCAAGTGATTCTCCTGCCTCAGTCTCCCGAGCAGCTAAGACCACAGACGCGTGCCACCATGCCTGGCTAATTTTTTTGTAGTTTTAATAGAGATGGGGTTTCACTATGTTGGACAGGCTTGTCTTGAACTCCTGACCTCAGGTGATTTGTCCACCTTGGCCTCTCAAAGTGCTGGAATTACAGGCGTGAGCCACCACACCTGGCCATTATTATTATTTAGAGACAGAGTCTCCTACTTTTGCCCAGGTTGGAGTGTAGTTGTGTGATCATAGCTCACTGCAGCCTCGAACTCCTGGGCTCAAGCAATCCTCCCACCTCAATCTCCCCAAGAAGCTAGGACTACAGGTGCACACCACCATGCCCAGCTAATTTTTAAATTTTTTTTGTAGAGATGGGATCTCGCTGTGTTTCCCAGGCTTACCAAGAACAATTGTAATTAAAAAAATTATTGGCCGGGTGTGGTGGCTCACGCCTATAATCCTAGCACTTTGGGAGGCCGAGGTGGGTGGATCGCCTGAGGTCAGCAGTTCAAGACCAGCCTGGCCAACATGGTGAAACCTGTCTCTACTAAAAAAAAAAAAAAAGATACAAAAATTAGCTGGGCATGGTGGTGTGTGCCTGTAATCCCAGCTCCCCAGGAGGCTGAGGCAGGGAGTCGGTGGAACTGGGGAGGTAGAGGCTGCAGTGAGCTAAGATTGTGCCACTGCACTCTAGCCTGGGCGACAGAGCAAGATTCCATCTCAAAAAAAAAAAAAAAAAATTTATTGACTGGATGTGGTGGCTCACACCTGTAATCCCAGCACTTTAGTAGGCCAGAGGATCAGTTGACCGTAGGAATTTGAGACCAACCTGGGCAACATAGCAAGAACCTGTCTCTACTAAAAAATTAAAAAATTAGTCGGTCGTGGTGGTGCATTCTTTTCCCAGTTACTTGGGAGGCTGAGGTGGGAGAATTGCTTGAGCCCAGGAGTTCGAGGCTGTGGTGAGCTGTGATCACACCGCAGCACTCAAGCCTGGGCAACTCTCTGTTTTTTTAAAAGAGTCTTTAAAAATGTATTATTTATTATTATTAATTTGTTAATTATGTCTAGTACTTAGAACTGCAGTAATAACTTTTTGTAACTAAATATCCCTCTAAAGAGGCCTCTACCTCAATGCTTGTGAGTTAGACTCCAATCTGATATTGAAATGACAAGAAATCGTAAGACATTTAAGAAGGAAACTCAAAGAAAACAAAGGGGGGTGGGCATTACTTTCAGTCATATGCAGAGCCATCTTTGCAAATTGGTGGCCCATGGGCCAAACCAGCACACAGATGTTTCACTCACAGTGGGTTTTTTAAAGTTTTAGTTAGTTGTTAACATTTAAAAATGCAGAGATTTCAAATAAAACTCTGCATCTTTGATTTCTTCTGAAAAATTAAAGATCTGGTGGGCTTTTCATCCCCATAGGAGGTAAGCTGGAGTTGGGTAGCCTTGCCCCTTTTTAAATGGGCCATGTGTTTTCCAGTTTGTCACAGGCCTCACCGTTCCCTATTGTTCCAGTCCGGTTACATCTTGAATTTGTTACCCAATCCTAGAGTTTGGGATTGGACTAAGTGGCTGAAATGTCCTGTGGAAGTGACGGTCTTCTCCCCCAGCCATTTGGGGCCCACATGCAGGGGGGAATGGGAGGTCTCTGGCTAAACCTGAGTGTATTTCTGGAAAGCTCATTTGTTCTTAATGATTTTTTAGAAAGAGGGAAAAACTTTATTTATTTATTTATTTATTTATTTTGAGACAAAGTCTTACTCTGTTTCTCAGACTGGAGTGCAGTGGCATGGTCTCGGCCCGCTACAACCTCTGCCTACTGGGTTCAAGTGATCCTCCTACCTCAGCTTCCCAGGTCGCTGGGACCACAGGCACACACCACCACATCTGGCTAATTTTTGTAGTTTTAGTAGTGATGGGGTTTCTCCATGTTGATCAGGATGGTCTAACTCCTGGCCTCAAGTGATCCACCCGCCTTGGCCTCCCAAAGTGCTGGGATTACAGGCGTGAGCCACCGCAACTGGCCAGAGTTAAACCATTTTTACTTTTTTTTCTGTTCTAGGATCCCACCCAAGGTACAATATTACATTTAGTCTCATCAGTCTTCTCTTAGCTGCCATAGTTTCTTAGACTTTCCTTGTTTTGATGACCTTGACAGTTTTGAGGAGATCTGTTCAGGCATTTTGTAGACTGTCCCTCTTTTAGTATTTGTGGCTTTATTTTATAAAAACTCTGGGGCCAGGTGCGGTGGCTCACACCTGTAATCCCAGCACTTTGGGAGGCCGAGGCGGGTGGATCACTTGAGGCTAGGAGTTTGAGACCAGCCTGGCCAACATGGTGAAACCCTGTCTCTACTAAAAATAACAAAAATTAGCCAGGGGTGGTGGCACACGCCTGTAATCCTAGCTACTCAGGAGGCTGAGGCAGGAGACTCGCTTGAACCTGGGAGGCAGAGGTTGCAGTGAACCAAGATGGTGCCACTGCACTCCAGCCTGGGTGACAGAGTAACACTCCATCTCAAAAAACAAACAAACAAACAAAACCCAACTTTGTTTATTGGAAGCTTACTCTAGGTTAGTCATTATGTGAGGCTTTGAGGATATAGCAGTGAATAAAGACACTTTATAAATAGCATTTACAAATCATTGACATTGACTATGGGACTTTGGGGAAGCTGTATGTGCCGGGGCTGGGATTTAAACCCCTGGAGCCAGTTCTAGAGCCAACATTCTTGACCACTGTGCTGTTTGCTGTTTCCTGTGGGCTAAGGAGGAAGTTCTTCAGGTTAACAGCCACATCTTGAAAAATCACTCAAAAAAAAAAAAAGAAAAATCATGCAAGCAAATTATGATCAGGAAAGTATGATAGGCGTGCAGTGGCTCACACCTGCAATCCCAGAACTTTGGGAGGCTCACACCTATAATCCCAGCACTTTGGGGGGCTCACACCTGCAATCCCAGCACTTTGGGGGGCTCACACCTATAATCCCAGCACTTTGGGGGGCTCACACCTGCAATCCCAGCACTTTGGGAGGCTCACACTCGCAATCCCAGCACTTTGGGGGGCTCACATCCGCACTCCCAGCACTTTGGGGGGCTGAGGCAGGTGTTTTGCTTGAGCCCAGAAATTCAAGACCAGCCTGTGCAACATGGTGAGAACCCATCTGTACAAATAATACAATTAGCTGGGCTTGGTGTTACGCACTTGTAGTCCCGGCTACTGAGGAGGCTGAGGTGGGAGGATCACTTGAGCCCAGGAGTTTGAGGCTACAGTGAGCTGAGATTGTGCCCCTGCACTCCAGCCTGGGTGACAGTCACACCCTGTCTCAAAAAAAAAAAAAAAAAAAAAGGACAATGAGCAGAGTAAACTGGAAGTAAGCTGGAGTCATTTCTAGTGAAGTGAATTAGGAAAGGTGAATTAAAATAATCTTCACCTTCATTTGTCTCCTGAGCGCTTCTGCTCTTCCTGCTCAGTGCTTCTGTATGATTTACTCTGTTCTTAAATGTCCGGAAAAAATGTTTTTGTACAATTCAACAATCCGTGGTCCAGGATCAGAATGGGCCAGTGATAGTTCTGTGTGTGCTTAAACACATTTTTTTGTGGGGTGCTGTGGATGTGTGGATGTAGCCAAAAAAAACCCTATGTGGGTGGTCCTGGGGCAGAAAGTCTGGTGCCAGAGAGTGGGGTTCTGGGGGTCTGTCTTCATAGTTTGGGGTAGCACTAAAATCCTGTGAGCCTTTCTGGGCCTTGGTAACCTCCCCTGTAAGTTAGCTGTTAGATAATTCAGCTGGGTAGCATTTTATACCTGGATGATGTTCTAAAGTCCAGCCACACAAGGCCAAAGTCTGGCAGAGTGAGAATTCCCTTTGAAGAACCTTCAAACTGCTCACCGAGAGTGAACACAGTGTGCCTCGTGGGAGATCGCCAAGCAGCCTGGCAGTCCGTCCAACGCAGCCCATTTTTCTGCCACAATTTGGCCACGTGACTCCATCCTCAGTCAGACCAGATCAAGCATCTTCTTGTATTTAGGGCCCATGTTGCAAAAAACATTTACACGTCGTCACACAGCAGGGTTAGGGTACATGTAGCAAGCTGACTAAAGGACGGAGTCATGGCTCTATGAAGGCATCAAGGTCTGGAGGTTGGTTTTGTTTGCTTCGCTGAGTACGTAGTTAAATTTGTGAACATTAGAGGATCCGTAGTGCCACCGCCCAGCCCTCCCAGAGTGCTTGGTAGGAATTAAATGAGGCACAGTGGCTTACCCCTGTAATCCCAGCATTTTGGTAGGCTAAGGAGGGAGGATTCCTCGAGGCCAGGAGTTTGAGACAAGCTTGGGCAACATGGCATATACCCTGTCTGCACAAAAAAATTTAAAAATTATGGCTGGGCGTGTTGGCTCACGCCTGTAATCCCAGCACTTTGGGAGGCCAAGGCAGGTGGGTCACTTGAGGTCAGGAGTTGGAGACTAGCCTGGCCAACATGGCAAAATCCTGTCTGTACTAAAAATACAAAAATTAGCCCAGCGTGGTGGTGCACACCTGCATTCACAGCTACTCGGGAGGCTGGGGCAGGGAAATCGCTTGAACCCAAGAGGCAGAAGTTGCTTGAGCCCAGATTGCGCCACTGAACTCCAGCCTGGGTGACAGAGTAAGACTTTGTCTAAAAAAAAAAAAAAAATTTAGCCAGGGAGGGTGCCATGCACCTGTGGTCTCAGCTACTTAGGAGGCTAAGGCATGAGGATCACTTGATCCAGGTGGTCAAGGATGTAGTGAGCTATGATTATACAACTGCACTCCGGCCTGGGTGACAGAGCAAGATTCTGTCTCAAAAAAAAAAAAAAAAGAAAAAGTTTGTGTGTGAGTCCCCGACGCTCTGGACAAGTGCTAGATGTCATAACTGTGATCATGGGTGATACATACGTGGAAGTCACAGGGAGGTATGTGATTTGCTTTGTTAAAGAAATTTTGTAGAGGGCAGAGGGGAACGTTGTGTGTTTCGTGGGCCCCAGGGGACCCTAGTGACTTGGTTTCTATTGAATGTGTGGGTGGTGGTGGAGTCAATGGCCAGGCGCTGACTTTGTGGAGTGTGATCCTTGCTGGACTATGTCTGCTGTTCAGCTGTCTTCAGAGACCTCCCCTTCCCCCTGGGCTAATATGGATGCTTTGTTTGGCCACAGAACGTCCTGAAGGAGCACGCAGATGATGACCCTAGTCTGGCCATCACTGGGGTCCCTGTGGTGACTTGGCCAAAGAAGACTCCAAAGGTAAGACGCAGCCTGCCTGCAGCGGGCGGCCGCTTCCCACCTCCTTCCCACCTCCTGTAGGGTGAACAGCCGCGACTTTTTGGGTAGCTATGGGGCCTCCTGAGATGAAGGCACCGCAGTTAAGATGAAGGATTTTGGTGATTTGTTCCATGTTTTTGTTTTTAAAAGGGGGTTGCTTTACCTAGCTGTGGGAACTGCGAACAGTGCCGCCTGGTGGTCACTTGGAAAACTGGGGGGTGCTGACACCTCGCCTTTCCCTGTGGTTAGGTGGATTTTCTGTCTCTCCTTCCCTCACTCCCTTGCTTCTTCCCTTCCTTTTCCCTTTTCCTTTAATTGCTTCATGGGCTGTCTTCTCCTCTTTTGAAAGGAACTTTTTCTCAGTGTGTAAAACTGGTTGATGCTCAACATAAAAATGTCTAATCGGTCGAGCGCGGTGGCTCACGCCATAATCTCAGCATTTTGGGAAGTCTAGGCGGGTGGATCACCTGAGGTCAGGAGTTCGAGACCAGCCTGGCCAACATGGCAAAACCCCGTCTCTACTAAAAATACAAAAAATGCGAGCATGGTGGTGCACACATGTGGTCCCAGCTACTTGGGAGGCTGAGGCAGGAGAATCACTTGAACCTGGGAGGTGGAGGTTGCAGTGATCAGAGACTGCACCACTGCACTCCAGTCTGGGCTACAAAGTGAGACTCTATCTCAAAAAATAAAATAAAATAAAATAAAAAAAAAATGTCTAATCAAACGGGAAAGGACCAGGACATGAGGAAGAGGAATAATGGCTGTATTGTTGAGGACTTTGTAGGAGCAGTTTGTTGTCTGGACCTCCACAGCCCTTATCTTATTTACGCTTCAGCAACTCTGTGGGGTAGACAGTTGTGACTGTCATTTTACAGATGAGGAAACTGAGGCTTGAAAAGGTCAAGTCACCCGTTAGGACAGCCAAGTACACAAAGATCGGTCAGTTTGGCAGCAGAGGCCAAATTTTCATCCAGTGCTCACCTCAAAGTCCACCATCCAGAGAAAACAGTTTTGGTGAGCACCCTTCCAAAGGCGGTCCTAGGTGGGATACATATGTATCAGGTCATCTCTGTACCATCCGTCTGCCTCCACGCAGCTTCACTACTTCCTTGGACAAGTTACATAGTGTCCTGAGCCTTACTTTCCTTGATTATAAAGATGGGTTATACCAAGACTTTCTTCAGTGGTTGTCAGAACTAAATGAGATAAGGCATGCAAAACCCTTCAGACAAGGGCTGACCTGAGGTTAGTGCACTCTAAATATTATTTGTGACTTCAGTAGCCCCAAGAGGTATTTTGTTAATTTCTGATTTTTTTGGGGTTTTTTTTGGCTATTGTAAAAAACACTGAAGCCAGGCATGGTGGCTTATGCCTGTTGTTCCAGCTACTCCAGAAGCTGAGGGGGGAGGATCACCTGAGCCCAGGAGTTCAAGATCAACCTGGGTAACATAATGAGAACTCATCTCTACCAAAAAAAAAAAAAAAAAAAAAAAAAAAAGCCAGGCATGATAGTGCATGCCTGTAGTCCCAGCTATTTGGGAGGCTTAAGCAGGAGGATCGCTTGAGCCCAGGAGCTTGAGGCTGCAGTGAGCTGTGATTGCACCACTGCACTTCAGTCTGGGCAACAGATTGAGACCCT
This sequence comes from Homo sapiens, assembly GCF_000001405.40. Classification (NCBI taxonomy): domain Eukaryota; kingdom Metazoa; phylum Chordata; class Mammalia; order Primates; family Hominidae; genus Homo; species Homo sapiens. The sequence continues at coordinate 121,492,918 of NC_000012.12, read as the reverse complement.
GTCTCAAAACAAAAAGGAGAAAGAAAGAAAAAAGTATGCTGTAACAGATTTCAAACACTTTTCTTTTTCTTTTTTTTTCTTTTTTTTTTGAGACGGAGTTTTGCTCTTGTCACCCAGGCTGGAGTGCAGTGGCGTGATCTCGGCTCACTGCATCCTCCGCCTCCGGAGTTCAAGCGATTCTCCTGCCTCAGTCTCCTGAGTAGCTGGGATTACAGGCACCCGCCACCATGCCCAGCTAATTTTTTGTATTTTTAGTAGAGACAGAGTTTTGCCATGTTGGGCAGTCTGGTCAATTTCAAACACTTATTACAGGCCTGGTGCAGTGGCTCTCGCCTGTAATCCCAGTACTTTGAGAGGCCAAGGTGGGCAGATCACTTGAGGTCAGGAGTTCGAGACTAGCCTGGCCAACATGGCGAAACTCCGTCTCTACTAAAAATACAAAAATTAACTGGGCATGGTGGCACGCGCCTGTAATCCCAGCTACTCAGGAGGCTGAGGCAAGAGAATTGCTTGAACCTGGGAGGTGGAGGTTGCAGTGAGCTGAGATGGCGCCACTGCACTTCAGCCTGGGGATGCACTATAGTTTTATTTGCTAAATCTGGCAACTGTAGTTGAAATGACTATATTTTTGATATATTGTTGAAACAAAATGGATTATTCCGATGAATTTCATTGTTTCTTTTTACCTTTTCAAATGTGGCAACAAAAAAACTCAAAAGTACCTATGTGGCTCACCTTCTATTTCTTTTATTTATTTATTTACACAGAGTCTTAACTCTGTTGCCCAGGCTGGAGTGCAGTGGTGCAATCATAGGTCACTGCAACCTCTGCCTCCCTGGATCAAGCGATCCTCCCATCTTAGCCTCCCGAGTAGCTGGGACCACAGGCACATGCCATCACGCCTGGCTAGTTTTTTGTAGTTTTGGTAGAGATGAGGTTTTGCCATGTTGCCAAGGCTGAACTCCTGAGCTCAAGCAAGCCGCCTGCCTCGGTCTCCCAAAGTGTTGTGATTACAGGCGTGAGCCACAGTGCCTGACTTACCTTCTGTTATTTCTATTGAGCAGTGCTCTTCTGCATAATTCTTTGATTATCTTCTTCAGGTGTACTTTTTTTTTTTTTTTTTTTGAGATGGAATCTTGCTCTTGTCACCAGGCTGGAGTGCAGTGGTGCAATCTCGGCTCACTGCCACCTCCGCTTCCTGGGTTCAAGTGATGCTCTTGCCTCAGCCTCCCGAATAGCTGGGATTACAGGCGCGTACCACCACGCCCGGCAAATTTTTTGTATTTTTAGTAGAGACGGGGTTTCACCATGTTGGCCAGGCTGATCTTGAACTCCTGACCTTAGGTGATGTGCCCACCTCGGCCTCCCAAAGTGCTGGAATTAAAGGCGTGAGCCACCATGCCCGGTCATAAATAAATATTTTAAAAATAAGGAAGTAAATAACTTCAGAGCCACAAAATGGTGTGAAGCAGAAGAAGAATGAATACCCCAGGTCCACCACCGAGCCCTGAAAATAAATGACCACCAGCTCAGCTGAAACTCCTGGGCACTCCCCAGTATACACAGCAGCTTCCAGATGCAGTTTGTCTATTTGACTTTACCCTTCCCATGAGGCTGGGAGATGGAGGGTGTTATCGCCCCAGTGCAGTTGAGGAAGCACAGAGCTCGGAGAGGTGCAGCAGTGCCTCTCGGGCCACTTCCTTAGGAGAAGAAAGGCGTTGGACCCCAGATGTGCAGGTTTCTGTCATTGCACAGTGAGGAACCAGTGATATGTGGCGGGGAGAGTGGGGAGGGAGGCCCCTGCTATGTTTATGCATTTCCTGGCTGGTGGGGTTAAAAAGTTAACAGGAAAGGAAGAAGTAACTAAACGACTGACTGCCTGGGCTGCCCGGGGTCTCTGGGTTCCCAGGTTGCAGCTTCCTCCCATTGGATGCAGGTTGGGGTGAAAGATCAAGGGTGCTCACTGAGGCCCTCAGGATGCGAGGTAGGGAGTGGTATTTGATCTGGGTCGGGTTACCTAACAAGTAATTAATGCTAAGTGATGATTAGCAAGAAATGCTTTGATCTCCCACCTTGCCTCCAGGAGAACAAAGCCCTTTTCTGGAACTGATTAGGTGCTGTGAGGTCATTTCTGATGCGGTGTCCTTCATATCCAAGATGCTACTGAGCCACCATCTATCACCATCCACCCGACTGGCTGTTTCCACGAGTGGTGTAGGATTTGTTTTGATCTGTCTACACTCTGGCTGCTTCCTTTTATGACCAACGGGCAGGATGGTGGGGGCCTGTCTGTGACCTTACAGGCTGGGTGAAGGAACGGAGCTTATTTGAGGCCCAGCCTCTGACCTCGGCCTTATTAGTGAGCTGACCCCTGGCTCAGCTGCCAGACATGGCTACTGGCTGGCTTGCTGGTTTATTCCCAGAGGAAGAAACTGAGGAAGGACGGAGGACCCAGCCATGACTGCCTCTGGCTAGCAAGCCAGCCTGTGGACCCTGCCAGCTTCTTCATCCATTATCTCTAGTGGCCAAACCAGGCTGCCACTTGAATTTCAATTATTGGCAATTTTTCTGGAGTATGGGAGCAGAGAGGCTGGAGTGTGGAGGACAAGCACCCTGATGGGGGCATGGAGACAGTCCTCATCAGTAGCTGTTGGATCAGCTTCCTTACGGGGACATTTTGGGGCCACACAGGAGCCACAGGAGGAAGCAACACACCCTCGATGCCTTGTGACCTTTGCTTCTGCTTTGTCTCTCTCCCCTTTCCTCCGAAGTTGGTCCGTTCCATCCCAGAGGCCTGCTCCGTCTGGGGTCCCTCCGGAGTGACACACAGCCTTTCCCTGAAGGAGAGGCACGTGATTCAGTGAGAGAGGCCCCGAGTGCTTCCGGCGGGTCCCTGCCCCGCTCTCAGTCCTGTCGGCCCGCAGTCATGAAGCTGATGCTGTGCAGTTGAGGCGGAGGAGGCTGGCAATAATGGCTGTCGTGTATTGCCACCTACTCAGGGTCCTGTAATTTCCCAGGAAGGCCGTGTGCTGTAATGAGGACCAGTCCCCAGGCTGGTGGCATCAGCTTCACCTGGGGGACTTGTGAAAAAATACAGCTTCCTGGCCCCCGCACTTGACGTAGCACATTGAGTAGGCTTGGGGTGGGCCTGGGATCTGCACTTTCTGAAAGCTGCTCAGGGCCAGGCGTGGTGGCTCACACCTATAATGCCAGCACTTCGGGAGGCTGAGGCAGGTGGATCACTTGAGGCCAGGAGTTCGAGACCAGCCTCACTAACATGGTAAAACCCCATCTCTACTAAAAATACAAAAATTAGCCAGATATGGTGGCAGGCGCCTGTAGTCCCAGATACTTGGGAGGCTGAGGCAGGAGAATCACTTGAACCTGTGAGGCGGAGGTTGCAGTGAGCTGAGATTGCATCACTGTACTCCAGCCTGGGTGACAGAGTGAGTCTTGGTCTCATTAAAAAATAAAAGCTTCTCAGGGGCGGGTGCGGTGGCTCACGCCTGTAGTCTCAGCACTTTGGGAGGCCCAGGCTGGAGGATCACTTAAGCCCAGGAGCTGCAGGCTGCAGTGACCTATGATCACTCCACTGCACCCCAGCCTGGGTGACAGAGTGTGATTCTGTCTCAAAAATAAATAAATAAATAAAATAAATAAAATAAATAAAACCCGGCCGGGCGCAGTGGCTCACACCTGTAATCCCAGCCCTTTGGGAGGCCGAGTTGGGCACATCACTTCAGGTCAGGAGTTCAAGACCAGCCTGGCCAACATGGTGAAACACCATCTTTACTAAAAATACCAAAAAAGAGGCCAGGCATGGTGGCTCATACCTGTAATTGCAGCACTTTGGGAGGCTGAGGTGGGCGGATCACCTGAGGTCGGGAGTTCAAGACCAGCCTGACCAACATGGAGAAACCCTCTCTCTTCTAAAAAATACAAAACTATCTGGCGTGGTGGTGTACGCCTGTAATCCCAGCTACTCGAGAGGCTCAGGCAGGAAGGAGAATTGCTTGAACCCAGGAGGCAGAGGTTGCAGTGAGCCAAGATCGCGCCATTGCACTCCAGCCTGGGCAACAAGAGCGAAACTCCGTCTCAAAACAAACAAACAAACAAAAAACCAAAAAAAATTAGCCAGGCCTGGTGGTGGGCACCTGTAATCCCAGCTACTCGGAAGGGTGAGGCAGGAGAATTGCTTGAACCTGGGAGGCGGAGGTTTCAGTGAGCTGAGATCATGCCACTGCACTCCAGCCTGGGCAACAGAGCAAGACTCCATCTTGGGAAACAAAAACCAATACATAAATACAAATGAATAAATAAAAGCTTCCCAGGTCATTCTCTGCACTACTCGGATGCATTTTTGGGGTCAGATGCACCTGTGGGTGGACTCCTTCCTTCACCACTGACTAGCTGTGTTGTCTTGGGCAAGTCTCAGCCTCAGTTTACTCATCTGTGAAAGGTGCTAACAGCGCCTTTCTTGCGGGCCTGTGGTGAGATGCTGTCTGTAAAATGCCTTTAGAGTGGGCCATCAATCAGTGTTTGCTAGTCTAGTTTTTCGTAATTATGGTTTAAAAGTAACCCTGAATCTGCCCACCCAGAAGGCTTTTGATGTTCTTGATAGAAATCGAGGACACGAGAGGAGGAGCAGGGAGCAGCGGAAGGGGCTGAATGGTTTAGAGGCATTTCCCATCCCAAAATTATCATTTGCTTGTGCAAAACTTAATCTCAAGCAAGGACCTGAATGACTTAATTTCTTTGCAATAGTTATGGCTGTGCTGAAATGGGCTGGCACTTCCTGGGGGTTTGGGAGTGGGGACTGATTTAAGAAGCTGCTTTAGCTAGGTAGGATGGCTCACGCCTATAATCCCAGCACTTTGGGAGGCTGAGGCGGGCGGGTCAGTTGAGGTCAGGAGTTCGAGACTAGCCTGGCCAACATGGTGAAACCCTGCCTGTACTGAAAATACAAAAAATTAGCCGGGCATGGTGGCGCATACCTGTAATACCAGCTACTCAGGAGGCTGACGCAGTACAATCACTTGAACCTGGGAGGCGGAGCTTGCAGTGAGCCGAGATCGCGACACCGTGCCACAGGGCAAGACCCTGTCTCAAAAAAAAAAAAAAAAAAGAAGCTGCTTCTCCTTTATCTCTTCCTCCTCCTAGACGGGAGGAGTCCTAGGCTCTTTGGAGGGGAGTGATGGTTTGCCTGAGAATGTGCCCCTGGGGGTTTGAGGCCACTGAGACCATGGGGTTCTCTACTGGGTCAGGGTAGGAGGAGAGGGTGTCAAAGGCCAAGGGTGTCAGATGTCCAGTGCTGAGGGCACGACGGGTCTGGTGAAAGGCTTGTGGGAGAGCAGCTCCCCAAGAGGAAGAGCGCAGCTCAACATGCTGGGAGGAGGCTGCGATGGAAGCCGCAGGGCCAGGATGAGGGTCCCAGGAGAGCAAAGAAAGGCAGGAGAATCAAGTTGATCCTTGGAGGGTTGGTGAGGGGAACCACGCGAAGAGAAACCTGGGCCTCCGATCTGGAATCCCAAACGTGTTCCTCCTGACGTCTGAGTCATTTATGGAGTCTGGAGTCTGGCAGATTCTTGGGAGGTCCATAAAAACCTCCAATCAACGAATGCCCACAGAGAATGTTCTGCTGCTTCTAAATAATGTTGTAGACAACATCAACAGCAGAAAAATCCCGTTGAGAGAAAAATATGGGTGGCAAAAGGATGCCCCAGTTCTTTCGTTCTTTCTTTCTTTCCTTCTTTTGTTTCTTTCCTTTCTCTTTTGTTTGACACAAGGTCTTGCTCTGTTGCCCAGGCTGGAGTACAAGTGGTGTGATCATAGCTCACTGCAGTCTCCACCTCCTGGGCTCAAGCGATCCTCCCACCTCAGCCTCCTGAGTAGCTGGGACCACAGGCATGCGCCGCCACACCCAACTGATTTTGTTTATTTTTTGTATCGGGGGGGTCTCACTATGTTGCTCATGCTGGAGTGCAGTGGCTCAATCATAGTTCACTGTAGCCTCACACTGCTGGGCTTAAGAGATCATTCCACCTCAGCCTCCTGAGTAGCTGAGACTGCAGGTGTGCACCCCCATGCTTGGCTTTGTGATGATGATGATTATGATTATGATTATTATTATTGGAGACAGATTCTCACTGTGTCACCCAGGCTGGAGTGCAGTGGTGCAACCTTGGCTCAGTACCAACCTCCGCCTCCTGGGCTCAGGTAATTCTCCTGCCTCAGCCTCCCGAGTAGCTGGGATTATAGGCACCTGCTACCACTCCTGGCTAATTTTGTATTTTTAGTAGAGACAGGGTTTCACCGTATTGGCCAGGCTGGTCTCAAATTCCTGACCTCATGTGCTCTGCCTGCCTTGGTATTTCAAAGTGTGGGGATTACAAGAGTGAGCCACTGCACCCGGTCTGTGATTTTTATTAATTATGGTAAAATGCCGGGCGCAGTGGCTCACGCCTGTAATCTCAGCACTTTGGGAGGCTGAGGTGGGTGGATCACAAGGTCAAGAGTTCAAGACCAGCCTGGCCAAGATGATGAAACCCCGTTTCCCCTAAAAAAAAAAAAAAAAAAAAAAAAAAAGGAGTTCGAAACCAGCCTGATCAACAAGGTGAAACCCTGTCTACTAAAAATACAAAAATTAGCCGGGCATGGTGGTGGGCACCTGTAATCCCAGCTACTCAGGAGTCTGAGGCAGGAGAATAGCTTGAACCCGGGAGGTGGAGGTTGCAGTGAGCCGAGATTGTGCCACTGAACTCCAGCCTGGCAAAGGAGCAAGACTCCATCTCAAAAAAAAAAAAATGTGGTAAAATATATGTTGCATAAAAGTTACCATTTCAGGCAGGGCATGGTGGCTCACGCCTGTAATTCCAGCACTTTGGGAGGCTGAGGTGGGTGGATCACTTGAGATCAGGAGTTCGAGATCAGCCTGGCAAACATGGTGAAACCCTGTCTGTACTAAAAATACAAAAATTAGCCAGGTGTGGTGGCGCATGCCTGTAATCCCAGCTATTCAGGAGGCAGAGGCAGGAGAATTGTATGAACCCAGGAGGTGGAGGTTGCAATGAGCCGAGATCACGCCACTGCACTCCAACCTGGGTGACAAAGCAAGACTCCATCTCAAAAAAAAAAAAAGTTATCATTTCAACTATTTTTACCTGCGTAGTTGAGTGGCGTTATTATTATTGAACGTGTTGTGCAGCCATCACCACCCACCATCTCCAGGACCCTTTCATCACCCCAAACAGAAGCCCCGGAACCCTGGCCCTGTTTAACACTCACCCCCCGTTCTCCCCTCCCACTGCCCCCCGACGGAAAGTTTTTGAAGACAGAATAGTGTGAAGTTGGGACAGTTGGTGAGGGCGAGGCCATCAAGGAGGCTATTGCTGAAGGTCTCATAACAGTGGATCAGTTTAGCGTAGTGACTGTGGCAACGAAGAGGTTGGATCCCAGATATATTTGGGAGGCAGCACTGATAGGACAATCGGATGCTTCTACTGCTGGTTTGAGGGGAGGTGTCAGGGATGGCCCCTAGGTGTTGAATTTACAGGGCGACTTCGGGTTAGTGTCCTCTTTCTGGAAACCCGATCACAGAATGATTTTCAACATCCTCAAACTGGTGTCACCCATTTGCCACCAGGCTTAGTCCCTTCTAGTCTCCCAGCTGTCAAAGTAACCTCCTGAAGTTTAGACCCCATCACAGCACTCCCTTGTGTATTAGTCGACTAGGGCTTCATAACAAAGGCTCATGACAGAAACGTACCGCCTCATAGTTCTGGAGGCCAGAAGTCCAAGGTCAGGGTGTCAGCAGGCAGGTTCCATCTGGGGCTGTGGGAGGATCTGCTTCAGGCCTCTCTCCTTGGCTTGTAGGTAGCTGTGGTCTCCCTGGGTCTTCACCTCATCTTCCCTGTGTAAGGGTCTGTGCCCAGATTTCCTCATTTTATAAGGACAACAATCATATGGGTGCTAGGGGCTCGGATTTCAACATATGAATTTTGGGGTTGGATACAGTCAGCCCCCAACCCTTGTTATCAATCGTTCAGTGATTCTCCATCTTCTTTATTTATTTTTATTTTTTAAAGTTTTTTTTCTATTTTCTGAGACAGGGTCTTGCTCTGTTGCCCAGGCTGGAGTGCAGTGTCGCAATCACAGCTCACTGCAGCCTCGACCTCCCGGGCTCAAGGGATCCTCCCACCTCAGCCTCCCAAGTAGCTGGGACCACAGGTGTGCACCATCATGCCCAGCTAAATTTTGTTTTTTTTGTAGAGATGGGGTCTTACTCTGTTGCTCAGATTGGTCTTGACCTCCTGGGCCCAAGTGATCCTCCCACCTTGACCTCCCAAAGTGCTAGGACTACAGGCGTGAGCCACCATGTCCGGCCTCCATCTTCGTTAAAAGCCTCTCCCGGCTTGTCAGCCTGGCCTTGAGTGCCCAAGTCGCCATCTGTCGCTGTGCCGTAGACTCTCCTGACTTCCTCTCATCTTCCTTTCATTGCTGGGGAACCAAATTCCTCCATGATTTCCTTGGACCAGTCCACCTCTGTCTTTGCTTACACTCCTTCCTTCTCGGAGTGCCCTTTTCCCCATTTCTCCCATGTAGAAATCCTCTCCATGCCAGCCCCAACCCAGTTCCCTCCTCACCAGGGAGCCTCCTGAGCTGACGCGTTCCAGTTGCACCTCAGCCCCTCCCCAGCCGCCTCACCCTCCTTATGGACTGCTGCAAGGGGCTTCTTTGCCTCTCTGGCCTCTGGTTGGGCTCAGCCTGTGGGAAGCACCTGCAGGAGAGGGGAAGGTGGGAGGAGAGGGAGGCGGGGTATTGATTTCTCCAGCTTCCTCCCTGTGGGATCATTGCAGGTTGAGTGTTTCCATCCATGGCAGACCACATCTCTATTGTGTGGCCTTCTTCAACTTTTCTGTTTCTGGTCACTGTTCCCTCCCCTTGCCCATTGGCCAAGGGGAGGAAACAGCTCTTCACTGTCCCTGGGCTTGGCTGCATCGAGGCCTGGCTGTTTTCCCTTAGCCCTGTTTACGTTTTGTCAATCAAACCTCTGCTAAACTCTCCATTATGCCTCAGTGTGAGGGGGCCTTGGTGCCATCCGATTCCTGCCAAGATCCTGGCTGACGCGCTTCCACACTTCTCTCCCCACTGCACTTCTGCATTCTACTCTGCATTTTGTGTTTGTGTGTGTGTGTGTGTGTGTTGTTGTTGTTTGTTTTTTTTGTTGTTTTTGTTTTTTTTCTGAGATAGGGTCTCACTCTGTCACCCAGGCTGGAGTGCGGTGGTGCAATCTCGGCTCATGGCAACCTACACCTCCCGGACTCAAGGGATCCTCACATGTCAACCTCCCAGGTACCTGGGACTACAGATACACACTACCATGCCCAGTTAAATTTTCGTATTTTTTTTAGTAGAGATGGGGTCTTGCCATGCTGCCAAGGCTGGTCTCAATCTCCTGGGCTCAAGAGATCCGCCTGCCTCAGCCTCCCAAAGTGCTAGGATTACAGGCGTGAGCCACTGCACCTGGCCATAGGGCCTAATACCGGTCTACTCTGCATTTTGGTTGACTGGACATATGTGAACGGAGCCTCCACTAGCATCTTGAGACTGGAGCTTGTCTTTGGTGTGTGTTTTTTTTATATTTTTAAATTTTTTTTGAGACGGAGTCTTGCACTGTTGCCCAGGCTGGAGTGCAGTGGTGCAATCTCGGTTCACTGCATGGAGCTTGTCTTAATAATGTTTTACTATTTTTTTTTTGAGATGGGGTCTTGCTCTGTTGCCCAGGCTGGAGTGCAGTGGCGCAATCCTGGCTCACTGCAGCCTCTGCCTCCTGGGTTCAAGCGATTCTCCTGCCTCAGCCTCCCGAGTAGCTGGGATTACAGGCGCCCCCCACCACGCCCAGGTAATTTTTGTATTTTTAGTGGAGGCAGGATTTCACCATGGCCAGACTGGTCTTGAACTCCTGACCTCAGGTGATCCGCCCCGCTTGGCCTCCCAAAGTGCTGGGATTACAAGTGTGAGCCACTGCACCTGGCCCAATAACGTTTTCCTTATTCATTTTTGCATCCTGTCAACGCAAACTGCTCCCAGATTGCAAGGGCCCAGGAAATACTTGTTGAATGAATGAAGTCAATAGCAAGATTTTCCCAGAGCTTCTGAAAGATGAGGCCGTATTCAATTAGTTTCATGTCTTTGTTGTCTTTCACCTGTACTCCAAATGCTTCTGAGTCCTGTTTGTGACTCACTTGTTCTTTATGTAACTCCTGTGTCCCAGTCCCCGCCAGATGTTAAATGAATGCTCATTAGAAGAGTACTAAGAAGGCTGGGTGCGGTGGCTCACGCCTGTAATCCCAGCACTTTGAGAGGCCGAAGCGAGTGGATCACGAGGTCCGGAGATTGAGACCATCCTGGACAACATGGTGAAACCTGTCTCTACTAAAATACAAAAAATTAGCTGGGCGTGGTGGCGGGTACCTGTAATCCCAGCTACCCAGGAGGCTGAGGCAGGAGAATTGCTTGAACCCAGGAGGCAGAGGTTGCAGTGAGCCAAGATAGCTCCTGGCGATCCAGCCTGGTGATAGAGCAAGACTGTCTCAAAACAACACAATGAAAAAAACAAAAAGAACAAAAACAAATTTAGGCATCCCCTTTTTTCCCACTAGACTTAGAAAGATCTTACATCACCTGGAATTTTTCAGCATTGTCTGTTTTAGAACCATTTTACTGGAACTTCAAGACTACGTTCACCTGACATAACCTGTAATTAAAGTCAGTGGCCAAGGATTTCTTTTTTGGTGTGATAACCTGCTCAGCTGGCTGAGTTAATAATGCCTAAGATAGGCTGGGTGTGGTGGCTCATGCCTGTAATCCCTGCACTTTGGGAGGCCGAGGCGGGTGGATCACCTGAGGTCAGGAGTTCTAGACCAGCCTGGCCAACATGATGAAACCCCATCTCTACTAAAAATACTAAAAAATTAGCTGGATGTGGTGCCGGGTGCCCGTAATCCCAGCTACTTGGGAGGCTGAGGCAGGAAAATCGCTTGAACCTGGGTGGCAGAGGTTGCAGTGAGCCGAGATTGCACCACTGCACTCCAGCCTGGGCAACAAGAGCAAAACTCTGTCTCAAAACAAACAAACAAACAAACAAACAAACAAAAAAAACCCTAAGATAAGTTCTTGAAAAGCAATTGAGATCTTGAGGGCTCTGGCCTTTGGAGTAATTAGAAAGCCACGCAGGTACTATAACCGATTGCTTGGCATTACCATGGTTTTATTTCTGGAATAATGGCTTATCCTTTAGACTTTGTGTATTTCCCACATTAAAGGAGGACATTTGATCATTGACATTAGGAATAAGTTGTCATTCCCCGCCCCCACCCCCCCGACTTCTTTCTCGAATTTGGCTTTGTTAGGAAGATGGATGTATGCTCAACCAAACGATGTTGTCAGATAATCTGTCCCTCAAATTTAGGTGACCTATTGAAAAAGGGACAAGGTTGGGTTTAGACAGGTGAAATATTTTCATCACTTATTTTTGCTTCATGTTACAAAGTTGGGAAGGATGAAGGGGGGAGTCTTAATTACACAAAAAGAAAGTAGGTGCAAACCTGCTCTAAATCACTGACCTCTTCCACCAACGAACAGAAACATCTCATCAGGAAAGCAGGATGAAGAGAATCAGAAATACTCTCATCGGCTGGGCCCGGTGGCTCACACCACCCAACAATTTGGGAGGCTGAGGCGGGTGGATCATTTGAGGTCTGGAATTGGAGACCAGCCTGACCAACATGGTGAAACCCTGTCTCTACTGAAAATACAAAAAAAAAATTAGCTGGGCATGGTGGTGCATCTGTAGTCCCAGCTACTTGGGAAGCTGAGGCAGGAGAATCGCTTGAACTCGGGAGGTGGAGGTGACAGTGAGCTGAGATCACACCACTGCACTCTGGTCTGGGCGACAGAGCGAGACTCCATCTCAAAAAAAAAAAAACAACAAAAAAAACACCTCTCACTTATAAAGAGCATTTTTTTTCTTGTCATTTAGATTCTCTTTTTTCTTTGCTAGTGTTTATGAGACAAGATGACAGGCGATGGCCGGGTGTGGGGCCAGCATGGGAAGGAGTATCTGTTTTTTTGTTTTTTGGGTTTTCTTGAAGACAGTCTTTTGCTCTGTCACCCAAGCTGGACTATAGTAGCATGATACTGGCTCACTGCAACCCTGTCTCCTGGGCTCAAGTGCTCCTCTCACCTCAGCCTCCTGAGTACCTGGGACTACAGGTGTGCACCACCACACCCGGCTAAGTTTTTTGTGGGGCTTTTTTTTTTTTTTTTTTTTTTTTGGTAGCGACAGGGTCTCATTATGTTGCCCAGGCTGGTCTTGAACTCCAGAGCTCAAGTGATTCTCCTGCCTCAACCTCCCAGAGTGCTGGGATTACAGACATGAGCCACCGTTCCTGGCCTGAACCTGTTCTTAATTCTCTCTTTTAATACAGACTTTTCTCAGGACATGATTTGTAGAAAACAAAGAGCCACATGTCCCATAGAATATCCCACTCTATGCATTTGTCCAAGTGTGTCTTGTGGTGTCATTTAGCTTGTTCTTTAGTTCTTGCAACTTCTGTAAATTGGATATAAGTTTTAAAGTCTTGGTTAAAGTAAATATAATCATTGGTTAAGGCAATGGAAGTCTGATATCCCATTATTCAGTTATTCTTCTCTCCTTGCTCCAGAGAATCTGGGTGGTGGTGCCTTGGCCCCCTCCTTGCCCGCCTCCCTGGACATTTGTGGATGGTTTCAGCACTTGTTGATCATTTTTTCCTGTATCAATAATGTCATCAGGAGCCAGGTGTGGTGGGCGACACCTGAAGTGCTAGCTACTTGGGAGGCTGAGGCAAGAGGACTGCTTGAGCCTAGGAGTTAGAGGCTGCATTAAGCTAAGATCACACCATTGCACTCTAGGCAGGGTGAGAACAGCAAGACCCTGTCTCTTTAAAAGCGAGAGAGCTGGGCATGGTGGCTCACACCTGTAATCCCAGCACTTTGGGAGGCCGAGGCTGGTGCCTCACTTGAGGTCAGGAGTTCAAGACCAGCTTGGCCAACATGGTGAAACCCTGTCTCTACTAAAAATACAAAAATTAGCTGGGTGTGGTGGCACGTGCCTGTAATCCCAGCTACTTGGGAGGCTGAGGCAGGAGAATTGCTTGAACTTGGGAGTCGGAGGTTGCAGTGAGCCAAGATCACGCCATTGCACTCCAGCCTGGGCAACAGAGCAAGACTCCGTCTCAAAAAAAAGGAGAGAGAGAGAAAAATGGAGTCACAGTTTGTCGCCCAGGCTTCAGTGCAATGATGCTGACTGCAGCCTCGAACTTCTGGGCCCAAGTAGCTTTCCAAGTAGCTGGGACACATGTGAACCACTCTTTTAAAGACAGTGTAATCCCCATCTGTTTTTTTTTTTTTGAGACAGGGTCTCGCTCTGTCGCCCAGGCTGGAGTGCAGTGGCACGATCTCGGCTCATTGCAAGCTCCGCCTCCCGGGTTCACGCCATTCTCCTGCCTCAGCCTTCCGAGTAGCTGGGACTACAGGCACCCGCCACCATGCCTGGCTAATTTTTTGTATTTTTAGTAGAGACGGCGGGGGTGGGGAGGGGCGGGTTTCACCTTGTTAGCCAGGATGGTCTCGATCTTCTGACCTCATGATCCGCCCGCCTTGGCCTCCCAAAGTGCTGGGATTACAGGCCTGAGCCACCGCGCCCGGCCAAGCCCCATCTCTTAAAAAAAGACCCGACATTCCACTGTTTACCAATTTATTTATAGCGCCTCCTTGTGGTATAGGAGTTCATTACTTCCATTTTAAAGATTAAAGAAATTGAGAACTCCCTTTACCCCTGAGCTTCAAGATCACAGCCTGAGGCCAGTGCCGTGGCTCAAACCTTAATCTCAGTACTTTGGGAGGCCAAGGCGGGAAGATCAGTTGAGCCCAGGAGCTTGAGAACAGCCTAGGCAACATGACGAAACTCTGTCTCTACAAAACACACACACACACACACACACACACACAAACAAACAAAAATTAGCCGGTTGTGGTGGTACGTGCCTGTAGTCGCAGCTGCTTGGGAGGCTGAGGTGGGAGGATTGCTTGAGCCTGGGCAACGGAGATTGCAGTGAGCCGAGATCGTGCCACTGCCTTCCAGCCTGGGCAACAGAGTGAGACCCTGTGTTCAAAAAGAAAAAAACAGAGCCTGAGCCCAGTATAAATAATTGGGGTCAGCTGGGCGCAGTGGCTCACGCCTGTAATCCCAGCACTTTGGGAGGCCGAGGCGGGTGGATCATGAGGTCAGAAGATCGAGACCATCCTGGTTAACACGGTGAAACCCCGTCTCTACTAAAAATACAAAAAATTATCTGGGCGTAGTGGCGGGAGCCTGTAGTCTCAGCTACTCGGGAGGCTGAGGCAGGAGAATGGCGTGAACTTGGGAGGCGGAGGTTGCAGTGAGCCGAGATCACGCCACTGCACTTCAGCCTGGGCGACAGAGCACGACTCCGTCTTAAAAAAAAAAAAAAAAGGATCTACTTGAGGGTGGAGGTAGGCAGGAGAGGGCGAGGATCAAAAAACATTACCTATTGGGTATTGTTGTGCTTACTACCGGAGTGGCGAAATGATCTGTACACCAGTCCCCTTCGACACACCATTTACCTATATAACAAACCCGCCCATGTACTGCTGAACATAAAAAGAAAAAAAATATTGGAAGCTGGACGCAGTGGCTCATTCCTGTAATCCCAGCACTTTGGGAGGGGAGGCCAAGGCGGGAGGGTTATTTGTTGACCATCCTGGGCAACATGGAGAGAACCTGTTTCTACAGAACTTTTAAAAAGATTTAAGGCCAGTTGAGGTGGCTCACGCCTGTAATCCCAACACTTTGGGAGGCTGAGACGGGAGGATCCCTTGAGCTCAGGAGTTCAAGACCAGCCTGGGCAACATAATGAGATCCCCGTCTCCATAAAAATTTTTTTAATGATAAAAAAAAGTTTTAAAATAAGAAAAAAGCCTGGGCACGATGGCTCACACCTGTAATCCTAGCACTTTGGGAGGCCAAGGCAGGTGGATCACCCGAGGTCAAGAGTTTGAGACCAGCCTGGCCAACATGGTGAAACTTTGTCTCTACTAACAATATAAAAATTAGCTGGGTGTGGTGGCAGACACCTATAATCCCAGCTACTCTGGAGGCTGAGGCACAAGAATCGCTTGAACCCGGGAGGCAGAAGTTGCAGTGAACCGAGATCATGCTATCGCACTCCAGCCTGAGTGACAAGAGCAAAACTCCATCTCCAAAAAAAAAAAAAAGGAAAGACAAAAAGAAAAGAAGAAAAAAATTAGCTGGGCATGGTGGCATGCACCTGTAGTCCTAGCTCCTCAGGAGGCTAAGGAGGGAGGATCCCTTGAGCTCAGGAGTTGGAGGGTGTAGTGGGCTGTGATTGTGCCACTGCACTCCAGCGTAGGTGACAGAGTAGACTTTGTCTCTTAAAAAAATAAATACATATATACATACATATATAAAAATAACTGGGGCCAGGCCAGGTATGGTAGCTCATACCTGTAATGAAAGGTATTTTTACAATACCTTTTTAGAAGGTACCATTTTTAGAAGCCAAGGTGAGACCATGCCTCCACAAAAAATAAAAAAAATTAGCCTGGTGTGGTGGCTTTGTGCCTGTAGTCCCAGCTAGTTGGATGAGATGGGGGGATTGCTTGAGGCCTGGAGTTAGAATCTGCAGTCAGCTATCATTGGCACCACTGCACTCCAGCCTGGGTGACAGAGTGAGACTCCGTCTCTACAAGATTCAAATTAAAAAAATTGTTTCATCAGGAGATGAAAAATGATCTTTGAAGAATGTCATTCCGTGTGAATTAGCTGGCGATGTTTGGCAGAGCTTTTCCTTGTCAACTGGGGCTACCCCTAAAAACAGTTCCTCCTGAGCCAGCAGTGTGAGGGCTTCACTTCTTGCCCTTTAAATGCTGATTTTCAAAGTAAGGAGTTGGTTAATGGCTATTTCAAATGGTGACAATAGATTTTGTCAGGCTTTTTCTATTTTGAGTGTCTTGATGGATCTATGAAAATCCATGAAATGAAGAACAAGAATGGTAACTGAAGAGAGAGGCCCATGGCAGCAGCCAGGGAAAGGGAGGAGGGAGGGAAGGAAGGAGGGAGAGAAAAGCCATATGTATTGGAATTAAAGTGTCATCGGAGCCCATCAGACCCCCACAGTGACTGTTAGCAGCTCATTTAAGAGGTGATTGAACTATCTCTTTGTTTCAGTTAGTTTTAACACATCCCGGGGTTTAGGGCCTATAGTTTCTAACCGTGTTACCTTTCAGGAATAGGACCTAAAGTCACTCTTTTTAATTTTATTTTTAAGAGACAGGGTTTTTTTTTTTTAAAAACAAAAAACAAAAAACTACCTGTTGGATGCCGCTTGTCTTGTTCGGTCACCCAGGGTGGAGTGCAGTGGCGTGATCATAGCTCACTGCAGCCTGGGACTCCTGAGCTCAAACAGTACTCCCACTTCAGCCTCCCAAATAGCTGGGACTACAGGCATACTACCATGCTCGGCTAATTTTTTTTTTTTTGAGGCGAAGTCTCGCCCTCGTCCTTCAGGCTGGAGTGTAATGGCACAATCTTGGCTCACTGCAACCTCCGCCTCCCGGGTTTGAGTGACTCTCCTGCCTCAGCCTCCCGAGTAGCTGGGATTACAGGTGCCTGCCACCATACCCAGCTAATTTTTGTATTTTTAGTAGAGACAGGGTTTCACCATGTTGGCCAGGCTGGTCTTGAACTCCTGACCTCAGGTGATCTGCCCGCCTTGGCCTCCCAAAGTGCTGGGATTACAAGCGTGAGCCACCGTGCCGGGCATTTTTTTTTTTTTTGGACACAGAGTCTCACTCTATTGCTCAGGCTGGTCTCAAACTCCTGGACTCAAGTAATCCTCCTACCTTGCCCTCCCAAAGTGTTGGGATAACAGGTGTGAGCCACTGCCCCTGGCCTAAAATCTCTCTTGAGTGATGATAGAGCCATAGGGAGATGCCCCAACTCTTGGAGAGAAAATAACATCTATTCAAAGACGTGGGGGTTGTGGGGCAGGGGGGTTAGTCTTCTCCTCATCTCCAAGATTTTCTTTCTAAAAAAAATTTTTTTTTATAGATGGGGTCTTGCCATGTTGCCCAGGCTGGTCTCAAACTCTTGGGCTCAAGCAATCCTCCTGCCTTAGCCTCTCAAAGTCCTAGGATTACAGTCATGAGCCACTGTGCCTGTTTTTTTTGTTTTGTTTTTTGAGACAGAGTCCCTGTCTGTCACCCAGGGTGACTGAGTGCAGTCACAATCTTGGCTCACTGCAGCCGCAACCTGTTGGGCTCAAATGATCCTCACACCTCAGCCTCTTGAGTAGCTGGGACTTAAAAGTGCATGCCACCTTGCCTGGCTAAATTTTCTTCTATTTTTTGTAAAGACAGGGTCTCAGTGTGTTGCCCAGGCTGGTCTCAAGCTCTCTGGGCTCAAGTGATCCTCCTGCTTCAGCCTCCCAAAGTGTTGGCATTACGGGTATGAGCTTCCACACCTGGCCTCCAAGTTTTGGTATAGTTTTTTTGTGTGTCCATTTTTGACCAGATTAGCTAACCTAGGGAAGACATGTCTGATGAAATACACACACACACACACACACACACACACACACACACACACACACAGAGTCATGTGTAGTTTAATGACAGGGATACATTCTGAAGAATGCATCATTAGGCAATTTCGTCATAGAATGTCCTTATACAAACCTAGATGATATAGCCCTCTACACACCTGGGCTGTATGGTAAAGCCTGTTGCTCCTGGGCTGCAAACTTGTACAGCATGCTACTGTATGAATACTGTAGGCAACTGTAACACTATGGTAGGTATTTTTGGTTTTCTGTTTGTTTGAGACAGAGTCTCGCTCTGTCTCCCAGGCTGGAGAGCAGTGAGTGGCATGATCATGGCTCAATGCAGCCTCAAACTCCCAGGCTCAAGAGATCCTCCTTCCTCGGCCTCCCCAGGTGCTGGGACTGCAGATGTGCACCACCACGCCCAGCTAATGTTTGTATTTTTTGTAGAGATAGGGTTTTGCCGTGTTGCCAGGTTGGTCTCCAACTCCTGTGTTCAAGGAATTCGCCCACCTCAGCCTTCCAAAGTGCTGGCATTACAGGCGTGAGCCACCATGCCCAGCTATTTTTGTATCTAAGCATAGAAAAGGTACAGTAAAAATATGGTATTATATTCTTGTGGGACCACAATCATTGACCAAAACGTTTTTCTGCAAGAGCATGACTGTATATGCTTTTTGTTGAGGTAATATCTACCTAACCTAAATTTTTATTTTTTTGAGATGGAGTCTTGCTCTGTTGCCCAGGCTGTAGTGCAGTGGCGAGATCTCTGCTCACTGTAAGCTCTGCCCCCCGGGTTCACGCCATTCTCGTGCCTCAGCCTCCTGAGTAGCTGGGACTACAGGCACCCGCTACCGCGCCCAGCTAATTTTTTTGTATTTTTTAGTAGGGACGGGGTTTTCACAGTGTTCACCAGGATGGTTTTGATCTCCCGACCTCGTGATCTGCCCACCTCGGCCTCCCAAAGTGCTGGGATTACAGGTGTGAGCCACCGTGCCCGGCCGTACCTAACCTAAAAATTTTAAAGTGAACAATTCATTGTCATTTAACACGTTCACAATGTTGTACAACCAATACTTCTATTTAGTTCCAAAATATTTTCATCACCCTCAACAGGAAACCCCGTACCCATCAGCTGTCACTCCCTGCTCCCCCTCCCCTGGTCCCTGGCAACCGCTAATCTGCTTTCTGTCTCTATGGATTTGTCTATTCTGGACTTTTCATATAAATGGCATCATACAATATGTGGACTTTTGTGTCTGGTTTCTTGTACTCAGCATCATGCTCTCCAGGCTCATTCCCCTTGGAGTATGTGTTAGTACTTCACTCCTTTTTATGGCTGAATCATAATTCCATCGTAGGGATAGACCGTGTTTTGTTTATTCACAAATCAAATGGATATTTGAATCGTTTCTACCTGTGGCTATTGTGAATAAAACTGCTATGAACAGTGATGATAATTTTATTCATATTTTGGCCTCTTTACTCTCTCTCTCTCTCTTTTTTTTTTTTTTGAGTTGGGAGTTTTGCTCTTGTCACCCAGGCTGGAGTGCAGTGGCTCAATCTTGTCTCACTGCAACCTCTGCCTCCCTGGTTCAAGCTTTACTCCTGCCTCAGCCTTCCAAGTAGCTGGGATTACAGGCGTGTGCCATCATGCCTGGCTGACTTTTGTATTTTTAGTAGAGACAGGGTTTCTCCATGTTGGCCAGGCTGGTCTCAAACTCCTGAGCTCAGGTGATCCACCTGCCTCGACCTCCCAAAGTGCTGGGATTACAGGCATGAGCCACCCGAGCCCAGCCATTTACTGTCTTCTTTATCATCTCATTTTGATTTTTTTTTTTTTTTTGAGACAGAGTCTCATTGTCACCCAGGCGGAGTGCAGTGGTGCCATCTCGGCTCACTGCAACCTCCGTCTCCCAGGTTCAAGCGATTCTACTGCCTCAGCCTCCCAAGTAACTGGGGTTACAGATGCCCACCATCACACCCGGCTAATTTTTTGTAGTTTTAATAGAGATGGGATTTCACCATGTCAACCAGGCTGGTCTCGAACTCCTAACCTCAAGTGATCCTCCTGTCTTGGCTTCCCAAGGAGCTGGGATTACAGGCGTGAGCCACTGCGCCCAACCTGTCATCTCATTTTGAATAATCTTTGGATTTGGGCTTTTGTTTGGAGTCTATGGTCCACAGAACTTCAGATCTTATTTCTCCAAGGTCCTTTTTTGGAGGATGATGGGCTAGACAATGGGATTGGTGCTCTGTTTAGGAAGCAAACCAACAGGGAGATTTTATCTTGTTATAAAAAAAAAATCATTAAATTACAAAATCTTGATTATAGGCCAGAATTAGGCTGGCATTTTACATATATTTAGCTTCTCATGTTTTTATGTGGGGGTGGTTTATAAAGTGAACCCACTTGTGTCATTCAATTTGCCTCGCTGAGCCTTAGTGTGGATTTTGATAGGGAAATGAATAGAGAAGGGAAGTAACTTTCTAAGGTCAGCAAAGGCATTGGGAATGGGGTGAGTGGTGGAAAAACATGTCTCAGATCAATGCCAGTCACCTGTTAAATTAGTTAATTTTTAAAAATCCTGTGCACAGTCACACATCTTCCAGTGAATGTAAATATTTATTGGGTGGTTTTTGGTAACGTAAGGAGACATAATTAGGAGAAGAATTCTCACTTAACAGAAAGCTTAGTCTATTTAGAGTCTATTTATATGATGAATATATGTGGTTTTTAAATGCTTGTGGAACGACTCTCCAGGGGAAAAATAAAAAGCAATTAAGTAACATTAGGAATTTCCTTAAGAGAAATCACTGCAGCCCCTGGTCTGTCCTACTGTCACTGTTCGAATTACAGTTTTATCCAGGTAGCCCTGGAATGCTATGTTAAGTGGTTAGAAAGTTCCTTTTATTTACACTGTGTTAGAAAAATAACTCTCCAAAAGACCTTCTGCTTTTGCCGTTAAGGGGGGCAAGTCTCCTGAAGAGCAGAGACAAATGGTAAAATAATAGTAAAATAACTGAAGCGCGCATTCTCAATTGCTTGTTAGGCATATTACTTGTGTAGGAAGCAACCCTATGCAGGCCTCCTGCTCTGTTACTTTTTTTTGAGACAGGGTGTTGCTCTGTTGCCCAGGGTGGAGTGCAGTGGCATGATCTTGGCTCACTGAAACCTCTGCCTCCCAGGCTCAAGCGATTCTCCTGCCCCAGCCTCCCGAGTAGCTGGGATTATAGGCACGCGTCACCATGCCCGGCTAATTTTTTGTATTTTTAATAGAGACGGAGTCTCACCATGTTGGCCAGGTTGGTCTCGAACTCCTGACCTCAAGTGATCCACGCCCAAAGCCTGGGATTACAGGCATGGGTCACTTCTGTTCCCTTCTTAGGGGCATGTTTACAAATGATGCCCATTGGTCCAGGAGGGTACCAGCCCGTCATTGGTCTCAACATTAAAAGGATCCATTCTGTTTCTCTGCCCTGAGCCTCTGGAAAATGATGTTCCCAAGCTTTAGCTGTGGCCTTTGTGACATGGGCACAAGGAAAGGGGTTTCACGCTGGAGAGCCCCTCCGCTTAGGTAAACCAGAGTCCACGGGGACAGCTGCTGCCCAGTCTGCCCTCCCCATGCCCATTCCTAGAAGTGGGCATGGAGAGGCTGGTGACTAACTCCAAGTGTCATCGTCTTCCTGTTTTCCCTCCTCCCTTCACCTTTGCACATTGCCTGACACGGCTGAGTCTGGGCAAAACCTCTTAGCAGCCAGGGGTCATTTCTGGGTTCTCACTCTCTGATAGGCAGATCAGAAATGTACACGACACCCAGAGAGAAAGCAGAGACATGAGTGACAATTGTGATGGAGGAGGACTCGGCTTCCATCTGTTTTTGTTTATTTCCACATCACATGGTGAAAGTTCTGGATCCAACTGGCTGGGTGGCATCAGCTTTGGGGACCTCTTTCTAAGAATATAAGTTAAGGCTTGGCCCAGTGGAATTGGGGGAGGATTCAGTTTTTAGGGTCGCTAGAAGATGAGGTCAGACGGAGGGAGGGAGGGCCACCCAAAAGCACAGTGTACATGCTAAATTTTAAGTTGGCAATTCTGTTGGGCAAGGGCTGGCATAATTTGTATTGTATATATAGTCCAGCACACTATTAATACAAAACAGATATTGGATAATTGTGTGCACCAGTTAACTATAGGAAATTTGCTTTAGGGAAATAGAGAAGAAGCATTTTGCAAGTGTCAAAAGAGGAATTTGTAAGAGGTGTCAGGACAGTGGCCTTCCTAGTGTTTGGAGGGAACCCACTACGTTATCATGTCCTAACCATGGCCTCCCGGTTCCACAGTTGGCCCTTGCCAGATCAGACAGCAACCTGGCTATCCAAACCATACCTACCCACCTTGGAATTGGATTTGAACTGAGAATACAGAATTAATAGCATGTAGTAAGGGACACTTAATTTTCTTCTGCTTCAGCCTGAGTTTGTCACCAGCCTCATTTGGCATCCTCCTCGTCTCTGGCATGAAGCATTGGAGCGGTGCAGTTGAGAGCCCAGGCTCCAGTTGCCTACAGAGTCAGATCCAGGTCCTTTCCCTTCCTCGCGGCAATGCGCCTCAGTCTCCTCATCTGTCAAGTACCCACCTTATGGGGCTGTTTAAAGGAATAAGTGAGATCATGTCTACAGCAGACTTACCACTGGTCTGGCCCTTTGAACATGCTTAAAGCTGCTGTTATTGCCTGGGCCCTTGGAGGGAGGTCTTTCTCTGGATGGTATTATATAAGAGACTCTGGTCTTGAAAGCCACTCCCTAATTTTCTTTGGGCCTTCATTTCCTCACCTGTGAAGTGAAGGGGTCAGGAGAGACCCCCTTCTATCTCTGAAATGATATAAAGGGAGGAAGGGAGTTTGTGTTAGCGGCAACTTTTTTGTTTGTCCGCACTTTTCCTTTCCGCTCTTTGAGCCATGATAGTTGAGAATTGTGTTTTTTTACTTCCTTAAATTCAGAAGTGAGCTTTTGAGAGTCCTCAAAGGAAATCAACCTCAAGATAATTCTTTTGCTCCTGATTGGTAATGGGAAAAACCTTTGAGAAGAATTCCTGCTTACAGACATCTCTCTCTCTCTCCTTTTTTTTTTTTTTTGAGACAGAATATCACTCTGTTGCCCAGGCTGGAGGGCAGTGGCACGATCTCCGCCCACTGCAACCTCTGCCTGCTGGGTTCAAGTGATTCTTGTGCCTCAGCCTCCTGAGCAGCTGGGATCACAGGTGTGTGCTACCATGACCTGTTAATTTTTGTATTTTTAGTAGAGACGGGGCTTCACTCTGTTGGCCAGGCTAGTCTTGAACTCCTAACCTCAAGCAATCCACCCTCCTCAGTCTCCCAAAGTGCTGGGATTACAGGTGTGAGCCACCGTGCCTGGCCTAGACATTTCTCTTGATGTATTATGTTATTTGGGTGACTCTATACCCCTGTAGGCTTGACCAATCACAATGAAGTGGAAGCATGATTGGCATGTTATGAGCCCCTCCTCTTTCTTTAGAGGCTCCTACTGAGTAGAGTGGCCAGCAAGAGGTCAGATACAAACTTCAGACAACAAGGTAGCCTTTTTTTTTTTTTTTGAGATGGAGTCTCGCTCTGTCGCCCAGGCTGGAGTGCAGTGGCACAATCTTGGCCCACTGCAACCTCTGCCTCCCAGGTTTAAGTGATTCTCCTGCCTCAGCACCCCCACGTAGCTGGGATTACAGGTGCGCACCACCACACCGAGCTAATTTTTGTATTTTTAGTAGACACTGGGTTTCACCATGTTGGCCAGGCTGGTCTTGAATTCTTGACCTCAGGTGATTCACCCTCCTCAGCCTCCCAAAAGTGCTGGGATTACAGGCGTGAGCCACCGCGCCCAGCCATCAAGGTAGCTTTTAAAAAGCTGAGACCTTTGGGAATGGAGTGATGTGGGGTGGGGTGGGGGGGTTAGGGTGTATTCTTTTGCTTGTTGTTTCTGTTGCAACTTTGAGAAGATTCTGAAAAATAAGAGGGGAGTGATGGCCGGGCATGGTGGCTCATGCCTGTAATCCCAGCACTTTGGGAGGCTGAGGTGGGTGGATCACTTGAGGCTAGGAGCTCCAGACCAGCCTGGCCAACATGGTGAGACCCCCCTCTTTACTAAAAATACAAAAATTAGCTGGGCGTGGTAGCGCCCACCTGTAATCCCAGCTACTCTGGAGGCTGAGGCACACGAATCGATTGAACCCAGGAGGTGGAGGTTGCAGTGAGCCGAGATCCACTGCACTCCAGCCTGGGCGACAGAGTGAGAGTCTGTCTCAAAAAAAGGAGAGTAAGGAAGGAAACTCAGAACAGATACGTTTCGGCAAAGAGCAAGTCGACTGGGATTTTTTCTATAGTGGGTGTGTAAATTTCAGACTTTAAAATCCACTCAGTAAAACTGACATCCCTGCTTATTCACTTTTGCCGACTCTGCTAGAAGCCTCCTGAGTTTTGTTTACAAGGTCTCCGGCACACAGCCTGCCTTCTTTGAAAGGCCAGGCCAGGACCAGCCTGCCCATCCCTTCTGTTCTCACTGGATTTCGTGGCCAGTGGCCTGGACGTGACTAACAGATGGCCATTGCAGAGCTGATCACCTGATTTCATGGCTTATTCTTGGGAAAGCCTCTGATCTTTTTACAGAAGGTTATCCATCCCTTGGTAAATCCTTCCCCTTGTATAGATGGAGAAACTGAACAGGTACAGGTGTGCATATTTAGTGTTACCTTGGACAGGTGGATGATATGTATGCCAAGTCCTCCTTAGCTTGTGTTTAGCTTTGGTTTTGATGCTTATAACAGCTTTGGTCGTTCTAGCTCATGGTCATGAGCTCTTTCAGAGAGGCTGCTGGCTTAAGTGCCCGATAGACTTTTTTTTTGAATGAATGAAGATCTATCTGGATTTCTAGCAACACTTTTCTTCAGGAGTGGGCTGCAGCTGGAGTGAGCACTAGGAACCTTTGCAGCTTAAGAATTCAGAAACCCACACCTCCCCAGCCAGCCTAAGGGGCAGCCAGTCTCCTAGGAGAGCTGGGTTCTGGCCTGCGACGTCCTCCACCTTTCGGAGGTCAACTCAGAAGGCGGTACCTGTCCAAGGGAGGGGGCGCCCACCTCAGGGTAGAGTCAGGGCGTTCTGACAGCCCCCGTCAGGCGACTCGAGTGGAACTCCCGCCTGCACTACTTGACCCTGCAAAGGCGAACCCGAGTGCCGGAGGTGCAGCGCCAGGAGGCCGGCCCAGCCCAACCGCCCGCGTCGGGGGAGACTGGGCTCTCAGAGCTTATCCAGGCCAGCGGTCCTGCAGGCTCTGGGTCGGGGGTTCCCGGGTTCGTGCGCTTCAGGTCCTGGTCCTGCAGCGAGTGCAAACCCGGCAGCCCGTGTGCCTGCTGCAAGGGACCTGGGGACCCGCTCCTGGCGTCGGGTGCAGAGTCGTCCCCCACGGCCCGGGCGCCCCCGGGCTTCCGCGAGACGCCCCACGGGACCACACAAAGGACCCCACCCCAGGCCGGGCGCGCATTTCCTGTTGCAGCGGTGGCGGCGTGCAGCCACCCATGTGCATCCCGCGGCGCGCGGGCCAGGCCGGGCCGGGCGGGGCGCGGGGCACGCCCCCACGCAGCCCCAGTCCCCGCGCTCCGGCCGCGAGGGACCGCCCTCGGCGGCCCGCCCCCGTGTCACCGCAGGCCGGGCTCCCTTTGTGTGCGGCCCCAGCGCCGCGGCCGCGCCATTGGCCCGCCCGCCCGGGGGGCCAGCCCCTTCCTGGCTCGCCTCATGCATATGCATGGCGCCCCGGCCCTCCCCCGCCGGCCCCTCCCCGCCCCCTCCAGCGCGGGCGTGCGAGGCGCGCGGCGCGGCTCCCTCCTCGCGGCAGCGGGAGCCCGAGCCCGAGCCCGAGCCCGAGCCAGGGCGAGCCGAGCCTGCTCCGGGCGGGCGGCGGCGGCGGCGCCGCTCCAGCCATGTCAGCGCGCGCGAGCCTGGGCCCACCATGAGCCATGGCCATGTCCGTGAGCGCCGAGGACGACGACTATGAATCGGAGCCGGACCAGGTCGGCGGCCCGGGGTGGGGCTGAGGGAGGGACCCGCCGCACGACCTCCCGACCGCCTGTCTGACGCGCCGAGGGCGGCCGCGACGCCGCCGCCGCCGCGATGAGGAGAAAGTTTTGCTGCCGCTGCCGGCGGGGCGGCCGGGGCCGGGCCCGAGCGGGGCGTAGAGGAGCGCGGCAGGCCCGCAGCCGGCCCGGGCAGGGGGCGTGTGCGGCCGAGCGAGCGCACTGGGGGCCATCGGGCACCGCGGGGACAATGTGGGCCGCCGGGCCTCGCCGTCGGGCGGGCCTGCCGGGCGCCGGCCACGGCCCGGGGCAAGTTGCCGGCGGCCGCGGGGCGCGCCGCGCCCTCCCCCGGCGCCCTCGCCCGCGGCCCACGCGCGTGCCGGCTGCCCCGGGAGCACCCGGACCCCGCGGGCGCCGGCACCTCCTGCCTCTGCGTTCGCAAAGTTGTGCCAGGACCCTCGGCTTCGGGGCTGGAGCGCTCCCGGGGCCCGTGGGCCCGACGGCCCGAGCTTTTGTCTGGGCGCCGCGCGCCCGCCGCCCGCCGTGGGCAGACGGAGACAGGAAGGGGTGCGAGCCGCGGGCCGGCGCGGGCCACCCGGAACCCGGGCGAATCCGCACGGCGGCAGCGGCGGCGGCGGCGGAGGAAGCCGCGACCCCAGATGGCAGGAGTTGGCCTCGGTGGATTCAGAAGGAAAAGCAACCTCTCTCGGGACCAGGGGGAGAAATCTGTGTGTAAAACAAAGCCCTGGGTGTGTTTACGGCGTGAATTTACTCCGGGAAGGTTCGTGTTTAGGAAGAAGGCGAAAAAAGTTGAGGTTTTACGAAGTATAATCTGCAAAATAATACTTGGAACAGGACGCAGGCCAGGTAGACCTGTCCGAGGAATTAAGAATGGGATGGATTGAGTTAGCATGTGGCATTGGACGGACTTGGGTGCATAAAACGCTTATTTATAATCCTGGTGGGATAAAGGTGTTGTGGAATGACCCAGCCAAAATGTGGTAACTTTTTTTTTTTTTCATCATTAGGTGCAATTGAGGAAGTGCTCTATAGGCTGCGCTTAAATCGTATTATACGTAGTATTAAGTGGTTTTACCTAACAGGCAGTTGATTTTTATTTTCTCAGCTTTGTTGGAGAATTTTCAGGCACGTGTGCGTTTTGAGGTGTTAGGAATCTCACGGCTCTTTCGGATTGGATTAACCCAGGGACGATTCAAGTGCTTTTGGCTTGAACTTTTATTAAGTCAGTAGCCCTACGTGTGAATGGCTCTCAAAGTCTTGTTCCATAGATCACACTTCAATTCCTGCTTTGAACATTTTCATTTCAGTTTGGAGTCTACTTAATCCTGCGACAGTTTGCCATTTCTGGGGCATTTGGTCATTCATTCGTAGGATGTCAGTATTCTGTGTCAGCTGGGCTTTGATGTCTCCACTGAGCTTTGGTGTTTCAGGATTGGGGTTCCTGTTAGCTGATTTTTGTTTGTTTTTTAAATTTGGTCATACCCTATGGCCTGTAGATACAATCTTTGACACTGCAAGACTTATTGTGTCTCTGGGCTTAAAAACATGTTTTCGGGTCCTGCCACTCCTGAGAGAAACTTCTGTTAAGAGAGGACCTGTAGGCCGTGCGCGGTGGCTCACACCTGTAATCCCAGCACTTTGGGAGGCCAACGCGGGTGGATCACTTGAGCTCAGGAGTTCGAGACCAGCCTGGCCAACATGGTGAAACCCTGTCTCTACTAAAAATACAAAAGTGAGCCCGGCGTGGTGGCCGGTGCCTTTAATCCCAGCTAATCAGGAGGCTGAGGCAGGAGAATCGCTTGAACCCAGGAGGCGGAGGTTGCGGTTGCAATGAGCCGAGATCGTGCCACTGCACTCCAGCCTGAGCGACGAGAGTGAGACTCTGTCTCAAAAAAACAAAAACAAAAACAAAAACAAACAAACCTGTATTCACTGTAGCCAAATTTTTTCTTCCTCCTTCTCACATTGGTCAAGCCGATTGTGGCACTTGTGGAGTCCTTAGCAACGACTTGAGGTTGTATTGTTAACTTTAAGATGATTTTTTTTTCCCACTCAGTGCACTGAGGGAGACGACATCTAAGCCAGGGCAGTGGGGGGCAGGCTTGTCTCGTAGTCCCAACAGAGAAGGTGTTTGTCAGCTAAGGTACCCCGTAGTTGGGGGACACTCTCCTTGCCTCCCTGCATGCTTTCCTCAACAGTTTTCTCAGCCTGAGCCTGAGAAGAGTGGCTTCCTCTGAGGACCTCGAAAGCATTTGCATCTTCCAAAGCACAGCGAGGGTCTCTGGAGTCTCCAGCTTGCAGGCTCCAGACCCAGCTCTTCTCGAAGTTTCTCTGTACCTCTGTCCCACCCTGCTGAATGGGTTTGGCACCAAAGGAGAAGATCCTTCATGAGGAGAGGTTGCCAAGTCCTGGAGTGTGGATGAACAAGTAGACTTGCCCACCTGCTGGATGAAAGGACCCGTCGGAGGGAGGCCCTGGTGGGAGGCTGCTGCTGCCCCGTCCATCTCTGTAGTTGGTGTAGCCCTCACGCCCACCCCATCAGAGTTTTGGCTGCTCCACCTTCCGAGCCTGTGTACTTCTCATCCCCACCTGAGACCTGTCGTGCTGCGCTGGCCTGTCTGCCCCATGCCTTCCCTCAGCAGCCTGGGTTTCCCCAAGTGTCACAGCCTGTGGGACAGGAGACAGGGGATGGGCCCGCGGTGAGCGAGCCATGTTGGCGGGAGACCCCTTGTGTGCTCTTTGCCGGTGTGCACCCTTGGCGGGAACTTCTCCCACAGACTTCATTTGCTTCTCTAGTACAAAATGTGTCAGAAAATTCTTCAGCTTGCTTTCCAAGTTGAAGAGGTGTCTCCTAAAGGAGGGCTTTTAGAAGAATTCTTGTTCCATCTTGTTTTTTGTTTTGAGTCAGGGTCCTGCTCTGTCACGCAGGCTGGAGTACAGTGATATGATTATAACTCATTGCAGTCTTGAACTCCTGGGCTCAAGCGATCCTCCTGCCTCAGCCTCCTGAGTAGCCAGGACTACAGGCACGCATCACCACACTCAGCTACTAATTTTTTTATTTTTTATTTATATAGAGATGGGGTCTTGATATGTTGCCCAGGCTGGTCTTGAACTTCTGGCCTCAATGATCCTCCTGTCTTGGCTTTCCAAAGTGTTGGGATTACAGGCATGAGCCACTGCGCCTGGCCAGTTTTTTTTTTTCTCTTGATGTGAAAACAGCTTCTATTATTTTTTCTATAAAAATGACTACAGGCTGGGTACAGTGGCTCATGCCGGTTATCCCAGCACTTATGGGAGGCTGAGGCAGGTGGATGGCTTGAGCTCGGGTGTTTGGGACCAGCCTGGGCAACATGGTGAAATCCCATCTACAAAAAAGTACAAAAATTAGCCAGGTATGGTGTCATGCACCTGTAGTCCCAGCTACTCGGAGGCTGAGGTGGGAGAATTGCTTGAGCGCAGGAGTTCGAAGCTGCAGTGAGTAGTGATGGCCCCATTGCATTCCAGCTTGGGTGACAGAGTAAGACCCTTTCTCAAAAAAATTTTTTTAAATAAAAATAAAAATGGCTACAGCTTGTTGAAAAAATCAGGAAATTATGGAGAAGAAAATCTCTCAGAAATTTATGTGGTCATAGAACCATTGTTACCAATTATAGCTATTTTATTTTACTTTAAGTTCTCGGATACATGTGCAGAACGTGCAGGCTTGTTATATAGGTATACATGTGGCATGGTGGTTTGCTGTACCTATCAACCCATCATCTAGGTTTTAAGCCCCACATGCATTAGGTATTTGTCTTAGTGCTTTTTTTTTTTTTGAGACGGAGTCTCGCTCTGTTGTCCAGGCTGGAGTGCAGTGACGCGATCTCAGCTCACTGCAATCTCTGCTTCCTGGGTTCAAGCGATTTTTCCTGCCTCAGCCTCCTGAGTGGCTAGGACTACAGGTGTGCGCCACCATGGCTGGCTAATTTTTGTATTTTTAGTAGAGACGGGGTTTCACCATGTTGGTCAGGCTGGTCTCGAACTCCTGACCTTGTGATCCACCCGCCTTGGCCTCCCAAAGTGCTGGGATTATAGGCGTGAGCCACCACGCCTGGCCTCTTTTTTTTTTTTTTTTGCTGAGGCAGGGTCTCACTTTGTTGCACAGGCTGGAGTGCAGAGGTGCCATCACACCTGGCTAATTTTTGTGTTTTTTGTAGAGATGCAATTTTGCTGTGTTGCCCAGGCTGGGCTCGAACTCCTGGGCTCAAACGATCTGCTGCCTCAGCCTCCCAAAGTGCTGGCATTACAGGTGTGAGCTACCACACCTGGCCTATAGCTTCTTAAACAGTGAAATTTTGCCAGCCGGGCGCGGTGGCTCACGCCTGAAATCCCAACACTTTGGGAGGCTGAGACGGGCGAATCACAAGGTCAGGAGTTTGAGACCAGCCTGGCCAACATGGTGAAACCCCGTCTCTACTAAAAATACAAAAAATTAGCTGGGCATGGGGCAGATGCCTGTAATCCCAGCTACTAGGGAGGCTGAGGTAAGAGAATCGCTTGAACCTGGGAGGCAGAGGTTGCAGTGAGCTGAGATTGTGCCACTGCACTCTAGCCCAGGCAACAGTACGAGACTCCGTCTCAAAAAAAAAAAAAAAGTGAAATTTTAAGACAGGGGCCTCTGATCCTTCTTGAAAATGTATGCAAAAGTTTTGTTACTTTGTGCCTATATACATTTTTGGAGGAAGAGGTCTTTAGCTTTCCTCAGATTCTTCAGAGGTCCTCCCATCCCCTGGGCTTTCTGGTAGTTCTTGTGTTTTTAGTCTCTTGCTCCTTACTCTCTCTATATTAAAAAACCCAGAGCCTGGAGTCTACAGGCGTGTGTTAAGGGGCCTGCAACACTCTGGTAAAATCCAGCTTTTCCTGGGCTGTCCATTATGCTTGCAGATTTGAGGACAGGAATAATACTGAGATAAATACAGCTGTGTCGTGCGATACAGTACAACATTAGCATGCACAAAGAAATCGGGGGGCCTGTGGCCTTCCCTTGTGGGGCTGTCCGTGTAATGTTATTTGGAGTACTTTGGCAGAAAACTTGGGACTGTCTTAATTGTAAAAACATATAGCTACATTTTACTGTTTTTCTCACTTCTCTTGACAGTTGAAACTTGTAACTGCTCCCTTCTTGAAACTTGCCTGGCTCTTGTGATGCCACAGCCTCCTACTGCTTGTCTGGCCTTTCTGGCCATTTCTCAGCAGGTTGGTTTTCCTCACCTGCCGGTTGAATGTTTTCAGTCTTGAAGGGACTGTTGGAGTTCTCTTTTCACTCTTCCATTCCCCCTGGACATCCTCACGGACTTAACTAGTTTGAGCACCTATGCAGTGTCGGTTCCCAGGTGTGTACCTTAGCTCTGGTTCCACCTGCTTGCTGGGCAACACCTTCCTTGGCTGTCCCATGGGCCCCTTGGATTCCGCATGCCCACAGCAGTCCTTGTTTCTTCCCCTCTCCCGAGCCCCCTTGTTCTTCTGTTGCTCAAGTCGGAAACCTCAAAGTCCTCCAGAAGTCTGCTTGCATACCCCATGTTCAGCCAATCACCGGGTCTTCTAAAACTGGGTCTGCTTCTAGAGCATCTCCTGAATCATCCCCTCCTCTTCATTCCTTCCATTCCTTCTGCTCCTGCCTTCATCATCTTCAGCTGATCTCCCTGTCTTTTGTCTTGCCCACTGCCCCAAAAATATCCACTCCCCTCACTGTTGCCAGAATACAGTCATGTTGTGAAGCCTTTAACTTACTGTGATGGGTCCAGTTCCCTACTGTGGTAGATGAGGCCCTGCAGGATGAGGCTCCAGCCACTTCAGAGCTGTTTTCCAGCAGCTGTGTCGAGCTATTTGCAGTTCCTTGAATGTGTCACGCAGTTTCACATCTCTCTCTTGTTCTTCCTTCTGCCTAGAATATCCACTTCGTAACCCCACTCCCACCCCTGGCACGCAGGGTCCTGTTCTCCCTCTAAGACCCACCTTAGTCACCACCTCCTATGTTCTGGGGCGCTTTTTCCAGCCTCCCTTATCCATGATATGAGGCATCTCTTCTGGGTTAGCATGCCAGGGTCCAGGCTTTAGAGCCACTGCCTGGGTCTGTATCTCAGCTTTCTCATTCATTGATAGTATGACATCGGGCGGATGACTTAACTGTGCCATGTCTCAGTTTCCTCACTTGTAGATGGAGATAATAGTAATTCCTTCCTCATAGATTATTGATACAGAGTGTGGTGGTTCACGCCGGTAATCCTAAAGCTTTGGGAGCCTGAGGTGGTAGGATTGCTTGAGGCTAGGAGTCCAAGACCAGCCTGGGTTACATAGCAAGACCCCATCCCTACCAGAAAAACAAAAAAGATTGTTGATACAGATATTGATGAATGACTAGCACTTAAGTAAGTGTTACCTTTTGGCCAGGTTCGATGGCTCACACCTGTAATCCTAGCACTTTGGGAGGCCAAGTCGGTCGGGTCACTTGAACCCAGAAGATCGAGACCAGCCTGTGTGACATAGTGGGACTCCGTCGCTCAAAAAAAAGAAAAAGAAAATAAAAATTAGCTGGTGTGGTGGCACATGCCTGTATCTCGGCTACTAAGGAGGCTGACGTGGGAGGATCACCTGAGCCCTGGGAAGTCGAGGCTGCGGTTAGCTGAGATCACGCCACTGCACTCCAGCCTGGGTGACAGAGCGAGACCCTGTCTCAAAAACAGCTCTGCCACTGGAGTGCAGGGGCACGATCTTGGCTTACTGGAACCTCCACCTCCTGGTTTAAGTGATTCTCCTGCCTCAACCTAGATGTTAGTTTTTAATGTCATCATAATGATGTTGCATTGCATTTATGTGGTTGCATGTCTTTCTTTTTCCAGAGTGTAATGCCTTTCAGACTAGGGGACACATTTTACTCATTTCTGTAGTTCTAGCACTTAGCATCAAATCAGATACATAATTCACAGCCAGGAAACACTTGGGTTGGTGGATTTGTGAATTAGGGGGTTAATGAATGAGTCTCCAGTGCAAATTACATACTTTATTAGTTAGTGATGTTAAGCATCTTTTCATGTGCTTACTGGCCATTTGTAGATCTTTTTTGGAGAAATAGCTATTTAAATCCTTTGCCCATTTAAAAATTACCTATTCATCTCTTTATTATTGAGTTGTCGGAGTTCTTTGTATATTCTAAGTACTAACTGCTTGCTAGATACATGATTTACAAATATTTTCTCCCATTCTGTGGGCCTTTGCACATGATAGTGCCCTTTAAAGCACCAAAGTTTTTTTTTTTTTTTCTGAGATGGAGTTTCACTCTTGTTGCCCAGGCTGGAGTGCAATGGTGTGATCTTGGCTCACTGCAACCTCTGCCTCCTGGGTTCAAGCGATTCTCTTGCCTCAGCCTCCTGAGTAGCTGGGATTACAGGCATGTGCAACCACACCTGGCTAATTTTGTATTTTTAGTAGAGATGGGGTTTCTCCATGCTTGTGAGGCTGGTCTCCAACTCCCAACCTCAGGTGATCCTCCCGCCTTGGCCTCCCAAACTGCTGGGATCACAGGCGTGAGCCACCATGCCCAGCAAAAGTTTTTAATTTTGATGAAGTCGAATTTATCTTTTTTTTGACACCTGTGCTTTTGGTGTCATATCAGAGAAACCCTTGCCTAATTCAAAGTCATAAAGATTTACACTTGTGTTTTCTTCTAAGAGGTTTATAATTTTAGCTGTGTGTTTAGGTCTTTGATCCATTTTTGAGTTAATTTGTATATGTGGTGTGAGGTAGGGGTCTATCTTTGTTCTTTTGCTTGTGGATAGCTATTCGTCCCAGCACCATACGTTGAAAAGACCATTCTTTACCCAACTGAATTGCCTTGGCATCCTTATTAAAAATCATTTGGTCAAAATATGACTTTATTTCTGGACTCTCAATTCTGTTTCATTGATCTATAGGTCTGTCTTTATGCCACTACCATCACAGCCTTGTTTATTGTAGCTTTGTAGTGAGTTTTGAAATCAGAAAGTGTGTGTCTTTTTTTTTTTTTTTTTTGAGGCAGAGTCTCGCTCTGTTGCCAGGCTGGAGTGCAGTGGTGTGATCTTGGCTCACTACAACCTCTGCCTCCCGGGTTCAAGTGAATCTCCTGCCTCAGCCTCCTGAGTAGCTGGGACTACAGGTGTGTGCCACCATGACCAGCTAATTTTTGTATTTTTAGTAGAGACAGGGTTTCACCAGGTTGAGCAGGATGGTCTCAATCTGTTGATCTTGTGATCTGCCCACCTTGGCCTCCCAAAGTGCTGGGATTACAGGAGTGAGCCACCTTGCCCAGCCTTTTTAGATGGAGTTTCACTCTTGTTGCCCAGGCTGGAGTGCAATGTCATGATCTTGGCTCACTGTAACCTCCACCCACTGGGTTCAAGTGATTCTCCTGCCTCAGCCTCCCAAGTAGCTGGGATTACAGGCACGTGCCACCATGCCTGGCTAATTTTGTATTTTTAGTAGGGATGGGGTTTCACCATGTTGGACAGGCTGGTCTTGAACTTGTGACCTCAAGGGATCCACCTGCCTCAGCCTCCCAAAGTGCTGGGATTATAGGCGTGAGTCACCGCCCCCACCCCCCATCCCCCTATTTTTTTAAGATTGTTTTGGCCATTCCAGGTCTTTTGCATTTTCATGAATTTTAGGATAGTGTGTCCATTTCTGCAGAAAAGTCAGTTGAGTTTTTGTTTTGTTTTTATTTTTTTAATTCTTGTTTTGTTTTTGAGACAAGGTTTTATTCTGTCGTCCAGGTTGGATGCAGTGGCTTGATCTCAGCTCAGTGCAACCTCTGCTTCCTGTGCTCAAGTGATTCTCCAGCTTCAGCCTCCTGAGTAGCTCGGACTACAGGTGTGTGACAGCACACTCAGCTAGTCTTTTTATTTTTTTGGAATCTTGCTTTGTTGGCCAGGCTGGTCTTGAACTCCTGAGCTCAAGCGATCTGCCTATCTTGG
The DNA here is from genome assembly GCF_000001405.40 of Homo sapiens. Lineage (NCBI taxonomy): Eukaryota > Metazoa > Chordata > Mammalia > Primates > Hominidae > Homo > Homo sapiens. Next base: position 121,458,146 of record NC_000012.12, on the reverse strand, counting down.
CCTCCCAAAGTGCTGAGATTATAGGGGTGAGCCACTGTGCCCAGCCCCAGTTGGGATTTTGCTTGGGGTCGCGTTGAGTCTGTTGATCACTTTGGGGAGTATAACCGATCTTAACAATATTAAATCTTCCAATTCATGAACACGGATGTCTTTCCTTTAATTTAGGTTAATCTAAGTAATTTTAATCCCTATAATTTAGAGCTGAGGGATTGAGGAGGTTCTGTCCATGCATTTTCTGGTGGATAATATCTGGTAGACCAGAGGAACTCAAATATTGGTGGGATGAATGAATAAACCTTGATAGCATTCACTTAAAGGACAATGCTCTTGAGTTGCTGATGGAGAAGAGGTGTAGGAATACCAAGATATTTGTGTGTGTGTGTGTGTGTGTGTGTGTGTGTGTGTGTATGTTTCCGATCTTCCTAACCTTTCATAGTGGGCTGAGGATATGGTTCCTGGGCTGATAAAATCAACAAGTCGCCTTGGTGTTGGGGATGCTGGTTCGTAAATGAATGTCTGGGGATGCCGTCACTTCCTTTGCTGGGACAGGGGTAGGACAGAGTGGAAGTTAGAATTGGTGTTTGAGGCCAGGCACAGTGACTCATGCCTGTAACCCCAGCACTTCAGGAGGCTGAGGCGGGCAAATCACTTGAGGCCGGGAGTTTGAGACCAGCCTGGCCAACATGACGAAATGCTATCTCTACTAAAAATATAAAACTTAGCTGGGCTTGGTGGCGCACACCTGTAATTCCAGCTATTCGGGAGGCTGAAGCACAAGAATTGCTTGAACCCGGGAGCCAGAGGTTATAGTGAGCCAAGATGACGCCACTGCACTCCGGCCTGGGTGACACAGTGAGACTCTATCTCAAAAAAAAAGAAAAGAAAAGAAAAGAAAAGAATTGGCGTTTGAAACTTTGGGTAGCACCCAAAAGATATCAGGACAGAGAAAGCTGTGTGCTGAAAGGAGAGAGCTCTGGCAGACTCACCTTCCTTTTTATTCCATTTGTCCCTTTTTGTGTCACTGTTTTCTGTATTCTGCCATCACGTTTCCTGGTTGGGTCTTCAGAGTCCCAGTTGGACTTTTTAATGGAGGCCTCCGAGGTCTGTCTTACCTGTGGGTTTTTCAGTGGGCTTCATTAGGATCCTGCGTTGCTCTGTTGTTGAACCAACTCTTGATGAGCCAGGCGGGGGCCACTGCCGGCAGCAGAAACCTTCCTGGCCTGATTTGGCAGCGGCTAGACAGGGCCTCATCAAGGTCTCGAGAGACTGCAGCTTCTCACACCTCTTCTTTCAGGATGTTGTCTGGTATGTGCTCTGTGATTTTCCCAGATGTCTCAACTGCTGTTGAGGTCCAGGCAGGTTGTTTTCCATAGGCTGGATGAGAAGGTGCTTTGGTTGGTGCAGGCAAATGGGCTTGTTTTGCAGTGACATAGGAGCTTCGAGACTCAGACTGGATTGGCCCAACGTTTTTACTTGCCCAGACACTGTCCTCGGGGCAGGGAGGCCAGAGGCACTCAGTGGCTATTGATACCTGGCGTTCCTTTGAACTCCTGGAATTTTTTCAGTTTTTTACCAGAGAAGCTCGTCTTTAGACTCTCCAGCTCCGGGGATCTGGTTTTGTCCTGGGAGGTGGCCCACACGCTGGCCACTTCACACCTGACTGGAGGCCTTAGACGCCGCCCATAGCATTGCCTGTGTTCCAGGTATTTGAAGAGTGAGCTGGTAACAGGGCACCTGTCGTTTGGAGGGGTAGAATCAGAAAGTGCTATTGTAGGCTGTGATGACAGGGAGAAACGTTTTTGGATTTCCGCTTCTCTGGAAGTAGCCGTGCTTCTCTGCACCTCTTGTTGGCACCCTTCGCACTGAGGCATCGTGGCACTAGCTGGGAAGCCCTTCCAGGAGCATGTGGCCATCCCAGTGGGTCTGTGGGCCCCTCGCTGCACTTCGCACATGCATTTGCTGTGGTTTAGTGTGTTCAGTGCACAGCACCGGAGTCCACGCATCATGCTGGTTCCATGACCACAGGCAAATTACTGGCTTCAGGAAGGCATCCTCTGCAGTGCTGTTATTGGGAAAGTTAGGTAATATCATCAGTAAAGTGATGGCCACGGTGCCCGCAGATGGGGGTGCTCAGGGAATCCCTGCCCTCACGCGGCATGGCCGTCATCTCGGTCCTTAGCGCTGCCTGCCTGGCCTTGGCTGCTCTGTTGGCTGCTCAGCTTCAGGTTCACAGTCTGCTCTGTGCCATTCTCAAATCCAGGAAGCTCTGAAAACTGATCTCGTTTTACTTCTCACGTGGGCAGCCAGACGTGACTCGGATGGATGTGTGTAGTGTGTGGTGGACTTGGCCCCCGAAAGGTGCTAATCGCAGTGGGACTATGCGAGTATGTTGGGGGCATCCGGCCCTCATTGTAAGGATGGATTTCTTCCTTTTTTGTTTTTTGAGACAGGGTCTTGCTCTGTCTCCTAGGCTGGAGTACAGTGGATGATCACAGCTCACTGCCACCTCAAATTCCTGGGCTCAAGCAATCCTCCCACCTCAGCCTCCTGAGTAGCTGGGTCTGCAGGTGCACACCACTACACCTGGCTAATTTTAAAAATTTTTTGTAGGTCTCACTATGTTGCCCAGGCTGATGTTGAACTCCTGACCTCAAGTGATCCTCCCACCTCAGACCCCAGCATGCTGGGCTTATAGGCGTGAGCCACCGTTCCTGGCGCCCTTTGCTGCTTTGGATGGTCCCTTTACCCAGGTGACTGGTGGTGGCCAGCTTGCCTGTGGGTGGCCCTGCAGTCCAGGGCTTGCCCTCCCTGTGACAAGGCCTTCTGCTGGGCTGCCCCAGAGCAGAGGGCAGGCATGACTGAGGGTCCTGAGCAGCTGGGGAAGACCAGTGGGAGATGAGGGTGGTAGAGCCGGGGAGCACCTCCCTTTCCTCTTTGGGGTTCACAGCAGGTTGAGCAGGGTAGAGGCCCAGAGCTCCAGTGCTTCCTGAGGGGCCACTCGGGCTGATGGGGGCCTGGAAGCTCCTTGAATGCTGTGGGAAGGTGAATCGGAGGGAGGGGTCTGCTTAGGTGTTGACAGCAAAGTGGGTGGCACGTGAGGCTGCGGGCTTTCTACAGGGACCACTGCACTGGAGAAGAAAGTTGATGGTGGCGAGGCTGTATTTGAGGAGAAAGGGGGGCTGTTTTTCTTCCTATGCAGTTGGAAGTTTCTAGGAAGCCCCTAGGGTGCAGGGAGTTGTGTGTGTTGTGAGAGGGGGTCCCTGTGATGTGGACCTTCTTCTCCATTGGAGTGTATGAATAGTAACAGCTCTTCTGGGTCTGTGTGCTCCCAAAAGTATGGGGTTTTGTTTGGGGATTCAAGTATGACAAGTCACTGAAATGAAGAGGGTGGGACTCTGGACCAAAGGGTGTTCAGTTAGCTGAAAAGGGGCTTTAGGCGTTAGATGCCGTTAGGTCAGCTGGTTTCCAGGGTGACCACGTGTCTCCCTGACAGGGACTTCACCATTTCTCAGCCACCCCAGGCTCTCCAGAAAGATGCCACAGACAAGAAAAGCTCTCCCATCCTGGTCCCTCCCACTACAGGTCCCAGGTGGACAGGGGACCTCTGTGGACAGTGTCCTCAGCAGCTAGCTTAGGGCTCCCCCGTAGATCATGGGTCTGCAGGAGGCTCTGGGGCTGGGAACCAGAGGGCAGGGGCTGTGGCTGTCCCATTTTCCTGGCTTAGCTACTAGCCCAGCTCTCTGTCCACCTACTGTCTCTCTCTTCTGTGAGTCCCAGGGAAGGGAGCATTTGGAGCCCATCTAGGGAAGATCTGAGTAGTCAGGGACCTAAAGGTTACTATCCCATCCTCCCTGGGGTGGCTCTGGTTTGTTGAGTGCATTCTGCATGCCAGGCTGGCTCGTAGAGAGGTGCAGTGGTGCACAAGACACCTGTGGTGAGTGCCCTCCTGTGCCCCGTCTCAAAGGGAAGGAACAGATGATTACCATCATGAGCGCTCTAACAGGATCTCCCAGAGGGGCCCTGAACCCAGTGCAGGTGGGCAGTAGGGGCTTCCAGAAGAAAGCAGCCTGTAAACTGACCAGACGGAATGAGTGGGCATCAGCCAAGTGGCTTGGGCGGGGGTGGGGTTGGCCTTCCGGGCTGGGGGAACAGAGACCGATTGTGTGGCCCCTTGCGGTCTTTCTTGGGGAGCAGACGGAGGTGGGAAAGGTGGGCAGGGTCCGAGCCTGTGGGTGCAGCCATGGAAGGTCTCGAGCTGTGTGCTGCGGCAAGAAGCACGCGCCCTCTGTCGTCCTCTCCTAGGGCTGCCATAACGGGTGGCTTAAAACAACCGGCCTTTCTTCTCTCCCGGTTCTGGAGGCCAGGAGTCTGAAGTCAAGGTGTGGGCTGGCGGGCCGGGCTGGCTCTGCGGGCTCTAGGGGAGGGTCCTTCCCCGCGCCTCCAGCTCCTGGTATGTGCTGCCATCCTTGGCACTTCTTGGCTTGTAGACAGGGCTCCAGTCTGTGGAAGGCCTGTGTCTTCACACACGTTCTCTACGTGCGTGTCTGTCTCTGTGTCCAAAAGTTCCCCTTTCGTAAGGACACCAGTCATACTGGATTAGCGTTCACCTGAATTACCTCGTTTAACCTGACGGTCTCTGCAAAGCCCCCATCTCCAAATAAAGATCACACTCTGAGGAATGGGGTTTAGAGCCCCCATCGTGTCTTTCTGGGGGTACACAGTTTGCTCCCTAACACCCTTTCCGGGGGTCTGGCCGTGCCTGCAGTCTCCCCATCTGACCAGTCGTGTCTGTTCCCCTGCAGAACCGGGCTGTGGGTCGGCCCAAGGGGAAGCTGGGCCCGGCCTCCGCGGTGAAGTTGGCCGCCAACCGGACAACGGCAGGAGCTCGGCGGCGCCGGACGCGATGCCGCAAGTGCGAGGCCTGCCTGCGGACCGAGTGCGGAGAGTGCCACTTCTGCAAGGACATGAAGAAGTTCGGGGGCCCCGGGCGCATGAAGCAGAGCTGCATCATGCGGCAGTGCATCGCGGTGAGTGCGGCCCCCGCCCAGCCCTGCGCTCGATTCAGGCCCCTGCGTGCCGGCCCGCGTGTCTGACCGCTGCTCGCTCTGGCCGCCCCTCCGCACACAGAGAAGCCGGGGCTGTGGACTCCCCGAGAGCTCTTCCTGTGGACGGGAAGGCGCTGGCCGCTTCGCAGGCTCAGGCCTCCTGCTCCTTCCCTCCCAGGGTGCTCAGGTACTTTGAAGTTGCTGCCATTAAAGATGACAGGCAGCCTGTCCTGTCTGTGACCCCGTTGCCAACATTACGGTTCTGGGTGACGGTTCTGGGCCCTTCCTTCCTTCCTTCCGGCCCTGCCTTCAGAGTCAGAAGTCTGGGTGGAAGGTCAGCGCCCCATCTCAGGGGGCTGCCCCCAACAAGGAGTGATTTATGGTACTGAGGAGCCGCGCCCGGGAGAGCCTGGCCCGCCCCTCCACACCGCCTGGCCTCAGCTCCGGCAGTGGCCCCGCGCCGCTGGTCTCGTCCCCAGACAGGGCAGTGGACATGGACTTCGCAACGGGGCGAGGTCGCGGGGTTTGCCCTTGAATTCCCTTGTACACACCCACATGCTCTGCCTTCCTCAGGGCGCTGCTCCCCGGGGGCCGGCGGTCCTCCCTGTGGAGGAGTCATCTCCCAGTCCCCGTGGAAAAGCAGGCTCGGCTGGAGGGACGGGATTCCTCGGCCCTGGTGCGCTCATCTGCAGGCCCAGCCTGGCATAGGGTGAGCCCTTCCTCCTTGGCTGTCGATGCCCCGCAGGCCCAGACACCTCAGCCATCTCCTTCCACGCATATTTCTTGTGTTTTGTTTTTTGAAATTGTGGTAAAAAAAATACATTAATCATTTTTAAGTATGCAGTACAGTAGTATTACCATATGCACGTTTTTGGGAAGCTGATCCCTAGAACTTTTTCATTTTGCAAAACTGAAACTCCATACCCACTGAAGCTCTACTCCCCTTTCCCCTCCCTCAGCCCGGGCAACCACCATTCCACTTTCAGTTTCTAAGAGCTTGACTCCTCTCGGGACCTCATAGAAGTGGAATTATGCAGTAATTGGCTTTCTGTGATTGGATTGGCTTGTTTATAGCCCTGAGCATAAAGTCCTCAGGGTTCATCCATGTTGAAGCATATGACAATTTCCTTTTTTTTTATGGCCGATTAATACTGAAAGTGTATTTGTACCAAATTTTCTTTTTTTTTTCTGAGATGGAGTCTTGCTCTGTTGCCCAGGCTGGAGTGCAGCAGTGGAATCTTGGCTTACAACAACCCCTGCCTCCTGGGTTCAAGCGATTCTCCTGCCTCAGTCTCCTGAGTAGCTGGGATTACAGGCACCTGCCACCACATCTGGCTAATTTTTATATTTTTAGTACAGACGGGGCTTCATCATGTTGGCCAGGCTGGTCTCGAACTCCTGACCTCAAGTGATCTACCCACCTCGGCCTCCAAGAGTGCTGGGATTACAGGCGTGAGCCACCACGCCTGGCTCAACTTTTCTTTATCCATTCATCTGTTGATGGACATATGGATTGCTTTCACCTCTTGCCTGTTGTGAATAGTGCTGCAGTGAATATGGGTGTGCAGATATCTCTTTGAGATCATGTTTTGAATTCTTCTGGATATACAATTGACCCTTGAACAACACAAGGGTTGGGGCACCATCTGACCTCTGTGCAGTTGAAAATCTGCATGTAACTTTTGACTCCCCTAAAACTTAACTACTGTTAGCCCTATTGTTGACCAGAAGCCTTACCAGTAACAAAAACAGTCCATTAACACATATCTTATATGTATTATATACTGTATTCTCACAATAAAATAAGCTAGAGAAAAGAAAATATTAAGAAGATCATAAGGAAAATATATTTATCATTCATTAAGTGGAAGTGGATCATCATAAAGGTCTTCATGCTCATCATCTTCACATTGTGTAGGCAGAGGAGGAGGGGTTGGTCTTGCTGTCTCAGAGGTGGCAGAGGCAGAAGAGATGGAGGAGGTAGAAGGGGGGGGCAGGAGACGCAGGCACACTCAGTATAACTTTTGTTGAAAAAAAATCGGCATATAAGCGGACCCACACAGTTCAATCCTGTGCTGTGTAAGGGTCAACTCCATGCCCAGAAGTGGGCTTGCTGGGTCATATGACGATTCTATTTTTAACTTTTTGAGGAACCTCTGTACTGTTGGCCACCGCGGCCATCCCGTTTTACATTCCCACCACGGGTGCATGAAAGTTCCTGTTTCTTCCTCTTTTTTTTTTTTGATGGAGTCTTGCTCTGTCACCCAGGCTGGAGTGCAGTGGCACGATCTCGGCTCACTGCAAGCTCCACCTCCTGGGTTCATGCCATTTTTCCTGCCTCAGCCTCCAGAGTAGCTGGGACTACCAGTGCCCGCCACCACGCCTGGCTAATTTTTTTGCATTTTTAGTAGAGACGGGGTTTCACCATGTTGGCTAGGATGGTCTGGATCTCCTGACCTCGTGATCCACCCGCCTCGGCCTCCCAAAGTGCTGGGATTACAGGCGTGAGCCACCGCACCCGATGAAGGTTCCTGTTTCTCTGTGTCCCCACCAACATCTGTTATGTTATGGGCTTTCAGTTTGTTTTTAGTGGCCATCCTAATTTGTATGAGGTGACGTCTCACTGTAGTTTTGATTTACTTTTCCCTAATTCTTAGTGATGTTGAGCATCTTCTCAAGTGCTTATTGGCTGTTTGTCTGTCTTCTTTGGAGAAATGTCTGAGTCCTTAGCCCGTTTTTAAACTGATTTACTTTTTTCTTTTCTTTTTTTTCTTTCTTTTTTTTTTTTGAGACAGAGTCTCATTCTTTTGCCCAGGCTGGAGTGCAGTGGCGCAGTCTCGGCTCACTGCAACTTCTGCCTCCTGGGTTCAAGAAATTATCCTACCTCAGCCTCCCAAGTAGCTGGAGTTACAGGCACATACCTCCACACCCAGCTAATTTTTGTATTTTTGGTAGAGGCAGGGTTTCACTCTATTGTCTAGGCTGGTCTCAAACCCCTGACCTCAGGTGATCACCCTCCCGCCTTGGCCTCCCAAAGTGCTGGGATTACAGTGCATCTGGCCTAGATCGGCTTTCTTTTGGGGGTTTTTGTTGCTGAGTTAGAGGAGTTCTAGATATGTTTTGGATATTAACCCTTATCAGGTCTCTGGTTAGCAAGGATTTTCTTCCATCCTGTAGATTGCCTTTTCACTCTGTCAGTTCTTTCTTTTGCTGCAGAAGTTCAGTTCCACTGCTTGTGCTTTTAATTGGTACCCGAACCCCAGGACATTTCCATGGATTTCGGGGAATTTGTGAGCCATCCTGAAATTAAATGCATTTTTGTCTATGTGCATGCATGGATGTGCATTTTTTGGAGACTGGGTCCATGTGACCCATTGGATCCTATAGAATTTAAAAGAGCTTGTCTATAGCAACTGTTGGTTTTTAGAACGGTGTCACCTAAAACCCAATGTGTGCCAGTAATGAACCCGCGACTGTCTTTTTCTCTTTGGCATTATTATCTCCCAGCCCCCGTGTGCTGGGCCCAGTTATAGGAAACCTGTCTCGGGTGCCATCTTATCTTTGCAGCTCTGGTGCCTGGCACAGCGCATGCTGGTTGAAGGAAACCCCATTTTTCTACGTCTCCTACTCTCTTCAGCTTGACGTGGCTTCTGGAACTGATGGCAGATGCAGGCTTGGCCTGACCCTTGGGGTCCTTCTTACTCTTCTCCTAGCCCTTCTGCTCTGCCAGGGCACTTCTCACGTGTTACCCACCTGTGACATACGCAGCCCCACCTATCTTCCTTTTCTGGACCCTCCCTTTGCTCCGTCGCTGGGGCTGCCTCCGTAGCCTCCCCTCTCCACCATGTCCCTGCCAGTGTCATGCCGATGTCATGCTGGTGTCCTGCAGTCTGCCCCCCCACATGCGCCCCAAGCCCCCTGCCAGCCCCTGCAGGAGATTTGCCTCTGGCACCGCCTCCCATCCTGCCACCTGGCTCAGAGCCCGTTCTGCCATCTGCCCCACCCCACCACAGACCCTCTTCTTGCCGTGTGGGCCGTGCTTCACCCTGTGCCCCCCGCTGCAGTCTGGTCCCCAGACGTCCCCTTTGGCCTGGCCTGCTCTGTCCTCATTCACCTTGAGGCCCCGCGGCCTTGCCCACTTGGCTTCTCTCCACCCTGTCCTCCAAGTCCTCCAGAAATCAGCCTCTGCTGCTTCTGAGAACTCTTGAACATGATTTTTCCATGTTTTCTTTGGATTTCAGCGACTTAATGTCTTTGTCTTCCCAAATAGCTCATGGGGAGCAGCCATCTCCCTCGCTCCTGTGGCCCCAGGACCTTGTTTCAGGCCGTGGCAGATGTGTGTTTGGTATTTGTGGAAGGAACGATGACTGCCTTGCCTTCTGTGTCCTGTTTATTAGAATTCAAACATTTGCGCCATTTAATCAAGTCTTTTTCACTTACCAATGGCGTGTATATCCCAGCCTGCTTGAAGCTCCTCTGAGCAGCATAATAAAGGTTGGCTGCGTGCTTCCTCTGTCTGCAGGTGCACTGGGCGGGATGAGGCTGACCTGCCCTGGCCTCAGGGGGCTCACAGCCGGGTGCATCAAGTTCTCACACTTCGTGGTCTCAGGGACCCCTTCATGCTCTTCAAAATTATGAGGACCCTAAAGAGCTTTTCTTTTATGTAGGCTATATATTTATTAATATTGACCGTATTAGAAATTTAAACTGAGTTTGATGTGAGAGGACTTTAGCTAAAAAAAAAAATTAAAACTGATTTTTTTTTTTTTTTTTTTTTTTTTTGAGACAGAGTCTTGCTGTGTCGCTCAGGCTGGAGTGCAGTGGTGTGCTCGTGGCTCACTGCAGCCTCTACCTCCTGGGCTCAAGCAGTCCTCCCACCTCAGTCTCCCGAGCAGCTGGGACTACAGGCATTCACCACTACACTCAACTAATTTTTGTATTTTTTTGTAAAGACAGGGTTTTGCCACGTTGCCCAGGCTAGTCTCAAACTCCTGGGCTCAGGCAATCCGCCTGCCTTGGCCTCCCAAAGTGCTGGGATTGCAGGCATGTGCTATCACTCCTGGCCAAGAAATTTTTTTTTAGATTTTAAATTTATCTTAAAATAACAAGAAAACCCATGACGTGTTAATAGAAATAACATATTTTGGCCGGGCGCGGTGGCTAATGCCTGCAATCACAACACTTTGGGAGGCTAAGGTGGGAGGATCACTCGAGGTCAGGAGTTTGAGACAAGCCTGGCCAACATGGTGAAACCCCATCTCTACTAAAAATACAAAAATTACCCAGCACGCCTGTAGTCCCAGCTACTCGGGAGGCTGAGGTGGGAGAATCGCTTGAACCCAGGAGGCAGACAGAGGTTGCAGTGAGCCGAGATCATGTCACTGCACTCCAGACTGGGCAACAGAGCAAGACACCGTCTCAACAATAAATAAGAAAAAAGAAATAACATATTTTTATGAGAAATAATTACATTTTCCAAAAGAAAAATAAGAAGAATGGCGTTGTTTTATATTTTTGTAAATCTCTGTTATGTCTGATTCATTAGAAAGGACTTGGAATTGCCGGGTGCGGTGGTTTACGCCTGTAATCCTGGCACTTTGGGAGGCCGATGTGGGTGGATCATGAGGTCAGGAGTCCGAGACCAGCCTGACCAACATGGTGAAACCCCGCATCTCTACTACAAATATAAAAAATTAGCTGGGCGTGGTGGCGGGCACCTGTGCTACTCGGGAGGCTGAGGCAGGAGAATCGCTTGAACCCAGGAGGCAGAGGTTGCAGTGAGTCGAGACCGTGCCACTGCACTCCAGCCTGGGTGACAGAGCAAGACTCCATCTCAAAAAATAAAAAAAAAAAAGAGAAGACCTGGAATTTTCATATCTGCTTCTGTGTTTTGTCTATTGTGATATGTTGTTTTGGAGGGAGTATGAGGAAAATTTTGCCTCACACAGATATATACTACTTGGAAAAGGGAGGAGTATTTTAATAGCCTTTTTGATAACTGTGGATACTCTGATACTCAACTAGAACTCAACAGTTTTTTTTAAAGTTTAGTTGCAATGTGGAGTCTGAAACTGTATCAATGAGCTGTTCACACTGTTACATTGAAAATCATTAGCCTGTCTTGACCTTTGAGTAGCTCATTTGCTCAGGCATGATGTTGTAACACCATGTATTGGTCATCTGGAAAATATTGGCTCCCTGAGTTAGGCGGATTTTCCAAATATTGGCACATAATATTATTTTAGAAATCACGTTTGTTAATATGATTACTGATCTCATTGGAAAAGTCTCTCAGTATTGGGAAGCTGTGCGGGTTATGGTGGTTCATAAAAGTTTTCCAAAAGTCTAATTTTCATTCAGAAACTTGAATTTTGTCATTTGCAACAAATGCTGTCAGTTATTTTTCTGGAAATGACAAGCTCACTTCTTTGATCTTCACAAAAATACACCAGTGTCCAGGGGGTTTCTATCAGTCATTCCTTCAAGTAAAAATAATCTGTGGAGAAAGTGGCCATTTCACCTCCCAGCTCAGTCACGAGTGCTTTTCCTTTGGTACGCGTCACCTGTGTGCCGAGGCACTTTACGCATACTTCTTATTGTCACAAAGCACATGAAAAGGATGTGTACTCTAGGGTAAGGTTTTCATAAAGTAATTTTTACTGTTTCATCAGAGATATTCTTAGATGAAACTGGTGATCTTTTTTTTGACGGAGTCTCGCTCTGTCGCCCAGGCTGGAGTGCAGTGGCATGGTCTCGGCTCACTGCAACCTCTGTCTTCCGGGTTCACGCCATTCTCCTGCCTCAGTCTCCCGAGTAGCTGGGACTACAGGCGCCCGCCACCACGCCCGGCTAATTTCTTTTTGTATTTTTAGTAGAGACGGGGTTTCACCGTGGTAGCCGGGATGGTCTCGATCTCCTGACCTTGTGATCCGCCCGCCTTGGCCTCCCAAAGTGCTGGGATTACAGGCGTGAGCCACCGCGCCCGGCCTGGTGATCTTTTTAATAAGCGTATGGCATGAGTCACCCCATGGCTGCTGGTGAGCTGGGGGCCTTGCCTTGCCTGGTGCTGAGGGGCCAGGAGTTTCACCCGCCAGTACAAATATCAATACTGTGCAAAAGGCAAATAACGTCTGTTATTCTGAAGACAGTTCTGACCTCCTAACCTTTCTGTAAAGGTCTTGGGAGCCCGCAGTCCATGGTCTGTGCCTTGAATACCCACTGGTGAGATGCAGCTTCATCTCATCCGCATGGATCTGGGCTGCGCTCACGCCCCTGCTCCTTTGGGGCTTTTCTGAATGTGAGGCCTTCCCTGACCTCCATATTTAAAATCAGCCCCCCTTCTGCCCCTCACTCCAGCCCTCTAATTTTTCCCCATGTCTCTGTCTCTAACATGCTCTGTCCATTTTGTCTGCCTCCCTCCACTAAAATGTAAGCTCTGGATGGCAGAGATTTTGAGCTGTCTTGTTCCTTGCTGTATCCCCAGCAATTAAGAGTAGTATCTGGCATGTGGAGGTAGTAGCCTGATACGTATTTCAATGAATGAGTGAGCGAATGTGCCTGGGCCACTTTCCGGGGGTCTCCTGGCAGGCCCAAGGGGAGCAGCTCATTGCCCTTGAACTGGCCCCCCTGGGGGTCCGTGCTCCCCACCCCTGATGACTTGTCTTGTTCTCCCTGGCTCCTCAGCCAGTGCTGCCCCACACCGCCGTGTGCCTTGTGTGTGGCGAGGCGGGGAAGGAAGACACGGTGGAAGAGGAGGAAGGCAAGTTTAACCTCATGCTCATGGAGTGCTCCATCTGCAATGAAATCATCCACCCTGGATGCCTTAAGGTGAGTGGCCCAGTGGGGACAGGTGGTGCTGACGCTCTGGGGCAGGTAGGGTTGCTGGAGATGCTGGTGAGATGGTGGGATGCAGGTCGTGCAGTGAATTCCTGGAGGACCCCTGAGTCTGGGTGATCCTGTGTGTCAAGGGATAAGCCCGGGGCAAGGAGGGCCTGGAGTACCTCAGAGACCCAGTGTCATCAAAGGAATAAACACACCCCCACCTCCCAGGATGTCAGAACCAGAGAGGGTTTCCAGAGCCTCAGCAGATGGCAAACACAGGCTGCTTGTTTGTAGCTGGGCCAGAGGAAGCGCCTCCAGGTGGCTCCAGGCTTCTGGGAGAACAAGGCCCCACACCACACTCCTTCCCCCAGCACCCAGTAGAGTCCTCTGCAGAGTCCTTTCTGCATGCCAGGCGCTGAGCTCATGGCTTTACCTGGGTCATACCCCCCCAGTGAGATGGGCACACTAACTTTTATGGCCGAGGGCACCAGCCCACAGAGACGGAGTGTCTTGCCCAGGGTCCCAGAGAAGCAAAGGGGCTCAGCCTCTGAACCCTGGCCTGGATCCACAGCTGCCCGTCTCTGCCAGCCTCTGCAGCTGTGTTTTCTTTTGCCTGGAAACGGGATAGATGTGACGTTGGGGAGGGGGTGCTGCTGCTTCTGGAAGACGTGGCGTCACAGAGCCTTGTGCCCGTGGGCCATCTTCTCCGCCCGTCCCTCTTCTGAGTCCTGGTGTTCCCCGCAGATTAAGGAGTCAGAGGGTGTGGTCAACGACGAGCTTCCAAACTGCTGGGAGTGTCCGAAGTGTAACCACGCCGGCAAGACCGGGAAAGTGAGTGCCGGGCTCCAAGTCCCAGGGTCAGTCGGGAGAGGGGCGGGCCTGGGCCTGGCCGGGACCAGCCTGTCCCAGGAGTTTCAGGCAGGTGGGTTGCCGTCGGCCTGGGGAGGAGGAAGGGCAAGTCCAAAGGTATACAGTTGGTCTGTTCATTCTCTCTTTTTGGCCTACAAGCAAAAGCGTGGCCCTGGCTTTAAGTACGCCTCCAACCTGCCCGGCTCCCTGCTCAAGGAGCAGAAGATGAACCGGGACAACAAGGAAGGGCAGGAACCTGCCAAGCGGAGGAGTGAGTGTGAGGAGGCGCCCCGGCGCAGGTCGGATGAGCACTCGAAGAAGGTGCCGCCGGACGGCCTTCTGCGCAGAAAGTCTGACGACGTGCACCTGAGGAAGAAGCGGAAATACGAGAAGCCCCAGGAGCTGAGTGGACGCAAGCGGGTACGGACCAGGAGGGGCTGGGAGGCAAAGGGGTTGGTCTGGCTGGTCCCGGGTGCTGGGTTGGAGGGATGGGGCAGGGGGTGGGCAGCAGGTAGAGCTTGGGATAATCCCGGCCTCTTGCTGCCCTGAGCAGGTCACCTAAGTCCTGAGAGCCCTGCCCCAAAGAAAGGAGGGGAAAACCAGCGAGTCACTCCTCTTCCCACTCCACCCCCCTTTAGGCCTCATCGCTTCAAACGTCCCCCGGTTCCTCCTCTCACCTCTCGCCGAGGCCCCCTCTAGGCAGCAGCCTCAGCCCCTGGTGGAGATCCAGTCTCACTTACTTCCAGCAGCAGGTGCTCCCACGACGCACGCCCTCCTGAGGCCCCGGGGACTGGCGAGTCCTGGGCTGTCCCCCACCCCACCCCGCTGGTCCTCCACCCCACTGCTGCCTCTCCTGAGGCTTCCCAGGTCTCGGCCCCAGATCTCTGGCTCGTGGTTCTGGCTTGGGGCCTGGGAAGCTGTCTGTGCCTAGAGCCTCTGTTGGTTGGGATGGAAGCTGTGAGTCCAGGGAACCTCTGAGGAGCCTGGTGGCCCTGCTCCACCCACGGGCCGTGCTGTCACCAGCCACAAGGTGGCGCCAGGAGTCTCTCCCAGCTCTAGCCATTCCTGCTGGGCCGGGGATTCCCACAGGGCTGTGCTCCAGAACTGGCTCCCAGAGCCGAGGATGATTTGAATGGGCGGCTGCACATCTCCAGGTCTGTGGGGTGGGAGGTCAGTTGGGTGGGAACAGTTCAACTGTACTCCTACTTCCAGCTTCTTCCTTGAAAGCTGCAGGCAGGGCTCGCCCGTCTGTCGGTCAGACGTGGAGATGGCATTTGTGGGGAAGGCCTCCCTCCAGCCCCTCCTCTGGAGACTGTGGACTCGTGGTGGGGTGGGGTGTCGAGGAGACCAAATCCCACGAGCCCGGGGAGCAAGCTCTGCGTCCTTTCTTTTTCGTGACAGCTCAAACCTGGCAAAGAAGATAAGCTTTTCAGGAAAAAGGTACCATCTTCCCCTCCCTCCTGTGCCCCAGGCCTGAGCGGTTAGAGCTGCACCGCAGCTCCCTGGGCCACAGTCCCGTGGCAGGGGGGCGGGAGGCCTTGGGCGGGCGCAGCCCTGAGCCCCAGAGGCTGACGCGTCTCCGCTCTCGCCCTCAGCGGCGGTCCTGGAAGAACGCCGAGGACCGCATGGCGCTGGCCAACAAGCCCCTCCGGCGCTTCAAGCAGGAACCCGAGGACGAACTGCCCGAGGCGCCCCCCAAGACCAGGGAGAGCGACCACTCCCGCTCCAGCTCCCCCACCGCGGGACCCAGCACCGAAGGGGCCGAGGGCCCGGAGGAGAAGAAGAAGGTGAAGATGCGCCGGAAGCGGCGGCTTCCCAACAAGGAGCTGAGCAGGGAGCTGAGCAAGGAGCTCAACCACGAGATCCAGAGGACGGAGAACAGCCTGGCCAACGAGAACCAGCAGCCCATCAAGTCGGAGCCTGAGAGCGAGGGCGAGGAGCCCAAGCGGCCCCCGGGCATCTGCGAGCGTCCCCACCGCTTCAGCAAGGGGCTCAACGGCACCCCCCGGGAGCTGCGGCACCAGCTGGGGCCCAGCCTGCGCAGCCCGCCCCGTGTCATCTCCCGGCCCCCACCCTCCGTGTCCCCGCCCAAGTGTATCCAGATGGAGCGCCATGTGATCCGGCCACCCCCCATCAGCCCCCCGCCTGACTCGCTACCCCTGGACGATGGGGCAGCCCACGTCATGCACAGGGAGGTGTGGATGGCCGTCTTCAGCTACCTCAGCCACCAAGACCTGTGTGTGTGCATGCGGGTCTGCAGGACCTGGAACCGCTGGTGAGCGGCGGCCTGTGTAGGGCTCTAGGTTAAGGCTCAGGCGGCACCAGGGATGGCCCGTGGTGTGTGGAGTCGCTGGCGATGCTCTTTCCTTCCAAACCCCAGTATGGCTTCATTGTGCTCCGCAAAGCGTTCCAGCTGGCTACAGCGGCCCCTCTGGTCTTGTCAGAGGAGGTGACCCCGTTTATTCCGATTTAGCTTCCTGGAGGGTGAAGTGAGGACCACGTGGAGTCCTTGGCTTCGGAGAGTTAGTCCAGGTTTCCAGCAAGGCTGCGAGTTGCAACTTCAGTCCAGCCGATATTTACCAGCTTTCTGGCCTTAGCTCTGCCTTACCCTCTTGGATGAACGGGCATGACGCCAGCTTCATGGGGGTTGTTTGGAGGAACGGCCGGTAGAGGGCGTTGTAAAGCCCATGGTAAATACTTGATGGAGGCCGGGCGCAGTGGCTCATGCCTGTAATCCTAGCGCTTTGCGGGCGGATCACTTGAAGTCAGGAGTTCAAGACCAGCCTGGCCAACAAGGTGAAACCTCATTTCTACTAAAAATAAAAAAATTAGCCGGGTGTGGTGGCGCACACCTGTAATCCCAGCTACTCGGGAGGCTGAGGCAGGAGAATAGCTTGAACCTGGGAGACGGAGGTTGTGGTGAGCAGAGATTGCACCACTACACACCAGCCTGGGAACAGAGCGAGACTCCGTCTTAATACATACATACATACTTGATGGAGAGTGGAGGCCATGGCTGTTAGAGCAGGTGGGAGGTGCCCGCGTGGGGGCAGGATAGGTGCTACATAGAGAAGGGTCCAGAGCGCTGAGTTAAGGAGCCTCCCAGAGGTTGTTAGGTGGGGACAGTTAAGAGCTGTGTGTGGGCTCCCTAGAGGAGCCCCACCTCTGACGATGTGTCCCCACGGGGCCGGTCCCCAGGTGCTGCGATAAGCGGTTGTGGACCCGCATTGACCTGAACCACTGCAAGTCTATCACACCCCTGATGCTGAGTGGCATCATCCGGCGACAGCCCGTCTCCCTCGACCTCAGCTGGACCAATATCTCCAAGAAGCAGCTGAGCTGGCTCATCAAC
This sequence comes from Homo sapiens, assembly GCF_000001405.40. NCBI lineage: Eukaryota > Metazoa > Chordata > Mammalia > Primates > Hominidae > Homo > Homo sapiens. The sequence goes on along the minus strand of NC_000012.12, from coordinate 121,441,079 downwards.
CGGCTGCCTGGTGAGCCCTGGGCCAGTGGCCCCGAGTGTGTCTGCTGCAGTGAGGGCTGGGGACACATCCCCTGACCTTCACCCTTTTCTATGTCCCCCCAGGGCTCCGGGACTTGGTGCTGTCAGGCTGCTCATGGATCGCGGTCTCGGCCCTTTGCAGCTCCAGTTGTCCGCTGCTCCGGACCCTGGATGTCCAGTGGGTGGAGGGACTAAAGGATGCCCAGATGCGGGATCTCCTGTCCCCGCCCACAGACAACAGGCCAGGTGAGTTGCCAGGCTGGGGGTTTCTGTGGGGGTGGGGTGAGCGAGCTAGACTGTTGGATCTGCTTTTACCCTCAGACCCCAGCTGTTCCCCAAAGGACATAGGGATGAGTCTCTGCTGCCATGTTCTCAGTTTGCTTCAGGCACAGAGGGGATCTGGGAGGAGGCAGGGGCTCCTGTGCACACGTGAGACTCGCTCCTGGGGCTCCGCGTGCGTCTCTCTGCTTTCCTGTTGACTCGCTCATGGGGCTCTGCGTGTGTCTCACTGCTTTCTTATTGACTCGCTCATGGGGCTCTGCGTGCATCTCACTTCTTTTCTGTTGACTTGCCCCTCGTTGGTTTCAAGCCTCCACTGCCATCGGGATCAGTGTGGTTGTGCAAAGGCTTCCAGGATGGCACCTCCCCCTGGACTGGGCTGGACTGCCTAGGTCCGTGCTTCTCGCCAAGCCATGGGGATCGGAGATGCTGCGCAGCCTCTGCACTGGTTGGCTGATGACTACTGGGTGGAATGTGGGCATAGTGTTTCTAGGTCTTTTAGTTTTTCAAGAGAATCTGAAAATCTAAGTTTTGATGTGGAGTCTGATTTTTCACTGTTGGAATTATGATTTTGGGAGGAAGCAGTTTATAACTAAATGAAATCTGAGTGTTCTGTCTGGCTGGTGGGCCTTTTAGAGTGTCATGTCAGCATGACCAGGCCTCCTCGGTCAGATTGACGGGTTGCCCCCTCCTTCCTGCCCCACCAGGTCAGATGGACAATCGGAGCAAGCTCCGGAACATCGTGGAGCTGCGCCTGGCAGGCCTGGACATCACAGATGCCTCCCTGCGGCTCATCATCCGCCACATGCCCCTGCTCTCCAAGCTCCACCTCAGTTACTGTAACCACGTCACCGACCAGTCTATCAACCTGCTCACTGCTGTTGGCACCACCACCCGAGACTCCTTAACCGAGATCAACCTGTCTGGTGAGTCAGGGGCCCCCATCGGGTCTGCCTAACACTCCGTGGGAGAACCAGGAGGTTCACATTTGTGGAAAACGATTCGTGTGTCTACAGCTATGTGGTCACAGTGCTAGGTGTCTCGTTTACTGAGACAGACAGCCCAGTCCAGGGGGGAAACACAGTAAACAAAGAGTTACTGTTGGCCGGGTGCGGTAGCTCACGCCCGTAATCCCAGCACGTTGGGAGGCCGAGGCAGGTGGATCATAAGGACAGGAGTTCGAGACTAGCCTGGCCAACATGGTGAAACCCCGTCTCTACAAAAAAATACAAAAATTAGCCGGGGGTTGGTGGCCGGCGCCTGTAATCCCAGCTACTCGGGAGGCTGAGGCAGGAGAATCGCTTGAAACTGGCAGTGGAGGTCGCCGTGAGCCAAGATGGCGCCACTGCACTCCAGCCTATGTGACAAGACCAAAACTGTCTCAAAAAAAAAAAAAAAAAAAGTTACCATTGGAGTTGTAGTAATTGCTACCCCAAAATAGTGCCAGTTAGCAGCAGCCACAAGCACATAGCAGTGGTTCCTGACCCAAAATACGGACAAGGGACAGCTTCCCGAGGGGGTGCAGAAGAGCCGGTGCCTGACAACCAGGGTGTTGAGACAGTGGGGGCCGGGAGGCAAGGGCCCTGGTGGGCAGGAGGGAGCTTGGTTTCTGCCTTTGCTGTCGTTGCTTACATGCACCCCTTGTGACCCTGCTATCAAGGGGCCTGTTGTTGGAGAGAAAAAAACCCACAGTGAGTTCCATTATTGTTCTCTGTCTGTCGCTGTGGTGCAGGATCTTCGCTCGCTGCACTTGCCGTTGGGGCGGCAGTTGGTTCTGAAGGACTTGGGGCTCCAGTATGCAGCGAGGTACACAGAGCAATGCTGCCTGCTCTTCGCCCAACTAACCCAATTTTGGTCTGGTAGCTTAGGATGGTCTGGATTGGGGGGTGTTGGGTTTGCGTGAGAGCAAAAAAAGAAAGAGAAAAAGAAACTACAGGTTTTTTTTTTTTTTTACCCTTAGAAATTACCAAGTACTAAGGACATCCCCATCTCATCAAATTACATTTTTCACACAGCGCAGTGGTGACATACACGTTGTTTTCTCCTCTGCATCCCACATTTATGCCTGATAAACTGTCTGGCAACCATGCCTCATAGCAGGGGCATGGGAGCTTTGGATGGGATGAGATCATTCGGGACCTAGGAAGCCATTCCTTCTCCTCATGAAGTTTTGGTGGCAGGGATTGTTCCACCTCGTGGACGCAAAGAACCAGAGTGAATTGAGGCTTCTCCAGCTCAAGGGCCAGGTCATGGCCTTGAATGGGTGATGGAGCTGCCCTTTGGAGAGGGCCTGGGAGTCGTCTTACTCTAAGTGCTGGCATTTTATTACATCTCTTCATTATATCCTGGTTTAGTTATTATGGATGCGTAGCAGAGATCTCAGTATAAATTCCCTCCCCTGCGGTGTGGGCCATGCTGTGTGTGTGCATGCAAATCATCTTTTGCATTTTGTTTTTCCAGCATGATAAATTGAGGTCATCTTTTTATCTCAGTGCATACAGCTCTCTGCATTCTTTTTTTTTTTTTTTTGAGATGGAGCCTTGCTCTGTCACCCAGGCTGGAGTGCAGTGGTGCGATCTCGGCTCACTCCAGCCTCTGCCTCCCAGGTTCAAGTGATTCTTCTGCCTCAGTCTCCCGAGTAGCTGTGATTACAGGCGCCTGCCACCATGCCTGGCTAAGTTTTGTATTTTTAGTAGAGATGAGGTTTCACCATGTTGGCCAGGCTGGCCTCAAATTCCTCACCTCAGGTGATCCACCCACCTCTGCCTCCCAAAGTGCTGGGATTACAGGCGTGTGCCACCACGCCTGGCCTGCATTCTTGTTAAGAGCTGTGAAGTATACTAAGGCATATCTCTATACCTAAACTCTTCTAGATTTTCTTAAAAAAAAAAAAAATTCCCCTCTCATCGGTGTAACCAGTTGAGTTACTGGAAAAATAAGCTTGTCCTGATGCAAGCACCAGAGATGGGAAATAAGTCTGTGCCACAAAATAGATGACAGTTGACATGCCTCAAGATCCTTAAACTTGGTTGGAGGATCTGGTCTCGTGACAAGGGAAGTTGCAATTCTAGCTATTGTTCTGGCCGAATTCCATCGTGGAAAATTTACTGGGTGCTCAAGGCAGTCCCCTGCCTTTCCCTTTACCCCATCCTCACTACCTGAGACAATGCCTTAAACTCTTGAATTCTTTCTTCCAGTGTTTACCTCTGCTATTTCAAAATAGCAAGCCTAGTGCTTGCTTTGGCAGCCCATATACTGCAATTTCTTTTTTTTTCCCATGTGGACATTATATATTTATTAGCTTGCTATTATATAACATGAGGATTTATTACTGTTGTATCCTTCCCTCCCACTCCCCACCCGTTTTTCTCCCTCCATCTTTTCCAATTTTTGGTTGTCACTATTCTTTCACTTATTATGACCATGTTAAGTGTTGGTCACTGTTGAGCCAAATAGTGTATTATGAGTACATTTTCTTTCTTGCTCAATGTTTTTATTAATTGCCTCATTTTGCTTAGTTTCTATGCAAATGGTACAACAGAATTGAATGCTCTCCCCCTCCCCACCCCCAACTCATCAGTTTCTTGACCAGTTTTTGTACGAGAGCTGCCTCCTGACTTCTTTTCCTCCCCTTCCGTTTTCTCCTCTGGGACTGCCCGCCCCACTGCTGCCATCCTGGACTCCTTTGGTCTCTGTCTTGGCCTAGGTACCCTCCTTCCTTGATCTCATATCTTCTTTCTTGGTTTACTCTCACATTTGGTGAGAGACATTTTCTAGACCCTGTGTGTCTGAATTTGTTTTTATTATATACCTTCCCATTTAGTTGCTAGTTCTGCTGGGTATAGAACCCTAGTCTGGGAGCCTGTTGCTACAGTAAGTGGGAGGTTTTGCTCCACCATCTTCTGCCTTCCAGAGGCAAGGTCTAAAACCATTTGATTCTTCATCTGTCAGTGAATCTATTTTCTCTCCTTGTAAGTTAATAGAAAGTCGTCTGTAATTGTCTGCAATTTTTGATGACAAACAGGTTTGAGTCCATTTCACCTACCATGCTGAACACTCACAGAAGCCGTTCAGTCTGGACGTCTGTGTTCTTCACTTGTAGAAAAACTTCTTCTTTCTTAACTTCCTCCCCTTCTGTTTTCCTCTTTCTGGACTAGTCCTCTGATTCCTGTCTTCCCTCCTCATTTCCATGTCAATGTCTTTTTGCTGTATTTTCTGGGAGTTTTCCCTTACTTTATCATACAACTTTTTTTTTTTTTTTTGAGATGGAGTCTCACTCTGTCGCCCAGGCTGGAGTGCAATTGCGCGATCTCGGCTCACTACAAGCTCCGCCTCCCAGGTTCACGCCATTCTCCCGCCTCAGCCTCCCGAGTAGCTGGGACTACAGGTGCCCGCCACCACGCCCAGCTAATTTTTTGTATTTTTAGTAGAGACGGGGTTTCACCGTGTTAGCCAGGATGGTTTCGATCTCCTGACCTCGTGATCCGCCCGCCTCGGCCTCCCAAAGTGCTGGGATTACAGGCGTGAGCCACCGCGTCCGGCCACAACTTATACACTGAGTTTTTAGTTTCTGCTGTTGTGCAGTTGAACCATATGAAACTGCTGTTTTTATAAGTCAAAAGTAGTCAAATGTTGGCATTTTCATATGGTTCAACCTATATGTTTAATTTTCAAGCTGTATTCTCTGAACTTTTTGTGGAATGGCCAGTTGTTTCTTGGAGCCAGATAACTTTCCTACCTGAGGATATGAATGATTGTTTTATTTTCTTCTCTCTGCATTGACTGTTCCCTTCAAATGCTGTCAGTGGCCTTCAGCAGAGGCCCTCCTCAGCTTGAATGCTGATGCTTGCTTGTCCCTCCACTCAAGGGTGATCAGAAGCTCTGGGCACGCGGTTGGAGCTTGTCTGCTATGGACGACACTTACAGGGTGGTCTCTGTGTGTCGTTTCTTTGGTGAAACCTGGACATCACATCTTTCCATCTTTCTCTTAAGCTGGTCAGGATTGCCAGAAAGACTCTCCTTGATCTCCTAAGGGTGTAGGGTGGACCGCCATTGGTATGGTCAAGTATGGGGCTTGATGGGGGAAGGAGGTTCTCAACAGTCAGCAGGTAAATTTTCCCTTAGCCCCCACTTTTGAGTGGGCACCCCTAATTTCTGTGCCCACTGGAGCCCAGCCCATCAGAGACTAAAACCCCAGTCTTCTGCTGGGGAAGGAATCTGGACATCTTACTGCTCCTTGAATAGATTTTCAACCAGTGCTTCTGTTACTAACACCATCTTTAGCCCCACTTCCAATGTACATGTCACTTCCAATGCAAGAGGAATTTCTGAGAAATCACAACTAAACACCTTGGAGGTGTTCTATAGAATAATCATTCTTTTCTGCTTTCCCCTCAGCCACTTTAGGGTTAATTAAGCTTTCTCAGGTCTCCTAAATTGTTACCTCTTCTCCAGCTTCCAAAATTAGAAAAATAATTATGTTGTAGTAAAATAATACATAATATAAAATGGACCACCTTAGCCATTTTTGGGCATAGAATTCAGTGGCATTAAGTACATTCACAATGTTGTGCAACTGTCACCAACATCCATCTCCAGACTTTTTTTCTGTTTTAGAGACAGGGTCTCGCTATGTTGCCCAGACTGGTCTCAAACCCCTGGGCTCAAGTAGTCCTCCTGCCCCAGCCTCCCAAAATGTTAGAATTACAGGCATGAGCCACTGCACCTGGCCTTTTTTTTTTTTTTCCCTTTGTTGGCTGTGATTTTGGTGTCATATCAATCTTTGCAAAGTCTAATGTCATGAAAAATTTCCCATTTTCTTTTTTCAACACAAAGTCTTGCTCTGTCGCCCAGGTTTGAGTGCAGTGGTGCAATGTCAGCTCACTGCAGCTTCCGCCTCCTGGGTTCATGTGATTCTCATGCCTCAGTCTCCCAAGTAGCTGGGACTACAGGCACGTGCCACCACACCTGGCTAATTTTTGTATTTTTTAGTAGAGATGAGGTTTCACCATATTGGCCAGGCTGGTCTTGAACTCCTGACCTTGTGATCCACCCGCCTTGGCTTCCCAAAGTGCTGGGATTACAGGCATGAGCCATCACGCACGGCCGGGTCCAGCTTATTCTTTTGCATGTCGAAATTCAATTTTTCCAGCAACATTTATTGAAAAGATTATTTATTACTTCATTGAATGCTGTTGGCAGCACCCTTTTCAAAAATCACTTCACCATATATTTGAGGGTTTGTTTCTGGGCTCCTGATTCTTTTTTTTTTTTTTTTTTTTTGATAGAGAGTCTCGCTCTGTTGCCCAGCCTGGAGTGCAGTGCAGTGGCACGATCTTGGCTCACTGCAACCTCCACCTCCCGGGTTCAAGTGATTCTCCTGCCTCAGCCTCCTGTGTAGCTGGGAGTACAGGTGTGTGCCACCATGCCATGTTGGCCAGGCTGGTCTCGAACTCCTGACCTCAGGTGATCCGCCCACCTCGGCCTCCCAAAGTGCTGGGATTATAGGCGTGAGTCACCACGCCTGGCCGAGCTCTTGATTCTATTCCATTGGTCTATATGTCTATCCTTATGCCTGTAACGTGCTTTATTTATGAATGAATGAATGACGGGGCTTACTCTGTCATCCAGGCTGGAGTGCAGTGAGGTAATCATGGCTCACTGCAGGCTCCACCTTCCAGGCAAAAATGATCCTCCCACCTCAGCCTCCTGTGTAGTTGGGACTAGAGGCACCATGTTTGGCTAATTTTGGTGTTTTTTGTTTTTTTATAGAGACAGGCTTTTGCTATGTTGCTCAGGCTGGTCTTGAACTCCTAGGCTCAAGTGATCCACCCACCTCAGCCTCCCAAGTGCTGGTCTTACAGGCATGAGCAGTCGCGCCCGGCCTATGTATTTTATTTTATTTGGAGACAGGATCTCACTGTGTTGCTCAGGCTGGAATCATACTCCTGGGTTCAAGTGGTTTTCCACCTCAGCTTCAGATTAGCTCAAGTTCTTCAACTTTGTTCTTTTTTTGGATTGTTTGGACAACTTGGAGCCCCATGCATTCACATGAATTTTAGGATAGATTTTTCTATTTCTGCAAAAAATACTACTAGGATTTTATAGCAATTTCATTGAATCTGTAGATTGCTGTGGGTAGTGCTGAGCTGACATCTGTATTAAGTCTTGACTTTCCATTTATTTATGTCTAATTTAGTTTTTTTCAGCAATGCTTTATAGTCTTCAAAGTACAAGTTCTTCCTTGGTTAAATTTATTCCTGAAGCTAGGCATGGTGGCACACACCTATAGTCCCAGCTACTCAGGAAGCTGAGGTGGGAGGATCACTTGAGCCCAGGTGTCCTAGACCAGCCTGGGCAAAGTAGTGAGATTCCAGATCTAAAATGTTTAAAGGCGGAGGGAGAACTGATGAGGATGCTAACAAAAGTGATGTTCCTCCACAGGCTGGCGGGCGGGCAGGCGGGCCCCACGCGCCAGCAGGAAACATCTGTCAGCCTGCCTGTGGAAGGTCCGAGAAACCAGGCTGCAGTGAACTCTAACGCACAGAGGGACCAAAGAAAGTCTTTTCCTTCTAGCTTCTTTGTTGGAAGGGTCTTTGGGCTCCAGTTTTGGGGAATATGTGAACCACAAGCCAGGAAGAATGCTGGCTGGGCATGAATGAGCCTCCAAAGAGGGCCCAAATTAGTACCCAAAGACAACTCAGAAAAGGAGCCAGCTGGGCCTCCAGGTCTCACTTCACACCAAGTGCTGCCTTACCACCGACAGGTAACTGCCAGGATGCACTTGAGGCCCCCTCAGCCGTCTGACAGCTACAGGCCACAGCAGTGTGCCAGCCAGATGGCAGAGTTCTCTGGCATGGGAGCTGCCTGCTCTGGTGCTTGAAGGTGTCAAGGGAGAGGCAGGACTTGGGTCAGTCCCTTCTAGCCAGGAACTAGGCAAACATTACAGGGGAAAAATATCCCTGAGCTGGTGATGGAGTGGGGACAGCATAGCTGCATCTGAGTAAGGAATGAGACGCATTCTGGGGATGAGCTAGACAGTGCTCTGGAAGGCAGATAGGGAGCTGGGAACAGGGTCAAGATGGAAGATTCTGAGGGTGATTTCTTGCTGAAAATGTCTAGCCTGAATCTAAGCAAGCCTCTGGGATATCTGCAGTTTATAGGAAAAACAGGAGAGATGGAACAAGCTAAATGACACCTTTAAGATGACAAGTGTGAATGTGGGACATCCTCTAAGAAAACCATCCTGGTCAGACAGGCTCAACACCTATATCCCAGTGGTCTGGGAGGCTGGGTGGGGAGGATCACTTGAGACCAGGAGTTCAAATCTAACTGGTCAACATGTCATAGTAAATAATGAAAAATGAAAAGTATATGAAAATAAACATATTAGTAAAATCCCTATTCTTTATACTTAAAATGAATCAAGTATTGAGTTTTGGGGATCATGAGTTTCCCGAAGGAATTGTATGATAACATTCTACAACTTCCTTCATCATTGGATTTTGCAGTAAGATTATGAAGAGGGTCAGCCATTTGAGGGGGAACTACTTGAGGGATTAATTAGAAGATTAAGGGATACCCTTTGAAAAACTGAGTTATTGCCGGGCACGGTGGCTCACACCTATAATCCCAGCACTTTGGGAGGCTGAGCTGGATGGATCACTTGAGTTCAGGAGTTCAAGACCAGCCTGGCTAACATGGTGAAACCCCATCTCTACTAAAAATTAAAAAAATTAGCCAGGCGTGGTGGCCGGCACCTGTAATCCCAGCTACTTGGGAGGCTGAGGCAGAATCGCTTGAACCTGGGAAGGGGAGGTTGCAGTAAGCCGAGGTCGTGCCACTGCATTCCAGCCTGGGCAACAAGAGCAAAACTCCATCATCTCCAAAAAAAAAAAAAAAAAGAAAAAAGAAAAAAACCCATGAAAACCTGAGTTATCTGTTGAAGCATCTCTCGTTTTCCCATCTTCAGTCCAAAAGCAGGGCCTTCACTTGTGAATGCCTATGTGTATGTAGACAGCTTTCCAGCACCACTGCTCCAGGTTCACGAATTGGTGAGCATCTGTTTGAAGATTCTGTGCTGATGTGGAGGCCACTGTCTGAAAGGACTAGCTGTATAAAGGAAGTCAGTTTGGTGGCGTATGTGGTGCTCTGACTTTACTACTTTACACCACCTCCTGGCTTGCAGGGATTTTGATAACATGTAGATAGCACAGATGTTGTATGCATGATTGCGGTTTGCCCTTCGTATTTTTATTCCCACTCAATTTAATAAAGAAATGAAAGTGTTGATACTAAGGATGATTAGCAAAGGTCACAAATGTAATACCATTGAGGCCAGGCACAGTAGCGCAAGCCTGTAATCCCAGCACTTTGGGAGGCTGAGGTGGGCGGATCACATGAGGTCAGGAGTTTGAGGCCAGCCTGGACAACATGGTGGAACCCAGTTTCTACTTACTACAAAAAAAAAAAAAAAAAAAAAAAAAAAGTTGCACATGGTGGCACACGCCTATAATTCCAGCTACTCAGGAGGCTGAGGCAGGAGAATCACTTAAACCTGGGAGGCGGAGGTTGCAGTGAGCCAAGAGTGCACCATTGCACTCCAGCCTGGGTGACAAAAGCGAGACTCTGTCTCAAAAAAAAAAAGCACAAAGGGTGTGTCTGCAGATGAGGGTGTGATGAAGTCTGAATTCTGCTTTTGCTAGAAGGGCATGTTGGTCTGGTGTCTAGGCTGCTGGCACACGGTCAGTCCTGGAGTTAGGGCCAAACAGCTGTCCCTCATGCTGTGAATTGCTCCAAAGCACTGCGGCCTGCAAAAGCAAAAATGATCCCAAGATGCCCTTAGGGATGTTCTTTCTGTGACCCAGCAATGCCCCTCTGGGAATTTATCTGAAGGGAGGAGGCAAATAAATGCACAGTAATAGACATAGAGCAGTACTCATCAACAACATATTAGATGAGAAAAGCAAGCTACTTGACATGGTGTGTGAACCTATCATTGTAAAAGCACATAGAACTACTTACATGAGCATACGCACGTATAGAGGCAGCTGTGTGGTAAATCAGAAGTGATTTTCACGTGGTTATCTGAATGCTTTTGAGGCATATATTAACCTTTATACCTGGCGGGTGAGACCCTTCCCCGTTTGAAGAAGAGAGATTTTAAGCAAATAACATTTTATTTAGTGCAGCACAGCAGGGACTGGAATATGTAGAGCTCTGACCTGTCCCCACTGCTGAGTGCCTGGGTCTGGCGGCGGGGGGGCTTCTGGCTCCTGGCCTTCACACCTCACATTACTATTTCTTCTCTGCAGACTGCAATAAGGTCACTGATCAGTGCCTGTCCTTCTTCAAACGCTGTGGAAACATCTGTCATATTGACCTGAGGTACTGCAAGCAAGTCACCAAGGAAGGCTGTGAGCAGTTCATAGCCGAGATGTCTGTGAGTGTCCAGTTTGGGCAAGTAGAAGAAAAACTCCTGCAAAAACTGAGTTAGTCCAAGGATAAGTATGTAAATACGGGGCGGGCTCTGGGAGGGGAGAGACTTTACAAAAATGAGGGCTTTTATTTTCCATTTGGAACGTGGGACAACAGACCACAACGCAATTCCATTTTGCAAGTCTTTCCAAGGGAGAAGCTGTTCAACCACCCGTTTGGGGGATGAGTGAGCCGACACTTTCCTTTGGTCTTTCTGAATCGTAACTGCACTGCTTTCTGGACCATTTCTAAGGCGGCCTTTACAAGAAGACATTCCTGTCGGAGAGGAGGGTGGACTTCGGAGAAATTCTCATACTGAAGCATGAGCTTAGGAGTTTCTGTTAGTGGTAGTGGTGTTTTGGACACTTCATTCCTTGCAACACCGAGGTTTTGGGTGTTGACATAAAGTGGACCACACACCACATCTGCTGCCGTCTTGACACTTTTTTTTGTTTGGTTGGTTTTGTTACATCTTACATTATGCAGAACTATTTTTGTACAAATTGTTTAAAAGTTATTTATGCAAGGTTTGAATGCATACCAGTGTTTTTATTGTTTTGAGATTGCCAATTTTCCTGATTTCCTTAAGGTAGGAGAGAATTTAACGTGTACTTCATCGACACAACCCATCTACAAATGTGCCCAGATCTAACAAAGTAGGCTAAGACCTTCCACTTAAAAGCATGTTTAACTGGAAGTTGAGAGTCTGCTTTGTACCTCAAGAGTTACATGAGCATGTTGTGGATAAATGTAAATTATAGTCAAAGTAAGATACTCTGCCAAGTTTCCTCTGTAGAGAATTCACTTTTCTCAAATTTTAAAATTTCGACTTCAGCCTTTGCACTCAGGAGGTTCTGCTCCAGCATGAGCTCTTGTACTTACATAGATCTAATTTATACAGTGAGTCAAGACGTAGAATAAATGCTCCCACATAGCCTTTCTTTTGCTTTTGCTTCTCTCCTCTGAAGTGTGAGTTGAGTTCTCATTTAGGTTTGTAACATGGCTATTTCCTAGTTGTAAAGTTCTGCATTTATAAGTGCCATTGTTGTAAGGTGGTGTTTCCTAGACCTTCCCTGATGCGATTTTACCTTTGTTGAATTTGTATAAACAATTGTACAAAAAAAACCACTCTTGAACTTTGAGGGTTTCTGTTCTAGGAGTGGACTAGAAGTTTAAGCCCAGAGTCAGTAAACACTGTTTTGAAGTCCAAACAATGTAATTTCTGATTCATCTGATGTACCCTGTGGTGCGTCATTTCTCTTTCTTCAGAAAGCAAGCAAGCTGTTTCTGGCTAGTAAAGGTAACGGGAAAGAGCTATACTCTGACAACGGCCACGCGTAGGAATTAGACACAGACTTCTTTAAGGAGAAGAGCTGCTCATCATCTGTCTGTGTGCCTCTTACCACACAGAATTAATTCCATGGCTACTTGCCATTACCATTGCCTAAAAGTTCGCCAGATTTGGGAGACAGTGGGAGCAACTGCAGGAGGCTGCATCCTGTACAGGTAGCCTTGGGCCATGGTGGCTGTAGGAAACACTTGGTCATGAGGTGGCTTCCCCAAGTGGCAGATGCAGAAACCAGTGAGAAGTAATTTTAGATTACGGAATTTTTTTTAAAGACAGGACCCTGCTGGCGATGTCATATTCACATACAGAAACAACTGCTCTAGTGAATCTGAAGATGGAGAAAGTAACCAACCTCCTTCCTCAGTGATTGATAAGAGCAATGTACGATGTTGCCCCTGTGGAAGAAGCCTTTTCTTGCTGATGGCTGAGTTTTCTATTTGTCCCTTTTATTTTTACTATGGCAAAACAGTTTTAATTAAAATGAGACAAGGCCACGTGGAGTGGATCCAGCACTTTGGGAGGGATCACCTGAGGTCAGGAGTTCAAGACCAGCCTGACCACAATATGGTGAAACCCCATCTCTACTAAAAATACAAAAATTAGCCAGGAGTGGTGGTGCATGCCTGTAGTCCCAGCTACTCAGGAGGCTGAGACAGGAGAATCGCTTGAACCCAGGACACGGAGGTTGCAGTGAGCTGAGATTGCGCCATTATACTCCAGCCTGGCGACCGCGAGACCGCATTTCAAAAAAAAAAGAGAAAGATCTCATCTAGATACATGTCTCCTGTTAATTTAAATCCACAGACCCTTGTTGACTCAATCTAAAGACACTTGAAGCCACTGTACCCCAGAATTTAACTCAGGAATCCACTTCACTCCATGGTTTATAAAAATGTGACTTTCTTTTGTAAGCCTGATTGATTGTTTAAAATGCAGTGTCCTCATGAATGGTAATATTTGTTTTCTTGACAGCCTGAGTTCTCCAAACCTCCAAACATTAATAATATAGCTACCCTGATATCCAGTAAAGTCATCCTCTTCCTTAAGAATTGCTTTAAGGTTAATCATTGTTCTCTGGTGAACGGATCCCGTAGTCACTCATTAGTAGCCAAGACAGATTTGTGGCTGCAACTGGGACTAGTTAAGGGAAGTAGGGCTCAGGGTTAGAAGGCAGTGTTTCTCCTCTAAGGGTTCCTGGAGCACACAGGTCTGCTAGGGAGGGGCTGCCAGGGCTGGGGATCCAAGCCACCACATGGATGTGCAATACAGCAGAGACACAGCAGATCTGTAGTTTCAGGACAGGCCATTGTATAACACAGTGGCCATAAACTCTCCCAAGAGTACTGAACAATCCAGTAAGATTGTACTTCAGTACAAATCCATGGTCTCTGTACAGACCTATTTTATTTTATTTATTTTGAGACAGAGTCTCGCTCTTGTCCAGGCTGGAGTGCAGTGGTATGATCTCAGCTCACTGCAACCTCTGCCTCCCAGGTTCAAGCAATTCTCCTGCCTCAGCCTCCCCAGTAGTTGGGACTACAGGTGCCTGCCACCATGCCCAGTTAACTTTTGTATTTTTAGTAGAGATAGGGTTTCACCCACCATGTTGGCCAGGCTGGTCTCGAACTCCTGACCTCAGGTGATCTGCTGGTCTCAGCCTCCTAAAGTGCTGGGATTACAGGGATGAGCCACCGTCCCCAGCCTCTTTTATTTTTAAAATGAGCCAAAGATGAGGCCAGCCGAGGCTAAATGCTACAAGCAACTACTCTGAGCCTACACGCCATGTCTGATGAAGTAATGAAAGGACCATAAACCCAAGGGAATGTTTGCTGTGTCAAATCACAGCTTAGTAACCTAGAAAAGAGGCTCTGTCCCTTCCTCTAGGGAATCTGATGTTTACAAAGGAAGACACCATGGCACCTCAAATGACATCCTTTCATATTGTGAAGATGGGATAAAGAGACTTCACTGTATTCCACTGCAGACTTATCCATATGACATGACCTATTTAAAAAATTTACTTAAAGCAGCATGGGGCTGGGTGCAGTGGCTCATACCTGTAACCCCAGCACTTTGAGAGGCCGAGGCGGGCGAATCACCCGAGGTCAGGAGTTTGAGACCAGCCTGGCCAACATGGTAAAACCCTGTCTCTATTAAAAATACAAAATTAGCTGGGAGTGTAGTATGCACCTGTGATCCCAGCTACTCAGGAGGAAAAGGCAGAAGAATCACTTGAACCTGGGAAGCGGAGGTTGCGATAAGCCAAGATTGCACCATTGAACTTCAGCCTGGGCAACAGAGCAAGACTCTGTCTAAAAAAAAAAAAAAAAAAAAAAAATTGTTTAAAATTATCCAGGCATGGTGGTATGCATTATATGCCAGCTCCTGGGGAGGCTGAGGCGGGAGGGCTGCTTGAGCCCAGAAGTTAAGACTGTAGTGAGCTATGATCATGCCACTGTACTCTGCCTGGGTGGGCAACAGCAAGACTCTGTCTTTAAAAAAAAAAGGGGGGGGAGGGGGTAGAAAGGCATGCCAGTTTAAAAATTCAAATTCCAGGGGGAAATGCTTGCCCTCTGCCAAACAAGCCAATTTCCAAGTATCAAGCCTGTTACACTAAACATTTCTGTTGTCTGACATTTCTATTATCTGGCTAATAAACCAGGGTTACTTCAAACTACTATCTAAAAAATCCACCAAGCATTTTGTACTCTTTCTATAAAGAAGCCACTAAAACTTAATACACAAATCTAAGAGTAAACATTAAACTGCTTTAAACTAAGACTGTATAAATCTGAATTTTTGAATTTAAGTTTAGACAAAACCAGCACCTACTGCTTAGCTTCTATGGCCTGGATTTAAAGACTTGCCACCACCAAGTTACCAATTTGGAGGAAATGTTAAGATTTCCAGAGTCTCATCAAAAGATTACTTTGGGAGGAAGAGGCGGGTGGATCATGAGGTCAGGAGATTGAGACTATCCTGGCTAACACAGTGAAACCCCGTCTCTACTAAATATACAGAAAAATTAGCCGGGCGTGGTGGCGGGTGCCTGTAGTCCCAGCTACTTGGGAGGCTGAGGCAGGAGAATGGCATGAACCCAGGAGGTGGAATTTGCAGTGAGCTGAGATCACGCCACTGCACTCCGGCCTGGGCAACAGAGCGAGACTCTGTCTCAAAAAAAAAAAAAAAGTTTAGACAAAAAGCACAAGTGCCCACAAAACTCTGGCAACTTATGCTGCTTCTAAAGGGAAACCATGACCTGCTCAAGCCAGTTACTACCAATTGTGGTTGCAGACAAACAAGTGGGAGGCCTTGATTTACATGCTTTGATCTTCAAAAGCAGAAAATTTTTTTCTTTACTATTAGCCACACAAACTTTCTGCCCAAAGCACAGGGGCATCTGCCTCCTGGTGTTCACAGGTATTTTCAGCTCTGTTGATGGACTAATAAATTCTGAGCACCCAAGGCCATATGTGTTACTCACTGCACAGTCAGGAGATAACAGACTCTGAGAAGTGGCCACTCCCAGCTGCACTGAAATGACAGTTGGTCTCAACTCAACCATCCTGAGTCAAGTCAAGTTGGACCTAAAAGAGATTTCACAACATTTTTGCATAATAGCTCAAGTTCCTCTTTTTTTTTTTTTTTTTTTGAGACGGAGTTTCGCTCGTCGCCCAGCCTGGAGTGCAATGGCACGATCTTGGCTCACTGCAACCTCCGCCTTCCAGTTTCAGGCGATTCTCCTGCCTCAGCCTCCTGAGTAGTTGGGATTACAGGGACCCGCCACCATGCCCAGCTAATTTTCGTATTTTTAGTTGAGACAGTTTCACCATGTTGACCAGGCTGGTCTCGAACTCTTGACCTCATGATCCACCCGCCTCAGCCTCCCAAAGTGCTAGGATTACAGGCATGAGCCACCACACCTGGCCCAAGTTTCTCATTTCTTATGTGGTACTGGAAGGGTTAAGAGCAACTCTGGCATCAGAGCTAGGTTCAAATTCTGCATAGCCACTTTTTAACCATGAGGTTTTAGACAAGTCTAACTTCTCAGAGGTTAGAGAAGCAAAGCAATGTTTATTTCAGAAAGTTGCTTTGAGGACTGCAGAGGCAACTACAGCACCTAGCGCAATACCTGGACACAAGAAACAGCACATCAGCAGTTAACCTTACTGATAAGCAAGCAGGAAATGTAAGCACTGTTGCTCATGTGGCATTGTTTTTTTCTTTTTTTTCTTTTTTTTTTTTTTTGAGACAAGGTCTGGCTCTGTTACCCAAGTTGGATTTCAGTGGTGTGATCTTGGCTCACTGTAACCTCCACACCCAAGGCTCAAGCCATCCTCCTACCTCAGCCTCCTGAGTAGCTGGGACTACCACGCCTGGCTAATTTTTTCCAAAGACAGGGTTTCGCCATGTTGTCCAAGCTAGTCTTGAACTTGTGAGCTCAAGCATTCCTCCAGCCTCAACCTCACAAGGTCCTAGGATTACAGGCGTGAGCCACCGCACCCGGCCCCCATGTGACATCTTTGAAGGTGCTCCCACCATCTCTTCTGAAGAGGGGTGCTAGGCCAGGTCACTTGATTTAGGAACTGACCAAGACAATGTAAACAAAAGCTTTTAAAACTAATTTTATTCCTAAAGTTAAAATCAGCTAGCGGGTAGCACTGAAAATACACCTTCACTATACAAAACAATGTAAACTGATTACACATTAATAAGGAATTTAGCACACACACTTCTAATAAAAGAAGCTAGATGCAGCCCTTGCTATAAAAAGCTATACCTGAACAAAAATGGACATGTGGAGTCTAAGGCCCTGGCAGTCGACTAGAGAATGTCAGTTGTTCCCAATTATGTTTAAATGCAGAAACAGCAACAATGTGGAAACTTACATTCATCAAATGTTAGCATTTAAAATATACATGACTAATAAAGTGAACATTCAGAGGAGCCACTGCTCAGCATGTTCCATGTCGGCCACTTGTGGACACTGATCTCATCCAAAGAGGACAGAAGTTTCAAACATCTGAGCAGTTTAAGTTAAAAATAGGATGAAGGGGAAATAAGAGAACAGGATAAGTGTCCTCCCAAGACAGCAGTGGCTGATGCCCACATGGCGCAAACAGGCTGACTTCAATGAGTGTTCACGGGATGTGTGATAAAGCCCAGCTGAGCCCGGGAAGCTCACGTGTCCACAGGCAGACAGGCTCACGGCATGGACCAATGTTTCCACAACTCAGGATGGATCTTTCTGTCCCCACTTAGTAGTCAAAATAATGTTTTAAAATAGCTTCAGCCTTTGAACATAACTTTCCAGTCCCTTCTGTGCATTGAAATGTTGGGGGTCAAGTTTGGGGGTGACTGTCCTGGTGAGGGGAGCCTGTTTCAGGACTTGAACACGTGCACGGCTCGCACCACATACTGCCGGCAGATGGGACACTCACTCATGCGCTTGCCGCACTTGGTGCAGGTAACCATGTGCCCACACTCCAGTAGGACACAGTCGATGACGGCATCCATGCAGATGCGACACAGGCTGTCGTCTTCCTCATCCTGCAGCTGCAGCCGCTCGCCATCTGAAAGGCAACAGAGAGCTAAGGCCTCGGCTTCAGGCATGGCCAGTCAGCCAGCCACCCTCCCAGTCCGAAGCTGAGCAGCCACCTGCTGAATGACCCCTGCAGGCCCAATGCCACCCCAGTGTTGTACAAGAAATAATCCCAACTTCTCTGCACTTTGGTTCTCTCCACTAGAAATGGCAATGATAAAAGCTATACCTCAGGGTTTTGTAAAGAATAAAATGCTTGACGTACCCAACAAATGTTAGCTATGTATTTCTATTTTATATCTTTGTCTAATTCAAGACATCTGTGATAGGGATATATTACTTCTGTAACTAGAAAAAGAAACCCTCAGCTGGTCTTCTGTAGATGGGCTTTGGAGTCAGGATGCTATTGGAATTTAACTCAGTTGCCCCAGCTTTGTAGCCCTGGGAACACCACAGTCTCTGGAGCCTCATCTCAGTAGGAAAAGGAGCCTTAGTTCCCCCTTAGGAAAGTTAGGAATAATTGTGCATCCTTCCCTCCCTAGCCTTAGAATCATCTCAAGCCATCTGTGTTCCTGGCCCTGCTGAAGTCTAACTTGAAAGAGATGGGCCGTCCTGGCTCTTGGCCCACCTTTACATCTGAGAAAATCCAGTCTGTGAATAAGAAAGACGATGAATAAGTTAAAAAAAAGTTAACCCCAGCCTGAGATTTGGCCATAGGGCTATGGATTTGGGTGCTTCCCTTTCTACAGGTCAGAGGAGATCAAAGGGAATCATGAATAGTTGGAACAGAACAGGAATTCAAGCTTGAAAGGTCAGTAGTCTCTAGATTTAAGAGAAATGTTTTACTGCCATTCATGGGGAGAGATTCTTGTGATCTGGGGTCTTAGTTCATGGCCCACGACTACTGGTGTGGACCTGGGGAGAAAGGATCTATGGGATGAGATGGCAGATATGCCAATGGAGAAGGCACTAGGCAACTCAAGATGAAATCAGAGTGGGCCTTGGTCTCTCCTTCTGTGTGGAGGGTTCCTTCCCACTCTTTAGAACTTAGGAAAGCAGAGGAGCCAGTATCTTGTCAGGGATATGGGAACAATCTTGGTAGTGACTTGGAGCCAGTCAAGCTAGGAAAGATGCCAGCTGTGCTCAAAACAAAATGTGTGTTCCACCCAAGCCAGAGATTGAACTAGGGTTAGATTATGCAGTGAGTTAATGGAGAAAGACACTGGAAACCATGCTGTCATAATAACAACCATGTTATATCCTACGCCGCAAAGTACTTAAGGGTGGGAATGGCATTATCGTTGTGCACTGTACATAGTTGCTATTTACATTTATGAAGTCAACTGACTTCTCCCCTCACTGCCAGAAAACCATTTCCCAGCCAGCAGCCTACGACCTCTGAAAGCTCTGAGGATGAAGATTCCTGCATCTACCACTGTGACATCATCTTTGAAGTAGGATTGCCAAAATATTTTGTGCATATTCTGGGCATAAACCTGTTCATCAACAAATGCTGTATTATAACCAGCTTTTAAAGGACAAAACTCAAGATGATAAAAGTTAATGATGGGAGGGCTGTTTAAGCTAGATAGGAACATAAGATTTGTTAGTCTGAACACCACTGAGGGTCAGGCATGGTGGCCCACGCCTAATTCAGCACTAGTCTGGGCAACATAGTGAGACCCTGTCTCAATTTAAAAATATTAAGTACATATATATTTTTTTTACAATTAAAAAGAAAAAAATAAATACAACTGAATTATTTTTTCTTGTCCATAAATGTTCCGTGGCTTGATCGTGTTACCAGCTGAGGAAGAATTTCTGTGCCAAATTTCATCAATGTATAGTTGAGAAGTTTTTGTTCTGTTTTGTTTTGTTTTGAGACAGTCTTGCTCTGTCACCTAGGCTGGAGTGCAGTGGCATGACCACGGCTCCCTGCAGGCTCAAGCAATCCTCCCCCCTCAGCCTCCCAAGTAGCTGGGACCACAGGCTGGTGCCACCACACCAGGTTTTTTTGGTTTTTTTTTTTTTTTTTTTTTTTTTTTAGAGATGGGATCTCTCTATGTTGCCCAGGCTGGTCTCAAACTCCTGGGCTCAAGTGATCCTCCTGCCTCAGCCTCCCAAAGTCCTAGAATTACAGTTGTGAGCCACCAAGCCCAGCCTAGTTCAGAAGTTCTTAACCTCAGCTTTTTGTGACTTACACAGAAATCTACAGATAGTTGATGCTAAGAACTATGTAACATCTGGGCTATAGGGAATTTTCCCCCTACTGTTAGATTTAAAAGTTGAGAGAACCAAGGTACTGGCCGGCCAAAGGCATTAGTGAGAAAATAAGCATTTTTACAGAGACGAGGAATTTAATTAGGGTTGTAACAAATAGTTAATTATAGTAAGAAAAACCAAATTGAATAATTTTCTAACTCACTTGGCAGTGGTGGTCTCGCAGCCATAATGAACATCACATAATGAAGTTACTCCTTTCCAGATCTATAAACAGGCTCATGTAACTAACTGATACTCAGTAAAATGGTACACAGCTTTCTCAAAAATAAATTTGACTTAATTGTGACAAAAACAACCCAGTTTTTAAAAGCCTAAGGAAAAATACTACAGGGAAAAAATGAAAAGATAAACCTACAGGACTTTTGGTTTTCTTCATTCTCTTTGTATAACCGGTTTACTTTCTCTACCAGTTCCCATTTTTCACAACAGCCAGAATAGTTGACAAAATTCCGAGCCAGAATTTCCTTCAGCTGGCGCACGCTCATTCCTTCCACATCATCAAGGCTTGACAAGTCAGACAGTGAAGCTCTCACTCTCTCCTTGGAGAGCCCGGGGTTCTGAAACCACAGAGCATCCATTAGCCCTGGTCCCATAAGTCCAGACCCTCCCCACTCTAAACTCATCACTGGCCCTGAATATTCTCCCAGCCATCTCAGCAGTCCTAGAAGTGTTTCAGTATACTGTCCTACATTCAAACCAGAAGAAACATCCTGTACTAATCTAGCGAATGTCCACAGGGCACTGTCCCTTCCTGTCAGGCTGACATGTCAGGGAAACCAAATTTTATAGGTGGCCTCACCCGATCCTCTGCGTTTTCTTCTTCATCATCATCATCCTCATCATCGTCGTCATCATCATCTTCTGTGTTTGCTGAAGTGATTTCACTTTGTACCTACACTTATACAACGTATCTGATTAGGTCAGGAATCAATCTGTATTTATCACTAGAGAAAACCTTGTCATTGATGCTCCCCATGATGACCAGAAAGCCAGCATAATGCACATCTTTGGATTCAGAATGCTGCTGACCCTTCCAAAAAGTTGGGCCCTACAAAATTGCATGAAGAACCTACCTTCCATAAAGTTAGCTCAAAACACAAATTCCTGTGTGTGTGTAAAGTTATAAAATCTAACCAGAGTATTAACTCTCTCAGGAAGGTCCCATAATGGAATGCCAAAGCCATTAAGGATATGGGACAGCACTGTGTCATTATCAAAGTACCTGCAAATGGCTAGTTTAACTGGAGCCTGTAAGATGCAGACAGAAAAAAGCTAAAGCTCTGATGGGTCAGCCCAAGCATCAGGGGCATCTGATTTGAAAGATCTCAGTCCTACCACAGCGTACTTAGACAATCTAATTCCAACGAAGGCTTTCTAGACTTCACTGATGGCTGAGGCTAATTCTAGTTTTTAAAATTTCTCAATCAGAACACTTTAGAAAACACAAATCTCTTCAGTTTGGGTTATGTACCTTCCTTCACATATTTTCTTTTGACTATATTTGACAATAGCTCTCCAATAAGCTAGGTCGGTTCCCAATTTCAAATATTCCACCCTGATTGCCAGGCACCATACTGTAGCATCCAACAATCCACATCACCCAAATGGTGGTGTATACCCAAAAGGGGTATGTAAGTCAGCTGTGCCTTATGTTTGCAGCATAAATATGCCAATTCTCATTTGGGAGAATAATAAAACTCCTGGCTTGGACTTATCTAATTTACGACTACAGTATGTGTTGCTTGACGACTAGGAGACGTTCTGAGTAATGTGTCCTTAGGCGATTTTGTCATTGTGCGAACATCACAGTGTACTTCCACAAACCTAGATGGCACAGCCTGCTACACACCTAGGCTATAGGGCATGGCCGGCTACGAAGCCGTACATCACGTTAGTGTACTGAATACTGTAGGCAGCTATAACACAGTAATAAGTATTTGTGTATCTAAACATATCTAAACACAAAAAAGGTACAATAAAAATATGGTATTATAATCTTACAGAACCACTGCCGTGTATGTGGTCTATCACTGACCAAAACATTATTAGAGGACACAGGACTATATCTAGAAGGCAATTAGACCAAATTTCCCTCTGCATTTATTCATTTACTAATTAAAAGACACTCTTGGCCAGGCGCGGTTGGCTCATGCCTGTAATCTTAGCACTTAGGCCAAGGCAGGTAGATAACCTGAGGTCAGGTATTCGAGACCAGCCTGACCAACATGGTGAAACCCCATCTTTACTAAAAATACAAAAATTAACTGGGGTGTAATCCTAGCTACTCGGAAGGCTGAGGCAGGAGAATTGCTTGAACCCAGCGGGGCAGAGGTTGCAGTGAACTAAGATCTCGCCACTTCACTCTAGCCTGGGCAACAGAGTGAGACTCTGCCTCCAAACAAAAAAAAAAGTCTTGCTATGTTGCCCAGGCTGGGGGTACAGTGGCTATTCACAGTTGCAATCATGGTACACCTGCAGCCTCGTACTCCTGAACTAAAGCAATCCTCTTGCCTCAGCCTGCCAAGTATCAGACTGCAGGCTCACACCACCGCATCCAGCTTTCCTCTACTTTTAATAACCCCCTTCTTCAGAGAAGAAAATTAAGCGTGAAAAAATTTGTTCAAAACATTTCTTTCAGCAGTTTAGAATCACTCACGTACAAGTAAATATTAATTACAAGCCTTTACATGTTATTCAATCAGGATGTCCAAGGACCTCACTGGGACAATATTATTAATTACAATTAGTAAATAACTACATTTTTTCACTAATTCAGATGGCTCTTTCATTAACTAAATTAGAACAATTTCACTGTAGCAAGACAAATGGGCATTAGGCTAACTTACACTACTGATTGTTTTCTGTGGTCACTGAAACACGTGCACTAACACATAACACTACAAATGTGTATGTGCTACTTTTTCACAGCCATTTCTTCAACAGTTAGTGTCTAACTGTGTAAGACAGAGAAATTAACTAAGGCCAAGAGACTGATGAGCTATTTTGGGACCCTTCAGACAGCAGACTTTGGAGCCACCTAGCACCTCAGCAGACACTATACATCAGGACAGCCTTTAAGTGCAGAGTTCAGCTGGGTGTGGAAGCTTCACTCCAGCACATGACTTGAAGTTTATCAGAAGTCATCAAGCACTAAAGGCCCCACCATATACGGCCAAGAATAAGCGTGCCGGGCCCTGGGTGTAATTAGTTACCCCCTCGTACCTGTGCCGGCACTCCAGATCTGGATGTTTGGTCTCCATCCATAAGCTCTCCCTGAAACGAAGACATAGTAGCAGAGGGGGCTGTATAGTTTGAAAAAAACGAACGTGTAAAAAAGCTAGAAGTCTGGGACCTTGAAGAATTCAGACTGCTTGTGTCCATGTCGTCCTCAGAGCCTAGTCCATGATGGCACAGTACTAGATCCACCAAGTCTTCTTTCTCACGACAAGTATCTATGGGTATATTTCTCAGAATGAGATACTGCCGCAGGTCCTTCACCTTCAGTCGCATTAACTGAGGGCGCTGAAATGCTGTCTCTTGTAATAAGTGACAAGTAGAACATCTACGGAGATTTTCTTGTAAGACTGAACAAACGGAGCAAAAATCCTTCTTGCAGTCACAGCAAACATGCTGAAGAAAGAAAAGCATTTGATGACAGCAAGATATAAACCATTATGAAAGCATGAGTTTTCTTTCTGCCTTCTACTAAAATTTAATTTTAGTTCTTAGTGAAGTCCCCAGTGGCACCAGACTATTTCCAGAGGTATTTTCATGTTTCAAAAGCCATGAAAATCAAAATATTCATTGCCAAGGCAGTCTGGATTCACAGAAGTTCTAATATAGGACTTTAAGAAAAACACACTCTTGTGTTAATGAATTAAAACCTTTCCACCCCTTGGTATAAACATGTAATTAACAAAACAGAGCTTGAACCACACAGAGCAGAAAGCAGAATCACACTTCCTGGTCTTTTCCTACATGAACAATTTCCTCCATTTAAAGAGCAGGAGACAAAAAGCATAACAGACTGACAGGGAAAGAGAAAGGCAACTGATCTCTCAAGGTGAATCCAAGAAAATACAGGACCCACTAATACAGTAATCTGTAAACTACACAGCCTAATCACAATCAAAGCCTTGCCACTAGAGAAGCTTAAAGAGGGCACTAAGATGTGGTCGTTTCTGCTCGCTGCATTGTTCCTGCAAGCTAACATTTTTTTTCCTTAAGTATTTCAGAAGACTAAACTAAAGATCAAAGAGAGCAAGGAGGCCTACCAATATGATGGGTCTCTGAATGACTTTCCATCTTAGTGAAAATAACTGTTAGCTAAGTATTTGATGTTGAATCTCTAAAGAGTAGTTAATTTATTGCATTCATTTATTCATTTGAAAGTTAAGGTACGGGATACTTTTTTGAAACTTGAATCTGAATCATAGTTACAGTAAATCATTTGTGAACAAAACTACAGACTAACAAATTTCTTGCTTTTGGAAATAAACATAATAGAAAATAAAATGATACAAACAGGTCAAAGTTCAGGAGAAAGGATGCCTGAACATGAGAAACAATGTCTATAAAACTTGAGCAGTAATATAATCCCTCCAATTAAGTATTTTTCTAGATGGAAAATGGCTAATGGAACTAAGCTTTTGATATTTTTATAAACAGAAATGAAAATTCAATAGCTATTCAAAATAACCTACAATCAAGAATGCTGACCCATGTGTGTTGTTATGTAACATTTCATCCAACTCACCTTCTTTCTAAAGACTGAAAATGAAAGCCCACAGGCTTTACAAACTATGTTGGGCCCTTCCGTAGCTGCTGGTGGGTAGGTGGAAAACTCAGGGTTTGGTGTAAATCTGAATGGACCGGTGGCTCCTGCAAATGCTGACTGCTGGCCCCTGACAGCTCCAGTTCCCATGACTTCATTCAGCAGCCCACAGCACGAAGCCCACATAGACGTGGCACCCGCCTAAAAAGGAACACAAATCCCACAGTTTAAAGCTAAGTGGAATCTGGGCTCTCTGGGATCCTCAGGGAATGCTATTCTGGAGAGGTAAGTTTGCCCTCAATAACTTTGAGATTACTATATTCCTCTGGGCACTGAAATTTCAAGCCATTTGGAAAGAATTTTCTGCTATTTCCAAAGAATATCTGGCATTGCCAATACCCATGATCTCTTGTTTAACAAAAAGAGAACATGATCCAAATTTTACAGAACAAAAAACCTCCCTACCCACCCAAAACAGATACATGTACACAGGCATGTAAAAAAAAAAAAAAAAAAAAAGACTGGACAAAAGTCTGTCCTGTGGTATATTTGGGATATGCATATACTAAAAATTCTTTGTTTTTCATCTGAAATTCAAATTTTCAGGCACCCTGTATTTTACCTGGCAACATTAGGCTGGTGGCCATTGCACCACAGTTCTACAGTCTAAGGCAGATTTTCTCAGCTATTATTTAACAGAAATAACATCAATTTATTTATTTATTTAAAATAAATTTATTTATTTAAAAACAGGGTCTCATTGTCAACCAGGCTGGAGTACAGTGGCGCAATCTCGGCTCACTGCAACCTCCACCTCCTGGGTTCAAGCGATTCTCCTGCCTCAGCCTCCCGAGTAACTAGGATTACAGGCACACGCCACACACTTGGCTAATTTATTTTTAGTAGAGATTGGGTTTCACCATGTTGTCCAGGCTGGTCTCAGATGCGTGGCCTCAAGTGATCTGCCTACCTTGGCCTCCTGAAGTGCTCAGATTACAAGTGT
Organism: Homo sapiens; assembly: GCF_000001405.40. Taxonomy (NCBI): domain Eukaryota; kingdom Metazoa; phylum Chordata; class Mammalia; order Primates; family Hominidae; genus Homo; species Homo sapiens. Next base: position 121,415,356 of record NC_000012.12, on the reverse strand, counting down.
GAGCCACTATGCCAGGCCCATAAATTTAAATTACTTCATTTCCTTAAACCTCTGTTTTCGCATTTGTAATTGGGTATAATATACTATAGCATATGTAAATAATTTTTTAAATGACTTGGAAAACATCAAAACACCAACTGAAACTCTCTCTAGATTTTTTTGTACCTGAAGTTGTAGACAAACCAGAATAGATTTTAATGTATTATGTGTAATTTATTTTCTCTGAAATTTTCTCTACTTTCCAAATTCTTTTTTTTCTTGAGATGGAACTTCACTCTTGTTGCCCAGGCTGGAGTGTAATGGCGTGATCTCGGCTCACTGCAACGTCCGCCTCCCGGGCTCAAGCGATTCTCCTGCCTCAGCCTCCCCAGCAGCTGGGATTACAGGCATCCGCCACCATGCCCAGCTAATTTTTTGTAGTTTTGGTAGACACAGGGTTTCACCATGTTGACCATGGCTGGTCTCGAACTCCTGACCTCAGGTGATCCACCCACCTCGGCCTCCCGAAGTGCTGGGATTACAGGCATGAGCCACCGTGCCCAGCCTCCCAGCTTTCAGCGAGGGCCAAAGGCACGAGAATTGCTTGAATTCGGGAGGCGGAGATTGTTGTGATCCGAGATCAAGCCACTGCACTCCAGGCTGGGCGACAGAGCGAGAGTCCATCTCGAAAAAACAACAACAACAACAGGAAAGTATTTTTTTATTTTACCTTTTCAAACTGAAGATACTAAACATAATTTTTAATGAGTTGATAACCATCATGACCTTCCAAGGCGTAAGGGCTATTTGCTACTCCACTAAATGGCCCAGAACTAATGTATTGCTTTCTATGGTTTTTTCCTTGTCTCTTCCCTCTCTTTGAGCCACCAGGGCTATCACTATACCTGCCCAGAGTAACCTGTCTCCTTTTTACTGCAGTCTCAGAAACCTGATAACCATGCTTGTCCCAAGTATACATAAAAGAATAAATTTTCAGCGAGGGCCAAAGGCATTTTCCCATGCTTAAAATAAAAGCTATAGTGTTTAGAACGAATAGGCTTTTGCCTTTGTCCTAATTCTTAAGCATATTCTAGAATCTAGATAATGTGATAGGTAATGGAAGTCGAGATAGCTGAGGTATTAGTTAAAATGGCAGCATATAATAATACAGTTCCATTTATTTTATTATCTGATTCTGTCAAACATTTTATAATAGCATGTAAAATGCTGGACTGTTTGTCCAGCAAGCTCTTAAAACAAAAAGCAAATAAAAAGCCCTCAACCTTAAAATGCAAAAGGCACTTTGGAATGCAACAGAAGGATAATGGCTGTTTCTGCTATTACCCAGAAGTAATGTTGTATTATAAAGAAAGGAGAAGGTAAAGAAGAAACCACAACACAAGGTTCAAACAGTCTGAAGTATCAAAGCCAAGGATTTCAATATTATAAGTCTTCACACCCTATAATTCTCAAGAAATAGTGATGCCTTTAAAAGTCAGGTGAAGCCGGGCGCGGTGGCTCACACCTGTAATGCCAGCACTTTGGGAGGCTGAGGCGGGTGGATCACGAGATCAGGAGTTCAAGACTAGCCTGGCCAACACGGTGAAACCTGTCTCTACTAAAAATACAAAAAATTAGCTGGGCATGCTGGTGGGGCCTGTAGTCCCAGCTACTCGGGAGGCTGAGGCAGGAGAATGGCGTGAACCCGGGAGGCGGAGCTTGCAGTGAGCCCAGATAGCACCACTGCACTCCAGCCTGGGCAACAAAGCGAGACTCCATCTCAAAAAAAAAAAAAAAAAAAAGCTGGGCATGGTGGCAGGCTTCTGTAATCCCAGCTACTCGGGAGGCTGAGGCAGGAGAATCGCTTGAACCCAGGAGGCGGAGGGTGCAGTGAACCAAGATTGTGCCACCGCACTCCAGCTTGGGCAAAAGAGCAAAACTCCGTCTCAAAAAAAAAAAAAAGGACAGGTAAAATTATAACAGTCCATACCTTTAAATGATTATATACCTCAAACTCTACAGCCATGGTGTGCTTAAAAGCATGAAAATCTGGCCAGGCTCAGTGGCTTATGCCTGTAATCCCAGCACTTTGGGAGGCCAAGGAAGGTGGATCTCCTGAGGTCAGGAGTTCAAGAACAGCCTGGACAACATGGCGAAACGCCGTCTCTACTAAAAATACAAAAAATTAGCTGGGCGTATTGGCAGATGCCTGTAATCCCAGCTACTTGGAAGGCCGAGGCAGGAGAATCGCTTGAACCGGGGAGGCGGAGGTTGCAGTGAGCCTAGATCGCACCATTGCACTCCAGCTTGGGTGACAGAGTGAGACTCTGCCTCGAAAAGAGGAAGGAAAAAAAAAATAGCCTGGGCACAATGGCTCATGCCTGTAATCCCAGCACTTTGGGAGGCAGAGGTGGGGGAGCAGATCATGAGGTCAAGAGTTCGAGACCAGCCTGGCCAACATGGTGAAACCCCGTCTCTACTAAAAATACAAAAATAGCTGGCCCAGGCACCTGTAATCCCAGCTACTTGGGAGGCTAAGGCAGGAGAATTACTTGAACCCAGGAGGCAGAGGTTGCAGTGAGCCGAGATCACGCCACTGCACTCCAGCCTGGGTGACACAGCGAGACTCCATCTCAAAAAAAAAAAAAAAAAAGCATGAACATCTAGATTCACTAAGAGTTAATTTAAAGTTAGTGTTCAGCCAGGCACAATGGCTCACATCTGTAATCTCATCACTTTGGGAGGCCAAGGCGGGTGGATCACATGAAGTCAGGAGTTCGAGACTGGACTGACCAACATGGCAAAACCCCATCTCTACTAAAAACACAAAAATTAGGCCAGGCGTGGTGGCTCACCCCTGTAATCCTAGCAGTTTGGGAGGACAAGGCAGGCAGATCATGAGGTCAGGAGATCAAGACCATCCTGGCTGACACGGTGAAACCCCATCTCTACTAAAAAAACAAAAACAAAATTAGCCTGGCGTGGTGGCGGGCACCTGTAGTCCCAGCTACTCGGGAGGCTAAGGTGGGAGAATGGCGTGAACCCGGGAGGCAGAGCTTGCAGTGAGCCGAGATTGCGCCACTGTACTCCAGCCTGGGCAACAGAGCGGGACTCCATCTCAAAAAAAAAAAAAAAAAAAAAAAAAAAGATTAGTTGGGCATGGTGGCACGTGCCTGTAGTCCCAGCTAGTCGGGAGGCTGAGGCAGGAGAATCGCTTGAACCCAGGAGGCGGAGTTTGCAGTGAGCCAAGATTGCGCCACTGCACTCCAGCCTGGGTGACAGAGCGAGACTCCATCTCAAAAAAAATTAATAATAATAAAGTTAATGTTCTTTTAAGTAAAGGATTCATCCACAGTTCTTTAGAGTATGCACTCTTAAAACTGGAAAAACTTTGTTCTAAAAAATTTAGTTTGCACGTTACATTTTTTGGGGAAAAAAATACCTCAACTGCAGAAAGTACTCCCAGGATAAACTTCTCTTCATTCCAGGGTTAACAGAAGTGCAGTTTTACAAGTTTAGCTTCCTACTAATGTAGCTACTAAACCAACAGCTCTCTTAGCTTTTATCCCCCTTCTAATTCATGTCTGATGTTGCCTCCTGGACTACAGTGAAAGTTCCTCATGGACAAAAACTTCTTTTTCTCCTGCTCCTCTTTCCACCATGGTATGACTGACAAGTAACTGTGTAAAAAATTCCTATTATCTCTTCACAGACAATGTAACATTATAAAATTTTACATGCTATTTAGAAAGTTCAAAATATGTTTTCTTGGTAAAGAAAACCAAAAATCTCAAATGACACCCCTTTTTAAAAGCAGCACTGTCAGAGATTATGACCTTTGTATCAGGGATAGTTTTACAATGAATTAGGGAAGAATACAATTTTTCAAACCATGTTAATGAGTATGAGCATTAAAATTCTAGGCTGAAAATTTTTTTTTCAACTACACAGCTCTGGTAAAGGGAATAGAAGGACTTATTTTGGGAAAACAGATGGATTCTCTGTGTAGATACCAATTTTGGAGGGGGACAATTTTGTCCCATTCCTCACGTTTCTATACAAGGAAGGGAATTTCCTCTTTGTTCCCCAGAAAGAAAATGAAGAAAAACACTTAATTTAGCCCTCATTATAAAATAAAAAATTAAAAACAGGCCAGGAATGGTGGCTCACACCTGTAATCCCAGCACTTTAGGTGGCCAAGGTGGGAGGATTGTTTGAGGCCAGGTCAAGACCAGCCTGGGCAACATAGGGAGACTCTATCTCTACAAAAAATAAAATTAGCCAGGTGTGGTGGCATGTGCCTGTGCTCCCAGCTACTCGGAGGCTGAGGCAAAAGGATCTCTTGAGCCTGGGAGGTTGAGACTATGGTGAGCTATGCTTACGCCACCGCACTCCAGCCTGGGTGACGGAGTGAGACCCTGTCTCAAAAACAAACAACAAAAAAGCCCAAGCCAACCTCCAAAGTGTCCCAGGCAAAAATGTTGCTATAACCCAATATTCAGTACAACTCAGACACATATTAACTACTGTCAGCCAAATACTACAGGAATAGAAGGTAAAGAAGCAATCCTGAAAAATTTAGGTTGCAGCCTCATTAGAATCTCTGAACTTAAATTTGGGCAAAATCTTCCAATGAGAACATGATCTCCCAGTGAGAGAATAACCTTAGCATCATATTGAAGGGCAAATCCACTTATAGTTATCATCTCTGAGAGGAGCATTTGCAACACTCCAGCCTTCTGGAAAGTTCAGAAATTTGAAGCAGGGGAAGCCCCTGTCACTAGTATATTTGAAGTATTTTTTTTTTTCCCATCCAGCATTTTTTTTTTTTTGGTGGTTTTGAGACAGAATCTTGCTCTGTTGCCCAGGATGGAATGCAGTGGCGCAATCTCGGCTCACTGCAACCTCTGCCTCCCGGGTTCAAGCAATTCTCCTGCTTCAGCCTCCCAAGTAGCCGGGATTACAGGCACCCACCACCACACCCGGCTAATTTTTGTATTTTTAGTAGAGACGGGGTTTCACCATGTTGTCCAGGCTGGTCTCGAACTCCTGACCTCGTAATCCGCCTGCCTCAGCCTCCCAAAGAGCTGGGATTACAGGCATGAGCCACCACGCCAGCCCCATGCAGCATATTTGAAAATTTTAATTTCCATCTCCCCTTTAAGCCCCATATTTCCTGGCATCCCAGTGCTGAAATGAACATAATTCCTTTTCTTTTTTTTTGAGACGGAGTTTCGCTCTTGTTGCCCAGGTTGGAGTGCGATGGCACGATCTTGGCTCACCGCAACCTCTACCTCCCAGGTTCAACCGATTCTGCTGCCTCAGCCTCCTAGTAGCTGGGATTACAGGCATCTGCCACCATGCCCGGCTAATTTTGTATTTTTAGTAGAGGCAGGGTTTCTCCATGTTGGTCAGGCTGGTCTCGAACTCCTGACCTCAGATGATCCGCCCGCCTCGGCTTCCCAAAGTGCTGGGATTACAGGTATGAGCCACCACGCCTGGCCATGAACATAATTTCTTTACATTCATTTTAGCACTGAAGTGCCAGGTAACACCCACCCCCGCTGCCCTTCAGTGAAACAGGTGTTTTAGTCCTGTACCTTCGTAGCTGCTGTCAGTACTTCTTGCTAAGGAATTGCCTAGGGTTGTGAAACTGCCCTTAAGAGAATGGTTTTCAGCCTTGGCTGCATGTTGGACTCACCAGGCAAGTCTTTAAAAATACTGATTCCTGGGGTCCCAGGCCCAGAGGTTCTGATTTCACTGGTCTGTGGTGCAGCCTGGGCACCAGAATTTTTTTGAAAACTCCCTGGGTAATTCTGATATACAGGCCAGGTTAAAAGCTTAAGACCTGCTCAGTCAAAGGGAAGATGTCTTCTTCCTGCCTACACTGTTTCAGCTGGGACATCACCCTCCACAAATTCCTGAGTGGAAAGGGCTGTGGTTACTTTGGAAGCCTGTGGCCCTAGAGTTCTGGAACTAATGCCTCGGCAACATACTCCCCAAGACCTGTCTACATGTTTTTCTGTTGTGGGATATGTAGTATTTTGCATCCCACTTTGGTTTTACCCAATCCTTTAAGAAAGGGTCAGCTAAGTTTTGGCCAAGTGTTGTGGTCCATGCCTATAATCCCAGCAGTTTGGGAGGCCGAGGCCAGCAGGTCACCTGAGGACAGGAGTTTGAGACCAGCCTGGCCAACATGGTAAAACCCCGTCTCTACTAAAAATACAAAAATTAGCCGGGCATGGTGGTGCACGCCTGTGGTCCAAGCTACTCGAGAGGCTGAGGCAGGAGAATCGTTTGAACCTGGGAGGTGGAGGTTGCAGTGAGCAGATATCACGCCACTGTACCACTGCACTCCAGCCTGGGTGACCGAGCAAGACTCCATCTCAAAAAAAAAAAGAAAGGGTCACCTGAGTTTTTAACAATCTGATTCTTCAATGAATCCCTTTCCTTTTTACCACAGATTGGCCTGTAACTTTTGCTGGACTTTGGTGCTCTCCTTGATTTTATTTGCTCTTTGCCTTTGGGCCCCAACTTTTATTTCCCACCTTAACTCCTCTGCACGTTTTCTTGTGTGAAATCTCCCAATATGAGGAGAAAGTCAGTGATTTCTGGGTCTATCAAAAGCAGCCATTGTTCAAAGTGTTTTTGTCCTTCTTCACCTCCAGGATGAAGAATCCATCCAGAAGATAAATCCTTCCAAGCCTGGACTCCATCTACCTGGCTCTCCTTTAGTATGTTTCATCTTCCTGTACTTTCTCATAAATTTCAGAAATTTATTCTGCATGCCTCCTCAGGGCAAAGGCATCTCTACCTACAACTGTCACCTTGACACTCACCTAACAGTGCTTGAAGTGTCCTATACTGATCTTTCCCCTCTTAAATCTGTACACATTTTCTAGTTTTTATTTATTTTTATTTTTATTTTTATTTTTTAGACAGAGTTTCACTCTTGTTACCCAGGCTGGAGTGCGGTGGTATGATCTTGGCTCACTGCAACCTCTGCCTCTTGAGTTCAAGTGATTCTTGTGCCTCAGCCTCCCAAGTAGCTGGGATTACAAGTGCCTGCCATCACACCCTGGTAATTTTTTGTATTTTTAGTAGAGACGGGGTTTCACCATGTTGGCCAGGCTGGTCTCGAACTCCTGACCTCAGGTGATCTGCCTGCCTCAGCCTCCCAAAGTGTTGGGATTACAGGCGTGAGCCACCACACCTGGCCATTTATTTTTATTTTTTTAGAGACGGGGTCTTGATATGCTGCCCAGGCTGATCTCAAACTCCAGGGCTCAAGGGATCCTTCTGCTTCAGCCTCCCAAATCACTGGGATTACAGGCATGAGCTACCACGCTTGGCCCACATTTTCTGTTATGACTTGACAGAACCTATAAAAGCAATTGGAGAACTATTTAAAAGACAATTTCCCCAAGGGTTTATTGAATCTGAGCTCTTACAGTGGAGAGGGGGACAAGGGATGGGGGGAACATATGCCAATCTATTTTCTGAGCTCTTCACACTCTGCCTCTGTTATATTTCCTTGGAACCCAGTTACCATATCCGGTAGGGTCATAACCAACAAGGATCCCTCTTCTGCACCCTCCTTTTAAAAGCTTTAGAGACCTAAGTTCATGTTCTTTCCTGTTCCATTTCTGTCTTCCCTATACTTTAAGATCTTCCTCCAGTTAAATTAGCCTGTATTCCTTTATTTTTCTTTTATTCATTCATTGCTTCCATACTGATAGTAAGATTGAAGCATCTTCTACAAACCACTCCATTTCCTCCTAGATTTTGAGAAAACTCAATTCCTGGAAAGACAGCATACTAGGCGTAGCCCTTGGGCTTCCGAATTTGCAGTCAGTTCACTGAGTTGTTGTATACTAGGCATATGCCTTTGGCTTCTGCATTTGCAGTCAATTCACTGAGTTGTTGTATACTAGGCATACCCCCACCTCTGGCTTCTGACAGTATACTAGGCATACCCTTTTGGCTTCTGAATTTGCAGTCAATTCACTGGCCTCAATTCCAAAGTGGTGCCTTCTTTATGGAAGGGTCACCATCCATTATTTGTTCATTGGGGGAAAAAAACCCTACAGTTACTCCTCCGTGAATAAAGCCCAAAGCCAGATCTCTGAAAAGTCTGGAACTTTCAAAATGCAAGCCATGATCTGGGCTTTCATGACCTACTTGGGGACCTTAGTTGGCAGCAAAACTCCATGGGTTATACCACATGCATCCAAGTGGTATGTAAGAAGTATAACCCTTTTTCTAACAGTTTAGAAAGAACAATAATCTGGGGGGAGGGGGAAGGAGGGAGGAAAGGAACAAGGGGTGAAAAACTAACTGTTGGGTACTGTGTTCACTACCTGCTGGCGGGACCAACTGTACCCCAAACTTTAGCGTCACTCAATATACCCATGTAACAAGTCTGTACGTGTACCCCCAAATCTAAAAGTTGAAATTATATTTTTAAAAAAGAACGATAATCGTGAAGATAGCTAAATTTCCTCTCTTGACCATGAATGTAGTTTAAAACAACATAGAGAATAAGAGAATGAGGCAACTGTCTGCCTATGCCTAGCACAAAACTCCAAGCTCAGAGAATTCACCTGTGTTTGGAGTTTATTTTCTAGTCATCAGTGATTACTAAAAATAAATGACTTGTTCTTGATAGTCTAATCCCTTTCCTACCCACTCTCTTAAGCCAAAGCTGCTCTCAGTAGAGCCACCATAGGACCATGGTCTGCCTGGCTTATATCAGTTAAAAACCAGGTATCGTATTTAAAAACTTAACACCAGCCCGGCGCGGTGGCTCACGCCTGTAATCCTAGCACTTTGGGAGGCTGAAGTGGGCGGATTGCTTGAGCTCAGGAGTTCGAGACCAGCGTGGGCAACGTGGTGAAACGCCATCTCTACTGAAATACAAAAAATTAGTCAGGCGTGGTGGCAAGTGCCTGTAGTCCCAGCCACTGGGGAGGTTGAGGCACAAGAATCACTTGAAATGGGAGGCGGAGGCTGCAGTGAGCTGAGATCACGCCACTGCACTCCAGCCTGGGCGACACAGCAAGAGTCTGTCTCAAACAACAACAACAACAACAACTTACACATTCCATAATAAGAAATCAAATTCTAAAACCTGCCTGGACTGCCTCAGACACCTAGATATCCTCATGTCATTCTGGTATCCAATGCCAGTTCTCCTCTTTTCTTCAAAGACAGTGCACCAAGATTTTAGGGAGCCAGTAACAGTACCTTTTTTCCACATCCAATTTGGAGCTAATTAAGAAATAAGACAGGCCGGGCACGGTGGCTCATGTAATCCCAGCACTTTGGGAGGCCGAGGCAGGCAGATCACAAGGTCAGGAGATCGAGACCATCCTGGCTAACATGGTGAAACCCCGTCTCTACTAAAAATACAAAAAATTAGCTGGACGTGGTAGCAGGCACTTGTAGTCCCAGCTACTCAGGAGGCTGAGGCAGGAGAATGGCGTGAACCTGGGAGGCAGAGCTTGCAGTGAGCCGAGATTGCACCACTGCACTCCAGCCTGGGCAACAGAGCAAGACTCCGTCTCAAGAAAAAAAAAAAAGAAATAAGACAGAGGCCGGACACGGTGGCTCACGCCTGTGATCCCAGCACTTTGGGAGGCCGAGGCAGGAGGATCATCTGAGGTCAGGAGTTCCAGACCAGCCTGGTCAACATGGTGAAACCCCGTCTCTACTAAAAATACAAAAATTAGCCAGGTATGGTGGTGGATGCCTGTAATCCTAGCTACTCAGAAGGGTGAGGCAGGAGAACTGCTTGAACCTGGGAGACGGAGGTTGCGGTAAGCAGAGATTGCACCACTGCACTCCAGCCTAGGTGACAGAGCAAGACCCTGTCTCAAAAAGAAAAAAAAAGCAAGAAGACAAATGGAAATTAAAATGTTTGTTTTTACTGATAGCATCAACTGGAGAACAGAACCTTAGCTCTGTAGCCAAGTCTGGATAATATACAGCTGACCAAGAGCAGCTTACCAGCTAGTTGAGTGGAGACCAGAACTCCATCTTCACTACAGGAAGACAAATGTGAGAAGGTCCCAGAAAGTACTGAGCCAAGCATGTCAGTTCCTTCACTGAAACTCCTCAATATTCAAGTCCCTCTTTTTCCTCCCATAGCAGAGACTGACAGTGTTTCTCCCATACTGTTCCCTCCCCAAAAATGAATTAGAAGCCCCCTCCCCTCTGTAGGAGCAAAGGAGAGGAAGCAAATGGGAGGGGAAAGAATACAAACCTAAATAATCTGCGTAAGAGTAGGAATGACAGTTTCCAGCCAATAAGGTTATAAGGACTCTCTCAGGTTCCTCAGTCAGAGTCAAACAATATAAGCCCATGAAACATCATTACAGTCAACAAAAGCAAGAGGAAAGGTGTTCTGTTTCTTTGCAAGAGCAGCAGCCCAGCTCTCTTTCTGGCACAGTGCCAGGATTTTCAAATGGCCTCAAGGTTCAGCTGTCTTTGCTTCTGTGTGTGTATAATCTAATATGTTTTCAGAATCCCTGTGGGGAGAAAATACTTCAAAATGCTCAATTTAAAGAATTCACAAATTTACCACAAATTTTCAACCCTAAACTTTTAATGATTCCATTAAATATATTATCAACCAGCCAGACTAGAACGAAGAATCAGAAAAGCTATGGTAGTTTCCATGAAGATTAAATGACAGGCTGGGCGCAGTAGCTCACACCTCTAATCCCAGCACTTTAGGAGGCCAGAATCACTTGAGGTCAGGAGTTCAAGACCAGCCTAGCCAAGATGGTGAAACCCGGTCTCTACTAAAAATACCAAAAAAAATTAGCTGGGTGTGGTGGTGCACAACTGTAGTCCCAGCTACACAGGAGGCTGAGGCAGGAGAATCACTTGAGGCGGAGACTGCAGTAAGCTGAGATGGTGCCACCGCACTCCAGCCTGGGCAACAAAGAGAGACTCCATCTCAAAAAAAAAAAAAAAAAAAAAAAAAGATTAAATGACAGCCAGACACAAGAGAAGTATAGGGGGAGAGTGGGAAAAGAAAGTTTATGAGTATGAAAACAGACAACTAGGCCAGGTGCCATGGCTCAAGCCTGTAATCCTAGCAGTTTGGGAGGCCAAGGCAAGTGGACTGCCTGAGCTCAGGAGTTTGGGACCAGCCTGGGCAACATTGTGAAACTCCGTCTCTACTAAATACGAAGAAAAAAAAAAAAAATTAGCCGGGCATGGCAGCTACTTGGGAAGCTGAGGCAGGAGAACTGTTTGAACCCGAGAGGCAGAGGTTGCAGTGAGCTGAGATCGTGCCACTGCACTCCAGCCTGGCGACAGAGTGAGATTCCATCTCAAAAAAAAAAAAAAGAAACAGAAAACTAAATGATCTAAGTCATTCACTTTTTATTAAACTAGGTAAATAGCAAGGTAATAATAATGCCATAGACTCTTCTCGTAAGAGTCTATCTTGCTTGCCAAAACTCTAATATGTTACTACACAGTCATTCACTTTTTATTAAACTAGGTAAATAGCAATGTAATAATAAACCCATAGACTCTTCTCATAAGCGTCTACCTTGCTTGCCATAACTCTAAGTTAAATATATTATTTACACAGTTATTTTAAGGATGAACCTAGAAGTTTTAAATTCAAAAATAATTGTCTCAGATGCTACATGAATCTACAAGGACCAAGGAGCGATACTGTTCTTCCATCAATGAAAGCTTCCTCAGAGAACTCACCCACTATATGTCCAGGGTTTGTTTCAAACTCTGGACAACCTTCAGTTTGCTAAAACTCAATGTCCTGTGTTAAACGACAGGAAAAAGATGTATTAAATCTTAGCAACGGTGATATAAAATAATCGGTTTTACAGTTTAATCTTGGTTAGGTTAAACTTTCCTACATAACTAAAAGCAAAGCAGAAAAAACAGTTGATAAAAAAGCAAAATCTTTATCCTTTTTTTTTTTTGTTTTGGTTTTTTTTTTTGGAGACAGAGTCTTGCTCTGTTGCCCAGGCTGGAGTGCAGTGGCGCAATCTTGGCTCACTGCAAACTCTGCCTCCCGGGTTCACGCCATTCTCCTGCCTCAGCCTCCAGAGTAGCTGGGACTACAGGCGCCCGCCACCACATCCAGCTAATTTTTTGTATTTTTAGTAGAGACAGGGTTTCACTGTGTTAGCCAGGATGGTCTCAACCTCCTGACCTTGTGATCTGCCTGCCTCGGCCTCCCAAAGTGCTGGGACTACAGGCGTGAGCCACCGCGCCCGGCCTCTTTATCCTATTTAGAGCCATTTGAGAAACATATGCTCCTTAGAATGTGAAAGGATTTCTTATCAAAACTGCTGCTTCAACTGAAATACAATATGCAGGGACCTAACTCTTTCTTAGTGACCAAATATCCGACCATATACCACAAAGGAAGGAATTCTACATCCTAAATTATTTCTCTCATACCATTTGGACATTAAGCAGGTTGCAAAAACAGATGATGAACTCTAAAATGTAATACTTTTAGACAAGACATTGGCCAAACTGATCGATTATTACAATAACATGTGCTATAGATACAAATGTTACCTTCCTCATGCTTGGGTTTTTGTTTTCTTTTAACAGTATACTTGATCCTTAGTACCACTCCCCCACCTTTCAGAGAAAAAAAAAGGAAAAGGAATTACATTCAGTAGATTACTTTCTCCTTGATATCTCATTTTGAGCTTGGAAGAACCCAGATTAGCACAATTAATGGTGAGATCAATATAAATAAGGAAAAATGGGAAAGAGGATTAAATCAAATTAACACAGGGCACCAATTTGGATTTTTTTTTTTAATCCCTTATAGGAAGTTGATTGGATGTTACTGCAAGGTTAAAAAGTTACTTGAGTCTGAGAGGTAAGACCTATTTCAAAACATCAGTTTCTAAACCAAACCAAACCAAACCAAACCAAAACGCCAAAGGGAGAAAGTAAATACCCATTCCGTACATATACTAAAACCAGCTGCTCCAGGTTTGAGTGAACATGTACTTATCCATATAATTGCTTAGCTTTTCTTGTTTATTTTTAACTGCTTAACTTTTTTTTTCCTTTTTTTCTTTTTAAAATAATTTTTAATCGAGACAGGGTTTTGCTATGTTGGCCAAGCTGTTCTCGAACTCCTGACCTCAAGTGATCCATCTGCCTTGGCCTCCCAAAGTGCTGGGATTATAGGCGTGAGCTATTGCACCCGGCCAGGTATACTTGCTTAGCTTTTAATGTAATTTTAATTCCACAGAAAGAAGTATTTCCTTACATGAACATTCACATGTTAGCATTCCATGACATCAGGAATCAGTCTCTGCCCAGAAATCTACAGATGAGCATACCCACAATTAAACAATTTCAATATAAATCAACATTAAGTTAAATAATAAACATTTAACAGCCCAAATCCTCAATGGTGTAAATCCAGTTTCACAAAAACAAAAGCATCATTTATAACTGTCATCTGGCACAGGCTGATGTCTATTCAGGTCCATATTTTGCTTCTGAAAATACGTATCTTTTCTATAATTTCAATTGCCACCAAACTTTGTTTCTAAAATTTCATCTTAGAAAGTAGTACCTTCCACTTCAATTCAAAACACACGTCTGTTTTCAAAGAACTTGTTTAAAAATTTCAACACTGGACCTGTCTCTAATTCTTTCCTTCGATAGCTAGTTCCTTAATGGGCCACAAATTTAATATTAATAAAGATACTGATTCTTCGAGGCATTATATATAAAGATCCCTGCTTTGTTTTTGGATCTTAACACAGCAGAGGGTGGTTTTCAGGAAATAAAGCTACTTCTAGATACTTTAATAGATATTTCAAGCTGTAATAATATTTTATAACTAAACTGGAAAGTTAAAAATAAGCTTTTACAATATCCTCATACTTCAAGGCACAGTTCCAAAGTTACCTATTCCAAAAATATTCCTTGCTTTCTGTAGCCAGAAGTATCCTTTCTGGCTCCTGTGTTTTGTCCCTGCCTTTTTTTTTTTTTTTTTTTTGATACCTATAGCCTTCTGCCTTGTAATATGGTTACTTACAAATAACTCTTCTTTTGAATGGTAAACTGCCTTCCTAAGGGATGAGACTGTATTTTGAATTACTTCTCTTCACCATGTCTCCCTCTTGGCTAACGCACAGAAAACGTTCAACAAAACATGTGCTGAATTTCTGTGACCAGCTGACACTCTTTTTCAATCTTCTATAGTAAATCTTTGACGCTTTATGGAGACAGCGTTAATCTAGCAGCTCACCTGCTAGATTACCCACCCCCAGCACACCTCTGCACTGAGATTAACGAAACCATCTAGGTCTGAAAGTTATCATCACCTTATGACTCATCCCACTTGGTTTGAGTTCGGCAAATGAATCAATACCCTGAACTGACTGCTGTTCACAAAGCTCTTCAGAACTCTCAGTGATCGGGTTGAGAATCATCTCTCAGAAGTAGGCCGGAAACCCCGCTCCCCTTTCCCCTTTTCTTCAACTTCTCATCAGTAATGCTCCCACGCTCTCACTCCCACCTTGGAGAACTCAAGCTGCCAAATTCCTTGCTGCGTTTACCTAGTGGCGATGGAGGCACATCCAGCCTTCTCTAGTTCGCGGCCCCGACGTGCAGCCTACGAAGCACCCCTTCCGGGTGGCATCCCCACCCTGAGAGTTCTTTAACCCGTTAGCCTGGCCCTAGCCTCACCACCCCCTGCACCCCTCCTGTTCTCCTCGGTCCCACGATGTCCCCAACACTTGGGTTAGTTCAAGGACTCGGGGCGGGAAAGGGCACGCCGCGCGCCAAGGGACCGAGGCTCAGGCGAGCCCTGGCGGCTCTGCCTCAGGCCCCCGAGGAGGCGCACAGGGCCCGGCGCAGAGAGGGGCCCACCCGGCGCGAACGCTAGGGACGCCCGGCTTCTCCCCACCGCTCGGGTCGCTGACGGGGGTGGCACTGGAGGAGCTCGAGAGGGTCCGGCAGCCTGCCCTGGCTCGGTTGGGGCACCTGAAGCCGGGCAAGCGACCCCCCTCAGCGCAGCTCTCCGAGATGACGACTAGGTAACCGCTAAGGCGGAAAGAAAGGAGGCGCTTCAGGTGCCCTGGCAGGATAGGATTGGCGAGGAGGGTCTGTCCGGCTCCACCGGCCCCTCACCTTCATGGCCGCGACCGCCTCAGCTCGGCCGGCTCTACCAGGAAACTCAGCACCATAGCAGCTCCTCACACTGCCGACCTCCTTCCCTCTGGGCGGTGATTACCGCGCCCCGGGAGGCGACCGAGCGTCCGGACGTAAGGGGCGTGGTCACGCTCGCCGCGTGCCCCGGTAAAAGCGCAGAGCGGCGGCCACGACGACCAATAGGAAGCCGACTTTCGGGAGGCCGGTCACCAGAGCCAATGAAGCGACAGGGATTGGGCGGGGCCTCTGGCGTTCCTCCTGGCTGGGAGTGCGCGGGGAGGATTCTTTTCCGCCCCGAGCGAAGACCTGCGGACCTGGGCGTGGCGGAAGGCGCGCTGCGGCGCTGCTTTCTCGGTTGGGTGTTTGAAATGGGAGATAGCGTCCCTGAGGAAGCTGCTGCGGCTTTCTGGGCTAGGTGGTCAAGTTTCCGGGGAGGGGAGCGCGGGAAGGGCCGTGGTGAATTTGAACACGCCGGTTGGCTCGAAGGCCTTTGTTATGACCGTCAGAGCAGGGCCTCAGATTTCCTTCCCAGACGTTCCCGCGTTCATGCTCGGTGATGACCTCGGGGCTCCTCACTCGTGGGTCCGGTAAGGAGCGGCAGCTGCACTCGCTAGGACGCGGCCTTTAAAAACAAGACTTATTGAAAACACTTAGAAAACCAAGGGCTCTCAAATCCCAAGGGCTCTTTGAAAAGCTGTATTCAAAATAACCAAAATCGTAGCATAATAAAAGAATTTGCTCGAGTCTTGGAATTGCCTTTGGACAGAGAAACTGAGGTTGTAAATTAAGGTATCGATTTCTTCAGCTGTACTGGATGACAGTTTATTTTCCTACACCTTTTTTTTATTTTTGACAAGGTCTTGCTCTTGCCCAGGCTGGAGTGCAATAGTGTGATCTCGGCTCACTGCAACCTCCGTCTCCCGGGTTCAAAGGATTCTCCTGCCTCAGCCTCCCTAGTAGCTGGGACTTCGTGCGCCCGCCCCACACCCGGCTAATTTTTTCTATTTTTAGTAGAGACTGGTTTTCACTGTGTTGGCCAGGCTGGTCTAGAACTCCTGGCCTCAGGTGAGCCGCCCACCTCGGCCTTCCAAAGTGCTGAGATTAGCCACCGGGCCCAGCCGATTTTCCTACACTTTTTAATCTCACCTCTAACTTAACCAGTATTTAAGATTTTAAACATAAAAAAGTCAGTTCGCTCTTCATGAGGACCTAAGACTGTTCTGTTATTTATATACATTATAGATTTGCTTCGACAAGTTGTGCTATATTAGATTAAAACACACGGAGAGAGAGAGAGTGCGTGGCAGGCCACTTCCTTAGACTGAAATAATGCATCAGAGTATGTATTTCTCTTGCTTCAAGTGCTGCTCAGATAATGTCACTTCTTATCCATAATAGTCCTAGGTTTTTTTTGGAAAAATGTACAGAAAGCCTTTCATTCACGATGTAGGACGCAGCTGAGCTTCATTGGAAGAGAAAGTATTAATTAATTCTCCTAATGATCTAGACACAAAGCAACTCAATAAAAATGTTCTTGGGGTACAAAGCCATGGTTGTCCCTCATTAGAAAAGGCCTGGCAGGTCTACCTCCAGAGTTAATAAGCACATGAAAGATGCTCAACATCATTAACTATCAAGGAAATGCACATCAAATCCATGGATACCGCTGTGCGCCTGCAAGGATGGGTAACATTAAAAAGAAAGAAAATAGATGGTGAGGATGTGGAGAATTTGGAATCTTCATACATGAATGGTGGGAATGTAAAATGATGCAGCTGCTATGAAAATGCCTGACAATTCTTAAAAAAAAAAATTTTTTTTTTTTTGAGACGGAGTCTCGCTCTGTCGCCCAGGCTGGAGTGCAATGGCGCGATTTCTGCTCACTGCAAGCTCCGTCTCCTGGGTTCACGCCATTCTCCTGCCTCAGCCTCCCAAGTAGCTGGGACTACAGGCGCCCGCCACCGCGCCCGGCTAGTTTTTTGTATTTTTAGTAGAGACGGGTTTCACCGTGTTAGCCAGGATGGTCTCGATCTCCTGACCTCGTGATCCGCCCACCTCGGCCTCCCAAAGTGCTGGGATTACAGGCGTGAGCCACCGCGCCCGGCCCAAAAATGTTAAAACATACAGAGTTACCATAAGACCCAGAAATTCCACTCCTAGGTGTATACCCGAGAGAAATGAAAACCTAGGTCCACAGAAAAACGTACATGCTAATGGTTCTTAGCAGCATTATTCATAATAGTCAAAAAGTAAAAACAACCCAAATGTCCATTATCTGAGAAATGGTTAAAGGAAATGTGGTCTCTCTATGCAGTGGAATATTATTAGACCAAAAAAGGAATGAAGTACTGATACATACTGCAACATGGATGAACCTTGAAAACATCATGCGGCTGGCTGAGTACAGTGACTCACTCCTGTAGTCCTAAGGCTTCAGGAGGCGGAGGCGGGCGGATCACATGAGGTCAGGTGTTCGAGACCAGCCTGGCCAACGTGGTGAAACCCTATCTCTACTAAAAATACAAAAAAAAAAAAAAAAAAAAATAGCCGGATGTGGCGACGCACGCCTGTAATCCCAGCTACTCGGGAGCCAGAGGTGGGAGAATCTCTTGAACCCAGGAGGTTGAGGCTGCGGTGAGCCAAAATTGCGCCACTGCACTCCAGCCTGAGCGACAGAGCAAGGCCCTGTCTCAAAAAAAAAAAAAAAAAGAAAAGAAAAGAAAAGAAAAAGAAAATAATAATGCTAAGTGAAAAAAGCTAGATACAAAAAGATTATATATTGTATGATTCCATTTACAGGAAATGTCCAAAATAAGCCAATCCATAGAGATAGAAAGTAGAGTAGTGATTAAGGTCTCTGAAGGAGGAGGGGGGAAATGGAGTGACTGCTACTAGACACAGGTTTCTTTTGGGGTAATGAAAACATTCTAGGAGGCTGGGCGCGGTGGCTCACGCCTGTAATCCCAGCACTTTGGGAGGCCAAGGCGGGCGGATCACGAGGTCAGGAGATCCAGACAACGGTGAAGCCCCATCTCTACTAAAAAATACAAAAAATTAGCCGGGCGCGGTGGCGGGCGCCTGTAGTCCCAGCTACTTGGGAGGCTGAGGCAGGAGAATGGCGTGAACCCGGGAGGCAGAGTTTGTAGTGAGCCGAGATCACGCCACTGCACTCCAGCCTGGGTGACAGAGCAAGACTCTGTCTCAAAAAACAAAACAAAACAAAACAAAACATTCTAGGCCGGGTGTGATTGCTCATGGCTGTAATCTGAGCACTTTGGGAGGCTGAGACGGGAGGATCACCTGAACCCGGGAGTTCGAGACCAGCCTGGGCAACATAAGGAGATCCCATCTCTACAAAACATAAAAACAAAAATTAACTGGGTATCGTGGTGCACACCTGTAGTCCCAGCTACTCGGGAGGCTGAGGTAGGAGGATCACTTGTGCCCAGGAGGTCGAGGCTGCAGTGAGCCACTGTACTCCAGCCTGGGTGACAAAGCGAGACCCTGCTCAAAAAAAAAAAAAAAAAAAGGAAAAGAAAACGTTCTAAAATTAGCTATGTGAATGGTTGTACAGCTCTGTGAGTATACTAAAAACTACTAAATTGTATAATTTAAACGGGTGTATTATATGGTATGTGAATTATATCTCAATAAAGCTGTTAATATTGAGGAACACAAAAAGAAGAGTTAATGCAGCTGGAAAGTGGCCACAGAAGGACAATGAAAACAACAAAGGCTAGGGAGAAACTTAAGTATCAGGGGAAAATTTAAAACAGTGCAATACTTGGGAAGACTTGTCTTATTTTGTCCCCAGCACACAGATCTGTACCTAGCATAAGCAAGCTCCCAGTAAATTGTGTTTGGTTTTTTGTTGTTGCTGTTGTTTTTGAGAGAGTCTCCCTCTGTCACCCAGGCTGGAGTGCGGTGGTACAATCTCTGCTCACTGCAAGCTCTGCCTCTCAGGTTCAAGTGATTCTTCTACCTCAGCCTCCCGAGTATCTGGGATGACAGGTGCATGCCACACATCCGGGTAACTTTTTTATTTTTAGGAGAGATGAGGTTTCACCATGTTGGCCAGGCTGGTCTCAAACTCCTGACCTCAAGTGATCTGCCCACTTTGGCCTCCCAAAGTGTTGGGATTACAGGCGTGAGCCACCGTGCCCAGCTGAATTGTATTTTTTTTTTTTTTTTTGAGACGGAGTCTCGCTCTGTCGCCTAGGCTAGAGTGCAGTGACGCGATCTTGGCTCATTGCAACCTCTACCTCCCAGGTTCAAGTGATTCTCATGACTCAGCCTCCCGAGTAGTAGCTGGGGTTACAGGTGTGCACCACCATGCCCAGCTAATTTTTGTATTTTTAGTAGAGGGGTTTCACCATTTTGCCCAGGCTGGTCTCCAAGTCCTAGCCTCAAGAGATCCCCCTGCCTCAGCCTCCCAAAGTGTTGGGATTACAGGCATGAGCCACCACACCCACCCATCAATAAAAGTTTGAGTGAATACTTTTTTTTCTGGAAGGTGGAGAAGGAAAATGATTTAAAAAAAAAAAACATAAGGGAGTAAATAGGTTACACATGAGTTTACAATGCCTACCTACCTGAAGTTGGGACCTTCTGAAGTTGAGAGAGATTTGTGCTTAAATATCACTCTTTTTTCAATGAAAGAGATGCATTTTGTGATCATAGTTTTTTCTTTGTTTCAAATTTTATATAATGACCCTCTTTTTTTTTTTTTTTTTTTTTTTTTGAGATGGAGTCTTGCTCTGTCGCCCAGGCTGGAGTGCAGTGATGCAATCTCAGCTCACTGCAAGCTCCACCTCCGGGGTTCACGCCATTCTCCTGCCTCAGCCTCCTGGGTAGCTGGGACTACAGGCGCCCACCACCACGCCAGGCTAATTTTTTGTATTTTTAGTAGAGACAGGGTTTCACTGTGTTAGCCAGGATGGTCTCGATCTCCTGACCTCGTGATCCGCCAGTCTCAGCCTCCCAGAGTCCTGGGATTACAGGCGTGAGCCAGCATGCCCGGCCAATGACCCTCCTCTTTCAATTGTGTACTAATTGTATCAATTGTGGTTCAGGAAATTTTTGTCTGTTAAGTTATGATCATAACAACCTAATACTTTGTATTTCAGAGACAAAAAGTAGGAATGCCAAGACACATGGGATAATTTATTGCAACTCAATGCAATTGAGGATGCATTGGATCCTTAGGATGTAGTGGGGCCATTTTCTGAGTTGTTTCTTTTTAGCACCTCAAAAAATTATTTTATTGAATTCACAATGTGCTGAAAGTCAAATAATTTCAAACCTCTCTCAATGTCAAGAAGAAGCAAAAGTTCCACTATCTAAATTTTTGAGGCCTGGCATGGTAGCTCACTCCTGTAATCCCAGCACCTTGAGAGGCCCAGTAGGGGGTTCGCCGAGCCCAGGAGTCTGAGACCAGCCTAGGCAACATAGGGAGACCCCATCTCTGCAAAACACACACACAAAAATTAGCTGGGTATGGTGGCACGCACCTGTGGTCCCAGCTACTTGGGAGGCTGAGGTGGGAGGATCATGTGGGCCTGGGAGGTCACGGCTATAGTGAGCCATGATTGTGTCACTGCACTCCAGCCTAGGTGACAGAGTAAGACCCTATCTCAAATACACAATTAGGTTGGGCACGGTCTCTCACACCTATAATCCCAGCACTTTGGGAGGCCGAAGTGGGACCACCACTTTCAGGCAGGAGAACAGGGTCTGGAGACAGGGAGCCTAAGGCCAACCTGCAGCAGACTTCTTGGAACTGGACCAGAAGGAAAACCCCACCTCTCCATGCCCAAGTGATAAGGGGCCAGAGGCTCCTCCCTCTACAAAATCCCCTCTCCCTTAGGTCACAAACAGTAAATGCCTCTAATTGGTAGAGGGCCAAGCCTTCACTTCAGCCTTTGATTGGTTGTGGGCAAATCCTTCATTGGCATAGGATGTAAGCAATTGGAAGCCTCTAAAGGGTACCTAGGGATGTTGCAAAATTCTTTTAGTTTAATAAAAACCCTAAACAACATTGCAGCTGGGGCTCTTGAGCTGCTTGCTTGAGTCCGCTCCCACTCTGTGGAGTGTACTTTCATTTCAATAAATCTGTGCTTTTGTTGCTTCATTCTTTTGTTGCTTTGTGCATTTTGTTCAATTCTTTGTTCAACGTGCCAAGAACCTGGACAACTCACAATCAAGACTTTCCATTCGGTAACAGCTTGAGCCCAGGAGTTGGACACCAGCCTGGGCAACATAGTGAAACCCTGTCTCTACAAAAAATAAAAAATTAGCCAGGTGTGGTGGTGCACGGCTGTGGTCCCAGCTACTCAGGAGGCTGAGACAGGAGGATTACTTGAGCCCAGGAATGTGAGACTGCAGTGAGCCGTGATTGTGTCACCGCACTCCAACCTGGACGATAAAACAAGACCTTGTCTCAAAAAAAACTAATAAGTCCAGGTGCAGTGGCTCATGTCTGTAACTCATGACTTGAGAGGCCAAGGCAGGCAGGTAACTTGAGCCGAGGAGTTCGAGATCAGCCTGGGCTCTACAAAAAACACAAAAAATTAACTGGGCATGGTGACAGGAGCCTGTAGTCCCAGCTACTCCAGAGACTCAGGTTGGAGGATCACCTGAGCTCTGGAGGTTGAGACTGCAGTTAACCGTGTTTGCACCACTGCATTCCTACTTGAGTGAGAAAGTGAGACCCTGTTTCAAAAAATAATAATAATTAAATTTTTGTAAGTTACTGAATAATCTTTTTCAACATGATGTGTACTTAAAAGACAACAGGCCAGGCGCAGTGGCTCACGCCTGTAATCCTAGCACTTTGGGAGGCCAAGGCGAGTGGATCACGAGGTCAGATCGAGACC
This sequence comes from Homo sapiens, assembly GCF_000001405.40. Classification (NCBI taxonomy): domain Eukaryota; kingdom Metazoa; phylum Chordata; class Mammalia; order Primates; family Hominidae; genus Homo; species Homo sapiens. The sequence goes on along the minus strand of NC_000012.12, from coordinate 121,393,322 downwards.
ATCCTGGCTAACACGGTGAAACCCTGTCTCCACTAAAAATCGAAAAAGAAATTGGCTGGGTGTGGTGGCAGGCACCTGTAGTCCCAGCTACCCAGGAGGCTGAGGCAGGAGAATGGTGTGAACCCAGGAGGCGGAGCTTGCAGTAAGCCGAGATCACGCCACTGCACTCCAGCCTGGGCGACAGAGCAAGACTCCTCAAAAAAAAAAAAAAAAAAAGAGTATTTGGCCGGGTGCGGTGGCTCACGCCTGTAATCCCAGCACTTTGGGAGGCCGAGACTGGTGGATCATGAGGTCAGGAGATCGAGACCATCCTGGCTAACATGGTGAAACCCCATCTCTACTAAAAATACAAAAAAATTAGCAGGGTGTGGTGGTGGGCGCCTGTAGTCCCAGCTACTTGGGAGGCTGAGGCAGGAGAATGGCGTGAACCCGGGAGGCGGAGCTTGCAGTGAGCCGAGATGGTGCCACTGCACTCCAGCCTGGGTGACAGAGCAAGACTCTGTCTCAAAAAAAAAAAAAAAAAAAAAAAAGACAATAGGGTAGAAGGCTTTATTATTATCCTAACAATGGAATCACCCAATGATAACAAGTCATAGAAGGCAGATAATATGCCTTTTTAAAAGTTGGTTAGCAACTTGCTGTATTAAGCCATTTCTTATTCTGGAAAATGTCAAACATATTTAAAGTAAATAGAATAATACAATGAACCCTCACATACCCATCACCCAGTTTTAACAGTTCTCTACATTCTGCCATTCGTGTCTCATCTCCAGCACGTGTACCTCTCTACCCATGCCCCACCACTCTCCCATCTAAGCTCAACTGCATCATCATTAGACGAGTGCCCAACTCTGGTTGCCTAGATATGAGCCAGATCAAAATATTTGAGAATTGGATCTGGTTTGCTATGTTTTTATTTATCCTTGGTCAATTTAACAAATATAACTATTTTACCTACTCAAGGTAATCCATCTTTTTTGGACTCATTGCATAAGTTTTATAATTTAAAAGATCAAATAAACTCTCTAACCATCCCTGCTTAACCTGAGTTTGCAAATGCCAAAGTTGTAGATAGGTCATAAAGTTGACTCACTGGTAGAAATGACGAAGTATCTCTTCATCTGAATGCTTAAACCAGCTCCCATCTGAATCCAGACTGTGATTGACTTCCGCTACAGTAAAGATGGTTTCAACAATACTTATTGCACTTTAGAGAAACATCTCTGCAGCTGGAGAACAGATGGCTCCCCAGAATCATTTTCTTTTGGACTGATAGCATCTTTTTGGAATTCTGCCAGTGAATTATGCTGTCAACTCGTACATGTAATCTTCTTCTGCCTTACGTCTCTCCCTCTGTAAAATGGAGAAAATGGTTGTGAACCGGGAACTTATGTCTTCAACTTTGCCAAATAGCTGAAGAATCCTGAAAGTGAAACAGAAACAGAACTTTCTGTGGTTCCCAGGCCAGGCACGGTAGCTCATGCCTATGTCCCAACACTTTGGAGGCTGAGGCGGGCAGATCACTTGAGTTCAGGAGTTTGAGACCAGCCTGGCCAACATGGTGAAACCCTGTCTCTACTACAAATACAAAAATTAGGCTGGCATGGTGGTGCGTGCCTGTAATCCCAGCTACCCAGGAGGTTGAGGCATGACAATCACTTGAATCCAGGAGGCGAAGGTTGCAGTGAGCCGAGATCATGCCACTGCACTCCAGCCTGGGTGACAGAACGAGACTCTGTGTCAAATAAATAAATTAAAAAAAAAAAAGGCCAGGCATGGTGGCTCATGCCTGTAATCCCAGCACTTTGAGAGGCCAAGGCGGGCAGATCACGAGGTCAGGAGTTCGAGACCAGCCTGGCCAAGATGGTGAAACCCCATCTCTACTAAAAATACAAAAATTAGCTGGGTGCGGTGGTGGGCACATGTAATCCCAGCTACTCGGGAGGCTGAGGCAGAATTGCTTGAACCCGGGAGGCAGAGGTTGTAGTGAGCTGAGATCATACCACTGCACTCCAGCCTGGGCCACAGAGCAAGACTGTCTCGAAAAACAAAATAAAATAAATAAATAAATAAATAAAGTGGTTTCCAGAGAGTGAGACAAATAACACAGGGCCAATTGATATTTCTCTGAAGTTGGAGCACTTTACAGGCTTTTTCTCCAATAACCCTCCTTAGCAGGCAGAAAGGAGAAAGGGTTTTCTTCTTTTCATGGCTTGGGAAGGTGAGCTGTCTTGCCTGAGGCTCAGTGAGGCAGTGATGAAAGAAGAGCTGCCAACTCTCCTATCCCCAGTCCAGCATGATGCTCACCAGAATTACGATTCTTCCAATAAAAAGACAGACCTTCCAAAACAAGTTCATTCTTATACAGTAAATCTACATTCATATACGTCTTAGTCCATTGGTGTTGCTATAAAGGAACACTTGAGACTGAGTAATTTAAAAAGAAAATAGGTTTATTTGCAGGGCTGGGGGAAATGGCTCACACCTGTAATACCAGCACTTTGGGAGGCTCAAATGGGAGGATCACTTGAGCCCAAGTTTTATAGACCAGCCTGGGCAACACAGCAAGATTCAGTCTGTAAAATCTACCAGTGAGTCGATTTTATGACCTATCTCCAACTTTGACATTTGCAAACTCAGGTTAAGCAGGGGGTTGGTTAGCCAAGCGTGATGGCACATACCCATAGTTCTCACTACTTGGGAGGCTGAGGCCAGAGGATCACTTGACCTCAGGAACTGCAGGCCATCCTGGACAAGAGAGAGAGACACCGGCTCTAAAAAATAATAAGTAAATAAATAAAAATTTAAAAGTTTGCCAGGTTCTCATCTTGTTAACCGTTGTATCATAGTATGGTTTTGCTTGAACGGAGTCTCACTAAGATCTAGAAATTCTGAACTTAATAATGAGTCCCGGCAGAGCACAGTACCTCATGCCTGTAATCCCTGCACTTTGCGAGGCCCAGGCAGGCGGATCACCTGAGGTCAGGAGTTTGAGACCAGCCTGACCAACATGGTGAAACCCTGTCTCTACTAAAAATACAAAAAATTAGCAAGGCTTGGTGGCAGGCACCTGTAATACCAGCAACTCTGGAGGCTGAGGCAGAATTGCTTGAACCTGGGAGGTGGAGGTTGCAGTGAGCAGAGGTCCTGCCACTGCACTTCAGCCTAGGCAACAGAGTGACACCTCGTCTCAAAAAAAAAAAAAAAAGAGTCCATCATTTGCTATAAAGTTTTTGAGCTAGAAGGGCCCTTCAAGGTCACTTTATGTACTTTCTCAATTTACATTGACAAAGTGCCTCCCAGAAGAGTTAAGTGTGCTCAGGATCACACATCTAGCTACAGGCAAAGATGGGACCAGAAGCCAAGTCTGACCTCTTAAACGCATGCTTTTTGCTGGCAACTTTGGAAAAACTCCAACCATTCTTTGCTCTAAATTCAAAGACAACCCAGGCTTCAAAGACGGAAACTATCTGATGACTCCTTGATAAGGATGTTGGGAATTTACCTGGACAAATCTTATACTCCAAACTACAGTAAATTCTAAACCAGAAAAGGGTTTAAACATATTTTTTAGAAAACTAAGAGAAAGCATATCATGTCTATTTCAGATATAACATGAAATAGATTTCAGATTTCTTTTCTTCTTAAAAAATTTTTTGGCCAGGCTCAGCGGCTCATGCTATAACCCCAACACTTCGGGAGGCTGAGGTGGGCAGATCACCTGAGGTTGGGAGTTCGAGACCAGCCTGACCAACATGGAGAAACCCCGTCTCTACTAAAAATACAAAGTTAGCCGGGTGTGGTGGTGCATGCCTGTAATCCCAGCTACTCAGGAGGCTGAGGCAGGAGAATCACTTGAACCTGGGAGGCAGAGATTGTGGTGAGCCGTGATCACACCGCTGCACTTCAGCCTGGGCAACAAGAGCAAAACTCCGTCTCAATAAATAAATAAATAAATAAATAAATAAATAAATTTTTTGAGTCAGGATCTTACTCTGTCACCCAGGCTGGCGTGCAGTGGCACCATGATGGCTCACTGCAGCCTTGACCTCCTGGGCTTAAGCAATCCTCCTGCCTAAGCCTCCTGAGTAGCTGGTATTACAGATGTGCACCATCACATCCAGCTAATTTATTATTATTTTTTGTAGAGACGGGGTCTCCCTATGTTTCCCAGGATGGTCTTAAACTTCTGGGCTCAAGCACTCCTCCTGTCTCAGCCTCCTAATGTGTTGTGATTACAGGCGTGAGCCACCGTGCTGGGCCACCTACTCTACTCTCTCGGTTTTCCTTCTGTCTCTCTGAGCAATTTCTTCTCCATCTCCTCTACCCACCCTTCAAGTTTTGGTGTTGATACAAGTATTGCAGGCCTTTCCACTTCTCACTCGACAGATTCTTCTGGATGACCTCACCCTGTACTCCAGATAGGTAACCATTCTCAGGAATTCCCTGTCTAGGTCTGTATATGGGTCTCCTGAGCCTCTGCCAATCCGTCTCTTCCCTGCGTTTCAGATTTGTCAGCTCAGTACCCACTTCCTTCCAACCCATGCTCCTCTTCCTGGGTTCCCTACCATGCTCTATGGCACCATGCTAGAGAACTGCAAGTCATCCTTGACTTTGCCTTTGAGCAGCTCTAGCCCTGTGCACCACTCACATCCATCTACTTCTTCATCCCCTTGGCCCATGGCTCTTACTGTTTCTCTTGCTTCATTGCAGCTGCAGGAGCTTGAGCTCCAATCTGCACTACCCCACCACCCCCACCACCTGCTTAGTCATCCCCACTTCTGGTTTGCTCTCTATCCTGAGGACAAAAGCCTCTTTACACGAAAAGTCTGACTTTGTCTTTTCCTGTTTAAATTCCTTTGGGATGGTGGGGCAAGGCGGCTCATGCCTGTAATCCCAGTACTTTGGGAGGCTGAGGTGGGCAGATCAGTTGAGGCCAGGAGTTCAAGACTAGCGTGGCCAACATGGTGAAACCCTGTCTCTACTTAAAATACAAAAATTAGCCAGGCATGGTGACGCGCACATGTAATCCCAGCTACTTGGGAGGCTGAGGCAGGAGAATCACTTGAACCCGGGAGGCAGAGGGTGCAGTGAGCCAAGATCTCACTCATAAATGTGTGTGTGTGTGTATATATATACACACACACACACATTTATTCCTTTAGGGTTTCCCAATGGCCTCATGAAAAAGTCCAAATTTATTAAAATAGTGTTACAGGGTCCTTTATCGTCCATTCCCTGCTCACCCCTCCAGGCCTACTTCCCACCACCCTCACCTCACAACCTCCACTGTAACCATACTGAACTGCTTGCAGTGCCCCAGTGGGTCATACTCTCCTACCTCTGGGCCTTTGCACAGGCAAGCTCTTTTGAGATGTAAATTCCCCATCTCTTCCAAGTTCAGAGGAAGCGCTTCATTGGCTTCCTGGACTGGCTATCTTTAATCAACCTTTAGCTACCAGCTCTGTAGACTTTCTCAAGGAGCTGTACTCTTAACTCCTAAAGTTGTCAGGCACACTGATACACATGTACATCATACACGATACTCACTGTCATACCGTATTATAATCGCTATTTTGCTACCTTGGTTTTTCTTTTCTGCTTTTTTTTTTAAATTGAAGTGCAATTAAGGTATAATAAAATGCACGAAACTTAAGTGTTCAGTTCAGTGAGTTTTGCTTTTGTTTTGAGACAGAGTCTCCCTCTGTCACCCAGGCTGGAGTTCAGTGGCGCAATCTCGACTCACTGCAACCTCCGCCTCCCAAGTTCAAGTGATTCTCCTGCCTCAGCCTCCCAAGTAGCCGGGATTACAAGCGTGTGCCACCATGCCTGGCTAATTTTTGTATTTTTAATAGAGATGGGGTTTCACCATCTTGGCCAGGCTGGTTTCGAACTCCTGACCTCATGTGATCTTCCTGCCTGTGTTGGGATTACAGGCGTGAGCCACCGCACCTGGCCACTTTGGTGAGTTTTGATGACTGAATACATTCATGTACTCACCCAGAACAAAATAAGAACATTTCTGTCATCCCAGAAATGTGTGTGTTTGTGTGTGTCTGTGTCTGTTCCTCTCTAGTCAACATCTCCTCCCATCCACAAATGCAGCCCACTGTGTAACTGGTTACTTGTCTGGATAGACTTTACACTCCATGAGGGCAGTTACCATGTCTACCTTCTTTTTGTTGCCCAAGCTGGAGTTCAGTGGCACAAACATGGCTCACCACAGCCTTAACCTCCTAGGCTCAAGCAATCCTCCTGCCTTAGCCTCCTGAGTAGCGGGGACCATAGGCACATGCCACCATACCCAGACAATTATTGAAAAAAGTTTTGTGAGACAGGGTCTCCCTATGGTGCCTAAGTTGATCTCAAACCCCTGGGCTCAAGTGTTCCTCCCACCTCAGCCTCCCAAAGTGCTGGGATTACAGGTGTGAGCCACCACACCTGGCCTTCATCTTCTTTATACATTTCAAAACCTAGCACATAATAGACAACTTAATAAATATGAATGAATGCATAGAATATTGATAGAATGGATAGAAAACTGCTGGGTATGGTGGCTCACGCCTGTAATCCCAGCACTTTGGGAGGCCGAGGTGGGCAGATCACCTGAGGTTGGGAGTTCGAGACCAGCCTGACCAACATGGAGAAACCCCGTCTCTACTATAAATACAAAATCAGCCGGGCGTGGTGGCAGATGCCTGTAATCCCAGCTACTCAGGAGGCTGAGGCAGGAGAATCGCTTGAGCCCGGGTGATGGAGGTTGCAATGAGCCAAGATCGTGCCATTGCACTTCAGCCTGGGCAACAAGAGTGAAACTCTGTCTCAAAAAAAGAAAAAAAAAAAAAGAAAACTGCAGTGATTACATTAATTTATTGGGATATTTTAGAGATTAACATCACTGACTGTAATAAAAATAGTTAAGAGGCAAAATATAGAAGTCTCCTGTCTCCTTGAGCCTTTGTTCACCCCTGTGCTGGTAATGAGACCTTTCTGTTGAAGTTACAATTCAAGGATTAGGCATTCCATCCCCAATAACAGTTGGCAAAAGTCAAAATAAATATTTTTGGATTCCACAAAATTTGAATTTCACACTGAAGTGATTCAATTTTAAAACATATTTACTTCAAGTCAAGTGTCCAAGTACCATATAAGTAATATCATCTCAAACAGCTACAGAAATGTGAAAATACATTTCAGACATTCACCAACAGACGTCACTGATACGTTGCAGTTATCGTATTTAGCATAAGCTTCAGGTATTAAAAGTAGGCCAGGTGCGGTGGTTCACGCCTGTAATCCCAGCATTTTGGGAGGCCAAGGCGGGCAGATCACTTCAGGTGTGGAGTTTGAGACCAGCCTGTTCAACATGGTGAAACCCTGTCTCTACTAAAAATACAAAAATTAGCCGGGCATGGTGGCGCATACCTGTAATCCCAACTACTTGGGAGGCTGAGGCACAAGAATTGCTTGAACCTGGGGAGGCAGAGGTTGCAGTGAGCCGAGATCACACCACTGCACTCCAGCCTGGATGACAGAGTGGGATTCTGTCTCAAAAAAAAAAAAATGTAGATTAAGTCAACTCTCCCCACCCTCTTGAGAAGTGCTGACAAGGTCGAGAAGACGATAAATGGGACTAAGCCTTTTTTCAAAGATCATAATCAACACATTTATTAAAACCTTGATTGTGTGTAGTGCTATGCCATGCTAAATGATTCACACAGAGAATTAGCTAAACCTTGCCTCTCTCCTCTAACAGTTTACAATCCAAGGCAGACAGGCTGACGCTCTTGCACATTTATAGCCAAATTAGACAGACGCAATGAAATACGAACATTATCAACTGATAAATGAATAAAGTAGACATTCAGGGAAGGAGACATTCAGATGGTTGTGATAAGAAGAGTTGCCTTGAAAATTCCAATTTCAGACTATGCAGGATAAAAAGATTAGTACTCTTATCCATCACCACCTTCATTTACAATCATGTAAGAATATACATGTGCCTAGGCTGGGCACGGGGGGCTCATGCCTGTTATCCCAGCACTTTGGGAGGCCGAGGTGGGTGGATCACAAGGTCAGGAGTTAGAGACCAGCCTGACCAACATGGTGAAACCCCATTTCTAGTAAAAATACAAAAATTAGCCAGGCATGGTGGCGTGCGCCTGTAATCCCAGCTACTCAGGAGGCTGAGGCAAGAGAATTGCTTGAACCCGGGAGACAGAGGTTGCGAAGAGCCGAGATTGCACCATTTGCACTGCAGCCTGGGCAACAGAGTGAGACCCCATCTCAAAAAAAAAAAAAAAAAAGAGATACATGTGCCTAATAATTGTTCCCAAAAATGTCAACCTTTGTCCATCCTCATTCTGAAACCCTTACACCTTCTAGAGTCACAATACTTGTAGCAGTACTTTTTTTTTTTCTTTTTGAGACAGGCTCTTGCTCCATTGCCCAAGCTAGAGTGCAGTGGCAAGATCATGGCTTACTGCAGCATTGACCTTCCTGGCTCAAGTGATCTTCCCCCCTCAGCCTCCTGAATAGCTGGGACTACAGACACCATGCCTGGCCCGTTTTTTTTTTTTTTTTTTTTGTAGAGACAAGATCTCACTATGTTACCCAGACTGGTCTCAGACTCCTGGCCTCAAGCAATCCTCCTGCCTCGCCCTCCCAAAGTGGTGGGATTACAAGCATGACCCACCATTCCTGGCTGCCTGTAGTAATTTTGTAAGACTATAATTTCAAATGGTATTCTTGAACACACATCTGACTATGTCTTTGCTAAAAGGTTAATAAAATAGCCTTTTCTTTTCAGCACTGCTGCCAAGATTTCCAAAACAGCTCTTTTCATCTTGTATTGAATTTTTTTTTGTTTCAACTGATTCAATTCTATTTAATTCTTATCTCCCCTACTTCAACTTTTTTTTTTTTTTTTTTTTGAGACAGAGTTTCGCTCTTGTTGTCCAGGCTGGAGTGCAATGACAAGATCTCAGCTCACTGCAACCTCCACCTCCCAGGTTCAAGCAATTCTCCTGCCTCAGCCTCCTGAGTAGCTGGGACTACAGGTGCACACCACCACACTCGGCTAATTTTCATGGTTTTTTTAGTAGAGACGGGGTTTCTCCATGTTGGCCTGGCTGGTCTCGAACTCTTGACCTCAGGTGATCCACCTGCCTTGGCCTCCCGAAGTGCTGGGATTACAGGCCTGAGCCACACCACCTGCTGAAGCTAATTCTTTAGAATGGCCCCTTTAATTTGAATGGCTAATTATTACACCATTAGACGCTTGAAAAAAATACTTTTGGCCAGGCGCGGTGGCTCAGCAGTACACATATGCAGGTGTGTATATTGATATGACACTCATAGAAGAGTTCTAGGAATTTGCTCGATATGTTTATAGCTGGGTGTGAACTGATAGTCCCGAAGCTGAAAGTGGAAACTCCAGTACCTAGATTCAGATCCATGTTTCAAGTCGCTCTGAATATCACTTTTTTTTTTGTTTGAGACAGGGTCTTGCTCTGTTGCCTAGGCTGGAGTGCAGTGGCACAGTCACGGCTCACTACAGCCTCCACCCCTGGGCTCAAGCGATCCTCCTGCCTCAGCCTCCTGATTAGCTGGAACCACCAGTGGGCGCCACCACACCTGGCTAATTTTTGTAATTTTTGTCGAGATGGAGTTTTGCCCTCTTGCCCAAAATGGTCTGGAACTCCTGGGCTGAAGCAATTCTCCCACCTCAGCCTCCCAAAATGCTGAGATTACAGGCCTAAGCTACCACACCTGCCTGAAAATTATCTTTAAAATGACCTCAGATGCCTGGCTGAGTAATGTGTAGGTACTAGAATAGGCACAGGGGTGCCATAAAAAATGTTAGTAGATGAATGACATAATCCAAGTTTCTTGGTTTTCGTTGTTTTTCCTGTAAATGAATGACCCCTAATAGAAATTTTCAGTTCATGACTGTTAATGGGGATGGGGGAGAAATGTCCAGATCTGTTGTAATCCTTAGCTTTCTAAAATTCTTGCCCAGCCTCTAAAGCACTGCTCTCCAAATCTTATTATGTCTAAGAATAGAAATATCCTGGAGCGCTGACCTGATAGAAGTATTTTTCAGTTGTTTGATAGTGTTCACCTCGACTCTTATTAGAAGAGAGGGTAGCAAAGATTGGGATGCCTTTCCAAAAATATCGAAGCCTTTATCCAATATGGAATCACTGTCCCACAGCAGTGAGAATTACCTTAAGCAAAGTTATCTTGCTTAGAAAGTTGACTATAAAGACGGCTATGAGGACCGAAATCTTAATTTTCTTTTTTTTTTCTGATTACAAAAGGAAAATGCATTATTGTAGAAATATAGAAAAGTGTACAAAAGAATATTAAAATTACGATTCCACTACTTAAAGATAAGCAGTACCAGCATTTTGATGTACATCTGACAATTACAACAGCCAGACTTAACATTTACTGAGTCTTCTAATTTTTTTTTTTTTTGAGAAAGAGTCTTGCTCTGTCGCCCAGGCTGGAGTGCAGTGGCGGCATCTCAGTTCACTGCAAGCTCCACCTCCCCGGTTCACGCCATTCTCCTGCCTCAGTCTCCCCAGCAGCTGGGACTACAGGCGCACGCCTCCATGCCCAGCTAATTTTTTGTATTTTCAGTAGAGACGGGGTTTCACCGTGTTAGCCAGGATGGTCTCCATCTTCTGACCTCGTGATCCGCCCACCTTGGCCTCCCAAAGTGCTGGGATTACAGGCGTGAGCCACCGTGCCCATCCGAGTCTTCCAATTTTTAAAAAGTATGCTGGCCAGAGGCCGGGCATGGCACACAGCTGTAGTCCCAGCTACTCGGGAGGCTGAGGCAGGAGGATTGTTTGAGCCTAGGAGGCAGAGGTTGCAGTGAGCCGAGATTGTGCCACTGCACTCCAGCCTGGGCAACAGAGCTCGACTCCTTCTCAAAAAAAAGAAAAAAAAAAAAGCTAAGCACTATGCGTTAGAACACAGATGTTCTCATTATTTTAAAGACATGGGGGTCTTGCTATGTTGTCCAGGCTACATTCAAATTTTTCCAGAGAATGGGTGTATCAATTTGCATTTCTATTGGTTTTGTATAGAAACAGCCCAATTCTCTGCACTCTGATCAGCGCTTATTAATTTACTCAAATCTTGGCCAATACTGTGTCTATTTTATTTATTTATTTGAAATAGGATCAAGCTGGGCATGGTGGCTCATGTCTATAATCCCAGCACTTTGAAAGGCCGAGGTAGGCAGATCACCTGAGGTCAGGAATTCAAGACCAGCATATAGCCAACATGGTGAAACCCCATCTCTACTAAAAATACAAAAATTAGCCGGGCATGGTGGCAGGCAACTGTAATCCCAACCCTAATCCCTCTAATATTCTGGAGGCTGAGGCAAAAGAATTGCTTGAACCCAGGAGGTGGAGGTTGCAATGAGCAGAGACAGTGCCACTGCACTCCAGCCTGGGAGACAAAGCGAGACTCCGTCCCCACCCCCCCAAAAAAAAAGAAATAGAATCTTACTCTGTCACCCAGGCTGCAGTGCAGTGGCACAATTACAGCTCACTGCAGCCTCAAACTCCTGGTTTCAAGCAATCCTCCCACCTCAGCCTCCTGAGTAGCTGGGACTATAGGTACGTGCCACCACATCTGGCTAATTAAAAAAAAAAAATTTTTTTTGAGACAGAGTATCACTCTTTCACCCAGGCTTGAGTGCAGTGGTGCGATCTCTGCTCACTGCAACCTCCACCTCCTCGGTTCAAGTGATTCTCACGCCTCAGCCTCCCCAGTAGCTGAGATTACAGGTGCCTGCCACCATGCCCGGCTAATTTTTGTATTTTAGTAGAAATGGGGTTTCACCATGTTGGCCAGGCTGGTCTCTAACTCCTGACGTCAAGTGACCCACCTGCCTCAGCCTCACAGCATGTTGGGATTACAGGCATGAGCCACCACGCCCGGCCAAAAATTTTTTTTTGTAGAGGTAGAGTTTTGCTATGTTTCCCAGGCTGGTCTTGAACTCCTGACCTCAAGCAACCCTCCTGCCTCAGCCTCCCAAAGTGTTGGGATTACAGGTATGAACCACCATGCCTGGCTTTCTGAGTCTAAATAATGGCATTTTTCTTATTTTGATTTGCATTTCTTTTATTTTTGGTAGAGTTAAACATTTTTCTTTTTCTTTCCCTCCCATCTTTATTGAGGTGTAATTGACAAATAAAAACTGTATATATTCACGGTGTACAATATGTTTTGATATATTTATACACTGTAAAATGATCACCACAGCCAGGCGTGGTGGCTTATGCCTGTAATCCCAGCACTTTGGGAGGCCGATGCGGGCGGATCACCTGAGGTTGGGAATTCGAGACCAGCCTGACCAACATGGAGAAACCCCGTCTCTACTGAAAATACAAATTCAGCCAGGCGTGGTGGCCCATGCCTGTAATCCCAGCTACTTGGGAGGCTGAAGCAGGAGAATCGCTTGAACCCGGGAGGTGGAGGTTGCAGTGAGCCCAGATGGCACCACTGCACTCCAGCCTGGGCAACAAGAACAAGAGCGAAACTCGTTGTCAAAAAAAGATCACCACCGAAAGGCTAATTAACATATCCACCACCTCATGTAATTACCGTTTTTTGGTGGCAAGAACACTAAGTTCTACTGTGTTAGAAAATGTCAAGTATACAATACATTGTTATTATTATTTATTATTATTTTTTTGAGACGGAGTCTTGCTTTGTCGCCCAGGCTGGAGTGCAGTGGCACAATCTTGGCTCACTGCAAGCTCCACCTCCCTGGTTCACGCCATTCTCCCGCCTCAGCCTCCCGAGTAGATGGGACTACAGGCGCCCGCCACCATGCCTGGTTAATTTTTTGTATTTTTAGTAGAAATGGGGTTTCACCATGTTAGCCAGGATGGTCTTGATCTCCTGACCTCGTGATCCACCCGCCTTGGCCATCCAAAGTGCTGGGATTACAGACGTGAGCCACCGCGCCCGGCCTACATTATTATTAGTTACGGTTACCATATGCTATATTTTTGATCTCCAGAATTTATTTATCTTATAATTGAAACTTTCCTTTGACCAAAATTCTCCTGTTTCTCCCTCCCTATGGCTCTTGTCAACCAACCTACTCTCGTTTCTATGAGTTAGACTTCTTTGGATACCACACATAATGAGATCATGCAGTGTTTATCTTGAGTTGAACTTTTTTTTTCCATCAAGCCAATTGTTTTAGCGTCTTTATGTATTTTAGAAACAAATGAGAATTGTAATGTCAAGGCCTTCAGCATTGACTAGTTTGGAGCTAACTCTTAGAATACAAAAAGGTAGTTCCTGGCCGCGCACAGTGGCTCACGCCTGTAATCCCAGAACTTGGGAGGCTGAGGCAGATGGATCACTTGAGGTCAGGGGTTCAAGACCAGCCTGGCCACCATGGTGAAACACCATCTCTACTAAAAATATAAAAATTAGCCAGGCACAGTGGCACATGCCTGTATTCCCAGCTACTTGGGAGGCTGAGGCAGGAGAATCACTTGAACCTGGGAGGCAGAGGTTGCAGTGAGCTGAGATTACTCCACTGTGCTCCAGCCTGGGCAACAGAGCAAGATTCTGTTTCTTTTTTTTTTTTTTTTTTTTTTGAGATGGAATCTTGTTCTGTCATCCAGGCTGGAATGCAGTGGCACAATCTTGGTTCACTGCAGCCTCTGCTTCCGGGTTTTAAGCAATTCTCCTGCCTCAGCCTCCCCAGTAGCTGAGATTATAGGCACGCACAACCACGCCTGGCTAATTTTTGTATTTTTAGTAGAGGCGAGGTTTCACCATGTTGGCCAGGCTGGTCTCGAACTCCTGACCTCACATGATTCACCCACCTTGGCCTCCCAAAGTGCTGGGATTACAGGTGTGAGCCACAATGCCCGGCCGAGACTCTGTTTCCCAAAAAAAAAAAAAAAAAAGAAAAAAAAGGAATTAGCATTCTACTCCTAAGTATATACTCAAAAGAACTGAAAACATATACTAGAACAAATACTTGTACATGAATGTTCATAGCAGTGCTATAAACAAGAGTCAAAAGACAGATATATCCCAAATTTCCATCAACTGATGAATGGATTAAAACATTGTGGTATATATACACAACAGAATATTATTCAACCATAAGAAATGAAGTACTGATACATGTTACAACATGAATGAATCTGGGTAACATTTTACTAAGTCAAATAAGCCAGAAACGAAAGGTCACATACTGTATCACATCCCCCCCTTGTTTTTGCAGGGACAGGGTCTTGCTCTGTTGCCCAGTCTAGTCTCAAACTTCTGCCCTCAAATGATCCTCCAGCCTCTGCTTCCCAAAGTGCTAGGCTTACAGGCAGGATTCACCATGCCTGGCTGAGTCTATTTGTATGAAACGCCCGGTATAAATGAATCCATAGAGACACAAAGCACACTGGTGGTTTCCAGGGGCTGAGGAGAGTGGAGGAATAGGGAGTAATTGCTTAGTGGACACGGGGTTTCCTTTTACGGTGATGAAGAAGTTTTGAAACAAGGTAGAGGTGGTGGTTGTACATCATGGTGAATGTACTAATATTACTGAATTATTCACTTTATTTTTAAAATTTTTATTTATTCTGATGGAGTCTCACTCTGTTGCCCAGGCTGGATTGCAGTGGTGCAATCTCTCCTCACTGCAACCTCCACCTCCTGGGTTCAAGTGATTCTCCTGCCTCAGCCTCCCGAGTAGCTGGGATTACAGGTGCTCACTACCACGCCCAGCTAGTTTTTTTTTTTTTTTTTATTTTTAGTAGGCAGGCTTTTGCCATGTTGGCCAGGCTGGTCTGTTATAACTCCTGACCTCAGGTGACCCGCCTGCCTCGGCTTCCCAAAGTGCTGGGATTACAGATATGAGCACCACGCCCAGGCTGAATTATTCACTTTATTTATTTTTGAAATGTAGTCTTGCTCTGTTGCCCAGGGTGGAGTGCAGTGGTGCAATCTTGGCTCACTGCAACCTCCACCTCCCAGGTTCAAATGATTCTCCTGCCTCAGCTTCCCGAGTAGCTGGGATTACAGGTGGCCACCACCACACCTGGCTAATTTTTTTTTATTTTTAGTAGAGATGGGGTTTCACCATGTTGGCCAGGCTGGTCTTGAACTCCTGATCTCAGGTGATCTGCCCACCTTGGCCTCCCAAAGTACTGGGATTACAGATGTGAGCCACCATGCCTGGCCAAATTATTTACTTTAAAATGGTTAACTTGATGTCATATGAATTTCATCTCAATTTTTAACAAGCTAAACAAAATAAAAGAATTTGCTTTTCCACTGGGCACAGTGGCTCATACCTGTAATCCCAGCACTTTCAGAGGCCAAGGCAGGAGGATCTCTTGAGCCCAGGAATTTGAGACCAGCTTGGGCAACATAGCAAGACCCTGCCTCTACAAAAAAATTAAAAAACTAGCCACGCAAGGTGGTGCGTGCCTGTGGTCCCAGCTACTCATGAGGCTGACGTGGTAGGGTGGCTTGAGCCTGCACAGTGAAGGCTACCATGGTGATTGCACCATTGCACTCCAGCCTGGGTAACAGAGTGAGACACTCAAAAAAATTTTTTTTGGTCTTTTTTTTCATTTTGATTTTGTAAAAAGTTTGACAACTTCTCCAATATAGTGGAGCCATAGATAACATTCAAAGTATTTTTCCCCTAGCATGTTTCTATTTTCAATCTTCATTTAATCACTAGTGTTAACATGTAGAAAGTAAACCAGGCACAGTGGTTTACACTTATTATCCCAACACTTTCGGAGGCTGAGGTGGGAGGATGGCTTGAGGCCAGGAGATCAAGGCTGCAATGAGCTATAATCCTACCACTGCACTTTAGCCTGGGTGACAGAGTGAAACCCCATCTCTTAAAAGTGGAAAATTATGGGCACGATGTTGTTCGACTTAATTATACCTGAATGCTTTTCCTGAAAGAAAAAGAAAAATCATGTAATTTGAGTTCTCAGGATAATTTGTACTTAGGAAAAATCAAATCCAGAAGCTTACTACCCTTTTCCTATTACTCTAGAGTGGCTAAAGAAGAGTTAAAAGATTAGCTGGAAATTTACATTCCAAATGGATTAATTATTAACAGAGAAACAAATGAAATGTTCAATCATCTGTTCAAGACTGTTGCTTGGCACCTGTTTGCCAAATGCGCTATCTTCCTATTTATGTTTACCATTTGTGTAAGAGATTGGAATCAGGTATATTTTCAAGGTGTCTAAAATTTGAGAGGCAAGGCCCCAGAGTTTGGGTGTTCATCTCCACCCCCTCCGCACCTTCCCCACTTCCTGCCTATTCCCCAAATGTTGTCCACTGCCTATTCACCATTGGTATTTCTGAACAAAGGTTCAGAAAATATCTGGGAACGGGCTCACGCCTGCAACCCCAGCACATTGGGAGGTCAAGGCAAGAGGATCACTTGAGTCCAGGAGTTCAAGACTAACCTGGGTAACACAGTGAAACCCTGTCTCTATAAAATAAAATACAGCTGGGCATGGTGGCTCACGCCTGTAATGCCAGCACTTTAGGAGGCCAAGGCGTGTGGATTACTTGAGGTCAGGAGTTCGAGACCCGCCTGGCCAACATGGTGAAACCCTGTCCCTACTAAAAATAGAAAAAATAGTCAGATGTGGTGGTACATGCCTGCAATCCCAGCTACTCGGGAGGCTGAGACAGGAGAATTGCTTGAACCCAGGAGGCGGAGGACGCAGTGAGCCAAGAGCACGCCACTGCACTCCACCCTGGGTGACAGAGCAGGACTCCATCTCGAAAAATAAATGAATAAAGTAAGATATAAAAATAAATTTAAAGAAAAGAAAATGCCTTAGGCTGAGTGCAGTGGCTCGTACCTGCAGTCCCAGCACTTTAGGAGGCCAAGGCAAGCAGATTGCTTGAGCCTAGGAGTTTGAGACCAGCCTGGGCAACATGGTGAAACCCCGTCTCCATAAAAAATGCAAACATTTAGCTAGGCACGGTGGTTGACACCTCTTAATCCCAGCACTTTGGGAGGCCGAGGTGAACAGATTACTTCAGGTGAGGAGTTCAAAACCAGCCTAGCCAACATGATGAAACCTCATCGCCACTAAAAATACAAAAATTAGCCAGGCGTGGTGTCGCTCACCTATAATCCCAGCTACTCAGAAGACAGAAGAATCGCTTGAACCCAGGAAGCAGAGGTTGCAGTGAGCCAAGATCACGCCACTGCACTCCAGCCTGGGCAATAGAATGAGACCCCCCCCGCGCCCCACAAACAAAATACTGACAAGTACTGGGGGAAAGGGAAACAGACATACTTTGAAAGAATATATTACAAAGGAGGTAGTGATGATCAAGAATATCAAATTACTCCCCAAATTCAAGGCTAGGGGTCAGGGAGCCCTTTTACTAACTGCGATATACAAATGAAGAATCAGCGCCAGTTTGGGCTAGGCGCGGGGGCTCCCACCTGTAATCCCCTTACTTTTGTGTCCGGAAGTGGTGGGTTCTTGATCTTACTAACTTCAAGAATGAAGTGCAGACACTCGCTGTGAGTGTTACAGTTGTTAAAGGCGGCGTGTCTGGAGTTTGTTCTTTCTGATATTCCGATGTGTTCCAGAGTTTTTTCCTTCTGGTGGGTTCCTGGTCTCGCTGGCTCAGGAGTGAAGTTGCGGACCTTCGCGGTGAGTGTTAGAGCTCTTAAGGCGGCGCGTCTACAATTGTTCGTTCCTCTCGGCAGGTTCGTGGTCTCGGGGGCTTACATGAATGAAGCTTCGCAGACTTTCGCGGTGAGTGTCACAGCTCATAAAAGCAATATGGCCCCAAACAGCGAAAAAACTAAACCACCCACACACCTGAAAAACACCCCAACCGATTGTCGCTGCTGGCTCCGCAGCCTGCTTTTATTCTCTTATCTGGCCCCACACACATCCTGCTGATTGGTCCATTTTACAGAGAGCTGATTGGTCTGCTTTACAGAGAGCTGATTGGTCCATTTTGACAGGGTGCTGATTGGTGCATTTAACAATCCCTGAGCTAGACACAAAAGTTCTCCAGTTCTCCACTTCCCCGCTAGATTAGCTAGACACAGAGTGTCCATTGGTGTATTTACAAACCCTGAGCTAGACACAGAGTGCTGATTGGTGCATTTACAAACCTTGAGCTAGATACAGAGTGCCGATTGGTGCAGTCACAAACCCTGAGCAAACACAGGGTGCTGATTGGTGTGTTTACAAACCTTGAGCTAGATACAGAGTGCTGACTGGTGTATTTTCAATCCCTTAGCTAGACATAAAGGTTCTCCAAGTCGCCACCAGAATAACTAGATACAGAGTGCAGATTGGTGTGTTTACAATCCCTTAGCTAGACATAAAGATTCTCCAAGTCCCCACCAGACTCAGGAGCCCAGCTGGCTTCACCCAGTGGATCCCGCACAGGAGCTGCAGGTGGACCTGCCTGCCAGTCCTGTGCCATGTGCCCGTACTCCTCAGCCCTTGGGTGGTTGATGGGACCGGGTGCCGTGGAGCAGGAGGGACTAGCTCGGCTCGTCCGGGAGGTTCCGGCTGCCAAGGAGCTCAGGGCGGGGGGCAGGGGGTGGGGGGAGGCTCAGGCATGGCAGGCTGCAGGTCCCGAGCCCTGCCCTGCAGGGAGGCAGCTAAGGCCCATCGAGAAGTCGAGCACAGCAGCTGCTGGCCCAGGTGCTAAGCCCCTCACTGCCCAAGGCCGGCGGGGCCGGCTGGCCGCTCCGAGTGCAGGGCGCACCGAGCCCATGCCCACCTGGAACTCGCACTGGCCCGCAAGCGTGGCGCACAGCTCCGTTTCCCGCCCTCGCCTCTCCCTCCACACCTCCCCGCAAGCTGAGGGAGCCGGCTCCGGCCTTGGCTAGCCCAGAAAGGGGCTCCCACAGTGCAGCGGCAGGCTGAAGGGCTCCTCAAGTGCGGCCAGAGTGGGTGCCAAGGCTGAGGAGGCGCCGAGAGCGAGTGAGGGCTGTGAGGGCTGCCAGCACGCTGTCACCTCTCGCTTTCGGAGGCCGAGGCGGGCGAATCATGAGGTCAGGAGATCGAGATCATCCTGGCTAACACGGTGAAACCCCATCTCTATTAAAAATTAGCCAGGCGTGGTGGTGGGCGCCTGTAGTCCCAGCTACGAGGGAGGCTGAGGCAGGAGAATGGCATGAACCTGGGAGGCAGAGCTTGCAGTGAGAGGAGATGGCGCCACTGCACTCCAGCCTGGGCGACAAAGCACAACTCCATCTCAAAAAAAAAAAAAAAATCGGTGTCAGTTTGAAGGATAAGGTGATAAATTTCTTTAGTTTTACCGGAAATGTGGTTAAGTCTCAAGTGTCGGCAGGACAAGCCATGCCGACAACTGTTAAAGCAGGCTGGAGACACTTGATGGGTCACATTACATCAGCATCTCCTCCAGAGACTGAGATTTACTCTAGTTGAAACCTTCCCTGACCATCATCCCTGATGGATGATTTTTTCCCTCCCATCACATCAGCATTCACTCCTTTCTTTTTTTTTTTTTTTTGAGATGGAGTCTCACTCTGTCGCCCAGGCTGGAGTGCAGTGGCGTGATCTCAGCTCACTGCAACCTCTGTCTCCTAGGCTCAAGCGATCATCCCACCTCAGCCTCCAAAGTAGCTAGGACTACAGGCGTGTGCCACTGCACCCAGCTAATTTTTTTTTTTTTGAAACGGAGTTTCGCTCTTGTCGCCTAGACTGGAGTGCAATGGTGCAATCTTAGCTCACTGCAACCTCCGCCTCCCAGGTTCAAGCGATTCTCCTGCCTCAGCCTCCAGAGTAGCTGGGATTACAGGCGCTCGCCATCACCCCCGTCTAATTTTTTGTATTTTTAATAGAGATGGGGTTTCACCATGTTGGTCAGGCTGGTCTTGAACATCCTGACCTCAGGTGATCCACCTGCCTCGGCCTCCCAAAGTGCTGGGATTACAGGCATGAGACACCGCGCCCGGCCCCGGGCTAGTTTTTGTATCTTTTGTAGAGACAATGTAGCCATGTTGCCCAGGCTGGTCTTGAGCTCCTGGGCTGAAGCGATCCACCTTCCTTGGCCTCCCAAAATGCTAGGATTACAGGCATGAGGTATTGTGCCTGGCCTGTTCCAGAATCTTTGACCTAAGAAGATAATTGCTGTTACTACCACCTCCTTCCTTCCAGATTTTATTTTTCTTTCTCATTCATCAACTGCCTTTCTAGTCTTGGCCCTTGCCCGCTCATGCTTTCCTCTTTTCCCCAAAATACAGTTTTGCTTAACATATTTTCCCTGATTAAATTCGCCCTAGTCTGCCTACTCTTGAGGCTTTTTTTTGTCTGAATTCTTTCAGCATGAGGTTGGAAGAGACTTTAGAAATCTTCTTGCTCAAATGCCTGCAAGTGTATCAATCCACACTTGTATCATTTTTTTTTTTAATAGATAGAGTCTTGCTCTGTCACCCAGGCTAGAGTGCAGTGGTGCAATCTCAGCTCACTGCAACCTCTGCCTCCTGGGTTTAAGCGATTCTCCTGCCTCAGCCTCCCGAGGAGCTGAGACTACAGGCACATGTCACCACACCCAGCTAATTTTTATATTTTTAGTAGTGAGGGGGTTTCACCATATTGGCCAGGCTGGTCTCGAATTCCTGACCTCAAGTGATCCGCCCACCTCAGCCTCCCAAAGTGCTGGGATTACAGGCGTGAGCCACCGTGCCCGGCCTGTATCTTTTGATAAAAAAGTAAATCTCAACAATTTGTGTGGGTTGGGAAAATGTCTGTCTGAATTAGTGAAAAGTCTGAATTATAAAAATTTTGAAAGTGATGTGATTGTAGCACATTTAAGTGTGTGCGATAACTCTGAATAGACCAAATACAATTTAGGAAAATTGAAATTCTTAGAAATTTGCTTTTACACGGCTGGGTGCGGTGGCTCATGCCTGTAATTCCAGCACTTTGGGAGGCCAAGGCGGGCGGATCATGAGGTTGGGAATTCGAGACCAGCCTGGCCAATATGGTGAAACCACGTCTCTACTAAAAATACAAAAATTAGTCGGTCATGGTGGCGTGGGCCTGTGGTCCCAGCTACTCGGGAGGCTGAGGCAGCAGAATCAGTTGAACCCGGGAGGCAGAGGTTGCAGTGAGCTGAGATCGCATCACTGCACTCCAGCCTGGACGACAGAGTGAGACTCTGTCTCAAAAAAGAAAAAAGAAATTTGCTTTTACAAATAGATAATTATGATTTACCCTGCATTCAATAAGAAATTTATGTTTGTACAATGCTTTATAGTTTTCAAACACTTTTTTTATTATTTATTTTGAAGTAGAGAAGGCAAGTGTTATATTTCCAATTTCAGAGGCAATAAGAAAGCTAGTGACATGGCCAGGCATGGTGACTTGCACCTGTAATCCCAGTAGTTTGGGAGGCCAAAGTGGGCAGATGATTCCAGCCTAGGAGTTTTAGACTAGCCTGGGCAACATGGTGAAACCTGGTCTCTACCGGAAAAAAAAAAAAAAAGAAAAGAGAAAAAAAAAATAACTTGATGCAAGAGCAATTGCGGCTTTTGCCATTACTGTCAATGGTAAAAAACCGCAATTGCTTTTGCACCAACCTAAAATACAAAAATTAGCTCGGGATGGTGGTGCACCCCTGTAATCCCAGCTGCTTGAGAGTCTGAGATGGGAGGATCACCTAAGGCCAGGAGGTCAAGGCCACAGTGAGCTGTAACTGTGTCACTGCACTACTGTACTCCAGCCTGGGCAACAGAGAGAGAGAGAGGAAGGAAGGGAGGGAGGGAGGGAGTGGGGAGGTGGGGGGCCCGTCCTGTTGGCTCACACAAGTAATCCCAGCACTTTGGGAGGCCAAGGCGGGCAGATCACGAGGTCAAGAGATCAAGACCATCCTGGCCAACATGTTGAAACCCTGTCTCTAATAAAAATACAAAAATTAGCTGGGCATGCACTCCTGTAGTCCCAGCTACTCGGGAGGGTGAAGCAGGAGAATCGCTTTACCCTGGGAGGCGGAGGTTGCAGCGAGCCGAGATCGCTCTACTGCACTCCAGCCTGGCAAAAGGCAAGACTCCATCTCAAAAAAACCCAAAAAACCAAAAACAAAGAGAGAAAGAAAGAAGGAGAGAGAGAGAAAGGAAGGAAGGAAGGAAGAGAGAGAGAGAAAGAAAGAAAAAACAGAGGCCAGGCACGGTGGCTCATGCCTGTAATCCCAGCACTTTGGGAGGCCGTGGCGGGCGGATCATTTGAGGCCAGGAGTTCGAGACCACCCTGGCCAACATGGTGAAACCCCGTCTCTACTAAAAAATCCAAAAATTAGCTGGGCATGGTGGTGCACATCTGTGATCCCAGCTATTCGGGACGCTGAGGCAGGAGAGTCACTTGAACCTGGGAGGTGGAGGCTGCAGCAGGCTGAGATTGCACCACTGTGCTCCAGCCTGTGTGACAGAGCAAGACTCTGTCTCAAAAAAAAAAAAGAAAAAAAAAGAAATCTGGTTTCTATTCTGCCATGAAAGGGATGGGTGACCCCCAAGGCCTCAGTTTCCTTATCCTAAAGAACTCAAATTATTTTTGAGAAGGTCACCAGCCAAGTAGCTTTTGTTATAAAATGCAGATGTTCATATTTTTTTCTAGTGTGGTAAAATTCCCTTAACATAAAATTCACCATTTTAACCTTTTTTTTTTTTTTTTTTTTTTTTTTGAGACAGTCTCACTCTGTCGCCCAGGCTGGAGTGCAATGGCACGATCTTGGCTCACTGCAGCCTCTGCCTCCTGAATTCAAGTGATTCTCCTGCCTCAGCCTCCCAAGTAGCCTGGATTACAGGCACACACCACCACACCTGGCTAATTTTTGTATTTTTAGTAGAGATGGGGTTTCGCCATGTTGGCCGGGCTGGTCTTGAACTCCTGACCTCGTGATCCACCCCCCTCAGCCTCCCAAAGTGCTGGGATTACAGGCGTGAGCCACCACGCCCGGCCTTAACCATTTTAAATGGTACAATTCAGTGGCATTTAGTACCTTCACATGCAACCATCACCGCTATCTGTTCCAGAACATTATCATCTGCATATGGATTATCCGGAAGAGTTAAATCCATAGAGACAGGAAGATTGGTGGTTGCCAGGGGCTGGGGAGAGGGGAAAGTGGGCAGTGATTGCTTAATGGGTACAGAGTGTCTTTTAGGGGTGATGAAAATGTTTTGGAACTAGATGGAGATGATAGTTGCCCAACATTGTAAATGCACTAAATGGGACTGAATTGCTCACTTTAAAATGGTTAATTTTACCTCAATTTAAAAAGAGAAAGGGGAAAAAGATAGCTTTGTTTATTAATTAATTAAGCACTTCAGCTGTAGAGAGAGAGAATTTAGATTAATGGGCTAACTCAATGAGACCCAGCCTAATGCCCCCATTACATCTACAGAACTGTGCCCTGAGATTTTAATAGTAGAGACCAGTTAGGCTATCATGAGCTTTCACGTCTCAATGTATAGTTAGAGGACTCGTATTCTCAACATCACCTGGGAGCCTGTTAGACATTCACAACCCC
Organism: Homo sapiens; assembly: GCF_000001405.40. Lineage (NCBI taxonomy): Eukaryota > Metazoa > Chordata > Mammalia > Primates > Hominidae > Homo > Homo sapiens. The sequence goes on along the minus strand of NC_000012.12, from coordinate 121,369,751 downwards.
AGGCTGCCCCAGACCAACTGAACGAGAATTTGTACTTTTTAATTTTATTTTATTTTTGAGACTGAGGGAGTCTCCCTCTGTCGCCCAGGCTGGAGTGCAGTGGTGCAATCTCAATTCACTGCAACCTCCGCCTCGTGAGCTCAAGCGGTTCTCCTGCCCCAGCCTTCCAAGTAGCTGGGATTACAATGCATGCCACCACACCTGTCTAATGTTTGTATTTTTAGTAGAGACGGCGTTTTGCCATGTTGGCCAGGCTGATCTCAAACTCCTGGCCTCAAGTGATCTGCCCGCCTCAGCCTCTGAAAGTGCTGAGATTACAGGCGTGAGACATCGCGCCCGACACAGAATCTGTATTTATTTAACAAGCTTTCCAGGTGATTCACTTGCACGTTGAAGTGTGGAAAATCACAGTTATAGGAACGCTGAAGTGGTACAAGCTTACCCCACTCTAGGCAACCAAATATATATTAACATAATTTCAGTTTTGTTTTTGTTTTTTTTGAGATGGAGTCTCACTCTGTCACTCAGGTTGGAGTGCAGTGGCACGATCTCAGTTGACTGCAACCTCCGCCTCCTGGGTTCAAGCAATTCTCCTGCCTCAGCTTCCCGAGTAATTGGGATTACAGGTGCATGCCACCACGATCGGCTAATTTTTTTTGTATTTTTTTTTAGTAGAGATGGGGTTTCCCCATGTTGGCCAGGGTGGTCTCAAACTCCTGACCTAAAGTGATCCGCCGGCCTTGGCCTCCCAGAGTGCTAGGATTACAGGCCTGAGCCACTGCGCCCGGACATAATTTCAGTTTTTTACAGAGGATGCATTGCGGTATGACTGCTTGCTTAACAGGCTCCCATTAGTCTTTAATTTCCAATCTCCCTTAAGGCACTGGAAAATTTAACCACCATCAAAAGATTTAGCAGTGATTTTCAAGGAACTCAGCTTCTGAGTAGATGAAAGTCTTTACAATACAAAACACACACCAGCGGCCAGAAAATGTTAATATAAGCTTCCAAGTCAGCCAGGGAAATTGCCTTCTTATGTGAGATGTGGCAGAATTTATTTAAGGAGTGACGTGCCTGTAATTCCAGCACTTTGGGAGGCCGAGGCGAGAGGATAACTTGAGCCCAGGAGTTTGAGAGTAGCCTGGGTAAGATAGGAAGACCCATCGCTACAGAAAATTTTAAAAACATTAGCTGGGTGTGGTGACACGTGGCTGTGGTCCCAGCTACCTGGGAGGCTGAGGCGAGAGGATCACTTGAGCCTGGGAGGTCAAGGCTGCAGTGAGACTGGATCAATTATGCTACTGCACTCCAGCCTGGGTGATAGAGTGAGACTCTGTCTCTGAAAAAATAAGCTAAAGAAAAAAGAGGCCGGGCACGGTGGCTCACGCCTGAAATCCCAGCATTTTGGGAGGCCGAGGCAGGAGGATCACCTGAGGTCAGGAGTTTGAGACTAGCCTGGCCAACTCGGTGAAATCCCATCTCTACTAAAAAGACAAAAATTAGTTGGGCACGGTGGCGCATGCCTGTAATCTCAGCTGCTCAGGAGGCTTGAGGCAAGAGAATTTCTTGAACCCGGGAGGCAGAGGTTGCAGTGAGCTGAGATTCCACCACTGCACTCCACCCTGGGCGACAGAGCGAGACTCTGTCTCAAAAAAAAAAAAAAAAAGAAATTAAATGTTTTAGAGTACACCTCTGAATAGGATTTTTTTTTTTTTTTTTTTTGTGACAAGGTCTCACTCTGTTGCCCCCGCCTCCTGGGTTCTACCCATTCTCCTGCCTCAGCCTCCCAAGTAGCTGGGATTATAGGCGCTCACCACAATACAGGGCTTATTTTTGAATTTTTAGTAGAGATGGAGTTTCACCATGTTGGCCAGGCTGGTCTCGAACTCCTGACCTCAAGTGATCCGCCTGCCTCAGCCTCCCAGTGTGCTGGGATTACAGGTGTGAGCCACCGTGCCAGCAGGATTCTTTTTTTTCTTTCTTTGTTTCTTTTTTTGAGACGGGGTCTTCCTTTGTCACCCAGGCTGGAGTGCAGTGGTGCGATCATGGCTCACTGCAGCCTCAAACTCCTGGGCTCAAGTGATCTTCCTACCTCAGCCTCCTGAATAGGTGGGACTACAGACATGCACCACCATGCCTATCTAATTTTTTTTTTTTTTTAAGTAGAGAAGCAGTATCGCTTTCTTGCCCAGGCTGGTCTTGAACTCTCAGGCTCAGGTGATCCACCCACCTCACCCTCCCAAATTGCTGGGATTACAGATATGAGCCACTGTGCCTGGCAGTGAACAAGATTCTCAATGGGTGATTTTAAAGAGGCTGTTCCCTTCAGCCTAGGGTACCCCACCTTTTCCCTGTGCTTTGTTCCTGTCTTTAGTACTTCCTCAGTATCCCAAACTTGAAAATCAAAAGATACAAAGCTAACACGATGATACCCATATTCTACCTAATTTTATGGTAAAATTTGCTTGGTTTAACTTTCTTTTTTTTTTTTTCTTTTTTAAGATGGAGTTTCACTCTTGTTGCCCAGGCTGGAGTCAATGGCACAGTCTCAACTCACTGCACCCTCCGCCTCCCAGGTTCAAATGAGTCTCCTGTCTCAGCCTCCTGAGTAGCTGGGATTACAGGTGCGTGCCACCACGCCCGGCTAACTTTTTTTTTTGTATTTTTAGTAGAGACGGGGTTTTATCTTATTGGTCAGGCTGGTCTTGAACTTCTGACCTCAGGAGTGATAGGATCATGGTTTGCTGTAGCCTCCACCTCCCAGGTTCAAGTGATCCTCCCACCTCAGCCTCCTGAGTAGCTAGGACTACAGTTGCACACCACCATGCCCAGCTAATTTAGTTTATTTTTTGCAAAGACAGGTCTCCCTATGTCTCCGCCCGCCTTGGCCTCCCAAAGTGCTGGGATTACAGGCGTGAGCCACCACACTGGCAGTTTAACTTCTTTTACCAAAATTTAAAAACAAATACATTTAACAAATATTTATTGCATGCCAATTACATACTAGACGCTGCTGCATGTATGGAGATTTAGCAATGACCAAAGAAAAGGGAAATATATCAAAATGACATAGAAGTTATCACTGGGTTGTGGAATGATAGTTTTCCTATTTCTGATTTATCTTGTTCTCCTTTTCTATATTTTTGATGTTTTCTGCAAACAGTATGTATCACTTTTTATAATACCTGAGAAAATATGGATCGGCTTAGTGGCTCATGCCTATAGTCCCAGCACTTTGGGAGGTAGAGGCTGGAGGATCGCTTGATTCCAGGAGTTCGAGACCAGCCTGGACAACATAGGGAGACCTGTCTCTACAAAAAATAAACAAAATTAGCTGGGCATGGTGGTGTGCAACTGTAGTCCTAGTTACTCAGGAGGCTTTGGATGAAACAAGTGGTCCAGAGACAACAATGAGAATTCCTTTCCCCAGGGAGGGAGGTCAATTCAGTTCGTGAGCCTTGAGAAGCTGAAATGCTACCTTGGATCTGGAAATACTTAGTGATGCTTATCAGGCTAGCGATCGAGTTTCCCCAGCAGCTCAGTTAATTACCCAGAACTTTCTGTATTGAGTGAGTCCTAAGACTCTGCGTGACTTTCTCAAAGTCAGGCCTCATTTTATTCAATAGGAGACATTTTTCCCCCTTTCAGCTGGATTTTCTTGGATTATCAAAAGAGAGTGTTTATGCATGCACACAGGAGAACCGGTTCACACATTACATTTTCCTTGCCCAGAGGAATCAGAGCAATTATCCATTCCCTCTAACATCATGTCTCAGAATTGTAGGGTTAGGGTTTGTCATTTTCAGAAGTTTTAGATCTGAGCAGCAGCAGGTCCAGCATGCGTGCGGTGACACTGCTGGCTTTCCCATCCGGGGTGGATGCTGGGAATGATGTGTCAGCACTTAGCTGCTGGTGAACTTCTGTCTAATGAACAATGGAGAAAATTGGCTCTAGCTGGCACAATTCTACTCGGGGTGTACAGTGTTCAGAGATACATGAAATCAGGAATATAATCATCCATTACTCAGAATAACTTTAAAATCTTTGATAATTATTTAGTTCTTTCAAAATCATCACATTGCTGAACATGATTCATGGTTAAATAGCAAGCTGGGTTTCTCATGCTCATTGAAATGTAGAGTCATTGCTGGTGGATGTAAAATGGTGCAGCCACTTTGGAAAACAGTCTGGCAGTTCCTCAAGAAGTTAAATGTAGAGTTAGCATACAACCCAGAAATTCCACTCCTAGGTATGTAACCCAAAGAACTGAAAACCTATGTTCATCCAAAAACATATATGTGAATGTTCATACCATCACTATTCACAATAGCCAAAAGGTGGGAAACAGCCCAAGTGTCCATGAACTGTTGAGTGGATAAACAAAACGTGGTCTATCCATACAATGGAATATTAGGCATAAAAAGGGATAAAGTCCTGATCCATGCTACGGTGTGGATGAACCTCAGAAACATGAAGCTAAATGAAAAGAAGCCAGACACAAAAGACCACATACTGTATAAATCCATCAGAATGGAATTTCCAGAATAGGTCCATCTACAGAGACAGAAAGTAGGTTCGTGCTTGCCAGGAGTTGGGGGAGGGAGAATAGGGAGTGACTGCTACTGGGTATGGCGTTTCTTTTTAGGGAGATGGAAATGTTCTGGAATTAGATAGTGGTGGTCACAGGCTTCTTTTCCTGGCTCCTGAGTCACCCTGATGGGTTGAACTAATAGGATACCCCACAGGGAGATTGGAGGACAAGGGAAAAGGAGAAGCTTCAGAATTTCTTGCCCTTTCTCTCTGCCTCAGGCAACATCCTCCAACAGTGGCTGTATTTTACTTGGCATCACCAACTCCTTCTCAGTGGCTCTAGCTGCTCACCACTTCCTTTGTCCATTTCGACTTGGGAGTGGCACGATCTTGTTACTCATTCTCTCTCTCTCTTTCTTCTTCTTCGTCTTCATCTTCTTCTTCTTCTTTTTCTTCATCTTCGTCTTCCTCTTCCTCTTTTTCTTCTTCCTCTCTGTCTCTCTCTCTCCCTCTCTGTCTCTCTCACTCTCCCTCTCTCTCTCTCTGAGACAGGGTCTTGCTCTGTTGCCCAGGCTGGAGTGCAGTGGCAAAATTGTGGCTCACTGCAGCCTTGACCTCCTGGGATCCCGAGATTCTCCCTGCTCAGCCTCCCAAGTATTTGGGAATACAAGTGTGTGTCACCACACCCAGCAATTTTTTTTTTTTTTTTGAGACAGAGTCTTGCTCTGTCACCCAGGCTGGAGTACAGTGGCGGGATCTCCAGCTTACTGCAACCTTTGCCTCCTGGGTTCAAGCACTTCTCCTGTCTCAGCCTCCTGAGTAGCTGGGATTACAGGCGTACGGCAGCATGCCTGGCTAATTTTTGTATTTTTAGTAGACAGGGTTTTGCCATGTTGGTCAGGCCAGTCTCGAACTCCTGACCTCATGTGATCCGCCCGCCTTGGCCTCCCAGAGTGCTGGGATTACAGGCATGAGCCACCATGCCCAGCCCACATCCAGCAATTTTTAAACTTTTTTTGTAGAGACAAGGTCTTGCTATGTTGCCCAGGCTGGTCTTGAACTCCTGGGCTCAAGCAATTCTTCCTCCTTGATCTCCCAAAGTGCTGGAGTTATAGGTGTGAGTCACTGCACCCAGCTTTATTGCTAATCTCTGTCCCATTTGGGTTCTTAGATCTTTCATTACTTGTGGAACCAATTCTCTGTATTCATCTTTTTGTTTGTAGCTTCTGTTTCCTGCCTGCTCTCTGATGGATAAACCCTTCTAAGGGCTCTATCAATTCATATTCCTTCCAGTACTGTGTGAAACTGTCAGTTTCCTCCAAACCTTACTGCATTTTATCATTGTGGGAAATTGTGTCCCCCGCTTCTACCTGCCCAAATTTATATGTTAAAGCCCTAACCCTGAATAACTCAGAAGGTAACCTTATTTGGAAATAGGGCCATTGCAGATGTAGATTAGTTAAAATATGGGATCCTATGAATCAGGGTGGGTCTCTAATTCAATATGACTGGTATCCTTATAAAAGGGTGAAATATGGACTGGACGCGGTGGCTCACGCCTGTAATCTCAGCACTTTGGGAGGCCGAGGCGGGTGGATTACCTGAGGTCAGGAGTTCGACACCAGCCTGGCCAACATGGTGAAACCTCGTCTCTGCTAAAAATACAAAAATTAGCCAGGTGTGGTGGCGGGCACCTGTAATCCCAGCTACTTGGGAGGCTGAGGCAGGAGAATCACTTGAACCCGGGAGGCGGAGGTTGCAGTGAGCTGAGATTGCGCCACTACACTCCAGCCTGGGCAACAGAGTGAGACTCCGTCTCAAAAAAAAAAAAAAAAAAAAAAAAGCGGGGGTGGAAATACGAACACAGGTATGTGTACAGGCTATGTGAAAATGACCATCTCCAAGCCAAGGAGAGAGGCCTGGAACACATCCTTCATTCATACCCTTCAGAAAGAATTGATCCTGCACACACCTTGATCTTGGACTTCTAGCCTCCAGAGTTGTGAGGCAACACATTTCTGTTGATTAAGCCACCCAGTGTGTGGTGCTTTGTTATGGCAGCCATAGCAAATAAATACTGTTTTTTCATTAGGCATTTTTAAAAACACTCATGCGCAAAAAAGAATTGATGTTTTAAACCGGGCACAGTAGCACCTGCGTGTAGTCCTAGCTTCTAGGGAGGTCGAGGCAGGAGGATCACTTGAGCCCAGGAGTTCAAATCCAGCCTGGGAAACATAGCAAGACTACATTTGTAAAATAAATAAATAAATAAATAAAATAAAAAATAAAGACAAAAAGGGATGTGTTATGACAGATCAAGGATATAACAGGCAGATACAGGTGCTGGAGTCTATGGGGAAGAAAGCAAGAAAGAGGACTGAAGTGGTGGGGAGTCTTTAACAAAGAGGAGGTTGGGCGCGGTGGCTCATGCCTGTAATCCCAGCACTTTGGGAGGCTGAGACGGGTAGATTACCTGAGGTCAGGAGTTCGAGACCAGCCTGGCCAACATGGTGAAACCTTGTCTCTACTAAAAATACAAAAAATTGCTGGGCATGGTGGCATATGCCTGTAATCCCAGCTACTTGGGAGGGTGAGACATGAGAATTGTGGGAACCCAGGAGGCAGAGGTTGCAGTGAGCCAAGATCGCGCTGCTGCACACTCCAGCCTGGGTGACAGAGCGAGACCGCATCTCAAAAAAAAAAAAAAAAAAAAGGCCGGGCGCGGTGGCTCACGCCTGTAATCCCAGCACTTTGGGAGGCCGAGGCGGGCGGATCACGAGGTCAGGAGATCGAGACCATCCCGGCTAAAACGGTGAAACCCCGTCTCTACTAAAAATACAAAAAATTAGCCAGGCGTAGTGGCGGGCGCCTGTAGTCCCAGCTACTTGGGAGGCTGAGGCAGGAGAATGGCGTGAACCCGGGAGGCGGAGCTTGCAGTGAGCCGAGATCCCGCCACTGCACTCCAGCCTGGGCGACAGAGCGAGACTCCATCTCAAAAAAAAAAAAAAAAACAGGCAAAGATAGAGGTAAGCAAATAAAAGCTAATTAGGTGGCAGCCTGTAATGTCCTTCCATTTAACTAACATGTATTGAAGGCCGGGAGTGGTGGCTCACCCTGGTAAACCCAGGACTTTGGGAGGCCGAGGCAGGAGGGTCGCTTGAGCTCAGGAGTTTGAGACCAGCCTGGGCAACATAGTGAGACCCTGTCTCTACTAAAAATCAAGAAAATTAGCCGGGCATTATGGCATGTGGCTGTAGTTCCAGCTACTTGGGAGACTGAGGTAGGAGGATCACTTGAGCCTGGGAGATGGAGGCTGCAGTGAACTGTGATTGTACCACTACACTGCAGCCTGGATGACAGAGTGAGACCACCATCTCAAAAAACAAAAAAAACCCCAAAACAACCCAAAACCATGGACTGATTGTCATGCCAGAAGCAGGGTGGTCTGAGGGGCACCCAGAGGTCCCTGCCCAAGCTTGCTGAAATTCAGCCACTCAAATGTTATTTTTATTTTTATTTTTTGAGATAGGGTCTGGCTCTGTTGCTGAGCCTGGAGTGCAGTGGCACGATCTCAGCTCACTGCAGCCTCCACCTTTGGAGCTCAAGTGATCCTCTCACCTCAGCCTCCCGAGTAGCTGGGACTAGAGACGCTCACCACCATGCCCAACTTTTTTGTTTGTTTGCTTTTTGTATATTTTGTAAAGATGGGGTTTCGCCATGTTGGCCTAGCTCATCTCGAACCCCTGGCCTTAAGTGATTCATCTGCCTTAGCCTCCCAAAGTGCTGGGATTAAAGGCGTGGGCTACCACGCCCAGTCTCACAAGTTTTTTTTTTGAGGTGGAGTTTCGCTTTTGTTACCCAGGCTGGAGTGCAATGTGCGATCTCAGCTCACCGTAACCTCCGACTCCCGGGTTCAAGCAATTCTCCTGCCTCAGCCTCCTGAGTAGCTGGGATTACAGGCATGCACCACCACGCCCAGCTAATTTTGTATTTTTAGTAGAGATGAGGTTTTCTCCATGTTGGCCAGGCTGGTCTTGAACTCCCGACCTCAGGTGATTCACCCGCTTCGGCCTCCCAAAGTGCTGGGATTACAGGCGTGAGCCATTGCACCCGGCCTAAGTTATTTTTTGTTAAGCACTATTTTATTCTGTGGCCCTGTGAGAAGATTAAATACTCTGAAATTTGTAGACACAGGTTCATTGCAGCATTACTCACAATAGCCAAAATGTGGAAACCACCCAAATGTCCATCCATGGGCAAATGGGTAAACAAAATGTGATCTCTCCATACAATGGAATATGATTCAGTCATTAAAAGGAATGGAGTGGCCGGGTACGGTGGCTCACGCCTGTAATCCCAGCACTTTGGGAGGCTGAGGCGGGCCGATCACAAGGTCAGGAGATTGAGACAATCCTGGCTAACACATGAAACCTTGTCTCTACTAAAAATACAAAAAAAAAAAAAATTAGACGGGCGTTGTGGCGGGCACCTGTAATCCCAGCTACTCTGGAGCCTGAGGCAGGAGAATGGCTTGAACCCCGGAGGCGGAGGGTGCAGTGAGCCGAGATCGCGCCACTGCACTCCAGCCTGGGAAACAGAGCGAGACTCCATCTCAAAAAAAAAAAAAAAAAAAGGAATGGAGTACTGACACGCTGCAACATGCATGAACCTTGAAACAACGTTATGCTAAGTGAAAGAAATCAGATCCCAAAGGCTGCATATTGTATGATTCTATTTATAGTAAATATCCTGAAAAGGCAAATCCATAGAGACAAGAAGCAGCCTAGTGATTTCCGGAGGCTGGGGAGAAGGGATGGGAGAATGGGGAGTCACTGCTAAAGTGCGTGTGTTTTCTTTTTGGGGATGATGAAAAAGTTCTGGTACCGAATAATAGTGAAGGTTGCATATCACAGTGAATGTACTAAATGACACTGAATTGTGTATGTGATTAAAATGGTAGGGTTTTTTTGTTGTTGTTTTGTTTTTTTTTTTGAGATAGAGTCTCCTCTGTCACCCAGTCCGGAGTGGAGTGGTCCGATCTCGGCTCATTGCAACCTCTGCCTCCTGGGTTCAAGCGATTATCGTGCCTCAGCCTCCTGAGTAGCTGGGATTACAGGTGCGTGCCACCACGCCTGGCTAATTTTTGTGTTTTTAGTAGAGATAGGGGTTTTGCTGTGTTGGCCAGGCTGGTCTCGAACTCCTGATCTCAAGTGATTCGCCCGCCTCACCCTCCCAAAGTGCTGGGATTACAGGCATGAGTCACTGCGCCTGGCCTAAAATGGTAATTATTTTTTTTTTGAAAGACATGGTCTCACTGTGTTGCCTAAGTTGCTCTCAAACTCTTGGGTTCAAGCAATCCTCCTACTTTGTCCTCCCAAAGTGCTGAGATTATAGGTGTGAGCCGCTGCTCCTGGCCCTAAAATAGTAATGTTTACGTTTGACCTTTAAATTGTTATTATTACTGTAATTATTAGAGACAGGGTCTCCTTCTGTTATCCAGGCTGGGGTGCAATGGTATGATCATAGCTCACTGCAGCTTCAAATTTCTGGGCTCAAGCCATCCTCCTGCCGCAGCCTTCCATGTAGCTAAGACTACAGGTGTACGCCACCATGCCCAGCTAATTTTTGTACTTATTTTTGTAGAGATGGGGGTCTCACTATGTTGCCCAGGCTGGTCTCGAACTCCTAGCTTAAAGTGATCCTCTTGCCTTGGCCTCCCAAAGTGTTAGGATTACTGGTATGAGCCACTGTGCTTGGCTAACGTTAATTTTATTTTATTTTTTTTTGAGATGAGGTCTCAGTCTGTCACCCAGGCTGTGGAGTGCAGTGGTGCGATCTTGGCTCCCCGCAACTTCCGCCTCCCGGGCTCAAGTAATCCTCCCACCTCAGCCTCCTGAGTAGCTGGGACTACAGGCATGCACCACCATGCCTAACTAATTTTAGTAGAGATGGGGTCTCACCATGTAACCCAGGCTGGTCTCTAACTCCTGAGCTCAAGTGATCTACCTGACTCGGCCTCCCAAATTGTTGGGATTACAGGCGTGAGCCACCGCATCCAGCCGCTGGCTGACTTTTTATTTTTAAAACATTTTTTTGTTTGTTTGTTTGTTTTTGAGATGGAGCCTCTCTCTGTCACCCAGTCCAGAGTGGAGTGGTCCGATCTCGGCTCATTGCAACCTCTGCCTCCCGGGTTCAAGTGGTTCTCATGCCTCAGCCTCCCGAGTAGCTGGGATTACAGGCTACTGGGATTACGCCTGGAATCCCAGCACTTTGGGACGCCGAGGCAGGCGGATCACGAGGTCAGGAGATCGAGACCATCCTGGATAACACAGTGAAACCCCGTCTCTACTAAAAATACAAAAAGAAATTAGCTGGGCATGGTGGCGGGCACCTGTAGTTCCAGCTACTCTGGAGGCTGAGGCAGGAGAATGGCGTGAACCCGGGAAGCGGAGATTGCAGTGAACCGAGATCGCGCCACTGCACTCCAGCCTGGCGACAGAGCGAGACTCCGTCTCAAAACAAACAAACAAACAAAAAATTTTTAAATAAAAATAAAGAGTAACAAGTCAGAATTTTAGCACTGCAGATGACTTAACACATCATCTAGTACAGACCTTTCATTGCGAAGGCGATTAACCCGAGATAAAAAACTGGGTTGTCGCTTGAATTACAGAGCTGGTTTCGAGGCCAACACTAGAACCTGGGGGTTCTGATTCCCAGGGTAGCTCTTTTGTCTCATCGATCACAAATATTCTTGAATCATGGTTTTTCTCATTATGCTTGATTCTATTTCTCTTTGCAGATTGGCCTTCTTCTCTTTCTCTACAGGCAGCAAAGAATATGCCATCTACAGCCTTGCTTAGCAACCTCAGGAGAAAGGGAGCTCTTCTTTCTCTAGAGTCCATAGTGCAATCCCAGAGAAGCGTTGATTAGCTGTGCTAGGGCTCCATGCCCATCCCTGTATCCAGAGGGACATGTTCTACAACTTCGTGCAAATTAAAAACAACACATTTTTGAGGAGGACAGTAGAGTATGCTGGGCAAACTAAATAAATAAAAATAAATAAACCAAAGTCCACTGCAGGTTACAAAGCCGTGCTTCCTTTATTACCTTGGAGTGCTGCTTTGAAATGTTGGTGTAAGGAACAGCATTTATAGCAGCCAATGACCCATCTATAATGGCAGGTCCTCCTTAGTCTCCTGGAGACAGAGACTGGTGCATCAAAGGGACTTCTGGCTAGTTTCTTTCTTTTCTTTCTTCCTTTCCTTCCTTTCATTCTCTCTTTGTTTTCTTTTTCTTTTTCTTTTTTTTTTTTTTGAGATGGAGTCTCACTCTCTTGCCCAGGCTGGAGTGCAGTGGAGTGATTTTGGCTCACTGCAACCTCTGCCTCCTGGGTTCAAGCAGTTCTCCTGCCTCAGCCTCCTGAGTAGCTGGGATTACAGGCATGCGCCACCACACCCAGCTCATTTTTTGTATTTTTAGTAGAGATAGGGTTTCATTGTGTTGGCCAGGCTGGTCTCGAACTCCTAACCTCAGGTGATCCACCCGCCTTGGCATCCCAAAGTGTAGGGATTACAGGCATGAGCCACCGTGCCCAGGCCTCTTTCTTTTCCTCCCTCCCTCCCTCCATTCTTTCTGTCTCTCTCTCTCCTTCCTTCCCTCCCTCCCTCTCTCTTTCTCTTTCTCTCTCTCTTTCTTTCTCTTTCTTCTCTCTCTTTCTTTCCCCTCCCTCCCTCCGTTCTTTCTCTCTCTCTTTCCTTCCTTCCCTCCCTCCCTTTCTTTCTCTTTCTCTTTTTTTCTCTTTCTTCTCTCTTTCTCTCTCTTTCTTTCTTTCTTTCTTTCTTTTCCCTCCTTCCTTCCCTCCCTTCCTTCCCTCCTTCTCTCTCTTTCTCTCTCTCTCTCCCTTTCTTTCATTTTGATACAATGTCTCACTGTCACCCAGGCTGGAGTATAGTGGCATGCTCACAGCTCACTGCAGCCTTGACCTCCTGGACTCAAGTGATTCTCCCACCTCAGCCTCCTAGTAACTGGGAATACAAGCACACACCACCATGCCTGGCTATTTATTTATTTTTTTAATTTCTTGTAGACACAGGGTCTTATCATGTTGTCCAGGCTGGTCTTAAACTCCTGGGCTCAAGCAATCCTCCCACCCTCGGCCTCCCAAGTGCTGGGACTACAGGCATAAGCCACTGTGCCCAGCCTTGGGTAGTTTCTTATGACAATTGTTTTCCTCCACGAGGTCAAACACCTAGTTTGTATATTCACTGCTGTACTCGCATGGACTTAGCACAATGTCTGGCATATAGTACGTACTCAAAAATATTTGTTGAGTGAATGTAAGGATTTGCAGCACAGTTGACTCAAAGGCATATTGACAATAACTGAGCATATACTAAATGTGTCAGAAACTAAGGATGCAAAGATTTTTTTAAAAAAGCAAACCTGCTCCCTGCCTATGACAGCCCACCAGAGGAGGCAGTTACTTAAGTAAGTCATTGATATAAAATCATACACATAATAAATGAAGCTTGAACAAAGTGCTACAAAAATGGTCACATGATCTCTAAGATGATGGAGTAAGTCCAAAAGAGTTCAAATGTTTTCAGGGTTTTGATATTTAGCCATGTTCTTTTTTTTTTTTTTTTTTTGAGAAGGAGTTTCACTCTTGTTGCCTAGGCTGGAGTGCAATGGAATGATCTTGGTTCACTGTATCCTCTGCCTACTGGGTTCAAACGATTCTCCTGCCTCAGCCTCCCAAATAGCTGGGATTACAGGCATGCGCCACCATGGCCGGCTAATTTTTTATTTTTAGTAGAAAAGGTTTCACCATGTTGGTCAGGATGGTCTTGAACTCCTGACCTCAGGTGATCCACCTGACTCAGCCTCCCAAAGTGCTGTGATTACAGGCGTGAACCATGGCGCCTGGCCTAGCAACATTCTTAAAATCAGATATATACATATAGAAAAGTCTAGGCCGGGTGTGATGGCTGACACCTGTAATCCCAGCATCTTGGGAGACTGAGGTGGGAGGATTTTGTGAGCCCAGGACTTACAGACCAGCCTGAGCAACACAGTGAGACTCTATCTCTACAAAAAAATTAAAAATTAGCCACATGTGGTGGTGCATTCCTGTGGTCCCAGCTATTCGGGAGGCTGAGGTGGGAGGATCGCTTGAGCACAGGAGGTGGAGGCTACAGTAAGCTGTGATCATGCCACCGCACTCCAGCCTGGGCCACAGAGTGAGACCCTGGCTCCAAAAAACAAAACAGAACAAAACAAAAAACCCAATAACGATTGATGAGGATTGTAGTGAGTTGGAAACGGCATGCCCTAAATAAAGGTGGCTTATTTATTTATTTATGAGACAGAGTCTCACTCTGTCGTCCAGGCTAGAGTGCAGTGGTAATCATAGGTCACTGCAGCCTTGAACTCCTGGGCTCAAGGTATCCTCCGGCCTCAGCCTCCCAAGTAGCTGGGATTACAGGTGCATCCCAGCACACCTGGCTAATTTTTGTATTTTTAGTAGAGACAGGGTTTCACCATGTTGGCCAGGCATGTGTCAAACTCCTGGCCTCAAAGTGATCCACCCACCTCTGCCTCCCAAGGTGCTGGGATTATAGGCATGAGCCGCCACCTCCAGCCTATTTATTTATTTATTTTTGAGATGGAGTTTTTGCTCTGTTGCCCAGGCTGGAGTGCAGTGGCATGACCTCGGCTCACTACAACCTCTGCCTCCTGGGTTCAACCGATCCTCCTGCCTCAGCCCCCCGAGTAGCTGGGATTACAGGCACCCCCCACCATGCCTGGCTAATTTTTATATTTTTAATAGAGACAGGGTTTCACCATGTTGCCCAGGCTGGTCTCGAGCTCCTGACCTCAAGTGATCTGCCTGCCTTGGCCTCCCAAAATGTTGGGATTACAGGCATGAGCCATTGCACCTGGCCAAAGGCAGCTTATGCTGTGCATATCCAGTCAGTTGTTACCATCTAGGAATAAATCATGTTACCAAATTTTCAAATTTTTCAAGTGAAGCTGGAAATGTAGTTCTTTGTTGGCAGAAATATCCTAATTTTTAAGTGTTGGCAAACACCATGCAAAGCAAATAAAATATATCTAATGAGCCGCATTTAGTTTAGATTGCAACTTCAGTTTGCAACTTCTGGCTTAGAAATTCATCCCTTTTGGTCCCCAGCACCTAGAACAGTGCCTTAAATATAGCAGGAGCTTAGCACAGTGTTACTGAATAAATGAATCAATGGCTTGAAAGTCTTACCAATTTACAGTAAAATTGTTATTTAGGATTTTGTAAAATTACTTTCCTCTTTCCATTCATTAAGTGTTCCTACTCAGGATTTTAAGGTTGAATACTAGTTTATTCCACACAGACCCTTTGTCAAACCTTATTTATGGTATACACATATGCAAAAATATCCTAAAGAGCTGGGAGATTGTAAGTATGCTTTTTCATTAATAGAGTGAGGCATAAAAATAAACCGAGGCAAAGAAAGAGGTTAAGTGAGTATTAAATTCCTGGCAAAAGCCAGCTTCTCCTTTCACAAATAAAAGATAGTTATATAATAATTATGTATGGTAACTAAAACATACAGAGTTCTCAAGATAGGAAAGCTTGTATTACAAGATATCAATGTCTTCTTTTTTGATAGCATCATTTAGCTTATACATATCTGCCTTCTTTTTTGTTTTTGTGAACTAATAATGCATATTCATTCATTATTCATTAAACAAATAGCGATTGAGAAAACAAAAACCAGGCATGAGGCTGCATGCAGTGGCCCATGCCTTTAATCGTAGCAATTTGGGAGGCTGAGGCAGGAGGATCACTTGAGTCCAGGAGTTCGAGACCAGCCTGGACAACATCGCAAGACCTCGTGTCTACAAAAAATAAAAAAATTAGCCATGCATCCAGGCACAGTGGCTCAGGCCTGTAATCCCAGCACTTTTGGAGGCGGAGATGGGCGGGTCACCTGAGGTCAGGAGTTCAACCAGTTCAAGACCAGCCGGGCCAACATGGTGAAACCCCATCTCTACAAACAATACAAAAATTAGCCGGGCGTGGTGGTGCGTGCCTGTAGTTCCAGCTACTCGGGAGGCTGAGGCAGGAGAATTGCTTGAACCCGGGAGGTAGAGATTGTAGTGAGCCGAAATCGAGCGACTGTACTCCAGACTGGGCGACAGAGCAAGACTCCGTATCGGGAAAAAAAAAAAAAAAAAATTAGCCATGCATGGTGGCACAAGCCTGTAGTCTCAACTACTCGTGAGGCTGAGGTGGGAGGATTGCTTGAGCCTGGCATTCCTGAGGGCGAGGGGGTCTCCTGCCCTGCTCATGTCTAATTACCTACTTTAACTGGAGGCTGAGGTTGCAGTGAGCCGTGAGCGTGCCACTGCAGTCCAGCCTCGGTAGCAGAATGAGAGAGAGAGAAAGTATAATTTAAACAAACATAAAAATGGGCACAAGGCAGGCCGGGCGCGGTGGCTCACGCCTGTAATCCCAGCACTTTGGGAGGCCGAGGCGGGAGGATCACGAGGTCAGGAGATTGAGACCATCCTGGCTAACACGGTGACACCCCGTCTCTACTAAAAATACAAAAAATTAGCCGGGCGTGGTGGCCGATGCCTGTAGTCCCAGCTACTCGGTAGGCTGAAGCAGGAGAATGGCGTGAACCAGGGAGGTAGAGCTTGCAGTGAGCAGAGATCGCGCCACTGCACTCCAGCCTGGGCGACAGAGGAGACTCCGTCTCAAAACAAAACAAAACAAAACAAAAGGCACAAGGCACAGTGTGTGCATGTGGATAGCCAAAGTTGAATGGTATGTGGTTTTTCTTTCAAGGGACATAAAGACTAATAGGGATACCAGATCATTAATAATAATTCAGGGTATAGAGAACTAAGTGTCTTGGGAGAGGTACAGATGAACGGAAGGGGAATTGTGAAAAATCAGGTTCAAAATGTTGGCTGGGGATTGCTTTTGGAGGGCTTTGAAATGCAGAGTATAGATTTTGTAGTTTATTAGGTAGGAAACTGACTCAGCACATGGAGGTGATGTTGCTAATGTTCTATTTCACGTAAGGATACACGACCACTGGCAACCTGATCTGGCTGTCTGCAAATGGCATTTGTGAAACGCTGAAGAAAAATCTCATGTTCCTATCTTTAAAAAGACAGAGTTAAACTCCTAAACATTTGAGTTTAAAAGTAACATAATAAATACATACTTTAAGGGTGCAAATTTAATTTCGGTACTTTTAAACACAATCATTTAAACATTCTATTTGAACTATTTTCAAATTACATGAACAAGCCAGGCGCGCTGCCTGTAGTCCCAGCTTCTCGGGAAGGCGGGAGGATCGCTCGAGCCCAGGATTTGGGAGGGTGCAGTGCTCTTTGAGGGCGTCTACGAATAACCACTGCCCTCCAGTCTTGGTAACATAGCGAGATATCGTCTCAAACAACAACAACGACAACCACCACCACCACCACCAACAACAACAACCAACAACAAAAAAACCACTTTGGGAGCTCCTCAGTCCCTTCAGCCCCGACCCCAAGCATCGACTTCCCCTCCCATCCGGTCCCTGTCCACGTAGCCTGGGAACCTGCTCCCACTCGGCAAAAGTTTCTGTAGGGAGTCAGTCTTTTGGTGCACCCCTCCCCGCACTCTTGTACATTCTGACTGGCTGTCGCTCTCCCATGTGCTCTGACAGACTGCTCTGATTGGTTAACAAATGCCGCGAGCACGCGGATGTCTGTTTCCTGGGATATTGTGAGGGCGGGCGGAGATGTAGACCCGGTAGTGTTGTGCCTTGTGGTGACAACTGGCGGCAGCGCGCCGCGGGCCCGAGACTTAGTCTCGGGCCGCCATGGCCAGCGTCCACGAGAGCCTCTACTTCAATCCCATGATGACCAATGGGGTTGTGCACGCCAATGTGTTCGGCATCAAGGACTGGGTGACGCCGTACAAGATCGCGGTGCTGGTGCTGCTGAACGAGATGAGCCGCACAGGCGAGGGCGCCGTCAGCCTCATGGAGCGGCGGAGGCTCAACCAGCTGCTCCTGCCCCTGCTGCAGGTGAGAGGCGCCCGCTGGCTCCTGCTCGTGCAGCAAACTTTTACTGAGCATCTGCTCTGTGCGGAACCCTGGGCTTGGGGACACTCGTGTCCATCAGATACTCTCCCTGCCTGGAGGAACGTGAAGAAATAAAGATAGCTACTACCGGTAGCTAACACGTACTGAGCGTTTACGGTGGGCCAGGCGCTTTACATGCATTTTTTTTTTTTGCAAGTTCATGTCTGGCTCCAGTATTTATTAGCTGAGAGTTAGAGTCTCAGATCCTGTATCTTCTTTAAAATGGGGCTATACAATAGAGCGTTGGAGACACAGGGATAAGTCATACAGGCTCCCTATCCTAGAGGACCGTAATAAACAGTAAAAATGCCATAAAACCGGGCCGGGCGCAGTGGCTCACGCCTATAATCTCCGCACTTTGGGAGGGTAAGGCGGGTGGATCACGAGGTCAGGAGTTCGAGACCAGCCTGACCAACGTAGTGAAACCCCGTCTCTACTAAAAACACAAAAAATTAGCTGGACGTGGTGGCGGGCACCTGTAATTTCAGCTACTCGGGAGGCTGAGGCAGGAGAATCGCTAGAACCTGGGAAGCGGAGGTTGCAGTGAGCCGAGATCGCGCCACTGCACTCCAGCTTGGGCGACAGTGCAAGACTCCGTTTCAAAAAAAAAAAAGGCATAAAGCCAAGGACGAGCACTGATTGAATACTTAACTGTGTGCTAAGCACTTTACTTAAAATTTGTTTTAAATTATTATTATTTTTTTGAGACAGGGTCTCGCTTTGTCGCCCAGGCTGGAGTGCAGTAGTGTGATCGCGGCTCACTGCAGCCTCGACCTCTCAGGCTCAGGTGATCCTCCCACCTCAGCCTCCCAAGTAGCTGGGAGTACAGGCGCGGGTCACTACGCCCAGCTAATTTTTTTGCATTTTTTGTAGAGACGGGATTTTGCCATGTTACCCAGGCTGGCCGGGAACTCCTGGACTCAAGCAATCCTCCCGTCTGGTCTCCCAGAGTATTGGGATTACAGGAGTGAGCCACTGCGCCCGGCCGTCATGTGTTATTTCATTTTGCAGACACAGGTTTAGCTCAGATAATTAAGTTCCTTAATTCATTTGGGTCTCAGTTTTCTCTCTGTAAAATGGGAACAATAGTAGAAACTGTTACTAGCATGTAGTAAATGCTCAATATTACTAGAATTTTCATTTTAGTGTGTTCACATATGGCATATACCTTCCCCTATATCAGTTGTGGTTTTTCCATTTATATTCATGGTTACGTGAGTGATGGCCTTCTCTCCCATTAGACGGTAACCTCCACCAGCTCAGTACTTAGTCCTGTTTTTGTTTACTGGTACATCCCCAAAGCCTCCTAGAATGCCTGAGTAGTTTTTTGTAAAATGAATGAAATGCGATAGAGGTGGATGAGTGCACTCATGGAGAGGATTTTTTTTTTTTTTTTGAGACGGAGTCTCGCTCCGTCGCTCAGGCCAGAGTGCAGTGGCACGATCACGGCTCACTGCAGGCTCCGCCTCCCGGGTTCACGCCATTCTCCTGCCTCAGCCTCCGGAGTAGCTGGGACTATAGGCTCCCGCCACCACGCCCGGCTAATTTTTTGTATTTTTAGTAGAGACGGGGTTTCACCGTGTTAGCCGGGATGGTCTCGATCTCCAGACCTCGTGATCTGTCCGCCTCGGCCTCCCAAAGTGCTGGGATTACAGGCATGAGCCACCGCGCCCGGCCCGAGGATTTCTTACAGAAAGTGTGAAGCTGTGCCTTGATGGATAAGCATTGTCTGTTGAGTAACAGTGATGGCAGAAACAGATCTGGGTCCCTGGGCCTCTATATTATGGGATCTTAAAAGATAAACCTAATAAAATTAGTGTCTAGAGTTGCATTTATATTCCTTAGTATAGTTTATAAAGGCTTTTTTAAAAAATTTATCACTTGTATTTGTGGGTGAGGGGCATGGGAAGAGGGGAGAACTGAGGACACCATGGTCAAGAGACCTACCCAGTTAAATAAAAGGGATGTCTTTATAACTTGTGGCTCCCAGGGCTAGCCACGTCTGCTATTACTATAAATGCATTTCCCTCCATTATTAAAGTTATAATACTAAAATTTTGGTAAATAAAAGGCCGGGTGGGATCACACCTGTAACCCCGGCACTTTGGGAGGCTGAGGTGGGTGGATCACTTGAGGTCAGGAGTTCGAGACCAGCCTGGCCAACACAGTGAAACCCCATCTCTACTAAAAATACAAAAAAAAATTAGCCGGGCATTGTGATGTGCGCCTGTAGTCCCAGCTACTCGGGAGGCTGAGGCAGGAAATCATTTGAACCCAGGAGGTGGAGGTTGCAGTGAGCTGAGATCACATCACTGCACTCCAGCCTGGGCATCCGTCTCCAAAAAAAAAAAAAAAATAGAAACAGTGATTCTGGTCTCTTAACTCTCACCTTCCTGCTCATGTTGTTTTTTGCTGTTTGGAATTCTTTCTGGTTTTTAACCTGGCTAACTACTATATAGTTATTTTATTTAATTTTTTATTTTTAAATTTATTTTTTTTTTAATTTTTTTAGAGTGGTGGGATCTCACTCCCTCAGTCACCTGGGCTGGAGTGCCGTGGTGCGATCCTAGCTTACCATAGCCTCCACCTCCCAGGCTCAAGCTGTCCTCCTACCTCAGTCTTCTAAGTAGCTAGGACTACAGGCACCTGCCACCATGCCTGGCTAATTTTTAAATTTTGGTAGAGATGTAGTCTCCCTATGTTGCTCAGGCTAGTCTTGAACTCCTGGGCTCAAGGGATCCACCTGCCTCAGCTTCCCAAAGTGCTGGCATTACAGGCATGAGCCACCACACCTGGCCCCCTACTGTATAGTTTTAATCAAAATGTATGTAGAGTTCATCTAGTAGCATCCCAGCCAGACCTCAACTCCTTTACTAACTGTTTGATTTCTTAAATTAGTTAATTTTTGGCTTGGTGCCTAGACTTTGGGAGGCCAACGTGGGAGGATCACTTGAGCCTAGGAGTTCAAGAGCAGCCTGGGCATGGGATTTCACCATGTTGTCCAGGCTGGTCTCGAACTCCTGACCTCAAGTAATCTGCCTGCTTCAGCCTCCCAAGGCGCTGGTATTACAGGCGTGAGCCACTGCGCCAGGCCCCAAATGGTCTTTTTAATGGCTGCATTATATTTCACAGTAAGAAAAGCAACATAATTCAACTCTGTATTATAAATTAAGTCTTTATTGGACTTACAGGCTCCTTTCAGTTTTTCTTCATTTCAAACAATGTATGCCAAAATAACTTCCCTAGAAGTGCAATTGCTGGGTTATCCACATCTAAAGTTGGCATATATGCAGTCATCTTATTCTCTGAAAAAGAGTCTAAATTTAGTTTTAAATCTCAACTAGACTGTAATCTTCTTGGTAGCTGAGGTTGCATACTCTTTATTCCTTGTGGTACTCTTTTTTTTTTATTGGAGACGGAGTCTTGCTCTGTCGCCCAGGCTGGAGTGCAATGGCGTGATCTTGGCTCACTGCAACCTCCACCTGCCAGGTTCAAGCCATTCTCCCGCCTCAGCCTCCCAAGTAGCTGGGACTACAGGTGTGTGCCACCATGCCTGGCTAATTTTTGTGTTTTTAGTAGAGACGGGGTTTTGCCATGTTGGCCAGGCTGGTCTTGAACTCCTGGCTTCAGGTGATCTGCCCACCTTGGCCTCCCAAAATGTTGGGATTATAGGCATGAGCCACTGTGCCCGGCCTCTCGTCATACTCTTTATAGACTTCAGCACATAGTATGTCTGCCTACCTTACAAGGTTTGGGAGAAGATCAAATGAGATTGTGTTTGTGAAAAATAGTATTTGTATAGTGTTTTCCAGTTTACAAAGCACTTTGTATTATCTTATTTAATCTTTGCCAAAAACAAGGGAGATATTATTATCTCCATTTTACTGATGAAGGAAACTAGAACTCAGAGGTCACAATTTTGCAATGATTACAAAGCTAAGAAGGAAGGAACAGTGGATCCTCAGACTATAAATCCTATGCTTTTTTTCTATTTTAGACCATTCCACTGACTAGACAAAAATGGTATGCAAATGTGAAGTATTACTTTAGTGTTTTAGGTAGATAGAAAAATCCTTATTTGCATGTTTGGAGTGATTATTAAAGCAGAGGGGTTGATAAATGAATTTATGTTTGCAATTCTTTATCAGTCTCCAGCTCTTTAAAATCCATACCTCCCTATCTCTCCTTTACACAGGGCCCAGATATTACACTGTCAAAACTTTACAAGTTAATTGAAGAGTCTTGTCCACAGCTGGCAAATTCAGTGCAGATCAGGTAAACTTCATTTTCTTCTTTATATATGAAAAGGTGTGAAGGTAGATGAAAATCACAAAAGGGTATGTGGTAGTTAATTCTTTTAAAAAGATACCTTTATTACCCTAGGTTGTTTTCCCAAGAGCCTTTACTTAATTCTGTTTTGTTGAAAAATGGATAGCTTTTTCTTTGGAGACAGGGTCTCATTCTGTTGCCCAGGCTGGAGTACAATGGTGCAATCAGGGCTCAACGCAGCCTGGACTTCCTGAGCTCAGGTGATCTTCCCACCTCAGACTCCCAAGTAGCTGGGACTACAAGCATACACCACCAAACCTGGCTAATTTTTTGTATTTTTAGTAGAGATGGGATTTTGCTTTGTTGCCTAGGCTGGTCTTGAACTCCTGGGCTCAAGCAATCCCTCCGCTTCCACCTCGCAAAGTGCTGGGATTACAAGTGTGAGCAACCGCACCTGGCTGAAAAATGGGTAACATTAAGCATACTGTTTTATAGCTTTTTTCCCCAAATTTTATTATTCCTTATGGATCCATCTTACTCTTTTTAGTCATTGCAGATAATTGAATGTTTATTGGTTGATGTGATAGTTTGACAAATTTTATGATCAAGAAAACAACAATGATACTTTTCAGAAATACGGGAGTAACATTTTGAATTATGAAGTTTGTTTTATGAGCCACCATTTTATACAAATCTCTGAATTGCCTGTAAAATACATTATTTGAGGTAATTGAGGAATATGAAACATGAGAAATTATTCAAAGGGCCTTTCTAAAATATGCACCTCGATTTTCTCATTCAGAATCAAACTGATGGCTGAAGGCGAGTTGAAGGATATGGAACAGTTTTTTGATGACCTTTCAGATTCTTTCTCTGGAACTGAACCAGAGGTTCACAAAACAAGTGTAGTAGGTATGAAACTCTTCTAAGAAGAGCAGAGAGTATTTTCATTGAAGTGAGCAGCTTTCTAAGTCATGTCTATCATTGTTCTGCTATATCTGTGAACAGACACAGTGGGGATGTTGGAGGTGTTGCAGTTTGTATTTATTGCCTTACTGTTTTGATCTATATTTAAATCATTAACTGTGGAAAAGCACCTTCTGTTTTGTCTACAATAGTAAGAGTCAGAGCCTGGTCCTGGGGTTTTTAGGGGTTCCCAGCTCTTTCTCACAGTCCTCTGGATCACTTGCCTGCATGGTCCATCTGTAAGTGAGGGTCACCAGCCCAGACTTATGAAGAGAGGTAAGTAAAAATACATTATTGATATAGTATGCAAAGTGAGGGCATACGTGGTGTTTCTTTGATGCTTTTCTATTAGCTTTATCCCATGCTCTATCCCTCTGGCTTTTTTGCATGGTAATTTTTATGTTATTCAGCGTGAGCTATTTCTCTCTCTCTTCCTATGTGCCAGGCTCTGGACGTGTAAGATAGACATGGAATTTCCTCTTATGGAGATTACCTCTGGTTGGGGGAGCCAGTTGGTAAAAGTAAACACATAAATATCATTTCAGATAGTGTAACAGCCATGAAGAAAGTAAAATGGAAGCCTTCAGGTGGAGGTGGGGTGGGTAGATTGTGCCCTGTATAAGAAGAAACCAGCTTTGTAAAGGACTGGGGAAGAACATTCCAGGAGGAGGGAATGGCAACTGCAAGTGTCTCTTTCTTACTCTTCTGAAGGAAGAATTCCAGCAGACAGTCATTGCCATTGTGGAGTTGCCATTGCGTAGCCTGGATGTCAGTTAATGCTTTCCCCTTGTCTCTCGTCTTATTTTGTAGGTTTGTTTCTGCGTCACATGATCTTGGCCTACAGTAAGCTTTCTTTCAGCCAAGTGTTTAAACTGTACACTGCCCTTCAGCAGTACTTCCAGAATGGTGAGAAAAAGACAGTGGAGGATGCTGATATGGAACTGACCAGTAGAGATGAGGGTGAAAGAAAAATGGAAAAAGAAGAACTTGATGTATCTGTAAGGTAATTTGGCTTTTCTGACAGGGATCCTTTTCCTGTGAAATAGTATAATTTCAAGTGCAATAAGTCCTTGTTCATTTAGAATTCACGTGCTGGCTTATGCCCTTTTTACCCTTCCAGATCTGGGAAGTTAACTGATAAGGGCTGCACCAGTGGGTCCCTTGCCCTCTGACTTGTGATTGGCCAATGGGAGGCACTGGCAGGAAATCCCAAGGGCCAGGGAGAATGACGTGGAGTGTGGATTCATTGGCTCCCTTTCTTGGGGGTCCTGGGGGGCTGGCTGTAGGGTCACAGCTTCTGTCAGGTCGCTCTTTCTGCACTCCTTCAGGGGGTTCGGTGACTAGGAGCAAGTGTTTGCAGGCCCCAGGTGAAAGGTACCCCACTGTTATCAGTCCTGGGGACTGTATTGTGTCTTATGACTTCTCTGTCCTTTCCCCTACTTTTGTCAATTGATCCTTTGTTAAACTCTTCTCAGACTACTCAATTTGAATGTGTTCTTTGTTTTCTGCTGGGTCCCTGACTGGTATTGTTCATCACATCAGAGTGAAGTAACACTTGATTAATTCAGTGAAAATTTATTGAATGCCTTCTAAGGTCTAGCCTCTAAGGAAGCTGTTGTAAGGAAGTTACTCACTTAGTTGGTCAAGCCCAAAATGCAGTAGTATCCTTGATTCCTCCCTGTCCTTCACCCCAGTCCCTCAGCAGATCCAGTCAGTCCTTCCTCCCTGCTATGTTTGGAACTTGTTCACTTATCTCATAGCCACTGCTACCCCTGGAGTCTAAGCACCCAATCTCTACCAAATCTACTCACCAAATCTGCACTAGCATCACTTTTCTCCTTGACTTAACTCCTGTCTCCCTACATCTGTTCTTCAGGCAGCATCTGGGGAAGCCCCTAAGAATATTAATCAGATCCCAGCACTTTTCTGCCTAAACCCTTTGGAACTTAGAGAGGAGTTTGAGCTTACCATGGCCTCAGTGCCTGTATAACCTGGCCCAATGAACTTCCCTGACCTCTTTCTCTTTATTTTCTCCTTCACTCTCAGCATAGTGACTGCTCTGACTTTATCCTTCAGTTTCTTGACTACTCCAATCAGTTTCTACCTCAGGTTGCCTAGAATGCTCTTCCCTGGCTTTTCACCTCATGTGCTCCCTTTCACCTTTCAGATCACAGCTCAACTTTCCTCAGACGGGCCTCCCTGACCACGAGGTAGCGCCTATCCCAAATACTTTCTTTTTCTTTCTTTTTTTTTTTTTTTTGAGATCAAGTCTCACTGTCACCCAGCCTGGAGTGCAATGGCACAATCTTGACTCACTGCAACCTCCACCTCCTGGGTTCAAGTGATTCTCCTGCCTCCACCTCCCAACCAAGTAGCTGGGATTACAGGTGCCCACCAGCACACCCGCTAATATTTTTGTATTTTTAGTAGAGATGGGGTTTCACTGTGTTGGCCAGGCTGGTCTCAAATTCCTGACCTCAGGTGATCCACCCGCCTTGGCCTCCCAAAGTGCTGGGATTACAGGCGTGAGCCACCGCACTCGGCCCCAAATACTTTCTATTTCTTTATTCCTCCATACCTCTCATTACTAAGTAACCTTCTTAATTTACTTGCTTGCTTGCTTATCTGTTTCCCCTGCCTCTTCACCCCTTGAGAACTGAGACCCTTCTCTGTCTTGTTTGATCACATTTCCCCAGTGTTTAGTAGAGTGCCTGACTCATAGAATGTGTTCTGTACCTGAATGTTGGATGAATCAATATATAGTCCATCACCCATACTGGTAACTGGCCCAGTAACACACTTTGTATTAACTGTCCTTCCTTTTGCTGTTTTACTTCTCCTTCCCTAACTACTGTTATCTGAGATTGCTTCCAAATAAACTACTTGTACTTGCAGGCAAAAAGATATGTATGTATTTCATATTCCCTGATGTCAAAGAGCCTGTGATCTGGTGAGGAAGGCTGACAAGTAAACAGATACACTGTCCAGAGCTCTGAGAGAATTAAGCCCCACCTGCCCTAAGGAGGTGGTCAAGGGACCTTATCATTTCCTGGGAGCTTATTATTTACTGCATTGCAGGCTGTTAGGCTACTGTAATCCCCAGGGTGGCAGGGGGTGACATTGTTTATAAATGGGGAATGCTTATCGCACTTTCTATGAGTAGTTTTTGTACTGTTAAATGATTTGTTCAGCACATATTGAGAGCAAGAGGATAATAGTACCATTAACTGCTCCCCAAAACTCATTTCCTTACAAATGCTTCTTGTCTGGTGGAAAGACAACATAGTGTGGAGTTAAGAGTCTGGCTCTGCAGTCAGATCCCCAGGTTGGCCTGCTGCTCCTCTGCCTTTGGTCTCTGAGACCTTGGGCAAGTTATTCACCCTTTCTGTGCTTTGAGCTCTTTATCTGCAAAATGGGGCTCATACCCCTTCCCCAGAGGGTTGTCAGAATTAAATGATAAATTCATATAAAGTATTCAGAACTGTGCCTAGAAATGTTAACTATTATTATTCTCTACTTTCTCTTTTAGTTAGTTGCCCTCAGAAATGCTTCTAGGCTACAGTGTAATCCTTTTTCTAGCTACTTTATATGCTTAAAGTAGCAAAGTGTCACTTCTGCAGAAATGTTAAAATTCAGACTTTTCTTATTTGGGTTGGTTTTCTCTTAACTTGATTTATTTAGGTCTAACTCCATCTTTTTGTTTTTATCTTATTCTAAGAAGTCATTTATGTATAATCCAATATATTTTCTATAAAGGTATATGGTTTCAGAAAATCATGCATATTTAGTAAACTGAATTTCATCGTGAAAATTGAAGAAATGTATTCTTTATATTTAAATCTAACTAATGATTATAATTCTTTGTCTAAAAGAAATTACTTTGTTAGAGAACCTTTTTATTTTATAGGATGTACTTACATGTATTTCTTAGTTCTTTTTTAAAGGAAAATTTCAATTGTTTTCTTTTTGTGATCTTTTCTTTTTGAGATGAAGTCTCGCTCTGCCGCCAGGCTGGAGTGCAGTGGCGTGATCTTGGCTCGCTGCAACCTCCACCTCCCGGGATCAAACAATTTTTCTGCCTCAGCCTCCTGAGTAGCTGGGACTACAGGCACGCACTACCACACTTGGCTAATTTTTTGTATTTTAGTAGAGACAGGTTTTCACCATGTTGGTCAGGATGGTCTTGATCTCTTGACCTTGTGATCCACCTGCCTTGGCCTCCCAAAGTGCTGGGATTACAGGTGTGAGCCACCGCGCTTGGCCTCCTCGATGTTTTCTTCTAAGAGTTTTTAATTTTTTTTATTTAAAAATGTATTATTTATTTTTTATTACTAGCAGGTGGAAGGAAGATCTTCTAAGAGTTTTACGGTTTTTGGCCTCACATTGAGGTCTTTGAGTCCTTGGCCTCACATTGAGGTCTTTGAGTCCTTGTGAGTTAATTTTTGAATATGGTGTTAGATAAGGATCCACCTTCATGCTTTTGCATGTGGATGTGCAGTTTTCCCAGCATCATTGGTTGGAAAGGCTGTCCTTTCCCTATCAAATGGTCTTGGCACTGTTGCCAAAAACCATTTGACCATGCATGCCAGGGCTTCTTTATGGGCTCTGTGCATTGATCTCAACATCACTTTTTATGTTTTTCTTTCCTAGTTCTGAGGAGAGAGTTAAATTTTTTGAACTCTTTCGATACAAGAATCCATCTGATTTTATAAATGTTATCATTTTTACTTTTGTGTAATTCTTTACTATTTTTGTTTTTTTATTTTTTCCAGAGAAGAGGAGGTATCTTGCAGTGGGCCTCTGTCCCAAAAACAAGCAGAATTTTTTCTTTCTCAACAGGTATGTGAATTCTGTAATTTATCATGAACTTCTGTTCTAGTCCTGTGATGTGTCTAGTCCTGTGATGTGTGTTGTGGCATAGGCCCGTTATGTGCATAGGTTTGTTGGTCAGTCTGTGTCAGCCTTTACTCTTGGTCCCCTCTGCCTCACTAACGAAGCACTTGTAGCTCTGTGCCCCTTCCTATTTTGTGTGTGATTTTATTTTTCTATTAAAGTTATAATCCAGGTTTCATTTAGTAATGGTATGTGACTAACAGCCTAAAACCCTGTGATTTAACCCTTCTCTCAACATTTTATTATAGACATTTGCAAACATAAAGAGAGCCTGAAAAGCAGTGTATGGTAATTACCCATACCTATTACCTCGATTCTACAATTAATATTTTTGTTCTATTTATTACTTATCTAACCACTCTCTATTCAGCCACCATTTCATCTTATTTTTTGATATATATTTCCAGTTGCAGATATTAATACACTTTGCTCCAAACACTTCTCTCTTTTTTTGTTGTTTTTGAGACAGAGTCTTACTCTGTTGCCCAGGCTAGAGCATTGCCCAGGCTGGAGTGCAGTGGCATGATCTCGGGTCCCTGCTACCTCTGCCTCCTGGGTTAAAGCTATTCTTATGCATCAGACTCCCAAATAGCTGGGATTACAGGCGTGCACCACCACACTTGGCTAATTTTTGTATCTTTAGTAGAGATGGGGTTTCACCACATTGGCCAGGCTGGTCTTGAACTCTCGATCTAAGGTGATCCACCTGCCTTGGCTTCCCAAAGTGCTGGGATTACAGACATGAACCAGCGTGCCCCAAACATTTCTTTTTTGTTTCTTTTTTTTGAGACGGAGTCTCACTCTGTCACTGAGGCTGGAGTGCAGTGGCATAATCTCAGCTCACCGACACCTCTGCCTCCCGAAGTGCTGGGATTACAGGTGTGAGCCACCACGCCCAGCCCAAACATTTCTTATGGATGCTTTTCAGCCATATTTTTTCATTTTCTTGGAAACATAATCTGAACATTTTTCTGTGTTATTTTCAGCATAGAATTTTTAGTTTTTGCTCTATTTTTCTACTTTTCCCTAATTTTGTTATGAGCTTTCTGCAGAAAGATGTAATGTTTATATCTAGACAAAAGTGATGGAGGCTGGGCATGGTGGCTCACGCCTGTAATCCCAGCACTTTGGGAGGCTGAGGCAGGCGGATCACAAGGTCAGGTGTTTGAGAGCAGCCTGACCAACATGGTGAAACCCTGTTTCTGCTAAAAAAAACACACACACAAAAATTAGCCGGGTGTGGTGATGCCCGTCTGTAATCCCAGCTACTCGGGAGGCTGAGGCAGGAGAATCGCTTGAACCCGGGAGGTGGAGGTTGCGGTGAGCGGAGGTTGCAGTGAGCCAAGATTGCGCTACTGCACTCTGGCCTGGGTGACAAAGTGAGACTCCGTCTCAAAAAAAAAAAAAAAAATTTACGGAATTACCTCTGCAGATGAATTTCAAACAGATTAGAAAAACCTGTCTATGTGATTGGTTAACTGTAAGGAAAAAGTACAGCTGGATCCTTCCTTACCTTACCTTGTACCTCAGTATATTACAGATGGATTACAGGGTTAAATGTAAATATTTACAGCTTTAGTTAGATAATTAGGCTAGAATGAGCTACACATTGTTGGTTTTTTTTTTTTTTTTGAGATGGAGTTTTGCTTTTGTTGCCCAGGCTGGAGTGCGGTGGTGATCTCAGCTCACTGCAACCTCTGCCTCCCGGGTTCAAGCGATTCTCCTGCCTCAGCCTCCTAAGTAGCTGGGATTAGAGGTGCCTGCCACCACAGCTGCCTAATTTTTTGTGTTTTTAGTAGAGACGGGATTTTGCCATGTTGGGCAGGCTGGTCTCAAACACCTGACCTCAGGTGATCTGCCCACCTCGGCGTCCCAAAGTGCTGGGATTACAGGCGTGAGCCACTGCGCCTGGCCAGAGCTTTCTAACATAAAAGCTATGGAATACTTCAGAGGCTGAGGCAGGAGAATCGCTTGAACCTGGGGAGTGGAGGTTACAGTGAGCCGAGATCACACCACTGCACTCCAGCCTGGGCCACAAGAACGACACTCCATCTGGGAAAAAAAAAAAAAAAAAAAAAAACTGGAAGAAAACATGTAGGAGAAGATAATTTGATTTTCAGAATAAAAATTGAAAGCATCTCCATGTCAGGACTTGTTTTAACATAATTAACAGGCAAACAGGATGGGCGTGGCAGCTCATGCCTGTAATCCCAGCAATCTGGAAGGCCAAGGCGGGTGGATCATTTGAGGTCAGGAGTTCGAGACCAGCCTGACCAACATGGTGAAACCCCGTCTCTATTAAAACACAAAAACTAGCTGATGTGGTGGCATGTGCCTGTCGTCCCAGCTACTTGGGAGGCTGAAGCAGAAGAATCGCTTGAACCCATGAGGCGGAGTTTGCAGTGAGCCAAGATTTCGCCACTGTACTTCAGCTTGTGCGACAGAGCGAGACTCCTTCTCAAAAAGAAATAAAATTAAAAAATTAAAAGGCAAATAACAAAGGTGTTCTTGGGCTCCAATACTTTGGGAAAAAGTATTTACAATAAATATGACAGTGAAAGTTTAGATTTTGGTTTTGGTTTAGAAATCACATTTTCAGGCCGGGCACAGTGGCTCATGCCTATAATCCCAGCACTTTGGGAGGCAGAGGCAGGTGGATCACCTGAGGTCAGGAGTTTGAGACCACCCTGGCCAACATGGAGAAGCACTGTCTCTACTGAAAATACAAAAAATTAGCCAGATGTGATGGTGGATGCTTGTAATCCCAGCTACTTGGGATTCAAGAAGAATCACTTGAACCTGAGAGGTGGAGGTTGCAGTGAGCCAAGATTGTGCCACTGCACTCCAGCCTTGGCGACAGAGCAAGACTCTGTCTCAAAAAAAAAAAAAAAAAAGAAAAAAAAGTCATATTTGATGATGAGACAAAGTTTACAATATAAAATGAAAAGAACAGGAAATAAAGTTACATATCATATTCTGATTTTGTTAAAAATATAATGTGTATATACACATTATATAAATTTGGAATACACCCTGTATTATAAACATATATTGTGATTTTGTTAAAAATGTAATGTATACACAATATATGTTTACAATACAGGGTATATTGTAAATTTATATAATATGTATACACATATTTTTAACAAAATCAGAATATGATATGTAACATATATACACACATACAGAACAAAGACTAGGATAATATACACTAAAGTATTAATAGCGTTATTTCTGGGTAGTGAGATTGCAGAAGATTTTTGTTTTCTTCTGTAGGTTTTCTATATTTTTGGAATAATTTTTCCCCATACTACACCTACATAATAATTTGTTTTTTGTTTTGTTTTGTTTTGTTTTTTTGAGACTGAGTCTTGCCCTGTCACCCAGGCTGGAGTGCAGTGGCGTGATTTCGGCTCACTGTAATCTCTGCCTCCCGAGTTCAAGTGATTCTCCTGCCTCAGCCTCCCGAGTAGCTAGGATTACAGGTGTGCGCCACCACACCCGGCTAATGTTTTGTATCTTTAGTAGAGACAGGGTTTCACTATGTTGGCCAGGCTGGTCTCCAACTCCTGACCTCATGATCTGCCCTCCTCGGCCTCCCAAAGTGCTGGGATTACAGGTGTGAGCCACCACGCCTGGCCAATAATTTTCTATAATGACATAAATTAACAATGGAATTAGAAATTATTTTTACTTTAAAAAAATTTTTTTTAAAGAAATTATTATTTTTAAATAGAGATGAGGTCTCAGTATATTGCCCAGGTTGTTCTTGAACTCCTGGGCTCAAGCGATACTCATGCCTCAGCCTCTGCCTCCCAAAGTGCTGGGATTACAGGCATCAACCACCACACCCTGCCCTTAGAAATTATTTTACTTATAGAAAAACTCATCTAGGTAAAATTGGAGTTAAGTGTCTATAACCCAGTTAAATGTAAACATTTAATTTGTAGCTAACTTTCTACATATTTTATATAATTGTTGCTGATATCGTCCATATGAAACAAATAAGTAGAGCTGGGGCAAGCCACCTGGCTCCCATAAGGCCCCATACAGGCACTGGAAATACAAGAAGCAAACACATTACCTGCCTGGAAGGAGCTTACAGTCTGGGGTGGGGTCAGATTGGCAATTTTACTATAGTTTGATAGTGCCACAGGGGGGGTAAGTGCAGAGGGCTTATGGGAGCATGGAGGGGCTTATAGGATCTCACCTTCATCTAGAAGGTGACAGAAGCAGGTGGCCCAGAGGATGAGCTAGGCATGGGCGTCGGTTTGCTCAGCTTTGGGTAGTATATGGCTGGGGAGCGATGGGTGGGAGGCTTGGTGTTTCTGGAAGAGGAAACAGTGTTGTAGATGGTCAAGAGGAGAGCATGTGGCAGGGTCCACCTTCAGTGTTACCTAGAGTGAGGGAAGGCCAGCCAAGGCTGGCGAGATGAGGGGCCAGAGCCTGAAGGGACCCCTGTAGAAAAGAAAATAATCAGGTGATGCTAGTTAGTATATCTTTTCATATGTTTATTGACCCTTTCTTTCTACTGAGTTACCATTTTTAAATTTCAGGCTTCTTTGCTAAAGAATGATGAGACTAAGGCCCTCACTCCAGCTTCCTTGCAGAAGGAATTAAACAATTTGTTGAAATTTAATCCTGATTTTGCTGAAGCGGTAAGTCTTTCCCAGAATTTGTTGCTGTGTTGGAAAGGAATGACAAGGCAACTTTTTTTGTTTGTTTGTTTTTGGAAACAGAGTCTTACTCTGTTGCCAGGCTGGAGTGCAGTGGCACGACCTTGGCTCACTGCAACCTCCGACTCCCTGGTTCAAGTGATTCTCCTGCCTCAGCCTCCCAGGTAGCTGGGATTACAGGCACGTGCCACCACGCCCAGCTAATTTTTGTATTTTTAGTAGAGATGGGGTTTCACCATGTTGGCCAGGATGGTCTTGATCTCCTGACCTCATGATCTGCCCGCGTCGGCCTCCCAAAGTGTTGGGATTACAGGCGTGAGCCACTGCGCCTGGCCAAGGCTACTTTTTATATTGAGTAGCTGTGCAAATGAGAATCAGCCCATTGGCCCAGGTTCTTGAAGGAAATCGTGTTCTTGGTAGGCAAACAACTCGGTATAGGTTGCAAAGCTCCTCCCTCCCTCCTCGGGCCATAGGCGATTTCTTCTTACTCTTGATGTTCTCTTTCAGTCATCATCCTCCTGATGTTGTAAAGTTTGGACTGGAGATAATATACTAGACTGATGCAAAAAACAGTGTTTGTTTGTTTGTTTTGGAGACTGAGTTTCGCTCTTGTTGCCCAGGCTGGCGTGCAGTGGTGCGATCTTGGCTCACTGCAACCTCTGCCTCCCGGGTTCTCAGTGATTCTCCTGCCTCAGCCTCTCGAGTAGCTGGGAGTACAGGCACACGCCACAATGCTCAGCTAATTTTTTGTATTTTTAGTAGAGACGGGGTTTCACCATGTTGGCCAGGCTGGTCTCGAACTCCTGACCTCAGGTGATCCACCCTCCTCGGCCTCCCAAAGTGCTGGGATTACAGGCATGAGCCATCACGCCCAGCCTAAATGACAGTTTTGAGGCTGAAAAACTCTTTTCCTTTCTCTTCTTTTGTCAGTGTTTATTTTTAAAGTTCTAATAATTCCATTCCTTAATGGATTTTTTACTCGGAAAATTTTCTTAAATAGTATTTGGATTTTCCATCTGACTTTGGGTGCAGAAATATATCTATTTTGCTTCCTAGTAACTGAGATCTGCCTGTTAGGGAAGTTTCAGTGATTAAAAAAAAAATGAAAATAATTAACTTAGTAAACTAGTAAGTCTCAGTGTGTTTTAACTTGTACATTAATAAAACTTAATTTTATAATTTGTATATGAATTCAGGTTTTAGGATCTTTAATTCTGAACACTCAGTTTTCCTCAATATTTGAACTAGGTAAGGCCCAGTATTCTCATCTATCACTCATGTAACCAGTGGCATAGTGGAGTATATTTGAGATAAAACTGACACAAATACTAATGGAACTCCCATTTTTAATTTGTGGACTCCCTCTAGGGGGAATGTGTCTTGAAGCTGTTTTATTCTGCCTCTAGGGAGAAGATTAAGCTAAACTATGACCATCTTATTAGAAGGGTATGGGATACACTAGTGTTTGTAGACAGTGGAACTCTCTGCAGTTGTCTTACACCAGAGATATTTACAGCGTTTAAAATACATTGATTATTTCTTGTTTTAGCATTATCTCAGCTACTTAAACAACCTCCGTGTCCAAGATGTTTTCAGTTCAACACACAGTCTCCTCCATTATTTTGATCGTCTGATTCTTACCGGAGCCGAAAGCAAAAGTAATGGGGAAGAGGGCTATGGCCGGAGCTTGAGATACGCCGCTCTGAATCTTGCCGCCCTGCACTGCCGCTTCGGTCACTAGTAAGTTTATAGACCTTTGTCCTTGCGCAAATTGAAGGAACCGATGACAATAAAAAGTCTGCTGTTTGGCCTGGTGCGGTGGCTCACGCCTATAGTCCCAGCACTTTGGGAGGCCAAGGCGGGTGGATCACGTGAGGTCAGGAGTTCAAGACCAGCCTGGCCAAAATGGTGAAACCCCATCTCTACTAAAAATACAAAAATTAGCCAGGTGTGGTGGCAGGCACCTGTAGTCCCAGCTACTCAGGAGACTGAGGCAGGAGAATCGCTTGAACCCGGGAGGTGGAGGTTGCAGTGAGCCGAGAGCACGCCATTGCACTCCAGCCTGGGCAACAAGAGTGAAACTCCGTCTCAAAAAAAAAGAAAAAATAAATAAAGATTTGCTATTTTGGGAGAAAAGAAAAGGGAAAAGAAATGGAAGAAATGAATTCTCAAATGTTAATTGTGATGCATTTTTAAAAAATGTATTTTTTAAAAAGAAGATAGGAAAGCAGCTCATCAACCTGGACTAGTCAGTAACTTCCATAGAGGGAACCTTATTGGCACTGGAACAGTTTATGAAAACCTTCTGCCTAAATAGTCTGCCCCCTAGTGTCACTATGTAACATTGCCGTCTTAGTGCCTAGCCTCTTTCATTACTTCTAAGAACAACAGGCCGTTCAGTGAAAAAGAAATTAGGTCATTAGGCCAGAGAGTCCCTAAAGGATTTTTTGGAGGTAAAAATGGGGATGCAGAAGCTATTTTTAGTATTTCAAAAAGCCAGAAGGCAGTTGTACCTTTACTGGATGAAAGACTACATAGGCTTACTGAAAGTCAGGTTTGCTTTCAGGTAGAATTCAGGCTGCTCAGTCAGGTGACACTGGTTTATACTGTTGCCTCAGTGTGCCTCTGTTTTTAATGAATAGAAATAGGAAAATCGATCAATTATGTTTTAGTAAATAGAATTAAGTAGATAAAACAACTTTCAAAACATGGAGGCTATCTTGGAAATAATGAAATAATGTAAATAATGGTGAAAGGTGGGAAATTACTAATTCAAAGATCCCTTCACCCCCCCACCTGCCCTGTGGCTTTTTACCAGTTGAGAGAAGTGTGGTCTTTGCTACAGGCATCCTTCTATACAGACTATAGCGTGTATTAATGGGAGCATAGTGTTCACAGTTCAATAATGGAGACATCTATCCCTTTCTCTGTGTCAGGCAGCACCTAGGGAATTCTTTTTATCTCTGGTTGTCAGGTTTTTGTTTTTGTTTTTAAGAGACAAGGTCTCACTCAGTCACCCAGGCTGGAGTGCAGTAGTATGATCATAGCTAACTGTAACCTCAAACTCATGGGCTCAAGCAAGCAGTCCATCTCAGCCTCCTAGCTGTGACTACAGGCATGCACCACAATGCCCAGCTAATTTTTTTAAAAATTATTTTTTGTAGAGGTAGGATCTTGCTTTGTTACCCAGGCTGGTTTCAAACTCCTGGCTTCCAGCAATCCTCCCACCTTGGCCTTCCAAAGTGCTGGGATTACAAGCATGAGCCACTGGGCCAACCCAGTTGTGAGGCTTTAAAAGGGATGTAGACAAGCTGAAGCTTGTGTGGGGAGGGAACAGTCTCAGGGTGTTGAGACATTCAAAGCCATATCATATAAGTAATGTGGGAGGGATGTGAGACATGTTTAGCCTGGAAAAAAATGACTTATCCAAGCATGTGTTTGACATCTTCATGTAGTGAAAAGTCATGTGAAAAGAGCTTAGATTGATTGAGGGTATGGCTACGGGAGAAGATTGAGAGCTGGTAAGTAAGTGTAGGTTAAAGGACAAAATATTTCTGCTCATTATAAGGAAACAGTTTCCCCTTATTGAACCCTCTGAGGAAGGTGTCAGTGAGGTGCTGAGGCCTAGACCAAAGATGTTATTAAGGGTATTCAAACATCAGATTGATAGTTGTACCCAAAAATATTTAAGGCTCCTCAAAACTCCATGATTTTTGCAACATTCCATGATATCTTGTAATAACTAACTTCTTTTGGTCTTCCCACATTTAATAACCTCTCGATCAGAGCCTTTCTTTTTTTATGTACTCAAAAATAATAGAAATGCCATTTTTAATATTTACCAATAACCTATTTAACTTAGTAAGGAACTGCTTCCCCTGGGGGTTAGAAATTTGTACACAGCCTTCTGGATACAAATAATCTTTATTTAATTAATTAATTTATTTGTTTTTTGAGATGGAGTCTTGCTCTGTTGCCCAGGCTGGAGTGCAGTGGCTCGATCTCGACTCACTGCCATCTCGCCACCTGGGTTCAGGTAAAAAATTCTCCTGTCTCAGCTTCCCGAGTAGCTGGGACTACAGGTGCATGCCACCATGCCCAACTAATTTTTGTATTTTTAGTAGAGATGGGATTTCACCATATCGGTCAGGATGGTCTCGAACTCCTGACCTCAGGTGATCCACCTGCCTCGGCCTCCCAAAGTGCTGGGATTACAGGCGTGAGCCACTGCGCCCGGCCACAAATAATATTTTGATGAACAGAATTTCTTCTTTTTATTTTTAAAAATATAGAGACAAGGTTTTGCTATGTTGCCCAGGTTGTTCTTGAACGCCTGGTCTCAAGTGATCCTCCCACCTTGGCCTCCCAAAGTGCTGGGATTATAGGCATAAGCTACTGCACCCATCTCAGAATTTGTCTATGTTTACAATATTATCAATGGGTAGACAGCTAATTGCACAGAATATAAATGAGGAGAGGTAGATTTTTATTAATGTGTACATTTTCCTTAATTCCTGATTTACTCAGGCCCAGGCTTCTTTGTTTCTGGTCTTGGATCTATGGGCCTGTGTAAATCTTTGTCACTTAGCTAAAAGGATTTCTTGAAAATCCTTGTAGTTGTTTATTGAGCATTTACTGTGTACTAGGCACTATTGTAGGTACTAGGGATACAGCAGTGAAAAAGAAAAAAAAAAACTTGTTATAGAGCTTATATCAGGGGAAATAGGGAATAAACAACGCTAAGCATAGTTGTAATATCTCAGATAGTGATAGACCAGGATAAGAGGTTAGAAAGTGAAGGTGAAGTGCTCTTGTTTTCCTGAGTAACACTCTTACTCCAGATACATATACAGGTCACTCAACTCCTTCAATTTGTAAATCTCTGGTTAAATAGAAAGGTAGCAGATCAGCCCTCCTTGATCTCTGCCAACTTAATATTTGAACAGAGATTTAAAGGAAAAAATATTACAGAAGTGGGAATCCTCAAAATACTTTCTAAAACTAGCTTTGGGCTGGGCACCATAGCTCATGCCTATAATCCCAGCACTTTGGGAGGCCAAAGAAGGAGGATCGCTTGAGGCCAGGAGTTGGAGACCAGCCTGGGGAACACAGTGAGACTTTATCTCCTTAAAAAAATTAGCTGGGCATGGTGGTATGAGCCTGTAGTCCCAGTTACTTGGGAGGCTGAGGCAGGAGGATCGCCTGAGGCCAGAAGTTTACCAGCCTGGGGAACATAGTGAGACTCTATATCTATTTTTAAAAAAATTAGCCGACCAAGCATGGTGGTGAGTGCCTTAGTCCCAGCTACTCAGGAGGCTGAGGTCCATCGCCTGAGTCCAGGAATTCAAGGCTGCAGTGAGCTAGGATTGTGCCACTGTACTCCAACCTGGGTGACAGAGGGAGACCCTGTCTCTAAAAAACAAACAAACAAACATAAAAGTGATTTTGAAAAAATGATAAAAGTAACAAATGCACATAGTAAGAAAAAAGGTCAAATAATGTAGGAGAGAATGCCATGAAAAGTAAAATATTATATCCTCTCCTTGCCCTTCCCCTCAGCAGTGGACCTTTAAAATAAACATCTTAGAAGCGGAGATAAAAGCCTTTGCTTTATGCCCTTTTCGTAGCAATTCCCCTTAGAAGAGACATGTCCTATATTTCCACTGTCAGTGTTTTCTGCTGCTAGGGTTGGGGCACGCCTCTGAGAGAATAAGCCCAGAAATAGTTACAGCTTCCAACCCAGAGACCTGCATTTGGATGACTGTGTACAGATGACTTCCTGCTATGGTTGCTTATGCATGTTTGTGATTATTAATGGGATATTAATGTTTAGTCTGTCATTAGTCAACAGGCAGAGCTCGCCCTGCAGGAGGCAATTAGGATTGCCCAGGAGTCCAACGATCACGTGTGTCTCCAGCACTGTTTGGTGAGGCCATCCTCTGGTCTTGGGAGTTTTGTTCACGGGTTGAATTGGCCTTCACAAGGCCCCGTTGAATTGGGTTGTTTTGCAGTTGGAGCAGAGATCTTCAGCAGCAAAAGGAAACAAGTTAGGTGGTCATGGGAATTCAGAAAGGGCAACTTATCTTTACTTACCTTTCTTAATTCATGACATCTGTTTTGCTTTTGGCATATATCTGCTCTACAAAGTTTAATGCAACTTGCCATGAAAGAAGAGAAACCTTTATCACATTTAGCACTGGCATTAACAAAAGATGTATACTACACTTAGTAACTGGGTGAGATGTTGTCCTGTAATAGCAAAATCACCAGGGCAGTGGAACACAGAAGCTACTTGACAAGCACCTGAGAATCTTATTTCTCAATTGAAGGCCATATGGGAGCTTCATGCTTTTTTTCTGAAACACCTGCCACTCAGTGGCTGTCAGGTGAAGCAGAACAATGACTCATTTATTTCAGCCTGGTTTTAATGATGTTGATATGTTTGACAGGTCTCATTGAGATTCTTGATATTTCTTGAAAGAGTATTTGAGAGGATTCATTTTGTCCCTTTTAAATTCTTTCTTATGACCACATTGATATTTCACTAGAACATCAGCCATTGCCACTGTTATGATATATTTTGATGATTTCTCTTGCCAGAGCTGGCTTTATGTGCTGGGGCAGAAGAGATCCGATAGCTATGTTCTGCTGGAGCATTCTGTGAAGAAGGCAGTACATTTTGGGTTACCGGTAAGGCTCATCTTTCTGTGAGATTGTTTCCATAAATGGTCGAGCCTTTGTCTCTTTTTCTGCCCACCTCTGTCATTAACCAGCGATAGATTTAGAATGGGTTTCAAAGTGTGGTTTTATTCTTGGCAGTTTCATATGACTTTAATTATTAATCAGACCACTAAATTCTGTGTGGTAGGTTTCTCTCTGTTCCCTGTATCCTAATAACATCTGTGGAAATTCCCTTTACCAATTTGATAAGAGATCATTGTTTAGTTTATTGAGCAACATTAATTTAGCACATAGTCACTTAGAAAAATTTTAGCAAAGGCTTATTTTTAAACCAGGGATTGGTGAACTTTCCCGCCCTTGGGCCAAATCTGGCTTTCTGCCTACTTAGGGGCTTCAGGCTGAGTGGATTTTACATTTTTAAGTGATTGCAGAAAAAAAAAATCAACAACAGAGAAGAAATACGTGACAGAAACCAAGTGTGGCCTGAAAAATCGAAATTATTTACTCTCTGGCCCTTTACACAACAAGTTTGCTGATCCTTGTTTTAAACAATAAACAAAGCCAGGAACCAGTAAACCTGACAGGCAGATTTGTCCTTTCTCGTTTTGAGTGATAGGGAAGGCCGTGAATTATAGTCCTCAATGACATACACAGAGGGGCATTGAAAAGGCTTATCTGGCTGGGCGTGGTGGCTCACACCTGTAATCCCAGCACTTTGGGAGGCCGGGGTGGGTGGATCACCTGAGGTCAGGAGTTCGTGACTAGCCTGGCCAACATGGTGAAACCCTCTCTCTACTAAAAATACAAAATTAGCTGGGTGTGGTGGGACATGCCTGTGATCCCAGCTACTTAGGAGGCTGAGGCAGGAGAGTCGCTTGAACCTGGGAGGTGGAGATTGCAGTGAGCCGAGATTGTGCCATTGCACTCCAGCCTGGGCAACAAGAATGAAATTCCATCTCAAAAAAAAAAAAAAAGGAAGCACAAGCTTGGAGAACCTTATTCTCTCTCAGAAACACCCATTGAAAACTAGACCATAGGCAGTGGGATTGCTTAAGCATTCTGTCTTATGAAGTTTGTGACAGACTTCAGTAAAATGGAAAGTAATTACAGGTAGTAATTTAATGTATACACTTTAAAATCGGCCTGGCGTGGTGGCTCACACCTATAATCCCAGCACTTTGGGAGGCCAAGGCGGGTGGATCGTGAGGTCAGGAGTTTGAGACCAGCCTGACCGTTATGGTAAAAGCTCGTCTCTACTAAAAATACAAACATTAGCCGGGCGTGGTGGTGGGCGCCTGTAGTCCCAGCTACTCTGGAGGCTGAGGCAGAAGAATTGCTTGAACCTGGGAGGCGGAGTTTGCAGTGAGCCGAGATTGCTGCACTGCACTCCAGCCTGGGCGACAGAGCAAGACTCCGTCTCAAAAACAACCCTAAAACCAAAAAACAAATCTGTAGCTTGTCCATTGATTCACACCTGGGAAAGAAACTCATACGTACAGAATTGATTATAATGACAAAAGTGGCTCCTTGAAGTAAGCGCAGGCTTAACTACAATTTTTGCCATGAATTTAAGCTGGCATTTTTTAGTTGAGCTTTCATCCTTGAAGATGACACCAAAAGCTAATGACAAGATAATTTTGTTGCTCATGATAGGCATCCTTTTTTGATCTCCTATTACATATGTGCGCAGCACTGTTTGACATCTATTATTTCATTGTAATCCTTACGATAATTCTTTATGATAGGTTTGATGCCCATTTTACAGATGAGGAAGCTGAGGCTTAGCTAAGAAGCTAAGTGACTGGCCCTAAGTCACACAGTAAGTAGCAGAGGCAGTGTTTAAGTCCAGGTCCATCTAATGCTAAAGCCCTGCTGGCTCTTTCCCGTGTACCCTCTGCCTCTCTCCCAGACCCAGTTTTTCAGGAACACATCTCGTATGGCTCAGGGTTAAGGCCAGGTTATAGGTACTTTCCTTTTAAATAGTGCTGTCACTGTGCATGTGCTGAAATGTGAAATCCACCACATTTCTGAAGAGCAAAACAAATTCTGTCATGTAATCTCTATCTTGGGTCGTGGGTATATCTGTCCCCTTAGTACCTCGCCTCCCTGGGAATACAGTCCCTTGTTCAACAGAGAGCTTTTGCTGGGAAGACGGCAAACAAGCTGATGGATGCCCTAAAGGACTCCGACCTCCTGCACTGGAAACACAGCCTGTCAGAGCTCATCGATATCAGCATCGCACAGAAAACGGCCATCTGGAGGCTGTATGGCCGCAGGTAGGTCTCCCAAGGCCCTGGGGGTGTGAATTCTTTAGAGAGAAGCAGGAGCTAGCAAGCTGGTTCTGTGAAAGGCCATACATACAAGATTTACCTGCCTTGGATAGATGTTGTTCCTGCAGGGGACTATGTTTTAGACTATAAAACATTTTGTATTTTGCACAGACTGAAAACTTTTTTCCCATGCATGTTCCTTCTTACTCCTCCCAACCACTTTGTGAGGTAATGGGTGGGTGATCTCCATGCTGGGAGAGTAAACCAGGGTTCACACATCTGATCTACCCGCGATCGCAAACGCAGTTAACAAGTGACAGAGAAAGGACTCAAACCCACGTCATCTGACTCCAAGCACCGGGCTCCTCTGCTCTGTGACAGGAACCTTCCTGTTTATAGGAGGCATGATCCATGGTTGCTCTAGTTGAGTGTCACCTGAACCCCAAAACTATTGTGTAAAAGAAAGTTGCTTTTCTGTTAACTGAGGTGTTTTCTGTGGAATATTTTCATCTTATTGTGTACTTTCACATTTAGCCACTTTTAGCCTGGAAGTAAACTTTGTTGCCGCATTTTAATCCTGGAGTTCTGTCGCTACCTCACCCCTCACTTAGACAGTCTGTTTCTAGGAATTCAGTAATGAAAGGAAGTGCCTTTTTTACCAGTCTTGTTTTTGTATTTCAGATAATTTTTTGGCACGGTGTGCTCTGAAACAGCTGCAGACACTGGCCACTGCTTACATTGCCAGAGCAGTCTGTGCCAGGATGGCATCGGGTCTGAATTCACCCGTGAAAACTAATTAACATACTATGACTGCAGGGAACATGGGGTGGGGGCGGGGGGATCTGGGAGCGTGTACTCCCAGCTGTGCCCTAACCACTACGTGTCTCCTCGCGCTGCACATCCAGGATGCTTTTCTGCCTTTCTTATCCTGAGGGCAAGGTTGCTGGCACTGGGAGGCATCTGCTCCCAAGAAAGCCAGAGCCTGTGAGG
The DNA here is from genome assembly GCF_000001405.40 of Homo sapiens. NCBI lineage: Eukaryota > Metazoa > Chordata > Mammalia > Primates > Hominidae > Homo > Homo sapiens. The sequence goes on along the minus strand of NC_000012.12, from coordinate 121,327,331 downwards.
TGTATGACTTTACGCCTCCACTCAAGATAGCTGACGGGCATGGCCAAAGCGCAGCCAGGTCTGCTGCTGAAAGGAAATCCTGTTCCCTCTCCCCACCCAGCACCATGGCACTGCAACAGGCCCAGATGTTGCTGAGCATGAACAGCCTGGAGGCGGTGAATGCGGGCGTGCAGCAGAACAACACAGAGTCCTTTGCTGTCGCACTCTGCCACCTCGCAGAGCTACACGCGGAGCAGGTAGGCAGGTGGCCGGGCCCACGTGCTTCTGGAGCAATGGAGGCTCTACCATTTCTTTCCTCTAATGCTTGAGGAAAGCACTGGACACGTGTTGGACAGTTCTGCTCGACACTGTGGCTGAAAGAGTGAAATCCCACCAGTGGAAGGGGACCAAGGGTGGAGTCTGCAAAGTTGGTTGAATTTGAGGTCTTTTTTTGGCATCAATGAAGGGAATTCTAAGAGGTCAGCCAGTTTCATGTAACTAAGGAAATAAATAGGATTCTTTGACATTTAAGGTAGCAGAGGTTTGTGTGTTTTAGGAGAGAGGAGAGTATAATAGAAGTATATCTGAAATCATAATAACTAATGTTGGTTGTAAATTTGTTCTGTGCCAGTCCCTGTGCCTATTTTATGGGTACTGTCTCATAGAATCCACTTCATGGGCTCAGGTTTGTTGTTATCCCTATTTCACAGAACTAAAGACTGAGGTCCTGGGAGCTAAATCCTGTATCCAACACCTGTAAATGTCAGAGGCAGGTCTCCAACCGAAACCTGGTTGACTCCAAAGAAGAGCAGTGGGAATGGGACATAATCTTGATGACTTACAGCTCAAGTAATTTGACGAGATTCTCTTTATAAGGGATCAATTAAAGTATCTCTTCTGCTACTGTAGGCTTTATCTTCCCTTTATTCAAAATATCTTCTTTCATGGGAAAGAGTCAGGGAAAACTATTTTATCTAAAGCCCTCCATCTCAGTAAACACTGCTGTGGCAATCCAGATGTTTCCTTGATCATATTTTTCTCTTCCTCTTTGTGATACCTGTTACTGTTAGATTGCATCATAACACTCAACATTCCCTAATTGCAGCCTAAAGATTTTTGGGTGGTTTCCACTCCTTTCAGAAGTCTAGACATACTTCCCTATAGCAAACATGTTAGCATTTTACAGTCTCTTACATGGCTGTGTAAACTGAGGGGTGGATGGGCCCTGACTGATGGGTTCCACGGCGCCTTTGCCAGCTGGTTTCTTCCCATGTCTGGGAAGCACTGCCCATGTTTTCTGAGGTCGAAAGGGCTAGCTGGTTGCTTCCCCTGGGAATGTTGCAAGTCTGTCTCTCGCTTGTTTCTTCCCTCTTCGTGGCACTGGCACCTCCTTAACATCACTTCTCTTCCTTTCCTGGTGCCTTGGATAAGAGAAGCATCTGGTAATGAATGAGTCGGTGAACATATTGAAGTATTTAGTTTTTTTGAAACGGAGTGTCGCTCTGTCGCCCAGTCTGGAGTGCAGTGGCACGATCTCAGCTCACTGCAACCTCTGCCTCTGGGGTTCAAGCAATTCTTGTTTCTCAGCCTCCCGAATAGCTGGGACTATAGGTGTCCACCACCATGCCCAGCTAATTTTTGTATTTTTAGTAGAGATGAGGTTTCACCATGTTGGCCAGGATAGTCTTGAACTCCTGGCCTCAGGTGATCCGCCTGCCTCAGCCTCCCAAAGTGCTAGGATTATAGATGTGAGCCACCATGCCTGGCGAAATTATTTTTTTTTACTATTAGAATAGAAAACTACTTTTCAAAAACCTTAGTCTTGGTTCAATTCTTTTTTTTTTTTAATTTTTAATTTTTAATTTATTTTTAATTTAATTTTATTTTTTTGAGAGGGAGTCTCACTCTGTCACCCAGGCTGGAGTGCAATGGTGTGATCTCAGCTCACTGCAACCTCTGCCTCCTGGGTTCAAGCGATTCTCCTACCTCAGCCTCCCAGGTAGCTGGGATTACAGGTGTGTGCCACTACTCCCAGCTAATTTTTATGTTTTTTGTAGAGATGGGGTCTTACCATGTTGGCCAAGCTGGTCTGAAACTCCTGACCTCAAATGATCCACCTGCCTTGGCCTCCCAGAGTGTTGGGATTATAGGCGTTAGCCACCGCGCCCAGCCAGTTTTTAATTTTTTTTGAGACAGGGTCTCGCTGTATCACCAGGGCTGGAATGTAGTGGTGCAATCACAGCAAACTGCAGCCTCAACCTTCTGGGCTCAAGTGATCCTCCCACCTCAGCCTCCTGAGTAGCTGAGACTATAGGAGCGTGCTACCACACAGCTAATTAAAATATCTTTTTGTAGAGATGGAATCTCACTCTGTTGCCCAGGCTAGTCTCAAATTTCTGGGCTCAAGCAGTCCTCCCACTTCAGTGTCACAGTGTTGGGATTACCACACCCAGCGTATTTTTTATTTTTTTAAGAGATGGGGTCTCACTGTTGCCCAGGATGGAGTGCGGTGGCACAATCATAGCTCACTGCAGCCTTGAACTCCACCTCAACCTGCCTAGTAGCTGGGACTACAGGTGCACACCACCTCATCCAGCTAATTATTTTAATTCTTGTTTCTTAGAGATGGAATCTTTCTATGTTGTGTTGCCCAGGCTGATCTTGAACTCCTGGCCTCAAGTGATCTTCCTGCCTTGGCCTCCCAAAGTGTTGGAATTACAGGTGTGAGTCACAGTGCCTTGTGGCTCAATTCTTTAGCCTTGTAACTTTGTTCAAGGCCATTTGTTAGAATTTTGTGTCTTTTTTTTCTGGGAGTAAGACCCTAAAAAGTAACCATGCTCTTTGGGTCTATATTAATAATTCCATCTTCATCTCCCTTTCACCTCTGGGCTTATGTGAAAAACCTGCTGACCCAATCATTGTTTGGCTTCAACAGCCAGGCTGTGTTAGGAAGCCTTTTAGTACACAACTAGAAGGTAGCTGCCTTTTTTTTTTAAGTCAGTCCTTTACCCCTTTCTTCATCTTGCCTTAGATCTTTCTAGTTTTAGAACATCAACCGTGTGGATATATATATACTTACTGGGCTGATGACTGTCACATTTTTAATTAGACAAGTTAGACTCATACTTGTGAAATTAAGTTTGGCCAGCTGCAGAGAAGGCAGCTTTATCATGAGTCTCCAGTTACTCTTTTCTTTCTCTTGTATCTGCTTCTGAAACTTTCCTTCAAGTAAATTGGATGGTGCACGTTGTTTTGTGGTATGAGAGTGATTGGGGTTTCGGTAAGCCCATAAATAAGTTATGGGGCTCAGAACTGCTTTCTGAGCTTCCTCTTGCAACCCAGAGGAGGTAGAGTGAATTCTTTTTCTAATATAACCATTCTCCTTTGCTCTTTCCATGTAATTCTAGCTCATCTTATATCACTCCTCTCTCAGTCTCAGGAATTGCAGGCCACGATGGGAATATTTTTGGGGGATACTGCAGGATCTATATCCCCATGCCCGACTCCCTGTGGCGGTCATGAAAATAATTGGTGAGACTGGCCAGTTAAAATCACAGGAATAATGATCTTTTATTGTAATTCTATGTAATTTCTGCTTATTCACTTCAAATAAAAGTCCACATGTGGCCTGAGCGTCTATGTAGACAAAAAGTGCATTACCTCATGAAAGGATTGAGACAAATTGAAAGTATTTCGGGATCAATAAGATAAACCTCCCAGTTGGGTGCTGTTTATCTTTATACTTGTAATCCCAGCACTTTGGGAGGCTGAAGCAGGCGTATCACTTGAGCTCAGGAGTTTGAGACCAGCCTATGCAACATGGTGAAACCCCGTCTCTACAAAATATACAAAAATTAGCTGGGTGTGGTGTGTGGTGGCACATGCCTGTAGTTCCAGCTACTAGGGAGGCTGAGGTGGGAGGATTGCTTGAACCTAGGAGGTAGAGGTTGCAATGAGCTGAGATTGCACCACTACACTCCAGCCTGGGCAGTAGAGCAAAACCTTGTCTCAAAAAAAAAAGATAAACATCCCGACAATATAAGAGTATAAAAAAGTCATGAATGTACATTCACAGAAAGCATGGCCCAAAAACATGAAAACATTTCAATCTAGTCATTGAAATTAAATTTAAAGCAGTTAAGGTACTACTTTCACCAATTATATAAGCAAAGATACTTCAGTGTTAGAGGAAGAAAAGCACAGAGTTCTGGTATGAAAGTACTTGGTACATTTATATAGGGTAATTTAGTAATATATCTCAAAGAACTTAAAAGTGCCTGTCATTTCCACTTCTAAGGTTTTTTGTTTGTTTGTTTGTTTTTGTTTTTGAGATGGAGTTTTGCTCTGGGGCCAAGGCTGGAGTGCAGTGGTGTGATCTCAGCTCACTGCAACCTCTGCCTCCTGGGTTCAAGCGATTCTCCTGCCTTTGCCTCCTGAGTAGCTGGGATTACAGGCACCTGCCACTGCGCCCGGCTTATTTTTTTGTACTTTTAGTCGAGATGGGGTTTCACCATGTTGGCCAGGCTGGTCTCAAACTTCTAGCCTCAAGTGATCTGCCCTCCTTGGCCTCCCAGAGTGCTGGGATTACAGGCGTGAGCTACCGCACCCAGCCTACTTCTAAGGTTTTATGCTAAGGAAATAATTGGACCAGTATGCAAAGCTCTATGCACCAAGATATTCATTGTAGCATTTTTTAAATGGAAAATATTAGAAATAACCAAAATATCAAAAACCAGATTATTTTCATGTACCATAATTGATTTTCCCGATAAAATACTACGATGATATAAATTTGTATTTATTGACATTGAAAGATTTATTCATTCAACAAATATTCATTGGATGCCTACCATGTGGTAAACAGTGTTATAAGTAATTTATAAAAATATATGTAAGCTGGACACGGTGGCTCATGCCTGTAATCCCAGCAATTTGGGGGGCTGAGGTGGGCAGATCACCTGAGGTCAGGAGTTGGAGACCAGACTGACCAACATGGTGAAACCCTGTCTCTACTAAAAATACAAAAACTAGCTGGGTGTGGTGGTGTCTGCCTGTAATCCCAGCTACTTGGGAGGCTGAGGCAAGAGAATTGCTTGAACCTGGGAGGTGGAGGTTGCAGTGAGCCTAGACCACACCACTGCACTCCAGCCTGGGTGACACAGTGAGACTCCCTCTCAAAAAAAAAAACAGGCCAGGTGCGGTGGCTCACGCCTGTAATCCCAGCACTTTGGGAGACCGAGGCAGGCGGATCACGAGGTCATGAGATCGAGAGCAGCCTGACCAACATGGTGAAACCCTGTCTCTCCTAAAAATACAAATATTAGCTGGGCGTGGTGGCATGCACCTGTAATCCCAGCTACTCAGGAGGCTGAGGCAGGAGAATCGCTTGAACGCGGGAGGCAGAGGTTGCAGTGAGCTGAGATCATGCCACTGCACTCCAGCCTGGTGACAGAGTGAGACTCTGTCTCAGAAAAAAAAAAGCAACAACAACAGCAAAACCCAAAAGTAATTTGTCAGCCGGGCACATTGGCTCATGCCTGTAATCCCAGCACTTGAGGAGGTTGAGGTGGGTGGATTGCTTGAGGCCAGGAGTTTGAGACCAGCCTGGCCAACATGGCAAAACACTGCCTCTACTAAAAATACAAAAATTAGCTGAGCATGGTGGCGCGCACCTGTAATTCCAGCTACTCGGGAGGTGGGGGCTAAGACATCAGAATTGCTAGAACCCAGGAGGAGGAGGTTGCAGTGAGTCAAGATCATGCCACTGCACTCCAGCCTGGGTGACAGAGCAAGACTCTGTCTCAAAAAAAAAAAAAAAAAGGATTTTGTATAGCCAGGTGTGTGGTGGCATGCACCTGTATTCCCTGCTACTCGGGAGGCTGAGATGAGAGGATTGATTGAGCCTAGGAAGTTGAGGCTGCATTGAGCTGAGATCAAACCATTGCTGCATTCCAGCCTGGGAAACAGAGCAAGACCCTGTCTCATAAAAAAAAAAAAAAAAAAAAAAAAGTAATTTGTTTGTTCTTGTTTACATGTATTTTGTAAGTGTTTTTCTAGAATGGATATGTCTTACGTGTGTAATTAAAAAAAAATTTTTTTTTTTGAGACGGAATTTTGTTCTTGTTGCCTAGGCTGGAGTGCAATGGCACGATCTCAGTGCACCACAACCTCTGCCTCCTGGGTTCAAGCGATTCTCCTGCCTCAGCCTCCCAAGTAGCTGGGATTACAGGCATGAGCCACCACGCCCAGCTAATTTTGTATTATTAGCAAAGATGGGGTTTCTCCATGTTGGTCAGGCTGGTCTCGAACTCCCAACCTCAGGTGATCCACCCGTCTTGGCCTCCCAAAGTGCTGGGATTACAGGCGTTAGCCACCATGCCTGGTCTTAAAATATTTTTAAAATAAATTGTATTAGCCTTTAAATAATGGCCCTTAGAAATTTGAGTCTCTGGCCAGGCATGGTGGCTCACGCCTGTAATTCCAGCACTTTGGGAGGCTGAGGCGGGCAGATCACGAGGTCAGGAGATCGAGACCATCCTGGCTAACACAGTGAAACCCCGTCTCTACTAAAAATACAAAAAAATTAGCCGGACATGGTGGCAGGCACCTGTGGTCCCAGCTACTCAGGAGGCTGAGGCAGGAGAATGGCGTGAACCCGGGAAGCGGAGCTTGCAATGAGCCGAGATCGCGCCACTGCACTCCAGCAGGGCTACAGAGCGAGACTCTGTCCCAAAAAAAAAAAAGAAAGAAAAGAAATTTGAGTCTCTGACCAGTATCTCTCAGGTTGCTGCATCAAGAACGGGAACAGGTGAATCTGTCACCATCTGTGCATGGTACAGCAGGTGTGGATTCAACACAGGTTATGCTGATCAAATTGTGTGTTTCTACTTTAGGGCTGTTTTGCTGCAGCTTCTGAAGTGTTAAAGCACTTGAAGGAACGATTTCCGCCTAATAGTCAGCACGCCCAGGTAATCTGCCTTTTGCATGGCAATAGATTTATTTCTGATAAAAATAGCTTTTATTATAATATAAAGTGGGACATAATCTCCCCTCAGAAAAATAATATTGAGCTAAAAAGGAACTTGTCAAAGGATGCTTACAAGTATGATATTATTTATATAAAGTTTAAAAACACAGGCTCATACTCTATGTTGTTTAGAGACAAGGGTATATGTTGTAAAAGTATAAAAAACCTGAATGAGAATGATAAATACCAAATTGAGTGCCTACTTTGAAAAAAGAGAAAGAGACGTAGAATTTGCAAAGGACTTCATTGGTATCTAATAGTATATGAAGCAGATAAAGCAAAATGTGAGTTGACAAAGTTGATGATTGGCACACATGTATCTGCTATTTTATTCTCTGTGCTTTTTCACATACTTGAGATATTTTAAAAAAATTTTAAATCCCCCCAAAAAAGAATATGTGTGAATTATTGTAAGGATATTTGCTAAGCAATCCAAAATACTTTCATATACTCATTAAGATGAACATTCGCCATTTTGTACTTAATTGTGTTTTTTTTTCTTACTAGTTATGGATGCTATGTGATCAAAAAATACAGTTTGACAGAGCAATGAATGATGGCAAATATCATTTGGCTGATTCACTTGTTACAGGAATCACAGCTCTCAATAGCATAGAGGGTGTTTATAGGTAAGAAACCTTGAAAACTCTAACCCCAGAATAAAATAATTGTTAAATGGTTTTGTTTTTGTTTTATATGTGCATTAATTTATTTTAGCTTAGAAAAAAACTTTATTTTCTTAATAAATAAGAAAATACAGGTAAGCAGCTGGGCATGGTGACTTACACCTGTAACTGGGCATGGTGACTTACACCTGTAATCCCAGCACTTTGGGAGGCTGAGGCGGGCGCATCACTTGAAGTCAGGAGTTTGAGACCAGCCTGGCCAACATGGTGAAACCCTCTCTCTACTAAAAGTACAAAAAATTAGCCAGGCATGGTGGTGGGTGCCTGTAATCCCAGCTACTTGGGAGGCTGAGGGAGGAGAATTGCTTGAACCCATGAGGCGGAGGTTGCAGTGAGCCAAGATCGCACCATTGCCTCCAGCCCAGGCAACAGAGTGAGACTCCATCTCCAAAAAAAAAAAAAGAAAATACAGATAAGCAAAATGAAGAAAATAAGTATCTCCCAGAGATAATCATTAACATGCTGTTATCTATAATTCCAGAATTTTTCCTGCATGCGTGTGTGTGTGTGTGTGTGTGTGTGTGTTTGTGTATACACAGCATGCTCACATACATGCTCACACACACATTCATACACACATACAATTTATTCTTTCAACAACAAAAACATTTTTTTTTTTTGAGGCAGAGTCTCACTCTGTCGCCCAGGCTGGAGTGCAGTGGCACGATCTCAGCTCACTGCAATCTCTGCCTCCTGGGTTCAAGCGATTCTCCTGCCTCAGCCTTCTGAGTAGCTGGGATTACAGGTGCCCACCACTACGCCCAGCTAATTTTTTGTATTTTTAGTAGAGGCAGGGTTTCCCCATGTTGGCCAGGCTGGTCTCGAGCTCCTAACCTTGTGATTCGCCCGCCTCGGCCTCCCAAAGTGCTGGGATTACAGGTGTGAGCCACCGCGCTCAGCCTCTTTCAACAAAAATTAAATCAGGCACAGTTTTTTCCCTTGGGAGGTTTATAGCGCAATTGAATAAATTGAGATTCTTACCCTCAAAGTGACTAGTTAAAACACTTGTGTTCATTTTGATTCTGTTTCAGGAAAGCGGTTGTATTACAAGCTCAGAACCAAATGTCAGAGGCACATAAGCTTTTACAAAAATTGTTGGTTCATTGTCAGAAACTGAAGAACACAGAAATGGTGATCAGGTAAGGGGTCTCTTGTACATCTCACGGAGATGTGGTGGTGGATCTTCTCATCCTGTGTTTTCCTCTTTACGGTCAGTGTCCTACTGTCCGTGGCAGAGCTGTACTGGCGATCTTCCTCCCCTACCATCGCGCTGCCCATGCTCCTGCAGGCTCTGGCCCTCTCCAAGGAGTACCGGTTACAGTACTTGGCCTCTGAAACAGTGCTGAACTTGGCTTTTGCGCAGGTAAGCCGATCTCTGTTTTTATAGCACATATTTGTGCTCAAGAGCTGGTGAGTCTGTGACTACGTTTGAGTATTGAAAGGATAATAATGAGTTTTCATTTGTTCATATTGACGTCTGGAAAGGTAGTCTTCCTGTGCAAGCCCTCCAAGGAGGCCTGTGGAGGTGTGAACCTGGTGACAAACTGACACTTTCCAGTGGCACTGGCTTTCCTGAGCTGTGTATTCAGTAAGGAGGACTCGCCTCTTCAGTGAGAACACCTGCATCATATTAATGATTAGCTGACACAGAGTGATGCTTGATTTAGCAACAAGGGGATGTGAATAAAGAAATGAGGAACACAGATGTTCATTGAAAGCTTTTGGAAATCAAATTGTATTTTATGTTTGTTTTCTTTCTCCCCCAGTAAAGGCCATGAAGGAATTGACTCTTCATTTTCATCTATATTCCCTAGTACCTTATAGGCCCTACACATAGAAGGCTTTCAATAAATATTAATCAATGAATGAGTGAAGGTCAAATGCACTGGAAGAATTTATTAATTAAAGTGGAGGTTCTCCAAACTGGCTGTACATTAGAATTATTGCGGAGATTTAAAAAATATCTTCGTACCTGAGGCCTTGCCTCAGACCTACGGAGTCAGAATCTCTAGGGGTGGAGCTAAGGAATCTGTTTCTTACTACCTTCCTCAGTGATTCTTTTTTTTTTTCTTGAGATAAAATGTACATGGCCAGGTGTGGTGGCTCATGCCTATAATCCCAGCACTTTGGGAGGCTGAGGTGGGCAGATCACAAGGTCAGGAGTTCAAGACCAGCCTGGCCAGCATGGTGAAACCCCATCTCTATTAAAAATACAAAAATTAGCCGGGCGTGGTGGCACGTGCCTGTAATCCCAGCCACTCGGGAGGCTGAGGCAGGAGAATCGCTTGACCCTGGGAGGCGGAGGTTGCAGTGAGCCAGGATCGTGACACCGTACTCCCAGCCTGGGCAACAGAGCGAGACTCCATCTCAAAAAAAAAAAAAAAAAGTATGTAACACAAGATTTACCACTTTAACCATTTTAAAGTGTACATTTCAGTGGTTTTGAGAATATTGACAACATTGTGCAACCATTACTGCTATCTAATTTCAGAGTATTTTCATTACATAGAAAAGGAAACTGTACCCATTAAGCAGTCATTCCCCAGTCCTCCCTTCCCCCAGCCTCTGGTAACCTCTCACCGGTTTCTGTCTCTATGAGTTTGCCTATTCTGAACAGTTTGCATAACTGGACTCATATAAATGTGGCCTTTTTTGATTGGCTTCTTTTACTTAGCTTGATGTTTTCAGGTTTTATCCATGTAGCAATAGGTATCAGTGCTTCATTGTTTTTCATGGCTGAAGAATATTTCACTGTATGGTTAGATCACATTTTGCTTATCCATTCATCAGCTGATGGGCATTTGAGTCGTTTCCACCTTTTGGCTGTTATGAATAGCGGCTCTTTACATTTCTGTACAGCTTTTGTTTGAACACCTGTTTTCTTTTTTTTTTTTTTTTTTTTTTTTTGAGACAGAGTCTCGCTCTGTCACCCAGGCTGGAGTGCAGTGGTGCAATCTCGGCTCACTGCAAGCTCCGCCTCCCGGGTTCATGCCATTCTCCTGCCTCAGCCTTCCGAGTAGGTGGGACTACAGGCGCCCGCCACCACGCCCAGCTATTTTTTTGTATTTTTAGTAGAGATGGGGTTTCACTGTGTTAGCCAGGGTGGTCTCGATCTCCTGACCTCGTGATCCGCCCACCTCGGCCTCCCAAAGTGCTGGGATTACAGGCGTGAGCCACCGCGCCCGGGGTTGAATACCTGTTTTCATTTGATGCCTACGAACGGAATTGCTGAGTCATGATAATTTTGTGTTTAACTTCTTAAGGAAATGCCACAGTGGCTGCACCATTTTGTTTCAACCTGCAATGTATGAGGGTTCCAATTTCTCCACAATCTTGCCCACCCTTGTTATTTTCCATTTTTAATTATTACATCCTTCCTAGTGGGTATGAAGGGGTGTCTCATTGTGGTTTTGATATGCACTTCTCTAATGACTAATGATGTTGAGTATCTTTTCATGTGCTTATTGGCCATTTGCATATGTTCTTTGGAGAAACGTCTATTCCGATCCTTTACCTGTTTTTTAACTAAGTTGTTTATCTTTTTGATGTTCACTTGTAAAAATTATTTATATATTGTGGATACTAGACCCTTATCAGATATATAATTTACAAATATTTTCTCCTGTTCTGTGTTTGGTCTTTTCACTTTCTTGTTAGTGTCTTTTGATATACAAAAGTTTAAAATTTTTATGAAGTCCAATTTATTTTTCTTTTGTTGCTTGTGCTTTTAGTATCATGTCTAAGATACTGACAAATCTAATGTCATGAAGATTTTCTTCTATGTTTTCTTCTCACAGTATTATAGTTTTAATGCTTATGTTTAAGTCTGAATAATTTTGAGTTAATTTTTGTATATACTATGAGATAGGGCTCCACTCTTATTCTTCTGCATACGGATATAGGTTATTCTAGCACCATTTGTTGAAGACTCCTCTTTCCCCATTTAATGGTTTTGGTACCCCTGTTAAAAACCAGTTGATCAAAGAAAAAAAAGAAAACAACTGATCGTAGATATATAGGTTTATTTTCGGACTCTCAATTCTATTCCCTTGATCTATATGTTACCCTTATGCCAGTACTACTTTGTTTTGATTACTATAGCTTTGTAGTAAGTTTTGAAATCAGGAAGTGGGAGTCTTTGTTCTTTTTCAGGATTGTTTTGGCTATTCAGCATCCCTTGCAATTATATGTTGATTTTAGAATTAGCTTGTTCATTTCTGCAAAAACAGTAGTTGTAATTTTGATAGGGATTGTATTTGAATCTGTAGGTCAGTTTGGAGAACATTGCCATCTTAATGCTATTCTCTTCCAACCCATGAACACAGGATGTCTTTCCTTTTATTTGGATCTTTAACTTACTTCAACAATGTTTTGTAGCTTTCTGTATATAAATCTTTCACTTCTTTGGTTAAATTTATCCCTAAGTATTTTATTCTTTTTGATGGTAATTTAAATGAAATTTTTTTAAACATTTATTTTTGGGTTGCTAGTTTATATTGATCTTATATCCTGCAACTTTGCCAAACTTATTACCTGTAACAGGTTTTGGGGATTTTTTTTTTATGGTTTTGTATGTATAAGATCATGTCATCTGCAAATAGAGATAGTTTTACCTCTTCCATTCCCACTTAGATGCCCTGTATTTCTTTTTCTTGCTTAAATGCTTTGAGTAAAACTTCCAATACATGTTGAATAAATGTGACAAAAGTGTGTGTCTTGGCTCGGTGTCTCACACCTGTAATCCCAGCACTTTTTGAGGCCAAGGCAGATTACTTAAGGCCAGGAGTTCGAGACCAGCCTGGACAACATGGTGAAACCCCGTCTCTACTAAAAATAGAAAAATTAGCTGAGTGTAGTGGTGGTGGTGCATGCCTGTAATCCCAGCTACTAGGTAGGCTGAGGACTGAGAATCACTTGAACTCAGTCCTCAGGAGCTGGAGGTTGTAGTGAACCGAGATCATGCCACTGCACTACAGGTTGGGCAACAGCAAGACTCCCTCTCAAAAAAAAAAAAAGTGTATGTCCTTATTTTGTTCCTGTAGGGGGAAAGCGTTCAGTCTTTCATCATCAAATATCATGCTAGCTGTGGGTTTTTTATAGAGGTTGAGGAAGTTCCCTCTATTCCTAGTTTATTTAGTGTTTTTTTCATGAAAAGGTATTGGATTTTGTCAAATTTTTTTTTTCTGCATTGATTGATTTGATCATATGGGTTTTTGTTTGTTTGTTTTTGAGATAGAGTGTCACTCTGTTGCCCAGGCTGGAATGCAGTGGTGCAGTCTTGGCTCACTGCAACTTCTGTCTCCCAGGCTGTCTCCCAGGTTCAAGCAGTTCTTGTGCCTCAGCTTCCCAAGTAGCTGGGATCACAGGTGTGCACCACCATGCCCAAGTAATTTTTGTATTTTAGTAGAGACAGGGTTTTGCCATGTTGGTCAGGCTGGTCTCTAACTCCTGGCCTCATGATCCACCCACCTCTGCCTCCCAAGGTACTGGGATTACAGGCGTGAGCCACTGCGCCCAGCCCCGATTTTTTCTTTCATTTTATTTATATATTTGTGTATTGAACTACCTTGCATTCCTGGAGTAAATTTCACATGGTCATAGTGTATGTTCCTTTTAACGTGCTATTGGATTTGGTTTGCAAGTATTTTGTTGAGAATTTTTGCATCTGTATTCATAAAGGATGTTGATCTGTGGTTTTCTTGTGATATCTTTCTTTGGCTTTAGTATTAGGGTAATAGTGGCCCCACAAAATGAGTTAGAAAGTATTCTCTCTTCTCCTTTTTCTGGGAAGAATTTGAGAAGGATTGGTGTTAATTGTTTTAAAGTTTGGTAAAATTCACCAGTGAAGCAGTCTGGCCCTGGGCTTTTCTTTGTTGGAAGTTTTTTTGGTTACTAATTCAGTCTCTTTAGTTGTTATAGGTCTATTCAGATTTCCTGTTTCTTGAGTCAATTTTAGTAGTTTGGTCTTTCTAGGAATTTGTTCATTTTACCTTTTATCTAATTTCTTGCATAGAATTGTTCATGGTATTCTTGTATAATCCATTTTACTTTTGTAAGGTTGTTAGTAAAGTCCCCAGTGTCATCCCTGACTTCGGTTATTTGAGTCTTGTCTCTTTTTTCTTGGTCAGTCTAACAGTTTATCAATTTTGTCGATCTCTTCAAAGAACCAACTTTTGGTTTTATTGATTCTCTCTGTTGTTCTCTTAGTCTCCATTTTGTTTATCTCCACTTTAATCCTTATTTTTTCCTTGGTTCTGTTAGTTAGCTTTAGGTCTAGTTTGCTTTTCGTTTTCTAGTTTCTTTCTTTTTTTTTGAGATGGAGTTTAGCTCTTGTCACCGAGGCTGGAGTGCAATGGTGCAATCTTGGCTCTCTGCAACCTCCGCCTCCCAGGTTCAAGCAATTCTCCTACCTCAGCCTCCCGAGTAGCTGGGATTACAGGCGCATGCTACCACGCCTGGCTAATTTTTGTAATTTTAATAGAGACGGGGTTTCGCCATGTTGGCCAGGCTGGCCTCGAACGCCTGACCTCAGGTGATTCATCCGCCTTGGCCTCCCAAAGTGCTGGGATTACAGGCGTGAACCACCGCGCCCGGCCTCTTTTCTAGTTTCTTAAGGTGGAAGATTCGCTTATTGATTTGAGATCTTCTTTCTTTTGTAATGTAGGCCTTTACAGTTATAAATTTCCTTGAGAACTATATTTCATAAATTTGTAGTTTATCCCACAAATTTCATAAATGAGAGTCTGTGTATTTTTTTTTTGAGACAGAGCCTTGCTCTGTCACCCAGGTTGGAGTGCAGTGGCACAGTCTTGGCTCACTGCAACCTCCGCCTCCTGGGTTCAAACAATTCTCCTGCCTCAGCCTCCCAAGTAGCTGGGATTACAGACGTGCACCACCACACTAGGGTAATTTTTTTTTTTTTTTTTTTTTTTTGTGACAGAGTCTCGCTCTGTCGCCTAGGCTGGAGTGCGGTGGTGCGATCTCAGCTCACTGCATCCTCTGCCTCCCAGGCTCAAGTGATTCTTCTGCCTCAGCCTCCTTAGTAGCTGGAACTACAGGCATGTGCCACCACACCAGGCTAATTTTTTTTTTTGTATTTTTAGTAGAGCTGGGGTTTCATCGTGTTAGGATGGTCTCGATCTCCTGACCTCATGATCTGCCTGCCTCGGCCTCCCAAAGTGCTGGGATTACAGGTGTGAGCCGCTGTGCCTGGCTACCTGGGTAATATTTGTATTTTTAGTAGAGATGGGGTTTCATCATGTTGGCCAGGCTGGTCTCGAACTCCTGCCCTCAGGTGATCCACCCGCCTCAGCCTCACAGAGTGCTGGGATTACAGGCATGAGCCACTGCGCCCAGCCAGAGTCTGTGGTATTTTTATACACCTCATTGCATTTTCTAATTTCCCTTGTGATTTATTCTTTGACACATTGGTTACTTAAGAGTATGTTAATTTCCACATATTTGTGAATTTTCTGGTTTCCTTCTGTTACTGATTTTTGATTTAATGTGATCAGAGGAGATTCTTTGTATGATTTCATTCCTCTTAAATTTATTGAGTGTTATTTTGTGGCCCAAACACAGTCTATCCTGGAAAGTGTTCCATATGCACTTGAGAATAATTTGTATTCTGATGTATCATTGGGTGGCATGCTTTATATATATATGTTAGGGCCAGTTCATTTGTAGTGTCATTCAAGTCTTCTCTTTCCTTGCTGATCTTCTGTCTAATTTTTCTATCTGCGATTGAAAGGTGGGATATTGAGCTCCCCAACTATTATTGTGGTTTTTGTTTTGTTTTATTTTGTCTGAGACAGAGTCTCACTCTGTTGCCCAGGCTAGAATACCATGGCACAATCATGGCTCACTGCACCCTCAACTGCCTGAGCTCAAGTGATCCTCCCACCTCACTTTTCTGAGCATCTGGGATTACTGGTGTGCCTTACCATAACCAGCTAATTTTTTATATTTTTGTAGAGATGGGTTTTTGCCATGTTACCCAGGCTGGTCTCAAACTCCTGGTCTCAAGAGATCCACCTGCCTCAGCTTCCCAAAGTGCAGGGATTACAGGCATGAGATACTGTGCCTGGCCTATTATTGTTGAATTGTCTATTTCTCCCTTCAAATCTGTCAGTTTTTGCTTCATATGCTTTGGAACACTGTTGTTTGGCTTGTTTATAATTGTTATATCTTGATGAATCGACTGTTTCATGAGTATATAATGTCCTCCTTTTTCCTTGTCTCTTGTAACGGTTTTTAACTTAAACTCTATATTGTATGATACTCATATAGGCACTCCAGCTTTCTTTTGGTTATTGTTTGCATGGAATATTTTTCTATCCTTTTACTTTCAGCTGATTTGTGTCTTTATTTTATTTTTTTAGAGACAGGGTCTCACTCAGTCGTCCAGGCTGGAGTGCATTGCTGCAATCGTAGCTCACTGTAACCTTGAACTCCTGGGCTGATGGGATCCTCCCAACTCAGTCTCCCAAGTAGCTAGGACTACAGGAGAGCACCATCATGCCTGACTAATTTTTAAAGTACTATTTGTGTCTTTTAATCTACAGTGAGTCTCTTGTAGACAGCATACAGTGGATACTTTAAAAAAAAAAAGTTTGTTCTCACAATTTCTGCCTTTTAATTAGAGAGTTTAACTCATTTACCTTTAATGTCATTATTTCTAATTTGATTTTTTTTTTTTTTTTTTTTGAGATGGAGTCTCACTCTGTCACCCAGGCTGGAGTGCAGTGGTGTGATCTCTGCTCACTGCATCCATTACCTCCTGGGTTCAAGTGATTCTCCTGTCTCAGCCACCAAAGTAACTGAGATTACAGGTGCGTGCCACTATGCCCAGCTAATTTTTGTATTTTTAGGAAAGACAGGGTTTCACCATGTTGGCCAGGCTGGTCTCGAACCCCTGACCTCAAGTGATCTGCCCGCCTGCACCTCCCAAAGTGCTGGGATTACAGATGTGAGCCACTGCGCCTGCCTTGTTTTCTATATGTCATATCTTTTTTGTCCCTCAGTTCCTCCATTACTGCTTTCTTGTGTGTTAAGTAGATGTTTTCTAGTTTTATTTTGAGACAAAGTCTTGCTCTGTTGCCCAGGCTGGAGTGCAGTGGCACGATTGTGGCTCACTGCAACCTTGACCTCCTGGGCTCAAGTGATTCTCCTGCCTCAGCCTCCTGAGTAACTGGGACTGCAGGCATGTGCAACCATGCTCAGCTAATTGTTTTAAATTTGTTTTTTGAGACAGGGTCTTGCTGTGTTGCCCAGGCTGGTCTTGAACTCATGGCCTCAAGTGATCTTCCTGCCTCATGCTCCCAAAGTGTTGGGATTATAGGCATGAGCCACTGTGCCCAGCTCTAGTGTACCATTTTAATTCTCTCTTTTTTTTTTAAACATACTAACACCAACCGGAATCTCTTGTTTCTTTTGCTTTATTCTTTTGAGTTATTTTCTGGATTGTTACCTTTCTCCCACCTAGTTCAACCCCTCAGAATCACCAAGCTAAAGGATATTAATGCTGGATCTTTTTGTAAAGACAAGAACCTTTTCATAGTGTGAATAACCGCCCCCTGCTATATTTGTCATAGTCTGAAATCAGATTGTCACATGTTGTGTTTTCTAGGAATGTGGTTCCTGTTTTAACGTAGTACATGTCAGGTAAAAGGTAAGCCAGAGATAGCCATTCAGGAGAGAACTGCCAGAAATGAAACGCTTCCTGGTGAAGGGCAGTGGGTTTGGGTATGTACAGTGCCATGATGTTTCTTTTTCAGCTCATTCTTGGAATCCCAGAACAGGCCTTAAGTCTTCTCCACATGGCCATCGAGCCCATCTTGGCTGACGGGGCTATCCTGGACAAAGGTCGTGCCATGTTCTTAGTGGCCAAGTGCCAGGTGGCTTCAGCAGCTTCCTACGATCAGCCGAAGAAAGCAGAAGGTAGGAAGCTGTACGAAGACTGTTAGGCAATGCTATTCCAGAAAGCATTGAAAGTTTAGGACCCAGAAGAAGAAAAGACATTAAATTTGGGACAGCATTTAAGTTCTGAGTGTTCACAAATATATATTAAAATTTCATGCAGCATTTAAAGTGCTTTCACATGCATGCTTGGCAGAAAGATTGAGGACAAGTGAATGGCTATTTTAACCCTATAGAGCCAAGTACCAGGCTAGAAGTCAGGAGTTAAAGACTTTTTTTTTTTTGAGACAAAGTCTCACTCTGTAGCTCAGGCTGGAGTGCAGTGGCGTGATCTCGGCTCACTGCAACCTCCGCCTTCCAGGTTCAAGCAATTCTCCTGCCTCAGCCTCCTGAATATGTAAAGGCGCACACCACCAAGACTGGCTAATTTTTGTATTTTTAGTAGGGCTTTCTCCATGTTGGTCAGGCTGATCTTGAACTCCTGACCTTGTGATCTGCCCACCTCAGCCTCCCAAAGTGCTGGGATTATAGGTGTGAGCCACTGCGCCCGGCCTTTTTTTTTTTTTTTTTTTTTTGAGATGGAGTCACTCTGTCGCCCAGGCTGGAGTGCAGCGGCGTGATCTCAGCTCACTGCAACCTCTGCCTCCCGGGTTCAAGTGACTCTCCTGCCTCAGCCTCCCAAGTAGCTGGGATTACAGGTGCCTGCCACCACACCTGGCTAATTTTTGTATTTTTAGTAGAGACAAGGTTTCACCATGTTGGCCAGGCTGGCGTCGAACTCCTGACCTCAGGTGATCCACCCGCCTCGGCCTCCCAAAGTGCTAGGATTACAGGCATGAGCCACTTCGCCCAGTCTTAAAGACCTTTTTGAAAACCTCACCCTAGTGGTTTGTTTTTTCTCTCTCAAAGAATGGAGAATATAAAAGAATCTTCTGGTAGTTGTTGAACAAATAAAACTAAATACCACGTTTTGAAAACTATACGTGAAGGGTTGAGTTAAATGTGTGTGTTATTTTCCCCTTTCCGTCAGCTCTGGAGGCTGCCATCGAGAACCTCAATGAAGCCAAGAACTATTTTGCAAAGGTTGACTGCAAAGAGCGCATCAGGGACGTCGTTTACTTCCAGGCCAGACTCTACCATACCCTGGGGAAGACCCAGGAGAGGAACCGGTGTGCGATGCTCTTCCGGCAGCTGCATCAGGAGCTGCCCTCTCATGGGGTACCCTTGATAAACCATCTCTAGAGAGGACATCCCTGCTGGGCTGCTGTGCAGAGTATAAGATTTTGGACTTGTTCATGTCCCCTCTCTCCCTATAAATGATGTATTTGTGACACCCTATCTTGTCAATAAACAGCATTCTGATTAGTTTGTCTTATTTTGTTGCTAGTAACTACGTATTTGTTTTATTCCCCTTTTCTTCCCTTTTGGTAGCAAAGGACACCAACTTTTTCTTAATAAATGGGTATTTTGCTAACAAGTTAGTGCAAGCATCTCAGATTATGTTCTCTCTGGGCAAAATTGCCAATATCTTGATTAGAAATTGTACACACTCCATCATTATGTAAATTCATTTAGCACCTATTCTCAGACAAGAGCTCTTCCTGGAATTGGTAGATCTCTCCAGGGTGGTCAGTGCAGGTCTGTATGAGGCTTGGACTTTCTTCTGAGGCCTCCCTGCCTTGTTGGACTGAACCAGCGCTTGTGGTTCCTGTGGCTGCTCACGAGGACTTGTTGGTCCCTGACTGGAGATTAAGAAGGAAAAGATTTTTTCATAATTTTTGGACCAATGACCAGGAGCATTTTTCAGTCCCTTTCTAGATGTTGGCTTTCTTATATATTCTGCATGGGCACTTTTTTTTTCTATATTTAACTCTATAAATGAGGGATGATGATAAATTACGTCCAGGAATTCATCATGAGTAAGGTGATTATAAATTAAGGGGGCCGGCTGCGGTGGCTCACGCCTGTAATCCCAGCAGTTTGGGAGGCTGAGGCGGGTGGATCATGAGGTCAGGAGATGGAGACCAGCCTGGCCAACATGGTGAAACCCCATCTCTACTAAAAAAAAAAATACAAAAATTAGCTGGGCATAGTGGTGCATGCCTGTAATCCCAGCTACTCGGGAGGCTGGGGCAGGAGAATCACTTGAACCCGGGAGGTGGAGGTTGCAGTGAGCCAAGATCGCACTACTGCACTCCAGCCTGGCGACAGAGCAAGACTCTGTCTCAGAAACATAATAATAAAAATAAATAAGAAAGGGTCCAAAGCTCAGAGGTGTGAGATGCTATCACCAAATATATAGTGTATTATAGTTTACATTTCTTAACCCTGCAAGTAAGCAGGAGCCAGTTATTGCTTTTTCTGTTCATGAATTTCTTATCCTTGAGTGTTCACAGAAAAATGCCATTGTTTCAAGTCCAAAGCAGCAGCTATATCCAAATAGTTGTGTTTTTTTGTTTTTGTTTTTTTAGATGGAGCCTTGCTCTGTTGCCCAGGCTGGAGTGCAGTGGCGTGATCTTCGCTCACTGCAACATCCACCTGGGTTCAAGGGAGTCTCCTGTCTCAGCCTCCCAAGTAGCTGGGACTACAGGCATGCACCACCACGCCTGGCTAATTTTTGGATTTTTAGTAGAGATGGGGTTTCACCATGTTGACCAGGTTGGTCTCAAACTCCTGACCTCAGGTGATTCACCTGCCTCAGCCTCCCAAAGTGCTGGAATCACAGGCGTGAGCCACCGTGCCTGCCCCAAATAGTCTTTATAAAGCAACAGGGAACCAACTAAATTGTGCAGCTCCTATTATTGGTTCTTTCTCTGTTAAATTTCCCATCAGAAAGTTTTTCTGATGGGGAGTAATTTCTCTTCAGGGCTCTTTGAAGCAGTGTAAAACAGTTGTATCCATTACGGTACATTTGCTGGCCAAAGACAGCTGCTCTGGAAACAAGAGACTTGGTGGAGAGATAGAGACTAATTGGTATGTTGACTGAAAATCTTAAATTCATTTGAAAGGTTATATATAGAGATGGTAAACATTGAATAATATTAAAGGCTATGTAGTAAAAAGTAATTCTTCAGCCTGTAATCCCAGCACTTTGGGAGGCTGAGATGAGTGGATCACCTGAGATTAGGAGCTTGAGACCAGCCTGTCTAACATGGTGAAACCCCGTCGCTACTAAAAATAAAAAAATTAGCTGGGCGTGGTGGCGGGCGCCTGTAGTCCCAACTACTCGGGAGGCTGAGGCAGGAGAATCGCTTGAACCTAGGAGGCAGAGTTTGCAGTGAGCCGAGATCACGCCATTGCACTGCAGCCTGGGTGACAAGAGCTAAACTCTATCTCAAGAAAAAAAAAAAAGTACTACTTCCTCTTAGGAGGTAACTTATCAGTTCCTTTTTATTCTTTCAAGTATATTTTTTCATCTGATGTCATTTTTGATTAATGTATTTAAAGTAAGAGCCTTTCAATTTAAGAAGTGGCCTTAGCTACTCTGCCTCAGCAGAAGGTTGAATAAATGGGGTCAGGTTGTTCAGGTGACCCCACAGATACCAACATAAAAGCTTGATGTCATCACGCCTGACCAGGACCAGCTATGCAACTCATGGAATCCAGTGCAAACTAAAAATGTGAGGCCTCTATTAAAAAGTAAAAATTTAAAAGGCTGGGTGTGGTGGCTCACACCTGTAATCCCAGCACTTTGGGAGGCTGAGGTGGGCAGATCTCCTGAGGTCAGGGGTTCAAGACCAGCCTTTGCAACATGGTAAAACCCCATCTCTACTAAAAATACAAATATTAGCCAGGCATGGTGGTGGGCGCCTGTAATCCCAGCTACGTGGGAGGCTGAGGCAGGAGAACCGCTTGAACCCAGGAGGCGGAGGTTGCAGTAAGCTGAGATCGCACCACTGCACTCCAGCCTGGGGCGACACAGTGAGACCCTGTCTCAAAAAAAAAAAACATAAAATAATTTCAAACAGCAACGGCAGAGCCTTAAACCAATATAGGGCCCTTCTGAGCCCACAGCCCTGCACAGTTTGCACACCTGAAAAGCCAGCCTGCCCAAAGCGCCTCTCAGCTGATGGCAGCTTCACCCTAGCAGGGAGACAGGGCCTAAATCCAAAGCTAATAGAAGGGGTCTGGGGTCTCCTGCTATCTGTGACTTAGATTTGTTGATTGAGGGGCTTGTCTCCTCCCTGATAGCAGAGTGGGTTGAATGAAAAGTAGAGACATTTGTGACCCCAAAACTCAGAACTGTCGGGGTGACAGCTAACTGGCTTTTCTCCTGATAGAGCATTTGGTGGGGGGAAAAAAAGGAGTCAATAATTTCATAATGATGTGATGATGAGTGGTTTAAGGGTATAAGAATTGATCGTCTGGTTAAATGGGGAAAAGGTTAAATGAGGAGGGAATTGAAACTTTTTCTTTTTTTTTTTTTTTCTTGAGATGGAGTCTCGCTCTATTGCCCAGGCTGGAGTGCAATGGCGCAATCTCGGCTCACCGCAACCTCTGCCTCCCAGGTTCAAGCGATTCTCCTGCCTCAGCCTCCCAAGTAGCTGGGATTACAGGAACCCGCCACCATGCCCAGCTAATTTTTGTATTTTTAGTAGAGATAGGGGTTCACCATATTGGCCAGGCTGGTCTCGAACTCCTGACCTCATGATCCACCCGCCTCGGCCTCCCAAAGTGCTGGGATTACAGGCATGACCCACCGCACCTGGCCGGAATTGAAGCTTTTTAAGCAGCAGGCATTCGGGTCTATACCCGAGATCTTCAGGATGTATCCTCTAAGGGAGAGAAGGAAAAAGGTGTTCTGACCTGGTGGCACAGTGGGAACTCTACCCAGCAGCCGTGTGCCCTGTTTTAAGTTCTTAGCTATATTAACACGTTTAATCTTCACAGTAATTCCAAGAGTTAGCAATAGCATGAATTCCATTGAACAGGATAGGATGGAGGCATAAGGGGGTTAAGTTACTTGCTCAAGGCCACGCTGCTGATAGGTTCCAGGGCTGGGCCTACCCTTAGAATTTTCAAAAGTACTGTCCTGTTTTTGTGAACATTGTTTTTCAGTTTGTTGAACACATAAACGATAATATTAGTTGTTATTTACGTAGTGCCCAATGTGGGCCAGACACTGCTATGTACTTCCACACATACCATCTCTAATGCTTGTGAGCTAAACATCATCCCTGTTTTACAGGCAGGAAAGCGGGCCCTGGAGGTTGGGCCTGACCCAGCCCCGACCTTGGTGAGGACCAGAATCAGGATTCAGCCCCAGAAGTGATGGGCTCCACAGCCTAGGCTCTTTCTCACATCACCAGGCTGCCTTTGTATTCACCTCCATACTCTGAATATTTCTACTTGTTCAAAGTGTTTTAAATTTGGTCCTAATATTTTTGGGTGGTTACACTGGCTTTTTTTTTTCCTGTTTCTTTTTCTTTCTTTCTTTTTTTTTTTTTTGAGACCGAGTTTTGCTCTTGTTGGCCAGGCTGGAGTGCAGTGGCGTGATCTTGGTTCACTGCAACCTCTGCCTCCCGGGTTCAAGCGATTCTCCTGCCTCAGTCTCCCTGCCTCAGCCTAGGATTACAGGCATGCACCACCATGCCTGGCTAATTTTGTAGTTTTAGTAGAGACGGGGTTTTTCCATGTTGGTCAGGCTGGTCTAGAACTCCTGACCTCAGGTGATCTGCCCGCCTTGGCCTCCCAAAGTGCTGGGATTACAGGTGTGAGCCACCGCGCCCGGCCAGTTTTTTTCCTCGAAGATGTATGCTGAGACAAATGAAAAGCCTCCTCATCTGTGCCCCCATCACTTCTTCTATGATGTTGTTTATGTTTGGGACTAGTAATCTCACTGCCTGTTGAAGTGAAACTTCTCAAGATCTTCTTTCTGACAGCATTTTTCTTTTCTTTTTTAGAGATAGTTTCACTATGTTGCCCAGGCTGGCCTTGAAATCTGAGGCTCAAGTGATCCTCTTGCCTCAGCCTCCCAAGTAGCTGGGACTGCATGCGCGTGCCTCTGAGCCTGACTTGACAGCATTTTTTTCCTTTTCTTTCTTTCTTTTTTTTTTTTTCTGAGACGGAGTCTCGCTCTGTTGCCCAGGCTGGAGTGCAGTGACACGATCTCAGCTCACTGCAACCTCCTCCTCCCAGGTCCAAGCGATTCTCGTGCCTCAGCTTCCTGAGTAGCTGGGATAACAGGCACGTGCTAACATACCTGGCTAATTTTTGAATTTTTTAGCAGAGACAGGGTTTCACCATGTTGGCCAGGCTGGTCTCGGACTCCTGACCTCAAGTGATCCCCTGCCTTGGCCTCCCAAAGTGCTGGGATTACAGGCATGAGCCACCGTGCCCAGCCCCACAGCATTTTTCTTTCCTTTTTTTGAGACAGAGTCTGGCTCTGTCCCTCAGGCTAGAGTGCAGCGGCCCGATCTCGGCTCATTGCAACCTATGCCTCCTGGGTTCAAGTGATTCTCCTGACTCAGCCTCCTAAGTAGCTGGGATTACAGGTGCCTGCCACCACGCCTAGCTAGCGACAGCGTTTTTCTACTGTCCTGGTGAATGGGAAAAAAAAAAATTCAACAAGTGCTGTAAATCAAAGAAAATGACCCAGGCAAGTCTCAATCATTTTAGGAGGCTTACTTGCCAAAGTTAAGGAACTACCTGGGAGACAGGTGTATGCCTTTCTCCGAAAATGATTTTGAAGGCTTCAGTATTTAAAGGGGAAAGGGCAGGATATTGAGAAATACACAATTTTCATGTGAGAGTGGGTAGGGGAAAAATAGTCATTCATCCCTTTGCCTGGCTTGGTGAATCTGAAATTTTTTTTTTTTTTTTTTTTTTTTTTTTTTTTTGAGTCTCGCTGTCGCCCAGGCTGCAGTGCAGTGGCGCGATCTCGGGTCACTGCAGGCTCCGCCCCCTGGGGTTCACGCCATTCTCCTGCCTCAGCCTCCGGCGTAGCTGGGACTACAGGCGCCCGCCACCTCGCCCGGCTAATTTTTTGTATTTTTAGTAGAGATGGGGTCTCACTGTGTTAGCCAGGATGGTCTCGATCTCCTGATCTTGTGATCCGCCCACCTCGGCCTCCCAAAGTGCTGGGATTACAGGCGTGAGCCACCGCGCCGGGCCGAATCTGAATTTTTATATAAGATAACATAGAAGATAGGGCCAAGGAAG
Organism: Homo sapiens; assembly: GCF_000001405.40. Classification (NCBI taxonomy): domain Eukaryota; kingdom Metazoa; phylum Chordata; class Mammalia; order Primates; family Hominidae; genus Homo; species Homo sapiens. Next base: position 121,302,560 of record NC_000012.12, on the reverse strand, counting down.
CAATCAGATACGCATTTGTCTCAGGTGAGTAGAGGGATGACTTTGAGTTCTGTCCTATGTCCCCCGCACCTGTGAAGATAAGCTATCCATTTACATTGCCTTGGAGAACTTCAACAGAACTGCTTTAGGGTAAAGATCTTGGGGGCCGCCAGGAATTTCCTTGTGGGCAAAATGTGAGGGAGGTGTGTCGCTTTTCATCTTTGTAGCCACCTTATTTAGGAACCAAAATGGGAGGCGGGTTTGCATGACCCAATTCCCAGCTTGACTTTTCCCTTTGGCTTAGTGAGTTTGGGGTCCCCAGATTTCTTTTCCTTTCCCAGTACATTGGTGTGATGAATCCTGCTGTCTGCATCTGGATGTTCAAGGTTTGGGAGGTGGAACATTCCAGTGAGCAACATGAGCGGCACACGGTTCAGAAAGGAAGGATGAAACCTCCGCAGGAAATTACAGTGCTGTCCTTGGGGGTGAGGTAATTTTACACTCTTGCTTCCAGCCCCTCCCTTGTACTGTTCAAGTTTTCTGTAAAAATATGATTCAGATGCTTTGTTTACTTATTTTCTTGGCAATCTGTTGTCAGGACAACAAGATCTGTTTGCCTAGAATAGAATTTTCTGGTGTTCTTGGAGGAGAAAAATCCAAAAAACAAAGCAAATTCTTACTTTCATATTTCTAAGAAGAAAACGGTTGCCTTAAGTGGGATTTTTTTTTTTTTGAGACAGAGTTTAGCTCTTGTCGTCCAGGCTGGAGTGCAATGGCGCGATCTCCGCTCACTGCAACCCCTGCCTCCTAGGTTCAAGCGATTCTCCTGCCTCAGCCTCCCAAGTAGCTGGGATTACAGGCATGCGCCACCATGCCTGGCTAATTTTGTATTTTTAGGAGAGACGGGGTTTCTCCATGTTGGTCAGGCTGGTCTCAAACTCCTGACCTCAGGTGATCCGCCCACCTCAGCCTCCCAAAGTGCTGGGATCACAGGCGTGAGCCACCGCGCCCGGCAGTGGGATGATTCTTAGAAGAATTGCAACTGTGAGACCAGGCAGCAAGAGCAAAACTCCGTCTCAAAAAAAAAAAAAAAAGAATTGCAACTGTGAGACCAGGCAGCAAGAGCAAAACTCCGTCTCAAAAAAAAAAAAAAAAAAGAATTGCAACTGTGAGACCAGGCAGCAAGAGCAAAACTCCGTCTCAAAAAAAAAAAAAAAGAATTGCAACTGTGAGACCAGGCAGCAAGAGCAAAACTCCGTCTCAAAAAAAAAAAAAAAAAGAATTGCAACTGTGAGACCAGGCAGCAAGAGCAAAACTCCGTCTCAAAAAAAAAAAAAAAGAATTGCAACTGTGAGACCAGGCAGCAAGAGCAAAACTCCGTCTCAAAAAAAAAAAAAAAAAAAGAATTGCAACTGTGAGACCAGGCAGCAAGAGCAAAACTCCGTCTCAAAAAAAAAAAAAAAAAGGAATTGCAACTGTGAGACCAGGCAGCAAGAGCAAACCTCCGTCTCAAAAAAAAAAAAAAAAAAAGAATTGCAACTGTGAGACCAGGCAGCAAGAGCAAAACTCCGTCTCAAAAAAAAAAAAAAAAAGAATTGCAACTGTGATGTTTCTGTCCTGTTCTAATTAACTTTAATAAGGAAAGCACATATATTGATGGGGGTTTTAGCTTTGTGCTAATTTTAATTAGTTAGCATCATTGAAGACTTATGTACCAAGCACAGAGCTAGTATCTTTACATACATACATCGTTAGATTTAAACCTCATGGGAAACCTGTGAGCTAGATACTATTATTATCCCCATTTGACAGCTGACGAAACCAAATTGGGAGAGATCAAGTCATTTGCCCAAGGCCACAGAGCTGGTAACTAGTGAAACTGGGATGTGAACAAAATCTATCTGACTTCAGGGTCATTGCTGTCACCCACAATGCGGAGAGTATACAAAGGTTTCAGATGTGGTACCTGCCTAGATGCCAGGAAGATATAGGTCTATTGGCAAGTCAAAACACAGAGTGAAAAAGGAAGGAATAAAGAAGGAAGGGAGGTGGCTGAGCATCAAATAAATGGTACAGTCCTTGCTTTAAGACATCAGAGAGAGGAGCGGGCAGGGAGGGCCTGGCTCACAGCATTTCAGGAAACTATCAGGAAAAGCAACTCTTGAGCTAGGGTTTGGATTTGTAGGGGCACTTCCCAACCTTTCTTACTTAATTGGCTTTTAAGTTTACACAGCTGTGTGTATATCTAAGTTTCTGCCTGTGTGAGCTACAGTGTTCTAATAAAACACAGGCAATTTAGTAACATGATGTAAACATACAGAATTGTTTAACAAGTACCAGGAAAAGACATCCAGTAACAGGAAAGGACACCCAAATCTATTTTGGTTACCTTAGTAAAGCAGGGTTGCCAAACTATTTATTGCCCATAAGCTAAATCTGTCATGCCACCTGTTTTTTATGGCCTGCTAAGAATGGTTTTTACGTTTTTCTTTTTTCTTTTTGTCAAGATGGGTCTTGCCATGTTGTCCAGGCTGGTCTCAAACTTCTAGGCTCAAGTGATCCTGCCCCCTCGGCCTCCCAGAGTGCTAAGATTGTAATCACGCGTGTAGGTGTAAGCCACCACACCTGGCCTTTCACATTTTTCAATGGTTAAATAAAAACCAAAACAGTAATATTTTGTGACTTATGAAAATCATATGAAATTCAGTTTTCAGTGTCTGTAAATAAAGTTTTATTGGAACACTGCCGCATGCATTCATTTACTATTTCCTGTGGCTGCTAGGATGGCAGGGTTGAGTAGCTGCATTACAGAGCCTATGGCTTGCAAAGCCTAAAATATTTACTATCTGGCCCTTTACAAAGTTTGCTGACCCTGCCTTAAAGTGCCCCAGATAATCTCCACCAGGCCTGATACATATTTTTTTTGGGGGGGGGGGGGGAAATATGAGAATATAGAAAAATACGGGACTATGCATCCCCCATTCAGAATTGACTATTGCTAACAGTTTGCCATTTGCCTCACAGCCATTTATAAGTACTAAAAGGAATAAAACTTTACAACATTCCTTATGCTCCCTGTCCCGTTCTGTGCTTTTTTCCTTCTTTGTGGCACACTGTCATGAATTTAATGTATATTCTTCTCTTTGACTTTAAAAATCTTGTATGTAAGCATGTGTCCATGAACAGTATCTACTGCATGGGATTTTAAGGTACACACAAATTGTACATCATGTTGTATTCTGCAACTTGCTGTTTTACTCAACATTATGTTTTTGGGATTTCCTTATGTCAGTACAGATCCAGTGCACCCCTTTTATCTATTAGATGGTATTCCATCAAACAACTATAATGAGTTTCATTTATCCATTCCTTTGATGAACATATAGGAAGTTGTTCCCAGGTGGTTTTTTTTTTGTGTTTTTGTTTTGTTTTGTTTTGTTTTTGAGATGGAGTCTTGCTCTGTCACCCAGGCTGGAGTGCAGTGGCATGATCTCGGCTCACTGCAACCTCTGCCTCCCGGGTTTCAAGCGATTCTCCTGCCTCAGCCTCCTGAGTAGTTGGGATTACAGGCGCGCGCCACCATGCCTGGCTAATTTTTGCATTTTTTTTTTAAGTAGAGACGGGGTTTCACCATGCTGGTCAGGCTGGACTTGAACTCCTGACTTCGTGATCTGCCCACCTTGGCCTCCCAAAGTGCTGGGATTACAGGCGTGAGCCACTGTGCCCAGACTTTTTTTTTTTTTTTTGAAACAGTCTTGGTCTGTCGTCCAGGCTGGAGGGTAGTGGTGCGATCTCTCTGCCTCCCGGTTCAAGTGGTTCTCGTGCTTCAGCCTCCTGAGTAGCTGGGATTACGGGCACCGCCACCACACCGGGCTAATTTTTGTATTTTTGATAGAGATGGGGTTTCACCATGCTGGCCAGGCTAGTCTCGAACTTCTGGCCTCAAGTGATCTCTCCGCCCGGGCCTCCCAAAGTGCTGGGATCATAGGCGTGAGCCACCATGCCCGGCCTCAGGTTTTTGCCATTTCCAGCAAATGCATGCACGTTGAGTAACATCAGAAGAGGTGGATGGCCGAGCATGTTGGCTCATGCCTATAATCCCAGCACTTTGGGAGGCAGAGGCAGGAGGATCACTTGAGCCCAGGAGTTTGAGACCAGCCTGGGCAACATAGGGAGAACTCTGTCTCTACAAAAAATAGAAAAAATTAGCCAGGTGTGGTGGTGTGTGCCTGTAGTCCCAGCTACTCAGGAGGCTGAGGCTGGAGGATCACCTGAGCCTGGGGAGGTCGAGGGTGCAGCGAGCCGTGATCGTGCTACTGCACTCCAGCCTGGGCAACACAGAGAGACCCTGTCTCAAAACAAACAAACAAACAAACAAACAAACAAACAAAAAAAACAAAGAAAAAAAAATGGGAGTGGGCCGGGCGCGGTGACTCACACCTGTAATCCCAGCACTTTCGGAGGCCAAGGCGGGTGGATCACGAGGTCAGGAATTCAAGATTAGCCTGGACAACATGGTGAAACCCCATCTCTACGAAAAATACAAAAATTAGCCAAGTATGGTGGCCGGCGCCTGTAATCCCAGCTACTCGGGAGACTGAGGCAGAGAACTGCTTGAACCTGGGAGGCAGAGGTTGCAGTGATCCGAGATCGCGTCACTGCACTCCAGCGTGGGCGACAGAGCGAGACTCCGTTTCAGAAAAGAAAAAAAAAAAAAAAAAAAAGGGAGTCGGGGTGGAGCTCTCATTGGCTCGTTGCATGTGAGTGTCCCTACGGCCTAGAAATACAAGAGAAGCACATCGGAACGGGCTGGAAATCCACCCAGTTAACTAGAGGGCTTTGAACCTTTTATTAACTTGGAGGTTGACTCTCCTGTCAACTCGATTCCCTTTTGGCTGTTTGGCAGGGTCAGTGAGACATCCCCTGGGTCGCTCGACCCCGTAGGACGGTTCAGGGAGCCCTCCAGGTCTTCGTTTCTCCTCTTCCCCGCACAGTGCTGTTATCCAGCTGGGGGATCCAACGCACACTTAAGGCTCCAGCAAAGTAAGTGCCAAAAAGGGGAGAATGGGAAGAATATGCTGTATTTCACAAAAAGCATCTAAGTAGCCATCTGGAAAAGCCAGAATGAACTTCAATGGTGCATCCAGGTGGGCTGGGGATGGGAGAGGAACGCCTTCCCCCAGCCTTTAGGGCCGGCCCTGAGCAAGTGGTCAGTCGGCAGGCAGCTGCGGAAGGGGGCTCCCCCGAGTCGGTGGTGGCCCAAAGTCCAGGCCGCATCCACCGCCCGGCGCCTAGCGCAGGGGCAGCAGCCGGGTCGCCACAGGAGGGGCCCCGGGTGTTCTTGCCGGCTTGGGGGAACTTTCCCAGGGTCAGCCCGGAGGCGCCCTGCAGCCCCGGCATTTGGCTAAACAAAGCAAGCGCTGCCGGCGCGGCCCGCCCGAGGGCGCCGCGGGAAGAACCTGGGCAGGTGCGCGCCGCGGGCGAGCGGGTACAAAGTTGCGGCGCCACCTCCTGCGCTCCGCGCCCCTCCAGGCTCTCCTCCCAGCCGCCTCCGATCCTCCCGGCCGGGCCTCTCTTCCCCCGTTCTTCGCCTCCTCCCTTTCTGCTCCTTGCCCTTCGCCTCTTCGCTACTTTCGTCTTTGCAGGCTCCCGCCTCCCCACCCCTCCCCGGCGCAGGGCCGAGCCGGCGGGGGCGCGCAGGGGGCGGTGCGCGGCGGGCGCGGGCGGTTCCGCTTTCGGGTTTCCCGCCGCCGTGGCCAATCCCCGCGCTGCCCGGGGCGGCGACGCGCCCAAGCCGAGCCGGGCGGCTCCTCCCGCCCCCGCCCCCCGCGCGCCCGCCGCCCGGGCGGAGGAGAGGAGCGCGCGGCCGCGCAGAGCAAGCTGAGCCGAGCCGAGCCGAGCTGGGGGCGCAGAGCGCGGGAGGCGGCGGCGGCGCGGAGCCCAGGTGAGCTGGCGGTAGCCGGGCCCGGGGCAAGGGACGCAGCCGCCGCGGCCCCGGGCGCCCGCTCCGTTTCCCTCTCGAGGCGGGGGACCGCCGCCGGCATGGCACACAAAGCCCGGAGGCTGGCCTGGGGCTCCCAACACGGAGGGACCCCACGTGCGCCTCCCCACGCCCCGCCACGTGGAGGGACACGGTCCCCGACAGCCCTTCCCCCGCGTCCTCTGGGCGCCCTGGGCCTCGGGATGGCCTCCTCGGCTGGGCCGCGCCCTGTCCGGGTGGCAGGGGCGGTCCTGGAGTTTGGAACCGGGGTCACCGGGGGCCGGGTCCGTCAGGGTTCGTGGAGGCGGCCTAGGCCCAGCCCCTCGCGTTTGACAGGTGGGGAAATCTGGAGCGTTCCGGGGAAGAGAGGACCAGCGGACTTGGAGCACCCCCACCCCGCAGCCTGCCTGTCTCGGGGCAAACCCAGGCCCTGGTGGCTTGGACACCAGGTGGCAGGACCCTAGGCCAGCAGTTGTGGGGACCTAGGGGACCTTTGGCTGTCTTCGGTCTGCCCTTTGACCACCCCCACCGCACCTCTTCTCTCAGCCGGAGCCTCACAGGCTTGGTCCTTCTGACCTAAATTCACCTCGGGGTTGCAGTATGCTGTGAATGCGGAGAGGCGTCCGCCTGACTCTCAGGGACACTGGACCCAGCCCCTCTCAGCATTGGGGCTCTGTGCCTGGGGTGCCACCCGACCCAGCCTTGAGCTTTTCCTGGCTTTCCCCCAGCCCCTGCACTGCCTAGCTGGGGAAGTGGGTGCTTTCACAGCTCTGCCAGCCTGCCCTCCTGGCCACTCTCACTTAGTGCTGGACAGGATGCAGCTCAGCCCCTCCGATCTCCCCGAGAAGGCTGAGCTTTGGGGAGGGCGTCTCAGTGCTATCAGCAAGAGAGGGATACCTGGCCTCCGGATGGGACCTGCAGCGTCCATCTCCCTACAGGCTACTTTTACCTTCCCCAGCCTGGTGTTTGGAGTCTCCACGCAGGGGATAGAAACTTCAGGTGCCCTAGAGCTGTGCTGCCATTTACCACTCCCCCTCCCCTAGCTCTGCCCCCAGAGGAGAGAGAAGAGGATGGCTTTATGTCCCCATAAGCTCCTTTGTTCCTTGGAGGAGGCGGGGGCTGCAACAAGGGGAGGGCTTTGGGGGAGTTAGCCACCCTCTTCCCTAATCACCCCACAAAAACATGCAGTTTCAGAATAAATAGTGTGCATGCCATGCAAATGCAGCTTTAGGGCAAGCCCCACATACCCCTTCCAGACTGCTGCTCATACACCCTTCCTATGGAGGAAGCAGGCATTGGTGACACACACCCTTCCTATGGAGGAAGCAGGCATTGGTGATGAGGACGCAAAACATATTTTTGTAATGAAGAGTAATAGCCATCATTTGATGAGCCCCTAACTTGGATAATAATAAGAATACTTATTTATTTATTTTGAGACGGAGTCTCTGTTGCCCAGGGTGGAGTGCAGTGGCACAATCTTGGCTCACTGCAACCTCCGCCTCCCGGGTTCAAGCGATTCTCATGCCTCAGCCTCTCCAGTAGCTGGGATTACAGGCGCCCACCACCATGCCTGGCTAATTTCTGTATTTTTAGTAGAGAAGGGGTTTCACCATGTTGGTCAGGCTGGTCTTGAACTCCTTACCTCAAGTGATCCGCCTACGTCAGTCTCCCAAGTGCTAGGATTACAGGCATGAGCTGCCACCTGGCCCTGGACAATAATAATAATAACAGTATTAAAAACTAACATCTATTGAGTTCTTGCTGCCTGCCAGATTCTGTGCTATGTGTTACATGCATTATCTCATTTAATGCCTACCAAATCCTACAACGTAGGGAATTTTAACCCCATAGTAGAGATTAGGAGACTGAGGTTTACAGAAATCCTGCAGTGTTGCTAGGATTTAGCCCCATTTTATAGAAGGGCTCAGAGAAGTTAAGTAACTTGCTCAGGGTCACACAGCCAGTGCAGGCATGTCAGGCCTTAGAACCTTTGTGCACCTGTTCAAGAGCAGAGACCCTGGCAAGGCTGCCCTGAGCTTCTTGAGGAGCCCAGGAGTTTGTTTTGTTTTGTTTATTCACTACATCAGTGTTTGCCGATGCAGCTCTATGCAGGGTCTGTAGTACTGCCCATCCTTAGATATGGCTAGTGGGCTGGTAGCTAAATATAGTCACTAATAACAATGCACTAGTTCTCATCCGGGGGTGGTCCCACCCTCCTGGCAGGGATTTGGGAAAGTGTGGGGGCGACTTTTGGTTGTCAAAATGATGCTAAGCACTCCTGGCTTTTAGTGGGCGGGAGTCAGGGATGCCTACTAAAGTGTCCTGTAGGCAGGCCAGGGCCACGACATAAAGAATCACCCTCCCCTGGCTGGGCGTGGTGGCTCACGCTTGTAATCCCAGCACTTTGGGAGGCCGAGGCAGGAGGATCACCTGAGGTCAGGAGTTCGAGACCAGCCTGGCCAACATGGTGAAACCCCATCTCTACTAAAAATACAAAAATTAGCTGGGCGTGGTGGCACACACCTGTAATCCCAGCTACTTGGGAGGCTGAGGCAGGAGAATCACTTGAACCTGGAAGGCGGAGGTTGCAGTGTGCTGAGATCGTGCCATTGCACTCCAGCGTGGGGCACAAGAAGGAGACTTCCTCTCAAAAAACAAACAAAAAACAAAAAAAAATCACCCTCCCCCAAATGCCAGCAGTGCCACTGTTGAGAAACACCACAAGGAATGAGTGCTGTTGTGATCGAAGGAGCACAGGGCACTGAGGGTTCTGGAGAAATCTCCTCAGACTGGTGTGAATCTGGGAGGCTCCCTGAAGGAGGTGTCATTTGTGCAGAGCCTTGAAGGATGGGCCAGAAATGGGAGATGGGATGGGAGTAGGAGGGGAAGGGGATAGGGTGGGGTGACCTAGCAGGGAACTTTGTGCAGTAGCCGGGGGTTTCCTCTTTGAGAACCTCATCCTAGATGGAAGATGAGTGGCCAGACACCACTCTCAGGGGAGAGGACCAGGCCAAGTGGGGCAGGCCAAGCCTGTTTTCAAGGCATTTTGGCTCAAATTTTAACATGGGCCACAGAATCACCATTATTCTATCAACTCATTTTATGGAAGCCTCTTTATATGAAGGGCTCAGAGAGGCTGAGTAATTTGCTCAGGGTCACCTGTGATCTTCTTCCCGCCCCAGCATACTTTCTTCTGGTGGTTATGGGAAACATTTCATTTCCTGATCCTGGGGATTTGGGGCAAATGCTATTTCAGATTTTCCTTTAAATCAGAGGGTCTTATATTGCTTATTGCTTTGCTTTGTTTCTTTTCTTTTCTTTGAGATGGAGTTTCCCTCTTGTTGCCCGAGCCAGAGTACAGTGGTGTGATCTCGGTTCACTGCAACCTCTGCCTCCCAGGTTCAAGCGATTCTCCTGCCTCAGCCTCCCGAGTGGCTGGGATTACAGGTACACACCACCAGGCCTGGCTAATTTTTTGTATTTTTAGTAGAAACGGGGTTTCACCATGTTAGCCAGGCTGGTCTCGAACTCCTGACCTCAGATGATCCGCCTGCCTCGGCCTCCCAAAGTGCTGGGATTACAGGCGTGAGCCACGGCGCCCAGCTTTTTTTTTCTTTTTTTTTTTCTTTTGAGATGGGATCCCACTTTGTTGCTCAGGGTGGAGGGCAGTGGTGCTATCATAGCTCACTGTAGTCTCCAACTCCTGGGCTCAAGTGATCCTTCTACCTCAACCACCAGAGCAGATGAGACTACAGGTGCATGCCACCATGCCTGGCTAAAATTTTAATTTCTTTATAGAAACAGGGTCTTACTATTTTGCCCAGGCTGGTCTCGAACTCCTGGACTCAAGTGATCCTCTAGGCTCAGGCTCCCAAAGTGCTGGGATTGGATTATAGCCATTGTGTCTGGCCTACTGCTATTTTTCTTCCATGTTTTGCTTTCCCACTCACTTCTTCTCTTTGGATGGGGTTAGAGAACCTGGATATGGGGTTCAGGCCGGCTGGCTGCATGGTGCTGCTGCAGCCTCAGCCTTGCGTCTGTGTCTCTTTCCTAACAGTTGAGGAAATTGCATTTCCCTTTTGAAACCGATCTTCTTTCAGGCTGTGCTTGTTGCCTTACTGACCTGTTAGTAGAGATTCGTAAGGGCTTCTTTTTAAAAAAATTGAGGAGGGCTGGGCACGGTGGCTCACGCCTGTAATCCCAGCACTTTGGGAGGCCGAGGCGGGTAGATCACTTGAGGTTAGGAGTTCAAGATCAGGCTGGCCAACATAGCGAAACCCCGTCCCCACTAAAAATACAATAAAAATTAGTTGAGCCTGGTAGCTTGTGCCTGTAATCCCAGCCACTCGGGAGACTGAGACAGGAGAATCGCTTGAACCCGGGAGGTGGATGTTGCATTGAGCCAAGATCGTGCCACTGCACTCCTGCCTGGGCGACAAAGCAAGACTCCTTCTCAAAAGAAAAAAAAAATTGAGGTGAAATTCACATAATATAAGCTTAACCATTTTATTTTATTTTGTTTTATTTTATTTATTTATTTTTTTGAGACAGAGTCTCACTCTGTCGCCAGGCTGGAGTGCAGTGGCGTGATCTCGGCTCACTGCAACCTCCAGCTCCTGGGTTCAAGCGATTCTCCTGCCTCAGCCTCCCAAGGAGCTGGGATTACAGGCATGTGACACCATGCCCAGCTAATTTTTGTATTTTTAGTAGAGACGGGGTTTCACCATGTTGGCTAGGATGGTCTTGATCTCTTGACCTCATGATCTGCCCGCCTCGGCCTCCCAAAGTGCTGGGATTACAGGCGTGAGCCACCATGCCCAGCCCAAACTTAACCATTTTAAAGTGAACAATTCAGTGGCATTTAGTACATTTATAATGTTGTACAACCACTACTTCTGTCTAGTTCCAGAGCATTTTCATCACCCCCAGAGGAAACCTTGTACCCATTAAACTGTCACTCTCTCTTCCCAGTGCCCCTCCCTGCAGCCCCTGGCAACCACCAGCCTACTTTCTGTCTCTCTGGATTTGCTTGTTTTGGACATTTCATATAAATAGAATCATGTAATATATGACTTTTGTGTCTGGCTTCTTTCATTCAGCATCATGCTTTCAAGACTGATCCATGCCATAGTGGCTGTCAGTGCTTCATTCGCTTCTGCGGCCCAGTACTATTCCATTGTGTGGATGGACCGCATTTTGTGTATACATTCATCCATTGATAGACATTTGGGTTGTTTCCACCATAAAGGCGTCTTAAGGCTACTTTGTCCATTCCCGTGTCTCTGTAGCCCCTCAGTTAATGAACTTCTTGGCATAAGACATTTTTTTGTCACTCTGTTTGGAGGGAGCAGGTGATGGAAGAAAGGTTTCTTGAAATCACTCAGGAACCAGTTTCCCAACCCAAGGTTTTCGGGATTCCCTTCATGCACCCTTACCTACCCCTTGCAAGAATCGTGGCTCCCCATTTAAACCCATTGCTGGCCAGGCACAGTGGCTTACGCCTGTAATCCCAGCACTTTGGGAGGCCAAGGCGGGTGGATCACTTAAGGTCAGGAGTTCAAGACCAGTCTGGCCAACGTGGTGAAACCCCATCTCTACTAAAAATTCAAAAATTAGCCGGGTGTGTTGACACGCGCCTGTAATCCCAGCTGCTCTGGAGGCTGAGGCAGGAGAATCGCTTGAACCCGGGAGGCAGAGGCTGCAGTGAGCCGAGGTCAGTGTGACTGCACTCCAGCCTGGGTGACAGAGCGAGACTCCGTGTCAAAAAGAAAAAACCACAAAACAATAACAACAAAACAAACCCATTGCCTCCTGGATCAATTCATGGTCATTTCATTACAATTTTCAGGGACAGTCTTGGTTTTATTCAGTTCCATTCTTTTCAGTTACGATGATTTTTTGTGTGTTTTGAGATGGGATCTCACTCACTCGCCCAGGCTGGAGTGCAGTGTTGCCATCATGGCCCACCGTAGCCTCAACCTCCCAGGCTCAAGAGATCCTCCTGCCTCAGCCTCCTGAGTAGCTGGGCCTACAGCCCTGCGCCACCACGCCTGGCTAATATTTTTAATTTTTTTGTAGAGACAGGGTCTTGCTTTGTTGCCCAGGCTAGTCTGAAACTCTTGGGCTCAAGTGATCCTCCTGCCTTGGCCTCCAAAAGTGCTGGGATTACAGTTGTCAGCCATTACAACCAGCCCTGTTTTGTTAAATGAAGGTCCCCATGTGATTTTATTAGTATATATTTTGTGAGACTTTTTTCCAGGTAAGTAAATCCACAAAGTAGAGAAAAGCAGAGAGATAGTGCCACGGCCCTGTGGCCGTGAGTGGAGTCAGCCCATTCTGTCCTGATAGCTTTGCCAGGAATACCCGCCCAGAAAGCAGAAATGGAAAGCTGGCCTGAGAGGAAGGCCAGCAGAGATCAGCTCCTGAACCCTTCCATGTTCCAGACAAGGGAAGCGGAGTACAGAAAGGAAGGGAGGACGTGATCTTTGCGGAACAATTAGCTTGAGCCACGCTGTGTACTAGGGACTGCCATAGAGAAGATCAACTCTATAGCCACCCTCTTAGGTAGGTCTGGCACCATTTCACAGATGAGAAAATCAAGGCTCAAGGTCCTCTGGGATCTGTATCCTTTCCTGATGTACCTTCTCTTCCTGAGGTCTTAGGCCTCCCTTGGCTCCCCGCCCCGCCTTTTTTTTTTTTTTTTTTAAAGACAGGGTCTTGCTCTGTCTCTCAGGCTGGAGTGCAGTAGCATGATCTCAGCTCACCGCAACCTCTGCCTCCTGGGTTCAGGCGATTGTCGTGCCTCAACCTTCCAAGTAGCTGGAATTACAGGCACGTCCCATCACGCCTGGCTAATTTTTGTATTTTTAGTGGAGACGAGGTTTCACCATGTAGGCCAGGCTGGTCTCGAACTCCTGACCTCAGGTGATCCGCCCGCCTCAGTCTCCGAAAGTGCTGGGATTACAGGCATGAGCCATCGCTCCCAACTTTGGCTCCTTGTACTGGCAAATTATGCTCGTTTTCTGATGGAGTGGAGTCCACCTTCCCTGGCAGGTTATGGGATGGAAAGCATTTCCGAATAGTTTTGGGCTCTGAGAAATAAGATTTAGAATTATTATTTGTTTTCTTCCCTGATTGGACCCCTTTCTCAACAAAACCAAGATAATAATAATAAAAAAGACATCTTTAAAATGATGTGAGTTCTGTTAGATTTTGTAGGGAAGACCCCTGGCTGCTGCTTTCCCCGTTGGGGACGTTAGTGATCCAAATGGGAAAGGGATTATTTTAGCTGCCAGTGTTTCGGTTTCAGTCATGTTTGTAGTATTGCCACTGAAGTTTTTTTTTTTCAATTATGAAACATTTTAAGCATAGAGAAAAGCCAAAGTTTTGCTTTGTTTTTTTAAACTGGCTCGCTTTTTGGAAAGCTGGAAGGAGGCCCAGGAGGTGACGGAAACGGGGCAGAGTGGGGCGCCCTGGCTCTGCAGGCTCGACCCTTCACCCAGCCCGCTCTTTTGGTTGGGGTGGGGTGGGGGGATTGGTGCTGGTGACAGGCTATACCCTGGGGAACTGAGAAATACTGGGACTTGGTTCCTGTCCCAGGTGAGTGGTCTCAGAGCCTTTTGGAAAAGATGAACAATTCTGACATCCTTTCCCTTTTGAAAAGGAATGAAAGAAAATGAGAAGATTCTGTAGTGCCCCCACCCCCACCCCACCCCATCCTGAAAGCTGCTGAGCAACTATTTTTATGTTGCCTCTTTTTATCCTGGTGGCTTCTGTAAATAGTTGAGAGATGGCAGTTGCAGAGATAAAAATGCTAATCCCAACCTGGAAAAGAGAGGGATGGTGGTCCTCGGAGGAAAGGGGGGTGGGAGTCAGTGGGGAGGCCAAGGTGTTGCCCCTCTGCCCACGTGGCTTAGGCATGAGGCAGGAACCCAGCGGGTGGGGTAGGAGCATTGTGGGTGGTGCCTGAGAGAAGCTTCTGTTAGAGAAGTTTAAATGGGGAACCAGTGTTTTGCGGGGGCCAGGGTGCAGAAGGGAGAGCACACTCCCTTTTTCATTTTTGAAATGTGCTTTGGGGTATTGCCTTCAAGGCTTCTGGCAGAGAAATATTTTATTCGGTTCATCCTGGACAGTTCTGCCCTCTAGGTCCAGGTGTGGGGACGTTGGGCCCCGCAGAGCTGCAGAGCTGGCTCCCTGCACTCTTCTTGTCCCTCAGCTGAGGAGGCTTGCAGCTAGATTTAGCATGATGTCCAAAAGGTGGGGAGGAGGGAGGGAGAGGGGCCGTGGGTAGCCCAGGCACCGATGCCTGTGGGTTTCGAGCTGGCCCTCTCCATCTCTGATTTGCCAAGAGCATGCTGGGTAGAAGTCTTTTTCTTGTTCATTACAAACTGAAATTCCAGTTGTTTTCCAACCTCTTCCTTTGGTTCAGTGAAAGATTGAGAGGGATGCAGTGGGGGAAGAGGAAGGAAGGAAGATGGTTTCTACACTTTATTTCCAAATACCTCCCTCCTCTAAACACATACCCAAACTCACCCACACATTCGTAAGCTCCTCACACTTCAAGGCTGGGGCCACCCATGCACACCTGGTTTTATTTTTATTTATATTTTTTAAATTTAAAAATTTTCGAGACAGAGCCTTTCTCTGTTGCACAGGCTGGAATGCAATGGTGCAATCATAGCTCAGTACAGCCCCAACCTCCTGGCCTCAAGGGATCCTCTCACCTCAGCCTCTGACGGAGCTGGGACCACAGGTGTGCAGCACCACACTTGGCTAATGTAAACATTTTTTTGTGTGGTGATGGGGTCTTGCTGTGTTGCCCAAGCTGGTCTCGAATCCTGGCCTCAAGCGATCTTCCTGCTTCGGCCTCCCAAAGCACTAGCATTATAGGCGTGAGCCACCACTGTACCTGGCCCACAGCTGGCTTTAGATGTCTGACTGCGTGACTGGGGCCATTCTTTCAGTGATATTTCATTACTGACTAAGTAATAGCTGCCTAAGAATTCTTAAGACAGTTGGCCCTGGCAAGCAGCAAGACAGGGGAACTGCTTACTCTGTGAGTATCCAGGGCCTCAAGGGTCACTGGGCTGCAGGGCAGGCCACCTGGATCTCCTCCTGGCCCAACTGCGAGCCTGCTGGGCTGCCTGGATGAGGTCATCTCAACTTCTCTGAGTCTCGGTGACTCCATCTGCAGCCTCTGTTGCGCTGATTGCAAAAGCCATGTGAGAATGTGCTCTTATGACACATGGAAGCAAGGATGTGAAATGATATGCATACGCTATTTTTAATTTTGTAAAATGTGATGCATATGGACAAGGGCTAGAGGGGAAGATGAAGAGTTAGCACGGCAGGATTAGAGATTTAAGAGATTTCGTTTTAAAATAAATTGAAACCAGCTAGGCACAGTGGCTCATGCCTATAATCCCAGCACTTTGGGAGGCTGAGGCAGGTGGATCACTTGAGCCCAGGAGTTTGAGAACAGCCTGGGCAACATGGCAAAACCCCATCTCTACCAAAAATACAAAAAATTAGCCAAGTGTGGTGGTGTATGCCTGTAGTCCCAGATACTTGGGAGGTAAGGTGGGAGGATCACCTGAGCCCAGGAGTTCGAGGCTGCAGTGAACTATGATTGCACCACTGCATTCCAGCCTGGGCAATAGAGTGAGACCCTGTCCCCAACCGCCCCGCCCCCCAAAAAAAGGAAGCCAACTGAGGGTCGTGAATTCAGTAACTGCCAAAGTTCTTTCTTGGCAATAGCTTCTATATAGTGAGCATTCACACTTGTGCCCTCCTGAAGCACTCAGAAGCTGGATGATTGTGAGCAAGTCAGCCAGGCTCTCTGTGCCTCAGTTTCCCCACTGGTGGAACAGGGATAATAGCAGGACCTATTTAGCCAGGCGTAGTGGTGCGCACCTGTAGTTGCAGCTACTTGGGGGGCTGAGGTGGGAGGAATGCTTGAGCCCGGGAGATCAAGGCTGCAGTGAGCCAAGATTGTGCCACTGTACTCCAGCCTGGGTGACAGAGTGAGACCCTGCCTCAACCAAACCAAATCAAACCAAACCAAACCAAACAAAACAGTATCTATAACTCATAAGGTGGTTGTGACAGTTAAATGAGATGATGCAGGATTAGAAGAGTGCCAAGCACTCAAGAAGGCTAACCATTAGTATCACTGCATCTGCAGCAATGCGATTCTTGTGTTGAAAATGCCAGTTTCTTCTCCTCTCCCTGTTCATCAGCCCTTCCCTGCCCCATCCTTGATGTTTTAAGATTAAAAGAAAGAGAAAAGCAGTGTTGGAAGTCAAGTTGCCTGTCAAGGTGAAGGCTGTCCAGGTTGCCAGAGGCCTTGTAGCTGCCTGGCAGTTTGGCCTGGATGAGAGCCCTGGGGTGTAGGGAGACAGCAGCTTCCCTGTCAGTCAGCTCTGTCATTTGTAAGTCAGGGCCCTTGACTGTAAATGATGGAAAACTAATCACGAAATAGCTTAAGCAAAAATGGAAATATGTTGGCTCATGTAGTTAAAAATTGAGGTACATGAGCTTCAGGCATGGCTGAATCCAGGTGCCTAAACAGTGTCTTCAACCTCAGCTCTTTTCCATCCATTACCTCTCTTCTCTCTTCTTAGACTTCATTCTGAGGCAGGGTTCTCTCCAGCCCCTGGTAGCTTTAGGAATATATCCTCTGAGCTCTAGGTTCAACAGAAAGGACATTCTTTCTTTTCAACACTTCCACAAAATCACAGAATAAGACCCAATAGACTGACTTGGGTCACACATCTACTCTCTTTTTTGAGACAGGGTCTCGCTCTGTCACCCAGGCTAGAGTGCGGTGGCATGATCACGGCTCACTGCTGCATCAACCTCCCCAGCTCAAGCGATCCTCCCACCTCAGCCTCCCTAGTAGCTGGGACTACAGGTGTACGCCACCATGCCCAGCTAGGTTTTTTTTGTATTTTTGTAGCGATGAGGTCTCGCCATGTTGCCCAGGCTGGTCTCAAACTCCTGGGCTCAAGGGATCTGCCCACCTCAGACTTCCACAGTGCTAGGAGCACAGGCGTGAGCCACCATGCCTGGCCCACACATCTACTCTGTTTCTTTTTTAGATAAGGTCCTGCTCTGTTGCCCAGGCTGGAGTGCAGTGGTGCAATCTTGGCTCACTGCAACCTCCCCCTCCCGGGTTCAAGTGATTCTCGTGCCTCAGCCTCCTGAGTAGCTGGGATAACAGGCATGCGCCACCATACCTGGCTAATTTCTGTATTTATAGTAGAGGTGGAGTTTCACCATGTTGGCTAGGCTGGTCTCGAACTCCTGGCCTCAAGTGATCTGTCCGCCTTGGCCTCCCAAAGTGCTGGGATTACAGGCGTGAACCACTGCGCCCGGCCTCATATCTATTCTTGAGTTACCCACTTGACCAGAGCAATTGATAGCCAGCTGGCCAGGCTTGAGTCACATGCAAATCTCTGAAGCTGATGGTGGGGTCAGCCCTGTAGGGCCACCTCTCATATGGAGGGATGGCTTCCCAGACATAAATTGGGCTGCTGTTATCAGACTAAAGAAACTTCAACTCTAGGCCAGCTAAAGAAAGCTTCTGACCTTCTGAGTGGCCTTGGGACAGAAGAAATAAACAACAACTTCTAGTCAGTATTTACTGAGTGCGAGCAGTGTCCTAGAAAGTTCTAGGCCCGGGAATTCAGCTGTAAACAAGGAGGCCAAAGCCACAGCTCTCATGAGTTAGTCATGTCCATGTCCCTGTGCCCAAATCCTGTGCATTTCTCCTCCAAGCACTTTGAGACCCTGTGCTTTCGCTCTCATCTCTCTCAAACACAGGTCGAGGTCCCAGCAAGGCAGAGGAATGGGCTGCCTGCCCAAATCCCTTGTTAGAGATTTTGGTCCAGCCTGGACTTTATTCAGGACGCAATATGTGGACATGGCAGGGCTATGCCTGTAATTGTTGGCCCCTTCCTGAAAAACTCAGCCCGGCCGGGTGCGGTGACTCATGCCTGTAATCCCAGCACTTTGGGAGGCCAAGGCAGGTGGATCACTTGAAGTCAGAAGTTCGAGACCAGCCTGGGCAACATGGTGAAACCCTGTCTCCACCAAAAAACACAAAAATTAGCTGGGCATGGTGGCGTGCCTGTAATCCCCAGCTACTTGGGAAGCTGAAGCAGGAGAATTGCTTAAACCTGGGAGGCAGAGGTTGCGCTGAGCCGAGATCACACCACTGCATTCTAGCCTGGGCAACAGAGCGAGACTCCATCTCAAAAATAAGTAAATAAATAAAAATAAAAATAAACAAGAACAACAAAACTCAGCCCAATTGTCGCCCTGCCTAGAACCACTGCGTGACTTTGGGCAAATCAGTAAATCCTTCTGAACCTTCATTTTCCTCATTGGTGGAATGAAATGGTCAGAGCAGGTGACCACTGATGTGCACCTGTCTTTGCACTGACATTCAGTGACTTGAAAGCAGGGGCTGCAGACTCAGACACCTGTAGCGGAGAGGCAGGGCATGAGATGTGGGCCGAGGGGAGGGCGTGGGCCGTGGCAGGCAGCCTGTCCTCAGCTTTGGAGAGGCACTGGGAAGTGGTGAGGACTGTGGCGTGCTGGTGAGTGTGTCCCCTGCCCAGAGCTGCAGCGAGTGGTTGCCAGGATAGAACACAGGCCCAGTGCTATCAGTGTGCAGTTCTTCAAGAAAATCTGTAAATTTGCACTTTTATCTGAAATCTCCTGGCTCTGAAATGTTGGCATCTCATTCAAATGGTTATTTATTTATTTATTTATTTATTTAGCGAAAGGATCTCATTCTGCCACCCAGGCTGGAGTGCAGTGGTGCAATCATAGTTCACTGCAGCCTCCAACTCCTGGGCTCAAGCCATCCTCCCGCCTCAGCCTCCTGAGTAGCTGGGACTACAGGTGTGAGTACCATGCCCAACTAATTTAAAAAATTTTTTTTGTAGAGATGGGGTCTCACTATGTTGCCCAGGCTGATCTTGAATTCAGCATCAAGTCATCCTCCCACCTCGGTCTCCCAGAGTGCTGGGATTACGGCCATGAGCCACCACTTCTTCAGATAGCTTTGAACCTGGTGTAAGGCCAGTATATCGGTGGCCAGATGTCACACAGGAGTCATCATTTGCAACGTTTTTGTTCTAGGGACTATGATGAGGATGGGGTCTCTGAGGCCTGAGATATCTCTATTGCCATCTGACAAGGGAGGGCCTTTGTTTTTGCGGACTCAGTTGTTTCAGTGGCCCCAAATTAAAGAGCGCTGAAGGAGAGAGCCAGTTGTAACAGTTGGTGTCACTGGATCTGATAACCCTGCTTAGCTGGGCTAGGGCCCTGGGTCTGAAATATTCCAGCACCGCCTCCGTGGATGCAGCCGAGCCTCTCAGGTCTCCCGCTAGAGCTTTGGGAAATGCCTCAGAGTCTGTGGCCTCCAAGGCAGCCGGCTTCTCCGAACCCCACTGGTTGGGTGGGGTGCTGTATTATCTTCCTAGAGAAGCCGTGACCAAGTCTCACACTGGGCGGCTTAAAGAACAGAGATATTAGGCAGGGCGTGGTGGCTCATGCCTGTAATCTCAGCACTTTGGGAGGCTGAGGCGGGTGGATCATCTGAGGTCAGTAGTTTGAGACCAGCCTGACCAACATGGTGAAACCCTGTCTCCACTAAAAATACAAAAATTAGCCGGGCATGGTGGTGGGTGCCTGTAATCCCAACTACTCAGGAGGCTGAGGCAGGAGAAGCACTTGAACTTGGGAGGCGGAGGTTGCAGTAAGCCGAAATTGCGCCATTGCACTCCAGCCCGGGGGACAGAGCAAGACTCTGTCAAAAAGAAAAGAAAAGAAAAGAAAAAAAAGAACAGAGATATATTCTGTCATTTCTGGAGGCCAGAAGTCTGGGATCAAGCCTTGGCAGGGTTCGTCCCTTCTGAAGGCTCCGAGGGGAGTCTGTTCCAGGCCTCTCCTGGCTGCTGGTGGTTGTTGATAATCTCTGATGCTCCTTGGCCTCTAGAAGGAGCATCGTCTCCGCCTCCATCTCCGTGTGGCCTTCCCCCTCCGTGCTGGCTGGCTGTGTGTCTACCTTTCCCATTTATTGGACTAGGCCTGTTGGACTGGGGCCCACCCTAATGACCTCATTTTAACTTCATAATCTCTGTAAAGACCTGTCTCCAAATAAGGCCACATTCTGAGGTCCTGAGGGTTAGAACTGCCACATAACATTTTTGGGGGACACAGTTCAACTCACAGCAGGGTCTGAGCCCAGTCCCTGTAGCATTGCCCTGGGCTGCCCTCTCGTCATCATCATCCACTTCCCACAAAGCTGTAGCCCTTCCAGCCCCTCCTTCCCCACTTTGTTCCTGCTCCCGGGCTCCAGACCCAGGAAACTTGTTTCTGTTGCCTCCACTCTCCCGCCTCTTTTCCACAGAGGGCCTTCTCAGAAGCTGTTTCCTCTGCTGGGAACAAGTTCCTGCTCCTTTAGTATCTACTCACCCTGTAGGTCTCAGCCTAATAGACGTTCACCAAGAGGGGCCTTCTTTCACCCACCGCCTCCCTTCAAATCTAAAGTGGTCCCCTCTGGTATTCTCTTTGATCATATCCTGGTCTTCTGCCCCAGTCTGTGCTTATAGATTCACTTGGGACCTACTTTTTCTTTTTCAAGATGGACTCTCGCTTTGTCACCCAGGCTAGAGTGCAATGGCCCAATCTTGGCTCACCACAACCTCTGCCTCCCAGGCTCAAGCGATTCTCCTGCCTCAGCCTCCCAAGTAGCTGAGATTACAGGCGCCCGCCACCACACCTGGCTATTTTTGTATTTTTAGTAGAGACGGGGTTTCACCATTTGGCCAGGCTAGTCTTGAACTCCTGACCTCAGGTGATCCACCCGTCTCGGCCTCCCAAAGTGCTGGGATTCCAGGCATGAGCCACCGCACCCGGCCTTGTGCACCTACTTTTAAATGTTGGTCCCCCTCATTGGACTGTCAGTCCCCTCGAGGGCAAAAACCACATCTGTTTTGTTTATCCAGCACGTGATCATTGCTTTATAATTACTACATGTAAGAACAAATGAATGAATGAATGAATGAACGCATTTCCTTGAGGACCTCTGTGGGCCTCAGTTTCCCCATGTGAGACAGGGTGTGGCTGAGCCCATTTTCCCAAGGAGGACATTGATGTCCCGGGCAGGACATCATCCGTAGCCTTGGCAGGATCCTCGGAGCTGTTTTGGGCCTTTTTGTTGTGCCCGGGATGAGGCAACCTCAGGGGAGCCTGCACAGGTGTGTCCGGGCTTGGGAGCACCTCTTTGGCACCCACTGGCAGCTTGCTGCGCGGGAGGTAGCGGATGCAGGTTGGAAACAGCCCCTAGGAAATGAGAATGTGTTTCCTGGAGGCCCGCGTCTAGCGGGGGACCTGCCCCGATAATCACATAGGTTCTTTTCTATTTTCCTAAGCGTCGGCTGGCTTGAGAAATAAAGGGACAGAGTACAAAAGAGAGAAATTTTAAAGCTGGGCGTCCGGGGGAGACATCACATGTCGGTAGGTTCCGTGATGCCCCACAAGCCACAAAAACCAGCAAGTTTTTATTAGGGATTTTCAAAAGGGGAGGGAGTGTGCGAATAGGTGTGGGTGACAGACATCAAGTACTTAACAGGGTAATAGAATATCACAAGGCAAGTGGAGGCAGGGTGAGATCACAGGACCACAGGACCCAGGTGAAATTAAAATTGCTAATGAAGTTTCGGGCAACATTGTCATTGATAACATCTTATCAGGAGACAGGGTTTTGAGATCAACCGGTCTGACCAAAATTTATCAGGTGGGAATTTCCCCTTCCTAATAAGCCTGGGAGCGCTATGGGAGATGGGAGCGCTATGGGAGACTGGAGTCTATCTCACCTCTGCAATCTCGACCATAAGAGACAGGTACGCCCCGGGGGGTGCCAGTTCAGAGACCTACCCCTAGGTACGCATTCTCTTTCTCAGGGACGTTCCATGCTGAGAAAAAGAATTCAGCGATATTTCTCCCATTTGCTTTTGAAAGAAGAGAAATATGGCTCTGTTCTGCCCGGCTCACCGGCGATCAGAGTTTAAGGTTATCTCTCTTATTCCCTGAACGATTGCTGTTATCCTGTTCTTTTTTCAAGGTGCTCAGATTTCATATTGCACAAACACACATGCTGTACAATTTGTGCAGTTAATGCAATTATCACAGGGTCCTGAGACGATATACATCCTCCTCAACTGACAGGATTAAGAGATTAAATAAGACAGGCATAAGAAATCACGAGGGTATTGACTGGGGAAGTGATAAGTGTCCATGAAATCTTTACAATTTATGTTTAGAGATTGCAGTAAAGACAGGCATAAGAAATTACAAAAGTATTAATTTGGGGAACTAATAAATGTCCATAAAATCTTCACAATCCATGTTCTTCTGCCATGGCTTTAGCCGGTCCCTCCGTTTGGGGTCCCTGACTTTGGCTGGCTGAGCCCATTTTCCCAAGGAGGACATTGATGTCCCGGGCAGGACATCGTCCGTGGCCTTGGCAGGATCCTCGGAGCTGTTTTGGGCCTTTTTGTTGTGCCCAGGATGAGGCAACCTCGGGGGAGCCTGCACAGGTGTGTCCGGGCTCGGGAGCACCTCTTTGGCACCCACTGGCAGCTTGCTGCGCGGGAGGTAGCGGATGCAGGTTGGAAACAGCCCCTAGGAAATGAGAAGGTGTTTCCTGGAGGCCTGCGCCACTCAGCTTCCTGGCAGAGGAAGGAGCGTTTCCCTCATCCTGGCCCGGGTCCCGGGTCCATCTGCTCCAGGAAGGCTCTGGTGGCTCGTGATGAGCTGCCCTGTGAGAGGGAACAGGGTAGAGGCAAGGCCTTGGGGGATGGCCTCTGCCTGGATTTCATGGGGAAGGATGCAGGGCCAGGGCTGACATTTTGTCAAATCCAAGCAACTTTGCAAAAAAGTCCTCCTCTCACGCTCCGCCCTCTGGAATCGAATGCTTCACTGTCCTTCCCTGGCAGAGGGCCTGGTCCTGTGAGGGTTACATGGCCAGGCGGTTATCTCCGTGCTGGGTGCCTGATGAGAGCTCAGTTGAATGTTAGCCGTTGCTGTTTCCAGGCTAAACTATTGTCTTTTTGCATGATTTCTTCTGCACAGAGTGTTGGTAGCTTTCATCAGATCTTTGTAGGGTCTGTGACCCCCAAACCGTTCAGGACACTGGCCTAGACTCTAGGTGTCTGTGAGGCCAGAAGCCCCTGGATGCATCTCTTCCTGTCAGGGCCTGCGTCCCTGGGGCTCCTCTCTGCTGAGCTCTGGGGTTTCACGCTTGCCCTGCCAGCGCCGACGTCCCTGCCCGGGGTCTGAGCTGTCTCTCCTCTCCATCCTCCAACAGACCGCAGAGGCCGAGACTCCGTCAGAGCTGTGAGGGAGGCCCGGGCCAGATGCCAGCTTGCCAAGGAGGCCGATTAAAAGCAGCCTTGCTGGGGGCGGATGGCTCAGTGCCCTTGGCCTGGTGTAGAGTTCGATAAGCAATTGTTTTCCTGTTGGTGAGAAAAAAACAAATCTCCATTGACTTTCCCAGGCACTGCTCAGCCTCATTTTCTTCTCAGGAACTCTTGCAGCCCTATCAGAGGCAGCTCTAGGATAGGGGAGAGACTGACTGCCTGCCCTGGGGGACGCAGGCCACACAGCCAGGGCTGAGGGACACACTTAAGAGCAGGCCAGCTCGCTTGGACATTGGTCCTCGTGGGAACATTCCAGAGCATAGGCTACCTACCAGAGCAGGCCATGGGCATCTGTATTAGTCCGTTTTCACGCTGCTGATAAAGACATACCCGAGACTGGGCAATTTACAACAGAAAGGTTTAACTGGACTTATAGTTCCACTTGGCTGGGGAAGCCCCATAATCATGGCGGAAGTCAAGGAGGAGCAAGTCCGGTCTTACATGGACGGCAGCAGGCAGCGAGAATGAGGAAGATGCAAAAGCGGAACCCCCTGATAAAACCATCAGATCTCGTGAGGCTTACCACCATGAGAACAGTATGGGGGAACCCGCCCCCGTGATTCAATTATCTCCCACTGGGTCCCTCCCACAACACACGGGAATTATGGGAGTACAATTCAAGGTGAGATTTGGGAGAGGACACAGAGTCAAACCATAGCATCCAACAGGTGTTTGTTGAAGTAATAGTTTTTGAGTACTTAACCACTTGCAGGGCATGATTCTGAGTGCTTGGTTCATCTAATCCTATGACTATCAGATGGGCACCAACTTTACAGGATGTCAATGACCTTAAGCTGTTGAACTTCAGGGTATCTTGAGTTTCCTCTTCTGGGACATAAGGACCATGAGAAGGAGAAGTAAAGTAGCAGCAGCTAGGGCCATAGAGAAATATCAAACTTGAGTTGTATTCTCTCATTGATGGGGAAACTGAGACAGGGACAGAGTTGATGATTTCTTTCTGAGATACAGTAAGGGGGAATGGGGGACAGAGAAATAGGAGATAAGACCAACTGCTCCCCTCTCCTGACCTCCTGCCCCGTCTGATCCCGTAGCATCCTAGGCCTTATCATCATAACTCCGATCATGGTTACAGGTATTTTCTTTCCTTTAAAACACTTTTTATTTATTTATTTATTTTAGATGGAGTCTTGCTCTGTTACCCAGGCTGGAGTGCAGTGGCGCAATCTCGCCTCACTGCAACCTGTGCCTCCCGGGTTCAAGTGATTCTCCTGCTTCAGCCTCCTGAGTAGCTGGGATGACAGGTGCCCAACACCACGCCTGGCTAATTTTTGTATTTTTAGTAGAGATGGGGTTTCACCATATTGGCCGGGCTTATCTGGAACTCCTAACCTCAAGTGATCTGCCTGCCTTGGCCTCCCAAGGTGTTGGGATTACAGGTGCGAACCACTGCATCTGGCCTGAATTTGACTATTCTAGATACTTCATGTAACTGAAATCTTACAACACTTGTCCTTTAGTATCTGGCTTGCTTCACTTAGCGTATGTCTTCACGGTTCGTCTGTGTTGTAGTGTGAGTCAGAGTTTCCTTCTTTTTTGTGGCTGTATAGTATTCTGTTGTATGGCTCTGCCACATTTTGTTTATTCATTCGTCTGTTGATGGACACTTGGTTATACCTTTTGGCTATTGTGAATGATGTTGCTATGAACATTAGTGTACAAGTATCCGTTTGAATCCCTACCTTCAATTCTTTTGGGTCTATACCTAGGAGAGGAATTGCTGGTTATATGGCAACTCTACGTTTAACTTTTTGGGGAGCCACCAGGCTGCCTGATTGTAGTTTGAATTTGCAGTTCTCTTACTGTGAGGTTGAACATCTTGCCGCATGATTGGACTCTTTGGCGTTCTCTTACCACACACTCTGTGTGCATGAGTCAGGCCCGTGTCAGGGCTGGGGCGTTGGGTTTTCCCTTTTGCCTTTCCTGTTGGGCTTTCCCTGCCACGTGCCTGGCGTAGTAGCTATTTCATCAGTTCTTCTGGAAGGACCGTTCCGAGAGCGCTGAGGGCCATTTTCTGCCTCTCAGCCAGATCCTCCAGGGAGCTCTGGCTTTCCGCTGTCTGTACCTTCCTCTCTTTTACCCCACTACCTCCCAATGTCATCGGAGATACCATTTTATTCATTCATAAAATCTCTGCTGAGCCCTCACTGTTTTCCTGGGACATCTAGAGAGACCCCCCCCCCACCCCGCCCTTTTTTTTTGAGATGGAGTCTCCCTCTGTTGGCAGGCTGGTGTGCAGTGGTGCAACCTCAGCTCACTGCAACCTCCGCCTCCCAGGTTCAAGCAATTCTCCTGCCTCAGCCTCTCCAGTAGCTAGGATTATAGGCATGAGCCACTACACCTGGCTTATTGTTGTATTTTTAGTAGAGACGGGGTTTCACCATGTTGGCCAGGATGGTCCAGAGAGACCCTTTGTGATGTGGGTGATTAGCATGGAGTGGCCATCATCCACAGGTGTCTGTCCACAAATGTACTCCCTGAATTCCAGTGGTACCTGTGACATTTGTCCAGCAGAATTTGTCAAACACGTTAAGCAAAGGTTAATGTTCTGTCCCAGAGACGGTAAGAATTGACAGCCTAAGGGGATGTGTTAATCTTTTTTATTTTTATTTTTTGAGATGAGTCTTGTTCAGTCACCCAGGCTGCAGTGCAGTGGTGCGATCTCGGCTCAGTCATTGCAACCTTCACCTCCCGGATTCAAGTGATTCTCCTGCCTCAGCCTCCCGAGTAGCTGGGATTACAGGTGCCCACCACCATGCCCAGGTAATTTTTGTATTTTTAGTAGAGATGGGGTTTCACCAGGTTGGCCAGGCTGGTCTTGAACTCCTGACCTCAGGTGATCCACCTGCCTTGGCCTCCCAAAGTGCTGGGAGGATTACAGGTATGAACCACTGTGTCCGACTTCTCTCTCTTTTTTTTTTTTTTTGAGATGGAGTCTCACTCTGTCATCCAGGCTGAAGTGCAGTGGCGTGATCTCGGCTCATTGCAACCTCCGCCTCCCGGGTTCAAGTGATTCTCCTGCCTCAGCCTCCTGAGTAGCTGGGACTACAGGTGTACATCACCACACTTGGCTAATTTTTGTATTTTTAGTAGAGATGGGGTTTCACCATGTTGGTCAGGCTGGCCTTGAACTCCTGACCTCATGATCCACCCGCCCTGTCCTCCCAAAGTGCTGAGATTACAGGCGTGAGCTGCCGTGCCTGGCCTTTTTTAAAAAATTGAGATATAAGTTCATGTAACATAAGTTGGCCATTTTGAAGTGTATAGTTCAGTGGCATTTAGTACGTTCACAATGCTGTGCAACCATTACCTCTATCTAGTTTCAAAACGTTTTGATCACCCCAAAAGGAAAACCTGTGCCCATTAAGCAGCCATTCCCCACACCCACTAATGTCACCACCCCCATAGTCCTAGGCAACCATTAGTCTACTTTCTGTCTCTGTGGAGTTGCATATTTTAAAAATTTCATATAAATAGAATCATATATATGTGACCTTTTGTGACTGGCTTCCTTCAGTTAGCATAATATTTTAGAGGTTCATCCATATTGTGGCATATACTTGATTCCCCCCGACCTTTTTTTTTTTTTTTTTTTTGAGACAGTCTTGGTCTATTGCTGAGTTGCTGAGGCTGGAGTGCAGTGGCATGATCTCGGCTCACTGCAACCTCCGCCTCCTGGATTCCAGCGATTCTCCTGCCTCAGCCTCCTGAGTAGCTGGGATTACAGGCACACGCCACCATGCCCGGCTAATTTTTGTATTTTTAGTAGAGATGAGGTTTCACCATGTTGGCCAGGCTGATCTGGAATTCCTGGCTTCAAGTAATCTGCCTGCCTTGGCCTCCCAAAATGCTAGGATTACAGGTGTGAGCCACCGTGTCCAGCCCTGACCTGCATTGTTAATGCCCAGCATTTAAAAATAAAAAGTCAGGCAAACTTATTAACCTCCTTAGGGCTTCTCTTGGGAAAAACAAAGGGAAGACCAGCAATAGTAGGCCCAGATTCCTGCCGAGCAACAATTGGCTTGAGCTGGAAGCAGCTGTCAATTCTGTAGGGGATATGTGTGCTCTATTTGGGGGTTTTCTTATACTTGTTCCTATAGGAATTGAGTTAGGAATTATTGTCATGGTATGTGAGAAGTGGTTCCAGCTACTTGGGAGGCTGAGATGGGAGGATCACTTGAGCCTAGGAGTTCAAGGGTACAGTGAGCTATGATCGCACCACTGTACTCCAGCCTGGGCAACAGAGAGAGGGAGAGACCTTGTCTCAAAAAAAAAAAAAAGAAAAAAAAAGAAAAAATAATAAAAGAAAAAATATAAGAAGATGCAGACTCTGCTTTTCTGTATAGACTCAGAGATCAGATCACACCATGTTTTGCAAGATTTTTTTAGGATGTCAACTGGAGGCAGGAATTAGACAGCAGCCTGGGCCAGGAGGAGAGGGGATCCTTTCCTGTCCCTGCCCGTAGGAGCTGGGCCAGCTGACCCTTTCTCTTTCTGCAGGTGGCTCCGCTGCCGGATGGGAGTGCCCCAGTGTGCTGGATGAAGCTGGCGCATGCACCATGTCATCATGTGTCTCTAGCCAGCCCAGCAGCAACCGGGCCGCCCCCCAGGATGAGCTGGGGGGCAGGGGCAGCAGCAGCAGCGAAAGCCAGAAGCCCTGTGAGGCCCTGCGGGGCCTCTCATCCTTGAGCATCCACCTGGGCATGGAGTCCTTCATTGTGGTCACCGAGTGTGAGCCGGGCTGTGCTGTGGACCTCGGCTTGGCGCGGGACCGGCCCCTGGAGGCCGATGGCCAAGAGGTCCCCCTTGACACCTCCGGGTCCCAGGCCCGGCCCCACCTCTCCGGTCGCAAGCTGTCTCTGCAAGAGCGGTCCCAGGGTGGGCTGGCAGCCGGTGGCAGCCTGGACATGAACGGACGCTGCATCTGCCCGTCCCTGCCCTACTCACCCGTCAGCTCCCCGCAGTCCTCGCCTCGGCTGCCCCGGCGGCCGACAGTGGAGTCTCACCACGTCTCCATCACGGGTATGCAGGTGCGTGAGCCGGTGGTGAGCCAGGTCCTAGGGGTCCCTGGTGCCCTTCCCTGCCCCCAGCAGGGCCTCTGTGGAAGGTTGGGCTCCCCCAGAAGGATCTGAGTGCCACGGTTGACCTAGGAGTTGACTCCAGGGAACCTTGGGGGCGGCTGGGGCCAAAAAGGGGCCCTAGGGGGGTCGTGAATCAGCATGGGGAAGGGAAGGCAGTCAGCAAAGGGTGGGTCATGGAGCCGATTACCAGTGTGGAGTGTGGGCCGCTGGGGCTTTTTCCTTCCGTGGGACCCTGGGGAACAGCACAGAGCAGCAGCCTCAGTCATCCCACCAGGGGCAAGGGAGCTGGGGTATTTATACTCATGGGTGAGGGCTGCTGGGGCAGGTGTGTGTGACCCCCTGTGGGTGTGGACAGAGCAGTTGCAGGGCCGGAGGGAGCCTCCAGCAAAGAGACTGAGGTGTGGGCGAAGGTGTGATGGAATGAGGCGGGTCACTGAGAGCCTGGCGACGACCCGCCTGGCCGAGCGTGTGTTGGCACCAGGCACTGGGTTCAGCACTTGCTGTGCATTTCTCACAGGACCCTTACCGTAAACCCTGCGGGGATACAGAGAACTCAGATCCTCACCAGGGTTCACAGGGCCCTGTGTGGTCTGACCCTTTCCCATCCCTCCTGCCATTCTGCTGCCAGCTCCCTAAGCTCCCTCTGTTCCTGCCTTCACATTCCTCGGAATCCAAGCTCTTGCCTTGGGTCTGTACTCTCGCTGTTCCTTCTGCTTGGAACCACCTCCCCCACCACCCCATGCCAACTTTGTAAGGCCTATTCCGATAATGTCCAAGTCTCAACTCCAGTATCACCTCCTCCAAAAGGCTTCCCGGGCCACCATCCCTAAAGCACCCTCCAGCCTCTCTCTGCCCCATGGCCCTATTTGCTTTCCTTCATAACGTTAATCAGCATCTGATTATCTGTGCGTTGGTTTAGTTGTTTATTGCCTGTCTCCACCCAGCCAGAACGTAAGCTCCATAGGATCATTTCATCCACCTCCACACCCTATCCCATCCCCAGAGCCTAGCACAGTACCTGGTGCATAGTAGGAGCGCAAAAATATTTGTTGAAGGAACGAATGAATTTAATTGGAAGAAGACCCAACATCAGGATGCCTTTCTAAAGGGGCTTTTTTTTGTTGTTGTTGTTGAGACAGAGGGTTGCTGTGTTGCCCAGGCTGGAGTGCAGTTGCGTGATTTTGGCTCACTGCAACCTCCACCTCCCAGGTTCAAGCTATTCTCCTCCCTCAGCTCATGAGTAGCTGGGACTACAGGTGTGCACCACCATGCCCAGTTAATTTTTTTTTTTTTTTTTTTTTTTAAGTAGAGATGGGGTAATGCCATGTTGGCCAGGCTGGTCTCGAACTCCTGACCTCAGGTGATCCACCTGCCTCAGCCTCCCAAAGTGCTGGGATTACAGGCATGAGCCACTGTGCACTGCCAAAGGGGCTGATTTTGAAGGGGCTATAGGGACTACATTTTGAAGGCCAGGAAAAACTTTCATAATTGGAGATGAAAATTGGGCCCTGGAGAGTTGAGAGGAGGGAGAATTCACAGCATGAGCCAAAAACAGAGCTAGGACCTATGAGCAATGGCTCCTTTTTAGCTTAGCTTCTTTCACAGCATCATGATTTTGAGATTTATCCATGTTGTGGCGTATATCTGTAGTTCCTTTTTATTGCTGAATAATTTCAATTGTATGGACGTACCACAGTTTGTTTATTCATTTACCTGTTGAAGGACATTTGGATTGCTTCCAATTTTTTATTATTACAACTAAAGCTGTTATTAATATTTATATGCAAGTCTTTGTAAACACATTTTCACTTCTATTGGGTAGAGTGGCCTGTGGTACGGTAGATGTTTGTTAAGAAACTGTCAAGGCCTGGTACAATGGCTTATGCCTGTAATCCCAGCTACTTGGGAGACTGAGGCGGGAGGATCACTTAAGACCAGGAGTTTGAGACCAGCCTGGGCAACATAGGAAGACCCATCTCTACAAAAAACAAAATAGGCTAGGCCCAGTAGCTCACGCCTGTAATCCCAGCATTTTGGGAGGCCAAGGCGGGAGGATAACCTGAGGTCAGGAGTTAGAGACCAGCCTGGCCAACATGGAGAAACCCCATCTCTACTAAAAATACAAAGAATTTAGCTGGGCGTGGTGGTGGGTGCCTGTAATCCCAGCTACTTGGGAGGCTGAGGCAGGAGAATTGCTTGAATCTGGGAGGCGGAGGTTGCGGTGAGCTGAGATTGTGCCATTGCACTCCAGCCTGGGCAACAAGAGCAAAACTCCATCTCAAAAAGAAAAAAAAGCCAAAGTTTTAATTTTGGTGAAGTCCAATTTATCATTT
The DNA here is from genome assembly GCF_000001405.40 of Homo sapiens. NCBI lineage: Eukaryota > Metazoa > Chordata > Mammalia > Primates > Hominidae > Homo > Homo sapiens. The sequence continues at coordinate 121,271,671 of NC_000012.12, read as the reverse complement.
GTTTCTTTTGTCTGTACCTTTTTTGTATTATCTAAGAAACCCTTGTCTACCCCAAGGTTGCACAGACTTGCTTTTCTTGTATCACTTTATGTTTTTACAGGACAATGTAGCCAAGGATTACTTGTTTGATTTAAAATTTACTTTTTAAAAGTAGGAACAACCTTCTTTAAAAAATGGGTTTTACAAGAGTCCACAGTGTGTGGTTACATTTTGACAAAGTACAACAAGCAAAATCAGCGTTGTTAGAAGTCAAGAGAGTGGCCACCTGGGGGAGGGCAGAGGTGCGAGTGGCTTCTGGGAGCTGGGGATGTTCTCTTTCTTGATTTGGGTTCTGGTTACCTGTATGTGTTTAATTTGGAGAAATGTATCTAGTTGCAAACTTTTTTTTTTTTTTTTTTGAGACACAGTTTTACTCTTTTGCCCAGGCTGGAGTGCAATGGTGCAATCTCCGCTCAAGCAACCTCCACCTCCTGGGCTCACGCGATTCTCGTGCCTCAGCCTCCTGAGTAGCTGGGATTACAGGTGCCCACCACCACGCCTGGCTAATTTTTATATTATTAATAGAGATGGGATTTCACCATGTTGGCCAGGCTGGTCTGGAACTCCTGAACTCAAGTGATCCTCCCACCTTGGTCTCCTGAAGGGCTTGTAGGTGTGAGCCACCGTGCCTGGCCTCTAGTTGCAAACTTAAAATTCATTTTGCACGTGTCTCTCCTTACTCTCTAGGACTGTGTGCAGCTGAATCAGTATACCCTGAAGGATGAAATTGGAAAGGTAAATATCCCTGGGGCTAGGCTGGCTTTCTGCATTCACCAGGGGCGTTCAGATACTGTGGAGGGAACGGGGTAAAGCTGGGAGCAGGAGAGGAGTCTTTGAAGGCGAGGTTGGTGGAGAGGGTTTTGTCATTAATGATCTAGGTTTTTGGTTTAGTTTTGTTTTCTTGTATCTTAAAATTAAATATGTTTCTGCAGAAGCTCAGAAAGCTTCCAACGAAATTCCATATCGCCTTGGTGATAGTTACATCCCCAATACATTTGGGGTTTTGTTTCACCCCGAGGTACTCTGACATCTAGTTTTGCTTTTGTTTTAGCTAATGGGGGGTATCATCACCATGGTCAAAACTCCAAATGCCAGTAGAAAACAAGTAAGTAATATAAAGGAGTGAGGCATGCCAGCTGTAAGGTAGTAGGGAGTGGTAAGGACAGTGGCAAACCATTAACATATGGAAATGAGGGCTACATATAGCTAGATCTTTCCATTTTTTCAAAATAAACTAGGAATCTTGATTTTTTTTTTTTTTTTTAGACAGGGTGTTGCTCTATCACCAAGGCTGGAGCGCAGTGGCGCAATCTCGGCTCACTGCAACCTCTGCCTCCTAGGCTCAAGCGATTCTCCTGCCTCAGCCTCCCAAGTAGTTGGGAGTACAGGTGTGCACCACCACACCTGGCTAATTTTTGTAATTTTTGTAGAGACAGGGTTTCACTATGTTGCCCAGGCTGTTCTCAAACCTGACCTCAAGTGATCTGCCCGCCTCGGCCTCCCAAAGTGCTGGGATTACAGGTGTAAGCCACCTTGCCTGGCAAGGAATATAGATTTCTATATCAGACCTTTCTGTTTTTTTTTGAGACTGAATTTCACTGTGTCGCCCAGGCTGGAGTACAGTGCCGAAATCTTGGCTCACTGCAGCCTCTGCTTTCGGGTTTAAGTGATTCTCAAGCCTCAGCCCCCTGAGTAGCTGGGATTACAGGTGCCTGCTACCATGCCCCGGCTAATTTTTGTATTTTTAGTAGAGACGCGGTTTCATCATGTTGGCCAGGCTGGTCTCAAACTCCTTAACTCAAGTGATCCGCCTGCCTCGGCCTCCCAAAGTATTGGGATTACAGGTATGAGCCACTGCGCTCCGCCCAGATCTTTCTGTTTTTAAATCTTGGCAACTAATCCAAACTTTGTAAAAACCTGGGCTCCAACAAAATACAGTTGCGGGACAGATTTGACCAATGGGCTGCCGGTTTGCAACGTCTGTATTAGGGTTCTCATTTTGCAGATCTTAACTTCTGGATAGTATGTCATGGGCATCTCCCTTTATCCAGGGCTCCTATGGTGTCGTCAAGTTGGCCTACAATGAAAATGACAATACCTACTATGTGAGTATCCGCATTCTCCTCCCTGCCCCCATCCTTATCCACAGAAGAGCCTCCTTTCCAGCACTCAGCTTCCTGGAAAGTTTTCCTAGCTGTTGTCTCATTTTATTCTTAGGTCATGTTTATTTTGTGCCTTAGGAAGGAAGTGGTATGCCCATTTTACAGATAGGAAAATGGGGAGGTGAGGGGATTGGCCCAGAAAAAGTTACTCATTCAGCAAAAGGCTTTTATGCCCTTCCTCTGAGCTGTCATCTCTGCATCCTCCATAGTATTGAGAACAAGGCAGCAGTGAGACAGGTGTCTGTGTGGGTGGCTTTGGAGTCAGTCCAGCGTAGTTTTGAACCTGAATCTATCGTGTGCCAACCATGTGACCTTGACAAGTGATATTTCTCCATGTGTAAAACAGCTGAGCCTCAGTTTCCCCATGTGTAAAACAGCTGAGCCTCAGTTTCCCCATGTGTAAAACAGCTGAGCCTCAGTTTCCCCGTGTGTAAAACAACCAGTCCTGCCCCTCCTTTGCCCATTGCTCCAGCTCACTTGTGTTTTGATTCGATGGCAGCAAGTCCTGAGGCTCGTGGTTTCCCAGCTGAGAGAGGCGACCGTGAGCCTCAGGAACACCTCAGAGCTGGAGGCACCCCAGGAGTCCAGCCTCCCTACAACCCCATGGCTGCTTGACCCTCTCTGGTAATGAGGGGCTCACTCTGTTGACCTGAGCCTGCCAGGGGGCCAGGAGCTTGGGCCGGCTTTGGAGTAGAGGAACCCCGACTGCGCCCTCCTTCCCCTTTTCCTCCCTGCTTTAAACAGGACCTGGCTAAAGGTGCTGTCCTTCATTTTCCTGCAGGCAATGAAGGTGCTGTCCAAAAAGAAGCTGATCCGGCAGGCCGGCTTTCCACGTGAGTTTGGCGGGCCTTTGTTGTTAGGTACAGGGGCTGGGACAAGACAGGGCAGAGCCCCCTGAATGGGAACCATTGCACTGGGCATGGTGCCACATGCCTGTAGTTCCAGCTACTTGGGAGGCTGAGGCACAAGAATTGCTTGAACCTGGGAGGAGGAGTTTGCAGTGAGCCAAGATCGCACCACTGCACTCCAGCCTGGGTGACAGAGCAAGACTCTGTCTCAAAAAATAATAAAATAAAAATATTTATTAAAGTTATATAGGTATCAAGTCAAAAAATCCAATAGAGGAAAACACTGGCAATTCCTCAAAAAGTTAAACATGGTGTTACCGTATGACTCAGTAATTTCACTCCTACTTATATACCCAAGAGAACAGGACATCCGTGTTCACCTAGGAGCTTGTATGTGAATGTTCATAGCAGGTTTAGCCACAATAACTAAAAAGTGGAAACAGCACACACGGCTTCAGAGAATGAATAGAGTATATATGCATCCAGTGGAATATTCATCCATTAAAAGTAATATGAATAGAGTATATATATATATATATGCATCCAATGGAATATTATTCAGCCATGAAAAGTAATGAAGTACCAATTCATGCCCCAACACAGAGGGGTCTTGAAGACATTATGCTAAGTGAAAGAAGCCTAACACAAAAGCTCACATATTATGTGATTCTGTTTATGTGAAATACCCAGAATAGGCCAATCCATAGGAACAAAAGTAGATTTGTGATTGCTGGGGGCTCTGGGGAACAGGGGAAATGAGGGGTGAATGCTGATAGATATCAGATATGTATATAGATATTTAGGGAGGCATTGAAAATATTCTGCAGTTGGCCGGGCACGGTGGCTCACACCTGTAATCCCAGCACTCTGGGAGGCCGAGGCGAGTGGATCACTTGAGGTCAGGAGTTCAAGACCAGCCAGGCCCAACATGGTGAAGCCCTATCTTTACTAAAAATAGAAAAACTAGCTGAGCGTAGTGGTGTGTGCCTGTAATCCCAGCTACTCGGGAGGCTGAGGCAGGAGAATTGCATGAACCAAGGAGGTGGAGGTTGCAGTGAGCCGAGATCATGCCACTGCACTCCAGCCTGGGTGACAGAGCAAGACTCCATCTCAAAAAAAGAAAAAAAAATATGCAATAGATAATGGTGATGGTTGCACAACCTTGTCAGCACTAAAAACCATTAAAATACACATTTTAAAATGGTAAATTTAGCAGGGCACGGTGGCTCATGCCTATAATCCTAGCACTTTGGGAGGCCAAGGTGGGTGGATCACGAGGTCAGGAGTTTGAGATCATTCTGGCCAATATGGTGAAACCCTGCATCTACTAAAAAAATACAAAAATTAGCCAGGCATGGTGGCATGCATCTGTAAATCCCTGGCTACTCGAGAGGCTGAGGCAGGAGAATCGCTGGAACCCAGGAGGCGGAGGTTGGAGTGAGCTGAGATTGCGCCACTGCACTCCAGCCTGGACGACAGACTGAGACTCCATCTCTCAAAAAAAAAAAAAAAAAAAAAAGATAAATTAAAAAAATTTAAATACCACGAGGTATTTGAATTATATCTACCAAAAAAAAAAAAAAAAAAAAAAAAAAAAAAAGGCCAGAGCACAGGAGGGCTCATCATGGAGACCAGTTTCTTGCTGACCTCTTTCCTTCTCCTATAGGCAGCCTTGGCTTTTAGCACTTTTAGTTGCTGGTAGCTCCTGTGTGTGGTCAGATGATAGGCTGCAGGTGAGAGTATCAGAGGCTGCTTCAACATAAGCTCCCTGCCAGCATTGCTGGGCAAAATGTCAGCTTGGGCCAAAAAGAGAAATTAGATAAGAACAAACAGCCAGGCATGGTGGCTCATGCCTGTAATCCCAGCACTTTGGGAGGCCGAGGCGGGTGGATCACGAGGTCAGGAGTTCAAGATCAGCCTGGTCAAGATGGTGAAACCCTGTCTCTACTAAATATACAAAAAAGTAGCCAGGCATGGTGGGTGCCTGTAATCCCAGCTACTCGGGAGGCTGAGGCAGAGAATTGCTTGAACCTGGGAAGCAGAGGTTACACTGAGCCGAGATCGCGCCACTGCACTCCAGCCTAGGCGACAGAGCGAGACTCCATCTCAAAAAAAAAAAAAAACCCATCCTAACAGTAGGACCCTGGTTTATCCTGCTTATCCAAACGCTGCACCAGGTCATAATCCTCACGTCACTATTATCAATTTTTGACATCTGCTTCTGGCTTCTTCCAGTGACAATAGAGGATTTCGCTTGCTTAAACACTCCTTCTTACCTCTTGTCTTAACAAAATAACAAATGGTGTCCTGTAACAACGTACGAGAGACTGGGTGGCTTAACCTAACCGATATTTATTTCTCACACTTCTGGAGGCTGGTTCATAGTTAGCACCATCTCAGGCCGGGAGCGGTGGCTCACGCCAGCACTTTGGGAGGCAGTGGTGGGCAAATCACTTGAGCCCAGGAGTTTGAGACCAGTGTGGGCAATGTAGTGAGACCCCTGTCTCTACCAAAAATTTAAAAATTAGCTGGGCATGGTGGTGTGCACCTGTAGTCCTAGCTACTCGGGAGGCTGAGGCGGGAGGATCCCTTGAGCCTGGGAGTTCAAGGCTGCAGTGATTCTTGATTGCGCCACTGCACTCCAGTCTGGTAGACAGACCCTGTCTCAAAACAGACAAACAAACATAGGTAGTGCCTTCTGACCGCATCCTTACATGGCAGAGGGGCTAGACAGCTCTTTGGGGTCTTTTTTTTTTTTGAGACGGAGTCACAGAGTCTCACTCTGTCACCAGGCTGGAGTACAGTGGTGCTATCTTGGTTCACTGCAAACTTCACCTCCTGGGTTCAGGCAATTCTCCTGCCTCAGGCTCCCAAGTAGCTGGGGCTACAGGCGTGCACCACCACACCTGGCTAATTTTTGTATTTTTAGTAGAGACGGGGTTTGGCCAGGATGGTCTCGATCTCCTGACCTCATGATCCACCCACCTCGGCCTCCCAAAGTGCTTGGATTACAGGCCTGAGCCACTGCGCCCAGCCTGAGGTCTCTTTTATAACAGCACTAATCTCATTCATGAGAGCTGTATCCTCGTGACCTACTCTTCTCCCAAATGTCCCATCTCCTAATACCATCACGTTGGGGATTAGGTTTTGACATATGAATTTTGGAGGAGCACAAACATCCTGACCGTAGCACCTCCCTTTCCCCAGCAGGCAGTGGAACGCTCTCCTGATGGTCAGCTCCTCTGTGGACACACACTACCACTTTCCCCTCTCTCCAGCTATATGACGCGTGTCTCCCACCTCCCCACACCCTCCCTTTTCCTTTGGACTCAGCTTTCCTCCTTTCACATCCTCCCTCTGACACCTGTACTTCTGCCTTTGCTTTTCCAAGGCCGATCACATCCCTGTTCTATTCTGTTAGTCACACTCAGAGCCTTACTTACATGGGATGTGTGCCATCGTGAGGGTTTTCACTGTGGGTCTGTACATCCTTGTGACTGCCTATTGTTTACTGCAGGATCAAGCGGTGGCCTGAGTGCCTCTCCTTTCTAGATAGCCTTTTGTTTTTCTCTCCCGATGCTTGCTTCTTTTCTTCTCCCTGGCTTCATTTTACATCAGTGCTATTTAGTTTTTGTTTTTTTTGTTTTTTGTTTTGATAGGGTCTCGCTCTGTCACCCAGGCTGAGTGCAGTGGCATGATCACTTCTCACTGCAGGCTTGATCTTCCTGGGCGCAGGTGATCCTCCCACCCCAGCCTCTTGAGTAACTGGGACCACAGGCACGTGCCACCATACCTGACTAATTTTTTGTGATTATTATTATTATTATTATTATTATTATTATTATTTTTGAGACTGAGTCTTGCTGTGTCACCCAGGCTCGAGTGCAGTGGCGCTATCTTGGCTCACTGCAAGCTCCGCCTCCCAGGTTCACGCCATTCTCCTGCCTCAGCCTCCCCAGTAGCTGGGACTACAGGCGCCCACCACCACGCCCGGCTAATTTTTTGTATTTTTAGTCGAGACAGTGTTTCACTGTGTTAGTCAGGATGGTCTCAATCTCCTGACCTTGTGATCCACCCGTCTCGGCCTCCCAAAGTGCTGGGATTACAGGCATGAGGCACTGTGCCCGGCCCTAATTTTTTGTGATTTTTATAGAGTCAGGGTTTCGCCGTGTTGCCCAGGCTGGTCTTGAACTCCTGGGCTCAAGAAATCCACCCGCCTCAGCCTTCCAAAGTGCTGGGATCACAGGCATGAGCCATAGCGCCCAGCCAGCCATCTGTGCTATGAGTTAAGGAGATAAGAGTTAATGTTTATGTCCATTTTATGGACTGCAAAAACTGAGCCCAGAGAGGGGAAGTGATTGACTCACCCTGGGTGTTGAGATTGCTGAGCTAGACTGCAGTTGCCTCAGCACTCCTGCCTTTCACTGTGGACCAGGGCATGGACTGGGGATGTGACGGGAAGGAGGGAATTCACAGGACGGCCGAGGGCTCCGCCCTCACTCACTTCCAGCAGCAGAGGAGACAGAGGAGTAGAGGGTTAGTTAAAGCCCCTGGTGGCAGCAGCCACTCCAGCCCTGCAGAGTGGCTTTTTGGCATCCCACCTTTTGGCATCCCACCTGCAGCTGCCCTCTGCGGAGGAAAGTCTCTTTGCCCTGACCCTGGGTCTGTTTTTGTTTCCTTCAGGTCGCCCTCCACCCCGAGGCACCCGGCCAGCTCCTGGAGGCTGCATCCAGCCCAGGGGCCCCATTGAGCAGGTGTACCAGGAAATTGCCATCCTCAAGAAGCTGGACCACCCCAATGTGGTGAAGCTGGTGGAGGTAAAAGGGTGGAGGCGCCCAGGAGGGAGGGAGGCCCTGGCTTTGTTAATACCCAAACACCCCGCCACTGGTTTCCAGGGAGAGCCAGGTCACACCAGACCGCTCACTGCAGGGCTGAGTTGTATTTACTGCTCCCTAAGAGTATTTGTTACTCACATTAACTATTTTTTCTCTTCTTTCTTTTGCCTGCTTTGTTTTTCTGTCAGATATTTATTACTCTCATTTTACGGACAAAGGAATTGAGGCTCAGAGGGATCCCTTCACCCATTTCTGTCTCTTTGAAGCTGGTTCTCTTTCTACTTACACATATGGGTAGTCATAGCGCAAAAGCAGCCACACACATGATGTAAACAAATGGCATGGCTGTGTTCTAGTAAAACTTTATTTACAAAAACAAGTCCGGGTGCACTGGCTCGCGCTTATAATGACAGCACTCTGGGAGGCCAAGGTGGACAGATCACTTGAGATCAGGAGTTTGAGACCAGCCTGGCCAACATGGTGAAACCCTGTCTTTACTAAAAATACAAAACAAACAAACAAACAAACAAACCAGACAGAGGGCTGAATTTGGCCCACATGCTGTAGTTTGCCAGCCCCTGCTCTAGATCAGCCGTTCTCATACTTTTTGGTCTCAGGATGCCTTTGTACTCGATTAAAAATACAAAAAAATTAGCTGGGCGTGGTGGCGGGTGCCTGTAATCCCAGCCACTTCAGGAGGCTGAGGCAGGAGAATCGCTTGAACTGGGGAGGCAGAGGTTGCAGTGAGCTGAGATCACGCCATTGCATTCCAGCCTGGGCAACAAGAGTGAAACTCTGTCTCTAAAAAAAAAAACTTTTTTTGAAGACCCAAAAGCACTTTCACTTATATGAGTTATATTTATTAATATCTACCACATTATAATTTAAAACTGAGAAAATTTAAACTATTAATTATTTAAAAACAATAGGCTGGGCACGATGGCTCACGCCTATAATCCCAGCACTTTGGGAGGCTGAGGTGGGAGGATCACCTGAGGACAGCAGTTTGAGACCAGCCTGAGCAACATGGTGAAACCTTGTCTCTACAAAAAATTTAAAAAATTAGCCCGGTATGGTGGTGCACGCCTTTGGTCCCAGCTATTCCGAAGGCCGAGGTGGGAGAATCACTTCAGCCCAGGAGTTCGAGGCTACAGTGAGCCATGATTGTGCCACTGCACTCGAGCCTGGGAGACAGAGTGAGACCCTGTTTCTAAAAAAGAAAAGAAAACAATAAGCTTATTGCGTATTAACATGAGTAATACATTTTTTTTTTTTTGAGACGGAGTCTCACTCTGTTGCCCAGGCTGGAGTGCAGTGGCACAATCTCAGCTCACTGCAACCTCTGCCTGTTGGGTTGAAGTGATTCTCCTGCGTCAGCCTCCCAAGTAGCTGGGACTCCAGGTGCCCGCTACCACGCCTGGCTAATTTTTTGTATTTTTAATGGAGATGGGGTTTCACCGTGTTAGTCAGGATGGTCTTGATCTCCTGAACTCGTGATCCAGCCGCCTTGGCCTCCCAAAGTGCTGGGATTACAGGAGTGAGCCACTGCACCCGGCCGAGTAATACATTTTTATGAAAAATAAAAAGTAGAAGAGTGGCTTCATTTTTCATTTTTGCCTTTTTTTGGGTTACTGTTTGGTTTGATAGGAGACATTTGGATTCTCATCTCTGCTTTTGCATTCAATGTTTTGTGACATCACATATCATCAGGTTTCTGGAAAACCCTGTAGACTAGTGGAGAATGATAGTCAAAAAGGCAAATACTGTCTTCGTTTTAAAGTGAAAATAGTGAACCTTGTAAACTCCATGAAGCATCTTGGGGATCTGCAGACATCTCCAGATTGTGTTTGGAGCACCTCTGGTCTAGACGACAAGGACTTGTCACCGTGCTGGATGTTCAGAGTGCCATGGGAGTACAAAGCGGGGGCAGCCAGCTCACTGGGAGAAGCTGGGAGAGGCCTCTTAGAGGAAGTGATGTTTGAGATGGCCGTGGTGGTTCCTGGATGAGAAGTCACGGAAAGGCATTGCAGGGCAGGGAGCTGCATGTGGAAAGGGCTGGAAGCCTCTGTTTGGGGGAGTACATGGTGCCTTCGGGAGATGTGAGGGCTAGCTACCACTTTGCCTGGGACTCATCTGGTGCAGAACTCTAGGCGGACAAGGCCCTGGGTGTGCCTTCCCCACAGGGCATGGCTCAGGGCTTCAGGCTGCTAGCCCAGGCTCTGCCTAGGGTGCCTCCCTTTCTTGGGGCCTGTTGTCTTATTGATCTTGGGTGACTGGAGAAAGCGGACGTGATGAGGGAAGAATCAGGGGGACTAGTCTAGCCAGGGAGGCTGCATTTGTTTCTTCCCAAAGAAGAGAGATAGCAGTTGCAGGCCATCACCACCGGTCACACTAAGTGACACAATCTCGACTCACTGGTGCTAGAGTTGGCCATTTTCCAGGAAGCCCAAGGGCATTTGGTTAGCGAGGGGCCCTGGGTCCTGGCAGGGTGTCTTTTCTCTCCGCTGCCCTATGGCATTTGGCCTTTTCACCCAACAAGACTCTTTGCCAGCCCATCTGTTTGTTCATTCATCAGATATTCCCTGGGCACCTTCTGTATGCCGTGCCCTGTACAGGACGCCACCGAGGAAATCAAGGTGGATGTAGCCTGATGCCTGCCCTTTGGAGAGAGAGAAAGTGCTGTGGCTGTTCTGGGCAGGGAGACATCATTTCCTGTGGGGTTAGGGGCAATGGGGAGGCTTCGTGGAGTCACTTGAGCCCAGATAGGATTTGAATTTTCACCCTGAACACCGTTGTCTCCTAGGAGCTGGGTTGGATTCTTTTTTTTTTTTTTTTGAGACAGAGTCTTGCTCTGTCATCCAGGCTGAAGTGTAATGGCGTGATCGTGGCTCACTGCAACCTCTGCCTCCCAGGTTCAAGCGATTCTCCTGCCTCAGCCTCCTGAGTAGGTGGATTACTCAGGCATGCACCACCACACCGGACTAATTTTGTATTTTTAGTAGAGATGGGGTTTCTCCATGTTGGTCAGGCTGGTATTGAACTCCCGACCTCAGGTGATCCGCCCGCCTCGGCCTCCCAAAGTGCTGGGATTTCAGGCATGAGCCACTGCGCCCAGCCGGAGATAGGCTGGATTCTTATTCAAGCATGAGATATTTCCAGGGGAGTATTTTGGCCCCTCCCTTTTGCGACCTCCTGAGTGTTCAGATCCTCGAGGATCAGACAGAGAGGCATTTATTTTCCGAATAGCCATTAGGATCTCACACTCTGGGGGTTTTCCCTATCTTCCATCTTAACTGGGAAACACGCTGCCAAATGCAGCCCTCCTGTTGGCAAACGCAGCCACGTGGATGCTGCCTCCTCCCTGCTCATATCTATTCTCTCTTTTTCTCCCCCGCCATCCGTCTCCTGCCTATTCCATGTGGCTGTGCCAAGGTCCTGGATGACCCCAATGAGGACCATCTGTACATGGGTAAGGAAGCCCTTTTCTTCTGCCACCCTCACCCAGGCACCACACCTGCCAATGCCCAGGGGTCCTCTCGAGGCAGCCTGTGCCCTGGCACCTTCCACCAAAGACAGCTTTCCCTTTCCTGGTCCAGCTGGCCCCACCGGAGGCCACACCCCTGGTTGGGATCAGCAGGTGGAAGGGAGTTCTTGCTGGAACTTTATCTGATCCTATTCATTCATTTGCATGTATTTATTTTTTTTGAGTCAGGGTCTTGCTCCGTTGCCCAGGCTTACAGTTCAGTGGTGTGACCACAGCTCACTGCAGCCTTGATCTCCCAGGCTCAAGTGATCCTCCCACCTCAGCCTCCTGAGTAGCTGGATTATAGGCATGGGCCACCATACCCAGCTAATTTTTAAAATTTTTCTAGAGACAAAGTGTCACTATGTTGTCCAGCCTGGCCTCAAATGCCTGGGCCCAAGAGATCCTCCTGCATTGGCCTCCCAAAGCATGTATATATTGACAACCTCCTATATGGTGGGCACTGTTCTAGGTGGTACACAGAAAAAAGGTAGAAAAACAATTTTATATTTAATTTAACATTGTATAGGAAAAACTATAACCAGCACCCCAAACTCATAGTTTCATGGATATTATCATCTAGGACAAGGCTAAAAAATTAAAAACTGAGTCAATTTAAAGAAAAACATTCAATAAATAATTGATGTGGCATATAGGTATGGCCAGATTATAAACATAGTAGGCAAATAAATGAAGTTTGGGGAGATACAGCAGAAATCACAATATGCCAAAAGTCATTTTAGCCCAGAATGGCATTCTTAGCGTAATTCTCTCACTTGGGACCCCAGATCCAGGTCAGAATGGCTTTGAGCTCTTTCTGAGGCGTGCCTTTGTTCATTCAACAAATGTTACAATTTGTCAGACCCTGCTGTAGGTTCATCAGGGACAACATTCAAAAACCCCTGTCCTTGGGGAGCGCACCTGAGTGTGATGCGTGGGTTTTGAAAGCGACAACACCGTAACAAAACAAAAACCCCGAGCAGGACACGAGGGGCTGCTAGTTTTGGGTTGGGGGATGGAGAAATACAGTGGCTCCCCAGGGAATGTCTCACCAAGGTGACATTTGGGCAGAACAGCAGGGACCAGGTGGCAGAAGGTATTTTACAACATTGTAAAGAACTTGGATCGGGCACAGTGGCTCACCCCTGTAATCCCAGCGCTTTGGGAGTCCGAGCGGGTGGATCACCTGAGCTCAGGAGTTTGAGACCAGCCTGGGCAGCATAGCGAAACCCCGTCTCTACTAAAAATACAAAAATTAGCTGGGCATGGGGGTGTGCACCTATAATCTTGGCTACTCGGGAGGCTGAGGCACGAGAATCACTTGAACCTGAGAGGCGGAGGTTGCAGTGAGCCAAGATGGCGCCACTGCATTCCAGCCTGGGCAACAAAGTGAGACTGTCTCAAAAAAAAAAAAAAAAAAAATTGGCTTTGACTCTGAGAGTGATGGAAGCCATTGGGGGGTTTGAGCTGACGGGTGGAATGAGAATAAAGAGAACATGGTCCAAGCCTCAAAGAAGAGTTTCGTGATCTGCTTGAGCTGGGCAGCTGCAGGGATAGTTTTTCACAACTCGAGGTGGCAGTTGCAGAAAGCCATGCTAATTTGGGGTATGTGATTCCAGTGGTTTTGAAAATCCTGACACGGTTATATTTTACTTTCCAGCCACAGCCGTGTGAGACTGAGACAGACAGGGCAGTGCATGAGGCCGGGTAGTAGGTATCAGAAAGGGTCTGCAGCTACAGGCCTGACATGCAAAGGGCAGAAAACTCAGTCCAGGTGCGGTGGCTCATGCCTGTAACCCCAGCACTTGGGAGGCTGAGGTGGGAGGATTGCTTGAGGCCAGGAGTTTGAGGCTGCAGTGAGCTATGATTGTGCCACTGCACTCTAGCCTGGGCGACAGAGTAAGACCCTGTCTCAATAAAACAAAAAAAGGTGGAGGAGGGGGCTGGGTGTGGTGGCTCATGCCTGTAATCTCAGCACTTTGGGAGGCCAAGGCAGGTGGATCCCCTGAGGTCAGGAGTTCGAGACCAACCTAACCAACATGGTGAAACCATGTTTCTGCTAAAAATACAAAATTAGCCAGATGTGGTGGCACATGCCTGTAATCTCAGCTACTTGGGAGGGTGAAGCAGGAGAATCACTTCAACCTGGGAAGCGGAGGTTGCAGTGAACCGAGATCGTGCCATTGCACTCCAGTCTGGGTGACAGAGCTAGACTTTGTCTCAAAAAAAAAAAAAAAAAAAAGTAGAAAACTCGATCTCTATTTCTAGAGGTTAAAAAATTCCCACCCACTGCTCAGCCCCAAAAGTGGTTGAACTGTTAGCGACTGAAAATAGACCTGTTTCAACAGGCCACCCTCCCTCATGCCACCTGATTTATGGTGCTTGGGTGGGTGGGAGGATGGTGCAGAAATTCATGAAGCTTGCAAGTGAAGACTTAAATAACCAAGGCAGGAAAGGCCAGAGCTGAGGGGGCCAGCGCTGGGTTGTCTGTAGAAGCTGTACCTTAGCAGCATTGCCTTTGTTTTTAACTACAGCCTGAAGCAATAGCAAATCTGCCCTAACTCACACTGGTTGATGAAACTGAAGATGGGGAAGGCCTGGGAGAGTTCAGTTCTTTTCCTGATCAGAACCTTTAAGCCTTCTTTTTGTCTGAGTAGCTTCCCTGTTCCCCTTGGCCACCTCAGCCCTTGGAGAGCTTTGAAACAACCCTTTGGTTTCATTTTTAAAAAATTTTTTTGCCTGTAACCCCAGCACTTTGGGAGGCCGAGGTGGGTGGATCACCTGATGTCAGAAGTTCGAGACCAGCCTGACCAATACGGTGAAACCCCATCTTTACTAAAAATACAAAAAATTAGCCGGGTGTGGTGGCAGGTGCCTGTAGTCCCAGCTACTCGGGAGGCTGAGGCAGAAGAATCGCTTGAACCCAGGAGGCAGAGGTTGCAGTGAGCCAAGATCGTGCCACTGCACTCCAGCCTGGGCAACAGAGCAAGACTCCATTTCAAAAAAAAAAAAAAAGTTTTTTTAATTTTTGTGGGTACATGGTAGGTGGATATAGTCATAGGTTACATGAGATGTTTTAATACCGGCATGCAGTGCATAATAATCCCATCATGGAAAATGGGGTATCCCCTCTGGTTTCTATTACATGCTCATCTCATTGTGGGTGTATGATTCCAGAACAACAAGCAACCCCAGAGTCATCCTCCACTGGATTTTGAAATCGACTGTGCTCTTTTTTTTTTTAACTTCCTAAAGTACAGCCTTGTATTCCAATTTATGCTTGTCATAGCAGAATCAAATTAAATAACTATACCACGTGACCCAGAAATTCCACTCCTAGGTATATACCCAAAAGAACCAAAAACAGATATCCACACATGAACATATCCATGTACACGAACGTTCATTGCAGCACTTCCCAACAGCCAAAGAGTAGAAACAGTCCATATGCCCCTCAACAGATGAATGGACAAAGAAAATGTGGTCTATCCATACAATGGAATATTATTCAGCCATTAAAGGGAATGAAGCACTGATCCATGCACCAGTGTGGATGAACCTTAAAAACGTGCTAATGATGCTAAGTGAAAGAAGCCAGACACAAAAGGCCACATAGTGTACAATTCCATTTATATGAAATGTCCAGAACAGGCAAATCTATAGAGACAGGAAACAGATTGGTGGTGGCCAGGGGATTGAGGGAGGGAAGAATAGGGAGTGACTGCTAATGGGTATGAGGTTTTCTTTTGAGGTGATGAGAATGTTCTGGAACTAGATAGTTGTGATGATTGCCCAAAATTGTGAATATACTAAATGCCACTCAATTGCACGCTTTAAAATGGGTAATTTTATGTTACGTAAATTTCATCTCAAAGAAATTTTTTTTTTGGGACATTCTTGCTCTGTTGCCCAGGCTAGAGTGCAGGGGTGCAATCTTGGCTCACTGCAACCTCCGCTGTCCAGGTTCAAGTGATTCTTGTGCCTCAGCCTCCCAAGTAGCTGGGATTACAGGCACCTGCCACCACGCCCGGCTGATTTTTGTATTTTTAGTAGAGATAGGGTTTTGCCACGTTGGCCAGGCTGGTCTCGAGCTCTTGACCTCAGGTGATTCGCCCACCTCGGCCTCCCAGAGTGTTGGGATTACACTGGCGTGAGCCACCGTGCCCAGCCCCCTGCCGTGTTTTCTTTGACCAGTGGATCCTGGGCCAATTTGAGCACTAGAAGTCAAGCCAGACTGTGGGCCTGGGGACGTCAGAAATCCCTGGTTCTTTGCCTTCTGATGGAAATTTAGCAAAGCAGGACCTTGGCCAGCTTGGTTCAGTGGACTGTTCCTCTCCCCAGCTCTAATACTAGTTTCTGTCTTTCTTGGTGTTTCTGGAGGTGGTTGGGAGGTGGGGAGGACAGAGAGAGATGGATGTTCAGTTTCCCATGTAACAGTTTCACCCTTTTCTTCCCTACAGTGTTCGAACTGGTCAACCAAGGGTGAGTGTCCCAGCTCCCAGCAGGGGTGATGCAAGAAGCTTCTGTAGCTGCATAGCTGAGTGAGGTGCCACTGGGCTCTGCTCATGAGAGAGGGCAAGGGCTGGCGGGTCTGCTTTGTGTTTCACATGAGTGTCGACCTTTCAGGCCCGTGATGGAAGTGCCCACCCTCAAACCACTCTCTGAAGACCAGGCCCGTTTCTACTTCCAGGATCTGATCAAAGGCATCGAGTACTGTGAGCAGGGCCTGCGGGAGGGCTCTCACCCAGTGGGTAGTTAGCATTCTGAGCGTGGGTGCAAAGTGGAAAGTGTCTTATTTTCTTCCTGGAGCACAGGGAGGTGGGCGGGTGGATTGGGGTCCTCTAGAGGGACAGAACTAATAGGAGATACATATATATATATAAAATTATATATATAAAATTATATATATAATTATATATATAAAATTATATATAATTATATATATATAAAATTATATATAAAATTATATATATAATTATATATATAATTATATATATATAAAATTATATATATAATTATATATATATAAAATTATATATATATAAAATTATATATATAATTATATATATAAAGGGGAGTTTATTAAGTATTAACTTACACGATCACAAGGTCCCACAATATAGTCTGTCTGCAAGCTTGAGGAGCAAGGAGAGCCCATCTAACTCTCAAAACTAAAGAACGTGGAGTCTGACGTTTGAGGGCAGGAAGCATCCAGATAGGAAAAAAACATAGGCTGGGAGGCTAGGCCAGTCTCACCTTTCACGTTTTTCTGCCTGCTTTATATTCGCTGGCAGCTGATTAGATTGTGGGTCTGCCTTCCCCAGCCCACTGACTCAAATGTTAATCTCCTTTGGCAACACCCACACAGACACATCCAGGATTAATACTTTGTATCCTTCAGTCCAATCAAGTTGACACTCAGTATCAACCATCATAGTGGGAAACAGAATTGTGTGAAATGCAGAATCAGGGCCAGCTGCAGAGAGCCACCCTATGGCCATGGTCCAGGCGAGCCAAAACCCTTCTTCCTGCCACTTGGCAAAATGAAGAGCAGTAGCAATAGTGACTATTTAGCACTTTCTATGTGCACCAGGCACTGTTTGGGGCTCTATTTTTTTTGTCTCTTATTCCTCCCAGTGACCCTGGGATCAGGGTCCTGTTCACCTCCTGGAACCTTAGCTTCCTCATCTGTAAAATGGGGATAACATATCTCTCACCAGGGCTGAGATCAGCCAGTACACATCAGTGGTTTGATTGGCAGGTGTCCTTTCTGCTTCTGCTTGTTAAACATCTTAGCTCTTTTTTTCCTTTGAGATTCTTGCCCTGTTGCCTGGGCTGGAGTGCAGTGGCGCGATCTCAGGTCACTGCAACCTCTGCCTCCTGGGTTCAAGCAATTCTCATGCCTCAGCCTCCCAAGTAGCTGGGACTACAGGTGTACGCCACCATGCCCGGCTAATTTTTGTATTTTTTGTAGAGATGGGGTTTCGCTATGTTGGCCAGGCTGGTCTTGAACTCCTGACCTCAGGTGATCCCCCTGCCTTGCCTCCCAAAGTGCTGGGATGACAGGCGTGAGCCACCGTGCCCGGCCACCACGTTATCTCTTATCCCTGCCTGTCACATAGGATGGTTGTGAGGTTTAATTAAATGTAAAATGTGAATGTGAAACACAACGCAGGGCCGGGCCCCTCACTTGGTGCTCTGCTGCTGCTTTCACTGAAATCGTCTTCATCATCATCATCACCCCAGAAATGGCAGTTGGGTCTTCCAGGCCATAGAACTGTCCTGTACCATGGGCTGATATCCAGCCAGGAGGAGTTAGCCAAGCCCCGAGTTCTGTGTGTGGTTCACATTTCAAATCGGCCTGCTCAGGTCATTGTCGGTTTGGTAAATCAGTTGAGTATTGGCTGTTGGTAAATGAAACTATGTTTCACTGTCAGTTTCACAACTAGCTGTGAGCCAAGCCCAGCAAAAACTTTCCATGCACTGTCACTTGTGACTTAATAAATAACAGGCGATTACGAATTGCTATTGGCAGTGTTTTATGTGTCATTGTTGAGAAGGGGTGGGGTGATGGTGGGCTGGGACTTCCTTGAAGACACTTTTCCCCTCATCTTTTAGAGCATGTCAGTGCCCAGCGGGTTTGGGGAGTGGAAGGTTGGAAAAGGCCTGGGGCTGTGGGAGACAAGGCATCAGAGGGGTGCCATGCCTGTGTCTCCAGGCCATGTGGCCGCATAGAGGTGCTCACGAGGTTTTCCTGCCCCTATCTCCCACCTGCTGTCTACGCCTCCCCAGTACACTACCAGAAGATCATCCACCGTGACATCAAACCTTCCAACCTCCTGGTCGGAGAAGATGGGCACATCAAGATCGCTGACTTTGGTGTGAGCAATGAATTCAAGGGCAGTGACGCGCTCCTCTCCAACACCGTGGGCACGCCCGCCTTCATGGCACCCGAGTCGCTCTCTGAGACCCGCAAGATCTTCTCTGGGAAGGTAAGCTTGGGCCTGCCTCAGCCACAGAGTTCTGCCTGTGTTAGTGTCTTCTGGATTGTAAGCAGCAGAAACCCAACGCACACAGGCTTAAACAGTGAATCCCCTGGATCAAGATACTGAGGGGTAGGCTTCAGGCTTGGCTAGATCCAGGGACTCAAACAGAAACCATCTCCCGCCATCTTTCAGTTGTTTTTCTTATTTGGTTTCCTCCACAGGTGGGTCAGGCACCCAGGGACCAGGTTACTTTCTATCATTTGCCAACCTCAGTGGCAAGAGCATTCCTCATTCTGAATAGTGCCTGTGAAAACCCTGGGGTTGGCTCTGATTGGCCCAACATGGGTCATGTGCCCATGCTTGAACCAATCACTGTGGCTGGGGGTAGTGGTGCTCTCATTGGCCTGGCCTGGATCCTGTGCCTGCCCCAGAGCCTAGGAGACAAGATTGGTCCCGCCCCAACTCCAAGGGCTGAAAGTCAAGAGGTGGTTCCCCAAAGGAAAACTGGAGGATTGGAGGCTGGACCACCCCTTATGCCCTCACACTAAGCTCTTTTTCTTGCAGGCCTTGGATGTTTGGGCCATGGGTGTGACACTATACTGCTTTGTCTTTGGCCAGGTAAGAGGGCGGGGTGTCTGTCCCCTCAGTACTGCTGGGTGGCCCCTGGGTTAATAGTCACCCTTGCGGGGAGACAGTACTTACTTATTTAAGAGTTATTTTAGGCTGGGCATGGTGGCTCACGCCTGTAAACCCAGCACTTTGGGAGGCTGAGGCAGAGGTTAGGAGTTGGAGACCAGCTTGGCCAACATGGTGAAACCCCGTCTTTACTAAAAATACAAAAAATTAGCCAGGCGTGATGGCGCATGCCTATAGTCCCAGCTACTCTGGAGGCTGAAGCAGGAGAATCGCCTGAACCCAGGAGGCGGAGCTTGCAGTGAGCTGAGATTGCACCATTGTATTCCAGCCTGGGCAACAAGAGCGAGACTCCGTCTCAAAAAATAAAATAAGAGAAGAGTTATTTTATTTCTACACCTAGATCTCAATGTGAAAAAGGATGCCTTCCTAAATATACATGTGTATGTATGTCATGATCATATCTATGAAAAAATGATCTGTTAAAACAGAAGGATTGGCAGAGGCTCTAGAGTTTATAAATAGTTGATAAATTTAGGGCAAGGACAGCAGTTCTGCCACCTCTCCCATTTCTGAGCCCAAGGCAGACATCACTAATCAATAACTGTGCTCGTTCCTCCTGAGCCTGATACTGCTCTGATGTTCTTTCCGTCAGGGTATTCCTAGAAGCTTTTGTCAGAGGGGTAGCATTGGAATGGAAGTTAAAAGCTGTTTACCATTATTGATTTAGGGAGTGCTGTTTGGGCTTTTCTGTTGTTGTTATTTTGTTATTATTGATATCTGGGGGCTTCTCTCTCTATTTTTTTTTTTTTTTTTTTTGAGATGGAGTCTTGCTCTGTCACCCAGGCTGGAGTGTAGTGGTGCGATCTCGGCTCACTGCAACCTCCGCCTCCCGGGTTCAAGCCATTCTCCTGCCTCAGCCTCCTGAGTAGCTGGGACTACAGATGCCAGCCACCACACCCGGCTAATTTTTGTATTTTTGTAGAGATAGTGTTTTGCCATGTTGGCCAGACTGGTTTCAAACTCCTGACCTCAAATGATCTGCCAGCCTGGGCCTCCCAGAGTGCTGGGATTTGGGATTACAGGTGTGAGCCACCACGCCTGGCCTTCTCGTTTTAACTCTGAAGTTCAGTTTGATTATGTGAGCAATAAAAACGTAGATTTTTCCCTTTCCTGAGCTTGTGTTCTTATTGAGGAAAGCCTAAGAAACTGGTCCCATGAAGAAGTAAAGGAGTTTATACCGATTGCCTCTCAATATTTGATTAGAAAATTTTTCAATCATGTAGCAAAGCTGGAAGAAGTGTCCAGTGAACACCCACATACCCACCACCTGGATTCTACTATATTAACCTTTTCCTGTGCTTGTCTGTTCATTCCTTACCCATCCCTCAGTCCATCTGGTTTCTTAATGTATTTCAGAGTAAGTTACCACCATCTCCACTCTTCCTTCCAAATGCCTTAGAAGGCAGTGATTAGGTAGAGCTCAAGTCACTGCTCTTAATGAAATCGTTTTCCTTAGACGGGTGGTTCAGGTACCTCTCTGCCACCTTCTCCAACATTTTCAGTGTCCCGTGTAAGGATTCCTTTTCCAGCACACATGACCAAGCTGCTCTTGAGTCAGGCCCTCAGCTGGGTGAAAGCATCGATTTGTCACCCAGAAGGTGGTGCAAAAATAGGCTTCAGAGTCAGCTGAATCTAGGCTTAAATCCCTCTTCGTACTTCCTGGGACACATTATTTCTCTGAACTTCTGTTTTTCTCTTCTGTAAAATGAGAATACTACTTATTATTTCTGATGACTTCTGAGAGGATTGACAGAAATAATTCAAGTATCCATTAATTCAGCAGATATTTATTGAGCCCTTACTTTGTGCAGGAACGCTCCTAGGCACGGAGAGTCCGCAGTGAGCAAGACAGCCAGAAATCCCTGCCTTCTTGGAGCTAACGTTCCCGTGGGAGGGGTTAAACAATAAACAAATCTGTACGATAACGTCAGGGATAAGTGCTACGATGAGGAGTGATGTGGGCGGTGGCGGCATTGGGGGTTGTCTGTTTTAGACAGGGCTTCAGGAAGTCCTCCCTGAGAAGGTGAGCTTTAGTCAGACACCTGCATGGTGGGAGAGACCAAGCCACGTAGATGTTGGTGAGAAGAACATTCCAGGGACGGGGAACAGTGAATGAAAACCTCAGGGCAGGGCGTGGCGCGATCCAGGCTAAGCCCTTGAAAATCACTGCTGCTGCCACAAATAACACAAAGTCTTTTGTGTTATTCTTGTTGTTCCTGTTGTTCACCTGGCAAGTAGGTGACGAGCAGTGTTTGCTTTGGTGTAAGTAGGTAAACTGAGGCCCAGCTACAGAGGGAGCCTGCAGTGTGCTTGGGAAAGGCTCTAGCCCTTCGAGAGGGCCATTCCTGGCTCTGCCCTGCGTCGGCCAGGCCCCACACCCCTGTGTCTTGGCCATTCTCGGGGAGAATGGGAACTGCTTGCCCCCTAGCCTGGGCCGCAATTGTTGATTTCTCTGCTGTATCCTATGTGGAGTGGCACAGCACAGGTGGCCCTCGAAGGGCAGATGTGGCCGCCATTGACTGCCACTCTGTCCCTGGCCTCTTTGCAGTGCCCATTCATGGACGAGCGGATCATGTGTTTACACAGTAAGATCAAGAGTCAGGCCCTGGAATTTCCAGACCAGTGAGTATCTCCCGCCGTCCCGCATCTCTCCTGTCCGAGTTCTTGGCGGTCCCGTGTCTGCCACCCTGACGCCTCTCCATCCCCAGGCCCGACATAGCTGAGGACTTGAAGGACCTGATCACCCGTATGCTGGACAAGAACCCCGAGTCGAGGATCGTGGTGCCGGAAATCAAGGTACCCTTGGCTCAGCCTGTGCCCCGTGCTCGGAATTGTTTGGCTCAGCCATGCCTCAGCCAGACCCCACACCCTTGTGTCCACAGCACCACACCCTCCTTGGCACCGCTGTTCTCCTATGCCCCAGGGCCTCTGAGCTGCTGGGGGCTGTTGAGGGCTGGGTAGGAAGATTTGGGCATTGTGTGCACTGTGACTGTGGGAGTGGGATCTATGACCCGCCAGCCTGCACTTGCTCTGATTGGCGTGGGCTGATGGGATCCACCCTCTGCAGACCGGCATGGGGCCTCCGTGCTCCACACCCTATTCCCAGAGCTCAGGTCCTTTCCAAAGGCCCGTCCCTTTGAGAAACTGCAGTGAGGATGGGAGGAAATTAATGAGCAATTCGACCTCCCCAGCCTGCTGAATCCCACCCTCTTGCAGAAAGCACTTTTAGGAAAGTGTATTCCCCTACACATCTCCACTAATGCCACACACATATATCTGGCCCTCTAGGAAATCTAGAGATTTGCCCTGGGACTTCCTAGGCAGCTAGCTAACTGGCATTTGAAGGTCTTAACAGAAGGCAGCCCAAAAAATCATGGATTGGGGCTTGGACCCAAGGGGGCAGACCCCTGCCTGGGTCCTCTCCTGATCCTGTCCTGCCAGCTGGTCCCACCATGCCTCCAAGCCTCTCCTGCTGTGAGATGGGGAGAATGCTGCCTGCTGTGCACTGAGCCTCCCAGGTGTCAGGGATTGTGGCTGAGGAGTGATGGATGCTCCTTGGGCAGCCAGGCAAGGCAGATGCCAAATTCCCATCACTTCGGCCAAGACCCGGGGCCGGATGGAGAATCGCCCCACTTCCATTTCAGCCTTGTAGCTCCTCCCGTCCTGTCTCTCCGTCTTCATGTTTCCGCCCCTTTGCTCACCCCTGCCCTCTGCTCGCCAGCTGTTTTGCATGCCTGACCACAGGCCCTTGCCTCTCCGTCCTGCATGCCCTTGTGGCTCCGCTCGCTGGCAGGGCCCCCCGGTAGCCAGCCACACCTGCCCCTCACCCCTCCTGTCGTTCGTTGAAGCTGCACCCCTGGGTCACGAGGCATGGGGCGGAGCCGTTGCCGTCGGAGGATGAGAACTGCACGCTGGTCGAAGTGACTGAAGAGGAGGTCGAGAACTCAGTCAAACACATTCCCAGCTTGGCAACCGTGGTAAGGTGGATGGACCCCTGACCCAGAGCAGGGACCCAGGAGCCTGAGGTGGGGCCTGGCCAGGACAGGCCGGACACAGGCGGGTGCCCGGGAGTCAGATGTCCGGGGGCCACCCCTAATCCACAGCTGCTGGCCTCTGGGCCTTGGTCATGTATCAGGCCAGGTGACCCCTGCATCTTCTGAGCCAGGTTCCATGTTACCATAGGAAGGGGAAGATTATCCTTCTGGAATTCCTGCTTTCAGAGCTCATCAGGGGAGAGGAACTAGGAGAAGTTCCAGGCAGGGGCAAGGGTTGGGAGCCGGAGCCCAGGTCTCTAAGCCAGGATTCCCGCCTAGCTGGAATTTTAGGCTCCAGGGTGGATGGCGTAGCATATCTCACGTCTGCTGTGTGGGCAGCCACCAGGGGTAGGGGCAGGGACTTCCACGCACACACTCAGAAAGTTCTGCCCATCTCCTGAGAGTGAGAATTGCTTAGGAGCAAGTAGGTCCCCTTTTATGGCCTTGAATTTGGATCCTGACCCAGGAAGAAGGAGCCAGAATGTAGAGTCCTCAGGCCTAACCTTGGAGGCTCTGGGAATCGCCACTGACCAAGTCCCTGTCCAGGAGGGCAGTTAGCTCCAAGAGAGAGACCAAGAGTCCCAGGGATCCAGGTTCCAGGCAGCAGGCTTGGGGACAGAGACCAGCAGGTTGTCCCACCACAGCCACCTCGAAAGGCCTGGTTGCAGTTGGCCAGCACTAGTCCCAGTGGGCCGGCGGGCCCCTGGGCTCTGGGAGGGACCC
Source organism: Homo sapiens (assembly GCF_000001405.40). Lineage (NCBI taxonomy): Eukaryota > Metazoa > Chordata > Mammalia > Primates > Hominidae > Homo > Homo sapiens. The sequence continues at coordinate 121,247,825 of NC_000012.12, read as the reverse complement.
TTGAGACTGGCTGGAAAGGCACAGAAGGTCCAGCTGTGAAGGATTGCCCCTGTAGGAGCCCAGATGCTGCTCCTGCTCCTCCAGCTTTGCACCTCTCTTCTCTGCTTCCCCACACACTTCCTCTCTCCTCCTCCCAAAGCTGAGCCCTGGCTGGGGCATCCATCCACATCTTCCTCCACTCTTTCCCCACCTGGGGCTGTGCAGGACCTTCACTGTTGAAGACCCACCCACACCCACTCACCCTTCCTCAACCACCCCTTGTGCCTGTAGACGAGGAGACAGCTGGCGTCGGACTCTGCACCCACCGTGGGTTACTGTGTTCCAGGCTCAGGAGGTTCTCAGTCCTGAATCAGTTGCCCTCCCTTTCCTTCCTGGGTCTCTGGGACGGGTTCTTGGGAGAAAGCGTCTGGCCCTGGAGGTCTGGAGTAGGCATTCATTATACGGGAAACACTTGTTGAACACCGAGTGGTTTCTCAGGCCTGTGCTGGGAGCAGGGGCTGGGTGGAGTGATGAACAAAACCCCCATGGCCTCTGCCATGCTTGAGAGGCAGATGCTGGTCAAACCAACAAATGTATGTACAGTGCAGTAGAGGGACCACAGGACATGCCCCTAATGGAGGCACACTTGGACCCACTGGGAAGAAGTGGATAGACACCGAGAGGATGGTAGGGTGTTAACTCCGCCGAGAGAGGGCGGACGGGCTAACACACTGGGTGGGGCCACTGAAGCAGGGCAAGGAAGGTGGAGGGAGGGTGTGGCGAGGTTTTACATGTTTACTCCAAGAGCATGGGTTTGAATCAGGGTTTGAACCAGGGCAGCTGGAGCAGGGATGGGCGGGTAGATACTGGGAAGTGGTCTGACTTGGGACAAGATGGCAAGGTCCAGGCCCCCTGCATGTGTTCATCATTTAGCAAACACGGAGCAGCCAGTGTGTGCCAGGCATAGGTGTCAAAGATGAGCTTAGCCCAGTGCCTGCTCTCAGGGGTAGGGGGCTGGGGGGCTGGGGGAGGGGCTCCTGGCCTTATAAGAAAGATGGACCTGGGAAGAATCAGCCTCCTGTGTGATCAGAGGCCAGTGCAGAGAGATGCAAGGGCTGGGGGCTTCACAGAGGAGGAGCTCCTGCTCTGGGTTGACAAGGCCACAGGGGAGGCGGCAGGGTGGGCTCACCTGGGGAGTGACATCTGCTCAGACACAGAGGAAAGAGGGGCTGGCATGTCCCAGTGACTGTAAGAACCTCAGTAGGGGAAGAGGCCTTCATTCTCTCTCTCTTTTTTTTTTGAGATGGAGTTTTGCTCTCGTTGCCCAGGCTGGAGTGCAGTGGTGTGGTCTTGGCTCACTGCAACCTCCGCCTCCCAGGTTCAAGCAATTCTTCTGCCTCAGCCTCCCATGTAGCTGGGATGACAGGTGCCTACCACCATGCCCAGCTAATTTTTGTATTTTTAGTGGAGACGCGGTTTCTCCATGCTGGCCAGGCTGGTCTCAAACTCCTGACCTCAGGTGATCCACCTGCCTCAGCCTCCCAAAGTGCTGGTATTACAAGCATGAGCCACCACGCCCGCCTCCCCCCCCCCGCTCCTTCTTTTAAATTGAGGTAGAATTCACATAACATAAAATTAAAGTGAACAATTCAGTGACATTTGGGACATTCACAGTGACATGCAATTATCTCCTCAATAGTTCTGAACATTTTCATTACTTCACACCCCCGCCCATCAGCAATGACTCTCCATTCACCTCCCCCCAGCCCTGGCACCCACTCACCTGCCCTCTGTGTCTATAGATTTGTGTATTCTGGTGGAATCCTACACTCTGAGGCCTTTCGGGCCTGGCTACTTTGACGTAGGAGAAGGTTTTCAGGGTCCGTTTGTGTTGTAGCATGGATCAGTGCTTCACTCCTTATGGCTGAATCATGTTCCATTGCACAGACAGACCGCTTTGAGTTTATCTTCTTCAGTTGATGGGCATTTGGGTGTTTGCATCTTTTGGTAAATCAGTGTTTCTTAAACACTTATTTTTCTTGTTAGCAGCAAATGCTTAAAAAGTCAGAAGCTCTGTGAATTCCCAAAACAGCTTGAAGGGGCACCGTGCCCTGGTTGGGGTGGGGTGAGGGGCCCAGTGACTCTTATGGGGCCCTCAGGCCATTCCCTTCATGGGAAATGGCAGCCAAGAGCATCACCAAGAATGACTGGTTCACGTCCTTGCTCCAGAACTTTCCGGGGCTCTCTGGCTGACCACAGGCCAAGTTCCAGACCCCTCTGGGTGGGGATGCTGAGTCAGGGAGTGAGGGGACCAGATCTGGGTTTTGGAAGGGATGGGAGGGAGGGAGGTGGAAAGCAGGGAGGCCTGGGAGAGACGCTGAGCAGTGGCTGAGGGTGTGGTGCAGGACAGCACCTTTTCCCAGAGGATTCTTTCGGCGGGGGTTGGTTGCGGGGTGGTGCTGCCCAGTTTCTCTCAAAGTCTGCCATCGGTCACCAGCCCTGGGAGCTGGCAGGGGCTGGGGAGAAGGAAGAGGGAGGATGTTGCCCAGAATCGCCCCCACATGGCCAAGCAGTTGCCTGCCACCTCCTCTTTTCTCCCTCTTCAGATCCTGGTGAAGACCATGATACGTAAACGCTCCTTTGGGAACCCATTCGAGGGCAGCCGGCGGGAGGAACGCTCACTGTCAGCGCCTGGAAACTTGCTCACGTGAGTGGCCGCCTGCCTTCTTGGGTGGGGGAGTGGTGGCTGGAGGCTAGGCTTGGGGCAGCCCTGCCCAGACCACTCTGCACAGGTCCTCCCTGAAGTGGTGCCATCTGGAGAGACTCAGATGAAACCCACCTGGTGCACTGGGACAGTCAGCACCCCAACCTGGGCTCAGCCCACCTCCTTTTGCTGACAGCTAATCCACCTGAAGTTTACCTTTCTCGGGAACTTGCACTGTAGCTGGGGGGCTCTTGGTCAGTCAGAAGAAAAGCACTTTTGTGGCCCGGGACCGTGAGTGCCTGATGGGGAGGTTTGAGGCTCTGTGCTGGGCGAGCAGTGTGGTCTCACTCAGGACCCTGTGTGTCCATGCAGAGAGGTGTCCACTCATCTGCTGTCAACGCCACCCTGGCTCCAGCTCTATGAAGCTGGTGTTTGGGGTCTGAGTGTCTCAGGGTGGGGGAACGGGCATCCCGTGGATCCCAAGGGTCCCTTCTCACTTCCCTTTTCCCTCCCTCTGGTGATTCCAGCAAAAAACCAACCAGGGAATGTGAGTCCCTGTCTGAGCTCAAGGTAACGCCCGCCTGCCTGTGCCGTAGCCTCTGCTGGGGCCTGAGGGGGGCGGGTGGGCAGCTGCAGAGCACGGGGGCATCCCCACCCGGGCAGATGCTCCTTCCAGCCTGGGCTGCTGTGGCCCGGCTCACCGCGGGCCTCCAGACCCAGTATTAGAATGAGGGGCCTCGGGGGCTTGGACCCAATGGTGGGTCATGCATGTGGGCTGGGGCTGCGGGTGCATGGCGCTCCAGCTGGAATGCCTGAGAATGCACCCAGGTCTGAAGATCCTGTGTGGCACCCATGTCTTCTCAGTGCACGTCAATGGTGTTGAAGCTCTGTCACAGGGCCCATGGGTGCCCCCCCGAGTCCGCATGGTCAGCACATAGGTCAGGCATGCTGCACTGTGTGGCTCTTCGCTAGGGGCTCTCCAGCCTCCACTTCTCTTTCTTTGATGTGTTTAGACCTAGAAAATAAGTCCCCTTCCTGCCTGTTGCAAAGTAACGTAAGAGTTCCCTCACCCGAGTGGATGCAGACCTTCTTGCTGTCAGCCACCCTTCCTTCATACACATAGCCAGCCCAGGTGACCAGAACCTCCCAGGACAGATGAGGCTTTGTGTCCTTATGAGACTGGGAGAACCTGCTGGGCACCCCTGCTGCAGGTGCTGTGGTGGGTGGGGACCCCACTGCCCTTCCCACTGAGCACATCATGGCTACCTGACTTGGTGGGAGCTCCAGGCAGTCACTTCTGTTTCTTAAACATAGCTTTACTGAGGTACAATTCACATACCATGTAATTCACCCACGGGAAGTGTATGATTCAGTGGTTTCTAATACAGACTTCTGCAGCCATTACCACCGTCAACTTTACGACATTTTCATCAGCCCAAGAAGACACCCTACACTCCTTAGCTGTCCCCATCCAACTCCCCCACCCCAGTAACCACTCAGAATAGGTATGGATTTGCCTATTCTGGACGTTTCGTATAAATGGCGTCATACACTACGTGGCCTTCTGTGTCTGGCTTCTTTCTCTCAGCATCATGTTTTCAAGGTTCATCCATGCTCTACATGTATTAGTGCTTCATTCCTTTTCATGGCCAAATAAGATTCCATTGTTTGGATGCACCTCACTTTGTTCATCCATTCCTCTGTGGATGGACTTGTCTCCACCTTTTGGCTATCGAATGAAGACTGATGCTATGAACATTTGTGTACAAAGTGTTAGGAGTTGGCTTACGAGATGAAATGGATTGACTAGCAGGCTGGATGCAGTGGCTCACGCCTGTAATCCCAGCACTTTGGGAGGCCGAGGCAGGTGGATCATGAGGTCAGGAGTTTGAGACCAGCCTGGCCAATATGGTGAAACCCCGTCTCTACTAAAAATACAAATATTAGCCGGGCATGGTGGCGCACACTTGTAGTCCCAGCTACTCGGGAGGTGAGGCAGGAGAATCACTTGAACCCAGGAGGTGGAGGTTGCGGTGAGCTGAGATCACGTCATTGCACTCCAGCCTGGGCAACAAGAGCAAAAATCTGTCTCAAAAAAAAAGGCTGGGCGCGGTGGCTCACGCCTGTAATCCCAGCGCTTTGGGAGGCCAAGGCAGGCGAATGACGAGGTCAGGAGATCGAGACCATCCTGGCTAACACAGTGAAACCCCGTCTCTACTAAAAATACAAAAAATTAGCCGGGCGCGGTGGCGGGCGCCTGTAGTCCCAGCTACTCGGGAGGCTGAGGCAGGAGAATGGCGTGAACCCGGGAGGCGGAGCTTGCAGTGAGCCGAGATTGCGCCACAGCACTCCAGCCTGGGCGACAGAGCGAGACTCCGTCTCAAAAAAAAAAGAAAAGAAAAAGAAATGGATTGGCCACCCATCCCGTGGGAGTCAGGGCTTATATGGTAATCTAGGAGGAACACCTGTTTGGGAATTATTTATGCTTTTGAGAGAAACCTTGCCCTCCAGCATAGAGCAGGGAAAATGGCAGTCCTTCAGAACCGGTCTTCAGCAGTCTCAGAAGGCAGACACAGTCCCCAGCTTGTGCCCAGACAGACGCCTGGGCAGCCCCGCCTTGGGTGTGAGCCTCACGGATGATGGAGTGGAAACCCAGCGGGCTGGCCTTTCCTCGGCCTTCCTCCTCTCAATCTCCATTTTAGGGTTTGCCAAACCGGGGCTGCCTCCTGTCTCTGAGCAAGTCTGCTGTTGGTTTCTTTCCTATTTTCTTTCTTTCTTTCTTTCTTTCTTTTTTTTTTTTGAGACAGGGTCTTGCACTGTTGCCCAGGTTGGAGTGTTGGAGTGTAGTGGTGTGATCTCGGCTCACTGCAACCTCTGCCTCCTAGGCTCAAGCGATTCTCCTGCCTCAGCTTCCTGAGTAGCTGGGTTTACAGACATGTGCCACCATGCCCAGCTAATTTTTGTATTTTTTTAGTAGAGATGGGGGTTTCACCATGTTGGCCAGGCTGGTCTTGAACTCCTGACCTCGGGTGATCTGCCTGCCTCAGCCTCCCAAAGTACTGGGATTACAGGCATGAGCCACTGTGCCCGGCCTTCGTTTCAATGAGATCAAAATTGCAAGACACCAGCAGATGGAGACTGGCCCCAAAGGGCTATGCTGCCCCTTCCTTTCTTCACCTGGGATCCCCTGCCCTCAGCCCCCAGCAGGTAGGATGCCTTGGTCATGGGAGCTCACAGAGCTGATTCAGGCACTGGGGGTCTTGGACTGGGGGCCTGCCTGCCGTCTGCAGTAAGACCCAACCCCTACCAACAGGCAACTGCGAGGGCAGAGACTGAGGGCCTGACCTAACGTCTAGTTACAGCGCCCCCCTCCCCAGGGACCTTACCCACATTCTCCATCAGAAACATAGCAAGCCAGACATCACGCTTCCTTTCCCTTGTGTAAGGACAGTCTCCCTCCTGGACAGGAGACACGGATTGTTGTGGGGGAAGGACAGACAGTAACCCATGTGGCATGCCCAGTGACCTCCCTAAGAACAGGGGAGCTGTGTGATGGTGGTGAGGGGATAGGCTCGGGGATTCCCCTCGCACCTGTCACGCCATCCACGCTGTCACACCGGCGGCTCCAGCCTGGGCTCTTCAGGGAAACAAGGGCTCTCCTCCTCCCACTTCCAAGAGGGAAGGGGCCTCCTCTTCTGTCTGAGGTGCTCCTCCCTCAGGGCTGGCTGCAGGAGGGCTGAGGCGGGAGGATCCCTGGAGCAGTTGTCATCTGCCCTTTCTTGAGGGCCAGCTGTGTGCCAGGCCAGGCAGGGGAGGCTCTGATCACCCCCACACACAAGGAACTCAACATCTGGTGACTGAGGACAAGCGTCACAGTCCCTTCCCTGTAAGGGCTCATAGCCTAAGTGGGGGATCGAAGTACCTAAAAACCTGGTATGACAGGCGCCGTGGGGTGGGGGGTGCCTTCTACTTGGGATTTGTGCAGTGAATTTTGGTGTTACATAGTTTTGGAACTGTTGTACGGGTCCTTGCTATTTTTGGCAAATGATGCTGGTCTTTCATTTACAGAGGGGCTGCGTGCAAAGTCTCCTTTGAAAAATTTATGTGAGCAAGGAAAAGGGGAGAGGATCTCAAAGACTGGGTTACGTAGATCACGTTCCAGGGGGTGCGCGACGGCCCACTTGGGCAGGGGGCCCAGATGTGGGAGCAGCTGGCTCAGGGCCTCGCTGGCATTTCTCAGAGTCTTAATGTTGGTTTTCTGTTCGGTGAGCAGGAAGCAAGGCAGCGAAGACAACCTCCAGGGCACCGACCCGCCCCCCGTGGGGGAGGAGGAAGTGCTCTTGTGAGAGGCAGTCCCTGCGTGGAAAGTTGCTGGGCCCCCGCCCCCGGCTCCCCCGCACGCATGCATCCACTGCGGCCGGAGGAGGCCATGGAGCCCGAGTAGCTGCCTGGATCGCTCGACCTCGCATGCGCGCCGCGTCGCCTCTGGGGGGCTGCTGCACCGCGTTTCCATAGCAGCATGTCCTACGGAAACCCAGCACGTGTGTAGAGCCTCGATCGTCATCTCTGGTTATTTGTTTTTTCCTTTGTTGTTTTAAAGGGGACAAAAAAAAAAAAAGGACTTGACTCCATGACGTCGACCGTGGCCGCTGGCTGGCTGGACAGGCGGGTGTGAGGAGTTGCAGACCCAAACCCACGTGCATTTTGGGACAATTGCTTTTTAAAACGTTTTTATGCCAAAAATCCTTCATTGTGATTTTCAGAACCACGTCAGATATACCAAGTGACTGTGTGTGGGGTTTGACAACTGTGGAAAGGCGAGCAGAAAACTCCGGCGGTCTGAGGCCATGGAGGTGGTTGCTGCATTTGAGAGGGAGTAGGGGGCTAGATGTGGCTCCTAGTGCAAACCGGAAACCATGGCACCTTCCAGAGCCGTGGTCTCAAGGAGTCAGAGCAGGGCTGGCCCTCAGTAGCTGCAGGGAGCTTTGATGCAACTTATTTGTAAGAAGGATTTTTAAATTTTTTATGGGTAGAATTGTAGTCAGGAAAACAGAAAGGGCTTGAAATTTAATAAGTGCTGCTGGAAGGGGATTTTCCAAGCCTGGAAGGGTATTCAGCAGCTGTGGTGGGGAAACATTTCTCCTGAAAGACTGAACGTGTTTCTTCATGACAGCTGCTCAAAGCAGGTTTCTGAGATAGCTGACCGAGCTCTGGTAAATCTCTTTGTCAAATTACGAAAACTTCAGGGTGAAATCCTATGCTTCCATGTACATTACATGGCTTAAGATTAAACAAAAACATTTTTCAAGTCTCTAACTAGAGTGAACTCTAGAGCACAGTAGTTCAGAAACTATTTAGAGCTTCCAGGATATATTTCACAGCTTCAGGCATGTGATCAGTTAGAGCCGATGAAACCTATGCCCGCCTGTATATATATTAGCAGCTTAGCTAGTTCATAACCTGTATATTCTAAAGACTGCTAAGGTTTTGTTTTCATTTTAAATCCTAGCTGATTGTTGTGGTCAATGAAATACCCAGTTTCTGGAGGGCCAGGTGGGAAATGCTTTCACTGGACCAACACACAAATGATCATCCTGAGGATCTGAGCTTCCCTAGACTCCACACAATAACCTTGGGGCACCCTTTTAGAGAAGACTGTTGAAACCCACAGCACTCGTTGGGGTATGAGGAAACCAGGGCTTGGCACAGGAAGTTCCCCTTTGTAGCTAAAAGTCCAGAAAGAAAGGGTTCATCTTTTTGACTTCCAACTGATATTGGGAAGTTTGGTTGAGGTTCAAGTGTGACTCCTTCCAGAGCCACAGGTAGGGGAGTGTGAAGTTGAGGGGGAGGAAAGCTGGAAGGACTCTGCCTTGGGAGATTCCCAGCTCTGCTTTCCAGCGCTTGGTGGAATCTGGGCTGGGGAAAGACGGCACCGGGAAACTCTGCTTCCCCATTGTTTCCATCTGATCAGCTGTGGTGTGAGGACTTCTCAGACAAAGGCAAGGCCTCGTGCCCCTGCCCAGCCCATTCATGGAGCCCTGGGCCTTCTTGGCTTCCATAGATCCTAAGCTCTTGACTGTAGTTTAGCCAGACTTGTTTTGCTATCTTATAAGCAGTTCAGAATTAGGGAATGCTGGTTTTGAAGAGCAAAGGACAGGTAGTCTAGAGAGGGTCGTCTGGCCTGCTTGCTGGGTCTTTGTAACCCAGCACTTCCTCTTGCCCTCCTGGCTTTATGTTTATGGGGAGAGGACTCAATAGCTCCACCCCTTCTGGCACCAGATGGGGCTTGGTTAGTTTGCAATAAGCACCTTGCAGAGGTTAAAGCCAGCGGGTCCCTAGTCTTAGGCCCAGCCTGCTTGTGTGGGCTCTGGCCTGGCCTGGTGGCTGGCCCAGGGGGCAGCAGTGCTTAGAGCTTCTGCAGGGCTTCTCTTGTTTACACAGCTGCATCAGACAATGCCATTTCTCCCCACCACGGAACCTTCCATCTAAGATTTCTTCCAGGGAATGCCAGCAATCAGGCAGCACCCAGCTGTGGGGGCAGTGGGGTGGGGGAGACCCACATTGATGACTTTTTTTTTTTCTTTTAATGAAGAAACACCAAAGAAAGCTGTGGAAAGGACCTGCCCCACATGAAAAGGATAAGCCAAGATGGCTGTAAACACAGAGCATTTGAGCTGCCACTCTTGGAGCACATTGATTTTTCAAAAGCCAGCTCTGTCAGGAAAGGAGGTGCTGTTATGAGCAGCTCTTCCAGTGGGCAAAGAGGACGCCCATAATTTCTTCCATTGCTAGCTCATCTGTGGGACCAATTTGGTGTAAGCAACCTGTGGCCTGCACTTGTGGCCTCGAAGGAAGCACAAACCCTCCATCCACTTCCCATTTCCTCTGCCCTTTTCCACCTCCCCCTTCCATCCCACCAGCTGCCAGTGGCTCCCAGAAAGCCTTATTGAGCCCCTTGTTGACACTTGGGGCTGCGGAGGCCTCTCCCTACTGGTCTGGCCTTTCCTGAGAGGCAGGTCTTCCGTCCTCAGAGCCTTTCTGGAACAAGGAGAATGCCTGTGCAGGTGGACACACAGGCCTGGCCTGTCGCTCTCACTTGTCTTCCAGCGGGGAGCTTCACGTTGCCGAGTGGAAGAACCATGACCTCCACTTGCTTCCAAGGTGCTAGGGAAGTTTCAGGGTACGCTGGTTCCCCTCTCCAGCTGGAGGCCGAGTTTCTGGGGACTGCAGATTTTTCTACTCTGTGATCGATTCAATGCCCGATGCTTCTGTTTCATTCCCGACCCTTTCTACTATGCATTTTCCTTTTATCAGGTGTATAAAGTTAAATACTGTGTATTTATCACTAAAAAGTACATGAACTTAAGAGACAACTAAGCCTTTCGTGTTTTTCCACAGGTGTTTAAGCTTCTCTGTACAGTTGAAATAAACAGACAGCAAAATGGTGCCAAGCCTGGGCCTCTTGGGGAGGTTTGTATTGGTGATTGTTTATTTAGGCCGCCTGCCCTGATGTCTGTATTCCTTCCTCAGGCTGACAGCGAGGTCAGATGCCCAAGTCAAGGCTAATGTATTCAGCAAATCTCTAATTTAGAGCATGTCCTAGGACCTTGCTACTCAGTGTGGCTCCCAGACCAGTAGCGCCAGTGTCACCTGTGAGTGGGTTAGAAACGCAGGTGCCGGCCGGGCACGGTGGCTCACACCTGCAATCCCAGCACTTTGGGAGGCCAAGGTGGGAGGATTGCTTGAGCCTAGGAGTTTGAGACCAGCCTGGACAACATGGCAAGACCCCATCTCTTAAAAAAAAAAAAAAAAATTAAAAAATTAATTGAGTGTGGTGGTGCATGCCTATGGTCCCACAGCTACTCAGGAGGCTGAGGTGGGGGGATTACGTGAACCCTGGAGGTCAAGGCTGCAGTGAGCTGTGATCATGCCACTGCACACCAGCCTGGGCAACAGGGCGAGACCCTGTTTCAAAAATTAAAAGAAAAAAATAAATGCAGATACCCAGGCTTGGCTTAAACCTGCTCCCCAGGTGACTCGTCCGTGTGCTGAAGTTTGAGCAGCACTGCTTTCGCAGGCAGGTAATTGCAAGATTCTGGTGGAGGCCAGACAGGTGGGCAGCCCCCGAGCAGTCTCAGTCACACTGAACTATGGCCTGGTATGCCACATGACACTTTACCCCACGAGGTAGGGATTAACCTCGTTTTATGGATCATCGTCTGTGAGGTGAGGCTCCAGAAAGTTAAGTCAGTTGTCCAAGGGTTAGAATTTGCCAGCAAAACCCTTCTGGTTTTCTTTTTTGAGACAGGGTCTCGTTCTGTCACCCAGCCTGGAGTGCAGTGGCAGTCTCGGCTCACTGCAATCTCCACCTCTCAGGCTTAAGTGATCCATCCACTTTGGGTTCCAAAGTAGCTGGGACCACAGGGGCCCACCACCACACCAGCCCCCACACCCAGATAATTCTTAAATTTTTTATAGAGACAGAATCTCACTATATTACCCAGGCCTGGTCTCAAACTCCTGGACTCAAGCAGTCCTCCCACCTCAGCCTCCCGAGTTGCTGGGACTACAGATGTGCACCACCATGCCTGGCTAATTTTTAAATTATTTGTAGGGATGAGGTCTCACTACCTGTTGCCCAGGCTGGTCTCAAACTCTTGGACCAAGTAATCCTCCTGCCTCAGCCTCCCAAAGTGCTGGGATGACAGGCGCGCATCACCACACCCAGCCTCCTGCTGGTGTTCATGGCATCTAGAAACACACCCGCCCCTCACCCCAACACTGGCTTGCTTTCACATTTGTTTTAGAAAAGAGGCTAAACAGCATCTCCCCCACTTCGGAAGACAGCCAGTGACCATCACTCCTTGACGAGCAAGATCATAAACACACCCATTGCCCTTAAGTCTGTTTTGTGCTGCTGTTACAGGGACCTAAGACTGGGTAATTTATAAAGAACAATAATTGATTTCTCACATTTCTGGAGGCCAGGAAGTTCAAGATCAAGGTGCTGGCAGGTTTGGTATCTGGTGAGGGCTGCTCTCTGCTTCCAAGAGGGTGCCTTGGTGCCGCATCCTTTGGAGGGAGGAACACTTGTCCTCGCGTGGCAGACAGTGGCAAGGCAGACGGGGGATGAGCTCCCTCTCTAGCCCTCGTATAGGGCACCAACCCCATTCATGAGGGCAGCGCAATCCTGACTCAGTCACCTCCCCAAGGCTTCACCTCCCAATAAGGTTGCCTTGGGGATGAAGTTTCCAAAATGTGAATTTTGGTAGACACATTCAGCCCATATCACCATTCCTAAACATTCCAGCTTCATTTGACCCATGTGCCTAAGCAAGCACTTTTTATTTTTTCAGACAGGGTCTCACTTTGGTGCCCAGGCTGGAGTACAGTGGCACCATCATAGCTCACTGCAGCCTCAACCTCCTGGGCTCAAGTGATCCTCCGGCCTCAGCCACCCAAGTAGCTGGGACTACAGATATATACCGCCACACCCGGCTAATTTAATTTTTTGTAGAGATAGGGTCTCACCATGTTGACTGGGCTGGTCTTGAATGCCTACGCTTAAGTGATCCACCTTGGCCTCCCAAAGTCCTGGGATTACAGGCAACAAGCATTTTTTTTTAAAAGGCAGCATGAACCAGAGCTTCAATAAAGGGAGTTGGTAAACTTTTTTTTTTTTTTCCAAAAGCAAGAAAAGCCCAGGTTGGCCATTTATCCAGCAGAAGCAGAGTATTTGTAAAATAATGGTTCCTCTCAGTACTTGGAAGTGAATTCATGGCAGAGGCGAAGGGCAAACTGCTTCCTCTAGGGGGATTCTGAATACCTGATGCAGAATTCAGCTGGTGTGTGGCTGGGTGCAGTGGCTCACGCCTGTAATCCCAGCACTTTGGGAGGCTGAGGCGGTGGATCATGAGGTCAGGAGTTCCAGACCAGCCTGGCCAACATGGTGAACCTCTGTCTCTACTAAAAATACAAAAATTAGCTGGGTGTGGTGGCAGATGCCTGTAATCCCAGCTACTTGGGAGGCTGAGGCAGGAGAATTGCTTGAACCCAGGAGGCAGAGGTTGCAGTGAGCCGAGATCATGCCACTGCACTCCAGCCTGGGCAATAGGGCAAGACTCTGTCTCAAAAACAAAAAAACACAAACATTTAGTTGGTGTGAAGCTGCAGCTGGAAATAGCTTCATGAACATTTCGAACCTGTGCGGAGCTAGGTATGCGTGCTGCTGCTTTTGGTTGGAGACTTTTGGGAAGCAAACAGGGAAGGGAGAGGAAGCCACTTCCATGTTACCAAAAATTGTGTTACCCACAGCATAGAATTGTAATTTTATGTCAAAATGGAGGCACAGGTAAGATGTCACTAGAGAAAAAGTGTCCTGTGAACTGTGCAGGAAGACAAGCTAATGACAAATTATTAGGCTTTAAAAAGTAGGCAGCTGGGTGCAGTGGCTCATGCTTGTAATCCCAGCACTATGGGAGGCTGAGGTAGGAGGATCGCTTAAGCCCAGGAGGTGGAGACTGCAGTGAGCAGTGATTGCGCCACTGCACTCCAGCCTGGGTAATAAAAAAAATAAATAGGCCAGGTGTGGTGGCGCACACCTGTAATCCAATCACTTTGAGAGGCTAAGGCAGATGGATCATTTGAGGTCAGGAGTTCGAGACCAGCCTGGCTGGCCAATGTGGTGAAACCCTGTCTCTACTAAAAATACAAAAATTAGCCGGGCATGGTGGCATGCACCTGTAATCCCAGCTACTCGGGAGGCTGAGGCAGGAGAATCGCTTGAACCCGGGAGGCAGAGGTTGCAATGAGCCGAGATTGCACCACTGCGCTCCAGCCTGGGCGACAGAGTGAGACTCTGCCTCAAAAATAAAATAAATAAATAAAGAAGTAGGGGAAAATGTGCATAAGTGCCAGAAACAGACCATCCCATGGACCTTTTCTGAGCACAGTGAGCCGGAATAGTGGATTTACTGGTTGTCGTAAAAGGGTAGGAAGGAAAGTTCTAGCACATGCTATGAGACAACAGACAGGGATTAAGAAAATCACGCTTTAATGTCTGGTCCTCGATCACCTTAGCACAGCGCTTCTCTGAGGAGAAATGCCAGCTCTGCCGCATGGCTGCAGGGAATGGTCGGGGGGAAGCCTGCAGCCCAGGCCTGCTACAAGTCTAGTGACTGCAGCCAGGCGGCCTCCCCTGCCGCATAAAGTGCTTGAACAGAGCCGCCGTGCCTCAGAGGACTGGGCCTGTCCTGGAGAGAGCTGGAGACAGGAGGCTTCTGAGCAAAGCCAGCTCCAGCCCTGAAAGCCACAGCAGTGCCACTGCGTCGGGCCAGCGCTCCCCCGACAACCCCAGGTTGCGGGAAAAGCAGAGTTGACCCAGCCAAGAACAGACTGCTGACCTCCTGGGCCGAGTGGGCAAACAGATCCTGCACACAACACACAGGAGCTGCTGGGGAACCCTGAGTGCTTGTGGAGTGGAGACTCAATCAGATTCCAGAAATTTCTCTGGGGTGATGTGGTGGCCATTTCTCCCTCCTCCTCCTCTCTGTTCTTTGATGGGGCTGTGGAGAGCCCAGGTGTGGGGTAGGCCTCACTGGTCCAGCTCACTAGCAAGACCCTGCAAAGAAGGACACAAGCAGATCAAGGTGCCCCTGGGACCCCTTGTGGCAGGCGGGAGGGAGGTGCGCTCCTGGGACTTCACCGCCAGGGGTTCTCAAGTTGGTCCCAGGCCTGGAACCCAACCCTTCCTGTTCCGCAAGGTGCACTGAAGTAGTGTGTGCCCACAGGCATTCTCAGAGCATGCATTATCATCACCAACCTGAGATGTCGCTCATTGAAACGAGGCTGGGTTTAAAGAGTCAATCTAGTACAGGGGCCTAGGGATGGAGCAGCTGCTGAGAGTGGCAGGACTGCCCGGGTTAACGGGGACACCACGCCACACTGGTGCCAGCCTCTGCAGAAGGGCCTCCCCAGACAGGCCCACGCCCAGGGCTCCCACACCCAAGAGATGAGAGGCCTGTGCCTGCTGGGGGCCAGGAGGGGCCTACCTGCTCGTAATCTTCCACATATTTATATTTCTTCTCCCGATAGTAGAGTCTTTTCTTCATGCAGTAGAGGACTATGATGTCACACAGCACGGTCGCCTGAGTTTAGCATAGGGTGAGAGTGAGCCAGGATGCTTGCAACCCATCAACCCATCTTATTCTTTGCGTGCCCCTTCCTGAGAAGCCTGGAATCTTTACCGGAATGGAAAGGCACTCCCATCTCTTGGGAGAAGGCTGGGACCTGAGGGGGGTGGTCTTGGAGAAGGGAAGGTGGGAGGAGGGCTGGGGGCCAAGGGAAAGAAGGTAGGAGGGTCAAGTTTAGAAACACATCTGAGGTCTAGGGCCTAGGGCCAGGACCAGGACCCCAGCCCAGGGTCTCACCTCACCGTGAGGGTGAAGGCAGGGCCTAAACCACTCACCATGCCTAGCAGTGCCAGGCCAGAGCCGATGTTGATCATAGTGGGGATGATGTCAAATTTCCCTGCCTGCCAAGACACCGAAAAAGAAAAAAAGTGTTTCTGCAGGGGCAGGGAGAGGCCCCTTGTCCCTGCAGGGAGTGACGGAGGGGAGCCAGTGGCGGCGAGCTACCTTCCCAAACACAATGATGTCGAAGCGGATGCCATAGGCCTTGATGAGCGTGCGCTGCTCGTTGCCAGCCAGGTCTCTGTAGTACTTGGCAAACCTGAGGGGAAGGAGGATGGATCAGGGGGAGATGGCTGGGGCAGGACCTTGGGCCCTGTGAGAGAACGTTAGAGTGGAGCTGGCACAGGTGAATGGTCCACTCTGCCGGCTGAATGGACGCTGGAGCGGCTCGGGGCCTCTCCTGGCTGAGGCGGGCTGTGCAAGCAGGAGGATGCGGGGCCCACGAGGTACAGGGGCACAGGGAGACCTCCTCCTCCAGCACCAGTGTCCTCTCCTGAACCTGAACAGTTTGCTCTCAACATCCCACCTGGTACATCCTGCCTGCCTCCCTCAAGGGACCCTGACCTCCAACATCTAACAGTAAGAATGTGACCAGCCAGCATTGCAGGAGGGGACTAAGCCAGCCCCAACACAGCATCAGTGCAGGGACTTTTTTTTTTTTTTTTTTTGAGATGGAGTCTCCCTCTGTTGCCAGGCTGGAGTGTAGGGGCACCAATCTTGGCTCACTGCAACCTCCACCTCCCCAGTTCAAGCAATTCTTCTGCCTCAGCCTCCCGAGTAGCTGGGACTACAGGCGCACACCACCATGCCCAGCTAATTTTTGGATTTTTTAGTAGAGACGGGGTTTCACCAAGTTGGCCATGATGGTCTCAATCTCTTGACCTAGGGCTTTTTAAATTTATTTATTTTTTCAAAGAAACATTGATTCTGTGCACACAGTCTTCAACAACAACAACAACAACAAAAAGAACCACTCGTTCGTCACACAGATAAAGAGATGAACAAAACGTCGTCTGTCAACACAGCAGAATATGATTTGGCCATAAAAAGAGACGAGGTACTGACACAGGCTACGACATGGATGAAGCTTGAAAACATCAGGCTAAGGGGAAGGAGCCAGACGCAAAAGGCCACATATTGATTATATGAAATGCTCAGAAGAGGCACATCTGCAGAGACAGAAAGTAGACCACTGTTGCCAGGGGCCGGGGGATGACAGAAGGGTGCAGGGTTTCTTTTTGAGATGACGGAAATGTTCTAAAATCGACTGTGGTGAAGCCTGCACTTATCTGTGAATATAGTGAAAACTATGAATTCTGCACTTCAAATGTGTGAACGGTATGGCATGTGAATTGCATCTCAGTAAGACCATTTAAAAATATATGGCTGGGTGCGGTGGCTCACACCTGTAATTCCGGCACTTTGGGAGGCCGAGGCAGGTGGATCACTTGAGGTGAGGAGCTCGAGACCACCCTGGCCAATGTGGAGAAACCCCGTCTCTAATAAAAATACAAAAAATTAGCTGGGTGTGGTGGCGGGCGCCTGTAATCCCAGCTACTCAGGCGGCTGAGGCAGGAGAATGTCTTGAACCCGGGAGGCAAAGGCTGCAGTGAGCTGAAATCGCACCACTGCACTCCAACCTGGGTGACAGAGCAAGTCACTCCCTTAAAAAAGAAGAAAAAAAAAAAAATATATATATATAATGGCTATATATATAATGGCTATATATATATATACACATATATACATATACATATATGAGAGAGAGAGAGAGCGAGCACGCGAGAGAGCGCACACGCATGAGCAGGGGATGGATGGTTGGTGAAGAACCGTCAAGACATACCATCTGCTGCCCCATGTTCTCCAGGGATCCATCAGGAGCCTCGGCCCGCACCCTAGCTCCATGCTCTATCTGGCCCACAACTTCCACGCCATGGGCCAGGCCTGGGAGACACAGGCAGGGCCTGGTGCTGCCCGAGGTTGGGGGATAGGCGTCCTGAGTTCTTTCCGTTTTAGGGCTCTGACCTAAGCTTGAGGTTTCCACAAGAAGTGTGTGACAGTAGAGATGGAATAACACAAATCTAACTGCTAGAAAAGAAAAATTCAAATATCTGCTTTACTCAGTGAGCCAGAAGGTTCAAAAGGACAGCAGATCCCACAATTACAGAGGTCTTAGGATCCCGTATGGATCGGATTCCACACGTCACCACTAGGGGGAGGCAAGTGCAGCCCAAAGCACCGCTGACCGCGCCCAGGGATGGTCCTTGCAGGGCCTCTTTTTTTTCCCCCTGAGACGGAGACTTGCTTTGTCGCCCAGGCTGGAGTGCAGCAGTGCGATCTCGGCTCACTGCAACCTCTGCCTCCCTGGCTCAAGCGATTCTCCTGCCTCAGCCTCCCAAGTTGCTGGGATTACAGGCATGCGCCACCATGCCCAGCTAATTTTTGTATTTTTTTTAGTAGAGATGGGGTTTCGCCATGCTGGCCTCAGGTGATCTGCCCGCCTTGGCCTCCCAAAGTGCTAGGATTACAGGTGTGAGTCACTGCGCCCGGCCTGGAGCGCTTCCTTTTTAAGGACTGTGAAAAATGCAACAAAGGGTACGTGGAAATTTACCTGGCTATAGATTCTGATCATGAGATCATCAGCTGTAGTGGGTTGAACAGTGTGTCCCCAAAAATTCACATCTACCTGAAGCTTGGGAGTGTGACCTTATTTGGAAATGGGATATTGGCAGACGTAATTTGTTAAGATGAGGTCATACTAGAGTAGGGTGGGCCCTAAATTCAGTGACTGATATCCTTACAAGAAGAAAAGACACAGAGACACATACAAGGCAGAAGGCCTCATGACAGGAGAGGCAGAGACTGGAGTGATGCATCCACAAGCCAAGGAACACCGTGGGCTACCAGAAGCCAGGAGAGACAAGTAAGGACTCTCTCCAGAGCCTTCAGAGCGAGCACAGCCCTGCTGATGCCTGGATTTTAGGTTGTGGCCTCTAGAACTGTGAGAACTGTGAGAGAATCAAGTCCTGTAGTTGCAAGCCACTGTTTGTGGGACTCGCTTACATCTGCCCCAGGACACCGAGATGCCAGCATTTGCAGCAGGGAACCCAGCAAGGCCTTTCAGGGGCCTCAGACCTGTGTCCCCTGCACTCTGGAGATTCTGGCACAGGTTCAACCTTTGAGAAACCAATTCCTGGGCCAGGCCCCAGAGGCCTTTGGACTGGAGGATCACAAGATCATCCGCTCCTTGAGGCAGTGAATGGAGGTCATGGCTGAGGCAGGTGCTGGAAAGCTTAAGCCCCCAGCTTCTCCTGGCTGCTCTAAGAACCATCTCAACATGTTTCTTGCGGCAGGAAAGGGCAAGGAGGGGTCTCGGGGGCCGGGATGGCCCCGGAGCAGGACACCACTAAGGGCATTTTCCCAGCATGGCCTTCCCGCCGCCTTGGACGGGGGACCGGCAGCCTGCCCTTGGGGTGCTGCCTGAGTGCTGGTCTTCAGTGGGCGGCCCACTGGCACGTACGCAGCCACCAGCACCCCCTACAACATGAGCGAGGGGCCCAAGCTCACGCCCACCTGAAATTGTAGCCAGGAGATACGTTGTGCTCAACGTCCCGTGTATCGAGGCGGCGGAAGGAGTACCTGGGCAAGCAGAGGGAGGCGGCTCTGTCCAGGTTGCAGTCCCAGTTGACCTGGATGCCCATGATGCCTCCCTGGGGATGAGCAGCAGAGACACGGCAAGGCTTTCCTCAGCACCTGGCACGAGACGCCTCCAGGGCTGGGTCAGGAGAGCCAGGGCCCGCACCCACCTCCACGGCCATGTCCTGGAAACTGTGTCCTGCGTTCTCCACTATTTTGCCAAGACGGAATATGGGGCAGAAGGGATCTGTTTTAGCATCATAAATGCACGACTTGAGGTAAGTAGTGGTGATGTTGGGAAGGATATTCCTCCTAAAGTCGAGAGGAAGCAGAAAATCAGAGCGACGAAAACCTCAGAGAAGAGAGAAGAGCCAGAAGTTTCTCCAAGACCCTGGTGAACTCACACACCTGGCCACCACTTACTTGCTGAAATTAAATTTGGGATACCAGATGTTGTTCTTAACCAAAAGAGTGAAGTTTTCTGCAGCCTTTAAAAAAGCAGGTCTGAAAAACAATGATAACATTACTGTTAATAAAATACATACAAATACTCACATAACCATGTTATATATATATATATACACACATATATATATGTATTGTGTGTGTGTGTCTGTGTGTGTGTGTGTGTATATATATATATATATATATTTTTTTTTTTTTTTTTTTGAGATGGAGTCACTCTGTCACCTCGAGTGCAGGCTTGAGTGCAATGGCGCGATCTCAGCTCACTGCCACCTCAGCCTCCCGTGTAGCTGGGATTACACAGGTGTGAGCCACTATGCCTGGTTAACTTTTTTTGTATTTTTAGTAGAGACAGGGTTCCACCATGTTGGTCAGGCTGGTCTCCAACTCCTGGCCTCAAGTGATCCGCCTGCTTCAGCCTCCCAAAGTGCTGGGATTACAGGCATAAGCCATCACGCCCAGCCTATATATATTTTTGAGACAGGGTCTTGCTCTGTTGCCCAGGCTGGAGTACAGTTGCATGAACACAGCTTCTTGTAGCCTCGACCTCCCAGGCTCAGGGGGTTCTCCCACCTCAGCCTCTCAAGTAGCTGGAACTATAGGCATGCATCACCATGCCTGGCTAATGAAATTTTTTTTTTTTTTTTTTGTAGACATGAAGTCTTCCTACATTGCCCAGGCTGGTCTTGAACTCCTGACCTCAAGCAATCTTCCTACCTCCGCCTCCCTGTGCTGGACTACAGGAGTGGGCCACCATGTTCAGCCCCTATGTAATATTTTTAAAAACATATACACACATCTTACAATGTCATTTTGTCAAGAAGATGAAACACGTCTAGCATTTTCTACACCCTTCTGCATGCACACTCTTCTCTTCCAAGAGAAGACACTGAGCCGAGCCTTCCAGGTTCTTCCCCTCAAGGAAGGGCAGGCCCTCTCCCCCAAGGCGGTGAAAACTGAATTGCTAACCAGGGAGGGGATTTGTGGCCTCACTGGAAATCAGTAGGCCTGGCTTTGGGGCCGCAGGCGTTCTCCAGGGAGAGAATGAAGGCTGGGCAGATCCGGTTTTACAGGTCAAAGCAAAAGTAAATTTGCCTACAGGCTGGATCCTGACCTGTCTGAAAAGTGCACAAAGCACCCGCCAGCAGGTGCGCCGGCCTCTTCTCAGAAGTGCCACGTCAGCTCCTGGCTGACAATACAAGTTGAATCTGTCCCCAAGGGGACTCCATTTCTTTGGTGAATTTCTCCTGGAGAATCTGGCACTGTATGGCTAACCCTTCTGTGGGGGATGTTCCCCTGATCCAGGTGGGATCTTTGGAATGACAACATCAACAGTCTTCCCAGCCCTGAGACAGGAGCAAGGTCAGTGACAGGGCTGCACTCGGAGGAGAGCTGAGCCTGTCACCACTGCTGTCAGAGAAAGGCTGGGACCAAGGGGCTTCTCTCAGGTTTTTTTTTTTTTTGAGATGGAGTCTTGCTCCTGTTGCTCAGGCTGGAGTGCAATGCCGCGATCTCGGCTCACTGCAACCTCTGGGTTCAAGTGATTCTCCTGCCTCAGCCTCCCGAGTAGCTGGGGTTACAGGCGTGCACCACCACGCCTGGCTAATTTTTTCATATTTTTAGTAGAGATGGGGTTTCACCATGTTGGTCAGGCTGGTCTCAAACTCCTGACCTCAGATGATCCACCCACCTCGGTCTCCCAAAGTGCTGGGATTACAGGCATGGGCCACTGTGCCTGGACTTCTCTCAGGTCTTCAAAGTCCCCACTCCCTCAAGAGGGATGGCTTACAACAGGGGTGTTCAAGTTTTTGTCATTTCCTGTACCGTAACACCCACACACACACCTGTGTACCTCACATGTAATACTTTAAGATCAACTCACCTTTTTAGAGAAATTGAGATGAAATTCACATAACATAAAATTAACCATTTTAAACTGGACAATTCTGTGGCATTTAGTACATTCATAATGTTGTGCAATCATCACCTCTGTCTAGTTCCAAAACGTTTTAGTCTTTGTTCTGTTTTTGAGACAGGGTCTTATTCTGTCACCCGGGCTGGAGCGCAGTGGCATGATCTTGGCTCACTGCAACTTCTATCTCCCGGGTTCAAGCAATTCTCGTGCCTCAGCCTCCTGAGTAGTGGGATTACAGGTGCGCACCACCACGCCTGGCTAATTTTTATATTTTTAGTAGAGAGGGGGTTTCACCATGTTGGCCAGGCTGGTTTTGAACTCCTGGCCTCAAGTGATCCACCCGTCTCTGCCTCCCAAAGTGCTGGGATTATAGGCATGAGCCACTGTGCCTGGCCAATGTTATTTCTTATATCAGTGTGCACTTAAAAATCATTTTACACCGCATTAGATCTGCAACAGTGATGTCCAATAAAAGTATATTGTGAGGCCAGGTGTGGTGGCTCACGCTGTAATCCCAGCACTTTGGGAGGCTAAGGCAGGTGGGTTGCTTGAGCCCAGGAGTTCAAGACCAGCCTGGGCAACATGGTGAGACCCTGTCTCTACAAAAAATAAGTTGGCTGGGCATGGTGGTGCGCCCCTGTGGTCCCAGCTACACAGGAGGATGAGGCGGGAAGATCACTTGAGTCCAGGAGTTCGAAGCTGCAGTGAGCCATGATCGTTATCACTGCACTGGGTGACAGAGCAAGATCCTGTGTCAAAAAAAAAGTATCTTATGAGACACAACTACAAGCCACACTCCAACTTAAAGTTTCCTAATAGCCACACTACAAAGTAAAAGAAACAAGTAAAATTTTATACAGTAACCCAAAATATTACTTCAACATGTAACCAACATACAAAAATCAATGAGATATTATACATTCTTTTTTTCATAATAAATATTCAGGGCCGGGCGTGGTGACTCACGCGTGCAATCCCAGCACTTTGGGAGGCCAAGGCAGGTGGATCACGAGGTCAGGAGATCGAGACCATCCTGGCTAACACAGTGAAACCCCCTCTCTACTAAAAATACAAAAAAATTAGCTGGGTGTGGTGGTGGGCGCCTGTAGTCCCAGCTACTGGGGAGGCTGAGGCAGGAGAATGGCGTGAGCGCAGGAGGCGGAGCTTGCAGTGAACAGAGATGGCGCCACTGCACTCCAGCCTGGGCGACAGAGCGAGACTCCATCTCAAATAAATAAATAAATACAAATAAATAAAAAATAAATAAATAATAAACAGAATCGGGCTGGGTGCAGTGGCTCACACCTATAATCCCAGCACTTTGGGAGGCTGAGGCAGGTGGATAACCTGAGGTCAGGAGTTCGAGACCAGCCTGGCCAACATGGTGAAACCTGCATCTCTACTAAAAATACAAAAATTAGCAAGGTGTGGTGGGGGGTGCCTATAATCCCAGCTACTCAGGAGGCTGAGGCAGGAGAATCACTTGAACCCGGGAGGCAGAGGTTGTGGTGAGCCAAGATCACGCCACTGTACTCCAGCCTGGGCGACAGAGCGAGACTTCGTCTCAAAAAAAAAAAAAAAAAATCCAATTTGATGATAAGTGCACTTCCTATGGACAGCCCATCTCCTTTCGGACCCAGCCATATTTCAATTTTCAATAGCCACGCGTGGCCAGAGTCTCCTGTGTTGGAGAGCACAGCTCTGTGAGATCCTCTCCAGCTCTAAGATGCTAGGATTCCTTTTCTTTTTCTATCTCCTTCCTTTGCCTTAGCAATCTCTAAATCTGCAGTTCTCAGCCTTTCCTTCTGTCTCAACACACCCAGGATGAGGTTCAGTGGCTTCCTGCTCCCCGGGGCTCATGGAGACCTCGGTCTGAGCTCTCGGTGAGAAAGGCCCTAGGCTGCACGCACTTCTCAGAGCGCTGCCCGGACTCCACCCCATGAAGCACAGCCAATTACAACCACGAAGAATGTTATTCTAGAGCAACCTTGAACCTGGCTAGTTTAGTTGATTTTTAAATTTTTATTTATTTATTTTTTTAAATTTTTATTTTTTGAGACAGAGTCTCTCTCTGTCGCCCAAGCTAGAGTGCAGAAGAGCGATCTCAGCTCACTGCAACCTCCACTTCCCGGGTTCAAGCAATTCTCCTACCTCAGCCTCCCAAGTAGCTGGGATTACAGACAAGCGCCACCCTAACCCTAATTTTTGTATTTTTAGTGGAGACGGGGTTTCTCCATGTTGGCCAGGCTGGTCTTGAACTCCTGGCCTCAGATGATCCGACTGCCTCAGCCTCCCAAAGTGTTAGGATTACAGCATGAGCCACCGCGCCAGGATGAACCTGTCTAGTTTAGTTTAAAATACACTGTAGCAAACATCCGTTGTTTTCTTCCCAGCATCTGCTCCCAGCTTTTCTGGTAACAGAACCCCAAATGTCCTTTGGAAGCCATATCTCCCCAATGCTTGCCTATGTCACTTGGGTGGGTCTGACTCTAGCCCCAGCTGCAGAGGTGGGCATGTGACCCAGGCCCAAGCTGATAAGCAAAACCCATTCCCCAGCCACAGAGATGGGTTGAGAGATATGGCCATTGATACGATGATGGACAGGTCTAGAATCTCCAGGGACAGCTGGAAAGGGAGACTCAGACTTGGGGGGCTGTAAGTGCAGCGCTGCCTCCCGGGCTATGCTGTGGGTCCTGCGAGTGAAGCTGGCACGGCGGGATGCAGAGCCAGGAAGGGAGACTAGGGTGTTGTCCTTTGTCTCTCACTCTGTCGCCCAGGCAGGAGTGCAGTGGCCTCTGTCGCCCAGGAGGGAGTGCAGTGGCACCATCTCAGCTCAGCAACCTCCTCCTCCCAGGTTCAAGAGATTCTTCTGCCTCAGCCTGGCACGAGATTCTCCTGGCCACGCTGGATCTTTTTGGTCAGCCGGACAATACACTGCCCCCCCGCTGTGCACGCATGTGTATGTGTGTATGTGTTTGTGCACATGTGCTTAAGGCACTGAGAACTGTTTCCTGTCAGTTATTTGCAACTGACAGAGTCCTAACATACAAGGAAGTCAGTCACCTGCACCCTTCTCGTGAGTGACAGACTACTTGTGGCCCATCTTGCCACTGATGGTCGCTGCCTTGTGGTTGAGAGCAGCCATCCTAGGGCAGCCTGACTTCATACAGACACCAGAAACACACAAAAAGCCACAACACACAGGTGTAACTCCTTGACCACCTCTGTTCAAGGCTGACACGCAGAGTTGAAGGTGCTTCCGGCTGGGTGTGGTGGCTTCTGGCTGGGTGTGGTGGCTCCCGCCTGTAATCCTAGCACTTTGGGAGGCCAAGGCAGGTGGATCACTTGAGGTCAGGAGTTGGAGACCAGCGTGGCCAACATGGCAAAACCCCGTCTCTACTAAAAATACAAAAAATTAGTTGGGCGTGGTGGTGGGTGCCTATAATCTCAGCTACTCGGGAGGCTGAGGCACAGAAAATCACTTGAACACGGGAGGTGGAGGTTGTGGTGAGCCAAGATCGCACCACTGCACTCCAACCTGGGATACAGAGTGAAACTGTGTCTAAAACAAAACAAAACAAAAAGGCACTTCCTTCCCTAGGGCTGGACTCACTGTGGCACGTGTGTGTCATCCTCCACCGGGCACCAGGCCGCCACCTCACACGTCTTGACAGACCCGTTGAAAGCTACGCACCTGCCTGTTGAGACTCCTACAAGCACAAGGGTGGCAGGGGGGTCCCATGTCCACAGGGGTCTCCTATTTTCTACCTTTTTGGAGTAGGGAGTGAGAGCCCCATCCAGCCTCCCATGCAGCCAGTCTTGAGCTGTGCAAATCTGGGATTTAGACAGTGTCACTGTCCAGGAGTTAGAATCGGAGGAAGACAGTTACCTGTGTGCCAGCCACATCTCAGCCAGGGTGATGCCAAGCTAAAGAATGGGACAAGAGGCCAGGCACAGTGGGTCATGCCTGTAATCCTAGCACTTTGGGAGGCTGAGGCGGGTGGATCACCTGAGGTCAGGAGTTCGAGACCAGCCTGGCCAACATGGTAAAACCCATCTCTACCAAAAGTACAAAAATTAGCTGGGCGTGGTGGTGCATGCCTGTAATCCCAGCTACTCGGGAGGCTGAGGCAGGAGAATTGTTTGAAACTGGGAGGTGGAGGTTGCAGTGAGCCGAGATCATGCCATTGCACTCCAGTTTGGGTGACAGAGCGAGACTCTGGCTCAAAAAAACAAAAAAACAAAACAAAAAAAAAAACAAGAAAAAACAACAACAACAACAAAAAAAAAAACAGTAGGGCAAGAGCTGGGATGGCTTGTGGGGCTCCAATGACAGCAGTGAATGTAGAGGGGCTCCAGGACCCCAGCCTCGGCACCTGGCTCACCCAGGGTCATGTGAAGGAATTGGGAAGATTTCTCTATCAGAGACGCTCCACAGTGGGGGCGATCTGCTCAGGGGCCGCCCTCCCCAGGAGGCCACAAGCTCGTACCGTTGCTGTGGGTGCCGGCAGAGCCGGCAGTACAGCTGGCATCTGATTTACACACAGTGGTCGCATCTGGAATCTGGAAAAAGAAGGAGCGAAAAGAAAGTCCACGTGGCCCGGCCCCACACACAGGTGGACAGGCGTGGAGAGGGGTGTGGGGCCTGGGGCTCTTCCCGGGGGCCTCCTACCTCGGGGCACAGGCCCTGTGTCTGGTTCATGGTGAGGATCACGTTGGTCATGACGAAGAGGGAGTTTTCCTCCTGCAGAGGGGAGACAGCACGGGCAAGCCACGCTCAGAGGACTCACGGAGAGCCAAGAAAGGCAGACGCTGACTGAAGAGGACAACTCAAACACTGACCGCGTGCTCTCCCGCTCTCTCCCATCAAAGTTTATAACCCAATGGAAAACAGTGACTCAAACAAGTCCTTGTACATAAATATTCAGAGCAACACTTTTCACAAGAGCCAAAAGGTGGAAACAGGTCGGGCGCGGTGGCTCAAGCCTGTAATCCCAGCACTTTGGGAGGCTGAGGCGGGCGGATCACGAGGTCAGGAGTTCAAGACCAGCCTGGTCAACACAGTGAAACCCCCGTCTCTACTAAAAATACAAAAATTAGCCGGGTGTGATGGCGGGCACCTGTAGTCCCAGCTACTTGGGAGGCTGAGGCAGGAGAATTGCTTGAACCCGGGAGTCGGAGGTTGCAGCGAGCCGACATCGCGCCACTGCACTCCAGCCTGGATGACACGAGACTCTGTCTCAAAAAAAAAAAAAAAATGGTGGAAACAGCCCAAATGTCTGTCCTAGTCTAGTCACATGATGGAATGTGATTCAGCCATGAATAAAAAGGAATGAAGGGTCCAGGCATGGTGGCTCACACCTGTAATTCCAGCACTTTGGGAGGCTGAGGCAGGAGGATCACCTGAGGTCAAGAATTCCAGATTAGCCTGGCCAACATGGTGAAACTTTGTACTAAAAACACACACACACACACACACACACACACACAAACACACACAGACACACGCACACACAAAAGGAGCCGGGTGTGGTGGCGGGCACCTGTAATCCCAGCTACTCAGGGGGCTGAGCCAGGAGAATCACTGGAACCTGGGAGGTGGAGGTTGCAGTGAGCCGAGATCACGCCAGTGCACTCCAGCCTGGGTGACAGAGTGAGATTTCATCTCAAAAAATAAAATAAAGGAATAAAGCACTGATACAGGCTACAACATGGATGAACCCCAAAAACATGATGCTGAGTGAAAGAAGCCAGACACAAAGGCCACACAGGATACCATTACATTGATGTGAAATTTCCAGAACAGTCAAGTCCATAGAGACAAAGCACTTACGGGTTGCCAGGGAGTGAGAGAAGTGGGGAATGGGGAGTGGTTGTGTAACATACGAGGCTTCCCTTTGGGGTGATGGAAATGTTTTGAACTAGATAGAGGTGATGCTTGCATAACACTGTGAATGCACTAAATGTGCTGAATTTTTCATTTTAAAATGGTTAATTTCTTTCTTATTTATTTATTTATTTGAGACAGAGCCTTGCTCTGTCGCCCAGGCTGCAGGGCAGTGGCACGATCTTGGCTTACTGCAATCTCCGCCTCCTGGGTTCAAGCGATTCTCCAGCCTCACCCTCCTGAGTAGCTGGGACTACAGGTGTACATCACCACACCTGGCTAATTTTTGTATCTTTAGTAGAGATAGGATTTCACCATGTTGGCTAGGCTGGTCTCCAACTCCTGGCCTCAAGTGATCTACCTGCCTCAGCCTCCCAAAGTGCTGGGATTACAAGCATGAGCCACTGTGCCCGACTTAAAATGGTTAGTTTCTATAAGTGAATTTGACTGCAGTTAAAAAAAGGGGGGGGTCTGCAAACTGAAACAATGGTTTCTCAATCAAACTTGACTTACTGAGGGAAAGAGCCAACAAGTGCTAAAAACATTCCCTGCCAACCAGATTATCTCAGAGGAATAAAAACATGAGGCCTCATGGGGCTCAAATCTGGCTGGTTTTCTTTCCTAACTGAAATTATAAATCAAACATTCTAGAGAAGACTCGGTCAGGGTCAGCAAGTGACATTTCTCTTTGAAAAGGTTCTGTTTCCTCCTTATATGTATAAAGGTGCCAAATAATTGATTTAGAGTTTCTGGAAAGCAATTTGCTAGGGATGAGACTGAAGAATTGCTGATAATGACCTCCTCATATAAGGAATAAAAGGCAAAGACCCCAAAAGATTCTAGTTGGATCCTCCTCTCATTGGGGGCTGGTGTCCATCCATCTAATCTAATCTATCTATTATCTGTCTATCTATCTATCTATCTATCTATCTATCTATCTAATCTATCCTATATCTATCATCTGTTTTCTATTTATCGATTATCTATCACCTATCTAATCTATCCTATCATCTGTCATCTATCCTATCCCTTTTCTTTCTTTTCTCTTCTCTTTTCTTTCTTTCCCTTTCTTTCTCCTATCCTATCATTTATCTATTCTTTCTTTCTTTCCATCTATCTATCTATCTATCTATCTATCTATCTATCTATCTATCCATCCATCCATCCATCCATCCATCCATCCATCCATCCACCACCCATCCAATCAAGATGGGGTCTCACTATATTGCCCAGGCTGGTCTTGAATCCTGAGCTCAAGTGATCCTCCTGCCTTGGCCTCCAAAAGTGCTGGGACTACAGGCGTAAGCCACTGCGCCTGGCTGGGCCCAGGCATTTTAAAAGGAGATGCCCAAAGCTTTTAGCATTTCACACTCCTGAGGATAACAGTCAGTAGTGGGAGCCATCTTGGGGATCAGGGCAACTCAGAAACCAACCAGTCTGTAGACATCCCCAACCCCACGGTCTGACAAGTGGTGGAAGCTCTAGAAATAGCTGGCGTCCTCCAAAGGCCTAGGGCAAACTATGTTGGGAGACAAGGAGAAGGCCACAGGAGGAGGCGTGAGGATGTGGCATGAGCTGCAGCCTCTCTCCCGCCACCTGTCACGTTCCCAGGTGTTCAATGTACAAACACACTCTGCATTTGGTGTTAGAGAAGGCCGCTCCTACGACTCTCCTGAGTTATACTTGGAACAATCCAGTATGGTCTACTTTTCGTTTCCTATCTCTCCTTCTTTCTCTCTCTTTTAGAGTTGGGGTCTTGCTCTGTTGCCCTAGCTGGAGTGCAGTGGCGTGATCACAGTTCACTTCAGCCTCAAACTCCTGGGCTCAAGTGATCCTTCTGCCTCGGCCTCCAAAAGTGTTGAGATTACAGGCATGAACCACCACATCTGGCCTGTTTCCTATCACTTATCTACTTCAAATTAAGGGTAATTTCAGTCTGGAGATGAGCCAAGGGGCTGCAAATAGATGACTGTGTTCCATCTACAAAGAACACAGACGTCGTGAAAGCTCATGAGGAAAGCCCTGGGGAACTCACACGGCCCCCGCCCAGATCCACCACGGAAGGCTGAGTTGTGGGGTGCTCCTTTCCACCAAGGGACAAAAGCGGGGCTTGTGCCCTTCCTCATCTGCCCAGTAAACACACCGAGCATGACATTCCCAGAGCTCACCGGGACAAGGCTATGCCTGCACAGGAGGCAACCGTCTCTCTGCTGAGACAGGTACATGCTAACAGGACTGCCCCCTCCAGCCAACTGCAAATCCCCTGTTCCACTTGATCTTTTTTTTTGAGACGGAGTCTTGCTCTGTCACCAGGCTGGAGTGCAGTGGCACTATCTCGGCTCACTACAACCTCCGCCTCCCAGGTTCAAGAGATTCTCCTGCCTCAGCCTCCCTAGTAGCTGGGACTACAGGCACCCACCACCACACCCCACTAATTTTTGTATTTTTAGTAGACAGGGTTTCACCATGTTAGCCAGGATGGTCTCAATCTCTTGACCTCATGATACACCGACCTCGGCCTCCCAAAGTGCTGGGATTACAGGCATGAGCCACCGCACCTGGCCCTTCCTCCTGACTTTTATGGCTCATTAGCTCGGTCTCCTCTCTGGGGACCCCACAAGACCCTTCTCTTGAGAAGGCAGGGGGAAGAACACACCTGAAGAAAGAGTTTCTGGAGTTCTTGTTTTCCCTGGCAAGAGCTCTGAGCCAAGAGTTGGCAGCTTATCTCTACTGGTCGCCCTCGGTCCCTTAGCACATAGGCCATCTGGAGGGCTATGTCGGGTTTGACTGTGTGGTGCAGAGCTGTTACCAGGACTAAAGAGTCAATGTTTAACTTGGAGCTTTGCAGATTAACAGCCTGAAGACTAGTATGCAGCAGTAAACAATGTCTTCCCTTCCTTTCGCTCCCGATGGAGTCCTGTGCTGCTGTCTCTGTTTCCTTCTTGTTTGGGTTTTGGTCTCTAATGGTCTCTAATTCTTTTCTTTTTTTTTCTTTTTTTTTTTTTTTATAGAGATGGGGTTTCACCACATTGCCCAGGCTGGTCTCAAACTCCTGGGCTCAAGGTATCTGCCCGCCCCAGCCTCCCAAAGTGCTGGGATTACACACGTGAGCTACTGTGCCCGGCCTAAAGTTTTTACACTGTCTGAAAAGATTTACCTCGTGTATTTGGGACAATAATGCAAACCCAAAATGTGGAAAGGTGATATTTCCACTTGAATTTCTATCAGGATTTAAGACATTTGTTTTCTCATCTTTCAGGGCTTTCAGCCTGCCATGCTTTCAAGCTGAGGAACCACAGCTGCCTGGATACACTCTGTTAGATCCTAAGCTGAAAAGAGATCTGGCTGCACCGTTTTCTTGGACTAAAACAATCATTCTGGGCATTGGTGATGTCAGGACTCAGGCCACGTCAATCATTAATCAAGTGTGCAAAGTCAGTAAAGAGCAAGGTGTCAGTGTTAGACAGAAGACACAGTGGGAGACACACCTGAGCTGGTATCACATAATCCGCCACATCCCAGATCCGGAATCCAAGTTTAGAAGTGTTGGTCACAGCCACGCCCTTGACCTTGGTCGTAACGGAGCTGACCACGGAGTCAGTTTCCTGGTAGCCCTTTTCCCACACAAACACCCACCTATAAAATAAAACAGGCCTCTTAAATTGCCATTAGGATTCAATGGATTTGAATTGATGGGGAAGCTTCTGCTGGCCAGTGGCTGGAAGTACGATGTTGACTAATTACATGACTTTCTACAAGCTACGTACCTTCTAGGGGACTCCATTTCCACTTCTGCCAAATGGGGATGGTAGCACCTAAACCACAGGAGGGTTTGCGGGAAATAAATGAGATGGTGCAGGTAAAGCACTCAGCACACTGATGGCACAGAGAAAACGCTCGATGAATACTGTCTTTATTACATTTGAGCATTTTCTCTTTTTTTTTTTTTGAGACGATGTTTCGCTCTTGTTGCCTAAGCTGGAGTGCAATGGTGTGATCTTGGCTCACTGCAACCTCCGCCTCCCGGGTTCAGGCAATTCTCCTGCCTCAGCTTCCCAAGTAGCTGGGATTACAGGCATGCGCCAACACGCCTGGCTAATTTTGTATTTTTAGTAGAGACGGGGTTTCACCATGTTGGCCAGGCTGGTCTCGAACTCCTGACCTCAGGTGATCCACCCACCTCGACCTCCCAAAGTGCTGGGATTACAGGCGTGAGCCACTGCACCTGGCCCTTTGAGCACTTTCAATGCCTGTGACCTATGGGAATCACCAAGAGATAATACAAATTATAACAGTTACCACTGGAGTGTTTATAGGCACCAGGCACTGATCTAAGCTCTTTATATGTATTAACTCATTTAATCCTGACCACTTTATGAGACAGGTATCATTATTATTATTTCCATTTTACAGAGGAGGAAATGGAAACACAGAGAGGTTAAGTCACTTGCCAAAGGTCACACAGCTAGTGAGTGGCAGAGTCAGGATTTGAACTCAAGCCAGAAGCATCTGAAGCCTCTTCTCTCACCCACTATGCTCTACTCTAAGCTTGTCTAACCCATAGCACACAGGCCGCATGCGGCCCAGGATGGCTTTGAATGAGGCCCAACACAAATTCGTAAACTTTCTTAAAACGTTATGAGATTTTTTTTTGTGTGATCAAAAAAAGTTTGTTTTTTAGCTCATCAGCTATTGTTAGTGTTAGCATATTTAATGTGTGGCCCAAGATAATTTCTCCTTCCAGTGTGGCCCACGAAAGCCAAAAGATTGGACAACCCTAGGCTACTCTTTCTAGAAAAGAGAATTCTACCCTTTAAGGAACTTTTAAGAGTAGTTTCTTACTTTTCCCCCAAGAATTCTGGTCACATATATGGTTCTCTCCTCTGAAGTGGGACTATGACTACCAGTTTGAACAATTAAAAATCCAAAGGGGCTGGGTACAGTGGCTCACGCCTGTAATCCCAGAACTTTGGGAGGTCAAGGGGGGAAGATCATTTGTGCCCAAGAGCTCGAGACAAGCCTGGGCAACATAGGGATCTCTACAAAAAATAAAAAATTAGCCGGGCATGGTCAGTTTTGATTATAGCAAGATGGACAAAAGCAAAGCATTTACTGCTTTAAAGATTCTCGTGACTGAGACAGTGAATACGTCATAAGGAATCCTACAGAGCTGTGCTGTCCAATAAAAATCCCGGCTATTTGGGAGGCTGAGGTGGGAGGATCACTTGAGCCTGGGAGACGGAGGCTGCAGTGAGCTGTGATGCCACCGCACTCCAGCCTGGGCGACAGGGCAAGGCTCTGTCTCAAAAAAAAAAAAAAAAAAAAAACCATCTACAGGCATTAGCTTATAGGGGTTAGGACAGACTGGAGGCAGAGGTCTTGGTTCATGGCTCAGCTCCACCATTCACGAGGCATAACTTTGGCCAAGGTGCTTAACCTCATTGTGCCTCAGTTTTTCCCATCTATAATCTGGGAATGATAGTAGATCTTCACAGGATTCTTGTGAGGGTAAAAGAATTAATGTAGGTCAAATGTTTACAACAATGTTTGTGAGTCATCGTTGGTCACAGAGCAAGTACTGACACCGTGGAAATTGGCCAGTACTACAAATCAGAACCCCTCCCCTTCGAACTGCTGTTAAACATCTACTAGAGACTATCAGTGTTGTTATTTATAGAATCAGGAAATGCTAGGCTTCTCCTTCTTCTAAGTCCTAGATGCTGAGACTTCAGAAATTCACTGGTTTTGTTGAGGTCAGGAGTCCAAGACCAGCCTGGCCAACATTGTGAAACCCCGACTCTACTAAAAATACACAAAATTAGCTGGGTGTGGTGGTGGGTGCCTGTAGTCCCACATACTCGGGAGGCTGAGGCAGGAGAATCACTTGAACCCGGGAGGTGGAGATTGCAGTGGGCTGAGATCATGCCACTGCACTCCAGCCTGGGCAAGAGTGAGACTCTGTCCCTCCACCAAAAAAAAGAAAAGAAATTAATGGTTTTGTTACTTATGAGTGTGTGTGATCGAGCAGTCTCCAAGTTCATTGCCCAGCCTAGAGATGGGCTTTCCCCCCATGGGCTTTTCCCCTGACAAGTCCAGGGCTTCTAGGAATTCAGCTGCAGTGTAAGCTTCCATTTAATTCCAGTCTGACACACAAAAGCTTGGGGCAGGAAGACTGATGTACTCATCAAGTACAGTGAGTTGCTTAATTTAGAGACACAGGGTTTCATGCCACTCATTATCATGTGATTATTTCCTCCTCATATGATTGTTAACAGAGTTAGATAGATGAGAATTGCGTGTTCGGTCTTTTTTTGAGGGAGGGTTGCTGTAGGAGGAGACCACAATTTCACTAAGATGAGTTGCATCAAAAAGTTAAGAGATGAGGTTAAAAAAAAAAAGAGCCTTAATGCAGGTCCTGAGTCAGTTTTGATTATAGCAAGACGGACAAAAGCAAAGCATTTACTGCTTTAAAGATTCTCATGACCGAGATAGTGAATGCGTCATAAGGAATCCTACAGAGCTGCGCTGTCCCATAAAAACATAACGCGAGCCACATATTTTTTTTTTTGAGACAGGCTCTCGCTCTGTCGCCCAGGCTGAAGTGCAGTGGCACAATCTTGGCTCACTGCAACCTCCGCCTCCCAGGCTACAGCAATCCTCCCACCTCAGCCTCCCAAGTAGCTGGGTCCACAGGTGTGCGCCACTATGCCAAGCTAATTTTTCGTATTTTTGGTAGAGATGGGGTTTCACTACGTTGCCCAGGCTGGTCTCAAAATTCCTAAGCTCAAGGGATCCACTTGCCTCAGCCTCCCAAAGTATTGGGATTACAGGCGTGAGCTACCACAGGGCAAGACCCTGTAATTTAAAAGTTTCTAGTAGCCATGTCAAAAAGTAAAAAGAAATAGAAAGGGCTGGGCACGGTGGCTCATGCCTGTAATCCCAGCACTTTGGGAGGCCGAGGCAGACAGATTGCTAGAGCTCAGGAGTTCGAGACCAGCCTGGGCAACATGGAAACCTCATGATTGTAGAGATGAGATTTCTCATCTGTACAAACAAACAAACAAAAACACAATAATTAGCCAGTCATGGTGGTGTGCACCTGTAGTCCCATAATTCCAGAGGCTGAGATGGTAGAATCACTTGAGCCTGGGAGGCAGAGGTTGCAGTGCATTGCACTCCAGTCTGGGTGACAAAGCAAGGCGCCGTTTAAAAAGAAAAAAAGAAAAAAGAGACAGGAAAAATTAATTGTAATGATATATTCTGTGTAACCCAATATATCCAAAATATTTTAACATGTCATCAATAAAAAATGTTTTCATGTGATAGTGGTACTCTTTGTTTTTTTGAGACAGTGTCTTGCTCTGTTGCCCAGGCTGGAGGGTGGTGTGATCACAGCTCTCTGTGGCCTCAACCTCCCAGGTTCAAGCAGTCCTTCTGCCTCAACCTCCCAAATAGGTAGGCCTATAGGCGTGTGCCACCATGCCAGGCTAATTTTTGTATTTTTTTGTAGAGGCAAGGTCTCGCTATGTTGCCCAGGTTTGTCTCAAACTCTTGAGCTCAAGCGATCTTCCCACCTCAGCCTCCCAAAGTACTGTGATTTCAGGCATGAGCCACTGTGCCCAGCCTCTTTTTCTGTACTATGTCTTTGAAATCCAGTGTGTATTTTAAGGTTATAGCACATCTCAGTGTAGAGTAGGAACGGTTAAGTGTTCAACAGGTGCAAGTTACTAGTGGCTACCATACAGTGCAACACCACTATGGATATTTTCCGCAGTTGTAATTTTACAGGTACCCTAAGGTAGATGTGCACTGATCCTCCCACTAGCAGCAAACGCCAAAAGCAAAAAGCTGCAGGGGAGCTCCTGCCCCCAAATGCTTCAGGTCCAACCAGGGATGTGAGTTCAGTTAACTGGCTAGCAGTGAGTCTCCAAAAAAAAAAAAAAAATATATATATATATATATATATATATATATATATTTGAGATGGAGTTTTGCTCTTGTTGCCCAGGCTGGAGTGCAGTGGCGCAATCTGGGCTCACTGCAACCTCCGCCTCCTGGATTCAAACGATTCTCCTGCCTCAGCCTCCCATGTAGCCGGGATTACAGGCATTAGCCACTAGGCCTGGCTAATTTTTTGTACTTTTAGTAGAGACGGGGTTTTACCATGTTGGCCAGGCTGGTCTCGAACTCCTGACCTCAGGTGATCCACCCGCCTCGGCCTCCCAAAGTGCTGAGATTATAGGCATGAGCCACCGTGTTCAGAAAAAAAAAAAAAAAAAATTCTTTTTTTTGCACTGCTCCATCAGTACAATTTACCATTTTAAACTTTATTTTTCTCTTAGAGATGGGGTCTCGCTATGTTGTCCAGGCTGGTCTTGTGTCCAGGCTGGTCTTGAGCTCCTGGCCTCAAGCAATCCTCCCACCTTGGCTTCCCAAAGCACTGGGACTACAGGTGTGAGCCAATGAGTCCAAATCTGGGTGTGGGCCAGGTGGTTCTGATGTTGAGTCTGCACCTGGAAAGCCATCCTCTTGAATACTGTCTGTATCTACTGCTGCTGCTGACAGATATTGGAAGCCAAACCTGCTTGGGCTTCCCTTGGGCAGTGTTAAGATTCCAAACCTCACCCCAAAGACGGGGGGATCTGTTACTTTTAAACAATTCCTCAGATGAGTCTTCCATGATCAGGTAAACTTGGGAAACACAGTTCATTGGTTCCGAAACGTTGCTGAACATGAGAATCACCTGGGCAGCCGATCATACTCTGCAGCAATTAAATCAGAAGGTCTGGGGATGCGTCTGGGCGCGGTGGCTCACGCCTGTAATCCCAGCACTCTGGGAGGCTGCGGCGGGTGGATCACCTGAGGCCAGGAGTTCGAGACCAGCCTGGCCAACATGGCGAAACCCTGTCCCTACTAAAAATACAAAAATTAGCCGGGCATGGTGGTGGGTGCCTGTAATCCCAGCTACTCAGGAGGCTGAGGCAGGAGAATCGCTTGAACCAGGGAGGTGGAGGTTGCAGCGAGCCAAGATTGCACCACTGCACTCCAGCCTGGGCGACAGAGGGAGACTCCATCAAAAAAATAAAAAAGGGTCTGGGGATGGGAGCCAAAGATTTCCAGATGGTTCCAATGTGCAGTTTGGAGACCACTGCACTAGGCAATACGTGTCAGCCCAGCAGCTGTAGACACCAGAACACCCCAGGTAAGCCTTTAAAGTGGCCCCAGGTGGCAAGGTAATTATCATCTTCTCTCTCGCGTTGTATTCAATTGTAACAGGTGCCAGCCCCGCGTGGGGGCTCACGCCTGTAATCCCAGCATTTTGGGAGGCTGAGGTGGGCGGATCACCTGAGGTCAGTTCAGGACCAGCCTGAAACCCCGTCTCTACTAAAAAATACAAAAATTGGCCGGGCGTGGTGGCGGGCACTTGTAATCCCAGCCACTCAGGAGACTGAGACAGGAGAATTGCTTGAACCCGGGAGGCAGAGGTTGCAGTGAGCCGAGATCGTGCCATTGCACTCCAGCCCGGGCGACAAGAGAGAAATTCCGTCTCAAAAAAATAAAAAAATTAAAAAAGTAACAGGTGCCTTCAAGTACAATGGCACATTCAGCGAGGCCTGAGGGCGGTAGGGCATCTCTAGCCTAAGGGGGCAGCATGGGGAATGACTGACTAGGCTAGGGCAGGTACCACAAAAAGCCCCACAAGCCCAGAAAACAAAGGAAGCAAACTTTAAACACTCGCTACAGTCTGACCTCGCTACTACCACATAGTGACACCGCATAGTGATCAAAAGAAATGACCAAAAGCCACCCACCCAGAAGGAACCAAGCGGAAATTCCAAGCTTTGGTTTTGTCAGCAAATCAGCAGGATGGGAAGTGGAGAGCGAAGATTGAGACGTTCAGGGCGAAGCCCCTACAGCCAAGGGGCACTATGGGGGGTCAGGCAGGAGAGGGTAACAGCCTAGCCAGGCTTTGCCTTTATTTATTTTGTAAACAGACGGGTCTCGGACTGTCTCCCAGGCTCGAGTTAAGTGGTGTGATCATAGCTCACTGCAGCCTCAGCCTCTTGGGCTCAAGCGATCCTCCCACCTCAGCCTCCTGAGTAGCTGGGACCCCAGGCGCGCGCCACCAGGCCCGGATGATTTTTAATTTTTTGCAGAGACGGGGTCCCACGATGTTGCCCAAATTGGTTTCGAACTCCTGGGCTCAGGCGATGGTCCCGCCTCGGGCTCCCAAAGTGCTCGGATTACAGGCTTGCGCCACCGCGCCTGGCCCAGGCTGTGGTTTTAAAACAGCAGCAAGCAGCCTCCCGCCCCCGGGGCCCCGGCGCGGCGGCTGGGGCCCAGGGAAGGTGTCACCGCCTCGGCTCGCCGCTCCCGGACTCGCCCAGGTGACCGAGGCCAGGATGAGCCGCCGCACGGCGCGGACGCGAGGGCAGCACCCGCCGCGCCCCCCGCGCGGCCCCACGCTCACCCGATGACGTAGGCCAGGATGAGCAGTTGCACGGCGCGGTTCATGAGCCCCACTTTGCGGCTGCGGATGAGCACGATGCGCGGCGTGTCGTACTCGAACAGGAAGGCCGCCAGCGCGGCGCAGCAGCCCGCCATGGCCGCGCCGCCCGCTCCCAGTCCCCTAGTCGGTCTGGGTCCCAGTCCCCGCTCGGAGCCCCGCCCAGTCCGCCTGGCCTGCTGGCGGCGCCGTCATCGCGGAGGAGGGCCCGGAAGGAGGCAGCACGGGCGGTCGGGGCCCGGGGCCCGGGGGAGGGCGCCACCTCCCCGTCGGGAACGATGACCCTCTAGGGGGCATGGAACTCGCGGGGGGGGAGTGGCCTCGCCCTTGAGGACGAAAGGCTCCTTCAAAAGGCGGGCGAGGGGCCGGGGGCGGTGGCTCACACCTGTCATCCCAGCACTTGCGGAGGCCGAGGTGAGAGGAATCTTGAGTTAGAGACCAGCCTGGACAACATAGCGAGACCTCGTCTCTATCAAAAATACAAAAAAAAAAAAAAAAAAAAAAAAAAAGCGGGCGTAGTGGCGCTCGCCTGTAGTCCCAGGGAGGCTGAGGTGAGAGGATCGCTTGAGCCCAGGAGGTAGAGGCTGCCGTGTGAGCTGTGATCGCGCCACTGCACTCCAGTCTGGGAGATGAAGCGAGACCCTGCCTCAATAAACCAGAAACCAAAAAACAACAAAAAAGGCGAGTTGGGGAGTAATGACCTTCTCAGGAGGGCCAGAGAGAACAAGAGACCCTTTCGGGGAAGATGGGGTCCGCGAAGAGAGAGTGACCTCCCATTTGGGACAGAGTTCAAGTGAGGGGTAACGAGCGACCTCCCTTAGGGGTACTGATAGGTGCCAGGGATTTCCGTAGAGGACCCCGGGGCTGTGCGGAGTAGCCATCGCTCACGAGTGCGGGCTCCTAAACTTGGGCAGCTGTGGTTGGGGGAGCTGGGGCCGCGCTGTCCTTAGCCTCTTGGGGAACAGCCTAAATATCAGGTGTCCTGTGAGCCCTGGGTGAGAGCCACACGCCCTGTAAAATACCCCTCCTGGATTTGAAGCCTGGTCGCATTCTCACTCCAAATACTTCCTTAGTTGCAGCCCAGGGGAGATAATTCTGTGGTCATCCTTTCCACTGAGAAAATGCTATCACAACTTTAGGAGAGAAAATAGTGAAAGGGGGGGAAACAGCCACCGTTCTACCCCATGAATACAATTTTCCGCATGTGTATTTGTTCATTCCCTTCAGATACGTTTTTTCTTTTTCTTTTTCTTTTTTTTTTTGAGACGGAGTTTCACTCTTGTCCAGTCTGGAGTGCAGTGGCGCGATCTCGGCTCACTGTAACCTCCGCCTCCCAGGTTCAAGCAATTCTCCTGCCTCAGCCTCTTGAGTAGCTGGGATTACAAGTGCCCGCCACCACGCCCAGCTAATTTTTGTATTTTTATTAGAGACAGGTTTTCACCATGTTGGCCAGGCTGATCTCCAGCTCCTGACCTCCCATGATCCACCCGCCTCGGGCTCCCAAAGTGTTGGGATTACAGGCGTGAGCCACTGCGCCTGGCCCAGATGTGTTTTCACAGGTGAATGTTATATTTAGTTTCCCAGAAAATATTCATAAGCACATCCTTTATGCCAAGTACTGTCCAGTGAACAGGACAAGCAAAATATCCTGCCTTCATGCAGCATAAATTCCAACAGGTAATTGGTATAAAGTTTTGGTTTGTAATCATAGTCAATGGCTGTGCTTTTCATTTTCTGATTCGCACTACGTGGTTTCTGTGTTACTGCAGACTCATCATAATGACAATTTTTAATCCATGGACCATTTCTTCCGGAAAATATACCACGATGTCTCTAACCGCTCTCATCTGCTTGCTTCTTAGTTTGTGGATCCTATGCATAATCTTTGATACAACATTTTTAGCTCATTTCCTGGATATGAGATTCCTAAGTAAGCCACACCAACTTGTTTTTCCAAATATAGAAAGGTGAATAATAAAATTTGCAGAAAACAGGCAGCATCTGCCTCTAAGAGATGGAATTCTTAAGTTAGAGGGAGGAACAGAGATGCCCATGCCAGCCTTGGTCCAAAATGGTCTCAGGAAAAGGTGGTGGTATTTTATTCATTCATTTGACAGAAATTTACTGAGTGCCTGTTGTGTGCTTGGCACTTTTCTTGATGCTAGGGCTATGGAGTGGACAGGTGAGGTATCTGCCCAAATGGAGTTTGGTGCAATTGGGAAGCCTCAAATTATCTGTAGAAGAAGAAAACTCCATTGCTAAATCCTCATTGGAAGGGGACTTAAAAATCATTTCCTTAAGAATCAAAACATGGCTGGGCACGGTGGCTCACACCTATAACTGCAGCACTTTGGGAGGCCGAGGCAGGCGGATGATCATGTGAGGTCAGGAGCTGGAGACCAGCCTGGCCAACATGGTGAAACCTCATCTCTACTGAAAATATAAAAAACTTAGCTGGGCCTTATGGCAGGTGCCTGTAATCCCAGCTACTCGGGAGGCTGAGGCAGGAAGAATTGCTTGAACCTGGGAGGCGGAGGTTGCAGTGAGCTGAAATTGTGCCACTGCACTCCAGCCTGGGTGACAGACTCCATCTCAAAACAAACAAACAAACCCCAAAAAACACCAGGCACGTGGCTTACACCTTTAATCCCAGCACTTTGGCAGGCCAAGGTGGGTGGATCACCTGACATTGGGAGTTCGAGACCAGCCTGACCAACAATGGAGAAACCCCGTCTCTACTAAAAATACAAAAATTAGCTGGGCGTGGTGGCGCATGCCTGTAATCTCAGCTACTCAGGAGGCTGAGGCAGGAGAATTGCTTGAACCGGGGAGGTGGAGGTTGCCATGAGCTGATCACGCCATTGCACTCCAGCCTGGGCGACAAGAGTGAAACTCCATCTCAGAAAAAATAAAAATAAAAAATAATGGCAGCAATCAAAACACATTTCCAGCCTTCATTCATACTTACCCTATAGTAATGAGTTAGTCCCAACCTCACA
Source organism: Homo sapiens (assembly GCF_000001405.40). Lineage (NCBI taxonomy): Eukaryota > Metazoa > Chordata > Mammalia > Primates > Hominidae > Homo > Homo sapiens. The sequence continues at coordinate 121,207,263 of NC_000012.12, read as the reverse complement.
AATCTTGAATTTAGATGGTTTGCTTGTGTTTTGGAATGGGGTCAGTTAAGAAAAATGTAGAAATGCAAGTTTTTATAAATTACTAGTTGGTAACATCATTAGGCCTGACCAAAGAAGCTGATCCTAAAAAATGATTTGGAAAAGTTATTTTGTTTACACTGTTGCTCTTGGATTATCTCTTTTTAAAAAATAACTTTATTGACCAGACATGGTGGCCCATTCCTGTAATCCCAGCACTTTGAGAGACTAAGTTGGGAGGATTGCTAGAGCCCAGGAGTTTGAGACCAGCCTGGACAACATAGGGAGACCCCCATCTCTATAAATACTTTAAAAATTAGCCAGCCATGCTGGTGCATGCCTGTGGTCCCAGCTACTTGGGAGGCTGAGGCAGGAGGATCACTTGAGTTTAGGAGGTCAAGGTTGTAGTGAGCTGCAATTGTGCCACTGCACTCCAGCCTGGGTGACAGAGTGAGACCCTGTCTCAAAAATAAATAAGAAGGCGGGATGCGGTGGCTCACACCTGTAATCCCAGCACTTTGGGGGGCCGAGGTGGGTGGCTCACTTGAGCTCAGGAGTTCCAGACCAGCCTGGGCAACATGGTGAAACCCCATCTCTACAAAAAGTACAAAAATTAGCTGGGCATGGTAGCACGCACCTGTAGTTGTAGTCCCAGCTACATAAAATTTTTAAAAAAATAAATTGGCCAGGTGTGGCTCACACCTGTAATCCCAGCACTTTGAGAGGTTGAGGTAGGTGGATCACTTGAGGTCGGGAGTTTGAGACCAGCCTGACCAACATGGTGAAGCCCCATCTCTACTAAAAATACAAAAGTTAGCCGGGTGTGGTAGTGCATGCCTGTAATCCCAGCTACTTGGGAGGTTGAGGTAGGAGAATTGCTTGAGCCCAGCAGGCGGAGGCTGCAGTGAGCTGATATTGTGCCACTGCCCTCCAGCCTGGGTGACACAGTGAGACTCTGTCTTAAAAAAAATAATATAATAAAAATAATAAGGAAAGAGAGAAAATTAAAAATGGATCAAAGACATACATATAAGAGCTAAAATTATAAATCTCTCTGATGAAAACATAGGGGCAAATCTTTGTGACCTCGGATTAGACAGTGGTTTTTTAGATTTAGATTTTGTTGCCTAAAGCAAGGCAACAAAAGAAAAAAATAGATAAATTGGACTACTTTGTCAAAACTGAAAAGTTCGTGCTTCAAAGTTACCATCAAGAAAGGGAAAAACCCACAGAATGATAAAATATTCACATATCCTATATCTGTTAAGGATCTAGTATTTCAGATATCGTAAGAACTCTTAAAACTCACCAATAACATGACAACCCTATTTAAAAATGGGCAAACATATCTGAATAGACATTTCTCCAAAGAAGATATACACATGAGATCAATAAACACAAGAAGATGCTCGATATCATTATCGTTAGGGAAATACAAATCAAAGCCACAGTGAGATACCATTTCCTCCCCACTAGCATGGTTATAATTAAAAAGATGGACAATCAAAAAGCTGGCAAGGATGTGGAGAAACTGGAACCCTCACACATTACTCATGGGAATGTAAAATGGTCCAGCTGCTTTTTACTCGTGGGAATGTAAAATGGGCCAGCTGCTTTGGAAAACAGCAGTTCCTCAAAATGTTAAACATAGAAATTACCGTAGGACCAAGATATTCCTTTTCTAGGATTTCCCCAGAGAATTAAAAAGATATGTTCTGGGCGGGGCTCCGTGGTTCACGCCTGTCATCCCAGCACTTTGGGAGGCCGAGGCAGGTGGATCACTTGAGGCCAGGAGTTCGAAACCAGGCTGGGCAACATGGAGAAACCCCATCTCTACTCAAAATACAAAAATTAGCCAGGCATGGTGGTGCATGCCTGTAATCCCTGTAATCAGCTACTCAGGAGGCTGAGGCAAGAGAATCACTTGAACCTGGGAGGTTGCAGTGAGCCGAGATCGCACCATTGCACTCCAGCCTGGGTGACAGAGCGAGACTCCGTATCAAGAAAAAAAAAAAAGAAAAGAAAAGCTATGTTTGGCATCTGACCTTGTCTCTTTAACCTTCCCATGCCCACTTGGGCCTCTTCCAAGCACAGCTTCCTTTCCCATCCTAAGGCATTTCAAATAAACTTCCACCCCTCCTCTGAAAAAGAAAAATGTTCATGCAAAAACTTGTACATGAGTATTCATAGCAGCATTCATAATGGCCAAAAAGTGGAAACAATCTAAATGTCCATCAACTAATGAACACATAAACACAATGTGGTCCATCCATACAATGGAACATGATTCAGCCACAGGAAGGAAGCACTGACACGCGCCACACCACGGATGACCCTTGAAAACACCACGCTGAGTGAGAGGAGCCAGATGCCACAGGGCACTTATCGTATGATTCTGTGTATAGGAAATGTCTGGAATAGGCAAATCCATAGAAACTGAAAGTAGAGGCCGGGTGTGGTGGCTCACGCCTGTAATCCCAGCACTTTGGGAGGCTGAGGCGTGCATATCACCTGAGGTCAGGAGTTTGAGACCAGCCTGACCAACATAGAGAAACCCCATCTCTACTAAAAATACAAAATTAGCTGGGCATGGTGGTGCACGCCTGTAATCCCAGCTACTCAGGAGGCTGAGGCAGGAAAATCGCTTGAACCTGGGAGGCGGAGGTTGCGGTGAGCTGAGATCGCGCCATTGGACTCCAGCCTGGGCGACAAGGGCAAAACTCCGTCTCAAAACAAAACAAAACAAAACAAAACTGATAGTAGATTAGTGGTTGCCAGGGGCTGGGGGAAAGAAAGGATGGAAAGTGGCTGCTGGTGAGTACAAGGTTTCCATTTAGGGTGATGAAAATGTGCTGGAAAAGAAAGTGGTGATAGTTGCGGAACCTGTGAATATACTAAAAGCCGCTGAATTGTACATTTAAAAAGAGTAAATTTTATGGTATGTGAGTTATGTCTCAGTAATAATTCCAGTAAACAGGGAGTAAACAACCAAGGTCTCAAGAAAAGCAAAGTATATACCACGAATCCATGGGGCCAGACGTCATATTCCTTCTTCACAGGGGAGCATCTCAGGCCCTCACACCAAGCTTACCTTTTTTTTTTCCTTTTTGAGACAGGGTCTCCCTGTGTCACCTGGACTGGAATGCAGTGGCATGATCTCGGCTCAGTGCAACCTCCGCCTCCTGGGTTCGAGCAATCCTCCCACCTCAGCCTCCCAAGTAGCTAAGACTACATGCACACGCCACCATGCCCAGCTAATTTTTTGTATTTTTGGTAGAGATGGGGTTTCACCAGGTTGCCCAGGCTGGTCTTGAACTCCTGAGTTCAAGCGATCCATCTGCCTCGGCCTCCCAAAGCGTGGGGTTACAGTCGTGAGCCACCGCGCCCGGCCTCTTTTTAGTTCAGATGCGATTGGAGCAGTTTCGATTTTCTGGTTCCTTTGTTGCTGGTGAAGCCAGTTCATCAGTACCTGCTTTCTCTAGGCTGTCATTTCTCGCAGAGGTGGTGCAGCAGCTGTTTTTATACTATGTGACCTTATCTTCCTGGCCACAGCTGACTGGACCACAGGTGGGAAACTGACCCAGCCGGGCCAGTCTCTCCTCTGGCTTTGGCATTGGGATAGTGACAACTCTTTCTTCTCTGCAGGTGACTGGAACTGATTTGACATAACCATCGTATGCATGGAGAAGCTGAGAACAGTAATCTGCAGAAGCAAAAGTATGAAACAGCCGGGCAAAGATGCACAGAGGTGAGAGAGACGAAGGGAACGGCCTCTGGTTTCTGTTGAGCTTCCACTTCTTGGTTCTGCCTCCTCCCCCCGTTCACCTTTACCTTTGAGATACCCCCATAATCTCATAATAAGTGTTCATTTTTTACTTAACCTAGTAGCCTTCTGAAACTTGGAATTGAAAAGACTATGTCTATAGCCCTAGGATCTAACAGATAAAAAATGTATTATGTCACCAGTAACGTAGGTGGTAAAACAAACATTTGTTTGAATGCAGCAAATTAGAAGGAGGTGGGACGCGTTGCCCCAGGCCACCAATACTAAGAGCAGCGATACACAAATAGCCCATAAAAAAGAAATGTTTCTATAAAAAGCAGAGCCAAGAACTCCGAAAAGCTCATCAGTCTGGGGCCATTTAGTTTAGAGACCTCAGTGTGCCTTAGGGTGTCATTTGGTTATGGTTATGTAAGACTGACATTTGTTACAATGGCCTTGAGCCGCAAAAGGCCAGTCAGAAGAGACAGTGTCATTTGTTTAGGAGAATCTACAATGAAAAAATGTTTAAATTAAATGTTTAGGCATTTAAAGATGTAAGACTCGCTTATCTGGCACATAGACATTGTGAAATACGTCATTGTATAACAGAATGACAGATACGTGTGGCACACAGTATAATTATATATACTTCCAGAAACAGAACGTCTAAATAAAGAACAAGTTGATAGCAGAAGTGAGGAATAAATTATTTTATAATTTTGCTGTTGCTTTCCCTGGGTAGTGCTTGAGACTGAATCTATTGTGGAACAACAACAACAAAAAAAACAAAAAGCAAAAAAACAGAACAGAAAAACCCTGACTCTTATCTAACAGGCCATATGTTGATCACAGATAATCCTCTCAACCCCATCAGACCCAACGTCCTTTTCGTTTTTTTGACACAGGGTCTCTCTCTGTTGCCCAGGCTGGTGTGCAGTGGCGGGATGTCAGCTCACTGCAACCTCCGCCTCCCAGGTTCAAGCAATTCTCCTGCCTCAGCCTCCCAAGTAGTAGCTGGGATTACAGGCACCCACCACCATGCCCTGCTAATTTTTGTATTTTTAGTAAAGACAGGGTTTCACCCTGTTGATCAGGCTGGTCTCAAACTCCTGACCTCAGATGATCCACCCACCTTGGCCTCCCAAATTGCTGGGATTACAGGCGTGAGCCACCATGCCGGCCACTTGTATTATGGTTTTAAAGTGTAAGACTTCTTTATATATTCTAGATACAAATTCCATATCAGATATATGATCTATAGATGTTTTCTCCCATTCAGTGGGTGGGAGGAATTACAGGTTGTTGAAATGGAGGAGATGGGGAAGGATGATATTCCTGCAGATGAGCTGGACATATTCTAATACCTGGATCTTGACATCTTAGCACATTTGACATTCGGTCTTTAGGCTGTAAAAGACCTCAGAGATCACACCCTTTGATAGGCAGCGTAGAATAAAAGGTGGATGGGGAATAACCTGTGACTGCAAGAGGCAGTGTGGGGGAATTGTCTGATACTGCTGAAAACAAGAGGCAGCCCCAAATTCATCAATCCTGTATGTGATTTTCACAACAAATTTTTGTTTGTTTCTTTTTAAATTTCACAATGAAATTTCATGTCACTGTGCCACGAAGAAAAAATTGTAATATATAGAATGGAAATAATGTAAAATCTATATATTTTATTTCGTTTTACTTGGTTGAAAATGTGTAACATTTATGATTTTTTTTTTAGTTTTTAACTTTTTTTATTTTTATTTTTATTTTTTGAGACGGAATTTCGCTCTTGTTGCCCAGGCTGGAGTGCAATGGTGCGATCTTGGCTCACCGCAACCTCTGCCTCCCAGGTTCAGGCAATCCTCCTGCCTCAGCCTCCCAAGTAGCTGGGATTACAGGCATGCACCACCACGCTTGGCTAATTTTGTATTTTTAGTAGAGATGGGGTTTCTCCATGTTGGTCAGGCTGGTCTCGAACTCCCGACCTCAGGTGATCTGCCCACCTGGGCCTCCCAAAGTGCTAGGATTACAGGCGTGAGCCACTGTGCCCCGCCCGTTTTTTAAAATTCTTAAAAAAAAAAAAAAAAAGAAAGAAATGGGGTCTCACTATGTTGCCCAGGCTGATGTCAAACTCCTGGCCTGAAGCAATTCTCCCAGCTCTGCTTCCCAAAGTGCTGGGATTACAGACATAACCCAGTGAGTCCAGCAAGGCAAAACTATTGAAAAGCTTTTTTATTTTTTATTTATTTATTTTTTTAGAGACAGAGTGTTGCTCTGTCCCCCAGGCTGGAGTGCAATGGCGTGATCTTGGCTCACTGCAACCTCCATCTCCTGGGTTCAAGCAATTCTCCTGCCTCAGCCTCCCAAGTAGCTGGGATTATAGGCGCCCACCACCACACCTGGCTAATTTTTTGTATTTTTAGTAGAGACGGGGTTTCCCCATGTTGGCCAGGCTGGTCTCGAACTCCTGACCTCAGGTGAACCACCCGCCTTGGCCTCCCAAAGTGCTGGGTTTATAGGTGTGAGCCACTGCGCCCGGCTGAATGAGGCTCCATCTCAAGATAAAATAAAATAAAATAATGATAGTATGCTGTGGAAAGATATTTGAGATAATTAAATGGAAAAATATAACAGGGCAATATGTGTACTGGGTCTTCAAATTTTTGTGTTTATAGAAAAAAGTGTGGCAGATCATAAATTAAAATCTTAACTGGTTTTTCTGGGAAGGGTGAAACTATAGATGATTTTTGCTCTGCATACTTATCTGCATTTTTAAAAATGTCTACTCTGAAGTTGATTACTTTTCTTAAGAGAAGGCCGGGCACGGTGGCTCACACCTGTAATCCCAGCACTTTGGGAGGCCAAGGTGGGCCGATCACGAGGTCAAGAGATCGAGACCAGCCTGGCCAACATGGTGAAACCCCGCCTCTACTAAAAATACAAAAATTAGCTGGGTGTGGTGGCGGGTGCCTCTAGTACCAGCTACTTTGGAGGCTGAGGCAGGAGACTCGCTTGAACCCGGGAGGCGGAGGTTGCAGTGAGCCGAGATTGTGCCGCTGCACTCCAGCCTGGGTGATAGAGCGAAACTCCATTTCAGAAAAAAAGAAAAGAAAAGAAAAGAAAAACAATTTTAAAGCTACTCCTAAAAATGTTTATGAAGTATATTTAATTATATGGAGGAAATGCTTATGCTGTAATGTTAAGTGAGGAAAAAGGCAAGGCAAGATACAAAACAGCGTGTGTTAGAATCTAAATTATACACATCAAAAGAAGAGAAGCATCTTGCTTCATCCAGGGAGAATGATCTTTTTTTTTTTTTTGATAGAGATGGAGTCTCACTGTTTTACCCAGCCTGGTCTTGATTCCTGGGCTCAAGCAAACCTCCTGCCTTGGCCTTCCAAAGTGTTGGGATTACAGGTGTGAGCCACCGCGCCTGACCAGAATGATTCTTTGAATCAATCTCTTTTCTTCCCTAGTATTTGTCTTTAAAGTGCTAGATTAGGCCAGGCGCGGTGGCTCACGCCTGTAATCTCAGCACTTTGGGAGGCCAAGGTGGGCAGATCATGAGGTCAGGAGTTCAAGACCAGCCTGGCCAACATAGGGAAACCCTATCTCTACTAAAAATAGAAAAATTAGCCAGGCATGGTGGCATGCACCTGTAGTCCCAGCTACTCAGGAGGCTGAGGCAGGAGAATCGCTTGAACCCGTGAGGCAGAGGTTGCGATGAGCCAAGATCGCACCACTAAACCAACAGAGGGAGACTTCGGCTCCAAAAAAAAAAAAAAAAAAAAAAAAAAAGACTGTAATCTCAGCACTTTGGGAGGCCGAGGTGGGTGGATTATGAGGTCAGGAGATTGAGACCATCCTGGCTATTGAGACCATCCTGGCTAACACAGTGAAACCCCATCTGTACTAAAAATACAAAAAATTAGCCGGGCGTGGTGGCACGTACCTGTAGTTCCAGCTACTTGGGAGACTGAGGCAGGAGAATTGCTTGAACCCGGGAGGCGGAGGTTGCAGTGAGCCGAGATTGCGCCACTGTACTCCAGCCTGGGTGATAGAGCGAGACTCTGTCTCAAAAAAAATAAATACATAAAAATAAAAAGCTTACAGTGATCTGAATCCCACTCAAGCTGTGTATTTGTATCTGTTACAGACGGAAGCAAGGAAGGTAAGTCCTTGGCTGATCAGCCCTCTGATTTACCTGGGACTGAGAGGTTTCCTGGACAAGGGACTTTCTGTGCTAAAACCGGGAAGGTCGAGGCCAAACAGGATGAGTCGGTCACCTTCAGAAGGATTAAGTCAATGGACTTCAGGAAGGCTGATGACAGGCTGTATTAGGCCAGAACTCTATAAGCCATTGACACCCTCTCCTCCTTCCCTTGTCCACACCAGGCTTCACTCTGGAGAGAATGGCTAAACCTGTACTAGTTAAACTCAAACTTTCCTTGAAAGACAGTTTTACAGGGCAGTGGGGCGGCGGGGGTGGGGGGTCGGGGAACCAAGGAAACAAAGAACCCTGAAACAGATCTGTTAGAAAAGAAGGGGCTATTACAAGAAGCAGGGAGGCTTTCCAGGAAATGTGCCTTCCAAAACCCTATTTCTGGCCGGACGCAGTGGCTCATATCTGTAATCCCAGCACTTTGGGAGGCCGAGGCAGGCAGATCCCTTGAGTCCAAGAGTTCAAGACCAGCCTGGGCAACATGGCAAGACCCCATCTCTACAAAAAGTACAAAAAATTAGCCAGGCGTGGTGGCACATGTCTGTAGTTCCAGCTACTCAGGAGTCTGAGGTGGGAGGATCCCTTGAGCCCAGGAGGTGGAGAGCTAAGATCATACAACTGCACTCCAGCCTGGGTGACAGAGCAAGACCCTGTTTCAAAAAAACCCAAACCAGCCGGGCACAGTGGCTCACACCTGTAATCCCAGCATTTTGGGAGGCTAAGGTGGGTGGATCACCTGAGGTCAGGAGTTTGACACCAGCCTGACCAATATGGTGAAACCCCATCTCTACTAAAAATACAAAAATTAGCCAGGCATGGTGGTGGGCACCTGTAATCCCAGCTACGTGGGAGGCTGAGACAGGAGAATTGCTTGAACCCGGGAGACAGAGGTTTCAGTGAGCCGAGATCGCGCTACTGCACTTGCTGTGGGTGACAGAGTGAGACTGTGTCTCAAAAACAAAACAAAACAAAAACCGTGGGGAATTTTTTTTTAAAGTGTGAAAAAAAATAGAAAACTACATTTCTTGTGATCTTGTATCAGACACCTTCAAGCTTACCTGAAAGTTTGAATCAAAACAAAATAACAAAGTGTGCCTTTTATATAACTTGTCTCGTTGTGAAGACCCATCTGCTTTTTTCTCTGGTGAAGACAGGTTTTCTGAAACACACAGTGTTGAGTCTTTCCCATCCCTCAACAATTACTGGATTATTAGCTAAATAAGCATTCTCCAGCAGATCTAAATCTGACACAACAAGAATGCACGTTTCTTTGGCTCTGAACAGCATTTTATCTTTTGAAAACCACCTTCACGTGAGTGATACTCAGAATCCCATTTTACAGTTGAGTAAAAGCTCAAACTCATTTGTTTCTGATAAAACATTCTGGAGGTCTCCTTGCAAATTTTTCTGGTTCATTATGCCTCCCTTTATCCTCCATAAGATAATAGTTCATAGCCTATAGTCCCAGCTACTCAGGAGGCTTGAGCCCAGGAGTTCAAAGCCAGTCTGGGCAACATGGTGAGACTATGTCTCTAAAAAATAATTTAAAAAAAGATAGCCAGGCAGGGTGGCTCATGCCTGTAATCCCAGAACTTTGGGAGGCTGAGGTGGGCAGATCACGAGGTCAGGAGTTCGAGACCAGCCTGACCAACATGGTGAAACCCTGTCTCTACTAAAAATACAAAAATTAGCTGGGAATGGTGGTGGGTGCCTGTAATCCCAGCTACTCAGGAGGCTGAGGCAGGATAATTGCTTGAACCCGGGAGGCGGAGGTTGCAGTGAGCCGAGATTGTGCTGCTGCACTGCAGCCTGGGCAACAGAGCGAGACTCCATCTAAAAAAATAAAATAAAATAAAGAGATAATAATTGGTCGCTAAGAGGGAAGGAAGGAAAGCAGGACTCCTCAGACTCCAAAACTATCAACGTGTTATAACATTTTGCATTTTCAGTTGTTTTAGAGGTGGATAAGAATAACCTTTAAGTCCACATAAGAATCACAAAATGTTCTGTTGAGATTTCCCCAATTATTTATTTATTTATTTATTTTTGAGATGGATTTTCGCTCTTGTTGTCTAAGGCGTTAGGTGTGTGAGCTACACACCGAATCATGAGATACATGGCATGCAGTGATGTCAGCACAGCCAACAGGAAGTGTTTGTGGAGAGTAGCGCCCTATCCCTTTCTTCACTTGCTTCCCTTTTTCTCGTTTTTCTATCTCATGAGTTCCATTCTCTGGGCAATAGGAAATTGAGAGGGAAGTGGGGTGACTCAGTACAGTTAGTTTCTTTTGGCTTTCTTTGAAGCCGCCCTGCTTCTTGCAATAGCCCCTTCTTTTCTAACAGATCTGGGTCAAGTTTAACTAGCACAGGTTTAGCTACTGTCTCCAGAGTGAAGCTTGGGATGGACAAGGGGAGGGGGAATGGGCATCAAAGTAGGAAATTGAGTGGGAAGTGGGGGACAAAGTACAGTCAATTTCTTTGGGTCAGTGGAGGATAAAAGTTGCTTCTTTCCTGCCCTAAGAAATATCCAGAATGCTTATCTCTTGCCTTTAGTCATTTTACCCTAACCCAATTAGGGTTAGCATTAGGGCTAAGGTTAGGGTTAGCCTTAGGGTCAGCCTTAGCCTTCCATTTGGACAAAATCTGCCATTTGGCCGGGCGCAGTGGCTCATGCCGGTAGTCCCAGCACTTTGGGAGGTGAGGAGGGCAGATTTCTTGAGGCCAGGAGTTCGAGAACAGACTGGCCAACATGGCGAAACCCCATCTCTACGAAAATACAAAAATTATCTGCGTGTGGTGGTGCACACCTGTAATCCCAGTTACTTGGGAGGCTGAGGCAGGAGAATCACTTGAACCTGGTAGGCGGAGTTTGCAGTGAGCCAAGATCACGCCACTGTACTCCAGTCTGCACGACAGAGTGAGACTACAGCTCAAATAATAATAATAATGATAATAATAATAATAATAATAATAATAATAAAAATAGTGTGAACCCGGGAGGTGGAGCTTGCAGTCAGCCAAGATCGTGCCACTGCACTCCAGCCTGGGCAACAGAGTGAGACTCCGTCTCAAAAATAAATAAATAAATAAAATAAAAATAAAAATAAAAATAAAAATAATATAAATATGAAAATAAAGTTCTGCTTTAGCTGTGTGCCACCGATTTTGACATATATTACATTCATTATCCAGTTCTATTGAGTCATTTAGCAATATTTCTTACAATATTTCAATCAGCTTCCAAATATTTTAAAAATCTACCTCTTAAAAATTAATTTCTGGCTGGCGTGGTGGCTCACGCTTATAATCCCAACACTTTGGGAAGCTGAGGCAGGCAGATCACCTAAGGTCAAGAGTTCGAGTCCAGCCTGGCCAACATGGCGAAACCCTGTCTCTACTAAAAATACAAAAATTAGCCGGGCATGGTGGCAGGCGTCTGTAATCCCAGCTACTCGGGAGGCTGAGGTAGGGAGAATTGCTTGAACCCAGGAGGTGGAGGTTTCAGCGAGCCGAGATTGCACCACTGCACTCCAGCCCTGGCGACAGAGCGAGACTCTGTCTCAAATGAAAAAAAAAAAAAAAGAAAAAAAAGAAAATGAATTTCTAATTTCCTTGAAATGTGGTTAGAGAACCTGGTCTGTATCATATTGCTGTTGGGAATGTATTGAGGAAAATACATGATCTAATGCATATCTGTTGTTATAACCCTTCCTTGTGCATCCTAAAAAAGAATGTATGGGCCAGGCACGGTGGCTCATGCCTGTAATCCCAGCACTTTGGGAGGCCAAGGCAGGCAGATCACCTGAGGTCAGGAGTTCGAGACCAGCCTGGCCAACATGGTGAAACCCCGTCTCTACTAAAAATACAAAAATTAGCCGGACACAGTGGCGGGCGCCTGTAATCCCAGCTATTTGGGAGGCTGAGGCAGGAGAATTGCTTAAACCCGGGAGGCAGAGGTTGCAGTAAGCCGAGATTGTGCCACTGCACTCCAGCCTGGGCGAAAGAGTGAGACTCCATCTCAAAAAAAAAAAAAAAAAAAAAAAAGAATGTACCTTCTATATCTGATAGCTTGATAGCTTGAGTGAGGCCCTTTCTGAGAAAGTCCATCTGAGCTGAGATCTGGATGTCAGGAAGGAGCTAGCTCTCTGAATACTTTTCCTAGGAGAAAGTATTCTAGGCAAAGGGAATAGCAGGTGCAGAGTCCCTGAGGTAGGAATGAGCTTGATATGTTCCAGGAACAGAAGGAAAGTCAATATGAATGGAGCATAGTGGGCAAGGAGGAGAGTGATGTGAGCTAACCCCTTGAGAGACAGTCAGAGGCCAGATCGAGTAGGGCCTTCGAGGCCAGAGTATGGACTTCAGCCTTAGCTAATGCAGTACATTCACTGACACCTACGGGTGGTTTGCCAAGCACTTGTCAGGTACAAATTGGTCTCATCTTATACAATGGAGAGAGCATTTTGAGATTATTATCATTATCACTTTTTTTTTTTTTTGAGACAGTCTGGCTCTGTCACCTAGGCTGGCGTGATCTTGGTTCACTGCAACCTCAGCCTCCCAGGTTCAGGCAATTCTCCTTGCCTCAGCCTCCAGAGTTGCTGGGATTACAGGCGCCCGCCTCCATGCCCGGCTCATTTTTGTATTTTTAGTAGAAATGGGGTTTCACCATGTTGGTCAGGCTGGTCTTGAACTCCTGACCTCGTGATCCACCCAGCTCGGCCTCCCAAGGTGCTGGGATTACAAGTGTGAGCCACCGTGCCCATCCCATCCTCACATTTTGAGATTAAAAGTACCTTACAGGCTGGGTGTGGTGGCTCACGCCTGTAATCCCAGCACTTTGGGAGGCCAAGTCAGGAGGATTATTTGAGCCTGGGAGTTTGAGACCAGCCTGTGCAACATGGTGAGACCTCGTCTCTACAAAACATAAAAAATTAGCCAGGCATGGTGGCATGTGCCTGTAGTCCCAGCTACTTGGGAGGCTGAGGCAGGAGGATCAGTCGAGCCCAGAAGATTGAGGCTACAGTGAACTGTGTTCATGCCACTGCACTCCAGCCTGGGTGACAGAGTGAGACCTTGTCTCCAAAAAAATCAAATAAATCAAATAAATAAAAAATTTAAAAGTACCTTAGAGAGCATGCTTAGCCTAATCCTTTTCTTTTGCAAATAAGGAAACGAAGAAGAGTTCTAAAGTGTTCTCACAGCCAGGGTCTGCGCATCCCTGTGCCTCTTCCATAGACAAGCTCCTGAAAAGGAGGACTCAGTTCTTACAATTTCATTCAGATGTTCTTGAAGGAATCTTATCTTCTTATGAACTCCTTTGTAAAGAAAAATTACTCTCGCCCCTCCCATTTACTTTTTTTGTAAATGTAGATTTTTATCAATCGGATTTTCCTTCTTTTTTTTTTTGAGATGGAGTCCTGCTGTGTCGCCCAGGCTGGTGTGCAGTGAGTGGCATGATCTCGGCTCACTGCAACCTCTGCCTCCCGACTTCAAGTGATTCTCCTGCCTGAGCCTCCTGAGCAGCTGGGACTACAGGCGCGTACCACCACACCCAGCTGGTTTTTGTATTTTTAGTAGAGACGGGGTTTCACCACATGGCCAGGCTGGTTTCGAATTCCTGACCTCGTGATCCACCCGCCTCGGCCTCCCAAAGTACTGGGATTACAGGTGTGAGCCACCGTGCCTGGCCCATTAACTATCTTGCTATGGCATCATTTAAAATAGCTGCATACCCTCCTGTTATATGACTGTGCCATAATTTACTTAACCAATCTCCTCCTGTTGGACTCAGAGGAATTTTTAAAAATTCATTTAGCCAGGCTGGGGGTGATGGCTCACACCTATAATCCCAGAGCTTTGAGAGGCCCAGGCGGGAGGATTGCTTGAGGCCAGGAGTTTAAGGCCAGCCTGGGCAACATAGGGAGACCGTATCTCTACAAAACAAAAACAAAAACAACAACAACCAAAAAACAACAACAACAACAAAACCCCCCATATATATATATCTCTCTTCCTTTTCTTTCTATCACCACCACCAATTCAGTAGCACAGGTGGCTTACTGAGTCACTCCTATATAATCCCAGCTGACTTCTAAATGATGTCACTTCCCCAGGCTTCCCCTCCCATCCCACGTCCTCATGTCGGTCTGAGGGATTTTTTTTTTTTTTTTAATTTTTGAGAAGGAGTCTCGCTCTGTCACCCAGGCTGGAGTGCAGTGGAGCGATCTTGGCTCACTGCAACCTCTGCCTCCCAGGTTCAAGCGATTCTCCTGCCTCAGCCTCCCGAGAAGCTGGGACTATAGGTGCATGCCACCACCCCTGGCTAATTTTTTGTATTTTTAGTAGAGACGGAGTTTCACCGTGTAAGCCAGGATGGTCTCCACTTGCTGATCTCATGATCCGCCCGCCTTGGCCTCCCAAAGTGCTGAGATTACAGGCGTGAGCCACTGCACCCGGCTGGGATTTCTTAAGTCACTGCTTTTCTCATGTCCTCTGTCAGCCCCAAGAACGGCTCCATCTTAACTTTGCAACTGGTTCAAACATCTCAGCCTTTTTTTCTTTTTGAAGGTTTCCCCAAATCAGTCCCATTTAATCTCCCTCCACTATGATAGTCATTTGTTTCTGGGCCTGGCTTGTGCTGCTGGTCCTGTTGGGAATGCCTCCTCTCATCCCACTGTTTCCAGCCCCTTCCTCCAGTGAGGGCCCGCTTACATCTCACCAGCTTCATAACCCTCCCAAGGCTGTGCTTGCCTGTGAATTTCGCCTTTCTTTGAGCGTCTGTTTCAGTGAGATGGAACCACCCAGTTTAGGAGGCAGTAAGAAAACAAGCAAGACTGTGTCTCTCACCGCATAGTTGCACTGGCCATCTGACAGGTCCTGGAGCACACTCATTTCTTTTCTTTTCTTTTTTTTTCTTTTTGAGATAGATTATTACTATGTTACCCAGGCTGGCCTCAAACTCCTGGGCTTAAGGGATGATCTCTCGTCGCTGGGACTACATGTGTGTGCTCCTGCACCAGGCTCTGGAACACTCTTATTTCTCTCTCACCCCTCAGCTTTATGTTTTCCATCCCTCTTCCTGGAATGCCCTTCTTTCAACTCATTACAGCTGGCTCCTTCTTGATATTCAGATCTAGTGTAAATGTCACTTCCTTGGAGACACTATCCCTGCCCCTTGTCAGAAGTAACTCCCTTGCTCCTATCACAGCATCCTGCTTGTTTCTTTCAAACTCTGTATCCCAAGCTGTCCTCACTGCATTTCTTTTCACCGTGATTGCCTGTCTGCCCCACTGCACCTAACCTCCCAAAGAGCCTCTCTTATTCACCTGTTCATCCCTAGCTCCTGTACAGTGCTGGGGTGCTCAGTAAGTGTTTGCTGAATGAACAGATGAGATTGGACAGAACGGGGAAGGAGAAGGGAGACATCAAGGTATCCTTTGAATTTCTGGCTTGGGAAGTTGAACTGATGGCAGGTGGTGCTACTGGCTGATCTTGGGAGCTCTGGAAGTCACATGTGGGTGGGGTGAACTGAGATCATGATTTGTCTTTTGTAGCTGTTTGAATTGCCTCTAAACCATTTAAGTATAGAATATCTGGAGGTGGTTAAATATATGGGCCTGGAGCTCGAGAGCAATGCTTGGGCACCATCCAAATCATAAGAATAGCTACCATGGCTAGACATGAGAAGCTGCCCAAAGCCATGTATTAGTCTGTTCTCACACTGCTAATAAAGACATACCAAAGACTGGATAATTTATATAGGAAAGGTTTAATTGACTCACAGTTCCAATGTGTCACCTGGGGAGGGCTGGGGAGGCCTCACAATCATGACAAAGGCAAGGAGGAGCAAAGCCACATCTTACATGGTGGCAGGCAAAACAAGAATGAGAGCCAAGCAAGAGGAGAAACCCCTTATAAAACCCTCAGATCTCGTGAGACATATTCACTACCACGAGAACAATATGGGGGAAACCGCCCCCATGATTCAATTCTCTCCCACCAGGTCCCTCCCACAACACATGGGAATTATGGGAGCTAACAATTCAAGATGAGATTTGGGTGGGGACACAGCCAAACCATATCAGGCCACTTGGCCAATAAGTGACCAAGCCAGGATTTGAACCAGGTGGTTTGTTTCCAGTGCCCATCATACCACTGGACTGAGATAGGTGTGTAAGGGACAAAAACCAAGATGAGTTCCTTGCCTCTGAGGGTCTTATTGTTTTTGGGGGGAAATAAAACATAAATACTCATAACTTACCAGACTGGAAGGGCTTGCATAAGAGCCCTGTTAGTTTTATTTGACCCTTATCCAAGCTTAAGTGCAGTGATTGTTTGGTTAAAATGGTAAGTCAGTGTCAGCCACTTCCTCCGATTCCTGAAGCCTTAGGATCATGTGACCATGATAATTCATTAAAATTAGCTAAGGATGTTGGAAATGCAAAATCCTCTCCATAGATCATCATTTATTTTGGAAATATGATTCATAGCCCTCAGGAATGGAAAACAGGAAGCTGAAAAGTCACAGTAAAAGTGAAAGAAGATAGGAATTTCTAATCTATTCAAAAAAGAGAAGTTGAATCAGGGGATCCTCAGGGATTCCTGAATGATGACTGCATGGGATTAGAACATGGGTTGAGAAACATACAAGCAGCAGAGGGTGAAACCCCACTCGGTGCATTCCAGTGGGTAATTTGAATAAATGGGGGTGGTGGTCATGGTTCCTTATTGCCTCTAGTAGGCAGGGCTTTGTGTAGACCATGACTTTTGGTAGAAGCCAAACGAAGATTAATTTTTTAGGGCTGCTGGTTGGCCTGGAATTAGGGTGTTTTTTTTTTTTGAGACAGCGTTTCGCTCTTGTTGCCCAGGCTGGAGTGCAATGGTGTGATCGTGGCTCACTGCAACCTCTGCCTCCCGGGTTCAAGCAATTCTCCTGCTTCAGCCTCCCAAGTAGCTGGGATTACAGGTGCCCGCCACCACGCCTGGCTAATTTTTTGTATTTTTAGTAGAAACAGGGTTTCACCATGTCGGCCAGGCTGGTCTCAAACTCCTGACCTCAGGTGATCACCCACCTCAGCCTCCCAAAGTGCTGGGATTACAGGCGTGAGTCACCGCACCCAGCTGAAGTAGGGATGTTTTAATAACCTCTTTACCTCAGTGGTGAGGGAGGGATTCCCAGTTCCCACCCCAGGGTTATGGCGGTAGCTGAACACATGACACCCAACACTGGGCAAATGAGATTGGCAGCAGTTTTTGGTCACACACACTCACAGCTCGGGGAGGAAGACCCCACTTGCCGTGCAGGGCCACACAGAAACAGAGTGAACAACCAGGGCCAGTGCGGGGCAGGCTTTGTAGCACCAAGAGGGTGAGGAGGCCCTGGTTCCCCGGAGGATGTGACTGGCTCATTTGGACAACTCCGTGGGTTGGCAGGAGACTCACACCTGCCGCTCAGGGATTAGCAGGAACTGCATCTGGTCTTTTTGATAAGGAAGGCTGTTTCACTGGGCGCCCTTTGCCAAGGGAGGACTGGGAGAGAAACTTGGGGTGAGGCACTCCTGATTTCACCTGATGTCAAAGCAGCACCTCATATTAGAGCTTAATTTTAGGCCTTACACTGCACGGTGGGTACCCAGTGGGTCCTGCTGACTGCCCTTCATCTCCTGATTTGGTGCACTCCTTCCTGTGATCTGAAGCTCAACACACAGCCTCATCCCTGCCAGCTTGGGACAGGGGCCATTCCAAAATTCAAGGCCACCAGAGCTTTTCGTCCTTTTCTCTTGCTGCTGATTTGTTTTCTTTTTTTCTTTTTTTTTTTTTTTGGTGACTTCCCAAGAGGAAGAGGAGGGGAGAAAAGAGAAACATTCCATTTGGCCGCATATATAGCGCAAATGTTTCATGGAGTAGGGAAAGACTGAAACAAAAACAAAAACTGTATCCACCACCACTCCCAGCTCATTTTCCACACAGCGATCATAGTGATCTTTAAAAATTAATTTGGTGGCTGGGCGCTGTGGCGTACTCCTGTAATCCCAGCACTTTGGGAGGCCGAGGCTGGTGAATCACTTGAGGTCAGGCATTCGGCACCAGTTTGACCAACATGGAGAAACTCCGTCTCTACTAAAAATACAAAAATTAGCCAGGCGTGATGGTGGCACACATGTAATCCTGGCTACTCAGGAGGCTGAGGCAGGAGAATTGATTGAACCCAGGAGGTGGAGGTTGCAGTGAGCTGAGATAGTGGCATTGCACTCCAGCCTAGGCAACAAGAGTGAAACTCTGTCTCAAAATAAATAAAATAAAATAAAATAAAATAAATTAATATGGCTGGGTGTGGTGGCTTACACTTGTAATCCCAGCACTGTGGGAGGCTGAGGCCGGTGGATCACTTGAGGTCAGGCATTCGAGACCAGCTTAGCCAACATGGAGAAACCCTGTCTCTACTAAAAATACAAAAATTAGCTGGGTGTGGTGGCAGGCGCCTGTAATCCCAGATACTTGGGAGGCTGAGACAGGAGAATCGCTTGAACCCAGGAGGCAGAGGTTGCAGTGAGCTGAGGTTGAGCCACTGCACTCCAGCCTGGGCAACAAAGCAAGACTCCATCTCAAAAATAAAAATAAAAATAAAAAAATTAAAATTAAATGTGATCTTACCAGGTTCCTGCTTAGAACCCTTATGTGGCTTAGGTCTTAGGATACAGACAAACTCTACCATGGCCCACAGGCTCCAGGCAGCCTAGCCCCTGCCTGCTTGTCCAACCGTAACTCATGCCTTACTTCTCTGTACTTTTTATGGCACAGTCATACAGTTCTCCTTTAAGTTCTATAAACCTGCTCTGCTTTTCCTGCCCCAGGACCTTTGCACATACTGTTCTCTGCCTAGAATGCTCTTTCCTCCCGCATTCACTAGTTAAGTAATACTCATCCTTCAGATTTTAGCTAAAACATTCCTTCCTCAGGTAGGCTGATCTCCCCAAATAGGCCAAATTTCCCTACTATAAGCTCTCATGCCATCATTTGCCTTTTCACCATTATACTCAGCACAAGTTGCAAGATGCCATTTGCTTGAATTATTTGATTAATTTCCATCTCCTCATATCTCTATGAGACTGGCTACCTTATTTATCCTTGGTCTCTAGAGAGTGCCTCATTGAATAGTTGTTGAGTGAATGCGTCAATGAATGAGTTAACTGTGATTTGGGGACCTTCTGAAAAGAAAGGAAATGAAGATTTAAATAAATTATATACCTTTTTTTAATTATCAAAACAGTCACATTAAGGACACTTACATTGCCAGGCTAAAATCAGGAAGGGTTTAAAAAGTTACTCCCCTTTAGAAAGAGAAATGCATGTCTATTACCAATGCTATGTGAAATCAGCCAAGAGAAAGCAGATCCCTTCTCTTCTGACACAGAAAGGAAGCCATGAATACTGGCAATTACCGTAGCAGAAGTCTGTCTTTAAGTATAAGAAAACAGATCCTACAAAACGTGACTCTCATCACCTTTGGCGGTGACATTATTTTCTACAGTAAACTAAAAATAATACAAATATGACGCCTGTTATTGTAGGACGTGTCTGACATATTACACACAGTTGAAGTGACACATCACTCTCTCGCCCAGAGCATCAGTGGGGAAGGTGATGGAAAACAGTAGATGGATCCAGTGATTATTTGTAATTTCACATTCTGACTCCATCTGCGGCCTCATTAAGGTGATAGAAACATACTAGGAATAAGGCACCAAAAACAAAGGTACAAAGGCCCAGAAGCCATCAGAATGGAAACTTGTAACAGTGACATAGAATTCGTGAAGTAAAGAAATGTAAGCTCCAAAGAAATCATATGTAGTAATCCACTTTTTAAAATATCTTTGAAAAGGTAGTAAAAATCAAAGTTCAATCTGGCATAATTAACTTGGTTCCTGAGTTTAAAGCCAAATAAAACCCTGTATCAAAAAATGGTTTTATTCATGCTGTCTTACATGAATATAGTAGAAAGCTGCTGGTTTTTAAAAGGTATCAAAATGGTAACTCTTAGAACATATATAAAAAAATTCACAGATCCTTCATCAGTCACAATATTTAATAGTGGTCTCTAAACTATTCGATAAAATAGCTATTGTTTAGAAACAGATAAATAGCCAACTCTAGTGACCAAACCAGGAAAAGGAAATCCTGAAGCAGGATCCTAAAACCTGTCACTGTGCATTTTCATATTCTCAGCAGTTGATGTATGGAAATGGTAAAAGTGTGGTGTGGGTTGCTTTTGAAGCAGCTAGCACCCAGACTGCGTCAGTTCTGATTGGCTGCAAAGTACAGAGTGTTAATGGCATAAAGCCAGCTTTTTAGTCACTTTCAGTCATAGAATTGTTTTGTTGTTGTTGTTGTTGTTTTTTGAGACAGAGTCTTGCTCTGTTATCTAGGCTGGAGTGCAGTGGCACTATCTCGGCTTATTGCAACCTCCACCTTCCAGGTTCAAGAGATTCTCCTGCCTCAGCCTCCCAAGTAGCTGGGATTACAGGCGCCCACCGCCACACCCACCTAATTTTTGTATTCTTAGTAGAGACAGGGTCTCACCATGTTGGCCAGGCTGGTCTCGAACTCCTGACCTCAGGTGATCCACCCGCCTCAGCCTCCCAAAGTGCTGGGATTACAGGCGTGAGCCACCACGCCCGGCCTTCAGTCAAAGAATTGTGATGAGGATCGGAATGCATTGGGTAGCTCAGCAGTTAGATTTGATAGATTCCAAGGCTGGTCTGGTGAGTTACCTGATTTGGTCTATAGCCCTTCTAGAACTGTCCAGTGGAAACCTAAGTTCCTGAGGCTCCCAGGGTTGGTCCGGGCTCCCTGAGAACATTAGAACCAGGGAAGGTATGGGCTGAGTCTGTGTGCCCATTCATCAGGCTTGCCCTCTGTTCCAGTTACCTGTTGCTGTGGAACAAATAAGCCCCAAACTTAGGGACTTAAGATAGCAATGTGGTTTTCTGGATTTATGGGGCAGTT
This sequence comes from Homo sapiens, assembly GCF_000001405.40. NCBI lineage: Eukaryota > Metazoa > Chordata > Mammalia > Primates > Hominidae > Homo > Homo sapiens. The sequence continues at coordinate 121,186,262 of NC_000012.12, read as the reverse complement.
CTCACTTGGGATGTATCATGCGGTATCAGTCATATGTTAGTGGAGTCCAGAATCACCTGAAGGCTTCTTCTCTCTCATGTTTGGTGACTGGGCTTGGATGGCTTGAAAGCTGGGGCTGGTCAGGCACTGTCCACGTGACTGCTTGGGCTTCCTCACAGCAGGGCAGTCTCAGGATAGGCAGACATTTTTTTTTTCTTTTTTTTTTTTTTGAGATGGAGTCTCGCTCTGTCACCCAGCCTGGAGTGCAGTGGCACGATCTCAGCTCAATGCAACCTCCACCTCCCAGGTTCAAGTGTTTCTCCTGTCTCAGCCTCTTGATAGCTAGGACTACAGGTGCCCGCACCATGCCCAGCTAATTTTTGTATTTTTATTAGAGATACGGTTTCACCATGTTGGCGAGTCTGGTCTTGGACTCCTGACTTTAAGTGATCCGCCCGCCTTGGTCTCCCAAAGTGCTGGGATTACAGGTGTGAGCCACCACACCTGGCCAGGATAGGCAGACTTTTAAATGGCGTCTGGCTTCCCCGATAGCAAGAGTTCCAAGGGACAGCAAGTAGAAGCTGTCAGCCTCTTAAGATCAGGATCTGAAACTGACACAATGTCACTTCCACTTTTGGATAAAGCAATCAGAGCCACCCATATTCAAGGGGAGGAGATAAAACCCTTAGGTCTTGGGGGACTTGAGTGTCAAAGAATTTGTGGCCACCTTTAGTTCTCCACATTCTCCAGCCAGGATGAAAAGGGTTTGTTTTTAGTTGGACATTATCCTAGTCTGACCTCATAATGAAATGTTTTGCATTCATGTAGATCTTTACACATTAAAAGACAGTTCATGTGCACTGTCTCAATTTGTCCTCACAATATCTCTGAGATAGTAGTTGGGCAACAAGGAGACAGAGGCACAGAGGTGAGAGGCCTAGGGTCACACAACTTCCTGGGGACAGAGTTGAGACTTACATCTCAATCTCTTTTCTCTGAGTCCATGTAGAGGGATTCTGGTTTGTTTAACCAGGTCACTTTGCTCTCAGACACAGAGAGCAACAGAAGATGAAAGCATATTTCCCTTTGGCTGAAAATGTGGCCACAGAGCTTTGCAGGTGAAGTTCAAGTTGCTGGTAAATGTCATGTTAACATGGCTACTGCAGCCCCTGCTATTGGTAAGGACTCTTTTTTTTTTTTGGGGGACAGTTTGCTGTGCCTCCCAGGCTGGAGAGCAGTGGCACAATCTGGGCTCACTACAACCTCTGCCTCCCGGGTTCAAGTGATTCTTGTGCCTCAGCCTCCCGAGTAGCTGGGATTGCAGGTGCATGCCACCATGTCTGGCTGATTTTTGTATTTTTAGTACAGACAGGATTTCGCCTTGTTAGCCAGGCGGGTCTCCAACTCCCGACCTCAGGTGATCTGCCTGCCTCGGCCTCCCAAAGCGCTGGGATTACAGACGTGAGCCACGGTGCCTGGCTTCAGTAAGGACTCTTGAAGCCACTGTACTGCCCTTCACTCTTCGGAAACTCTTTCCGGATCCTCCAGCGGCAGCAGCTGGGCAGGATGGCAAAGTCAGCCATGTCCTGGGAGCCGAAGCGCCAGGTGGCGTAGCACCTGTAGGCACAGTGCCGCAGCCGGCTGTTGGTGGAATCCACATCCAGCGCCAGCAAGGGCTCCTGGTAGAGCAGGAGGAACTGCAGGACGTGTCTGGACAGGACCAGCTTCCTGAACAGCTCTGAGGTGGTGATGCAGGCCCCCGGCTTTTTCCGGCAGCACAGCTCCTCCAGGCACCTGTGGCTCTCAGGGAGTTGAGATGGGAGGCAGCTTCCACACTGGCACCAGACGGGGCTATCCCTGGATCTAGGAGTCGCCTCCTTTCTAAGCAGCTGTATCTCCTCTGGTTGTCCAGGAATCGGGGGTGTGTCATGGAGGGCCAGGGGCAGCCTGGACAAATCTGTGAAGTCCATCGCAGGTCTCTGAAAAAGCAAGTTTCCAAACCTATTAGCCATGACAAGCCCTCAGGTTCTAGGTTCTTTAATTTTATTAACTTATAAAGTTACGTTTAATATTACATGATTTATAGTAGCCGTCATTTATTAGGTGTAGATATCAGGACCATGCATGTGTTCTGTAAGCATTGCCTCATTCAGGCCTTTGAAGACGCTTGTGAGATAATGTATCCTTGTCTTTATTTTACAGATTTTTTTTTTTTTTTTGAGAGAGGGTCTCACTCTGTCGCACAGGCTGGAGCACAGTGGTGTGATCTTGGCTCACTGCAACTTTCACCTCCCAGGTTCAGACAATTTTCATGCCTTAACCTCCTAAGTAGCTGGTATTACAGGTGCATGCCACCATGCCCAGCTAATTCTTTCGTATTTCTAGTAGAAACAGGATTTCAACATGTTGGCCAGGCTGGTTTGGAACTCCTGACCTCAGGTGATCCACCTGCCTCAGCCTCTCAAAGTGCTGGGATTACAGGCATGAGCCACTGCACCTGGCCTATTTTACAGATTTTGGAAAATGAAATTCAGAAAAGCCAGGCCTCTGTTGAGATGTCACCTCTTGTCCTGACCACCCTATCTAGCAGCTTTTCTCCCACATGATTCCCTTATCACACTGTGGTATTCCACATTCTTCATAGGACTTAGCACTATTGGAAATGGTTTTTGTGTGTGTGTGTGTGTGTGTGTATTTGTTGTTTTTTTTTTTTGAGATGGAGTCTTGCTCTGTCTCCCAGGCTGGAGTGCAGTGGCATGATCTTGGCTTACTGCAACCTCCGCCTCCTGGGTTCAAGCGATTCTTCTGCCTCAGCCTCCTGAGTAGCTGGGACTACAGGCGCGCACCACCACACCCGGCTAATTTTTATATTTTTAGTAGAGACAGAGTTTCACCATATTGGCCAGGCTGGTGTTGAACTCCTGACCTCGAGTGATCCACCCACCTCAGCCTCCCAAAGTACTGAGATTACAAGCGTGAGCCACTGCACCCGGCCATGACTTAGTTTTTAACAAAAATATTTAAAAAGTAAAAATAAAAATAAAAAATGTTAAAAATAGAAAAAAGTATATAGAATAAGGATATAGAGAAAGAATTTTTTTTTTTTTGAGATGGAGTCTTGCTCTGTCGCCCAGGCTGGAGTGCAGTGGTGTGATCTTGGCTCACTGCAAGCTCTGCCTCCTGGGTTCACGCCATTCTCCTGCCTCAGCCTCCCGAGTAGCTGGGACTACAGGCGCCTGCCACCATGCCTGGCTATTTTTTTGTATTTTTAGTAGAGATGGGGTTTCACCATGTTGGCCAGGATGGTCTCAATCTCCTGATCTTGTGATCCGCCTGCCTCGGCCTCCCAAAGTGATGGGATTACAGGCATGAGCCACCACTCCCGGTGAGAAAGAAAATATTTTTATACCACTGTACAGAGTTTAAAAAATTTAAAAATTTATAAAGTAAAACAGTCACAGTAAGCTAAGATTAATTTATTATTGAAGAAAGATAAATATTTTGAAGTAAATTTAGTGTAGCCTAAGTGTACAGTGTTTATGAAGTCTACTGTAGTGCACGGTAACAACCTAGGCTTTCACATTCACTCACTACTCACTGACTCACCCAGAGCAACTTTCAGTCCTACAAGCTCCATTCATGGTAAGTGCCCTATGCAGATGTACCATTTTTAAGCTTTTATATCATATTTTCACTGTACCTTTTCTATATTTAGATATACAAATCTTACCATTCTGTTACAGTTGCTTACCGTATTCAGTACAGTAACATGCTGTACAGGTTTGCAGCCTAGGAGCAATAGACTACACCATATAACCTAAGTATAATAGGCTATTCTATTTAGGTTTGTGTAAATAGAGTCCATGATATTCAGACAACCACAGAATCAGCTACTGATGCGTTTTTCAGAACATATCCCCATCATTAAGTGATGCATGACTGTAGTTCACTTCATACACAAATCCAACAAGAACATTACAAGAATGGAAACACTTTGGTCAGTCTTTCTCAAGAAGAGATGTAAAAATCCTAAATATTAGTGAATGGAATTCAGCAATAAATACAAAGAATAGTACAACACATTCAAATTGAGTTTACTTCAGGAATGCAAGTTTGGCTTAATATTTGAAAATCAATCAGTACAATTCAACTAACAGAAAAAAAGAAGAAAACTCACTGATATTTCAAAAGGAGCAGAAAAGACTTTTTTTTTTTTTTTTTTAGATGGAGCTTGTTCTGTTGCCCAGGCTAGAGTGCAGAGGTGTGATCTCAGCTAACCGCAGCCTCTGCCTCCCAGGTTCAAGCAATTCTCCCACCTCAGCGTCCTGAGTAGCTGGGATTACAGGTGTGCACCACCACGCCTGGCTAATTTTTGTATTTTTAATAGAGACAGGGTTTCGCCATGTTGGCCAGGCTGTTCCTGAACTCCTGACCTCAGGTGATCCGCCCACCTTGGCCTCTCAAAGTGGTGCAATCTTGGCTCACTGCAAGCTCTGCCTCCCAGGTTCATGCCATTCTCCTGCCTCAGCCTCCTGAGTGGCTGGGACTACAGTCGCCCGCCACCATGCCTGGCTATTTTTTTGTATTTTTAGTAGAGATGGGGTTTCTCCATGTTGGTCAGGCTGGTCTCAAACTCCTGACCTCAGGTGATCTGCCTGCCTCAGCCTCCCAAAGTGCTGAGATTACAGGCATGAGCCACCATGCCTGGCCATTTCTGTTGTTTTAAGCCACTTAGTTTGTGGTAATTCAGCCCTAGGAAATTGAAGATGCCCAGCAACCAGAACTGCTGGGGAGAGTGCAAATGTGAACAACCATTTTTCAGCACCGTTTGTTAGTATCTCCTAAAACCGAACATATGTCTGCCTTATGACTCAGCAATTCCACTCTTAGGTAACTGTCCAGTAGAGTGCCATATGTTGAGCATAGCAGCGTTATTGGCATTAGCCCCAAACTGGACACTACCCAAATGTCCATCAACAGTAGGATGGCTGAATAAGTTGGATATTTATAAAACAGAATTATACAATGAGAATGAACTATACATGGCATCATGAACAACTCTCACAAAAATAATGTTGAGTAAAGGAAGCCAGACACTCAACCGCGTATATACCGCTTACATACTACGTGATTCAGTTTTTAGAAAATTCTAGCCAAAGTAAAATTAATCTTTGGAAACAGGATAATGACTACTTTTAAGAGAGGGCAGTTGGTGGGCTTGGTACAGCTGAGGTGGGAGGACTGCTTGAGACCAGCCTGGACAACATAGTGAGACCTCGTTTGTAATTTAAGAATATACATTTTTTTCTTTTTTTTTTTTGAGATGGAGTCTTGCTCTGTCACCCAGGCTGGAGTGCAATGGCACAATCTCGGCTCACTGCAACCTCCACCTCCTGGGTTCAAGCAGTTCTCCTGCCTCAGCCTTCTGAGTAGCTGGGATTACATGTGTGCCACCACACCACCCGGCTAATTTTTGTATTTTTAGTAGAGACGAGGTTTCACCATGTTGGCTAGGTTGGTCTCGAACTCCTGACCTCAAGTGATCCACCCACCTTGGCCTCCCAAAGTGCTGGGATTGCAGGTGTGAGCCACCGTGCCCAGCCAAATTTTAAAAATTAAAAAAGGAGAAAGAGAGGGTAGTGATTGGAGGGGGGCATAAAAGGGACTCCTGCTAGTAATTTTCAATTGTTTAATCTGAGTGCCGGTTATATGAGTATGTTTACTTTGTTAAAATCCATCAGTTTTGATTTGTACAAGTTTCTAGATGTGTTTATATTTAACAGTAAATTTTCTTAAAAAAAAAAAAAAGACAAAATGATTTAACTTACTGGGACTTCTTGGCCCTTGACATCTTGCAGACTTCTCCCTAGTAGCTGCTGGTTCACCATCCTAATGTGGGATTCATCCACAAAGGACACATACTTTAATGTCTAGGAAAAGATGGTTTGAAAGTTTACCCATTTTTGTACAGAATTATCAAGAATTGCCTATCTAAAGGCAACTGTAATTCCTATTTGCCAAATGATAGACTATTGAACAAGCTGGCTCAAAACTCTCATTAACCAAGAATTAATGATTTCTGAGTCTAAAGATAAATCAGAAATGGAACCCCATGCTTTTTTTTTTTTTTTTTTTTGAGTTGGAGTTCACTCTTGTTGCCAGGCTGGAGTGCAATGGCATGATCTTGGCTCACTGCAACCTCCGCCTCCCAGGTTCAAATGATTCTCCTGCCTCAGCCTCCTGAGTAGCTGGGATTACAGGCATGCACCATCATGCCCAGCTAATTTTGTATTTTTAGTAGAGACGGGGTTTCTCCATGTTGGTCAGGCTGGTCTTGAACTCCTGACCTCAGTTGATCCGCCCGCCTTGGCCTACCAAAGTGCTGGGATTACAGGAGTGAGCCACCACGCCAGGCGGAACCCCATGCATCTTAACTTGTAAATTCAACACAGCCACAGCTTACTGCTTAATGTTTTTACATTGGACCCCCCAGTTGCTGCATAAAATTTCTTTGTTGTATTCTGTCAATTTCAGTAACTCTAGATTCAGTATCTCCAGAAATTTGTACTATTGCAACTTAAATTATTTACATGTTTGTTAAATTTCATCTCATCTTGGGCCATGAAGTGGTGATTAGTTTTAGCTGCAAAGATGAACTTTTATTTCAAATTGTGAATGCATATACAATGGACAGTGAATTATGCATCAGCTGCTGGAACAGGACAATCATGTTCTTGGATGAGGGAAAGACAAAGAAATCGTCTTTGTTTTTTTTTTTTTTTTGAGACGGAGTTTCGCTCTTGTTGCCCAGGCTGGAGTGCAATGGCGCAATCCTGGCTCACCACAACCTCCACCTCCTGGGTTCAAGCGATTCTCCTGCCTCAGCCTCTAGAGAAGCTGGGATTACAGGCATGCGCCACCATGCCTGGCTAATTTTTTGTATTTTTAGTAGAGACGGGGTTTCTCCATGTTGGCCAGGCTGGTTTTGAACTCCTGACCTCAGGTGATCCACCCTCCTTGGCCTCCCAAAGTACTGGGACTACAGGCGTGAGCCACCACGTCTAGCCAATCGTCTTTGTTTTTAGGTACCAGAGATTTATCTTTGGGGAAAATCATGGAGTTGAACGCAGAGGACCTGCTTGATAAAGTCTGAATTAATCAAATCAAAACAATACAGATGACGCTAAAATCTCTTTGACTACTCCTACTCCCCCACCCTAAGCTCCTTTCCAGAAGCAGCCACTGGTACAATTTTGTGTACATATATACACCCACACATATGTATATGTATGTGTGTGTGTGTGTACACTTGTGTATATATAGAATATACATGCAGAAAATATACAGATTAGCTTCTGTGTCTAGTGATTTTTTTTTAACCTATATATCATATAACATATATTGTTCTACAGTTTGCTTTTTTTCTTTTAACAAAATGTCTTGGAGATCTGCTCTTGTCAAGTCCTATAATTTTTTTTTTTTTTTTTTTTTTGAGACAGAGTTTCCCTCTGTCACTCAGGCTGGAGTGCAATGGCATGATCTCAGCTCACTGCAACCTCTGCCTACCAGGTTCAAGCAATTCTCCTGCCTCAGCCTCCCAAGTAGCTGGGACTTCAGGCATGCACCACCACGCCTGGCTAATTTTTGTATTTTTAGTAGAGATGGGGTTTCACCATGTTGGCCAGGCTGGTCTCGAACTCTTGACCTCAAGTGATCTGCCTGCCTCGGCCTCCCAAAGTGTTGGGATTATAGGCGTGAGCCACTGTGCCCAGCCTTGGGCCAATTATTTAACCTTTCTGTGGCTCAATTTCCTCATATATAGAAAGAGATAATAGTAGCATCTGTCTACATCAGGTTGTTGTGAAGATTGAGTTAATAGATAAAGCATTTAGAAGTGCTGTGTAAATGTTTGCCATTATTATTATCTATCTCATTTTTTTAAGCTGGTGCCTGGTATTCCTTTCTATGGATTTACCATAGTTTCACCATTCACCTGTTGGATATTTGGTTAGATGCTATTTCTTCACTGTTAATAATCATATATTATTGATAATTTAATAAACAATCCTGCTTTGAACATCTTGTACTCATGTACTGCGGGTACTCATGTGAGTGTTTCTCTAGGGCAGGTATGGAGAACTGAAAATGCCAGGCTGTAAAGTATGTCCCATTTAAACATTAGTCACTGCCAAATTGTTCTCCAAAGTTGTTATTTTTCTTTTCTTTTTTCTTTTTTGGCTATACCAATTTAATAAATGACAAAACAGGCTGGGCTCAGTGGCTCACACTTATAATCCCAGCACTGTGGGAGGCCGAGTGGGTGGATCATTTGAAGTCAGGAGTTTGAGACCAGCCTGGCCAACATAGCTAAACACCATCTCTACTAAAAATACAAAAATTAGCCAGGTGTGGTGGTGTGCCCCTGTAGTCCCAGCTACTTGGGAGGTTGAGGCAGGAGAATCACTTAAACCTGGGAGGCAGAGGCTGCAGTGAGCCGAGATCATGCCTCTGCACTCCAGCCTGGGTGATAGAGCAAGACTCCATCTGAAAATAAATAAATAAATAAATAAATAAATAAATAAATAAATAAATAAATGACAAAATTGGCAAGTCCTAGACATAAAAATTTGCCTTCCCTCTATCTTGCCCCTCCATTTTTGTTTCCATTCTTCTCTAAGACCAAAAAATTTATCTGAGAGTTGGTTGATCGGGGTAGAACCCAGCGACGTATCCACTACAGGATGAAGCCTGTGATTTGGGCCTAATTTTCGTGCATTTCTGAGTGATTTCATGGAATCTCTCCATGTCTTGGTGTCCTGTGAACACAGCGGCCTCACCGGCTTTGGCTCCACAATGGACTCGCACTTCTTCCTGTAGTAGTATTCGTTGACCACACAGGGCTGACAGCACTTGCACCAGGGATAAATATGGGAGCGACAGCAGTTACTGGAGTAAGTGTCGATGAGGAAGTCGATGAACACAGCGGCCTGGGGAGAATGCAGACAAGCGCTGCGTTAGTCACTTCCTTCTCCAAACCATTTTCCTAAAGCATGGAAAAGAGAATCTCTTACCAGACCGAAGTAGGAGAGGGTTGAGCCGATGTACACAACCAGCTGGATAATGTCAAATTTTCCTCCCTAAAAACAGAGTGGGAGAGTTTACTCAGGTGAAATTCAGAGCAACGCTCTTTTGCTTCAACGTGCAATTGTTGGTTCTATCAGGGAGCGGAGCCTCATGCTGTGACTTGGATAGATGCGTTCAAGTGCTGGCTGAGGCAGAGACTACGCAGACTGAAACTGACTCTCAGGCATCCTGCTTCAGCCGTGCAGGGTGTGCTTGGACCCATAAAGGTTTTACATGAGCAAGCACTGGGGCCCACACATTAAGGGGAGACCCACTGAAGGGCTATCATTTCTCCATACAAGGTGAGGGTTTCAGACAAGCTTCTCCTCCAAAAGGTTTGACATTACTTCAGAAGCAGAGGGAAGGAATGTCTGGGTGGCCTCGTGGGTTTTTTTTTTTTTTTTTTTTTGAGACAGAGTCTCGCACTCTTGCCCAGGCTGGAGTGCAGTGGCGCAATCTCGGCTCACTGCAAGCTCCGCCTCCTGGGTTCAAGAGATACTCCTGCCTCAGCCTCCCAAGTAGCTGGGATTACAAGTACCCACCGCCACGCCCAGCTAATTTTTTGCATTTTTAGTAGAGACAGGGTTTCACCATGTTGGCCAGGCTGGTCTTGAGCTCCTGACCTCATGATCCACCTGCCTCAGCCTCCCAAAGAGCTGGGATTACAGGCATGAGCCACCGTGCCCGGCCCAGCCTTGTGGTTTTTATTCCCAGCGGTCTTTGCATTCTCTCAGCTATATCTTATTGCTTCTAGTCCTGCTTATCACTGTCTTACATAGATAACATGCTCTTGGACAGGATGTCGTGGGATATGTTGATTTTTGCATAGCTGGCATCTTTTCCTTCCATCTTCAGAAGGCAACACTCCAATTTTCTTTTCAGTCCATGTAGTGTGTGTGTGTGTGTGTGTGTGTGTGTGTGTGTGTGTGTGTTGAAGGGGCTGGGGTGTTGGCCTCTCTGCTGGCCCCTGGGCTAGGTTAGGGCTGGTTCGACACTAACCACTGGGAGTATGGCATGACCCTGGTCACAGTGATTAGTTCAGCAGTGGGCATGTCATCCATAGTGGGCCAATCAGAGCCAATGACATTTGTCTGAGACCTTTGCTGAACCTTCTGGCAAAGAGGTGTTTTCTTTTCACTGAGGTTGCTAAACTGGTCAGATCGAAGGTGCTGCCTGATACCTTCATAGAGAGATGGCTGCCAAGACCAAGGAGGACGTATATAAGACACGGAAGGTGGCAAGTTCTTGATGATGATGTTGTTGTTTGAACACCTGGATCCAACCATGCTTGTAGCTTAAAAATAACCCCTGGATTTTTTCAGTTACGTGAACCCAAAAAAGCCCACTCAAAACTTTTTTTTTCCCCTTAAGCCAATTTGAATTGGATTCTGTTACTTACAAACTATTTTACAGAGAGATTTCTTTCTCTCTCTTGTTAAGTATCAGAGTATTTTTAAAGCCGAATGTTAGAATTGCTTTCCAGGCCCACTCCTGTACTCGTCAGATGACTCATTCAGGGACAGCAGCCCGAGAACATCTTCTTCCTCTTTTATCCCATGTGCGAAATGCCCAGTGCTAGCTGAAGGCTGAGACCAAAACCCTTCCCTCCATGGAGGCCCCACAGCAGTAATTAGGACACAGTCATAGGATGCCGGTGCCCGGAGCTGGGAAACGAGACTTACGGTGCCAAAAACCAGGATGTCAAAACGGATCCCGAAGACTTTTATCAGAGTCCGTTTCTCAACATTGTTTTCCTTGTAGTACTTGGCGTATCTGTAGGAAGAAAAGGATCTGTATTTGTAAGATCCCTTTGAAAGTGCTGGGTTTTGGGTTTTTTTTTTTTTTTTTTTGAGACAGGGTCTCACGCTGTCACCCAGGCTGGAGTGCAGTAGCAGGATTACCACTCACTGCAGCCTTGACTTGCTAGGCTCAGATGATTCTCCCACCTCAGTCTCCCAGGTAGCTGGGACTACAGGCATGCACCACCGTGCTCGGCTAATTTTTTGTATTTTTTGTAGAGACGGGCTTTTGCCATGTTGCCCAGGCTGGTCTCGAACTCCTGAGCTCAAGTGATTTGCCTGCCTCAGGCTCCCAAAGTTCTGGGGTTACAGGCATGAGCCACTGCATCTGGCAAAAAATGCTGGTATTTTATGGAAGGAAAAGCCAAAACAGTGGCCTGTCTAGTCCTCCTGGTCTGTCCCCTGGCTCTGTGACAGGTGGCAGGGGAAGGAACACAATCCAAAGCCCTGGGTCTCTCTCCAACCACCTGGAACCAAAGAGCAGTCCCCCCTCCCCATGTCACCACCTGTACCTGCATCATCTCAGAGTGACGGAAAATCAGCTTGTCGCTTAAGATTAAAATGCACATTTTAAACCAACACAGGATTAACAACAAGCAGAGAAATTAAAAAAAAAAAACTTCAAGCAATATGACTATTCCTTAAGGGGGAAGAAGAGGTTTGGCATCTAGAACAAAGTGGGAGTGGGCGGTGGTAAATCTTGCATACTAATTACTGGACTGGAGACAGGCACACCTCAGCAAACTGTATTTTCTTAGATTCTGTGTATGCCTATTTGGCAATCATTAATCACAGGGCCAAACTAAAGGCTGAAGTTGTGTTTTTTGTTTTGTTTTGTTTTGAGGTGGGGTCTTGTTCTGTCACCCAGGTTGGAGAGCACTGGCATGATCAGAGCTCACTGCAGCCTCCACCTCCTGGGCCCAAGTGATACTCCCACCTCAGCCTCCCAAGTAGCTGGGTGGGACTACAAGCGTGCACCACTACAGGTGGCTAATTTTTATTTTTAAATTTTTTGGTCGGGCACCGTGGCTCACACCTGTAATCCCAGCACTTTGGGAGGCCGAGGCGGGTGGATCACTTGAGGTCAGGAGTTCAAGACCAGCCCGGACAACATGGTGAAACCCCATCTCTACTAAAAATACAAAAATTAGCCGTGCATGGTGGCAGGCACCTGTAATCCCAGCTACTCAGGACGCTGAGGCACGAGAATCACTTGAACCCAGGAGATGGAGGTCACAGTGAGCCGAGATCGTATCACTGCGCTCTAGCCTGGGTGACAGAGCAAGACTGTCTCAAAAAAAAAAAAAAAAAAAGAAAAGAAAAGAAAAAATAAAAAAGTTTTTTTCAAAAATGTTTTGTAGAATCAGGATCTCATTCCTTCAACCAGGCTGGAGTGCAGTGGTGTAATCATAGCTTGTTGCAGCCTTGAACTCCTGGCTTCAAGCCATCCTTTCATCTTGGCCTCCCAAGGCTGAAGTTGTTTACATCTCCTCTGCAATCCAGCTTTTGTGAGGGTGTGAAAATCATATTACAAACCCTCCAACCAATCCCTCAACCACCTCCTTTTCTAACTCTCCAGTATTTCTCCTTAGGGACAGGTAGGGTGAGGGCCAGACATTTAGAGACCATTCCTGTAACTCAGAACCTACTGGCATTATTCAAAGTAGTTAACCCTAAGCTGTTTCCCTAGTCCTGCCTTGCCCTTCCACTGAGTAACACAATAAAGCTCTGGACCATTCTTTACCCTTTATTCTGCCTCTTGAGCGGATCTGGTACTTCCTCCTGTGGCCCTGTCTAGCATGGCATGGCCTGGTATGGCCTGGTATGGTGTGGTGTGGCCCCATCTCTTGGGAAAAGTATGTAATAAATTCTTCTTGGCCAGGTGCAATGGCTCACGCCTGTAATCCCAGCACTTTGGGAGGCCAAGGTAGGCAGATCACCTCAGGTCAGGAGTTTGAGACCAACCTGGCCAACATGATGAAACCCCATCTCTACTAAAAATACAAAAATTAGCTGGATGTGGTGGCAGACGCCTGTAATCCCAGCTACTCAGGAAGCTGAGGCAGGAGAATCACTTGAACCCAGGAGGCAGAGGTTGCAGTGAGCCGATATCACACCACTGCACTCCGGCCTGAGTGAGAGAGTAAGACTGCCTCTCAAACAAACAAACAAACAAACAAACAAAATATTCTTTGAGTGGCATTGACCTCTCTCTGTCATCACTCAGTACTAACTTTAAAAATTAAGCGCCAGGCACAAATCATCACAGTCACCCGTGATATGCAACCCTCACCAGTGCTGCAGTCAGGAAAAGTGGTGTGTTTTGTTTTTCAAGAATAATTAAGGAGGCTTAAAATGAACGCTTCATAAAACTTTTAAATCTGCCCCTTCTTCTCACCACACTTTGATGATTCTTTTTAGATAAAGTTACATATACATGTTTATTTTTTCTGAGTTATTAATTCACCGTCTAGTTACAAGATGTAGGGAGAGAAGAAAGCAGATGGCAGATGTTCTGCCAAAAAATAGTAAGAAACATCTGAAACTGTTTTTAAAAAACCTCTCAAAACCTGACATTGAAATCGATCAGATATTCTCAGGCACTTTAGTGGCTCTTTCTGACTGGAGGGAATTCAATTTCTTTGCATGTGACTATTTCAAGAGAGCTTTTTCTCTTGCTGATGTATTGAGTGATTTATCTTTGTTGTTGTTGTTTGTTTTTGTTTTTTTTGAGACAGGATCTGGCTCTGTCATCCAGGCTGGAGTGCAGTGGCTTGAACACAGCTCACTGTGGCCTCCGCCTCCCGGGCTCAAGTCATCCTCCCACTTCAGCCTCCCGGCAGCTGGGACTACAGGTGCAAACCATTACACCCGACTAATTTTTAAAATTTTTTTATAGAGATGATGGTCTCACTGTGTTGCCCAGGCTGGCTTGAACTCCTGAGCTCAAGTGATGCACCCACCTCAGCCTCCCAAATTGTTGGGATTATAGGCATGAGCCAACGTGCCCAGGCAGTGATTTGTTTTTTAATTCGCAAGCAAGCATGCATTGCCACTGCCTGCCCTGGGATTGGCATTATCTCCCTATGTGAGTTGGTTTGCCTGGGAAGGTTAACATTGTGTAGTAAGCACGTGAATTTCTGCTTCCAGAGTCTTGTTACAGTGGCTCTTAAACTGAAGGCAAGAATCACTTGGGGTGATGGCTGGGCGCAGTGGCTCACGCCTGTAATCCCAGCACTTTGGGAGGCCGAGGCAGGCAGATCACGAGGTCAGGAGATCGAGACCATCCTGGCTAACATGGTGAAACCCCGTCTGTACTAAAAATGCAAAAAATTAGCCGGGTGTGGTGGCGGGCACCTGTAGTCCCAGCTACTCGGGAGGCTGAGGCAAGAGAATCGTGTGAACCCGGGAGGCGGAGCTTGCAGTGAGCCGAGATCACGCCACTGCACTCCAGCCTGGGGGACAGAGCAAGACTCCATCTCAAAAAAAAAAAAAAAAAGAAAGAAAGAATCACTTGGGGTGAGTGTGTTCAGAGGCAGACTCCTGAGCCCCTCACTCAAAGAGTGGTTGCAGAAGCTCTGAGATGTTTCTAGGAGTCTGTATTTCCAGTACAGGTACCAAGTGATTATTCTGATGCAGGTAGTCAGTGGGCTATGCCCTGAGAAACATCGGGCCTTGAACAAGAGTGTTTTTCGTACACTGGAATGGGTTGAGCCCCCAAATAAGATATGTTCAAGTATCTAATCCCTAGTGGCTGTGATATGACCTTATTTGGAAATACAGTGTTTGCAGATATAATTAAGTTAAACATCTCAAGATGAGATTATCCTGGATTTAGGGTAAGCCCCAAATCCAATGACTAGTATCTTTATAAGATAAAGGAGAGATCAAATCGCTTGAGCCCGGGAGGCAGAGGTTGCAGTGACCCGAAATTACGCCATTGCACTTCAGTCTAGGAGACTGGAGTGAAACCCTGCCTCAAAAAAAAAAAAAAAAAAAAAAGAGATTGAAGACATAGAGACACAGTGGAGAAGGCCATGTGAGGATGGAGGCAGAGATTTGTGGGACGCTGCTATAAAGTTATGGAATGCCTGGAGCCACCAGACGCTGGAAGAGGCAAGAGAGGACCCTCCCGTAGAGCATCAGAGCGAGTGTGGCCCTGCTGACATCTTGATTCCAAACTTCTGGCTTCCAGAACTATAAGAAGATTAATTTCTGTTGTTTTAAGCCACCACATTTGTGGCAATTAGTCATAACAGCCACAGGAAATTAACACAGACACATACTCCTGCTGGGCCTGAGAAGCGCGTCGTGCATTCTGGGTGGCCTGATCCACTTCACACAGGTCGTGCATAAGCGGAATCACCTATTCACTGAATAAGGACATTTCGCCACAGGTCATTTTCTAAACAACAGAATTCTGTAATGTGATCAACTTCTTCAACTTCCTATGTTTTAGAAAGTTATATTTTCTGAAATACCTCGTATAACCTGTAATTTCCTTCTCTTTTGTGTGTCTGCTGGAAAATAACTTGTCCACTTACTCATCAGACCTCAACAATTTATTTATTTATTTAAGTTGTTTTTAAAGACAGAGCTTTGCTCTGTCGCCCAGGCTGGAGTGAAGTGGCATGACCCCGGCTCACTGCAACCTCCACCTTCCGGGTTCAAGCAGTTCTCCCTGCCTCAGCCTCCCAGTAGCTGTATTACAGGCACCTGTCACCACGTCCAGCTAATTTTTGTATTTTTAGGAGAGACAGGGTTTCACCATGTTGGCCAGGCTGGTCTCGAACTCCTGACCTCAGGTGATCCTCCTGCTTCGGCCTCCCAAAGTGTTGGGATTACAGGCATAAGCCACTGCTCCCGGCCCTCAACAATTTATTTTTGGCCAGAGATTTCTTCTGGTGCTCATTCCAGACAACAAATGCTCTACCACTTTGTTCTAAAAGAACATTAACATCATAACTGGCTGAGGCCTTCAGAGGGCTCAGGTCTCTCCAGGAGCAGATGTTTTTGTGCTCAACTCAGTCGCTGGAAGGACACTTGCTGACACCTGATTGGTACACTGCCCCGCATGCTTCTGCTGACAGCTAAAAAAACACCCTGGAAGGGCAGTCAGTCAGGGGACCATTCATCCTGTCCTCTCTTCTTAATGGCCATAAGCCTATTCAGCACAGCGGCAGGGGATGATCAAAAAGTTATCACAATTAGGAGCTGGTTCCATTGCCTTGGATGAAATTCCATTGATCCAGAGGAAGCAAAAAGCATCAGCCCGCCTTTGAGTCAAGGGTTTCAAACTCAAACGTCTACACAGGGGCCAGGCAGATGACAGAAATGAGTGATGTGGGCCAGGTATAAGCACTAAGGAGTGGCGGGGACAGTGATGAACCAGAAAGCCCAGCCCCTTTCTAAATAGGACCACTGATACTCAGCTCCAGCCAGTGGCCACCATGTAAGGGTCTCACTCTGTCACCCAGGCTGGAGTGCAGTGGCACAACCACGGTTCACTGCAGCCTCCACCTCCCAGGTTCAAGCAATCCTCCTGCCTCAGCCTCCTGAGTAGCTGGGACCAGAGGTGCATGCCCCCACACCTGGCTGATGTTTTAAAAATTATTATTTGTAGAGATGGGGTCTCCCTATGTTGCCCAGGCTAGCCTCAAACCCCCGGGTTCAAGTGATCCTCCCACCTTGGCCTCCCAAAGTGCTGGGATTACAGGCATAAGCCACCGCACCTGGCCTGTCTCAAGTTTTAAAACATCATGCAGACCAAAAAACAAAAAAACAGAAACAGAAACACATTTAAGGGGCTGCCTGCCAGTTTATGGAGCTGCTTTGAGTAATATATAAGGAATACTCCATAACACACAGCACATGCAGAACTTTGCATAAGATCTTTTCTACTGAAGACAGTATTTCAAAGCCCACGAGGAGAACTCCCACCCAAGTTACTTCAGATAATAGGTCGGTATGAAAGGAATGATACAGTAGAATGGACAGAAGGAGTAGGATCCTTAAGGTAAGAATGGGACTCACTGGAACAATAATAGATGACTTTGAAAAAGCACCAAATAAAAATCCTAGAAATGAAAATTATAGGCCAGGTGCAGTGGCTTACACCTGCAATCCCAACGCTTTAGGAGGCCAAGGCAGGCGGATTGCTTGAGCCAGGAGTTTGAGACCAGCCTGGGCAATATAGTGAGACCCCGACTCTACAAAAAAATTTTAAAAATTAGCTGGGCATGGTGGCGTGCACCTGTAGTCCTAGCTACTCAGGAGGCTGAGGTGGGAGGATCACTTGGGCCTGGGAGGCAGAGGTTGCAGTGAGCTATAATTGCACCCGGTCCACTCCAACCTGGGTGACAGAGTGAGACTCTGTCTCAGAAAAAAAAATGAAACATTATAACTATAGATATTTTTAAAAATAAAAAGCATATGATAAAATGTTCACAACCTTTGATTCAATAAGTCTAGAAATTTATCCTAAGGAAGTAACCTGGAATTCAAAGAGAAGTTTATGTGCAAAGATGCACACTGTGGTTACTTGTAATAGAAAAACTGGAAGCAACTCAAATATTCAATCATGGAGGCGTAGGTGAGAAAATCATGAGATGGGAAGGAAGGGATGGAGTGTGAGTGTGGGGTCAGAGTGACGTGGGTTAGAATTATGCAACATGTACTATCAGCTGTGGGTCTTGGGCAAATCATCTTCCAGAAACAATATCTTCCTTCCAGGGTTGTTGGGAGATTTAGGGATGGCGACGGGGAGTGCTTGGTATATGGAAAACCCTCCTTGGGCCAGGCACAGTGGCTCATGCCTGTAATCCTAGCACTTTGGGAAGCCAAGGCGGGAAGATCACTTGAGGTCAAGAGTTCGAGACCAGACTGGCCAACACAGTGAAACCCCATCTCTACTGAATATACAAAAATTAGCTGGGTGTGGTGGCACATGCCTGTGGTCCCAGAAACTTGGGAGGTGGGAGGATCGCTTGGACCTAGGAGGCAGAGGTTGCAGTGAGCTGAGATCATGCCACTGCACTCCAGCCTGGGCAAGCAGAGTGTGACTCCATCTAAAAAAAAAAAAGAAAAGAAAAGAAAAGAAAACACTGCCTGAATTGTAGCAGTTGTTATTTGTTCACCTACAAAATGGAATGTTATGATCATTAATGTGATGGTTACAAAGAATTTTGAGTGGCTGTGGTATGAAAAACCCCGCAGAATACCACAAGATATATATATATATGCTATTATCTCATAGGAGCTGTATGAAATAATTGGTACAGATGAGGAAAATTCCCCCGAGGGTTGTTATTGATTATTTCAGGGTAGGGGAATTATGGGTGATTTTGATCCCCCTCTATGCTTTTCTGTTTCCCAATAGTTTTGTTTTATAAACAGTGTGCATCCGCCTATAATCTCAGCTACTTGGGAGGCTGAGGCAGGAGAGTCGCTTGAACCTGGGAGGCGGAAGTTTGCAGTGACTGAGATGGCGCCACTGCACTTCAGCCTGGGTGACAGAGTGAGACTCCATTTCAAAAAAAAAAAAATAAGTAAAAAATAAAGAGTGTGCATCTCTTTTGAGAATTTTAAAAAATTATGGAAAAAATTCAGTTATCACCTAGTTCTTAGAGAAAGTCTTTTTTCATTCATCTTGTTGCCTTGGAAACCAAAATTAGTCTCACCAGTTCCTGGGAATGCGATTCAGCCACTGGGTGAGTTTGACCTGGGCCTTGGAGTTACCTGAAGTTGTAGCCAGGGTACAAGGACACGTTGGTGGTCTTGTCGTCAAGGCGACGGAAACTGTATTTGGGACGGCAGTGATGGAACCAACGGTCTAGGTTGCAGTCCCAGTAGATCTCAATGCCCATTATTCCGCCCTGAAGGATCAACAAGGGACAGTCTCTATGGCTGCTGGGTGTGAGTTACGCAACCGCCAGACATCTCCCTGCATAGCCAGGATTGCTTAAGGTTTTTAGAGGAAAAATGCTGATTGAAGAACCATATGTACAGCCCCACCTAACTCGCACAAGTGTTATTGTGGCAGCCACAATCGCATCTCCTCACTCTCCCTACCCCCGTCTGGGACACATCACCGTTAAACTCATTGTCCTAAAATACAACTTTCAACAGACCACTCCTGTACCCAAACACCTTTAATGCCCCCCACGCCCCCATTAAAGATCAAGTCCAAACTTATTAGACTGGAATTCAGGGCACTCTATCAAATATCTTTTCTGCTTTACCTCCTAGTACTCCCCTAGGGAAAGCTCTTTGCAGATGCGAATACATGAAGGATTTTTTTTTTTTTTTTTGAGATGGAGTTTCGCTCTTGTCACCTAGGCTGGAGTGCAGTGGTGCGATCTCGGCTCACTGCAACCTCTGCCTCCCAGGTTCAAGCGATTCTCCTGTCTCAGCCTCCCGAGTAGCTGGGATTACAGGAGCCTGCAATCATGCCCGGCTATTTTTTTTTTTTTTTTGTATTTTTAGTAAAGATGGGCTTTCACCATGTTGGCCAGGCTGGTGTTGAACTCCTGACCTCAGGTGATCCACCCACCTCAGCCTCCCAAAGTGCTGGGATTACAGGCATGAGCCACCGTGCCCAGCCTAAATGAAGGATCTTGAGATGGGAGATTATCCTGGATTATCCAGTTGGTCCTTAAATGCCCCCTCTTGTAAATGCTCTCTCTCTTTGTAAGACAGAGGCAAAGGGAGATTGGACACAGGATAGGGAGTGAAAGTGGCCACTGAGGCAAGATGTTATGCTGCTGGCTTTGAAGAAATGCAAGGAATGCAGCTCCAGAAGGTGGAAAAGCTGAGGAACTGGATTCTCCCTTAAAGTCCCGGAGGGAGCACTGCCCTGGCTCAGGGAAAATCATCTCCAACTTCTGATCTCTGGCAACATAAGCAAATATGTGTTCTTTGAAGCCACTAAGCTTTGATAACTTGCTACAGCAGCCACAGGAAAGGAATACACCAAGTAGCTCTCACTCATAAGGATTGTTTTGGGATTTGACGAGGTATGGTAGGTAAAGTCCTTAGCGTAGCGGGTGGATTTACTAAATGCTCAGTAAATGTGAGCCACATTATGAAGACCCAGTGGCCCGGCCTCTTGGCTGTTTGACATCCTCCATCCCTAGACACACAGCCCCACATCCCAGTGTACAAAGCACCACCAACCTGAATTGCCACATCTGAAAAATTATCGCCTGTTTCTCGGAAGATGTCTCCTAGTCGGAAAATGGGACACTGTGGATTCTGAGTCTTGTGGAAGGTACAAGTGATGTTTAAACCTGGCAGGATGTTTCTCCTGTGCATAATTAAAAGCAAACAAACAAACAAACATCTCGATTGAAAACAGATCTGTCTCTTTCCCAGGAGTGAGCCAGTGTGGTGGAGAGGTTCCATGAAAGCCCCAAATGATCACTGCCTCCTGGGACCCCTGGGCAGTGGCCTCTCACACTGGACCAGGGTTGATCTGTGTGACCAATGGCATATGGCAGAAGTGTTGGGGTCTCCCCCCAAAGACTGTGGCTTCCATCTTGGTTATACTCTTGGTTGCTTGCTCTGTCTCTCTTGGGTCACTTGCTCTGGGAGAAGCCAGCCACCATATACCAAGGATACTCAAGTGGTCTAGGGCGAGGTTCACGTGGTGAGGAACTGAGCTCTCCCACGAGCAACTGTGTGAGAGCTTGGAAAAGTGTTCTCCAGCCCCAGTCAAGCCTAGAAATGACTGCAGCCCTGGTTGACAGCTTGGCTACAACCTGACAGACCTTGAGCCAGAACCACGCAGCAAAGTCATTCCCAGATTCCTGACCCACAGAAACCGTGGGAGACAATAGGCGTTTGTTGTTTCAGGCTTCTGAGGTTTGGGATAATTTATTACTCAGCAGTAGATAACTAAGACAGCCAGGCAGCCTGGGCACTTACGTGGTGTAGTTGTGGCCGGGGAAGTCGATATTGTTCTTGATGAGCACAGTGAAGTTTTCGGCACTGTTCAAGAGAGCAGGCCTGGGAGAGAGACATGCAAAATGGCCATTAGTGACGGGGGGAACCGAGGGAGCCCATGGGCCAGTGGGACCAGAGGCTTCTGGTTTCTTGGCTTGGTCTTTGGGATACATGAAGAGAAATGGATACAGCAAACCTAGTGGGCAAAGCATTCTGAAACTCTCCACAAAGCCCCTCCAGCTCCTCCAAGAAGAATTTCTCCCTTCTTGAGATCTGATATGGTTTGGCTCTGTGTCCCCACCCAAATCTCATCTTGAATTGTAATCCCCATGTGCCAGAGGAGGGGCCTGGTGGGAGGTGACTGAATCATGGGGGCGGACTTCCTCCTTGCTGTTCTTGTGATAGTGAGTGAGTTCTCACGAGATCTGATCATTTAAAAGTGTGCGGCACATCCCCCGAAACCCGCCTCCTGCTCCATCATGGTAAGATGTGTTTGCTTCCCCTTCGCCTTCTGCCATGATTGTAAGTCTCCTGAGGCTTCCTGTTAAGCCTGTGGAGCTGTGAGTCAATTAAACCTCTTTTTTTTCGTAAAGTATTTGGTCTCAGGTAGTTCTTTATTTTTATTTTTATTTTTTTCTGAGATGGAGTCTCACTCTGTCACCCAGGCTGGAGTGCAGTGGCGCGATCTTGGGTCACTGCAACCTCCACCTCCCGGGTTCAAGCGACTCTCCTGCCTCAGCCTCCCGAGTAGCCGGGATTACAGGCGTGTGCCACCACACCTGGCTAATTTATGCATTTTTTAGTAGAGATGGGGTTTCACCATGTTTGCCAGGCTGGTATCGAACTCCTGACCTCAAGTGATCCGCCTGCCTCAGCCTGCCAAAGTGTTGGGATTACAGGCGTGAGCCACCGCACCTGGCTAGGTAGTTCTTTGTGTGAGAATGGACTAACACAAGACCCAGTGGCATTTACTGTGGCACCTCTCACAGTGATGTAATTACACATTCAGGTATGTACAGTGGTTGAGACTTGCTCCGTATCTGGGACTTGTATTTTACCTAAAACTTAGCAAAGTCTCTTATGCGTAGTTACGTATGAAATAAATATCTAACACCTACTACGTGGTGATGGATGTGTTGAATGAATGATTAAACGAACCATCTTAGCTAATTCATATAATATATGAGAAACTGAAGTTCAGGGAGTTGCTTGCCCAGGTCACGTCAAAATCCAGCCCAGAGGCAGGCACACTGGAGATGCAGTTTATTTAATGAGTGAGTTGATAGCAGAGCTGGAACTGAAACTGCAGTCAGTCAAGGGCCGCTTGTCTTGAACAAGGACTACCTGAGTGGAGGCTGCTGTATCTCCCAGAGCTGGGTGATTCCTTCTGTGACAAAGAAATGCCCCTGACCGAGAAATGAACCTGAGTGGAGCTATTAGCGATTGAGAATCATAAGGGGTGATGCTGCTGAGCGCACCCCCCATCCCGGCATTGGGAAACCTTCGCCTGAGCCTTCTACAGGCCAGCTTGGGGCAGTTTTCTCTTTGCCCCACGATGCTGAGGGAATGATCCTGAATCACATCGGTCTAGAACTGCGCTGTCCAATATGGTAGCCACTAGACATGTGTGGCTATTTAAATTTAAATTTAATTAAAAATTCAGGCTGGGAGCAATGGCTCAAACCTGTAACCCCAGCACTTTGGGAGGCCAAGGCAGGAGGATCGCTTGAGCCCAGGAGTTCAAAACCAGCCTGGGCAACATAGCAAAACTCTATCTATCTATCTATCTATCTATCTATCTATCTATCTATCTATCTATCTACCTGTCTATCTATCTATTATCTATTTATCTATCTATCTATCTTTCTATCTATCATCTATCATCTCTTTCAAAAATTCAGTAGTCGCATTTCATGTACTCAATAGCCACATGTACCTAGTAGCTGCCCTATTGGACAGCACAGATACAGAAATTTCCATCACTGCATCAAGTTCAATTGGACAGTGCTGGTCTAGAACCACCACACTTCTAGGGGTAGATTGTGTGTGTGTGTGTGTGTGCGTGTGTGTGTGTGTGTGTGTGTGTGTGTGTAAGCCAGGCATGCATGGGGCTTACCTTACAATAACTGTACAAGTATCATCTCATTTAATCCTTACAACAGCCCTATGAAGTTGGTGAAATTATTATTCTGCTTTTACAGGTGAGGACACTGAAACTCAGAGAGGTTAAGCCATTTTCCCAAGGACACACAGCAAAATGGTGTTAGAGCTAGGAATTGAATCCAGGTCTTTCTAACTATTCTCTGCTGAAATACATCAGCCCTTGTGGCTTCTGAGATTTAACATTGTGACTTTGTGTATTGAAGCGAAGCATCAATACAAGGGACCACCAAATCTGTATGTCATTGTAAGCATTTAATCTGAGAAAACTTCCTTCCCCCCCTCTTTTACCCTCACCCCTTTTGCTTTTTCCTCCCCTTCCCCTTCTCTTTCCTCGCTTCGTCCTTCCCTTCCATCTCCCTCCTTCCTTCCTATCCTTGATCACTCAGTATGGACACTGACAAGTCAGAAGGGATCCTGCTGTGGCACTACAGGAGGGGGTCTGGGGGTACCCTGGAAGATCTGGGGGAAGGAAGGGGCCAGGGACACCCAAGGATGCTCAGGGTAGTAGCTATTTACCAGTTGGTACAGGAGTGTTACAACAGTTTACCAACCACCATGGCCCTCCCAGAGATACTAGTTTGTGCCAAGCAGTGCATCCAGAGCGCAGGGGTCCCCAAGCCGGTAGGACCCAGGACTTTGCAGGGCTGTGCTGAGAGGGGAAGGCCCAAGCAGCCTCGGCAAGGCCTCATCTGGTCGCCGCTGAGGGCCACTGTGTCTGTCTCCCCATGCGACTCACCGGGGGGCCTCTTCCACTGCCTCGATGGGGCACCAGGCAGAGACTTCACAGGTCTTCTGGTTCCCTTCATACACTACACACCTTCCGGTCTGAATTCCTATAGGGGTCAAAGCATCGTAGAACCACAGATGTGAAAGAACTGCGGAGAGGACGTTCTCCAGGAGGGACATCATTAACTCAACCCGGGCGAGAGACTAGGCTTTGACCAGGCTTTCCAACCCACGCAGCTTCAGCTTCCATCAAGCCCATCCTAACCACAACGAACACAAGGCAAGGCAAACAAGCAAAACATAATAAAGATCAGAGAGAACACAGAAAGACTGTGGATTCTGCTGGCTCTTTTGTTTCTTTATAAGAAAAGGTGCCCATGAGGGGAGCGGAACAGGTGTATGCTCTCACTTAGTATAAATGGACTAGAACATGGCCTCTCAAAGGGGCACAAGTCCCTCAAGGGGTACACAGCCTGCCCAGGATGTGCAAAGCCATGAAATCAGCATGGCACATCTTCCTGGAGTGCCAGGATGATTAATCAGTTTCCAAGGGAGAATTAATTAAATAGTGAGCAATGTTAAAATAACTTTTATACTAACTCAAATACACATACAGTATGGAGTAGAATGCAGTAATGGGCATATGCCTTTTTGTGTGTGTTTGCATTATAACCACTGATTTTTTTTTTTTTACTATTTGCAGTATTTTTAAAATTGCCCTGTGCCTTTTTTTTTTTTTTTAAAGGGGTCTCGCTCTGTCACCCATGCTGGAGTGCAGTGGCATGATCTTGGCTCACTGCAACCTCTGCCTTCCAGGTTCAAGTGATTCTCACGTCTCAGCCTCCCAAGTAGCTGGGATTATAAGCGTGTGCCACCATGTCTGGCTGATTTTTGTATTTTTAGTAGAGACGGGGTTTCACCATGTTTTCCAGGCTGTTCTCGAACCCCTGACCTCAAGCATCCATCTGCCTCACCCTCCCAAAGTGCTGGGATTACAGGCACCAGCCTCTGCGCTCGCTGCCCTGTGCCTTTTTAAGTTAAAATGTGAGATAAAGAAATTCTGCAGGTATCGCAATAGCACTGCACTTAGATATAAATAAAATCAAAATCAAAATCAAAATAAAACAGTGCAAAAAATGTTTAAAAAATAAAATAAAATAAAAAACAAAAAAAATTCTGCAGGTTAATATGGGTATTGCTGCCAGGTTCCCTGGGGGTAAAAGTTCATGGTCCTCAACCTTTGAGGAAATTCAGGGGGAAAGTTTAGAATACTCAGATGATGCTATAGGCCATGTGAATTTTCTACCGATTAGAATCCTGAACCTGCTAGGTTTTTAGGAGCTTCTTCTCTCACTGGAAAACTGGAGTCATGTTTACAGTCAGCAGCTGGTCTGCTGGGGACAGAGCCGAAGCATGGGCAGACTCGCCTATGGCTTGGTGATGGTGGAAGAGGGCAGCTGAGAGCAGAGGCTGAAGACCTGACCTGGGCATCACAAATGTCACCAAGATGCCAGACCATCCACCCCTAGGGTCTCGGGAAAAGAAACAGAAGGTACCTTTGCTCTGCGGGTCCATCCATCCCTTTTTACAACCTCGGTCAGAGGAACAGAGCGTCCTGCGGGTGGGATACTGCAGATAGAAGGATGACAGAGTGGGGAGTAAGTGACGTGTGTTACTAAGACGTGGAGAAGTGATTCGATATCCACCAGAATGTGCACACGAATGCTTATAGCAGCACTACTCAGAATCGCCAAAAAAGTGGAAACCACGCAAGTGGCCACTGACGGATGAATGGACAAATAAAATGTGGTACATTCATACACAGAATCTTATTTAGCCATAAGAAGGATGAAGCAATGACACAGGCTACAACATGGATGGACCTGGAGAACATGATGCTGAGTGAAAGAAGACAGACACAAAAGGCCACACCATATACAATTCTATTTATAGGAAATGTCCAGAATAGGCATCTATAGAGACAGAAAGTAGACTGTGGCCAGGGACAGGGGAAGGGGAGAATGGGGAGTGACTGCTACTGGATTTGGGGTTTCCTTTGTAGGTGATGAAAATGTTCTGGGGGCTGGGCGCCGTGGCTTATCACGCCTGTAATCCCAGCACTTTGGGAGGCCAAGGCGGGCAGATCACCTGAGGTCAGGAGTCTGAGACCAGCCTGCTCAACATGGTGAAACCCCGTCTCTACTAAAAATACAAAAATTATCAGATGTGGTGGTGTGCGCCTGTAATCCCAGCTACTAGGGGGGCTGAGGCAGGAGAATCACTTGAACCTGGGAGGTGGAGGTTGCAGTGAGCTGAGATTGCGTCACTGCACTCCAGCCTGGGTGACAAGAGCAAAACTCCACCTAAAAAAAGAAAGAAAGGAAGGAAGGAAGAAAGAAAGAAAAAGAAAGAAAGAAAGGAAAAAAAAAGAAAGAAAGAAGGAAGAAAATATTCTGGAATTAGACGGTGGTGATGGTTGCACAACTCTGTGATTATACTAAAAACCACTGAACCGTATGTACACTTTAAAATGGTGGGGTTTATGGTATGTGAATTATATCCCAATACAAATAAATAAAAATGGGAAAAGCAGAGGTCTGGGAAGCTAGGGATCACTTTCAGGGATGCTGGCTGGGATGGGGGACAGGTGGCTTGGTCCAAGTGGCCCTGTGGCTGAAAGGACTGAGCAGGGCAAACAGGTGCGGAGACTCAGCAGGACACATGGAACTGAGAGACATTGGCCAGGACACTCGCCTGGCCCAAGAAAATGAGACCAGCTGGGTCTCAGGGCTGAAGGACAGAACACGGAAGAGAGAAATGAGCTGCCCTGGTTTATGCATATTTCTCTTCCTGTTTTCTAGGGAGCAGGCTTCATGGCCAGTCTTGGGGAAGCCAGAACATGACATAGGTGTGAAAATGGCCTCTGCTCTTTGTCATCTGTGCAATTTGTGGCTTCTACAGTGATTCAGGTCAAGGACCTAGGTCTTGGACCCAGGTATATCTGGTTCAGCAGTAGCTGCACCATTTTCTAGCTGAGAGACCTTGGCCAGCTCACTGTTCATCTGTAAAAGCAGGGTGAACAGATTTGTCTTTTTTTTTTTTTTTTTTTTTTTGGAGACAGAGTCTTGCTCTGTCGACCAGGCTAGAGTGCAATGGTGTGATCTTGGCTCACTGTAACCTCCACCTCCTGAGTTCAGGCAATTCTCCTGCCTCAGCCTCCTGAGTAGCTGGGATTACAGGCACGCACCACCATGCCTGGCTAATTTTTGTATTTTTAGTAGAGACGGTGTTTCCCCATCTTGGCCAGGCTGGTCTTGAACTCCTGACCTCATGATCTGCCTGCCTCGACCTCCCAAAGTGCTGGGATTATAGGCGTGAGCCATCATGCCCAGCCAACAAATTGTCTTGCCTGGTTGTTGTGAAGATTAAGTGAGTTATGAAAAGAAAGGGTTTAGCACATAGTACATGCTCAATGAATGTTTCTTGTAGTTTTCAAACTCTCTCATGATCTCTTTATTTCCCAGGCTGCCTTGTCACATGGCATGCCGTTGGTCTCCTCCCCTTGTGACTCCCCAGATTAGATTATGAACCCTTTGAATACAGAGCCAAGGTCATATCTTTGCAGCCCAAGTGCCTGGCAAATAGTAGGTCTTGATAGTCATGGAAGGAATGAATGTGTGATCATTCATTGTGGCTCATGGAAAGTTACATTTTCATTATCAACTGGAGATGAATCTCAGGAAAGAAGAGAAATCAGTTTTATTTTGCTCTCCAAAAGGAATTCTAATTTTTTTTTTAAAAAACAGCACATTAGTTTTGTTTTAATCTTCTCTTTTGTGATTGTTGCATGGATTAAAGATGGCCACAAATTCTTGGTCACTTTCTCCATTGAGAGGTGGAGTGTTTCCCCTACTTTCTGAAGCTGAGCCTGTGCTGTGACTGCAAAGCCAATAGAAGCAGCAGAAGGAATGCTGTTGCCAGTTCCAGGCCTAAGCCTTAAGAAGGCCTGGAAGCTTCTATTTTTTTGTTTTGTTTTGAGGAACCTGAGCCACTATTAGAAAGTTTGACTACCCTGCTGGAGAGACAATGCGGACAGACCT
The DNA here is from genome assembly GCF_000001405.40 of Homo sapiens. Lineage (NCBI taxonomy): Eukaryota > Metazoa > Chordata > Mammalia > Primates > Hominidae > Homo > Homo sapiens. Next base: position 121,158,430 of record NC_000012.12, on the reverse strand, counting down.
TGAAGAGAGGGTAACTCTTAGGGGTTCCCAGAGAGGAAGAGATGTCTAGCTATCCCTGGGTGCCAATTGAGGCTCCAAGGGATGCCAACCCCAGCTGCCATCTGACTGCAGCTCCTTGAGAGATCCCTAGTGAGACCAGCAGAAGAACCAACCAGCTGAACTCAGTCAACCACTGAACTGTGAGAGTTAATAAAATGCTTGTGTTAAGCCCACCATGATCAGGGTAGTTTGTTTTGCAGCCACAGATAAATGGAGCAAATATCTATTCATGTTGGTGTGTAACTGGAACTTGGTCATATTTACCGAGACAACCCGAGATAGAGGGGTGTTGATGGGCAGAGAGGAGGCAAATGCCCAATTAGACCAGCCCAAACCAGCCTGGAGCATAAGTTAAAATCCCAAAGAGTCACATGTGCTCTCTGGGCTGGAAGTGCTTCGATGGAACCTGTTGGGTTCCAGTCACTCTGAGTGACATCCTATCTGAGGAGTAACATGTCATTTGAATCATAACAACTGACATTCATTGAGTGCTTATAATGTACCATGCCTTGTTTTAAGCGTGTCACAGGTATTCACTCATTTGTTTCAATAATCCGAACAGCTAGGTTTTGTTCTCAGCCCCATTTTACAGATGCACACAACTTGGCACAGAGAGGTGAAGAGTCACCTGCCTGAGGTCACAGAGTTAAGAAGTTTAAGTTTTGAACCTTTAGCGGTCTAGCTTCTGAGCCCAGGCTCTTAATCTCTGGGCTATCCTAACTCTTTTTCTTCCAAGTCTCAATAAGTCCAAAAGTGTCTTTATGTGTACATGGAGGTAGAGTGTGGTGTAGAGATGACCAAAGGATGGGACAAAAGGGAAACAGGCCCCCAAACTGGATTGGAGACGGAACACTGCTGGGAAGGGAGACAGAAGGGAGGGCTTGGCTGGCCTGGCTGTCAGAGATTTCATCTGAGCAGCAGGGACAGTTAAGGGGTGATGAGGACAAAACAAATGTAGAAAGCTCTCCTTTTAGACGGAGTGTTATCAAGATAGACACCAAGGGAATGTTATCTTGGTTCTGAATTTGGGTACAAATGATGGCAAAGACTGTACTCAAAGACAGCACTTTTGCCCAGAGGTCCTGGACACTCAGGAAGCTAGACCTTGTTGCCAGAGTGGGCCCGTGAGCAAAACTCCACCGGCAGGGCTGGTCCTGCTCATCAGTGGAGGATCTGGCTGGGTATCACCAGCGCTGCTGCAACGGTCAGTGTTGGAAATGGTCCCTGGTACAGCACAGTTACGTTACCTGAGAGGGGAGGCTGGGAGGTTGGGAGTTACAGGTAATGCCTAGCAGTAACACGCTGGTATAGATAAACTTAGAAGAAAAGCTGGTTTAAGAGGAGAGAGCAGGATGGTGAGGTAAAGAATAGGACAAATACAGTTTTTGTTTTGTTTTGTTTTTAGAGACAAGGTCTCACTATGTTGCCCAGGCTGGTCTTGAACTCCTGGGCTCCAGTGATCCTCCTGCCTTGGCCTCCCAAAGTGCTGAGATTATAGGTGTGAGCCACCATGCCTAGCCCAGAATAAAACAAATATGATTTGATAGGGAAGAAGCTCTTCCAGAAAGAGGCGGCTCTTTGGAGAGAGCAAAGCCAAGTTGGGAAAGATTGTCTGGGGTGGTGGCAGGGAGTCATGGGGGCACATGCACGTGATGGAGAGGCTGAGACTCTAAGAAGTGGATGAATGAGCAAGAGAGCTGTGTGCCAGGGTTTTCCAAGACCAGCCCTGCAGACAGTTCACTGTGAACCATGGTAGGAGAAGCTGTGAGTGAGGACACTCAGGTCCTAACCCTGGCTCTGCCTGCAGCAAGCTGTGTGACCCTGGGGGAAGTCACAACATCTCTGAATCTGTGTTCTGGTTTGTAAAATGCCATTTTTCTCCTAAAGTCATTGTGAGCCTCAAGTAAAATGTGAAATGTTGTGCAAATGCCAAGAATCACCATTGTCATAAGCTGCGAAGAGAGCCAGAGATAGAAAGAGCAGGGTTGCCGTCTGCACGGGTCCCTAGTGCTAGAACCAGAGACCGAGGCAGGCAGACAAAGATCTGGTGGCCATGGAGAGACACTGCCATGTGTTCTCTCCCTTCCTCCACTCAGCCCAGCCCTACCCCACAAAAGAGGCAGGTGCTCAGTAGATATCTGTGGGCTCAAATACACCCCAGGGTCCGCATTTCTGCTTCTTCCGACTTGCACCTCCCCCAGGAACTCTTAAGACCTGACCCACCACTCCAGGTCCCCTCCTTACCTCGGGACACAACCGCTGCTCTTGGCCTTCTGTTTTGAGAAAGTTTGTCATCACGAAGAAAGAGTTCCCCTGTGGAGAAGGAGAGGCTAAGAAAATGCAAGGCCTTTGAAAAGAGAACTACTTAATTATAATAATCCAGCTTGCTGGGCGAACCTCTCCACTTTTCTAAGCTTCTAGAAATCAGGATCTGTGGGCAACTTGGAATATGCCAAGGGCTTAATATCAAAGCTGGACGAGCAGCCCTGCTGAGCTGAGGGAGAGTGAAGGAGCGTTTGAATGGGTTGAAGAGTCATTTACCAATGCAGTCTCAAAAGCAGCCTTTTCATGTTTTTGTTTTTGTTTTTGTTTTTTTTTTACGCAGTAAAAATCTCATTAAATTGAAACTCAGGAGACCTGGGGAGGCGAGGGTAGGGGAGCAGCCTTCATCACAACACTGTTCAGATTTTCCCAGACTTTAATGAAAGGGCACTAGGGCATCCCACCACCTGAGCAATCACAGGATTTTAATGACCCACTGTTAGAAACAAACAGCAGCTTGGGCTTCATGGGTCTTTGCAAAGCATTTTAGCTCCCCAAGCCGCAAACGTGCCCCTTTGTCCCTCTCGCCCCCTTATCTGTTTTTTGGACTCCTCAACCCTACTTTAATTTCTCTTTTTTGGCAATTCTGCTTTCATTTTCCCTGCTTGCAAATCTAGAAGTCACACGCCTTCTCTCAGTGACCGATGCCTTTCTTCTTTTTGTCATTTACATCCTTTCTTTGTGGAAAAATGTACCCAAGAATGGTCTCCTGGAGTCATTTTTGTTGATGAAATGCTACACAATCTAGAAGGGCTGGTGCTCTTTGGTAGAAAGTTCTCTGTCCTTCTGAATCTCGGCAGACCTTGCTGGCTTGGTGGCTGTGCGTCTAAAAAGCTGCGGGTAAATCAAGCGCGAGTGAATCAAATCCTGTTTTCAATGCACCAGGACATGAGGCTATTTTGAGAAACCCTGTAGGACTTGATAAAGCAAAGAATCATCTCCTGGATCTCACCCAGTTTTGCAATTTTTAGGTTTTCTCAGTTGGGATGTTCACAGAGCTTTTAAAATAGGACCAGCGTTTTTTCTGGAGTGAGGCTGTAGATCCTAGGGGAAGGGAGCTAGGCCCTGGCGACGGTGACCAGCGACGAGCCTGGGAGAATGCTACGAGGTGCTCACCTGCAAAGGGAAGGTGTAGTCTGCGGTGTCAAAGACACTGTGCACCAACTTCTTCACTCCATTCTCCACGATCTCCTCTTTCACCTCTGCTATCCCCTTCACCTTGGTGTGCACAGAACTGATGACAGGCTCTTTCCGCTGGTACAGCTTGTCACTCACCAGAGCAAAGCTAAATGGCAGACATGGGAAAGCATCAACGGGAGGCATAGCACAGCGGGTTGGGATGCAGGCGTTGGAGGATGCAGGCACTTCTGTTCCAATCCTAGCTCTGCTGCGTGACTTGCTTCCGTGTGACTTGTTTTCCCTCTCTGGATAATGGGAAGAATAGTCATACCTGCCTCATGGATTGTGAGGATGAAATGAGAGACGTCTGCAGACTCCTTTGCCCAGTATCTGGCACATAGCTAGCACTTGCTACAGGAAAGCTACTGCCCCCAATCCTATTCTTTAATATTCCCTAACATGGACCCTCATAGATAGGACAGCTTCTCAAGTCATAAAGTCTCGCCCCGGTGGGTTCGCCAGCTTTGTCTGGAGGCTCAGTAACACATCAGCACCTTCCAGTCTAAGGCTGCATCTGGTGCATTTTCAGAAACACCCACCTGCTTTATCAATAACATTGAAAATGGCAGCTACTCTCTCTCTCTCTCTTTTTTTTTTTTTGAAACAGAGTTTTGCTCTTGTTGCCCAGACTGGAGTGCAATGGTGCGATCTTGGCTCACTGCAACTTCCACCTCCCAGGTTCAAGTGATTCTCCTGCCTCAGCCTCCCAAGTAGCTGGGATTACAGGTGTGAGCCACTGCGCCCAGCCTCTCTTTTTTTTTTATTCCAGAGAAAGGGCCTTGCTCTGTTGCCCAGGCTGGAGGGCAGTGGCGTGATCGTAGCTCACTGCAGCCTCCAACTCCCGAGCTCAAGTTGATCCTCCCACCTCAGCCTCCTGAGTAGCTGGAACTACAGGCATGTATCACCATGCTCAGCTAGTTTTTATTATTTTTTATAGAGACGGGGGTCTCTTTATGTTGCCCAGGCTGGTCTCAAACCCTTGGCCTCAAGCAATCCTCCTGCCAACATGTTGAGCCTCCCAACATGTTGTGGTTACAGGTGTGGGCCACCACACCAGGCTGCAGGAGTTACTCTTTATTGAGCACTTCATATGTGCCAAGTACTCTGCATGCACCATCTCCTTTAATCGTCACAACAGTAGGAGATAGTTACCAGGATTACCGGCATGCGCCACCGCACCCAGCCTAAAGGGTTTGTTTTATTATGTTTTTTTGAGATGGAGTCTTGCTCTGTAGCCCGGGCTGGAGTGCAGTGACTCCATCTCAGCTCACTGCAACTTCTGCCTGCCGGGTTCAAGTGATTCTCCTGCCTCAGCCTTCCGAGTAGCTGGGATTACAGGCGCGTACCACCACACTTTGCTAATTTTTGTATTTTTAGTAGAGACAAGGTTTCGCCATGTTGGTCAGGCTGGTCTTGAATGCCCAACCTCAAGGGATCCACCCACCTTGGCCTCCCAAAGTGCTGGGATTACAGGTGTGAGCCACCACACCCAGCCCTAAAGGGTTTGTTTTAAATGCTTTATTTACTCATTCAGACTTTATTTATTTAGTCCCTTCTATCTGCTCAGCTGCTGAGTGATATTAGCAAGTCTAAGATGATGGCTGCCCTCTATGAGCTGACCTTGGGAAGCTGAGACAGAGTGGGCCAAGACTCAGTCCCAGCTGTTCTCCACCTTGGCTGTGTAATCACCCAGGGAGCTTTCAAGTCCCCAGTCCCATCCCTGGAGACTAGGATTCCACGGGTCGGGGGAGTTATCCAGATACCCACATATTTTTTTAAAGTTCCCAAGTGATTCTAATGCATAGCCAGGGCTGAGAACCAGTAGTAGGCTCCTGAAAAGATAGCTCAGATTTGACAATAGCAAGTACATTTGAAGAAGAGCATTCCCCATGGCCCAGCAATAAAACTCTTACATTTGTGCCCTAGAGAAGCTCTTGTACATGTGCCGGAGGAGCTATGGACAAGAATGTTTCTGCAGCATTGCTTGTAAGAGGGAAAGCAGGAAATAACCTACATGTACTCAAACAACGAATGGATAAATAAATTGTTGGATTCATACAATGAGATGCTTTGAGCCAGGCACAGTGGCTCACGCCTGTAATCCCAGAACTTTGGGATGCCAAGGCGGATGGATCACCTGAGGTCAGGAGTTTGAGGCCATCCTGGCCAATATGGTGAAACCTCATCTCTACTAAAAATAAAAATTAACTGGGTACGGTGGCGTGAGCCTGTAATCCCACCTATTCGGGAGGCTGAGGCAGGAGAATCGCTTGAACCTGGGAGATGGAGGTTGTGGTGAGCTGAGATCGCGCCACTGCACTCCAGCCTGGGCAACAAGAACAAAGCTCCATCTCAAAAAACAAAACAAAACAAAACAAAAAACAAAGAACAAAAATTAGCTGTGTGTGGTGGCACATGCCTGTAGTCCCAGCTACTCTGGAGGCCACAGTGGGAGGATTGCTTGGGCCCGGGAGGTCAAGGCTATAGTAAGCTGTGATTGCACCCCTGTACTCCAGCCTGGGCAACAGAGTGAGACCCTGTCTCAAAAAAATAATAATAAAATAATTTTTTAAAATGAGATGCTTTGCAGCAGTGAAAATGAATTGACTAGGCCTGACATAGTGTCTCACACCTGTAATCTCAGCATTTTGGGAGGCCAAGGTGGGTGGATCACTTGAGATTAGGAGTTCAGGACCAGCATGACCAACATGGTGAAACCCTCTCTCTACTAAAAATACAAAAAATTAGCCGGGTGTGGTGGTGTGCGCCTGTAATCCCAACTACTCGGGAGGGTGAGGCAGGAGAATCCTTTGAACCGGGGAGGTGGAGGTTGCAGGGGGCCAAGGTCACATTACTGCACTCCAGCCTGGGCGAGTAATATTGATGAACCTTGAAAACAATATAATTTATGGCTGGAGTTCAAGCGATTCTCCTGCCTCAGCCTCCCAAGTAGGTGGGTAGCTCGTGCCACCACACCCAGCTAAGTCAAAGAGACCAGTCACAAAAGGCCACATATTGTATGATTCCATTTATATGAAATATCCAGAATAGGTGAATCCACAGAGACAGAGAGTAGATTGGTCGTTGCAGGGGACAGAGTGGGAAGAAATGGGGAGTGACTCCTGGGGGGCATGGAGTGTCCTTTTGGGGTGATGAAAATGTTCTGGAGCTAGATAGAGGTGGTGGTTGCACAGTACTATGAATGTCCTAAATGCCACTGAATTGTTCATGTTTACAGTGGTTAATTTTACGTTATGTGAATTTCACCCCAATAAAAAATTATATTTTTTATATATGTAGACATATATGTGCTGTAGAAATATTAAAACAAACAAGGGAATTAAAAATGTCAAATTCAGGATTTCTTTTAGGCTGGGCATGGTGGCTCATGCCTGTAATCTTTGGGAGGCCGAGGCAGGTGGATCATCTGAGGTCCTGGGTTCGAAACCAACCTGGCCAAACCCCGTCTCTACTAAAAATACAAAAATTAGCCAGTTGTGGTGGCATGTGCCTGTAGTCCCAGCTACTCCGGAGGCTGAGGCAGGAACCCTGGAGACGGAGGTTGCAGTGAGCCGAGATGGCGCCACTGCACTCCAGCCTGGGTGATAGAGTGAGACTCTGTCTCAAAAAGAAAAAAAAAAAAAAGGATTTCATTTAGAGATGGAGTCTTGCTATGTTGCCCATGCTGGAACACAGTGGCTATTTCACAGGTGCAATCAGCACACGACAGCCACAAACTCCTGGGCTCAAGTGATCCTCCCATCTCAGCCTCCCAAGTAGCTCAGGCTGCAGGTGCAGCCACTGTGCCTGGCTGCAGGATGTTTATAAAGCAAAAGGAAAGAGAATGGGATGAAGGATGAGTTTGCAGGGAGCAAAACTGGATTAGTAATGCTTTATTTCTTAAGTTGGATGGTGGTACGTGGGTGTTATATTATGCACAATACACTTTAGTATTTCTATAACATTTATTTATTACTTATTTGAGACGGAGTCTCACTCTGTTGCCAAGGCTGGAGTGCAATGGCGCGATCTCAGCTTACTGCAACCTCCGCCTCCCAGGTTCAAGTGATTCTCCTGCCTCAGCCTCCCAAGTAGCTGGGATTACAGGCATCCACCATCGTGCCCAGCTAATTTTTGTATTTTTAGTAAAGATGGGGTTTCTCCATGTTGGTCAGGCTGGTCTTGAACTCCTGACCTCAGGTGATCCACCCGCCTTGGCCTCCCAAAGTGTTGGGATTACAGGCATAAGCCAGTGCACACGGCCAACATTTATTTAAAAAGAAGGATTTTCAAGAAAGATGTTGGGGTAAGATACCCAGATTTGAGACCCAATCAGCACATACGAGACATAGCTATTAAATAGAATTCCATAGACAAATATGATAACACTTGCTCATTAATACATTTCAGCCCAGCATCCCAACACATACATGGTGCATGCAGCGCTTTCTCATGCTGGATGTTGCAACGTTCTCCTGGAACAACACTGGGTCATGTGACCCACCATTTGGGAAGCTCAATTCTGATCTCTCATATTTATCCCAGAATGTGCAACATATGATCGATCAGCCTTAATGGAATCAGGCCCTCTCCTAAACAGAAAACCTGTCTCTGTGTCATCATGAACATGTAAATTTTAAGAATTAAAATGCTTCAGAGCTGCGTCAAAGACAAAAAGGGAATGAAAGCGAGTTTGCACACTTTACCTGTCGGGGGGGATACTGTGATCATGAAAGTGAGTTTGTAGTATCCTCCCTTTGGAAAGAAAGTGCTAATGACCATCCCAGAAATACTCTCCCGACCTTGCTTGGTGACTAAGGTGAGCCATGTCACCCCTCCAGGTGGTAGGTTTAATCCCTGAATGAAGAGAGAACTCCCAGCCTTCCCCATCCCCATGACCTTTTTGCTCTAAGAGGCTATAATGTTATGCATTCTGTAGAAGGCAAAGCCGCTGGTACCTGGAGCTAACGGGAGTGTGAAGGACCTAGGGATTTCACTGAGCCGGGGAGGATGGGTAAGTTGTGGGGGTGTGGTGGTGTGCACCTATATTCGCAGCTACTTGTTAGACCGAGGTAGGAGGATCCCTTGAGCCCAGGAGTTCAAGACAAGCCTGGGCAACACAGTGAGACTCCAGTCTCTAAAAAAGAACAAAGCTGGAAAGATTTTGGGAAGTAGAACAGAGCTAATGGGAGAGAAGCCAGGGCCACTGATATGGTTTGGCTGTGTCCCCATCCAAATTTCATCTTGAATTATAGCTCCCATAATTTCCATGTGTTGTGGGAGGGACCTGGTGGGAGATAATTGAATCATGGGGGCAGTTTCCCCCATACTGTTCTCGTGATAGTGAGTAAGTCTCATGGGATCTGATGGTTTTATAAGAGGTTTCTTCTTTTGCTTGGTTGTCATTCACTTTTTGCCTGCCACCATGTAAGACATGCCTTTCGCCCTCTGCCATGATTGTGAGGCCTTCCCAGCCATGTGGAACTGTGGGCCCATTAAACCTCTTTCCTTTATAAATTACCTGGTCTTGGGTATGTCTTTATTAGCAGCGTGAGAACAGACTAATACAGCCATCAAGGGGCACTCACAGGCAAGTCTGGCTGAGGAGGAGCCCTGGAGTGGCAGGGAAATAAGGATGGAGGGTGAGGTTGGGCCCATGGGACCCTGAGGCTGCTTGCTCTGGACCCACCAGATGGAGATGAAGGTGCCCACCATAAAGTCGTTCTTCAGAGTCTCAATCCACATGCTCTGAATATGAGTGACTGTCACAGACTTACACTGGCATCACAGGTGGGATGGGCCCCATGCCAGCATGGTTAGATTGCTCTTCAAGCTCTGCAGGGAGGACCTCCCTTTCAGCAAAGTTCCTCTCCGTCTTACAGCCCCTGGGCTTCCAGCGCAAAGGTAACATCAAAGGGCTGAGCCTCCAAAGTGTATCCCTTGTATCTCTTAGCTCACACCTAAGCCAGGCCAACAAACATCTTCATGGACCCCTAAAGAACAGTAGCGCCAGGACTGTGCCTGCAGTGCGGCACAGAGAAGCTTGGCGTGCAGCCTCTGCATCTCTTATTTAAAATCCCAAGAGGAGAATCCGATCAGGTCCATCGCTGGTCCACCCGGCCATGGTGGGGGCTCAGCAAGGGGCGAGGACCCAAGAGATGCTCTGAGAAGAAAGTGGGGGAGAGCCAGCACCCCCAGGGCAAGTTTAATCCCGATTGTATTAGTTTCTGGTTGTTGCTCTAACAAATTACCACAAACTTAGTGGCTTTCAACAACACTAATTTATTCTTTTGCAGTTTTGGGGGTCAGACTCCTAAAGTCAGTCAAACAGGGTAAAAATCAAGGGTTAAAAAGAAAAAATATAAATTAAGATCACAGCTGGGTGCGGTGACTCACGCCTGTAATTCCAGCACTTTGGGAGGCTGAGGCAGGTGGATAATTTGAGATCAAGAGTTTGAGACCAGCCTGGGCAACATGGCGAAACCCCATTTCTACTAAAAAGGCAAAAATTAGCTAGGTGCGGTGATGGGTGCCTATAATTCCAGCTACTTGGGAGGCTGAGGTGGGAGAATCGTTTGAACCTGGGAGGCGGAGGTTGCAGTGAGCCAAGATCATGCCATTGCACTCCAGCCTGGGTGACAGAGTGAGACTCTGTCTCAAAATAAATAAATAAATAAATAAATAAATAAATAAATAAATAAAAAAGATCCCAGCCCAAGTCATTCCCATAGGCAATGGGAGTGTCTTCTAGATATCTCTTTATGTCCACACCTAGACACACAAATAGATATACTGATGTTACAAACGTGGCTGCAAGCTGTTTTGTAACTTGTTATTTTTGTTCAATAATATGTTATTAGTTCTTTCTATGACAGTAAAGATAGATCTGTGATAAAGATAGATCTATGATACACAGTCATTTTCAGTGGCTAAAGAGTATCTTAGTGTTTAAATTGAACATATGAAACGGCCCATTTTGGCTGGGCTCGGTGGCTCACTCATGTAATCCCAGAACTCTGGGAGGCCGAGGCAGGCAGATTAATTGAGGCCAGGAGTTCAAGACCCGCCTGGCCAACATGGTGGAAACCCCATCTCTACTAAAAATACAAAAATTAGCTGGGCGTGGTGGTGCACACCTGTAATCCCAGCTACTTGGGAGGCTGAGGCAGGAGAATCGCTTGAACCTGGGAGGCAGAGGTTGCAGTGAGCCAAGATCGTGCCACTGCACTTCAGCCTGGTGACAGACTGAGACTGTCTCAAGACAAACAAACAAACAAACAAACAACAACAAAAAAAACTGCCCATTTTGCATTTTGTAGGCCATAGCTATAGAATATAGGCAGTTCCATATGGTTCAAGCTAAAAGGTACATTGTGATAATTTGTCAACCAGCCTCTGGGATGGATATTTACTGGAACCTTTGTTCAATTTTCCCAATTATAAACATTTTTTGGTAACCCTAATATAGTCCTTACCATGTGCCAACCACTCTTCTAAGTCCATTTTGCTAACATATATTAACTCTTGCAATCCTTACTCTCCCCCACCAAAAACAAAAACAAAAACAAAAAACCAACTCTATAAGGAAGGTACTATTATTACCCCCACTTAATAGCTGAATAAACGGTGTCATGAATGAAGTGAGAAGCTTGTCCAAGGTCACATGGTAAATAGCAGCACCAGCTCCAAACACAGCCATGTAGCTTCACAGCCTCAGCTTTCTTAAATGCTACAGTGAATGGAATACTTTTTCGAATTTCCTTTTCAAATGTTCATTGCTGGTGTAAAAAAAACCCACACAATTAATTTTTGTGGTTGATCTTGTTCCTTGCAACTTGACTGAATTAGTTTATTTGCTCTAACAGTTTTCTTGTGAATTCTTTGGGATTCTCCCTATATGGGATTGTGCCACCTGTGACTAAAGATAGTTTTACTTCATCCTTTACAATCTGGATGCCTTTTATTGCTTTTTCTTGCCTAATTGCTCTGGCTAGAACTTCCAGTACAATGTCGAACAGCAGCGGTGAAAGCGGGCATCCTTGTCCTGTTCCTGATCTCAGGGAGATGCACTCAGGCTGTGCTCCTCAACACTGTGCTCACTGTCTGTCCATCCCGCATTCATGTTGCCAGGAATCCCTGCACAAGCTTCTTCTCACCCCTAAGACATTAAGTCCATAGGACAACTTCTGGGTGTGCACATTTTATAGCTGAGTTCATTTTCCCAAATCACAAAAACTTGAACCATTTCATGCTTCTATCAGCAAAGCAAGAGTGTGCACACTGCCTCTTCAGAGGGGCTTGGCCCGGCTCAGTGGCTCACGCTGTAATCCCAGCACTTTGGGAAGCTGAGGCAGGGGGATCACTGGAGGTCAGGAGTTCAAGACCAGCCTGGCCAACATGGTGAAACCCCGTCTCTACTAAAAATACAAAAATTAACCAGGCATGGCGATGTATGCCTGTAATCCCAGCATTCAGGAGGCTGAGGCAGGAGAATCACTTGAAACCAGGAGGCAGAGGTTGCAGTGAGCTGAGATTGTGCCATGCCCTCCAGCCTGGGACAGAGTAAGACTCCTCAAAAAAAAAAAAAAAAAAAAAAAAAAAAAGAGAGGCTTGACAAATAAGAGGATGGTCATGTGAACTTGGCTGGGACAGTAGAGGGTCGGGTCACCAGGCTGGGAGCACAGGGCCCGTAGGATGGGGGCTGTGAGTTTGAAGAAGAGGACAGACATAGTAGCAGCGTGCAGCCATTTGAAGAGTAGAAGAGGGACACAAGGCAGAACTCTAACCAAAGGCGAAAGTTACAGGGAGATAGATTGTGGCTCAGTATAAGGAAGAAATGTCTAACAGGGCAGTCCCAGAGCAGAACGAGCTTTCCTTGTGGTTGCTGCTGGTGATGGTGAGGAAGATGATGATGATAATTTTCATTTATCCCATCAACTTCCGTTTCTCTCCTGTCCCATTTCCATCTGCATTTAAACATCATTTCTCATCTTAAAAATGCCTCCCCTCCCCAGCTTAATCCATCCTACCACCACTCCATGCCTCTCTTCTTTATAGCTGAGTCCCTTGAAAGAGTGAGTCACCAGGCCGGGTACGGTGGCTCACGCCTGTAATCCCAGCACTTTGGGAGGCTGAGGCAGGTGGATCAAGAGGTCAGGAGTTTGAGACCAGCCTGGCCAACATGGTGAAACCCCGTCTCTACTAAAAATACAAAAAATTAGGCGGGTGTGGTGGCACATGCCTGTAATCCCAGCTACTTGGAAGGCTGAGGCAGGAGAATCACTTGAACCCAGGAGGCAGAGGTTGTGGTGAGTGGAGATCACACCATCGCACTCCAGCCTGGGCGACAGAGGAAGACTGCATCTCAAAAAAAAAAAAAAGAAAGAAAGAAGAAAGAAAGGGCGAGTCATCACATCCACTTCCGCATCTTGATTCACTCACTCCTCTACCCACTCTAGTCTGGCTCCCACCCCCATCCCTTCTCTAAAGCCTCTCTTGCCAAGTAAACAACAATGTCGTTGTCACTAAATCCAATAGATACACCATGGACCTGACCTTCCTGGAACTCTCAGCAGCAGTTGACACTGACTGTGACCATGCCCCACTTCCCTCGCCTCCTTCCCTTAGCTTGCAGGAGTCCACTTGTGCCTGACTTTCACTGGATCGCCGTGGCTACTCCTCAGAATCTTTTGGGGACTTCTGCGCTCCCACGCCTTAAAGGTTAGCACTCCTTTGGGGCGTGTTCTAGGCCCTTTTGCTTTCTCATCTACATCTTCTCTTGCTGGTCGGTTGCACCTTCTTCCAGGGTTCTGGTTGCCGTCTATATGCTGGTGATATAGAAACCTACATCTCAGCTGCAGATTCGTATATCCAACCATCCATTCAACATCTCCATTTGTACATTCCATAGACACCTCAAACTCAATGCCTTTAGTCCTGACCTCATCTTCCACCCCAAATTGGCTGTTTCTCCTGCATTTCCTATCCCAGCAAGTTATTCCAGTACCCATCAGTTGCCCAAGCCAGAAGCATGGTGCACTCTTTGACTCATCCTCTCCTTCTTGTCCACTCACCCGTTCAGTTGCCAAATCCTACTGTTTCACTTCCTAATATGCTCAAATTCATCTACTTCTCTCCTCTGCCTCTATCACCTCCCCAGTCCAGGTCGCCAACAGCTCTCAGATCTGGACATCCCAATAGTCTCCTAAATGCCCTCCCTTCCTCCAGTCTCACCCTGTCCCCTCTACTCTCTACACTGCAATACTTTAGTGAGAGCATAGACTTTGGAGTGAGGTTCAGTCTCAGCTCTATTGCTTACTGACTACATGACCTTGGGTAAGTGACTTAATCTTTCTGAGTCATTGTTTCTTCTTTTGTAATAAGAGGATATTAGGGCTGGGTGCAGTGGCTCATGCCTGTAATCCCAGAACTTTGGGAGGCCAAGGCGGGTGGCCCATTTGAAGTCAGGAGTTCAAGACCAGCTTGGCCAACATGGTGAGACCCCATCTCTACTAAAAGTACAAAAATTAGCCAGGTGTGTTGGTGCACGTCTGTAATCCCAGCTACTCAGGAAGCTGAGGTAGGAGAATCGCTTGAATCCGGAAGGTAGAGGTCGAAGTGAGGCGAGATCATACCACTGCACTCCAGCCTGGGCGACAGAGCGAGACTCTAACTCCCTTGCAAAACAAGAGGATATTAGTATTCTATTGGGCAGGGTTTCTAGTTCTAAACAACAGAACTCACTCTGCTGAGTTTAAGAAGAAAGATTGTCCAGAAAAGACAAATCTCCAGAGGCAGAGAATAGATTCATGGTTACCTGGGTTGAGCAACCACCAGGAGGAAGTGGGAGTGGGGAGTGACTGTTAATGGGTGTGAGGGCTCTTACTGGGCTGATGAAATGTTCTGAAACTGGATTGTGATGATGGTTGCACAACTTGGGAAATTTACTAAAAGTCATTGAAATGTATATTTAAAACCGGTGATTTTCTGATATGTAAGTTATACCTCAAAAAAGTTGTAAAAAGAGACTTTCTTTTTTTTGAGACGGAGTCTCACTCTGCCACCAGGCTGGAGTGCAATGCCATGACCTCGGCTCACTGCAACCTCTGCCTCCTGAGTTCAAGCGATTCTCCTGCCTCAGCCTCCCGAGTAGCTGGGATTATATAGGTGCCTGCCACCATGCCCAGCTAATTTTTGTATTTTTAGTAGAGACGGGGTTTCACCCTGTTGGTCAGGCTGGTCTCGAACTCCTGACCTCAGGTGATCCACCCACCTCAGTCTCCCAGAGTTCTGGGATTACAGACGTGAGCCACCGCGCCTGGCCGATTTTTTTTTTTTCAGATAGGGTCTCACTCTGTCGCCCAGGCTGGAGTGCAGTGGCACAAACACAGCTCACTGCAGCCTCAACCTCCCAGGATCAAGCAATCCTCCCACCTCAGCCTTCCCAGTAGCTGGGACTACAGGCACGCAGCACCATGCCTGGTTAATTTGTTTTTCTGAGATGGAGTTTCGCTCTGTCGTCCAGGCTGGAGTGCAGCAGAGTGATCTCAGCTCACTGCACCCTCTGCCTCCCAGGTTTAAGTGATTCTCCTGCCTCGGCCTGCCAAGTAGCTGGGATTACAGGCACCTGCCACCACATCTGGGTAATTTTTGTATTTTTTTTTTTTTTTAGTAGAGAGAGACTTTCACCATGTTGGCCAGGCTGGTCTCGAATGAACTCCTGAACCCAGGTGATCTGCCCACCTGGGCCTCCCAAATGCTGGGATTACAGATGTGAGCCACCGTGCCCAGTCATCTTTTTTTTTTTTTTGAGATGAAGTCTCACTCTGTCCCCCAGGCTGGAAGTGCAGTGGCATAATCTTGGCTCACTGCAGTCTCTGCCTCCCAGGTTCTAGAGATTCTTTTGCCTCAGTCTCCTGAGTAGCTGGGACTACAGGTGCGCGCCCAGCTAACTTTTGTATTTTTAGTAGAGACAGGGTTTCACCATGCTGGCCAGGCTGGTCTTGAACTCCTGACCTCAAGTGATCCACCTGTCTCAGCCTCCCAAAGTGCTGAGATTACAGGCATGAGCCACTGCACCTGGCCAAAGTTAACGATTTTGAGATGGCGAGATGACCCTGTGTCATCCAGGTGGGCCCTGAGTGCTATTACACGCGTCCTTATAAGAGAGGCAGAAGGAGATTTGACACACACACAAAGAGGAGAAGACCATGTGAAAACAGGGCAGAGAAGTCTGAAGATGCTGGCCTTGGCTGGGCACAGCAGTTCCCGCCTGTAATCCCAGCACTTTGGGAGGCCAACGCAGGAGGATCACTTGAGCCCAGGTGTTCAAGACCCACCTGGGCAAGACGGTGAGACTCCATGATATGATAGAGTTGACCTGACCCAATCACATGAGCCCCTTAAAAGAAGAGAGTATTCTTCTTCTGGTCCCGGGAGAGAAGTCAGAGATTTGAAGCATGAGAACAATGCGTTGTGTCATAGCAGGCTTGGAGATGGAGAGGACCATGTGGCAGGGAATGTGGGAGGACTTCAGAATCTGAGAGTGGCCCCAGGCTGACAGCCAGTGAGGAGCAGAGCCCAGTCCTGCAGCCTCAAGGGATTGAATTTTGCCAACAACAAAAATGAGTTTGGAAGTGAATTTTCCCCAGAGTCTCCAGGCAGGAACTCAGCCTGCTGACGCCTTGATTTAGGCCTGTGGGACTGTATTAGTTTCCACTGCTGTGTAACAAATAGAAACTAATACAGCCTCAGACACCCCTCATTCCATAGGGCAGCTCACAGTCTGCAGAGGGACAGAGTGGGGCCCTCTAAGCCATGGGGTCCAAGGAAGGGGATCCCCTATTGTATGGGTCAAAGGGCAGTACTTCCCTCCATTCCTGAATTTGAATTCTGTGCACACCCAGCATCCAGTGTTATTCCTTGTGTATCAAAGTGTTGCCTGGGGCATATGTTTGGAAAGCTTGGGTCTCCTGTTGTGTCCTAGCTGCAAGGGAAACTGGGACATTCAGCTGTGACATGGATTGTGTGGTGGAACGCATAACACAGAGTGTTCCCTAAACATGGTTAGGCTGTTCAGGTCATGATCACCCACTCCCACAACCAATCTTCCAGGATTATGTAGGAGAATCAAATAGGCCAATACATGTCACATGCTAAGAACAGAACCCGGCACATGCTAAGTCCTCAGCAGTACTCAGTAGGTGTTATATTTCAAGCAGAATGATCTCTCTAAAATGAAAATATGAACATAAAACCCTTCATGTTTTCTGTTATGTTTCAATATTTTCTAATAAGATGCTGGGGGCTGGGGGACAGCTCTCCATGCTTTCTCAGTACCTGTGGGATGCAGCTCAAGGCGCTCCATGATCAGGCCCCTGCTGGCTTCCCCAGCCCCACCTCAGCCTCGCCTTCTCTGCCACTGTACCGGCCAGCTGTGGGCCTGTGAAAAAGCCAGACAAACTGCTCCTTCCTCTTCCCAACACTGTGCTACCCATGCAGCGGGGCTGGGAGGCTCCAGCCCAGGGTGGGAGGCTGCACTGGGGCAGCATCCCCGGAGGCCTGCAGGTGCAGGAGAGAAACCTCCATCATTACCCCTTGAAACAAGAAAATCAGATGCGGAGGCAGCTTTTCATAAGTCCACAGCCATTCATTTGAAAGAATCATGCTTATCTTTTGACATGATATGTTTCCAGCTATTTTGGTGTTTTGGTGTTAGACATGAAAAAAAGGATGCGGATAGATGGTAGTAGGCAGGTGTTTTAATTGCTTGCCTGATATCCTTTATTTATGTATTTATTTATTTATTTATGGGGTCTCACTCTGTTGCCCAGGCTGGAGTGCAGTGGTGTGATTTAGGCTCACTGCAACCTCTGCCTCCCAGGTTCAAGTGATTCTCCTGCCTCAGCCTCCCAAGTAGCTGGGATTACAGGCATGTGCCACCATGTCTGGCTAATTTTTGTATTTTTAGTAGAGATGGGATTTCGCCATGTTGACCAGGCTGGTCTTGAACTTCTGACCTCAGGTGATCCACCTGCTTCAGCCTCCCAGTGTTGGGATTACAGGCGTTGAGCCACCACGCCTGGCCCTTTATTTATTATTTTTTATTACATATATATTTTAAGACAGGTTCTCAGTCTGTCACCCAGGCGAGGGTGCAGTGGCGTGATCACAGCTCACGGCAGTCTCCACCTTTGCCTGGCCTCCTTCACAGTTCCGTGTTAGTCCTCAAGCCTCTCCTTGGTCTTCTTCAGGTTGGTAAAAGGCATCATCGTTCCTCAGGAATCTAGAGCCATCTTTCACCTCCTAGCAAATCTATCATTTCTGCCTCCAAAACACATCTCAGCTTTGTCCACCTCTCTCCAGCTCCGCCAGCCCATTCTAGCCCAAGCCTCTATCTCCTCGCATCTGGTGACTCCAGGAACCTTCTCACTGGTTCCTCACCGTCATTCTTGTCCCACCACACTCTATGCTCTGCACAGTGGCCCATAAGGCTTCTAGAAACATGAGTGAGATGGTTTTACTTCTCTGCATAAAACTTTTCAGTGGCTTCCCATGCACTGAAAATCAAATAGCAACTCTTCCCCTGAGCTGCCCTCAGCTCCGGCTGCTCCCTCCTCTCTCCCCAGGTTCTGGGACATGCTGTCCTTGCTGTTCCTCTTGTTTCCAGGTCTTTGCATTTACTGTTCTCTTCGTACTGTGTGTCACATGGCTGGATTCTTCTCCTCCTACGGGGTCACTTCCCGAACTGGGTTACCTCTGACCTTCCCCTCAAGCTCTAGCACATCACCCAGGTGTCAAGGGTGGGATGAGAATGTGGCAGACCTCCTGCTTCTACTTTTCTGAAGACAGTCAGGGGCAGGCTGGGCGCAGTGGCTCACACCTGTAATCTCAGCATTTTGGGAAGCCAAGACGGACGGATCGCTTGAGGCCAGGAGTTCGAGACCAGCCTAGCCAACATAGCAGAACCCCATCTCTACTAAAAATACAGACATTATCTGGGTGTAGTGGTGCATGCCTGTAGTCCCTACTAGGGAGGCTGAGGCAGGAGAATCGCATGAACCCAGGAGGTGGGGGTTGCAATGAGCCAAGATCGTGCCACTGCACTCCAGTCTGGGTGACAGAGGGAGACTCTGTCTCAAAAAAAAAAAAAAAAAAAGATGGTCAGGGTCAGAGGGGCCATGCTTGGGTTGGATTTGGATTTGCTCCTCCTGGCGTCTGGGGCCTCCCCGGCCTCTGTGCTGGGCTCACTTCTACTCAGCTGGAGGAGGCCCAGACTCACAGGTTTGTGGCCACCCACTGGGAAACAGGTGTCCAGCCAGGAGCTCCATTTTAACAGCCACAAACTAGCACAGCAGCACCATCTCCACAGCGACAGCCAGCCTGGGCCCAGGAATGACAGCATAGGCTCATGTTGGCGCCAGTGGAGGCTGACTGGGCAGTGGCGAAGCAGCAGCTCTGAGTGGAATTGTTTCCTGTGCCTCTCTCAATCTTCCTTAGTCTTCTGTGGCCATTGGAAAAGCTTCTGTGAGGACTGGTCTCCAGGGAAGAGGGAAATCCTCCAAAGAGAATGCAACCAACTTTTATTCCTTTGCTTACAATCTTCCCATGGCTTCTCAACCCACTTGGAATAAAATCTAAAGAATTATCCAGCCGGGTGCGGTGGCTCACGCCTGTAATTTCAGCACTTTGACAGGCCGAGGCGGGCAGATCACCTGAGGTCAGGAGTTCAAGACCAGCCCGGCCAACATGGCAAAACCCCGTCTCTACTAAAAATACAAAAATGAGCCGGGTGTAGTGGCATGCACCAATAGTCCCAGCTACTGGGGAGGCTGAGGTGGGAAAATCACCTGAACCCGGGAGGTCGAGGCTGCAGTGAGCCAAGATCATACCACTGCACTCCAGTCTCGGTAACCAGAGTGAGAACCTGTCTCAAAAAATAAAAAAGAATTCTCCAAAGTGGTGCCACCATAGGCGGCTTGGTTTAAGCAACAGCTTGGTGGTCACAGAAACCAAATAGTAGTAAAGTACCAAGGTGAGCTGGCAACCTCCATGGGCCAAGAAGCATGTCCCAGATGAGGAGCAGGGCTCCTGGTGGGACTCAGGAAGGGGCCGAGGTAAGAATAGGGGGTCAGCAATTGCTGATGGAGTCTCCACAGCCCAGCTGCAGGGCTGAGACAAGCCAGGACTAGAGAGGTACACTTAGAAATCCCTAATTTCTGGCTTTTGGAAAGACCTTGTAATAGATCACCGATTTTTGTCTGCCTACCCTCCCCACTTCCTTTTCCATTTGGTCTGGTCACAGAATCTTCCTTCCTAAGGAAAATCCACTGGATGTGGTTCACGTAGGGCTCACACGGCTCCCTCGTCTTCTCCCTACTTCCTGCTACGGGAGCCAGCACATGACCCAGGCTGGCCAATGGGATGACACCTTGGCCCTGGCCACAGTGATTGGTTCAGGGATGGATCTGTAACTCACATCTGATCAATCAGAGTCTTTCCTGGGACTTTCTTAGCAGAGCTATCAGGAAAGACTTGTTTGCTCCTCTGAGGTTGTTAAAAGAAGAGAATGTGAGGATATCTTGTACATACAGAGTTGTTCAAGAAGGAAGCCAAATAGAAGCAAATGGAGCCAGGATGTAGGGAGACGGATCCGTCCTGATGACACAGTTTGAACTCTTATCTTCATCCACGTCCGAGGACAGCACCATCTCTTCAACTGGCCAGTTACATGATCCAATAAATTCCCCTTTGAGGCTTTGTGGTTAACGCAAGTTGGGTTTCTGTCACTTACTGCCCAAACGATCCTGGCTGACACAGACCTGCTTAGCATCCTATCTACACAGACCTCCAACACAAACTCCTCTTGTAGCTGCATCCCTGCCTTTGAATCCAGATCTGAATTGGTTGTGAGAATAGAAGAAGCTGAACAGCCTCTTGGTTAATTTCCGCCATAACCAGTCCCTGCTTTGTATCCCATTTTCAATAACCGAGGCCCTGTCTCCTTATCCTGGCTCTTAGTCCTTGCAGCCCCAGTAGGGACAGCTGGCCAGAACCTGTCACTTGCTGCTGTATCCTGAACATTGCTCGAGCCTGTCTGGATTTCCACCTGTGGTCCACACCAGTCCTACTTGATGCAAAATACATTCCCCAATTCCTATGCCCCATGGGTCTACCCATTTCACAGATGGCTAAGTCATGGTTACACGAACTTAAGGCTTCACAGAGCAACTTAAGGCAGCATTTCCCAAACTGTGTACTGTGAGACTCCATTTGGCCATTTAGTGAGACGTTAATAGATAGTCCATTAACCAAGAGGAAAAAAGCAAAGCTGGTGATAGTTTTTTCTTCCATTTTATATTTTAAAATACAAACTGTAGAGAAACTTTTATATGAAGGTTATCTTCTAAAGTTGGCACTTAAGATGAAAATCATGGCTCATCAAAATTGCCTTTTAAACACTTAAATTGTCCACAAAGCATAGCAAACACCTCCCACTTCCCAGTGGGTCTGCTGGAACCAATTTTGCCTCCAGATCTAGAACAAGTTGCTGTTTTTACAGTTTTGCTCCAGGTGAAGGTGAAGGAGTTGACTTATTTTAGGGGTCATGTGGCTGAAAAATATGTACCTAGATTAATAAGTAGAGCAGCAAGATGCTCGCTAAAAAGCACGTGGGAACAGAGATTGACGGAGGGAACACCAGATGCCAGTATCCCATCTCACACCTACTCCAGCGAACCCGGTTGCTGAATCATTGCATTATTTATATTGTTCTCTCTCTCTCCATGTCCCCATGGAACATGTATAACTGAATTTGAGGGAGTTAAATACATGTAAGTTATGATTTCACCATGTGAAAGAAAAATATTTATCATTACAAGGTGTTCTCATAGTAATCTGTTTTTAGAAATTTTATTATTATACAATAATCTGAAGAAATTGAAGGCTGGGCATGGTGACCCACACCTGTAATCCCAGCACTTTGGGAGGCCAAGGCGGGTGGATTGCTTGAGCTCAGGAGTTCAAGACCAGCCTGGACAACTATGGTGAAACCCT
Source organism: Homo sapiens (assembly GCF_000001405.40). Taxonomy (NCBI): domain Eukaryota; kingdom Metazoa; phylum Chordata; class Mammalia; order Primates; family Hominidae; genus Homo; species Homo sapiens. Next base: position 121,136,836 of record NC_000012.12, on the reverse strand, counting down.
GTCTCTACCAAAAATACAAAAAATTAGCTGGGCGTGGTGGTGTACACCTGTGGTCCCAGCTACTCGGGAGGTTGAGGTGGGAGGATTGCTTGGGCCTGGGAGGTATAGGTTGCAGTGAGCTGAGATCACACCACTGCACTACAGCCTAGGTGACAGAGTGAGACTCAACTCAAAAAAAAAAAAAAAAAAGAAAGAAAGAAAGAAAAGGAATTGTAGGCCAGACAAAGTGGCTCATGCCTATAATCCCAGCACTTTGGGAGGCCAAAGCAGGAGGATCACTTGAGTCCAGGAGTTTGAGACTAGCCTGAGCAACATAGGGAGACCCCCATCTCCACAAAAAAAAATAAAAAATTAGTCAGACATCATGGCGTGTGCCTATGGTCCCAGCTACTTGGGAGGATGAGGCGGGAGGATCACTTGAGCCTGAGAAGTTGAGGCTGTGGCGAGCTGTGATAATGACACTGCACTCCAGCCTAGGGCAACACAATGAGACCCTGTCTCTAAAAAAGAAATAAAAAGATTGTATGCTGGGCCCAAGAATGTCAGGAAGTCCCATCACCTGCTACATGAAATTGTGACATACAATCTACGTATTAATGCAGAAGGGGGCATTTACTAATTATGCTCTTTACCATTGGTCCTATGATAGCTGGTTTAAGTGATATGTCTTATTTTAGATTTCAGCACATATATATAAATATATAAAATACATATAAATATATATAAATATATAAAAAATATAAATATATAAAAATATATAAGAGATGGCAAAACCCCATCTCTACTAAAAATACTATATATATATATATATATTTTTTTTTTTTTTTTTTTTTGAGACAGAGTCTTGCTCTGTGGCTCAGGCTGGAGTGCAGTGGTGCAATCTTGGCTCACTGCAACCTCCACCTCCTGGGTTCAAGTGATTCTCCTGTCTCAGCCTCCCGAGTAGCTGGGATTACAGGCACCCACCACCATGCCCGGCTAATTTTTGTATTTTTAGCACAGATGGAGTTTCCACCACGTTGGCCAGGCTGGTCTCAAACTCTTGACCTCAAGTGACCTGCCCGCCTTGGCCTCCCAAAGTGCTGGAATTACAGGCATGGGCCACCATGCCGGACCCAGCATATATGTTTATCATTCAATATTTGTTGAACAGTAAACATATGAATCGAATAATAATAATCCTAATAATAGCATTATTAATAATAAGAACTAACACTTAATCAGGGATTACTATATGCCATATATTTCTCAAACAGCTTTGCATTTATTAGTTCATTTAATATTCCTATCAACAATTCTCCCCATTTTACAGATGATGAAACCAAGGCTCAAAGAGGTGAAGGATTTTTGAATCCACGTTTCCAGATTTCAAATCCTGAACTTGGACGTGGTTACTTTGAGGGTCAGAGCAGAGGATATAGATAAAAATACATACATGTATTTTATATACATATATACTATTATATAATCAAAAAAATTATTACTATTATTATTATTTTGAGATGGAGTCTTGCTCTGTCACCCAGGCTGGAGTGCAGTGGCTTGATCTTGGCTCACTGCAACCTCCGCCTCCGGGTTCAAGCGATTCTCCTGCCTCAGCCTCCCTAGTAGCTGGGATTACAGGTGTGCACCACCACTCCCCACTAATTTTTGTATTTTTAGTAGAGATGGGGTTTCACCATATTGGCCAGGCTGGTCTCAAACTCCTGACTTCGTGATCCACCCGCCTTGGCCTCCCAAAGTGTTGGGATTACAGGTGTGAGCCACCACTCCCAGACTTAAAAAGATTATTTTTAAAAATAGATACTAGTTATGGAGCTCTTATCCTATGTCAGTCATCATGATAAGGGCTGTTCATGCCTTTTTTTTTTGGTTAATTGCCACAACCCTATGAACAGATGCAGAAACTGAGGCTCAGAGAAGTTAATGACTTGGCCCAGAAGACATAGCCAGTACTATGAAATAAGTTACCCTAACTCTTAGTAAACTACACTGCCACTCTATAGATACAAATTGCCTTCATCATCATTATCAATCAGCACAGAGAATAAGAGGCACTCACCATCAGGGAAATTCAAATCACAACCACAATGAACTACCACTTCACACCCACTAGCATGGCTATAATAAAAAAGACAGACAATCAGCCGGGCGTGGCGGCTCATGCCTGTAATCCCAGCACTTTGGGAGGCCAAGGTGGGCGGATCACTTGAGGTCAGGAGTTTGAGACCAGCCTGGCCTACATGGCGAAACCTCATCTCTACTAAAAATACAAAAATTAGTGAGGAGTGGTGACGCACACCTGTAATCCCAGCTACTCATGAGGCTGAGGCAGGAGAATCGCTTGAACCGGGGAGGTGGAGGTTGCAGTGAGCCAAGATTGCGCCACTGCACTCCAGCCTGGGCAACAGAGCAAGACTTCATCTCAAAGACAAAAACAAAATGACAACAACAAAACCCAAAAAGACAGACGATAACAAGCGTTGGTGAGGATGTGGAGAAATTGGATCCCTCATACTCTGCTGATAGGAATGTAAAAAACTGCAGCTGCTGTGAAATTCAGCTCCACATTCCCCCCAAAGGTGAAACATAGTTAACATATGACCTAGCAATTTTTACTCTTAGGTACATATTCGAGAGAAAGGAGAATATATATCCACATAAAACCTTGTACACAAATGTTCATGTGGCATTATTCATGATAGCCAAAAAAGAGAAACAACCCCAATGTCCATCAATGGATGAATGGATAGAAAAAAGTGGTCTATCCATGCAATGGAGTACTACTCAGCCGTAAAAAGGAATGAAGTATCAGCCGGGTGCAATGGCTCACGCCTGTAATCCTGACACTTTGGGAGGCCGAGGCAGGCAGATCACTTGAGTCCAGGAGTTTGAGACCAGCCTGGACAAAATAGTGAGACCCCGTCTCTTTAAAAAAAAAAATTGAATGAAGTATCAACACATGCTACAACATGGATGAGCATTGAAAACACGCTAAGTGCCACAAAGGACCACATATTATGTGATTCCATTTATATGAAATGTCCAGAATCGGCAAATCCATAGAGGCAGAAAGGAAATTGATGGGTGGGAAGGAGGAGGAACAGTGTTGGAAATGATGGTGAAGGAGTGTGGGATTCCTTTTGAGTCGATTAAAATATTCTAAAATTGATTGTGGGGATGGTTGCACAACTCTGGGAATAATCTGAAAATCATTAAATGGTACCCTTTAAATGGGTCAATTGTATGGTGTATAAATTATATCTCAGTAAGTTTCTTTTAGAAGAAACAAAAACCAAAAAGCAGGGCCTTCCTGACGTTGGTGAGGACCTAAAGTTATAACACATTTTCAAGCCTGGTCCTATTCCTCCCAAGCATGGTGACTCAGATGCCAGCATGATCACCAGGCGTGCCCTGAGATCCTCGCCTCCTCCCTGGGGATCCAGGGTGTTGCCCTGCGCTTTCCTACCTTCCCCAGGCACGCCCTGCCCTGCGCGCCCTGGCGGGCCTGAAGTAGAGCAGAAAGGAATCCCGCTTGTCCTGTGGCTTCTCTCTGCTGCAGCCTGGCACCGTTTCCTCTTGCCTGCTGCTGCTTCCTCCCTCCCGCCCAGCTGGCTGTGAGAGCACGTCTCAGATTCGAAAACCATGTGAGATTCAGAATGTGCACCTGAAGCTGCCCGCTGGGGCTTTCTGTGCTGTCGGCCACTGCAGAGATCTGGGTCCTCCCCAGATCCCACTTACCAAACGTAGGAAAAGATGATCACGTGGAAGAACCACTTAATGGTGCCATAATTCATGCTCTGGATCCGAGTGACTTTGTTCGTCTCATACTGGAAAACATCACTGCAGCTGCAGCAGGCCGGCATGGTGACAGCCTCCCTCCCTGCGCGGAGCTGGACCAGAGCTCTACTCTTCCTGACAGGGCCACAGCAAGCCCCCTCCCAGTAACTGCAAAATGAAACGTACTGGTTTTTAGCAGGAGTCTTTAACTTCAAGCTCCTCCAATGACTGCAGAGTTGGGGCGGGCCCTGGCAGTGGCCCCACATGTGGCTGTGATAAACAAGAAGCGCCAAGTCCTACGGGCCTGGCTGGCAGATGACCTCACCCCAGCTGGCCTCCCCCAGATGCCTACACAAAGATGGTGTTCAGAGGATGGGCATTTTTAGAATTCTCCCTTTTCCCCCCTTTCCTTTCACTTTTTTGGTCTCATGTCTCTTGGGAGAAAGGGGCAGCCTTGCAAATGTCACAAGACTGGGAGCTTCCATTATGCCTCAGAAAAGGACTGAGATCTTTCCATTGCCTGAAGCCCCACTCAGAGATTGATTCATTCATTTCTACAACCCTTTATTCAGCCCCTGATGTATAGGAGCTCTGGGTAAATGAAGATCTCCCCCTCTTCTTCCACCGCCCCTTATAATACTCTGGTCTGCAGTTGGTGGGGGAAATCAGATTTGCAGGGGTAGGGGTGGTGGGGGTGGAGGGGCTTTATTTTTCTGCCAGATCTTTCATGCTTGACCCTCTGAGTTACTCTCCACCCTCCTCTGCACCCCGGCAGGTCGATCTATGACCTAGACCAATCAGCCAAAGATCACCAGGGACACAGTGGCAGTCCAACAAAGTTAGGTTTGTTGACCTATTCAGTGAGGGACACCACCCACCAGAAGAGCTACGCACATCACCAAACAAAGGAAAACAGCAATTTATTATAGGATTCCGAGGAAAGTGGAGTTGAGATAAAATCTAAATGAAGTCATGTTTTGATGGACTCAAAGCAAAACAGGTTTGTACAAAGCAGTCAACTTCAGTCTGGATTGCAAAGAGGACCCAGGGCCCTGTTTCCTAGGAAGCAACATAGCTAAGATACATGTCAAATGTGTCCAGAAAATCTTTATCTGAAGCTCTGCTCCTGAGTTGTAAATTGAGGCTGCTTCTCTGTGTCAAGATGACTTAAATCTTCCAGGCAAAATTGGAATATTTCAGTCTTAGTCATGTAATTTCAAACAGCAAAGTTTCTGAAGGTCTCTGATTTTAAAGGACAATGTTTCAGCAGTCACTCAAAGATGCAGGGTTGTATTATCACTTTACAGCTACAGAGAATTATTGTTCCCTGTTATCTTTACAGCTGGCTTGATCCCTTTCTGTTATTCCAGCCTGCTAAGTGGCCGGGTAGATTTTCAGTTTTTCAGTCTAAACTAATTGTACTTTCTCACACATACAAACTGCATCAGGGTTCCCCTCACCTTCTGGCTTCCAGTTCAGGAGACTGGAGAGCAGTGAGGATGGACGTGACTCCCTGGCCCTGCCCTTCTCAGTTGCATATAGGCAGGGCTTCTGGGCACCACTCCCTCCTTTAGTCCTGGGAGTGGTAAGGGCTCCCCACTCTTACCAGCCCCAGGAAGCTCACTATCTCCTATTGCTTTTTCTTAACTCTGTCCACACCTTTGTAAATGGTTCCATCATTAGTTACCCCACTTGAGTATGCCATTGCTTTCCTGCCGGGAATCTGAGTGATACGGTCATCTTCATCTGTAAAAAGAGGAGATTCACAGGTAAAGCCTGATGCTTAGAACATAGGCTCTAGGGGACTAATGGCCTGGCTTCCGATCCTGGCTTCACATCTTACCAGCTCTGTGACCCTGGACAGCTCTGTTTATGCTATTCATTCACTCATTCCCAAGAGCACCAGGAATAGTAGATATGGCAGTGAACAGGCAGACAAGTCAAATGTCCATCAGCTGATGGATGGATACACAAAAGCACGAAAGCCCATACAAGGGAATATTATTCAGCCATAAAAAGGAATGAAACACTGACCCATGCTCCAACATGGATGAACCTTGAAAACACTACGCTTAAGTGAAAGAGGCCAGACACAAAAGGATACATCTTTTACGACTCCATTTATAGGAAATGTCCAGAATAGGCAAATCACTTCAGTGTTGCTCTTGCTACCACTCAAAGACATCTATTTTCTTGTCTTTCTTTCTTTCTCTTTTCTTTCTTTCTTTTTTTTTTTTTTTTTTTTTTTTTGTTTTTTTGAGATGGAGTCTCCCCCTGTTGCCCAGGCTGTAGTGCAGTGGCAAGACTTTGGGTCACTGCAACCCCTGCCTCCTGGGTTCAAGCGATTCTTGTGCCTCAGCCTCATGAGTATCTGCAATTACAGCCATGCGCACGCTCAGCTGATTTTTGTGTTTTTAGTAGAGATGGGGTTTCACCATGTTGGCTAGGTTGGTCTCGAACTCCTGGTCACAAGCGATCTGCCCGCCTTAGCCTACCAAAGTGTTGGGATTACAGGCGTGAGCCACTACACCCGGCCTGTTTGTTGTCTTTCTGCTGCACTCTTGCACTGGTCCCTCATGCTCTCCCCTCTCCACTCCTTCAGCCCTTGTCCGCTATTTCATCACTGCTACCTCCTCCACTCCATGGATTCTGTTCTCAAAGAGGTTACCAAAGACTTCTCAGTTGCCAGACTGGGTGGATATATTTTATTCCTTATGTTACTTGATCTCTTGGATGCATTCAACATCACTGGCTACTTTCTGCATCTTGGACCAGTATTTTCCCTTGGTTTCCATGACTTTCCTGGGTCCCATGTTCTCCTGGTTTCTCATTTGTACTTCTATGACTCTTTATCTTATCTTTCTTTTTAAAAAATTAATTTAATTAATTTATTTTAGAGACTGGGTCTTGCTCTGTCGTCCAGGCTGGAGTGCAGTGGCGCAATCATGGCTCACTGCAGCTTCAAACTTCTGGGCTCCAGTGATCCCCCTACCACAGCCTCCTGAGTAGCTGGGACCACAGGCACATGCCACCAAGCCTCGTTAATTTTTTTTTTAATTTTGTAGAGATAGGGTCTTGCTATGCTGCCCAGGCTGGTCTCGAACTCCTGGCTTCAAGTGATCCTCCTGACTCAGCCTTCCAAAGTGCTGGGGTTACAGGCATAAGCCACTGCATCCAATCTTTGTCTTATCTTTCTCTGGCTCTCTTCTCCCTGTAAATATCAGTTCCAGCAAATTGTCTCTCAGCACTTCTTATGATTCTATCAGGATAGGACAGGTTATGCTGCAATAACAAAGCACTCTCAGTGTCTCATGGCTTATAGCAGTGATGAATTAATTCTCACTCACACTATATGTCCATCATGGGTCTCCCAGATGGCTCAGCTCTCTGTAATCACTCAGAGATCGAGGCTAACGGAACAGCCATTGTCTTGAACTCTTTAATGAGAACTCTGGAGAGTCTCACAGCAGCAATGAAATGTTCTGACCTCGTGATGGAAGGAATATAAAGTTACCAAAAAAAAAAAAATTGGGGATTGAACGGTGGATTTCTTAGTCTTGTGAGTGTGTGGGTGTGTTTACAATTTACAGAAAATCAAGTGACATTCTTCAGCAGAAAAGGGAGTTTTTTTTTTTGAGGAAACACTTATCTCACAGACTGCAAGTGCAGGAAATGTGCCCAACCTCATGAGAACCTATTAATAGAATCAGAAACCAAACTGTCCTGTGCTGAGGTTGCTCTTTCAGTTTGTCTGAAGCCCGCCTCTGTTTGTCTCTGTGTGCCCATTGCGAGTCTCTCTAAACACTGGCTTCCTCTGTTTCTCCCAGGGCACGTGGTTCAGCAATGCTCTCCAAGTTAGGTTCCACAGTTCAAATGCAAGCCCAGATCCCCTGCCCAGTTCCAGAACTCAAGGGGAATGAATCTGATTGGCCTAATTCTTTATCCCTGGTCCAATCAGCTATGGCTGTGGGCGGGGCCATAATCACACAGGGCGTCAAGGGCCAACCTCCGTTGGGGGAGAAGGGAGGGAGGAAAGAAAGGAAGATGGCGGGAGAGAGAGAGAGAGAGAAGGGGGGTGGGAAGAGAGAGAGAGAGAGGGAGAGAGAGAATGAGAATGTGACTCTCAGAGAATAGAGGCTCCAAGGCTGAGGGACTGCTGGTTAAATACCCGTTCCTCCCCCAGGTGGGACAACTCTGAGACAAGTCTAGGCAGTCTCCAGAGGGCCTGAGGGGGTCTGAGCCCAGATGCCCACAGCCGTGACCTGCTCTTTAATTAATTAATTAGTTTTATTTATTTCCAGTGTCTTGCTCTGTCGCCCAGGCTGGAGTGCAGTGGCACGATCTCGGCTCACTGCAACCTCCGCCTCCCGGGTTCAAGCGATTCTCCTGCCTCAGCCTCGCTAGTAGCTAAGACTACAGGCGCGTGCCACCACTCCCGGCTAATTTTTGTATTTTTAGTAGAGTTGGAGTTTCACTATGTTGCCCTAGCTGGTCTAGAACTGCCGACCTCAGGTGATCCGCCCGCCTCAGCCTCCCAAAGGGCTGGGATTAGAGGTGTGAGCCACTGCGTCCGGCCTCCTGACCTACTCTTTAATGCTTCCTGTGTTGACTGCCTTCCCTTTCCTGTCTCACTTCCCCACTCCTCTTCCTGGGTCGCCTCCCAAACAAACTACTTGGACCTGAATCTCGTCCAGCCTTATGTTCTGGTGTTAAAGAGTCTGTCTGGAATTTACCCTGAGAACAATAGGTGGGTTTATAAACGGGTGTGCATGGTCTCATTTGCAGCTCAGTCAGAGCACTCTAGCTGCACCATGGAAAATGGGCGGAAGGGGCAAGAGTGGAGCCAGGGGTCTGCCCAGGGAGAGGGTAGAGTGACATGGAGGGGGACCGAAGACAGATCCCTGAAGGACACCAACACCAAGGAGACTAAGCTGAGGCAGAGTAGGGAGGAGAGGAAAGCCGAAAGACAGTGAGTCCCCAGAGGCCATGGGGTGAACACTTCACAAATAAACCGGTGACCACGGAGATATTAAGAGCGATGGTAAATCTGTGTAATTAAAGCAGCTCTAGTAAGGGAACTGACAGACACATTATTGGAACAGGGTGGAGTCACGTATTAAACACAAAGATAGGTGCAGACCGGGTGCGGTGGCTCATACCTGTAGTCTCAGCACTTTGAGAGGCCAAAGCAGGAGGATTGCTTGAGCCCAGAAGTTTGGGACCAGCCTGGGCAACATGGCAAAACCCTGTCTCTACAAAAAATAAAAAAATTAGCCAGTTGCGGGAGTGCACACCTGTAGTTCCAGCTTCTCGAAAGGCTGAAATGGGAGGATCCCTTGACCCTGGAAGGTCAAGGCTGCAGTGAGCCAAGATTATGTCACTGTACTCCAGCCTGGGCCACAGAGTGAGACTCTGTATGCAATAATGAAAAAAAAAAAAAAAAGAGTAGGAACTTAGTGTGCAATAAAAGCATTTAAATCAGGGGAGAAAGAAATTTCTCCAAATAGGATCTTTAAACAATTGGCTGCTCGTTCAGGGGAGGTCAGAGGAGACAGGAAAATGTACTCAAACTTTACAGATTTGCAAAGGTGTGTAACTATTTAAAATGTGATAGAACTGCCATGGGTAAACTGAGTCCTTTCCCTACTTTGTGTCAGTTGCAAAGAAAGAACACAAATTGGAGGGTTGCGGGGAGGAAGGCAAGCAGGATTTATTCTTTGGCCAGAGAAGGAGAAGGAATGACCTCTTGCTCCAGAGACGCCTCCTCCTCCCCAAGATGTGGGTAGCTGGGGAATTTTAAGGAGTTAGATATGGGGCGGGGAGGTTTGTATGTTTGTGCAGGGAGGAACTTTAGATGTGCAGGTGCAAATCATAAACATGTCTCTTCACAGGATGCATGTTTAGAAAATGGCAATTTTCTACAAAGATTAGCCAGGTGTGGCAGCGCACTCCTGTAATCCCAGCTACTCGGGAGGCTGAGACAGGAGAATGACTTGAACCCAGGAGGTGGAGGTTGCAGTGAGCCAAGATTGCACCACTGCACTCCAGCCTGGGCGACAGAGCGAGACTCTGTCTCAAAAAAAGAAAAACGAAAAAAAGAAAAAAGAAAATAGCAATTTTCTTCTCTGGGTGGGAATTTTAGTATTATAATGATATATTAATGGTCTAAAGATAGCAAGGAGTCCCTGATTCTGCGTTGCTCTGGTTTCCAGCAGGCTTTACCTTCCTCTGATAATTGGCAAAAGGTTCTGAAGCTCCCAGGCCATCTGGAGTCCTTGTAAACTAGCATACCTACAGGTAAAGAGACTGAAAGAAACTGTTTAAGAAACGAAATGGAGCTTTTGCAGCTATCTACTGCTTAAGAAAATAATGAGTGTTCAGCTGGTTTGCTCTCTCGGCTGTTTCTCCAGGACTGCCCCAGGAGCAGAGTCTCCAAAAGTGAGCAAAATCAGCTACACAAAATGGGACGTGCAAGTTACCCATATGTTTGTGTTGCACACATTTTGCATGAAAGGTAGAAAGTGCAAACAAAGAAAACTGGACACTCTTTGAAGTTACTCAACTGATGACGACACCTCACTCTCTTCTCTACGTGGCTGGTGTTCCATCTTTCCTCCCACAGACGCTGTGAGCATGTCAGTACCAGTGGGGCTTTGCAGCCATGATACAAGGCTTTTCTTCTCTGTCATGTGTACAGAGCCATGTACCACCATGGAACCAATGTTCCAGCCATGGTTCACTGTGTGGTTTCCTTCTTCATAACTGCCACGACTAAAACAACACGTCAAAGCAATATTTTTTTCCTCTTTATTTCTCCGGGGCAATTTCTCAGTGAATGTGCCTTTTTTATTTCTTTTTCCTTTTTTTTTGAGACGGAATCTCACTCTGTCGCCCGGACTGGACTGTAATGGTGTGATCTCTGCTCACTGCAACCTCCGCCTCCCGGGTTCAAGCGATTCTCCTTCCTCAGCCTCCCGAGTAGCTGGGACTACAGGTGCGCGCCACCACACCCAGCTAATTTTTTTGTATTTTTAGTACGGATAAGGTTTCACCATGTTGGCCAGGCTGATCTTGAACTCCTGACTTCATGATTTGCCCGCCTCGGCCTCCCAAAGTGCTGGGATTACAGACGTGAGCCACTGCACCCTGCCGAATGTACTTTTTTTTTTTTTAAACTCTATCTTACTTCCTTCTCATCACCTAATTCAGAATTCCTATAATCGTTGGTCGAGAGTCTATTGCCTAGTGATGTCAGAGGGTTCGCAGAAACCCCAGTGCCTTGGTATCCACAAATGTTTTTCTTTTAGTTATGCTGAACTGGTGCTGCCTAATAGGGCAGCCACTCACACATACTTCAATTTAAATTAATTAAAATGACGTAAAATTTAAAATTCTTGTTTTCAGCTGTACAAGCCATATTTTGATAGCCCCCTGTAGCTAATGGCTACCATATTGAACAGCAAAGATATACGGTACTTACCCAGCAGTATAGAAAGCTCAACCGGACAGTGCTACAACAGTTGCAGGTAAGCAAGCAAGGTAAGGATAGTCCCAATCAGATAGATGGCATCTATTTTGTGTGAAGCCTTGTGAGGTGGCTCACACCTGTAGTCCCAGCTACTTGGGAAGCTGAGGTGGGAGGATCACTTGAGGTCAGGAGTTTGAGACCAGCCTGGGCAACATAATGAAACGAAAATAAAAAAATTTTTTTTTTCTGTGTGAAATAGGAGGCACAGTAGTCCCAGCTACTTGGGAGGCTAAGGAGGGAGGATCACCTGAGCCCAGGAGGTCAAGGCTGCAGTGAGCCATGATTGCACCACTGCACCTCAGTCTGGGCAACAGAGCAAGACTCTGAAAAAAAAAAAAGAAAGAAATAGAGAAAGAGAGAAAGGAAAGAAAGAGAGAGAGAAAGAAATAGGAAGCAGAGTTGCTTAAGAGTGAGAGGGAAGGCAGGTGGGTGGGATGGTGGGATGAGTATAGAGAAGATTCGAAGGAAGGAAGGAGGGAGGGAGGGAGGAAGGAAAGAAAGAGAGAGAGAAAGGAGAAAGAAAGAAAGAAAAAGAAAGAAAAGAAAGAAAGAAAGAGAACGAAAGAAAGAAAGAGAAAGAGAGAAGGAGGGAGGGAGGGAGGAAGGAAGGAAGGAAGCAAGGAAGGAAGGGGAGGCAGAGGTGCCTGAGAGTGAGAGGGAAGGCAGGCAGGTGGGAGGTGGGATGAGTGTAGAGAAGATTCAAAATAGTTGCTATGGTGAATGGGAGGAGAGAGCCAACAGGGAAAACAGGAATTCCAGAGTAGTGGTAAGAATTAGAGACCATGAATTTGTTATTGCCAACAGTCTAGGTGACTGAGATTATGGTAGAGGCCTGGGCCTTCCCACCAATAGGAACCGCCTCCTACCTCCACACTCAGTAACCACCAGGACTTGCCAACTGGTTCACATAGTTTTAAGATGTGTCATCATTGGTATCTACTATGTTTGTTATGGTGTTGACATGTGTTACTGGGACAGTAGCTAGTCAGGTCCAAGATACAGGAGCAAAAGGCTGATTCAGTTGCTCTGCCCATAGGTCACCCTCCCCTGGGGCTTGCACCCCTGCCAGGCAGGAAGCTTCTCTTTGTCCCCTAACTCAACTCAGCCACTGGGAATGACTTCGTTCATTCAACTTAATCTGAGTATAACTACCCTACCTCCTTATGAATGCTGGATTTCTTTTAACCTCAAGATCTCCCCTCTGTTCCCCTCTACCCAAGCCAAATACCCATGCTATCCTTGGGAACTTTAAAAAATATCTATTTCCTAGTCAAGACAGCTGGCCACTTCACATAACAACGCAGGTCTTCTGCAACCCTAAACAAAGGCTGGAGATGGATGGGGAAACGCTCTCCTAATGGTGGATGGGTAGAGAGACGTCTGAGGTTTCTGGAAGACTGAGGACCTATTGTTTTCTCCACCAGTCTAAGCAGAACAGGTATAAAAACAGAATGGAAGGAAATTTACATTGATCCAGGACTGGGCTTTTGCTGCAAGTTGCAAATTAAGTTATTTAGGGTGCTTTTGTCTGAAAGTAGCAGAATGCCTGACTCAAGCTGGCTTAAATATGAAATAAATTATTATTTCATGTATTGGGATATCCTGGGGGAAGATACTTCAGATGGGGTTGATTTAGTGGTTTGACAACATCATCAAAGATCTGGGTTCTTCCTGTCTCTATGCACTGCCACCCTTGTTGCTGGGTTCATCCTCAGGAGGAAAGATCATCAGTTCTTTTGTCTCTTTCATGGGAAAATCTTTCCCAGAGTCCTCTTTACCCCACCTCACTCTACCCTCTAGAACTAGAAGTGAGTCACATGACTGTTTCTCTCCTGATAAGAGACAGGGAATGACCATGACCAACTTGGACCAACCGTCTGGGTTGGAATGGATGTTGGGGAGTCATTCACAACATCCATGACTGGGTATAGCAAAGATCATGGAATCTAGGCTGGATGGGAAAGGAATTGGAGGAAGGAGGGTCCTGAGAGGGAGAAAGTGGAAGGGCCAAGGGATCCTGGAGTTCGAAGAACTGCTAAGCTGGAATGATCAAAAGAACAGAAGGTACAAGTCTGTGATCAGAGAAATGTGAGACTTTAGAGGAAGATTCGTTCCAGGAGAAACTGAGGGCCAGTACATGGTCCAGGGAGATGGTGGCTAAAGTAGAGTGGAGGTGAAGGTCATTGGAATAAGAAGGGACAGGAGCTGAAGGGCCAGGAGTTCGGCCAGGTCCTGGGTCATTAAAGTCACCAATATGGCGGTAGGAACTGGGGCGAGAAGGGTAAGCCAGTTGCCAAAGCCCTCTGAGAATAACAGTTGATTGATTGATTGATGAGTAGGCATCATCAATGAGAAGGCACAGAAGGTGGTACAGCTAGATGTCAGGAGCCTCAGTGCTTACTCAAGATGGAGGACTATGGATCTGGAAATAGAGGTGTGGAGCATAGAGGACACCATGGGGGTGGGAGACGGACTACCATCCCCTGGGAAGGGCTTCGAGGACTGTCAGGGAAGAGCCAGGTCTTACTCAGGTCAGGAAGTAGAGGGAACTTTGTATGCAGAGGTCAGGACCTTAAAAATAAAGAGCACACCCCACTCTTCCCTTTCACCATCTCACAGGCTGGAATGAGAATCTGTAGGTGAGCCACCATTTACCCAGAGTGTGGGCCATATCCCTACCCGGTAATTGGTAATAGAAGCGTGCTTGAAACAGTCCTTCCCACGTGTCCGTTAATCCTTAGAGCTCGTCCGTATCAGGGGTGTAGCAGACACTCCTAGTTGCCCATTCAAAATCCATTTTAGGTAGGGCACAGTGGCTAATGCCTGTAATCCCAGCACTTTGGGAGGCTGAGGCAGGAGGATCCCTTGGGCCCAGGAGTTCGAGACCAGCCTGGGCAACATAGCGAGACCCCTTTTCTCTACAAAAAAATAGAAAAAATAACCAGGTGTGGTGGGCATGCGCCTATAGTCCCAGCTACTCTGGAAGCTGGGTGGCAATTGTGGGGGATCATTTGAGCCCAGGAGGTCGAGGTGAGCCGTGATCATGCCACTGCACTCCAGCCTTGAGTGCTCAGTGAGACCCTGTCTCAATAAATAAATAAATAAATAAATAAATAAATAAATAAATAAAGCATTCTATTTTCCTTATTAACAGAATCCCCAATTTTGTTCGGGTTTGAAACCCTTGAGAAAGACAGCTTCATCCCCAATTCAGGAGTATCACGTTAGTCTCATTCTGCTTGTGGTTGACTCGTGTAGGAATGGATATGAAAATGAGTATATGGCTATGAAACGTGAGAGGAAACTTGTTGGGGGGCTTCTAAAGAAAGATGTAGGGGCTGGGCACAGTGGCTCACACCTGTAATCTCAGCACTTTGGGAGGCTGAGATGGGAGGATTGCTTCAGATCAGGAGTTCAAGACCAGCCTGGGCAACATAGTGAAGCCCGTCTACAGAAATGTTAAAAATTAGCCAGGCGTGGGTGGTGCACACGTACAGTCCCAGCTACTTGGGAGGCTGAGGTGGGAGGGTCACTTGAGCTCAGGAGTCAAGGTTGCACATCGCTGCACTCCAGCCTGGGTGACAGAGTGAGAGCCCATCAAGGAAGGAAGGAGGGAGGGACAGAGGAAACCAAGGAAAGTAGGAAAGAAGCCAGGAAGGAAGGAGGGAAGGAAAGAAGGAAGGAGTCATTCCTAAGAAAGAGACACAAGAAGAGATGGCCTTTCTGAAATGACACGCTCTGGGTGGTAGAGCAGAATGATGGAAAGAACTTGGTTTGAACCGCTGAGTTAACTAACCCAGGAGCCACCCTACCTTGGGACTTCTCTCTCTCTCTCTCTCTCTCTGAAATATTGTTTAAGTCGTTTTAACTGGGCTTTCATTTACTCTTAGCCAAAGAATTCTGTGATGATCAGAAGACTGACCACAGCATCCCTGCAGAACAGAGCCAGACAAACATCCAGGCAAACATCCGCCTGCTGGAGGCAGCCTGCCTGGGTGCTGGGATCAGTCTCAAATCTAGCACACAATGGGCCACCCACGCTGGCATCTTTCCTATGGTGTCCTTGCCCTGGCATCTCCTGGTCATTGATAGGTCCTGGAATAAGGTACTGGAATGTGGCTCAGGTGTCTACTACCTTATAGAACCAAAGCCTCAATTCCCTTCCATTTTCTCATTCCCCTTGAGAGTTCTGGCAGCTTCTCCTTTAGTCCAACTAACACAGAAGAGATGCTCTCATTCAAATAATGGATGGGTTGACTGCCTCTAACTAGTCCGCCCTTCCTTCCTTCCTTCCTTCCTTCCTTCCTTCCTTCCTTCCTTCCTTCCTTCCTTCCATCTCTCGCTCTCTTTCTTTTTTGAGACAAGATCTTGCTTTGTCATCCAGGTTAGAGTGCAGTGGCACCATCATAGCTCACTGCAGCCTCGACCTCCAGGGCTCAAGCAATCCTCCCACCACAGCCTCCCAGTAGCTGGAACTACAGGCATGCATCACCACACTGGGCTAATTTTTGTATTTTTTGGAGAGATGGGGTTTCGTCATGTTGCTGGGCTCAAGAAATCTGCCGCTTCGACCTCCCAAAGTGCTGGGATTATAGGTGTGAGCCACTGCGCCTGGCCCAGAATTTCATTTCTTTTAAAGGCTGAATAATAAGTCTGTTGTACAGATATTCCACATTTTGTTTGTCTGTTAATCCGTAGATGAACATTTAGTTTCTTTCCACTTTTTGGCTACTGTGGATAATGCTGGTATAAACATGGTTCTACAAATTCCTATTCATGTTCCTGCCTTCAATTCTTTGGGGGGATATAGCCAGTAGTAGAATTGCTGGGTCATGTGGTAATTCTGTATTTAAGTTTTTGAGGAAACACGTTTTGTTTTTTCTTTTTTATTCTTTTAACACAAAGAACATTTCTTCTGTATTTTTATGTAATCTGCCAGGATAGCCACGCGTGCCTGATAGCATCTCCTTTTAAACCCAAAAGCTGAATACATCACCCTTGGAAGGGGAAATATCTTCCTTGTATCAGTGAGTCACCGCCTCTCTCGCTAAAGCAGAAATAAAAATTATTAATTTAATTCCAGCTGGGCACATTGGCTCATGCCTGTAATCCCAGCATTTTGGGAGGCCAAGGCAGACAGATCATCTGAGGTCAGGGGTTCGAGACCACCTTGGCCAACATGGTGAAATCCCATCTCTACTAAAAATATAAAAATTAACTGGGCATGGTGTTAGGCATCTGTAGTTCCAGCTACTCAGGAGGCTGAGGCAAGGGGATCACTTGAACCTTGGAGGTGGAGGTTGCAGTGAGCCGAGATCACACCGCTGCATTCCAGCCTAGGCAATGAGTGAGACTCCGTCTTAAAAAAATAAAAATAAAAATAAAAATAAAAATGTAATTCCAACAGTGCATTTTGCTACAGAGGATAGAGAGGGGAAGCAGAATAAAGTTATGCTGAATAGTTGGACATTTAGGACATGAGACAAAAAACAGAAGCAGAGAGACTGAGAGAAGGAAGAGAGGAGCTGAGTTATGGGGCTGTGGCGTGAAGACCACCAGCCCCAAGACTCCCTCGAGTGATCCTCAATAAAGAGTTCCTCCCTAGTCCTGGACTCCAGGAGGCCTGACTCATTTACAACATGTCTTCTTGTTTTCTACGAGATCTCGTCTTCCATATTTCTCTCTGAGCATCCGCATAAGAAGCCCTAAGTGTGTAACTGTTCAAACGAACGCAGCTAAAACACAGTCTCATTCCCTTGGTTCCCACCAAACTGACAGCACCTTCATGTCAATGACATTGACTCACTTGGGCCCATTTTGTTGAGCCAGTGACATGGCACTCATCAGAGTAGTCGTCTCAATCCAGCTAAAGAGCTCCAAGCCAAATGGAGAAGCCAGTGGAATGGGTAGGAACTGGGATTGTCACTATGCTGAGGAATGGAGATGGTGATATGGGATAAAGCAGGTACAGCAAGCAGGACGTGAGGGCCAGAGCTGAGGGGTCTGCAGGTCAGGAGGCTGAGCTCAGGATCGCTGGAGGCCCCAGGAAGGTGTAGGGAGGGCACCTTGGTTCTGCCCACCTGCAGGAAGAGAAGAGGGGATGGCGATAGAGTCCATGATTGAAGATCTCTGTACTTCTCCCTGCCCATGGCATAGCTCTTACCAAAACTCCCTCTTTTCACTGGCCTTTTTATCCAGTCAAACCAAATTTCCCTTGTCTCTCTCTCTCTCTCTCTCTTTCTCTTGCTTTTTTTCATACCCACCCCCATTTCTCTTATGCCTAGAACAGTCGCCCACTTAGCATCTGCCTGCCCAGTACTTTGCCTTCCTTTACAACTCCACCTACCACTTAATTTCTCTAAGTGGCTAATTAACTGAAAGTTGAATAATTATACCTCTTTCCCCAAAACACATCTCTGAAATCCCACATGCCCCTGGGGTTGCGATCCATGAAGAAAGGTCTCTGACTACCTAATTTTCATTAAGGGAATTCAATGAGATGACTAATTACAAGCACCATGCCTGGTATCTAATACTGTTCAGTGAACTGCAGCTATTAATTAATAATGATATGTTATTAATAATAATAAAATAATAATATGATATAAGCTCTTAGAAGACAAGGACAGTGGCTGCTCTATGCCAAGTTTCAATAATCCAATATTCAATTTTTTTTTTTTTTGAGACAGAATCTCGCTCTGTCGCTCAGGCTGGAGTGCAATGGCACGATTTCGGCTCACTGCAACCTCCATCTCCTGGGTTCAAGCAATTCTCTGCCTCAGCCTCCCGAGTAGCTGGGATTACAGGTGCCTGCCACCATGCCCAGCTAATTTTTGTATTTTTAGTAGAGACAGGGTTTCACCATCTTGTTCAGGCTGGTCTTGAACTCCTGACCTCGTGATCCACCCACCTCAGCCTCCCAAAGTGCTAGGTTTCTAGGCGTGAACCACCATGTCTGACCTCAGATATTTAATTGTAGCAGAGATTGATAGATTTTTCTGCCATGCCCATCTTCCCCCTCTAGCTCAATTTGAGATCACAGACCTTCATATCCATAGCTGTGGCTTATTGGACCAGGGTGAACATCTGCCCAGGAGAGCAAGACTATTGGCTGGTCAGTGGCCAATTGGGACTGCTCTATTGAGAATATGAGCCATGTGTAGCGGCTCATGCCTGTAATCCCAGCAATTTGGGAGGCCAAGGCAGGAGGATCACTTGAGGCCAAGAGTTCAAGACCAGCCTGGGCAACATAGCGAGACCCTGTCTCTACAAAAAAAAATTTTTTTTAATTAGGCATGGTGGTGTGTGCTTGTAGCCTAGCTACTTGGGAGCCTGAGGTGGGAGGATTGCTTTAGCCAAGAGTTTATTTGTAGAGATGAGGTTTCACTATGTTGCCCAGGCTGGTCTCAAACTCCTGGGCTCAAGCAATCCTCCCACCTCGGCCTCCCAGAGTGGTAAGATTACAAGCGTGAGTCACCAGACCCAACCCCAGCTCTGCCATCTCTATGGTGTTACCTTCATCAGCATGATCCAAAATGGTTCCCACCAGAACTGAATTCTAAAAAGGCTGGAAGCACTTTAGGAGGCTGAGGCAGGTGGATCACCTGAGGTCAGGAGTTCGAGACCAGCCTGGCCAACATGGTGAAACCTCATCTTTACTAAAAATACAAAAAATTAGCTGGGCGTGGTGGCACGTGCCTATAATCCCAGCTATTTGGGAAGCTGAAGCAGGAGAATTGCTTGAACCCAGGAGGTGGAGGTTGCAATGAGCGGAGATTGCACTACTACACTCCAGCCTGGGTGACAGAGCAAGACTCCATTTTTCAAAATCAATAAATCAATAAAAAATTAAAAGCCTGGAAGAAAGAGGAAAGGAGAAAGAGAAGGCATGTTCCTCCCTTGAAGGATGGGATCTGTCACTGCCACTTGCAGGTCATTGGCCAGAGCGTAGTCACATGGTCACACCTACCTGCAGTAGAAGGTAGGAAATGCCATCCTCATTCTGCTGACCATGTTCCCTACCGAAAATCAGGGAGCCAGACATTGAAGACAACCAAGAATTCCTGCCACCAGTACCCATGAAACAGTCCTCTGAGCTGGGGCTGAATGAGTCCTACACATGGAAGGAAATCTTTGGGTTTCCAGGGGATCTGGGCAGCTCTGAGGCATATAACATAGCCCAGCCAGGAAAAAGCTCCCAAAAGAGAATTTATTTGTCCAGGAATGTACAGGCAAAAAATCACCATTCTGTGTTTTTCCATGGGGTAGAGGCCTGACCAACCTCATGTGGTTTGTTCCGTCCAGCTTGGCACTGACAGAGGCTGGTGGGGCCTGGGGGAGGGTCTGAAAATCCAGGGTCTCAGGTATGAACTACTGCTCTGATCAACTGCTAGGCTGTGTCCTGTGGGAATGTGCTGGGTTTCTACATGACCCAGAGGTCACTGATTTCACAAGATCTGCAAACAATCCAATATTCAAATATTTAACTATAGCAGAGATTGATAGATTTTTCTGCCATGCCCAGTATCCCCCTATAGCTCAATCTGAAATCAACAGACCTTCATATCCACAGCTGTGGCTTATTGGACCATTCCCTGATCCACCAGCTGAACGAGAGTCATGCTGTCCTCTGAGGCTCCACCATACCTGGAATAGACATCTCTTGGTAGGACCATGCTTCCTGTGTTCTCAGTTGATATGGCTCAGATTGAGCTGTCCCCTTCCGCAAGTCCCAGGGGCAGGTCCAGGATCCAGTCCTAGATAATCAAAGCACAATTTTTCCCTGGCTACTGTGCTTTGTTCAAGAGCAGGCACATGATTCAGGTTGGTCTGAGACAAGTCTTGGAATTTTGGCTAAAATCATTGAAAAAGTGGTGCTCTTTGAGTTGGAGTTGCTAAGCTGGCAGGACATAAGCCTAAAGCTCTTGGTGGCCGTCATGCCAGCAGGGAATTAAGTTGACTCAGAGAAAACCAGAGGCAGAGGGTAATGATGGAGGGATTTCTGATGACATCATTTGAACACACTGATCAAGCCATACCTGAAACCTCACTAGATTTAGGAGCCAATAACCTCCCTTTATTGCTTAAGCCAATTGGAGCAGGCATACATATCACTTTTGACCAAGAGTCTTGGCTAATCTAGCATCTTTGTGTCCCTTCATAACGTGGCTTCTCACTTTGTATCTGATGTGGCAATTATTCCTGAGCACAATTAATGCGTCCTCCTTGGCTACGAGAATTTTTTTTTCTTTTTTTTTTCTTTTTAGATGGAGTCTCTCTCTGTTGTCCAGGCTGGAATGCAGCGGTGCGATCTCAGCTCACTGCAACCTCCACCTGCTGGATGCAAGTGATTCTCCTGCCTCAGCCTCCCGAGTAGCTGGGACTAAAGGTGCATGCCACCACGCCCGGCTAATTTTTATATTTTTAGTAGAGACAGGGTTTCACCATGTTGGTCAGGCAGGTCTCGAACTCCTGACCTCAAGTGATTTGCCCTCCTCAGCCTCCCAAAGTGCTGGGATTACAGGCATGAGCCACCGTGCCCAGCCAGCTATGAGATCTTGAAACCAGAATTCCTCCTAGGTGCCAGACACAACTCAGGTGTTTGGGGAATGCTTGGTGAATGAGTGGCTGGATCGATGAATGGATGGACTGATGGATGGAAATAATTAAGATAATACACGTCCCTCCAGAACATCAAGCCTCCAATTGCAGCCTATGCTTCTCCAGGCCTTTCTCAGAATCCTTGCCCCATTCTTGTGTTCATTCACTGAGGTAATAAATGTTTATTGCTCACTACAATGTGTGAGGCTGTGTGCCAGGGAGTGTGGCACAGTGGATTCCTCAGCCTAGACACTGTGGACACTTTTGTTTTTTGTTTTTGTTGTTATTGTTTTTGAGACAGGGCTTCACGCTATGGCCCAGCTGGAGTGCAGTGGCACAATCACAGCTCACTGCAGCCTCAACCTCCTGGGCTGAAGCAATCCTCCCGCCTCAGCCTCTCAGTTAGCTGCGACTACGGGTGCATGCCACCATGCCTGGCTAATTTTTTTTGTATTTTTTTGTAGAGATAGGGTCTTCCTATATTGCTTAACCTGGTCTCTTAATCTTAATCTTAATCTGGTGGCACCCGGGCTCTGGAGTCATATGGACCTGGATTTGAACCCCAGCTCTGCCCCTTCATCTTGGTGTGACCCTGGACAACTTGCTTAGCATCTCTGGGCCTTGATTTCTTCATCTGTAAAGTGAACATTGGTGGCATTTTGCCCATATAGTTGTTGCGAGAATAACCAAGATAAAATGACCCCTTACTATGTGCTATTTACAAATGTTAGCTGTAATTATGCTTTTGCTTTCCAATTTAACTAGCCAGGTAGGTAGGTAAGTAGGGGGAGAGAGAGAGGGAGAGAAGGAGGAAACAGCAAAAATAAAAGCATTTTTTTCTCTGATAATTTGAGGAAAATATACTTGTCTAGACCAGTGGTTCTCAACTAGGGATGACTGTGTGCCCCAGGGACGTTTGGCAATGTCTGGAGACATCTTAGTTGTCACGACTGAGGGAGTGCTACTGGCATCTGCAGCCAGGGGTGCTGCTAATCTATAGGACAACCCCTGTGACAAAGAAATACCTGGTTCCAATGTGCACAGTAGCCAGGCATGGTGGCTCACACCTGTAATCCCAGCACTTTAGGAGGCTGAGACAGGAGGATAGCTTGAGCTCAGGAGTTCAAGACAAGCTTAAGCAATACAGGGAGACCCTATCTCTACAAAAAATACAAAAAAATTAGCCAGGCATGGTGGCGTGTGCCTGTAATCGCAGCTACTTAAGAGGCTGAGGTGGGAGGATTGCTTCAGCCCAGGAGGTTGAGGCTGCAGTGAGCTGTGATTGTGCCACTGTACTCCAGCCTGGGCCACAGAGTGAAACCCTGTCTCAAAAACAGCAACAACAACAACAAAAAACAAAAGTGTCCCCAGTGCCTAGGCTGAGGAATCCTGGTCTATCATACATTGACATCTCTGATATTAAGGGCCACAGTGCAAGGTACAGTGTCTGGCACATAGTAGGTGCTCAATGAATGTTTGACAACCACATGAATGAATGAATCAATCAATCACAGAATGGATGAATCATCGAATGAATGAATGATTATATAGTTCATTTGTCATTTGGCTGAGTGCCTGGGACAGGGCTGCATCCGAGCAGCTGTTCATTAAATAGGTATGGACAGGTTCCTGTAAATGTTCCCTTCTGAAGCAGCTGGGGAGTGAGGTCCTGGCGGGGGAACACCCGGCCTCACAGCTGTGGTTCCAGGTCATGATAAATTGCTGTGGGAAGCCACAGAGCAGACAGCTCATCACACATTGTAATGGATTCATTGTCTTCTCTCGTGGCCCCCTTTATCTCAAACTCTCAGCAGACAAGGGTTAAAAGGGAGTGAGCTGAGTGAGGGCCTGTGGATGCTGCTCTTCAGGAAAAGGAGGGAAAATGAGCCCAGACAGGATCATCGTTAACCGGCTCCAAGGTCAAGAGCCGGGTTAGAACGTTAGAATTAGAGATGGGGGCAGGGATGGCGGCGGGACTCTCTCCATCACCACACCCTATCTAATTCATTTATTCAACAAATATTTATTGAGTACCAGAGACTCTTTGGGCATATGTGAGTTAACAAAACAGATGAAATCCTTACCCTGTTGGAATTTATATTTTAAAGAAGCAGGATGAACAATGGACACATAGGCCGGACATACCATGTGTGAGGGGCCCTGTGCATTAGGAGAAAAATCAGGTAGGGAGGGAAGATAAGGCATGTTTGGGGCTGAGTTTTTCCATTGAGGTGAAATTCAAATAACATGAAATTAATCATTTAAAAGTGAACAATTGGCCAGCGCGGTGGCTCAGGCCTGTGATCCCAGCACTTTGGGAGGCTGAGGCGGGAGGATTGCTTGATCCCAGGAGTTAGAGACCAACCTAGGCAACACGACAAGACTCCATCTCTGTTTTTTTTTAAGTGAACAATTGAGTGGCATTTAGTTCATTCACAGTGTTATGTAACCACTATTTCTGTCTAGTTCCAGAACATTCTCATCACCCCAAAAGGAAACCCCGTACCCATTTGGCCATTCCTCCTCCTCCAGCCCCTGGTAACCGTTGCTTTTCTTTCTCTGTGTGGGTTTGTCTGTTTTTGGATATTTCACATAAATGGCATCATACACTATGTGGCCTTTTGTGACTAGCTCCTTTCACAAGAATCTCACCTTGTTTTCAAGGTTCATTCATGTGGTAGCATGTGCCTTTCATTCTTTTTTATGGCTGAGTAAAATTGAATCACATGGATAGACCACATTTTGTTAATCCATTCGTCTGTTTAGGGACATCTGGGTTGTCTCCATCTTTGGCTACTGTGAATAGTGCTGTTGTGAACATTTAGGTTACAAGTATCTGTTTGAGGCCAGGCATGGTGGCTCACGCCAGCAGTCCTAGCACTTTGGGAGGCCGAGGCGGGTGGATCACTCGAGATCAGGAGTTCGAGACCAGCCTGGCCAACACGGTGAAACCCCATCTCTACTAAAAATAAAAAATAAAAATAAAAATGGTATCTGCTTGAGTCCCCATTTTCAATTCTTTGGGGTAAAAACCTAAAAGTGGAACTGCTGGGTATATGGTAATTCTATGTTTAACTTTTTTAGGAATGGCCAGTTTCCCACAGCAGCAGCACCATTTTACACTCCTATCAGTAATATACAAAGCTTCCAATTTCTTCATCTCCTCACCAATACTTGTTATTTTCCATTTTTAAAATAACAGTCATCCTAGTGATAGGAAGTCGTGTGTCCTGTGGTTTTGATCTGTGTTTCCCTAATACATATCATTACGTGGTGAGCATCTTTTCATGTGCCCATTGGCCGTGTATATATATCTTCTTAGATAGTCCTTTGCTCACTTTTGACGTTGGTCATTTGTCTTTTTGTTACTGAGTTAAAAGCATGGAGCTAACTTATTTTTATTTATTTTTATTTTTTTATGTTTTTTGAGACAGAGTCTCATTCTGTCGCCCAGGCTGGAGTGCAGTGGCGCAATCTCGGCTCACTGCAACCTCCGCCTCCCAGGTTCAAGTGATTCTCCTGCCTCAGCCTCTCAAAGTGCTAGGATTACAGGTGTGAGCCATGACGCCCAGCCTGAACTTTTAAATAGGGTGATCAGAAAAGACCTCCCTAAGATGATGACTTTTTTTTTTTTTTTTTTTTTAAGATGGAGTCTCACACTGTTGCCCAGGCTGGAGTGCAGTGGCGCGATCTCGGCTCACTGCAAGCTCCGCCTTCCGGGTTCACGCCATTCTCCTGCCTCAGCTTCCTGAGTAGCTGGGACTACAGGTGCCTGCCACCATGCCCAGCTAATTTTTTGTATTTTTAGTAGAAACTGGGTTTCACCATGTTAGCCAGGATGGTCTACGATCTCCCGACCTCGTGATCCACCCACCTTGGCCTACCCAAAGTGCTGAGATTACAGGGTGAGCCACCGCGCCCGGCCAGATGATGACTTTTAAGTGAAGACCTTAAGAAGGTGATGGGGGATGCCAAGGTGATATCTGAGAAGAGCATTCCAGGCAGAGAGGATGTCACATGCAAAGGCCCTGAGGTAAGTCACTTTCATTTGTCTGCAACTCGGTTTTCCTGTCTGCAAATGGGGAGGAATAAAACCATGAAGCATCACGTCAAATGCTGGCAAATTATCAACACCTGGGTTCCCCACAACTCTTGCTCTTAAGCAAGATACTTAATGTCTCAGAGCTTCCATTTGCTCACCTGTAAAATGGTGATAATAATAATTGTACCGACCTCACAGTGTTATCAGATTAAAAGAAATATGATTTGCCAGGGCTTGGCACACAGTAGTGTTCAGAAATGCAGGGTTTGAACCCAGACCAGGAGGACTTCCAGTCCTGAGGGGCGATCACAGCTCACTGCAGCCTTGACCTCCCAGGCTCAGGTGATCCTCCCACCTCAGCCTCTCAAGTAGCTGGGACTACAGGCATGTGCCACCATGCCCAGCTAATTTTTGTATGTTTTGTAGAGATGGGTTTCACCATGTTGCCTAGGCTGGTCTCAAACTCTTAGGCTCAAGTGATGTGCCTGCCTTGGCCTCCCAAAGTGCTAGGATTACAGGTGTGAGCCACTGTGCCTGGCTCCCCTCCCTCCCTCCCTCCCTTCCTTCCTTCCCTTCTTTTTTTTGAGTTAGAGTCTCACTCTGTCCCCCAGGCTGGAGTGCAGTGGCACAATCATGGCTTACTACAGCCTTGAACTCCTGGGTTCAAGCCATCCTCCTGCCTCAGTCTCCCAAGTTGGGATTACGGGCACGAGCCACTGCACCTGGCTCAGTTCCCCTCATTTCTATGGGAGAGTCTGAAGGGTTTCATAGTGTGGGGGCCTGTGGTCCATCCTGACTGCTACCCTGTACACACACATGTGTCTGCCCAACAAATACCATTCGGGGAAATAACAAAACACAAGATCTATCTTTTTCAACACAAGTTACCATGGTGTTTTGCTTTGTCTTGTTTTTTGGTGGCAAATAGATTGTGGGCCTTGGGGTCTCAAGTGAGTGTTCAGATCCCAGCTTCCGTGCTTTACTGGTTGTTGGACCTCCGGCAGCACCCAAGAGGACTTTGGGCCTTATGGGGCCACACAGATGGTTATCCTGGTATGAAGAAAAGGACAAGAAACCCGAGCAGTTTGGGTGGCAAGGGAAGAACAGGAGAGAGAAATTCCAATCAGCCTATTTAAAATGCCGTGCAGAGCCTAGTGAGAGTGAAACGACAATCCACTAGTTTCCAGCCCTTATTTTTCTCCCTCTAGAAAGAACTAGGAATTAGGAATCTCAGATTCGAGCCATCACTTTGTCCAAAGCTAACTCTGTGCCCTTGAGCAAATCCCTTCCACTCTCTGCCTCAGTTTCCCAGGAATCCCTTTGTAAAGACCTTTTCCTCTCTGTAACCATGGTGGTGCTGCTACTGACCAGCAGAGGGCAGTGTTGCACCAACATTCTCTATGGCTCTGCATTGCTTTTGCCTGACCTTGGACGGGAACATTGAAATCATTAATTAGTGGTCAGTGTCATCATCTTTTTCAAAAGGCCTTATTTTATCCTCAGTGCATAGTCAGAACAAGGTCTTGCCACAGTGTACAGATGAGGAAGCAGAGCCTCAGAAACATAAGAAACTTAATTACTGGTAATTTTGGTCACACCACGTCCTAAATTTAGACTCTCAGAATGGTATGAACCCATTGCTGTGTGTCTGAGCAGCAAAGCATTGATAATCCATTACCTGCTTTATGCATCATGAAGCACTTTCTGATCCTCAATATCAGACAATTCTCATCTTATTCTCCTCCAGTTTGTAAATGAGCAAACTGTGGCTTCTAGAGGCTATATCATTTGACTTACAGCTTTTTTTTTTTTAGAGAGGCCCAGGCTGGCCTCGAACTCCTGGCTTCAGGTGATCCTCCCACCTCAGCCTCCCAAGTAGCTGGGATTACAGGTGTGAGCCATTGCACCTGGCACCAGCATATTCACAATCAGTTCCATCTTAGAGACTGTTTGGTGGACTCCCAAAAATATTAGTTTAAAAATGACAGAGCCTGGCGTTTTGCAATTTTTATGTGATGAAATGTACTGAGTTCTCATATAAATATTGCTCCTTGTTTTGCAAAAGGAATTAGGCCCCTTTCCCTGTCTCAGCAGCTGCACCGGTTATTAGCAATCCCCTAGGGAACTGGAATAGCTTTAGATCAACAGTGGTTCTCAAAAGGGACTATCAAATGACACACCTGTCCCCAGCTCCAGATTCCGATATCCACACCCCAAACATCCAATCACTGTTTCTCATAGTCTTTTGATGTTTTTTGTTTTTGTTGTTTTTGGTTTTTGGTATTTTTTTGAGACAAAGTCTCGCTCCGTCGCCTGGGCTGGAGTACAGTGGTGCCATCTCGGCTCACTGCAACCTCCACCTCCCAGGTTCAAGCTATCCTCCTGCCTCAACTTCCCACCATGCCTAGATAACTTTTGTAATTTTAATAGAGATAGGGTTTCACCATGTAGGCCAGTCTGGTCTCAAAGTCTTTTTTTTTTTTTTTTTTTTTTTTTTTTTTGTCAGAGTCTCGCTTTGTTTACCGAGCCAGAGTGCAGTGGTATGATCTCGGCTCACTGCAACCTCCACCTACCAGGTTCAAGCAATTCTCTGGCCTCAGCCTCCTGAGTAGCTGGGATAACAGGTGCACACCACCTTGCCTGGCTAATTTTCGTATTTTTAATATAGTTGGGGTTTTACCATGTTGGCTAGGCTGGTCTCGAACTCCTGACCTCAAGTGATCCACCCACCTCACCCTCCCAAAGTGCTGGGATTACAGGCGTGAGCCACCAGGCCCAGCCTAATTTTTTGTATTTTTAGTAGAGACAGGGTTTTGCCATGTTGGCCAGGCTGGTCTCAGACTCTTATCCTCAAGTGATCCAGCTGCCTCAGCCTCCCAAAGTGTGGGGATTACAGGTGTGAGCCACCGCACCCGGCCTTCTGCTTGATCAATTCTGCTATTAAGACTCTGATGCATTCTTCAGTATGTCAATTTCATTTTCAACTCTAGAATTTCCTCTTGATTCTTTTTAATTATTTCTATTTCCTTGTTACATTCATCTGATAGGAAATCTGAATTCCTTCTCTGTGTCATCTTGAATTGCTTTGAGTTTCCTCAATACAGCTCTTTCAAATTGTCTGCCTGAAAGGTTGCCTATTTTTGTTTCTCCGTGATTGGTCCCTGGTGCCTTATTCAGTTTGGTGAGGTCATGTTTTCCTGCGTGGTGTTGATGCTTATGGATATTCATCAGTGTCTGAGCAGTGAAGAGTTAGGCATTTATTGTAGTCTTCACAGTCTGGGCTTATTTGTGCCTGTGATTCTTGGGAAGGCTTTTCAGGTATTCAAAGGGACTTGAACCCCGAACCCAATAAAACTGTAGTTCTGCGGACTCGTAAAGGTACCACCTTAGTGGTCTTGGAGAAGATCCAGAAGAATTCTCTGCATTACCAGGCAGAGATTCTTGTTCTTTTCCCTTGCTTTCTTCCAAACAAATGGAGTCTCTCTCTCTCTCTCTCCAAGCTAGGCCTCTTGGAACTGGGGGTGGAAGGACACAAGAACCCCTGTGGCCATCACCACTGGGACTGCACTGGTTCAGACCTGAAGCAGCCCAGCACTGGGTCTCACCTAAGGTCTGCTAGAACTGCTACCTGGCCATCACCTGAATTCACTCAAGGGCCTGGGACTCTACAATCAGCAGGTGGCAAAACCAGCCAGGGTGTTGTCCCTCCCTTCAGGGCAGTGAGTTCCCTGGGAAGGTCCAGAGATGCTGTCTGGGAGCCAGGGATTGATAAACCTTAGAATTCTATTCTAAGATAGAATAGAATTCTATAGATGTATCATTCCACTGCAGGTAAGCTGGCACTCAAACCACAAGACAAAGTCCTTCCCACTCTTCACTCCCCTTTCCTCAGTCAGAGGAACCTCTCCTTGTGGCCACCACTTCCACCAGCCTGCAAGGAGTTCTCCCAGGCCACTGCTGATGTTCACAAAAACCCCGAGGGCTCTTCAGGCAGCCTGCGATGAATGCTATCAGGCCTGTGACTCATCCTTCAGGCAGTGGGCTCCCCTTGGCCCAGGGCAGGTCCGCAAATGCTGACCAACAGCCTAGGCCTGTACTCAGGGACCCCAAGAGCCTGCTTGGTGCTCTACCCCACTGTGGCTGAGCTGGTACCTAAGGGGCAAGACAAAGTCCCCTTTACTCTTCCTCCTGCTTTTCTCAAACAGAAGGCATCTTTCACTGTAGCCACCACAGCCGGAAATGTGCTGGATCACACCTGAAGCCAGCATGTCTCAGAGCCCAGTGCCCACAGGTGGATGGGAAGTAGGATTTAGTGGTGAGTATTAAGAAGGGGCAGCACAGCAGAAGCCCTCACGAGTGCAGGGCCCACTACTTGTCCAGAGGGCCACAATGAGGATGTACTTGACCCCACACCCATCTCAGATGAGCCACTTCTCAGCCACCGTGTCTTCAAATTCATCTTCACTGAACTTGGTGAAGACCCACTTCTGTGAGATGTGGATCTTCTGGCAGCCAGGAAACTTGAACTTGGCCCTGAGCAGGGCCTTAATCACATGCTCCTTGTTCTCTGGGTTCAAGGCGGATGGACATGATAATTGGCCAATGTGAACCCCAGCCACGGTGCCCCGGGGCTTTCCAAAAGCACCTCACATACCTTTTTGGAGCCTACACTGGGGTAGTGCAAGGTCAGAGACATGAACATCCATCTGAGGGCCTGTCTCCAAGGTCCCTTAGAGCAGCCATACAAGAAACAGGCTGCATACACCACCAAGGAAGCTGCTGTTTGCAGCCATTGCACACGTCCCCCATGAGGCGAGGAACTCAGCCAGCTGAGTTGGCTGTAGATGCCCGCAGCATATTACCTGGCTATGGCTGTTGGTTATACAGGGCCCAGGGGCTCCTTAGTCAGCAGATGATGAATGCTGCCAGGTCTCTGCTGTGATGGGACAGCACTGAGTTCAATGTAAAGTCCCCAAGTTGCTAGCTCTCCCTCTCCCAAATGCACAGATCTGTCTGTGCCACATGGCCACTGCCAGGGGTGGGAGTAGGGGGTGGCCCAAAGAACTCCCTTAGCTGCCCCAGCTAATGTCTCAGGAGGTTGTGTGCCCCTGACTCCACAGTCCACTGGTTGTGAGCCCAGCTCGGCACTCGGGTTTGCCTGTGAATTGCAGTCCTGATGGCCTAAACTGCCCCTCAAGTCTGCTAAGGGCCCCAGAGCACTCCAGCTCGCAGTGGCAAGGCTTGCCAGAACTCAAGCTCCAACTGCTAAGATGGGCAATTCCGGTGAGTGCCAGTCCAAGCGCTCCTTGTGTGAGCCAGTGTCAGCGAAGTACACCTCGGTTCTGCTTTCTGCTGTGACAATGCAGCACCGAGTTCAATGCGAAGTCTCACAATTGCTATGCTCTCCCTCTCCAAAGCACACTGATTCTCCGTGCCACGGGGCTGCTGCTGGGGGGTGGGGGATGGGTGGCATCAGCAACTCAAGACTGTCTTTCCTGCCCTCTTCAGCATCTCTTTCAGCGATATAAGGTTAAAACCGGGTACTGTGATTGTTCACCTGATTTTTGGTTCTTGCGATGGTGCTTTTTGTGTGTAGTTAGCTGTTAAAATTTGGTGGTCCTGTGAGGGGTCAAATGATGTAGGTTTCTTTTTTTTTTTTTTGGGAAAGATCTCGCTCTGTCGCCCAGGCTGGAGTACAGTGGCACGATCTCGGCTCACTGCAAGCTCTGCCTCCCGGGTTCACACCATTCTCCTGCCTCAGCCTCCCAAGTAGCTGGGACTACAGGTGCCTGCCACCATACCCAGCTAATTTTTGTATTTTTAGTAGAGATGGGGTTTCACCATGTTAGCCAGGATGGCCTTGATCTCCTGACCTCATGATCCGCCCGCCTCGGCCTCCCAAAGTGCTGGGATTACAGGCATGAGCCACCGCGCCTGGCCAAATGGTGTTGGTTTCTATTCAGCCATCCTGCTCCACCCTCTGTGATTTTTTTTTTTTTTAATTGAAAAGCACAGGCAAAGTTTGGTTGTGGTGGTGGTAGAGACAATAGTGATTATTAGCAGAAAAAGAAAAGAGCTCCAGGATGCTGTCCATATTTAATGTGCAGGCCTCCTGGCTGGATCATATTGATGGTTCAAGTAGAGGGACAGGGTCGCCACTATCCCCCGACTACTCCATGTCATCAGACCTCTGGCTCCTCACAGGGCCCAGGTACATGGGACTCTGTTTTTTCTTTTCTTTCTTTCTTTCTTTCTTTTTATTTTTTTTTTTTTGAGACAGAGTCTCACTCTGTCACCCAGGCTGGAGTGCAGTGGTGCCATCTTGGCTCACTGCAATCTGCACCTCTGGGTTCAAGTGATTCTCCTGCCTCAGCCTCCCAGGTAGCTGGGATTATAGGCGTCTGCCATCATGCCTGGCTAATTTTTGTATTTTTGTAGAGGTGGGGTTTCACCATGTTGGCCAGGCTGTTCTCGAACTCCTGACCTCAGGTGATCCACCTGCCTCAGTCTATCAAAATGCTGGGATTATAGACGTGAGCCACCATGCCCAGCCAGGACTCTGTCTTTTCATTGTGCAGTCCTACAGACCTTCTCTTTCATCTGTACCTGTTTCACTAGCCAGGGCACCAGTCTCCTGAGGACTGCCTAGGTAAATGCCCGGATTAATTTGCTCCTGTAGGATATTTATAGACACTCTCTGTGGACAGATCATACACTCAGCAAAGAGCAGCAAACAGGTCTTAGCACCCTGTGAACCTGATCTTGGGAGGGGCCCCACACCCTCTCATATCACCCTCATTTAGTCTTATTTATACAAGTAGCAAATTTAGGACTCAAGATCTGCCCTGTGTCAATGTCTTTCTAGGCATTTTGTTGTCTGAAGTTTGTTATTTCTCTGGAAGAGATCATGGGAATAATAGCACCTGAGGTCTTCTGTCACAGCATGGCACGTCAGGGTCTTCTCTACCCAAATGTGAGTTTTGCTGGATATAACATTCACGGTTTACAGTTTCTTTTCTTAAATATGTACTCCATTTTCCTCAGGTACAAAGTATTGCTCTCAAAAAGGTAGATTCTAATTTCTTTCCCTTATTATGTCACTTGCGCTTTTTTGTCTAGAAGCCCAGAAATTTTTATTTTTTAAAGCCCGGTATTGTACTAGAATATTACTAATAACCTGCATTAGTCATTCTGAATCAAAATTCCATGCACTCTCTTTTTTTTAAATTTATTTTTGAGACAGAGTCTCATTCTGTCACCCAGGCTGCAGTGCAGTGGCATGATCTTTGCTCATTGCAGCCTCCGCCTCCTGGGTTCAAGTGATTTTCCTGCCTCAGCCTCCCGAGTAGCTGGGATTAAAGGTGCTCACCACCACACATGGGTAATTTTTGTATTTTTAGTAGAGATGGGGTTTCACCATGTTGGCCAGGCTGGTCTCGAACTCCTGACCTCAATTGATCCACATGCCTTGGCCTCCCAAAGTGATGGGATTACAGGCGTGAGCCACCATGCCTGGCCCATGCACTCTTTCAATAAGCAGAATCTTCCAGTAAGGGTATACTGAATTCATGGATAACATACTCTGATGTACCCAATAATCACTGGGCCAAGAATTGGCTTTTATTTTATTTTAGTTGCCAATTCTCTTCCATGTGACTGTCAGCAGATTCTTCTCTTTGCCGGATCTAAACAGACCTCATTGGTAAAACTCTCCATTGAAAACACTTTATAGATGGATGGAAGTGAAGCCAGGGCTCTGTCAAGCCTTTGCTTTTTATATTGTAGGAAGAGGGACTTGATTTCCCAGAGAAAGCCAAATCAGGGTCAGAATGACAAATTCTTGGCTTTTTCTGTGTGTGGAGAAAGAGAAAATATAAGCAAATAGATCTGAACAAGGTATTATATAAATGAGCCCAAAATGGGTCTGTATTGAATATCCAGTGCAATGAAACTGGAGATGAATAGCAGAAGGAAAACGGGAAAATTCAAAAATGTGGAAATTAGCAACACTCTTTTTATTGAGGTAAAATATACACATATAATTTGTCATCTTTACTTTTATTTATTTTTCTTCTTTTATTTTTTATTTTTGAGACGGAGTCTTGGTCTGTCACACAGGTTGGAGTGCAGTGGCGCGATCTTGGCTCATGCAACCTCCACCTCCCGGGTTCAAGTGATTCTCCTGCCTCAGCCTCCTGAGTAGCTGGGATTACAGGTGCCTGACATCACACCTGGCTAACTTTTGTATTTTTAGTAGAGATGGGATTTCACCATGTTGGCCAGGCTGGTCTCAAACTCCTGACCTCAGGTGATCTGCCCACCTCGGCCTCCCAAAGTGCTAGGATTACAGGCATGAGCCACTGTGCCTGGCTTTACTTTTTTTTTTTTTTTGAGACAGTATCTCGCTCTGTCACCCAGGCTGGGGTGCAGTGGCTTGATCATAGGCCACTGTAACCTTGCACTCCTGGGCTCTAGCAATCCTCCCACCTTGGCCTCCCAGAATGCTGAGATCATAGGTGTGAGCCACTGTGCCTGGCCATCTTTACCATTTTTAAGTGAAAATTGGTGGTAATAAATAAAGTTATATATGTATTTTTTTCCCCCTTGTATCTCCCTTTCCCTCTTCTCTTTGCTGCTTCTGTTAACAATCAATCTGCTCTCCATCTTCATGAGATCTGCTTATTTAGCTTCCACAGATGAGTAAGGACATGTGATATTTGTCTTTCTGTGCTTGGCTTGTTTCTCTTAACATAATAGTCTCCAGGTCCATCCATGTTGCTGCAAATGACAAGATGTCATTCTTTTGTACGGCTGAATGTTTATATGCCACATCTTCTTTATCCTGGGATAAAGCAAGTCTCCTGCTTCACCCTCCTGAGTAGCTGGGACTACAGGCACATGCCACCATGCCCAGATAATTTTTTATTTTTTGTAGAAACAGAATTACATCGTGTTGCCCAAGCTTGTCGTAACTACTGGCCTCAAGTAATTCTTCCACCTTGGCCTCCCAATGTGCTGGGATTACAGGCATGAGCCACCGACACCCAGCCACGTTGGCCATTTTAATGTCTGCTTTTGAGAAATATCTGTTCAGATCATTTGCCCATTTTAAAATTGGATTATTTGTTTTTTTACTATTGAGTTGTTTGAGCTCCTTACATATTCTGGTTATTAATCCCTTGTGAGATGGTTTGCAAATATTTTCTCCTATCTGATGGGTTGTCTTGAAGTAGGAGGTGGGACTTGATGCCAGTGGCAGGGCTCAGACATCAGACCAGATTGAGGACTAGCTAAAACAGGGAAGAGGCAAAAGCATCTCTCCATAAGACTTGGCCACCATTGTGCCATGTTAGTTTACCATTGCCATGGCAACATTTGGAAGTTACTGCCCCCTTCCATGGCAACAACTCAACGACCTGAAAGTTACTACCCTTTTTCTAGAAATTTCTGCATAATTCACCTCTTAATTTGCATATAATTAAAAGTAGGTATAAATAGGACTGCAGAACTGCCCCTGAGCTGCTGCTCTGGGCACACTGCCTATGGGGTGACCCTGCTCAACAGGGAGCAGTACCTCTGTTACTGCTGTACACGGCTGCTTCAATAAAAGTTGCTGCCTAACACCACCAGCTCGCCCTTGAATTATTTCCTGGGCAAAGCCAAGAACCCTCCCGGGCTAATTTTGGGGTTCACCTGCCCTGCATCAATCTCTTCACTTCATTGTTTCCCTTATTTTTTAGCTTGATGTAATTCCAACTGTCTATTTTTGCTTTGGTTGCCTGTGCTTTCGAGGTCCTACACAAAAAGTCTTTGCCTAGAGCAATGTCCTGGAACATTTTCCCAATGTTTTCTTCTAGTAGTTTCATAGTTTCAGATCTTAGATTTAAGTCTTGCTGGGCATGGTGGCACAGGTCTGTAATCCCAGAACTTTGGGAGGCCAAAGCAGAGGATTGCTTGAGTTCAGGAGTTTGAGACTAGCCTAGGCAACATGGCAAAACCCTATCTCTACAAAAAATACAAAAATTAGCTGGGCATGGTGGCGTGTGTCCGTATAGTCCCAGCCACTTGGGAGGCTGAGGCAGGAAGGTCACTGGAGCCCGGGAAGGTCAAGGTTTCAATGAGCCAGGATAATGCCCCTGTACTCCAGCCTGAGTGACAGAGCAAGATCCTGCCTCCAAAAAGTTTTAAGCCTTTATTCCATTTTGATTTGATTGTTGTGTGTGGTAAGAGACAAAAATAGTTTAGTTTCATTCTGTGTATACTTATCCAGTTTCCCCAGCACCATTTATTGAAAAGACTGACCTTTTCCCCATGTATGTTCTTGGCACCTTTGTCAAAGATGAGTTAGTTGTAAGGCCGGGTGCAGTGGCTCATGCCTGTAATCCCAGCGCTTTGGGAGGCTGAGGTGGGTGTATCACCTGAGGTCAGGAGTTCGAGACCAGCCTGGCCAACATGGCAAAACTCTGTCTCTACTAAAAATATAAAAATTAGCCAGGCACGATGGTGCACGCCTGTAGTCCCAGCTACTTGGGAGGCTGAGGCAGGAGAATTGCCTGAACTTGGGAGGTGGAGGTTTCAGTGAGCTGAGATCGTGCCACTACACTCCAGCCTGGGTGACAGAGCAAGAAGACTCCGTCTCCAAAAAAAAAAAAAAAAAAATTTGTTGTAAATTCATATGCATGGATTTATATCAGGATTACCTATTCTGTACTATTTGTCTGTGTGGTCTGTTTTTATGCCAGTACCGTGCTGTTTTGGTTACTATAGCTGTGTAGTATATTTTGAAGTCTGATAGTGTGATGCCGCCAGCTTTGTTCTTTTTGCTCAGAATTGCTTTGGCTAGTTGAGGTCTTCTGTGGTTCCACATAAATTTTATATATTTTTTCTTTTTCTGTGAAGAATGTCATTGGTTTTGATAGGGATTGCATTGAATCTGTAAATTGCTTTGGGTAGTGTTATAATTTTAACAATAAAATCCTTGCCATCCATGAACATGTAATATCTTTCCATTTTTTGTGTCCTCATTAATTTTTTTCATTAGTGTTTTATAGTTTTCCTTGTAGAGCTATTTCACTTCTTGGTAAATTTATTCCTGTGTGTTTTATTTTTATTTTGGTGCTATTGTAAATGAGCTTCCTTTCTTGATTTCTTTTTCAGAATGTTCTTTGTTGGTGTATAGAACTGCTACTAGCCTGGGCAACATGGTGAGACCCCATCTTATCTCTACAACATTTAAAAAAAATCTAGCCAGGTATGCACCTGTGGTCCCAGCTACTTGGGAGGCTGAAGTGAGAGGATCGCTTAGGTCCAAGAGATCAAGGCTGCAGTGAGCCATGTTCGTGCCACTGCACTCCAGCCTGGGCAACCCAGTGAGACTGTCTAAAAAAAAATTAGAAATGCCACTGATTTTTGTATGTTGATTTTGTATTCTGCAACTTTACTAATTTGTTTATCAGTTCTAACAGTTTTTTCGTAGAGTTTTTAGATTTTTCCAGGTATAAGACGTGTCATCTGTGAACAAGGCTTATTTGACTTCTTCCTTTCAAATTTGGATGCCCTTTATTTCTTGTTCTTGCCTAATTGCTCTGTCCAGGACTTCCAGTATTATGTTGAATAAAGTGGTGAAAGTGAGCATCCTTGTCTTATTCCAGTTCTTAGAGGAAAGACCTTCCATTTATCCTCATTCAGTACAATGTTAGCTATGGGTTTGTCATACATGGCTTTCATTTTTTTTGAGCTATGTTATTTCTATAACCATTTTGATGAGGGTTTTTAATATGCTAAACTTTACAAAATTATTTTCCAGCATTTATTGAAATAATCATATGGTTTTTGTTTTTGCTTCTGTTTAGGTTATGTATCATGTTTATTGATCTGCATGTGTTGAACCATCCTTGCATTCCTGGGATGAATCCCACTTGATCATGAAGCAGGATAGGTAGTCAAAGAAGTAACCATGTTCTCAGGATGCAGTAACTGTGGTGACTATACAGTCAACACAATAAGCCTCAGTATTTGCATTGTAATTGAGCTCATTCAAGCAAAGCTATCTTCAGTAGGGACTTTCCCCTCTGGAGAGCATGAACAGTTTGATTTTACCTGTCCTCAAACTGACCCTTTGCTCATTATAATAGTAAAAAAAACCACCCCTGGGTGGAGATTTAAGATGCGAATGAGACATGCAATGTATGAACAATCATGTACAGCTACTGTGCATGGGCAAGAGGACCACCCAGAAGATGCTTACTACCAACACCTCTTCCAACCCTTTATGAATAATCGTGTAAGACTTCCATAAAGAGAGTCTTCCTAGTGCCAGTTTTTGCTGTCTCGCCCTTATGAGCAACAAAATTCTCTCTCCCAGGGTATATTATCTATTTTGCACCAAACTTTCAAAATATTATTATTATTTGAGATGTAGTTTCGCTCTTGTTGCCCAGGCTGGAGTGCAATGGCACGATCTTGGCTCACCGCAACCTCTGCCTCCTGGGTTCAAGTGATTCTCCTGCCTCAGCCTCCTGAGTGCCACCATGCCCAGCTAATTTTGTATTTTTAGTAGAGATGGGGTTTCTCCATGTTGGTCAGGCTGGTCTCAAACTCCCAACCTCAGGTGATCTGCCTACCTCGGCCTCCCAAAGTGCTGGGATTACAGGTGTGAGCCACTGCACCTAGCCCAAAATAGTCTTTTTCTTTTGCAATAAATTACTCTATGTTGCATCTCCTTTGCTGTGAGTCTGTTTAAATTTTCTTAAACTAAGAAGACAAGAACTGAGGTCTTGCATCAGCCATCAACAATCATGGTGAATGGTCTTTTTGATGTGCTGTTAGATTCAGTTTGCTAGTATCTTGTTGAGGATTTTGGCTCTATGTTCATCGGGAATATTGGCCTGTAGTTTTCTTTTTTTTGTTGTTGTGTTCTTGTCTGGTTTGGGTATCAGGGTAATGGTGGCCTTGTAAAGTGAGTTTGGAAGTGTTCCCTCCTCTTTAGTTTTTTGGAAGAGTTTGAGTAGGATTGGTAATGGTTCTTCTTTAAATGTGTAGTAGAGTTCAGTAGTAAGCAAAACAGCATGTGCCTTCGGCTCCTGGAGCAGAGGATCCCTGTCTCTCAGTGCACGCACCATGCCTGGCATGGAACTGGCCTCGGACTCCACTTGCAGCCTTAATAACTCCATTCTTTGGATTTTGCTGTCTTATATTTGCCTTTCGTAGAAGGCTGAGAAGTAAAAAAGAAAAATACCACTGGACTCACCTTCATGAACTAGTTTCAAAAACTTTCTGCTCACAGAGTAAAAACACTTCATATTTAGATCAAGGAAATGAATTAAACCTAATCAGTTTAAAATCACCCTCACTAGACCACACTTTTTTCTTTTGAGATGGAGTCTCTGTCGCCCAAGCTGGAGTGCAGTGGCGCGATCACTGCAACCTTCACCTCCCAGGCTCAAGCTATTCTCCCGCCTCAGCCTCCAGAGTAGTTGGGACTACAGGCGTACACCACCACAATCTATTTTTGTATTTTTAATAGAGATGGAGTTTCACCATGTTGGCCATGCCGGTCTCAAACTCCTGACCTCAGGTGATCCACCCACCTCAGCCTCCCAAAGTGTTGGGATTACAGGCCTGAGCCACTGCACCCGGCCTACAACAACTGCTTTGAAAGGGCTTTTTCTCTATGATTAGGAAGATCCATGTTTAGAAGCTTGGTAAATAAATCCAAAACCTCTTCCCAGACAATGAATTGACCCTTCGATGTCCTATGTTTTTTTTTTTTTTTTACCTTTGCTAGTCACTGTATCAAAAGTAAAAAATATTTTTATAATCTTACTATTTTTCTTACATCACAACTTACATAAAATGAGATGCACTTCTTTTTAAAAAGTTTTCAAAAGCATTTTGTTGTGGTTTTAGATGATTAATAGGTGATCAGTTTGAAGAGTGAGAATGAAAAAACCAGCACATGTGGGGGAAGGCTGGGGAAGGGATTTGATTATATATTTAAGTGACTGAATTCAGTTCTCTCTCATTTCCTGGACAATAGTTCTGTTTTTTTCAGATTATTCTGATCATTTCAAATTAAAGCGAAGACACATGATCAGTTCTCAAGTCCTATGTTCTCATTAGGAAAAATAGAAAAACATGCAACTCTAGCTGAATATGGTGGAAAATATTTTGTTAGAGGTCCTTTCATAGGGCCTTTGTCCAGATGTTTGGACCGAGGCCCCCGAGGGCATGGAGAGCCAGCCTGAAGGACAGCGTAGGGTGTGCCTGCAGGGAAGGTCGTAGCTCACCAGTGACAGAAGAGGCAGACTCCCCTTCTTCCAGGCCTTGGTCTTCTACATCCTAGCTCAGTGGTCATTTATTTGTCAGGCCCTTCATTTTACTGATTTAATAACGTGTTTAAGGCAGGGTGCGGTGGCTCACGCCTGTAATCCCAGCACTTTGGGAGGCCGAGGTGGGTGGATCATCTGAGGTCAGGAGTTCGAGACCAGCCTGACCAACATGGAGAAACCCATCTCTACTAAAAAAAAAAAAAAAAAAAAAAAATACCCCGACGTGGTGGCGCATGCCTGTAATCCCAGCTACTTGGGAGGCTGAGGCAAGAGAATAACTTGAACCCATGAGGTGGAGGTTGCAGTGAGCTGAGATCATGCCATTGCACTCGAGCCTGGGCAACAAGAGTGAAATTCCGACTCAATAATAATAATAATAATAATAATAATAATAACAACAATAATAATAATGTGTTTAAATAATTTATCTCATATCTCTGCACCTTCACTCCATTTCTTTTCAAAGAAACAGAGAAAAACAAAAACAAAATGTCATAGTTCTGGGCCGGGCACGGTGGCTCACACCTGTAATCCCAGCACTTCGGAAGGCTGAGGTGGGTGGGTCATTTGAGGTCAGGAGTTTGAGACCAGCCTGGCCAACACGGTGAAACTCCACCTCTACTAAAAATGCAAAAATTAGCCGTGCGTGGTGGTGGGCATCTGTAGTTCCAGCTGCTTGGGAGGCTGAGGCAGGAGAATCGCTGAGGGAGCCCGGGAGGTGGAGGTTGCAGTGAGCTGAGATTGTGCCACTGCACTCCAGCCTGGGCAACAGAGCAAGACTCTGTCTAAAAAAAAAAAAATAAAAGTCACAGTTCTACTTGACCCAGCAGCAGGCTTTAAAACCAGAGGCTTTAATTCTCCCAATTTCCTCATTTGTCAAAATGCAGAAGCCAATCTAAGTAAATCACCTAGAACGGCAGCAAGCTACGTAAGTTCGGGGCTGAAATGTGATATTTCTTCTGAATCTCTCTTTTCTTACAACATCAGAGAAATGGGTAATAAATAGCACCAAACCCAGGGGCTCCACATTTATTCCTCTTTCCGGAGGAAATAAATTCTAGCCACCATATTTCTCAATAGGAACCGATATGTAAGGAGAATGAATTTATTCATTCATGAGTCATGTATTCAATCCTGATAAAAATACTTTATTCTGGTCTTCAATAGCAAATATGACCGGAGAGCCAGAGGGTCAGTGGTCCTGCTCTGAGCTGTGCAGGTGGGGCTGTCTCTGGGTAGTGGGAGGGTCGGGTGGGTGTTTCTGACCTGGGCGTCTTTGCCCAGAGGAGCAGAAGTGAACACACGCCCTCCCACTGGGCTCTTCTGCTGACGTGGGTTGGTAGGACGGTTATGGCTCAGCTTAGGGTCCGCAGCTGGGCAATGAGGAGACTGGAGGGGCCTTTCTCAGGTAGTGGCGTCTGGTAATCAGCAGATGGCGCCCGAGGTCGCTGGGCCCGCCCCGCGTGCGGGTCTTTCTGGTTGACTCCCCAGGCTCTTGCGTGGGAACTCACCACTGAGCACTGAACGCAGTTCCTCAGTCCGAGACCTCCTCACTCTCGCAGGACGCACAGTTGCACACACAAGTCCCTCACCTGTCACGACCCACGCTCTTACATACTCTCCCACTCCCACCCACACCCCCTCTCTCAGATGTGTGATCCAGGATTTCCTCTCCACCCACAGCCGCAGACGCCCCCACGGTTCGTGCAAATGTGCACACTCGGTGCAGCAGATCCCCGCCTCCTGCACACGTGCGCGTTTTTCCAGCCTCGCACTTTATCTCACACGTTTTCTCACCCAGAGACCCCATTTCAGACACACACACCCTCTCAGCCTTTTCTCTTGCCTCCCAACCCCTTAAAACGGAAATCCTTTATTTCCTCCGGAATTTGCTCACTTCGTGAAATGCCGGTCTGTCTTCTGGCGGATCCTATAGGGCAGCCCTTTCCTGCCCCTTGGTTCCAACAGCCCCTTTCATGCCAGTTTTTGTCACGTGCCTCTTACCATGCTGAAGTGAAATTGACCCAGCCATCACACAATGCCCTAACTCAGGGGTCTGCAAACAATGGCCCCAGAAAGCTGTTTGTTTTCCCCCAGCTTTATCTGAATATGCTTGAAAAGTAAACATTGTATATATTTAAAGTGGGCAACCGGATATTTAATACACATTGTGAAATGATCACCGCAAACTAAAACACCCACCATCTTACATTGTTACCACTTTCTTTCTTTTTTGGAGGTGGGGTGGTTAAGGATCTTAAGATCTACTCTCTTAAGAAATTTCAGGTATACAACAGAGTGTTGTTACACGCTGTACGTTACATCTCCAGAACTTACTCATCTTGTATAACTGACACTTTATACCCATTAAACAACACCCCGTTTTCTCCAACCCTCAGTCCCTGGCAACGACTATTCTACTCTACTCTCTGCTTCTATGAGTTTGGTTAGTTTAGATTCCACATATAAGTGAGATCATGCAGTATTTATTTATTTATTTATTTATTTATTTTTCTTGATGTGGAGTCTCGCTCTGTCGCCCAGGCTGGAGTGCAGTGGTGCCATCTTGGCTCACTGCGACCTCTGCCTCCTGGGTTCAAGCGATTCTGCCTCAGCCTCCCGAGTAGCTGGGACTACAGGCGTGCACCACCACAATCTATTTTTGTATCTTTAATAGAGATGGAGTTTCACCATGTTGGCCATGCTGGTCTCAAACTCCTGACCTCAGGTGATCCACCTGCCTCAGCCTCCTGAAGTGTTGGGATTACAGGCGTGAGCCACTGTACCAGGCTGAGATCATGCAGTATTAGTCTTTCTGTGCTTACTTATCTCACTTAGCATAGCAGGTTCATCCAGGCTGTTGGAAATGGCAGGATTTCCTTCTTTTTTGGAGCTGAATAATATTCCATTGCGTAGACACGTTTCCCTCACCCATTCATCTGTGGATGGATGTTATTTTCCATAATGGCTGTACAAGTTTACATTTTTACTAACAGTGTACAGTGATCCCTTTCCCCCACATCCTCAATAACAGTTGTTATCTTTCCTCTTTTGGATAATAGCCATTCTAACAGGTGTGAGGTGATGTCTCATTGAGGTTTTGATTTGCATTTCCCTGATGATTAGTGCTGTTGAGCACTTTTTCATACACCCGTTGGGCATTTATATGTCTTCTTTTGATAAATATCTGTTCAGGTTCTTTGCCCATTTTCAATCAGGTGATTTGTTTTTTGCTACTGTGTTCCATGAGTTCCGTATATATTCTTGATATTGCCTCCTTATGAGATGTACGGTTTGCAACGTCAGGAAGCTTTTCCCCTGTGTTTTCTTCTCGTAGTTTTATGATTTCAGGTCTTACATTGAAGTCTCTAATCCATTTTGAGTTGATTTAGAATATGCAAAGGAAGCACTTGAAAAAGCCAGCACTAGGTTGGGCAGATCCCTCCTGTGGGAAACTGACTTGGGATAAGAGCAGGACTGCCTGGCCCCCCAGTGAGAGGTGACAGCGTGCTAGCAGCCCTCGCTCGCTCTCAGCGCCTCCTCTGCCTGGGCTCCCACTTTGGCGGCACTTGAGGAGCCCTTCAGCCCGCCGCTGCACTGTGGGAGCCCCTTTCTGGTCTGGCCAAGACTGGAGCCGGCTCCCTCGGCTTGTGGAGAGGTGTGGAGGGAGAGGCGCGAGCAGGAACCAGGGCTGCGCGCAGCGCTTGCGGGCCAGTGCGAGTTCCAGGTGGGCGTGGGCTCGGCAGGCCCTGCACTCGGAGCGGCCGGCCGGCACCGCCGCCCCGGGCAGTGAGGGGCTTAGCACCTGGGCCAGCAGCTGCTGTGCTAGACTTCTCGCCGGGCCTTAGCTGCATCCCCGTGGGGCAGGGCTCGGGACCTGCAGCCCCCCATGCCTGAGCCTGAGTCTCCCCAACCTCCACCCCGCCCCCGTGGGCTCCTGCACTGCCTGAGTCTCCCCGACAAGTGCTGCCCCCTGCCCCACGGCGCCCAGTCCCATCGACTGCCCAAGGGCTGAGGAGCACGGGCGCACCTTGCGGGACTGGCAGGCAGCTCCACCTGCGGCCCTCGTGCGGAATCCACTGGCTGAAGCCAGCTGGGCTCCTGAGTCTGATGGGGACTTGGAGAACCTTTATGTCTAGCTAAGGGATTGTAAATACACCAATCGGCACTCTATATAGAGCTCAAGGTTTGTAAACACACCAATCAGCACCCTGTGTCTAGCTCAGGGTTTGTGAATGCACCAATGGACACTCTGTATCTAGCTACTCTGGTGGGGACTTGGAGAACTTTTGTGTCTAGCTCAGGGATTGTAAATGCACCAATCAGCACCCTGTCAAAACGGACCAATCAGCTCTCTGTAAAATGGACCAATTGGCTCTCTGTAAAATGGACCAATCAGCAGGATGTGGGTGGGGCCAGATAAGAATAAAAGCAGGCTGCCAGAGGTAGTAGTGGCAACCCGCTCCGACCCGTTTTCATAGTGTGGAAGCTTTATTCTTTTGCTGTTTGCAATAAATCTTGCTACTGCTCATTCTTTGGGTCCACGCTGCTTTTATGAGCTGTAACACTCACTGTAAAAGTCTGCAGCTTCACTCTGGAACCAGCGAGACCACAAACCCACCGGAAGGAAGAAACTGCAAACACATCCGAGCATCAGAAGTAACAAACTCCAGACAGGGGGCCTTTAAGAACTGTAACACTGGCCACGAGAGTCCGCGGCTTCATTTTTGAAGTCAGTGAGACCAAGAACCCACCAATTCCGGACACAGTACTTGCTGCCTCTCTATATCATCTCCTCTGAAGGCAGGTATTTGCCTACACAGTCTGCTGAGTACTAAGTGCAACACACACTGCAGGGGCTTCCCAGAGCCCTACTCGGATTCAGGTGGATTCTTATGCAGATGGTGAAAAAGGTCAAAAGTTTGAACTGGGAATCAATTGCTGTAAGTTTCTCTATGATATTCTCCCAGCAAGATGTCTTCCTTGTAATAACTTGGGAGAACGTTGACTCCAGGGTAGGAGAGTGTTCCTGAGGAGTCGGCACACTTTATGGCTGGCCCCAGGCCGTGGGTCAGAAAAATCCACAGCTGGCCACACCATTCTGTGCAGCGGGAAAAACCATCAGTTGAAGGTACTGTGGAAAATCAGTTAAGCTCATTCAATCATCCTGGTTCCTGGTGGGTTCAGTGTCCCATATTTAAGACAAAACTCTTAACACTGTTATGCTGTGGTCTTCTTTGAGTTCATCTGTGAAAAATCTAAATTGTTAAGTCAATCACTAGTCTTACAACTAGAAAAGAAACATACTATGTAAAGTTGCGACACTTTTCATAGAAAGCAACATCTCAATCTAATGTTACATATTCAGGTGAGTGTTAAACATCATCTGAGATGAGCTCTTCTCTGGGCTCAGCCACATCTCTCAAGATCCCAAGAGAATCAAAAGGTTGAAGTGTGAATCAATTTGTATGAATTTCTCATAAATCCTGTCAACAAGATGTCAACAGCTGTCTTTATCGTCATACATTTGGGAGGCTGTTGCCTCCAGGATCTGAC
Organism: Homo sapiens; assembly: GCF_000001405.40. Lineage (NCBI taxonomy): Eukaryota > Metazoa > Chordata > Mammalia > Primates > Hominidae > Homo > Homo sapiens. The sequence continues at coordinate 121,092,000 of NC_000012.12, read as the reverse complement.
AGTGGTTACCAAGGAGTCAGCACCGTCTATTGCTGGCCCCACGCAGTGGGTCAGAAAAACCCACAACTGGGCAGACAATTGAGTTCATCCCAGAAAACCATCCATTGAAGGTGCTGTGGAAAGTCAGTGAAGTTCATTCAATCATCAAGATTCTAGGGGGTTCTGTGTCCCGTACTGAAGTCAGAACTCTCACACTGTTACGCCTTAGTCTTCTTGCAGTTCATCTACACACATCTAAAATGAAGTCATTGCTGTTTCTGCAACTGTAGAAGTAAAGATGTATTTACAATTTAAAGGATGGTACCATTTTACTGGAAAGCAACGTCTCAATCTTATGTTGACACATTCACCTGAGTGTTAAACATCCACTCAAAAGAGTGTTGCCAACCTTGACTAAAATAGTCATTGTGTAGAACAGTTTGAAATTAACATGAAAATGGAACAGACAGAACAGAAAGGTCTCAGATCCTTTGTCCACCCTTTTCTTTTCTTAACCCCATTTTCAGTGGTGTGGTCCATGTGTGTAACAATGACTAAACCAATATGGATACATTTTTACGATCTGAAGTCAGGAGTTTGCATGGAGGTTCACCGTGTTGTGCCCTCTATGGGTTGTGACAAACTCCGAATGCCATTCACCACCCATACGAAGTAGCTGCATGCCTTAAACACTTCCTGTGTTTCCCCTGTGCATCCCTCTCCCCTTTGCCAGAAGCCCTGGCAACAAGAATCCTTTTCACTGTGTCTAGAGTTTTCTCTCCCAGAATTGTATAGGCTTGGAATCATGGAGTAGGCAGCTTTTTCAGACGGCCTTATCCTCCTCAGCAATATTCATTCACTGCCAGCATCTGTCTTTGAGGTCACCCCATGGTCGCCACTCCCCCTTCCCAGCTTTTCCTTGCAAGGTCTCTTGTTGGCTCCAGTGGGAGCTTCTTCCCATCTGCCCAGGCCCTTCCAACGCCCCCCAGTGTCAGCAAGGCCTGGACCAGGGACACCAGCAGCCCCCTGCACTGGAGTCCTGTGGCTCCACCCCAAGTTTGAAATTTCCCAGTAACCCTGCAGCCACTGCCCAGCCAGTTCTGGTAGAAATCAGGGAAAGAAGGATCTTCCATGCACTCAGCGACCTTCTCAACTGAAGTCTAAAGTTTCACTACAGATAATGTTGCCAAGAATGTGGAAAATCTGCCTCCCATCATCACCTCTGCCAGCCACGGCTTCTGTGTGGTTGGGCCACATGCACTGTGTAAAATGACAAAGGGGCTTCATCAATGGCTGAGCATCAGGGCAGGCACATGGCTCTGTTCCTAGGAGGAGGACATGTTAGGTTGTGCATTGCAGGGTGGGGAAAGATCAAGTCAGTGTAATGACAAAGAAATCCCCACCCGATTCCCTGCCGAACCTCCTGGGTGAAATAGGTGTCTGCTGGCTTCTGAGGGCCTTTGCAAGAAAACAGGATTCTTGCTTAAGCAAAAGTAGGTGTAAAATGAGGCATACTATGGCTTGAGGAACCATTTGGATCATGAACACCACGTGAAATGCTTTGTATCATCATAGAAATCCATTAGCCTGCAATTGACCTCTTGATATTTATCCCCACAAAGCAAAAAGATGAGACTGCTCCATTTGAAAAGGGTCACTTTTGCCTACAGAAACATGCTTCTCATAACAAGGCTGTCCTAGACATTTCTTACTCTCTAGAACACAGTTTCCCAGTGGTGCTTGAGAAAAAACCCAAGGTGAGGACCTCAATGCTAAAAGCAGTGACGACAAGATCAAGGACTCCAGGAATCCAGAGATGGCCGCTCAGTGGACTCTGTGGGAGAAGGCAGGGCTCCGGCCCCAGGCTGGGCCTGCAGAGGGAGAAGATATAGAGGGATAGAAGGAAGTCACAAGGGTCCCCGGGCCCGGTGAGTTGGGGTTGGGGAGGATAGATTCCAGGGTTTTAATGTCAGGAGACTCATGACATCATCATCCCCTGAGTCCTATGATTTTCCTGCTCCTTCTAAGTGGGAAAGAGCAGGGGGGACGGTCCTGGCTGGAGTGACCCTGCATGGACATCGCTGACATTTCTTAAGAGAGGGTAGTTCCTTCCTGTTGAAGCTGTGACAGGAGCTGGGGACGGGCGTCTTCATCATGCTGTGTGACAAAGCAGGCCTTTCCATCCTGGAAGCTGGCGAGAGGCAGAGAGTAGGAATCAGGTTTCCGGTCCTCTGAGCCAGACTGGGGGACATAGTTCAGCAGGGATGGTGTCAAGGTCAGGCCAGACACACAGAAGTTCCCAGACTGACCTTCCTGGGGCTCATAGTTCAGCAGGGATGGTTGTCAAGGTCAGGCCAGACACACAGAAGTTCCCAGACTGACCTTTCTGGGGCTGGACAGAAACCAGTTTCCATCTTCCACCTGCTTCTGGAAGTTGCCTGTCAAGCGCCCTCTGTAGACAGCACTAGCCAAAGATTGCCTGGCCCAGAAGTGCATTGAAACTGAAGGCAGTGTGGCCCCACCTGGCCAGGGCAGCTGCTCACACTGTAGCTCCCTGGAAGGAGCGAGGGCACCGGCTCCCGTTCAGGGCAAGCTCAGCAAAGTGATGGAGGCTGATCCCAGAGCCCAGATCATCCTTGATCCTCTGTTTCACAGCCCAGAGGACGTGGGTTTGAGATTTTCTCTGAAATGGTCTTAGAGTTCTCAGGCCCAAACTCTTGAGTCCTCGCACTCATGGGGATCCGCAATGCGGCTGCAGCTGTTCAGTGCAGGGGCAGGAATGTGCCCTCCGCATTTCCTCTCATCACAGCGCTCAGCCCTGGGCAGCCTGTCTTAGGCCACATGAAGGTCTCATGAAAACACCCCTGGGCTGGGCTCTAGCTCGAGTGGGCAAAGGTTCCCTCCTCACACTGTTCAGCCTGTTGGACCTTCTCACTGAACGAGGCGTCTTCCCAGGATCTGACCCAAGTCAGAGGGTGGTGAGGGTGGGCTCCTGCAGACCCTGGGATGTCCATTTTCCTGGGGTCTCTCTGCTCTGATGCTGTTTAGACAAGGTTGGTTTCACTTCTCTGTGTGCAAGTGTAACCCCCTCCCCACGGCTTCCCTCTAGGCCAAGGCACTGTCCTCATGGTTGTATCCCCATATCTCACACAGTGCCTGGCCCTTGTGCAGGTGCTAAAAAAAATCCTGTTTCCTTGCAGAGGCCCTCAGAAGCCACACATGAATGATGGGATCAGAGCACCCAACCCCACTGCAAGGAAACACCCAGGGAGGGAGTCATGTCCTTTTCATGTTTGTATCTCTAGAGCTGCAGCATCTAGCGTGGGAATCCCAGCCTGGAGGTGCTGTGTATAACTCATTCATTCATTAGTGCAGTTAATCACAATAAAATGAGAAATTCCAATCTTCATTCACACTGGCCACATTTCCAGTGCCCCACAGAGTTTGTGCCAGCGGCCACCTTATGCAACAGCACAGAGAACATTTCCATCCACACAGAACACACTCTTGGGAACCTGCTCTGAGCCTGGCATGGGGTCTGTTCATGGAACTCATCTAACTAAGAAACCTGTGCATCAAAGTTGGAATTTCAGGTGAATGGGACTGGAGGAACGAGCTCTAACGATCCAGCGGAAATGCGGAAGTGGGAAGATGATGGGGGTGCTCTCTCCTGAGGGTTTGCACCCGTGAGCTGTGTCTTGTTAGAGACTCTGGACTCCACAGAGTTAAAGGAGGGTTGAACAGACCAAGAGAGAGAGCAGGGTGGTCTTGTGTGATCCAGCTTGACCTCAGCTGGAGGAGGAGGGATGGATGAACCTTCCTCTGGAATAATTGTCTTCCCACTTTTGTCTCTAGAGACTCCATTGTCAACAGAAGACATGATTCAAGCAGTGATGAAGAAGACACTCCAGGTTTAAAACAACCCAGGAGGGACCCAACGAAGGAGGGTGCCTGTAGCAGTTGGGGTTGGCCTGCTGCCTTAGAGACTGAGGAAGTGGGGGATGAAATTAGAAAGTGAAAGGAAACGTGTATGGAAGGCTGCTTTGTCCTTGTCATCCTTACTGACTCAATAGGGAGAGGTTTGGTGCCTCTGGGCTTTGAGTGTGCAGTGTTTGTCATCATCTTTTCTTGCTGTGATTTTTTAAAAATGATCTTTCCCGGAAAACCGTGTCTTTCCTGCCTTTGCGTCAGTAAAACTCCAAAGTCTTTGGTGATGTTTGGCAGCACCTCCTGCGTCTTGGTGAGGAAGAATGTGAGCAAGGAGGTGCCCATGATGTGCTGGAGCATTCACTGCCTCTTCCCAGCCAGGCCTGAGTCGGGGATGCTCAGACAGCTGCTCAGATCTTTAGTCCATAAAGGGAAAGGGAAGCAGGGGGCTGACGGGCTTCACTGATTGAGATAGCAGAGCACCAGTCCAGCAGGCCTCCTCCCCAGTTAACTCGCCTTCCCTGCTCGTAAGAGTTTGTCAGTTACAGTGAAGCGAATTCTTTGGGAGGCTCTGTCCTATGGGTGTGGCTGGCATGGGAGTCCTGAGCTCTGAGCCAGTGGGGAGTCAAGAAGGACACTAGTCATTCAGGGTGGTCGCTGGCACATCCAGAAGCCTCACCTTGAGGTGGCTCATGGTGTGAAGGTGCTGGGGCAGGAGTGGCGCAGATTGGACACCCTGATCCTTCAAAGGGTCTTCATTTGGGGTCAGCTGCATCATATTTTGGGTCAAGGATTACAACATAGATGCAGGAGGCTGTGTCAGCCACCTCCTGCAGGACATCACCTCTCTCCAAAGTAATCCTGGAACAAGAGGATTTGGGAAATGGGGTGAGGGAAGCCCTGGGTCAGGCACCCAGGGCATGATCTAGAGGAAACTGGGCTTCAGGGATCTCCGTCTCCAGGAAACCAACTACGTTCCCGGCTCAGCCTCGTCCCTCCTTAGTGTTGTGACTCTGGGTATGTCACTTAGGCCCTGTCAATTTTAGTGTCCTCAACTGTAAAATGTGGGTCACAGCCCTGCTCCGCCCACTTCACGGGGCTCCTGTGAGGGTCATGAGGGATGACAACAGATCCTCTTCAGGAGCTAGAAGTTCCTGCCCATGGAAAGGCTGGAAAGTGACTCGTGACTTGTAGCCACTCTGAGGCAACCACTACTACAGATCTCCTTCATTCCCTCAGACATTATGTATTTGAGCAGTTTTCTAGCACTTATGAAGTGTCAGTCATTTTTCTGTTGGCTTCGTTTGGGTCTGCTTCTAGGTAGGATCTGAGCCCAGGACATCAGGCACCTGCCACTTGCTCTAAGTCACTGAGCTCAGCTGCCCTCCTGAATTGTCTCATTAGAGTAACGTCCCCACGCAATCATCCGGGTGTTATGTGAAGTGCTCACAGCACCTCAGGACGCCTCCCGCTAAGCCAGCTTTGACTCGGTTGCTCCCCGAGGCAGCTGTTGGAGACAAGTGTGACTTGGGAAAGGTGAACACCTGCCCACCGTCTCCTGCCTGCACCGTATCAACAGGGGGCTCTATTTTCAATGCATTTTTCCAAAGCTCATGGCTCAGAGATACAACAAGAACAGATCATGGAAGATTCAAATCCAGACTATGCCAGAAAAGTGATCTGGGCTGAAGAAAACCTCCTGGCCATTCCCAGAAGCATCCCGTCGGCATCTGGGCAAAGGCAGGAGGAGCCTCAGACATCACCACCTGCCAGCTCCTCCACTGAAGGCGTCCTGGACCTGAAGCTATCAGGAGATTGGAATCATTGCTGTGGTTTGTACAGCAGGGCCTGAGTCTTGGTGAGGAAGGACAGGAGCAGGGAGGCGCCCACTCAGAGCTGGGGCAGCCACTGCCTCTTCTCAGCCAGGCCTGAGTCCAGACTGCTGGGGCAGCTGCTGTGATCAAGAGGAGGCACTGAGACCCTGGCAGCTTGCCGGCTTCACTCCCTACGCTGCCCAAGCCCCAGCCCAGCAGGCCGCTTTTTCATTGAAAGAATCTGCACTGCCCAGCAGCCCGGTTTGGTCAGTTGAAGGTGAATCTGATTCAAAGTCCAACGGTCACGTGGGCAGTTGGTGGGGGACCTCCTGCATTCCGAGTCGGTTGGGAGTCAAGGAGGCTACTGGTCATTCAGGGCAGTCACCAGACCACAGGGAAGTCTCTTCACAAGGCAACCACAGAGTCAAGTGTGGTGGGAGACAGACACAAATTTGGACCCCACGCATTCAGCAGGGCTTCATTTGGGGGAAAGTCATCACATCTTGGGTCAGGGGTTGAAATGTAAAGCTGGGAGTTGAGTCAGGGTTTGGGCCCTTCTCTTGGGCCAAGCACCTCCTCCAGGCAACAGTGTCTCCCTGCAGCAGCCGTGGGGGTGGGAGGATTTGGGAAAGGAGTAAGGAGGTTCCTCGGTTCAGCGTCCAGGGCATGATCTAATGGTCTTGATGCAGGCGAACTCCAAAATTGGACCTTAGGCCATGACGGTCCTTGGATTTGCTCAGGAAACAAGAGCCAGCCAATGGTGAAAGCCGGCAAGTTTGTGTGAACAACAGTGTCTGCCAAAATGGCTGTTCCACAGACAGAGCAGGGCTGTCCCAGAGGCGTGTAGCACCAGTGGCATGATGGCTAGCTTTATTTATACCTACTCTTAATTATATGCCAATTAAGGGGTGGGCTATTCACGATTTTCTGGAAAAGAACCAGGAGTCCCGGAACCATATGGTAACTTCCGGGTCATTGCCATGGCATTTGTAAACTGTCATGGCCCTGGTGGGGGTGACTCAAGAGTATACAATAGAATTCCTAGTCCTAGCTGGTTTGGGCTGGTTTCTTTGCTACATCTTGTTTTCATCAGCAGGGCTGTGATAGTTGCTCAGAAAGTGAGTCCTGTTGATCTCCTGCCTCAGTCTCAGGTGTTCAGGGATCTCCATCCCTTGGGAGCCAACTAAATTCCCTGCCTGAGCTTCATTATTCATCAGTGTTGCTATTCTGAGCACGTCACTGAATCTCTGTCAATTTCAGTGCCCTGAACCATAAAGTAAATGTTACAGCCCCTGCTCTGCCCATCCAGGAGGTGTAAAGTGTCGTGCACATGCCCATGTGGAATAGTAGGGCCCTGTCCTTCCCCCGTCTGTCACCCTCCATGTTGCCTCTCTGGGGGTCACCAATGCTGCTTGTCTTTTTTATTTTTCCAGATGTGTAATCATTGAACACTTAGGTAGGCAGTGCTTATGAAGTACCCGTCATTTTTCTCTAGGCTGTGTCTGTGTTTACCTTTAGCCCTTATAACATGGTAGTACTACGCAAGCCCTAGTAACATGTTCTCACCCCAGAACAGAGAGCTGAGGACAAAGGGACTGAGTGACAGTCCCAGGCACACGTGGCTTTGATCTCAAGCCATCAGGCACCAGCACCCATGCTCTGGTCACTGTGTTGTGCTGACTTTCTACACTGTTATCTAAAGAAAGCCACTGTTCCCACACAATCCCTCTGTGGGGTATTTTAGGCACACCACACTGCAGGATCCCTCTTCCTAACTCCACTTTCATTCAAATGCCCCACTGGACAGTTAGTGATAAGAAGATAATGGATTCCAATAAAGGATGTACATGGGGATGGATTCTTGGGGAAGAAAATGTACCCCCTGGCCCCACAGCTGTTCAGCAGCATCAAAACCGGATCTGGCTAAAGAACGAGGTTAAGCCTCAAATATCATCCTGTACCACCCCCTCCACTGAAGTGCCTGCGGGAATTTAATCATTGAATTTATTCACTAGCAATTGTTGCAGTTTAGTGCATCATATTTAGAAACAAAATAAATTGTTGTCATATTCTTTTGTATTGATATATAATGAAATATAATTCACATTCCATAAATGCACCTTTTTGAAGGATACAATTCAGTGGTTTTTAGTATATTCTGGTTTTGCCATCGTCCCCACTACCTAATTCTAGTACTTCACCACTCCAAAGAGAAACCCCTTGCCCATGTCAGCCAACCCCATTCTCTCCACACACCCTGCCCTGCCAGCCTCTAATCTGCTTTCTGTCTGCGAATTTTTGTATTCTGTGTATTTCATATACATAGAATCATACAATGGGCTGTCTTCTATGTCCTGGCTTCTTCAGTAGGCAGAAAGTATTCACGTTCACCTGTGTTGTGGCCATACCTGGACCTTACCTGTTTATGGTGGAATACCATCCATTGTGTGAGCATAACTCGTTTCGTTTTTCCATTTATCAGTGATGGACAGATGCGTTATTTTCATTTTTTGGCTACTATCAATAGTGCTGCTATGAACACCCATCTTCGAGTTGTTGTATAAACGTATGATTTTTTTTTTTTTTTGAGATGGAGTTTCACTCTTGTTGCCCAGGCTGGAGTGCAATGATGCGATCTCGGCTCACCACAACCTCCACCTCCCAGGTTCAAGCAATTCTCCTGCCTCAGCCTCCTGGGTAGCTGGGATTACAGGCATGCACCACCACACCCAGCTAATTTTGTATTTTTAGTAGAGACGGAGTTTCTCCATGTTGAGGCTGGTCTCGAACTCCTGACCTCAGGTGATGCGCCCGCCTCGGCCTCCCAAAGTGCTGGGATTACAGGTGTGAGCCACCGCGCCTGGTGAACATATGATTTTTATTTCTCCTGGATATATATCTAGCATTGGAACTGCTAGGCCATATTCGTAGCTCTGTGAGTAACTGTCTGAGGAATCACCAAAGTCTTTTTTCCTTTTTATATTTGCACAGGCAATGTGGGAAGGTCCCAATTTCTGTAATCATTGCTAACACTTGTGTTTGCTTTTTAAATTATAGCCATGCTAGTGGATGTGAAGTGATATTTCAGGGGTTTTGATTGGCATTTCCCTATTAACTAATGATTTTAAACATGTTTTCATTTATTTATTGCCAATTTGTGTATCTTCTTTAGGGCAGTATCTATGCAAATCCTATTTTAATTTTGAAAATTTGTTAGACATTTTATTTTTGATTTGCTAGTGTTCTTTATCTCTTCTGGATAATAGACCTTATCAGATACATGAATTGCAGATAATTTATTCAACTCTGTGTTTTTGTATCCCTTTCATGATGGTGTTCTTTGAAACACAAAAGATTTTAAGTTTGGTGAAGTCCTATTTATTTTACCTCTGGTTGCTTGTACTTGCGGTGACACATGTAAGAATTCATTGCCAAATGTTAGAAAATGAAGATCTATGCCCTTTTTTTCTGAGATTCATATAGTTTAGCTCTTTAATGTTTTTTGTTTTATGTTTTATCAAAGTCTTAAGCCTTTAATCCATTTTTAATTATTATTATTATTATTATTATTATTTTGAGACAGAGTTTCGCCGTGTCTCCCAGGCTGGAGTGCAATGGCGTGATCTTGGTTCATCCCAACCTCCGCATCCCGGGTTCAAGCGATTCTCCTGCCTCAGCCTCCCGAGTAGCTGGGATTACAGGCATGTGCCACCATGCCTGGCTAATTTTTGTATTTTCAGTGGAGTTGGAGTTTCACCATGTTGGTCAGGTTAATCTCAAAACTCCTGAACTCAGGTGATCTACCCGCCTTCGCCTCCCAAAGTGTTGGGATTACAGGCATAAATTAACTTTCGTGTATGGTGTGAGTTAGCTGTCCAACCTCATTCTTTGCATGTGGATGCTCATTGTCCTGGCACCATTTGTTGTAAAGAATATTCTGTCTTTGGCCTTGCCACACTTTTTAAAAATTGACAGTAAATGTGAGGGTTTACTTCCAGACTCTCAATTCTATTTCATGGATGTATACATCCATCTTTTCACCAGTTCTGCACAGATTGATTATACTACCTTTATATTAAGTTTTTAAGTTGGGAAGTCTGAGTCCTTGTTCTTTTTTAAGATTATTTTCTCTACATTGGTTTCTATTCCTTTATGAGTTTTGGGATCACCTTGTCAGTTTCAAGGCAGCTGGAATCCTTACAGGAATTTGCTGAATCTGTCAATGAATTAGGGGAATATAACATCTTAAGTATAAGTACTCCAGTCTGTGAACATATGTCTTTTCATTTATTAGATCTTTTAAAATTTATTTAAATGATGTTTCATAGTTCTCAATGTACAAGTTTTGTACTTCTTTTGATGAATTCATTTCTATGTATTTATTTGTTTGTTTATTTATTTATTTGAGATGGAGTCTTGCTCTGTTGCCCAGGCTGGAGTGCCTTGTCATGATCTCAGCTCACTGCAACTTCTGCCTCCCCGGTTCAAGAGATTCTCTTACCTCAGCCTCCCAAGTAGCTGGGACTTCAGGCATGTGCCACCACTCCTGGCTAATGTTTGTGTTTTTAGTAGAGACAGAGTTTTACCATGTTGGCCAGGCTGGTCTCAAACTCCTGACCTCAAATTTTCCGCCCACCTCAACCTCCCAAAGTACTGGGATTACAGGCATGAACCACAGTGCCTGGCCTCTAAGTATTTATTTCTGATGCTATTGCAAAAGGAATTTTTTCTTAATTTCAAGTTCAGATTGTTTATTGCAAGTTCATAGAAATACAATTGATTGGTTTATCAAGCCTCCAAGCCTTGTCAAAGGTTTATTATTTCTCAATATAGGATTATGTTCAAAGAACCTCGAAATCTTCTCTTATGGACAAGTGGAAGAATAAACTCATATAAACTTTCTGGAAAGCAAGTTGGCTAGTTATCAAGATCCTTAAAATGCACCATATCCTTTGACACAGTAATTCTTGCCCAAGAAATTTTTTTTATTTCATTGTAAGTTGACAATTTATAATTGTATATATTTATGAGGTGCAAAGTGATATTGTGATTTACAAATATAATGTGGGATAATTAAATCAAGCTAATTGATATATACACAACCTCAATTACTTATCATTTTTGTGGTGAGAAAAATTATTACCTGTTGATTTTGTATCCTGTAATATTGCTGAACTTGCTTATTAGTCCAAATAGTTTTTCATTTATTTCTTATGGTTTTCTATACAGTGTCATGTCATCTGCAAATTGGGACAGTTTTATTTCTTCCCTGCCTATTTGTATGCTTTTTATTTCTTTTTCTTGCCTAGTAGTTGTAGCTGGAATTTCCATTACAGTGTTGGGTCAAAAGTGATGAGAGTTGGCCAGGCGCGGTGGTTCACGCCTGTAATCTCAGCACTTTGGGAGGCCGAGGCAGGCAGATCACCCGAGGTTAGGAGTTCGAGACCTGTCTGACCAACATGGAGAAACCCCATCTCTGCTAAAAATACAAAATTAGCCAGGTGTGGTGGCGCGTGCCTATAATCCCAGCTACTCAGGAGGCTGAGGCAGGAGAATCGCTTGAACTCGGGAGGCGGAGGTTGCAGTGAGCCGAGATCATGCCATTGCACTCCAGCCTGGGCGACAAGAGCAAGACTCTGTCTTAGAAAAAAAAAAAAAGGCGGGGGGCGGGGGGTAGGGTGAGAGTGGACATCCTTATCTTCTTTTAATATCGGGGGAAATTTTTCAGTCTTTTACCATTAAGTATAAAGTAGTGGTGGGTTTTTCATAGGTGCCCTTTATAAGGTTGAGGAAGTTAGCTTCTATTCCTAGTTTTTCAACTATTTTTATTATGATAGGGCGTTGCATTTTGCCAAATCATTTTTTAGTCTATTGAGATGATTATGCTTTTTTTGTTTGTTTTTCTGGTTGCTTGGAGTTTATTTTCCACTTGGTGCCAGGTGCACATTTTCAGGTATCAAGAGAGCTCACAAGTACTGGGGCAGTAGGGAGCAGGGCTTTCTCACTCCTTTTCAGTGTCTGCTGTGTTGATGTGAAAGTCAACTTGCTGCAGCTGCCTAGTCCTACAGGGTGAGGAGCTGGGAGGGAGACAGACAGGGCCTCTGGTGGCCTAGTCCCTCCATAGGCCTGGGGCTGGTGGTGGCCACTCAGGTCAGGACAGGGGTCCAGGATGGGGCTGTGCTGGACCGGCCACCGGGCTGCTTCCTCGGGGTTTCCCGAGCCAGGCCCCAGGTGGTCATGCTGCTGCAGGCCTGGGGGGTTCCGGGTGCTCTACCAACTCCAACACCGTGGCCATGAACAGGAGGGTGGACTTCCCGAAAAATAAGCTGGCCCACCAGTGACCTGGGTCAGCCTTGGGGAAAGCCGGTGGGTGGGGGATGGCTTCCCCAGGGCACTTGGTATTGCCACAGGAGCTGCTGCTGGAAGTGGAACCCAGGCGGCCTGGGCGGCGACCCCTCTCTGGCCTTGGCACACGATCACAGGTGGTGGGGTCAGGGGCACTGGGCCACGGAGCCCATTTGCAGAGGAGACCTGGGGAGGCTGCTCCATGATCAAGACACAGGCGCACAAGAGATGATTATGCATTTTTAACCTTGTTTTATTAATATGGTATATTAACATTGATTGATACAAATTTTTGGAACCAACCTTGCGTTCCTAAAATTAATCCCATTTGGTCATCATGCATCATTCTCTCTTTTTTCTTTTTCTTTTCTTTTCTTTTCTTTTTTTTTTTTTGAGACAGGGTCTCACTCTGTCGCCCAGGCTGGAGTGCAGTGGCTCTCCATAGCTCACTGCAGCCTTGACCTCCCCAGATTCAGGTGACCTTCCCACCTCAGCCTCCCAAGTAGCTGGGACTACAGTAGTATGCCACTACGCCCAGCTAATTTTTTTTTGTATTTTTTGTAGAGATGAGGTTCCACCATGTTACCCGGGCTGGTCTTAAACTCCTGGGCTCAAGCGATATGCCTGCCTTGGCCTCCCGAAGTGCTGGGATTACAGGCGTGAGCCACCCTGCCCGGCCCGTGTATCATCTTTTTTGTTGTTGTTGTTGCATTCGGTTTGCAAGTATTTTGTTGAGGATTTTTTGCATCTGTATTCATTAAAGATATTGGTCTGTTGTTTCCTGTTCTTGCAATGTCTTTGTCTGGTTTTGATATCAAGGTATTAACCTTATAGAATGGGTTGTTGGGAAATGACCCCTCCTCTTACATGTTTTAGAAGTTTGTGAAAGATTTAATTCTGTTATAAACTTTTGGTAGAATTCACCAGTGAATCAATCGTGCCCTGAGCTTTTCTTTTCTTTATGGGGATTTTGACTTTTTTTTAAAAAAAATTAATAACTCAATCTATACCTTGCTATAGGTATATTCAGATTTCCTTTTTTTTTTTTTTTTTCAGTTTTGTTGGTTTGTTCCTTTTTTTTTTTTTTTTTTTTTTTTGAGACGGAGTCTTGCTCTGTCGCCCAGGCTGGAGTGCAGTGGCGTGATCTTGGCTCACTGCAAGCTGCGCCTACCGGGTTCATGCCATTCTCCTGCCTTAGCCTCCCGAGTAGCTGGGACTACAGGCGCCTGCCATCATGCCTGGCTAATTTTTTGTATTTTTAGTAGAGACGGGGTTTCACCATATTAGCCAGGATGGTCTCGATCTCCTGACCTCATGATCCACCCACTGCGGCCTCCCAAAGTGCTGGGATTACAGGCGTGAGCCACCGTGCCCGGCCAAGGTTTGTTCCTTTCTAGATATTTCTTCATTTCATCTAGGTTATATCATTTGTTGCCATACAATTGTTCATGGTATTATAATCTTTTTATGTTTTCGTAGGGTTGGTATTAATTTGAGTCTTCTTTTTTTCTAGGTCAGTCTAGCTAAAAGTTTGTTAATTTTTTTGATATTTTCAAAGAAATTTTGGTCATTGATTTTCTCTATTATGTTTATTTTCTCCATTTTATTTATTTTCATTATAATCTCTATTTATTCCTTCGTTCTGCTTTCTTTGGTTTAGCTTGTGCTTCTTTTTTCAGTTTCTTAGGTGGAAGATTAAGTTACCGATTTGAGTTATTTCAAGTTTTCTAATATAGGCATTTCCTATATTAAATGCATTTAATATAGACATTTAATATAGGATATAAATTTCTCTCAATGCACAGCTTTTGTCGTATTCCTTAAGTTTTGATATTTTGCGTTATTGTATCCATCCATCTAAAGTATTTTATGAATTCCTATTATGGTGCCTTTGACCCATAAGCTATATAGAAGTGGTATTGTTTGATTAACCTATATTTGTGAATTTCCTAAATTTCTGCCTATTATTGATTTTATTACACTGTGGCCCAAAAGCATAACTTGTATGATTTTAATCACTTTAAATTTATTGAGATTTGTTTTCTTGCCTATCATATGGTCTATTTTGGGGAGTGTTTGATGTGTGCTTGAGAAAAATGTGTGTCTTGCTATTGCCAGATGGAGCAATCTATAGATGCCCATTAGGTTCCTTAGCTAGTATTGTTCAAGTCTTCTACTTCCTTGTTGAACTTTTCTGCCTAATTTTTTATCTACTATTTAAAGTTAGGTATTGAATTCTCCAAATATTATTATTTTTTCATTATTCTTCAATCTTTTTTCTTTTTTTAAATTTATTTATTTATTTATTTATTTATTTATTTTTATTGATCATTCTTGGGTGTTTCTCGCAGAGGGGGATTTGGCAGGGTCATAGGACAATAGTGGAGGGAAGGTCAGCAGATAAACAAGTGAACAAAGGTCTCTGGTTTTCCTAGGCAGAGGGCCCTGCGGCCTTCCGCAGTGTTTGTGTCCCTGGGTACTTGAGATTAGGGAGTGGTGATGACTCTCAACGAGCATGCTGCCTTCAAGCATCTGTTTAACAAAGCACATCTTGCCCCGCCCTTAATCCATTTAACCCTGAGTGGACACAGCACATGTTTCAGAGAGCACAGGGTTGGGGGAAAGGTCACAGATCAACAGGATAAGAATTTTTCTTAGTACAGAGCAAAACGAAAAGTCTCCCATGTCTACCCCTTTCTACACAGACACAGCAACCATCCAATTTCTCAATCCTCTCCCCACCTTTCCCCGCTTTCTATTCCACAAAACTGCCATTGTCATCATGGCCCGTTCTCAATGAGTTGTTGGGTACACCTCCCAGACGGGGTGGTGGCCGGGCAGAGGGGCTACTCACTTCCCAGTAGGGGCGGCCGGGCAGAGGTGCCCCTCACCTCCCGGACGGGGCGGCTGGCCGGGCGGGAGGCTGACCCCCCCCACCTCCCTCCCAGACGGGGCGGCTGGCCGGGCGGGGGGCTGACCCCCCCACCTCCCTCCCAGACGGGGCGGCTGGCCGGGCGGGGGGCTGACCCCCCCACCTCCTTCCCGGACGGGGCAGCTGGCTGGGCAGAGGGGCTCCTCACTTCCCAGTAGGGGCGGCCGGGCAGAGGCGCCCCTCACCTCCCGGATGGGGTGGCTGGCCGGGCGGGGGGCTGACCCCCCACCTCCCTCCCGGACGGGGTGGCTGGCCGGGTGGGGGGCTGACCCCCCACCTCCCTCACGGATGGGGTGGCTGGCCGGGCAGAGGGGCTCCTCACTTCCCAGTAGGGGCGGCCGGGCAGAGGTGCCCCTCACCTCCCGGACGGGGCGGCTGGCCGGGCGGGGGGCTGACCCCCCCCACTTCCCTCCCGGACGGGGCGGCTGGCCGGGCGGGGGGCTGACCCCCCCCCACCTCCTTCCCGGACGGGGCGGCTGGCTGGGCAGAGGGGCTCCTCACTTCCCAGTAGGGGCGGCCGGGCAGAGGCGCCCCTCACCTCCCGGATGGGGTGGCTGGCCAGGCGGGGGGCTGACCCCCCCCACCTCCCTCCCGGACGGGGTGGCTGGCCGGGCGGGGGGCTGACCCCCCACCTCCCTCCCGGATGGGGTGGCTGGCCGGGCAGAGGGGCTCCTCACTTCCCAGTAGGGGCGGCCGGGCAGAGGCGCCCCTCACCTCCCAGACGGGGTGGCTGGCCGGGTGGGGGGCTGACCCCCCCACCTCCCTCCCGGACGGGGTGGCTGCTGGGCGGAGACCCTTCTCACTTCCCAGACGGGGTGGCTGCCAGGCGGAGGGGCTCCTCACTTCTCAGACGGGGTGGCTGCTGGGCGGAGGGGCTCCTCACTTCTCAGGCGGGCGGTTGCCAGGCGGAGGGTCTCCTCACTTCTCAGACGGGGCGGCCGGGCAGAGACGCTCCTCACCTCCCGGATGGGGTCGCGGCCGGGTAGAGGCGCTCCTCACATCCCAGATGGGGCGGCGGGGCAGAGGCGCTCCCCACATCTCAGACGATGGGCGGCCGGGCAGAGACGCTCCTCACATCCCAGACGGGGCGGCGGGGCAGAGGCGCTCCCCACATCTCAGACGATGGGCGCCCGGGCAGAGACGCTCCTCACTTCCTAGATGGGATGGCGGCCGGGAAGAGGCGCTCCTCACTTCCTAGATGGGATGGCGGCCGGGCAGAGACGCTCCTCACTTTCCAGACGGGGTGGCGGCCGGGCAGAGGCTGCAATCTCGGCACTTTGGGAGGCCAAGGCAGGCGGCTGGGAGGTGGAGGTTGTAGCCAGCCGAGATCACGCCACTGCACTCCAGCCTGGGCACCATTGAGCACTGAGTGAACCAGACTCCGTCTGCAAATCCCGGCACCTCGGGAGGCCGAGGCTGGCGGATCACTCGCGGTTAGGAGCTGGAGACCAGCCCGGCCAACACAGCGAAACCCCGTCTCCACCAAAAAAATACGAAAACCAGTCAGTCGTGGCAGCGCGCGCCTGCAATCGCAGGCACTCGGCAGGCTGAGGCAGGAGAATCAGGCAGGGAGGTTTCAGTGAGCCGAGATGGCGGCAGTACAGTCCAGCTTTGGCTCGGCATCAGGGGGAGACCGTGGAAAGAGAGGGAGAGGGAGGCCGTGGAAAGAGAGGGAGAGGGAGAGGGAGAGGGCAATCTTTTTTCTTTCTGTTCCTCCAAATATTATTGTTGAAGTGTCTACTTCAACTTTCTATTCTGTCAGTTTTCCTTCATGTATTTTGAAGCTCTGTTGTTAAGTGCCAAATGCAATTTTATAATTTATACATTTATAATTTTATAACAATTTTGTAATTATTATACCCTCAAATAATGGACCGTTTGATCCTTATAAAATGTTCTTCTTCATCTCTAGGAATAATTTTGTCCTAAGTCTATTTGATCTAATATTAATAAGGCCATTCTGGCTCTCTTTTGGTTAATACTTGCTTGCTGCATTTCTTCCTATTCTATTACTTTGATCATCTTTGTGTCTTGAATTTAAAGTTTGACTGTTGTAGACAGCATATAGGTAGATCACATTTTTTATCTGTTCTACCACTCTCTGCCAGTTAACTGAAGTGTATAATGAAACTCCATTTGATTTAATTACCAATGGGGATTTAGTAAAATACTAACATGATTGAAATATTCTATTTTGCTATTTTTCTATATGTGGGATGTCTTTTGCTTTTGATATTCCTCCATTACCATCTTATTTTGTGTTAGGTATTTCCTATTGTGCTGATTTAATCCCTATGCCATTTCTTTTGTCATATATATTTTTGGAATTTTTTTAGTAGTTTTAGTAGTTGCCCTGGAGACTACAATTAACATCTTAACTTATAACATTTAAGTATGATTAATTAATTTCAATAGCATATAAACTTTTTTCTCCTATACATGTTCCATGCCCCATTCTGTATGTTGGTATTGTCATACAAAACACGTCTTTATTCATTGTGTGCTCAAGAACATAGATTTATATTTGCTTTACATAGTTGTCCTTCAGAACAGATACAGGAAAAATACATTATTTATACATGTTTACTACATACATTTTATTTATTTATTTATTGAGACAGAGTCTCACTATGTTGCCCAGGATGGAGTGCAGTGTTGCGATCTCGGTTCACTGCAACCTCTGCCTCCCAGGCTCAAGCCATCCTTCCACCTCAGCCTCTCAACATGGTAAAACCATGTTGCCAAGGCTGGTTACGAACCCCTGAGCTCAAGCAATCCACCCACCTTGGCCTCCCAAAGTGCTGGGATTACAGGCATGAGCCACCGTGTCCACCCCATACATTTTATTTATTTAGACATACTGTCTCATTTTTACTTACATAACTTTACCTGTGCTCTTTATTTCTTCATGTGGATTTGAATTACTCTCTTGTCTTCATTTCAGCTGGAAGGACTCTGTTTAGTGTTCTGATGGGGCTAGTCTGACAGCAATGAATTCTCTCAAATGTTGTCTATCTGGGAATGCTTTAATGTCTCCATTTTTTGAAGGACACCACTGCTAGATATAAAATTCTTGGCTGACATTTATTTTTCCTTTCAGAACTTTGAATATGTCATCCCACTGCCTTTTGGCCTCCATGGATTCTTCCTTTCAGCTTTATTGTGGTATAACTAACAAACAGCATTGTTTATATTTTAAATATACAGTTTGTTGATTTGATACACATATGCATTGTGAAATGATTACCACAATCAAGTCCATTAAGACATTCATCACATTATGGTTACTTTTTTGAAATGAGAATTCTTAAGATCTGCTCTCTTAGCAAATTTCAAGTATACAATACAGTATAATTAACTACAGTCACCATGCTATACATTAGATGCTTAGAACTTAAACTGAAAGTTTGTAGTTGTTAATCTTACCAATGATCCTTTATACATGATGATTTATTTCTTGCTTATCGCTCTCATGATTTTTCTTTGCCTTTGGCTTTTGATTAATTTATTAAGATGTGCGTTTATGCTACTTGGAGTTTATTGAACTTCTTGCATATTTTGATTAGTGTTTTTCATAAAATTGGAGAAGTTTTTGGCTATTATAACTTCACATATTCTTGTATCTCCTTTCTCTCACTCATCTCCTTCTGGGACTCTCTTTATGCATACATTGGTATTGCTTGATAGGGTTCCATAGTTCTCTGAGGCTCTTTCCTTTTGTTTTTTTTTAACTTACTATTCATCAGGCTAGATAATCTCAGTTGACCAATCTACAAATTCACTGAATTTTTTGTCTGCTGAAATCTGCTGTTCAGCCCTGTTGTGGGTTGAATCATGTTCTCCAAAATGATATGTTCAAGGCTCTCTTACTTAGTCCCTATAAATGTGGCTTTATTTGGAAATACGGTATTTGCAGATGTAATCAATTAAGATGAGGTCATCTTGTATTAGGGTGGGCCCTAATCCAGTTACTGTTTCTCTTATAAGAGCAGGGAAATTTGAACACAGGCACAGAGGAAAGAAGGTCATGTGATGACACAGGCAGAGATTGGAGTGGTGCAGCTGCAAGCCAAGGAAAGCCAAGGATTTCCAGCAACCACCTGAAGCTAGAAAGAAGCAAAGAAAGATAATTCCCTAGAGCCTTCAAATAGAGCACAGCCCAACTGACACTTTAACTTTGGACTTCTATCCTCCAGCAATGTAAGCAAATAACTTTATGCTGTTTTAAGCCACTGAGATGATTTGTTTTGGCAACCCTAGGAAACAAATACAAACCCCTCCAATAAATTTTTAGTTGTAGTTTTAGTTTTCAATTCCAGAAATTCTATTTAGTTCTCTTTTATGATTTATAACTTTATTACTATTTTCTATTTGATGAAACACAATCGTCATACTATATTTTAATTCTTTATATATAGTTTTATTTAATTCTTTGAATACATTTAAAACAGCTAATATAATCTTTGTCTAGTAAATCCAATGCCTGGACTTCCTCATGGACTTCCTCATGGATGGTATCTATTAGTTGCTTTTTTTCTCTAGTGTATCAATCAGCCTGTGTTGGAGAGGCCCTAGAGCACTGCAGGTTCAGTGATTCTCTAGGATAAACCACTGGACTCAGTATATAGTCATACACCTGGCTGTGATTTCTTATGGTGAAAGCACACCTAGCAAAATAAACAAGAAAAAAGGTGCATGGGGCAAAATCCAGAGGAAACTAGGCACAAGCTTCTAAGAATCCTGTCCAAACAAATCACACAGGCACAGAAAATTTCTCCAACGAGTTGCGACAACATGTATGAAACATTGTCCACCAGGGAGGCTCACTAGGGACTAAGTGCCCACAGTTTTTAACGGGAACTGGTTATTTGGTGTCCTCTTCCTAGCCCATACCTAAATTCCAGTATCCCAGATAGAAAAATATCTTTGGCAAGAACCATAGTGTTTGTGAAAGCATTTTAGGCACAGTGAGCTCCTCTTATCGGAGAATGGGACCCCTGCGCATTTTCTAGATACCCAGGAATGTGTCAGAACTTTTCACAAGCCATATGGTCATCTAACTTCCCAGCTTTTCTTTTAAGCTTTTTAGTTAGTCTATTGTTTGCCCCAACTGTAATCCACCACTTCAAGCAGCCACAAAGTTAAACAATTGCCTCTCATTGTTTTTGATAGTTGTGCCACAGAAAAGGCTTTTTTTTGCCTTGGACAAATTTCAAGTCAGGTCAAATACAGTCTAACAAGGTGGAGTCTTATACAGACTTCAAATATGACTTCAAATAGTGATAATTCTCTGGGAATGAGGCTTTGAGGGAGCTCCAGTCCTATTCTGCTCCCTGCAGTGGCTGGCAGGTTGCTGGTCACGGCAAATGTGGGCCTTAATTTTCTGGGTTACCATGGAACTACAGAGTAGGAAATAGGACTAGAGAAAATTAAACTGCCACAAAACTCACTGCTCTTATTGAGATTCTGCTTGGTTTTTAATCAACACCCTCTGGATTACTGCAAGCTTTTGGCTAATTTCTAGAGGTCTAAAAATATTAGTGGTGATAATTTTTGCCAGTTTTCTCATTGATTTTTTTGGAGGAGAGAATTCTTGGAGGTCTTTCATTTGCTGTTTTCTCTAAAGTTATCTACTGAATCACATTTTTAAAAAGATCCTAGGACCATAATGTATGACTAGTTATCCTTGGAAGTTTGTAATCATCACAATTCAGTGTAAATTGTACCTCAAAACTCCTCTTGTCTGGGCGTGGTGGCTCACACCTGTAATCCCAGCACTTTGGGAGGCCGAGGCAGGTGGATCACCTGAGGTCAGGAGTTCAAAACCAGCCTGACCAAAATGGAGAAATCCCGTTTCTGCTAAAAATGCAAAATTAGCCAGGTGTGGTAGTGCATACCCATAATTCCAGCTACTCTGGAGGCTGAGGCAGGAGAATCGCTTGAACCCAGGAGGTGGAGGATGCGGTGAGCCAAGATTGCTCCATTGCACTCCAGCCTGGGCAACAAGAGCAAAATTCCATCTCAAAAAAACAAAAAACAAAAAAAACTCCTCTTGCAGTGGTGTTCACATGATTGAGTCAAATATATGAAATTAAACCTAAAAATAGAAGAAGTTCTCAATTTAGGGATAATTTCCCTAAAATATTATATTGAATAACATGATCTGGTTAGTCTGGTTCCTCTAGGCAACATCCCACATTCAGTTGAGGTTGTTAGGGGGCCTTTTGCTTAGTTGTGTTCTCCCTCTTTTTTTTTTTTTTTTTTTTAGATGGAGTCTCGCTCTGTTGCCCAGGCTGGAGTGCAGTGGCGCGATCTCAGCTCACTGCAAGCTCCACCTCCCAGGTTCATGCTATTCTCCTGCCTCAGCCTCCCAAGTAGCTGGGACTACAGGTGCGTGCCACCACGCCAGGCTAATTTTTTGTATTTGTAGTAGAGACGGGGTTTCACCATGTTAGCCAGGATGGTCCCGATCTCCTGATGTCATGATCCGCCCACCTCGGCCTCCCAAAGTGCTGGAATTACAGGCGTGAGCCACCACACCCGGCCTTTTCTTTTTCTTTTTGAGACAGGATCACGTTCTGTTGCCCATGCTGGAGTGCAGTGGTGCACTCATGGCTCACTGCAGCCTCAAACTCCTAGGCTCAAGTAATCCTACCCCCTCAGCCTCCTGAGTAGCTGGGACTACAGGTGTGCACTACCAGGCCCAGCTACTCTTTGTATTTTTTGTAGAGATGAGGTTTCACCCTATTGCCCAAGCTGGTCTCGAAACCCTGGGCTCAAGCAATCCACCTGCCTTGGCCTCCCAAAGTGCTGGGATTACAAGTGTGAGCCACCACTCCTGGCACTTGCCTAGTACATCCCAGCTACATGAGAGGCTGAGGTGGGAGGATCACCTGAGCCTGGGAGGTCAAGGCTGCAGTGAGCCGTGATCACACAACCGCACTCAAGCCTGGGTGACAGAGCAAGACCCTGTCTCAAAAAAAGAAAAATATATGTATTCCCCCAAACTGTTCACCCCCTCAGGAGATGCACTGGTGAAAACATAGTGACTTTTTTCCCCTAAAGACTCAGTGAATAGCCAGCCGTTTACATACACAATGATAGATAAATTCGTCTATGAATTCACAAAGATTGGGAGATAACTAAATGCATAGTAATATATAGAGATAAGTGGAAAAATTAACTTTGATAATTATATTGTTAGAGAAATATGATTTTTATTTAATTAAAATATTAAATACTATTTTTTATTTTTAATAAAAAATATATTTTAAAAAGTAAAAAAAATACGATTTTTATTTAATATCAACTAATGCTATCTTTTATCTAATTCCAAACAGTTTGTTTATAGGTTCTAGAAATATTAGATCTCTCAGGAATGGTAGAAATATGACTTTTTAGGGAAATATGACTTTTAGAAATATAACTTTTAGAGAAATATGATTTTTATAACTGAATATCTATTTATGCTGTCTTTTATCTAATTCTGAACAGTTTGCTTATTGCTTCTAGAAATATTAGATCACTTAGGAATGATAGAAATATCTGGTGATGGAATTTCAAGAATGGAACCTCTGGCCGGGCGTGGTGGAGACAGAGTCTCACTCTGCACCGTGCCGGCCAGATTTTGGTATTTCTTATGGGAAACCTGAGTTCCTGCATTAGAGGTATGTTCACACTGGCCTGTTGAATGCTGTCCTCTTAAATGTATTTAAAAATTATCCTCTGTATTTTTCGTATGCGGTTATAAATGTGTTTTGGGGATCTATTTTATTCCTTAATTTATATATTTGATTCTAGCGTCAAGCAGGTTCCCTTTGAATTTTTCCTTTAAAGAACATGTGCTATTTCCTATTACATCCTGTACCCCTCAAACTGCCCAATTAGGTATACTCCTGGGGAAAATATGGCAAAGTTTGTTGTAATGCAGTTTTTTTACCTAATTAAGTAGCTACTAAAATAATTAATTTCAAAAATTTGGAGCAAACCTAGAAAGATGCAGATGTCTTTGTGGCTTTTCACGCAATCAAGTTTACCTATCTTTGCTTTTAATATGTATTTCCTCTTGATGAAATGTTTATTTAGTTTAGTAAACTTGGGATATGTCATTTATATCCATAAATCAACTTTTTAAAAAAGAGATAATAAGAATGTGTATTGTCTATGTGTTCGTGTGTAAAACAAGATCCACTTTTATTTTTTATTATTTATTTTATGATTTGAGTTTATTTTATAAATGAGTTTATGCAGAATCATAGAGGTATCAACTACAGTCAATCACCCAACCTACTTACCTTTCCAAAGGTAAATATACTCAAGTACAATCATTTTTTTCTCATCCAAAGAGTAGCCCATATTGAATAAAGATAGGGACATGAAATGAATCGGTAGACACTATTAACCAAGAATATACAGATTTATTCACACCAAGAAACAAGTAAGTCATATGGATATATATATAAAGATAAATTTAAAAATAATAAGGTGATAATTGTACAAGTTTGCATATAGAGCTGCAGCTCTGAAAAACTGTTTATATTGTTTTGATATATTGTGTGACTTGTTCCCCTAACCCATCACCCGGAGTTGATGCTAAGATACTGTTGGTTCCATGACTCGGAAGCAATCTAAGGTTAGAGGCACTTACATTTGCTAGGAATAAATAAGGCAAGATGATATTTTTCACCACTTTTAGCACAGCAGACTTGTCAGTAGATAAGCGGCTCCACCCAGGACACTGGTATTCATCTCATTCGCACAGCTCATCTGTTGACCATGACTCAAGCAACTGGACCACTCTGGAGGACCATAGTGCCCTTTAAAAAATTTTTTTTTGTATTTTTAGTAGTGACAGGGTTTCCCCATATTAACCAGGCTGGTCTCGAACTCTTGACCTCAGGTGATCCACCTGCCTTGGCATCCCAAAGTGCTGGGATTACAGGCATAAGCCACCGTGCCAGGCCTCCTAATGTGCCCTTTTATGTGGAGTGGCCATTGAGTGTGCACTCAGCCAGACACAGACAGCATTTTTGAAAGCTTTATCTGAGTATTTCAAAATTGAGTATGAATTTGGATAAAGTGGTTGGTTGTAGACCAAGCAGGAAGATGTCATAGAAAGAACAATGGCTTGGGAGTTCGGAATCCCGGGCTTGCATGAATCTTTGAGCTTGTTAAGTCGTGCAATCTAAAGCAAGGCATTTCACTGATAATTAAGCTTCATGAGCATTTGCACTGATAACATTATACACATTGAACAATTCAGAAGTCACCACATACGTATGGCGTGGCTTACTCTCACCTTTCACCGGTTGGAGAAAAAGAGACAGAGATGAATGTGATCAAGTTTATGAGCTCCTAAGTAAAAGAGCCAAGATGGGAACCCAAGCATGTGGCTCCAGCGCCGAGGCTCTGAGCAACGGATGCACCATCATCACTCAGCTGTGGGACCACCAGTCACTGTGCAAAAGAGTTCCATCATCTGTATGTATTGACACGTCTGGAATTATCTGAGCCTATAGAGTTCCTACACACTATCCACAATATATGCTGGTGTCAGTGGGCACATAGCCCAGCACAGGTATTAGTGCATAAATACCACAGGTTTATCATAGTCATTATGTGAAACCCACTTAGAAAGCCCAAATGCTTTCGGACAGCTCGTAGATTTTGAGAGCTCGGGGACACCACTTGGGACAGCCAGTAAAATTCTTTCAGTGCTTGGCCGCTCCTCAGCACCTGTCCCAAACTGATAAATAACGAGAAGACTCTTTTTTCCAAACGGAGTTTGGCTCTTGTTGCCCAGGCTGGAGTGCAATGGCACCACTTCGGCTCACTGCAACCTCCATCTCCCGGGTTCAAGCCATTCTCCTGCCTCAGCCTCCTAAGTAGCTCAGATTACAGGTGCATGCCACCACGCCCAGCTAATTTTTTGTATATTTAGTAGAGAAGGGGTTTCACTGTGTCGGCCAGGCTGGTCTCAAACTCCTGACCTCAGGTGATCCACCTACCTCGGCCTCCCAAAGTGCTGGGATTATAGGCGTCAGCCACCGCGCCCAACCAGTACCTATTTTCTTTGAAACATAACAACTCTCTCATCTTCATCCTAAAATGTTCAAAGCATATTAAAGGGCAAAAACCACAGTATGAAGAGACAGAGCATGCATCAGAGCCAGACTGCAATATACAGAGATTTGATGATTATCAGACTGATAACTATGATTAATATGCTAAAGGCTCTAATGGAAAAAGTGGATGAGATTCAAGAACCAATGGGATGTAAGTAGAGAAGTGAAAACTCTAAGAATCAAAAGGGAATGCTAGAAATAAAAAATGCCGTAACAGAAACGGAGAAGGCCTTTGATGGACCCGTCAGTGGACTGCACGTGGTTGATGAAGAAATCCGTGAACCTGAGAAAATGTCAATAGAACTTCCCAAACTGAAAAGCAAGAGAAAAAAAGACTGAGGAAAACAGAAAAAAATATCAAAAAATGGCGGGACAATTACAAAAGGTATAACATCTTCGTAAAGGGAATTCTAAAAGGAGAAAAATGAAAGAAGCAGAAGAAATATTTTAACTAATAATGGCTGATAACTCACCAAAATTATTGACAGACACCAAGCCATAGATCCAGGAATCTCAGAACACCAAACAGGATAAATACAAAGAAGTCAATATCTCATCATATCATATTCAAATTTTGTAAAATCAAAGATAAAAACTTTGAAAGAAGCCGGGCACAGTGGCTCAGGCCTGTAATCTCAGCGCTTTGGGAGGCCAAGGTGGGCTGATCACTTGAAGTCAGGAGTTCGAGACCAGCCTGGCCAACATGGTGAAACAGTCTCTACTAAAAATACAAAAATTAGCTGGGCGAGGTGATGGGTGCCTGTAGTCCCAGCTACTCAGGAGGCTGAAGCAGGAGAATTGCTTAAACCCAGGAGACAGAGCTTGCAGTGAGCCAAGATCACGCCACTGCACTCCAGCCTGGGCAACAGAGCAAGACTCCATCTCGAAAAAAAAAAGAAAAAGAAAAAAAAAAAACTTTGAAAGAAGCCAAAGGAAAATATACATACTACTCATAGAGGCACTAGTATAAGAATTACACTGGGCAGGGTGCAGTGGTTCACACTTATAATCCCAGCACTTTGGAGGCCAAGGCAGTAGGACTGCTTGAGCTCAGGAGTTTGAGACCAGCCTGGGCAACATAGAGAAACCCCATCTCTACAAAAAATATGAAATATTAGCAAGGCTTGCCAGTGTTTGCCTGTGGTTCCAGCTACTCGGGAGGCTGAGGCAGAAGGCTCACTTGAGCCTGGGAGGTTGAGGCTACAGTAAGTCAAGATTAAGGCACTGTGCTCCAGCTTGGGCACCAGAGTGAAACCCTGTCTCAGGGGAAAAAAAAAAAAAAAGAATTACGTTGAACTTCTTGTCAGGAACCACATAAGAAGGAAGAGAGTGGAGTAAAATACCTAGTGTTGAAAGAAAAAGCCCCCACACCTAGAATTCTGTACCTATCAAAATTATCCTTCAAAAGTGAAAGAGAAATAAAGAACTTTCAGGTAAGCAAAAAATGGTGGGGCATTTTGGAAGAATATAGATTTCCATTTCATAAATGCAGAAAGAATGAGGGAAATGGAGAATTGCATTGAGGCAAAATTCATCAGTAATTTATAGCCAGTAGATCTATCTTGTAAGAAATGTTATTTAAAAAAAAAAACCAAAAAAAAAAAAACTTGTTCAGAGACAAGGAAAATAGGTCAGAAACAACATCACTTTTGAGCTGAAATTTTTATTCACTATTTTATGTCATTTTTCTTTAAAGGGATCTAGAAAATTTTAGAAGCTCCACAAACCCTGGATAGGCTTTTGCAGCCAGCCATGAGCTTATCCCGCCCCTCTCACTCCACCTTATCCACCCACATTTCCAAAAACCCAGTCTTATTTTGTGACCCAGAGTCACAAGCTCCCCAAACGTGCTCAATACGTATGCTCCCAACAAATGGCAAAATCTTATTTTTACCATTAACGAAAAGAAGAAGAAAATCATTCTGGCGTTTTGTTGATGATGGTTGAGATGAGGGCAACTTCGAACTTAGAACCCTGAGTGGAACCGCTTTTTGTTCTTCCTGGGAATACCTGTTGGAAACAAGAATTAAAGAATGTGGTTACAGCCGGACGCGGTGGCTCACACCTGCAATCCCAGTACTTTGGGAGTCCGAGGCAGGCGGATCACCTGAGGTCAGGAGTTCAAGACCAGCCTGGTCAACATGGCGAAACCCTGTCTCTACAAAAAATACAAAAATTAGCCAGGGGCGGTGGCTTGTGCCTGTAATCCCAGCTGCTCAGGAGTCTGGGGCAGGAGAATCATTTGAACCCAGGAGGCAGAGGTTGCAGTGAGCTAAGATCCCACCACCGCACTCCAGCCTGGGCAACGAGAGCGAGACTCTGTCTCAAAAAAAAAAAAAAAAAAAAAAATTAAAAAAAAAAAGAATGTGGTTATTAGAGGCAATTCAGGATTATCCAGGCTTCCCTTGAAGAAACATATGCAAGGCTCTAAAATGGGAGCCAGATGGAAGAAAAAGTTGCAGGCTTACTGGGGAGGTGGGAAACACCCGGATCCCAGTCCCACATGTGACTTGAGAGCTGAGAGGCTGATGACTAGATGCCCTGCTGCCCCAGGGCTCCCTTCTGACTGATATGAAGGCTGGAGATTTTCCCTACACTATCCCTTAGCACCCAGCATGATGCACAAAAAACAGGAATTCAATAAAAAGGTTTGAGATGTGACTCTTGTTTAGGATGTCTTTTGGTCCTCAAGAATCTTCCACAGGAGAAGCCAAGCATGGTGGCATGCACTGTAATCCCAGCTATTCAGGAGGCTGAATGAAGCAGGAAGATCCTTTGAGCCCAGGAATTTGACTCCAGCCTGGGCAACATAGCGAGACGCCCCTCCATCTCTAATAAAAATTTTGAAAAATAAAAAAAAGCATCTTCCACAGCAGAGATTCTTTTTTTTTTTTTTTTTTTTTGAGACGGAGTCTCGCTCTGTCGCCCAGGCCGGACTGCGGACTGCAGTGGCGCAATCTCGGCTCACTGCAAGCTCCGCTTCCCGGGTTCACGCCATTCTCCTGCCTCAGCCTCCCGAGTAGCTGGGACTACAGGCGCCCGCCACCGCGCCCGGCTAATTTTTTGTATTTTTAGTAGAGACGGGGTTTCACCTTGTTAACCAGGATGGTCTCGATCTCCTGACCTCATGATCCACCCGCCTCGGCCTCCCAAAGTGCTGGGATTACAGGCGTGAGCCACCGCGCCCGGCCCAGAGATTCTTTTTTTATTTTTTTGAGACAGAGTCTGACGCCCAGGCTGAAGTGCAGTGGCACGATCTTGGCTCACCGCAACCTCTGCCTCCCCAGTTCAAGCGATTCTCCTGCCTCAGCCTCCCGAGCAGCTTGGATTACAGGCGCCCACCACCACGCCTGACTAATTCTTTTGTATTTTTAGTAGAGATGGGGTTTCACCATATTGGCCAGGCTGGTCTCAAACTCCTGACCTCAAGTGATCCACCCGCCTCAACCTCCCAAAGTGCTGGGATTACAGACATGAGCCATCGTGTCCGGCCCCATAGCAGAGATTCTTAACTTGGGGTCCAGGAAGCCCCTGAAATTGCATGCAAAATATTAGCATTAACATGTTTTTTAGAGGGAGGGCCCCTTGCATTCATCATTTTCTCTGGTGCTCACAAGACTTCAAAATGTTAAGAAACACTGGGGTAAATGAAGAAGCAAGCACCTCCAGGAAGGAGGTCCCGCACCACCATGCACAGAGTGTCTGCAATGCAGAACCAGAGAGGACCTTTGGGATGGTCCACTGTGGTTGAGCCACCATACTCAAAGATGGGGACCCTTGATAGATGCCTTGACGAAGCAAGCAGAAGGTCACCAGGAAGTTCTCTGTCCTCCACCATCTATCCGTTTTATGGACTAAAAAATAGTCACAAGATTGAAGTGCTTTTGCTTCCTAGGAAACATGGTGTCATTCATTCATTTATTCAGCCAACATTAACTGAGGCCCCATTGTGTGCCAAGAAATGTGCTAGACCCTGGGACCACGTGCTTCTCACGCTGAAGATTCCCAGTAGAGAAGACACATAACAAACTGCCCGTAGAATGGGGCTGCCTTATTCATTTATGTATTCTCCAAGCCTCGCCCAGTGCCCAGCACGTAGTAGGAGCTCAATAAATAATAAGTGCCTTGGGCAGTAAGATAATGTCGTGGGTAAACCTCTGGCATTTAGAATCAGAGAACCTGGGTTTGAATCACAGCTTGTCCACTTCTTTGGTGTGTGACTCTGGGCAGGCCACATCATCTTGCTGAGACTCGATTTCTTCATAATGTAACATGGTGTGAACCTGCATCACAGAGTCTTGTGGGGATTATGGGAACTAAACTGTGAAAAGAGGCTGGGTGTGGAGGCTCGCGACTCTAATCCCAGCACTTTGGGAGGTCAAGGCAGGCGGATCACTGGAGCCCAGGAGTTTGAGACCAGCCTGGGCAGCATAGCAAAACCCCATCTCTACAAAAAAAAAAAGTACAAAAATTAGCCAGGCTCAGTGATGCATACTTGTAGTCTCAGCTACTCAGGAGGCTGAGGTGGGAGAATCACTTGAGCCTGGGAGGTGAGGTTGCAGTGAGCCCAGATCATGCCACGCACTCCAGCCTGGGTGACAGAGCCAGATCCCATCTCAAAAAAAATAAAGAATAAAATAAACTGTGTAGAGAGCCTGGTATACACGAAGTGCTTGATAAGTATAGCTATTGGAGTTAATATCAATACCATAATGTCAAAGAGCCCTGGTAAACACTCTGGGCTCCTGTCTGCCTTCTGAAAAACAAGGATTAAGCAGATCCCCTCTGTCTCTTCTGTACTAGGATCCTAGGAACTACAAATGGTGATTGTTTTAGGTGGGTGTGGAGCATCATCTTGTGGAAGAGAGGAAAATTGACAAAAATGTCGCAGTTTCCTATTAAGAATATATATTGGAATTCACAGTTTTTAAAATATGAGTACATATACCAAAAATGCCCTAATGCAAGGTGATCCCCAAATCCAATCAATTTTTCCAATGGACTAATAACAAATATTTGCCAGGGAGAAAATAAAAATGTGTTTGAGAATCACATGGATCAATGGGGAAAAACATAAAAATAAATGAAAAATAAAAATATGTTGGCATAGCCCTAATTACATAAGCTTAAGGGAAATCAAATATGCACTTCCAATATTTCGTTAATTTATTTAGATACAGCTATACATTTGTATATGTTATGGGGTAATATACAAATATTACTCTTTTCCACTTTCAGTTTTCAAAAAGATTTTGTAACTCAAGCTCTTCACAGGCATCTCCCACTTAGTGGTTTTCCCTCTCCAAGGCAATTTTTGAATCTTCTAAGCCTGTGTTTCAGGGCTCAGTATTTTTTACTCTGTTAAGCAGAGTGAGAGACAGGCTGTCATGAATCTGGACATTTTTATTTTTAATTTTTTTTAGACAGGGTCTCATTCTGTTGCCCAGGCTGGAGTGCAGTGGTTTGATCACAGCTCACTGCAGCCTCGACTTCCCAGGCTCAGGTGATCCTCCCACTTCAGCCTCCCTAGTAGCTACGGGCACATGCCACATGCCCGGCTAATTTTTTTGTATATTTTGTAGAGATGGAGTTTTACTATGCTGCCCAGGCTGGAAATCTGGACATTCTTAACAAACCTCAGTGACATATTTATGCGTTGTTAGGGCATTTTTAAAATGCATCCTATAGGTGCATACTTATGGCCTCCACAGTATCAATGTGGGATTTACTTTCTTTCCTTTTTTTTTTTTTTTTTTTTTTTTTTTTTTTTTTTTGAGACAGTCTGGCTGGAGTGCAGTGATGCCATCTCGGCTCACTGCAACCTCCGCCTCTGGGGTCAAGTGATTTTCCTGCCTCAGCCTCCCAAGTAGCTGGGATTACAGGCGCCTGCCACCACGCCTGGCTAATTTTTTTGTATTTTTAGTAGAGACGAGGTTTCATCATGTTAGCCAGGCTGGTCTCAAACTCCTGGCCTCAAGCGATCCTCCCGCCTCGGCCTCCCAAAGTGCTGGATTACAGGCGAGAGCCACCGCGCCTGGTCGCTAGTTGAGATCTTTAAAAGCCAATGTGTCTACCACAAACTGTCAGTTTGCTCTTCAAAATGAAGTTCTTGAGAGAACAGCGCCCCCTAAAGACAATTTTTTAAAAGATTACCTCCTTCCTGTGGATTATTGGTGAGGGGATAGGGGAGACCTAAATATACGCAACAAAACAAGTAGTAAAGGGGTGAGTATGTCTTTGCTTTTAGAAAATAAAGAGTCAATCCCAGGCCCCAGGACTCCCGGGGCTCAGCCCAAGCCCCCATCCCCTCACCCCAAGGAGCCAGCACCTTCTGATTCCGGGGCAGACACTACTGAGTTCCCGTAGGGAGACAAGGTCTGCTCCTGCAGCAGGAAATAGGGGATGGAGAGGTGGGGGCAGCCCAGCTCCAGGACACCCTGGGAAACTCCCAGCCTGAGAACCTTCCTCTCAAGGAAGCCCAAGGGGCACTTGGCTCCATCTCCAGCCTTTTTTCCTGGCAACCTCAAATGGAAAGAGAAAATTCCTCTTTCAAAGCTCAGCAAATTTTCTGTTTCCAATTAAAACAAAACAAAACAAAACAAAAAAACCCAAACAAACAAAACAAAGTTCAGTTTCAGTTTCCATTCTCAGCCGGCAGGAGAGATGGCTGCTGAACTAAGGCAGCCCAGCAGAGGGAGGCTCAGCTGATGCCTGGAGGGCCCCCTAGCCCTCTCTGCACCCTAAAAAGAGGAAAGTAAGCTTAGTGATTCTTCCGTCGGTGGCTCACGCCTGTAATCCCAGCACTTTGGGAGCCCAAGGCGGGCAGATCACCTGAGGTCAGGAGTTTGAGACCAGCCTGGCCAACATGGTGAAACCCCGTTTCTACTAAAAATACCAAAAATACCAAAAATTAGCCGGGCGTGGTGTCAGGTGCCTGTAATCCCAGCTACACAGGAGGCTGAGGTGGGAGAATCCCTTGAACCCGGGAGGCAGAGGTTGCGGTGAGCTGAGATCACGCCATGGGTGACAGAGCAAGACTCTGTATCAAAAAAAAAAAAAAAAAGAAAGAAAAAGGGCAGCTAACTCTCTCTCTAACCCACACCATCTCCCTGCCCTTCTGCAGTTCTGTGGCCTACTGGACAAAGGCTGGGAGTTGCCCCTTACAGGGCTGGGCAGAAGCAGAGACGATTCATTCCTGGTCCCACAGAGATGGCAGGCTTCCAGGACCTGTATGACACCCCTGGGGACAGGCTGGATGTCTTCATAAAACATCCTTCCAGTCTGCCTTCGTAAAACAGCCTCCAGCCCCAGGGAGACTGGAAGGATGAAGTGAAGGATGCCGGGCATTGAACTGAGCAGTTCTTGAGGGATCAGTTCTTCTATAATGAGCTGATTCTGGACCAGGAAGTCAGGGTGCTGAAGATGGCAAAGGTGAGCACTCAGGAACCCCCGGGGTTCAAATCCCAGCTCTGCCCTGTGGGACTGTGGGGCTGTGGGATAGGTAAGGGATGAGTTATTTTGTCTCTCTGAGCATCGGTCTCTTCCTCTCTAAAACCGGTTTCTAATGAACAATAAATGGGATAAAGCATAGAAAAGTGCTCTTAAGCAGTAAACTATTCTACAAATCTGGATGATGATGATGATGATGATGATGATGATGATGATGATTTGGGATCCAGCTCTCTAAGTGCCAGGGAATCAAGTGGACTATGGGTAGCAGGTTTGTATAAAATTTATGCCTTTTGGCCAGGCACAGTGGCTCACACCTGTAATCCCAGCACTTTGGGACGCTGAGTGGGGAGGATCACTTGAACCCAGGAGTTCAAGGCCAGCCTGGGCAACATTGCAAGACCTCATCTCAATTATTTAAAATTTTAAACTTTTTTATATATTATTTAAAAAAAATTTTTAAAGAAATTAAAATAAAATTTATGCCTTTTGTTTCCTCTTTAACCAGCCCCACTTAACCCCTAAAGTCATCAAGATCATCTATATTTTCCTTCTAAAATGGCACTGACTGGCCGGGCGCGGTGGCTCACGCCTGTAATCTCGGTACTTTGGGAGGCCAAGGCAGGCGGAACACGAGGTCAGGAGATCGAGACCATCCTGGCTAACATGGTGAAACCCCGTCTCTACTATAAAAATACAAAAAAAAACTTAGTCAGGTGTGGTGGCAGGCGCCTGTAATCCCAGCTACTCGGGAGGCTGAGGCAGGAGAATGGTGTGAACCCGGGAGGCAGAGCTTGCAGTGAGCTGAGATCACGCCACTCCAGCCTGGGTGACAGAGTGAGACTCGATCTCAAAAAAAAAAAAAAAAAGTAAAAAAATAAAATGGCGCTGACTGATTTTGTTAGAAACTACCTAGCAATTAGGTAATATCAGAGGGTACTCTCTGGGTTCAGAGGGTTTGTTAGAGGCTGACCATGGAATCAAATACGTATTTATAGCATGGTTTCCCCTGGGAAAGTACTAAACTATAGTTCAACTTTTAACATATCACCCTAAATCAAAAATGCCTTAACCATAAATCTAGATTTGGTTTATTTTGCTAGAATGAAAGACATCTAACATTATCTTAAGCAAATCAGACTTCACCTGGGAGTGGCAATGGCTGCCGAGAATACGACTGAAAAGGAAGGAAATGCAGCTTTAATGAATCTTCAGGCCAGGCACAGTGGTTCTCGCCTGTAATCCCGGCACTTTGAGAAGCCAATGTAGGCAGATTGCTTGAGCCCAGGAGCTCAAGACCAGCCTGGGCAACATCACGAAAACTTGTCTCTACAAAAAGCACAAAAAAATTAGCCAGGTATGGTAGCATCCACCTGTGGTCCCAGCTACTCGGGAGGCTGAGGTGGGAGGATCACTTGAGGCCAGGAGGTCGAGGCTGCAGTGAGCTGTGGTCATGCCGCTGCACTGTAGCCTGGGTGACAGTGTCTCAAAAAAAGAATCTTTAAATACGGAGTCGAAGGCAAATAATCAGGAGTGTTACTAGCAAACCCTGAGCTTCAAAACAGAAATTCGAGCTTCCATGGTTGCTTAAAAAGATACAACTTTGCCCTTCTGGCTTCTGGCTCGTCCACACATCTGCATGTGCCCTAAGGTCCCTCTGCTGCAGAGCTCTGGCAGCATCTTTGCTTTCCAGATCCAAAACAAAAACACAAAGAAAAGGGGAATCCCGATCAGAACCAGAAATAGAATGCGTATTCTCTTAAGAATGGGTTCGAGGGTGTTCAAGTACTTTAACATATGTTATAATAAAGTTCTTCTACTGATTGAAAGGCACTGTCTTGATGGGAGGCGCACCATTCATATGATCTCAAACACTCACAACGTGAAGTTCCTATTCCCGCCTCTACGGGGATGTGTTTCAAATGGAGACTATTTGTCTGTATAAGAAAAAAATGCATTTTACCTTTCCTCTTGCTCTCTCAACCATCTCTATTTCCAGAGGTGGAAACGCCCCTAGAATACCTATTTCCACCAGTTTTGACCAGCACAGAAAATGCCTACAACAAAGTTATCTATAGAGCTAGAGATCCTGTCTGAATAAACATCGGTAAACAAGCAACAAGAAGGACTTTGTTTCTGTATTGGGAAGAAGGGAGTACATTGCATATAATTCAACATTTGCTTGAGCTTTTCAAGCACTAAGTTTTCTTCCTTTCTGGTTTTTTTTTTCTTTTTTCTTTTTTTTTTTTTTGAGACAGTATTGCTCTGTTGCCCAGGCTGGAGTTCAGTGGTGGCACAATTTCGGCTTACTGCAACTTCCACCTCCCAGGTTCAAGCAATTCTCGTGCCTCAGCCTCAGCCTCCCAAGTAGCTGGGATTACAAGCACGCAACACCACGCCTAGCTAATTTTTTTTTTCTTTTTTTGTGTTTGTAGAGATGGGGTTTCACCATGTTGCCCAGGCTGATCTTGAACTCCTGAGCTCAGGCAATCCACTCGCCTCGGCCTCCCAAAGGGCTGGGATTACAGGTGTGAGCCACCATACTCGGCCTTTAAGTTTTCTTTTCTTTCTTTTTTTTTTTTCTTGAGAGAGAGTCTCACTCTGTCACCCAGGCTGGAGCGCACTGGCATGATCTCGGCTCACTGCAACCTCCTTCTCCCATGTTCAAGCAGTTCTCCTACCTCAGCCTCCCGAGTAGCTGGGATTACAGGCATGCACCACCACACCTGGGTAATTTTTTATATTTTTAGTAGAGACGGGCTTTCACCATGTTGGCCAGGCTGGTCTCAAACTCCTGACCTCAGGTGATCCTCCTGCCTCGGCCTCCCAAAGTGCTGGGATTACAGGCGTGAGCCACCACACCCAGCCCTAAGTTTTCTTAGTTGCATTTTAGTCTTCTAGCTTTCATTCATCCTTATTAAGACAAGAGTGCTGTATTTTTCTAGAGTCGAATATACTGGTTCCATTTGATTTCCTGCCATGAATATCTTGGAGAGTCTTCTGGGACCAGGGACAACATTTGCAAGGACATCTCTTGCAGTACTTAGTCACTAACTCCACCTGACACCAATATTCTTCCTTTTCTACTATTCTGTGTCCTCTGGTCAAGGAATCCAATGTCTAAATTAAGGTTACAGAGGAATCTGAAGTCAAAATTGCTTCATAATGTTTTTAATTACAAAAATCATACATTGAGTCACAAAAATATAGGAAAATACCAAAAAAAACCCTCAAATGAATGCCCTTACTATTCATAGATAAGCACCATTTATATTTTAGTGCACTATGATCACATTTTCAATGTTTATAAAGAACTAGAAAATATTTTATTTCATGTGTAACTATAAATATACTTATTTCAAAAGTGATTATAAACTTCCGGTGCCAGCCAAGATGTAGTAAACATCTCACAAATTACAACTAAAACTCTGGACAGACATTAGAAAGCAAGTACTTGAGGACTCCAAAAACTAAATAGCAGGCAGGCAGATTAGGGACTGGAGTCAAATCTTGAATAATCTGTAACAAGAGTGATGGCTGGCGCGGTGCTCGCGCCTGTAATCCCAGTACTTTGGGAGGCCGAACCAGGTAAATCACATGAGGACAGGAGTTGGAGACCAGCCTGGCCAACACAGTGAAACCCCATCTCCACCAAAAATTACAAAAATTAGCCAGGTGTGGTGGCCCATGCCTATAGTCCCAGCTACTCGGGAGGCTGAGGCATGGGAATTGCTTGAACCCAGGAGATGGAGGTTGCAGTGAGCCAAGATCGTGCCACTGCACTCCAGCCTGGGCAGCAGAGTGAGACCCTGCCTCAAAAAAATAAATAAACAAAAGAAAACACACACACAAAAGACATGCAACACCAGTGGATATCAAAAGCATTTTGCTTAGTGGAGGGGAAAAGCCAATTTCAAAAGGTCACATACCATATAGTTCCATGTATATAATATTCTCAAAATGATAAGACAACAGAGATGGAAAAGAGGTTAATGGTTTCCCTGATTTCAGGATGGAGGAGGGGAGGGAGGTGGGTGTGACATGAAGAAGCTGCATGAGGCCCATCTTGGCAGTAATGGAATAGTTCTCCATCTTGATTGCAGTGGTGGTTACAGGAATCCCTGCATGTGATGATACGTCACACAACGAATACAAACATTGTGTTGATGTCAATTTGCTGGGTTTGACATTCCACTATAGCTGTGTAAGATGTGAGCATTGAGGGGGACTGAGTAAAGGACACACCAGACGCCTCTGTCCTATCTTTACAACTTCCTGTGAATCTGTAATTACTTCCAAATTAAAAGTCTCAAAAATGGTTATACATACACACATGCCTCTACGCATACGAAATAGATGTATACAAAATATATGCACAACAATATGTTTCAGTCAGAACTGTTCATAGAATTTTCTATGATGATAGGAAGGTTCTTTTTTGTAGACAGGGTCTTGCCCTGTTGCCCAGGCTGGAGTACCATGGCACGGTCTCCGCTCACTGCGGCCTCAACCTCCCTGACTCAAGCGATCGTCCCACCTGAGCTTCCCGAGAAGCTGGGACTACAGGCATGCAGCGCTACCCCCGGCTGATTTTTTTGTTGACACAGGGTTTTGCCCTGTTGCCCAGGCTGATCTCGAACTCCTTGGCTCAAAGCAACCTTCCCGCTTTGGCCTCCCGAAGTGCTGGGATTACAGGTGTGAGCCACCGCACCCTGTGGGAAGGTTCTATACATTCACCGTCCAATACAATAGCCACTATTTCTGGGCAGCCCTTGAGCACGTCAAATGAGGTCAGTAGGACCAAAGTACTGAATGTTTTATTTCATTTCATTTTAATTCATTTAAATTTATTTATTTATCTATTGGAGACAGTGTCTCTGTCACCCAGGCTGCAGTACCAGTGGGGTGATCATGGCTCACTGCAGCCTCAAACTCCTGGCCTCAAGCAATCCTCCCACCTCAGCCTCCCAAAGTGCTGGCAATACAGGCGTGAGCCACTGCTCCCAGCATAATTAATTTAAATTTAAATAGCCACATGTGGTTCTTGGATACCATGTTGGGTGATACAGGTCTTGCTGTACATTTATGGAGCGATATGCAAGAAGCTTGTAACTGTGGTTGTCTCTGGAAAAGGAGTTTCGGGCTTTAAGAGGAGTGGAGTTTTACATTTTACTTACATCCTTTGAAGTGTTTACCGGGTATTTAATTTTTTTGAATCAATGAAAAAAGTAATAATACTCAGCAAAGACCATGATGTATGATGGAGACCAAGGGCTCCTTTGGGACCTGGGTGAACAGCCTAACCTGGGTGCCTCTGGCTTCATTCCTAACCCCAAAGCATCAGATCTCAGCAGAGGTGACACTCACCCATGTCATCCTCCACAGAGCGTCTCCACAGGGAAGGGGACGATGCTGAACTACAGCTCTGACCTGGACCTGATTCTCTTCCTGAGCTGCTTCTCCAGCGTCCAAGACCAGGCACAGCTGCGAGACAGTATCATCAGCTTCATTGAAGAGAATTGGTTCACTGTAGCAAGAGCCTGGCCTACAATATCACTGTGGTCCGGCACAGGGAGGGTACAAGGGCCCCTGACTCCCTGTCCCTCCAGGTCCAGTCCAGGAAGAGCAGCGGAGTCATTTGGATGGATAAGCTCCCGGCTTTCGATGCTCTGGGTAAAGACAGCGACAGGTCGGGTCCAGAGAAACTAGTCAGGGCCGCTTTGCCAACCTGGCCTCGGGAGGCTTGAGAAAGTGGAATCCAGTGGGAGAGTGGAGGTTGCCCTTTTTCAGGGAGACAGGACTGGAGCGATACCTTGGAGATTAAGTCCTCCCATAAATGCATGTGTTACCATATTCCATCATGGCCTGGGGAAATAAATGGGACTTCCAAATGATGGATTCCCACCCAACCCAAGGAGGTGATTTCTCTCTAATCCTTTGGGATTAGAAAGGTTGCTTGCAGGGTGTTGGGCCCTGTTTATTTTTTATTTTTATTTATTTTTTATTTTTTGAGGCAAGGTCTCGCTCTGTTGCCCAGGCTGGAGTGCAGTGGCACAGTCTCTGCTCATTGCAACCTTCATCTCCCAGGTTCAAGTGATTCTTCTGCCTCAGCCTCCCGAGTAGCTGGGACTACAGGCATGCGCCACCACGCCCGGCTAATTTTTGTATTTTTAGTAGAGACGAAGTTTCACCACGTTGGTCAGGTTGGTCTCAAACTCCTGACATCAGGTGATCTGCCCACCTCGGCCTCCCAGAGTGCTGGGATTACAAGTGTGAGCCACCGCGCCCGGCCTCCAGCATTTTTTAAGAGAAAAAAATGGAAATAACCTTCATTGTCTAAGGATACCGTACAATGTTAGGGATAGCCATTTTGTTTGTTTGTTGTTGCCATACTGTGCTATACTATTCTCTTTTTTGTTTTTTGAGACAGGATCTCCCTCTGTCCCCCAGGCTGGAGTGGTGCAGTGGTGCCATCACAGCTCATTGCAGCCTTGACCTGGGCTCAGATAAGCCTCCTGCCTCACCTTTCTGTGTGGCTGGAACCACAGGCATGTGCCACCACATCAAGCTAATTTTTTTATGGTTTGTAGAGATGGGATGCAGGGGGTATCACTCTGTTGCTCAAGCAGTCCTACCAACTCGGTCTCCCAAAGTGCTGGGATTACAGGTGCGAGCCACCACGCCTAGCCTCTCCTGCCTCTCTTGAAATCTATGTGCGTACGGTGCACACAGAGCTTACATAAGTGGAGTCATATCATGC
This sequence comes from Homo sapiens, assembly GCF_000001405.40. NCBI lineage: Eukaryota > Metazoa > Chordata > Mammalia > Primates > Hominidae > Homo > Homo sapiens. The sequence continues at coordinate 121,052,670 of NC_000012.12, read as the reverse complement.
ATACTGGTTTTGTAGTCTACCTTTCAAAAAAATGCATTTGTTTGGGACTTCTCAACTAGAACTTTTGGGAGCTATGTATTAATGTAATTTGCACATTTTCCCATTGAGCTGTCTGTCTTCCTTATCAGTTTTAAGAACTCTTTGTAACTTGTAGATATTTACCATTATTTTTCTTTTTTCTTTTTTTTTTTTTTGAGACGGAGTCTCACTTTGTCGCCCAGGCTAGAGTGCAGTGGCTGGAGTGCAGTGGCACAATCTCAGATCACTGCAACCCCTGTCTCCCGGGTTCAAGCAACCCTCCCTCCTTGGCCTCCCAAAGTGCTGGGATAACAGGCACACCTGGTCTGAGGATATGATCTTGAGTGAAGCAACCTCCCATTGTCTGAGGGCAATGCTCTGGCAGGGACTCAACTAGGAGCTGTTAGCAGCAACACTCCCAACAGCTGGGAAATGAGTGCCCCAGTCCTGAAGGGGCATCTGGTGGCAAGTGCCATCATCCTCATCCACTGCACTTCAAACCTGTGTGCTCTATTGTTTGTGAGTTATATCTCAACTGAATAATCTGGGAAAAAGAATGACTCAGCCAGGCACGGTGGCTCACACCTGTAATCCCAGCACTTTGGGAGGCCGAGGCGGGTGGATCACCTGAGGTCAGGAGTTTGAGACCAGCCCAGCCAATGTGGCAAAAACCCATACCTACTAAAAGTACAAAAAAAAAACAACAAAAAAAGGCCGTGGTGGCATGCACCTCTAGTCCTAGCTACTAGGGAAACTGAGGCAGGAGAATCACTTGAACCCGGGAGGCAGAGGTTGCAGTGAGCTGAGATTGTACCACTGCACTCCAGCCTGGGCAACAGAGCAAGACTCCATCTCAAAAAAAAAAAAAATAAAGAATGGCTCCCAGATTTCTAGCCACTGCTAACAGTGAACCCTGCTCTTCTTTCTGTTCACACTCATCTCATTAAAATTCCAATTCGAGATTTGTCTTCTCATTAGAATAATAGCTCACATTCATTGAGCACCAACTATGTGTCAGGTGCTGGGCTGAGTACTTTCCATCTATTCCTTCTTCGGAGCACCACAGTAGGCTTAGGATGTAGGTCCTATTATCATCCTCATTTTCCAGGTGGGGAAACTGAGACACAAATAGTTTAGATGACTTCCACATTCACACAATGAATACACTTGGATTTGAATCCAGACACTCTGGCTCCAAAGCTCATGCTGCGACTACTTTGCTTTGCTGTAAACTCACCAGGAATGGAGGACCGTCTTATTCAGCGCTGTCTCCCAGTGCCTGGCACAGTGGCTAACACATAATAGGAGCTCCGTAAATACATGTTGAATGAATGGATGAATTCAAGGAGGACTGAATGAGGTATTGGATGAGGTCTGGAACAACACGACACAGGTGAAATTCTGCACCCACTGCCTAACACACAGTGCTCACTAAATGCAACAGCTACCAGCTGTTATTAGCTCCTTCCACTGCCCCCTCCAAATTCTCCCTGCATATCCTCGTGTTGGAGTAGAGGGAATTCTAAAGAGTTGTATTCTTTCCAGTCCTGGAAGTTCCCTCACTCTTAGTTCTATACCACGGCCAACATGGCAAAAACAGAATGCATGCTGTGGCAGAAATTGCTATTTTCCCTCAATATCCTTTCTCCCTTTCTTCCATAGCAATAGAATTTTTAGTTAGGCACATTGCCAAAGGCTAAAGACTACATTTCCCAGCCTCCCTTGCAGCTGGGTGTGACCATGTGATTAAGTTCTGACCATTGGCGTTTTTCATATTTTATGCATAAATTTGCATGTTTATCCCTGACAACATTTGCCATTTGCCTGTTGGTTTCAGAATCCCCAGGAGCTATCTCCCTCCTGCTTTAGAGTCAGGAAGGAGGATGGAGAAAATGTTGTGATATTAGGCATTGAGACAATTTTTGTGCAAGTTTCTGTCCTTTGGGTAGGTTGAAAACTGGATGCAGCTTTATTCCGTGGTGCTCCAGATATCACAAGGAGAAAGTCCCTAAGACCCAGAAGTCCAACTGAGCTGTTTTGCCAGAATGCAAGGAGATGAATTATGGTAATGATCAGGGACGGGCCTCCACAGTTTTCCTACTTTTAAACAGGGAGGCGGTCACAATTCTGTGGAATTCTAGGGGCCTATAGAAAACAGGCTGATATGAGTTAGCAAGAGCCCAGTATCACTGGGGAGACCAGGAGGCTACCAGTGAATTTCATTCAGCTCCAAGAAGAGATTCAGAGAAGGAAGTCTTAAGGTTTCAAGGAGGAAGGACCTTGGGCTACTGACCCATTTCTTCTACACCCTGGTTTACTTGCCTTTCTATCCAGCCCAGACCCCATGGTCAAGCCTGCCAGTCACTCCCTAGTGGATGCCTTCAATTTTCTGCCCATTTATCCTTCCAGTCCATTCACTCCTGGAACATAAGGACATTTTGGGTTGCAAGTGACAGACACCCCATTCAAAATAGTTTATGCAAAAATAAGTAGAATGGGCTGGCTGCGGTGGCTCATACCTACAATCCCAGCACTTTGGGAGGCCAAGGCAGGAAAATCACTTGAGGCCAGGAGTTTGAGACCAGCCTGGGCAACACAGAGATCTCATATCTACAAAAAATATAAAAGTTAGGTAGGTGTGGTAAGCGCACATCTATAGTCCTAGCCACTCGGGAGGCTGAGGTAGGAGGATCACATAAGCCCAGGTATTGGAGGTTACAGTGAGCTATGATTGTGCCACTACACCCCAGCCTGGGTGAAAGAGTGAGACCCTGACTCTAAAAATACAAATACAAATTCAAAATAAATAGCATATAATGGCCCGTAAGAGTCCAGGGGAAGCTAACATTAGGTACAACTGGACCGTGTTAGTCAGGGTTCTCCATGGAAACAGAACCAGTAGGGTATATGTGTAGATAAAGAAGAGGGGATTTATTAGGGGAATTGACTGCATTAGTCTGGTCTCACACTGCTATAAAGAAACACCTGAGACTGGGTAATTTACGAAGAAAAGAGGTTTAATTGGCTCACACTTCTGCAGCCTGTACAGGAAGCATTGCAACTTCCGCTTCTGGGGAAGCCTCAGGAAACTTACAATCATGGCTGGAGCAGGAGCAAGAGAGAGAAGGGGGAGGTCCTTCATAATTTTTTTTTTTTTTTTTGATACAGAGTCTTGCTCTGTCACCCAGGCTGGAGTGCAGTGTCATGATCTTTGCTCACTGCAACCTCCACCACCTGGGTTCAAGCAATTCTCCTGCCTCAGCCTCTCTAGTAGCTGGGATTACAGGTGCCCACCACCAAGCCCAGCTCACTTTTGTATTTTAGTGGAGACAAGGTTTCACCATGTTGGCCAGGCTGGTCTTGAACTTCTGACCTCAAGCAATTCACCTGCCAGCCTCCTGCACACTTTTTAAACAACCAGATCTCACAAGAACTCACTCTGCAGTATCAAGGGGAGATGGTGCTAAACCATTCATGAGAACTCCACCCCCATAATCCAGTCACCTCCCACCAGCTCCCACCTCCAACACTGGGGATTACAGTTTAACATCAGATTTGGGCAGAGACACAGGTCCAAACCAAATCATTGGCTCATATGATTACGGAGGCTTAGAAGTTCCAAAATATGGCGTCAACAAGCTGGAGACCCAGAGGAGCCAGTGGTGTAAGGCTCAGAGTCCGAAGATCTGAGAACCTGGAGCTCTGATGTCTGATGGCAGGAGAAGATGAATGTCCCAGCTCCCAAGGAGGATGGCAAATTCATCACCCTTCCTTCACATTTTGTTCTGTCCAGGCTCTCAGTGGATTGGACGGTGCCCACCTACATTAGTGAGGGCAGATCTTCATCCCTCAGTGTACTCATTCAAATGCTAATCTCCTCTGGAAATAGCCTTACAGGCACACCCAGCGATAATGTTTTACTCTCTGGGCATCCTGATACCTAAAATTAACTGTCATGTGGATCCAGGAGTCCAGATGATGCCAGAGGGGGTGCCAGCTGGTTTATGTGCCAGGCCAACTCTCCCTGACAATCACACACACAGACCTGCATAGCACTTCCGTTACACCGACCCATTTCCGCAGAGCAGCACAAAGACTACAGGGAAGCTAGAAGCAGACGTGGCGGGGATGCCTGCAGCTGCAAGAAGATGCCTGGGAACAGACACAGAAACTCTCGCTCCCAGATAAGCAAAACACAGCAGCACAAAGGCAGCTGTTTGAATAAATTCATTGGAGAGTCTAAGGCAGCAATCCGGACCAAGCTGTAAAGGAGATAAGACAGAAATAATCACACAACAGACAGGCCTTAAAGGTACTGGGGTTCTCCGCCGGGCCCGGTGGCTCACACCTGTAATCCCAGCACTTTGGGAGCCTGAGGTGGGTGGATCACCTGAGGTCAGGAGTTCAAGACCAGCCTGACCAATATGGTGAGACCCTATCTCTACTAAAAATACAAAAATTAGCCAGGCATGGTGGTGTGCACCTGTGGTCCCGGCAACTCAAGAGGCTGAGACAAGAGAATTTCTTGAACCTGGGAGGCAGAGGTTGCAGTGAAGTGAAATCATGCCACTGTACTCCAGCCTGGGCAAGAGAGCAAGACTCCATCTCAAAAAACAAAAGGTACCGGGGTTCTCACAGCTTAATGGAACTTAGCAAGTCTTTTTTTTTTTTTTTTTTGGCCTCTGACCTTCTAGTTGAAACAAAATTAGTTACCAATAGACTTAGGCGAATGCCATACGGCACATAGGCACATAACCTCAACCTATATAAGCACTAAGAAAATGGTAACACTTTGATTTGGTCTGGTGGAATTATCTCCCTGTATCTTGTTACAGCAATAAATTCCCTTCTTTTCTAGTTTCTCTGCTTCTCGTTATTGGGCCTCGAGAAAATGCAGCCGGACCCGGCTTGGTTCTGGGCATAGTGAATCACTCCACAACATCCATTTTTCTGTTCAATGATTCTGTGACTTGGCTGAGCAGTTTTCCTGGTCTGATCTGGCTCACCTGCCACAGGAGATCTACACCAGCTCCACCCACGTGTCTGGCAGTTGGTTCAATATCAGCTGGGAAGGCTGGGCGTGGTGGCTCATGCTTGTAATCTCAGCACTTTGGGAGGCCGAGGTGGGTGGATCACCTGAGGTCAGGAGTTTGAGACCAGCCTGGCCAACATGGTGGAACCCCGTCTCTACTAAAAACACAAAAAATTAGCCGGATGTGGTGGCGGGCGCCTGTACTCCCAGCTACTCGGGAGGCTGAGGCAGGAGAATCACTTGAACCAAGGAGCTGGAGGTTGCTATGAGCTGAGATCATGCCACTACACTCCAGCCTGGGCAATAAGAGTGAAACTCCGTCTAAAGAAAAAACAAACAAACTATATATGTATTTTATATATATATATATTATATATATAGTGATATATATATTATATATAGTGATATATATATTATATATAGTGATATATATATTATATATAGTGATATATATAATATATAGTGATATATATAATATATAGTGATAATATAAATATATAGTGATATATATAATATATAGTGATATATATTATATATAGTGATATATATAATATATATAATATATAGTGATATATATAGTGTGTGTGTATATGTATATATATGTATATGTGTATATGTATATATATGTGTATGTGTATATATATATATATATGTGTGTGTGTGTGTGTGTGTATATATATATCAGCTGAGAAAATAGGGCTGCCTTCACCGTAGGTTTCTCCTTACCCAATAGGCCAACCTGAGCTTGTGCATGTGGTCACTGGGCTCTGACAGGAGCAAGAGAAAGAGCAAGTCCCCCTAGGCCGGCACTTTTTAAGCATCTGCTTGCATCGCGTTTGCTAATGTCTCACTGGCCAAAACAAGTCACATGGCCAAGCCTTGATTTGAAGGAAATAGAGAAATAAACTCCACCTCTTGCTGGGAGGAGCTGCAAAGCCAGCCTTGTAGAGGAGTGTGTATACAGGGAGGAGAGGAAATTGGCAGCATTATTCTATGCATTGTTAGCCTTTTTTTTTTTTTTTTTTTTTCTTTGAGACGGAGTCTCGCTCTGTTGCCCATGCTGGAGTGCAGTGGTGCGATCTCGGTTCACTGCAAACTCCGCCTCCCGGTTCAAGCAATTCTCCCATCTCAGCCTCCCTAGTTGCTGGGATTACAGGCACCCGCCACTGCGCTCTGTTAATTTTTTGTATTTTTAGTAGAGACAGGGTTTCACCATTTGGCCAGGCTGAACTCGAACTCCTGACCTCTCAGGTGATCTGCCCATCTCAGCCTCCCAAAGTGCTGGGATTACAGGCATGAGCCACCACACCCAGCCTGTGAGCCATTTTCTTCTATAATCTCTCTCCATGAATAGGAAACTTGGCCCTGCTTTCTATCAAGGCATTCTCCGCCACCTCATAAGACACATCTGTGGGTGCCTACTCACCCATTAGGATGCATGAGCAAACCTGCAAGTTCAAGGGAGTTAACACCCAATGGAGCAACCCATAACCAAGGGGAAGGCCAGAACCAGTGGCCCCTCTTCTACCTCTCAGATGGACAATTTTTTCTTTTTTTAAACAGGGTCTCACTCCCTTGCCCAGGCTGGAGTACAGTGGAGTGATCAGGGCTCACTGCAGCCTTGACTTCCCACATTCAGGAGATCCTCCTATCTCAGCCCTGTCTGAGGTAGCAAGACCCCATCTCTACAAACAATTTTCTGAAAATTAACCAGGCATGGTGCCTGTAGCTCTACCTACTCAGGAGGCTGAGGTGGGAGGATCACTTGAGCCTAGGAGTTCGACACCAGCTTGGGCAACATAGTGAGACCCTGTCTCAACAACAACAACAAAAAACAATTTAAAATTAGCCAGGTGTGGTGGCTTGTGCCTGTAGTCCCAGCTACTCAGGAGGCTGAGGTGGGAGGATCACTTAAGCCCAAGAGGTCGAGGTTATAGTGAGTTGTGATCATGCCACTGCACTCCAGCCTGGGCGAATGAGCAAGACAACATCAAAAAAAAAAGGAAGAGAAAAGAGAGAGAGAGAGATGACAGAAAGAAAGAGAAAGAAAGGAAGGAAGGAAGGAAGAAAGAAAGAAAGAAAGAAAGAAAGAAAGAAAGAGAAAGAAAGAAAGAAGAAAGAAAGAAAGAAAGAAAAAGAGAAAGAGTTCCTCAGATTGGCTTTCTCTGCTTCCTAATCCCCCACACTTACCCCTTGAGATCATTTCCCAGAACAAACCACCTTCATGCAACCCCTTGTCTCATGCTCTGCATTGAGGGGAATCCAAGCTAAGACAACACTCATCTTTGTGTCTCTTTCTCCTGCTCAAAACCTAGCTCAGCCCCTTCCTATCCACTGGCTCTTCTCCCTCCCTGCAGATGCCTGCTCAACTGGGTGGTATTTTAACAAACCATAAAACCAACACATTACTGATTTCATGTTCCCTTTTGAAATCCTCAAATGTCATCCAACATATTAATGATCAAATAATTGAAAGCTATGTAACCCTCAGAGATTTCACGAAGTCGAATAAAAAACCAATAGGTTAAGGTCTGAATGTTTATTGTTTGAATAACTTCTATATTGCCTTGAAGTTCATTGTCAGTCATCGTAACCATATGGCAAATGTTTGGAGTCTTAACCGGTTGTTGACTTAGCTTTGTGAAATTGTCACTGCTCTTTAAATCCTCATAATATGGTATTGCTGAAGGATCAGGTACTACCAAACACTGGAAATATAAGAACTTTTATAATTTATGTAATTAAAATATGTGATGCTTTCCACTTGGGGTTAGCCAGTTTGAAAAGTTAAATTGGAATGTGTCATGATGGACAAACTCCTTGAAAGAATCATCTGCACTTCTGGTCTCCATGCCCCCGACCCCACCCAGCCTAATCTGGCTTCAGCTCCCTCCTCTCGCCTAAAACTGTGCCCACCTTGATCACCAGTCGTTTTCTTGAGTACTTTTCAGGTCTGTATTTCTTAACTTTTCAGAAGCATTCAGCAATGTGGGTGACTTTTTTTTAACTCTGGTTATGCCCACCTCTTTGGCCACCCCAGCAGGTACCGCCTAAATTTCTCTTCCTCTGCTCATCACTTAAATTTGGGGCTTGGCCAGGCATAGCAGTTCATGCCTGCAATCTCAGCACTTTGGGATGCTGAGGTGGGAGGATTGCTTGAGCCGGGGTTCGAGGCTGCAGTGAGCTATGATTGCACCACTGCTCTCCAGCCTGGGAGATGGAACGAGACTCTGTCTCTACATTAGTTCATTTTGGTGTGATTCATTCTTCCCCAAGGTACCAGTGACCACGTGTATACTGAGGGAAATCAAATATGTCTTTACATGGAGCAGGTCACTCGCTTCTCATCCTTGGGTACTACCAAATCATTATCCAAAATGCACCCCTCGAACTCCCCACAGCCATACCCACTCCTCCTTCTCTCCTTGGGAATGGTGGCTCCAACAGTTACTCAAGGACACAAGCCAGAGAGCTGGGAGTCATCCCTGTCTTCTCCTTGCCCCTCACCTATAGTCAACAAGAAGCCCTGCCCACCCTTCTTCCAAAATAGACCTAGAATCCAACCCCTCTTCTCCACCTGCACTGCTTCCAGCCTTGTCTTGGGCCTCACTGCTTATCACCTGCACCCCTGCGAAGTGTCCTAATGCATTTCCCTGCATCTGCCCTTGCCCTCTGCGGTTCGTCCTCACCATGGAAGCAGCCAGACCAATCTTAACTCCACTACATGCCACTCCCCTAAATTTGCCACTGCCCTCAGGACAAAAAGCAGATTCACCTGGCACTCTTTTAACCCAGTGGATCATTTCCATTTCTTCTTCTTCTTCTTCTCCTTTTTTTTTTTTTTTTTTTTTTGAGACAGGGTCTCACTCTGTCACCCAGGCTGGAGTGCAGTAGCATGATCATGGCTCACTGCAGCCGCGACCTCCCTGGACTGAGGTGATCCTCCTACCTCAGCCTCCTGAGTAGCTGGGACTATGGGCACTCACCATCATACCTGGCTAATTTTTGTATTTTTTTGTAGAGATGGGGTTTTGCCATGTTGCCCAGGCTGATCTTGAATTCCTGGGCTCAAGCGATCCTCCCATCTTGACTTTCAAAGTGCTGGGATTTCAGGTGTGAGCCACCATGCCCATCCCATTTCCTCTTTCTTAAAACAATATCTTCACTTGGCCTTCAAACCATCACTCCTGATTTCTCTTCCACCTCACTAGCTACTTCTTTTCCTTCTTCTTTGCTGGACTCGTGCAACTCCCTAAACTCCGAATAATATTAAGTGCTCTGGGGCTCAGTCCTGGGTCTTTTTCTCTTCCTGCTGTGTCATCACTCCCTTGGTGATCTCATTCAGTGTCATGGCTTTAAACATCCCTATGCCGGTGACCCCCACATTTTATCTCAAGTCCAGACCTCCTCCCTGTAATACAGACTCGCATATCCAACTCCCCACCACATATCTCCACCTGGGTCTCTGACAGACACCCCAAACTTCAGTTCCAAAACTGAGTTCCTTCCTCATCTCCATGCCCAGCCTATCCCACCTCAGTTAAGGGCAGTTCAACCTTTCTGTTGCTAAGGCCAAAAGCCCCGGACTTAGACCTTGACTCTGATCTTTCTCTCTCATCATACTCTACCCATTAGCAAGACCTGTCAGCCTTGGAGTCAAAATATATCCAGCGGAATGACATGATGTCCAGATTCACTTCCAAATAACACAGTAGGGAATCTAGGGATGGGGGTAGAATTGAAACCAGACTGTCTATAAGTTGATCATTGTTGAAACTGGTGATGGTACATGGAGGTTCATTGTATTATTCCACTTTGTTTGAAATGTTCCAAAATCAGAAAAATTAAAACATACTATTTCACTGCTACCACTCTGATCCAAGTCAACTGACCTCTTGCCTGGACTGTTGCAGTAGCCTCCTAACCATACTTCTGCCTCCACTTTCACCTCCACTCCACCCTCTGCTTCTAATTTAATTTCCTCCCAGCAGCCAATGTGATTAATTCCATTAAAATGAAAGACCGTGTCACTCCTCCACTCAAAACTCTCCAATGTATGGTGTCAGACTCCTACAGAACAACAAAAAATGCTCCCCAGTGGTTCCCCATTTCATTCAGAGTAAAGCCAACTCCTAACAGTCGTCTTCAAGATCCTATCCACTCCTGCTCCTTGTTTATGGAATAAATCTTTTTAAAAAGATCTTATATCCTGGCTGGGTGCGGTGGCTCACGCCTGTAATCCCAGCACTTTGGGAGGCCGAGGCGGGTGGATCGCCTGAGGTCAGGAGTTAGAGACCAGCCTGGCCAACATGGTGAAACACCGTCTCTACTAAAAGTACAAAAATCAGCTAGGTGTGGCGGTGGGCACCTTGAATCCCAGCTGCTCAGGAGGCTGAGGCAGGAGAATCGCTTGAACCTGGGAGGTGGAGGTTGCAGTGAGCCGAGATTGTGCCATTGCACTCTAGCCTGGGCAACAATTGTGAAACTCCATCTCAAAAAAAAAAAAAAAAAGGATCCTGTATCTATTTGCCTTGCCACCCTTTACTACTTAAACCGCATTCCCTTCCACTCTCTGCTCTTGATCACTCCGTTCCAGGCACACTGATGTTCCTTATACTTGCCACCGGGCAGTACCACCACAGGGTCCTCGTACTTTCCACTCCTTCTGCCATGAAGAATCTTCTTCCTTCTGTTACACACGTGGCTCACTCTACCTTCTTTTTTTTTTTTTTTTTTGAGACGGAGTCTCGCTGGAGTTCAGTGGTGCAATCTTGGCTCACTGCAAGCTTTGCCTCCTGGGTTCACGCCATTCTCCTGCCTCAGCGTCCCGAATAGCTGGGACTACAGGTGCCTGCCACCACGCCCGGCTAATTTTTTGTACTTTTAGTAGAGATGGGGTTTCACCGTATTAACCAGGATGGTCTCGATCTCCTGACCTTGTGATCCACCCGTCTTGGCCTCCCAAACTCTTCACCTTCTTATGTCTTTGCTCAGATGTCTCCTTTTCAGGGAGGCCTTCCCTAATCACCTTATGTAAGACTGAAACCTAAATACATGCCCCCAACACACACACACACACACACACACACACACACACACACACACACAACCTCTTAATCCCTTCTCTTGCTTTGTTTTTCTGCTTAGCACTTATCACCGTCTTCTTTACTATAATTTTACCTATTTATCCTATTTGTTGTTTGTCTCCACTACCAGAAAGAAAACTATCTGCAGGTAGGGATTTTTCACTACTGTTTGTTCACTGTTGTATCCACAGCACCTGCCTGGCACAGAGTAGGTGCCCAGTAAGTATCTGTTGAATGAGTGAACGAATGAGTGAATAGCACTCCAAGATTCAATCCTGCCCACCTGTCCAGGTACATTTCTAACCTCTCCCCTGCTCACCCTTTCATCCCAAGGCACACAGCACACTTGAGTCCCTGGCATATCCTAGCATTATTTATACTTCTCAGCCTCTATGCTGTACCCTCATCCTCCTGGCTGGAGTGCCAGTCTTTTTTATTTTTTATTTGGAGACAGAGTCTCATGCTGTCACCCAGGCTGGAGTGCAGTGGCACCATGATAGTTCACTGCAGCCTGAAACTCCTAGACTCAAGTGGTCCTCCCACCTCAGCCTCCCAAGTAGCTGGGGCTACAGGTGGACACCACCACACCTAGCTATTTTTTAAAAAACTTTTTGTTTTTAAAACAAAAACTGGAGTTTTAAACTCCAGGCCACCACTGCCTCTCACCTGCACCACTGTGCAGTGTCCTGACCATCTCCCTACATCTGTTCTTGCCCTTGCAATCATCCTCACCACAGAAGCAGAGAAGTTACAAGTGTGGCAAAGGGCAGACCGGAATTCAAAGCCAATGTGGAGTGGGGAGTTGGATACATGAGTCTGGATTTCAGGGAAGAGGTATGGATTTAAGATACAAATGTGGGAGTCACTGGGTATGGTGGCTCACGCCTGTAATCCCAGCACTTTGGGAGGCCGAGGAGGGCAGATCAGGAGTTCAAGACCAGCCTGGGCAACATGGTGAAACACTGTCCCTACTAAAAATACAAAAAGTTAGCCAGGCGCGGTGGCGGGCTCCTGTAATCCCAGCTCCTTGGGAGGCTGAGGCACAAGAATCGCCTGAACCTGGGAGGCAGAGGTTGCAGTGAGCCGAGATTGTGTCACTGAACTCCAGCCTGGGCGAGACAGTGAGACTCCATCTCAAAAATAAACAAATAAATAAAAATAAAATTAAAATGTGGAAGTTGCCAGAGTAAAAACATTTAAACGCTGGCTGAAATCACCAAGGGAGTAAGTCTAGAACAAGAAGAGAAAAGGACCCAGGACTAAGCCCTGGAGCACTTAATATTATTCAGAGTTTGGGAAGTTGCAGGTGTCCAGCTATGTTGCCCAGGCTGGTCTTGAACTCCTGGCCTCAAGTGATCCTCTCACCTTGGCCTCCCAAAGTGCTGGGACTACAAGCATGAGCCACCATGCCCAGCCCGGATCCCCAGTCTTTAAGATTCCTCTCAAGCAGGTGTCTGCTAACACCAAATGAAACTCATCTGCCGGCTTCATGTTTTCATGCTTTTTTCCTACTTAACTCATCGCACTGGACTTTTGCAGTCTCTTTTTTCTGTGTCTCCTCCACCGTTCTGGGAGTCCCCTTGGAACAGGAACCTCATCTTATTTTGTCTTCTTGGCTCAATGCATGAACTTCTTGGTTCAGTGCGTGAATCATAATACCTGTTAAACCCACTCTATGGGCCGGGCGCGGTGGCTCACGCTGTAATCCTAGCACTGTGGGAGGCCGAGGTGGGCGGATCATTTGAGGTCAGGAGTTTGAGACCAGCCTGACCAAAATGGTGAGACCCCCGTCTCTACTAAAAATACAAAAAAAAAATTAGCCGGGCGTGGTGGCACATGTCTGTAGTCCCAGCTACTAGGGAGGCTGAGGCAGGAGAATCGCTTGAACCCGTGAGGCAGAGGTTGTAGTGAGCTGAGATTGCACCACTGCACTCCAGCCTGGGCAACAGAGCAAGACCCGGCCAAAAAAAAAAAAAAACAAAAAAACAAAAAAACCCACTCTATGAATAGTGAGGGTCAAAGAGGTTAGAGTCTGGCACAGGTAGACTAGAATTCCCAGTCTGTTCTCTTGGGCTCCAGATTCTCACTCCACCACCTGAACACTAGTGAGTCCCTTCCGTTCCCAAGCCTCAATTTCCTTAGACAGATGTAAGCAGTTGAATTGACTAACAACTATCCAACCCCAACCTACTGGGCAAGTTGCCTCCTTTGGGGTCAAACACTATCCAACTTCAGTTTCCCAACGTCATAAAGGAGAACTCTAAAAGTTGAGAATCGAAACTGATGACAGATTGACTAGACGGCCAGCCTGTTAAGGTGGCCCCAGATATTCCAGCCTCAGCCCAGAGTCCTCCTGTGCCCCTACTGCAGCAAGGGTGTCTCCAAGAAGGGGGACCTGGAGTCAGCCCGTCACACCTGGTTTCCTCTCTGCTAGGGTCCCTCCTCCCACAGAGCACTGGAGGGCAGCTGAGGAGGAGCTACCTTAAAAAAGGAGGTGTGTGCCAGGGAGCTGGGTAGGAGCCTGGCTATATATCTGCCCAGCAGCGGTACTCTCGGGACAGAGATGGCACTGATGCAGGAACTGTATAGCACACCAGCCTCCAGGCTGGACTCCTTCGTGGCTCAGTGGCTGCAGCCCCACCGGGAGTGGAAGGAAGAGGTGCTAGACGCTGTGCGGACCGTGGAGGAGTTTCTGAGGCAGGAGCATTTCCAGGGGAAGCGTGGGCTGGACCAGGATGTGCGGGTGCTGAAGGTAGTCAAGGTAAGACTGGGCTCCTCCAGCCCCCACGCAAGACAAAACCCAGTATCAGAGTCCACGTCCCTGGGGATGCTGGGGACCCCTGTCCTCCTTATCCCTAGCCCATGCTGATGACATCTCAGAATACCCCATCCCACCTAGCTGTCTACACCCCACTGCACCACTGCCTTGAGTAGAATGAGTCTAGTAATAATAGCTCACATTTGGGGGCTCACTGGACTAACCTCTTAACATACACTATCTCTAATTCTTGCACTCTGTGAGATAGGTACTATTCTTTGCCCAGTTTACAGATTAGCAAATGGAGGCTCAGAACCAATACAATGCGAGGTCCTTGGTTGGATCCTAGTGTGAATGAACCATCTGTAAAATATAGTTTGGGGACAACTGGCCTAGATATCAGATAGTACATATATCTGATATGGGAAATCATTGTTGATTTTGTTAGGTGTAACAGTAGTTTTGTGGTTATCAGAAGGTTGTCTTTTGTTTGGACACGAACACTGAAGTATTTTAGGGACAAAGTTCCTTGGTGCCTATAATTTACTTTAACGTGGCTTAGATTAAGCACATGTAGCCAGGAATTTAGACTTGTTGAATCAACTAGTTGGGTATATGAGTGTTAGTTGTATCATCTATTTTTCTATGTGTTTTAACTTTTTGATAATAAAATGACTTTTTTTTTTTTTAGAGACAGGGTCTCGCTCTGTCACCCAGGCTGGAGTGCAGTGGCACAATCACCACTCACTGTAGCCTCAATCTCCCTGAGCTCAGGTGATCCTCAGCCTCCTAAATAGCTTGGGATTACAGGCATGCACCACCATGCTCAGCTAATTTTTGTATTTTTTGTAGAGATAGGGTTTCACCAATGTTGCCCATGCTGGTCTCGAACTCCTGGGATCAAGAATATGCCCACCTTGGCCTCCCAAAGTGCTGGGATTACAGGTGTGAGCCACCATGTCTGGCCGGCCAATAAAATGATTTTTGTTTTTGTTTTTTTTTTTTTGAGACAGAGTCTTGCTCTGTCACCAGGCTGGAGTGCAGTGGCACGATCTCAGCTCACTGCAACCTCTGCCTCCCAGGTTCAAGCAATTCCCCTGCCTCAGCCTCCCAAGTAGCTGGGACGACAGCGCCCACCACCACGCCCGGCTAATTTTTTGTATTTTAGTAGAGACAGGGTTTCACCGTGTTGGCTAGGATGGTCTCGATCTCCTGACCTCATGATCTGCCCTCCTCGGCCTCCCAAAGTGCTGGGATTACAGTGAGCCACTGCACTCGGCCTAAAATGATTTTTTAATGGAGGCTCAGAGAGGTGAGGTGACTTGCCCAAGGTCACACAGTGTTGAAGCTGGGATTTGAACTTGACTCAAGGGACCCAAGCCCCCCTCACTGAGATTTTCCCCCAAGCCCTTCCTCCAGCTGTTTCATGCCACCGCCTGTGCTAGCTAAGATCAAAATTCAAGAGGGTCGGAGCTAGAAAGACTTTGGAGAATCAGACAGTCTCACCAATGACTCACTTAAAAAATTAAGTAAACCGAGGCACAGAGAGGGTGAGAGATACCCCAAGGTCACACAGCGAGTTGGTGGCAAAGGCAAGACTAGAATTAGGACCCCTGACTCCCAGCCCAGTGCTCAAGTTCTCTCTCTAGGGGCAACCAACTCACAGAGGGATCTAGAAGCCCTGGGCCCCTATCCGTTCTTTGCACCTATCCCCAGCATATGAAGCCTGAGGCCATACAATTTATAAGTGAGAAACCACAAATTTTGATATTAGACAGACTCTTCGCTTCTTCCTTTACCAGCTGTGTGGTTTTGACCTTCCCACTCTTCTTTCTCAAACCCACATTCTTTTCATCTGTGATTGGGGCATCATCATCATCTCTCCCTCACCAAGCCAGTGGTGCAATGCAGGCTGAATGATTCATGCACGATAAATGCTCAGAAACAGAAGCATCATTATAATTCTTGCCAAGCTTTCTTCTGGGCCTGGGACTCAAGTCTGACTCTGGCAGACCCTCCTAGACCACCCCCTCCCCAACAAACTTGAGAATAAAGTGGAGGGAATAAGGAATGTCTGGTAAGAGGAGGATGCTACAAGAATAAGTTTATTGTGTGTGTGTGTGTTCCACCACGCCTGGCTAATCTTTGCATTTTTAGTAGAGACGGGGTTCCATCATGTTGGCCAGGCTGGTCTCGAACTCCTGACCTCAAGTGATCCACCCACCTCGGCCTCCCCAAATGCTGGGATTACAGGTGTGAACCACCACGCCCGGCCAAGAATGAGTTTTTACGGCAGGAAATGCTATTTACCTAAGCCTCAAATACTTCCTGCACATCATAGCCACTTTTCCTCTTGAAACCACTAAATGGTAGCAATCCCCAGTGAGCCATGACTAATGAGGAATAATATATCTTATTTAGAGTCTAAACCCTCCCGTTCCCCACCCTCTGAAAATCTAGTGAGCGGAGCTGGTCCACATAAGGGAATGCTCGTCTTCAAATGAATTGTGCTTAAATAGGTTTAAAACTGAAGCAAATCAGGAAGCCTGTTCTGGATGTGTTCTTTTCTCTCTGCCTGGATCTTACCAGTGGGAAAGGCAGAAAGGGAAGTCTACGCCAGGCACAGTGGCTCACGCCTGTAATCCCAGCACTTTGGGAGGCCAAGGTGGGAGGATTGCTTGAGCCCAGGAATTCGAGACCAGCCTGGGCAAAATGGTGAGACCCCCGACTCTACAAAAATATATATAAAAAATTAGCTGGGCATGGCGGTGCATGCCTGTAGTTCCAGCTACTCCGGAGGCTGAGGTGGGAGGATTGCTTAAGCCCAGGAGGTCGAGGCTTCAGTGAGTGAAGATCGTGCCATTGCACTCCAGCCTGGGCAACAGAGCAAGACCCTGTCTCAAAAAGAAAGGGAAGTCTAGACTGGCCTTCGGGGGGAATGTGTCCTTCATTCACACACAGGGTGCCATCTCCAACCCTCTCCCAGGGGGTGGAGGTGCTGGGTCTGAATGCCCATGGTCCCTTGGAAGCAGGGCCTGGCTCACAGCCTTGGGTCACGAGGAAGAAAGAGGCGGAAGAACCATCCCCTACTTGAGTTCTGGCTCTTTCTCTGACTCTGCTGCCTTCTGGCTGGGAGACCATGGCAAGCTCCTCACTGCCTCAGTCTTCTCATCTGTACATTGGAGATAATTCTCCTAGTACCCACCTCAATACAGGAAGTGAAGGCGTTTTTTTTTGTTGTTTTGTTTTGTTTAGATGGAGTCTCGCTGTGTCGCCCAGGCTGGAGTGTAGTGGCGAGATCTCAGCTCACCACAACCTCTGCCTCCTGGGTTCAAGCGATTCTCCTGCCTTAGCTTCCCCAGTAGCTCGGATTACAGGTGCACACAACCACACCTGGCTAATTTTTGTATTTTTAGTAGAGATGTGCTTTCACCATGTTGGCCAGGCTGATCTCGAACTCCTGACCTCATGATCCGCCCACCTTGGCCTCCCAAAGTGCTGAGATTACAGGCATGAGCCATCATGCCTGGCTGGGAAGTAAAGATTAAAAGGAATAATATGTATACAGGGCTCTTATGGGTGCCAGACACAGGGCGTGCTCATGTCATCCAGCATCCGTGCTCATGTCACACAGGGCATGTTATATCATCCGGCAACAGCTGGAATCTGATTCTTGTGCAGTGACTCCAACCACCAAGAAAAGTAGCCTTCTGGGGGTCTGATGCCTCCCTAGCAATTCCACCTCCCAACACAGAATGAGAAGGAGAGGAGGCCAGAGAGTTGTGGCGCTTTGCATACCAGAGGCACCAGGGCCTGGAGAGCTCATCTAGAATCTCAAAACATCGAAAAATCCCTTCTCGACCTCCTTCCATTACTAACAGGAAAACTGACCCCCCGGCAGCAGAAGAGATTGTCTAAGTCAGCTGGATAATGAGAAGAAAGAGAAATGTATTGCTGACTTCCTGTGTGCCAGGCACCCCACCAAACGCTTGGCATACATTATTTCATCTGATCCTCCCAGTAGCCCAGTGACTCTTGTTCCAACATTACTTTCATTTTACAGATGAGGGTCTCAGGAGTCAGAATGTTTACCCAGCTAAGAAACAGGGAAGAGTCAAGATCTTTTTCAGGCTGCTCCATTTCACAGCCTATGGCTCTTAAATCCACCAGGCAAACTTGCTCCTTGCTTTATAATGTCATGAAATTATTCAGCCCCACCACCACCCCCAGAATCCTCAAACAACCCTATGGAGTAGATGCTACCATTCCTCTGGAGTAGGCCTTACTCTGTGGGTAAGAAGACTGGGTCTCAGAAGCAATGCAGTGTAGTAGATAAGAAGCTGGGCATTTGGGGAGGCCAAGGGGGCAAATCGCTTGAGTCCAGGAGTTCGAGACCAGCCTGGGCGACATGCCAAAACCCAGTCACTACAAAAAATACAAAAATTAGCCAGGCATGGTGGCGCAGGCCTGTAGTCCTAGCTACTTGGGAGACTGAGGTGGGAGGATTGCTTGAGCCAAGATCATGCCACTGCAGCCCAGCCTGGGCAACGGGAGTGAAACCCTGTGTAAAAAAAAAAAAAGAGTCTGGGCTCTGAGGGCTGCAAACTGCGAGACCTGAGACAAATGACTAATGAGGAGAAAGACAAATGTGTTGCTGACTTCCTGTGTGCCAGGCACCCCACCAAACCCTTGGCATACATTATTTCATCTGATCCTCCCAGTAGCCCAGTGACTCATATTCTGCCATTGCTTTCATTTTAGAGATGAAGGTCTTAGGAGTCAGAACATTTACCTAGCTAAGAAACAGGGAAGTGTCAAGATCTTTTTCAGGCTGCCCCATTTCTCCATCCCATGTCTCGAGATCCTCCAGACATCTCAGTTTTCTCACCTGTA
Organism: Homo sapiens; assembly: GCF_000001405.40. Classification (NCBI taxonomy): domain Eukaryota; kingdom Metazoa; phylum Chordata; class Mammalia; order Primates; family Hominidae; genus Homo; species Homo sapiens. The sequence goes on along the minus strand of NC_000012.12, from coordinate 121,033,883 downwards.
AAGTGTGGGTATTAGTACTACCCACAACCCATCCCTCAGCGGGTGGTGAGCATTCAGTGAGACAGTGCATGTGAAGTGCCGCAGGGGTTGCCTGGCTCATGGCAGTGGGCCTCAGGGTGACGGGGCTCTGTGTTCTGCAGGTGGGCTCCTTCGGGAATGGCACGGTTCTCAGGAGCACCAGAGAGGTGGAGCTGGTGGCGTTTCTGAGCTGTTTCCACAGCTTCCAGGAGGCAGCCAAGCATCACAAAGATGTTCTGAGGCTGATATGGAAAACCATGTGGCAAAGCCAGGACCTGCTGGACCTCGGGCTCGAGGACCTGAGGATGGAGCAGAGAGTCCCCGATGCTCTCGTCTTCACCATCCAGACCAGGGGGACTGCGGAGCCCATCACGGTCACCATTGTGCCTGCCTACAGAGCCCTGGGTAAGGGGAGGGGAAGCTCACCCGACTCACACACTTGCCCACCCCAGGAGACTTCCCAGTGTCTCACCTTTACTCATGGCCACGTGCACACACCCACATTTATTCATTTCATCTGTGTCCTATGCTTGGGGCTGGGTTATTGCAGTGCACAGGATTAACTCAACTCTGGCTATCATATTGCTCAACTTGGAATACAGAAATTGACCAAAGAATTGCAGAGATAAATACATGATTGCAGCCTGGGCGCGGTGGCTCACGCCTGTAATCCCAGCACTTTGGGAGGCCAAGGCAGGTGGATCATGAGGTCAGGAGTTGAAGACCAGCCTGGCCAAGATGGTGAAATACCATCTCTACTAAAAATACAAAAAATTAGCTGGGTGTGGTGGTGGGCGCCTGTAATCCCAGCTACTCAGGAGGGTGAGGCAGAGAATCACTTGAACCCAGGAGGCGGAGGTTGCAGTGAGTCAAGATCGCGCCATTGCACTCCAGCCTGGGCAACAGAGCAAGACTCCGTCTCAAAAAAACAAAAAACAAAAAAACAAACAAAAAAACATGATTGCAAATGGTGTAAATGCTCAGAGAAAAAGAATGGGGTGGCCTGGGTAACCACAGAAAGGGTGCTCAGGAAGTGACTTTCTGGGGAAACAACATTCAGGAGGCTCTGACACCCAGTGAGGGGAAGGAGCTAAAAGTGGGAGTGGGGGTCTGTCACTGCATTTTATAGAAGCAGATCCTAAGACATGGATGTGAGGATACGCAGTTTATTTGGGTATTCCTCCCAGGAAACACCGGTAGGGAAGTATGGAACTGAGATGGGAAAGGCAAGAATTCAATACAACGTGCGTCCATGGGCAAGTCACCACCCTGAGCTTCATGTCCTGGGAGAACTCACAGTCCCATTATGGAGCGAACCTCTTCGGGATCCCAAGTGGGACGCTGGCGTGCTTACTCACCAGCTTCCCAGCCGTCACTGGTTGGGGGCTGCTTTGGGAGCACTAACTCACTGGCCCCTGTTGTTTGTCCTCGGGCAGAGTCCTAGGTGTTTGAAGTAAAACCTACATGCTGCAAGCCCAGATCCTAGAGGTTTCATCTCATGTGCTAACTCCTATCAGCTGTAGTGGCTGGCTGCGTGGAGTTGCTCTTTGGAGAAGGTATAAGAGACAGGATCTGATTTTAGCAAGGAAGAGAGTGCTGGGATGTCTCAGTGATGTGTACCATGGAACTGGTTCCTGGTTCTCCCTATGAGTTTATATATATATATATTTTTTGAGACGGAGTCTCGCTCTGTCGCCCAGGCTGGAGTGCAGTGCCGTGATCTCGGCTCACTGCAACCTCCACCTCCAGGGTTCAAGTGATTCTCCAGCCTCAGCCTCCCGAGTAGCTGGGATTACAGCCCGCCACCATGCCATGCCTGGCTAATTTTTCTATTTTTAGTAGAGATAGGATTTCACCATGTTGGCCAGGCTGATTTCAAACTCCTAACCTCAGGTGATCCGCCCACCTCGGCCTCCCAAAGTGCTGGGATTACAGGCTTAAGCCACCACACCCGGCCTCCCTATGAGTATTGAAAGAGATACAAAACAGATATTAAAGAAAATGAGGGACATTGAGGACATCCAGGGAGGGGTCTGATGCATGGAAAGCCCAATGTTGGTTCTCCAGAGTAAGAATTTCACAAAAAGGACAATTAGACAAGGCAAACCTTTGGTTTCTGAAGATATGAGGTCTCAAGTGTCCCTGGAGGGATACTTCCAATGTAAAGGCAGGCTCTCCCCAAAATACTACTTACCACCCTCTGGCTTCCTCAATCCCCAATCTCTTCCTTTGCTCCTTCACTCCTCAGGGCCTTCTCTTCCCAACTCCCAGCCACCCCCTGAGGTCTATGTGAGCCTGATCAAGGCCTGCGGTGGTCCTGGAAATTTCTGCCCATCCTTCAGCGAGCTGCAGAGAAATTTCGTGAAACATCGGCCAACTAAGCTGAAGAGCCTCCTGCGCCTGGTGAAACACTGGTACCAGCAGGTGAGGGGGCTGCCAGGATGGCAGGGGCAAGGAGAGGGAAGAGGGTGAGGAGGAAAGGCAGGGCCTGATTTTCATCTCAGGAAGCTGCAGCCAGGGGAAATGGAAGCAGGTAGAGAGGGAGAGAATGCTAGTCTTTTGAAATGTAAAGTGAAACCGTCAGTGAAGAAGGTGGAAAAGGAGGAGAGGAGGAGGAAGAGGAGAAAGAAACAGAGAAGGAAGGAGAAAAATAGGTGCTCTACAGTATTTCAGTAAACTAGTTATTTTTATTTTATTTTATTATTTTTTTTTGAGACAGGATCTTGCTTTGTTGCCCAGGCTGTAGTGCGGTGGTGCAATCACCACTCACTGTAGCCTCCACCTCCCTGGATCAAGACCTCCCTGGCTCAAGTGATCCTCCCACCTTAGCCTCCTAAGTAACTGGGACTACAGGCATGCACAACCATGCCCAGCTAATTTTTTTTATTTTTCTTTTGTAGAGACAGGGTCTCACTATGTTGACCAGCCTGGTTTCGAAGTGGTCTCAAGCGATCCTCCCACCTTGGCCTCCCAAAGTGCTGGGATTACAGGCACGAGCCACCACACCCACCCCACATGTTCTTGTTACCCTTCAATTACAGTCTAGGCCTGGCAGATGTCAGCTTCGCCGGGTACTGTGGCCATTCGTCACAGCAGGTTAAGGACTAACAAGGGGAAGGATTTCTTTAATTCCACCCCAGGAGTCGAAAAGAGGGCATGTGTGAGTGTAAACAGCCCTCAGGGACATTTCTCAGGCAGCAGCTCAGTCAGTTTTGGAAACAAAATCTTCCTCCGAGATAACGGAAACTCCAACTGCAAAACAGAACTCAGAGACAAAAATCATTTATTATATAGAACTTGCAGAGAAGTTACAAGGGAATCAGACAGCAGAAGGAAAGATTTGATCCAATAAAAATAAAATAGGCTGGGCATGATGGCTCACGCCTGTAATCCCAGCATTTTGGGAGGCCGAGGTGGGCAGATCATGAGATCAGGAGATCGAGACCATCCTGGCTAACACAGTGAAACCCCATCTCTACTAAAAATACAAAAAAATAGCCAGGCGTGGTGGCGGGCGCCTGTAGTCCCAGCTACTCGGGAGGCTGAGGCAGGAGAATGGTGTGAACCCAGGAGGCGGAGCTTGCAGTGAGCCGAGATCGCGCCACTGTACTCCAGCCTGGGCAAGAGAGCAAGACTCTGTCTCAAAAAATAAAATAAAATATAACAGGGATTTAAAGAAAAAACAATTACCGGCCAAATGTGGTAGCTCACGCCTGTAATTTCAGCACTTTAGGAGGCTGAGGTAGGAGGATCACTTGAGCCCAAGGGTTCAAGACCAGCCTGAGCAACATAGTGAAACCCCGTCTCTACAAAAAATACAAAAATACAAAAATTAGCTGGGGGTGGTGATGGGTTCCTGTAGTCTCAGCTGCTCAGGAGGCTGAGGAGGAAGGATCACTTGAGCCCCGGAGGTGAAGTAAGTTGAGCTGGGTATTTTTTTTATCTATTCACTAAGGCTTACATCTTACAGATTACAGGCATCCTACATTTTATATATCATCTAAGTTTTAAGAATGTAACATTTCACTAATATTGAAGAAAATAAGTTATATTACCATGAGTTTAAATTTCTAACAAAATTATAATGTTATTAGTTATGGTTTACAAAATTGAGTGTTAAGGATGAATTTGCAAAAAGTTACAAAACAAATTAATTAACTTATAATTTTTTTTTTTTTGAGACAGAGTCTTGCTCTGTCGCCCAGGCTGGAATGCAGTGGCGCAATCTCAGCTCACTGCAAGCTCCGCCTCCCGGGTTCATGCCATTCTCCTGCCTCAACCTCCCGAGTAGCTGGGACTACAGGTGCCCGCCACCATGCACAGCTAATTTTTTATATTTTTAGTAGAGACGGGGTTTCACCGTGTTAGCCAGGATGGTCTCGATCTCCTGACCTTGTGATCCACCTGCCTTGGCCTCCCAAAGTGCTGGGATTACAGGCGTGAGCCACTGAGCCCAGCCTTATAAATACATTTTAATTCAAAATTGAATTTCTAAGGTCAAGGATAAAGTTTTTTTGTTAGTAAGTCAGTGACCTATAGGAAAGGCCCAAGGTTTCATTTATTTGGGAGATGAGAATTATACAAGATGATTCTGTGTTTGTTTCAAGGCCAAAGTGTTATAGCTTTTTTTTTTCTCCTCTGACTTTGGGATGGGAGCTAATATTCATATATGATGGCCATAGGAAAATATGTCAGTTTTACTTCCACAAATCAAACTACTGAATATTTGACCAAAATTTTTCACTTTCTGGCTAAATATCAATGTATCAGTGAAATTCTTTTTTTTTTTTTTTTTTTTTTTCTGAGACAAGTTCTCACTCTTGCCCAGGCTGGAGTGCAGTGGCATGATCTTGGTTCACTGCAACCTCCTCCTCCTGGGTTCAAGCGATTCTCCCGCCTCAGCCTCCCAAGTAGCTGGGATTACAGGCACCTGCCACCACACCTGGCTAATTTTTGTATTTTTAGTAGAGACGGGGTTTCACCATGTTGGCCAAGCTGGTCTCGAACTCCTGGCCTCAAGTGATCCACCCGCCTCGGCCTCCCAAGGTGCTGGGATTACGGGCGGGAGGCACTGCGCCCGGCCTCAGTGAGATTCTTAACACAGGAAGTGACCACTGTCAGTTAAGATGCTTCCTTTTGCAAGTAAGAGAAAAACACAAAAACCAACTCAAACTGGCTTAAACAATAAAGGGAATTATCAGCTTATGTAGGAAAACCCCTAAACAGTAGGGGGGGCGGGCGGGGGGGGCGGGTTTCAGGCACTGGTGAGGGCACTGGCTCTGTTTCTCTGGAATTCTCTCAGCTTCTCATTCCTCTATATGTCAGCTTGGTCCTTTGGCTTGTTTCCCTCTTGGTGGCAAAATGGCCACAACTATTCCTGCCCTCATATTCACACATGGGAGGACTTCTCTTCTTTCAACCACTGAACAAAAGAACTAGGCTTTACTCTAGTTGAGCCAACTTAGATCGCATGCCTTCTCTTGAAGCAATCACTTGCAAGGGGGAAAGGTTTATGCTGATAGGACTGTGCCAGTCAGGGCCCATCCTGGAGCTGCGGGTGGGGGTCAACCCCTTCCAAACATCATGGCTACTATGCAATGGGGAAGGAAAGAATGTCTGCTAGAGAGGCAACCCCAATCTTCACTACAGAATCTCACCTATTACCATTTTTTCCCTCTATCTAAGGAAACCTTTCCTTTCTTTTAAGAAACATTTCTCAGCAGCTCAATACATTAAAATAGATTTAAATGGGACTGCTTAGGCTAGAATGTTTGTGACCGAGCGCAATCTGCTCATACCTGTTCATAAGTTCATTCCAGGAGTTACATCTGTTGAGCATATATTGAAGCCCAATGGACTAACTCAGCCCTTTAATTCTAAAATGGTGAAACCTATGTCTAGAGATGGAATGTGACATGGCCAAGGTCACACAGCCAGTAGGCAGCAGAGCCAGGACTAGAACTTGGATTTCTCAGCTTCTGGTCCAACGCCATCCTTACACAGAATCTTAGGGTCTCTCTCTCTCTGTCTTCCCATCTCTTTCAACAGTATGTGAAAGCCAGGTCCCCCAGAGCCAATCTGCCCCCTCTCTATGCTCTTGAACTTCTAACCATCTATGCCTGGGAAATGGGTACTGAAGAAGACGAGAATTTCATGTTGGACGAAGGCTTCACCACTGTGATGGACCTGCTCCTGGAGTATGAAGTCATCTGTATCTACTGGACCAAGTACTACACACTCCACAATGCAATCATTGAGGATTGTGTCAGAAAACAGCTCAAAAAAGAGAGGTACTGGACCACTGTTTGCCCACCAAATCTTACAGAAAAAAAGAGAGACGGGCTAGTGTAACGTGGCATAGAGTTTTATGGATTGGCTGTATTAAGCAGTAAGGCTGCCACCATAGTTGAGCATCGACCTCCCACACCAACACAGCTGGCATCTCAAGTTGGTGGCTTATCAAAGTCACTGGGGGGCCATGGGGCGGGTAGAAGCCTGTTCCTTGTTTCCTAAGCCACCCTCCACCTTAGCTTGGCCTTCTTGCTCTCTGAAGACCATTTCAGTGCTTTGTAGGAGCTAGCATGGGAAAATGGAAAGAATCTTGGAGACTCAAGTTTAAATCCCAGCTCAGCCATTTTCCTACTGCTATGAGCCTCAATCCCTTATCCATAAGACAGGAGTAAACTGGAACCTACGACATAGGATTGATGTAAGGGTTGGAGAAAATCTGTGTTAAGGATCCACAATATCTAGCATCTGGCAGATGCTGAGTAAATGCTTATATTGGAGCATGTGCTGTCAGCGTCCCATTCATATCCTCTCGGCCTTTACCGTTCTAGGGAAGGTTGGTTCCACTTCCAGCTGTCAGCACCTGCATCCCTTTGCCAGCAGACCCACTCTGAGAAGAGCCCTCCACCAGATCTGGTGGGAGTTGGTGGATAAATACCACAGCTCCCTCACCCAAAAGATGGAAGGAATCTGGGTCTCATTGCGTAACTTTTTTTTTTTTTTTTTAAGACAGAGTTTTGCTCTGTCACCCAGGGTGGAGTGCAGTGGCGCAATCTCCACTCATTGCAACCTCTGCCTCCTGGGTTCGAGTGATTCCCCTCCCTCAGGCTTCTGAGTAGCTGAGATTACAGGCGCCTACAACCCACACCCAGCTGATTTTTGTATTTTTGTAGAGACAGTGCTTTGCCATGTTGGCCAGGCTGGTCTCAAACTCCTGACCTCAGGTGATGCGCCTGCCTTGGCCTCCCAAAGTACTGGGCTTACAGGCGTGAGCCACCGCACTGGGCCCCATTCCATACTCTTTCCTAAAGATCGCCTCCAGTGGACCACAGTAGTAATTACTTCAATACCCACTCTTTGTTGTCTGCCTTCCCTTATCTGTCTCACTGTCTCACTCCCTTATTTGTGCTTCCTGGGATCACTTTCCAAATAAGCCAAATCCTTATCTGGGGATCTGCTTCAGGGGAAGCCCAACCCAGACAACTCTCTGTGTTAGAAGCTCTGGGCCTGTGTAAGCAACATCACAGTATTTAGTGTTCTGTTATGTAGTATTGGGTCTCTTTTGTAAGGAAGAAAAGCCAGGTCTGCTCATGAAAAGAGGATTTATTATAACCATGGCCAGAAAAATCGAGAAAGCATCAGGACCTGAGACTCCCTCTCTCTCTCTGTCACTCTCTCTCATGAACTACAGCACTTTTCCCCTCAGCCTCTGCTTCTCTCTCCACACCTGTCCGGCTCCCCTCTGCCTCCCAGGTATAAGGGATCTCCATCATCCCCATGTCCAAACCCCAGAGAGAACCAGTCTGATTCCTGGTCACGGGACACAGACCCCATGTGTTGGGTCACCTGCCAGCCAACAGAATGAGCCACTTTAGATCAGTGACCCCACCCCATAGGACAGCCTGGCACTTTCAGGCAGGACTGTTTTAGGGAGCAGTCAGGGTTGGGAGGAGCCAGCCTGGAGCCCAAAGTCCAGTTCATTCCAGTAGCCTGTGTCACATTCGATTACACAGATGAAGTCGCAGCTCCCTCCCAAGCCCTGGAGTACAAAGGGCTGGGTTTTTTTTGTTTGTTTTTGGGTTTTGTTTTTTTTTTTTTAATGGAGTCTTGCTCTGTCACCTAGGCTGGAGTTCAGTGGCACGATCTTGGCTCACTGCAACCACCACCTCCTGGGTTCAAGCTATCCTCCCACCTCAGCCACCCAAGTAACTGGGACTACAGGCGCCTGCCGCCATGCCCTAATTTTTGTATTTTTAGTAGAGACACGGTTTCACCATGTTGGCCAGCCTGGTCTTGAACTCCTGACCTCAAGTGATCTGCCCACCTCGGCCCCACAAAATGCTGGGATTATAGGCGTGAGCCACTGCGCCCCACTCAAAGAGCTGGTGTTAATCATGGACTTGCAGTCACCCCAAGTTAATAAGCAAGCCCAAGATCCCCTTCAAGCCAATATTCTTTAAAATATTTATTCAATATTTATAGAAAGGAGAGACTTTTGGGGGCAGCCCAACCTCTGCTCTGTTGAGGAGGTAGATGGGTAAGAGCCCCCATCTACTGGCTGTAAGAACTTAGGGCAATCTAGGCCGGGCACCGGTGGCTCATGCCTGTAATCCCAGCACTTTGGGAGGCCAAGGCAGGTGGATCACGAGGTCAGGAGTTCAAGACCAGCCTGGCCAAGATGGTGAAACCCCATCTCTACTAAAAATACAAAAATTAGCTGGGCGTGGTGGCGGGTACCTGTAATCCCAGCTACTCAGGAGGCCGAGGCAGAGAATTGGCTGAACCCGGGAGGTGGAAGTTGCAGTGAGCCGAGATTGCACCACTGCCCTTCAGCCTGGGCGACAGAGCGAGACTCTGTCTCAAAAAAAAAAAAAAAAAAAAAAAAAGGAACTTAGGGAGGTCTGTAAAAAGGGGACAACCACAACAATAAACAATAAAAATAACAGTCCCTACCTTATAGAATTGCTGTAAGATTAAAATAGGTTAATCTGCATAGGATTTGGCCTTGTGCTTCAATAAATGTCAGTAGTTGGTGGCAGTGGTGTTTCTACTATCCAAAGTAATTCAGCAGCTCTAACCTTAAACTTAAACTTGCAAAACCTGCTCCGAAGGTACAGGGCCCCCCCTGCCTGAAAGGGCATCTGTTATTACTCCAGCATGCCTCTTGGGGCCTCATTCTCCCCCTAAATTCCTTGCAAACACTTAAGGCACTATCCCAAAGAAGAAGAATTTTTTTTTTTTTGAGACAGTCTCACTCGGTCACCCAGGCTGGAGGGTGGTGGCATGATCTTGGCTCACTGCAACCTCCACCTCCTGGGTTCAAGCAATGCTCCTGCCTCAGCCTTCTGAGTAACTGGGATGACAGGTGCGTACCACCACACCTGGCTAATTTTTTGTATTTTTAGTAGAGACAGGGTTTCACCACGTTGGCCAGGCTGGTCTTGAACTCCTGACCTCAAGTGATCCTCCCGCCTCAGCCTCCCAAAGTGCTGGGATTACAGGCGTGAGCCACTGTGCCTGGCCCAGATAGGAATTCTTGGAAATAGCATTGTCTCCATCCTGTTACTCTCCTGCGGTGTTTTGGGGCCCTCTTGAACATCCCCGGGATGTGGATATCACAATTCTCAGTGGCTGGACGAAATAATTGCCGAGAAGGTTTTTTTCTGGCTTGAAGGCCTTCAAACCATTATGAGCCTGGGCACCCTTTTCCTGTGTTACAGGCCCATCATCCTGGATCCGGCCGACCCCACCCTCAACGTGGCAGAAGGGTACAGATGGGACATCGTTGCTCAGAGGGCCTCCCAGTGCCTGAAACAGGACTGTTGCTATGACAACAGGGAGAACCCCATCTCCAGCTGGAACGTGAAGGTAATGGCTCCTCTCTGGGCTGTCAAGGGCTTGAAGGTCAGAACGACAGATAAACTACTCAGTATTTACTCATTCAGTTCTGTGTTGATGGAGAACAGAACTTTAGAGTCACCGTTTAAGGGCCAGCTGCACCACCCATGGGCTCCGTGAACTTGGACAAATTCTTTGGCTCTCAGAGCCTTGGGTTTCTTACCTTCAAATTCTTGTTCTCCTTTCCTTTCTTTTTCCCATAATTTACTGGAGAATCAGTTCTGTGTTCCTGATCATTCTTTGCGTGAGTTGGGTCCAGCCAAGTCAGCTCAATCAGCCATTCTGTGCCAGTGCTGTTCTCAGGGATGGGGTAGGGGATGTGGGCTGGGGGACAACACAGGCACAGAAATAAGACATGACCACGACGCTCGGCCAGGTGCGGTGGTTCACGCCTGTAATCCCAGCACTTTGGGAGGCCAAGACAGGTGGATCACTTGAGGTCAGGAGTTCAAGACCAGCCCGGCCAACATGGAAAAAACCCATCTCTACTAAAAAAATACAAAATTAGGCGGGCGTGGTGGCAGGTGCCTATAATCCCTGCTACTCCGGAGGCAGAGGCAGGTGAATCGCTTGAACCCGGGAGCTGGGGGCTGCAGTGAGCTGAGATCGTGCCATTGCACTCCAGCCTGGACAGCAAGAGGGAAACTCTGCCTCAAAAAAAAAAGAAAAAAAGAAAAAAAAAAGACACCACCCTCACTCTCAGAGAACTCACCCTATGTTGTCAGGAAGCAAATCCATGAAACAAACTTACACAAAACTGCTAGAATTACCAGAGAAGACAAGATACTCTGAAAACAAACAAACAAACAAAAAATACTAAGTCATATTATTATATGATGCCAAACCTATAGTATAGGCAGAGATCACAAAAATCTATTTTATTAACATCACACTTTCTAGTGTGCAAAGCTCTTGTCCAAGGTCTGTCTCAGTTGATCCTCATAAGCAATTCTGTAAAGTAAGAAGGTCGAGTGTTATCACTATCTTTATTATTATTATCATCATTACTATTATTGCCATTTTACAGAAGAGAAAACTGAGGCTCAGAGAGGTTAATTAACTAAGGGCACTCTGCTAAGAGGCAGCAGAACCAGGGGCTCTGGGGGTCTGGAAGCAGAATAAATGTTAACTGAAGTCACCAGAGAAGATTCCTTTAAAAAGTTAGGAGTTGAAATGAGCCCTAAAGGCCGGGGGGAGATATAGACACTCAGAACAGAGGACAAAGGATGATGAGGGGTAAAGGATGGGAGGCTGGGATGAGCAAGATGTGTACAGGACAGGAGACTGAACTGCTTGGAGCAGAAGGCAGAAGCAGAATCAGAGGCTCCAGTAAGGTACATAGAGTATAAACGGGGGGACCCGCTGGCCAAATGAGGAGGCCCACCCATGGGCTGGAAAATATACGCCTCTGGATTTTTCCTGAATATAAAAGCCATTGTAGGCTGGGGGCAGTGGCGCACGCCTGTAATCACAGCACTTTGAGGGGCTGAGGCGGGTGGATCCCTTGAGCCCAACAGTTCAAGACCAGCCTAGGCAACATGGTGAAACCCCGTCTCTACTAAAAATACAAAACTTGGCCAGGTGCGGTGGCTCACATCTGTAATCCCAGCACTTTGGGAGGCCGAGGTGGGCAGATCACGAGGTCAAGAGATCGAAACCATCCTGGCCAACATGGTAAAACCTCATCTCTACTAAAAATACAAAAATTAGCTGGGTGTGGTGGCATGTGCCTGTAGTCCCAGCTACTAGGGAGGCTGAGGCAGGAGAATCGCTTGAACCTGGGAGGCGGAGGTTGCAGTGAGCCAAGATCGTGCCACTGCACTCTAGCCTGGCAACAGAGTGAGATTCCATCTGAAAAAAAAAAAAAAAAAAAAGAACAAAACTTAGCCAGATGTGGTGGCACGCACCTGTGGTCCCAGCTACTCAGGAAACTGAGGCGGGAGGATCGCTTCAGCTTGGGAGGTCAAGGCGCAGTGAGTTAAGATTGCACCACTGCACTGCAGCCTGAGGTGACAGGGCAAGGCCCTGTCTCAAAAAACAAAACAAACACACACAACATTGTGCAAATATTTTTTATCTTGGCTAGTCAGAAAACTTGGCAATGCCAGGCTTATATTTCTTTTTCTTTTTCTTTTTTTGTTTTCCTTTTGAGACAGAGTCTCCCTTTGTTGCCCAGGCTGGAGTGCAGTGGTGCGATCTCAGCTCACTGCAACCTCCACCTCCTGTGTTCAAGAGATTCTCCCACTTCAGCCTTCCGAGTAGCTGGGACTACAGGCATACGCCACCACACCCGGCTAATTTTTGCATTTTTTGGTAGAGATAGGTTTTGCCATGTTGGCCAGGCTGGTCTCAAACTCCTGACCTCAAGTGATCTGCCCGCCTTGGCCTCCCAAAGTGCTGGGAATACAGGCGTGAGCCACTGCACCCAGCCAAGGCTTATATTTCTTCTGGAAAGAATCAGCTAGAGGCCTGACCCTCGCCAGCATTTTCCAGGTGCTCTCCAGCCACCTGGGGCTCTCAGGCCCTGGAGTGTAGCCTCTGGAGGTGGTGAGAACACAGACTCTGGAGTCTGACCAACCTCACTTCACATATCTGCCCTGCTCCTTACTACCTATGTGATTGGTGTTCAGTAAATTACCTAACCCTGCTCAGTTTCCTCATCAATAACATGGGGGTAACAGTAGAACCAACCAACTAATAGAGATGCTCTGAGAATAAAATGCATTAAGGGTATGGAAGGTGCTCAGCATACAGCCTGGAAAGTGCTTACCACTCCCTAAACATTTGCTGCTGCCGCTGCTGCTGCTACTATTGTAAAGATAAGGACAGATGAAGGGAACATTTGCACATCAGACAAAGAAGTGTGGACTTAACACCTCTCCTTCTCCCTCTCCCTTCCAGAGGGCACGAGACATCCACTTGACAGTGGAGCAGAGGGGTTACCCAGATTTCAACCTCATCGTGAACCCTTATGAGCCCATAAGGAAGGTTAAAGAGAAAATCCGGAGGACCAGGGGCTACTCTGGCCTGCAGCGTCTGTCCTTCCAGGTTCCTGGCAGTGAGAGGCAGCTTCTCAGCAGCAGGTGCTCCTTAGCCAAATATGGGATCTTCTCCCACACTCACATCTATCTGCTGGAGACCATCCCCTCCGAGATCCAGGTCTTCGTGAAGAATCCTGATGGTGGGAGCTACGCCTATGCCATCAACCCCAACAGCTTCATCCTGGGTCTGAAGCAGCAGATTGAAGACCAGCAGGGGCTTCCTAAAAAGCAGCAGCAGCTGGAATTCCAAGGCCAAGTCCTGCAGGACTGGTTGGGTCTGGGGATCTATGGCATCCAAGACAGTGACACTCTCATCCTCTCGAAGAAGAAAGGAGAGGCTCTGTTTCCAGCCAGTTAGTTTTCTCTGGGAGACTTCTCTGTACATTTCTGCCATGTACTCCAGAACTCATCCTGTCAATCACTCTGTCCCATTGTCTACTGGGAAGGTCCCAGGTCTTCACCAGTTTTACAATGAGTTATCCCAGGCCAGACGTGGTAGCTCACACCTGTAATCCCAGAACTTTGGGAGGCCGAGGTGGGAGGAGCGCTTGAGCCGAGGAGTTCAAGACCAGCCTGGGTATCACAGGGAGACCCCGTCTCTACAAAATAAAAAAATAATTCACTGGGTGTGGTTGTGCACATTTGTAGTCTCAGGCACTCAAGAAGCTGAGGCAGAAGAATCACTTGAGCCCAGGAGGCTGAAGCTGCAGTGAGCTGTGATCACACCGCTACACTCCTGCCCAGGCCACAGAGCAAGACCCTGTGTCTAAAAACTAAAACATAAAAATAAGTAAATCCGTTTAAAAAAAGGATTATCCCAGCCCTGCCAGGGGGAGGATGAGGAGGGGTGTGAGGACTAAATATACAAATAAATAGTGTGGTCACATGACGCACAGCAACAGAATTCGGACCCACAGCCTTCTGCAGCAATCAACCCCAAACCATCAGGACTTGGGCGATAACTGGCAGCATCTCTAACTCCCCACCCTACTCCCATCCTGCTTCCTATTTATGACCAACCCAAGAAACCCAAATAAGCTCCCCAGACCAATCACATGGTTAGCCCCACTTCTGGTGAGTGCACTTCCAGCTTCCCCATACCAACAGCCTCAATCACGGCATCCCTGAAGCCTTCCCATTTTCCTGCCTGTCTTTAAATCTCTGTCAAAAGCGAGAGATGGGTGGCTGGTTCCTTTGCTATAGCAAGTTGGGAATAAATCGCCTTTGTTAGTTCTCATTTGGGGGCTGTTTATTTCCACAGGGCCTAATGCTGTCCTAATGGTTATTGCTTGATCATTTGAGCTTCTCAACTCTAAGAAATGAGGACTGGGGAAACTGAGGCAAAAAGAGACAAAGAATGGGAGATTGAGGATGATGCAGTGTAAAAAAAAATCACCTCAACTCCTAAAACCCATACACAAACAGTACATAATAGTCAGGAAACTGTAGGAAAGTAATAGCATCTTTATTATCAAAGGACGTCATGTGATCAGGTTTACTCCAAGCAATAAAAAGTTTCCTTTTGCCCCCCTGTTTTGCCTAGTTTTCTGGTGGGCTACTCTCCTACCATAGCATAGAAAATGCACACTGCAATTGGTTATCAACAGCCTCTGGTCAATTTAGCAATCATAATCTGTGTATCTCCCACCTCTGTTTGCCTTCAGGGACAGAAAAAGTGCCTCCTTTCCAGGAGGTAGACAGGCTGTTCCAGTCCCCATCTTTGTGTCCTTCATAATGCCCAGCACAGCCCACATTGTAGGTGGTGGGAAAATTCTTGTTTAAAATAAAAAAAAGAATGAAAAATGCAATGTCTTAGTCCATCTGGGCTGCTAAAACAAAATACCATACACTGGATGGCTCATGAACAATAACCATTTATTTCTTACAGCTCTGGAGGCTGGGAAGTCCAAGTCAAGACACTGGCAGATTTGGTGTCTGGTGAGGACCTCTTCCTGATTCACAGATGGCAGCTTCTCACTAAGTCTTCACATGGTAGAAGAGGCAAAGGTGTCTCTAGGATCGCTTCTTTTTTTTTTTTTTTTTTTTTTTGAGATGGAGTCTCGCTCTGTCACCCAGGCTAGAGTGCATTGGCATGATCTCAGCTCCCTGCAACCTCTGCCTCCGAGGTTCAAGCGATTCTCCTGCCTCAGCCTCCCGAGTAGCTGGGACTACAGGCACCTACCACTGTGCCCAGCTAATTTTTTTTTTATTTTTAGTAGAGACGGGGTTTCACCATCTTGGCCAGGCTAGTCTCGAACTCCTGACCTTGTGATCCACCTGTCTTGGCCTCCCACAGTGCTGGGATTACAGTTGTGAGCCACCATGCCTGGCCTCTGGGGTCTCTTTTATGAAGGCATTGATCCAGTTCATGAGGGCTCAGGACCCATTATGTAATTGAAAGATTCTCCGTGGGGCCTGAAAGCTTAAGAGAATGAATGACCCCTCCCTCCCCTCCCTCCTTGGGCCCGGTCCCAAGGCGCAAGGCCACTCGCGCCAGCAGCATGTGTCAGCAAGATAGCAGAAGCGGGAAGAGAGCGGGCCAGAAGACACCTACCCCCTGAAGACCGAGAGAGACGTCATCCGGGTACAATGTAGCGGTTACAACAGACTGAGAAACTTCCTGTTTACAGGAGACTACAAAACCCCTGCCCCGTCCTCATTTGGTGCTGACGCCATTTTAAGCCTCAGCCCACCTGCACACACACTGCCTCATGTTGTCTGTTGGCCACGCTCTTGGGGTTCGAACCAACACAAGACCCTTTCACTAATTACTTCCCAGAGGTCCCACCTCCTAATACCATCACCTTGGGAGTAAGGACTTTTTGGAAATTATCAGTATCAAAATGGAGTCACTTATGTCAAACCCTAACAAATGCCTGTCACAAAAATTATCTCAAGAAGTTCCTAAAATCCGCAGTATTATAGATAAACCACTTGCATAAGAATATTTGCCTAACAGTGGGTGTCTCCACAATAAGCTAAAGCCAACTCCTGCAACAGGCTCCTGTGATCAACGGTACTTGTTTTAAAGAAGCTTATGTGGACTTTGTCTTTTCTCGTTGCCACAACCTCTTTTAATGTGCCTATAGTCCACTATAGCATGCATATCTCAAATTGCAATTCCTTGCAATTCTGGAATAAACGCTTTATTTTGGAGAGTCAGTCTCTCTGTTATTTATTTTATGGTGTCAATTTTAACATATGAATTTTGGAGGAACACATTCAGACCATATCAGTCACCTTCCTCTTCTTTGAAATAGAAAAAGCTCAAGGCCAGAGAGTTTATTTTAGTAAAGTTTTGACATACCTGTCTTCAAAGATAAAACATGAAACAGCATTCCACACACAAAAGTAAAGTGATTTTGTTCATCCTTCACTGTGAGGTATTTTAACCACAGAGATTCTAATTTTTTGGTCTTGGATGGGTCCTGGGAGTCAGTATTGCCTGGCTAATTTTTGTATTTTTAGTAGAGATGGGGTTTCACCATGTTGGTCAGGCTAGTCTCGAACTCCTGACCTCATGATCTGCCCGCCTCGGCCTCACAAAGTGTTGGGATTACAGATGTGAGCCACCGTGCCCGGACAGGATTCTGCATTTCTCTTTTTTTTTTTTCGAGACAGAGTCTCAGTCTGTTGCCCAGGCTGGAGTGCAGTGGCACGATCTTGGCTCACCTCAACCTCCACCTCCCAGGTTCAAGTGATTTTCCTGCCTCAGCCTCCTGAGTAGCTGGGACTACAGGTGCGTGCCACCATGCCCAGCTAATTTTTGTATTTTTAGTAGAGATGGGGTTTCACTATGTTGGCCAGGCTGGTCTCGAACTCCTGACCTTGTGATCTGCCTGCCTCAGCCCCCCAAAGTGTTGGGATTACAGGCGTGAGCCACCGTGCCCAGCCTGGATTCTGCATTTCTAACGAGCTCCCAGGTGTTACCAATGCTGCTGGCTCATGGACTACACTCTTAAGTAGTAAGGCCCTAGGCTATTAAAGGAAATACAGATTCCTGGATTCCACCTATCAGAGATTCTGATTCTGTTAGTATTTTCTGTGAGACCCAAAAGTCTGCAGTTTAACCAGCTCTCTAAGGTGTTTCTTAGGCCCAGCTGGACTGGGAAATTACTAGAATAAATGACATGGAATCAAAACCTGGGAACTAATCCTGGGTCTGTCATTAACTCCTTAGGAGATTCCCATCCCCTCTGGAGATCTGTCATCAAGAAATGATTGGAGAAGTTAATCTCTTAGGCCCTTCTAGCTCTTGCCTTTGAGAACCGCCCACCTCCCCATTCCCACCTGGTATCCCCAACCCAGTACAGTTCATGGCCAATGGCGGTCCAAGTCTTGGAACTACAATCCCCACAATGCCTCGCGCCTCTCCTCTCACGTGACGTCATGAAGGAGGCTTGATAACGGCGGTGTTCTCCACAATCCTTTGCGGTGGTTCAAGATGGCGGCGCCCAGTGGCACAGTGAGCGATTCGGAAAGTAGTAACAGCAGTAGCGATGCGGAGGAGCTGGAGCGGTGCCGCGAGGCGGCAATGCCGGCTTGGGGCTTGGAGCAACGCCCGCACGTGGCAGGGAAGCCAAGAGCCGGTAGGGTACTATGTTTGGGGAGACTGGCTGAGGGGCGTGGGATCTTCCCCTGGAGCCTGAGAGGATGGATGGTGAGGAGAGAGTCACTGGGACTCGGCTTCCTTCCCCGAGAGACCTCCAGGGACTGGGTGTAGTGCAGATTGAAAGCATGGGCAGGTGCAGTAGGGAGGGTATTTCATTATTCCAGTCGGGGAAGCTGAGGTACCCAAATGTCTTTTGATTCTGCCTCCTTGGGTCTATCCTCACTGCCCCACACTGGGAAGGCTGCCGTCTCTTCGAGATAACTGCAACAGCCCCCTCCCGGTATTCTCGCACCCAGCCTTTCCCCACCTCCAACACATTCTCCCACCCTGGAGGTTGTTGCCAAGAGCAGTGCCCAGCACATCACTCTGACCGTGACTCCCTAGTGCCCTGGGAATAAATACAGAGCCCCGCAACATCAAGGGGCCTAATCATGGATAGAACCCAAGGGTTCTTGAATTTGGAATGAAAACATGTTGCATCTTTGCTTTCTATTCATCTCTGACTGAATTTTAGCATCTCTTTCCGTCTTGCAAGCACTAAGCCACAGTAGTTCTGGCAATGCCGTTACTTTATCCCAACAGAAGTCACAGATTTTCATATCTCATTACAATCTTTGCAGATACAGATATCAATATATCATTTTATTGATAAAAAGATATTGGGGAAAAAAGTCATTTACACTCATCCCTGATTTAAAATGTGCCACTCTAATTTTTAGACCCATCTCTATATCTAAGATGTAAGAAGCACATACATCACAAGTTTGGTTGTTTACTATCATGATAATTAAATTTCGGTATCATTGGTTTTCTTTGTAATCCTGTATGTTGCATTTCATGCATTTAAAACATTGCTCTGAGAAGAGAACCGGGCTTCACCAGGCTGTTAGAGAAGGCTATGGCAAAGCAAGGTTAAGAACCGCTGGATTTGTTTAAAAGGACTTACAAGCCCTTTGGTGATCCATTGCCTTCCTCTCCCTTCCTTCCCTCCTGCCATACTGCACTTCCTGTAGGTAGCTTCCAGACCATAGTCTGCCCCTCTCACCCCCTAGTACCATAACCACAGTTTTCTCTGCAAGTTCTATTTACAGATCTGCCTTTCCATCTCATTAGCGGTGGGAACTTGAGCAAAGTACTTAAATCTCACTGTACCTAAATTTCCTCATCTGTACAGTGCGGGTAGTGATAGTACCCACCCCATAAGGTTGAGAAGTAACTGAGATAATGCAATCTACAGTGCTTGGCACATCTTAAAGGCCCAATACATGGTGGCAAATATGTGGTTGGTCTTTCCACATGGACTGCTTTCCTCCTCCTGCCTAATTCTCGCTCTTTTTTTTTTCAAAACTAGGACTCAGTCTGTTACCGAGGCTGACACAATCATGGCTCACTGCAACCTCGACCTCCCCCTACTCAGATGATCCTCCCACCTCAGCCTCCCAAGTAGCTGAGACTACAGATGTATAGTCCCAGCTACTTTTTGTATTTTTTGTAGAGATGGGGTTTTGCCATGTTGCCCAGGCTGGTCTCGAACTCCTGGGCTCAAGTGATCCTCCCTTCTCAACCTTCAAAGTGCTGAGATTACAGGTGTGAGCCACTGTGCTCGGCTTCTAGTTTTTTTTGTTTGTTTGTTTGTTTTTTGGGGTTTTTTTTTTTTTTTTGCATTTTTTTTTTTTGAGATGGAGTTTCACTCTTGTTGCCCAGGCTGCAGTGCAATGGCACGATCTCAGCTCACTGCAACCTCTGCCTCCTGGGTTCAAGTGATTCTCCTGCCTCAGCCTCCCTAGTAGCTGGGATTACAGGCGCCTGCCACCACGCCCAGCTAATTTTTTGTATTTTTAGTACAGACAGGGTTTCACCGTGTTGGCCAGGCTGGTCTCAAACTCCAGACCTCAGGCAATCCACCTGCCTCGGCCTTCCAAAGTGCTGGGATTACAGGTGTGAGCCACCGCGCCTGGTCTCTTTTTTTCTTTTTGAGACGCAGTCTCGCTCTGTTACCAAGGCTGGAGTGCAATGGCGCGATCTTGGCTCCCTGCAACCTCCGCCTCCCAAGCTCAAGCAATTCTCCTGCCTCAGCCTCCTAAGTAGCTGGGATTACAGGTGCCCACCACCAGGCCCAGCTAATTTTTTTTTATATTTTTATTAGAGACAGGGTTTCACCGTGTTGGCCAGGCTGGTCTCGAACTTATGACCTCAGGTGATCCGCCCACCTTGGCCTCCCAAAGTGCTGAGATTACAGGCATGAGCCACCACACCCAGCCTAGATTACATTCTTGAGTGCGTCTAGTAATAGCCACCAGGAGTTGAGAATTTTCTTTTTGCCCCTGTTCTAAACACTTTGTATTTGTTGTCTGTTTTCATCTTCCCAGCAATGCCACAAGAGGGTGTATTAGCCCCATTTTACAGAAAACTGATTCTCATAATGGTAAAATAACTTGGCCAAGGTTGTCCAATTTGTGAGTGGCAGAACCAGGCGTAAACCCAGGCCTACCTGACTCCCAAGTCCATGCTCTTCATTGCTGCTGTGCCACTCTGCCATGGACAAGTGTCTATTGTGGTCAAAACTCCCACCCTTTGGTCCATGACTGTGGAAATATAGGTCACTATTTTATTTATGTAACCTCTAGAGACAGCTCTTAAATCCAGTGATGAACTCGTCACTCAAACCACTTTAATTTTAGGGTAGCATCTACTTTGACTTATTTTTCTGACAATTAATTCAAACCAAGACACTATGGCAGGATCTGGGGATACAGAGGTAAAAAGAGGCAGACCACGTATTCAAGTAGCTTACAAATCCAGGAAGGGGATGGGTATGGAAACAGCGTCCACAACACTGACTCCAGAAGGTTGGTAATCGTATTCCCATTTTATAGATGAGAAAAACAAAGGCTCAGGGAGAGAAAGTGACTTGCCCGGCATCACACAGCTTGGTGGCAGAGCCAGGACTCAACTGAACTGTCTCCCTCTGTAATACTGTTTCTGTTCCCTGACGGTACCTCACCTTCATCACACTGTAGTCATGATGGAAGAGATGCTCTTCTTCCAAGTGATTATGTGCTGAAGACGAAAGACCAGGTCTTTAAAGACTGTCCATCCAGGCCCCCACATTACCCACCTCCAGGAGCATGGGGCGTGTTTAGCATTCTGTGTTGTGCTCTGGAGTACAGTGACACAGACCACAAGGTACTAGGACACAGATGCAATGTGTATGGGTGATGACATAAACACAGCAGTGCCCCCATGGAGCTGTTTCTTACACCATGGCCCTCCACTGGGCCCGGAGCTACCAAGTGTCCACTTTGTTCAGTTGGCCCCTTAAATATACAAGCACGTTTTGTCTTGTTAGTTAAGTCAGAAACCTCAGAGCTAACTTTCACTCATTTCTCACGCCCTGTAGTCAGTCCATCAGTGAATCCTATTGACTCCATCTTTTTTTTTTTTTTTTTTTTTTTTTAGACGGAGTCTTGCTCTGTCACCAGGCTGGAGTGCAGTGGCGTGATCTTGGCTCACTGCAACCTCCGCCTCCTGGGTTCGAGCGATTCTCCTGCCTCAGCTTCTCAAGTAGCTGGGACTACAGGTGTGCACCACCACACCCAGCTAATTTTTGTATTTTTTAGTAGAGATGGGGTTTCACCATGTTGACCAGGATGGTCTCGATCTCTTGACCTCGTGATCCGCCTGCCTCAGCCTCCCAAAGTGCTGGGATTACAGGCGTGAGCCACCGCGCCCGGCCTTGACTCCATCTTAAAAGTGCATCTATCTGGAGTTCACCCACTTCTCACCACATCAATTACTGCAGCAGACTCCGTGTTCCTGCCTTTGCCCCAACAGTCTCACGCTGCACAGCAGCCAAAGATGTTCTGTCAAAACCCAGGTCAGTTTATGTCCCTTCTCTGCTCATTTCCAGAGCTCCTCCTCCTCAAAGTCCAGGTCCTCCCATTGGCCCACGTCAGGGCCCTTCATGATCTGGCCCCTCTGAGTTCTCCATCTCTGCTGCTCCCGGTTTACTGGGCAGGCTCTGGTCACACTGACCTCCTTGCTGGTTCTAAACACACAAAGCAGGCTCCAGTCTCAGGGCCTTTGCAGATGCTTTCCCTCTGCCTGGAAGGCTGTGTCCCACATGTCCACTTGGTTCACTCCCTCTCCTCTCTCAAATCTCTGTTCAAATGTTGCCTTATCAGTGAAGCCCTCTCTGCCCACCTTTATGTTAACAATCCCCAGCCCAACACTCCCCACCTCTCTCGCCTACTTTGTTTCCGTTTTTTTCCATACACTTAGCATTATCCAACTTGACATTTTGTTTACGTATGTGTGTTTATCATCTCTCTCCACCAACTAGAATGTAAGCTCCTGCAGACAGTGATAGTCGAGTAAGTTGCTCAGCAATGACAACACCTGGTTAATAAAAGGCATTCAGTATCTGGTTTGAGGGAATGACCAAAAGGCCGGGCATCCCCACCGTTTTGGCTTGAAAAATGTGATCCACAAAAGAGCCATCTTCTCTCTCTTCCACGGCACTTAGCACACAGCCAGGCAGGCATTAAACTGTGCAGTCAAATCACACTTAGACCTGCCTGTTCAGCACAGCGTGGTGGTTAAGAGGGGGCTCAGGAGTCAGATGGCCTGGGCCCCCAGCCCAACCCTGTCACTTATTAGGTATTTGACTCTGGCCAAGTTATTTTACATATCTTTGACGTTTCTTCTGCAAAATGGGATAATTGTAATCCCTCCAATCGGGTTGTTGGGAAGATTCACTGAGTTATATGTGTTATATATATTTTAAGTTACATATATAACTATTTTAAGTTTTATGTATATATAACTAAGTTATATATATAACTATTTTAAGTTTTATATATATAACTAAGTTATATATATATTTTAAGTTATATAACTAAGATATATATATATATAATGTACTTACATAAAATATGTAACTATATTATATACATATATAACTAAATTATATGTAACTATTTGAAGTTATGGGTATATAACTATTTTAAGTTATATATAAATATAATATATATGAGTTACATGTGTATGTATATATATGAGTTATATGTATTTTAAGCTGCTGAAAATAGTGCCTGGCACGCATTTGTTGTTGCTGTCATTGTTTCCTCTATAAATGCCCTAATTTTCATTTTTCCACAGGTGCTGCAAATAGCCAGTTGTCAACCTCCCAACCGAGCCTCAGGTACTATGCACTTTGGGTTCAAGTTTCACTTATTCAACAAATACTGATCCCCTGCGTGTGCCAGATGCTAGGCTTCACGCCTGGCATTTCCAGGTGAACAAGACACACATGGTCCCTGTGCTCATGGGGACAGCTTCTGAGCGGGCAGGAAGTGAGGTCTCTTTGTGTGTGTCGTAGGCATAAGGTGAATGAGCATGAACAAGATGGCAACGAGCTTCAGACCACCCCTGAATTCCGAGCCCACGTAGCCAAGAAGCTGGGAGCCCTGCTGGACAGGTAAACAAAGGTGGAGTTTCTCCTCTCTTGCCCTTGTTAATATGAACAGCAATGGCTCACATTGGCTGGGAGCTCACGGTGTCCAGGCTGGCACGGTGGCAGGCACCTGGCATATGTCATCTCCCTGCATTTATAAAGAACATTATCATGTGGGTCCTGTTGTTACCTTTATCCTCCAGGTGAGGAAACAGGCTGTCAGCAAGGAGACAGGTGTGCCTGAAGTCACATCATCATCGCAGCTACCATTTACTGAGCAACTGTTTGTGGCCAGGCTCTGTGCTAAGTGCTTGATGTCCATTTTCTCATTTAATCCTTCTGATGACCCTGAGAGGTAGGGACTGTTATCATTCCCACTGTACAGATGGGTAACTGAGGCTCAGAGAGGCAAAGTCATTTGCCCAGGGGACACCGCTATTAAGTGACAAAGCCAGGATTCAGAACCCAGGAGGGAACAGAATTGGGCCTCAAACCCAAGTGCGTCTGACTCCAAGCCCACATTTTTTTGTTTTGTTTTGTTTTTTGAGACAGAGTCTCACTCTGTCGCCCATGCTGGCGTGCAGTGGCACGCACAATCTTGGCTCACTGCAGCCTCCACCTCCTGGATTCAAGCGATTCTCATGCCTCAGCCTCCCAAGTAGCTGGACTTAACGGGCACCTGCCACCATACCAGGCTAATTTTTGTATTTTTAGTAGAGACGGGGTTTCACCGTGTTGACCAGGCTGATCTCGAACTCCTGACCTCGAGTGATCCACCTGCCTTGGCCTCCCAAAGTGCTGGGATTACAAGCGTGAGCCACTGTGCCGGGCCAAGCCCATGTTCTTAACCCCTGCATTATCCTGCAACCATGAGAGTAAGAGAGGAACATCGAGAAGCTCATTCCCGCCACAAGAGGGCAAGGAAGGACCGTGTTCCTATTTCTTGGGTGCCTTCTGTATGCTAGACACTGTGCCAGGTCTCTATCTTACATTCTCAGCACAGGTTGATAACCCAGTCGGTAAGGATTCAGGTTGGCATTCCTAAAGTAGGTGTCAAGGATACAACCTGTTTGAGTCCATATGGGCTGCTATAACAAAATAACATAAACTGGGTAGCTTATAAACAAAATAAATGTATTTCTCACATTTTGGAGGCTGAGAAGTCCAAGATCAAGGCACCAGCAGATTCAGTGTCTGGGGAGAGCCCTCTTCCCAGTACAGATGGCGCCTTCCTACTGTGTCCTCACATAGTGGCATGGGCGAGGGGTCTCTCTCAGACCTTTTTTATAGGAGCAGCAATTTCATTCATCAAGGCTCCACCCTCCCGACCTAATCACCTCTCAAAGGCCCCCATCTCCTAATCCTAATACCTTGGGTTGAGGATTTCTCTTTTTCTTTTCTCTTTTTGGAGACAGAGTCTCCCTCTGGAGCACAGTGGCGTGATCTCGGCTCACAACAACCTCCAGTTCCTGGGTTCAAGCGATTTTCATGCCTCAGCCTCCTGAGTAGCTGGGGTTACAGGTGCGCACCCACCACGCTTGGCTAATTTTTTGTATTTTTTGTATTTTCAGTAGAAATGGGTTTTCATTATGTTGGCCAGGCTGGTCTCGAACTCCTGACTTCAAGTGATCCACCGGCTCGGCCTCCCAGAGTGCTGGGATTGCAGGTGTAAGGCACCATGCCCAGCTGGGGTGAGGATTTCACCATAAGAATTTGGGGAGGACACAAACATTTGGATTCTAGCACTAGCCCAAAGCGTGGCTTTAGAAAAAAGGAGGTCCAACAGCAAAGAAGCGTGAGAAACACTGCAATCTACATACCTCCACGTGTCCTTGCAGACTGCAAGCCAGAGTAGTATATTCAAGGCTCTGAGAATTCCTGTAGTGAAGAGACCTGTGTAACTGTTTAGCCCAGCATTTTCCAAACTTGTTTGGCCACAGTGCCTTTGTTTCATGGAAAACCAGTCAACAACCTGCGGAACAGGTCTGGGGATACACTGGTCTAGATCTGTTCCTGACTGGCAGAGCCCTGGCAGGGTTTTGAAAGGGAGATGAGGCAGGATTTGGGGCCATTGTCATTCCATTCAAAGTAGATATCAAAAAGGACAAATGAGCCTTCCCAAAGTGTGAACCAGCTATTCTTCTGAGACAGAATGATGGGCCAGAGCCCCGCAGCCTGAATCCCACAGGGTTCCCCTCAATTGGAGAAAGTAGAGGAGGTGTTTAGGAAGGCAGCTGCATTTCAGCCTGTGGGAGCAGTTTTCCTTTGTGACTCTCTGGCTTCAGGCTGAACAGGGCCTGCTTGGCATTGCACTGAGTCACAGAGATGTTTCTGCAGTAGAAATGCCAGTCAGCCATGGTTAGAATATTCCCTGCAGCATTTTCATGTTTCTCCAAAGAAATCTAAATGATACCTTAGGCCAGGCGTGGCAGCTCATGCCTCTGATCCCAGCACTTTGGGAGGCTGAAGCGGGTGGATCATTTGAGGACAGGAGTTCGAGACCAGCCTGGCCAACATGGTGAGACCCCATCTCTACTAAAAATGCAAAAATTAGCTGGGCATGGTGGCGTGCACCTGTTATCCCAGCTACTTGGGAGGCTGAGGTAGGAGAATCGTTTGAACCCAGGATGCAGAGGTTGCAGTGAGCTGAGATCGTGCCACTGCACTCCAGCCTGGGTGACAGAGTGAGATCCCATCTCAAAAAAAAAAAAGGAAATGTAAATGATACTGCATTTGGTCCCTAGTGTTAGGTCAGTGTCTCTCAACCTTGGCGCTACTGACATCTTTGACTAGCATTTGTCGTGGGGGTCTATCCTTCTTCTTCCCATTATAGGATGTTTACCAACATCCCTGGCCTCTACCTACTAGATGATAGTAGCACTCACCCCACCAGTTGTGACATCCAAAAATGTCTCCAGACATTGCCAAATGCCCCTGATGGCCACCATTGAACCACTGTGTGGGGTCAAGAACAGGTGCCTGGGTGGCATCATCTCTACTCCCTCTCCCCGGGTTGCTTTTCCTGAACAGGGCTTGGGGGGCACCTTTGGCATACAGGAAGGGAGGTTAGGGAAAGCACCCAGGGCATTGCTGCGTCTGCCTCGAGGGCATTGCTGAGAGCCTTGTTCTCTGCTGTGCACAGTGGCATCTCCATCTGCACTCACCAGACACATGCTTCCTGGCCTTGTGCCTCTAGAGAAATGTGGTTTATTTTTATGTTAGAGAGCCTGTGAAGGCTGAAGCTTTTCTTGATGACAGTCATCATCTGCATCGTCATCATAGCTACCATTTGCTGAGCAGCTACTTGTGGCTAGGCCGTGTGCCACAAGTGCTTGATATCCATTTTCCCCTTCAATCCTTGTGACAACCTTAAGAGGTAGGGACCTTCATCGTTCCCACTGCACAGGTGGATAACAGAGACTCAGAGAGATAAAGTCATTTGCTTAAGGGACATAGCTAATAAGTGACAAAACCGGGATTCAAAACCCAGGTCTCTGAAGTCTGAATGAGGTCCATGAATTGGATCAATTTGCATTTCCTAGTTGTGATGTTGTACTATAGCGAGGCACAATGTTACCATTGCGAGAAAATGGATGGAGGGTCTATGGAACATCTGCATTATTTGTTGCTACTGCATGTCTACAATTATCTCCAATTTCTTTTAATTAAAAAAAAAAATTTAAAAACAGGTCTGCCCTGCTCCAGAAGCTGTCCTCTGAACCAGTTTTCTAGATTGGTCATATTTCCCTTTTCATGCTTGCTGCTAGGAAGCTCAGAGCAAAATGTATGCCCTCTCTCTAACAAGTGTATAGGACTTCCTGACTACACTTCTAGGTCTTTCTGTTCCTCTTGCCCTTATATCTCTTTGTCCTATTTGAAATTGCATTCATTTTGTTAAATTCTTTTCTTTTTTTGGAGATGGAGTCTTGCTCTGTCACCCAGGCTGGAGTGCAGTGGCGCAGTCTCAGTTCACTGCAAGCTCCGCCTCCCAGGTTCACGCCATTCTCCTGCCTCAGCCTCCCGAGTAGCTGGGACTACAGGCGCCCGCCACCATGCCCGGCTAATTTTTTGTATTTTTAGTAGAGATGGGGTTTCACCGTGTTAGCCAGAATGGTCTCGATCTCCTGGCCTCATGATCTGCCTGCCTTGGCCTCCCAAAGTGCTAGGATTACAGGCGTGAGCCACCATGCCTGGCCTCATCTTGTTTTACTATGTCTTTAAAACTTCTTCAACACTTACTGGAATAAAGTGGGCTTTAAAGAAATGAAGCACTGCAGTTCGCGTGGCAGAGGCTGGTCAGCATGTTATAACCAGACCATCAGCCCTCTTACTAGGCCAGCACGCTTTCGCTTTTGCATTTACAATCACATACCCCATCCCCTCCACTTGAAAAAGAATTTTGTTTTTGTCGTTATCCAAAAATCTCATCTTAAATCAACCGTCTCGTCTCCCTGTAGCTTCATTACCATCTCAGAAGCAGCAAAGGAGCCAGCAAAAGCTAAGGTACAGAAAGTCGCTTTGGAGGATGATGGTGAGTGGTTATACTTAATAGAAGCTATCATTTATTAAGCACCTAATGTGTGTCTGGAGGTGGGCGAAACAGTTTTGGTATATTCTTTTTTTTTTTTCTTTTTTTGAGATAGGAACTCTCTCTGCCACCTAGGCTGGAGTGCAGTGGAGCAATTATAGCTCAATGCAGCCTCAACCTCCCGGACCCAAGCAGTCCTCCCACCTCAGCTTCCTGAGTAGCTGGGACCACAGACACACACCACCACCCCTGGCTAATTATTTATGTTTTTTAGAGACAGGATCTCGCTATGTTGCCCAGGCTGGTCTTGAACTCCTGGCCTCAAGCCATCTGCCCACCTTAGCCTTCCAAAGTTCTGGGACTACAGGCGTGCACCACCACACCTGGCTAATTTTTGTATTTTTTTTTAGAGACAGGGTTCTGTCATGTTGCCCAGGCTGGTCTTAAACTCCTGGCCTCAAGCTATCCTCCCGCCTCAGACTACCAAAGTACTGGGGTTACAGGCATGGGCCACCTCACCATTCTTTCATCTGCTCAGCCCCTGTGGTGAGGCAGGTATTATGATTGAACCCCATGTACAGACAAGGAGACTGAGGCCCTGAGAAACGAAGTCATTTGCCTGAGGCGGCCTCGTCTGTGTCACCCTGAGCAGGAGCACTTTACTGCTGCCCTCCACAGCCTCGCCCATCTGCGTCTGTCCTGTACCAACACATTTGCCACTTTGAAGGCTGCCTTAGGTCAGGAGCTCAAGTGCTGACTTCCAGAAGCCTCTGAGGGCTTGCTGAGCTGATGTGGCTGCTGGCTCCTGCTCCAGCGCGCCCTCCACTGGCTCCATCAGGCATCAGCATGACCCTTGGCAGATGCAGAATCACTTTGTAGTTAGACGACTGATTCCTGGGTCTTTGCCTCTGGACCAGGAGCTCCTGAGGGCAGAGGCGGGGCAGCTTCAGCACCTGGCACCTGGGAGGAGGGGCTGGCATCTGGGGGTGCTGACTCTGCTCCTTTGTTTTTTTTGTTTGTTTGCTTGGTTGGGTTTTTTTGTTATTGTTTCTTTTTTAAATTTTTTTATTTTGTGTCTTCTTAAAATTTTTTTTTTGTTTCTCTTTATCTTTTCTTTCTTTCGTTTTCCTTTTTAAAATTTTTTTCTTTTTTGTTTCTTTATTTTTTATTTTTTTATGTTTCTTTTTGTTTTGTTTTGTTTTTGTTTGACTCTGCCCCATTGAATCTTAGGTTTCCGCCTTTTCTTCACATCTGTCCCTGGAGGCCGTGAGAAGGAAGAGTCTCCCCAACCCCGCCGAAAGCGACAGCCCTCCAGCTCCAGGTGAGAACTCACACCTCTCCTCACGTCCCCTCCTTTTTTCTCCTCTTCTGTCTTGGTGGGTTCCCTGGAATAGCCAAGCAGACTCCAGTCAGGACCAGGCCAAGGCAGTGGCCCTGTCAGGCAGCTGGAGAAATCATGAGCTCAGCGGGAGGGAAAGCCCTCTTGGCGGCAGCTTTGGATGTTTACTGCTTTTGAGCACCTGTCTTGGGCCAGACACCTCACTTGATCATAGTTGCCTCCTGGGACATCCCTGGGAGGCCTGGACTCTGTTAAGATCCCCGTTTTAGAGATGATACAGTCAGAGAGGTTAAGTCACTTAAGGAGGTCACAAGGCTGCTACGCCCAGAAGCCAGTATTGGAAGCCAGGTTGGCCTCACTCCCAAGCCTGAACTCACTACCTGCCTCTCTCTGCGGCCACCTTCTGGTGACCTGGACCAAGGGAGGACAGCGAGAGGCAGCTCTGGGGCTGTGTCCTGACTCCAGCTAACCCAGGGTACCCTCTCGTTGCAGCAGTGAGGACAGTGACGAGGAGTGGCGGCGGTGCCGGGAGGCAGCTGTGTCGGCGTCCGACATCCTACAGGAGTCAGCCATCCACAGCCCTGGAACAGTGGAGAAGGAGGCAAAGAAGAAAAGGAAGTTGAAAAAGAAAGCCAAGAAGGTGGCCAGTGTCGACTCGGCTGTCGCTGCCACCACCCCCACCAGCATGGCCACAGTCCAGAAGCAGAAGTCAGGTGAGCTCAACGGGGACCAGGTGTCGCTTGGGACCAAAAAGAAGAAAAAGGCAAAGAAGGCCAGCGAGACCTCTCCATTCCCACCAGCAAAGAGTGCTACAGCTATACCTGCAAACTGAACCCAGCCATGGGCACAGGGCTCAGCCAGCTCCAAGGACAAGGTGTCCCCCCCACCCTGGGGACAAGGCATTTCCAAGCCCCACCTCCCTCTCCAAGTTCAAGGACTGGGCTGGCAAACCCAGACTGCCCATGAGACCCTGATGGTGATGAAGGCTTGCTCGAGAGTTGGGCCAAAAAAGTGGCTGTAGGGTGAGAAGACCAATCAAGGCCTGCCCCTCTGTGCTCCCACGGAGGGCTGGCGGGGGCGCTGTGGTTCCAGAACATTTCATGACCTCAGGAAAAAAGGAACCTTCCAGTTATTTGAGACTAGTGGCCAAGTGGTGAAACCTCCATCTCCCTAGAACTGTCTGAGGTGGGCAGGGGAAGGGAGACCTTCCCCACCACCTCCTTAGCCTGGTGTGAGAAACAGTTTTTAGAAAATGAGAGAAGGGATCCCCAAGAGGCCAAGGCCCAGAGAAACTTTTGTTCTTCTCTCCTTAGCCCACATAGACTTCACAGAATCGTCTGAGAAAGGAGAGCTTTTTCACCCCTGGCTTTCTAGAATTTTCTTTGTCTGCATTTGTGAATATACCACACATGATGGTGTCTCTGAGCCGACCAGATTATGGAAACTCAATTGTCAGAGGACCCAAAACAAAACTTAGAGTGATTTGGATATTGCCTCTCTGTCAATGCTGAACCTTAAGACATTTTAAGTAAACATCCTCCTCCTCTCTACACCCCCAGGATTTGTGCGTTCACCCCACCCAAGACTTCAGGAAGTGTCATAGCACTCGTGGACTAGGTTTCATGGGACAAAGGCATTCTGCAAGAAGTAGAAGCTTGTGGCCGGGTGCAGTGGCTCATGCCTGTAATCCAAGCATTTTGAGAGGCCAAGGAGGTGGATCAATTGAGGCCAGGAGTTTGAGACCAGCCTGGCCAACATGGCGAGACCCCATCTCTACTAAAAATACAAAAATTAGCTGAGCATGTTGACACACGCCCGTAATCCCAGCTACTCAGGAGGCTGAGGTGGGAGAATCGCTTGAACCCAGGAGGTGCAGGTTGCAGTGAGCCGAGATTGCGCCACTGCACTCTAGCCTAAGCAATGGAGCAAGACCCTATCTCAAAAAAAAAAAAAGAAAAAGAAAAAGAAAAGAAGTAGAAGCTCATGGCCAGGGATGGTGGCTCACACCTGTAATCCCAGCACTTTGGGAGGCCGAGGCAGGTGGATCACTTGAGCCGAGTTCCAGACCAGCCTAGGCAACATGGTGAAACCTCGTCTCTATAAAAAAAAGAATACAAAAATTAGTTGGGCATGGTAGTGAGCGCCTGTGAGGCTGCTTGTGAGGCTGAGGTGGGAGGATCCCTTTAGTCCAGGAGTTCAAGGCTGCAGTGAGCTGTATAATGCCACTGCAGTCCAGCCTGGGTGACAGTGAGACCCTGTCTCCAAAACAAAATTTTTTTAAAAAGTAGAAGCTTGAGGTTAAGATGAAATCTGGCTTTGTCATTAGAGTCTCAGCAGAGCAAGAAAAGCAGAGATGTGGGGTGTGAGAGCGTGGGTGCTGGAGCCTGTCTCCTCTTCGCAGGCCTCTGGCCTGCCCCAGCCTCCCGCTACCTGCCCAAACCCCATCTGAATGATTTGTGGACAAGCAAGAAGTTTCCACCGCATTTCTCCTTGACTTTACTAAAAGTTAAATAAACGTGCCACTCGCCCCGGCTGGCTACAAGCTGCAGGGGGTGCCGGGTCACCCCAGGCCTTTTCCTGAATCCCAGGGTAGACGCGGTACACTGAAGGCCAGGTTCTCAGCAGCAGGCCCAGGGATGTGGGACCATGCTTGTCCTGGGTTCACAGGCTCCTTTGTCCCTCCTGGCAGTGCTCAGGACCTCAGACTCCTCAGGGTGGCTGCGAACTGCCCTCAGCCAGCCAGGCCCCCAGGCTTCTGAGTGTTAGTCCTGTCCACACAGGTAGCTCCTGTGCCCTGGGGTCACCTCTTTCTTCTCCTGGGCACCTCAGCTTGGCCAGTTCCCCGGCCCTGCTCAGCTGCTCGGGCCTTGCTGCCTTGTGAGCTCAGCTACTCCTGCCCCAAACAAGGGCAGGGTCTGCAGGGCGCTCGAGACAGAGGAGCTGCCCCACCAGGACCTGGACTTGGCACGGGTTGCGAGGCTCCCACAGGAGTAAGGACGACTTCCCAGCCCCGAAGTAGCCTTCCCAGTAGAGGCAGGAGGCCAGGCTGGCCTCAGAGGCATGATGCTCTTGGGAACAAATACAGGAAAGCTGGAGGTCATGGGGCCTGGGAGAGGGAATCGCTGGGGATGGGAAGCCAGGAGAGCCCTGCCTGCCTTCCCTGTTAGCTTCGGCCTCCCTGGGCTCAGGCGTTAGAGCCCCAGGCTCTGGCACAGAGTAGCCACCCAGGAAATGCCTGTGTGAGTAGGTGATGGGGTCAGTACAAATGGCATGTGGGTCACTAGCTGGAAGGAGTTGGGGCAGGAAGGAGTGGCCCGGTGGGTACATTGGTGACAGAACAAGGCCACGCTGATCCAGGGCCTCTCAGAGCTCAGCAGGTCACAGCTACACAGGCCTGTGTCCTGAGAAGTGTGGCTGCCAGAGTGGTGTAGCGGTCCCAGGGCTCTCCATAGGCCCAGGCTGGGGGTGCCCAAGTCATAGGCCGCCCCCTTCAGTTCCAAGTAAGAAGACTGTATCCCACGAAGCAGCGACAGTCCCTCCTACATCTGCCATGAACAGGCTTTGCTCCTAGCTCTCCACGACCCCCTCCTGTGCACCCCGAGCAGCCTCCACGGGTTGGGGCGCCTCAGAGCCCTCCCTTTCTGATGCATCAGAGCAGAGTGGGGAGCGAGGCACAGCTGTCCAGGAAGGGCCACGGTTGCTCGGCAGGCTCAGGTCCTCCAGGCAGGGCTGGCTGCTGCCCTCATCACCCCCCAAGCAGGCAGTACAGGCCCCAGGGCCCAGGTGCCGTGGTTACTGGGAGGAAGAGGCCATCTGGGTGGAGATGAAGGTCTCGATGACGCTGTGGTTGGATGGCAGCAGGTGGCTCTGGCCATTGCTGGAGTCTGAGCTCTGGTACAGCACCAGGCTGCTGGAGGACACTGCAGAGGCAAACAAGGCTGCTAGCCACCCACCAGGCACCCACACCCACCCCACCTGCCTGTCCCTAGGGGTACTCAGGATGGGGAGGCAGGGCCACACCTCCTGGATCACAGCAGATAACAGGAACCCCAAAGTCACACCTCTACCCTCGGTTCTTCAAAGGGAGCCTCCCAGCCAGGGTCCACGGCCGCCCATGGAGTGGCCTGAGTACATCTTAGTGTGAACACTGGAGAAGCCCCGGTGAGATGCCGAGGTAGGTAGTTGTACGTGTTGGCTTGGCTAGGCTGAGTCAAACACTAATCTAGGCGCTGCTGTGAATGCAGGTGCTTTGTAGATGTGGTTAATGCCACAATCAGTTGGCTTTGAGTGAAGGAGATTACCCTGAAAATATGGGTGGGCCTCCTACATCAGTGGAAGGCCGTAAGAGCAAAAACCGGTTTCCCAGAGAAGGAATTCTGCCTCAAGGCTGCAGAATTCACTCCCCAGAGCTGCCAGCAACAGATTTCAGGCCTGCCAGCCCCCCGCAGACACGGGCCAAGTCCTTCAAATAAATCTGTTGGTTCTGTGTTCCTGGAGAACCCTGACTGATGGCAATGGTTAAGAGAATGGGCTTTGAGGTGGGACCTGGGTTCGAGTCCTGGCCCTGCCATCTGGTAGCTGTGGGAGATGAGGCAAGTCCCTCCCCTCCTTGAGTGTCCACTTTCTCATCTGTAAAATGGGGGTGGTCATGGACACGCCTCATGGGGTGAATGCCAGGACACAGAATGGCCTCAGTGGCTGTCATGACAGCTGCCAGGGCCGGGTCCAGGAACCTTATAGAAAGGGGGCAGCTTGCAAAAAGGCAGGCTGCAAAGCCCACCCACCTGACTCCAAAGTGCCCACTCCTGACAATGGCATCATAGATTACAAACTCAGGTGACCGCCCCACCGCCAGGGGTCATTGGAGCCGATGTGAGTGGATGCAGTGAGGCCTGGTGCACTGTTATATGGGAATATGAATTTTTCCAATTTTCCAAAAGATGCCAGAAATCTGGATTTCTATGTGAAAATTCCTGATTTTGAAATGTTGGCAACAAATTCAAAGAATGTTCAACCCTGAGCCAAGCCAAACCAAACACATGCAAGAGTCGCTTCTGGCTCACAGACCTGGTCCTTATCGTTACTCTCCACTGCCTCTAACAATTACTTCATCATTTTCCTCAGTCCAGTCCCTGAGATGTTCTTGTAAGGTGGGCCCCATCTTCCTGGGGTCGCCTGTGCCTCTTGGGCTTCATGGAAGCCCACCCCACCCCTCCACGCCTGCCAGTGCTTCCTCACAGCAGCCCTAGGCCTGCTGCATGCACAGCCCCACAGTGACGGACAGCAACAGAAGGGGTGGGACCAACATGGAAGGGGGCAGGGACAGTAAGGGAGGGGGTGGAGCCAGGGCCTCTCACCTGTGGGGCTGGCGCTGAGCCGGTGGGCCGGCTGCAGGTGCTGGATGCTGGCAGGGTCCTGGCTGGGGACGTGGAGGGTGGTGGCCTGAGATGCCGGCGTGTGAAGCCCGGACTCACTGGAGGCCTCAGTGTCTGAGGTGAAGACCTGGGGGAGCAGAGCAGCCTCCTGAGCCCGGGGGATGTGGGGGTGAGGGGCTCTGTCA
Organism: Homo sapiens; assembly: GCF_000001405.40. Taxonomy (NCBI): domain Eukaryota; kingdom Metazoa; phylum Chordata; class Mammalia; order Primates; family Hominidae; genus Homo; species Homo sapiens. The sequence continues at coordinate 120,999,424 of NC_000012.12, read as the reverse complement.
CAGGCCAAGGGAGGGCCAGCAGGCCTGGACCTTACCTGCTTGGTGGGCGTGAGGCTGGCCAGGGCGCTCAGGTTGGTGGTGTCGGTGATGAGCATAGTCTGCGGGAGCAGGCCCGTGTGGGTGTACTGGGCCACCTCGGGCTTGTGGCTGTAGAGGGCTGGCCGCAGGGGAGAGAGGGGCAGACGTGGCAGACGTGCCTGACAGCCCTAGTCCCAGGCCTCAAGACTGGGGAAAGGGGGGCATGGGGCCTGCTGAACAGCCAGACTGGGCAGCAGTTGGAGATCCAGGGCTGATTTTCAAAACTGGAGGCTCCAGATAAAGGGACAGACCCTCTCCCCATTACAGGGAACTGCTCAGCTGCGCTTGATGCAGGGGAGCCTGGAGGAGGCCAGAAACCAACTCCAGCTCCTCTTGTCACCTGGAGACAGCAGGTATGAAAGGGAACGGGAGGTGCAGGTGCAGGGCTACTGTACTAAGCACGGGTGCTACGTACTAAGCGCAGGTGCTACTGTACTAAATGCAGGCGCTATGTACTAAGCACAGGTGCTACTATACTAAACACAGGTGCTATGTACTAAGCACAGGTGCTACTGTACTAAACTCAGGTGCTGTGTAGTAAGTTCAGGTGGCCCCTGTCAAAGAGCAAGGCAGAGGACAGCAGTACTTCCATCTCCAGGCCACCTTTCCAAATATAACCCCATGTTTTGCCTACAGCACCTCCACCCACCCCTCAGGAGACACATAGACCCTACAAGAGACACACAGACACTAGGAAAACGCACATAAACCACATATTCTCACAGTGACTCAGATAAAAATGTAACACACACACACGCATACACTCTCAACCATGTACACACAGACATACACAGGCCCCAAATCTCTTAACCCAGTCCCAAATTCCAAAAAGGTCTGAAACCAAAAGATTTCCTTAAGATTGGCACTAGAGCTCATTTGGTGGCGAAACCCAGCCTGAACCTGGTATGAGGTTATGAGTGTTTAAACTGCCTTGTGGAAATCCTATCTTTGGCTGCAGAAATAGCAGTGCTTTGATCACAGGGGGCTGTCTCAAACCCTGCTGGGAGTGTTATGTGATAGCTGGCATATCCACCAAATTACTTTTCTTTTTCTTTTTTTTTTTTTTGGCAGAGTACTCACTCTGTTGCCCAGGCTGGAGTGCAGTGCAGTGGCACAATCTCAGCTCACTGCAACCTCCGCCTCCCAGGTTCAAGCGATTCTGCCTCAGCCTCCCAAGTAGCTGGGACTACAGGCACGTGCCTCCACGCCTGGCTAATTTTTGTACTTTTAGTAGAGACGGGGTTTCACCGTGTTGGCCAGGCTGGTCTTGAACTCCTGACCTCAAGTGATCTGCCCACCTCGGCCTTCCAAAGTGCTGGGATTACAGGCATGAGCCACCACGCCTGGCCCCAGATTACCTTTCTAAAATCTGAATAGATTTTAGAAATTCATATGGCCCTAAGAGTTTCAGAGAAACACAGGCATGCACACAAATGCATGCACAACCGATACACACCCAGACACGCACTAGGGATCTGCTCACACAAGCAGTCGTGCACACACACAGATACGTGCATTCACATGGGAACACACTGGCCTGCAGACACCCTCAATCACGGAAACACACTTGTCCCAGAGACACATGCAGACTGCAATGCCTGCCAGGCACCCCTTTCCCCTGCATCCATTGACAGCCAACCTCTATCATCATCTCCTGCTGTGTGGGGCACAGGGCGCTCACCGTGGGGGCTCTGCAGCTGAGCCATGGTGGCCATGAAGGGGCTCTGGGTCACATGGCTCTGCACAGGTGGCATGAGCGGCTGCTGGTAGGAGGGGTGCAGCGGCTGGGAGAACTGGACGGGCTGCAGGGTGGTCAGGCTGCTGCCCATGCTGTTGATGACCGGCACACTCTGTGCCTGCGTGGAGGCCAGGCCTGGAGTGGAAGGGGAGGGAATCAGCTGGGCCCCCCAGTTATATCCCACCCCTGCCCAAGACCTCCCAAGGGCACCACCTCTCCTTCCCAGAGCCCGTGGTTTGGAGGAGGGGGCAGGGTGGTCAGGAAACAGCCCTCCACTGGGACCTGCCACTAATTTAAGTGGCTCTGGCAAGTCATTCCCCCTCTCTGAGCCTTTAGCTCTTTGTCTAGGCTAGTGGGAGAGGCAGGCGGTGACTTGTTCAAAAGTTGTCAAACTGCGGTTCCCTGGAGCCCTGGGGTTCCACAGCAGTGCAAAGGCCATGGGGTCAGTTCTCTGCTCCCCTCTCCTAGCAGCTCCTTATCTATCTTATGTACTGGGCTTCTGCATAATTGTACCTGCAAATAAGGGCTTTCTGGGCTTAATTTTTCTTCATAAAACAAAAACTTAGAAAACATCAGTCCCCCTTACCCTGCTGTAATTTGCCCATAGACCCTTCACCTTCTGAGGTACCACAGAATTGATGTATTATGCTTAGTGCCTGCCTCCCTGCTTGAGTTGCTGAGATTTTGGTCTGTTTGGTTCACCCAGGTATCACTGATGTAGCACAGTGACTGGTCCAGAGTAGGCACTGGATAAATACATGTTGTATGAATGAATGAATGAGTCCCAGTGGCTCTTCCAGCTCCTGGATTCTGCGGTTGCCCCATGAGCCTCCCACCCAGGTGCCCACCCATCCCCACCAGCTTACCGATGACCAGGGTGGAGGCACCTGTGTTGGTGAACGTAGGACCCAGGGAGGCAGGCTCACCAGGCCCGATGGTCATGACCCCAGGAAGTGAGGCCATGATGAGGTTCTGGGGCTGCTGGTTGAGGCCTGGGGATGTCTGCTCCAAGCTGTGCAGTGCTGTCAGGGTGCTGACAGGGGGGAGGGGGCCCCCAGCTGCTGAGACCTACGAGGGGAAGCCAAGCTGTGTCCGGGGGGCCGGGGTCCCCACAGGGCCTCCCTAGGGACTGCTCCAGAATCTCCCTGCCAAGGAAAGATGAGGTTGGGTTTTCCTTACAAGCAAGGACACTCACCAGCTTGGCTTCTGTACTCAGCAGGCTGTGGCTGGGCTCCAGGCCCGTGGGGGACACTTGGTGGAGGGGTGTAGACACTGTCACTAAGGGACCGCCGCTGCTTGAGGGTACTTCTGCAGTCTCACTGGTCGCAGGCTGTCCATAGCGCACACCTGGAGAGGGAAGCAGTGTCCTGCCTCAGCACCCCACTTCCCTGCCCTCCCCTGCCTCCACAGCCCTCAGCACTTCAAACTCCATTGGTTTGCTTAGGCCAGCTGCCTGTCTGCCTTTATGCAGCCAGCAAATCTGCCTTTGTTTCTACCTTTTGCCAAGCCCTGGGTCAGCTGCTCCCAGTTCCTTGAAGGCTGGGACTGCATTTATTAGCTCCATTCCTCCCACTGCCTAGTGCTATACCTGACATGCAGTAGGTGCTCAGTAGAAGACAACTGAACTGAATTTAACTGAATTTAGTTGAATTGAAATGAATTGAATTGATACAATCTGAAATGAATGAATTGAATTGAATTAACCCAAATCAACTTAGGTTGAGTTGAGTGGAATGATATGAAGTGGAGTGGATGGTGTGGAGTAGAGTAGATGGAATTGAGTGGAATGAGTGGGATCAAGTGGAATGGGTACAGTCGAGTGGAGTGGTAAAGGGTGGAGAGGACGGGTGGGGAGGAATAGAGTGGAGTGGAATGGTATAGGGTGGAGTGGATGGAATGGTGAGGAATAGTGTGGCGTGGAGTGGAATGAATGGAGTGGCTAGAGTGGAATGGATGGAGTTGTGTGAACACAGTGGAGTGGAATGGTATGGAGTGGAGTGAGTGGGTTGGAGTGGAGTGAATGGAGTAGACTGGAATGGTGGAGTATGTGAATAGAGTGGAGTGGAATGGTATAGAGTGGAGTGAGTGGATGAAGTAGAGTGGAATGGATGAAATGTGGAGTCATGTGGAGTGAATGGAGTTGAGTGGATGGGACAGATAGAATAAAATGGTATGTAGTGGAGAGGAGTGGAGAGAAGAGTGGGTAGAGTGGATGGAGTGGAGTCTAATGGAGCTGGTTGGAGTGCAGTGGATGGAATGGGTGGAGTGGAGTGGATGGAGCAGAGTTGAATGAAGTAGAGGGAGTGGAGTAGATGGAGTTGAGTGAGTGGAGTGGATGGAGTGGAGCTGAATGGAGTGGATGGAGTAAGTGGATGGAATAGAGTATGGAGTGGATGGAGTAGAGTTGAATGTAGTAGATGGAGTGGAGTGGATGGAGCCAGGTATGGAGTGGATGGAGTGGAGTTGAATGTAGTGGATGGGATGAAGTTGGATGGAATGGATGGAGTGGAATGAATGGAGTGGAGTTGAATGTAGTAGATGGGATGAAGTTGGATGGAATGGATGGAGGGGAGTGGATGGAGTAGAGTTGAATGTAGTAGATGGAGTACAGTGGATGGAGTGGAGTTGAATGTACTGGATGGGATGAAGTTGGAGGGAATGGATGGAGTGGAGTGGATGGAGTGGAGTTGAATGTAGTAGATGGGATGAAGTTGGATGCAATGGATGGAGTGGAGTGGATGGAGTAGAGTTGAATGTAGTAGATGGGATGAAGTTGGATGGAATGGATGGAGTGGAGTGGATGGATGGGGTAGAGTTGAAGGTAGTAGATGGAGTAGAGTGGATGGAGTGGAGTTGAATGTAGTGGATGGGATGAAGTTGGACGGAGTGGAGTGGATGGAGTGGAGTTGAGTGGAGTGAATGGAGTAGAGTGGATGGAGTGGAGTCGAAGGTAGTGGATGGAGTGGATGGAATGGGGTTAATTGTGGTGGATGGAGTGAATAGAGTGGAAAGGAGTAGAGTGAATGGAATGAGATAGAGTGGAATGGATGAATGAACAGAGTGAAGTAGAGTGATAAGGAGTGGCATGAATGGAATGGAACCAAACTGAAGTGCAAAGAGGTTTAGGTGACTGCTGTCACTGGGACAGTCCTCCCCAACCCTCCCACCTTCCCACGTGTCCCTTGTCCCCACATACCACTTACCGTGGACCTTACTGGGGGAGAGGGCAGGTGGAGGCAGGCCAGGGGAGCTGTGAGCGGGCAGCGCAGGTCCCGGGCCTGGCCCTGGGGGGGGCCCGCTGTACGTGTCCATGGCCAGCTTGTGCCGGAAGGCTTCTTCTTTGCGCCGGTTGGCAAACCAGTTGTAGACACGCACCTCCGTGACGAGGTTGGAGCCCAGCCCCTGTGCCTGTGATGGGGACACCCCTCTCTGGATGCATTCCGCCCTGCAGAAATAGCCACCCATGAGCCTCCAGGCCAGGCTCAGAGGAACCCTGTCCTGGGCATGAAGGGGAGGGTTCTGAGAAGCTGAGCTCTGCCGGAGGGTTTGAGGCTGGCAGATCTGGGTTCCAATGCCAGGTCTGCTGTGTGACCTTGGGCAATTGACAGTCTGTCTGACCTCAGTCTCTCCATTCATAAAGTGAGCAAAAGAGCCATAGGATTGTAGAGAGAATCGAATTGGGTGAGCATCCATGGAAGGGGTTGCTTGGTGTCCAGGGTGCAGGGGGGCTGCGAGGAATGGGCTTAGGTTCAAGTATTCTCAATTTTCTGGGCCAGGCTAAGCCAATATCAGGAGTTCTCGGCAACTGGACAGCCTTTTACAGGACCTAGAGTCACCTTCCCCTTCCCTGGCCTTGCCGCAGCCCAGACCAAACCAGCACTGTTTCCCGCCCGCCGTTGTACCTATTGCACTCCTCCACTAGCGTCTCTCGCTCCTCCTTGCTAGGGTTCTTCTGCCTCTCATAGGCCTGGAACAGGATCTGCTGGGATGCTGGGCCCCACTTGAAACGGTTCCTCCGCCCCTTCTTGGTTGGTAGCTCATCACCTGTGGGCTCTTCAATCAGCCCTCCCTGCCCTGCATGGGTGAACTCTGCAGGCACAGAAAGCCGTGAGTGGGGTACTGGCCACTCTCACCTTCCCACGTCCATTCCCCTGACCTTGCCCTTGATTCTTTCTCATTGCCATGGCGCTGAACCAGAGGAGCTTACAGCTAGAACTTAGAAATCATCTAATCTACTGATGACAAACACACAGCACACATGCCATCACTTTCTTAACCTGTGTTCAAGGCAAACATCACTAATCAATCCCTGAATGCTTTCCTACCAACCCAAGATATGATCTCACCATCCTTCTCAGTACAAGACTGCAGGTAAGCATTAGCATTTGTTCTGATTTGGCACATTTACTATCCCCATTGTACAGATGAGGAAGCTGAGGCTCAGAGAGCTTACATATTTTTCCAGAGTCACGCAGTAGAGCAAAAATTTGAGCCATATGTCCTCAGTGTATTCAGAATTATATTCAGCTTTCCAGACTTGAAAATCAGGCTTAAAATGCAAATGTTAGCTAGAGGAAGAGACCCAGCCAGCCTTCATCAGCTGGTACCACTTTACTGGAAACTGGTCTACCAGCTTATCCCTGAGCAGGCCACCAAAGGACTGGGACACACAAGTGCTAGGACAGCACTTTATGAGAAGAGAGGAAGGTAGATTCTGAATCAGGGGCGCAGCAGCAGCAGCAGGGCCCTCACCATCTCAGTGCCAAGAAACAGCAGCGGGCATAAGTGGCTAGGACTACACACCTGCTGCACCACACCTGGCTCATTTATTCGTATTTTTTGGAGAGATGGGGTCTCCTTCTGTTGCCCAGGCTGGTCTTGAACTCTTAGGCTCAAGTGATCCTCCCACTTTTGCCTCCCAAATGTGCTGGGATTACAGGTGGGTACAACCACACCAGGCTGGGAGCTGGTAATATTCTATTTTTTATCTGTATTGGTGTGTTCACTTTGTGAAAATTCATTGAACTGTATGCTTTGGATTTGGGCACTTTTTATGTTAGACTTCATTTAAAAGTTTCTGTTATAGCAGACACAGTGATGTGTGCCTGCCATTCCAGCTACTTAAGAGGCTGAGGCAGGGATCACTTGAGCCCGGAAGTTCAAAACTAGCCTGGGCAACATGGCAAGACCTCATCTCAAAAAATAAAATAAATAAAAGTTTACATTATCAAGTATAAAAAGAGTCATTCAACTGAAAGTAGCTGAAAAGAAGAGCTCTTTTCCTTCCAAGGTTGCTAAGCTGGTAGGATGGCAGCCCAGGGCTTCCAGAACCCATCTTTGCCTATATGAGGAGAGCCTGTCTGAGAATGAAGCCAACAAAAAAGAAAAGAGTCAAGAAATGCTGTGTGAACCTCATTTGAGCCCCTTGATCTAGCCATGCCTGAAGCAGCCCTGGACTCCTCACATTGCTTCAGTCAATTCATTCCCTTTTCTGTTTAAATCCATTTGAGTTGGGGTTCTGTCCCCTGTTACTGAAAGAGTCCTAATACTACAGTCATATATTGACTCTGCATCTCAAATTCTCCAATTTCTCCTTAAAAGTTAAAAATCCCCCAGGGAAAGCTATTTGGGCCACAGTTTGCATCTCTATTCTCAGCTCTAGGCTGAAGTCCTTGATGACATTTCTAACTGTTAGAAATTTTTTAATGCATTTTATCGAATATTGTAAAATTTCGTCTAGTGATGGTTTTAGGAGAACACTATTTCTCTCAGAAACTAAATCTAGTTCTAACAGATTTTCAGAATAAATCTTTGTTTCTTCTCATACAAATTAAAATAGTATTAAAATGTACTGTTTTTCCAAGTGTGTATTACAGCACAGTAGAGTGTGAACACCCCAATAATTGGGATGAGGGGTAGCTATAGAGTAAGGACTAGAGTTGTCTATTGCATGCATGCATGCATGCATACATACATACATCATACATACATACATACATACATACATACATTTATTTGACAGAGTCTCCCTCTGTCACCCAGGCTGGAGTGCAGTGGCGTGATCTTGGCTCACTGCAACCTCTGCCTCCTGGGTTCAAGCGATTCCCTTGCCTTGGCCTCCCAAGTAGCTGGGATTACAGGCATGCGCCACTATGTCCAGCTAATTTTTGTATTTTTAGTTAAGATGGGGTTTCACCATGTTGACCAGGCTGGTCTCAGACTCCTGCCCTCAAGTGAGCCACCTGCCTTGGCCTCCCAAAGTGCTGGGATTACAGGCATGAGCCACTGCGCCCGGCCTGCATACATTTTTTTTTTCAACAGTGATTTTTACTGCTGGTGGAAGTGTACATTGATATAACTTCTTTGGAAGGAACTATGCCAATATGTACCCAAGATTTTAAAGCAGCTACTCTGTGTTCCAGCAGTCCACTTCTAGGAATTTATCCTACAGACACAGTCACATGTGAACATGCACTTATATAAAGAAGGATGTTTTTTGCTGCAGTTGGTTGTATTCGCAGATTGCAAAATCCCTAAAAGTCCTTCAGTAGGTGGCCAGTTAAACAAATAACAGCCAGCAGCCCTTATAAAGAATGAGATCCATCAATCTCTCAGTGCCAATATGAAAAGATATACAGGATTTATTGCCAAGAGACAAAACACAACATGTAAAATAGTGTGTCTAGTATGTTCCCATTAATCAGAAAAAGAGCAAGAAAATAACATATCTATTGCTACTATATGCAGAAAATCTCTCTGGAAGGATACACAAGAGTCTGGGAATTCCAGTGGCTGCTTTAGGGTAAAGGCATCTAATTTTTCTTATAAACTCTGTTTTTCTTCTTTTTTTTTAACCAAATGTGTATTGCCTTTCTTTCTTTCTCTCGTTCTTTTTCTTTCTTTTCTTTTCCTTCCTTCCTTCCTTCCTCCCTTTCCTACCTTTCCTCCCTTTCCTACCTTTCCTCCCTTTCCTATCTTTCCTCCCTTTCCTATCTTTCCTCCCTTTCCTATCATCTTTCCTTTCTTTCTTTTTTAGAGGAGGAACCTTGCCATGTTGTCCAGGTTGGAGCCGAACCCCTGGGGGCTCAAACAGTCCTCCCACCTCAGCCTCCTCAGTAGCTGAGATTATGGCACACCACCATGCCTGGCTATTTCCTTTTTTAAAAACCTGGATAATTAAGGCCAGGCGCGGTGGCTCACGCCTATAATCCCAGCGCTTTGGGAGGCCAAGGCGGGCGGATCACGAGGTCAGGAGATCGAGACCATGGTGAAACCCCGACTCTACTAAAAATACAAAAAATTAGCTGGGCGTGGTGGCGGGCACCTGTAGTCCCAGCTACTCGGGAGGCTGAGGCAGGAGAATGGCATGAACCCGGAAGGCGGAGCTTGCAGTGAGCCGAGATCACGCCACTGCACTCCAGCCTGGGCAACAGAGTGAGACTCTGTCTCAAAAAAATAAAAAAATAATAAAAAAAAATTAACCTGGATAATTAATAAAAGAAATGTCAAAAAATGTCACACATAGATGGAGGTTGGAAGGTGACAGTGCCCTTGGGATTTGGTGGGGTATGAGGCCTGGAGAAGAAAACCCACCATTCCCTGAGTAATAGGGCTCCCAGAGCTTCCTGAGTTTGCAGTGGAGGATTTCCTGACCGTAGACCTTGCCTCTGAGCCTTTACTGATGCTGTTCCTTCTGCCTGAAACACCCTTCCCTGCGTCTCCATGGGTCAAAATTCAACTCCCACTTTAAGACCTAGTCTAAAGGTCATATTCTAAAGGTCATATTTGCAATGTGAGGCTTCCTGATACCTCTGCCTTCCTGAGGAAGAACAGGTTACTCCCCAGTCGACAGTCAGCTCAGCACCCTGAAATGCTTTGTGTAATACTCTGCACTGGACCAGGCACCCCAAAAATGCATGATAAATAGTGGCCATTATTGTTGTTGTTGTGGCTGCTGTTGTCCCATTCTAATACATGACTCGCTGGATCATAATGAGCTTTTCTCCCACTTTCCCACTTAACCATGGGCTCTGAGAAAGCAGGGACCCAGGCCGGGTATGGTGGCTCACGCCTGTAATCCCAGCACTTTGGGAGGCTGAGGTGGGTGGATCACCTGAGGTCAGGAGTTCGAGACCAGCCTGGCCAACATGGTGAAACCCCCGTCTCTACTAAAACTACAAAAAATTAGCCAGGCATGGTGGTGGGCACCTGTGATCCCAGCTATTCCGGAGGCTGAGGCAGGAGAATTGCTTGAACCTGGGAGGAGGAGGTCACAGTGAGCTGAGGTCGCACCACTGAACTCCAGCCTGGGCAATAAGAGCAAAACTCTATCTAAAAAAAGAAAAAGAAAGCAGGGACCCATTTCATTCATCTTTGGATGTTCAGGACCAAGTCTACTCCCGTCCCACAGAGTGCCTGGCGCAGAATAGGTAATAAATGCAGGTTGAATCCCACTGACTTCCTTTCCATCTACCTGTCTGTGTAATGGGGATGGTGAAGCTTCCAGCCCCCACCTATGAGTTAGGGGAGAGTCCTGGGCCCTCCCAGGGAAGATGCGGGGTAGGGTCATTACTTACGCTGCGCCACCTCTCGCTGCTTGCGGACGTACCAGGTGTACAGGGCGGCCCGCTTCTGCGTCTTCATGGGAGTGCCCTTGTTGAGGTGTTGGGACAGGTGGGACTGGTTGAGGCCAGTGGTATCGACCACCTCCCGCTGTGGGATGTTGTGCTGCTGCAGGTAGGACTTGACCATCTTCGCCACACGCCACGGGTCCTCCCTGGGAGAGGGCAAGGACGGGATCTGCTCAGCAAGGGCTGTCTCTCCCCATAGGTGGGGCTGCGGTCCTGGGTGCTGGAACCTTGTCAACCCTGAGGGTGGGGACTGTGCATGAAAGCAGTTATGGAGCCCAGGGGCCTACACATAGACTCAGGGACGGTGAGGTATGGTCATTTATGCCAGGACACAGGGACACAGACACATGGTCATGAGGACAGAGACTTGTAGACGCACACACATGACAAACGTGGACACAGGCCTATGGATACAGACACTGGAACAGATAAAGGTTTAGAAACATGGATACACAGACACACAACACAGATGAAGATATGTGGATGGATGGATGGGTGAATGGATGAATGGATGAATGGGTGGATGGACGGATGGATGGATGGGTGGGTGGATGGATGGATGGGCGAATGGGTGGATGGATGGATGAATTGGTGGATAGATGGATGGACTGGTGGATGGATGGTAGGGTAGAGTGGATGGACAGATAGATGGGTGGATGGATGATGGATGGATGGATGGTTGGATGAATGGATGGATGGATTGGTGGGTGGGTGGGTGGATGGATGATGGATGGATGGATGGTTGGATGAATGGATGGATGGATTGGTGGGTGGGTGGGTAGATGGATGATGGATGGATGGATGGTTGGATGAATGGATGGATGGATTGGTGGGTGGGTGGGTGGATGGATGATGGATGGATGGATGGTTGGATGAATGGATGGATGGATTGGTGGGTGGGTGGGTGGATGGATGATGGATGGATGGATGGTTGGATGAATGGATGGATGGATTGGTGGGTGGGTGGGTAGATGGATGATGGATGGATGGACGAAGGAGACCTGCTGGAAAAAGGAAAGCATTAAATCTGAAAACAAGGAAAGAAATATGGATTCTCCAATTTTACACCTACTCCAGCCTGGGTGACAGAACAAGACCCTGTCTCAAAAAAAAGAAAAGAAAAGAAAAAAAGTGCATTTACTGCCAGTGATTAGGGTGCAAACACGTAGATAGATAGATAGATAGATAGATAGATAGATAGATAGATAGATAGATCAACTTTGTGACTTTTTGCCCTAAAGGCTGTCTTAGAACTGAATCCTTTCAGGTGGGTGGGACTCTGCTTGTCCTGTGACCTTGGACAAGGAATAAAATGATGCAAATTCTGTGGGCCTCAGTGGCTTCTCTCTCTCTGTATATATATATATGTGTATATATATATATATATATTTTTAAAAATGCTTCCTGAAAATCTGCACCCTTGGCTGTGGCCAGGCCTGTTTCCCTGCAGCACCAGAACAGGAGGCTGGTTTTTCTTTTCTTTTTCTTTTTTTTTTTTTTTTTTGAGATGGAGTCTCACTCTGTCACCCAGGCTCGAGTGCAGTGGCGCGATCTCGGCTCACTGCAAGTTCCACCTCCTGGGTTCATGCCGTTCTCCTGCCTCAGCCTCCCAAGTAGCTGGGCCTACAGGCACCCGCCACCACGCCCGGCTAATTTTTTTGTATTTTTAGTAGAGACGGGGTTTCACCGTGTTAGCCAGGATGGTCTCGATCTCCTGATCTTGTGATCTGCCTGCCTCGGCCTCCCAAAGTGCTGGGATTACTGGCGTGAGCCACCGCGCCCGGCCGCGGCTGGTTTTTCAACAGAGTCTCAGGTGACAGGGTTGACATTCAGAGGCCTCATAGTACCAAAAATGCATGTGAACACTGGAATCCTACTCTGTGGGTTGAGATTCTCCCACCAGAGAGACTCAAAGGGACCTGATGCCACCTGTGAGTCATGTCTCTGCTGTGGGTCTCCCTGTGGGGGAACAGAAGGGATCAGACTGCCTGAGCCATATAAATTTTCTCTCCTCCTCTCCTGCTCTGTCTCAATCCCTGCCTCTTTCTCTCTCCCTCTCCTGAACTTATATTACCAATATGTCACAGATAGGCTGGGTGCAGTGACTCACACCTGTAATCCCAGCACTTTGGGAGGCCAAGGTGGGCGGGTCTTTTGAGGTTAGGAGTTCAAGACCAGCCTGGCCAACATGGAGAAAACCATCTCTACGAAAAAAATAATAAAAATAAAAAATAAGTCAGATATTGTGGCAGGTGCCTGTAATCCCGGCTACTCGGGAGGCTGAGGCAGGAGGATTGCTTGAACCCGGGAGGCAGAGGTTGCAGTGAGCCGAGATCGCGCCACTGCATTCCAGCCTGGGCAACAGAGTGAGACTCCGTCTCAAAAAACAAACAAACAAACAAAAAGTTACAGATAAATACAGCTCAATACAGCAGCACTGAAACAGGCAGACTGGGATTTGAACTTGGGTCTGCGTGATTCCAAAGCCTGTGCTTTCCCCTGCCTCGCTGAGCAATTCGCTTCTAGAATTTGTGGCTTTTAATATTGGCACAGGTGACAAATGGCACAAGTAGAAGGCAATTCCTTGCCACGTTGCTTGCCATAGCAAAAGATTGGAAGCCACCAAGGAGCCCAGCAAAAGGATACTGATTAACTAAATGGAGGTGCATCTGTTCAATGCAACCACTGAAAAAACCCCGCTGAGGAAGCTCTGTGTGCCCAGGTGGAGCAGAGTTTATCTGGTGTGTCTGCTGTGCTGCTACTTATGAATAATTTGAAGTGAGGTAAAAGAGGATTTCTACATATTTGTGCACGTGTAAAATACCGGAGGGCACGCAAGGAACTGGGGACTCTGGTTCCTTCCAGAGGAGAACGGGGTGCTGGGGATGGGAGTGAGAAGGACAGTTTTCTCTGTTGTCCTTGTGTACTTTGTAAATTACATAATATATACTATATATGCATACATGATATTTATTTTTATTTAGTTTTTTTTTTTGAGACAAAGCCTTGCTCTGTGGCCAGGCTGGAGTGCAGTGGCGCGAGCTCAGCTCACTGCAACCTCTGATTCCCAGGTTCAAGCGATTCTCCTGCCTCAGCCTCCCGAGTAGCTGGGATTACAGGTGTGCGCTACCACACCCAGCTAATTTTTATATTTTTAGTAGAGACAGGGTTTCACCATGTTGGCCAGGCTGGTCTCAAACTCCCGACTTCAGGTGATCCATCTGCCTTGGCCTCCCAAAGTGCTGGGATTACAGGTGTGAGCCACCGTGCCCAGCCAATATTTATTTTTATTTATTTATTTTTCTTTTTAGAGGCTACTTGCTCTGTCTCCCAGGCTGGAGCACAGTGGCGTGATCATAGCTCACTGTAGCCTCAAACTCCTGGGCTCAATTGGTTCTCCCACCTCGGACTCCCAAGTACTTGGGACCACAGGCACATGCCAACATGCCCAGCTAATTTTTGTACTTTTTCTTCTTTTTTCTATTTTTTTTTTTTCATAGAGACAGGGTCTTGCTATGTTGGCCAGGCTGGTCTCAAACTCCTGGGCTCAAGCGATCCTCCCACCTTGGCATATATAATATTTAAAACTGAATTGTAAACTGGGTATGGTGGCTCATGGTGGTAATCCCAGCTCTTTGAAAGGCCGAGGTGGGAGGATCACTTGAGCCCTGCAGTTCAAGACCAGCCTGGACAACATAGTGAGACTCTGTCTCTATAAAAAAAAAAATAAATTAGCCAGGCATGGTGGTGCACACCTGTAGTCCCAGCTCCTCAGGAGGCTAAGGTGGGAGGATTCCTTGGGCCCAGGAGTTTGAGACCAGCCTGGACAACATAGTGGGACCCTGTTTCTACAAAAAATAGAAAAATTAGCTAAGTGTGGTGGCACAAGCCTGTAGTCCCAGCTACTTAGAAGGCTGAGACAAGAGGATCTCTTGAGCCCGAGAGGTCGGGGCTGCAATGAGCTGTGATCGCGCCACTGCACTCCAGCCTTGGCGACAGAGTGAAATCCTGTCTCAAAAAAAAAAAAAAAAAAGTCTGAGAACTCATGTTTCTTGAGGATTTACTGTGAGCCAGGCACCGTGCTGAGGACTGGCCACTTACATCTTATAACCCTAGGAAGTAGACGGTGTGCCCATTTTGCAGAGGAGAAAACTGAGGCTCAGAAAGGTGCAGTCACTTGTGCAAGGTGATCTAGTTGGGACTCAAAAATATTTCATGTTGCCAGGACCACCCCACCCCCGCAGGCCTCTCCCCAGCTTCTCTCTCTCCCTTCTTTCCGGGGCTCCTAGGATCCTCTCTCCTTCATCTCCCTGCTTTGCTGAGTGCCAGTCAGAGCTCAGAAGGAAGGGCAGTACAAAGTCCAGCCTGGTGCTCTGTGGCAAACATGTTTATCTGATCCTAGAGCCAGGCTGCCTGATGCCTCCCCTCCCCCATCTGCAGCCATCACCCTCCTGTGCCATGTCCTCCTGTGTCCTCCCTTCCTCCCTCCTTCCCTTCTCTCTCCCACAAAGAGAATAGGGTCAGTCTTCCTCTCACCTCTTGAGAGCCTCTCCTGGGCTCAAACCAAAGATTTTCTATGTGCCCCTGTCCATCTGATTCCATGTCTGTCTGTTTCTTTCTCTCTCTCTCTCTCTCATTCTCATTCTCTCATGCCAGGTCAAATTTAAGCTGAACTTGAAAATAAAACAAAGGCCAGCCACCCTGCACAAATACATGTGCAACCCTTAGAAACCGAAGACAGGCTTTTGAATGTGAAAATGGAAAGCAAACTGTTAAAGTGAGCTGATACGAACGTTCCACTTTTAAACAATTCCTAGTAGAGTTGGGCAAAAAATCCACAACAAAAAAGTGAATTTTAAATGCCAGTTAGGAGTCAGAGAACCAAGAGGGCATGTCTTTCCCTTTTCTGGGAGAAGCCACCTGTGCCACTTTTTTCTAGAACCTACTGAATCGATGTCTCTCTCTCCCTACCCCCCACTCCCTTGCTATCACTCTCTCTCTTCTGTCTCTCTGTGTGTCTCTTACACAAACACACACACACACACACACACACACACACACAGAGTCTTCAAGGGCCTGACTATTTTTGAGGGCAGATTCTCCAACTGTCCTAGCTCAGAACTAAGAGGCCAAGGCTGGGCGTGGTGGCTCATGCCTGTAATCCCCACACTTTGGGAGGCCGAGGCGGGTGGATCACATGAGGTCAGGAGTTAGAGACCACCCTGGCCAACACAGTGAAACCCTGTCTCTACTAAAAATACAAAAATTAGCTGGGTGTGGTGTCGTATGCCTGTGGTCCCAGCTACTCAGGAGGCTGAGGCAGGAGGATCACTTGAACCCGGGAGGCGGAGGTTGCAATGAGCCAAGACTGCGCCACTGCACTCCACCCCCAGCAACAGAGTGAGACTCCATCTCAAAAAAAAAAAAAGAAAGAAAGAAAAAGGAAAGAACTAAGAGGACAAGTCTCCAGGCATCTCCTGCTTTGACTCTAATGGGTTTGAGAGTCAAACCAATGTGGGTTCAAATCCCACCACTGTGACCTAGCCACGCGTGCTCTTGCATGACCCACATCTGCCCTGTAACGTGGGGTAAATCCACCCCTACCTCACACTGCTACTGGGAAAATTAAATGAGCTTCAAATAGGGAGGATGAACTTAGGGCAATGCCTGGTGCACAGTAAGTGCTGAATTTGTGGAATAATATTGTCATCATCATCATCTTAACAATGCAGCCCTGGAGACCCTTGGCCCCACACAGCAGAGCCCAGGAGAAGTGAAGACCCGCCCACATCTTCCTCCTCTCTCTCCTACCCTTTCCAGGGTCAATCGGATGTCCAAGGCTTTGAGCCTCTTGCCCTCTGGCCCCTGGGGTTTCAGGGCATGCAAGGTTGTGGTATTCATCTCCACATCTGGAGGGGAGCTGACTTCTCAGTGTGGGGGCTTTAGACCTGGCCTTGATTCTTTGCTTAACCTCCGTGTGCCTCAGTTTCCGCATCTGTGAAATGGGGCTAATGATATTTCAGACTTCAGAGATGGGGAGGAGGAAAAAATGAGCTTAGCGCATTTTGTAAGCCCTTTGTGAACTCCAAAGCACTGTATGGAAGTGAGTTGATGGTCAACTTAAACAGCAGGAATGACTGGGGAGGGGAAAGTGTGACCTCGAGGTTGCTGTATGGAGCGTGAGGTAGGAGGACCCAGGTCCAAGTCCTGGCTTGCCTTCAGTCATTTGGAAGAGTTTCGTTCGGTAAGGCACTGCCTCTCTCAGCCTTAATTTGCTCATCTGTAAAATGGGATCACTAATAATAACTGCTGTATATTGCAGTTACTACATGTTTACTCTACAAGTGCCATGCCATTTAACCCTGTGGACAAGGGCTATTGTCATCTCTACCCTGCAGACGAAACTGAGGCTCAGAAGTATAAAATCACCTGCTCAAGCTAGAAAGGGGCAGAGCTAGGATTAGGATGCAGGCAGTCTGGCTTTTGTTGGGGACGTCAGATCCTCTGTCCCCCCCCCCTCCTGCCGTGGCTACTGTTTTCCTGAGTCTCAGTGCCCTGATGCTGCCTGATGGGCAGGATCAGAATACTTCAAGATTGGGGTTTGAAGGCTGAGGGCAGTGGCTCTGAGTGCCTGTAATCCCAGCACTTTGGGAGGCCGAGGCGGGCGGATCACCTGAGGTCAGGAGTTTGAGACCAGCCTGGCCAACATAGTGAAACCCCATCTCTACTAAAATACAAAAAATCAGCCAGGCGTGGTGGTGCATGCCTGTAATCCCAGCTACTCGGGAGGCTGAGGCAGGAGAATGGCGTGAACCCAGGAGGCAGAGCTTGCAGTGAGCCGAGATCGCGCCATGCACTCCAGCCGGGCCGACAGAGTGAGACTCCGTCTCAAAAATAACAACAACAACAACAAAAAAGAAACACGCTGGGGTTTGAGCTGATCAGGGACAGAAAGGACCCGGGAGGACACCCAGGAAGGAACTCTGGGTCCCAGTTTCTCCCTTGGCCACGTCTCAGGCTGCTGGGCCCTGACCAACAGGGCAGCAGATATCTTCAGGGCCTCAGACAATCCCAGTCACTCACTCATTCCTGCTGTGCATCAGCCACTGGGCAGGATGTGGGTACAAGTGGTAAATAAGGCAACACGGGCCTTGTCCTTGAAGAGCTTCTATTTTCATGGCAGGAGATAGAAAACAAACAAATCAGATGATCACAAGTCTTGACAGGGAACCAGAGAAAGTGAACAACAGTAGTGGAAGAGAGTGACGGGGGTGGGGCCCCCTTTTGGATGGAGCAATCAGGGAGCTGAAGGAGAAGGAATCGGCCATGGGAAGATCTGGAAAGAGGTTCTGAGCAGCAGGAAGAGCACGTGCAAAGGCCCTGGGGTGGGAATTGGCTTGGGGTACTGAGGAACAGCAAAGCCAAAATGACTGCAGCAAAGGCCGAGAGGAAGAGAAAGACCTGGGAAGAGATCCAGGAATTTGGTGGGGTGGAGGGAGGGGAACGAAACCAAGGCAGGGAGTTTGGACTTTATTCCTTGGCCAGGGAGGGAAACTGAGGCAGAAGGAGAGGAACAGACTTTCCCAAGGTCACTCAGGGAGCTAAGGGGGAGATCTGAAGAAAGAGCTCAGGTTCCTGCTGTGGCCACCAACATGGGGCACCCCAGGGAGGCCTGGGACCCAGGACCCACCCCGGCTTCTTCCCAGACACTGACTTCTCCCGGGAAACAGCTTCTACTAGACATTCTGCCTCTGTACCGTCTTCCCAGCCTCAACCTCCCCAATGGCCCAGGCCTTCAATAGGGGTCCCCCGCCCCTCTCTCCCTGGCTCCTTTCCTGACCCTGACGCTGGAGGCCCCACTTTTTTCACTCAGGGCGTTTTCCGATCCCTTTTGTTACCTGAACAATAAGTAACCCAGGTAGTTAGTTATAAACTCTGCAGGAACAAGGAGCTGGTTGATAATTTATAGCAACATCTCAAATTTAAATGGAAAGTAAATAGCATGCTGTTAGCATTAAAGAAAACCCAATCGGGGCAGGCGGGAAGCACTCCAGCCTCCTTGCAAGCTTGGGGCGCCTCATTCTCTCCCGTGCCCCTTCTCCCAGCTGGGTCTGAGCCCCCGCCCCCCTGGCTCCTCCGTTCTGCTTCTCCCAGCTTCTCTGTCCATCTCCCCCAATGGCCTCTCTCTACACTCTCTGCCTCAGCTTCCAGGTCTCTGCTGGTCCCTAGGAAGCACTTTGACCTCTGCTTCCCCTTCAAATGCTGTGGATCAAGCCTCCCCAACCCCACCATCCCACCAAAGGGGGCTGCTGACCGAGAGAGCTCACTCAGCCAGGTAAGAAAGCATCCCCTGCCCCCACCCTCACCCCAAAGCCCCCAGTCCCATCTGGGGCCCTGGGCAGGTCAGGCCCAGCCCCACCCCGTCAGGTTGCCTTCGCCCTGGGTCTGGGATGCCTGACTCTTTGCCCCTCCCCTGCAGCTCTGGAGTCCTTTGCCCTCCTCTTCCTGCCAAGTCAGGGGGCCCTGACTGCTCCCCTGCCCCCTGTCCAGGCCCTCGGGAGGCTCCCTGAGGCCTCTGGGAAAGCAGGAATCCACCAGCCCTCCCCCACCCCAGCTGGGATCAGGACCTTGGACAGAAAAGAGATGGGCCCCTTTGGAGCATCTTTGGGGCTCGGTCTCTCTCTGACTCCCTGGCCACCCCCTGCAGGCCTCTGGTCCCCGGTCATAGCAATTGAGAGCACCGAACAGAGTAGGTTTGGGGCCTCAGTTTGGTGAACTTAGTCTAGCTCCTTCCCGGCTCTAAGCCCCAGTTTCCCCATTTGTGAAGCAGAGTCACCAATAGCTTCTGCCCAGGACTCCTCACCATGAAGGGAAATTATTCCTGTGAAACCTCAGCACAGCGCCCAGGAAGTAGTGAACCTCCTCAAGCAGGCGCTGTAGGGTGGAGGTCAGGGAGCCGCTGGGGAGGGGTGGCCCCTGTAGCCCCCAGGCCATCCTTCCTTCTCCCCCACACCCCCATCCCCCACCCCCACTAGGTGGGAGGTGGGTTGGCCCAGATCTTTCCAGGCCACCATTCCTACAAGTTAATGATCACAGACCTTATCAGAGCCTTTTGCCATTTATAAATTTATAAAACAAAAGAGAAATAATAAAGCACATGGGTAATTAGTAACTAGGTCAGCTCTGCTGAGGAGAGGGGAGGCATCGAGCTCAGGACCCACCCAGTTCTCCAGGAGACGGGGAGTCCGCCAGCGGATGGGGATGTAGAACGGGCAGCCTCTAATGGCGCCTGCTGGTGAGGTGGGGTGCCTGTGGCCATACAGGAAAGGGGAGCAGCTCCCACCTCGAGGCTCTGTCTGCCTCAGGTAAGAAAGACCTGGGCTTCCCTGGCTAAACGCATGAGTCCCTAGGAGGCCAGGAAAGCCCCCAAACCCCAGCTTCGGGCCCTCCTCCCTGGCAGTGCTTCCTGGGCCCCGGAGCCTACCCACTGAGGACTCAGTGCAGGAGTTAGGGTCTGGAGAGTATAAATGATCAGAGTGGCTAAAAATTTCCACCACCTCCCAGTTCTCCAGGCATTTGAGTTGTGAACTCACCTGCTTTTTCTCCCATCTTGGACCCCCCTGGGAAATGTCCCCCTTGCCCAAGGACTGGGCTAAAGGCCTGGGCTCATGGGATTTGGGACTCTGCAGAGGAGCAGTTCAGGGGCTGGAGGCTCAAACCTCCAAGCAAGGACCCCTGGGCTCTCATGGGCCCTGTCCCCCTTCCCAGCAACTAGGCTAAAGGCTGAAGGTCATGGGGACTCAACTCAGAAGGGGGGCTCGTTAGGAGCTGAGGGGGGCCCCTCTAGGCTCTCCTGGGAGCGGGGACGGGGCAGGGCTCCTTACTGCAGAAGGGTCTCCACCACGGCTTTCTGGTGGGCCGCCTCCTCAGGGCTGAGGTTCTCCAGCTCTTTGAGGATGGGTGGCGTGAAGTCTTCCCCATCGTCGTCCGTCTCGTCCTCGGAGCCCCGAGTCTCCCCCAGCCCATTGGGCAGCTCAGCCAGCTCCCCTCGACCGCCGCCGCAGGACTCCCCCTTGTCCAGGGGGCCTTCTCCAGCCAGGAGGTAGGGCCCCGGCTCACCCAGTGCCTGGATCAGTGCCTCTTTGCTCAGCCCTGACTCGAGCAGGGCCGCCAGGAGCTCCGTCTGCAGCTGGCTCAGTTTAGAAACCATGGCTCGGCTGCCACAGGGCCACGCGGCCCGGGTCCACCACGCTAGCCGCCTCCCCCACCGCGTGGGTTGCGTTTGCCTGCCGGCCGGCAGACACAAACCAAACTCCTTGCACCCACTGCCCCCCCAAAACCCCACTAGCCAAGCCCTGTGGGCACCCCCAACCCCCAACCCTGGCCCCAGCGGCCCGTGAATCAGGGCCCCTGCCTGTTCTGTTTACATTGGAGCTGGGGAAATTCTCCAAGGTTCATATTTATCCGTGTGCTTAGCGAAGGGACTGAACTTTGGACTTCAGCCCTGCAAAGTGCAGGCCTCATGGCAGCGGAGAGGGACAGGGAGCTATGGCCTGCGATGGGAGTGGGCAGAGGGGAGGGTGGGGGAGGCGCAGGTGAGGGGCCCTGAGCAGCTGGGATGGAAGGTGCTGGGAGCCAGGGAGGCCATCAGGAGAGCAGCGTTGGGTCCCACCCCCGAAAGAACCTTGTAGGGGCATCATGCTGAGACAGGAGAGCCAAAAATGCTTGCTGCTTACGAGAGCGGCAGCAGCAGGGAGCTCTAGACAGCTGGGCTAGCTCTTCTCAAGGGCAGAGGATGCTCACGGCCATTTTGGGGCCCTTCCATCCATTTTGGGACCCTTCCACCCCACTCCCGGCCTGACACCAGGCCTCCCTGTAGGAAAAAATATGTTAAGATTACCATGTGCCAAGAACAGTGCTGGCTCTGTGAGGGCGAATTCACTTCATTGCATTCTGCTACCAACTGTGAGCAGTTACAGAGATTATCCCCATTTTATAGAGGAGGAAATCGAGGCTCTGAGCGGTTAAGTAACTTGTCCAGGGTCATACAGCCAGCAAGGCAGAAAACATGCAAGGTGAGACTGAGTTGGGATGAGTGTGACACTTGCCTCAGGTGCAAATTTATTTTTTTATTTTTTGAGCTATGTTCTCACTTTGTCACCCAGGCTGGAGTGCTGTGGCGCGATCATGGCTTACTGCAGCCTTGACTTCCTGGGTTCAGGTGATCCTCCCGCCTCAGCCACCCAAGTACCCAAGTAGCTGGCACTACAGGCACGCACCACGACACCCAGCTGATTTTGTGTGTGTGTGTTGTGTGTGTTTGGGTTGTGTGTGTGTGTGTTTTTGAGACAGAGTCTCACTCTGTCACCCAGGCTTGGAGTGCAGTGGAGCAATCTTGGCTCACTGCAACCTCCGCCTCCCAGGTTCAAGCGATTCCCCTGCCTCAGCCTCCGGAGTAGCTGGGATTACAGGCACATACCACTACACCCGGCTAATTTTTTTGTATTCTTTATTGAGTTGGGGTTTCACCATGTTGGCCAGGCTGGTCTTGAACTCTTGACCTCAAGTGATTCGTCCGCCTCGGCCTCCCAAAGTGCTGGGATTACAGGTGTGAGCCACTGTGCCCGGCCTTGTGTGTGTATTTTTTGTGGAGACAGGGTCTTGCCATGCTGCCCAGGTTGGTCTCAAACTCCTGGACTCAAGCCATCCGCCCACCTCAGCCTCCCAAAGTGTTAGGATTACAGGCGTGCGCCACCATGCCTGGCAGCCCAGGTGCAAATTTTAAGGGAATGCCAAAAAACCCAGTCATCAAGGTAAATAACATTTTTATGCAATATGTTTTTAAAATTAAAATGAATGCAAAACCCCAAAGAATTAAAAACAGATGTCTATACAAAAACTTGTGCGTGAATGCTCATAGCAGCATTATTCACAAGAGCCAAAAAGTGGAAAAAACATAAATATTCATCACCTGATGAATATATAAACAAAATATGGCTTGACCATGCAATGGTATAGACATATATATTTTTTTCTTTCTTTTTTTTTTTTTTTGAGATGGGGGTCTCGCTCTGTTGCCCAGGCTGGAGTGCAGTGGTGCAATCTTGGCTCACTGCAACCTCCGCCTCCCGGGTTCAAGCAATTCTCCTGCCTGAGCCTCCCGAGTATCTGGAACTACAGGTATGTACCACCACGCCCAGCTAATTTTTGTATTTTTGGTAGAGATGGGGTTTTACCATGTTGGCCAGACTAGTCTCGAACTCCTGACCTTAGGTGATGCCCTCGCCTTGGCCCCCCAAAGTGCTGGGATTACAGGCATGAGCCACCGCATCCAGCCAATGCAATGGTATATTATTTGGTCATATAAAGGAATGGAGTTCCAGTACATGCCACAACATGCATGAGCCTTGAAAACATGATGCTAAGTGAAAAAGTGGTCACTAAAGACTACATAGTGTGTGAGTCCATTTATCTGAAATGTCCAGAACAGGCAAATCCATAGAGACAGGAAGTGGATTTGTGGTTGTCAGGGCCTGGGTGGGAGAAGGGAATGGGGAGTGGCCACTCCATGGTGCTGGGTTTCTTTAGGATGATAAAAATGTTCTACAATTGATTGTGGTGATATCGGACAACTCTGTGACTTTATTAAAACCCAATGAATTGCACATTTTAAAAGGGCGAGTTTGATGGTATGTAAATCAATAAAAATATTGTTGTAGCTTTATTGAGATATACTTACCATACAATTCACCCATTTCATGTGTGCAATTCTGATTTTTTTTTTCATTTTTATTTATTTTTATTTTTTGAGACAGGGTTTGGCTCTGTTGCCCAAGCTAGAGTGCAATGGCATGATCTGGGCTCACTGCAACCTCCGCCTCCTGGGCTCAAATCATCCTTCTACCTCAGCCTCCCGAGTAGCTGGGACTACAGGTGTGCACCACTGCACCCAGCTAATTTTTTTTTTTTTTTTTTTTGTATTTTTGGTAGAGACGGAGTTTCACCATGTTGCCCAGGCTGGTCTCAAACTCCTGGACTCAAGAGATCCTCCCATCTCAGCCCCACAAAGTGCTGGGATTACAGGTGTGAGCCACCATGCCCGGCCTCAAAAAATATTTTTTAACTAATGTAAAATAATCTGTGCTGAACAAAATAGCAAACATCTAAATACAGGCCCTGTGGCCAGGCACAGTGGCTCATGCCTGTAATCCCAGTACTTTGGGAGGCCGAGGTGGGTGGATCACCTGAGGTCAGGAATTTGAGACCAGCCTGGCTAACATGATGAAACCCCATTTCTACTAAAAATTTAAAAAGCTGGGCATGGTGATGCACGCAGGAGGCTGAGACAGGAGAATCACTTGAACCCAGGAGGCGGAGGTTGCAGTGAGCCGAGATCACGCCATTGCACTCCAGTTTGGGCAACAAGAGCAAAACTCTGTCTCAAAAAAAAAAAAAAAAAAAAAAACAGGCCCTGCCCTCACCCACCAGCCACATGTGGCTACCAAGCACTTGAAAGATGGCTAATGTCACTTCTTGAAATGATAATTTTTAAAAAATATATTGAGTTAAATTTTTAAATTAAGAAAATTTTGGCCGGGCGTGGTGGCTAACGCCTGTAATCCCAGCACTTTTGGGAGGCCAAGGTGGGTAGATCACCTGAGGTCAGGAGTTCGAGACCACCCTGACCAATATGGTGAAACCCCATCTGTAATAAAAATACAAAAATTAACCTCAGGAGGCTGAGGCAGGAAAATCACTTGAACCTGGGAGGCGGAGGTGGCAGTGAACCAAGATCATGCCACTGCACTCTGGCCTGGGTGATACAGCAAGACACTGTCTCAAAAAAAAAAAAAAAAAAAAAAAAGACAATTTAAAAGTTAACATTTAGGCCGGGCGCGGTGGCTCACGCCTGTAATCTCAGCACTTTGGGAGGCCGAGGTGGGCGGATCACAAGGTCAGGAGATTGAGACCATCCTGCCTAACATGGTGAAACCCCGTCTCTACTAAAAATACAAGAAATTAGCCTGGCGTGGTGGCGGGCGCCTGTAGTCCCAGCTACTTAGGAGGCTGAGGCAGGAGAATGGCGTGAACCCAGGATGCGGAGCTTGCAGTGAGCCGAGATCGCGCCACTGTACTCCAGCCTGGGCGACAGAGCGAGACTCCCTCTCAAAAAAAAAAAAAAAAAAAAAAAGTTAACATTTAGAATAATTTTAAATTAGATTTAATTAAAATATTATTTATATATTATACAAATATAATGTTATATTTAGTTTAAAATAATTTGGTTTAAATTAAAATTTTATTTATAAAAATAACTTTTTATTTTAAAAATTAAAGAAAATAACTTCACCTGTTCCATTTTACTTTTTATTTTTTTAAGAGCCAGATTCTTACTCTGTCACCCAGGCTGGCATGATCATAGCTCACTTCAGCCTAGAACTCCTGGCTTCAAGCAATCCTCCCACCTCAGCATCCCAAGTAGCTGGAACTACAGGTACGCACCATCATGCCCAGCTTCATTTATATATTTATCTTTTTTGTTTGTTTTTTGAGACAGGGTCTCCTTCTGTCGCCCGAGCTGGAGTGCAGTGGCACAATCTTGGCAAACTGCAACCTATGCTTCTGGGGCTCCCGTGATCCTCCCACCTCAGCCTCTCCAATAGCTGGGACTACAAGCGTGTGCCACCATGCCTCGCTAATTTTTGTATTTTTTAGTAGAGACAAGAGTTTGCCACATTGCCCAGGCTGGTCTCAAACTCCTGAGCCCAAGCCATCTGCCCACCTCGTCCTCCCAAGGTGCTGGGATTACAGGGGTGAGCCACTGCACCCTGCCTATTTATTTACTTTTCTTAGAGATGGGGGTCTTGCTTTGTTGCCCAGGCTGGTCTCGAACTCCTGGGCTCAAGCAATCCTCTCACCTCAGCCTCCCAAAGTGTTGGGATTACAGGCATGAGCCATCTCACCTGGCCAGTAATGTATTTCACTCCAAGAACAACTCATGAATTAGGAACTGTTATAATCCCCCTTCTGCAGGGGAGGAAAGAGAGGCTCAGAGAGGTTAAATGACTGCTCAGAGTCCCTCAGAGCTGGGCTTTAAGTCCACCTGAGGCAGGCGGACGGGCTGTGCAGGACAAGTTGGCAGCCCCCGCCTTAAGGAGAGTGGTACCCTCTTTCCTCCAGTGCATTTATGTTTTATTTTTATTTTTGAGACAGAGCCTCACTTTGTCACCCAGGCTGGAGTACAGTGGTGCGATCTCAGCTCACTGTAACCTCTGCCTCCTGGGTTCGAGCAATCCTCCTACCTTAGCCTCCTGAGTAGCTGGGACTACAGGCACACACCACCATGCCTGGCTAATTTTTGTATTTTTGGTAGAGACAGGGTTTCACCATGTTTGCCAGGCTGGTCTCAAACTCCTGGCCTCAAAAGATCCACCCACCTCGGCCTCCCAAACTGTTGGGATTATAGGCGTGAGCCACCGTGCCCGGCCAAGTGCATTTTTTTGTAAACCCCCGTGCAAGTTGCTTTGAGGTTGAGCAGCTTACTGCTGGGGACAGCATTCTCAAGTCCAGGCTAAACAGGGAAGATGCTGTGTGCTGTCCCTTTGTGGCTTTGAGGTTCTCCTGCTTATTCTCTTTGCTGCCTGCAGCTGCCTCTTGGTGACTTTCCCTTTCCAGGGAGCCAGAGGAACCAAGGAGTGTTGGCCCTGACTCCTGCCCCCAGCATGTAAACTCATTAACTGCTGGGTCCTCAGGCAGTTAGGTGGCTGAGCATTTGAGTCTGGGACGGCAGGTGGATTTGGTTGGAGAGGGAATGACAGAGATTGGGGAGGAGCCTCCAGAGTCTAAAGAGATAGGTACACAAGCAGAAAGTTCCAGCCCCCAGCCTGCCTTTCCCCCATGCTCAGGGGACAAAGCTGAATTAACTCGAGGTCAGGAATGGCATTTGCATTTGCATTCTTGAGAGTCACTGCAAATAAGAGCTGTAGTCATGGTGAGTGGTTAAGGCAATGGACTAGAGAACCACTGAGAAAAAAAGCGAACAGTGGCTGGGCGCAGTGGCTCATGCCTGTCATCCCAGCACTTTGGGAGACCGAAGTGGGTGGATCACTTGAGGTCAGGAGTTCGAGACCAGCCTGGCCAACATGGTGAAAACCCGTCTCTACTAAAAATACAAAAATTAGCCAGGCTTGTCAGTGGGCACCTATAATCCCAGCTAGTCGGAAGGCTGAGGCAGGAGAATCACTTGAACCCAGAAGGCAGAGGTTGCAGTGAGCTGAGATCATGACACTGCACTCCAGCCTGGGTGACAGAGAGAAACTCCGTCTCAAAAAAAAAAGAAAAAGAAAAAAAAAAAAAGGAACAGCCGGACATGGTAGCTCATACCTGTAATCCCAGCGCTTTGGGAGACCGAGGCAGGTGGATCACCTGAGGTCAGGAGTTCCAGATCAGCCTGGCCAACATGGTAAAACCCCATCTCTACTAAAAATACAAAAATTAGCTGGATGTGGTGGCGCACACCTGTAGTCCCAGATACTCAGGAGGCTGAGGCAGGAGAATAGCTTGAACCCGGGAGGCGGAGGTTGCAGTGAGCAGAGATCACGCCACTGCACTCCAGCCTGGGCGATAGAGTAACAATCCGTCTCAAAAAAATCTGAAAATTAAAAATTAAAAAGTGAACAGTTGTTTAGTAAGTGCAGTAGGTAGGCCAAGATAACTATTAAGTATGTCCTAACAAGGTAGCTGCTTGAAAAAAATAATGCACATAAATTAAAAAAAAAAAAACTATTTTCACTCATTCTTAACTTCTCGTATGGATGTACTAACGGGAGGCCTGTGCCTGTTGGGCTGTCCACAGCTACTCAAACCTTGAGATTAGATTGGACGCTATCTAATCTCATTTCCTGTTACACAATAACTTCTGCATGGCACTTGCTTTTAATCATGACAACTGCCATACACTCAGCTTTACAAAATCATGTCATTGTGGAAAGGAAGTTCCCTCCATCTAACATTCAAATTTAACTATCCTGAGCTGGTAGTTTGCAAGGTGTCCAACAGATGTCACTGTGTTTCCTTCGCAAATTCTCTAAAATAGTCTGCTGTGTCCCGGGGCATAGTAGATATTCAAGAAATGGTGGCTATGAGTTTTATCACAATTCTCTCCTACTGGGTGAGCAGCTGTTTGCAAGACTAAAATTCGGGCGAGGCACAGGCTTCCCCTTGGTCTTAGCAGCTAGCACAAGACGAGTGTCCCTTCAGCCAGTCTCAGAGCTCTTTGGCAATTCAACTGACCCTTGTCCTTCAGTCCAGACAATGCCCCAGGGCCCACCTGCATTCAAACTCGGACTGTTCTCCTTCCCACCCCTATTATCTTTTCAACTTTATGGACAGTACATGCAATTTTCTCATTCATTTTCTCATTTAACATCTAACAGCTTCATGATATCCCCATTTTACAGATAAGGAAACCAAGGCTTTAAGAGGATAGGGACCCTAATCGGCTAAGGCAGAATTAGGATTTGAACCCAGATCCCCATGACGCCAGAATCTAAGCCTTGACCAAATATGTGTTACTATTACTTTTGTTGTTGTTGTTGTTCTGGGTAACTCCAACCCTCTGCTCGTTGGCCTTGTCACCTCAGTGCTGATTTTGCAGATGAAGAGACTAAGGTTCCGAGGTGCTAGAGCACAGTGGTTAGGAACACACACTCTAGAGCCAGAGTGCCTGGGTTTGAGCCTCGTTCTGCCGTTTACTAGCCGTATGGCCTTGGGCAACTTGCTTAACTTCTCTTTGCCTCAGTTCCTCTTCTCTTGGGTTGTTAGGAGAATGAATGAGGTGATATCCACAGTGTCCA
Organism: Homo sapiens; assembly: GCF_000001405.40. Taxonomy (NCBI): domain Eukaryota; kingdom Metazoa; phylum Chordata; class Mammalia; order Primates; family Hominidae; genus Homo; species Homo sapiens. The sequence goes on along the minus strand of NC_000012.12, from coordinate 120,971,123 downwards.
ACACCCTGCAAGCGGCCAGGTGTGGTGGATCACACCTGCAATCCCAGCACTTTGGGAGGCCGAGGCAGGTGGATCATTTGAGGTCAGGAGTTCGAGACCAGTCTGGCCAACATGGCGAAACCTCATTTCTACTAAAAATACAAAAATTAGCCGGGCGTGGTGGCAAACAACTGTAATCCGAGCTACTAGGGAGGCTGAGGCAGAAGAATCGCTTGAACCCAGGAGACAGAGGTTGCAGTGAGCCAAGATTGCACCACTGCACTCCAGCCTGGGCGACAGAGTGAGACCCTGCCTCAAAAACTAAAAATAAAAAATGAACAGTGTCCAACACCTTGAAAGCATTCCGCATGACTGAACGATCACTGTTACGTGATTACCAACATGACGACCCCACTTCTCTTGGCCAAACTGAGTTCTCTTCTCTTGTAAAAACTTCTGCATATGAAGTCACCCATTCCATTTGACTCTTTAGCCCTCATCCTGGCATTCAAGGGCATGGACGACTCAACCCCACTCTCTAGCCAGCCTGACCTCTCCATTCCCTTCTCTGGCGTAGAGGCCACTCCCACCACCTGCCCTTACCCCCTGCCCACTTTTGTCAGCCTGTACTGTGTTGAAGCTCCCAGGAGAGACAACTGCAGTCATCACTTTCCACTGTGTTCAGTGATGTCAGTTCGGCCCAGCTGGAGGTACTCACATCATGGAAACAGACCATCAGATTTGGTGTGTGTGTGTTTTATTTTGCTTTTTCAGAGAGCCAGCTGTTAAACACTAGCCAACACCCCATTGATGCTGTTCCTTCTACCTGAAACACCTCGCATTGCCGGTGAGCTCTAAAGACAAAAGGACCTGGGTCTGCATTTCCCAAAGGCAAGACTCTGGTATCACCTGCATATTATTTTCCCATATTTGAGCACCACTGCCTTTTGCATTATTTACTTAGCAGTTTTGCTCCTGTCAACTCACTTTTTTAAAACTAAACTTATTTTAAAAAGAAAAGTTTTGGCCGGGAGCGGTGGCTCATGCCTGTAATCCCAGCACTTTGGGAGGCCGAGGTGGGCAGATCACCTGAGGTCGGGAGTTCGAGACCAGCCTGACCAACATGGAGAAACTCCGTCTCTACTAAAAATACAAAATTAGCTGGGCGTGGTGGCGCATGCCTGTAATCCTAGCTACTCGGGAGGCTGTGGCAGGAGAATTGCTTGAACCCAGGAGGCGGGGGTTGCAGTGAGTCGAGATCGCCCCATTGTACTCCAGCCTGGGGAACAAGAACGAAACTCCGTCTCAAAAAAAAAAAAAAAAAAGAAAAAGAAAAGAAAAGCTTTATATAATTTTAATACTCAAAAAAACAGTATCCCGGCCAGGCACAGTGGCTCACACCTGTAATCCCAGCAATTTGGGAGGCCAGGCAGGAGGATCACTTGAGGCTAGGGGTTCAAGACCACTTGAGGCTAGGGCCAACATGGTGAGACCCCGTCTCTACTAAAAATACAAAAATTAGCCAGGCATAGTGGCACGTGCCTGTAATCCCAACTACTCGGGTGGCTGAGGAACAAAAATCACCTGAATCCAGGAGGCGGAGGTTGCTGCGAGCCGAGATCGTGCCACTGCACTTCAGCCTGGGTGACGGAGTGAGACTCTGTCTCAAAAAAAGAAAAAGAAAAAGAGTATCCCTTGCCATAAATAGCAAGCAGTCATTCAGACATGGAAATGAGGCATTCACACTTGTTCTTGTTTCACACTAAGGCCCTAAGCCTAAGGAGGGTTTCTCTATGTTGAAAGGAAATTAGGCAGTGTTCAGAGGGGTGTTAAAGATAGACTAGCAACTAATTGAAACTTTCTCCTCAATGTAAGCACTTTAGAAGGGACTGAAAAGAGAATGTTCTCCCTACATGTACCATATCACCTACAATTACCTCGTGTACCACTATTTTGCAAATAAATGCCAGAGGCAAGAGTACATTTTGATGCTTTAGCCTAGCACTCAAAGCCCTCCTCGATTTGAATCTTTCCAGCCTCATCTTGCACAGCCCCTCCATACCCAGACCTCACCCACTCTATTTGCCATCTCCAGAACATACCCCTAACTTTCTCACCTCTGTGCCTTTGTGCAAGCTGCTCCCTCTACCTGGAAACCTCCATTTGTCAAGCTGCTGCTGTCTTCAAGATCTACCTGGTCAGAATCTCCTGCTGTCCTCTTCTGCCACCCACAGCAATGTGAGCCTTCACTGGCTGGCCTTCCCTACTCACTGGAGCAGAGCTACGGCATCAGAATGCCCTGGAGCAGGGGTTAGAAACACAGATTTCTGAGTCTACACTCGAAGATTTTTTTTTCTTTCTTTCTTTTTTTTTGTTTTCCAATTTTTCTAATTTTAGAGATGGGGTCTCACCACGTTGCCCAGGCTGGTCTCAAGCTCCTGGACTCAGGTCATCCTACCACCTAGGCCTTCTAAAGTGTTAGGATGAGCCCTGAACCTTGTAACATGAACATTTATTAGTTATATCTGGAAAAAAATATAAAGTTATTTTTATTTGGGTGATACTGCCTTCAAAAAACAAAAACAAAAAAAAACAGGAGGCCGAGCACAGTGGCTCATGCCTGTAATCCCAGTGCTTTGGGAGGCTGAGGCAGGCGGATCACTTGAGACCAGGAGTTCAAGACCAGCCTGGCCAACATAGTGAAACCCCGCTTCTATTAAAAATACAAAAATGGGCCAGGCACGGTGGCTCATACCTGTAATCCCAGCACTTTGGGAGGCCGAGGCGAGTGAATCACGAGGTCAAGAGATCAAGACCATCCTGGTAAACATGGAGAAACCCTGTCTCTACTAAAAATACAAAAATTAGCTGGGCACGGTGTCACGTGCCTGTAGTCCCAGCTACTAGAGAAGCTGAGTCAGCGGAATCGCTTGAACCCAGGAGGTAGAGGTTGCAGTGAGCTGAGATTGCACCACTGCACTCCAGCCTGGGCGACAGAGTGAGACTCTGTCTCAAAAAAAAAAAAAAAAAAATTAGCCAAGTGTGGTGGCACATGCCTGTAATCCCAATTACTCGGGAGGCTGAGGCAGAAGAATTGCTTGAACCTGGGAGGTGGAGGTTTCAGTGAGCCAAGATCGCACCACTGCCCTCCAGCCTGGGCAATAGAGCAAGACTCCATCTCACAAAATAAAAAGCCAAAAAAAGCTCTCGACAGTTCTGTTCCCCGCCTGAGGTGTTTGTCTCAGGATCCCGGCCTGGCTGTGGGCCACAGATGGCAAAAACCAAGGTCCGTCTATTACTGGGCATCCAGGGTTTCATAATCTCTACGACCTCCATGCCTGGAACTCCACACATTGCGCATGCCCCAGAAACGCTTGCCCAACGGACCCCAATCCACCATTTCTGAATGCATTTTTCATGACTTGCTGAATGTGTCTTGTTAATCCAATTAGATTGTAAACTCCGGGAGTGCAGGGACAACGTTGACCTTCCTATTACTCCCCTCACCCCCGCCCAGCTCTGGGCTGGGCACACAGTGACCCTCAAGGGTAGCACAAAGACTTGAGGCAAGAAAAACACCTGTAGAAGGAAAAGGCTGGATACTGGGAGCGCCTCTGTCTGCTTTGCTGCCATCCTCTTCTTCAACAACAAAGGACACGCTAATTCTATGCAGCAAAAGTTTCCAAACACGTTAGCCTAAGAATTTCGAGTCATGCAAAAAATAAATTCCCAGAGTCACAGGGTTAAAAAAAATCAGATTCCAGGGCCCCATCCTTGTTGTTCCTGAGTCAGACTCCCCAGTCAAACTGCCAGAGAACCTCGTCTTTGAACAAACACTTCAGGCAACTTTCCCAGGATAAAGCAAGTTTCAGAAACTCTCACACAGCTTCTTAGGTATCTCAGATATGGCTCTTGCCCTCCAGATGTTTACAAATGAAAACAAGAAATCTGGTTCCAACAAGCAAAAGCCCAGAGAGACCTCAAACACAAAGATGCAAATCAAAATTAGTAGAGAAATAAATGAGCCGGGACGTTGTACTTCGGTCGCGGGGCTGGCTGAGGTCACTACCTGCACAGCCGACTGTTGGAAGTTCTGCGGTATACCAGCTGAATGGCCTTGAACAAGTCCCATCTCCACTCGGAGCCTCCGTTTCCGCATCTGTAGAATGGGGATATGTGGGCCTAACTCACAGCGTTGTGAGAATTCAACAAGAACACATCAAGCAGCTGTGAATGTAGCAAGCCGGCATTTGATTAAATGTTAGTTTTCGTCCTAAGAAAAATAGCTAATATTTCTGAGCACTTACGGCCGAGCCCTGAGCTAACATTTACTTCCTCCTTTAACTCCCACAACAACCCAATGAGGTAGGATCTATTATTATCCCCATTTCACAGATGCGGAAATTAAGACACAGAAAGGTTAAAAAAAAAACACGCACAGGCCAGGCGTGGTGGATCACCCCCTGTAATCTCAGCACTTTGGGAGGTGGAGCCTGGAGGATCGCTTGAGGCCAGGAGTTTGAGACTAGCCTGGGCAACATAGCAAGACCCTGTCTCTATAAAAAAAAATTTAAAGCTGAGTGCAGTGGCTCACGCCTGTAACCCCAACACTTTGAGAGGCTGAGGCAGGTGAACTCTTGAGCCCAGGAATTCAAGACCAAACTGGGCAGCATAGTGAGACCCTGTCTCTTAAAAAAAAAAAAATCAGCTGGGCGTGGTGGTGCATGCCTGTGATCCCAACTACTCGGGAGGCTGAGGTGGGAGGATCGCTTGAGCCCAGGAGTTTGAGGTCTCAGTGAGCTATGATTGTGCCATTGCGCTCCAGCCTGCACAACAGAGAAAGGTCTGTCTTAAAAAAAAAAAAAAAAAGAAAAGAAAGAAAAGAAAAAAGAACCCAACGTCTCCCAACCAGGAAATGGCAGAGCTGGGATTAGAGCCTAGAAAACCTATCCTGTAGCCCCAGGAGGAAATAGCCTCACGGGAGCAAAACCACCAGGTGTTTAGGACTCATGAAAATTATACATTGGCTTCTTTGGGAAAAGTGGCCCATTCAGCTGAGCAGGACCCAAAATAGCAAAAGGGCCAAGGACAGCCCGCCTGCCCTAGGTGTGGCCCCAGCCAGGATTCCTAGCCCTGCGAGTTTTCCCAGATTGGCCAACACACGTCTGAACCCCTGGGATCAGGAAGTGCCAATGCCTGGGTCTTGCTAAAGCCATTTACCGTCGACAGATATCCCACCGATGGCCAAGTGCCAGTTAGTCACGGCCTCAGTGCAGCACCTCATCCCTCCCAGAAAGCCATGGCTCTGGACTCCACCCACTGAAAACAGGGCTTTTGTGGGAATACAATGGGACAAGAAGAAAAACATGCTGAACCTGATCTCCATGGGACCTGATGTGGAGTCACGTTCATTCACATCACTGGCTTGCAGCCTCTCCACTCACAAGTTATTGATAATCGAAAAAATAAAACACCATGCGATCGTATTTCTGGGCAGATAGAATGCAAGAGCCTGGGGCACTGGTTGTTTCTGGGGAGGGGAAGGGAACCGAGAGACCCAAGAAGAGGGTGGACAAGCTAGGCACGGTGGCTCACCCCTGTAATCCCAGCATTTTGGGAGGCCAAGGCAGGCAGACACTTGAGGTCAGGAGTTCGAGATCACCCTGGCCAACATGGTGAAACCCTGTCTCTACTAAAAACATAAAAATTAGCCAGGCGTGGTGGCAGGTGCCTATAATCGCAGCCACTCAGGAGTCTGAGGCAGGGGAATCACTTGAACCTGGAGGCAGAGATTGCAGTAACCGGAGATCGTGCCATTGCATTCCATCCTGGGCGACAGAGCGAAACTCCGTCTCAAAGAAAAAAATAAAAGGACTATGAGTGGGAGCAGATGTAGGGAGATGCAAGGGACGGAGTATCAGGAGAACAGTACCTGTTCTGGGCTCTCCGCTAATCAAACCCAACCACCAGGCAGAGGCATGGGAGACCCCCACACACAGAGCAGGGTGGAGACAGGAGAAGCGATCGCAGAAGAGGCCAGACCACCACCCAATAGATGTGGGTAACTATTCAAAACTCAGATCATCTGAACAGAAAAAGGTAAATGCTATGAGCTAAAAACTTCAAGGTTCTTTGCATCAGTGCCCTTTTTTTTTTTTCCTGAAGTTATTTCAAGTTGGATTTCTACCACTTGCAAACCAAAGAGTCTTGCCGAACAGAGACGGAAACATGGAAGATTTCATTGAAGTGGAAACCTGGCATTGTAATTGCCCACTGCTTGTAAAATTCAGGCCAGTGTGGTGGCTCACGCCTGTAATCCCAACACTTCGGGAGGCTGAGGTGGGCAGATCGCCTGAGCCCAGAAGTTCAAGACCAGCCTGGGCAACATGGCAAGACCCTGTCTCTATAAAAAATTTTGGTTTAAAGCTAAGTGCAGTGGCTCACACCTGTAATGCCAACTCTTTGGGAGGCTGAAGCAGGTTAATTGCTTGAGCCCAGGAGGTCGAGACCAAACTGGGCAACATAGTGAGACCCCATCTCTAAAAAAAGAGAAGAAAAGAAAATCAGCAGGGAGTGTTGGCACATGCCAGTGGTCCCAGCTATTCAGGAGGCCGAGGTGGAAGAATCACCTGAACCCAGGAAGGTCAAGGCTGCAGCAAGCTGTGATAGTGCCACTGCACTCCAGCCTGGACAACAGAGCAAGACCCTGTCTCAAAATAAGTACATAGGCTGGGCGAGGTGGCTCATGCCTGTAATCCTAGCACTTTGGGAGGTCGAGGCGGGCAGATCATTTGGGGTAAGGAGTTCGAGACCAGTTTGGCCAACACGGTGAAACCCCGTCTCTACTAAAAATACAAAAAAAATTAGCTGGGTGTGGTGGCACATGCCTGTAATCCCAGCTACTTGGGGAGGCTGAGGCAGAAGAATTACTTGAACCTGGGAGACAGAGATCGCGTCACTGCACTCCAGCCTGGTTGACAGTGCGAGACTCTCAAAAAAAATTGGCCAGGCATAGTGGCTCACGCCTGTAATCCTAGCACTTTGGGAGGCCGAGGTGGGTGGATCACCTGAGGTCAGGAGTTCGAGACCAGCCTGGCCAACGTGGCGAAACCCCGTCTCTACTAAAAAATACAAAAATTAGCTGGGCATGGTGGCACATGCCTGTAATCCCAGCTACTTGCGAGGCTGAGGCTGGAGAATCACTTGAACCTGGGAGGCAGAGGTTGCAGTGAGCTGAGATCGCGCCACTGCACTACAGCCTGGGTGACAGAGTGAGACTCTGTCTCAAAAAAAAAAAAAATCAATTAATTTAGCTTAATTCAGCTGCTTCACCTTGGCCTACAAGGGGCTGGGCCACCCTGTCCAATCCATGATCACCTTTTTCCACTGTCCACCTGCAGTGCACAGCAAGTCGCCTACAGCTCCTCCCATACCCACAGCCCCTTCCTGCCTGGGACCTTCGCCCATGCTGTTCCTCCTGCCTGAACCCCTCTCCTAGCTCTTCCTCCCATCAGCACCTCATTGTCATCCCTTCCCTATCCTGTGGTCTGAATGTTTGTGTCCTCCCAAAGTTCATATGTGGAATCCTAGCCCCCCAGGTGGTGGTATTAAGAGGTGGGGACTTTGGGGGCAGGATTAGTTCCCTTATCAAAGAGGCCCAAGGGAGCTTGTTTGTCCCTTGCACCAGGTGAGGGCCCCGCAAGAAGGTGCCCTTGCTGGAGATCCCAGACTCTATGAGAAATATTGTTTATAAGTAACCCAGTTTATGTTTTTTTGGTTTTTTGGTTTTTTTTTTTCAAGGTGGAGTCTCGCTCTGTGGCCCAGGCAATCTCGGCTCACTACAACCTCCGCCTCCCAGGTTCAGGCGATTCTCCTTCCTCAGCCTTCTGAGTAGCTGGAATTACAGGCACCCGCCACCATACCCATCTAATTTTTGTATTTTTAGTAGAGACGAGGTTTCACCATGTTGGCCAGGCTGGTCTCGAACTCCTGGCCTCAAGCAATCCTCCCGCCTCGGCCTCCCAAAGTGTTGGGATTACAAGCATGAGTCACCATGCCTGGCCTATGGTATTTTTTTATAGCAGCAGGAACAGACTAAGACATCCTACTTCTCAGCTTAAACGTCACCTCTGCACAGAGCCCTTCGTGATACATCTGAACAGATTCTTTTCTGTGACTCTCCATCCCTGCACTGTATTTGCTCTTTCAGGGTGCTTTTTCACATTTGTGAGGGTGTATGCATCTCCTCTTCCAGGCTGTAAGCTTCATAAAGTCTCTGTTTTGTTCATAACTAGAACAAGCCCTAGCACCTAGCAGTGAGTGTTCATTAAACATATGAAGAATGAATCAGCGAGTGATTTCATGTCTCATCATCTCTAAAAAGCCTGTTTGATCACTTCCAGGACCAGGAAACTCCTGACATTATCAAGGATGCCACTGCAAAGTGAAATGTCATAAACATGTAGGAGTTGATTCTTTCCAGAAGCTGGCAGTCCAGGACTAGTGTGGGGGCTCCACAGTGTCACCAGAGCTTTGACCTTCCTGCCCTACCATCTTCAGTGGGTGGCTTCTGTACTCAGGGTTACCTCATGGTCCAAGATGGCTGCTGGACTCTAGCCATTATATCCAAATACCAGGTAGAATAGAGGACAAAAGCAGTGAACCTCAAGGCTGAGGCTCCTGGAAGCCTCATACACTTTTACCTACTACAGTCCATGGAACATAGTGTAGTCACGGGGCCACACCAAAATGCAAGAGAGACTGGGAAATGTCTTCATTCCAGGCAGCACGATCTGAATCTGTTATTAAGGAAAAAAATAGGAAGAATGGATATTGGGTATGTAACTAGCTACAAATGATCATGGCATCTCCGTTTATTGAGCACTTATTATGTGCTAGACACAGTCCTAAGTACTTAATAAATGTGGCCCGGTCAAACAAGATTGCCCTCTGCCCCCAAGATTGCCCTCTGCCCCTTCTGTAGCCAGGGACACACACACACACGCACGCACGCATGTACAGGAGCCAGTTGGGCCTGGCCCCCTTCACTGCGGGTACTGACATGCGAAGTCTTTGTCATATGACTCTGAGCAGGGAGGGAGCAGTGTCCTCTTAGCATAATAAGATCAGGATTCATAACATTAAATCAAAGTGCTGTAACTCACAGGAATATCAGTTTCCTATTCAGAAGATAGAGGAGAATGTTTTCAGAAGGAAATTGAACTTTATGGTTTGAAACACGTTTAATTTTAAATATGTTGAGAGAAAACCAGCTACAGCCTGGCATGGAAACTCCTGTTGTTCCAGCCAATGCCTTGGAGAACCAGAGACCACGCCCCCTTCCTCCCTGCTGAGGAGTCAACGAACGAGACCAAAGTCCCCTGTTCTTCTCTGCAGTCAGCAGAAATCAGAGAAGAACATCTTTAGACAGTCAGCAGACTCAGGAACTGTGTACTCTAGGACTTTTTAAAAATTTTTTTACTTTTATTTTTTTGAGACGGAGTCTCGCTCTGTCGCCCTGGCTGGAGTGCAGTGGCGTGATCTCAGCTCACTGCAACGTCCACCTCCCAGGTTCAAGCTATTCTCCTGCCTCAGCCTCCCGAGTAGTTAGGATTACAGGCGCCTGCCACCACACCCGGCTAATTTTTGTATTTTTAATAAAGACAAGGTTTTGCCATGTTGGCTAAGCTGTTCTCCAACTCCTGACCTCAGGTGATCCACCTGTCCCAGCCTCCCAAAGTGCTGGGATTACAGGCATGAGCCACCGCACCCAGCCTGGGACTTTTTTATTTTTACAGAGATGGGTGATGATTCATGGGACGTTGGAGATGCCCCAAGACTGGAGATATGATTTGGGGGATCCTGAGGATTGGTGACCTAGGCAAAACTTGGGGAGGCTGGATCCTGGGTATGGAGTAGCCAATCTGAATAAAGACCCCTGCGCCAAAGGTTGGCACAGAAATAGTGGTCTTGCCAGCCTTCAGGGGAGGCCCACACCAGTCCTAGACTGCCTGCTTCTGGAAGGAATCAACTCTTACATGTTTATGCCATTTCACTTTGGGTTTTCTGTTCTATACAGCTAAACCTAATACTGGACTGATACATTATTATTATTTTCAGAACCAACCAAAGCTGGAATAACACTCTTGATAATGCCAGTTTCCTGGTCCTAGAAGTGAGCTAACAGGCTTTTCAGAGATGACGAGATGTGAAATCCCTCACTGATTCATGCTTCATGTGTTTAATGAGCACCCACTAGGTGCTAAGCCTTGTTCTAGTCAGGAATAAAACCGATACTTCACGAGGTTTACAGCCTGGTGGAGGAGACGTGTATCAGGCTAGTGCGTGTAGACCAAAGGCCAGAGGCGCCCACTCAAGCATTTCCACCTACATGAGAATCCCATAGTCTTTTTAGAAGAATAGAAATAGTAAGCCCTGAGTCACGACTGCATTTGAATGCCACCTTACCTGAAGTCTGAATCAGGGATAATTTGATTTCAGAAGAATAAAATGAGGCTCCTAACACCTGTCCCAAATTGCAAGGAAATGAGGGTATTCTCTTTTTTTTTTTTTTTTCTGAGATGGAGTCTCGCTCTATCGCCCAGGCTGGAGTGCAGTGGCGCGATCTCGGCTCACTGCAAGCTCCACCTCCCGGGTTCACGCCATTCTCCTGCCTCAGCCTCCTGAGTAGCTGGGACTACAGGCGCCCGCCACCACGCCCAGCTAATTTTTTGCATTTTTAGTAGAGACGGGGTTTCACCGTGTTAGCCAGGATGGTCTCGATCTCCTGACCTCGTGATCCGCCCGCCTCGGCCTCCCAAAGTGCTGGGATTACAGGCGTGAGCCACCGCGCCCAGTTGAAATGAGGGTATTCTCTAAGAGGCAGATGACAGAACCTACTGCAATGAATTTGTCAAGCTCAAGGCTAAGGACACAGTCCCTCCACAAGGCAGCCTTCACTTCAAATGCCAGGTGCAACTGGGGATTCCTGGGCCACCCTCACTTCTGACCGCTTGGCTGCATTGAGGGTTCCCACTACCCCCTGTGGTTCAATAATTCACTAGAATGACTCATGGAACTCAGGAAAGTGCCCCGCCTCATAACGACAGTTTTTATGATAGCAAACAGACACAGATCAGAACCAGCCACAAGAAAGGACATAGAGGGTGAGGTGCGGAAGGGGTTCAAGTGCAAAGCTCCTAGTTACCTTCTCTCCAGACAGTCACCTCCCCCCAGCTATGATGCGTGATGACACTCAGAGAATACTGCTAACCAGAGAAGCTCCTGAGGCTTTGGTGTCCAGCGTTTTTGGGGGTTTTGTTTTTGTTGTTGTTGTTTCTGAGATGGAGTCTCGCTCTCGTCGCCCAGGCTGGAGTGCTGTTGCGTGATCTCAGTTCACTGCAACCTCCACCTCCTGGGTTCAAGCGATTCTCCCGCCTCAGCCTCCAGAGTACGAGTAGCTGGGATTACAGGCATGCACCATGCCCAGCTGATTTTGTATTTTTAGTAGAGACAGGGTTTCACCATGTTGGCCAGGCTGATCTCAAACTCCTGACATCTGGTGACCCGCCCCCCTCAGCCTCCTGAAGTGCTGGGATTACAGGCATGAGCCACTGCCAGCCAGTGTCCAGCGTTTTTTAGTGGGGCTTGATCCCTTACTGCCAGTGTGGCTGACCTTTCATCTCCAGTCTCTCCTGAGCTAACTCTTGTGTATCCAGCTCATCTGGAGGTTGGAACTGATACAGGATGTTCCAAAGCCTTCATTACAGATCACATTGTTAGACTATCTGGTGGCCAAAGGCCCCAGGCAAACACAGACACTTCCATCAGACAGGACGTTAAGGGGCCTAGAGATCACCTCCCAGCAACTGAAGGCAAAGATAATCCTCCTACTGTACATCCTTTTTTTTTCTTTTTTTTTTTTTAAGAGACAGGGTTTCATTCTGTCGCCCAGGCTGGAGTACAGTGACACACTCATGGCTTGCTGCAGCCTCGACCTCCTGGGCTCAAGCAATCCTCCTGTAGCTGGGACTACAGGTGTGCACCACCACACCCCGCCAACTATACATCCACCACCACCCTGTCCTCTCAGCCCCCAAAGTCATGAGGCTTTGACTAGGTATCAGGATGTCTTCAAATGAAAATTAATGAAAACAGCGGGCCCGGTGGCTCACACCTGTAAGCCCAGCACTTTGGGAGGCCGAGACAGGTGGATCACCTGAGATCGGGAGTTCAAGAACAGCCTGATCAACATGGAGAAACCCTGTCTCTGCTAAAAATACAAAAAAAGTAGCTGGGCATGATGGCACATGCCTGTAATCCCAGCTACTTGGGAGGCTGAGGCAGGAGAATTGCTTGAACCCGGGAGGTGGAGGTTGTGGTGAGCCGAGATCATGCCATTGTACTCCAGCCTGGGCAACAAGAGTGAAACTTCGTCAAAAAAAAAAAAAAGAAAAAAAGAAAAGAAAATTAATAAAAACAAAAATCCAAAGTTGGACACACACACAGAGAACACCTTAGGACAATAGAGGTACACCGTGGAGTGCTGCAGCAGCAAGCCAAAGATTGCCAAGGATTACCAGAGACGTGAGACGTTGGAAAGGGCAAGAGTGGAATCTCCCCTCTCCCCCAAGTTTGAGAGGGGGCCAAGCCTTACCGACACCTTAATTTGAGGCCTCTAGTCTCTAGAAATGCAATGTGCAAGGCGGGGCGCGGTGGCTCACGCCTGTAATCCCAGCACTTTGGGAGGCTGAGGCGGGCCTTAAGGTCAGGAGTTCAAGACCAGCCTGGCCAACATGGTGAAACCCTGCCTCAAAATGCAAAAAGTAGCCAGGCGTGGTGGCATGTGCCTGTAATCCTAGCTACTCAGGAGGCTGAGGCAGGAGAATCACTTGAACCCAGGAGGCAGAGGTTGCAGTGAGCCGAGATCACACCAGTGCACTCCAGCCTGGGCAACAGCGTGAGACTCCATCTCAAAAAAAAAAAAAAGGGCCGGGTGCAGTGCTCACGCCTGTAATCCCAGCACGTTGGGAGGCTGAGGTGGGAGGATCACCTGAGGCCAGGAGTTCAAGACCAGCCTGGCCAATATGGTGAAACTCTGTCTCTACTAAAAATTCCAAAAAAATTTAGCAGGGTGTGGTGGCGCATGCCTGTAATCCCAGCTACTCGGGAGACTGAGACAGGAGAATTGCTTGAACCCGGGAGGTGGAGGTTGCAATGAGCTGAGATGGCGCCACTGCACTCCAGCCTGGGAGACAGAGTGAGACTCCGTCTCAAAACAAAACAAAACAAAAATGCGACGTGCAGTGATGTGCTCCAGCTGGTGTGATCCCCTTGGGGATGTGGCAATGGATGGGCATCCCCAGACTTGATGATCATCCCTTTGTCTCTTACCAGCAATCCCCAAACCAATTCACAAGTTCTGTTTTGTTTTGGTTTGGTTTTTTGTTTGTTTTTTGAGACAGAGTCTCACTCTGTCGCCCGGGCAGGAGTGCAGTGACATGATCATATCTCACTGCAGCCTCAAACTCCCAGGCTCAAGTGATCCTCCCACCTCAGCCTCCCTAGTAGCTGGGACTACAGGTGTGCACCACCATGCCTGGCTAACTTTTTTCATTTTTTGTAGAGATGGGGGTCTCCCTATGTTGCCCAGGCTGGTTTCGAACTCCTGGGCTCAAGTGATCCTCCCATCTCAGCCTCCCAAAGTGCTGGCATTACAGGCGTGAGCCACCGTGCCCGGCCACAAGATATTTTTTAAGCATGGAGGTTTCTGTGCATTGGATTCCCCTCTTTGAGCTTCACCATATATATTTGTCCAAGGGCAGGGAGATCCGGTGTAATCTGCTTACACAATATTCCTGGAGAAGTTCTTCTTTCAGTAAATACTTGTACATCTCTGCAGAGTGACAGCAGGTTCTCCAGCAAACACCTTGGGGAGCCCAACCCTTTCCTGGGAATGCCCCTGTGTTAATGGGAATCAAAGCTGAGAGCAGGTGGGGAGAGTACATTCTTGGCTTATCAGCTTCCAACAGAAAGGGGAAATAAAAACAGATGCAATCTTTTATTGCAAAGGGATGGGTGCCTCTAAGATCAGATAAAGCCCATATAGGATTATGCAGAAACTGGTGTAAATTTGCAGGTCATCAAGACTCAATGTCCCCTCCCTCCCCACACTGTCCACCTCTGGACCATTTTGCACTTTATATTTTCTGAGAAAGGAGGCAGAGGGGAAGAAGGGGTTCAAAGGTGTCAGCCTGGCTCCTGGTGACCAGCTCTGTTTAGCAGGAAGTTAGCTGGAACAACTGATTGAGCCCTGGGATAATCTATGCTGTCACTGTGGACACAGCGGAGCAGAGGGCACACACAGTGGAGGGCACACACAGCGGAGGACAGACACAGTGGAGGGCACACACAGTGGAGGGCACACACAGCGGAGGGCACACACAGTGGAGGGCACACACAGCGGAAGGCACACACAGTGGAGTTACCTCTGATCCCCATGCCCTACGGGGCTGCCACCTTCCTGCCAGGGTTTGGATCATCACAGTCATTTGCATCTTCACTCCACAGCGTGAGTGCACATACACATCTGTTTTATTGCATTTGGCCCTTATAGGAATGAGTGGGATATGGGGAAATGAAAAGGCTGAGACTGCGATAAAAAATGTAGCTCTTAGGCCAGGTGCGGTGGCACATGCCTGTAATCCTAGCACTTTGGGAGGCCGAGGTGGACAGATCACCTGAGTTCAGGAGTTTGAGACCAGCCTGGCGAACATGGTGAAACCCCATCTCTACTAAAAATACAAAAATTAGCCAGGCGTGGTGGTGGGTGCCTGTAGTCCCAGCTACTCAGGAGGCTGAGGCAGGAGAATCCCTTGAACTCGGGGGTCAGAGGTTGCAGTGGGATTGCACCGCTGCACTCCAGCCTGGGCGACAGAGTGAGACTCCATCTCAAAACAAAACGAATCGAATCAAATGTAGCTCTTGAAACAACCAAAACAAAGTTAAAGTTGTAAAGAGTGGAAAGTCCTTAGCATTGATCAGAATTAATCTTTGGCCAGGTGCAGTGGCTCACGCCTATAATCCCAGCACTTTGGGAGGCTAAGGTGGGAGGATCATTTGAGCCCAATTTGAGACTAGCCCAGGCAACATAGTGAGATCTCATTTCTACTGGAAATGAAAAAATTAGCCAGGCATGGTGGCATCTGCCTATAATCCTGGCTACTCAGGAGGCTGAAGTGGGAGGATTGTTTGAGTTTGGGAGGTCGAGGCTGCAGTGAGCTAGGATGGCACCACTGCACTCCAGCCTGGGCAACAGAGTGAGACCCTGTCTCAAAAAAAAAAAAGAATTCTCAATCTTCTCCCCGACCACAGCCTTCCTCAAGTAAGCTAAAAACAAACATCCTCTACATTGTTTGAGTCAAATATTGGCTTTATCCTTGACACCTCACTTTCTTTCCTATCCCATAGTCAATTGGTCTAGAAATAAAAATAAAAGTTTCCCCAGAATTAAAAAAAAAAAAAAATCCCAAAGTTGGGTGGGCTTGATGGTATATGTTATTAGGAGTCTAGGTTTTCTCAGTCTACAGCATCAGCTTCTGTGAAGGCTGATTCCCCTCATGGTCACAAAGTGGCTGCCACCACTCACTCAGGCACCTTTGTCTCCTCTGGGGAGAAGGAGGAGCTGCTCACCCTCATCAGCCCAGAGTAAGCCCCGCCTTGCATCTCGTTGGTCCACTGGCTTAGGCCCAGTCAATCACTGGCAAATGGGGATGGAATTAGCAGCACTGACTAAGCTCATTGGATCTCAAAGTGTGGTCCCAGGGCCAGCAGCATTGGCCTCACCTGGGAACTTGTTAGAACGGCACATCCTCAAGCCTCACCTCAAACCTGCTGAATCAGAAACTCGGGGTGGGGCCCAGTGAGCTGGATTTGTTTCCCAAGCCCTCTAGGGAATTCTAGTTTGTGCTCCCACTGAAGAACTTCTGCCTTGATTAAAAGCTTTGTTAACCATCCTCAAGGTCCAGGCCTGATAGTGACTTTGGAGGAAGGTGGGTGAGATGCTGTGAGTGTGGGAGGGGAAGAGTGGCCTCTTCAGTGGGTACCGCAGGTCACTCTGTGGGCGACGACATCGCAGGGACAACGTGGACCCAGGAGTCCCCATCTACAGTCCCTGGTCTGGCTGGAGACAGTGAGGGAAACCTCCTCTACGATCCCCCAAAGGAAAGGCAGAAACCCACTGGGCAGAAAAGGAGAGCATCTTCACACACCTTATCCCATTTTTGTCTCATAGCTGTCCTTTAAAAGAGATGTTATTAAATTCCCATTTTAGGCTGGGGCAGTGGCTGACGCCTGTAACCCCAGTACTTTGGGAGGCTGAGGTGGGCGGATCACTGAGGTCAGGAGTTCGAGACCAGCCTGGACAACATGGTGAAACCCCATCTCTACTCAAAAAATACAAAATTCCTATCAGCCGGGCGTGATGGTGCATGCCTGTAATCCCAGCTACTCGGGAGGCTGAGGCAGAAGAATTGCTTGAACCTGGGAGGCGGCACCTGCAGTGAGCCGAGATCGCGACACTGCACTCCAGCCTGGGCAACATAGTGAGGTTCTGTCTCAAAAATAAATAAAAATAAATTCCCATTTTAGCAATGAGGAAACTGGGATTCAGAGAAGTTGAGGGCCGAGTGTGGTGGCTGACGCCTGTAACCCCAGCACTTTGGGAGGCCGAGGTGGGCGGATCACCTGAGGTCAGGAGTTCAAGACCAGCCTGGCCAACATGGTGAAACCCAGTCTCTACTAGTAATAAAAATTAGCCGGGTGGGGTGGTGCGTGCCTGTACTCCCAGCTACTCGGGAGGCTGAGGCAGGAGAATTGCTTGAACCCGAAAGGCGGAGGTTGCAGTGAGCCGAGATTGTACCATTGCACTCCAGCCTGGGAGACAGAGTGAGACTCCATCTCAAAAAAAAAAAAAAAAAAAAAAAAAAGAGAGAAGTCAAGGCTACATGGTTATCCACCGACATGGGGTCCTAATGTCTATGTCATATATGTCAGATGAGATGTCCAGTCTCTCTGCCAGTGACGTGCCAAGGGCGGGGCAGTGGGGCACTTTGCATCAGAGCGGGGCATTTAGTGTACACAATGTGAAAGCCAGAATGAAACCAACTAGGCGGGGTGAGGTGGCTCATAGCTGTAATCCCAATACTTTGGGAGGGGTGGGAAGATCGCTTGAGTCCAGGAGTTCAAAACCAGCCCAGGCACCACAGCAAGACCTCATCGCTACAAAAAAAAAAAAAAAAAAAAAAAAAAAAAAAAAGCTAGTTGCAGCGGCATGAGCCTGTAGTCCCAGCTACTTGGGAGGCTGAGGCAGGAGAATCTCTTGAGCCCAGGAGTTTGAGGATACAGTGAGCTATGATCACACCACTGCACTCTAGCCTGGGCAACAGCAAGCCTCCATCCAAAAAAGAAAAAAAAAAAAAGAAGAAGAAAATCAGCTAAAAGTCAGTGTGCTTTTTATTCTCACTATGCTATTGCAATTCTAAACTATATCAGTGATAAAATACTCTTCCTCAAGTTGATATAACTTCTAAATATTTACCATAATTACTGCTGAGTTTTAGTAATATAAATAACATAATCCTATAACTACAATATAAATAAAATACAAAATATAACACAAATAATATAAATTTAAAAATAGCTTTTTTTTTTCTTTGAGGTGGAGTCTTGCTCTGTCACCCAGGCTGCAGTGCAGTGGCGCAATCTCGGCTGTCTGCAACCTCCACCTCCCAGGTTCAAGTGATTCTCCTGCCTCGGCCTCCCGAGTAGCTGGGATTACAGGCACCTGCCACCACACCCAGCTGATTTTTGTATTTTTAGCAGTGATGGGGTTTCACCATATTGGCCAGGCTGGTCTTGAACTCCTGACCTCAGGTGATTCACCCGCCTCCGCCTCCCAAAGTGCTGGGATTACAGGCATGAGCCACCGCACCCGGCCAAAATAGCTTTTTTTTTTTTTTTTTTTTTGAGACGGAGTCTCACTCTGTCACCCAGGCTGGAGTGCAGTGGCACAATCTCGGCTCACTGCAACCTCCATCTCCCAGATTCAAGCGATTCTCCTGCCTCAGCCTCCTGAGTAGCCGGGACTACAGGCATGTGCCAGTGCGCCAGGGTAATTTTTTTATTTTTACTAAAGACGGCATTTCGCCATGGTCGTCAGGCTGGTCTCGAACTCCTGACCTCAAGTGATCCACCCGTCTCAGCCTCCCAAAGTGTTGGGATTACAGGCGTGAGCCACCGGACTCGGCTAATAACTTATGTTTTAATAAACATTGTCATACACATGAAAGTTAATTCAGAGAATTCCCACTTCTGCAGCTCGTCCCTGGCACATTGTGGATTCAGTTATAGCCATGATGGTTTGAAGGAAGTTTATAATAATGCATAATCACTGGGCATAGTTTATAACTACAACCCCAAAGGTGCTACGTATTCCTGCATTTAAACCATAGATTTTTAAAAAATTATAGTGCAATGATTGTAAAGACAAAAAAAACAGAACTTGGTCTATTTCAATTTGTCACTCTAGGGGTACATTTGGAGTTTTTATTTGTGTTTAAAATATAAAACAGTGAGAGTATGAACAGCAGGGTGTAATTTTTTTTTTTTTTTTTTTTTTTTTGAGACAGAGTTTTGCTCTTGTTGCCCAGGCTGGAGTGCAATGGCACGATCTCAGCTCACTGCAACCTCCACCTCCCAAGTTCAAGCGATTCTCCTGCTTCAGCCTCCCGAGTAGCTAGGATTACAGGCATGCACCACCATGTCCAGCTAATTTTTGTAGTTTTAGTTGAGACAGGGTTTCTCCATGTTGGTCAGGCTGGTCTCGAACTCCTGACCTCGGGTGATCTGCCCGCCTTGGCCTCCCAAAGTGCTGGGATTATAGGCGTGAGCCACTGCGCCCGGCCAGCAGGGTGTAATACTTTTGTTTAGTAAAGTTCACGTGTGAAATAGTTTACTGAATTTAAATAATACCTTTAAAATTGAAATGTATTCTTCTTTCCTAATTGTTAATTGTTTTGAAATGAAGGAATGAATTAAGAAAATGATGATCATTGATGATTACATGATTGATACTGAAAATATTTTTGTCATTTATAGGAAGGGAGGGTTTAAAAATGATGTGCTCGGGGTCAAATACAGTCCTTGAAATAAATATCTGAGGACAGGCATGGCGCAGTGGCTCATGCCTGTAATCCCAGCACTTTGGGAGGCCGAGGCGGGTGGATCACGAGGTCAGGAGATTGAGGCCATCCTGGTTAACACGGTGAAACCCCGTCTCTACTAAAAATACAAAAAAAAATTAGCCGGACGTGGTGGCGGGCGCCTGTAGTCCCAGCTACTCGGGAGGCTGAGGCAGGAGAATGGCGTGAACCCAGGAGGCGGAGCTTGCGGTGAGCTGAGATTGCGCCACTGCACTCCAGCCTGGGCGACAGAGCGAGACTCTGTCTCAATAAATAAATAAATAAATAACTGAGGACGATTTTCACACCCTGCTGGGAGTTCTGTCTTCCTAACTACAGGGCCCTAATTCCTCTACCCATTCCTCAGCTGACACATTTCAGACAACCTGCATACCTGCCCTGGTTACCTCTAGAGCCTGGTGGGGATCTTCTAAGAAGTGAGCACAAGTTTTAGAACCAGAGGGCCTGTATTCAAATGTTGGATTTGGCCGCGTGACCTTGGGCAACTCATTTTCCCTCTGAGCCTGTTTCCTCATGACTACAATTTGGTGAAGGATCTTTATAATCTCAGGGTTAATATGAGGATTAGATTGGCTAATTTTTTTTTATCGTCTAGGTGTGATTATTTATGCTCTTTCCTTCCACACCTTCTAAGGGAAGACAATTCTTGCCTAGTCAGCTCCATATCTCCCCTTTATCAGGCAGAATCCCAGCAATAGGCTGTGTCTTGAGACAAAAGTTGTCAGATAATTTGAGACCTGGGCATACCACTTCCTCTCTGCATACTATTGTGAGAGAAGAAGAAATGTTTTAAAGAAGTCTTACTCTGCACTGAAAATGTACATGCTACAAAACCACACCTATTAGAATGGCTAAAATTAAAAGGACTGACAATAACAAGTGCTGACAAGGATGTGTGGCAGCTGGAACACCTATACATTGCTGTTTGAAGTATAAAGTGGAGGGCCAGGCACGGTGGCTCAAGCCTGTAATCCCAATGAGAGGTGACAGCGTGCTGGCAGCCCTCACAGCCCTCCCTCGCTCTCGGCGCCTCCTCTGCCTGGGCTCCCACTTTGGCCACACTTGAGGAGCCCTTCAGCCCGCCGCTGCACTGTGGGAGCCCCTTTCTGGGCTGGCCAAGGCTGGAGCCAGCTCCCTCAGCTTGCAGGGAGGTGTGGAGGGAGAGGCGGGAGCGGCAACTGGGGCTGTGCGGGTTGGCACTTGTGGGCCAGCTGGAGTTCCGGGTGGGCGTGGGCTTGGCGGGCCCCACACTCGGAGCAGCCGGCCGGCCCTGCCACCCCGGGCAATGAGGGGCTTAGCACCCGGGCCAGCAGCTGCGGAGGGTGTACTGGGTCCCCCAGCAGTGCCGGGCCACGGGCGCTGTGCTCTATTTCTCGCCGGGCCTTAGCTGCCTTCCTGCGGGGTAGAGCTTGGGACCTGCAGCCCGCCATGCCTGAGCCCCCACCCGCACCCCCCTCCACCGCCTCCGTGGGCTCCTGTGCAGTCGGAGCCTCCCCGATGACCACCGCCCCCTGCTCCACGGCGCCCAGTCCCATCGACCACCCAAGGGCTGAGGAGTGTGGGCGCACGGCGGGGGACTGGCAGGTGGCTCCACCTGCAGCCCCAGTGGGAGATCCACTGGGTGAAGCCACCTGGGCTCCTGACTCTGGTGGGGACTTGGAGAACCTTTATGTCTAGCTAAGGGATTGTAAATACACCAATAGGCACTCTGTATCTAGCTCAAGGTTTGTAAACACACCAATCAGCACCCTGTGTCTAGCTCAGGGTTTGTAAATACACCAATCGGCACTCTGTATCTAGCTACTCTGGTGGGGACTTGGAGAACCTTTGTGTCCACACTCTGTATCTAGCTAATCTAGTGGGGAAGTGGAGAACCTTTGTGTCTAGCTCAGGGATTGTAAACGCACCAATCAGCACCCTGTCAAAACAGACCACTCGGTTCTCTGTAAAATGGACCAATCAGCAGGATGTGGGTGGGGCCAGATAAGAGAATAAAAGCAGGCTGACCAAGCCAGCAGTGGCAGCCCGCTCGGGTCCCCTTCCACACTGTGGAAGGCTTGTTCTTTTGTTCTTTCGCCCTTTGCAATAAATCTTGCTACTGCTCACTCTTTGGGTCCACACTGCCTTTATGAGGTATAACACTCACTGCGAAGGTCTGCAGCTTCACTCCTGAAGCCAGCGAGACCATAAACCCACCAGGAGGAACAAACAACTCCAGACACGCCGCCTTAAGAGCTGTAACAGTCACCCCAAAGGTCCGCAGCTTCACTCTTGAGCCAGTGAGACCACGAACCCACCAGAAGGAAGAAACTCCGAACACATCCAAACATCAGAAGGAACAAACTCCAGATACGCCACCTTTAAGAACTGTAACACTCACTGGGAGGGTCCATGGCTTCATTCTTGAAGTCAGTGAGACCAAGAACCCACCAATTCCGGACACACCAATACTTTGAGAGGCTGAGGCGGGTGTTCACTTGAGCCAAGTTCAAGACCAGCTCGGGCAACATGGCAAAACCCCGTCTCTACAAAAAAAATACAAAAATCAGCTGGGCGTGGTGGGGCCTGCCTGTAGTTCCAGCTACTCAAGAGGCTGAGGTTCGAGGATCACTTAAGTCCTGGAGGTGCTGCTGTGATCTTGCCACTGCACACCAGCCTGGACGATAAAGTGATACCCTGTCTCAAGGAAAAAAAAAAAAGAGAGATCAATTGCTGGGCGTGGTGGCTTATGCCTGTAATCCCAGCGCTTTGGGAAGCCAAGGCAGGCAATTGCTTGAGCTGAGTTCGAGACCAGCCTGGGCAACATGGTGAAACCCCATCTCCACTAAAAATACAAAAATTAGCTGGGCATGGTGGTGCGCTCCTATAATCCCAGGTACTCAGGAGGCTGAGGCAGGTGGCGGAGGTTGCAGTGAGCTGAGATTGCACCATTGCACTCCAGCCTGGGCGACAGAGCAAGTGGTACTCCATCTCAAAAAAAAAATAAATAAATAAAATAAAAATAAAAATAAATATGCAACTATCATAGATCCAGCCATTTGGTTCCTTATCTGAGAGAAATGAAAGTGTACGTCTACACAAAGACTTGTACACACATGTTCATAGTAGCTTTATTTGTCACAGCCAAAGACTGGAAACAACCCAAATGACCATCAATCAGTGAATGGACAAATAGAATATGGTCTGTCCATATAACTGAATGCTACTCAGCAACAAAAAAGAATGAACTACTGATACACACAACATGGACAAATCTCAGAATAATACGCTGGGTGAAAGAAGCCAGACAAAAATGAGTATATACTATACAATTTTATATACATAAAATTCTAGAAAATGCAAACTTATCTGCATGAAAGAAAGCAGATTAGTCTGGGCACAGTGGCTCACGCCTGTAATCCTAGCACTATGGGAGGCTGAGGCGGGCAGATCACTTGAGGCCAGGAATTTGAGACGAGCCCAGCAAAAATGGTGAAACCCCGTCTCCACCAAAAACACAAAAATTAGCTGGGCATGGTGGTGTGTAGTCCCAGCTACTCGGGAGGCTGAGGCATGAGAATTTCTTTCTTTTTTTTTTTTTTTGTGAGACGGAGTCACACTCTGTCGCCCAGGCTGGAGTGCAGTGGGACTATCTCGGCTCACTGCAACCTCCACCTCCCGGGTTCAAGCGATTCTCCTGCCTTAGCCCCCCGAGTAGCTGGGACTACAGGTGTGCACCACCAAGCGTGGCTAATTTTTTGTATTTTTAGTAGAAACAGGGTTTCACCATATTGGCCAGGCTGGTCTTGAACTCCTGATCTCGTGATCCGCCCGCCTCGGCCTCCCAAAGTGCTGGGATTACAGGTGTGAGCCACCACGCCCAGCCAAGAATTTATTGAACCCAGGAGGCGGAGGTTGCAGTGAGCCAAGATCACACCACTGCACTCCAGCCTGGGTGACAGAGCAAAGCACAGAAAAGGGGAGGGGAGAGGAGGGGAGGTTAGTGATTACTTGGGAAGCAAGGGAGGGTAGAATAGGCCACGCAACTCTGCCCTGGTCTTATCAAGAAGCATGCGCTTTCTCTCCTGGAATTTTTTTTTTTTTTAGATGGAGTCTCGTTCTGTCACCAGGCTGGAGTGCAGTGGTACAATCTCAGCTCACTGCAACCTCCACTTCCCGGGTTCACGCCATTTTCCTGCCTCAGCCTCTCGAGTAGCTGGGACTACAGGCGCCCACCACCACGCCCGGCTAATTGTTTGTATTTTTAGTGGAGACAGGGTTTCACCATGTTGGCCAGGATGGTCTCAATCTTTTGACCTCATGATCCACCCACCTCGGCCTCCCAAAGTGCTGGGATTAGAGGCGTGAGCCACCGCGACTAGCCCTCTCCTGGATTTAAATAGTAGCAGCTGCAGTGAGCATTTGTGGGCTTGGGATATTCAGTGGTCAGCAGCACTTCATTCCCTATGGAGACCTACCCTCCTTTGTGAGCAGTCACAGGAGAGTGGGTGACACACCTGCCCCCTACACAGATGTACAAACGTCCAGTTCTCCCCGTCTCTGCTCCAGCTGCAATCAAATGGTGGGCACATAATCCAGGCTAGGGCAGCCACATGTTCCCTCTAGGACTCGGCCGTTGAGTGAGCAATTTGGGGCTGAGAGGAGTGATGGAGGCTGTCCGGGCCAGGCGATCACAAAAACACATGAGGAGGGCCAGCTCACGCCTGTAATCCGAGCACTTTGGGAGGCCAAGGTGGGCAAATCACTTGAGGTCGGGAGTTCGAGACCAGCCTGGCCAACATGGTGAAACCCCGTCTCTACCAAAAATACAAAAATTAGCCAGGCATGGTGGCATGTGCCTGTAATCCCAGCTACTCGAGAGGCTGAGGCAGGAGAATCACTTCAACCTGGGAGGCGGAGGTTGCAGTGAGCAGAGATAGTGCCATTGCACTCCAGCCTGGGTGACAGAATGAGACTCTGTCTCAAAAACAAAAAAGGACATGAGGAAACTTCTAGGAGTTGTAACGATATTAATTATTTTGTTCTTCTTCCCCCCCCCCCCTTTTTTTTTTTTTGAGACAGAGTCTTGCTCTGTTCCCCAGGCTGGAGTGCAGTGGCATGATCTCAGCTCACTGCAACATCCACCTCCCAGGCTCAAGCGATTCTCCTGCCTCAATATCTTGAGTAGCTGGGATTACAGGCGTGCACCACCACACCCGCCTAATTTTTGTATTTTTAGTAGAGACGGGGTTTCACCATGTTAGCCAGGATGGCCTCGATCTCCTGACCTCGTGATCTGCCCGCCTCGGCCTCCCAAAGTGCTGGGATTACAGGCATGAGCCACCATGCCTGGCCAATTATTTTGATCATGGTGATGGTTTCACAGGTGTAGGCTTATATCAGAATTCATAAAATTGCGTGCTTTAAATGTGTACAGTTTATTGTATATCAACTATACCTCCAAAACACTCTTTTTTAAAAATATACTCACTCTGGCATTTTTTTGAGACTGAGAAAAGATTTTAATTACTTCCAATTATATTTTTCTGCCAAATAAGTCACCATGCAGAGACGAGGCAATGAGAAGCCTTAGTTATATTTGGCTTACATATATTACGCATAGAGCTTGGTGCCTGCCTCAATAAATAGCAGCGCTCCAGATATCATCTGACTGACACAGAGGAAAACTCTCTATTTAGACCAGAAGTTGCAAACTCAGAACCCTTTAGGGTCCAAGCAGGTGAAGCAAAGCAAGACAAGCGTATACAACATGTAATGGCAGAGACTATGGCAAAAAGAATTTATGTCCAATCTAAGTGCATTTAATTGCTGAGTGCTAAACAACAGACATTGGTGGCCTGAATTGGGCAAGTCCTGGGGTGTGGTCTTGAGGGACCTTCACTCTCCCTATAACTAGATACTCCATGTAAAATGGGTCCATGTAACTTAGTGATGTGATAGTGTATTAGTTCATTTTCACAATGCTGATAAAGACATACTGGAGACTGGGTAATTTAGAAAGAAAAAGGGTGGACTCACAGTTCCACGCGGCTGGGGAGGCCTCACAATCATGGCAGAAAGCAAAAAGCACGTCTTACATGGCAGCAGGCAAGAGAGAATGAGAGCCAAGTGAAAAGGGAAACCCCTTATAAAACCATCAGATCTTGTGAGGTTTATTCACTGCCCTGAGAGCAGTATGGGGGAAACCGCCCTCATGATTCAATTACCTCCCACCAGGTCCCTCCCACAACACATGGGAATTATGGGAACTACAATTCAAGATGAGATCTGGGTGGGGACACAGCCAAACTATATCAGATAGCAACAGCTGATCTTTTAGAAAATGCTTTTATTGGCGGGGCGCAGTGGCTCATGCCTGTAATCCCAGCACTTTGGGAGGCCGAGGCGGTTGGATCACCTGAGGTCAGGAGTTCGAGACCAGCCTGATCAACATGGAGAAATCCTGTCTCTACTAAAAATACCAAATTAGTTGGGCGTGGTGGTGCATGCCTGTAATCCCAGCTACTTGGGAGGCTGAGGCAGGAGAATTGCTTGAACCCAGGAGGCGGAGGTTTCGGTGAGCCAAGATCACACCATTGCCTCCAGCCTGGGCAACAGAGTGAGACTCCGTCTCAAAAAAAAAAAATTAAAAAAATTAGCTGGGCATAGTGGTGGGCACCTGTAATCCCAGCTACTCGGGTGGCTGAGGCAGGAGAGTCACTTGAACCTGGGAGGCGGAGTTTGCAGTGACCCTAGATTGCATCACTGCATTCCAGCCTGGGCGACAGAGTGGGACTCCGTCTCAAAAAAAAAAAAAAAAGAAAGAAAGAAAAAGAAAAAAAAAGAAAATGCTTTTATTTGGTGCTCCCAAGAACTCTGTGCACTAGATAGGATTATTTCCATTTTTCCAGATGAGAAAACCGAGGCTCAGAGATATCACCTAGGCTCCTCCCCAGGGCCAATGAAACAAAGACCCAGACTTACTTCTTCTTACCCTGGCCTGAGTTTTGTTTTGTTTTTTTTCCCCACCCAGCCACACCGAGATTGTATTGGCTTTGTTTATTTCCATGGGGTAAACCCATGGAAAAACCCAACTTTCTCTTCCTTTCTGAAATGACTGCTTCCAGGGGTCAGTGAAGTTTTGGAAGAAGGAGAAGGCGCACGGCCCCCTGGTGGATGCTCTCGGAACTCTAAGGGTTGGAGATACATACTTCTACCCACCTGCCCATTTCAAGTTGATATTTTTGTTTTTTATAAGTTCTCTTCTTAAGAAGTTCATCTGGCCGGGCACAGTGGCTCATGCCTGTAATCCCAACACTTTGGGAGGCCAAGGTGGGTGGAGCACCTGAGGTCAGGAGTTCAAGACCAATCTGGCCAACATGGTGAAACCCTGTTTCTACTAAAAATACAAAAATTAGCTGGTCATGGTGGTGTGCTCCTGTAATCCCAGCTACTTGGGAGGCTGAGGCAGGAGAATCACTTGAACCTGGGAGGCGGAGGTGGCAGTGAGCTGAGATCACGCCACTGCACTCCAGCCTGGGTGATAACAGTAAGACTCTGTCTCAAAAAAAAAAAAAAAAAAAAAAAGAAGAAGAAGAAGTTCATCTGTGTCCAAGAATTCTGAGATAATAATACAGGTAAATCCACTTTAAGAGATCCACTATTTAAGAACTTATTTTGCAAAATAGATTTGTTTATTCATTCCATAAATACATATAGCTGGTGTGTGACAATCTTAACAGTGAGTGGGGGCTGGGCGCGATGGCTCATGTCTGTAATCCCAGCACTTTGGGAGGCCGAGGCAGGAAGATCACTTGAGGCCAGGAGTTTGAGACCAGCCTGGCCAACATGGTGAAACCTTGTCGCTACTAAAAATACAAAAATTAGCCAGGCATTGTGGCGCACACCTGTAATCCCAGCTACTTGGGAGGCTGAGGTGGGAGAATCCCTTGAACTCAAAAGGTGGAGGTTGCGGTGAGCTGAGATGGCACCACTGCACTCCAGCTTGGGCAACAGAGCAAGACTCCATCTCAAAAAACAAACAAACAAAACAAAACAAAAAAACAGTGAGTAGGACTAACTCCATGCCAGACACAGCTTCAAGTGCTTTCTAGATATTCAAATATCTGTCAAAGATATGTCAAAAAAAGCAATAATTTAAGGTGGGTTCTGTTATGTCTTATCTGCTTGGTCAGCCACAGCAAAGTACTGTAGATTGAGAAATTTCTTCCTTTTTTTTTTTTCTTTTTGAGACGGAGTCTTGCTCTGTCACTCAGGCTGGAGTGCAATGATGCGATCTGGGCTCACAGCAACCTCCACCTCTGAGGTTCAAGCAATTCTCCTGCCTCAGTCTCCCAAGTAGCTGGGATTACAGGTGTGTGCCACTATGACTGGCTAATTTTTTTTGTATTTTTGGTAGAGACGGGGTTTCACCATGTTGGCCAGGCTCATCTTGAACTCGTGACCTCAAACGATTTGCCCACCTCAGCCTCCCAAAGTGCTGGGATTACAGACATGAGCCACTGTGCCTGGCTAAGAAATTTATTTCTTATAGTTCTGGAGGCTGGGAAGTCCAAGATCAAGGTGTTGGCAAGGTAGATTTTATTCTGAGGCCTCTTCTCTGGCTTGTAGACAGCTACCTTCTTACTGTGTGCTCACGTGACCTCTTCTACCTCTCTTTTCTTTTCTTTTCTTTCTTTCTTTTTTTTTTATTTTTTATTTTTTTTGAGACAAAAATCTCGCTCTTGTCCCCCAGGCTGCAGTGCAATGGCACGATCTCTGCTCACTGCAACTTCTGCCTCCAGGGTTCAAGTGATTCTCCTGCCTCAGCCTCCCGAGTAGCTGGTATTACAGGTGCTCACCACCACGCCCAGCTAATTTTGTATTTTGAGTAGAGACAGGGTTTCACCGTGTTGGCCAGGCTGATCTCAAACTCCTGACCTCAAGTGATCCGTCCACTTCAGCTTCCCAAAGTGCTGGGTTTACAGGTGTGAGCCACCCTGCCTGGCCCTCTTTCTTCTTTCTTTTCTTTTCTTTCCTTCTTTTTGAGACAGAATCTCACTCTGTCACCCGGGTTGGAGTGCAGTGGCGCAATCTTGGCTCACTGCAACCTCTACCTCCTGGGTTCAGGTGATTCTCCCATCTGGGCCTCCCACGGGACTACAGACGCGCACCACCACACCTGGCTAATATTTTTTTTTCTGAGACGGAGTTTCACTATAATTTCCCAGCCTCAGGTATTCCTTTGGCAACATCTATGGCCTAAGAGAGGTAGGGTGAGGGTGGAATGGTGGAATGGGTGGTCTCTTCTCCAGGCCTCCTTTAAATGGACACCTTGCCCTCTAGTGTACCTCACCCTCTTTCCCCACCAGCATAAACATCTTTTTTTTAATTTAAGAGATGACGTATTGCTATGCTGTTTGGGCTGGTCTTTGAACTCCTGGCCTCAAGCAATCCTCCTACCTCAGCCTCCCAATGTGCTGGGATTACAGGTATGAGACACCAAGCCCAGCCCATCTACAATGCCCAGCTCACATAAACATCTTGATTCAACATACAGAAAACTTCAGGAGGGCATCAATTTTTGAAGAGTCAAGGTGGTCCTATCTAGAATCAACCATAAAGGGAAGGGAGGGAGGAAAAGATGCCTGACACATTTAAGCACTTGCCCTGTGCCACTGTGTTTAAATTATTTCATTCATTCATTCATTCATTCATTCATTCATTCATTCGGAGGAGGAGGAGGAGGAGGAGGAGGAGCCCCATGAGACAAAAAAAAAGGGCTCACCAAACCTATTTCCTCTTTCTGAGCACTGACTGGGTTACAGTTCCTAGCCCCCTTGCAGCTAGAAAGGGACATGTACTTTGCACTGTCAGTGGGCAGAAGGGATGTACCCGCCCACCAGGGCTGGTCATAAAACATCCAGTCTGATCTTTCATGCTCTGTCTGTCTCCTGTCCATAAGGATGAGGGCAAAAGAGTTTAAGATGGTGGAGCCTTATTATGCAAAGGAACCCAATCCCAGCGTCCACTGGAAGAAGACTGCCCAGGACTTCTACCTTCCCGGGAACATCTGCCCAGAGTCCACCAGCTGGAAGAAGACTGCCCAGGACTTCTACCTTCCTGGGAACATCTGCATCAGACTCTGTGGGGTAGGGAAATAAACCTTCATTGTGTTCAGCCAGCGAGATATTTGTCATTGTTACAGTAGTGAGCCAATCCTGATAAATACATGGTATTTGATAGACCCATTTCACAGAACGGGAAAACAGAGGCTCAGTAGATGGAGCTCACACTACTCATAAGTAGTACAACAGGGATTTGAACCAAGCTCTGTCTGACACTAGATATCCCTTTCATTGGTTCTTTTTCTGTTTTTGTTTTTGTTTTTAAGAGATGAGGTCTCGGCCGGGCATGTAATCCCAGCACTTTGGGAGGCCAAAGGGGATGGACCACTTGAGGTCAGGAGTTTGAGACCACCCTGGCCAATATGGCAAAACTCCTTCTCTACTAAAAATACAAAAATTAGCTGAGCATGGTGGATCATCCCTCCAGCTACTTGGGAAGCTGAGGCAGGAAAATCGCTTGAACCCGGAAGGCAGAGGTTGCAGTGATCACACCACTGCACTCCAGCCTGGGCGACAGAGCAAGACTCCATCTCAAAAAAACAAAACAAAAGAGATGGGGTCTTACTCTGTCCCCCGGCCTGAAATGCAGTGGTGCAACCATATCTCATTGTAACCTTGAACTCCTGGACTAGAAGCCATCCTCCCGCCTTGGTCTCCCAAAGTGCTAGGATTACAGGCATGGGCCATCACATCTGGCCTCATTTGCCCTTTTCTTTCTTTAAACAACTTTTTTTTTTTTGAGACAGTCTCACTCTGTTGCCCAGGCTGGAGTGCAGTGACGCAATCTCCCCTCACTACAACCTCCCCCTCCTGGGTTCCAGTGATACTCATGCCTCAGCCTCTCAAGTAGCTGGGACCACAGGCACAGAGCACCACGCCTGGGTAATTTTTGCATTTTTAGTAAGAGATGTCATCTACTCCACTAGAGCCACCGTGCCTGGCCTAAACAACTTTTTTTTTTTTTTTTTTTTTTTGAGACGGAGTCTTGCTCTGTCGCCCAGGCTGGAGTGAAGTGGCACGATCTCGGCTCACTGCAAGCTCCGCCTCCTGGGTTCACGCCATTCTCCTGCCTCAGCCTCCCTAGCAGCTGGGACTACAGGCGCCCGCCACCATGCCCGGCTAATTTTTTGTATTTTTAGTAGAGACGGGGTTTCACTGTGTAAGCCAGGACTAAACAACTTTTTAAAAACTGCATAAGAAGCTGGCACAGTGGCCGGGCGCGGTGGCTCACGCCTGTAATCCCAGCACTTTGGGAGGCCGAGGCGGGTGGATCCCGAGGTCAGGAGATCAAGACCATCCTGGCTAACACAGTGAAACCCCGTCTCTACTAAAAATACAAATAAATTAGCCGGGCGTGGTGTCGGGCGCCTGTAGTCCCAGCTACTCGGGAGGCTGAGGCAGGAAAATGGTGTGAACCCCGGGAGGCAAAGCTTGCAATGAGCCAAGATTGCACCACTGCACTCCAGCCTGGGTGACAGAGCAAGACTCTGTCCCAAAGAAAAAAAAAAGAAGAGAAAAGAAAAAGAAAAAGAAAAAAAGGAAGCTGGCACAGTGGCATGCACTTATAGTCCCAGCTACTCAGGAGGCTGAGGCAGGAAGATTGCTCAAGCCTAAGAGTTCAAAGTTGTAGGATGCTATGATCGCACCTGTGAATAGCAACTGCACTCCAGCCTGGGAAACATACCGAAACCCTATCTCTTAAAAAAAATACCATAAGCTGCATAAGGAATATGTACAGTGTTTCACGTGAATGCAGCCTAATTCATTTAGTCAGTTTCCTATTCCTGCAGGTTGTTTCTGTTTTTTTCCCCACTGTCATAAGCAATCATTCCATGAATATCCTTGTAGCTAAAGATTTATGCATAATCCTTCATTGTTTCTTTGGGATAAATTCTTAGCAATGGAATCTCTGGGTCAAAGTGCTTGCACATTTTTTTTCTTAGGCTTCAGAAATACATATAGCAAATAAATCCCACGTCCTTTCTATTGCCCTATGCTGGTTCCCAAGCGGTTGGCTGATGACTGGGAGGTGCCTTGAGGTTTCTTTGACGTCTCTGGCCTCAGCTGTAGGACAATGGGGAAGTGGACCCAGAGCTGCTGGCTGCATGTGGGTCTATGAAATCAAGGAAGGAAGAAGTCTGCTGGGGAAGCAAGCCCAGCTGACCAGAGGGTCTTTTTTTTTTTTCTTTTTTTCTTTTTTTAAGAGACAGAATCTCACTCTGTTGCCCAGGCTGGAGTGCAGTGGCATGATCATAGCTCACTGCAGCTTCCATCTCTTGGGCTCAAGTGATCCTCCAGCTTCAGCCTCCTAGTAGCTGGGACTACACCCCCACACCTGGCTAGTTTTTTTATTTTGTATTTTGCAGAGAAGGGTCTCACTGTATTGCCCAAGCTGGACGGGACTTAGCCATTTTTGTATAGAGAGCATGAAAAGGGCTTCTTTTTCCAGCTCCATTCATTCATTCAAAAACTTATTAAAGATTATGTATTATTTGAATAGCTAAGCTGTGAACATAGTAAACATTCAGAAGACAGAAGGTATAGAGTGAAAAGTTCCCTTTCCACCTCATGTAGACATGCAGGTTCCCACTGTAGAGATAGCTAATCTCCTATGGATAAGCAAGCCAAAATGTACATATACTTTTTTTTTTTGACTGGTTGTGGAACTGTGAGTTTTACCTTGCTGAGTATTTTTGTAATCCTATGTATATTCTGGAGCTTTTGTCTTTGAAAATGCCTACTTTTTTAAACACAAAGAATAGCATACTATACATACCATTCCATTCCACACCTAGCTTTTTTTCACTTAGCTGTACACTTTGGAGATTGTTCTATATCAGTGCACATCCATCTACTTTGTTCATTTTTTAAATCTTCCTCCTGCCTCAGCCTCCTGGGTAGCTGGGGACTATAGGCATGCACCACCATGCCTGGCTAATTTTTTCTATTTTTTGTAGAGATAAGGTCTCATTGTGTTGCCCAGGCTGGTTTCAAAATCCTGGCCTCAAGTGATCCTCCTGCCTCGGCCTTCCAAAGTACTGGGATTACAAGCGTGAGCTACTGTGCCAGCCCTGTTCATTTTTAATGGGTGTATAGTATTCCATTGTAAAGCCATGCTATGATATATTTAATAATTCTCCTTTCATGGACATTTAGGTTGTTTTCCGTCTCTTGGTATTATAAACAGGGTGACAAGGAACATCCCTCACCAGATATTTATTAGGGTCCCCCAAGGTGCCAGGTAGTGAGTATAAGGTAGAAAATGAGACAGATGAGGTTCCTGCCCTTAGAGAACTTAAAATCAAGTTGGGGAGAGGCCATCAACAGTAGGGCTGGGTGCAGTAGCTCACATCTGTAACCCCAGCACTTTGGGAGGCTCAAGTGGGGAGGACCACTTGAGCCTGGGAGTTCAATACCAGCCTGGGCAATACTGTAACACCTCATCTCTATGAAAAGTAAAAATAAATAAATAAATAAATGAGCTGGGTGGGGTGATGCACACCTGTAGTTCCAGCTACTCCAGAGGCTGAGGCAGGAGGATGGCTTGAGCCTGGGAGGTGGAGGCTGCAATGAGCTGTGATTGTGCCACTGAGCAATGAGCTATGATTGTGCCACTGAACCACATCCTGGGCAACAGAGTGAGACCCTGTCTCTAAAAAAACAAACAGTCACAAAAACAAGTGAAGAATGTAGGGGCGGCAAGTGTGTCGTGCCCTGGGAAGCACTCACAGGATACTGACCCACAGGGGCAGTGCCAAAGAGGGGTTGGGGGTGGGTTTAGCCTTCCTCCCTTTCATTTCCATGAGCAGGAGTAGGGAGGGGAAAGGCTGGATATTGACATGGACAATTTGTCAATCTCATGGAAAGGAAAATATTATCTTATTTCTGAATTCCCTAGAAGTGGAGTCTGAGACAGGCATACACAATTCACTAAGGAGTGAGGGAGAGGAAGCAGGATGGGGAGGATCAGGGTCCAAGCCTCAGGTAAAGTCTATTCTTGGCCTGACCCACACCATGGGGAGGGTGTGCACTGGAGTCTAAACTGCGCCATGGAATCCTCCCACCTTGAGGCAAGGAGGACAGCCTTTTTTTTTTTTTTAGATGGAGTCTCGCTGTGTCACCCAGACTGGAGTTCAGTGGCATGATCTTGGGTCACTGCAACCTCTGCCTCCTGGATTCAAGCGATTCTCCTGCCTTAGCCTCCGGAGTAGCTGGGATTATAGGCATGCACCACCATGCCCAGCTAATTTTTGTATTTTTAGTAGAGACGGGGTTTCACCATGTTGGCCAGGCTGGTCTTGAGCTCCTGACTTCAGGTGATCTGCCCGCCTCAGCTCCCAAAGTGTTAGGATTACAGGCGTGAGCCACTGAGCCTGGCTGAGGCCAGCCTTTTGTACCCGTTTGATGTCATTGCAGGCTGCTAGGCAGGGGAGTGGAATGGAGATGTCGTAACCTCCCAGGAGTGGCAGGGCCCCTTGCGTGAACACAGTTCTCTGGAGAAGGGAGCAGCCAACACTCCTAGCAGCTGGGGAATGGAAGCATCTGCTGAGAAAAAGGATCTGGGCAGGACACCCACAACGTCTTCTACAGTGACCAACAGGTAGCTCCAAGACAAACCCCCTCACTCTGCCCTTCCAACCTCATTACCCACCCCTAGTGCCTCTTAGTGGGAAGATCAGTGAAGGCTTCCCTACCAGTCTGGGCAACATAGCCAGACCCAGTCTCTACAAAAAAACTAAAAAATTCAGGCCGGGCGCAGTGGCTCACGCCTGTAATCCCAGCACTTTGGGAGGCTGAGGGGGGCGGATCACCTGAGGTCAGGAGTTCGAGACCAGCCTGACCAATATGGACAAACTCCATCTCTACTAAAAATACAACATTAGCCGGGTGTGATGGTGCATGCCTATAATCCCAGCTACTCGGGAGGCTGAGGCAGGAAAATTGCTTGAAGCTGGGAGGTGGAGGTTGCGGTGAGCTGAGATTGCACCATTGCACTCCAGCCTGGGCAACAAGCGCGAAACTCTGTCACAAAAAATAAATAAATAATTCACCAGCCTGGTGGTGCGTGCCTGTGATCCCAGCTACTCAGGAGGCTGAGACGCAGAGGTTGAGGCTGCAGTGAGCCGAGATCGCTCCACTGCACTCCAGCCTGGGCGACAGAGTGAGATGCTGTCTCAAAAAAAAAAAAAAAAGAGAGAGAGAGAGAGAGAGAAAGAAGGCCTCCCTGAACCCTGATTTTCCCTGGAGACCTGAAGGATGAAGAGGAGTTAAAGGCAGAAGGGAATAAGGAGCCGGAGAAGCATTCCAAGCAGAAGGCCGGCACTTGCAGAGGGAGGGAGGCAGGAAGGAGGATTGCTCATTTGAGGAACTGAGAGCCAGCCAGTGAAGAAGAAGTGGGGCTGGAGCTGGGGTGGAGATTGTGCTGGGTCTTCAACTTTATCCTCAGGGCACTGGGGAGCCACTGGTGGTTTAGAACACAGGAATGACATGACCTGACTTTCAAAGGACTCCTCTGGCTGCTGTGAGGAGGATGGACCCTGTGTGGGTTAAGGGCAGAGGCTGAGAGTCCAGTGAGGAGGTTAACGGTCTCATCCAGGCAAGCAGTAACCATGTTCACACAAAAACTTATATATGAAAGCTCATAGCAGCTTTATAGTAGTTCAAAAGTGGAAACAACCCAAATGTCCATCCACCGAGGGAACAGAATGTGGCCTATCTGTACAATAGAATCATTCTGACCATAACAAGCAATGCAGCTGGGCACAGTGGCTCATGCCTGTAATCCCAGCACTTTGGGAGGCCAATGTGGGTGGATCACTTGAGGCCAGGAGTTCAAGATCAGCCTGGCCAACCTGGTAAAATCTCATCTCTACTAAAAATACAAACATTAGCCGGGTGTGGTGGCACAGGCCTGTAATCCCAGCTACTCGGGAGGCTGAAGCATGAGAATTGCTTAAGCCTAGGAGGCGGAGGTTGCAGTGAGCTGAGATCGTGCCACTGCACTCCAGCCTGGGCAACAGAGCAAGAGTCTGTCTCAAAAAAAAAAAAAAAAAAAAAAAAAAAAAAGAGGAATGCAGTACTGACACACTGCAACATGGATGAACCTTGAAAACATTCTGCAGAGTGAAAGAAGCCAGACACAGAAGACTGTAAATCGTATGATTCCATTTATATGCAATGTCCAGAATAGGCATCTCCATAGAGATAGAAATTAGATTAGATGTTGACAAGGGCTTGAGGTTGGGGGTGGTGAGAGAATGGGGAATGACGGTGAATGGGTGTGGGGTTTCTTTGGGGAAGATAAAAATGGTTTGGAAGTAGATTATGAAAGTGGTTGGGCAAGTTGATAGCTACACTAAAAACCACTGAATTGCACACTTTAAAAGGGTGAATTTTATAGTTTGTGAACTATATCTCAATCAAAAAAGGAGGAGGAGAAGGAAGAAGAAAAGAAGAAGAGGCTGGGCACGGTGGCTCATGCCTGTAATCCTGGCACTTTGGGAGGCTGAGGCAGGCAGATCACTTGAGACCAAGAGTTCAAGACCAGCCTGGCCAACATAGTGAAACCCCATCTCTACTAAAAATATAAAAATGAGCCAGCTGTAGTGGTGCACACTTGTAATCCCAGCTACTTGGGAGGCTGAGGCAGAAGAATCACTTGAACCTGAGAAGCGGAGGTTGCAGTGAGCCGAGATCACACCACCGCACTCCAGCCTGAACAGAGCGAGACTTTGTCTCATAAATAAGTAAACAAATGAATAAATGTGAGTAACATCCTATATTAGTTTCCTACTGCTGCTGTAGAAATTACCACAAATATTGACTTTACACAAGCTTATTCTCATAGTTGCGGAGGTCATGAATCTGACATCGGTTTTATAGGGCTAGTTCCCTGTGAGGGCTCTGAGGGAAGAATGTGTCCTTGCCTTTTTCATCTTCTAGAGGACCACCTGCATTCCTTGGCTCACATTCCCTTCATCGATCACTACAACCTCTTGTTTCCATCGTCAAATCTGCTACCGCTCACTCTGGTGTGCCCACCTCTTCCAAGGACCTGTGTGATTATATTGGGCTAGATAATCCAGGATAATCTCCTCATCTCAAAAATATTAATTTGATGCATCTACAAAGTCTCCTTTCCTATAATCATAGGTTCTAGAGTTCTAGAGATTAGGACATGGACATCTTTTTTTTTTTTTTGAGACAGAGTTTTGCTCTTGTTGCGCAGGCTGGAGTGCAATGGCGCGATCTTGGCTCAACGCAACCTCCACCTCACGGGTTCAAGAAATTCTCCTGCCTCAGCTTCCTGAGTAGCTGGGATTACAGGCATGTGCCACCACGGCCAGCTGATTTTGTATTTTTAGTAGAGAGGGGGTTTCTCCATGTTGGTCAGGCTGGTCTTGAACTCCCAACCTCAGGTGATCCCGCCACCTTGGCTTCCCAAAGTGCTGGGATTACAGGTGTGAGCCTGCTCCCGGCAGGACCTGGACATCTTTTAGGGGTTATTATTCAGCCTACCACACACTTACCAGATTTAAAATTCTATGATGTACACTTACCTACAGTATCTCATTTAGATACTTATGAGGTGTTATCATTCCTATTTAATGAATGAGAACGCAGGTCTAGAAAGCTTCATTGCTTAGCCACAGTCATATAGTCAAAGAACTAGAAACTCAAACCGGAGTATATGGCCCTAGAGACCATGTAACAGCACTACACACCACTTCTCCTCCACCAGGCTGCCTGTAAATCACGGGCCTTTGGCCTCTCATTTTCTTGTACAACTCAAAAAAAAAAAAAAAGAAGAGGAAGAAGAAGAGGAAGAGGAGGAGGAGGAGGAGGAGTAGGCGGTGGCAGCGCCATGGCTCAAGCCTGTAATCCCAGCACTTTGGGAGGCCAAGGCAGGAGGATTGCTTGACCCCAGGGGTTTGAGACCAGCCTGGGCAACATGACGAGACTTTGTCTCTACTAAAAACAAAAACAAAAAAAACTTGGCTGGATGCAGTGGCACATGCCTGTAGTTCAACTAGTTGGGAGGCTGAGGCAAGAGGATTGCTTGAGCTCAGAAATTCAAGGCTGCAGTGAGCTATGATTGTACCACATCACTGCACTCCAGCCTGGGTGACAGAGCAAGACCCTGTCTCTCTGACAGAGGAGAGAGAGAGAAAGAGAGAGAGAGAAGGAATGAATTGACCTAAGAAGGAAAATGGCTGAATTCGGGATATATTTTGGATGTGGGTTACTTAGGGGACACAGTGGGGCAGGAATTGGTCCTATGTGAGTCCCTGCATCCCTCAAGTGTGCCACTGGAAGAAAAGCAGAAGGAGCAGCAAGTATGGAGCCCATGTCAGGGTGTCACCAGCTCCCCAGTGTGAGCCACTCACAGAACGCAAAGGCCATGCAGTGCTGGGATTCAGAAAGTATCAGATTTCAAGGCCTGTGTGTCCTTGGGTGAGTAGCTTGGCCTCTCTGGGCCTCTGGATGGACTGGGGGCAGCGAGTCTATAAAGCCCTGAGCTGCCTTTCCTGCATTCTCAGCACATTATTGGAACCTGAGTGCATCGTGACAGCCCGGTGTGCTGACAGCTGGCAGAGTCCACACGCCTCTTCTACGCGTGGCTTCAGTGTCCTCTCATAAACCTGACCCTGCCCGGTCAACCCCAGCTCTAAAAAGAACTGTCCAGCCCTAAGTTAGGACAGCATTTTCTCCTCTGTGACTTCACTTCCGTTGCACCCTTTTTTTTTTTTTTTTTTTGAGACAATCTTGCTCTGTTGCCTAGGCTGGAGTGCAGTGGCATGATCTCTGCTCACTGCAATCTCCACTTCCCAGGTTAAAGCAATTCTTATGCCTCAGCCTCCCGAGTAGTTTGGACTACAGCTGCATGCTGCCACCACGCCCGGCTAATTTTTTTTTTTTTTTTTTTTTTGAGGTGGAGTTTCGCTCTTGTTGCCCAGGCTGGAGTGCAATGGCACCACCTCGGCTCACCGAAAGCTCTGCCTCCTGGGTTCAAGCGATTCTCCTGCCTCAGCCTCCCAAGTAGCTGGGATTACAGGCATGTGCCACCATGCCCAGCTAATTTTGTATTTTTTTAGTAGAGATGGGGTTTCTCCATGTTGGTCAGGCTGGTCTCAAACTCCCGACCTCAGGTGATCCGCCCACCTCGGCCTCCCAAGGTGCTGGGATTACAGGCGTGAGCGACCGAGCCTGGCCTAATTTTTTGTGTTTTTAGTAGAGGAAGGTTTTCATCACGTTGCCCAGGCTGGCCTTGAACTCCTCAGTCCAGGCAATCTGCCCTCTTCGGCTTCCCAAAGTGCTGGGATTACAGGCGTGAGCCACCACGCCAGCCCCTTTATAGCATTGTTTTATTTTCATTTCTCCCCTGTGTTCTCTCCCAGCTTTAGCCATCCTTTAGGATGTTCCTCCATCTTCCACCCTCCACTTCCACCAAGGTGCCTCATTCCTGGTCGCCATGCCTCACATTCCTCTCCCTTCTCATGAGTCCTGAAGCACTTTACAGTTCGATTAGAAAACCAGAGTCAGGAGGTCTGGATTTGACATGTGGCTTGACCACAAGCTTTCTGTGTGACGTTGGGCAAGTCATGAGCCTGCTCTGAGGCTCAGTTTCTTTATTCCGATATTGAAAGACAAGAGGGTCAGATACTTGCCCTCACCAAGCTGGATCATTTCGATTAAATATCTAGGGTGGATGTGGTGGCTCACGCCTGTAATCCCAGCACTTTGGGAGGCTGAGGCAGGCGGATCACGAGGTCAGGAGATCGAGACCATCCTGGCTAACATGGTGAAACCCCATCTCTACTAAACATACAAAAAATTAGCCAGGTGTGGTGGCGGGCGCCTGTAGTCCCAGCTACTCGGGCGGCTGAGGCTGGAGAATGGCGTGAACCCGGGAGGCGGAGCTTGCAGTGAGCCGAGATCGCACCACTGCACTCCAGCCTGGGTGACAGAGTGAGACTCCGTCTCAAAAAAAAAAAAAAAAAAAAAATTAGCCGGGCATGGTGGCGTGTGCCTGTAATCCCAGCTACTCAGGAGGCTGCGGCACAAGAATTGCTTGAACCCGGGAGGCAGAGGTTGCAGTGAGTCGAGATCATGCCACTGCACTCCAGCCTGGGAGAGAGAGCAAGACTCCATCTCAAAATAAAAGGAAAGTAAAAAGAAAGAAAGAAATCTCTGGAAACACAAGGTGGGGGGTACCTAGAAAAAGGGATGGTCTAGAATTAATGTGGTCTCCTATGTCCCACAGTGGCAGCAGCTGTTTCTGGCAAAATCCTTAGCGCTGGTTGCAGCCATTCAGCTCCCCTTGGTTTCTGCCAATTTCCTGATCCTATTTCTCTTGCCAATTCTCTAAGCTTCCAGATATCCTTCTAACAAATTTCTTTCTGGCTAAGTTACCCAGAATTAGATTCCATTTTTGGCAACTGAAGCCCCTAATGAGTTCAGACCTTCAAGTGGTCCTGTGATAGAATGATAGAGCCACACGTCTTTCCTTAAATGTGTTATGCCTTTTGGTTGTGCATGTCTTGTGAATCTTCTGCTTTCAACCTTCTCTCCCCAGAAACAGGGGTATCTTGAGGGTCTAAACACAGTACAAAACTCAAAAACAGCTGTCTTATAGGCCCAGAACCCTTCCAAACATCATGGAGGATCTTTTAGTTCGGAGGGTCAAATTGTCAGCCTGATAGAGCTAGCATTGGATGTGCTTTGTCTGGAAATATATTAAAGTTTCAGATTCCCAGATTTTCTTGAAAAATCAGAAGATCTGGCCGTACCTACCCACAGTCCCACATAGCAACATTCAGCTGAAGTTGAGTGGAACCTACCCCCTTTAGATGGGATGTGACCACTTCACTCATTTAAATAATCTATTTGGGGACAGGTGCAGTGGATCACACCTGCAATCCTAGCTATTCAGGAGGCTGAGGCAGGAGGATCACTTGAACCCAGGAGTTCGAGGTTACAGTGAGCCGTGGTTGTACCACTGCACTCCAGCCTGGGCAACAGAGTGAGACCCTGGCTCAAATAAATAAATAAATAGTTTTTTTTTAATTAAATTATTTGAATCCAGGAGGCATTTGAGTTTGCACCTCTTGGCCGGGCATGGTGGCTCAAGCCTGTAATCCCAACACTTTGGGAGGCCGAGGTGGGTGGATCACTTGAGGTCAGGAGTTCAAGACCAACCTGGCCAACTTGGTGAAACCCTGTCTCTACTAAAAAATACAAAAATTAGCCAGGCATGGAGATGCGTACCTGCAATCTCACCTACTCAGGAGGCTGACGCAGGAAAATCACTTCAACCTGGGAGGCGGAGGCTGCAGTGAGCCAAGATCGCTCCATTGCACTCCAGCTTGGGCGACAGAACAAGACTCTGTGTCAAAAAAAAAAAAAGAGTTTGCACCTCTTGTTTAGATGAGTAGAATGTTGCGGGTCATGCCTTGTTTTCCTTGAGCCTGTCTTTGGAGGCCACAACTGGGCATGGGATGTGGCTAAGTGAGAGGAGCACAGGCCCTAGCGTCACTGGAGAGCTGTGTAACCCTGGGCAAGTCCCTTAACCTCTCTGAGCCTCAGTCTTTGCAACTCTGAAATGGAAATAATAGTTCACAGGAATGCTGCGAAAATTCAATCAGGTCCATAAAGTATGATACAGAAAAGTAGGTGTTCACTAAAAGTTTATGAAAGAGGGGATTCTGAGATCTTACATTTGGAAGGACCCAGTGGGATGCTTCGCTCATAGTGAGTGCTTGAGAAATGTTCATTCTCTTCCCCTGATTTTTTTTTTTTTTTTTTGAGACAGAGTCTCGCTATGTCACCCAGGCTGGAGTGCAGTGGCACCATCTCAGCTCACTGCAACCTCTGCCTCCCAGGTTCAAGCGATTCTCCTGTCTTAACCTCCAGAGTAGCTGGAACTACAGGCGCATGCCACCACATCCAGCTGATGTTTGTATTTTTAGTAGAGACAGATTTTCACCATGTTGGCCAGGCTGGTCTCGAACTCCTGACCTCAAGTGATCTGCCCACCTCGGTCTCCCAAAGTGCTGGGATTACAGGCATGAACCACTATGCCCAGCCTCTTCCCCTGTTTTTTGTATTGTTGGGCAGAGTTCTTGGGTTTTTATTTTGCTTTTGGCTGGGCCAGGGCGGAGCAATCACACCACAGTGCCCTTCAGAGGGGTCCTATGGGCTCTGGAAAGATGCCCCCGATAGCTGTGGAGATGGAATATGAGTGGGTAGGCACGACACTGTGTGGAATGTGTGCAGCCATCCCCCTGAGTTACGTGGGACCCACAGGCTTCCTGGGAAATAAATGACATCATGTCCGGTGTCTGAACCTGGGATTCGGAAAACTCCAAACCAGCCCAACAGGTTTGCCAGGTACAGACAGAAGTTGCAGGGGCGGGAGGGGATGGGGGTGCTCCAGGAGAAAACTGCAGAAGGAAGACACCCAGCCCGCCTGACTTGAGGGCTGAGTCTGGAGATTGGAGAGAAGGGGGGTTCCAGAAACAATCTGAGGCTGTGTTTGAACCCCCAGATTCAGCCCCTCCTCATCCTCCCATAGCCTTCACTGCTCTGAGACGAAGAGGGCTCACTTGGGGCCCAATCCACTCTTTCACAGAGCTCAACAGAAGGCACTGCAGGGGCTGGCTGGAGAGAGGGGTCAGGAGTAAGCGTCCGAGAAAGACAGGCCCTGGAGGGAAGTGGGCCGTGGTGCAGTGCCTGAGACCCACAGACAGCAGGCAGAGGGCCTTCTGCCTGCAAAGAGCAGCTCTAGCCACAGCTGAAGCAGCCCCTTCCAGACCTAGAAGGAGCCCTGCTGACAACCCACAGCCCCATCGGAACCCAGAGCATTCCTGGGATACTTGGTGAAGGGAACCTGTGTGGAAGACAGGACTTCCTTCCTACTGGCCTAGATGTGGGTGTTTGGAGCATCAGGACAGAGGGTGTGGCTGTAAACAGGGCCCCTTTACATATATATATATATATATATATATATATATATATATATATATATAATATATAAAATATAGATAATATAGATATTATATATAATATAGATAATATACATAATATTATAATATAGATATATTATAATATTTATAATATATGATATATCTATATCTAGATATATCTAGATATAGATATATCTAGATATAGATATATCTAGATATAGATATATCATATATTATATATATCTATAATATATAGATATATTATAGATATATATAATATATATATCTATAATATATAGATATATTATAGATATATATAATATATGATATATCTATAATATCTATAATATATGTATACTATAGCATATATGTATAATATATGTATAATATATAATATATAATATATAATATATAATATATCTGTAGTATACATATATAATATCTATATTATACATATATTATATATAATATAATATATCTGTATTATACATATTATATATAATATAATATATCTGTATTATACACATATTATATATAATATAATATATCTGTATTATACATATATATAATATGATATATCTGTATTATACATATATTATATATGATATATCTGTATTACACATATATTATATATGATATATCTGTATTACACATATATTATATATAATATATCTGTATTATACATATATTATATCTATCTATATTATATATAATATATATTATATCTATCTATATTATATATAATATATTATATCTATCTATATTATATATAATATATTATATCTATCTATATTATATATAATATATTATATCTATCTATATTATATATAATATATTATATCTATCTATATTATATATAATATATATTATATCTATCTATATTATATATAAGATATATTATATCTATCTATATTATATATAAGATATATTATATCTATCTATATTATATATAAGATATATTATATCTGTCTATATTATATATAAGATATATTATATCTATCTATATTATATATAAGATATATTATATCTATCTATATTATATATATTATATATTATATCCATATTATACATATATTATATATAATATATCTATATTATATATAGATATATATAATATAGATATATTATATTATATATTATATATTATATATTATATATAGTATATGTATAATATAGATATATTATACGTAATATATATAATATATGTATAATATAGTTATATTATATATATAATATATGTATAATATGATATATTATATTATATATGTATAATATGTATTATATATGTATAATATAGATATATTATATATAATATAGTATAATATAGATATATTATACTATATTATACATGTATAATATGATATATTATACATGTATAATATGATATATTATACATGTATAATATGATATATTATACATGTATAATATGATATATTATACATGTATAATATAGATATATTATATATAATATATATCTATAATATAGATATATTATATATTATATATTGTACATATATTATATATAATA
The DNA here is from genome assembly GCF_000001405.40 of Homo sapiens. NCBI lineage: Eukaryota > Metazoa > Chordata > Mammalia > Primates > Hominidae > Homo > Homo sapiens. Next base: position 120,927,286 of record NC_000012.12, on the reverse strand, counting down.
TATTAATATACATATATTATATATAATATATTAATATACATATATTATGTATAATATATTAATATACATATATTATGTATAATATATTAATATACATATATTATATATAATATATTAATAATATACATATATTATATATTATATATTATACATATATTATGTAATACATATTATATTATATTATACATATATTATGTAATATATGTTATACATTAATTATATAATATATAATATATATTATACATATATTATATAATATATATTATATATTATACATATATTATATAATATATATTATATATTATACATATTATATAATATATATTATATATTATACATATTATATAATATATATTATATATTATACATATATTATATAATATATATTATATATTATACATATATTATACATAAATTATATAATATATATTATATATAATATATATATATATTTTTTTGAAACAGAGTCTCACTGTCGCCCAGGCTGGAGTGCAATGCCATGATCTCGGCTCACTGCAACCTCTGCCTCCCAGGTTCAAGTGATTCTCCTGCCTCAACCTCCTTAGTAGCTGGAATTACAGGCGTGTGCCACCACACCTGGCTAATTTTTGTATTTTTAGTAGAGATGGGGTTTCACCATGTTGGCCAGGCTGGTCTTGAATTCCTGGCCTCAAGTGATCTGCCTGCCTTGGCCTCCCGAAGTGCTGGGATTGCAGGCATGAGCCAGTAAACTGGGTCCCTTTATATTCACAGCTCATCCATACCAGTTCTGCACCTGCTCTGTGCCAAGCTCTGTGCCAAGCTCCATGCCAGGTGGGCAGCGAGGAGCAACAGGGTAGAGCTTCCAGGGTAGCAAGGGAGATAACAGTCAAGTAACCAGATGAGTCAAGGTAAACTGAGCAGTGATACGGGAATGGCCGAGGTGCTGGAGCTGAGAGGCCAGGGAAGACTCGGTTATTTGAGTCACCATGGAATGAGCTCGGAGCAGAAGGGTCACATCTGTTTCCTTTTCTTGGGTAGCATTCCCAGGCCTCGCCTTGTTGGGGGTCCTTGTCTCACCTGAGAAGTCAGGTTCTCCCAACAGCTGACTCAGGATAGCAGATCAGCTCTGTTTTTCCCCCGTCAAGCCAACGCCAGGGGTTTCTCAGTTGGGGAATGAGGCTGACTACGACAGGATCCTCTGAACCACTGGCAGCGGCCAGAGGGGTTTGAGACATGCTTCTACCTGCCCAGGTAGGCCCAGGCTGTAGGGCAGGGGCGTCACCTATGACTCATCTCAGGCAACGCTGGGAAGACTATTGTCATTCTACCCTAGTGCTAGGCCTCTGGGACAGGATCTGAGCAGAGACGCTCATGAAAATCGGGACTTGTGATCACTGGCACAACCTCCACCCCCATCCCCCAGCAGGGGCCTTGGTGAAATTTGAGATTCATTTCCAACTCCTCCTGTGGGAAGGAGGTGTGGACCTTGATGTCAGCATTTCTTAGGGAATGGCTGGACCTCAGAGGCAGCATCTGAGACACTGGCTTAAGGGGACAGCCACGGGGCAGTGATTCCTCCCAAATACTCACCAGCCATTTGTTTGTTTGTTTGGAGACCGAGTCTCACTTTGTCGCCCAGGCTGGAGTACAGTGGTGTAATCATAGCTCACTGAAGTCTTCACCTCCTGGGCTCAAGTGATCCTTCTACCTCAGCCTTCCCATAGATGGGACTGCAGCGTGTGCCACTATGCCTGGCTAATTAAAAAAAAAAAATACTTATCATGGCACCGGCTAATATTTTTATTTTTTGTAGAGACAGCGTCTGGCTCTGTTGCCCAGGCTGGAATGCAGTGGCATGATTATAGCTCACTCCAGCCTTGAATTCCTAGGTTCAAGTGATCGTCCTGTCTCAGTCTTCAAAGTAGCTGGGACTACATGAGACTACAGGTGTGCGCCACCATATCTGGTTTTGTTTTGTTTTGTTCTGTTTTTTGGTAGAGACAGGGTCTTGTTATGGTGCCCAGACTCGTCTCAACCTCCTGGCCTCAAGCGATCCTCCTGCCTTGGCCTCCCAAAATGCTAGGATTACAAGCATGAGCCACCGTGCCTGGCTACCCTTTGCTCCTTCTTCCTTAGAATCACCTCCTTCAATGCCCACTCAGTTCCTCTCTTTGTGCCCCCATCTCAGTCACTCAAACCCAGACCCTTCCACTTCCTGGGGTACCACATGGCCCTGGATTCAAAGCCTAACCCCACCATCCACCTATGACCTGTCTGCCCTTCCACCATCTCTTTACCTTCTCTATGTGTCCGTTTCAAGTTTTTGTTTTGTTTTGTTTTTGTTTTTTGAGACAGAGTCTCACTCTGTCGCCCAGGCTGGAGTGCAGTGGCGCAATCTCGGCTCACTGCAACCTCTGCCTCCCAGGTGCAAGCAATTCTCCTGCCTCAACCTCCCAAGTAGCTGGGATTACAGGCACACACCACCACACCTGGCTAATTTGTTTTGTATTTTTTTAAATAGAGACGGGATTTCACCATGTTGCCCAGGCTGGTCTTGAACTCCTGAGTTTAAGTGATCTGCCCGCTCCAGCCTCCCAAAGTGCTGGGATTACCACGCATGAGCCACTGCACCCGGTCTAGTTTTATGTTATATAAAACAGGAACAAAGAGTCCAGCTTATCTGGGTGTGGTGGCTCACACATATAATCCTAGCACTTTGGGAGGCTGAGGTGGAATGACTGCTTGAGCTCAGGAGTTCAAGACCAGCCTGGGCAACACGGTGAAAACTCATCTTTATTTTTAAAAAATGAAATAAAACAGGCCGGGTTCGGAGGCTCATGCCTGTAATCCCAGCACTTTGGGGGGCTGAGGCAGGTGGATTACCTGAGGTCAGGAGTTCAAGACCAGCCTGGCCAACATGGTAAAACCCTGTCTCTATTAAAAATACAAAAAATTAGGCGGGGGTGGTGGTGGGCACCTGTAATCTCAGCTACTTGGGAGGCTGAGGCAGAAGAATTACTTAAACCTGGGAGGTGGAGGTTGCAGTGAGCCAAGATCGTGCCACCACACTGCAGCCTGGGTGATAGAGCAAGACTCTGTCTCAAAAAATAAAATAAAATGAAATAAAACAAAAAGAGTCCAGCCTTATAGCGTTGTTATCAAAATTCTCATCCAGCAAATATTATATGAGTTAAGAGATATGAGGCACTTTGAAGAGTCCCTGACACATAGTAAGCCCTCAATAAATGGTAGCTGTTTTACTGTTGCCATAATTAAATAGTTAGCAAGTATCTATTCTACTAGATGTTGGGTATTTGATGAGGAAAACAGACACCGTTGCAGTGATTATGTAAGATAAAGGATGTATAGCACCTGTCACCTAGGGGGGCCCCAATTAATGGTGGGTCCTCCTCTCTTCCTTCCCAGCTCTGAGGCCCCTCCATTGTTCTCATTGTCCACGGAAACCTACAGATCTGACATGTGCTGGAGGCTGAGTGAACGCTTCTGGCCGCAGAGGAACCCCAAAGGACTGCTCCAGGTGCTAGTCATCTTGGGGTGTGCCACTTAGGAAAGGTTTCCATGGGGAGGAGTCCTGAAGAAAAATTTGCCAGATGGGAGGATGAGAGCAAGCTTCGAGGGTGTTGGCTGAGTCCTCTTCTATCCACCAACCTGCTCATCCAGCGTCTAGAAATAGGGCGTTAAAAGTTTGACTTAGGCTAGGGGTGGTGGCTCACGCCTGTAATCTCAGCACTTTGGGAGGTTGAGGCTGGCGGATCACTTGAGGTCAGGAGTTCAAGACAAGCCTGGCCAACATGGCGAAACCCCATCTCTAATAAAAATACAAAAATTAGCTGGGAGTGGTGGCAGGTCCTGTAGTCCCAGCTAATCAGGAGGCTGAGGCAGGAGAATCAATTGAGGTGGAGGTTGTAGTGAGCCAAGATCTTGCCACTACACTCCAGCCTGGGCGACAGAGTGAGAATCTGTCTCAAAAAAAAAAAAAAAAAGAAAGAAAAGAAAAGAAAAGAAAAAGAAAAACCAATTACACTCTGATGAATAATACAATCTTTAAAAAAAAAAAAAAGGTCAGGCACGGTGGCTCACGCCTGTAATCCCAGCACTTTGGGAGGCCGAGGCGGGCAGGCGGATCACGAGGTCAGGAGATCGAGACCATCCTGGCTAACACGGTGAAACCCCGTCTCTATTAAAATACAAAAAATTAGCCGGGCGTGGTGGCGGGCACTGGCAGTCCCAGCTGCTAGGGAGGCTGAGGAACCCGGGAAGTGGAGTTTGCAGTGAGCAGAGATGGCACTTCAGCCTGGGCGACAGAGCGAGACTGCATCTCAAAAAATAATAATAATAAATAAATAATAAAAAATAAAAAAAAGAAGACTTTGACTTAGCCTGGGCAACATGGTGAAAACTTCTCTACAACAAATATAAAAATTAGCCAGGCATGGTGGCATGTGCCTGTAGTCCCAGCTACTTGGGAGGCTGAGGTGGGAAGATGGCTTGAGCCCAGGAGGTTAAGGCTGCAGTGAGCCATGATTGTGCCATTGCACTCCAGCCTGGGTGACAGAGTGAGACAAAAAATGAAAAAAAAATTTTTTAAAAAGAGCTTGCCTTTCTTGGGTCCTCTTAGTTAAGCGTGGTTTCCACTTAGAATCCTCTGTCTCAGGCCCAACTCTCAGGAACAGAGGTGGTGGGCACTTTCAACTATCTAAGTCTGGCTTTGTGATTGTAATATCCCATTCTGGTATTCAAAGTTGCCCTCACAGTGTCACTGAAGGTGTGGCCTCTAATAGGCAAGAAGGGGTAGAGCCTGGGGCTGGGAACATCTGAACCACTCCTAAGAAGTTCTTTGAGGCTTTGGGCTAGATTTAAAATGCTTCCCGTTTACTAAAGAGGGACCCAGCATGGGGGATGGATCCGTTGCAAGGACAGAGGCTGGGAGAGGGGAATTCTGAAATAACTTAGAAGACCTAGGCCAGGTGTGGTGTCTCATGCCTGTAATCCCAGCACTTTGGGAGGCCCAGGCGGGCTGATCACTTGAGGTCTGGAGCTCGAGACCAGCCATGGCTAACATGGTGAAACCCCGTCTCTACTAAAATTACAAAAATTAGCCAGGTGCCTATAATCTCATCTACTTGGGAGGGTGAGTCAGGAAGATTGCTTGAACCCAGGAGGCGGAAGTTGCAGTGAGCTGAGATCACGCCACTGCACTCCAGCCTGGACAACAGAGCAAGACTCCATCTCAAAAAAAAAAAAAAAAAATAGAAGACCTAAGTATAGTCTAACTCTAGAAGCTGGATTTAAGTAGGACATATAACAGTTCATGACTGCAGAAAAACAGAGAGAATATGAATAGTTACAATCTATTGAGTGCTTATCAGGTGCCAGGCACTGTGCTAAACACTTCACATGCATTACCTATCTCATACAGAACAGCCCTTTGAGGCTGGTGTTATTATCCCCAATTAGGAGATAAGAAAACAGTAGGCTCAGAGAGGTGGAGCCACCTGCCCAAGTTCACACAGCTAACAAGCAACAGAGGCAGAATTTGAACCTACATGGAGTGACTCCAGAACCCTCAGTATTAACCTTACCACCAGTGTCACCAACTAGGCTAGGCATGATGGAAAAGTTAGTCTTGGGCTACAGTAGATAGAAGAATACTGGTGTAGGTACTTTGCCTTTACCACAGAAGTTCTCAACCCTGACTGGACATTAGAATCACCAGAGAAACAGAAAAAAAAAAAAAAAAAGCCAGACTACCACTTGATCACAGGAGTTGAGGCTGCAGTGACCTATGATCGTGCCATTACACTCCAGCCTGGGCAACAGAGAAAGACCCTGTCTCTTTTTTTTTTTTTTTTTTTTTAGACGGAGTCTCGCTCTGTCGCCCAGGCTGGAGTGCAGTGGCGCGATCTCGGCTCACTGCAAGCCCCACCTCCTGGGTTCAAGCGATTCTCCTGCCTCAGTCTCCCGAGTAGCTGGGACTACGGGCGCCTGCCACCACGCCTGGCTAATTTTATGTATTTTTAGTAGAGATGGGGTTTCACCGTGTTAGCAAGGATGGTCTCGATCACCTGAGCTCGTGATCCGCCTGCCTCAGCCTCCAAAGTGCTGGGATTACAGGCGTGAGCCACCACGCCCAGTGACCCTGTCTCTAAAAAAAAAAAAGGCTGGATACAGTGGCTCACACCTGTACACCAGCACTTTGGGAGGCCAAGGCAGGAGGATTGCTTGAGTCCAGGAGTTTGTAACCAGACTGGGCAACATAGTGAGACCCTGTCTGTACAAAAAAATTAAAAGATTAGCCAGATGTGGTGACACATGCCTCTAGTCCCAGCTACTTAGGAGGCTGAGGTGGGAGGATTGCTTGAGCCCAGGAGGTTGAGGCTGCAGTGAGCCAAGACTGTGCCACTGTGCTCCAGCCTGGGCCACAGAGCAAGACTCTGTCCCCTACCAAAAAAAAAAAAAATGTTGGCCAGGCACAGTGGCTCATGCTTGTAATCCCAGCACTTTGGGAGGCTGAGGCAGGCAGATCACTTGAGGCCAAGAGTTCGAGACCAACCTGGCCAACACGGTGAAACCCCGTCTCTACTTAAAATGCAAAAATTAGCCAGGCTTGGTGGTGTACGCCTGTAATCCCAGCTACTCAGAAGGCTGAGGCAGGAGAATCGCTTGATCCCGGCAGGCAGAGGTTGCAGTGAGCCACGATTGTTCCACTGCACTCCAGCCTGGGCAAAAGAGCGAGACTCTGTCTCAAAACAAAACAAAAAAGTAGATTCCCGGTCTCTACCACTAGAGCTACTGATTCAGTAGATGAGGCCTAGCATCTCTCTTTTTCATAGTTTCTCAGATGACTCCGATGCTCTGGGTTGAAAGCTACTGCCCTAGCCTGAATAGGAATTTTGAGGGCTCTTACCTCCTTCCAGCCCCAAATACTTTCCAGAGGGCTCTAGGCTGGAATCCAAACCACCTTGAGGTGTTTAGGAATAGTGGTGAACTGGAGCAAGCATAGGATTATGTAATCTGACTGGTTTTAGATTTTGGCTCTTCCACAAACTAGCTGTGTGACCTTAAACAAATGGTTTCCCTTGCAGTGCCTCTGTTTCCTCAGTTTAAAAATGGGCGATAATTATATTAGCCTTAAAGAGGTGCTCTGAGGAATAAAACGGTTAAAAAATGTAAGGAGGTGGTAATAGCACAATAATTTGGTCAGAATAATCATGCCTCAGATAACAATTATAAAACTGAAACAAGGGCCAGGTGCCTTGGTTCACGCCTGTAATCCCAGCACTTTTGGAGGCTGAGGAAGACAGATCATTTGAGGTCAGGAGTTTGAGACCAGCCTGGCCAACATGACAAAACCTCATCTCTACTAAAAATACACAAAAAATTAGCCAGGCTCGTGGTGCACACCTGTAATCCCAGCTGCTCGGGTGGCTGAGGCAGGAGAATCACTTGAACCCAGGAAGTGGAGGTTGCAGTGAGCCAAGGTTGTGCCACTGCACTCCAGCCTGGGCCACAGAGCAAGACTCTGTCTCAAAAACAAAAACAAAAACAAAAAAAAACCTGAAACAAGGCCAGGTACAGTGGCTCATGCCTGTAATCTTAGCACCTTTGGAGACTTAGGTGAGAGGATTGCTTGAGGCCAGGAGTTCAAGACCAGCCTGGGCAACATAGCAAGACTCCATCTCTATCAAAATAGTTTTCAAAAAAATTAACTAGGCATGGTGATATGCACTGGTAGTCCCAGCTACTTGGGAGGCTGAGGCAGGAGGATTGCTGGAGCTCAGGAGTTCAAGGCTGCAGTTTGCTATGATCATACCACTGTGCTCCAGCCTGGGCAACAAAGCAAGATCCTGTCTCTTAAAAACAAAACAATAACAAAAAAAAAAAAACCTGGCCGGGCACAGTGGCTCACACCTGTAATCCCAGCACTTTAAGAGACTGAGGCAGGTGGATCACCTGAAGTCAGGAATTCAAGACCAGCCTGGTCAACATGGTGAAACCCCTGTCTCTATTAAAAATACAAAAATTACCCAGCTGTGGTGGTGCATGCCTGTATTCCCAGCTACTCAGGAGGCTGAGGCAGGAGGATCACTTGAACCTGGGAGGCAGAGGTTGCAGTGAGCTCAGATTGTGCCATTGCACTCTAGCCTGGGCGACAAGAGCAAAACTCCATCTCAAAACAAAAACAAAACAAAACCAAAACAAAAAACAAAAAACCTGAAATAAAATAAACAACAACCAAACCCAAATATTTGAAGGCACTAAAGAACACCTAACAGCAATTAGAAATGTGAGGAAAATCAACTCTTGAAAGGTGGGAGCTGCCCCGTACTAGACTTATATTTTTGTGGTTATTTGTGTGAGGGCACTCTGTAATTTGTGTGGGAGGTGGAAATGCATAGAAAGCTACGGTCTTACTGGTTTGAGGTGCCGAGTACAGAGTTCTAGGCAAGAAGTGTGGCTGGAAAATTAAGAGGGAACTCACAGAAATAAATTCTATAGAGCAAACAAGTCCCAAAATCTGTATATAAACTCTGTCCAAATCCTTGGTTGTCCAACTGCACATATGCACAGGAGTCTCCAGGAGTCCCAGTAAAATCAGCAGCTGGGAGCAAGAACAGAGTAGAAATTCCAGCTACTGCCTTTCACAGGGGAAACAAAGATTGGAGTTTCAGTCCAACCAAGTTAATTGCCTGTTAGAACAAAATTAACACTCTTGGAAGGAACATAACAAAATCCATAGTCTTGACAATGTCCAGCTACAATAAACAAGTACTAGGCATATGAAGAAACAGAAAACTGAATCATACTCAAAACTCACTCTCAAAGAGAAAAAGTTATGACTCAGATGTTGGAATTTCTAATCTTGGGAATTAGCAGCAAGGATTTTAAAGCAACTTTTATAATTATTTTCTCTTTTTGAGATGGAGTCTCCCTCTGTTGCCCAGGCTGGAGTGCAGTGGTGTGATCTCAGCTCACTGCAGCCTCTGCCTCCCAGGTTCAAGTGATTCTACTGCCTCAGCTTCCCAAGTAGCTGGGATTACAAGTGTGCACCACCACACCCAGCTAATTTTTGTATTTTTAGTAGAGATGGGGTTTCACAATGTTGGCCAGGCTGGTCTTAAACTCCCGACCTCAGATGATCTGCCCGCCTTGGCCTCCCAAAGTCCAGGGATCACAGGCGTGAGCCACCATGCCCAGCCTTATCTTCAAGGCCTTACAGGAAAATGTAGTCATAATGAAGGAACAGATATGGAACTTCAGAAGAGAAATTTTAACTATAAAAAAAAACAAATGGAAATTCTAGAACTGAAAAGTACAATAACTGAAATGAAAAATCAACTTGACAGATTTAATAGAATGAAGATTACAAAGGAAGGAGTCAGTGAATATAAAGATAAAGCAATACAAATTATTTATTCTAAAGACCAGAGAGAGAAAAAATAACTGAAAAAATTAAACAGAGTTTTATGGATTTGGGAGGCAACATTAAAAGATCTATATACCCAGCCTGGCCAACATGGTGAAATTCCATCTCTACTAAAAACACAAAAATTGCCAGGCACAGTGGCTCACTCCTGTAATCCCAGCACTTTGGGAGGCCGAGGCAAGCAGATCACCTGAGGTTGAGAGTTCGAGACCAGCCTGACCAACACAGAGAAACCCTGTCTCTACTAAAAATACAAAAATTAGCCAGGCGTGGTGGCGCATGCCTGTAATCCCAACTACTCAGGAGGCTAAGGCAGAAGAATCGCTAGAACCCAGGAGGCGGAGGTTGCAGTGAGCCGAGATTATGCCATTGCACTCCAGATTGGGTGACAAGAGTGAAACTCTATCTTTTTTAAATTTTAAAAATAAAAATAAAAATGTTCTATATACCATATGTAATTTGAATTTCAGAAAAATAGAAGAGGGAGAATGGGGCATTAAAATATTTGACAAAGTATATGCTGATTTCTCAAATTTATTCGAAGACAAATTTTTTTTATTTTTTTATTTTTTCCACAGTTGTCAAATGATCCTTTATTGAAATATTTTTCTTTGTGCTTAACTGGCTGGGCATTCCACAGCACCACTGTTGATGTCATCTATGATGTCTTGAGGGTGGTGGCCATCAACATTATAGCCCACAGGCTGGGCAGTCCCCAAGATCTCTTTAATGGTACCAGATAGTTCTCTGGCTAAGGATCAGTACTGCATCTGTGAAGCAATGTTGACAATCTCATCAAAAGTGATACTCCCACTGTGTTTAATGTTTTTCTGTTTCTTTCTGACTCTTGGTGGTTCCTTGAGAGCTTTGATGATCAGGGCAGAGGCAGAAGGCACCACCTCAATCTGGGCTTGTCTGTTCTGAATGGTCAGTTTCACTGTAATACTCAGGCCCTTCCAGTCACCTGTTGCCTTGGCAATGTCATCACCAACCTTTTTTGGAGACAGACCCCGGGGGCCGATCTTGGGGGCCAGTGCAGAAGTGGCACCGACTTCACCTCCGGTGCACCTCAGGTATACGACTTTGATCTCATTGGGGTTGAACTTTGGCGGCGTGGTGGAGGCGGCTGGTGTTGGATGAACCCGGATTCGAGAGACTGAAGAAAGTTGCACCTTGGCCTCCTCCGAGCCGAAAGCCGAGAGTCGAAGACAAATTTATAGATTCAAAAATCTCAGTGAAGCCCAAGCAGCCTGAATACAAAACAATCTGCCAAGGTATGGCATAGTCATTTTTTTTTTTTTTTTTTTGAGACAGACACTCGCTCTGTCGCCCAGGCTGAAGTGCAGTGGGGCAATCTCGGCTCACTGCAACCTCTGCCTCCCAGGTTCATGCCATTCTCCTGCCTCAGCCTCCCAAGTAGCTGGGACTACAGGCACCCGCCACCACGCCCAGCTAATTTTTTCTATATTTAGTAGAGACAGAGTTTCACCGTGTTAGCCAGGATGGTCTCGATCTCCTGACCTCGTGATCCACCTGCCTCGGCCTCCCAAAGGGCTGGGATTACAGGCATGAGCCACCGCGCCTGGCTCAAATTAGATTTCTATATCCAGTAACACTATCCTTCAAAAATGAAGACAAAACAGAGTCATTGTCAGATAAACAAAAACTGAGTTTGTCACCAGCAGACCTGTATTATAAGGAACATCGGCTGGGCACGGTGGCTCACGCCTGTTATCCCAACACTTTGAGAGGCTGAGAAGGGCAGATCATTTGAGGTCAGGAGTTTGAGACCAGCCTGGCCAACATGGTGAAACCCTATCTCTACCAAAAACACAAAAATTAGCCAGGCATGCTGGTGGGCACCTGTAATCCCAGCTACTCGGGGGGCTGAGCCAGGAGAATAGCTTGAACCCAGGAGGCGGAGGCTGCAGTGAGCCAAGATTATGCCATTGCACTCCAGCCTGGGCAGCAGAGTGAGACTCCGTCTCAGAAAAAAAAAAAAAACATCAAAGAAAGCTCATCTGGCTGAAGGAGATGATACCGGATAAAAACTCAGATCTATAGGGCCAGGCACGGTGGCTCACGCCTGTAATCCCAACACTTTGGGAGGCTGAGGCAGGCGGATCACGAGGTCAGGAGATCGAGACCATCCTGGCTAACACAGTGAAACCCCGTCTCTACTAAAAATATAAAAAATTAGCCGGGCCTGGTGGCGCATGCCTGTAATCCCAGCTACTCAGGAGGCTGAGGCGAGAGAATGGTGTGAACCCAAGAGTTGGAGCTTGCAGTGAGCCGAGATGGTGCCCCTGCACTCCAGCCTGGGTGACAGAGCAAGACTCCATCTAAAAAAAAAAAAAAAAAAAAAACTCAGATCTATAGAAAGGAATAAAAAATTCTTGAGATGGTAAACAGGTGAGTAAATATTTTTAAATTGTATTTACATTTTTTCTTTATTTCTTTAACAGATGCGGCTGTTTATTTATTTTTTCATTTTTTTCTCTATTTTATTACTGAAATATGTTGTCCTGCCCATCCCACCCCACAATAAAAATCTCACCCAGCCCCCCATTTATTTCCCTCATCCCCTCTTCCCCACACCATCCCAGAACAAGTCTTCCAGGATTCCCTGTCCACTGGCCATTTTGGAGTGTGTCCATTGGGTTGCAATATGGAAACCACCAGGGCTTTTGTGGAGAAAATGGAGGGGGTTGAGGGAGTCCCAGGAGGGGCTTATTTGAGGGCATTGGCCCCTTGCTCATAGGCGAGCTGGATCTCTTCATCATCTGGGCAGGTGGAGACGGGTTCTTCCCATGCATAAGCATTGCTCAAGTGCTGACGCGTTCCCGGGAAGGCCTCAGGGATGTTAAATCCCCGGTACTTCTTACACACCACCTGTACTATGTGTAGCTTTGGCAACAGGTTGCAGTCAGCCAGGGTGAGCTCATTGCCATTCAGAAACTTCCTCTGCGAGATGCCCTCATCTTCAGCACTGGTTTCATCTACTTCTTTTGGGAGGGGGGATGTTAAGTAATTGTCTAAAACCTTCAGGGCTTCCAGGAGTCCCTTCTGCAGATTATCATTGAGTGCTGGGTTTGAATTCTTGATGTAGGCAGAAAATTTGGCAAATATGTCCAGCCCAGCTGTGTTGGACTCAGGGTTCAGAGCTGCCAGCTTGGGGTATCTCGGAGGGCACAGTACTGCCTCCAGAAATTCCACCATCTTGTTGGTGTCTGTGTGCACTTCAGTGCCATGCAGCAGGAATGGGAGCTGCCCTCCTGGGCACAGCTTCTGCACTCTCTCAGTCTGTCTCTTGGTGTCAATGGTGGTAACGTTGAAGGTGACTCCTGTGACCCACAGCACTATGAACAGTCTCAGGGAGAAGGGGCGGTTCCCAGTCTCGGCCCCATCACTGCCAGCCTTCACGCACAGTTAGACTGGCAGTTGTTCTTCCGCCGTGGTTGCGTCCCTTTTTTTTTTTTTTTTTTTTTTTTTGAGACAGAGTCTTGCTCTGTAGCCCAGGCTGGACCCAGGCTGGAGTGCAGTGGTGCGATCTTGGCTCACTGCTACCTCCACCTCCCGGGTCCCGGTTCAAGCAATTCTCCTGCCTCAGCCTCCTGAGTAGCTAGGATTACAGGCACGTGCCACCATGCCCAGCTAATTTTTCTATTATTAGTAGAGATGGGGTTTCACCATGTTGGTCAGGCTGGTCTTGAACTCCTGACCTCGTGATCCACCCGCCTGGGCCTCCCAAAGTGCTGGGATTACAGGTGTGAGCCACCGTACCTGGGCCTTCCTTTTTTTTTTTTTTTTTTTTTAATCATATAGGCACACTGACAGATGTGGCTATTTAAGAGCTAAAGTTATGACATTGTATTGTGGGGTTTATAACAGATGTCATTTATATAATAAGAACAACAAAAGAGGGTGGACATGGAAATAAATGGAACGATATTGTGCAAAGTTCCTACATTTTATGGGAAATAGTACAATATTAATTTTAAGTAGATTGTGGGCTGGACGCACTGGCTCACTTCCATAATCCCAACACTTTGGGAAGCCGACATGGATGGATCACTTGAGGTCAAGAGTTCAAGACCAGCCTGGCCGACATGGTGAAACCCTGTCTCTACTAAAAATACAAAAATTAGCTGGGCGTGGTGGTACGTGCCTATAATCCCAGCTACTTGGAAGCCTGAGGCATGAGAATCACTTGAACCCAGGAGGCGGAGGTTGTAGTGAACCGAGATGGAACCACTGCCCTCCAGCCTGGGTGACAGGGTGAGACTCCAGCTCAAACATGATAATAATAATAATAATAATAATAATAATAATAATAATAAATAGGCCGGGCGCGGTGGCTCACGCCTGTAATCCCAGCACTTTGGGAGGCCGAGGCGGGCGGATCACGAGATCAAGAGACCGAGACCATCCTGGCTATACTAAAAATACAAAAAATTAGCCAGGGGTGGTGGTGGGCACCTGTAGTCCCAGCTACTCGGGAAGCTGAGGCAGGAGAATCGCTTGAACCTGGAAGGTGGAGCTTGCAGTGAGCCAAGATCGTGCCATGGCACTCCAGCCTGGGCGACAGAGGAAGACTCTTTCTCAAAAAAAATAAAATAAAATAAAATAATAATAATAATAACAATTTTAAGTAGATTGTGATAAGTTAAAGCTCATGAGATTCACACTCACTACAGCAGCCACTTCGACTACAATTTAACGAGGGTACAGCTTTAAAAAAGCCAGTAAAGCCGGGGGCAGTGGCTCACACCTGTAATCCCAGCACTTTGGGAGGCCAAGGCAGGTGGACTGCCTGAACTCAGGAGTTTGAGACCAGCCTGAGCAACATGGTGAAAACCCATCTCTACTAAAATACAAAAGATTAGCTGGGTGTGGCAGCGTGTGCCTGTAATCCCAGCTACTCAGGGGGCTGAGGAAGGAGAACTTCTGGAACCCAGCAGGCAGAGGTTACAGAGAGCCGAGATTGCACCACTGCACTCCAGCCTGGGCAACAAGAGCAAGACTCTGTCTCAAAAAAGAAAAAAGCCAGTAGAGATATTAAAATATAATCATAAAAAATTACTCAGTTAACTCAAAAGAAGGTAGGAAAGGAGAAACAGAGGAACAACAACAAAAAAGATGGAATGAGTAGAAAACAAATAGCAAAATGGCAGAACCAAACCTAAACACATCAACAATTACATCAAATGTAAATGAAATAAATATTCTAATTAAAACACAGAAATGGTTAGGCAGGAGCCGGGCACTGTGGCTTATGCCTGTAATCTCAGTACTTTGGGAGGCTGAGGCTGAGGCTGAGGAAGGTGGATCACCTGAGGTCAGAAGTTCAAGACCAGCCTGGCCAACATGGAGAAACCCTGTCTCTACTAAAAGTACAAAAATTACCCGGGCGTGGTGGCAGGCGCCTGTAATTCCAGCTACTCATGTGGCTGAGGCAGGAGAGTGGCTTGAACCCGGGAGGTAGAAATTGGAGTGAGCTGAGATTGCACCACTGTACTCCAGCCTGGGGGACAGAGTGAGACTCTGTCTTGAAAAAAAAAAACGAAAGAAAGAAAGAAAGAAAAAGAAATGGTCAGGCAGAGCAAAGAAGAATATATAAGCATATGCTATCTACGAGGCACATACTTTTTAAAAAGTTTTATTTATTTATTTTTTTTAGACAGTCTCACTCTGTTGCCCAGGCTGGAGTGCAGTGGCACCATTTTGGCTCACTGCAACCTCCACTTCCTGCATTCAAGCGATTCTCCTGCCTCCGCCTTCCTAGTAGCTGGGATTACAGGTGCATGCCACTACCCCCGGCTAATTTTTGTATTTTTGTAGAGACAGAGTTTCACCACATTGGCCAGGCTGGTCTCGAACTCCTGACCTCAGGTGATCTGCCTCCTTGGCCTCCCAAAGTGCTGGGATTACAGGTATGAGCCATCGCGCCTGGCCTAAGGCACATAAATTTATTTACTTATTTTTGTTTTATTTTTTCATAGAGTCTCACTCTGTTGCCCAGGCTGAGTGCAGTGGCGTGATCTGGGCTCACTGCAACCTCTGCCTCCCAGGTTCAAGCAATTCTCCTGCTTCAGCTTCCCGAGTAGCTGGGACTACAGGCATGCGCCACCACACCTGGCTAATTTTTTTGTGTGTTTTAGTAGAGACGGGGTTTCACCGTGTTGCCCAGGCTGGTCTTGAACTCCTGAGCTCAGACAATCCGCCCGCCTCAGCCTCCCAAACTGCTAGGTTTACAGGCGTGAGCCACCACGCCCAGCCGGCACATACTTTATTATTATTATTTTTTTTTTTTTTTTGAGACGGAGTCTCGCTCTGTCTCCCAGGGTGGAGTGCAGTGGCGCGATCTTGGCTCACTGCAAGCTCCTTCTCCCTTGTTCACACCATTCTCCTGCCTCAGCCTCCTGAGTACCGGTGACTACAGTCACCGGCCACGCCTGGCTAATTTTTTTTTTGTATTTTTTTAGTAGAGAAGGGGTTTCACCATGTTAGCCAGGGTGGTCTCCATCTCCTGACCTCGTGATCCACCCGCCTTGGCCTCCCAAAGTGCTGGGATTACAGGCATGAGCCACCACGCCCAGCTGGCACATACTTTAAATACAAACCCACACTGAGGTTGACAGTAAAAGGTTGGAAAAATGATCTAAAATAAAAACACACATCATAAGAAAGCTATATTAATATCAGATAAAGTAGACTTCAAAACTAAGAACATAAGACAGGTATTTCATAATGATAAAAGGGGCACTTCATTAAGAAGATATAACAATTTTAAGTATCAACCTAATCATAGTTCCAAATACATAAAGGAAAAATTGATATAATTAAATGAAGAAGTAAATTCATAATTAGAAATTTACTTATCTCTAAATAATTGAGCTGCTAGACAAAAAAATCAGTAAGGACATAGAATATCTGAACAACATTATCAGCCACCTTGAATTAGTTGACTATTATAGAACACCGCACCCCGAAATAATAGAATTCTTCTAAAGTGCACCTGGAATAGTCACTGCAATAAACCATATGTTGGCTATAAACAAGTTCCAATAAGCTTCAGAAGACTGAAATCTTACAGAATATATTCTCTGACCACAACAGAATTCAATTAACATCAACAACAAAGAAGATATCCAGGAAAGCCCCAAGTATTTGGAAATTAAACAAGATTCTTCCAAAAAATACATAGTATCCATGGTATACCCAAATAAATTGAAAACATGTCCACATGAAACCTGCACACAAACCTTGAGAGCTGCTTTATTCATACTTGCCAAAAGTTGGAAGCAACCAAAGTGTCCTTCAATAGGTGAAGGGATAAACGAACTCTGGTACATTCATACAATGGAATATTATTCAGCAATAAAAAGAAATGAGCTATCAAGCCACGAAAAGACATGGAAAAATATCAAAAGTATACTGCTACGTGAAAAGCCAGCCTGAAAAGGCTACACGCTGTATGATTCCAATGATAGGACATTCTGGAATAGGCAAAACTATGCAGACAGTAAAAAGATCCGTGGTTGCCAGAATTTGATGGGGAGGGAGGGATGAATAGGCAGAGGGTGGGAGATTTCTGGGGCTGTGAAACTATTCCGTATGACATTATAATGGTGGTTACATACCATAGTGTATTTGTCAAAGCCCGTAGACTATACAACATGAAGAGTAAAACCTAATCTCATTATTGGCTCATCAACTGTAACAAATGTACTTACACTAATATACCATGTGATTAATAGGGGAGATTTACTGGAGGGAGAGGCCTATATGGGAACTCTCTGTACTTTCCCATCAATTTTTCTGTAAGCCTGAAACTTCTCTAAAAAACGTTTTCTGAAAACCCATGTTCAAAGAATGCAAGTGACCCTGTGTCTGATAAGCTCACCATATACCTTACTTCTGATCTGTCTTCCCGTATCTCTCTCCCCTTAAGAACTCTCACTCTTAGTCAAGGAGGGAGTTACAGAGGACAGAAGTGGGTGTTGAGTATGACATCAGGCAAAACAAGTTGTTCTGGATCCTGGCTTGCCTTCCCCTTCACTCAAACATTCATTCTACAGACACTGAGCTTCTATTCTGGGCTAATCTCTCTGCTGGGCACACAGGATATAACTGGCAGCCAGTTACAATCCCTTCCCAAGAAGCATTCACAAGCTAAGGGAGAAACTGACAAGTAAACAGTCGATGACAGTTCATTATGCCAAGTGTCATGTGGGTAAATTCAGAGGACAATGAGAATGCAGAGAAGTATCTAACCCAGCCTAGGTTTTGGTCAAGTGAGATTTCCTGGAGGATGTGACATTGCAGTCAAGCCCCGAAAACTATAAGCAGCAGTTAAGAGGCAATGGGAGGCCGGGCGCTGCGGCCCACACCTGTAATTCCAGCGCTTTGGGAGGCAAAGATGGGTGGATCACTTGAGATCAGGAGTTTGAGACCAGCCTGGCCAACATGGCCAAAGTCGTCTCCACTAAAAATACAAAAAAAAATTAGCTGGGCATGGTAGTGGTGGGCAACTGTAATCCCAGCTACTCGGGAGGCTGAAGCAGGAGAATCACTTGAACCCAGGAGGCGAAAGTTGCAGTGAGCTGAGATGGCGCCACTGCACACCAGCCTCGGCGACAGAGTGATACTTTGTCTAAAAAAAAAAAAAAAAAGAAAGACCCAATGGGAAACCTCCTGGACTTGATCAGAGGATTGGAAGCAAAAAAGAACACAGCCCGTGGGGAAGCTACAAGCAGGTCACTATGGAATATAAACAAAGTGCACATGCATGTGTGTGGGGGCGAGGGGTGGATGACAGAGGGGAGAAATGGCCTGGAGGGACTGGTAGAGCCAGGTCAGACCTAAGCCTTGATGTTCTCAGAAACAATGCTTAAGCAGCCCAGACAGACCTTGTAATGCCAGCTTCCTGGAGTCTGTGCCTAAAGCAGAGGACCCATCCTGGGGGAGACTCCCCAAGTCTCTTTTGAACACACTTGGTGGAAGAAGCTATCCTATAATTACTGTGGTGATAATTAGAGGCACCTGCATGGCCTCTTTCTTTCTTTTTTTTTTTTTGAGACGGCGTTTCGGAGTTTCGCTCTTGTTGCTCAGGCTGGAGTGCAGTGGCACGATCTCGGCTCACCGCAACCTCCGCCTCCCGGGTTCAAGCGATTCTCCTGCCTCAGCCTCCCGAGTAGCTGGGATTGCAGGCATGTGCCACTACCACCCGGCTAATTTTTGTATTTTTAGTAGGGATGGGGTTTCTCCATGTTGGCCAGGCTGGTCTTGAACTCCCGACCTCAGGTGATCTGCCCGCCTAGGCCTCCCAGTGTGCTGGGATTACAGGCATGAGCCACCGCACCCAGCCTCCATGGCTTCTTTCAGCAAATATTGCACAAGCTGTAGCGCTCTCACCTGCAGTGGGGTGCAGAGAGACAAAGCACCCCTCCTGGGGGAGCCTAATGCCTGAGTCTCTTGTGAAGCACACCTGACTCCCTGGCTGAGGCCCAAAGGTGTCACAGATACACCTGGGGCTGCTATAGCTTGGAGCTGAGTGCTGCTGGCAGGGAGACTAAAAGTCACTCCCAGTCGGGTGCGGTGGCTGACGCCTATAATCCTAGCACTTTGGGAGACCAAGGTGGGCAGATTGCCTGAGCTCAGGAGTTCGAGACCATCCTGGCCAACATGGTGAAACCCCGTCTCTACTAAAAATACGAAAAATAGCTGGGCATGGTGGTGGGTGCCTGTAATCCGAGCTGCTTGGGAGGCTGAGTCAGTAGAATGGCTTGAACCCAGGAGGTGGAGGTTTCAGTGAGCTGAGATTGCGCCACTGCACTCCAGCCGTGTGACAGAGCAAGACTCTGTCTCAAAATAAAATTAAAATTAAAAAGTCACTCCCCAGATGCCACAGTCTGGGCAGCTCCCAGGCAAGCCACAGGCTTCAGATTTATTCCAACCTTGCCCTCTGGGGAGACTTCAAGCCTGTAGAGATGTTGACTAGGATCTAGAGGTGCTGTCTACTTCTCGGCAACCTTAGCCTGAGATGCTCAAGCCATTAGTCTCTGGGCCCACACTTCATCTTCCTGGGACCAGGTACACGGTGTTTCCATGGCCTGGACATCATCCCAGCCCTGGCAAGTGCTGTGTAGCTTCTTCTAGGGTCTGCAGCCACATTTCCTCAAGAAACACTTCGGAGGTCTCTGGTTCAGATAGAGAGAAGAAAACCTCTCCTCATTCACCATACCTTCACCAAACCCCTTCTCCCTCCTTTCTTCCACCAGATTTTTCCCACTGAAAAGAATGGTCCCTTTGCTTCTGGGAAGGCCTTGACTTTCCTACTCTAGCAGCTCCCGTTTCATTCATCCAACACCAACTTTCCACTTGGCTTTGACTTCTATGACTCACTGGGAACCAAAGCCCAAGTGAATCGCCCAGAGGCTCAGTGTGGCATTTTCGTTTCAAAAGTGACATGTCTGGTCTGTTTTGTTCTTAGCTCTCCAAAGAAAAAGCTTCTGCATCACCCAAAGCCACTTCCAACGGCTTCTGGCCTTTCCCATGGGACCTAAAGCCTCACTCTGTGCCCCTTTGAAACTCAGAATGACTGCGTCACGTTCAAGGACACAGTTGGCTTTATGTAAAAGCACTTGGCAAGGTTGTGAGAGCTAAATGAATGTCAAGAATTTAGCCCCTGGCCGGACGCGGTGGCTCATGCCTGTAATCCCAGCACTTTGGGAGGCCGAGGTGGGCAGATCATTTGAAGCCAGGGGTTTGAGGAGTTTAGCCAACATGGTGAAACCCCATCTCTACTAAAAATAAAAAATTAGCTGGATGTGGTAGCGCACGCCTGTAATCCCCGCTACTTGGGAGGCTGAGGCAGAATTGCTTGAACCTGGGAGGCAGAGGTTGCAGTGAGCTGAGATCACGCCACTGCACTCCAGCCTGAGTGACAGAGCAAGACTCTGTCTCAAAAACAAACAAAAAAAGTAATTAAATTAAAAAAATTTTTTAAAAAAGAATTTAGCCCCTTTGCCTTCTCATCTCCCCTTAATATCCCTGCATCTGGTGGGTTTATGGCTGGACAGATCTTTGCAGGCCAGTGTCTTCTTGTGAATAGTGAGACTAAGGGTCCCTGGTGATTTGATATTTTCTTGTTGCCCTGCCTCAAACCCTCCCCTGGACCTCGATCTTTTTTTTTTTTTTTTTTTTTTGAGACGGAGTCTCACTCTGTCGCCAGGCTGGAGTGCAGTGGCGTGATCTAGGTCCACTGCAACCTCCACTCCCCGGTTCAAGCGATTCTACTGCCTCAGGCCTCCCAAGTAGCTGGGACTATAGGCATGGGTCACCACGTCCAGCGAATGTTTGTATTTTTAGTAGAGATGGGGTTTCACCATGTTGGCCAGGATAGTCACGACCTCTTGACCTCATGATCCACCTGCCTTGGCCTCCCAAAGTGCTGGGATTACAGGCGTGAGCCATCGCGCCCGGCCTGGACCTCAATCTCATCAGTGAGCCTTTTCCCAGGGCTCTCTGATAGAGCTTTGGAGGAAACACTTGGAACCTAACTGGTCCTGGCACCTGGCAGTGGGGGAATAAGGAAGGAGAGCTTTGCTTCTGAAGGGAAAGTGTACTTGGCTTTCTCTTTAAAGGGTTTCCCTTGGGGAACAGGCAAGCGGCAGATGTATGGGCAATGGCCAACTGATCCATTTGGAGATAGATTCAGGGTGTGGTGTTCCCTGTAAGCCTGGGCAGGCCCTGGGAAACTGGAGCAGAGCTAAATTCTGGCCTAAAGTTGGGCAAGCTGCAGAGAAGCTTGAGTACGTTGGTTTCAGGTGTGTGAGTTTTGCCTTCTGCAGAGAAACAGGGGGGTGAAGGGTGGGGGTGGAGGGGTGTCCAGGAGGGTTAGTGTATCTGTTGCCCAGGCATGTTTCTAAATTCTGAAGCTGCACTGGTTAATCATTTTTATTCATGAACACAGTAACTGGCAAGGAGGCTTAGCTGGGCCCTCAAAGTCTGGCCTCAGTGCACCTTCTCAGTATATTTTCTCAACACTCCAGCACAAATCACCCATCCCACTCTCGGATTCAAGCTCACCAGGAATTGGGCCTTACTTCATGCCATTCTTTCTTTCTAGAATGCCTTTTCTTTTTTTTTTTTCTTTTTCTTTTTCTTTTTCTTTTTTTTTTTTTGAGACAGAGTCTCGCTGTTGCCCAGGCTGGAGTGCAGTGGCGCAATCTCGGCTCACTGCAAGCTCTGCCTCCGGGGTTCACGCCATTCTCCTGCCTCAACCTCCTGAGTAGCTGGGATTACAGGCGTCCACCACCACGCCCGGCTAATTTTTTGTATTTTTAGTAGAGACAGGGTTTCACCGTGTTAACCAGGATGGTCCCGATCTCCTGACCTCATGATCCACCCACCTCGGCCTCCCAAAGTGCTGGGACTACAGGCGTGAGCCACCGCGCCCGGCCAAAAGAATGACTTTTCTTTGATAAGCCTCTCACCCTTTCAGACGGCCTCATCCACTCCTGGGGAAGCATTCCGCAGTACCTGGGGCCTCAATTAATCTCTCTCTTCTCTCTCCATCTAAGCTCCAGATTCACTTTGTTGGTCTCTGGTCTAGCTCTACCGTGTTTATTTCTGTGCCGGTTTCCAGACCTCCAAATGGACGGTTTCCTGAGCCTTCTGCCCTTGCTGTTCCCTCTGCCAGGAACTCTTTTCCTGTGGATCTTTGCAAGGCCAGCTCTCTGTCATCATTCAATATCAGCTCAAATGTCACCTCCTAAGCGAGGCCTTCCTTGACCACCCTATCTAAAGTAACCCACACCTCTGCTCACTCTCTGTCCCCTCACCTTGTGTTACAAAATGTGTTTTTGTAAAACTTAGCAGCATCTGAAATTATCTTATTTGTGGGCTTGGACTATGTCTCTTCCTTTAGAATGTAAGCTCTAGGAAGGCAGAGTGAGTTGACACATGGTTGGCACCCAACAAATATCTGTTGATTGATTCTGTGAAGGCAAGCGTGGGGTATTCGACTTGGTGCCGGGCCTGGGCGCAATAAAGGTTGGCTGCCTGGAATATTTGCTACCTGAATGAATGAACCAAGGAACATACGAACGAAGGAATGCAGCCCTCTGCCTGTTGACTGACAGGTTGACTGACAGTTGGGGGGCCCGTGGCCAGCAGACTGTTGACTGACGGTTGACAGCTGAGTGGCAGCCAACAGACGCGCATCGGGGTTCCCGATTGGCTGGTGCAGCAGCCCCTCGGAGAGGGGCGGAAGAGGGTACCCGAGGCGACATCTCCGCGTGGGGAGGGGGGCGGCACCAGGCAGCGGGAGGCGGCCCAACTGCTCTGGCTGTGCGAGCAGCAGCCGCCTAGAACCCAGGAGCCGACGTCTCTGCGCATGGGCCCGGCTCGAGGGGCGGGGCGCGCATCACGTGAGCGTGTTTTGGGCACGTGACCCGCGCGGGGCCAAGGCTCGCCCCCGCCCCCGCCCCTCCTCCCCTCGGCGGGTGTGATCGAGTGGCCTCGCCTCATCGCCTAGCGCCCCCCTCAGTCGCCGCCGCCTCCGCCCGCCGGCCATGTCCCCCGGCCGCCGCCGCCGCCGCCCGAGCGCGGCGCTCCCGCGGCCCCGCGCGCAGTGAGCGCGGGCCCGTCTTGCCGTTCGCCCGCCCCAGGGCCCCCTTGTTCTCCGCGCCGCCGCCGCCGCCATGTTGGGTTTGGAGCTGCAGCGGAGCCGCCGCCGCCGCCGCGGGTGAGGGAGGCCGAGAGCGGAGCCCGCCCCGCCCCGGGGCCCAGGGAGCGGGGCCGCTTCGGAGCCCGGCCTCTCCCCGCCAGCCGCCTTCCCGGCCCGCCGTGCAGCCAGCGAGCCAGCGAGCGAGCAAGCAAGCAAGCACCGGACCCCGGCCGCGCCTTCAGCTA
The DNA here is from genome assembly GCF_000001405.40 of Homo sapiens. Taxonomy (NCBI): domain Eukaryota; kingdom Metazoa; phylum Chordata; class Mammalia; order Primates; family Hominidae; genus Homo; species Homo sapiens. The sequence goes on along the minus strand of NC_000012.12, from coordinate 120,903,936 downwards.
CGGCCCGAGCGAGCCCGCCGCCGCCGGGCCCGGCCACAGCCTGCAGCGGAGCCCACGAGAGGCAGCGCCATGGCGGAGCAGACCTACTCGTGGTGAGTGCGGGGCTCCGGGAGGCCGGGAGGCGGCAAGGGTGGGGGTCGGGGCGCCGGCGCGGCCCGCCGAGGGGAAGAGGAGGAAGAACAGGTGCGTGTCGTGGGGGGGGGGCGCGGGTTGGGGTGCACGCCCCCCTCTTCCCCACCGGAGGGGGCGGCTGGCGCGCACGGAGGGCGGTGAGTGGCCGGGGACCTGGCGTCCGAGAAGGGGAATGGAGGAGGAGGCAGCGGCGGATGTCATCTGGCTATGGGCGGAGCAGGTGATGGAGAAGGGGAGCATGACCCCGGGGGTGGGAATCCCACGGATGGGAAGTTGAATCCGACAGGCACCCCGGAACTGACTCGTGGGGGTGTTTCCTGGGCAGGAGGACTCGAAGGGGTGGAGAGAGGCAGGCCAGGGCAAAGGTGGGCCGCTGGGCTGAGAGGAAGCTCTAGTGAGAACAGGTGATAGAGGCAGAACTTCTAAGTTGGGAGAGTGGAGCGGCCGCCGCTTGGCTCTGGGACAGGGAGCGCAGGGAGAGTTGGTGAGGTGGGCAGAGGCCCGGGAGTGAGGGGAGGAAAACTGCGGGGGTAGAGTCCACGAACCTTGGAGGGGAGTCACTGGTGAAGAGGTTGGAAGAGGAGCCTGAAGAACCTGTTTCCTTTTCCTTCTGGAAAAGGAATTCGTTGGTGACAGTGGGGCATGGGCAGAGTCTTTGTAAGGGTTGGTACTATTATTTTCAGAGGAATGGCGCCCAGGGCCAAGTGTGGAGGTGGAGGACCTGCAAGTTAAGTTCATTTCTGTGGGGCTTTTAAAGTTAGTAAGTAGCTCGTTAAGGGCCGAGAAGCGAGAAGCTACTGTGTAGTTTATGGGGTGACAACCTACATATCCGGAGAAGGGAGTGCCAGGGTTTGGGGGAAGGAACATGAGGGGTCTCCCTTTAGCATGTAGAGGTGGGATATTTGCAGGACGGGTTGAAGGAATGATGGCAGTATCCATGAAGAGTGGAAATCGGGTAGTGAGAAGGAAGTCATAGCTGGAGAGTGAGGAAGCAAGAAATGGCATGATCGTAGGAGTGGGGGACCTGATTGCAATTTAGAGAAATGGTTTGAAGATGGTTTACTCTTGAAGCAAATGTGGTTTGGGACAGAACTGTAGACATTCCCTTCTTAGAAAAGAGCATAATAGAATGGGACGAGCATGCCGTGTGGAGTTGGAAGACCTATTTCGGAGGTCCGGTTTGCCACCAACTTGCTTTGTTGATACGACATGGTAGTGAGTTCTTCGGTCCTTTTTCCTTACCTATAAAATAGAGGGAATTACCTTTTCCACAGCCTGTAAGGATTAAGTGAGTACATTTAGAAAGCACTTGGCAAACTGTGAAGTGCCACAGATCTTACTACATTAATTATAATTATCCTAGAGAAACATCTAAGAAATGGGTAATATCAGAAAATAAGGAATGGTTTTAGGTAGAAGACTTTGAGTGGATTATTTATAGTGTTAGAGGTTATAAGTCAGTAACTCATTGAGTCTTCACATAAGAGAAAGGGAGTTGGGGATTGAAGATGATAATTCTTAAGAGAACTTCATTGATGTATGTGCAATCTCAAGAAGAAGGTAACTGAGAGACAAAGTAACCCTAAAGGAAGAATTAAAATCTTGGTGAACACGTGCTCTAAAAAGAGGTTTAAGCTAATTTCATAGTTTTGCGTGACAGCTGCCTTTCAGTAGCAGGTCGTAGGGAACACAAGATTACAATTTCAGCTTCCTTCTGGACAGAGTAAGAAATGAAGGTAAAGGTGTTTCTGTCATGCCTTGTGGTTACTCATCTTGAGCTTCTCATACTCTGGCCCTAATGGCTGTGGCCCTGAGAGTCCTAATGGCTGCTTTGCTGTTTTTACTGTGCTGTACAGAGGCCCTGGATGGTTGAAAGAATAGAAAACTCAGTGGTCAAGAAATGGGGAAAATGAAAATGTTTTACTAGGTAGGTTGGACACACACGACCTCTCTCTGACATTAGTTGGCTCTATTAAGGAGGGATTACTTTGTGAAGTTTGACAATTTACAAATTTATTCTACTAAAATACTTCCTTCAATGTCAGCTCTGTTTGCTTTACAGGCAAAGAAACTCCTTGAAATCGGGGAGCTTAGCCCCTCAACCTTTGGCAGGTTTTGAGATGAAGAAAATTTTTACATTATCTGGAGAGAGGGTGGCATATAAGGGGAGACTGGGGAAAGTGGGCAGTTTCCTTTTTTTTTTTTTTTTTTTTTAGGACGGAGTCTCGCTCTGTCACCCAGGCTGCAGTGCAGTGGCGCCATCTCGGCTCACTGCAGCCTCCGCTTCCCGGGTGCAAGCAATTCTTATGCCTCAGCCTCCCGAGTAGCTGGGACTACAGCCACATGCCACCATGCCCGGCTTTTTTTTGTATTTTTAGTAGAGATGGGGTTTCACCATGTTGGCCAGGCTGGTCTCAAACTCCTGACCCAGTGATCTGCCCACCTCGGCTTCCCAAAGTGCTGGGATTGCAGGCATGAACCACCGTGCCCGGCCACAGCTTCCTATTTAATAGTTGTTCCTGATTCAACTGACTAATAATATAATAAAATAAGGAACTATACACATGGCATTAAATATACACATTTAATTCTCACAAGTTTCTGAGGTAGGTGATATTTCCCTGTTTCACAGAGGAAGAAACAGGCTTGGGAGGCCAAGTGGTATGTTTAAAGTACTTCACTTGTGATGCTTTATTTTGTTTGACATGAATTCTCCCATCATTTTACTCATTCTTATTGAAATATAAATATGGAAAAGGTATTCCAGTAGTCTATGTAGACTGATTTTTGGATTATCTGTCATTTTGCAGTTATCTTTGTCACTCTTCCCTTGGCTTGTGCAAACAATCAAGAGTTGATTACTTTTTTTTTTTTTTTTTTTGTGAGACAGGGTCTCACTCTTTCGCCCAGGCTGGAATGCAGTGGCCCGATCTAAGCTCACTGCAGCGTCTGCCTCCCAGGTTCAGACAATTCTCCTGCCTCAGCCCTGCAGGTGGCTGGGACCACAGACGTGCACAACCACGTCTGCTAGTTTATTTATTTATTTATTTTGTATTTTTACTAGAGACAGGGTTTTGCCATGTTGCCCAGGCTGGTCTTGAACTCCTGACCTCAAGCAGTCTGCCTGGGATTGGCCTCCCAAAGTGCTGGGATTACAGGCGTGAGCCACCACACCCGGCAATTGATCTCTCTTTTTTTTTTTTTTTTCCTTGAGACAGGGTCTCACTTTATCATGCAGGCTGGAGTGCAGTGGCAAGATCACAGCAGTGCCTCCAGGGCTTAAGCGATCCTCCCACCTCAGCCTCCTGAGTAGCTGGAACTACAGGTGTGCCCCACCACGCCCGGCTGATTATTGCATTTTTTGTATTGTGTTTCGCCATGTTGCCGGTGCTGGTCTTGAACTCAGCCCAAGTGATCTGCCTGCTTTGGCCTCCCGAAGTGCTGGGATTATAGGCGTGAGCAACAGTGCCTGGTCCTGCTGTTTTTTTTTTTAAACAGATTTGCACTTTGTTTGTATGTGACCTTTGGAAAAACCAAACTGTGGAGACTGTTGTGCCACTAAAGATTTGTCTGAGGATGGACTCGGTGAAGAATATAAAGGCATATGCAGATGGGCTCCCTTAGGATTTTCGTATAATAAGATGTAAATTATTGGCAATGAGTTGATCATTACTGGAGCTGGGTGATGAGTACATGGAGGTTTATTATTCTGTTGACTTTTACATGTTTAAATTTTTCAGAATAAAAAGTTTTTTCAACAAGGCCCTTTATATGTAAGTTCACGTGTGCTTGCTCTCTTCCTAGCAAATTCTATCAAAATCCTGTACTCAAGGGTTCAACTCAAATTCTGCTTAGCTGTGAAGCATTTTCTGACCACCCCATATGAAAATGATCTTTTTTTTTTTTTTTTTTTTTTGAGACAGGGTCTTGCTCTGTCGCCCAAGAGTGCAATGGCATGATCTCCGCTCACAGCAACCTCCGCCTCCTGGGTTCAAGCGATTCTTGTGCCTCAGCCTCCCGAGTAGCTGGGATTACAGGCGTGTACCACCATGCCCGGCTAATTTTTTTGTATTTTTAGTAGAGATGGGATTTCACCATGTTAGCCAGGATGGTCTTGATCTCCTGACCTCAGGTGATCCTCCCGCCTCAGCCTCCCAAAGTGCTGGGATTATAGGTGTGAGCCACTGTGCCCGGCGATCTTTTTATTTTTAATACTTACAGTTCTGTCTGCATAATTCCTTCCTTATCTCATGTAAATGCCTAATCTAACTATATTGTAAACTCCTTGAGAGTAAGGACCATATGACACTAACCTTGGTTCTCCCATAGTGCCTAGCACATTGTAGTACACATAGACCCTACTGAGTAAATACCAAGTGGTAAATATGACACTGAATTTCAGGATGGTTCATCCTTTGTTGAAAGAATATTAAACATAAGGAGGATGCTACTGAGTGAAAAATAAGTGTTTATAACCCAAGTACTTATCAAAGAGGGCTTTTTGTAACTTGGTTTCCTGATGTACCAGTGCTGCAAGAATGAGGAATGCCATCCTTTATTAAAGTTCTAAATAAAAGCTATTAACAGAATAAATTGAAATAATTGGTAGTAACATCAGAATCTTTATCACAATTTAACTACAAGATTCTCCTTATAGCCTTTTTTCTCACATACACTGAGGAAGTAAAAGAATGCATGTGAAAACACAGATTGAATGTGCTAACTAGACTTTTATTAATTTGAGAAAAACACCTTTCTTCCTGTATATTTATGAGCAGTTTTAGTGTAAGTTCTGTGAGAAACGGGAACTCGTCTCTTGATGAAGCAAAATGTGGTACTTATATATAACTGGTATTGAACCCCTGCTCAACATTACTAATGTTGGTGTGAGGGAAAAGGAAGTCAATTTATTTGAACTCCTTCAAGTGAATTTTGTTACCAAAATACTATCATAATAACTTGTGTATTTTCTATGTGATAGAGTTTTACGAGCATTGCTAAGTAAGGAAATTGAGGCTCAAAGCATGTAAGTAACTTGCCCAAGGATGTAAATGGTAAAGGGCTCAAAGGGAAGATTATCTGACACAAATTCTGACACTGAATCTGTCCACTTAATGTTTCCACAGTGTTGACTGTAAGCCAGCCCTCTTTTGCTTGAGTTCCTGTATTAGCCTCTTTGCTGGGTTTCTTCCATTATCTACCTGTTGGTACCTTCTTGGCCTTCTAACAACCTAAGTCAGATCTTGGCAGTTCTCTGCTTAAAAGTATGGGTTTTGGCCACACTTAGAATAAAACCCAGATTCCTTAGTGTGGTTCTTCATGGTTTGATCTTGTGTGTGTCTCTCTGAGGGATGACAGACGATAAACAAAATAAGCTACATAAGGATAAAACCCTTTCTGTTTTTGGTACTCTCTCCAGTGCCTGGCATTTAATAGATATAAATAGGTGGCTGCTCTGTGCTACCCATCTTTTTTTTTTTTTTTTTTTTTAAAAAAAAAAAAAAAAAACAGAGTCTTGCTCTGTCCAGGCTGGAGTGTGGTGGCACGATCTCGACTCACTGCAACCTCCGCTTCCCAGGCTCGAGCAATTCTCGTGTCTCAGTCTCCTGAGTAGATGGGACTACAGGCAGGCTCCACCATGCCCAGCTAATTTTTTGTAGACATGAGGTTTTGCCATATTGGCCAGGTTGGTCTCGAACTCCTGACTTCAAGCAATCCACCCACCTCGGCCTCCCAAAGTGCTGGTATTATAGGCATGAGCCACTGCGCCTGGCCCGTGCTACTCATTTTAAGGCTTTCTAATCTCAGGGCTGTATTATATTGAGGTGATGTATTGTTGTGATAATGGTCATTACATGTCAGGTATTTGCAAATATTATTAAACCTGAGAATGGCAAATAACACAGGTCTCCATATCTAGTGGAAGTCAGTTCTACTTTTGGATTACTGTTGTGTGTTGTTGTATCTGGTATGATCATATCCAATTGTAGCTGATGGAAGTTTTTCAGAGAGAAAGTAGTTGAAAATTTGTGTCTAGCATTATAGACTTTAGAAGATTTGCTCATTATTATTATTATTTTTTGAGACGGAGTCTCGCTGTGTAGCCCAGGCTGGAGTGCAGTGGTGCGATCTCGGCTCACTGCAACCTCCGCCTTCCGGGTTCACGCCATTCTCCTGCCTCAGCCTCCCAAGTAGCTGGGACTACAGGCACCCGCCACCACGCCCAGCTAATTTTTTGTAATTTTAGTAGAGACGGGGTTTCACCGTGTTAGCTAGGATGGTCTTGATCTCCTGACCTCATGATCCACCCGCCTCAGCCTCCCAAAGTGCTTGGATTACAGGTGTGAGCCACCGCTCCCGGCCCTTGCTCATTATTTTAAAAACATATTTTGCCTATAGTTAAAGTACTATGATAATGTTGTTTGGGTGATGTGTGATTTAAACTAAAATTAGCCAAAGTTAACCCCATGAATTTATATTTAAATCATTTTCCTCAAGGTTTTTTATAAAGCCTTCGGGGGTAAAGAAAGCTGGAGAGTGTACCATATCAGCCTGTAAGTATCAGGTAGTACTATCAATTTAAATGCTTAATGATCATGCATTTCTCAAAAAGATTTCTACGTGATCATTTATTTTAGAGATGACAAATGCCATTGGATTGTGATGTGTCATTCTATATAATTGTATTTTATTTCAACATTAATAACATTAATAAATTAGTTCTCATCATTCATATCTGTTTTATCAAACCATCTCGTGAAAATTTAGAGATGTCCTAAAAAGAGAAAGAGAGTGTTGATAACCAAGTGCTGTTTTATTTAGTTGGCTGTTTTTGGCATCTGAAACTGTGTGTGACTGCTGTCATGGCAGTTCGCCATAAGTATAATTTGATTTTTAAAATTCTATAATCTATTTTTGATGTTTCTAGAGTTTAATGGTTCCTTCTTAGGAATTAAAATACTGATTGTATGTGATGTATGTATAAATTAAGAAGTGTTTGCAACTTTCACTTTCTTTTTTTTTTTTGAAACGGAGTCTCACCCTGTCACCCAGTCTAGAGTGTAGTGGTGCGATCTCAGCTCACTGCTACCTCCACCTCCCAGGTTCAAGCAATTCTCTTGCCTCAGCCTCCCAAGTATCTGGGATTACAGGTGCACACCACCATGCCCGGCTAATTTGTTTTCTGTATCTTTAGTAGAGACAGGATTTCACCATGTTGGTCAGGCTGGTCTCAAACTCCTGACCTTGTGATCCACCTGCCTCAGCCTCCTAAAATGTTGGGATTACAGGCATGAGGCACCATGCCTGGCCAACTTTCACTTTCTATCATGTATTTTCTTATCCTTACTTAAAGAGTTAGAGGCAGAATACTTGTCTTCTGGAATTTTAACGTCTGAGGTGCTCAGAGGGGCTCTAAATGATCAAATTCAGTTTTACAGGGAAAAATCTAGTTAGTCCCAATGATCCTCTCAATGAATTGTTACCCCTCAGATTTTATTAATAAGTCAAACTAGGGCCACAGCTTGAAATGAAACAGCTCCACCTCATTGTTGTGGAACGACTAGGTTGAGCTCCTAAGAAAAAGTTTTTGTAGGTATCTTTAAGGTATTAGACTAAGGAGTATGCCTTAGCCTAATAGAGACCTTATGGAAAATCCCATTTCTTGGTTTGTAGGGTATTCCCTAACCTGGTAGGAAAACTTAGTTATCTCTCTTTTGGAGTTCCAGCATGGATAGTGAAGAACCACCAAAGGATTTTTTTTTTTAAGTGCTCTGAAGTGGAGATGTATCCTAGTTGTTTCTACATATTTTGAATTGTATCGAATATAAGTGATTATTCAAAAAGTATTCAGTTGTGTTATGCCACTCATTAAATTTTCATTTGAAATCTTGAGATATGAGCACCTCATTCTGTTACGGTTTCTTCGAATCAGGAAATCTTTAGCGTGAGGGTGGTTTTCATCTCTAGTTGACTGTGACCTAGCCATGTCTTAGTCCTAGTGTTGTATTTGGTACAATAGTTATGCCTGTTGTACTCCACAGGGTCGTTGTGAGGATTTAGTGAGATAATGCACATAAAAATGCTTCATGCATTGCAAAGTGCTCCGTGAAAGCACGCTGTTTGTTCTGTACATTATTTGTTAGAGCCAGATAGGTTCCAGATAGAGTTCCTCACTATAGAAATGACTTCTCTTGTTTCACAATTTAGCCAGCGCTTAAACTTTGAGATGTCCTTTATATTGAGGATGCCACATAATGCTATATAAAAAGAAATAATAGTCTCCAAATTGTCACTGATTTCTAAGTTTCATAGTCCATGGCTACATTCCACAAGAAGAAAGATGATGAATAAAGCTATGTTTCTTTTTTTTTTTTTTGAGATGGAGTTTCGCTCTTGTCACCCAGGCTGGAGTACAGTGGCGCGATCTTGGCTCACTGCAACCTCTACCTCCTGGGTTCAAGCGATTCTCCTGCCTCAGCCTCCAAAGTAGCTGGGTTTATAGCTGCGCGCCAATACACGCGGCTAATTTTGTATTTTTTGTAGAGACGGAGTTTCACCGAGTTGGCCAGGCTGATCTCCAACTCCTGATCTCAGGTGATCCACCCACCTCTGCCTCCCAAAGTGCTGGGATTACAGGCGTGAGCCACCATGCCCGACCTGTTTTTTCATGTTAGTTTTATCTTGATTTTGAAGACAGTTTCCTTCATGATCTACTTAAATGAAGAAAGAACAGTAGAGTGGATGATCCTCATCTTTCCCTGCTTTTCCTTGGAATGCATGGTACGGTTTTCTACCCTTCTAAAAATGCCTGAGGAGGAGCTGTTAGCAGGTTTGTTTGTTTGTTTGTTTGTTTGTTTGAGACGGACTCTCACTCTGTTGCCCGGGCTGGAGTGCGGTGGCACGATCTCAGCTCACTGCAGCCTCCACCTCCCGGGTTCAAGGGATCCTCCTGCCTCAGCCCCACTAGTAGCTGGTATTACAGGCATGCGCCACCGCACCCAGCTAATTTTTTGTATTTTTAGTAGAGACGGGGTTTCTCCATATTGCTCAGGCTGGTCTTGAACTCCCGACCTCAGGTGATCCACCCGCCTCGGCCTCCCAAAGTGCTGGGATTACAGGCATGAGCCACTGCGCCTGGCCAGTAGTTTATCTGTTTCCTTATCCCACACCATGCCTGACAGGCACACCCACTTCCCTTCATCTGAGGCCTCAGGCTTGGGCTTCACTCTTGACCTAGATAGGGCAGGTGTAGCAAAGAAAGTTTTGTTCATTTCTTCTTCAAGCTAGTTATACAGTCATTGTGACCTACGTACAGTGCCTGACTTTGTTTTGTTGTTTAAGTTTTGTCTAGACCTTGTTTAGCTTGACCTTCCAAACTTGACTAAATCTTCAAGCTTTGCCTGATAGCCTTTGACTGTATACTCTGACTTTATAAACTTATGAAATTTACACTCATTTCTTTTTTGTTTGTTTGTTTTTGAGATGGAGTTTCGGTCTTGTTGCCCAGGCTGGAGTGCAGTGGCACCATCTTGGCTCACCGCAACCTCTGCCTCCCGGGTTCAAGTGATTCTCCTGCCTCAGCTTCCCGAGTAGCTGGGATAACGGGCATGCGCCACCACGCCCAGCTAATTTTGTATTTTTAGTAGAGACGGGGTTTCTCCATGTTGGTCAGGCCGGTTGTGAACTCCTGACCTCAGGGTCATCTGCCTGCCTCAGCCTCGCCAAGTGCTGGGATTACAGGCGTGACCCACTGCACCCGGCCCCCTACACTCATTTCTTATAACCGCTTGCAAAAATACTACTTTTAGAAGTAAAGATTAGTTGTGAAAAACAAATACCTTTGCCACTGATTAGTGCAAATGTTTCTAGAAATGCCATCTGGGACTATGGCTAGGCTGGCTGGAACTAGTTGAAGATTTGAGGTAAGAACAATTAACCAAAAGGTAAGAGTATGGAGAGGAAAAAATGGAAGACCAGAAATTGAGGCTTGGGAAACTCACAATTAAGAAATGTCAGGAAGAAGAGGAATCAGAAGAGGCTCCATCAGAGGTAGGATAATTAGGAAAGTGCAGTGGCGATGAAAAGGCATAAGAGAATTTTTAGGGGCAGGAGTGTAAAAAGCTACAAGGATTCAGAGAGAATGAAGAAAAAGCAGGCTATTGAATTTGTAAAGGAAGTCATTACTGAGAGTGCACTGCTAAGATCAGAGTAGTGGGGGTGGAAGCCCAATCAGGGGTAGGTCATAAAGAAATAAAGGCATCTTCTGGGTACTGGCCATTTGTTTGAGATGTGAAAGACTTGAGGAAAGAGAATGGTTGGTACAGACAGCAGGGTCATAAAGGTCTTCTTTTTGTTTTTTATAAATAAGGGAGATAATTGTATATTTGCAGGCAGGGAGAGAAAATTGATCTCGGAAAAAAATATATATTTTTTTCACGCCATTCTCCTGCCTCAGCCTCCCAAGTAGCTGGGACTACAGGCGCCCGCCGCCACGCCTGGATAATTTTTTGTATTTTTAGTAGAGACAGGGTTTCACTGTGTTAGCCAGGATGGTCTCGATCTCCTGACCTCATGATCCGCCCACCTCGGCCTCCCAAAGTGCTGGGATTACAGGCGTGAGCCACTGCACCTGACCCAGTATTTTTTTTTACTGTAGTTTCAGTTTAGAGATTTCTACCTTTTAAAGAATTATTAAGGGTTTCAGTTAGGGGTTGTAAAGAGAATTTCAGAGGAGTCCTTAGTGTGTACGTTTAGTTTTTGTCTCTCTTGGTTTGTATATTGTCCACTAAATTTTGGGTTGTATTTTTTTTTTTTTTTTTCCCGAGACAGAGTCTTGCTCTGTCACCCAGGCTGGAGTGCAGTGGCACCATCTCGGCTCACTGCAACCTCTGCCTACCGGGTTCACGCCATTCTCCTGCCTCAGCCTCCCGAGTAGCTGGGACTACAGGCGCCTGCCACCATGCCCGGCTAATTTTTTGTATTTTTAGTAGAGACGGGGTTTCACCGTGTTAGCCAGGATGGTCTCGATCTCCTGACCTTGTGATGCACCCGCCTTGGTCTCCCAAAGTGCTGGGATTACAGGCGTGAGCCACCGCGCCTGGCCTCTAATTTTGGGTTGTATCGTATTTTAATAGCCTTTGTGTTTTTTATTGTTGGAATATAAAATCTACCCTCTACAATCTGACTTTCAAAACAATCTGGTCTTATAACCCTGCTTCCCTATATTTCCTTTAAATATTACGTGTTACTTCAGCCACACTGGGTTACTTCTGTTTCCTCTTTTATGTACGGTGACTCTTCTGCCTCGTTTGCCCTTCTTCCAAGTCTCTAAACATGTTGACTCCTACCCATTTTTCAAGGTCTGACTGCAATGTTTTCCCCTTGCTGTGGAGCCTTCTTTCTGATTGGCGCAGGAGAAATGTTCTTCTGATGTCTACAGCTCTTTATCTGTTCCTGTCATGTGGGCAGCACTCAGGATTTTCTGACCTTGTATTGAATGTATTTAATATGACCATCTTCCCGTTTTGACAATGCACTTTGTAAGGGTAGGTTCAAAGCCATTAATTTCATGGTGCAAGGACCTACAGATAGTAGGTGCTCAGATTTTCTTTGTAAAAGAATGAATATTTTAGGGGTGAAATTTGTTAGATGCTGGATTTTAGAATAGAATGTCTCCCTAAAAATATGGTGACAAGGCACATGGAAGAGAGGAGAGAACATCTTACTGCTCTTTGAAGGAAGTACAGAAATAAAATGGTTACTGTTAAGTTGGTTCAAGTGTTATGTCCAAATTTGCCTAACTTTCTAATATCCTGACAACACCTAGAGAAAGAAAGGGACTCAGCTAAGGGAGACATTTACAAAGGGCCACAAGCCCTTTAGAGCGCTCTTCTTCATTCAGCTTAGTCTTCTTGAACATGACCACTGACTCACTTATAAAAGTATAAGTAAAATACAAGTTTATTTATACTTTATATTTCCCAAACAGCCATTTATTAAATATGTGGCATATATTACTTGTTTCCTAAAGTGGAGACACTCAGCTGCTTTTTTTTTTTTTTTTTTTTAGAATTTGCAAAACAGTCTTAGGGAAAAAAATTTCAGTAACATGCTCATGTGAAAATATTTTGCAGGAAACATCTCGAGATATGAGTATAAGCTGTATGTAAACTAGCTTTTGAACAATGTAATATTTCTCTCTCACTACTATTTCAGGAATTCATAGTCTTTGTATTACGCTTTTGTTTAAAAAGCTAAAAAAATTTTTTTAATAGAAACTTATTTTGCCGTTTTTTTCTCCTTTTTCTAAAAGTCTGTTTTCTTTTTCAGCTCATTTCTTGTCCTTTGTTTTATAATTATTCAGAAAGGGCAATTGAAAAAAATCTCGTGGCCTGATGTGTGCTTATTTTAAAGTTAATAGATATAGCAGTGCCTCAATCTTAGGTCAGAATTAAATAACACCGTCATCTGGAATAGGCATAAACCAGACATTTGGGAGATTAGGAGTTAGTTTTGTTTTTGAACCTTTGTATCTTTGCAGTGGTGAAAACTCACAGGCCTAAGGATGATGTATTAGGCTGGATTCCTGGGTAGCAAAGGTTATAAAACCATGGGCAGATGTTATCAACCAGCTTAGGAAAAAGGGAATAACAAGTAGAAGTAGGGAAGAAATGTGAATGGCAAATGTGATTGAGCAATAGAAGCAGAGGCGAAGGTTAGAGATGAAGTGGAAAAAGGAGGCAGCTACCAGAAAGTAGACAGCTAAACCAGAGTCATTGTGTAGCAAAGGTGCAGATGGCCCAAGACATCTCTGGAAATCCACCTTTGTGTTCAGGTTAGATTTACCAAGTTGATAATGAGTCAACCTTTAGTGATAGGATAGATAGTCTTAGCTTGTCCTGTTAGCTGTTGAGAGCATCGGGTTTCGGCTTCACAGCTAGATACCTCGGAGACATTCTTGATTCTCATCAAATAATAAGGCCTGTTGACTTTTCGCTCCGTGTTTGTGTGTATATGTAGAATATTATTTAATATATTTTAAATTTGCTTCCTCTCCCTTTTCCTAAATTTTTGTTCCAAGATGACCCTTCCCTTTTTTCCCTTAAAGTTTTGAGGACATGAATAATGTTCATGTGTTTATCCTCAGTGGTCTGGCCCATAGTTTATTAAAAGTGAAGATTATTCTGGATTTGATTTTTTTTTTTTTTTTTTTTTTGAGACGGAGTCTGGCTCTGTCGCCCAGGCTGGAGTACAATGGCGCGATCTCTGCTTACTGCAGCCTCCGCCTTCCAGATTCAAGCGATTCTCCTGCCTCAGCCTCCCGAGTAGCTGGGACTATAGGCGCCTGCCACCACGCCCAGCTAATTTTTTGTATTTTTAGTAGGGATGGGGTTTTATCATTTTGGCCAGGATGGTTTCGATCTCTTGACCTCGTGATCTGCCCGCCTCAGCCTCCCAAAGTGCTGGGATTACAGGTGTGAGCCACCGTGCCCTGCCCTGGATTTGATATTTTGAAAATACCCTGAAAAAGTAAAACTTTTTATTTTATTTTTTTGGGATGGAATTTCGCTTTTGTTGTCCAGGCTGGAGTGCTATGGCGCAATCTCGGCTCACCACAACCTCTGCCTCCCAGGTTCAAGTAACTCTCCTGCCTCAGCTTTCCCCAATAGTTGGGATTACAGGCATGCACCACCACGTCCAGCTAATTTTTTTGTATTTTCAGTAGAGACAGGGTTTCTCCATGTTGGTCAGTCTGGTCTCGAACTCCCGACCTCAGGTGATCCACCCACGTTGGCCTCCCAAAGTGCTGGGATTACAGGCGTGAGCCACCGCCCCCAGCAAAATTATTTTTTTTTTCAAAGTAAGGTGGAAGAATATGGGATGTCTTAAATTGCTATCAGTCCTCAGTTAAGAGCCTAAAGGGACAAGCATTAAACATCGTTTATGGTTGTCTTATGTTAAGTGAAAAACTATTATTCAAGGTGTTAGGCTGGACCTACCTTCATAACAATCACTATTTAATTTGTAGGACCTCTTCATAACACAGTGGGAGAATTGGTGACTATATCAGTTAGCTATTGCCACAATAACACTGCATGACAAATTATACCAAAACTCAGTGGATTAAAATAACAATAAAATATACTTATGAATCTACAGATTGGCTGGTGCAACTCTGCTTCTTCCGATCTGTAAGTTGATTGAGATGACTCCGCTTCAAGTGTGTTCATTTTAGGCCCAGAGTGAATGGGCAGCAGCCACATAGGGGAAGCTCTTCTCTAGGCAGTGCCAGGGGCACAAGAGGGCAAGGTGAGACCTCTTAAGGTTTAGGCTTAGAACTGGCACACTGCCATTTCTGCTCCATTCTTTTGGCCAAAGCAAGTCATATGGTTGAAGCCAAAGTCAAGGAGCCACAAAAATAAATCTTACGCCCATTAGTGGGAAGAACTGCAAAATCATATGGCTAAGGAATAGATCCTGGAAAGGATGAGGAATTAATGCCTCTAATGCAATCTACCACAGTTAAAGTTCCCTCTTCTGTTTCAATAGGGCTACTTATCGCTTTTTCATGCTCTTCTAAAATGAAGCATTTCATATAGGCACATTTCATAGAAGTCCCTTTCTGTGGCATTGTGTTTTTCATTCTGATGTTTATATTTTATAAATAGCTTTTGAAAGATATAATTCACGGGCCGGGTGTGGTGGCTCATGCCTGTAATCTCAGCATTTCCGGAGGCTGAGGTGGGCAGTTCACCCGAGGTCAGGGGTTCAAGACCAGCCTCGCCAACATGACGAAACCCCATCTCTACTAAAAATGCAAAAATTAGCCAGGTGAGGTGGCATGAACCTGTAATCCCAGCTATTTACTCGGGAGGCTGAGGCAGGAGAATCGCCTGAGCCCAGGAGGTGGAGGTTGCAGTGAGCTGAGATTGCACCCATTGTACTCCGCCCTGGGTGACAAAGCAAGACCCGGTCTCAAAAAATAAAATATAAGATATAATTCACATACTGTACAATTCAGTCATTTAAAGTGTACAATTAAGTAGTTTTTATTATATCTACAGAGTTGGGCAGTCGTCACCACAATCATTTTTATAACATTTTCTTCATCCCAAAAGAAACTGTACATATTAGCAGTTACTGCTCATTACCCTTCTCCCCAGCCCTTGGCAGCCACTAGTCTGCTTTTGGCCTCTACGGATTTGTTCTTTTTCTGTTAATCGAATGATACATAGCTTTTGTTTTGTTTCTGGCTGCTTGCACTTAGCACAGTGTTTTTAAGGCTCATCCATGTTGTAGCATGTGTCAATGCTTCATTCTCTTTATTGCCAAATAATTTTCCTTTTTTATACCACATTCAGCTTATGCACTCATTAGTTGACAGGCATTTGGGTAGTTTCCGCATTTTGGCTGCTATGAATAATGTGGGGCCAGGTGTGGTGGCTCATGCCTGTAATCCCAGCACTTTGAAAGGCTGAGGCAGGTGGATCACCTGAGATTAGGAGTTCGAGACCAGCCTGGCCAACGTGGTGAAACCCTGTCTCTACTAAAAATACGAAAATTAGCTGGGCGTGGTGGTGGACGCCTGTAATCCCAGCTACTCAGGAGGCTGAGGTAGGAGAATCACTTGAACGCAAGAGGCAGAGGTTGCAGTGAGCAGAGATGGTGCCACTGCACTCCAGCCTGGGCAACAGAGCAAGACTCTGTCTAAAAAAACCAAAAATAGTAATAGTTATGCGATGAACATTTGTATACAAGTTTTTGTGCAGATGTATGTTTTTATTTCTCTTGGGTGAATACTTTGGAGTAAAGTTGCTGGCTCATAGTTTCTGTTTTTAACATTTTGATAAACTGCCAAACAGCTTTCCAAAACGGCTGCACCATTTTACATTACCACCAGCAATGTGTGAGATTCTAATTTCTCCACGTCTTCACCAACACTTGTTATTGTCTTTTAAATTATAGCTATCCTAGTGAGTGTAAAGTCATATCTCATTGTGGTTTTATTTGTGTAGTGTTTATATTTAATTAAGGGTTTGTAGAGGAAAAAAGCAGTAGTTTAAAATGTTAGGTCTGATTGTTTTTAGAAGTGTACTACCAAAGTTGAACCTCTGTTTTAGTCAACTAAAAATCTTGTGTCAAGAACAAAAATTTAGTACACCTTTGGTTCACAGATTTTTCTTCAGGCTACTTCTTATTTCTTTTGCGTGCTGGAATAATTTAGAAAGAAATTAGCCTCAGATAATTGTTAAACTAGTTTCTTCCCTTTGGTTAAGTGATTAACCGAATTACTCTGGCAACCTGCTGCATCATCAGTAAGCTTGGGACTAGGAGTGGTTTCATGACTGAAGGTTTGGTGGGTGGAAGTGGCGGTGAGGGGTGCCTTGATGTGTCAGTTCTTTGCCAGGAGGATAATCACTGGAGGAGTTAGTTGTAAAATACTACCTTTTCTAGAGCTGCACTGCCCAATAGAAGTATAATATATGGTATATATGTAATGTAAAGTTTTCTGGTAGCCACATTAAAAAGTTTTTTTAAAAAGGTGATACTAATTTACATAAAAATACTTATTTCACGCCTGTAATCCCAGCACTTTGAGAGGCCGAGATGGGTGGATCATGAGGTCAGGAGTTCGAGACCAGCCTGGCCAGTATGGTGAAACCCCATCTCTACTAAAAATACAAAAATTAGCCGGGCGTGATGGTGGGAGGCTGAGGCACAAGAATTGCTTGAACCTGGGAGGCAGAGGTTGCAGTGAGCCGAGATCGTGCCACTGCATTCCAGCCTGGGTGACAGGGTAATTCTGTCTCAAAAAAAAAAAAATTATTATATCACTGATGGTATGTAATCAATATACAAATTAATGAGACATTTTAACTTTTTTTAGTACAAGATCTTCTCAATTCAGACTAGCCACATTTCAAGTGCTCAGTAGCTACATGTGGCTAGCAGCTCCCATATTGAACAGTGCGGTTCCAGAGGTGGTAAATACTTATGATCTAGATTTTTGCTCACATGTATGATCTGTGTGTCTTTAGGAAAAACAGATGAGTGTGTGATCAGTCTGTATTTCTAGTTCTTTAGTTTTATATTGTTACTGCCGGGTTTTCTTTCAGTGGGGAAGAGGGTGTTTAGAGGGTTTCAGAGAGGAAGCTCCTCATAGCTCAGATTTTTGGTTGCGAGCAGTTAAATTCACAGGAGGAAGAAAATTGCCTCCCTCCTCATTAGAGATGTACCAGATTCTATAGTTCTCAGCAAGTAAATCTGTTGGAACTGTTATCGTTTGGTCCTTGTTCTGATGGTTATAGGTGTTCAAGGTCTGCTTTGGCCTGTTGTGTATCAGTTATATACCACTTGTACTGCCTAACCACACAGCTCACTTGGTTAGACAGAGTAAGGTTGTGAATTTGATCTCTGTGTTTAATGAATGACTTTATGCCTTTTGGGGCTCTGCTATAGTAACTAAAATAGAATAAACCACATCCTTTTTCATCAGAAGTTTATAGTGTTAGAGACTGGGTGTCAAATGCCAGCAGATGTAATTAAGACAATTTAGAGACAAGGAGATTTCAGAGTGGGCTGTTGTATAGATTGTGTCTCCTAGTCAGTCAGTTGATTACTAGAAGGACTGAATTTGGAAAAAAAAATTTTTTTTTTTTTTGGCCGGGCGTGGTGGCTCACGCCTGTAATCCCAGCACTTGGGGAGGCTGAGACAGGCAGATCACCTGAGGTCATGAGTTCGAGACCAGCCTGACCAACATGGACAGGTTAAAAATACAAAATTAGCTGGGCATGGTGGCACATGCCTGTAATCCCAGCTACTCAGGAGTGTGAGGCAGGAGAATTGCTTGAACCCAGGAGGTGGAGGTTGCGGTGAGCTGAAATCGCGCCATTGCACTCCAGCCTGGGCAACAAGAGCAAAACTCTGTCTCAAAAAAAAAAAAAAAAAAAAAAGTTTTAATGTTTGAATGACTTTACTCACAGCTTACATTTTCTAATTTGGCTGAGTCCCCATCACTTTCTGTTTACTGTACACTGAATCTCTACCTCACTCATTTATGCTGTTTACCTAGCTCCTGGAGGCAATTGAGTTGTGATCCCTTAGTAACCATAGTTGTAGGTCATTGCCTCAAGGATGGTTGAAGATAGGGATAGCTGATCAGTGCTCCAGTGACAGAGGATTAAAAAAACAACTTTTTATGGGCACTTGCATGTTTAGATACAAATACTTTAACAGGATTTGACCATTGCATTATTACTGACTATTAGATGCCTTAAGGACATGTAGTTATTCTAAGTGGTACTCACATGCTTTTGAGTTGGAGTCCATAAATGGTATTCTGACCAAGAGAACAACGATCATGACTTAATTTACATGCTATACCCTGGCATTTGTGATAATATGGACCCAGGGCCCATTTGTGAGTTCACTGATTTGTTTGAATTTGAAGGCCATGTGAAATACTTATGTGTTGTAGGTCCCGTGCACAATTATGGAATTAAAGAACACCGTAAGTGGTACTATCTTTTTAATCAGTTTATTTGGTGGTTCTGTTGAGTTTTTGTATACATTATTATTTTGATAATTTCCAAATATTTTATACTTTGACACTTGTTCATTAGCTTCATTTTTGAAATGTGTCTGAAAGCCTTAGCCTTACTAAGAAAGAAATGTCTTTTAGTTGAGTTTGAAATGCTTTGATTTGTTGGTATTACAAAGTATTAATATAAGGGTTTTTTTGTTTGTTCCCAACTGAGTGCAGTCTGCAGTGATTAAGCTCCAAATTAGTTGGACCAGTAGGGGCGGAATTGGAAGCCTTACTTACACTAAATAATGCCATTCCTTTAGGGGATAAAATCTGGTTTAGACCTCTTTGGTAACAAAACAAGACCTTAACTGAAGTTATTTCTAGTATCTATTTATTGAATAGGTGTGACTTGTCACCCACTTCACACACCATTGTTACCTTTCTGAAAGCCAAAAAAAAAAAAAAACCCAAAAAAAAAACCCAAAAAAACTCTAGCCATAATTTTGAAACATCTCCAGCCATAAGGGTGTCAGATAAGGAATTATGAAACTGTAATACCATATTTTATTGGTGAAAATATTGAAAAGTGTAGATAAACACAAAAAGAATAGAAAAACTACCCACAATTCTACCAACACAGAGAGATCTTTCATTAAATTTGTTGCATATCTTTCAGGTTTAAAAAAAATCCATATATTGTGACAGTTGGTTTTTTTTTTTTTTTAAATTATACAAGTTGTTGAAACCCAGAAATCCCAAATAGAAGTAAAAAAAGAAAAATCCTAATTACCTAATATTTAACTTACTTAGAAAATTTATGGTAACATTTCATGTTACCCTTTTGGGCATTACATATAGGAACTGTAGATCATTTTTTACACAAAAGCAGGAACAGGTTTATACTGTGCTTTCATTTTTATGTGATATTTAATGTCTACAGAAGAATATATGATTTGTATGTGTAGCATAATGAACGCTCATGAACTTCACCAGTTAAAGAAACTATAGGATTACCAATGTTCTGGAAGCCCCCTTTGTACTCTCCTTTGTCCTTCCTCATGCCTCTGTCCCCTGTCCCCGTTTAGGTGTAACCACTGTCGTGAATTTTGTTTACCATCCCTTTGCTTTTTAAAAAAACTAGATTTACATCTGCATTTTTTTTTTTTTTTTTTTGAGACATAGTTTCGCTGTTGTTGCCCACGCTGGAGTGCAGTAGCGTGATCTCAGCTCACCACAACCTCCGCCTCCTGGGTTCAAGCGATTCGCCTGCCTCAGCCTCCTGAGTAGCTGGGATTAGAGGCATGCGCCACCACGCCCGGCTAATTTTGTATTTTTAATAGAGACAGGGTTTCTCCATGTTGATCAGGCTGGTCTTGAACTCCCAACCTCAGGTGATCCACCCACCTTGGCCTCCCAAAGTGTTGGTATTACAGGCATGAGCCACCACGCCCGGCTTACGTCTACATTTTAATGTTTTACTGTACAACATGTTTTGTTTTGCTTTTTTAAATAAGTTTATAAAGATGACATATATTGTCTTTTATAATTTGTTTTTTTCAGTCAATATTTTTTCTAAGATTTGTCCCAGTTGTTGCATTCCTTTCCAGTGCTGTATAATGTTCCATCCTGTGAATATATAATCACATTATTTATCTGTTCTGATAAATATTTAGTTTCCAGTTTGAGGCTATTTCAGAGGAGTCTTGTGAACATTCTTGTATATTTTCCTGGTATTTATGTTTCAGAGTTTTCTTAGGGTTTATATACCTGGGAGTAGAATCTACCATTATCTTTTATGGTGAGTGCTTTTTGTGTCCTAAGAAATTCTTCTCTAGCCTGAAGTCTTGAAGATAGTCTCCTATATGTTCCTCTAAATAGGAATAGGTTAGAGTTCAAGCTTTGCCTTTCACATAGAAGTTTTTAATCCATCTAGAATTAAGTTTGTTTTTTGTTTGTTTGTTTGTTTTTTGAGACGGGAGTCTTGCTCTGTCGCCCAGGCTGGAGTGCAGTGGTGCGATCTCGGCTCACTGCAAGCTCTGCCTGCCAGGTTCATGCCATTCTCCTGCCTCAGCTTCCTGAATAGCTGGGATTACAGGTGCCCGCCACCACGCCTGGCTAATTTTTTTGTATTTTTAGTAGAGACGGGGTTTCGCCGTGTTAGCCAGGATGGTCTTGATCTCCTGACCTCGTGATCTGCCTGCCTCAGCCTCCCAAAGTGCTGGGATTACAGTTGTGAGCCACCACGCCCGGCCTCTAGAATTAAGTTTTATATATCTGTGTATGGATTAGTTAGGAATCCAATTGTCCCAGAACTATATGTTGATAAAATAGTCCCTGCTTTCCTCAACGATCTCTAGCATTACCTCTGTGATTGGTTTTAAAAAGCCAGGGTCTAGCTCTGTTGCCCAGGCTGGAGTGCAGTGGTGCCATCATAGTTAACTGTAACCTTGAACTCCTAGCCTCAAGCAATCTTTCGCCTTGGCTTCCCACAGCACTGGGTTTACAGATATAAGCCACTGTGCCCAGGTGGAGATTGTTTTTGTATGTGTGTTTATGAAAGTAATGTTAAAATGGTAAATAGTGTTTTGTTATATGCTTTTTAAAATTAAATATATCTTGAATGTCTTTTGATACCATTTAATATATAATCAGTTTTTGTGGATACATAGGAGACCACTGTATTCAATCTCTCTAGTTTTTATTATATCACTTTTATTCCTGATCTTCCAGTTGCCCTGTCTCAAGAAAGCTTATAACCAGTTTTCTTTCTATCTTTCTAGAAATGTGTGCATGAAAACACATGTGTATACAAAGTCCTATGCAGTACCCCTGTTATATTGCAGTAAAATACACATAGCATAAAATTGACCATTTTAAGTGTCACTGAACTCAGTGGCATTAAGTACATGCACATTATTGTGCAACCTTCACCACCATCCATTTCCAGAACTTTTTAATCTTCCCAGATTGACACTGTATACAGTAGTCCCCTCTTATCCACATCCCAAGACTCCCAGTGGATACCTTGAAACTGCCGATAGTACTGAACCCTGTATATACTGTTTATTCAATCTGATAACCAAGATGGTTATCAAATGTCAAACTGGTGGGTAGGGGTAGTGTATGTATATAGCATGAAGATGGTAGACAGAGGGATGAGTGACATCCCAGGCAGGAGGGAGCAGGATGGCATGAGACTTCATCATACTACTCAGAATGGTCCACACTTTAAAACTTACGACTTTTTTCTGGAAATTTCCATTTAATATTTTCAGACCACGGTTGACTGCATGGAAGGTGAAACCATAGATAAGTTTAATCGGAACTACTGTACCCATTAAACTTTTAACTCCTCATTCCCCTCTCTCCCCACACCCTGGCAACCTTTGTTCTCCTTTCTGTCTCTGTGAATTTGACTATGCTAGGTACCTCATATAAATGGAATCTAACAATATTTTGTTTCTTTTTTTTTTTGTTATT
This sequence comes from Homo sapiens, assembly GCF_000001405.40. Classification (NCBI taxonomy): domain Eukaryota; kingdom Metazoa; phylum Chordata; class Mammalia; order Primates; family Hominidae; genus Homo; species Homo sapiens. The sequence continues at coordinate 120,881,794 of NC_000012.12, read as the reverse complement.
GGCTTTTTCACTTAGAGTAATGCCCCCCGAGCTTCATCTATATTTAGCGTGTGTCAGAATTTTCTTCCTTTTAAAGGCTGGATAATACTTGACTGTATGGGTAAGACCACATTTTGTGTATCTGTTCATTTGTTGATGGGCAGTAGTTGCTTCCACCTTTTAGTTACTATGAGTAATACAATGAATATTGGTGTACAAATATCTGTTCGAGACCCTGCTTTCAGTTCTTTTGGATATAAACCTAGAAGTGGGATTGCTCAATCTCGTATGGCAATTCAACATTTAATTTTTTTCCTTCTCTTCTCTTCTCTTTTTTTTTTTTTTTTTTTGAGGCAGTCTCACTCTTTTGCCCAGGCTGGAGTTCTGTGGCGCTGTCTTGGCTCACTGCAACCTCTGCCTCCTGGTTCAAGTGATTCTCCTGCCTCAGCCTCCCAAGTAGCTGGGATTACAGGCACACACCAACACGCCCAGCTAATTTTTGTATTTTTAGTAGCAACAGGGTTTCACCATGTTGGTTAGGCTAGTCTTGAATTCCTGACCTCAGATGATCCTCCCGCCTCGGCCTCCCAAAGTGCTGGGATTACAGGCGGGAGCCACCGCACCTGGGCAACATTTTAATTTTTTGAGGATCCACCATTACCATTTTCCATAGTGACTGCCAAATTTTACATTCCCACCAGCAATGTATAAGGGTTTCAGTTTTTCCACATCCTTGCCAACACTAGTTGAATTTTGTGTGTGTGTGTGTTTTCTTTCAATAGCCATCCTAATGGGTATGAAGTGGTATCTCATTGTGATTTTGATTTATATTTCTCTAGTGATTAGTGATGCTGAGCATCTGTTCACGTTTATTGACCATTTGTGTATCTTTGGAGTAGTGTTTATTCACGTCCTTTGTCCATTTTTTTTTTTGGCTGGGTTGATTGTTGTTGAGCTGTAGTTATTAGTATATTCTGGATATCAATCCCTTATCAGTTATATGATTTGCAAATAATTTTTTTTTCCCCCGAGACGGAGTCTCTCTCTGTCGCCCAGGCTAGAGTGCAGTGGTGTGATCTCGGCTCACTGCAACCTCTGCCTTCCGGGTTCAAGCGATTCTCCTGCCTCAGCCTCCCGAGTAGCTGGGACTGGAGGCACGTGCCACCATGCTCAGCTAATTTTTTGTATTTTTAGTAGAGATGGGTTTCACCGTGTTAGCCAGGATGGTCTCCATCTCCTGACCTCATGATCTGCACACTTCAGCCTCCCAAAGTGCTGGGATTACAGGTATGAGCTACCACACCCGGCCGATTTGCAAATAATTTCTCCCATTATGTAGGTTGTCTTTTGATTTTGTTAATAGTGGCCTTTGGTGCACAAGTTTTTACTTTTGATAAGGTTCAATTTTTCTGTCTTTTGTTGTGTGTTCTCTGGTGTCACATCCATGAAATCTGCCAAATCCAATGTCATGAAGCCCTTCTCTTTTTTCTTCTAAGGGTTTTTAGTTTTAGCTCTTATTTGTATGTTTTTGATCCATTTTTGAGACTATTTTTGTATAATAGTAAAGGTCCAACTTCATTCTTTTGTGTAATTCATTTTTAATAGGATAGTAGTGTACCATATACGCTGAGATTCGTTATCTGGCTTTTTTCACTCAATAATGTGTCTCAGCCCCAGTGTTTTTTTTTCATCCTGTCCTCCAGTAGCCTGTTGAGTGGTGTGAGTCAATATGTAGGAAAGCTTTTGAACATGGCTCCCTTCACTAACAGTTAAAATTAAAAGAAAATCAAGTAGGATTGTTAAACCGAGGAATGAAAAGTGAAAAAAAAAAAAAGATAAAAGCAGGGAACAGAGGTGGAGTATGGGAATTCCAAGTATCACCAACTTCTGCTTTTAGGGCAGATTGCAACTTTATTGAAAATTTGTGAGGCACATTGTTAAACTCTGTATATATATGTAAGTTTTTTAAATCCACATTTGACTGCATGTGTATATATATAACTTTTACCTTTAAATCAGTCCCCTGAAATGTAGGTGGTGTTTTTCCCATTTTACAGATGAAAAACTGATTACTTACCCAAGATTTTATAGTTAATGAGTGGCACATGTAGCATTTGAACACAGGTATTTTTGACTCTGCAATTAATGGTTCTCTGTGATAATGAGAACCTTTAATCAAGTAAGCTTGAAAAAGGCTGCATATTAAATCCCTCTCTTGGAAATTTGGTCTGAATTAGCATATTATGAGCTATGAGAAGTTGGGCGGTAAAAATCTCTGTTTAATTTTGCTTTAAATATTAAGACGCTTACTTGCTTAAGGGAAGAGTTTGCTCAGCGTGTTAACAATACCTGGAACAGTTCTCCTTTAACATTATTTTGGGAAGTACCACTCACAGTTGCATTCTATTTTCTTGTTTCAAATCAAAGGACAGTAAGTTAAATCCTAACTAGGTGAAGAAGAGAATCAGTCCGTAGAATTCTCTAACACAGACCAGGTGTGCAGCTTTTGGAGCGGGGGAGATGAGGAATGTCAGTTTATACTTCAAAGTCTGCTGTGATGATGTAACTCAAAAGTAATGTGCTTTTCCAGAGGTGAATTGCATGTGACTGCAGCTTCCCCTGTCTACATGACAGGTATTAAACTGTAGCTTTATTTTATTTTAGTTTTATTATCTTATTCTTTTTTTTTTTTTTTTTTTTTTGAGACAGAGTTTTGCTCTTGTTGCCCAGGCTGGAGTGCAATGGCGCGATCTCGGCTCACCACAACCTCCGCCTCCCAGGTTCAAGTGATTTTCCTGCCTCAACCTCCCAAGTAGCTGGGATTACAGGCGCCCGCCACCACACCCAGCTAATTTTGTATTTTATGTAGAGACGGGGTTTCTCCATGTTGGTCGAGCTAGTCTTAAACTCGCGACCTCAGGTGATCCACCCGCCTCAGCCTCCCAAAGTGCTGGGATTACGGGTATGAGCCACTGCGCCCGGCCTTATCGTCTTATTCTTAACCCTACAAGGAATGCAAGGCTGTAGCTTTATTTCAGTGTGTATGATATGGTAAGATAACACAACAGAAGGATTTAAGGCATAGATAATTTAAGAAAAAATAATTTTTGACCAGCAATACTTCTTACATATGGGCTTTGAGTTTAAGGATTTTATCTTGGTCCTGAATTGTTCATTTTAGCTCTGCCACTGATAAACATAAGCTGTGATATAGGAAATGAAAGATTGTCTCTATTATGGGCGTATTATTTAAATATTGAACAGAAACTCGTGTCAGAGATGGTCAGCAAATGAATGAATCAGCAGCCCATTAGCGTTTAGCTTGTAAGAGAAAGTCATTTATCAGCTGAATTGAGACCCAATCCCTTGATTAGGCATTGCTTTTAGTATTCAGTAGGGCTAATCCTATCTTTATGTTTTTACAGAGTGTTCTTTGATATTTTTGCCCACTTATTTTTCCAAGTTTTCCCAAGTTCCGTAAAGTATCTTGTTAATGATTTCATTGGAAATATGTTACAGCTGTTACTTAACTGGGACAAAATCTTCATGATATTCTGGTATATTCCTTCTCTGCAACTGACCAAGTTTTTGTTTTTTGTTTTTTGTTTTTTAAATACTACATTAATTACCAAATATTTTATACTTTTTGTTGTTTTAATTAAGATATTTCATTTTTTTCCTAGCTGGTCATTACTGGTATGTAGAAATACATTTTATTTTGGCCTTTACAATTCCTTTCTTATTTCTCACTCTGATATTTTTATTTTCCTGTTTAATTAATTTTTTTTTCTTTTTTAAGACAAGAGTCTTGCTCTCTTGCCCAGGCTGGAGTGCAGTGGTGCAGTGGCTCACTGCAACCTCTGCCTCCCAGATTCAAGCGATTCTCCTGCCTCAGGCTCCCAAGTAGTTGGGATTATAGGCGTGAGCCACCATGCCCAGCCTACACTGATTGCTTTTCAAATATTAAACCAGCCCTGCATTCCTGAAATCATAACGTGTTATGCTTTTTCTTTCTTTCTTTCTTTTTTTTTTTTAAGACGGAGTTTCACTCTTGTTGCCCAGGCTGGAGTGCAATGGCACGATCTCGGCTCACTGCACCCTCCACCTCCCAGGTTCAAGCGATTCTCCTGCCTCAGCCCCCCGAGTAGCTGAGACTCCAGGTGCCTGCCACCACACCCAGCTAATTTTTATATTTTTACTAGAGACAGGGTCTCGTCATGTTGGCCAGGCTGGTCTTGAACTCCTGACCTTGGGTGATCCACCCGCCTCGGCCTCCCAAAGTGCTGGGATTACAGGCGCGAGCCACCACTCCTGGCCGGGTTATGCTTTTTCTGTATGGCAGGGTTTGATTTGCTAACATTTTGTTACAGATTTTCATGTCTCTATTCATGAGACACACTGGTCTGTGATTTTTTTAGGTCTTTAGTTTTGGTATCAGGGTAATGCTGGCCTTATAGAATGAGTTGGGAAGTGTTTTCTGTCCTCTTCTGGAAGATGGTGTAGAATTGATAATTCTTTCTTCAAATGGTTGGTAGATCACTAGTGAAGTCATCTGGACTTGGAGTTTTCTTTGTGGGAGGATTTTAAGCTACAATTTCAATTTTGTTACCAGATATTGGCCTGTTTAGGCTATATATTGATTTAGGGTTTGTATGTATCTTTATCCCAATTTATGTTGAAATTGGTAGTTTGTCTCTTTCCATTTCATCTACGTAGTCTAATTTGTTGTTTGTATAAGTTTATAGGTTTTTTTTTCTACCTTTTAAATGTTTGTAACGTCTGTTGTGATGTTCCTTCTTTCATTCCTAGTGTTAGTAATTTGTACTTCTCCCTTTCTCCTGATCAGTTTAGCTAGATGATTTTATCTTTTCAAAGAATTGCTTTTAGTTTCATTGCTTTTTCTCTAGTGTTTTTCCATTTTTTTGATGTCTGCACTCATGTTTATCACGTCCTTCTTTCTTTGCATTTAATTTGTGTGTGTGTGTGTGTGTGTGTGTGTGTGTGTGTATGTGTTTCTCAAGGTAGAAGCTTAGATCATTAATTTGAAAACTTTCTTTTTTTCCAGTATAGGTATTGAAAATTATACGTTTCCCTCTAAGCACTTTTTAGCTGCATGCTGTACATACTGTACATTTTGGTCTGCTTGATTTTCATTCAAGTCAAAATATTTTCTTTCTTCTTTTTTTTTTTTTTTTTTTTGAGACAGAGTCTCGCTCTGTCACACAGGCTGGAGTGCAGTGGCGCGATCTCGGCTCACTGCAAGCTCTGCCTCCCAGGTTCACGCCATTCTCCTGCCTCACCCTCCCAAGTAGCTGGGACTACAGGTGCCCGCCACCACGCCCAGCTAATTTTTTGTATTTTTTTTTAGTAGAGACGGGGTTTCACCGTGTTAGTCAGGATGGTCTCGAGCTCCTGACCTCATGATCTGCCCGCCTCAGCCTCCCAAAGTGCTGAGATTACAGGCGTGAGCCACTGTGCCTGGCCCATTCAAGTCAAAATATTTTCTAATTTCCCTTATTATTTCCTTTGACCCATGAGTTATTTAGAAGTGTTTTTTCTTCTATTAATTTCTAGTTTAATTCTCCTGTAGTTAGAGAATATGCTTTGTATTATTTCAGTCTTTTTAAATTGAGGGATGGAGGTTGTGTGTTTTTGGTGGTCTAGAATATGATCCATGTTGGTGAATGTTTTAAGTACACTTGAAAATAATGTATATTCTGCTGTTACTGGGTGAAATATTGTATAAGTATCTGTGAAGTCAAGTTGGTCAGTAGTCCTTGGTGATTTGGGTGGGGGGGGTCTGTTTGTTTTGCCAATCACTAATCATTTTGTAATATCCCTCCTAATATTCCTTGTTCCAAAGTCTACTTTGTTGATATTGACACCACTCCAGCTTAGTGCCTGTATGGTGTATGTATTTTCTTTATCTTTTTAATCTGTGTATTTATATTTAAACTATGTTTCTTATACATAGCATGTGGCCGGATCTTACTTTTTTGTCCAGTTTGACAATCTGCCTTTTAGACTAGGTGTATCATTTACATTTGATGTAATTATTGATATGCTTATGTTAAAATTTTTTTCCTTCTTGGAATTTATTTTTCATCTTTTTTCTCCTTTTCCATGTTTTCCTGCCTTTTTAAAACATGAAGTATTTTTGTGATTCCATTTTATCTCTTTTTTTTTTTTTTGAAATGGAGTCTCTGTCGCCCAGGCTAGAGGGCAGTGGCACAGTCTCGGCTGACTGCAACCTTCACCTCAGGGGTTCAAACAATTCTCCTGCCTCAGCCTCTGGAGTAGTTGGGATTACGGGCGTCCGCCACCATGCTTGGCTAATTTTTTGCATTTTTAGTAGAGATGGGGTTTCACCATGTTGGCCAGGCTGGTCTGTTCTTGATTTACTAGCTTCACATCTTTGTTTTATATTTTTAGTGGTTGATACAGGGTGTATAGTATGCATCTTCATCACCATCTATGTTGAAATAATGTTATACTATTTCACCTGTAACTTAAGCATAATTTTAAAAATTTTAAATTTTTTCTATTTTAATTTTTTTCTGTTTTAGTTATTTTCATGGCATAAAAGGCCACCAGTAATTAGTGCCTTAAAACAACACTATTGCCAATTTAGTCTGTGGGTTAGGCATTTGGATGGGGCACAGCAGAGATGTTCTGTCTTTGCTTCATGATGCCTGTGTCCTCTGCTGAGGCAGCTCAAAGCTGGGGGCTGGGAGTATCTGAAGGTTTACCCACTTGCATGTTAAGCAGTTGATGCTGGCTCAGACCTTAGCTTAGTCTGTTGGCCGGAACCCGTGCACATGACCTTTTTATGTGGCCTAAATTTTCTTACAATCTGGTAGTTGGGTTCCAAAGGCAAATGTCCTAAGAGAAGAGAGCCAAATAGAAGCTATATTGGCTTTTGTGACCCAGCCTTGACTAGTGTCACTTCTGCTATATTTTTTAGGTGGAGGCAGTTACGGAGGTTTGTCTGAATTCAAGGAGAAGGTGCATAACCACCTCCTACCCCACCAGCACACACACACACACTCACACTCACACATCCTCTCCTATCCCAAACTCTCCCCCACATCACACACACCCTCTCGTATCCCAGCCCACATGCTCTGCTTCCAGTGTGACATCGACAGGAATATTGATGCCATATTGGAAGCAAGGCATGTGGGCTGGGAAAGGAGGCAGTCTTTGGAAAATATAGTCTACCACACTGCTGCCTTTGTGCTGCTGTTATCAGGCATTTTAATTCTTTGTATGTTATGTTACACAATACATTATTATTTTTGTTTTAAACATGTCTTTTACATTTACTCACTTATTTCTTTTATTCTTTTTTTTTTTTTTTTTTGCGACAGGGTCTCGCTCTGTCATCTAGGCTGGAGTGCAGTGGCGCAATCTCAGCTCACTGCAACCTCTGCCTCCCAGGTTCAATCAATTCTCCTGCCTCAGCCTCCTGAGTATCTGGGACTACAGGCACCCATCTCCACGCCCAGCTAATTTTTATATTTTTAGTAGAGATGGGGTTTCACCATGTTGGCCAGGTTGGTCTCGATCTCCTGGCCTCAGGTGATTCGCCTTCCTCGGTCTTCCTAAGTGCTGGGATTACAGGCGTGAGCCACCACGCCTGGCCATATTTACCATTTCTTTCACTCTTCATTTCTTTTTGTAGATGCACATTTCCATCTGGTATTTTTCTTCTGTGTGGAGAAATTCCTTTAACATTAGTTGTAGTAGGGTTCTGCTGATAATGAATTATCTCAGCTTTTATTGGTCTAAAGTATTTTGTCTCCATATTTGAAAACTATGTATCACTGGGTGAAGAAGTTTATATTGACTTTTTTTCCTTCAGTACTTTAAAGATCTCCCATTTTCTTCTTGCTGCATGATTTCTAATTTCATTTTTTAATTAATTAATTAATTAATTTTTTTGAGATGGAGTCTAGCTGTGTTGCCCAGGCTGGAGTGCAGTGGCATGATCTTGGCTCACTGCAACCTCCGCCTCCCGGTTTCAAGTGATTGTCCTGCCTCAGCCTCCTGAGTAGCTGGGATTACAGGCACGTGCCACCACACCCAGCTAATTTTTGTATTTTTATTAGAGACGGGGTTTCACATGTTGGTCAGGCTGGTCTGGAACTCCTGACCTCATGATCCACCCACCTCAGCCTCCCAAAGTGCTGGGATTGCAGGTGTAAGCCACTGTGCACGGACTCATTTTTATTTTTGTTTCTCTGAATAATACGGCCTTTTCCTTCTGGACACTTGAAGTTTTTCTTTTTACCACTGATTTTTAGCACTTTGGTTATGATGTGCCTTGATGTGGTTTTATGTATGTTTCTTTTGTTTGGGGCTTTTTGAGTTTCTTAGATCTGTGAGTTTATGGTTTTCATTATATTATGAAATTTGCAGCCGTTATTTCTTCAAATTTTTTTTCTGCTTTCCCTTTTGCCCTTCCTGTATTCTAGTTCAGCTGTGTTAGACCACTTGATCGTGTTCCACAGGTTACTTAGGCTTTGTTAATATTTTTTCAGTCTTCACTGTGGGTACTTTTTACTGCTGTGTCTTCAAGTTAAACCATCTTTCCTTCTGCAGGGGGTCTCATCTGCTGTTACTCTCAGCCAATGTGTTTTTCATTTGAGATACTGTACTTTTAAAATCTTTACAGTTTCCATTTGGGTCAGAAAAACTATTTGTCTCCTTTCCACATCACATTCATATGAACTGTATATTGTTTGTTTTAACGTCCTTGTGTTCTAATTCCATTATTTCTATCATTTGTAGATTTATTTCAATTAATTTTTCATCTGGATATGGGTCTTTTTCACTTCTTCGTATGCCTGGACATTGTGAATTTTATATTGCTGAACACTGGATTTGCTGTATTCCTCTAAAGACTGTCAGATTGTATTTGGTCACACAGATAAGTAATGTTTGGATCAGTTTGATCCTTGTGAAGCTTACTTTTAAGGTTTTTGTGGCTAGTAATAGCGGCCTTTAATCCTTGGACTAACTTGGCCCCCCTACTAAGGTGTTGATCCTTCTAAGGCCCCGTGCTTTTTTCATGGTCAGAGTGACCAGCCCTGTGGGAGCTCTGGGAAGTGTTGGCCCTATTGCTTTCCAGTAGATTGTTCCCTGACCTTGGGGAGACTTCCTCTCAAGCACTTGGAGATCCGAGACTGAAAGGAACCCTTCTGCCAGACCTCCGGAGCCCTCTGCATGCAGCCCCCGCTTCTCCAGTACTGGGTCCTGCAAATTCTGGCTGCCTCAGCTTCCCCCAGCTCTGTTGGCTCCTCAGTGCATTGAGACCCTTGGATTTGGTTTCAGTGTTCTGTCCCTGAAGTATGAAGCCTGGGAGTTGTCTCCAGGCTTTAAGTTTGGTTAGTCATAAAATTTACCTTCTTTTTTCCTTTCCCTGGAGGGGGATCACAGTCTTGTGCTACTTTTTGCCCAGTGTCTAAAACTTGTTATTTCATGTGTATTGTCTGGTTTTCTAGCTGTTTATAGTGGGAGGACAGTTACTGTAGCAGTTACAACTTCATGTTCCAAATTGAGAGTCCTCCTGTTTAAATTTTGTTAATATAGTCAGCCCTCTGTATCTGTGGGTTCTGCATTATTGGATTCAACCAACCATGGATCAGAATTTTTGGAAAAGAAAATAATAACAATACAATGATAAAACAACACACATTCTTTAAAAATACAGCATAACAACAGGTTGAGTATCCCTAATCCAGAAATCTGAAGTGCTCTAAATTTTGAAACTTTTTGAGTGCCATGATGCTCAAAGGACATACTCATTTGAGCATTTCAGATTTTTAAATTAGGGATGTTGAACCAGTAAATATGTAATGCAAATATTCCAAAATCGGAAAAATCCCAGATCCAAACACTTCTGGTCTCAAGCATTTCAGATAAGGAATATTCAACTGTATTTATATAGCATTTACATTGTATTAGCTATTATAAGTAATGTAGAGATGATTTAAAGTATATGGAAGGATATGTGCAGGTTATATGCAAATACTGTGCCCTTTTTTTTTATCCCTCCCTGAGACGGAGTTTCATTCTTGTCACCCAGGCTGGAGTGCAGTGGCACAATCTCGGCTCGCTGCAACCTCCGCCTTGCAGGTTCAAGTGATTCTCCTGCCTTAGCCGCCCGAGTAGGTGGGATTACAGGCGTGCACCACCACACCCAGCTAATTTTTGTATTTTTAGTAGAGACAGGGTTTCACCACGTTGGCCGGGCTGGTCTCGAACTCCTGACCTCAAATGATCCACTCATCTCAGCCTCCCAAAATGCTGGAATTACAGCTGTGAGCCACTGCACCTGGCCATTTTATATAAAGGACTTTAGCATATGTGAATTTTGTTATCCAAGGGGGATCCTGGAATCAATCCCCCGTGGATACCAGGATACCAAGGGATGATTGTACTTTCAGTGATTTATCACTTTCATTTGTCAACAGATTTTATGTCAATTCTGCTTTCTACTTTGCCAGCTTTTTTTCTTTTTACTTTTTAAAAAACTGTGGTAAAATGTATATATAACATAAAATTTACCATTTTAATCGTTTTTAAATGTACTGTCATGTGGTATTATGTGTATTCACATTGTTGTGCAGTCATCATCACTGTTTACCTCCAGAACTTTTTCTTTTTTTTTTTTTTTTTTTGGAGACGGAGTCTCACTCTGTCGCCCAGGCTGGAGTGCAGTGGCATGATCTCAGCTCACTGCAACTTCTGCCTCCTGGGTTCAAGCGATTCTCCTGTCTCAGCCTCCCGAATAACTGGGACTATAGGTGCCTGGCGCCATGCCCGGCTGTTTTTTTTTGTGTTTTAGTAGAGACAAGGTTTCACCATGTTGCCTAGGCTGGTCTTGAACTCCTGAGCTGAGGCAATCTGCCCGCCTCCGCCTCCCAAAGTTCATCTTCTTAAACTGAAACTCTGTACTTATTAAACAGCAACCTTCATTTTCCTCTCACTGAGCCCCTGGCAGCCACCATTCCACTGTCTATGAATTTGACTGCTCTAGCTAGGTCACATAAATGGAATCCTTTATTTGTCCTTTTGTGACTGGCATACTTCACTTATCATGTCTTCAGGGTTCATCCCTGTTGTAGCATGTATCAGAATTTAAGAATTAACTTTTTTTTTTAAAGCTGAGTAATATTTGAATGTATAGATAGGCCACATTTTTCTTACCCATTCTTTCATCACTGGGCATGGGTTGCTTCCACCCTTTGGCTATTGTGAATAATGCTGCTGTGAACATTGCTGTACAGACATCTCTCAAGACTCTGCTTTCTGTTCTTCCCAGTTTGATTTTTGCATTTATCTTTGTATCTTTTTTCTTTCTTTTTTTCTGAGACCGAGTTTCACCCTTGTTGCCCAGGCTGGAGTGCTCAATCTCTGCTTACCGTGACCTCTGCCTCCCGGGTTCAAGTGATTCTCCTGCCTCAGCCTCCCGAGTAGCTGGGATTACAGGCATGCGCCACCACGACCAGCTAATTTTGTATTTTTAGTAGAGATGGGGTTTCTCCATGTTGGTCAGGCTGGTCTCAAACTCCTGACCTCAGGTGATCCACCCGCCTCAGCCTCCCAAAGTGCTGGGATTACAGGCATGAGCCACTGCACTTGGCCCTTTTTTTTCTTTATTACTTTGCTTTTATTCTGAATCTGAAGATGTGTTCTTTTTTCCATGTTGACAATATAATTTAAAACTGAACGTTTCTTTTACGGTCTGCATCCTTTACAGTAAGCTAAACATTTTTGGTTACATTTGTTGAAAACAGTATGAAAGATTCAATGGCTTTATGTCACTGACAAATTTTCATTTTGGACAACATGCTAGTGTGAGTAGTTTCTGGTCCAGTGAAATCCAGTTTTCAGATATTCCTATTTTTGGATTCTCAGCTGTGTATTTGAAATCATCACATTTGAAATTTGTTTGTTCCAGAACATATATGTTCTCATTCTTGTTTGTACTTGAGTCATGTTTAATCACATATATTTGTAGTATGCTTAGATGTAGTAGTTTCCATTTTCATAACTACTTTTCTGTTGATCCATTATGGTGAATTGCAGCTACAAAGTCATACTGTGTAGTAGCGAAAATGCTAACATAAGAAGTAAATAGTAGCAAGCAAAGGATTTTTAAAATATCCAACCTAGTCATATATACCCGTTTAGCTCAGTAGTTCTCAGCTGTGGTAATACCATTCTCTGGTGTGCATTTTTGAAATTCATGAGAACATTTTTGTTTGGCACCATAGTAGAGGTCGTTACAGGCATTTAATGGACAGGGTTTAGGTCTGCTAGATGTCTTGCAGTGTGCAGGAAAGTGCTACAGCGAATAACTATTCTGTCTCATATGGTGTTTGAAGCTCCTTTAATTAAGTCTAAAATATTTTACATATAAACACAAATCATTTTTTACATGATAAACTACATTTTCTATGAATGGCACTGTTGTGTAAATCAAGGAGTGAGTAATGTTTTTTCATTTAAGGCTTTACCAAGAGTTTGCCATTTTGGTAGAATGCATCACCTACAGCAGTACTCCTCATGGTATCGTAGTCACCATTCGACACACCTGATTCAGTCTGCATTTGTTGCTGTCACATTCATGGTGATGTTTCAAATTGATGCAAGCATTTTATTATATCATGTTATTTCCTAGTGTATTGGTGCTCGAGTTTTAATATATTAAATAGTGTTTTATTATGAATCAGCTTCCTTTTCTTTATTCCCCATATTATAGTTAGGACATTGTAATTTTTTAAGTTATGTAGACTATTAATATAATTTCAATATAATGAAGAGACTTAAAATTTTTCATTATGAACAGATGTTAGGTGTGGTAAACTTGGGAGCCAGTGAATTGACTGAATTATAGCAGTCGCTATGGCACCTCCACAGCCTTTAAGATTACTTCAGTATTTCTGTGAAAAGTTATTAATATTACACTTCAGATGTATATGAAAATATTATTTTATTGATTTTCCTTAGAAATTACCACACCATTGGCCGGGCATGGTGGCTTACCCCTGTAATCTCAGCACTTTGGGAGGCCGAGGTGGGTGGATGACGAGGTCAAGAGATTGAGACCATCCTAGCCAACTTGGTGAAACCCCGTCTCTACTAAAAATACAAAAATTAGCTGGGCATGGTGGCATGCGCCTGTAGTCCCAGCTACTTGGGAGGCTGAGGCAGGAGAATCGCTTGAACCCAGGAGGTGGAGGTTTCAGTGAGTCAAGATTGTGCCACTGCACTCTAGTGACAGAGTGAGAATCCGTCTCAAAATAAATAAATACAAATAAAACAAAAACAAAAAAAAAGAAAAAAGAAATTACTACACCATCTATCTGTTGACCACTTGACAAGTGATTGGGTGATACTGGTGGTCCGTGGACTACACTTTGAAAAGCAGTGCCACATATCCTGTATTGCTTTTGTATTAACCTTGTTGTCCTCAATTACTGAATTTGCTCTGTACTCCACTTTATCAGATACCATTTTTTCCCTAACATTTTTTTTTTTTATTTTGCAGTGACAGGGTCTTGCTCCGTCACCCAGGCTGGAGTGCAGTGGCATGATCATGGCTCACTGCACCCATGACCTCCCAGGCTTAAGGGATCCTTCTGCCTCATCCTCCTGAATGGCTGGGATTATAGGTACACACCACCATGCTTAATTTATTTTTTGTAAAGATGAGGTCTCACTGTGTTGCCTGGGCTGAACTATAATTTTTATACATAGGCTGGGTGCCGTGGCCCATGCCTGTAATCCCAGCATTTTGGGAGGCCAAGGCATGCGGTTCACTTGAGGTTAGGAGTTCGAGACCAGCCTGGCCAACATGGTGAAACCCCGTCTCTACAAAAGATACAAATTTAGCTGGGTGTGGTGGCAGGTGCCTGTAATCCCAGCTACTCGGGAGGCTGAGGCAGGAGAATCACTTGAACCCGGGAGGTGGAGGTTGCGGTGAGCCGAGATCATGCCTCTCTGCACTTTAGCCTGGACAACAGAGCGAGACTCTGTCTCAAAAAAAAATTTTTTTTTAATACATGAATTGTCTAATACCATAGTTGTTCAACTCTAAGATAAACTTCTTCTCAGCACCATTAAGTATGTATATATATATATACATTTTTAAGACAGAGTCTCGCTCTGTAGCCAGGCTGGAGTGATCTTGGCTCCCTGCAACCTCCGCCTCCCGGGTTCAAGCGATTCCTCTGCCTCAGCCTCTCAAGTAGCTGGGACTACAGGCACGTACCATCACACCCAGCTAGTTTTTTGTATTTTAGTGGAGACAAAGTTTCACCATGTTAGCCAGGATGGTCTCGATCTCCTGACCTTGTGATCCACCCACCTCGGCCTTCCAAAGTGCTGGGATTACAGGCGTGAGCCACCGCGCCCAGCTACACCATTAAATATTTTTGATGGTCCTTTGTAGTTCTTAATGTCAAAAGAAATTCACCAAGTGCTGTCGCAGATGTCATTGCCTGCATATATATAAACTTTGCCATGCATGGAGGTGTCTTTTCAACCATTTATCATCAGATTAAAGTTATTTGCACTGACAACATTACACATGGCTGAATTTTAAGTTACATTTAGATATGTAATTATTTTCTGTATCTTTCTCAAAAAGAGTGTGCTACAAGGATTATTTTATATGTAGGAAATAGCCTGTTCCAAGATAAATAATACAGTTAAAAGCAATAGAAATTGCTAAATCTTAGGAGTACATTGTAGAGTTTGAGAGATAATGGAGGTTACCTATGACTGACTCATGACTTAGGATGGATTATCACTCAAGCACTAATGTTTTAAAAAACGTTCCTTATTTTTAAGAGAAACTGCTTAATTTCTAGGGACATCTATTTGAGGAAAGATGAAACTGAGTTTAAAGACAAAATTCAGAGGATTCTCAGATGTTCTTTTATTTGCCTCAGAATTATGCTGTCAGTCCCAAAGATGTCAAAAAGAACAGAATTCTGACTTTGAGAAGTGACATGTTTGATACTATTGCATAACTGGAGATGGCCAAAAGTTCAGAAAAATCACTAGACTTTGAATGTTAAGAAAGTTTCAGTTCAAACTTTTATCAGATTCTGAAAAGGAAAGTGGTATGTAACTGTTTTGAGAAATGTATGCTATTATTTTACAATCCATTGTGTCTTAGAATAGAAGAAATACATTATTTCTCCGTTTTAAATTCTTTCCTTTTTTTGAACATGCCTTTTTCAGGATAAACTTTGCCATGTGTGGAGGTGTCTTTTCAAGGTAAATTATGCCTTACTATTTCAGTTAATTCAGAAAATGACTTTTGATGTTGACTATCTTTTAATAGTTCTAAATTCCTCAAATATAATGTTCTCTCTAGAGGTATATGTCCCAACCTTGCGTAATAGGAATTTCCTAATGTGTTGTTACACGGATTCCCAGGCTCTTTCCCTTAAGTTTATGATGTATAGTCTAGGGTGGAACCCAGGAATCTAGATTTGGCGGAGGTACCTTAGGTCACAGGCCTCCAACGTTTTTGGCACCAGGGACTGGTTTTGTGGAAGACAGTTTTTCTATGGATGGGGAGGAGGGGGAGGATGTTTTGGGGATGATTCAAGCACATTACTTTATGTTGCATTTTATTTCTGTTATTACACTGTAATATATAATGAAATATAATTATACAACTCACCATAATGGAGAATCAGTGGGAGCCCTGAGCTTGTTTTCCTGCAACTAGGCAGTCCCACCTGAGTGTGATGGGAATCAGTGACAGATCATCGGGCATTAGATTCTCATAAGGAGCACACAACCTAGATCCCTCGCATGCACAGTTCACAATAGGGTTCTCACTCCTATGAGAATCTAATGCCACTGCTGATCTGACAGGAGGTAGAACTCAGGCGTTAATGTGAGCGATGGGGAGCAGCTGTAAGTACAGATGATTTTGCTCACTTGCCTGCCTGTCTCCTCCTACAGTACGGCCCAGTTTCTAACAGGCCACTAACTGGTGGCAGTCTGTGGCCTGGGGGTTGGAGACCCCTGCCTTAGGTGATTCTTCCAGGCTAGCTTGGGAAACACTGCTGTAGAGCGTAGGCTCCTCCCTGGGGATCCTGCCTAGTCTTGACTACTGTATAAAATTTCATTGCTACAACTTAGAATGCATCTACTATCCCAGGATTATAGTAGTATAATATATACTAATAAATACAGTAATATTTAGAATATTGGTAACAGGTTGTGAGCACTTAACTGTGTGTAAGGACCCATGCCAAACACTGAATAGGTTGTTGAATCCTCACAGCTTTCATAGATAGATACTATTGTACTCATTTTGCAAATAAGGATAAATAATCTGTACAAGGCCTTACAGCCAGTAAGTGGTAGACCCAGGATTGGAACCCAAGCAAACTGACTTTAGAGCCTGTGCTCTTAAACCACACTGTACTGGCCGTTGTAGATCAGATGCTGAGCTGTGCTGATTGTGCAGTGCATTGTAGAGCAGTGTACAGTTCGCTATGAGCGTGAGGTAACAGATATGGTAAGACATGAAACAGTGGCATTTTCATGTGGGAGGGTGTCAGAGCAGTCAGCAGTTATATTAAAACAGTAACCAATCTTGAAGGGCCACAAAGTGATCAACTGGGTAACTGTTGATGTTTCTCTAGATTAGCACTTCTCAAAGTGTGGCCCCTATTTCCCTGGAAATCCCTGAAAATCTCTCATGGGATCCTCAAGGTCAAACCTTTATATAGTATTTCTGAGAAGTTATCTTTCTCTCTGTGTTAACATTTGTATTGATGGTACTGCTGGTGCCTAAGCGTGAATCAAGGCAGTGGCACCAAAGTGTGCTCATAGACATTGTATTCCACACACTCTACAGTTTTGTTTTGTTATTTTTTTAACCCAGTTTCACTTAAGAATGCGTAAAAAAATACTCCTTTGGTTAACTCTTGACACTAGATTGCACATCTTTTTAATGCTTTGTGTGATGTAATGGGAAGGTCACACAAGGCACTTCTGCTGCGTGTTGAAGTACTGTGGTTGTTTTAAGGAAAAGCACCTGTAGGGTTGAGTTACATGCTGACCTAACCATCTTTTTTCATGGACATTTTTACTTTTAAGAATAACTAATAAACTATGGTTATTCAGCTTTGAGTATTTGGCAGATTTTGTAAAAAATGAAAGGACTGATAATATTTGTTGCCAGTGATAAGATTTTTGGGCTTGATGACTTCCCAGGTTTTGTTTTTGTTTTTGTTTTTTGAGATGGGGTTTCGTTCTTGTCTGGGCTGGAGTGCAATGGCATGATCTCGGCTCGCTGCAGCCTCCGACTCCCAGGTTCAAGCAGTTCTCCTGCCTCAGCCTCCCAAGTAGCTGGGATTACAGGCATGTGCCACCACACCCGGCTGATTTTTATATTTTTAGTAGAGATGGAGTTTCACCATGTTGGCCAGGCTGGTCTTGAACTCCTGACCTCAGGTGATCCACCTAGCTCGGCCTCCCAAAGTGCTGGGATCACAGGCATGAGCCACTGGGCCTGGCCTACAACTTCCCAGTATTTAAAGACTTCTGTGATGAGATCAGTGGTAATAGATGGAATTTTTAGTATTGGATAATGAAATACATAAGCATTTTGAAGAGCTCACAACTGAGGAAACAAATATTAACTTACCAGTGCATGATGTACAGAATTATGCATGGGTAAGGATCCATTCAGAGTGAAGGCAGACATGGATTTTAATGTAACAGAGTACAGAAAGTTCATTGATAGGGTTTTAGATTTTACATTGGAGCTAACCTTTAGGAAACTACCATCTAGGCTGGGTGTGGTAGCTCATGCCCGGGATCTCAGCACCTTGGGAGGCCAAGGTGGGAGGATTGCTGGAGGCCAGGATTTCAAAACCAGCCTGGGCAGCAAGCAAGGCTCCATCTCTGCAAGAAAAAAAGAAAAGAAAAGAAAAAGAAAGCTACAAGAAAAAAAAAAAAAAAAGCTAAATGTGGTGACTTGACCCTGTGGGCCTAGCTACTTGGGAGGTTGAGGCAGGAGGATAGCTTCAGCCCAGGAGTTCGAGGCTACAGTCAGCTGTGATCACTCCAGCCTGAGCAATAAAACGAGAATACATTTCAAAAAGAATTAAAAAACCTACCATCTGTAGAATTTCATTTCAGTATTGAAGAATAATATCTACGATTACCTGAAAGGCTCTTAAAATACCACTCACATTTTAAACTATAGATATGCATGCAGTTGAATTTTCTTCATGTACTTGAACCAAACTATATATCATAGTACAGATTAAATGCCGAAGCAGATACGAGAATACTGCTGACTTCGATTAAGCCAGACATTAAAGATATTTGCAGAAATGTAAAACGGTACCATTCCTCTCACTAATTTTTACTTTCAAAAGAGTTATTTTTCATTAAAACTTTTTTTTTTTTTCTTTTGAGATGGAGTCTCGCTCTGTCACCCAGGCTGGGGTGCAGTGGTGTGATCTCAGCTCACTGCAACCTCTGCCTCCTGGGTTCAAGTGATTCTTCTGGCTTAGCCTCTGGAGTAGCCGGGATTATAGGCATGCACCACCACACCCAGCTAATTTTTGTATTTTTAGTAAAGATAGGGTTTCACCATGTTGGCCAGGCTGGTCTCAAACTCCTGACCTCAGGTGATCCACCCACCTCAGCCTCCCAGAGTGCTGGGATTACAGGTGTGTGCCACCATGCCTGGCCTAGATGTTGTGATAAATATATATTTGGTCTTTATCCCAGGTTCCTGGCATAATAGCTTTTATAATAAAGCCCTTAGAATTTCGTGATAGAGGAGAGAGGAGCATCTTTTGTTATTCATGAGAAGTCCCTTTCAACCCTACCTGAGTTTATGCTAATGAGCTGAGTCTTAGTGGGCTCCTAAATAGCTTCTGGATGATGACTGGTTGCTAGAAGAACCAATAGAGGGTTGGAAATATAACCCCTTCCCTCAACCTCTGCAGAGGGGAGAGGGGTTGGAGATTGAGCCCAGCCAGGAAAGGCCAGTGATTTAATCAATCATGCCTGTGTAATGGAACCTCCAAAAAATCCTTAAAAATTGAGTTCTGAGAGCTTCTGGACTTGTGAACTGGTGCTGGGAGGACAGTGCACCCACCGAAGGCATGGAAACTTTGCATACTCCTCTCAGCCCTCCATTCCTTGCCCTGTGCATGTCTTTTATTTTTCTGCTCCTGAGTTGTATCCTTTATAATAAACCAACAATAGTAAGTAAATTGTTTTCCTGAGTTCAGTGAGCCATCCTAGCAAATGGTCAAACCTGAGAAAGGGATTGTGGAAACCCCTAACTTTGTAGCTGATGAGTCAGAAGTACGGGTGACCTGGACTTGATACCGGCACCTGAAATAGAGGCAATCTCATGAGACCTAGCCCTTAACATGCAGGGCCTGTGACACCTTTGGGTAATAGTGTCAGAATTGAATTGATGAACATCTAATTATTATTGGAAAATTGGTTATTGACATGGAAAAAACCCACACATTTGGTGTCAGAAGTGTTAAGAGTAGAAACAGATCATAGAAATATGTGTAATTTATGTTAATGTATAATGAGTTTATTTTAAAATGAATAAATATTTTTCATATTCACAGTTTCAATGTCTAATATGGTAAATATCAGGAAGTATAATCTATATAAACAAATGCCCTTTGGGGTCCTCAACAAGAGTCCTGAACTAAAAAGTTTGAAAACTACTTCTCTGGACACTGTGGACATTATTTTCTGTAGTACTGCCTACATTGTAATTCATGTTCACTTATTTACTATTGTTTTGGAATCTTAATACCTTCAAGTATGTTGCTCAAAATTCTAGAATTGAAGACATGAAGATGTTGAGCACTACAGCCCAAAGTGATATTCCCAATCCTTTGAGTTCCCAGTCCCTCTCTTACCCCTAACTCCCTCACAGCCCTTCTGTTCTCTCCTTTTGGTATCTCAGAAATCTTGGGTATCAGAAATCATTTCATAATACAAGTAACAAGGAATAAGATAACCTGTTAGAAGATTGGATTGGTTTTTATATGTTACAATTTCAGGCATATGATTTTTAAATCTGCCAGAGAGGTGATTGTATACTGAGTAATATCAGTCAGCGTACTCCCCTGCCAGATAAACCAGGACTCAGTCCGCTGCTAGGATGCGTTTCAATGAAGACATCTGACCTGTGTGGTATGTCTTCAGGGCATTGTAGTTGACAGTAGTAATGCAAGGATCTACCACAGCCTGTTTAAAATATGACCAGAAATGTGGCTGCTGGAGTAGCTAGATGAAATATAGACCACACTGATAAAAAAAAATCTTACTCTTTTTCCCTTCCTGTTATTTATTGCCAACACCCTTTTCAAGGATCTGTCCTTTTGGAGAATTTTTGTACTTTGTCTCCTTCCTTTTTCTGTTTTTCTAGCATGTTCTCATTTAAGAATAAGCAAACTATGGCCTGCAAGCCAAATCTGACCTACAACCTGTTTTTGTAAATAAAGCTTTATTGTAACACAGCCATGCCCATTTGTTTACATATCATCTATGGCTGCTTTCATGCTAGAATGGCAGAGTTGATTTGAGAACAGTTGGCCCTGTCTCTGTGGGTTCCACATTCATGATTTAGTCAACCTCAGATAAAAAATATTTGAGGGAGAAAAAACAAAAGTAATACAAATGAAAACAATATGGTAAAACAGGTATTTATATAGCGTTTTCATTGTACTATGTATTGTAAGTAATATAGCGATGATTTAAAGTATATGAGAGTCCTGTGGAGCCCTGAAATGGGAGGAGGAAAAAAGTATACAGGTGGATGTGTGTAGGTTGTATGTAAATACTACACTGTTTTATAAGGGACTGGAGCATCCAAGGATTTTAGTATCTAGAAGGGGAGTAGGGGGTTGTCCTGGAACCAGTCCCCCAAAGATAGGGAGGACTGTAGTTGTCACAGAGACCATATTACTTACAGTGCCTAAAATATTTACTCTTTTACATAAAAAGTTTGCCGCCTTCTACTTCTCTTACTATTTCTAGCAAAGTACCAGACTAATTTCTCCTTCCTCTCTCCCTCCAATTTGTCACGAACAAACTTTTGTGCGTGTGTATAAAATACAATATACACAAATTACCAGAAAAAAGAAACAAAAACTTAACAAAATACATGCCCAGATTTTTCATTATTAGAGTCAACAGATGGAAAATTACCAAATTGCTATAATGAGGTTTAAACATTCTCAGTTTTTGCACTTACCTTGACATGGATCCGTTGCTAACAGTTCATGAAGCAATACCAGTGCTAAACCCACACTTTAAACAGTCTTGTTCTTGTAGTCTGTTACTGGACAACTTTTATATTTATACAACTTATTTACTTCTTTCCTGTAAGTATTTTTATTGATTGAGTATATTATACATAAATTTCTGGTTGAGTATGCTGTATAGGCGATGATGCACACTGAAAGTGATGTAGATGGACCTCCATTGGTGAGCCAGGCCCTTTCTGGATAATGTGATATAATCTTTATTGCCTTAAAGACCCTACTCAGTGACTGAGTAGACTTTATTTTTGAGGCAGGGTCTTGCTGTGTCACCCAGGCTGGAAGTGCACTGGCATGATCATGGCTCACTGCAGCCCAGATTTCCTGGGCTCAAGTGATCCTCCCACCCAGCTAATTTTTTATTTTTTATTATTTTTAGAGATGGGGGTCTCACTATGTTGCCTAAGCTCTTCTTGAACTGTTAGCCTCAAGCAGTCCCTGCGCCTTGGCCTCCCAAAGTGCTGGGATTACAGGAATGAGCCACTGCACCCAGCTAGACTTTTTTTTGTTTGAGTTGGAGTCTTGCTCTGTTGCTCAGGCTGTGGTGCAGTGGCGCGATCTTGGCTCACTGCAACCTCTGCCTCCCGGGTTCAAGCAGTTCTCCTGCCTCAGCCTCCCGAGTAGCTGGGAGTACAGGTGCGCACCACCATCCCCAGCTAATTTTGTATTTTTAGTAGAGACAGGGTTTCACCATGTTGGCCAGGCTGGCTTCGAACTCCTGACCTCAGGTGATCCACCCGCCTCGACCTCCCAGAGTGCTGGGAGCCACTGCACCCGGCCCCAGCTAGACTTTTTGAGTCTGTATGTTTTCTGTTGTGTTTAGGTGTAGTGTAGCTTCCTTTTTAATTGGGATAATAATGGCTGTAGAGATAAGTTTCAAAAAGAATTATTTGATATCAGTGGTTCCCACAGGATTTGTGTTTCAAGTACTGTTTGAAAAAACAAAAACTTTTTTGTCAAAGTAATAATGCACACTGCTGTATACTGTCACAATTCTTAACTTCAGTTATTGCTTGAAAAGACGATTTACATAGATTCAGTCATCTTTGTCTTATAAGGAAGGTATGTAAGCATTTTTAATTTTTTCTCTCATAGCACAGTACAGGTTGAGCATCTGATATCACAAAATCCAAAATTATCCAAAATGCAGAACTTTTTGAGCTCCAACATGATGCTGAAAGGAAAAGCTCATTGTAGCATTTTGGATTTTGGATTTTTGGATTTGCAGTGTTCAACCAGTAAGTATAATACAAATATTCTGAAACCCCCACGCCCCCCACCCCAAAAAAGAGGGAGATCTGAAACACTTCTGGTCTCAAGCATTTTGGATGAAGAACACTTAATCTGTATGTTTTCTTTATAGAAAAAAAATTAAAAGTTACCCATAGAGAGATTTTCTTACTATGCCTTCAAGAAATGCAATGAGGCAGAACAAAATTGAAAACATAACCATCTCTTATAAGGACCCTAGAGTGACTAAATAAGTAAATACTGATAGATTATAAAAAGAAACTGATTCGTAAAAAGTTAAACAAATTTACCATGTGACCCTGCAGTTTCACTTCATAGTTTGGCTGCTTATAAATTCTCGGCTCACATTTCGTTTTCTCTATTATGTTCTTCCATAGAGCGTTGCTGTCAGAGACTAGTGATATTCTCTTTAGTTATTGTTTTTAGTTTTTGTTATGCTTCCTTGCTTTGATTTTCTTCTTTGGGGACTCCTATTGTATACATTTTGGATCTTCTTTGCCTGTTTTTCTATAGATTGCCGCTCTCTAATCTTTTTATCCCTTTCTTAACTTTTCCATCCTATTTACTTTCTAGTTTCTTTAAGGCATTATCTGTTACCCGTTGGTTGTTCATTCTTGTGTTTCTTTTAGTTTAGTGTTCATTTCTGAAATTTCTGAGTTTTATCACCCCTTTTGAGTTGTTCTAATTCAGATTTATGTTGCCTCGTCATATGATGTCATTTTCTTTGTTTTTTTTTTTGTTTTCTTGAGATGGAGTCTTGTTTTTGTTACCCAGGCTGGAGTGCAATGTTGCGATCTTGGCTCACTGCAACCTCCGCTTCCCGGGTTCAAGCGTCCTGCCTCAGCCTCTTGAGTAGCTGGGATTACAGGCGCCCGCCATCACACCTGGCTAAGTTTTGTATTTTTAAAGATAGGGTTTCACCATGTTGGCCAGGCTGATCTTGAACTTCTGACCACCTCGGCCTCCCAAAGTACTGGAATTACAGGCGTGAGCCACAGTGCCCAGCCATGATGTCATTTTCTTAAAAAATTTAAAATTTCAAAATAATATTGTGTTACAGTTTTTACCTGTTTTAAAGGCATGTTTTTTTTCTGGTATGTTTTTATTGTTTTTACAGATGCTCTCTGCCTCCCTTTCTCTCTTTTTAAAATAATGACTTTGAGATAAAACCACAGTGCTTTCCTGTTGTTCATTTTTAATGAAAATTAATTTTCTTTCTTTTTAAATATATATTAAGTTCCAGGATACATGTGCAGGACGTGCAGGTTTGCTACATAGGCAAAGATGTGCCATGGTAGTTTGCTGCACCTGTCAACCCATCACCGAGGTATTAAGCCCCGCATGCATTAGCTGTTTATCCTGATGCTCTCCTTCCACCCACCCCTGTGACAGGCTCTGGTGTGTGTTGTTCCCCTCCCTGTGTCCATGTGTTCTCATTGTTCAGTTCCCGCTTATGAGTGAGAACATGTGATATTTGGTTTTCTGTTCCTGTGTTAGTTTGCTGAGGATGATGGCTTCCAGCTCCATCCATGTCCCTGAAAAGGACATGATCTAATTTCTTTTTATGGCTGCATAGTAGTGTATATGTACCACATTTTCTTTATCCAGTCTAGCATTGATGGGCATTCGGGTTGATTCCATGTCTTTGCTATTATGAATAGTGCTGCAATAAACAAACACATGCATGTGTCTTTATAATAGAATGATTTATATTCCTTTGGATATGTACCCAGTAATGGGATTGCTGGGTCAAATGGTATTTCTGCTTCTAGATTCTTGAGGAATCGCCACAGTGTCTTCCACAATGGTTGAACTAATTTACATTCCCACCAACAGTGTAAAAGCATTCCTGTTTCTCCACAGCCTCGCCAGCATCTGTTGTTTCTTGACTGTTTAATAATCGCCATTCTGACTGGTGTGAGATGGTATCACATTGTGGTTTTGATTTGCAGGAAATTAATTTTCATAAACTGAGAGAGAGAAGTGGGCAGGAAGACTTTAGCTTTCTGGCTCTAGAGCTCCCTCTTTTGACTTTTCTGGTGGAGGGGAAGAGGGAATCCTAGCACTTTCAGACATCTGGTCATTACTCTTCCTGGTTCTTTATTTGGGCCACCTTCTTCCTTTTCTTCTCCTGTCTCTGTTCTGCTGGATTCTGTTCCCAGTAGTTTCTCCTCAGTACAAGACTTTGTCCTGAAAGAGAGCTTCAGATGGTTAGCTTTTAGTTTAGAGGGTCCCTATCACTCCATCCCCTTGTACAGGCCATAAGTTGGAATGTACAGAGCTCCTTTAAAGTTCAACTGCTATTCCTAGTTCAGCTCACCTTGCTTGCCAGTACCTGTTGTCTCATTTGGGGTTTTCCTAATTTCAGATTCATCAAATACCCTGTTGCTTCCCTTTGCTGCTTCTCACACAGATGGCAATTGCACACCAGTCTTTAGCAGTCAGTAGTTTGTCCCCATCTGCTTGTCTTTTGGGTTTTGTGAGGCTACCTGATCACTTAGCTTTGTTGTAGGTGCAGATTTTCAGTTTTGCATCCAGATTGCTCAATCTGTTTTTATGGGAAAATTCAGGAGGATTCAAACCAACTATGCCCTGAATGCTGCCGTCGTTCCAGAATCTTGTCCCATAGTTAAATTTTTATTTTCGTTTTTTGAGACGGAGTCTCGCTCTGTCTCAAAAAAAAAAAAAAAAAAAAAAAAGATGAAAATTGTTCATCTCCACACCAGTGGCCAGGGGGCTCAGTGAGTAGCAAGGGTTCATGTTCTGTGTATTCTTCTGCTCTGCCCTCCAGCATGTTAACCTCACCTCTAGGCTTGCTGCGCTGCTGTTTGCAGGACAACTGCAACATTTCCGAGACATCACATCCTCAAGACCACAAAAAAAGAACCTTCTCTTCTTTGTGTTTCTTTTTTTTTTTTCTTTCAGATTAAGGGAAATCTTTTCCTTCTGTCTCATTGGCCAGAATTGCATCATAAGCCTAAGCCACAAGGGGACTGGAATCTGCATTTAGGTTTGTGCTGTCCAGCAAGGTAGCCACTGGCCACATGGGGCTATTTAAATTTAAGTTCATTAAAATTAAGTACAACTACAGATTAAGTTCCTTAGTTGCACTCACTGCATTTCAAGTGCTCAGTAGTCCCATGTGGCTAGTGGCTACCTGATTGGACAGTGCTGTAATATTACTAGAATGTTTTCATGATCACAGAGTTCTGTTGAACAGTGCTGGCTTACATTAATCACGATTCACTCCCTGGGCCTTTTCAGAATTGCATTTAGTCTTGAGATTTTCTCAGGTGCATTCCAGAAAGCATGTTCATGGTGAACAGCCACAGAATCTGACAATGAGACCACCCCATGTGGCTCTGGGGCTTCAAGTACACCCCCATTCATTTGCATGAGTGAAATAATTTCTCTGTGTAGGAGAAACAAAAAGGTTGTTTTACTGCCAGAAAAAGTACTGAACACATTTCTGAAGTACTGTTTTTCTTTTCTTTTCTTTTTTTTTTTTGAGATGGAGTCTTGCTCAGCTGCCCAGGCTGGAGTGCAGTGGTGCAGTGGCACGATCTCAGCTCACTGTAACCACCATCTCCCGGGTTCAAGCGATTCTCCCGTCTCAGCCTCCCAAGTAGCTGGGATTACAGGCAACTGCCGTCATGCCTGGCCAGTTTTTGTATTTTAGTAGATACGGGGTTTCACCATGTTGGCCAGGCTGGTCTTGAACTCGTGACCTCATGTGACCTGCCTGCCTCGGCCTCCCAAAGTGCTAGGATTACAGGCCTGAGCCACAGCGCCTGGCCTGTTTTTCTTGAGACCAGTCATTTTATTTGAAAATTAAGCTTTGAGGTCATAGTGCTAAATAGCCAGGGCCTATGATTT
This sequence comes from Homo sapiens, assembly GCF_000001405.40. Classification (NCBI taxonomy): domain Eukaryota; kingdom Metazoa; phylum Chordata; class Mammalia; order Primates; family Hominidae; genus Homo; species Homo sapiens. Next base: position 120,855,326 of record NC_000012.12, on the reverse strand, counting down.
ACTTGACAAAAATTGTTTTTTATACATTTGTCAGTTTCTAATTGGGTAGTTGGAAAATGCCAGGAAACTATTATTTCTGTTCATTTTTTGTGCTATATGGAATCTGTTATACTGAGGGGATGTACTTTATAAGTTATTAGTACAAGGATTAATCACTGATAGTCCCCTTCTCTCGTCATTCTTGCACTCTGTGGGGTCTAGTGATCCATCCATACAAGGAGAAGAAACGGTGGCTGGAGGGATAATGAGTTCCCTCTCCTCTTTCCTACACACTAGAAGTAGGGTCAGGAAAGCCCTGCATGCTTCTTCCTTCCCTGTCCCTTCCCTGCCCCTTGTGGAGGGTCATCATGAAACAGTTACATGCAGGTGCTATAAAAATCCTGGCGTGTTCTTTGGTCCAAATAGTGATCTTGAATGTCATAAATATAAGAATATTTTCATTGCACTGTTTTTCCTCAGTTGAGCAGGTTTTGATTATAACAAAACAAATGCCCCGCTTTGGAAACACTTGGTAATGACTGTTATTTAAAAGGAGTAGGAATAATAGGAAGTTAGCTTCTTCTTGTTGACCTTTGGAAAGGTTTGTAACTTCATGATGCTTCCTTAGACTTTGGGGCATTCAGGCTGACTGAATTTTAGACCCAATTGACAGTCATTTTTGCTTGAGTCTTTTTGAAAATCTTTTTAGTATTATTAAAATGGTTTCTTGCCTTAATAAAATATACAGAATATATAATTTAACATGTATTTGGCTTTGATAGCACCTCAGGCTCTTGTTCATCAATTATTGTTTTAGTGATTTATAGGTGTAGCTGTTGCAAAAGGAAGGTGGTCACACAGCACATAGCTGCCATGACTTAAAAAGAAAAAAGACCTGTGCTGTTGGCTTGCTTACTTCTCCATTGTATGTTGGCAAGACTAGATTTACTTAGCATCAGACTACTAGAGTATGTATATAGATACATATAATTCAACACTTATCACCAAAACAGTTTCTTGAGCATTCTAAAATTGTTTTAGGGGTGGACCATGTTTACCTCCCACTGAATGTGGAGAATTTTTTAGGTGCTTCATGGTAAACCCTTGGCTTTTCTGATTTCCTTGGGTCAGTTTCCTCTGCCCACCTCACAGGAGGCTGCCACATGTGTTCTTACATTTACTCCTTGAAGAGCCGTCAGTAAAGGGTACATTGATAACTTGCACAGTCATGAGTAATTCAGTTTGAGTAGCTAGGTTTATCCTGTTTGGGGAACTGACTGTCACTGTGGGGTTTTCTTCTCCCTCTGGCCTTTTTTTTCCCCGTGTGTGTGTGTGTGTGTGTGTGTGTGTGTGTGTGTGTGTGTATGTGTGCGTGTGTGTGGTGGTGGTGGTGTTTGTTTTCATGTGGTTTTGGGTTTGGGTTTTGTTGTTGTTTTTTGCTATTCCAAATACAAATTCATCTCACTTGCTTTCATAATATATTCAGTAGTTTTTCTGAATTGCTATGAAAATGTGAATTTTATCTAAAACTGATTTTTAAGGTATGGTCTTTGGACTAGTAGTAGCATCTGTATTGCCTGGGAACTTTTTAGAAATTTATGAATGCTTGGCTCTGCCCCAGATCTGCTGAACCAGAAACTCTGGGGTAGGTACAGCGATCTGTGTTTTAACAAGTCCTCCAGGTGATTTGGATACACCATCAGCTTTGAGAATCACTGGTCTAGAAGATCCATGAATTTAATCATTTTGAACAAATGCTGAAACTTCCTTTCCATGTGCTTTGGTGTGCATCATATCTTCTTCTTAGTCTAAAATTTATATCAAAAGAATTAGGAATACTATGGTTTGTTACAGCTTCTTGTTTTGCTACTATTGTGTACATTTTTAGAAGTTACTAAGGAAAAAATTTTACGTTTGGTGTCAGATGTTTGTCCATGTGACATTTGAATGAGTAAGTGCAATTCCTTTGGGCAGATAAAAATGTCAGTGTACTTTATTTGTCTAACAGGAATTCTCTGCTTGTAGATGTAATATAATATAGTTCTGTAGACTTAGAAATCAAATATTTACCATATACATTTTCCTTCATTTGCTTGCCTTAGGAAAAAAAGTGGATGAGCAGATAAGATGATGGTAAAGAATATATCTTTAGGCCGGGCGTAGTGGCTCATGCCTGTAATCCCAGCACTTTGGGAGGCTGAGGCGGGCGGATCACCTGAGGTCAGGAGTTCAAGACCAGCCTGGCCAACACAGTCAAACCCTGTCTCCACTAAAAATACAAAAAAATTAGCCAGGCATGGTGGCGGGTGCCTGTAATCCCAGCTACTCGGGAGGCTGAGGCAGGAGAATCGCTTGAACCCAAGAGGTGGAGGTTGCAGTAAGCCGAGAATGCACCACTGCACTCCAGCCTGGGCGACAAGAGTGAAAATCCATCTTAAAAAATATATATATATATATGAAATATATATGATATGTATATATTATATGAAATATGTATTTCATATATCATATGTATATATTATATGAAATATATATTTCATATATGTATATATGATATATGAAATATATTTTATATATAATATACATAGATATAATATATGAAATATATTATATGTATATTATATATAAAATATATTTCATATATGTAAAATATGTATATTATATATGCATATATTTCATATATGTAAAATATGTATATTATATATGCATATATTTCATATATGTAAAATATGTATATTATATATGCATATATTTCATATATGTAAAATATGTATATTATATATGCATATATTTCATATATGTAAAATATGTATATTATATATGCATATATTTCATATATGTAAAATATGTATATTATATATGCATATATTTCATATATGTAAAATATGTATATTATATATACATATATTTCATATGTAAAATATGTATATTATATATGCATATATTTCATATATGTAAAATATGTATATTATATATACATATATTTCATATATGTAAAATATGTATATATAAATTAATATATATGATTATATAAATATAATAAAGATATATATCTTTAATAGAAAATGTCAAATTGGCATGTAACTATGTGCGATGACAAACTGGGAGTTTCCTAAATTATTTGTCTGAGCCCATTATATGGAGCTTCAGCTATGCACTTTGCATAACAGAGAGCACACTTTCGTCAGAGCAGGAGTGTACAAGCAGTAATGTGAGGAGCGCAGGCCTGCAGGTTCAAACTCGTGGGTATCACAGAGTATTTTTAACCTTCAGTGAAACACAATGACATCTGTTAGATATCATACAAACTAATAGCTTAAGGTAGTTCACAATTCAGCATTAAATCACTAAATTCCTTTTGATGATGCCATATCTTTGCAAAGCTGGGATTTTGGCCATTGCTGTGAAATAAAAGCAGTACTGTTTGAAAATCAGTGTGAAACGGGCCAGGTACGGTGGCTCACGCCTGTAATCCCAGCACTTTGGGAGGCTGAGGCGGGCAGATCGCTTGAGCCCAGGAGTTCAAGTCCAGCCTAGGCAATGTGGTGAAACCCTGTCTCTACAAAAAATGCAAAAATTAGCCAGGTGTGGTAGCGCTCACCTGTAGTCCCAGCTACTCAGGAGGATGAGCTGGGAGTATCACCTGACCCGGGGAGGTCAAGGCTCCAGTCAGTCGTGTTTGCGCCACTGCACTCCTGCCTGGGTGACAGAGTGAAACCCTGTCTCAAAAAAACAAAAAAGAATGTGAAACAGGAAACGAGAGTGGCAGTGTCCCATCTGATTCTAAGATTTGAGAAGTGGTGGAGTGCCCAGAAGCTCCTGAGCTATTAGGACACAAATACTGCTTCGACTGAACAGAGCTATTAGGCATTTCTTTTGGCCTCAGGTATGCCACAAAAAAAAAAATGACTGAGATTTTAAGGGAGCCATGACCTGAGAACATTTGAGGAATCTCTGATGTGGGCTACTTTTTTTGGTAGATTGCAGTTTGGACTATGAGTATGATTTTAAAAAAAAACTGTATGAGAAAATGAGAGGCCAAAGGCCAGTGATTTACAGGCAGCCTGGTGGAGGAGAAGTGGTATGTGCTGCTGCTACATGGTCTCTAGGGCCATATGCTCTAGTTTGAGTTCTAGTTTTTTGACTATATCACTGTGGCTAAGCAATGAAGTTTCTAGACTCGCGTTCTCATTCATTAGGAATGATAACACCTGGTAAGTATCTAAACGAGATACTGTAGGTAAGTATACTTCATAGAATTTTAAATCTGGTAATTGTGTGGTAGGCTGAATAATGACCCCTAAAACATGTCCATGTCCTAATCTCTAGAACCTATGAATATAGGAAAGGAGACTTTGCAGATGGCATCAAATTAATATTTTTGAGATGAGATTATCCTGGATTATCTGTGTTGGCCCAATATAATCACACAGGTCCTTGGAAGAGGTGGGCACACCAGAGTGAGTGGTAGCAGATTTGACGATGGAAACAAGAGGTTGTAGTGATCGATGAAGGGAATGTGAGCCAAGGAATGCAGGTGGTCCTCTAGAAGATGAAAAAGGCAAGGACACATTCTTCCCTCAGAGCCCTCACAGGGAACCAGCCCTATAAAACCGATGTCAGATTCATGACCTCCGCAACTATGAGAATAAGCTTGTGTAAAGTCAGTATTTGTGGTAATTTCTACAGCAGCAGTAGGAAACTAATATAGGATGTTACTCACATTTAAAAAGGGAAAGTGTTTGAAAAACCCTAACGTCCACTGTCAAAAAACCTAACATTCTTTCATTCTTTTTCACAGTATGAAATCCAGAATAGCAGCATTTGGCTTTTGTTTTTTTTTTTTTTTTTTTTTAAAGGCTGGTCTCACTATGTTGTCCAGGCTGGTCTTGAACTCTTGGGCTCAAGCAGTCCTCCCACCTCAGCCTCCCAAGTAGCTGTGCATTCATTTGGCCTTTTAGACTTCCTTACAATGCGGCATAAACTTCTGTGGTGTAGACATGTTGAGATTTACTTTGGCCTTAACAGATGGCTCTAGAGACTTTGAGGAAGTATTTAGATTTGAAAGGGGCAACAGAGAGGACTCATAAACCTCTGGAACATCTAAGATGTGTGTCTCTGGAAAGCCTAATTTTATGGGAAGGGTTTTTGGAACTGAGTTCCCTTGGCAGCCCCTAGAGTTACCTTTTACCAACCATCCATTATATTTCTAAATCTAGCTGGTCCAACAAGTTGCTTTAGAACAGTTTCTCCAAGCCTAATGTGTTTTATATTTGCACTCCAGAGGGTAGTATTTCAGAGCCTCTCAGGTGCAAACTTGGGGTTTTCCATGGCCGGGTGACTCAGCTGAGGAAAACTTCTGACCAGTGACTGCCTGTTTGTATCTACACACTCTGTTAGGAATGGTTATTTTTACTGAGTCCTTGTCAACATCCTGTCAATCCCAGATTTTCCAGTAGAAATACTTCACGCTAGAATTATGTCTTTATAAAGCAGCAGCTGTCACAAAGAAGTGGTAAGGCCTGAGGACATGAGAATTGTAGGGGGAGGGTATGTGTGAGAAGATCCAGAACCTGTAACCCAGAGTGGTTTTTAGGAGTCTCGGATAAATAGGATTTTCCTGGTCCCAAAAGGTAAAGACTACATGTATTGTGCACTAGTCAAGCTTCCTCATAGCTAACTAGCATGCCTGATAGAAGCTAGAAATTTTCTTGGACATATTTTCAGATGCCACGTGCAAAAATCACTTCGTACAGAGTATATATTGATCTGTTTTTTAGAGCTGTTTGGATTTTCTAAGTAAAATTCAAAGGAAATCTTCTCAACATGTCTACATTTTACCTGTATTTGCTATATCTTGGTAACCTTAGGCCATTGCTAGTATAGATAGATCATCCTGTTTCACTTGCCTCTGTGGTGGCTCATTAATCTATTCGTATCTACTTAAACAATAGAATGTCTTCAGAAATTGTGTTGCCAGTTGGCTACAACTTTGTAGAAGTTGGTATTGATTACCTGAAATTATTTTTTACCTTTAGAGTACTGATTTAGATGCTTGTTAGAGTTGAGCCCATCTCTAATAACTTTGTTAGAGGGAAAGAGAGTATCAGGTAAAGTTTAGGTTTAGTTTTACTTTTTATTATTATTGTTTTCTTTTGTTTTTTGTTTTCTTCCTCTGGTTTTAGAGGGAGGATCTCTGTTGCTCAGGCTGGAATGCAGGGGCGTTGATTATAGCTCACTGCAGCCTTAAATTCCTGGGCTCACGCAATCCTCCCATCTCAGCCTCCATGAGCATGTCTAAGAATATAGACATGTGCCACCATGCCCAGCTAATTTTTAAATTTTTTGTAGAGATGGATATTTACATAGTAATCAAGTTTGTATTACATCCTGGGCCTTGAAAGATGGCCAAAAAAAAAACCAAAATTGAGTGTTACACAAATCACCTGTAGCTTGCTCATTGATCATTAGTGTTATTACACTAAAGTGATAAAAAGTAATTTATGCACAAATTTTTAAGGCATTTTTGTCCTTACTATTTTCTTACACATTAGGTATAATGAGCTATGGTAAAAGAGCAGTAATTTAAAGCATCTGTGAGAAATCTAACCTTTCCTTTTGTAACCTTTTGGATTTAATTGTGATTTTTGAGAAATGGAACAATCAGTAGTAGTTATGAAAATTGTCAATTTGGCTTATGTTAAATATATAGATTAATTTATAAGTCCATCGAAAATATGCAGATGACTAAAATAATACAGCAATTCTAAAATAATACTTGTTAGATAGACTAGCACTTTCTGGGGTGTGGCGGGGGCAAGTAAGTTAAAGTAAATCCTTGCCATTCTGTTAATGATACCACTATTCTCAGTCATTAGATTGGACAAGAAATAGCAGTTTTGGTATTCCACCCTTCTTGGGCTCCCTGCCATGTTCAAGCACTTTAACTTGAGGTCTTAATTCTGTGATTGTGAGAATAACTCTAGACCCATGGTGTCCCTGTAGTCCTCAGTGCGATCTTATGGCTGTGGTTTGGCCTTTCTTCTGACTCCTTGAGATATATCCTGATCCTGTACATTAGAAAGTGGCTGTTGGAGAACAACACTGCAAATACAACTTTGCTTATAGTTGTATTTAGTTGCTTATAGAGCAACCTTGAGATTCTGTCAGGGCAGTGCTAGTGAATTTCCTCTCCCTTTAATAGATTCGGCTGCTGAGTTCATCAGAAGCTGGTAAGTAGTGCAGGTCAGAATCTGCTCTTACTTGTGCACATGCACCACCACCACCTTATCTCACACCAGTGTGATGAACAAGACTAGATTTTGTTTTAAGTTTTACATAATGCCTTACTTCCCTTTTTCTGTCACCAGACATTCAGCCACTTATAAAAATCACTCTCTCCCCAAACTTGTGATTATCTCCTTTCTCTCGGTAGTTAAAATGAGCACGGTTCAGATTCAATGTGGCATTTTGAAAGCCAGGGGACACACCCAGGGTGATTATGGTACTCAGGTACAGGAGAACAGAAAGACAGTTCTCTGCTATGGAATATTAATTATAAATATTAGCTCCCTTTTTACTAGATTCAAAGGCAGTTCAGTGGTTACTTTAAACCAAGGCCAGGTGTGGTGGCTCACACCTGTAATCCTAGCACTTTCGGAAGCCAAGGTGGGAGGGTCACTTGAGCTCAGGAGTTTCAAACCGTCCTGGGCAAGAGAGTGAGACCTGCCTCTACTTAAAAAAATAAAAAATAAGGCCAGACTTGGTGACTCACGCCTGTAATCCCAGCACCTCGGGAGGCCAAGGCAGGCAGATTGCTTTGAGCTCAGGAGTTCTAGACCAGCCTGGGCAACATGTTGAAACCTTGTCTCTACAAAGGATACAAAAATTAGCCAGGTGTGGTGGCACACACCTGTGGTCCCAGCTACTTGGGAGGCTGAGGCTGGAGAATTGCTTGAACCCAGGAGGCAGAGGTTGCAGTAAGCCAAGATCACACCACTGCACTCCAGCCTGGGTGACAGAGTGAGACCCTGTCTTAAAAAATAAATAAATAAATAAATAAAAATAAACTGAATTCATGTTTCCACCTTCCCCAAAGAGACGCTAAATTCTTCTTTTTCCCTCTCTAATTAGTGTTGAAATTGATGTTACATCTCCCTTTCTTCTGGTTTATTTTGTTTGAATTTATTTTTTCTCTTTTCCTTACGTTTGGTTTTATGCATAATGAAGTTTGAGGCTATTGGTGCAGGTATTCAGTAACATAAAACTTCATTTATCTGGGTTTATAAGTCAGAATCCTATTTCACTTCTCCCTGAGCCTGAGGGGAAATCTTAGAAAAGTCTATTGAGATTTAGTTATAATAAACATACTACTTAATTACTGCACAAGCTTAACCACAGAGTTTGCTGTCACAATATAAACACCCAGATGAGGGCCTGAAAGAAACCTCCACACTCCCACCCACATGAACTCTGTTGGGTGTTTTCTTCCTGCCCTCTATCTGGCAAACAAAAATATGGAATCTGTTCCAAGAATTTCTGTGAAACCAGTTTAGAACTTTATAAATGGCTCAACTAAATGCTCAAAACATGACTACTTCTATTCCATTTTGCCAGCTTTCCACAAGCCATTTTTTTTTATTTTAAAAAAGTGATTTTTCTTGAGAGCTTTGTTATTCTTAAAAAATTTTATCTAATTTGTTGCAAGTTTTTAAAACTCCAATTTTGAGACTTCTCTTTCCACTCTTAAATAGCATACACTAAGTAAGCAGATCAACCGTAGCTTACTGTTTTACTCTCCATAGCTTTTATAGAATAAAACATGCTCAGGCTCTAAAATTCTAAGGTAACTATTTTAAATGGAAATACTAGCAGCTATGCAAGTAAACCAGACACTGTCGATTATTTCGTCAATTTAAAACAATAAAATTCCCTGCTTTTAATATAATTGAAAATCTATTTAAAGAGCCCAGCATATATCTTTGATAAAATTGCCATGCTAAACAAATATGTCATTACTGTGCATGTGTTGGAAATGAATTTATGAAGTTAGAAAATTATTTTATTGTTACTCTTGGAATGTCCCTACTTTTCAATTATTCAGTCACTTAAAATATTTACTGAGCTCTTGTTATGTATGTGCCAGGCACTGTTGTAACAGTGAATGAAGCATCAAGGCCCCTGCTCTCACAGAGCTAACCCTAAAAAAAATATCAGTAATGACAGGACTTTGAGACCAGCCTGGCCAACATAGCAAAATCCCATCCCTACTAAAAATACAAAAATCAGCTGGGCGTGGTGGCATGCACCTGTGGTCCCAGCTACTTGGGGGCTAAGGTATAAGAATCGCTTGAACCCGGGAGGCGGAGGCTTGCAGTGAGCAAGATTGCACCACCGCACTCTAGCCTAGGCATCGGAGCAAGACTGTGCCTCAAAAAAATAGATAGATAGATAGATAGATAGATAGATAGATAGATAGATAGATAGATAATGGATTCTAAGCAATTAAAATAGTAATTGGGGTGGCTCTGAAATTAGGTAGGCAGAAAATGCCTGTCTGAGAAGGTGACATTTAAGTTGCTGTCTGAAGAACAAGAAAGAGCCAGCCCTGGTGGGAGCAAAACAGTACCTGGCTCGGAGCAGCAGCCACTGAGGTACCCTTCCCAGCGTCCTTCCACCTGTCCACAAGCATGGGGAACATAACATCTTTGCCAACGTCTTCAAGGGCCTTTTTGACAGAAAAGAAATGTGCATCCTCATGGTGGGCCTGGATGCTGCAGGGAAGACCACAGTCCAGTACAAGCTTAAGCTGGGGGAGATGGTGACCACCATTCCCACCATAGGCTTCAACGTGGAAACCATGGAGTACAAGAATATTAGCTTCACTGTGTGGGGCGTGGGCGGCTCGGACAAGATCCGGCCTCTGTGGTGCCACTACTTCCAGAACACACAGGCCTGATTTTTGTAGTGGACAGCACTGACAGAGGGCGTATGATTGAGGCCTGCGAGGAGTTCATGAGGATGCTGGCCGAGGACGAGCTCTGGGATACTGTCCTCCTGGGGTTTGCCAACAAGCAGGACCTCTCCAATGCCGTGAATGCAGCAGGGACCACAGACAAGCTGGGACTGCACTCCCTTTGCCACATGAACTGGTACATTCAGGCCACCTGTGCCACCAGTGGCGACGGGCTCTATCAAGGACTGGGCTGGCTGTCTAGTCCGCTCCGGAACCAGAAGTGAATGCGACACCCCTCCCTCTCACTCCTCTTGCCCTCTGCTTTACTCTCGTGGCAAACACTTGGCTCCAGTGTGAGTGCAGAAGCTGCCTCCATGGTTCGGTCACAGTGTGCATCACACTGTGCTGTAAATGTGGCACATGCAGCCTGCAGCCAGGCTTTTTATTCAATGTAAATAGTTTCTGTTTCCAATTAGGCAGTTTCTGTTACTCCTGTGCAATATTAGTCAGCTTTTTTTTTTTTTAATTGTAAAAAGGAAAGTCAACTTTCTGTTCAGTGCTGAGAGGGGATGTAGGCCCGTGGGCCCTTGGCCTCCGGGAGTCGCTGTGTTGGGAGTGCTGGGCATGCCCTTGGCTTTAGAGCTCTGTTGAGATCCATTTTGGTGGTTGGTTTTTGTCTTTTGCTTAAAAAAAAAACAAAAGCCAGCCATAAAAAGATCATAGGAAGCACATTCTAAGCAGAGGGAATAGTCCTACGGTGGGAATGAGTTGGGTATTAAAAAGCAGAAAGAAGACCAGTGAAACTGACATAGTGTTTGTATTGAGAAATCAAAGGGCACTCAGCCATGTGTGTGGGGTGTGGGGGGCAGGCAGTCGGGAAAGAAGGGTAAGATTGAGATCAGATAGGTAGACAGGAGCTTGGGTTTTATCAGCACGATGGGAGGCTGTTAGAGGATTTTAAACAGGCACGGTAATGCACTTCAGGCATAAAGAATTGGTTGTGTGTGGGTTGAGCGAAGGAGAATGGGAGTAAGACTAGTTAGGAGACTATTGCAGTAGTGTAGTTGGTAGTGACTTGAATTAGGGTGCTAATAACGGGGAAACAGAAGTGGAAGGGTTTAGGCTATGTTTTGGAGGTATGGTTCATTTACTTGTGCTGTAGATTTTGCCATTAATGCTAGGGTGGATGGTGCCTTTACAGAAACAGTGAAAACTGGGGGGAAAGCAGGTTTTTGAGAAAAATCGAGAGTTCTATTTTGTCCATTTTAAGTTTAAGATACCTATTAGCCAATTGGAGATATCAAATTTGCAATCAAATATATGACTGGCATTCCAGGAAGAAGACAGGGCTACAGGTGTAGGTTTATGATTAAGCAGCAGAGAACAAATGTTTTGTTTTGTTTTGTTTTATGTTATGTTATGTTATATTTATTTTTGGGAGGAATCTCGCTCTGTTGCCCAGACTGGAGTGCAGTGGCGCGACCCTGGCTCGCTGCAACCTCCGCCTCCCGGGTTCAAGCGATTCTCCTGCTTCAGCCTCCCAGGTAGCTGGGGTTATAGGCGCGTGCCACCATGCCTGGCTAATTTTTGTATGTTTGGTAGTGACGGGACAGGGTTTCAACTTGTTGGCCAGGCTGGTCTCGAACTCCTGACCTCAAGCGATCCACCCACCTCAGCCACCCAGAGTGCTGGAATTACAGGCATCAGCCACCCCGCCTGGCCTGAGAACAAATGTTTTGAAACCATTGGACTTTCTAAGATAACTGGGGAAATTGTGTACACTGGGAAGAGGAGTACACCTAGTGCCCTGGGAACTCTAGGAGAAAGGATCTGGCAGATGTGACTGAGCAGGAACAGCCAGTGAGGTGGGAGGAAACCAGTAGATGGTGATGTTGGAGAAACCAAAAGCTGAAAATTTCAAGAAGGAGGGAGTGTCAGATGCTACAGAGAGGTTAAGTTGAATAACAGCAGGAATATTGGCTTTGAGCATCAGTCATAATCTTGACACGCACATTCTCAGTAGAGTAGATATGAATGGGTCAAGGAGAGAATAGAAGTGAAGGAGACGGTGATTATAGGCAAGTCTTAAATCACAAAAGATTGTATCAAGAATAGATGTAACAGGTAATTGTGTTTTCTAAGACAGAATGGGGATAGCAAACGTACTTTTTATCTAATGTGAATCTATAGAAATGTCACTCTATGTTATAACTTGTATATGTATACCTCCTACCTGTGAACCCAGACATGTAGCCCTACTGTGATCCGTTCACTGTGAACACTGTTGAATGAAGCATAGGCACAGAGGTCCTCTTGTATCTGCATTCCTGGGGATATACTAACTAACTGAGTCTACTAGTTTGAGGCTGTAATTTAATACATTTCAACCTAGAAATAGTGCAAAATGTATAGTTGAAGTTGTTTTGTATGTGTACTGCCTCCTCCAGTTTCTAAGTCACTAATCAGCAGGTCCTTCTGCATTTTAAAAATGGCATTTTTTTCTATTAACTATGCATGTTTGTTAAGGCCTCTGTTTTCAATACTGTGTGCTGTGGTCTGAATGTGTCCCCTCCCTCCACCCACCCAATTCCTATGTTGAAACCTAATCTCCAGTGTGGTGGTGTAAGAGATGGGGGCCTTTTGGTAAGTGATTAAGTGATGAAGGCACAGCCCTCGTTAATGGGATTAGTGCCCTTATAAAAGAGGCCCAAAAGTGCTTGTTAGCCTATTCTACCATGTGAGGATGCACCGAGAACCTGCCATCGATGAAGCAGAGTGAGTCCTCACCAGACAGAATCTACTGGCACCTGAATCTTGGACTTCCCTGTCTCTAGAGCTGGAAGAAACACATTTCTGTTGTTTACAATTACCTAGTCTAAGGTATTTTGTTATAGCAGCCCAAATGGACTAATTTTTCCTTTTCTACTATTATTGAAAAATAATTTCTTCAGGACCATGTTTTTGGGGAACATTTTATAACCTATGAGTAAACTCTTCTCCTCCATTTTCTGTAGCCTCTTAGTGTATAGTGTAATGTTCTGCCCTTATCTTAGGTCAAGGAACAAGTTTCTAATAATTGTCTGTAGATGTCTTTAACTTTGTGGTGCTCGTTGCCATTATTACTTTTATGAATCAAGTACACCTTCAGGGGATGTTTATAACTGTGTTCCCTCTTCTTATCTACCTAAAAAATGCCAACTTTCTATGCATGATTCTGGGCCACAATTTCAAATTTTGAGCACTTCTTGCCATCACAATTTTAAACCATTTATTTTCTATCTGGAATACTGTACACAGTCTGTATTGGTGATCTAAAATAATTCAGCCTGCAGATCCTCAAATTTACTATTCCAGATTTCAACAAATATTGGGGCATGATGGAAGTTTTAGATGTAATAGTTTATTTAGTGTCAAATTTTGCCTTAAATGCCTAATAGTACAGGTGCACACTTAAATATACAAGCCAATAATCCTGTGACTCGGGCTATTGATTAGTGGTAAAAGCAGAAAGCTATGTTATATTGATGCTTATTTTGCTTTGAAGAAAGAAGTAATTGCTAGCTTGTCAGATATTGAGCCTCTCTGACCAAAGGAAACTCAGTTACCACTCTGTGTTTGACCTTTCACTTTCCAAACTCAGAAACTGAATAGATTTGGATAACAAGGGATACTTGTTTTTGTAACATTGGGCTAATTGTATAAAGCACAGACTGGGACTTGGCCAATTAATACGTTTTGTTTCATATTCCAGAACTTCTGACTTACACAGTCAAGTAATTTAATGTAATTCAGATGAATGAACAAACTGAGGCAATTTCTCTTTCCACCCTTTTACAAAAAATAATTATAACTTGGCCTTTCGTTTATCATACTTCCATAACATGAAGGTTTCAGGACTCTATAATGAAAAACTGAGTTGAGATGGGGAGACAATCCAGATGTTTTGTGCATATATATATATATAACTATTTTTTTAACTTAAAAGTACACTAGCAAAGAAAACTGATGAATAATAAAGATTTTAATAGTTCAAAGTATTGTATATCTCATTGTTTCTTTTTTTTTCTGAGATGGAGTTTCGCTCTTGTTGCCCAGGCTGGAGTTCAGTGCCACGACCATGGCTCACCACAGCCTCCGCCTCCCGGGTTCAACCGATTCTCCTGCCTCAGCCTCTGGAGTAGCAGGGGTTACAGGCATGCACCACCACACCTGGCTAATTTTGTATTTTTAGTAGAGATGGGGTTTCTCCATGTTGGTCAGGCTGGTCTCGAACTGCTGACCTCAGGTGATCCACCTGTCTCAGCTTCCCAAAGTGCTGGGATTATAGGTATGAGCCACTGCACCCAGCCTGTTTCTTTTTTTAGTAAGTTTTTCACGGACCGTAAAATTCATCCCTTCATAATATAGAATTCTATGGTTATTTATTTATTAATGAATGAATGAATGAATGAATGAAATGGAGTCTCACTCTGTTGCCCAAGCTGGAGTGCAGTGGCACAATCTTGGCTCACTGCAACCCCCTGGGTTCAAGCGATGTTTTTATTTTTATTTTATTTTTTCAGACCGGGTCTCACTCTGTTGCCCAGGCTGGGGTGTGTAATGGCACAATCTTGTCTCACTGCAACCTCCGCCTCCCAAGCTCAAGCCATCCTTCTGCCTCAGCCCCCCAAATAGCTTGGGACTACAGGCGCACACCACCACACCCAGCTATTTTTGTATTTTTTGTAGAGATAGGGTTTTTCCATATTGCCCAGGCTGGTCTTGAACTCCTGAGCTCAATCGATCTACCTGCCTCGGGCTCCCAAAGTGCTGCCACCGCATCTGGCCACAATTCTGGTTTTTAGTTGTGCAATCATCATCACTAATTTTTATCCCCGTCAAAGAGAAACCCATACACATGAACATTCATTTTCCATTCCTTTATTTTCCCACCCCAGCCCTAAGTAACTGTTAATCTACTCGCCTATTCTGGACATTTCATATAAATGGAATCATCCAATATATATGGCCTTTTGTGTCTGACTTCTTTCACTTAGCTTTCATGTTTTTAGGGTTCATCCATGTCAAGCAAGTATTAGTATTTTACTGCTTTTTTTTTTTTTTTTTTTTTTTTTTGAGACAGAGTCTCACTCTGTCGCTCAGGCTGGAGTACAGTGGTGCAATCTCAGCTCACTGCAGCCTCCACCCGCCGGGTTCAAGCATTTCTCCTGCTTCAGCCTCCTGAGTAGCTGGGATTACAGGCGCTGCCACCCAGCCCAGATAATTTTTGTATTTTTAGTAGAGACGGGGTTCCACCATCTTGGCCAGGCTGGTCTTGAACTCCTGACCTCGTGATCCACCCGCCTCGGCCTCCCAAAGTGTCTGGTTTACAGGCATGAGCCACCACTCTAGGCCATATTTTACTCCTTTTTATGGCCCAAAATATTCCATTGCATGGATATAGCACAATTTGTTTATTTCTCAGTGGTGGACATTGGGTTATTTCTGCCTTTGGGTTATCGTGAGTACTGCTGCTTTGAACATTTGTGTTCATTTTTTTTTTATATATGTGTACATGTGTTTTCAATTCTCTTGACTATACCTAGGAGTGGGATTGCTGGGTCATATGGTAACTCTGTGTTTAACAATTTGAGGAGCTGAACTGTTTTCCAAAGTGACTGCACTGTTTTACAGTCTGTATCTTATTGTTTCCTAATATAGTTGTTGACTAGTCCAGTGAAAGAATGTGTTGTCACATGTACATACATACTGAAAAAATCATTTAGCTGCAGAGTTAGGAATTTTAGTATGCTATTTCCTACCTTTGGTTATTTAAAGAAAAAGAATTAAATTTAAGATGAGTTCAGGAAAGCTCATGAGGTTTTTGTTTTTGTTTTTGTTTATTATTATACTTTAAGTTTTAGGGTACATGTGCACAATGTACAGGTTAGTTACATATGTATACATGTGCCATGCTGGTGTCCTGCACCCATTAACTCGTCATTTAGCATTAGGTATATCTCCTAATGCTATCCCTCCCCCCTCCCCCCACCCCACAACAGGCCCCAGAGTGTGATGTTCCCCTTCCTGTGTCCATGTGTTCTCATTGTTCAATTCCCATCTATGAGTGAGAACATGCGGTGTTTGGTTTTTTGTCCTTGCAGTAGTTCACTGAGAATGATGATTTCCAATTTCATCCATGTCCCTACAAAGGACATGAACTCATCATTTTTTATGGCTGCATAGTATTCCATGGTGTATATGTGCCACATTTTCTTAATCCAGTCTATCATTGTTGGACATTTGGGTTGGTTCCAAGTCTTTGCTATTGTGAAGAGTGCCACAATAAACATACGTGTGCATGTGTCTTTATAGCAGCGTGATTTATAGTCCTTTGGATATATACCCAGTAATGGGATGGCTGGGTCAAATGGTATTTCTAGTTCTAGATCCCTGAGGAATCGCCACACTGACTTCCACAATGGTTGAACTAGTTTACAGTCCCACCAACAGTGTAAAAGTGTTCCTGTTTCTCCATATTCTCTCCAGCACCTGTTGTTTCCTGACTTTTTAATGATTGCCATTCTAACTGGTGTGAGATGATATCTCATTGTGGTTTTGATTTGCATCTCTCTGATGGCCAGTGATGATGAAGCTCATGAGGTTTTTTGAGTCTGACCACTCTCTTGGAATGGTAACTATTAGATACCAATAGGTACCTTGGCAATACCTCTAATTCTGACTTCACATATGGTCCTTGATTACTCTAAAAATTTTATCTGTTGAATGTTTGGACACAAAGAACAGAGAGCCCAAATGGCTTAAGTGATAAAGAAGTTTTTCCAATAGAGTAGCTGAAAAATCCAGGTAAATCTGGCTTCAGCCAAGACTTGATCCTCCACACTGACTAGGACAGCGTTCCCAGGAGGCTTAAATGGAAGTCCCCGAATCAAATCTTCTTGGCCCCTGATTGATCTGCCTTGGCTGTGTGCTTGTTTTTGGTCGCAGTTTGGGATAAGCTGGAGCCGGGAGTGAGTACAGTCCAAATCAGGGTTCTCCTAGGAGAGGAAGGAAGAAAGTATGCTGGAGAAGTATCCAACAAGGGTCTACTACAGAGTCACACCTCTCCTGTAGAGCTGATAAGGAAAAAATAAATATGCATTCACTGCACTCGAGCCTGTATCTGATAACCTACCAAATTCAGATAGCCCATCTCTCAGGAGACCATTTCTTTTTCTAGCCTTTCGTGTCTATGTCCTTTTATTCTTCCTTGTTTTGGTAAAGCATTTTATAGCTTTAAGACAGTTCCTTTGTTTTAAGTAGTAAGTATGGGCTGTGTTTATAATCACTGTGTCTGAGTTTTATTTATTTTTTATTTTTTGAGACGAAGTCTTGCTCAGTCGCCTAGGCTGGAGTGCAGTGGTGTGATCTTGGCTCACTGCAACCTCCGCCTCCTGGGTTCAAGTGACTCTCCTGCCTCAGCCTCCCAGTAGCTGGGATTACAGTCGCCCACCAACACACCTGGATAGTAGAGACTATACCATTTTGATATTGTCAGAATTTAGGCACTAGTCATGTGTGTGTGTGTGTGTATGTAACAGCTGCAGGAAAGGTTGGAAATGCATTATTTTAAAAATCAGGATTATTTTACCAAAAAGGGAGAGAATAAATGTTGGAAGGAAATTTGCAGTCTCTGCCATATTGTAGTTTTTTATTTTTCCTTTTTAGGTGGGTATTTTTAATTGCCTAGTAAATTGTGGTAGTTGAAGTTATCTGTTTGACTTACAGGAATCGCATTCCCTTCTGATAATAAATGGAAGGTTGTTGTATGATATAAAGAGTAAGTACAAATACAGTGCTAAAAAGCATTATAGAAAATTCAAAAATGTTTAATGCCTTCAAATGCAGCTAAATACCAATTTGGATTCAGGAAGAACTAAGATTTTAATATCACGTATTTCAGCTAATTGAAGACTATTGATTTAACATTATTTTTGTGCCACCAATAAAAAAATGCTGCCAGTTATAAAATGCGCTCCAATTTCAGAGTTGTTAAAATATGAGGAAAGTACCTCTTTGACAATATTAACCTTTTTCATATCTGCCTTTTTTCTCTTCACATTTCTCTCTAGCCAGTTGAAGGGACAATTATTGCTTGTGATTGAGAACTGGTCAAATGCAGATAAACTAGGCAAAAATAAAACCATATTAATAATATAGCTAGTACTTATTAACATCAGATATACAGCCAGTTAGTCTTACAAATCTTAGCTAACAAGTTACATTAAAATGTTACTGCTCTGTATCAGTTATCTATTATCTATTGCTGTAAAACAGACTACCGCAAAACCTAGTAGCTTAATGTCACCATTTTGAAATTTTTATTGACATAATTATAGATTCACATGCAGTTACAAAAAAAAAATGCAGAGAGCTCATGTGCTCTTTGCCTGGTTTCTCCCAATGGGCAGCGTTTTGTAAAACTCTTAACAACACAATCAGGATATTGGCATTGATACAACCCATTTATCTTATTCAGATACCCCTGGTTACTTGCACTCGTATATGCACGTATGCACACACACATGTGCATGTTAAGGCGTGTACAGTTTTACCACCTGCCTGTGTTTCTGTATGCACCACCACAGTCAGGATAGTGAATGGAACTAACACTGAAAGTATCCCTTGGGTTGCCCTTTTGTAAGCATATCCCACACCTTCCCGGTGCTAACCCTCCATTCTCACTCCGGTCCCTAACTCCTGGCAGCCACTAATCTGTTTGCCATTTTAAAGTTTTGTCCTTCCAGAAATGCTATATTTGCTCATGATTCTTCAGATCTGCATTTGGGCAGGGGCTCAGTTGGGATGGTTTTGTCTTTGTCCCGTGTGGTGTCTGCCGGACTCTACCAGCACTGAAGGATCAGGATGGTCTCATTCACATGCATAGAGCCTTGGTACTGGCTTTTTGTTGAGGTGTCTAAGTGCTCCTCCCCACAACCTTTCTCATGTAGTTGTCTTCTGCTAGGCTTCTTTCTCTGTGTGGCCTCTTTCCAACAGGAGAGCCTGGACTTCCTTGCATGCCAGCTTCAGGTGCCAAGAAAGCAAAAGTGGAGCCTGCTAGATCTCTTTTCAATCTAGGCCTAAAACTGGCACAGCCTGCTTTCTGTAGCCGTCTTTTGGTTGGAGAAAGTTGCAAGGATAGCCCAGATTCAAGGGGAGGGGAAATAGACTCCCCTTCTTGGTGGGAAGAGTAGCAGATATATGCAGAGATGAGAGGCATTCTTGGTGGCCAGCTTTACAGACAATGTGGTGCACACTCCAAAGTTACAGAAATGATGGCACATGGGTCTGCTTGGATTTGTTGTAAATGCTACCTTACTTCAATTTTGAAATGTGAACTCATTTGAATTTCATAAAAAGTACAAAGGAGAATGTGATATGGTTACATAGTTTTCTGTTGCTAATGCCCATTTCAGATAGAACAGTTCTGTTGCAAGGGAAGTTGCCAGAATTTAAGTTACCAACCAAATCTAAGGATTCTCAAGGGGCCTGTGGTATTTGCAGAACAAGTGGTTGCTTGAAGTGGCTGTTAAGATGTTAGGAATGGTTCACCTCTCTCTCATTTTCCCAGGCTAGCTGTTTCTTGTGATCCTAAAATAGCAGGGGCTTGTATATGTAGTGCCAGAATTCTGTAATACCGACTTGGAGAGACCACACAGATTTCTGTCTTTACATTAAGCTTTTTACATGAAGGCATAAGGATATTGTTTTTCAAGATACTATCAACATAGAAGAGATCTTTTAAGAGGGAGAAGAGTTTTTCAATCAAGGAAATGAAACCAGTAAAACATTTTCTCAAGATTTTTCTGACTATAAAATGTTAAGCTTCCTTCGTTTTGTTGTAAGAGTGACAGCACAGTGGGTCAGAGGATAGATCTTAGACTTCATCGTCAGAATTCTTGATCATCTATAACTGTATGTATAACATCTATGACTAACGAACAAGCTTGCCTAGATTTCTTGAAGGAGAGATAACGAAAGAACTACTGTTTAGCAAGGGCTACATGCTTAGAGAGTATTTCATAAATCATGAGGATGGTTAAGGGTAGGTGTGGTTTCAAAAATAAAATGAATTTTTCACTCTGAGTTTAGAATTATATGTTATTTGGCTAAGAGCTTCCTTCTGCCTTCCTTTCTGAGTGATAACTGATTTTACAGACATTTAGTATGCACTGTCGATCTGTGGAGCATATTGTTAGACATCATTAAAAGGAAGTTGGAACAGGGTCCCTGTTTTCCAGGAGACTGTGGTCTAACAGGACAAATAAGATGTATGCAGAGAGGTAATATAATACCAAGGTGATTAACATAGAAGAGTTTCAAAATGAGGCAAGAATGTTACAACAAACTAAGCTGCCTGAACCTCATTTTTCACCCCTATAAAATAGATTTGTACTGTTTTTCTTCCATCTCTAAAGTATTAATAGTTCAGAAATGTGTGTTTCAGTTATTAGTTGGAGGGTTAGTTTTTATAAGATGTTATCAGATTCCATGTGATGATTTAAAAGATTAATTATTGTATAGTTTTGGCACATTTTACCTACTGTGTGCACACAGTTATGAACACTTGTTTTATTGTTAATGAAAAGAGTACAGAAAGGGAAACACAAAAGGTTATTTTTAGCTCTGGTTAAACTAGAGTAGTATAGGACCTTCATTTACTGGTTTTCATACTAATGGTGAAAATAGCACAGCTGATCTCTGTTCACTGTGAAAGAAAAGGAGAATGAGTGTAAGATTGCAGAAGGAGTATGGCGACGGGAGAGGAAATGCCTTCATTTGTTTTAGCAAAGATTTCTAACATCTCCTTGGTTGGCAACATCCATGGTTCTCCTCTGCTTCCCACCTCCCGATTATGAAGGTGTTTACGGGGAAGCTGTTCATGGCCTATCTCTCTTCTGGGCAGTCTCTCAAAGGGTACTTCAGAGGGCAGAGTCCCCACCAACCACCCCTACTCAGAGCCCACTCCAACCCCTGTTGGAGACAACCAAAAAGACTTCATGGACCACCGATCACATTTCACCACTCCATTGCCCATTTGTTAACCAGGGGCATAGTTGGCTTGGAACTGGTTAGCACATGATTGTGTTGAAGGGTCAGGCAGCTACAAGGAGTAAAAATGAACTGAAACATTCTCATTCTCTCTCGATTGTCTGTTATAAACTGAAGACTTAAAATTCCATCTGTAGTGGTTTCCTTTTTTCTGTATTCAGCAGATGTGGTTAACGTAAAACTGGTTCTAACTGTGAACTCGTTGGCTAGGAAGAACTTACAGGCCAAATACTATAATTTCAGGACATCATAATATTTCTCTCACAAGGTTGCTTCATAAGGATTAAAGTAGAGCACATGTGAAAATGTGTCACCCTGTATGCATGCTTATTCTCAAAGGTCAGTACTGTGCAGACTCACAGTCAGCTTCATGTGTATGTGTCAAGATGAGATCTCAGTTTTCAGCTGTAGCCCCGCATTTAGAGCCCACTTCAGTTATATAAATTAAAAATGGATCTCACCACTTAAATATTCCTCTGTCACTTGAAACTCAACACACACACACACACACACACACACACACACACACACACACTTTAAAACTCAACAACTCTTTTTTCTCCCTAGTTGTATGCATCTGTTTTTCCTCCTTTTTTTCTCTTTTTCCTTTTTTTTTTTTTCTTTTTTTTTTTTTGGAGAGATGGAGTCTCACTATATTGCCCAGGCTGGTCTCCCAACTCCTGGCCTCAAGTGATCCTCCCACTTCAGCTTCCCAGAGGGCTGGAATTATAGGCATGAGCCACTGCGCCTGGCTTGTTTCATGTTTTTATTAACCTACTACCATCCTCTCATTTACCCAGCTTCATTCCTACATGTCTCTTGCTCCTCATACTAAGTCATTCCCAAATGCTCTCCATCCTATTTGTTAAAATGTTTCTGGTGTCTGCCTTGATTCAGACGTTCTTCCTAGAATATTATATTAGTTTCCTATCGAGGCTGTCTCCTTTTTAAGGCCTGCCACAGTCACATTTAACCTCTTTGGCCAACCCTGTTTTCCTCTGTTCCCTTTCTGGTACCCATGCTCCAAGTAAGCTCCAAGTACTTAACACATGCCCCACACTTCTTTGTCATTATGCCATCGTTCTTATTGTACCCTTTGCTTTTGAATCTTATTCTCCCTAATGGATCTCACATTTTCAGATCCTACTTATTCTTCAAGAATAATTCGAATTTTACCTCTTCAGAAGGGGCTAATTTGACCTTCTC
Organism: Homo sapiens; assembly: GCF_000001405.40. Classification (NCBI taxonomy): domain Eukaryota; kingdom Metazoa; phylum Chordata; class Mammalia; order Primates; family Hominidae; genus Homo; species Homo sapiens. Next base: position 120,833,095 of record NC_000012.12, on the reverse strand, counting down.
CGATGGAAGCAATCTCTTCTTCCTCTGAACTCCTATAGTGCTTATGTTCCTTTATTGAAATGTAGATTTCTTTGTAGTGCATTTAAAGTTATTTTATGCACATCTTATTACTTAGATTGTAATCTTGACTCAGAAGCAGTGAGTTATCACCAGATCCCCATAGTGCTGATGTGGTGCCTAAAATAGTCTCTTATGCTTTGGAAGTGCTCAGTAAAACATTTGTCTAACACACTGGTTGTTTGTAAAGAGTCTTCCTGTGCAACTCAAATCTCTAATATTAAACTACAGTATGGAAACAGGCCTCCTATATGGTATGGTGAGCTTTGGACCTGCTGTGAGGGCAATCTTGGGTTTCTTCCTTGGATATAAGGATTTCCAAGTAAAATAAAAAGAATTTCACTTTCATTTCCAAATAGCTTTTTTTTTTTTGAGACGGAGTTTCGTTCTTGTTCCCCAGGCCGGAGTGCAATGGTGTGATCTCAGCTCACTGCAACCTCCGGGTTCAAGTGATTCTCCTGCCTCAGCCTCCCGAGTAGCTGGGATTACAGGCATGCGCCACTACACCTGGCTAATTTTTTGCATTTTTAGTAGAGATGGGGTTTCTTCATGTTGGTCTGGCTGGTCTTGAACTCCCGACCTCAGGTGATCCGCCCACCTTGGCCTCCCAAAGTGCTGGGATTACAGGTGTGAGCCACCGTGCCTGGCCCCAAATAGCTCATTTTCTTTAAGAGGTGGCACACCTGTATTTTTCTTTCTCTTTTTTAATATTAGAGTCAGAAAATAATAATATAAGGCAAAACCAATCTCACAATTCTTGGGGGATTAATTAAATGTCCTACTCTGTGGTACACAGTCTAAATGTTGCTTCTTGCTTATCTCCAAGGTGTCCTGTTTTTATGAGTAATAATAATGAAAATGTTGTCACAGGGTTATTTTGAGTATTAAATGAGCTGATTCAGTTAAAGCACTTATTTAGCACAGTACCCCACACATAGGAAAAGCTCGATAAAACTAAGCAGATACAATTGCTATTATGAATTTACAGTTTGAGATTTCAGATTGGTGATAAAGAGGCAAGAGCTGTAGCTGGTTTTTTATATTTTGAACTGTGCTGAGTAGTTCTTAGGAATTAGATTAGTCCTGAAATGTTATGTCAGCTGAGAATTTTGGTTTCTAGGTGACAGTACTGCAGTAGGCACAGGACTGGCTCTCCCTTTAGAACAAAAGGCTTTCAGTGGGAATTCGTAGTGGCTTCTTTGGTGGTAGTGGTGTGAGGGGGTGGCAATTATCAGATTCTTTCTCTCAACTCCCAGATTAAAATGACAGTGTAAAGGAGAAAATGGAGAGCCTCTGCAAAAAGGATAAGGAACTACAGAACTACAGGGGAACAGATGGCTTAAAGAGATGGGAGAAGAGAAGCAATTCATGTTTTGTTTTTATTAAGCACACACCTATTAGTGGAAATGATAAACTCCACAGTAGGAAGGGAAAGCTGTATTAGAGATACAAGTGGCTGAGACATGAATTCCCAAGGTATCCTAACCTCTGCTTCACATAAACAGTGGCATAAACAGTGAGCATGCAAAGTGGAATATAGAAATAGAATTTTGGAGAAATTTATTTTAGAGGAGTTTGAATGGGACCTGATTAAAGGACTTATGAAGAGTGGACATTTCTACCTTTTGTAAAAGGAAACATGCTTAATTTGGGGTGAGTGCTGGAGGACCCATTGTATTAGGGTTCTCCAGAGAAATAGAACCAATAGGGTATATATGATGTGTATGTAAGAAGAGATTTATATAGGAATTGGCTCGGGCAGAGATGGAGGCTGTGAAGCACCACCATCTGCAAGCTAAAGAACCAGGAAAGCCAGTGGTGAAACTGAGTCCAAGTCCAAAGGCCTGAGAGCCAGGAGAGCCGATGGTGTAACTCCTGATCTGAGTCTGAAGGTCCAGGAATCAAGAGTGGGAATGTCTAAGGACCGAAGTTGAATGTTTCACCTCAAGGAGAGAGAGAGAGAGAGAGAATTTGCCCTTCCTCCGCCTTTTTGTTCTGTTCAGGCCCTTGGTGGATTAGATGATGCCCTCCCACACTGGGGAGGATCATCTGCTGAACTCAGTTCCCACTTCAGTGCTGATCCCCTCCAGAAACACTCTCACACACAGAAATAGGCAGCAAACAGAAATAATGTATAACCACGTAGCTGGGCATCCTTTAGCTCAGTCAAATTGATACATAAAATTAACCATCACATCCATCAAGCTACAGTAAGCAGAACTAAGTGATGGCTGGGCTTCCTTCTAGGGTCACAAAAAAGTCAGCCTGATAGGACTTCTAAGTGAAATGAAGGAATGCAGTGATGTTTACCCAAAGTGAAACAACAAAACTATGAGATAAGTAATGGGATTATCTCTGTTTTATACCAGACTGGAAGCTTAGAACTGAATTCCTCACCACCCTTGCTCTCCCCAACATATGCATGTACACCTTCTCTCTCTCTCTCTCTCTCTCTCTCCTTCCCCCCCTCCCCCACCCCTCCCCCTCCCCTCCCCTCCCCTCTGCTCTCCCCCTCCCCACCCCTCCCCCTCCCCTTCTTCCCCCCTCCCCTTCCCCCTCCCCCTTCTTCCCCCCTCCCCTTCCCCCTCCCCCTTCTTCCCCCTCCCCTTCCCCCTCCCCCTTCTTCCCCCTCCCCTTCCCCCTCCCCCTTCTTCCCCCCTCCCCTTCCCCCTCACCCCTTCCCCCTCCCCCCTCCTTTCCACCTCCCCCCCACCCCTCCCTTCCCCCTCCCCCCTCCTTCCCCCTCCCCTCTCCCTTATTCCATCTCGTTTCAGCTGATGGTGTTTCATTCTCCCAGTTGCTTGGTCGTAGTCATCTTTGGCTTCTTTTTCACTCATGCTCTGTGTTCACTCTGTCAGGAAATCCTGTAGATACATCTTCCAAATATTAATGTATCTAAGACCAGATAACTTCTCACAGCTACCATGAGTTTCACCCCAGTACCAGCCACCATCTTAACTGTCTTTTCACTGGGATACTAAAGTCAGATTTTTAAAGGTGTAGTTCGTGAACAGTGAAATTTACTCTTCTTTTTTTTTTTTTTTGAGATGGAGTTTTGCTCTTGTCACCCAGCCTGGAGTGCAATGGTGCGATCTCAGCTCACTGCGACCTCTATCTCGCGCATTCAAGTGATTCTCCTGTCTCAGCCTCCCAAGAAGCTGAGATTACAGATGCCTGCCACCACAGCTGGCTCATTTTTATATTTTTAGTAGAAACAGGGTTTTACCATGGTGGCCAGGCTGGCTCAAACTCCCGTCCACAGGTGATCCGCCCACCTCGGCCTCCCAAAGTACTGGGATTGCAGGTGTGAGCCACCACACCCAGCCTCAGTTCTTTATTTGATATGTATTTTGCAGAATTTTCTCCTGGTCTATGTCTTGTGTTTTCATTTTCTTGACCAGTGTCTTTCAAAGAGCAGTTTTGTTTTGTTTTTTTTCTTTTTTGAGGCAGAGTCTCCCTCTGTCACCCAGGCTGGAGTACAGTGGTGCAATCTCAGCTCACTGCAACCCCTGCCCCCTAGGTCCAAGCGATTCCCCTGCCTCAGTCTCCAGAGTAGCTGGGACTGCAGGTATATACCATCATGCCGGGCTAATTTTTGTATTTTTAGTAGAGACGGGGTTTCACCACGTCTGCCAGGCTGGTCTCAAACTCCTGACCTCAAGTGATCCGCCTGCCGTGGCCTCCCAAAGTGCTGGGATTACAGGCGTGAGCTACCGTACCCAGCCAAAGAGCAGCTTTTATTTTGATAAGGTCTGACCTATCAAATTTTCTTTTATGATCTGTTCTGTGTTTTAAGAAATTTTTAACCTAACCCAATGTCACAAAGATTTTTCTGTTTTCTTCTAGAAGCTTTATGGATTTCAGTTTCACATTTAAGCTTATGATCTGTTTTTGCATACAGTGTGAGGCTTTTTGTTTGTTTTGCATATTTACATCCAGTTGTTCAAACACTGTTTGTTGAAAAGACTATTCCTAGTCTGGGCCCAATAACTCATGCCTCTAATCCCAGAACTTTGGAAGGCTTGAGGCAGGAGGATCACTTGAGCCCAGGAGCTCATGACCAGCCTGGGCAACATAGAGAGACCCCCATCTCTACAAGAAATAAAAATAAAAAACTTAGCCGGAAGTGGTAGCACACACCTGTAGTCCCAGCAACTCGGGAGGCTGAGGCAGAGGATCTCTTGAGCCCAGGAGTTCGAAGCTGTAGTGAGCTGTGATCACGCCACTGCACCCCAGCCTAGGCAACAGAGCAAGACTCCATCTCTAACACAAACAAAAAAGACTTTCTTTCCTCTTGGAACTTTTGTTAGAAATTCATTGGTTATAAATTTGTGAATTTCTGGAATCTATGTTCCATTGAACAGTACGTGTATTCCTCACCAATTCACACTATAAATACTGTAGTTTTATAGTAAGTGTTTAAATCAGTTAATGTGAATCCTCCAACTTTTTTTCCCCAAGATTGTTTTAGCTATTCTACTTCCTTTGCTTTCATACAAATTTTGGAACTAGCCGATGGATTTCTGCAGAAAGGAATTTTGTAGTTTTCAGTCTCATTGATTTCTGCTCTGTATTACTTCCTTCCTTCTATTTGATTTGAGTTTAATTTGCTCTTTTTTTTCTAGTTTTTTTTAAGGCAAAAACTTTGATTTTTGAACCTTTTTTTATTTTCCAGTATAATCACTTAATGCTGTAGATTTGCCTGTATAAACATTGCTTTAGCTGCCTTCCACATATTTTGATATGTTTTGTTTTCATCCTCATTCAGTTCAAGATATTTTCTAATTTTCCATGTGATCTCTTATTTGACCCATGGGTTATTTAGGAGTGTGTTTAATTTCCACATATTTGGGGATTTTCACAGATTTTCCTTTGGGTGATTTCTAATTTAAATTGTAGTTGGAGAGCATATTTCGTATAATATCAGTTCTTTTAAATTATTTGAGACTTAGGCCAGACGTGGTGGCTCATGCCTGTAATCCCAACACTTTGGGAGGCTGAGGCAGGCAGATCACCTGAGGTCAGGAGTTGGAGACCAGCCTGGCCAACATGGCAAAACCCCATCTCTACTAAAAATACAAAAATTAGCTAGGTGTGGTGGTGTGCACCTGTAGTCCCAGCTCCTCGGGAGGCTGAGGCAGGAGAATCACTTGAACCTGGGAGGCGGAGGATGCAGTGAGCCAAGATGGCACCACTGCACTCCAGCCTGGGCAACAGAGTGAGACTTGTCTCAAAAAAAAAAAAATTATTTGAGACTTGTTTTTATGGGCCAGTCTGGAAAATGGTCCATGTGTGGTGTTTACCATTAGCTCTTGGAGGGTGCGTTTTGATTCATGATACAACTTAATGATCCCAGCTGAGGCTGGGGGGCACAAGCCAGGTTGAGCTAGGGAGTGTTGTAAAATGGTTTAAAGCATGACCTCTGGATCTAGAACCAGGCTGCCTGGATGGGAATGCTAGTTCTTCTTCCTTGAAGCTGTGCAGCTGTTTGACCTTGGACAAACTAGTTCATCTCTCTGCTTCAGTATCCTCATCTCTAAAGCTGATAGTGGAAGTATGTTCCTCAGGGAGAAGTTGAAAAGATGAAATGAGGAAAATGTAAACAGCTTGTATGAAGTCTAGCAACTCAGTAAGAGCCCCCAAAGTATTATTATTATTATTGTTATTATTATTATATTATTATATTATTATTATTATTATTATTATTATTGTTCCTGTTATTATAGCAGCAGTTATATTTCTTGGTCTCATAGGCCTTTCAAATAAGTTTTGTCTGGCTTCTTGGATAGTTTTTAAAGAACTACTTCCCTGTTAAGGGTATTTCTCATGTTTATTATATAAAGAAGTTCAGATAACTTTTGTTTGGCTGTTTGTGGCCCCCCTATATAGAGGAAAACATAGTTTGGAAAAATCTTTAAAACCCACACTTTCAAAATACTGTGATTTAAACTCTAACCAAGAATTTGACTCCTGCTAAGTCAAGTTTCCTCTGAAAACATTCTCGGGGTTGGTAGAAATCACCAACTGGAGAACAGAGTCCAGCACCCTTTACAGCTACCAAATAAAAATAACCTCTTCCAGTATATGACTTTTAAATTTTGACACTCATTTTATGAATGTCTCAATTTTGTCAGGATTAATTAGAAAATTCATAAATAAAATCACCCAGGGCATCTCATTGTTATTTTAGTTTCAAACAGTAGATTGTATTGGTGTTTTCTCCCCTCCTGGAGTCCTGGACAGCAGGACTCCAGGTATAAACTTAGGTGAAAACTCCAAGACATTATTTAATGTGAATCTTTTTAGAGAAGCTAAAGATCAAAGACCTTAGTCATTGATCCTTTGTATATACTTCTGAAAAACGAGGGTATTAAATATTCTTCTTATTGCTAAGGCCAGAGACAGCTGAGTGTCTGCTTTATGGAGCGATTTTGCAGAGACTCTTATCACTTACTAGGCTGTGTAACACTGAACAGGTTTCCCCTGGCACTGTTTGGTGGTGCTGTTTGGGCTTGCTGTTAGGTAAGCTTTAGGCCAGGTGGAGGTGATCCGTGTCAAGGGTTCTGCCTTAAGTTGTGACCTCTAACTGTCTCTGCCACATACATGAGTGCCTAAATTGGGATTTCGATGCCCAGTCAGGTATCCAGCACTGTTAGAGGGCAAGGCAGGTAGGTCTAGGTTTGAGTTTGTCATAACCCATGGAAATTTTGACTCTTGCCCTGCTTTCTTTTTTTTTTTTTTTTTTTGGAGACAGTTTCAATCTTGTTGCCCAGGCTGGAGTGCAATGGTGCAATCTCAGCTCACCGCCACCTCTGCCTCCCAGGTTCAAGCGATTCTCCTTCCTCAGCCTCCTGAGTAGCGGGGATTACAGACATGTGCCACCATGCCCGGCTAATTTTGTATTTTTAGTAGAGACAGGGTTTCTCCATGTTGGTCAGGCTGGTCTCGAACTCCCAACCTCAGGTAATCCTCCTGTCTCAGCCTCCCAAAGTGCTGGGATTACAGGCGTGAGCCACTGCGCCCGTCCTAACTCTTGCCCTGCTTTCATTCTCTTGACCAGTGAGTGTGTCACCAGAGATAGACACCCTGGACAAAGAGAGGTCCCATTAGTTCTTCTTTCAAAATATAGTTTGTGACTATAGCACCTCCTCTTTCCACTTCGTACTAACCTAGACTTGATCACCTCATGCTTAGATTATCATAAGAATCTTACTTGGTCTCCTTGATTCTAGTCTCTTCTGCCCAATTTATCTACACTGAATATTTCTGCCTGACTGATTTTCCAAAAATATTATAGACTCTTATGATTTTTACTCTACTAGTTGAATAAAAGCAATGTTTTCAGGTGACGTTAAAACTCCAGCAGCTAAAATCCTGCTAACAAACCTTGACTTCAAGTACACCATAATTTAACCCCTCTGTAAACAGAAGCTGATCTTGCAGTGAGTCTCTCTGGAATTCCATTCTTCCGTAAGACAAGCGATATTTGCTCCTGTTGATATTCCTGTGTACATGTGCCCTGTTACTAGAGAGTTAAGATCATGACCTTTATTCTTTTGGGATTTGTTTTCTCACCTCCACTCTCTTTTCTCTCTACCAAGCCAAACTCCTTTCAGGTGCTCAATAAACAGATGCTCTTTAGTGTTTCCTAACTCACAGAAAAATTTTTCTCTGAATACATCAGGTCTGTTTGATAACAAATTCAGTTAACTGAATTGGGGCTGCTTTTGCCATAATTTCCTTTTTAGTGTGTCAGGCTTGTTTTTTCAAACTAAATAATTGGCTGGATTATATAGTTTTTCAATTATTAATTTAGTAAAACTTTATTATTTTGGATTTAATGAATTAAAATTTGTGAACATTGTTCTGGATCAAACTGACATTATGTAAGTTTGGATCTGTCCTTTTTTTTTAAATGAGTTTAAGGTGTTAGTAATTAAGATTCCATTTGTGTTATAAATATAATGACTATCCAGTAGACTTAAGGTAGTGTCATATAAGGAAGGGCACACTATGAGAAAGGGACTGGGGGTGGGGGGCATGTTTACCCTTTAACATTTGTTCCATTCCATCTGCAGTTAAGCTTTCTAGAAATATGTTGTTACAGTAGCTACTTAAGTGTTTTTAAATTGTCTTTTCAAATGAATAGGGCATGGAAGTTTGTTACTCTTTTCTGTGTGAAAAACAGTGTCAAAAGTTTAAGAAGGCCAGGCAGCTTCACGCTTGTAATCCCAGCAAGTTGGGAGGCCAATGCTGAAGGATCACTTGAGTCTAGGAGTTCAAGACCAGCTTGGGTAATATGGCAAAACCCCATCTCTACAAAAATTGCAAACAAAAAAAATTAGCCTGATGTGGTGGCATGCGCCTGTCTCCCCAGCTACTTAGGAGGCTGACATGAGAGGATCACCTGAGCCCAAGGAGGTCAAGGCTGCAGTGAGCCGTGATCATGCCACTACACTCCGGCCTGGGTGACAGAGTGAGACCTTGTCTCAGAAAAAATAAAAGTTTAAGAAAACCATTGTATTTAAATTGGGCTCTTTGAAAATTAAATTCTGCTATAGAACTTACTCTGTAGTATTACTTGTTAAATTCTATATCCGACTGAAGAACACAAGCTTTTAGTATTTAGTATAAGTGAAAAATATAGCCAAATCAGACATCACTAACACTTTTTTGTCTTTTTTGCTAACGTTTCCACCAGAATCCTGTGTTCCATTAAAAAAAAATTTTAGTGTTATTTTAAAAACTCAAATAATACAGAAATGTGAAATAGTCCCATTTTTAATAAAAGTGGTTTTATGTGATACGTAGGTCTTCAGCTTGCTTCTTCCTAACAATTCTTCGTGCCATTCTTTTAAATTTCTTTGTGGGCTGGGTGCAGTGGCTCACGCCTATAATCCTAGCACTTTGGGAGGCTGAGGCGGGCAAATCACAAGGTCAGGAGATCGAGACCATCCTGGCTAACACCGTGAAACCCCATCTCTACTAAAAATAGAAAAAATTAGCTGGGCTTGGTGGCGGGCGCCTGTAGTCCCAGCTACTTGGGAGGCTGAGGCAGGAGAATGGTGTGAACCCGGGAGGCGGAGCTTGCAGTGAGCTGAGATTGCGCCACTGCACTCCAGCCTGGGCGACAGAGTGAGACTCCGTCTCAAAAAAAAAAAAATGTCTTTGTGATAGAGTGAATTATATAAAACACAATGACTATAGTAAAACAAATAGGTTAATTCACCCCACTATGTTTCTGTTTTTTCATCTGTACAAAATGGGGATCATAATGGGAAGCTCTTAGGACAGTGCTGGGCACATGACTCAGTAAAAGATTGCTGTTACAACTTGGAAAAGGGAATCATCAGCCTATATAGATGATAACCAAAGGCATGAGAGTAGACAGTATCACCCAGAGATGAGATGTGGAGTAAGAAGTAAAGAGAACTGATGACAGAGCCCTGATGGGCAGAGGAGAAGGAGAAAATACGGAGCCAGAGAGCAGGGAAGAAATCCAGTAGGATGTCGTGGGAGCTGGGATAAAATTGTTTCAAGAAAAGGAAGTGGCTACTGTTGTCAGATCCTGCAAGGGGAGCGGGGATATCAAGTAAGATATTGACTGAAGTGTTACTAGATTAAGTAACAACAAGATTGTTGATGATCTTGGGGAGAGCAAATTCCATGGAGTGCTGGGGATAGAAGGCACAGTGTGACAAGGAGATACCAGTGAAGACGGCAAATACAGCCAGATCCCTAGCTTTGGTAGCCCTATGTGAACTGGCCTTTCTTCCTTTTGTTCTCTGTCCTCCCCGCCACCGCCGCCGCCCCCCCACCCCCCACCCCCACACACACACTCTCCGTCTCTCACAGACACCTTTGTGGGAATATGCTCTAGCTCTTGCTTTTTGTCTCTTGCACGCATGATCACTCACTCTTGCTCTCTCCTCTCTAGCCCAACTGAACTGCTTGACTACTTTGTGAACTCCCAGCAGGTCGCACTGTCACATAGGCCTCCATGCTGAGTTCCTACACCTGTCTGTTTAATTTGGCAACCTGTTTACTTCTTTTTGTCTCCCTGTTAGGCAATTCTTGGTGGGTGGTAGGGGCTGAGTCTTTATCATGGAGTGCTAGTACCTAGCAGAGTCCTCATGCATGTGGTGATACATAAGATAGGACAGAACAGTGACCAGAGGTATTTATTCTAGTTGGAGCTTGTAACAGACATTAGATACTGCAAGATGATGGAGAGATTTGGTTTGATTTTTAGATGTGTTGAATTTGAGGTGACCGTGGTATATGCAGGTAGAAGTGTGCCCCCAGGGTCATTGGAGATTTGCTACTGAAATTCAGTCTGTCTAATCCCTCCTTGCTCTGGGGCTCAAGAGACTTTCCTTCTTCAATTTTTTCATCATCCCAGACAGAAACCCTAGTTTGTCCTGATAGAAGTAAGGGATGAACTGTGATTTAAACTCTTAGGCTCCTGTTTGCTTGTCCACAGAATTTGTCACTAGGAGAGGTTAGCCCCCAGGAAATAACTAAATGTCAATCTGTAGCATTCATTTTTAAAAGTCACTGGAAATTTTCTTCTTGAAGTTAGATTTTGGAATTGTAGGGATGCTTTTAAGACTTCGTTTCTAGAATCATTTCTAAAACTATTATCAGCATTAAATGGCAGGGAATAATCTTTTAATGAAACAGATACAGTAAAAACCAGTTCTTTTAGAGGTTAAGAGCAGTTTTTAAAATTTTCCTTAAGTTTTATAAAAGTTGTTATTGTAAAATATACATAACATACAATTTGAAATTTACCATTGAACTTTTTCTAAGTGTACAGTTCAGTAACATTAAGTACGTTCACTTATGTTTTGTGCAACAGTCACCACTATTCATTTCCAGACCTTTTTCATCATCCCAAACAGAAACTCTGTATGCATCAAACAAAAACTCCCCATTCCCTTTCTCTCCAGTCCTGGTATCCGCTATTCTGCTTTCTTTTTCTATGAATTTGCCTAATCTAGGTCTGTCATATAAGTTGAGTCATAACAATATTTGTCTCTTTTTTCTGGTTTATTTCACATAGCATCATGTTTTTGAAGTTGATTTATGTTGTAGCATGTATCAGAATTTTCTTCTTTTTTAAGGATGAATAATATTTGATTGGATGGCTGTACCACAATTTATTTATCCATTCATTCACCGATAGACACTTGGGTTACTTCCACCCAACCCAACCCATTATTCACGGCCCAGCCATTGTGAAAATTGGTGTACAAGTATGTTTGAGTCCCTGCTTTCAGTTATTTGGGGCAAATACCTAGGCTTTAGTAAGTTTTATGAGCACATATCCTGAGAGGGTATTTAGATATCCAGTAGCATTTTTCTTATGAAATAGTAATTTCAACCAGCATGTTAACATAGATTTTTGCAAGTTTTTAAGGAGATTTATTTTGTACAAGTTCTAAAGCAGTCTTGGATCATGATACAAAGATACCTTCAAAAGCTGTATTATAATTTTTTTTTTCTGTAAATAAGTCCCTTGGCCAAATAAAAATGCAAAACTGCTTTATCCAGCTTGTACCTATTGGCTTTGTCCGAGGAAACCAGTTGCCTAATTTCTTTCCCTTGCCTTATGTTTGCTGCAGCCAGCCCAGGGCTGTTTCCGGCTGCAGTGTTGAACACAGGAACCACAGTGTGTTGCTGGTTGTGTGCGCAAGTCACAATCAAAAGCGCATGCTTTGGAAACTATGATGTGAGGACCTGTCTTAGAGGATAATTCATAGGAAAAAGTTGAAGCATATTGCCATCGAAGCCTTTAATGTGGGGTCTTCTTTCTGTTTCAATCCCTCTCCCCGCCCCCGGCAATAAATCCTTTCTTATCTATCCTAGGCAATAAGATGTATTTGAAAACAAAATTACTCCAGATCATCTTTACTGCCTTGAAGACTAATACCTTTCTTTCATATGAATTTGCTCAGTCAGCAGATTTTGTATCTCTGATGGAAGTAATCATTTTTTCATTGTATTAGTCTTGGTAAAATATAAAATATTAACATATAGTATATTTCATATATGTCTTTCCATGAAATATTTTGTGATAATGCAGGGATAATATTTTGATATTTTTGTGGAGGTGGGATCTCCATATGTTTTTCAGGTTGGTCTTGAACTACTAGGCTCAAGCAATCCTCCTGCCTCAGCCTCCCAGAGTGTTGGGATTACAGGCGTGAGCCACTGCGCCCAGCCTTAAGTAACTATTTTATTTACTACTTGTACCTTGCACGTAAATGGTTAAATTTAATGTATTAAATTTTTATTTCATAACATACCTATTCTGTTATTAAGCTTGCAATACATATTTGGTTTTTTCCTTTAAAATATGGGGAAATGTGGAAAACAATGATCTCCAACATTATAATGTTAGACTAATATTTTTAGATAGGCCGGACACAGTGGCTCACGCCTGTAATCCCAGCACTTTGGGAGGCCGAGGCGGGCAGATCACAAGGTCAGGAGATCGAGACCATCCTGGCTAACACGGTGAAACCCCGTCTCTACTAAAAAATAGAAAAAATTAGCCGGATGTGGTGGCAGGCGCCTGTAGTCCCAGCTACTCAGGAGGCTGAGGCAGGAGAATGGCGTGAACCTGGGAGGCGGAGCTTGCAGTGAGCCAAGGTTGTGCCATTGCACTCCAGCCTGGGCGACAGAGCGAGACTCTTGTCTCACAAAAAAAAAAAAAAAAAAAAAAAATTTAGAGAAAGATACAAATTAAGTCCTATTTCAACATATTTCCATAAAGGGAAAAATGAACATTTCTGTAAGCATGGAATACAAGTTTTTTTGCATATAATTTTTAAATTTGAAATTTTGGATAGCAAAAAAATTCTAACAACCTTTGGTGTTTTGTGATCTGTAAGAATTGCATGTGAGAAGGTGTTAGCAGTTTGCATAGCCAGAGCTTATGGGTAAAGGTAGAAGGCAGCAATTCCCGAAATGTGGCTCATGGACCATGGGAGATTCCTGAGACCCTGTCATGGGGTCCATAGGGTCATACGGTTTTCATAGTACTACTAACATTACTTGTCTTTTTCATTTTCGCACCTTTTTTCTCATGGTGGCAAAGCAATGGTGGGTAAAACCTCTGGTGCGCCCTCACCTGAATCAAGGCAGTGGCACCAGGCGGTCCTGGTAATCATGGTGTTCTCCATCACCAGGCACCCAGCTTATCTTCTGAAATGCCATTTACACTTAGAATGTTCTTGACGAAGCAGTAAAAGTTTCTTTTGTTAAGTTTTAACCCTTGAGTACACTAAGTGATAAAATGGAAATTTTTAATGATAAAATGGAAAATTTCCACAAAGCACTTCTGCTGTATTCCAAAGTACCATTGGTTATCTTGAGGAAACCACTTGTGCAGTCATTTGAGATGCTAACTGAACTAGATTTGTTTAAAATTGGAATACCATTTTTACTTGAAAGAATGACTTTTGGGCATATTTGGCAGATAGTTTCTCAAAAACGAATCAAGTGAGCCTGTCACTTAAAGGGAAAAAAAGTGTTTTTATCAATGATAAAATTTGAGCTTTCAAGTGAAAATAGAATTTTTGAAAATTTGTATTTGCTACCATAAGCCCCAAGAATGGTACTAACAATATGATTTTTCAGATATTGTATAATGAAAAGAGACAACATCTGGAAGAGCGGCATAACTCAGCAAATCAGTATCTTCCAAATTACCAATGCATGATGTTACAAAATCATCCATGGGTAAAAGATTCACACAAAGTTCAGGATAGTCCAGTGGATTTTAATGTAATATAGTAAAATTCAAAAAAATCCATTGAGATAGTTTCAAATTCCACATTGCAGTAAACCTTTAAGAAATTACCACTTGTTGAATTTTAGTGTAGTATCAAAGAAGAATATTGATAGTTATCTGAAAAGGCTATGAAGTACTCCTTCTTTTCCAACTATCCATCTGTGTAAAGCTGGATTTTTTTCCCCATGGAGTTCAGTTCAAACAACATATGACAGTAGATGGAATGCAGAAGCCGATATGAGAATCCAGCTATCTTCCATTTAAGCTAGACATTAAAGAGGTTTGCAAACATGTGAAGAATGTTCCTTGTCTCGCTTAATTTTTTTGTTCTGTTTTGTTTTGGAAAATAGATATTTGCCCTTTAAAAAATGTTATTTATGTTAACATGTAATGGTTTTATTGTGTATAAATAATATTTTAACTTTTTCTCAGTTTTAATTTAATACGGTAAATATCACTAACCCACATGTGCTAAAGCTCTTTGGGAGTCCTCAATTTTAAGAGTGTAAATTGTTCTGCAACCACAAAGTTAGAGAAGTGCTGGTCTAAGGCAATGTCTGTGCAGTGTTAGAATAGTAGTTGCTTGGTTTTGGGGTGGACAAGAATGCTTTCATTGTATAGCTGGAAGGCTGACACATAGAACACGTTATAGAACAGTACTCTCTGTGTCTCAGTTTGGCATGATTTTTAGCAGGATATGTGTTATAAGCACTTGCTGGTAAAGTAGCTAGAAATAGATGTTTGACTGTAGAGCAGTTACTAAAATCCAGCATGGTTCTAAAAATCTTAGGGTTTAGAGTTTAGTCTTGTATATGAGAGACATTTCTGGTAACTCTTTGTCTATTAAGGTAAAGGCTTGCAGGAATGTAGTTAAAGAATTAGTGGTCTTCATAATGAATATATAAAATATTTCAACTCAACAGCTGGCCTATACTGATACATCAGTTGACAAAGTCTTCAAGACTGTTTTCAATACATTTGGCTAACCTGATTTTGGTGTGTCTCAAATGCATGTATTTAGTTTCTTTCTGTGTTTCAGTAAGAATTCCTTTATCTCAGAATAGAGTAGTTCCTGTCTTTCATGTCCGCCCAGAGCCTCTGGGAACAGACACCTCAGTAGGAGGGCCTGAAGAATGACACATTTCTGTTGATGCTTTGGTAGAGTCTGAAATGTAGGATAGGGAGAGACTGTGAAATAAGATTGCTGGGCTTTGATTTCCTATTATTGGCCAGACTTACCCACCCTTTTTCCTTGGAATACCTTTTCTTCCCTGTCTGCTCCATTGATCGTAGTCTTACCCCAGATCCCCAAACCCCAGCTCCTGTAGTAAAATCTGTGTCTATTTCTGAAATGCTGATGAACGCTTGCTTTCTTTGTGTGGGCAAAGAACAGAATAGAGGATGATACAGGAGGGGCCCTTTTCCTCCCTGTCGTTACCAGCAGTGAAAACCTTTAGACATTTTTGAAACCGCTCTGTGCTCATTTTTATGAGCTTGTAGAGTAGGTGAAAAGTGAGCCTACTTCAGGAGACCAAGGGCATAAACAAATATGGGATAAAGCAGTCTAGCAGAGGGAAAATGAAGAGTTTGTAAATTAGCCTTAAGGCTGGCCACATTTTTTAAAAAGACCCTAGGGAAGAATTTCCCATGGGTTGAATAAACGAACCAGAGTTGCTACCCAGGGTAAGATGATGGCTTACCTTCATATATGTCTACTGGTATAATGTAAGATTTTATATTAAGCCATTTTTAAATCTGTAAATATTGGGTGATTAAAAGAGGAAAATACCAATTTTAGTCACCTGGAAACAGGGTCATCTGTGGCAGTGCCTCTTTGGCTATGTCAATGATGGGCAACATGAAAGATGGAAAGAGTATTTCTGGTAATATTTCTGTTTTTGAAAGCAAAACAATATAAAAATACAGACTTTTTAAACTTTTTTGAGACAGGGTCTCGCTCTGTCACCCAGGCTGAAGTGCAGTGGCACGATCATGGCTCATTGCAACCTGAAACTTGTGGGCTCAAAGGATCCTCCTACCTCAGCCTCCCAAGTAGCTGGAACTACAGGCGCGCCCCACCGTGCCTGGCTGATTTTTTTTTTTTTAATTTTTCATAGAGTCACATCTCATTTGTTGCCCAGGCTGGTCTTGAACTCCTGGGCTCAAGTAATCCTCCCACCTCGGACTCCTAGAGTGTCAAAATTACAGGCATGAGCCACCACACCCAGCCAAAACCTAGACCCTTGAAAAATAAAAATTAATTTGGCCTTCAAGTTTATCTGGGCCCAAAGAGGATTTTATAGGTAATAGAAAGATATAAAGGATTGCCCAGGGAGGATTACATAGCTAATTACTGTATAATTACAGATAGAAACTTCAGTTTGTCATCCAGTTTTGGGCAGATATTGAAGTCAATTTGAGAGACTCTGGAATTAGGCCTCCTAAGATCAGAAGTGCATCTGGCTCTTGATCTTAAAAAACACTAATAATCACAGAGATTCACAGTTCTCCAGCCCTGGGCAACATTGTGAAACCCTGTCTCTACAAAAAATACAAAAATTAGCAGGCTGTGGTGGCTCACACCTGCAGTCCTGGCTGCTTGGGAGGCTGAGGTGGGAGGATTGCTTGAGTCCAGGAGTTGGAGGTTTCACTGAGCCAAGACCGTGCCACTGCACTCCAGCTTAAGCAACAGGTGAAACCCTGTCTCCAAAAAGAAACAACAACAAAAACTTTTATAATGATAGTTTGAATTGAAAATAGTATATGAAATTTCAAATAACATCGTAAAATAATCTATAACTTCTAGTTATGTGATATTTGGTAAAGTTTGCCAAATTGTTAGAACTTTTTAAGATCTTAGTATAAATTATAAAATACCATGTACAATATTAGGGGTGAACTTTAATCAGATTTTCTTGTATAGGTTTATTTGAAAGCTAAAACAAAACTTAAGTTAGAAGAAACCATTAAACATCTGAACAGTTTTTTTGAAATCAGGCATTTAGTTCTGCAGTGGGGGACATGCTCACTGCCAGGATATGGAGGTGAGATCTGGCAACCTTAGTCACACTCTTATATTTTGCACATGGTCAAACCTTCATCTAGAAAAACAGACTATGAAGAAAGTCAGTAGCTACAGCTCCTCAGAGGCTGGAGCACAGCACAGAAGATCTGTCAGGGAGGAGCTGGTTTTTGAAAATTTAATCCAGGCCAGGTGTGGTGGCTTACGCATGTAATCCTGGCATTTTGGGAGGCTGAGGTGGGTGGATCACCTGAGGTCAGGAGTTTGAGACCAGCCTGGGCAACGTGACAAAACCCTGTCTCTAATAAAAATACCAAAAATTAGCTGGGCATGGTGGCGGACTCCTGTGATTCCAGCTACTTGGGAGGCTGAGGCAGGAGAATTTTGCTTGAACCCAGGAGGCGGAGGTTGCAGTGAGCCGAGATCGCACCGTTGCACTCCAGACTGGGCGACAGAGCGAGACTCTGTCTCAAAAAATAAAATAAAATAAAATAAAAATTCCAGACTTCCAGAAGTCTGAGGTTAAGAGTTTCTAGAGAGTCTCCATTGATTTGAGAGATGTAGCAAAATAATTAAACAATAGTATCAGACTTTAAGGCAGTGAATTTGGGAAGTGTAGATATTTAATCTGCCTTGAGGGTAGTGACAATATGCTTCAAAATACAAAGGATACAAAAACAAAGTCATCCAAGTAAGACACCATCAGAAGAAAAGTTCCTCAGAAGAAAGCCGCTCTTGTTTTTTTATAGCTCTGGAGTCTGGAGAAAACTTTAAATTGCCTTTTAAAAATACCTGCTGACCTTTAATCATAAAAAAGAAAAGCTGCTCAATCTCACTTTAATTTTTAAATTTTAATTACAATTTTAATGCAAATAAAAACCATACTGAGATACCAGTTTTCATCTCTCAGATGGGTAAAAATTCAAAAGTTAGACAATACTCACTTTGGAAAGTAGGAGCATTGAGTTCATTACGGATGAGAGTGTGAAATGGTATAACCTCTCTGTAGGGCACTTTGGCAACATCTATCAAATTGCAAGTGCATTTCCCCTTTGAGCCAGCAATCTGACTTTGAGGAATGTTATACAAACAGGTCATTTCATGTGTGTGCAATGCAGGTATAATTTACAAGGCCCATTATTACAGAATTACTTGTTAACAGCAGAGTTTTTGGAAACAACCCCAGTGTCCACCTGTAAGGAACTTGTTCTTAAAAAACAAAACAAAACAAAACAAAAACTGTGGGGCATCTACACAATGGACTATCATGCTGATGTTTAAAAGAAAATTTTAAAAAGGAAGTTCTCCACATCCTGATACAGAAAGATTTCTAGGCTATATTGTAAAAGGGGGGTAGAGGGAGATACTGAGCAGTATATTTAATATTCTACCTATTTCATAAGAAGTGGTGAGAAATAATGTTCTTATATTGTATGTTTACTCCAAAAGGCTAGATAAGAAACTAAAAAATGTGGTTATTTAAAAGTTGTTATCTAAAAATGACTGAGAGGGTGGGGGTTGGGTGATGACTAGATGGGAGTAAGACCTCTGTGTATGTACTTTTTAATATACTTTTGATTTTTGTATGAATATATAACCTAGTCATAATTTTTTTTAATTTTAAGAAAATGTTCCTTCTTGTTTTCAGAATTTTGGAAGATGTGTGCAAAGATTATGTCACACAGCAAGAAACATAATTTTAGAATAAAGAGAAACTGATGAAGTTCATTTTCCTAATACATGATACATGATAGCTCAGATATCTCTTGGTATGTGAGCCTTGTCTACATAATCTGGTTGTTCAAAAGAGGACCCTGGACAGCCACAGCTGCATCATTGCTGGATGGGACCCAAGAGAGAGGCTCGAGTGGCCTTCATGTCTCCTACCTTCCCTTTCTCCACTCCCCGGCTGACTGAAATTTAGGAAAAGGTAGCACCCCTGTGAGGTGCTGTGAAACAGAATTCATGATCCAAAACATATATTCTTGTATTCATCTGCCTCTAGTAGTTTTAATTGTATTCAAATTGTCTTACCATCTCAAAGCCTGGTGTGGGGGGAAGAGAGAAGGATACAATATACCTATCATTCCAGCTTCATAATTTTAAAAAGTCTACCTTTTTTTTGGTGTATCCCTCCCATGTTTTATTTTCTTAGAGTATTTTAAAGTAAATCTTAAATCATATTATTTCACCTGTTAAAAGATAAACTTATGTTTAACTTTTGGAGAGTTTTTTTGAGCAGTGTCTCATGAATCAGGCAGCACCAGATCACAAGTGGATCACAGCTCCTTGGAGGGGGCCTGAGGGCAAAACTTTTATAAAGCTTTTGCAGAAGCAAAAGAAAGAAAATACTTGATTGGTTAAAGTAGAAAGTCTCTAGTAGAGATTAGTTGGCAGTTTCTGATTGGTAAAGCCCCTGGTTAGGTTTGATTGGCAGTTTCTGATGGGTTGAGTTACTCTGAGTTGGATTTCAGTTGGCTTCCTTAGGAACCCAAGACACTGGAACCATCTCAGCCTAATGGACTCCCCAGTTCATTTTTTTTTTAACATACCCATAAATACTTCAGGTTGTATCTGTAATAATTAAGGATCACGCCGGGTGCAGTGGATCCTTAGCCTGTAATCCCAGCACTTTGAGAGGCCGAGGCGGGTGGATCACTTGAGGTCACGAGTTTGAGACCAGCCTGGCCAACATGATGAAACCCCGTCTCTTACTAAAAATACAAAAAATTAGCTGGGCGTGGTGGGGGGGCGCCTGTAACCCCAGCTTCTCAGGAGGCTGAAGCAGGAAAATTGCTTGAACCTAGGAGGTGGAGGTTGCAGTGAGCCGAGATCGTGCCATTGCACTCCAGCCTGGGCAACAAGAGTGAAACTCCGTCTCAAAAAAAAAAAAAAAAGCTGAGGATCCAAAAGCCTGCCATTATAGACCACAGCAGTGTCTCATGAAAGTTTATTATATGTCTTATTTTTTACAACGATTAAAGGAAATGTAATGTCCTCCTCTGTATGCATCAGTCTTTCCTCACGAGGTTAATTTCCAGTCAGCATCAGAAAAGGTTGAGCATCTCTCACCTTAAAAAAAAAAGATAATCTTTTAAGACCTCCCTTATCCTTATATTTACCCTCCAGCTGCCGTTCTTTTCCCTGCACTTTTCAAAATACTGTCTTCATTTCCTTAGCTTTAACTTCTCACCCAATTTCAATCTGACTCCATCCTCACCACTTTACCCAGTGGTCACTCCAGTTGTCTTTCTTGACCTCTCAGCAGCATTCATGGTTGGCAACGTCTCCCTCCTAATGCAGTGAGTGTGAATTGAGTATTTAATGTGTTATGTTCTTTATATGAATTCCTCATTTAATCCTTTAACAACTGTTTGAGGTTGTCATTCCCCATTTTACAGATGAAAAGCTGAAGCTTAGAGAGGCTAAGTAACTGGCTTAGCTACTAGTAAGTGGTAGAGCAAGGGATTAAATTCAGGCCACATTTAATTCTGCTGCCTTTCTGAAATAACCTACTATTCTGGGTTTTCCTTCTCTGTCTCTCTTTCATCTTGGTTTTCTTTGCAGTTCCTTCTTCTACCTGATCTTTCAATTTGGAGATTTCCCAGGCCTTGATCCTAGGTCCTCTTTTCACTGCTGTGAGGCATTCACACACACCTATGACTTCAGTTACCATGTGGAAGGTGATGAGCTCTCAGTATATATACATCTTCAGCTCAGAACGGTTTCAATATCCACTTGTCTCCTCAGTACATTCAAACCTTAGCTTAAAATCTGTTCCTCTGGCCAGGCGCAGTGGCTCACGCCTGTAATCCCAACACTTTGGGAGGCCAAGGTGGGTGGATTGCTTGAGGTCAGGAGTTGGAGACCAGCCTGACCAACATGGTAAAACCCCATCTCTACTAAAAATACAAAAATTAGCCAGGTGTGGTGCATGCCTGTAATCCCAGCTACTCGAGAGACTGAGGCAAGAGAATCGCTTGAACCCAGGAGGCGGAGGTTGCAGTGAAACAAGATCATGCCACTGCACTCCAGACTGGGTAACAGAGCAAGACTCTGTCTCAAAAAAAAAAAAATCTGTTCCTCCTATGTTACTTTTTTTTTTTTTTCCACTAAATGGTACAAAGCCAGCTAAGCAGAAACCTAGGGATCACTGCAATTCTTCCCTCTGCTGGTTCCCATAAACAATCACCAGGTCCTGTTTATTGTGTCCTGTGTCTCTCTAAATCATCTTCCTCCCTAAGGAAAGCTCCCCTGTTCTTAGACTGCATCTACCTAATATACATTATCATAGTACCCTATACTTCTCTTTCTCTCTTTTGTAACATTCTTCATGATTATATTCATTCAGTTATGTTCATTTTTTTATTTCTTTAGGGTGAAATTGTTCATTTCTTTAGAAAAGACATTTAGGCAGAGACCAAGGCACTCTTATTTATTACTGTATATCCCAGTGGCTAGCAGAGTGCCTGGCATGTAAGCAGTATTAAATACTTTGCTGAATGGAAATTAAACAACAACAACAACAAAAAGCCTGCTAAGATTTGTTTTAGGAAAATCCCTGACAAATAAGAATGGGCAATGTGGAGGGTGAACTCATGGAGACAGCCTTTAAAACAATATTTCCAATAGCCGAGCCATAGAAGGGAGCTAACAAATTGGCAGTGGGATTAGGAGAAATAGGGTAGTTCGGGATGTGGAAGTAAGAGAAAGAAAGGGCTGTCAAGAATGCAGCAGATTTTTAGCTTTGGCAGCTGAGGGGATGGTGACACCATTCCTTGAGAGGATCAGCTAAGATGGAGAGAGTATTTGTGGTGGACTTGTTGACTTTGAAGAACCTCCTGTAGGCCATCTAGATGGAGAAAATCAATAGGCAGTTAGAAAAATGGAAACGGGGAATTCAGGAGATGCAGGCTTTACCTCATCACCGAGCAAAACCAGTAAAATACTATTAGAGATTGAAATGTAACTGGATAAAAGTCTGATTATTGAGACTTTTGCCATTGGCACAGATCTGGTAGATATTTTGATACTTTTTAAATTGGGGGTGGATGTTGTAAACATATACAGAGATGGGATTTTTACATTGATGTCATTTTACATGCCGTAAATATTTACTAATAATAGCTGTAAACCTACCAATTTATTCTTCATGTTAAACTAGCAAATCTCATTTTAATTGTGTTATTTTGTTAATGCTAATTTATACCTTTTTTCCTTCTTAAAGATAAAAACAAAGCTCAGTGGGGTTTATAGAACTCCATTAGACTGTAAGCTCCATTAGGACTCACTGCATGTGATTTAAATTTTTTTCCTCTTATTTCTCTAGGGCCTATTCCCTGGTGGATTCCAGTCAAGTGTCTACATTTCTGATTTCCATTCTTCTTATAGTCTATGGTAGTTTCAGGTAAGATATTCTCAAATGGGGTTGATACAAGTTGGAGGTGGAAGAAGGAAGCATTGCTCTGAAAGTGCTGGTACCAAAACTTACTCTGTGAAGAAAAACAGGACTTCGGCAGGATTTGACTCAGAATAGAGAGTTCTGCTATTTGTTCTTTAATTGGCTGCTGTTAAACACTTCTTCATTGTGCTTATGAGTTTAGCATGTTAATGCTTACATGTAAAAACTAATTGCTTAAAATGCTGGTTCTGAAATTAATCACCTAATGCACTCTTTATTAAGAAGGTTAAGGAGAGAGTCTTTGACAATGATTCTAGAGTCTCAAAGGGAACAAAGAGTTTAAATGGAAGGACAATTTGAAATATGAAAAAAAAACTACTAAATATCCATGTAATAAAATGACAAAGAGAACATTTCATTTTTTTTTTCTAACCAAAAATGAAAGTGTAGTCACAAAACTTTAGTAGGCTTACGAAGACCAGGGAAACCAAAGTAAAACTGTACCCAGGATGCTAATAAAGTTCTTAATCTTTGGCCGGGCACAGTGCCATATGCCTATAATCCCAGCACTTTGGGAGGCTGAGACAGGAGGATTGCTTGAGCCCAGGAGTTCAAGACTAGCCTGGGCAACATAGCAAGACCCCGTCTCTACAAAAAATATTTTTTAAAGAAGTTAGCCAGGCATGGTGGTAGTGCCTATGGTCCCAGCTACTCAGGAGACTGAGGCAGAAGAAGGATCACTTAAGCCCAGGAGATTGAGGATACAATAAGCTATGATCACACTGCTGCACTCCAGCTTGGGCAACAGAGCCAGACTATGTCTCAAAAAAAAAAAAATTTTTTTATGTTGTCCTAAAATGCTTGTAAGTAAGTAGATTATGTCCTTATGGAAATTTACATCATATTTTTCTTAATCCAAAGGCTTGACATCCAAGGTTGAGCCATACAAAATTGCTGATGGTTGACTATTAATATTTTGGCCCACAGAAACAATTTCATATGGTTCATCTTACTATTAATAGGGTTGTGCCTTGTAGCATTACCAGGTATTCTCTCTGATAACCTTGGAGATGCTGAGACTAGATCCTGCTGAGGTTCTCATCTCAGCAGGCAGCCATAGGAATAGGAGGGAAAATATAGACACTAGAGACACACTCCCTTTTTCCACTATCCTCAGTCGAGAGGAACTTTAATGGTTGTATAACTCAAATAGTTTAGTGGCTGATGAACCTACCAGAAAATGCTGCTCAAGGAATTATAAGTTGAGAACTTGAAAGGAAGTAATAGGGATAAGTGAAATACCCAGGCGTAAAGATTTTTAACTATGCAGTGTTATATCTGAATTTTAATGGCTACTTTGTAAAATCACAGACTTGCAGTCTTTACCTCAATACTGAGTAGAACAAGTAAAATATTACGGGTAATTTCAGTATACACCGATAAAAGGTTTTTTTTGGTGTTTTTTTTTTTGAGACGGAGTCTCACTCTGTTGCCCAGGCTGGAGTGCAGTAGCATGATGTCAGCTCACTGCAAGCTCCACCTCCTGGGTCCACGCCATTCTTCTGTCTCGGCCTCCTGAATAGCTGGGACTACAGGCGCCCGCCACCACGCCTGGCTAATTTTTTGTATTTTTAGTAGAGATGGGGTTTCACCGTGTTAGCCAGGATGGTCTCTATCTCCTGACCTTGTGATCCACCGGCCTTGGCCTGCCAAAGTGCTGGGATTACAGGCGTGAGCCACTGCGCCCAGCCAAAAGTGTTAATCACTGAGATGTCTACTGAGAACTCCAGATTCATAACCACTCTCAGAAGCATTAATCAAACCAGAGGAACTTAGAACCTTATCAGTGTAATCTTGATATTTTGCATCTCTACCCTGTGGACAAGTATTTTATTTTTTTCCCTTTGAGTATATAATGCATTAATATTTCAAAGGACTTTGCAATTAAACACAGAAGAAGCCATCTTTAGACTCAACCCTAATACTACTTTCAGTAGTGCAGACTACCTTCCATTTGGCATATGTTTGTATACTGTATACATTTTCATAGTTGAAATCATTTATATTCTGATTCTTTGCACCAGACAAATACTTTCTACAAATTATCTTCATATCATTTTAGTAATTTGACATTTCGTTGTGTTACTCATCTTATTCCACTCTTGTTGGACAAGTGGACTGTTACAGTGATGATAGCTTTATGGAGTATTTGCTTTTATTGAATTATATCACCAAGATAAATATCCAGAAGTGGAAATACTTCGACAGAGAGTATGAAATGGCTCTTACTACATATTACTGTATTGTTTTTCTGAAGGGCTATATCATTTTAGGATTGAGCAAGTTTTAAACCAAATTTTATGTAATAAGTGTATCATAGAATTATATAGATGGAAAGGATTTCTCTGGTGAACCTCCCTGTTTACAAATGAGGAAACTGGCCAGGCATGGTCCCTCTCACCTGTAATCCCAGCACTTTGGGAGGCTGAAGCAGGCAGATGCCCTGAGCCCAGGAGTTCAAGACCAGGCTGGACAACATGGTGAAACCCCATCTACCAAATATGCAAAAATTAGCTGGGCATGGCGGCGCTACCTGGGAGGCTGGGAGGAATGTTTGAGCCCAGGAGGCGGAGGTTGCAGTGAGCAGTGATCATACCATTGCACTCCAGCCTGGGTATCAGAGTGAGACCCTGGTTCAAGAAAACAAAAAACAAAAAAAAAAAAAAAAGAAAAGAAACTAAGAAACTGAAGCCCAAAATGAAAATGTTGATGTAACTTGACAAAGATTATGCAACCACTTGGTAACAAAGTCTGGATTGAAACAGTTTTCAGGACCTCCAGCTCAGAACCTTTTATCTTTTATAATTTAATAAGGCATTTCTGCAAAAAGTAAATCATGATGCCTTTAATTATACATTTAAATTGAACTCACTGAATAAGTTGGTGTTTTTTCCTCTTCTGTTTTATGGAAGAGATTTATGTAATTTTGTCTTTAAATGTTTGATAGGATTCACCAGTGAAGCCACCTACAGTTGGGCTTCTCTTTGTGGGAAGATATTTTTGGTTTTTGTTTTTTTCCTGCTGAGTTTACCACCTTTCCCTTGTTCTTTTTCTTTCTCTTTTTTTCTTTTTTTTTTTTTGAGTCGGAGTTTCGCTCTTGTTGCCCAGGCTGGAGTGCAGTGGCGCAATCTCTGCTCACCACAACCTCCGCCTCCCAGGCTCAAGCGATTCTCCTGCCTCAGCCTCCCGAGTAGTTGGGATTACAGGCATATGCCACCATGCCCGGCTGATTTTTGTATTTTTAGTAGAGATGGTGTTTCTGCATGTTGGTCAGGCTGGTCTCGAACTCCTGACCTCGTGATCTGCCCGCCTCGGCCTCCCAAAGTGCTGGGATTACAGGCATGAGCCACCGAGCCCAGCCTCCCGTTTTCTTTGTAATTGTTAGGGGCTATTTTTTTTATTGTGGTAAAATATATATAACATAAAATGTACCATTTAAACCATTTTTTAGTGTACCCTTCGGTGACAGGTAAGGGCTTTCTGAAACGCATTGTCTTTTTATTATAGCCATTCTAGTAGTAAGGTGTGAAGTGGTATCTCATAGTGGTTTGGGTTGTATTTCCCTGATATTGGGATGTTGGAAAGTTGATGAGCATCTTTTCCTGTGCTTATTAACCATCCGTTTATCTTCTTTGGTGAAATGTCTAGTCAAAAATTCTCTCTCAGTCATATGATTTGCAACTATAAATTTTTCCCAGTCTCTGGCTTGCCTTCTCATTTTCTTAATAGTGTCCCTTGGAATATAAACATTTTAATTTTGTTAAAGCCACTTTACCAATTTCACGTTTTATGGATCATGCTTTTGATGATGTGCCAAAAGCATGATCCATAAAATGTGAAACTGGTAAATTGGTACATGGGTACAAGGATTTTCTCCTATGTTTTCTTTCTTTCTTTCTTTTTTTTTTTTAATGGAGTCTCGCTCTGTCGCCCAGGCTGGAGTGCAGTGGTGTGATCTCAGCTCGCTGCAAGCTCTGCCTCCCGGCTTCACGCCATTCTCCTGCCTCAGCCTCCCGAGTAGCTGGAACTAGGCACCCGTCACCATGCCCAGCTAATTTTTTGTATTTTTTAGTAGAGACGTGGTTTCACAGTGTTTGCCAAGATGGTCTCGATCTCCTGACCTCGTGATCCACCCACCTCAGCCTCCCAAAATACTGGGATTACAGGCGTGAGCCACCGCGCCTGGCTCTCCTACGTTTTCTTTAAGAAGTTTTATAGTTTTGCTTCTTACATTTAAAATTATGATTCATTTTGAGTTAATTTTTATGTATGGCATGAGGTACAAATTTAATTTCATCTTTATAAATGTGGTTATCCACTTGTCCCAGTACCATTTGATGAAAAGACTATACTTACCAGTTGAATTACCTTGGCACCGTTGTCAAAAATGCATTGCTGACATGGTGGCATGTACCTGTAATCCCAGCGACTCGCGAGCTAAGGTGGGAGGATCACCTGAGCCCCAGGTGTTTGGGGTTATGGTGAACTATGATCGCGCCACTGCACTCAAGCCAGGGTGACATAGCAAGACCCTGTCTCTTAAAAAAAAAAAAAAAATCGACCATAAAAGTAAAGATAGTTATTAGGTCTGGTCTGTATGTCTCTTCTTATGCCAGTGCCAATGTTTTGATTGTTGTCGCGTTTAAAGTAAGTGTTGTTCTTTTACAAATTTTTCTGGCTACTCTGGATCCTTTGCATTTCCATATAAATTTTAGGTTCAGCTGGTCAGTTTCTACCAAAAAAAAAAAAAAAAGCCTGCAGGGATTTCGATAGGCATTGTGAATCTATAGATCAGTTTGAGGAAAATTGCTATCTTAATGATGTTCACTTCCAATCCATGGATGTGGAATGTGTCTCCGTTTATTTAGATATTCTTTAATTTAGATGTTTTAGATATTCTTTAATTTCTATTAATAGTGTTTTGTAATTTTCAGTGTGCAAGGCTTGCACTATTTTGTTAAATTTATTCCTAAGTATTTTTTTACTTTTTGATGTTATTTTTGATGAATTTTTTTCTTCATTTTGGATTGTTCATTGCTAAGTATATAGAACTACAATTAATTTTTGTGTATTGACCTCAAATACTGTAGCTTTGCTGAACTCATTTATTAGTGCTGGTAGTTTTTTGTCTATGATTCCTTAGAATTTTCTGCACATAGGATGATGTGGTCTGCAAATAAAGGCAGTTTTGCTGCTGCTTTCAATTCTGAAAGACTTTGTCTTTTTCCCTTTTTCTCCCTTATTGTACAGTGTCGAATAGAAGTGCCAAAGGCACACATCCATCCTTGCCCTGTTCCTAATCCTTCAGGGAAAGCATTTCCCATTAAGTATGTAGTTAGTTGTACATTTTTCATAAATGCCCTTTATCAGGTTGAAGAAATTTCTCTTATTTCTAGTTTGTGGAGAGTTTTATCATGAATGGGTATTGGATTTTATCATGTGTTCTTATGCTTCTATTGAGTTGATCCTGTGGTTTTTGTCCATTTAATTTATATAGTATATTTTAACAGCTTTATTGAGAGATAAATACCATAAAGTTTGGTCACTTAAAGTATACAATTCAGTGGGTTTTAGTTTATTTACAAAATTGTTCAGCCGTCACTGTAATCCAATTTTAGCACATTATCATCCCAAAAGAAAATTTGTACCAGTTAGCAGTCATTCCCATTCCTCTTTCCCTGCCCGCCAGCCCTAGGCAACCATGAATCTACCTTTTATCTCTATAGATTTGCCTATTCTGGACCTCTCGTATAAGTGGTGTCATACAGTATGTGACCTTTTGTTACTGGCTTCTTTCACTTAGCATGTTTTTGAAGTTTATCTGTGTTGTAGCATGTTATCAGTATTTCATTCCTTTTTATTACTGAATAATACTTTTTGTTTTTCCATTCATTGGCTGATAGACGTTTGGGTTGTTTCCCTTTTTTGGCTTTTATGAATAATGTTACTGTGAACATTTGTGTACAAGTTTCTGTGCAGACATAACATATTTATTGCCCTCAAGCAGATACCTAGTAGCAGAATTGCTGGGTCTAATGGTAACTCTTAGTCTTAACATTTTAAGAAATGCTTCTGTTTTCCAAGGCAGCTATGCTATTGTACATTCCCACTAGCAATGTATGAGGTTTCCAATTTCTCCACTTCTTCACCAACACTTGTTATTATCTATCTTTATGATTATAGCTATTCTACTGTTCTGGTGGGTATGAAGTGGTATCTCATTATAATTTTGGTTTGCATTTTCTTAATGCCTACTGATGTTGAGCATCTTTTCATGTGCCCATTTGCCATCTATGTCTCTTCTTTGGTGTCTTTTCAACTCTTCTGTCCATTTTTAAATTGGGTTTTCTTTTTCTTGTTGAATTTTGAGTGTTCTTTCTTTATTGTGAAAATGGGTTTTTGTTATAAGTGCCTCTGGGTTTGTCTTTTCACTTTCTGTATGCTTATAATTGTTATCTATTTCTTGACTTTTATAAAATGTTCCTCTTTATCTCTAGTAACAGTTTCTGTCTTAACATTGTCCAAAAAAGGCTATTTAGATTTTCTTGAGTTAGTTTTTGGTCATTTGTATTATAACTCAAGAGTAACTAGTTCCTTTTTTGTAAAGGCAAGCACCTACCAATGCTTTCTTAGGT
Organism: Homo sapiens; assembly: GCF_000001405.40. Lineage (NCBI taxonomy): Eukaryota > Metazoa > Chordata > Mammalia > Primates > Hominidae > Homo > Homo sapiens. The sequence continues at coordinate 120,804,119 of NC_000012.12, read as the reverse complement.
AATGAGGGCAGTTCATTTACGTATACCCAAACCTACTCTAGGAAGACAACATCAGGTTAGTAAGCCTGCAGAGATGCTGAGTTCTTTAATAAGAACTATACTTGATATGATTGTGATGCCCTTCATTCTAAGTGCATATAATTGTAGTTAGACCATGGTTCACCAGAACAAGTGTCACTATGGTTCACAATTGTCATGATGTTCTAATTGTGTGTAATATGTTGATTAACTTTTGAGCTACCCTTTTTGTCATTCCATAACTCGTCCTACTTGAAGAAAACATCATACACAGAAGCCTGAACTTGTTAGATGACGTAGGGAATGATTTTGTCCATTGCAGCGTGTGTAGACAAGTTTTTTTATATATTTAAGAATTTCATCAATTCACTATTAAATGTTCAATTTATAAAACCACTGTAAGTTTTCTAGGAACACATATTTAACTTAACCTAACTTTAACCATGTAATGTTTACCTTGAACCAGTGAGTCCCCGCTTCATTGTACTCACTTTCAATAGTAGAATTATCAAAAAACTTTCTTTTTAAAATTTTTTATAAATTAAAATTTTATTATTTTTTCATTTTTTCACTCCTTTCTGGAGCTGAGAAAAAAATAATGTTAAGGTTAAAAATTCCAATTTGCTTTTCTCCTCCAGTAATTCACAGTGTCCTCAGGTATCAGAATGCAAATGGATGAACGAGTATAACTTTCAATAAACTGATCTGCTCTCCCCTCCATTTTGCTTCCTACAATTGTTTATTTGTGCTCTTCACTGCCCGATTTCAGAGCATGTACTAACTTTTGCAAGTTACTTCAAGGAAAAATAAAATGGGGCCAAAGAAAACTAAAAGTATGAGTGGAGACAAAATAGAGCCAAAAAAGAAATGTAAAAATGCATACCATAATGCCAGCACTCCTGTTACTAGTGTTTCACAAGGACCACCATAAGCTTTGTAGCAGCCAGATTTAAAAAGAAAGAATGTAAAACTCAGCTTCCTTCCATCAAAAGAACTCAGTTGTTCAGGTGAATCGCAACTGTTCTTGGCCTTAAGATCAGACAGACTTTTATCCTAACGACCTTCATAAAGAGGATATAATGTTAAGTTCATTCATCTCACAGTAGGCATTCAAATAAGTGTTTGTTGAATGAATTGTAGTACCTTCAATATAAGTTGGTGGCATTGCATGAAAATGTATTTCAGCAAAAGCAGTTTTGCCAAAATTGAAGGTGCACAGTGGGCAACAGGATGTTGTTGTTTAGATAACCATCTTACTGCTAAGTGTGGTCTAAGGTTATATTTTGGAATATCTGGAGAATGAATGGGCTGTTAATTCTTAAACTGGTTATTCTTGAATGTTGATCTGTTAATAAATATTGGTAGCAGACCAGGCACGGTGGCTCACGCTTGTAATCCCAGCATGTTCAGAGGCCAAGGTGGGAGGATCACGTGAGGTCAGGAGTTCCAAGACCAGCCTGGCCAACATGGTGAAACTCCATCTCTACTCAAAATACAAAAATTAGCCAGGCGTGTTGATGCATGCCTGTAATCCCAGCTACTCAGGAGGCTGAGGCAGGAGAATCGCTTGAACTGGGAGGCAGAGGTTGCAGTGAGCCGAGATTGCGCCACTGCACTCCAGCCTGGGCCACAAACTGAGACTCCATCTCAAAAAGGAAAAAAAAAAAAAATATATATATATATATACACACACACACACACACATATATGTGTATATATATACATATATATGTATATATATACACACATACATACATACATACATATATAAAAGCAGCAGCCCAAAAATGTATTATGTTGCCAGCTAAATACAGACCTAGTTGTCTTAACAGCACTCATGGTGCATTCGTATTTTTATCAGAATGAAGGAACCTAATACCTAAATATAAGCCCATGTTTCCCCTTGTCCTGAGGCAGGCAGTGGAAGTTCCTAAAGGCAGGCCTAGAATCTTCCTCAGAAAATCCTTTTTAATCCACTCTAGGACATAAAGAAATGAGTAGTTGATTTCCTAAAGTTCTGTTCCTTGCAACTGAATTAATTCTAGCCTGAAACAAATTTAGGGCAAATATAACCAGATCTCTACCTCAGCCACACTAAAATCTTATTAAGGCACTCACAGAATATTAATATACTTCTTGATATAGTGTCTGTAATAAACTTCATGTGAAATGTACATCAAAGTGACCAAAACACCAAACTGGAATTTATACTTACACCCAATTTAAAGTTGAAGAATGTTGATGAGTTGTCATTCTAACTGACACTAATTAGCTGACAGGGTCAGTGGCCATCTGGACCTTACCCAGTTCAAGGCTAAACCATATCATTCACCTATAAAGCCTGCTGGTCTTAATATTTCTCTGTAGTAAGACAGCTCATGTGCAGCTTATCTAAAAATGATACCAGATCAAGTTTACTTGGGGAGAAATACTCTGTAGGTTTTTTTGTTTGTTTGTTTTTATGAGAAAAAAGCAGTATATACTAATGTGGAAAGATGTAGCGCGTCAAGCAGTGAGCCCATTACTTGGTGTAACAGGGCCAAGGGAAAACTTCCTCTGTGCCCCCTGAATCCTCGCTGAAAAATCCACTGACAAATAGCAGATTAATAGAAAAGGCATACAGATTTGTTAATGTGCACAAAAGTCTTACAAAATATAAGATCTCAAAAAAAAAAAATGGCCAGATGGCTGATGCTTTTATACCACCTTGAGGTTACAGAAAGAATGAGGGCTTGGAGTGTGGCAAGACAGGTTATGGTGGTAAATCAGGTTATGGTGGTGAGACAGATTATGAGAGAGAGAGAAGAGGAGGCCCAGCTAGCACAGGTGGTCCTGTCATGTAGATGAAACCTCACAGGTCGCAGCCCTGAGAGAGAATAGATGGAATATGTTTCTTTCTGACCTTCTAAGGTGTCAGACTCTCAATTAATCTTTCCTGTGTCTGGACAAGGTAGGGCCTCAGAGAAATGCCTCCACCTCATCAATGCATATTTTCTCTACAGATGCAAATCTGCCCCACACAGCTTCTCTCAGCTATTCTTGTATTTCCAGCCCTTCTGAAAACCATCTGAAATATGTCAGAGAAGTATATTTTTGGGTGAAATATTTTTGTTTCCTTCATAATTTTGCCAAGGCAGCAGGCATAAGCTGGAATTTGTGGTCACCCCACTCATGGAGTTTTTCTGTGAATCAAAAGAAACCTTGCCTGTAAAGCACCTAGCAGTGCCTGACAGTATGAGCTCAATCAAGCTTAACTATTATCATCATTTTAACCCCCTGGATGTTCTCAGCTGCTGAGTCAGAGACTGTTTCTTCCTGCCCAGGTTCTTAGTCTTTCTTTCTTAGTGTAGGTTCTATGTAAGTATCAATAATTGGACATTTGTTGACCTCCTACACCTTGACCCATAACTACTTCCTGTTCAGTCATAGTTGATGAAAAGACAAAAAAAAATAGCATATAATATGCTATAATTTAGATGGATTTTTTTTCTGTGATGGTAAATGGTTGTCTGTGATGAAAAAGCCATAGCTCAAGTCCTTCTGTTGATCATTTAAACATTGATTTCTTTTTCTTGTTTTGTTTTTTGTTTTTTTGTTTTGAGACTGAGTTTCATTCTTTTGCCCAGGGTGGAGTGAAGTGGTGTGATCTCAGTTCACTGCAACCTCCACCTCCCGGGTTCAAGCAGTTTTCTTACCTCAGCCCCCTGAGTAGCTGGGATTACAGGTGTGCGCCACCAGGCCCAGCTAGCTTTTGTATTTTTAGTAGAGACGGGGTTTCACCATGTTGTCCAGGCTGGTCTCGAACTTCTAACCTCAGGTGATCCACCAGCCTCAGCCTCCTGAAGTGCTAGGATTACAAGCATGAACCACCGCACCTGACCTAAACATTGATTTCAGTACCTAGACTTGCAAATAGCCAGGATACAATTTGGATGGAATGTATATTTATAACGTTATATTAACATCATATTATGTTACTGTATAGCAATAACAAGATTGTGAAGGCAGGTCAAGATGGAAGAGAATGAAGAGTAGTCTTCTGTGAAGATGCAGCGAACTGTTCTAGGTCCAACCTAGCAATCTGATGTCTATGCACTTAATAAATTACCAAATAAGCTAAGTTAAAGGCCTATAATTGAAAATAGTCCTGGATAGCTTTGGAGGCAGAGTCTTTTGCAAAGGCTTTATTTAAACAGCTTAAGTTTGCTGTCAGCTGTGCAGTGTGAGTAACTTTACCGGACCCCAGTCATAGTGGCATGGGATCTGCTAAGCCCAGGCCCTTTAAGCTTGTTGTATAAAGCTGGAAGATATGAATCTTCCCAGCTTGAGCTAATAGGTAAGGCCCTACTAACTCACTGTGCCCCATTTCTGTTTTGTGCAGCGGTGACCCATGGTCTGCTTCTAACAACCAAACAAGGCTTGATTTTAGCTAAGCTTGTTTGAGGCAGTGAGAAGTTCAAAGTCTTCTAATTACACAGAGAACTAGAAGAATGCTTGCTCTCCTTACCAGTCCTCCACCCTCCCCCACCATCTGATAGTACCTCATTCCTGCCTAAGGCTTTCCTGTCCCTGCTGCAGTTCTTGTCAGTTAGATGCTAAGAAAATGGACCAGCTAAAACTGGTTTGAAGTTGACCACTACTTTCTGCTACAGAAGATCCCTAGCTTACCAACGGTTTGACTTAATGATGGTTCAACTTAAGATTTTTCCACTTCATGATGGTACAAAGGCAGTATGATTTCAGTAGAAAGCATACTTCAAGTACCCATACAACCATTCTGTTTTTCACTCTCAGTACAGTATTCAGTAAGTTACTTGAAATATTCAGCACTTTATTACAAAACAGGCCTTTGTGTTAGATGATTTTGCCCAACTGTAGGCTAATGTACGTGTTCTGAGCACGTTTAAGGTAGGCTGGGCTAAACTATGATGTTCAGTAGGTTAGATGTATGAATATTAAACGCATTTTGAACTTGAGATTTTTCCACTTACCTGGGCTTATTGGGATATAACTCCATTGTAAGTCAAGGAGCAGCTGTATTTGAAAAAAGGGGAAAATCTTGCCTTAAAACATCCAGGATGGAGTTATAAATAGTTCTCAACTAATAACAAATTGAAATTGAGTTATATAACCCTTCATCCTGTCCCGCGGGGGGTTCTCAGCACCTATTCTCACTAACCCAGTCTCATGGGAGAGGCTCCGTAGCAGCTGTGCCTAGGGTTAAACCAAAGAGATGACTGGCAACCTTCCAATCCAGAATAGCGATATAATGCCAACAGAAAAAGTAAGAGAAGCTGGCAATCTGTGTAGCCCCAAGGGTAGAGATGTAGATAAAAATTCCTGCACATTTAACCTGCTGTCACCAGATTCTGAGAAGCAGAATATAACAAGTGTAGTTATTGTTATTCCATTCATAAGTGAATTTGAAAAACTCAATTTAAATTAATATATGTGTTTCCAAAACATGCCCACAGGGAAGGAGCAGTCTTCATGTTCCATTGACTCCAGAGACGTTCCCATTAAATGCATCACCAACCCTAGAGTTTAGGTCCTGCACATTGTTAGCTCTGCTGTGCGAAAACATGAATTAAAGCTTAAAAGATCATAGAAGTGAAACCATGTACTAGAAACTACCACAGGTGCGTTGGCAGGGGAAATATATGCAAAATACTACATCTAGTTTGTTGTGGAACTAATTAGGAAAAAGTTTTTCAGGAGCCAGTTGCCATAGCTATTCCTCTAAGTGTGACTGAGGTATGAGCAGTAAGTGTACGTTTTAATCTCTGCTAATGTGTCTTCCTCTGATGGCTGGAGAAATATGTCTCAAATACTGTATATGAATCTTCTAAAATCCAAGGCTTTTTTAAAATAAAAAAACCCCCAGGAAAGCCAACACATCAGACACCTGACCATATTTCAGAAGAGGAGTCTTAACCATGTTTCAGGGAGTCCACCACATCTAAAAGTCGCTGTGTTTTGGTCCTGCTGGGGAGCTGTCACCCACTGGGGCTGCCCTCCAGTGGAACAGTTTGCTAAACAGTTCGTTGGCCAGATTTATATGAGAACAGGGTGACATGTAACTAACCAGTCTCTACTTCATAGATTATCCTCCCCAGACCCCCCATTCTAATTGAGGCTTCCTTGGTACCAGTAACAGAGAAGGGAGTTTTAGTGAATGAAAGTACAGGAAACAAGAGTGGCAGCTAGAGTCAGGCTGTTAGTAGAGGGGCAAGTCTTTCAAATCCAGTAAGAAATTTTGAGTCATAGAGGTGGGAAACTACGAAGTTAAGATCATTATCAGTGTGACCTGAGCCCAGTCATTTGGTTAAGTTTCTTCCAGGAAGGATTATGACCTACCTCTTCATTATAGGATAGGATCCTCTGCTTTCCTAAAGAAAGGGATACAATTCATCAATGTTTTGGTACCCCCAGGGACATGAACAAGAAATTTTAAAAGGCCTTTTCCTTCACTTAAAAATCTGTCCAGTTCAGGACCTATTTAAAAGAACTACCTAGAGCCACTTGTACTTCCAGCCAAGATAGAGAAACAGAGACTGAATTACCATCCCACATGAAACAACTTTAAAAACAATAAAAAAAACATGTAAACCCTCATAACACAGCAGTTTTCAAGATATTTTTCATCAGACAACAAAGGACAGTATTCCTGAGAGTTGAGGAATAGTTTTCCCGTCATACTTATTTTCCCGTCAAACTATCTTAAGATAGTTTCCACTCATGGTGCAGAGAGAAAGATTTCTGAAGTTGAAGAGATGGAACTGAGAGTCCAAAGAGACGGCTAGAGGCAGCTAGAGTTAATAGAACAGAGTACAAAAGAAAAGAGAGCTGCAAAATGAAAAAACCCAGAGATCTACACAGAATCCTTGAACATTCATCCCAATTTTTTTGTTTGTTGTTTTTTGTTTGTTTGTTTTGAGTTGGAGTCTCACTCTGTCATCCAGGCTGGAGTGCAGTGGCACAATCTCGGCTCACTGCCACCTCCACCTCCCGGGTTCAAGAAATTCTGCCTCAGCCTCCTGGGTAGCTCGGATTACAGGCACCCACCACCACACCTGGCTAATTTTTGTATTTTTGGTAGAGACAGGGTTTCACCATGTTGGCCAGGCTGGTCTCGAACTCCTGACCTCGTGATTCGCCCGCCTCAGCCTCTCAAAGTGCTGGGATTACAGGCGTGAACCACTGCACCCACCCTCACCACAGTATTAATTAGTGTATGCATATGTGGAAATCATCTAAAGTGGAGGAAAGAATAATGTGAAAGGATTAGAAGGGAGAGTACCTGCTTCCAAAAGCCTGATTGGAAAAACTTACAATTCATTTGGCATTGGATAGAGTACTCAGATCTTGCCTCAATGATAGAGAATAATTACCCTAGACTGAGCACTGCTTCAGACCCACCTAATAAATCATGGAAACAAAAATAAAGCCAGGTATCTAACAGCATCCCTGATCAAAGCTCAAAATTAATAGGAATAAAAAATATTTAGATAAGGTAAAATTCACAATGTCTAGCATACGTGCAGAGATGACCAGACAGGCAAAAAAGGAAAACATGACCCAGGATGAGGAAAATAATCAGTCAATCAAAACTGACCCAGAACTGACACAGATGTTAGTATGAGCAAAGTACATCAAAACAGATATAATTGTATTCCATATATACAAAAAGTTAGATAGATACATGGAGATTATTTTTATTTTATTTTTGAGACAGAGTTGCTCTGTCGTCCAGGCTGGAGTGCAGTGGCGTGATCTCAGCTCACTGCAACCTCTGCCTTCCGGGTTCAAGCAATTCTCCTGCCTCAGCCTCCCAAGTAGCTGGGACTATAGGTTTGTGCCACCATGCCTGGCTAATTTTTGTATTTTCAGTAGAGACGGGGTTTCACCATGTTGGCCAGGCTGGTTTCAAACTCCTGTCGTCAAGTGATCCACCCACCTTAGCCTCCCAAAGTGCTGGGATCACAGTCGTGAACCACTGTGCCTGGCCAACATGGAGATTATAAAGAAGAACGAAATCAAACTTTCAGAAATGAAGACAACAATGTCTGAGATGAAAAATACACTGGATGGGATTAACAGCAATTAGAAACTGCAGAAGAAAAGATTAGTGAACTTGAAGGCACAGTAATGGAAATTAATCCAAAATGAAGTACAGAAAAGAATAATTTTTTTAAACATGAAAAGATCATAATGGAGCTATCATTGAACATTAGAGAGAAACCTCCAGTGGCCTACTGTATGGGTAATGGAGTCCCTGAAAGAGGAGAAGAAAGGGAGGGACAGAATAATACATGAAGAAATAATGGCCAAGTTTTTTCTAAATTTGATAACTATAATCTGCAGATTCAAAACTGCAGATTATAAGCACAAAAAACATGAAGAAAACTACACCAAGACACATAATCAGTAGCTCAAAATGAGTGGTAAAAGAAAATCCCCAAGGCTGCCAGAGGGGGCAAAAAAGCATGTTAGGTACAGAGGAGAAAAGATGAGGGTGATGTCAGATTTGAAAATACAAGTGAAAAGTCAATGTAACGGTAGCTTTAAAGTACAGGAAGAAAAAAACTGTCACTGTAAGATTCTACAGCAAAAATATCTTTTAAAAATGAAGGCAAAGTAAAGATGTTTTTGACATACCATACACTACCGGAAAGAATTCATCTCATCACCAGCTGTCTTACACTAAAAAATGTTAAAGGAAGTCTTTTGAGCAGAATGAAAATGGTACCAGCCTTAAATCTGTATTTACACAAGGGAGTTAAGATCACCAGAAATGAACATCCATCGATAAAAGTTTTTTTCTATTTACAGTTGTGTAAAAGATAATTGACTGGAGCTGGGCACAGTGGTGTGTACCTGTAATCCCAGCTACTTGGCAGGTTGAAGCAGAAGGATTGATTGCTCAAGCCCAGATGTTTGAGACCAGCCTGGGCAACATAGCAAGATGAATGAAAGAATGAATGATAATTGACAACATAAACAAACATTATATATTGTGAGGTTTATAAGATAACATGTAAGAGTTAAATGCATGGCCACAGTAGCACAAAGGTTGAGGGAGGGAAATAAATATAAACTATTGTAAGGAGTTTATACTATACATGAATGTTACAATATAACTGGAAGGTAGACTGTGTTAAAGATGTATACTATAGACCCTACAGCAGCCACTAAAATTAAAGAGCAAAGAGTTATAGCTCATAGGACAACAAAGGAGATCAAATTGGATCATAAAAAATGCTATATTAATCCAAACAAAGTCAGGTTAAGGGGAAATAAAATAGGACAAGTAGGAAACAAATAGTAAGATGATAGGCTCAAACTTAATTGTATCACTGATCACATTCAATGAAATTGGTCTACACACCTCTTTAAAACAGCAGTTGTCCAGGTGCAGTGTCTCACGCCTCTAATCCCAGCACTTTGGGAGGTCAGGGCAGGCGGATCATGAGGTCAGGAGTTCGAGACCAGCCTGGCCAACATAGTGAAACCCCGTCTCTACTAAAAATACAAAAATTAGCAGGGTGTGGTGGCATGCGCCTGTAGTCCCAGCTACTCGGGAGGCTGAGGCAGGAGAATTGCTTGAACCTGGGAGGCAGAGGTTGCAGTAAGCCAAGACTACACTGCTGCACTCCAGCCTGGGTGACAGATTGAGACTCTGTCTCAAAAAAATAAAAATAAAAATAAAACAGCAATTGTGAAATTGAATAAAAAAGCAAGACCCAAATATATGCTGCTTACAAGAAGCACACTATAAAGCCAAAAAAGGTTAATCCCTGTTGTCTAGTGGTTAGGATTAAAAAAAAAATAGTTAAAAGTAAAAGGTTAGGAAAAGATATGCTGCTTATACTCATCTACAGAAAGCTGGAATGGCTGTATTAATATAAGACAAAGCAGCTTTCAGAGTAAAGAATACTACCACAGACAAGAAGGTTATTTTGTAATGACAAAGGGGTCAATTAAGCAAGAGAGCATAACAATCACAAATGTTTATGTATCTAATAAAAGATCTTCAAAATACATGAAGCAAAAACTGAGAGAACTGCAAGGAGAAATAAATTCACAAATATAGCTGAAGATTTCAGTACCACTCCCAATAATAGAATAATTAGGCAGAAAATCAGTGAAGATACAGTGGATTTCAACAATACTCTTAATCAATTTGACCTAATTGACATTTATAGAATGTTCCATCCAACAACAGAACACACGCTCTTTCTCAAGTGTATGTGGAATATTTACTAATGCAGACCATATATGGGGACATGAAACAAATCTCAATACATTTAAAAGGATTCAGGTATGAAATCTGATCTGCATTAGCCCAGGCTGCCATGAAATACCCATAGACTGGGTGGCTTAAACAGCAAATTTATTTTTTCAGAGTTCTGGAGATTGGAATTCTCAGGTCAGGGTGTCAACATGGTTAGATTCTGTTTTCCAAAGTGTCTGCACCAGTTCACATTCCCACTAGTAGTGTATGAAGGTTCCAGTTTTACATCCTTGTGTCCTTGCCAACACTTAGTTATCTGACTTTTTTATTATAGCCATCCTGCTATGTGTGAAGTGGTTTCTCATGGTGGTGGTTTTGTTTTGAGGAGACAGTGTCTCACTTTGTTGCTCAGGCTGGAGTGCAGTGGTGCCATCAGCCTTGACCTCCTGGGCTCAAGTGATCTCCTACCTCAGCCTGGCGAGTAGCTGAAACTGTAGGCACATGCCACCACACCCAGCTAATTCTTTTATTTTTTATAGAGACAGGGTCTCACTGTGTTGCCCACATGGGTCTCAAGTGAGCCTCTTGCCTCAGCCTCTCAAAGTGCTGGGATTCCAGGCGTGAGCCACCGCTTCCAGCCAGTTTCTCATGGTTTTGACTTGTATTTCCCTGATGACTAACGGTGTTGAACATCTTTTCATGGGCTCATTGGCTATTTGTGTATCTTCTTTGAAGAAATGTCTCTTCAGATCCTTTGTTCATTTTAAAATCAGGTTGTCTTTTTTATTATTGAGGTGTAAGAGTTCTTTATATATCCTAGACACAAGTCCCTTATCAGATACATGATTTGCAAAGATTTTCTCCCATCCTATGGGTTGTCTTTTGACTTTTTGGTTAGTGTCCTTTGAGGCACGTAAGTTTTTTAAGTTTTTCTCTGTTTTTTAGCATCATATCTAAGAATCTACTCCAAATCCAAGGTCACAGAGATTTACCATGTGTTTTTATCTAAAAGCTGTATAGTTTTAGAAGTCAGTTCCTCTGTCCTACCAGCCACATTTCAGTGATCACATGATGTGGCTGATGTCCACAGCACTTGTCAGTGCAGATAAAGACCATCATAACAGAAAGTTCTTTTGCAAAAAAACAACTTTTTTTTTTTTTTTTTTTTTTTGAGACAGTCTCACTCTGTTGCCAGGCCGGAGTGCAGTGGCGCAATCTTGGCTCACTGCAACCTCTGCCTCCTGGGGTCAAGCAATTATCCTGCCTCAGCCTCCCAAGTAGCTGGAACTACCGGCACGCACCACCACGCCCAGCAAATTTTTGTATTTTTAGTAGAAACGGGGTTTCACCATGTTGGCCAGGATGGTCTCGATCTTCTGACCTCGTGATCTGCCCGCCTGGGGCTCCCAAAGTGCTGGGATTACAGGCGTGAGCCACTGCACCCACAAACACCTTCTTTACAGGAAAACACTAGCAGAAAATTAGCTAAGAACTTGGACAGATACTTCACAAAAAAAAAGAAAGAAATGAGCAAGCTTTTGTACACAACATTATTCACTGGTTAAAGAATTCTAAATCAAAGTGACGTGCCATTTTTAGTTCCCCAGATAGACAGTGACTACTTCCTTCAGGTCTTGACTCTGAAGTCACTGTCAGTGAGGCCTTCCTGTTCATCCTGTCTAAAATTTCAAACCCTAACCCCTGCATTTCCTAGTTTTCCTCCTTAGCACCTGCCATGAACACGCTATGTATTGAACTTATTTTTCTGGTCTATTACATCTCCCCCCTTGAATATAAAATCCAGTCTTGTGTTTGCTATTTATTGTCCCTGTAGTACCTAGAACAGTTCCAGATATAGAAGACACTCAAATTTTTTTTGTTGTTGAATCACAGCTGACAGGGTATAGGGAAATGAGTGCTCTCATACACTGCTGAGAGAGTGAACTGATGCAGCCTTTTTGCGAACAGTTGTGTGGTATGTAAAAGTCTCAAAATGTGCTTGCCCTTTGACATTTCTCCTTCTAGGCTTTTATCATAAGGAAGTAATTAAGGATATGATATGCTCAGAGATAGGAGTGGAAGATTCAGCTGCATTGGGATGCTTTCATCTGCAGTCAGGAAAACTCTTGAACTGACACATTGGAAGGACTGAAGATTGTTTTTTAAAATGTTACAAGAGCTATTTTTCAGAGTTGTTCAAAAGAGACCTTCTTTCCTAATTCCTTGGCATTTAAAAATATTGTCATATGACTTTTCTGACCTTCTTTTGTAAGCAAAACTACAACTTAACTACAAAATTTTTTTCCACAGGTCCCTTAATATGGACTTTGAAAATCAAGATAAGGAGAAAGACAGTAATAGTTCTTCTGGGTCTTTCAATGGCAACAGCACCAATAATAGTAAGATATTTTATGTCAATTAACTTCTGTACATATAGTTTTCTTAATTTGGCTGTTTCTATACCTCCAGTTAATAATTTACTGGGTTCAAGGATTTATGATTGGTATAAAAAAACATTGAATTATACTTAAAATGAGTGAATTTTACGGTATGTAATTGTACCTCAATAACGTTAATAAAAATGTTTGATGCTTATAGAAAGATTTGAATTTGAAGTGACTTGATTTGATAATATTAATACATTTATATTGAGATCTGCCATGTACTCAACATTCTGTTAGATCTTTTGAAAGATGCAAAAGTACAAGAGAAATTTTTGCCAAGATGTTCTTTAAAAAGTGCCAAGATATCCAGGCGCAGTGTCTCCCACCTGTAATTCCAGCACTTTGGGAGGCCAAGGTAGGCAGATCACTTGAGGTTGGGAGTTCAAGATCAGCTTGACCAACATGGAGAAACCCTATCTACTAAAAATACAAAATCAGCCAGGTGTGGTGGCGCATGCCTCTAATTCCAGCTACTACTGAGGCTGAGGCAGGAGAATCGCTTGAACCCAGGAGGCAGAGGCTGCAGTGAGCCGAGATCGTGCCATTGCACTCCAGCCTGGGCAACAAGAGCGAAACTCCGTCTCAAAAAAAAAAAAAGTGCCAAGATAGAGAGGGCAAATACCTCTTCACCTCCTATATATGGGGCAAGTACCTTTTTTCGGTGACCCTCACCATAGCCTCAGAATCCCTCTGAACATAGAGCTATTATCAGAGGAAGCTCTACAGATGAAATCATTTTGATATCCATGTAGAAAGAGCATAAAGAGACCCGCAAGTCAGGTGAGCAGCAATGGGTCAGATAAGGTTTCTTTACAAGAGAAGGTGGGTTTGACTTAGTGAATGTGGATTGGTGGAGAAGTCGTCATTTCAGGTTAGGGGAACATATAATAACAGGCACAGAGATCACGACCTATAGAACAGGGTAAGGTCGCCACCTAAGAGAGAGGAAATGCTAGAGATCTAATTAAAAGGTAGATCAAATATTGATTGGAGGACCATGGATGTTAAATTGAAAAGAGATCACTTATTGTGTATCTTAGTTTCTCCAGTTATTATAGCACGCTGTCAACCTAGTTGTATTTGCCCAGTTTTCACCGGGCACAGACCCAGTCACATGGGTTTCATTGTCCCTGGCAGTGCCAAAGTGGGCATGATAAAGACGGTAAGTCGACTCATTTAAATATAATGAGTCTTTTCTTAAATTTATGACATGGATCCTTGTATGATATAAAATTCCATACCAGTAGTTATTACTAGTGCAAGGAACCACATAAAACCTGGTGCAAAATCTGATTTTTAGATTAAATTATTACATAGCAGCTTATCTTCTGTCAACATTTTAAGCCAAATCAGTTTATACTCCTGAAACTCTTTTTAAAAGTCCTGTATTATGTAGCACATATGCAAGTGATGTTCTTAAACCAAATTATAAATCTGCTGTACATTGCATCACAGAAACCTAAAGAAATCTACCTATATTATTATGTCTAAGTTTACCTCAAAAACAAACAAAAACAAGAAATGGTTGTGCCAGTCCGTACAGTGGAAAGAAGTTACCTGGTAATACAGCTCTTTTTTTTTTTTTTTTTTTTTTTTTTTGAGACGGAGTCTTGCTCTGTCATTCAGGCTGGAGTGCAATGACGTGATCTCAGCTCACTGCAACCTCTGTCACCTGGGTTCAGGCAATTCTCCAGCCTCAGCCCCTGGGGTAGCTGGGATTACAGGCGCTCGCCACCATGCCTGGCTAATTTTTGTATTTTTAGTAGAGATGGGGTTTCACAGTGTTGGCCAGGCTGGTCTCAAACTCCTGATCTCAAGTGATCCATCCACTTCGGCCTTCCAAAGTGCTGGGATTATAGGCATGAGCCACTGCACCCAGCCAACATAAGCTTTTTTATTTTTTGTTCATGAAGCACAGTCTAAAGAGTGGTAGAATACTTCTTTTTTAAATGCTTTTTTTCTTTTTTTTTTTGAGACAGAGTCTCACTGTCACCCAGGCTGGAGTGCAGAGGTGCAGTCTCTGCTGACTGCATCCTCCGCCTCCCGGGTTCAAGTGATTCTCCTGCCTCTGCCTCCCGAGTAGCTGGGATTACAGGCACCCACCACCACACCTGGCTAATTTTTGTATTTTTAGTAGAGATGGGGTTTCACCATGTTGCCCTGGCTGGTCTTGAACTCCTGACCTCAAGTGATCCTCCAGTGTTGGCCTCCCAAAGTGCTGGGATTATAGGCATGAGCCACTGCACCCAACCTAAATGGTCTTTCTTAACTCTGCCAGCTATGTTGTACTAAATTATCCTTGACAACATTTCTTCAGTGCCTGCTCTGAGCAGTGGATGCCAATAGGATAAGGACAGATTAGCATAGACTGCAAAATTCACTTCCTCAAAGAAGAACATAATGAAGAAGCCATTACAAAGACGGCCGACCAGTACTTGATTATGGAATATAAAATTATTACAGATTGAAAGGATGACATGGAAAACAGGATGAATTTATCAAGAATCAAAGAAATAATAGCCAGAAAGATGAACAGAGAAACAGAGAGGTGTAGGTGCTAAGGAGATGGAAGTCCTGGATGATTAACAATGTGGAACAACTGGGGAGAAGGTTTTGAGAAAAAGAAAGTATAAATTTAGTGTTAAGATTTTGTCAGGAGTGTTTCAGACTGATTGAAGGAGACAGTAATCAGAAGTTTTTAAAAGATTGTAGCTGCCCACTCCCAAAATAATAAGAAACAAGGAATTTGTAAAGAGATAGGAGAGCAGGAGAAGTTGTAGGTGTAGCCAGCATCATTGGTGGGGTACGTGGGTGAAGGGTTACTCTTACGATTACATGCTTTGAATATGTCAGAAATGATTTGACTGTCCTTGATTATAATAGGAGCTAGGAGAAGGAGAAGCATTAAGTGAGACTCAACAGAGGGTTAGATGGGCCATGTGACTCATGCCCCAAAAAATCAGAACTTAAAAATGGAGAAATCAGTTTGTAATTGAAAGTTTCTCGCTGCAGGGTGCCCTAGGGTATTTGACCAAAAGACTGGGTAATTATTACTTCAGATTATAATAATGTTCCACCTATCTGGGCAACTCGAAACACATGGAAGTAAGAGGAAGAGTTGATCAGGCCTGCCAGGAACTATGGCACTCAACTCATTAGAAAGCAGAAAAGTAAAAGTGAAGACAGTAATGAAAAAGCACTACATGCCCACCACCAGAATAGCTAAAATTAAAAACCTTGACCATTCCCAGTGCTGATGAGGATGCACAGCAACAGCAAAGAGCCCTCTTGCGTTACTGGAGAGCATGCGTTAGCACAGTCACTTTGGAAGGCAGTTTGACATTTTACCTACTAAAGGTGACAGTATAAATACCCTTGGACCCAGCAGTGTCACTCCTAGTTATATATCCAGCAAATACAGTCACATGTGCATCAAGTCATGTGCAAGAGTGCCTAGAGCAGCAGCATTTGTAATAACCAAAAAATTGGAAACAACCCAAATGTCAACCGTAGAATGGATAAATTTTACTGTATTCATACAGTGAAAACAAGTGAACTGCTGTAGCTACATAAAACAGCATGGATAATTCTCACAAATCATATTGAGTCAAAGAAGCCAGACACAAAAAAATAACTACATAACTCAATGCATATAAAATTTAGGAAACAGGCAAACTAGTATTTAAGGATGCGTGCTTGGGTGGAAAACGTGTCATAAAAGTCAGGATAGCGGTTCCCTTCAGGAGAATGAGAGAGAGAGAGAAAGTAGTGATTGAGAGGGACACAAAGGAAGATTTCTGGGGTTGGTTTGTTTCTTGACTTGAGTGGTATTAAATATGTAATAATTCATTTTTGTGCTTTTCTGGGTGTGATGCTTCACCATAAAAAAGGTTAGAAAGTGACAGGAGTGAGGGTGGAGGGCAAGAGTTCCCTCCAGGTCCTCTGATTTCCCCTGACCTTGTTCTAACTTCTCTGCCTGCCCCCAAGAAGCCAATATAGAAATTTATTTTCCCATGGCACATCAGTCCTTCATTTAAGTAGTATTAAGTGGAATTTTAAAAAGCCATGTACACCCCTGCCCAATTATCTGACATCTTAAAGACTTTTACTAAACTTCAGTTATAATTTATTTGAGTTATAAAGATTGATGGAGATGTATAGTTGGGATCCTCATCTTTAGTAGAGGTATACATCTTAATCTTCTTGCTTAGATTGTAAACTTCATGAGATCTGGAAATGACTTTCTTTTAATCCCTCCTGTTGCTTACTATATAATAAGTGTTCAGCAAATAGTCAAAAGCATCGTTCTTACAGGGAGGTGTAAAATCAGTAATTTTCTTAATAGTTATTGGTTTTATTGCTCAGTGTCTATTCCATACCAGACGTACATTTAGCCTGTAGCCATGTTCATTGAATGTTAAAAATGATGTTGCTGTACAAAATTTTTAATTCCATTACCAAGCCTATTTCCTATGTTGATTTTTGCCTTAAAGATAATGCAACTGCACTTGCATATGTCCTCCTAATTATGGCTAGTCTGTTTTGCTTTGCTCAGTTTTGCTTTGTTTTTAAGTTACTGGAGTTTGGCTAAAATTTCTAATTAATTACCTCTTTCTTTCCCATTCAAGACCTTTATCTCCAGAACTTTAGGAAATGGAGTACTGAAGTCATGGACATTGTTTTAGGTAGCATATTGTCAGGAACTAAAGGCGCTTTACTTGCCCTGTGACATCGCCTCCTGGTTCAAAAATCTGTGGTTTAAAAAAAAAAAAATCTGTGCATTCTATCTAATACGCCAGAAAGGTCCTTTGTATTCAGTTTCGCATGTAATTGCAGACTGAACTTTTAAAATTTAGCTTTATTATAAACAAATGCATCTCTTATATACCTCACCACTACAGTCTTTATTCTAGCTAGCCATTTAATTTTCTCTTCATACTTTGAATCAGTATAATCTGTCTATAGACTCCCTGATGCTTTGTTCCTATGATAAAGTTATTTATCTGAGAAACATTATTTTCTGTAGTGAAAGGCACTGAAAATCTGTAGCTTCCTCTAGCTGTTCTTTGAACTACTGTAGAGCACTTACATTTAAAAACTATTTAGGTAAAATTTAGTTAGAGATTTCATAGAGTTTTGTCTAATGGATACACTTCCCGAAGTGATCCTTGGGCCAAGCTGAATGGATTTGACTAGGGTCAGGACAGACTGCTTCCAAGATAATTTCTGTTTGTCATGACACATAGTTCACTTTTCCTAAATTGAATTGTCCTATTCCTAAGTGAATTACTTCACTCATCTGCCTAGTCCCTGAGAAGCATTTTGTTTTATAGATTTAGTCAATCAAAAACCCTAAATAACTCTTTTGGGGACAGGCAAATTTAAATACCTAAGAGAAATTTTGTTGATCATTGTAACCCTTTGTGTCTTGCTATGTTTATCCTGGTTACATATTTTATTTGTAGCCTTAATATAATGAAGAGACCTTTCCTTTTTTTTTTTTTTTTTTGCCTTGGACTCCTGGGCTCAAGTGATCCTCCCACTTCAGCCTCCCAAGTAGCTGGAACTACAGGCTCAAGATAACATGCCTAATTTTTTTTTTTTTTTTAATTTTCTGTAGAGATAGGGTCTCCTTAGTTTGCCCAGGCTGGTCTTGAACTCCTGGCCTCAAGTGATCCTCCTGCCTCAGCCTTTCAAAGTGCTGGGATTACAGGCATGAGCCACCACACCCAGCCTTTTTCTTCTATTATTTCATTATTATAGATCATATGAAGATTTCTTTGATTCCTTTTGTGCGCTTTTATGACATCTCAATAGAGTTAATTTGGAAGTGAGACAAGATAAAACTGGTAATTTTTTTTTTCATTCAGTGGTTATTAGAGTTTGCCATGTTTTCCTTCTCTACCAAAAATACTCTATTAATGGTTCTCAACCCTAGATGCAAAATACAGTTTTGTGAGGAGCTTTTAGCTGGGCCTAACTCCTGTGATTTCATTTAATTTGTCTGGGATTGGACCTGGGCTTTGTAATTTTTTTAAAGCTCTAATGGGAAGCCAAGAATTGAGAACCCTTGCGCTAAATCCTACTCTAGCCCAAGAGATTATTTTCCCGTATTCATCTCCTATTCTGGTACCTTAAAATGTTCCCATAAAATAAATTTTTTTTTTTGTAAATATTAATAGATAGAAACGGGGGTCTCGCTGTGTTGCCCAGGCTGGTCTTGAACTCCTGGTCCCAAGCCATCCTTCCACTTCAGCCTCCCAAAGTCCTGGGATTACAGGCGTGAGCTACCACATCTGGCCAAATAAAATTTTTCTGATTTGCTGTTTTCAGCTATGACTTGTTGTCCTCCTTCTCCCCCATCAGCCAAGTCAGTTCTCAACTATTAGCAACAACGAGAAAGAGTGAAAATGAGTACCTTAAACCCACAGGTGATGAGAAGTCCTTTTAGTCAATGGGTTTAAACCACCTCTTTTACCAAACCTATATTCAAGACCACAAATTTACCCAAATGGACTAATCTGGGTTTTTACTACCTCTTAATGTTCTCGGTGGTGGTTTGGATCCTGTCATCCAGATGGTTAACACCAGGAGGTAGTAGTTCACTTCAACAAATATTCCTGAGTGTCTGCTGTAATGAAAGGCACCATGAAGAGAACAAGGAGCTCATAATCTCGTTGGGAAAGAAAGACTCATAGGGCCTGGATAATCCATGTCCTACGTATAATCCGTAGAACTGTCTGCATTTTTGCAAGTTAATGTATATGAAGTGCATAGGCACAGTGCCTGGTGCATAATAAGTTATTAATCTGTCTGTTTTTCTCTTTCAGGCATCCAAACAATTGACTCTACCCAGGCTCTGTTCCTTCCAATTGGAGCATCTGTCTCTCTTTTAGTAATGTTCTTCTTCTTTGACTCAGTTCAAGTAGTTTTTACAATATGTACAGCAGGTAAATATGAGTTTCTCTGTCTAGTCTTAACATACTAAAAGGAAAATTTTTCACCTTTATCATTGTTCAAAAATTAAGATTTATATACCATGTCATGTAAGTTTTTCCTTATAAATCTTGGCTTCGCCTTCTCCGTCTCAACCACGCCACCCTTCCCCAACTCCTCCTTGAACCTCTTGATCCACGTCATCTGTTGAGACCTGCCCACACAATCTGAAAGAAAGGCTGGAGACGTCAAAGTGCAGGAATTCTATGACACCAGAGCAGTATTGCTGTGCTTTGGCTGTGGCGCTTTTTCTAGATTACCAGAAGGTTGAGCTTGGCATAGAGGCCATTGTCAGCCTCTACCCACGTTCTTGCAGGTAGAAACATGGATAGCTAATCAAAGTGATTGGACTGTCAGCTCTTTGATGTGTTTTCAAGCTAAGTATTGATGGAAATGTAAAAAAAAATCGGCAAAATGCTACAAGACTTGTTAGGAGGTCATCCCCTGGCCTGCTGTTTATCTTTTAGGAAACTTACCTATGCTTTCCCCTACTTCAAATCAGGTACTTTTTTTTAATAATGAAGAGATTTTTTGTGCAGTATTAAAGGAAGACATTTTTCTTCTCTAGTCAATTAACCGTATCCACTTGTCTAGTGTTTGGCGGAATGAAGTTTCTATAAGTCATGCCATTTTTCTTATAATTGTTTTAAAAAATTATACCTTTTCTTTCTCTAGTTCTTGCAACGATAGCTTTTGCTTTTCTTCTCCTCCCGATGTGCCAGTATTTAACAAGACCCTGCTCACCTCAGAACAAGTAAGGACTTGGGACTTTCCTCTTAAATTATAAACTTGTATATATTTTTCTGTCATATTTGATAGCATTATTAGGATTCTCAATTTCTGTTATTGGCTGGAGCACAGAAATGCCAAAAGACCAGGAAGTGACACATTTGATCTTTAAAGCCAGAAGCTAGTACTTCCTTTTGTACCTTCTCATGTCAGAGGAAATACAAACAAAACTTAGGAAGTCTGAGTCATTGTAATGTGCTTCCTACTTAGATCATTGAAAGATGAGCAGTTTTCTTTTGAAACGGTGCTTTCATTCCTTTACTGTGAGTTGATGAAATATGAGAATAGTGGTTGAACTCAAACGTTCTTCTTTGCCTTTGGTCTTCGGTGGCCTAGATATGCTACCTACTTGCGTTTAATCCTAGTGTTCACACCTTAACTCTGAAAGTCATTGCTGCACGGAAACAAAATTCTGTGCTAATGGAGATGCTGAACGCACTTAGGAAACCAGTCATTGGTGGCAGCTGATGCTCGCAGGAATTAGTGATAACCAAAAGATTTACAATCTTCTAAATAGAGTGATACCATCTTTGGTAAATGAGTTGAATTGTTGGCATTTCTTCATTTTGTTTTCCTCATAAGAATAGAATTTCCTCCATACTTATTAGCTTTTCCAGAGGTTAATATTATCACTTCAAACTTCTAAATGCCCATGTTGATAATTGGTCCCAAAAAGACATTATCAGTTGGTGCAGAAGTATATTCCTGTGAGCTTTCCATAGGTTTCTCCAAAAAAGGATTGGGTATTTTGGATTTCCAGCTATCTTGGTATTATCTGCTATTCTAATCCAGCCATCACGAAATACCAAAGGAGAATTTGGTTACTGAATAAAGTGTGCCCACTGTCCAATAAGTGTTGTGTGTTTTCCAGGATTTCCTTTGGTTGCTGTGGACGTTTCACTGCTGCTGAGTTGCTGTCATTCTCTCTGTCTGTCATGCTCGTCCTCATCTGGGTTCTCACTGGCCATTGGCTTCTCATGGATGGTGAGTGACTAATTTGTGACAAATTGTAATTTTACTTTATAGAGTTTTATAGATACTTTAGGATATTCACAGAGCTGTACAACCATCACTACAATAAACTTTTAGAGCATTTTCACACCCACCCCCGCCAAAACAAATGAGCGGTCATTCCCCTTACCCACCTCCCCAGCCCCAGGTATCCACTAGTCTCTACTTTCTGTTTCTATGGATTTCTCCATTCTGGACATTTTCCATAAATGGAATCATACATTATGTGGCCTTTTGTGTCTGACTTGTTTCACTTAGCATGTTTTCAAGGTTCATCTGTGTTGTAACCTGTATCAGCACTTCCTTTTTATGGCTGAATACTGTTCCATTGTATGGATACACTAATTTTATTTATTCGTTTACCGGTTGTTTCCACTTTTTAGGCTATTATGAATGATGCTTCTTTGAATATTAATGTACAAGTTTTTGTGCAGACTATGCTTTTTTATATAAATGGAAGCTTCGCACAATGGCTCATGCCTGTAATCCCAGCACATTGGGAGGCTGAGGCAGGAGGATCACTTGAGACCAAGAGTTCAAGACCAGTCTGGACAACATAGCAAGATCCCATTTCTACAAAAATAAAAATCATCTGGGCATGGTACACCTGCAGTCCCAGCTACTTGGGAGGCTGAGGCGGGAGGATCCCTTGAGCCCAGGAGTTCAAGATTACAGAGAGCTATGATCATGCTACTGCACTCCAGCCTCAGCAACAGAGTGAGACCCTGTCTCTTTAAAAAGTAACAATAAGGGCTGGGCATTGTGGTTCATGCCTGTAATGGGAGGCTGAGGCAGGCGGATCACAAGGTCAGGAGATCAAGACCATCCTGGCTAAAATGGCTAAAATGGTGAGACCCCGTCTCTACTAAAAATACAAAAAATTAGCTGGGAGTGGTGGTAGGCACCTGTAGTCCCAGCTACTCGGGAGGCTGAGGCAGGAGAACTCCGGAGGTGTGAACCCGGGAGGCGGAGCTTGCAGTGAGCCAAGATCGAGCCACTGCACTCCGGCCTGGGCAACAGAGCAAGACTCCGTCTCAAAAAAAAAAAAAAAAAAAAAAAAAAAAAAAAAAAACGTAACAATAAGGAGATGGGATTAGACTGTAATATAATGCATCATATTATGCTCTATATTATATATGTAGTATATGTAATATAACATGTTATATATAACCTGCATTATGTACGTGATATACATCATACACTTTAATGATATAAATACATGTCTATATCATTACATAAAAGTATATCATATCCTTTTTAATAACTCCAGAGTATTAAGGATGAATACCTAGACATGAAATTCCTAGAACAGAATTCTTGCATTAAAAAAATCTATACCTATTATTATATTGCCTTTCAGATAGGCTATAGTAGTTTATACTCCAACCTGTAGCATATGAGAATTTCTCTTCATTGATGATAAGGATGAAGTAATAATGACAATAATACCTAGGATGAATGGAGTGCTTTTTATTGATTAGGCAGTCTGCTAGGTGCTTTACATGGATCATCTCTTTTAATCCTCAGAACAACTCTTTGAAGTAGGTACTGCTGTTTGTTTCCATTTTCAAAAGAGTAAACAAAGGTTCAGAGAACTAGCTCATCCCAGCCACAGACCCCTTATATAGAATTCATACTTACCACCAAAGCATCTTGGAGGCTGTTTCTGAAAATCACCCATAATTTTCCTGGTTTTTCCCTTAAAACCTTTTTTTGGGGGAGGGAGTTTCGCTTTTGTTGCCCAGGCTGGAGTGCAATGGTGTGATCTTGGCTCGCTGCAGCCTTCGTCTCCCGGATTCCAACTATTCTGCCTCAGCCTCCCAAGTAGCTGGGATTGTGGGCACACGCCACCATGCCCAGCTAATTTTTGTTTTGTTTTTTTTTTTAATTTTTGTATTTTTTAGTAGAGACGGGGTTTCACCATGTTGGTCAGGCTAGTCTCGAACCCCTGACCTCAGGTGATCCACCCGCCTCAGCCTCCCAAAGTTCTGGGATTACAGGCGTGAGCCACCACGCCCAGCTTTTTTTTTTTTTTTTTTTAAATAGAGACAGGGTGTCTTCATGTTGCCCAGGCTGGTCTTGAACTCCTGGACCCAGGCGATCCTCCCGCCTCGGCCTCCCAAAGTGCACAGGCATGAGCCACTGTGCCTGGCCTCCCCCAGCTTTTTTTGTTTTGTTTGGAGACAGGGCCTTACTCTGTTGCTCAGGCTGGAGTGCAGTGGCATGATCAGTGCTTACCCAACTCTTGAACTCAAGCAGTCCTCCCACCTCTGCCTCTCAAGTACACAGACACAAGCCACCATACCCAGACAATTTTTTTTATTATTATTTTATAGAGATGGGTCTCACTATGTTACCCAGGCTGGTCTTGAACTCCTGGCCTCAAGCAGTCCTCCCAAAGTGCTGGGATGGGGCCAGTGCATTGGCTCCCAGCACTTTGAGAGGCCAGGATGGGAGGATTGCTTGAGGCGAGGAGTTCAAGACCAGCCTGGGCAACATAGTGAGACTGCATCTCTACAAAGCACTGGGATTACAAGCATGTACTGAGCCACGAGGCCCAGCCCCTTGAGATGTTTTTAAACTTTTCTTTTAAACCGTATCATTCTGTTTCCACTTCTTTTTTTTTTTTTGAGATGGAGTCTCACTCTGTTGCCCAGGCTGGAGTGCAGTGGCACGATCTCAGCTCACTGCAACCTCCGCCTCCTAGGTTCAAGTGATTCTCCTGCCTCAGCCTCCTGAGTAACTGGGATTACAGGTGCCCACCACCACACCTTGCTAATTTTTTTTTTTTTTTTTTTTTTTTTTTTGTATTTTTAGTAGAGACAAGGTTTCGCCACGTTGGCCAGGCTGGTCTTGAACTCCTGACCTCAGGTGATCCACCCGCCTCAGCCTCCCAAGGTGCTGGGATTACAGGCGTGAGCCCACCGCAGCTGGCCTTCACTTCCTTTATATGCAGTCCTTACATTTCCACAGTTCACTTTTGTAATCTCAAAAAATTTTTATCTAACTGCTCTGCCCCACAAAGTAAAATTCTTTAAAAGGGGTTGTGAACTATCACCTTTTCCTTTCTTTTGGTGGTTCCAAAGAGAAGAAGGTTAAAATATAAAGACAGTCAATTTTATACTACTTGTAATTCCAAAGAATTTTTAAGGGAAGAATTTGAAAATCTGGGGTACAGGTATGGATTGCATCTATTCCTGTTACCTACTCCAAATAACCACAAAGCTACTCCAGACTTTGGAGACAGAGTTCTTTGGAACCAGTGCCAGGTCTGGGAGGCTCCTCTGCACTCCACCAGGCAGTGTTTCCCTGCAGCTCTGGGGCTGGCTCAGAGGTGTTGGGGTTGATGTTCATCATTGTCTGAGCCCAGAGCCACCCAGAGTGATGCTTACTGTCACTGCCTCAAGTTTGGAGTAGCTAAGTTAGTCAAACAGTTTCTAAGTACTGATCTTATAGGCTATATATACTTTGTATGACTGATCTTAAGTTTGCTGCATAGTATTTGGTCCATTGTTTGGGGTTTTTATTTTTAATTTGTTTTAGAGAAAGGTTCTTGCTCTGTTGTCCAGGCTGCAATATGGTAACATGATCCTAACTCACTGTGACCTCAAGCTCCTGGGCTTAAGTAATTGTTTGGATTTTTTTTTAGAAGACATTTGCATCAAATATATGAATTAACTCAAAACCAAGGATGTTCTGGTCAATTTGGATAGAATTTGACAAAAATGATTGTATTTTTTTTCTGGATCCAGAATCAGAATCATCTTAATAAGAAAGAAATTTTAAACTTTAAGGAAAACAAAAAACTTGTCCTTCTGCATCTAGGAATTTTTTTTCTTCGTAAGTGACTTTGACCAGTACAATGATTTGAATGTCTGTGTGTCAAGTTAGTTAGTAAAATGTCATAAGAAACTGAGTATTCTGTGGAAATAAACTAGCAAGTGGATTGCAAATTGTAAAGCATACAAATATAAGTTATACTTACAATTTTAAAATACATTTGTTAAAAAGACAAGATTATAGTGATGGAGAACAGCTCAGTGGTTGGCAGGGTTTGTGTGGAGGAGTAGGGTGACTATAAAGAAAAAACAGGGGTTTTGGGGGTGATGTGACCATTCTCTATGCTGAGCATGGTGGTGACTCTGTAAATGCATGTGGGAACTTTCATAGAACTGCTACATCTAAAGAGAAACTGTCAATTTTACTGTTCAGGCCGGGCGCGGTGGCTCATGCTTGTAATCCCAGCACTTTGGGAGGCTGAGGCAGGCGCATCACCTGAGGTCAGGAGTTCGAGACCAGCCTGGCCAACATGGTGAAACCCCGTCTCTACTAAAAGTTCAAAAATTAGCCAGGTGTGGTGGTGTGCGCCTGTAATCCCAGCTACTCAGAATGGTGAGACAGGAGAATCGCTTCAACCCAGGAGGTGGAGGTTGCAGTGAGCCGAGATCACACCACTGCACTCCAGCCTGGGCAACAGAGTAAGACTCCATCTCAAAAAAAAAAAAAAAAAAAAAAATTGCTTTTCAGTCATTTTGGAAATAAAATGTTAAATATGTTTTTATTTTTTACAAATATGTAAATCTGTTTTCATAGTAGTTATTCAATGCTTTTTTTGAGTGTCTACCATATACCAAGCTATTAAAACAGTTCCTTGAGTTTGCAGACCAAGTTACCCTCTAGACTATACAGACCTTTGATGACGCAGACAGGAAAGGCAAAGTCAAAATCACCCGTGCCCGTCTGTGTAGTAATTCACCTTTGCTGATTCTGACAGGTTTGGTCATTTGTTTAGCATCTTGTATTCCCTTATAAAAACATGTGCTGTGATTGTTTGCTTCAGTACTAGAGAACCCACTATGCATATAAGCAGTCTGAAGTGCAATGGCTACCAGACCTGATTTCCCAAATCAAGTATTAATTAGTGCTTTCAGTAGCTTGTGATTTGTGTTACGATACTTCAGTGCTTCCGGAAGTTGATGACATTGCATTCAAAGTAATACAGCAAGTTGCTTGCCCAGCTTATGGTAAAAGGGTGGTATGGTAAAAGGGTGGGTAAGTGCTGATTCTATAAGGACTAGTTATTATTAAGAGTGATAAAGTGACAGCTATGTGCATTAGACTTTTCCGGAGAGTAGCATTTGTTGAATTCTGCAAACAATAATTTGTTAACTTAAAGTAGGGAAGAAGTGATGCATGTATAAACAGAGCATATAGGGAATTCTGAAAAACTTTAGTAAAACCTAATCTTTTAAAAATATGTGTTATACAATATTAAGGAATCTTGATCATGATAATTATTGGGGCACAGAGAATAAATTTTAGTCCAAATCAATCTCATAGCTTCTTTTATGAGTATATCCCTTAAATCTTACCTAGTCCAGTGGCTTCCTGATGAGGAAACAGGCAGATGTTTCTCCTGCTGTTACTTCTGAACAGAAACTATTTAGAAATTCCAGTTAGTTGGTTAGAATCTAAACCAGATTTTTTCAGTGCATGTAAGTTGGCTGTTTGGATGACTGTGAACCACATATTCCTAAGAGAGACTGTTTTATGATGGTGTCTTTAAATGACAGATTGAGAGGCCACCCCCATAATGATACACTTAAATCCACCTAAACAAATGTGGAATGAGACAATGAAAGCACCAGGTGCTACTGGTTTAAAGTAATGTAAAGCAGTAATCACCTAAGCAGGATGATTAGTTTCACTGCTAGCAGATGCAAAGCCCATATTATGAC
This sequence comes from Homo sapiens, assembly GCF_000001405.40. NCBI lineage: Eukaryota > Metazoa > Chordata > Mammalia > Primates > Hominidae > Homo > Homo sapiens. The sequence goes on along the minus strand of NC_000012.12, from coordinate 120,776,889 downwards.
AAATGATATTTTAACTACCTTGAAGTCTCAGTCCCCCATGTGGTCTGAGTTTCTCAGTAATCCCACTGCTAACTTTTTGATGGCTCTCCTTTCTTGAACCTCTTTATTCACATGTCCAGACACACATGATACTATTTACATGTTTTGCTGAGGGTTTAAAAGTGCTTAGTAAGCCGCTGACCCAAAAAAGATGAGCTGTTTCTCAAAACAATAAGCAGTGTGGTCTTTCTACCCTTAGCTCTGTCCTATCTTAGCATTGCAGAGAACAGAAAAAATGCCTGTTTACTAATAGTATGTTACCAAAAAAAAAAAGTTCAGCATGGTGGAAGGTGACATTCTTTTCACAGCCATTGGAAACATACACTTTAGAGCAAGTCGGGAGAATTTTATTCGTTGTACTTCTGCAGACAGGTCTGGAATGGGTTTATCAGACTCACTAAAGGAGGAATGGGGTGAGCACCTCTCTGTAAGACATACTAAAGGGTCTGTTTTACAATGCGAGTCCCTTCCTCTAGACTGTACAGTTGACAGAAAATTGGCCATAAAGAACAAACTTTTTTCCCCAGTGGCCGCTATCAGAAGTACATTTCCATTGGAAAATTCACTTCATAGTTGAAAAGTTTTGCTGAATGTTCAGTGAGGCTCCCCGAAACCCTAATTAGAATTTTACCACATTTTTCTGTCATTATTGCAGTTTCCCAGTATTACTTATCCACAGATCTCTTCTTCCTGCCAGTTTGCACTGGTTGAAACGCCCTTGTGACCAAGGATGGAATTTTTCCTCAAAGAGAGCCTTTGAGCTTTTCGTTTGTTTCTCAGACTAGTGTTTGACTTGTTTTCTGCTGTCACAGTAGTCTGGCTTTCTAGCCATGTTGTGTAATACACTGTAGTGTCTTGCTCTCTGCTGTGAATATTATCTTTCAGACTTCTCTGCAGAATCTGAAATCATCTTGTAAGCAGTGATATTTGGTGGCTGGGTTTTTTTTTTAATTAGTGTTTCTTAACTGAAGTCTGTTCTTTGAAGTTAATTTAGAGTGAAAACAGGATAATAAATTATTTTCAGGGCTACACTAAGAAGTATTAACATTAAGAATGGACTTCGGGATTTTCCCGAACTGAAGTCTAGGGCTGTTTTATCTACTCTCAGTTTCATCTGGCAAATTAACCTTTCAAATTTGGGAAGACTTGAAAGAGTTGGACCTATGGGTGATGGTATGTTAGCTAAAAGCTGATGAATATTGAGTACACACCCCTAGTGATCAAGGATCATAGAACCTGGTTTACAGTCTATCCCCTGCCTAGTTCAGGGACTAACAGAATCTTGACAGATGTCTGATTCAGTCCCCTCGTTTTATAGCAATTGCTACTAACCTATGATTAGAACATGTTTAGGGCCAGAAATCTAACAATTGATATTTTGTTTTAAAATGCTACACTCAACCGGGCACGGTGGCTCACACCTGTAATCCCAACTCTTTGGGAGGCGAAGGTGGGCAGATCAGTTGAGGTCAGGAGTTGGAGACCAGCCTGGCCAACATGGTGAAACCCCATCTCTACTAAAAATAAAAAAATTAACCAAGGTGTGCTGGCATGCACCTGTAGTCCCAGCTACTTGGGAGGCTGAGGCAGGAGAATCACTTGAACCTGGAAGGCAGGGGTTGCAGTGAGCTGAGATTGCACCACTGCACTCCAACCTGGGCAACAGAGTGAGACTCTGCCTCTAAATAAATAAATAAATAAAATGCTACACTCTTGGTGCGCTGACTCCACATAGGGCATAGATATCTAGAGAGCCTGTATCGCGAATGTGAGCACTGCTTAGAAACCTTACAGGTTATGTCATCCTCGTAGAGAACATTTGAGCTCGGTTTGGTGTCACTGTCTTTGTCCCTGACTCACTGGTTGTAGAAGACAATGTAATACAGAGATATCAGTGATAAATTGAAAATAACTCTAGCTAAATGGCTAAGATTAATCATTTACTTCCCCCAACACTTTTGGTTAATGTACATTTAACCAAAAGTTAAGTGTGTTGGTAAACCTATAAGAGAGAGTCTCAGGAGTGTCTAAAGCCGCAAGGGAAAGAGAGCACCTCCCTTCACTTTAGCCTTGAAAAGCCCTGAGGAGGAGGTAAGATTTTTTAAGGGTTACTTGAATGACAGAATGAAAGGCAGGCAAACTAGATTGAGAGCATGTTCTGGGAATACGACATTGCTTGTGGCAGTGTTCGCTGGGTCAGAGTGGTATTTATTCCACATGCCTCTAAGAGCCTTCTCTGAGACAGTCAAAAGGATGCCTTCTGCCTCTTCATACACGGAACTTAGACTAGAGTGGGGAGGACCTAGATGGTCTAATTGGAAAGAGGGTGTTCAGCTTAACGCAGATGGAGAGAAGGGATAGGCTGAGGAATAGGAACCCGTTCAGACAGATGCCAAGGCAGAGCCAGCATGGTGCTCAGCTCCACTCTGTGGAGGTTGTGCCTCCTGAGTTTATGCAACTTTATAATTAGACTTGATTCGTCATAGAGAAGGGAACCTGGTGACCTTCAGGCAGGAAATTATGTGAACAGATGTTTGACAGTGGCAGTGAACAGTACATGGGAAAGAGTAAGAGGGAGGGAGGGAAAGGAGACACAGCAAAGTAGGAAGTGGGTGGAGGTGTGAGCAAGGTCTGCAGTAACAGTAAAGGATAACACCTCAGAATGGCTGCAGATTTCATGTGTATGATGAGAGGCTGTGATGTGTTGAAGATGAACCCAGACTTTCTTATTTGGAAGGTTAGGATAGAATGACACTGTCTGGAGTCATGGAAAACCCAGTCACTGAGCAGTCTGTTCCATGTTTAGTTTAGACGCAGGTGGAGGAGGATTAGCATGAGATGAATGACAAAGCAGCAGGTGGATGCTCAGACCTTGTGACCTTTCAAGGCTCCTGCGCAGTTAGGATGAAGTGATTCTATGGCAAATTGAGTACAAAAGTTCAGGAAGGGCCAGACGCGGCGGCCCATGCCTGTAATCCCAGCACTTCGGGAGGCTGAGGCAGGTGGATCACCTGAAGTTAGTAGTTCAAGACCAGCCTGACCAATATGGTGAAACCCCATCTCTATTAAAAATGCAAAAATTAGTTGGGCATGGTGGCGGGCGCTGGTAGTCACTTGAGAGTCACTTGAACCTGGGAGGCACAGGTTGCCGTGAGCCAAGCTTGTGCCACTGCACTCAGCGTGGGCGACAGAGCAAGACTCCATCTCCAAAAAGAAAAGGTCAGGAAGGGACAGGTCGTCTACATGTGTCACAGAGGCGAATAAACTTACCCCGAGGAGCCTGGCCTCTTGCTTCTCTGTTCAGTCTGTTTCCCTGCCCCGCTTTTGGTTACTGGTGAGCTGCATCATTCAGTCCTCTGACCCTCACTCCCCGCAGACTCCTGTCTCCCGTCTGTCCATCCTAGGCCTTCTGTTACTTTCTTCGTGCCCTTGATGCCTTGCATTCCATGTATTCACCTGTAAGTCCATGAACAGATCACCCTAGCCAGTATCTATACACAAACCTGTGTCTCACCTGTGCTCTGGCCCGATGGGCTTCCCACCTGCTGCTGACCACTGTTGTTCCTCCAGCCAGATGAGCTGCTCCCTGGTAATGTCCTGGTTATTGACTCATGACACAACCAAATCTTTGTTTCCTAAAGATGATGATCATGGGAGGTCCTGTCCTTTCAAATATGCGTGTGAGTTGATCAGAGCAGGGGCTCTGGGTACATCTCTCAGTGTCCTAAACATCATGTTTCAGTCATCCCTTTGCAGCTCTGAATGCTCTGAGCTTTGTCAAGCCTCACTGACTAATACATTTCATTAGGTTCATTTCAAATGACATGCATTTGTATACATTTTACCAGGTTGGTTGTATGAATTTATTTAAAAATTAAAGGAGACCTTAGTATAATAAACATTCTATATGATTATAAAGTCAGGAATTAGATCTTGACCACATCTCTCCAGAACTCACACTGCAGCTCACCCTGTAACTCAGTGAGCGCTTGATAACAGTGATGATAGTGGAGATGAAGATATATATTTTGCTCTTCCTAGGTTGAATACTGTCTTTCCAACTCCTCTGAGTTGTAGGGATGAGGCAGCTTTTTCTCCTCTGTGTTTATATTAGCACCGTGCACACAGTAGGAACCCATGAAACAGTAATTTAGTTGATGTGTCCAGGGTCTGCCAAGCTGCTGTATTTATCCACTTTATTACATATATTGACAATTTACCACCAGTTCTATGAAAATGAAATATATCTGTTCATATGGCTTTTTACTTTCCTTAGAATAATTTGAAATTTGAAGTTAATAGAACACAGTTTTGCATTCATTCAGCAAGTATTTATTGAATGTCTACTCTGTCAAGTGCTAGGGATCCACAGAAAGAATCAGACATGGTTTCTGTTTCCCAGGAGCACGTGGTCAGCTAGCACAGGGAATAAACTTACCAGTATGTAAATATTCACAAGGTCATAGAATGGATGAGTGAGTTGAGAGACATTCAACGTTCTATGGCACATCACATAGAAGAAGCAACTGGGCCGGGCGCGGTGGCTCATGCCTGTAATCCCAGCACTTTGGGAGGCCGGGGTGGGTGGATCACCTGAGGTCAGGAGTTTGAGACCAGCCTGACCAACATGGTGAAACCCTGTCTCTACTAAAAATGCAAAAATTAGCTGGGTGTGGTGATGGATGCCTGTAATCCCGGCTACTCGGGAGGCTGAGACAGGAGAATCACTTGAACCCAGGAGGTGGAAGCTGCAGTAAGCTGAGATTGCACCATTGTACTGCAGCCTGGGCAACGAGCAAAACTCTGTCTCAAAAAAACAAAAAAAGAGCAGCAGCAACTGACTGGTTGGATCAGGAAAGACTCTGAGAAAGGACTCCTGACCTGGCTCTTCCAGAATGAGGATGGATTTTCCATATGAAGGAGCCGGGGGCAGGACCTTCTGGGTAGAGCGTGAAAAGAACACAGTATGTGTGGAGAGCGGGAAATTGTGTTGAACTGTCTAGAAAACAGAGCCACAGGAATGCGTGTTGAGGGCTTGGGCTGTACAGTGGAGAGTGCCCTCCCTGGCCAGGGAGTTGGACATTCATCCCACCACAAGACCCCATGAAGAGTTTCTCAACAGCTCTGTGTCCTCATCAAACCTGTGTTTGCAGAACAGTGGAGGAAGAGAGCTGAAGGAGGGGAGAGGCCCTGCACCTGCCAGGCCCTGGCCTAGACTACAAGGGTGAGCACTGAGCCATGCTCTCGGGGAACCTTCACTGGAGTTGAGGGCAGTGAGAATGTTTAAAAAAAAGAAGAAATTATGTATATCAGAAGTTGAGAAATGAAAAATAAGACAAGGGCAGGAAGTATGATCTTAAATGTAATTGCAGGAAAGTCCACCTGTCATTGAGAAGCTAGTACTTGCGTGAAGAACTGTGAAAGACGAGGAGCGGAGCCAGTTGGGTTCTGGGAGGAGATCGTTCAGGCAGAGGGCACAGTAAATGCAGAGCACTGAAGCGGCGGCGTGGCCGAAGCGGCGGCATGGGGGGTAGAGTGAGGAGGCTGCTGTGGCTGGCAAAGGAAGTAGCAGGAGGTGACCTGAAGGGTCACCGTCACAGCAGGACCTTGTCAGCCAGTATGAAGACTGTGGCTTTTACTCTATGGGAAGTTGTTTAAGAGTTTTGAGCTAGGGGCCCCATAAAACCTGCCTTAGGGTTTAAGAAGCTGCTTCTGTCTGCACTGTGAAGAAGAGACTTGTTAGGGGTTAAGTTGGAGGCAGAGAGGCCAGGGAGGAGGTCATTGCAGCAATGCACGCCAGGAGAGGATGGCGGCTTAAGCCAGGCAGGGTGTAAAAGAGAGACGGGTCAAAAACGACATCACAGATTTCCGTCTGCACAATTGGAAGCAAAGAGTAAATGCTTGGAGACAGAAGACTGCACTGTTAAGAGCTGAGTTTGGACATGTTAGATTTGAGAGGCCAACTAGACAGCCAAGTATATATGTCTCTTAGGCCACAGGATGTATGAGTCTGGAGCTCCAAGAAGAGATTCAGGCTGGAAATTAAAATGTGTGAGTTGATGACATATAAGATAGATAGTGTCAAGAGCCTTGAGATTGGACGAGATCACTGAGAGAGGAAAAGATCTGAGGAAAGGCCCGTGGAGTTCTGGGAATTGAGGAGGAGCTACAGAGAAGCCTGAAAAGGCCAGTGAGTGGGGAGGAACAGGAGAGCACATTGTCCTGAGAATCAAGGGAAAAGGAGGGAGCCATTAGCTGGGCGGGTTGCTGCCTAAAGGTCGGGTAAGAGGAGGACAGGTCGATTACTGTGTCTAGCAATGAGGGGATCCTTGGCAAGCCCCCAGGAGCAGTGTCAGTGGAGTAGCAGGGATGAAAGCCCTGCTGGAAGTGATCGAGCACTCAAATGATAACATCTAATTTATGGGAAATATATGGGATAGAGGAAAAGCCAACCACTGCAATAGAGAAGCACAGAAAAATCCAGATGACTCCAGTTTCAGCAAGTCATTAAAAAAAGGACTTTAGGCTGGGCATGGTGGCTCACACCTGTAATCCCAGCACTTTGGGAGAACAGGGTGAGAGGATTGCTTGAGATCAGCCTGGGCCACATAGCAAGACCTCATCTCTACAAAAAATACAAAAATTATCCAGGTGTGGTGGCACATGCCGGTGGTCCCAGCTACTCAGGAGGCTGAGTATTGCTTGAGCCCAGGAGGCAGAGGCTGAAGTGAGCCAAGATCGCATGACTGCACTCCAGCCTGGGCAACAGGGCAAGACCCTGTCTCAAAAAAAATAAAAGTGGTGGGGTGGACTATGTCAGATTGGAAACCAGCACAGACAAACCATCTGCAAAAGATGTTTTGGGGTCTATAGAGAAATTTGATTAAATGAGGTGAAAATTCACCCAAATGGAAACTGGGGGTTGTTGGCTTTGGTGGAGGGGGGGAACAGATTGTGTGATCTCATTAGATTAAAAAAAAAAAGTATGTAAAAAATTATTGGCTGGGTGCAGTGGCTCATGCCTGTAATCCCAACACTTTGGGAGGCCAAGGCAGGTGGATCACCTGAGGTCAAGAATTCGAGACCAGCCTGGCCAACATGGTGAAACCCCATCTCTACTAAAAACACAAAAATTAGCTGGGCGTAGTGGTGGGTGCCTGTAATCCCAGCTACTCGGGAGGTTGAGGCAGGAGAATCATTTGAACTCAGGAGACAGAGGTTGCAGTGAGTCGAGATTGTGCCACTGCACTCCAGCCTGGGTGATACAGCGAGACTCCATCTCCAAAAAGAAAAACAAAATTCTAGGAAGATATTGAACAGTGGTAATCTCTGAAAAGTGGGAATGTAATTTTTTTATTTTGCTTTACTGTATTCTCTAGTTTTCTATAACGCAGTTAATGAATTGCTGGGATGATGCCTCCAGTGAATGAAAGGGGGTGCTATCTAGGGTGTGAGTTCACTTTAAAGCAGGGAGCAAGGACAACACATCCACAACATTGGAGGGAAGGCAGGAAAAGAGAGCTTGGAGGTCTTGGACTGGTTTCCTGGGTCTCCAACAGCCGAGCACTATGTCTAGGAGGAGGAAAGCAATCACCCCAAATTCCACAAGTCCAAACAGGCTGAAGAAGCGGGTGTTTTGCACCAGTTGCATGTAAGTTTCTGAAGCTGGAGCTTAGGGCTGCCTGATTTTTGAGGGAATTGCAAACTCTGTGAAGGGCCATAGCTTGTGGAAAGAGGATGAGCCTGGAGTCCACACTGACTGCTGTCTGCTGTACCCTGTCTCCTCCCCAGCACTGGCCATGGGCCTCTGTGTCGCCATGATCGCCTTTGTCCGCCTGCCGAGCCTCAAGGTCTCCTGCCTGCTTCTCTCAGGGCTTCTCATCTATGATGTCTTTTGGGTAAGCGTTTATGTCCTTGGAGCTCCTCCCCTTCTTTGTGTTGAAGTGAAGCATTCATGCCTGAAAACTATTAACTAGAAGTATCCAAAGTCGGGCTTGCCCAGCTGCTGATCACTCTCTCTCCAGTCCTTAACTGTATCATGGGTGTGCAGTCCGATCCTTTTGTTTGCTGAAAAGTCGTACAGTAGGTAGTGTGTGTGTGTGACTCCTAGGATAGAAGAGGTAACAGGCTGACAAGATTCGCTGCAGTGGGGGCCACCCCGTCAGGGAGTAATCTCTGGGTGTGGAGAGTGCAGAAATTGGCAAGTACACAGGAAGAGCAAAGATTTTCTCAAATCATACAGTCAACGAAAGCATTGCAGTCACAGCATTCTGAGACTCTGCTCTTAAGAGCAAGGAGGGCTGATGCTGAAAGCAGGTTGCTTCCAACTCCCTCTGTTAAAGGCATCTCTCCAACTCGGCAGGTATTTTTCTCAGCCTACATCTTCAATAGCAACGTCATGGTGAAGGTGGCCACTCAGCCGGCTGACAATCCCCTTGACGTTCTATCCCGGAAGCTCCACCTGGGGCCCAATGTTGGGCGTGATGTTCCTCGCCTGTCTCTGCCTGGAAAACTGGTCTTCCCAAGGTAAGACCTCATGCTATGACAGGACCACACTGTCTTCCTGTGCCTATCTGTTCCCGGCCTTGATCAGTCTCTAATGTCATCAGCATTCTGATCCCAACCTGGGGCCATTATCTCCATGCTGCAGAAGAGGAAATGAGGATGAGATTCTTGGCTTGCCAAGAAGGATCACTGAGTGATCCAGGCGGTGCCTTTTATTATTGATTAATGTCAGCAAACAGCCATGCCTTACTGCTGTTTCCACTGTTTAGAGTTGGCTGGAGGGAGTTAGGAGAATCTCGATCCTTTTAACTTGTAAGATATTTATAAAAATAAGTTCTAATGGTAGAATTATACAACTCCTGGTAATATAATCTTGGCAGAATGAATGTGCTGCTTTAATCTTCCACCTGTAATAGTAGCCAGGTGCTTATTTGAAGTCTCAACAGTGAATGTGTCACAAATGATGAATTGTTTGACATTTCTAGAGGAAGCAGCACTTATGCAAATCACTTCAGCAGTCACTTCCAAGGGGCTCTCCTGAAACAGGGGGGCCAAGGTGGAGACCTCTAGTGCCAGTACTGTTGCAGCTTTTTCTCTCTACACTCTTAAAACTAATGTTCCATCAGAAGAGATTTCCATCTGCCATGCAGATAAGCTCTTTGACTCCTTAAAAAGCTAACAAACTTTGCACAAAAGGAATAGAAACTGGATTGTAGAGTGTGACGTCACTAACCTGTGAAACTGCATTCCAGCTCCACTGGCAGCCACTTCTCCATGTTGGGCATCGGAGACATCGTTATGCCTGGTCTCCTACTATGCTTTGTCCTTCGCTATGACAACTACAAAAAGCAAGCCAGTGGGGACTCCTGTGGGGCCCCTGGACCTGCCAACATCTCCGGGCGCATGCAGAAGGTCTCCTACTTTCACTGCACCCTCATCGGATACTTTGTAGGTAAGAGAACCAGAGAGACTGCAGATGATCCTCGCTCTGGCTGTCCTCCAACCTTTGGAATTAAATCAGGTCTTCTAGCTACAGTTACTGGATGGAAGGAGAGCAGGAATTCTGGGTGCTGTAATAGACAGCCTGGCCCGTGAGATGCTAAGTGTTTTGTGTACTGGATAGGCCAGTTCCCTCTCCAGCTGTGTATCTGAAGAACGTTGTAGGAAAAGCAGGTCAGTCCTCAAAGCCAAGGACACACAGCACACAGTGCAGTGGATTAGTCTGTGCTTAAATCTTCCTCTAGAGTTGAATGACTGTCGTATTTATTTCCTACTTTATTCAATAGATACTTACTTACATTCATTAGTTCTACATTTCTGCCACTCTGACCTAGGCCAAGTTTTGTAGCCAGCTCATGTGTAGGCAGACAGGAGATGATTGTGATGGGGCTGGGAAAAGCAGTAACCTGCCCGCACATGCAACTGCTCCCGCACAGTGACTGGAAAGGAGCTTTTGCACTCCGTACGTCCTCCTCAACCCCAGCACTGTCCTCGTCCCACAGCAGTTCATTCACATGGGTTCATTTCAGTCCACAAACTCAGAGGGGCAAGGCAAGTGGCATTATCCCCATTAGACAGATGAGCAAGCTGAGGCTCAGAGAGGTGGAAGGTCTGAACTACATTTATGTTAGCTATTGTGAGTAGCAGAGTTGGAACTTGAACCCAGGTCTTCTGCCTCCCAAGTCCAGCATCACAGGAGACAGAGGCACACTTGGAGCTGGAAGGAGGGTTTGAACCCAGGAACCTGAGCAAGGAGTGAGACTTGGGTCAGTCATGTGTCCTTGGAGTTGTAGGTGTTTTTTAAAGCTGTGCTGATCCACATTTCTTCAACTGCCCAAGCTGGGCATTTCACACCCCAACCATAGAATGGACGACAGCACATTAGATCTGTACAGTTGCAGGACTTTGCCCAGCAGCAGCCAGGTGACACGGGTTCCCTCTCGTGTCTCACAGATGCCTCTCTCTCCTCACAGGCCTGCTCACTGCTACTGTGGCGTCTCGCATTCACCGGGCCGCCCAGCCCGCCCTTCTCTATTTGGTGCCATTTACTTTATTGCCACTCCTCACGATGGCCTATTTAAAGGTGAGAGCAGCAGTTATAAACCTGTGAAAGCAATAACTTGGATTGGCCTGTGCCTCGGTTTGCACTCTCCTCGCTGGAGGTGATTCTGCTTAAGCCCCTGAGTGAGCTTGTGATCTCGACTGTGTGTGTGTGTGTGTGTGTGTGTGTGTGTGTGTGTGTGTGCGCGCGCGCGCTACCCTGGCGTTAGCAAACGCTTCCAGATTCGTGCAGCCACTGACAGAAAATGCTGATGAGCTAGACCACTACACCACCTGGTCGAGGAATAACTAATTGAAAGCCCCAGAGCCCAGCTGAGGGTACTTCCTGCTTCTGTTCAAAGCAGTGCCCTCCTGCCACCTAACAGCTTAACACTACGTTAAAGTTTGGGAATAATTAAGATTGAATAGTGTTGAGGCAGCATATGATAAAACCAGAGTTCAAGAGCACATTATTTCCCAGATATCTATTCTCAGCCCCGTTTTACAGATGAGGAAGCAGATACAGAGGTCAACTTACTTGCCCAGCTCACTTGACTCACTACCTCTAGAGAGTTGATAAAAGCCCTTTTCTTGCTCAGGGAGCCTAAAAGCACCCCTTCTAGGGAGTCCTCCTAAAAATAGTGGGTTATTTTTGAATGGGTAAGATTTAAATGCTCTTTGGTTTCCCACAGAAGCAATCTGATCTCAGATCAAGCATCAGAAAGGGGCCAGGGGCATGGTGGCTCACGCCTGTAACCCCCGCACCTTGGGAGGCTGAGGCAGGCGGGTTAAGAGTTCAGGACCAGCCTGGCCAATATGGTGAAACCCTGTCTCTACTAAAAACACAAAAATGAACTGGGCATGGTGGTGAGTGCCTGTAATCCCAGCTACTCAGGAAGCTGAGGCAAGAGAATCGCTTGAACCCAGGAGTCGGAGGTTGCAGTGAGCTGAGATCTCGCCACTGCACTCACTCCAGCCTAGGTGACAGAGTGAGAACCCATCTCAAAAAAAAAAAATATCAGAAAGGGGCCAAGCGCAGCAGCTCATGCCTGTAATCCTAGCACTTTGGAAGGTCGAGGCAGGAGAATTGCCCGAGCCCAGGAGTTTGAGACCAGCCTGGCCAATATATAGGAAGACTTCATACCTGGAAAAAAAATTTTTTTTTTTTAAAGAATCAGACAGCTGTGTGTGCCTCATGTTTAAATCTGTAACTTAGAAAGTCCCTTGTTTCCCAGGGCGACCTCCGGCGGATGTGGTCTGAGCCTTTCCACTCCAAGTCCAGCAGCTCCCGATTCCTGGAAGTATGATGGATCACGTGGAAAGTGACCAGATGGCCGTCATAGTCCTTTTCTCTCAACTCATGGTTTGTTTCCTCTTAGAGCTGGCCTGGTACTCAGAAATGTACCTGTGTTTAAGGAACTGCCGTGTGACTGGATTTGGCATTTAAAGGGAGCTCGTTTGCAGGAGAGAGGTGCTGGAGCCCTGTTTGGTTCCTTCTCTTCCTGCGGATGTAGAGGTGGGGCCCCTTCCAAGAGGGACAGGCCTCTCCCCAGCGCGCCTTCCTCCCACGTTTTTATGGATCTGCACCAGACTGTTACCTTCTGGGGGAGATGGAGATTTGACTGTTTAAAAACTGAAAACAGCGAGGAGTCTTTCTAGAACTTTTGAACACTAAAAGGATGAAAAAAATTAGCAAACCGAAGTTTCTTCAATGACCCCTCGAGAACTTTGGGACCAGTTTCCTATAGGGGACTCAGTTTCAGAGAACTGAGACAGAAGCTCTTCTGTCGTTATATTCTTCTTTCCTTTTTTTGGATTTATTAAATATTTTCTGTGGTGTGAAGTGACTTATTAAATCCACAGACATTGAGTGACTTCTTACAACATCCACATAAGAATTTGTTGTAATGAGTTCATGTCCACCCAGATGTTGTGTTGGCAGTGAACAAGGGCACGGTTTTTATACATACGTACATATATATATATAAACACACACATAGATATATATGAATAAACAAAAATGAAATCCTGCTAAGATCACGCTGTGTAGCTGACAGGGGCTTGCTGTCGTTTTGAGCATGTCGAGCAGTTTACTGTGGCTTCCTTGTATATGGATAAGCTGCTGTCCTTCCCCTTCACAACTGACCCCGCAGTTACAAACTAGTATAGCATTTGTGCTGATTGATGATAGACTCATGGACTTCAGGAGCCCTTACTTGGTTTTGATCAGTGTAGCAAATTAGGGATGAAGAGTTCAAACCTTTTGGCCCTTTCTTTCTTTTCTAGGCTTCTCCCTCGCAGGGTGTTCCGTAGTTTCTTCTCGAGCCAATGCATGTATTATAGCAGCAGGTGTCTTTGTGCTTTCTCATCATAGTAACGTACTACTTGTAAATACATTTTTCTATTTTCTATTTTTTTGTATTTTTTTTTTTGACATTTTGTTTCATTGGTGTGCTGTATATTTTCCATGCCCTCACTCCTTTAAGAAAAAAAAAAAGGAAAAAAGCAACACAATCCTGTCCTTGCTGTTGTGATTATAGTCTTGGTTTACCTGTGGTGACAACCGGGTGTTGGGGACACATGTCAAATGCCCCTCTGAGATGGGCCCTAAATTCCAGTAACTGGGGAAAGAACCAGCTGCTGTGTCCTGAGAGCCTGGCCCTGTGCTGTGGTCTCTGCTGCAAGCCCAGATTTCTGGGAGTAACTAGTGTTAGGTCTGCTGACCTTTACCTAAGCAGCCCCTGCCTGGTAAGAAGGTGCCCATTGTTCAGAGGCAAAGAGAAGCCTGCGGTTGGCATGAGGATGCCTGACAACAAAGGCTGGAGAAGGGCCCTGAGTTCCAGCCTCTCCCCAAGGGTCCCCGCCCCAGTGGCTGCCTCTGTCTTGACCTGTGTAATGAATTAGTGTGCTGTGTCACTGTGGCTTGAAGTCACTGTGGATCGAGCTCACAGGGGGCACCCATCCTGTTGTCAACAGAGTCTGAAGCAGTCAGGGTGTTGGATTCCTCTGTTGTTGTCATCAATTCCTGCTGAGGGGTTTCTGGGGTTTTGTTTTTAATAAATGACTCCTTTGTAGCCTTTGTCACATAATCTTCACTTTGGTTGTTGGTACCAAACAGAGCTCCCAGCCATCTCCTCCCTGTTCTGGAAGACTGATGGGAAGACTCTGTCTGTCCCCAGACCTGGTCATCTGCAGCTCTGGCCCAGTCATAGATACATCAAAGAACTGAAGCTTCTGCTGTCCACAGAACTCAAAACTGCCTCTGCATTGGGTGAAGACTAAAAATCCACTTGCGGACTCTCCCTTCCTTCCTTCTCAGCCCTCGAGGATGCATATAGCTAATTAAGCAGGCCCAGAGACAGAGAGGGGGGCTCCAAAATGACTCGGATTAAGGGCAAGTGCCAGTGATGGGTAGAAATAACGTTATCCTTCATGCCTGTAATCCCAGCACTTTGGGAGGCCGAGGCAGGTGGATCACAAGGTTGGGAGCTCGAGACCAGCCTGGCCAACATGGTGAAACCCCGTCTCTACTAAAAACACAAAAATTAGCTGGGCATGGTGGCAGGCGCCTGTAATCCCAGCTATTTGGGAGGCTGAGGCAGAAGAATCGCTTGAACCTGGAAGGCGGAGGTTGCAGTGAGCAGAGATTGCGCCACTGCACTCAAGTCTGGGCGACAGGGTGAGACTCCATCTCAAAAAAAAAAAAAAAAAGGAAATGTTATCCTGGCAGTGGGTCATTTTAATTTTTCTGTCTTTGTTTTCATAAGAAAATTAAATTCCAGACAGAAGGAACGTCGTTATTTTGTCATTCTCACTTCTGTGCAGGTTTTGGGGGGAAATACCCACACAGGGCTGTGAATGCACCCTGGATTCCAGTTGCTAATCTTCAAAGCCCTTAAAACACTCCCTTAAAACTTTGGCAGAGAAACAGCAAATACTCTACTCGTCTCGGAGGGTTGAGTGGGTGGCTGCAGTTAAAGCACACATTAGACTTCCCTTCCAGTGCTCGTTTGCTCCCCGCTGCCTGATACACTTAGGTCCGCCTCTTATTCTGTTTTCTCAAATACCATGGTTTAGGGGTTTTCTAGGAAGTCTGCTGCATTAGGCATGGCATGCTCATGAAATTTCAGCAGATTCCTTCCTCACTGATCTGAAGTCCTTTTTCCTCACAAAGAGACTGTGTGTTACTAGAACTCCCGCTTTTTAATAACTCTTTTTTCTAGTTTGAGCTAATGAAGATATGACAGTAAAGTCTGTCCAAAGCCTAGTGTGTTCCATTGCTGTTATTACAGTGCATACGCTTTCTGAATGTGACAGTGACAGCTCCCCGCATAGGAACGGTTCGGTGGCTTGGGACTAAGCTACTGTCTGAATTACTTTTGTAGCAGGCTCACAGGCCTTGGGTAAACAGGTAAGTTAGGTCACCCACAAGAAAAACAAAAGTACTCGTTCTCTGTGAGGGTGGAGGGGAAGGGAGTTCCATTTTGCCAATCAAGTGTTAAAAATAGAACCTGCTGTGTCTGCTTAGCAGCTCTCACGTTACTGCTCACCAGATCCCATGTTGTGTGTACGTTTCTGTTTTGTAAAGCCTAGCGTTTACGTCAGAGCCTGGGAATGCAGCACTCGTGTCTATACATGGGAGTACATGCCTTAGGGACATCATTTATACAACCCCCTTCTCTACAGAGCTATGTCAGCGGTACAGGCTCAGAAGGAAGCCATCTCGGTCTCTTTCTGGTCTTCAGTGCACAGTGGCCAGGACAGCCTCCCCCACTTCACCGAATCACATTTCTTCAGCAGTTTCCAACAGTGAAATCATTTCTAGGACAATGGCTGCTAACACGTGTCAGCTGAAGCACTGCAGATCGAGTCATCCAACTCAAGCTTCTTCCTCTTATTGGAAGGGATAAACCAGGTAAGACTTTTTAATCCAGAAATTATTCCTATTCCCTGCAATGTATAGGGTGCTTTCTATCTGCAAAACTCTAAACTCAAATTTCTGCAGGTTCAGATTCCAACTGTCTCATGCGCAGAGACTCTCCCATCACAAAATTCTTCCCGCTCCAGCCATCATCTGTTTCCTCCTCAGCCTTTCCCTTGAAATCCAGAGCCCTTTCCTGTCCGTTAGAGGCAATCAGTCATGTTTCAGTGAAGCTTGAGGCACTGGGCCCCCCAGTGAACAAAACCAGACATCCTGACCCCCTACTCCTGCGGTCTGTGCAGGGCTTGCTTTAGCATGCTTGGCTTGTGGGGAGGGGGTGTGGCAGCCATTCCCACACAAGGTCACGCAGGGATGCCACAGTGCGTTCAAGAGTAGAATCCACAGCCTTCTCTCCGTAACTCTGGGCCTTGCTGTAAATAGCAGAGGCTTGGGCTGGGGATCCTGTATCACTGGACGGGATGTGCCAATGAAGAGAAGGCTGAGAAGCAAGTTGGTGTAGGAGAAGCCCAGTGCTCCTGGTGGACACAGGCCTGCATTCAACCAAATGTCTGAAGACAAGCGAAAGCCTACAGCCCCAAGCGCAATGATCTTTCGTCACTACAGGTTTCAGAAGTCTTACCGCACGGAGCCAGTGGTTAGCAGGTGCTTGATACAAACATCCTGCAGGGAGGCTGTGAAGATTCTAACTGCAGCACTTACGGAGGAGCACTTTAGCGTGCGGTAGATTTCCTAGATAACCTGAGGTCTTAAGAATTCATGCGGCAGACTCCGCTTCGCTTCTGGTTCCTTTCATTTGGAGTCTGCCTAACCAGTTTTTCTCTTAAGTTCCAAGACATCTTCTTCCTGTTGAGTAGAACCTGTAAAACACGCCACCTGTCTGCAGGCGAACAGAGGCTCTGAAGGTTCCAAAATAGCTAAGCCCACGAGCTGTCTCCAGCCCCCATGGAGTCCTGGGATTCTCACCAGATCCAAAGATGACAGGAATGGGAACCAGTTAGGCAGAGGAAGCAAGACTTGAGAGACTGGGAGTGGGGAAGCCGCCAGGCAGTGGGCAGCAGGCCTGCGCTTGTGAGGAATGGGAGACAGGAAGTGGGTGTCCACAGGACAGAGACGGAGGGGGACAGCACGATGGTCACTGCATTCAACCAAATGTCTGAAGACAAGCGATCCAGCCCCGGGATCCCGACACCAGTTGCTCTGTCTCACCAGAGAGCCTCTCTCCAGGCGGACCACCTGTCAGCCTGCTACTGCCACCTTTCACTCTGCCCACCTGGAGCTGCTGGAGTGTAGCCACCACGTGAGCTTCTAGCTTTTGTGTTTGAGCCTTTGCCATTAGAGATTGAATTTCCTCACACCTGCGGTTGCTGTCGTGCCTTGATGGGGTTTTTATCCCCAGGCAGATAGTAACATATCCTGTGACAGCTCCCTGGGGAAGGCGGAAACCAATTTCAGAGAAAGAGGCTGAGCGCTTGCTAGTGCAGGGAGGAACTAAGATGACGAAGCATCGCACGGATGAGTCGTGGCCTTGCCGGCTTGACGGCGGGTAGAATGCAGTGCCACCCTCCCCAAGACCACCATCTGGCCAGGAGCCCCGGCCCCACCTTTCCTCCTTCGCTTGTGCCTCCTGGCACTTCCCGCAGCCCTCCCCTGTTGAGTGTAGGCGTTCTGCCCGGGGCAGTCGCTGTGAGAGAGGCCATGGCCTGGACTAGGGTGATGCGAAGAACAGAACTTGCTACCAGATTGGATGCAGGGTTGGGGACTCCACAGTGACTCCACACTTCTTAACCTGAACAATGAATTGCCAAAATAGATAACAGAAGAAATTGGGGAAGAAGAGTTGTTCTAGCCAATAGAGCAGCTAAAGCCAAAAAAAAAAAAAGTCTTCAGTGATGTAAAGCCTTGCAGAGTATGCGAGATGACCTGGACAGTGAGAGGCAGGAGGAAGACTGCTCTGTGGTGCTCTGAGTGTGAAGGCATTTGTCATGCGCATCCCCCACACAGCCACCATGGGGCTCTGGTTAGGGATGGAGCCCCCTGAGTCCGAGCTGCTTCATCTGAAATGGGGATGAAGGTGCCTCATAGAAAGTATTGAGTAAATATGAGGCGCTCTTCTGGTTTACTGTGTTCTCATATATTTCACACACAATGCTCAGAGAGTTGGAATACAGTTAAAATCATTAGATCTGTACGCTGTCATTATTCAAACCACCACAGCTCCCGGTTCATCATTAGGAATACTGGTTCTCTCCCCTCTGCTGAGGGGTGATTTCCCCCATCCAGGGTCTTGAAATTTTCTTCTACACACTGAAAGCCTTAGCACAAAGCTCCATATGCAGAGGGGGATGGTGGGTGACCCTGCCCATGCAGTTCCTCATTTTGGCTTCTTAAGGCCAAGAAGATCAACCTCTACCCAGATTCTGCACACAAACCAGTGTTGACGTTTTTATTTTTCTGTACTTTTTTTTTCCATAATAAACACTGCATGTGCCCTCTTTAACTTCAGTGTACTTTAAAGTCTTACTGCTTGTTTTGAGGGAAAAGTTTACTACACTGTGAAGCTCCCATTCTGTCAGTCTTTTGTGGGCCTGTATTAGTTGATACATCTAGGTTTTTCTTGAACACCCTTGGAACAAAAGACTCATGGGCCAGGGCCGGGCTCGGTGGCTCACGCCTGTAATCCCAACACTTTGGGAGGCCGAGGTGGGTGGATCACCTGAGGTCGGGAGTTCGAGACCAGCCTGACCAACATGGAGAAATCCCGTCTCTACTAAAAATACAAAATTAGCCGGGTGTGCTGGCATATGGCTGTAGTCCCAGCTACTCGGGAGGCTGAGGCAGGAGAATCGCTTGAACCTGGGAGGTGAAGGTTGCAGTGAGCCGAGATCGCACCACTGCACTCCAGCCTGGGTGACAGAGCGAGACTCCTTCTCAAAAAAAAAGACTCATGGGCCAAACTCCTATCCTGTGTTAAAATAAAACACAGTGTCATTCTAAGCCACTTGGCTCAGGTCAGTCCACTGAATAGGAGAGGGACAGTAGCCAGACTAGAGAGAGTGAAAGAGGAGATTCCAGCCACGCATTTGGAAAATTCTCAGTCCTCCAGGACACAGTGAAGCAATCAGGGCTGAGGCACCGTCTGATGAAGCAGATCAATAACTGGTGGGATGACCCATGACCCTCCCCAAAAGTCGCTGATGAAGGAGCTGATGCTACCTTGAAGGGATGGGCCCGGGCTTCGTCCTCAGCCCTGTCCTGTCCCACATCCCTCTTGATCATTTGGCCAGGGACACAGTTGCCAGGCTTCATTTGAGGAGAACGTGAAGCAAGGAGAAGGGACATACTCATGACCTAAAGAAAGCTCAGAGGCCTGGGGTGTCAAAGCAGATCTGGGGAGATCTGCTGGAGAGAGCCCCAGCCAATGATGGCCACACACCGGGTGTCAGTCATGCCTCCCAAGAGCCCTTTAATAAAGGCAGGTGCCATTACTGTCACCATTGTCACAAAGGAACTCGCCAAGACCCCAAGATCACAAATTGCTAAGTGGCAGAATAAGCTCTAAACACTGTCCCTAATCATTATATTCCATCCTCATCCCAGGATTAGAAATGATCTCCACCCCAGAAAATACAGGTAAGGCATAAACACTGATGGCTCTAGGGCCTACTCTTAGTTCCAAATACATTTAAATCCTACTCTTAGTTCCAAATACATTTAAATCCATCCACTGCCTGTAGCAAATAAAGATTCTTGCAACAGCGTCTGCCTGGGTCTCCCTAACTGCAGAGTGTGTTCCATGCTGTGGGCCAGAATGGTGGCCTGTCATCTCAGATCTTCAGTCTCATTATGTAACGGCAGATTTTATCATCCATTTTATGTACCCAAAGTTTCAAGGGCAGCTAATTTGCCCCAGATCTTCCTGCTTCCAGAGACTGAGCTCATTGCCCAGATTATGAGAAAATAATCACAGCCAGGTTTTGTAGACACGACTTGTTTAGCATACATACAGAACTGTGGGGAGTTTCTGTAAACAGGGAAGGACCATGCAAACAGCATCGTATTGGAGATGGAGATCCACCAACCCTAGTAGGTGGCAGGAAAGAGCTGGGGTTTTGGCTGCCAAGCCCTGGGCTGACCCAGCTGCTGTCCAGAAGGGGCATGCCGACACCTTCCTCTCCAATAATGCTGCAGCAGTGTTGACCATTACTCATGAGAGGGTATCACCTCACACAAACTAGGAGTTCCTAGGAGGAGGGGACCAGGATGCATGCCTCCTAGCAAGCCAGGCTTAAACTAGAATCTTTGAGGCATTCAAAGCAACTGGATTTCATTGTTAAAATTATGACTACCCTATTGCTGATTGATTTTTTTTTTTTTAAGACAGGGTCTTACTGTGTTGCCTAGGCTGGAATGCACTGGTGCAGCCATAGCTTACTGCAACCTCCTACTCTTGAGCTCAAGCAATCCTGCCTCCCAAAGTGCTGGGATTACAGGCATGAGCCACCACACCCAACCCACTGCTGATATTAAAACAAGCCATAAAAACATAAAAACAACTGTCAGCTGCTGTTCTGATCCCCAGTAATACTGGGCTGTTATTCAAATCAATCCTCTGGCTAAAAACAACTTTAAAATATACATGAAATACAGAAAATACCATGTATAAGCCCTGCCTAAATCTGATTTCTGAAATACACAGAGGGCAGACTCTAAACAGCCCAGCTAAGGCCAAAAGAAATAAAGACAAATTTCAGCTGCTGCCCACCAGAGGAGGATCAAAGGGTTTTTTTTGCTTGTGTTTTGCCTTTTCTTTTCTTTTCTTTTTTTTTTTTTTTTGAGACTGAGTCTCGCTCTGTCACCCAGGCTGGAGTGCAGTGGTGCAATCTCGGCTCACTGCAAGCTCCGCCTCCCGGGTTCACGCCATTCTCCTGCCTCAGCCTCCAGAGTAGCTGGGACTACAGGCGCCCACCACCATGCCCGGCTAATTTTTTGTATTTTTTTTAGTAGAGACGGGGTTTCACCGTGTTAGACAGGATGGTCTCGATCTCCTGACCTCGTGATCCACCCACCTCGGCCTCCCAAAGTGCTGGGATTACAGGCGTGAGCCACTGAGCCCGGCCGCCTTCCTTTTCTTAAATTTGAGACAAAGTCTGTGTCTGTCACCCACACTGCAGTGCAGTGGTACAATCATAGCTCACTGCAGCCTTGATCTCCTAAGCTCAAGCAATCCTCTCAGCTCAGCCTCCCAAGTATTAATAGCTGGGACTACAGGCACATACCACCAACTACTTGGGAGGTTTTTATTTGTAGAGATGGGGTCTTGCTGTGTTGCCCAGACTGGTCTCAAACTCCTGGCCTCAAGCCATCCTTTCGCCTTGGCCTCCCAAAATGCTAGGATTACAGGCATGAGGCACTGTCCCTGGCTGGAATCAAAGTTTTAAATCTTGAGTTCAGCCGTTAAATGCCTGCTGTAAAAAAAACAAAACAAAACAAAAAAAAAAACACTTCACCAGATTTTCTGCAATTATATAATTCAAAACTGCTATACATATGAACAAGAAAATGTGATCTATGCTCAAGAAGCAATTGACAGAAACTGACTCTGATATGACTGACATGTTGGAATTAACATTCAAGATGTTTAAAGTAATTATAACCATGCTCCAGGATGTAAAGGAAAATATGCTCATAATGAGCAAATAGGAATTGTCAGCAGATAAATCATGACAAAAAGAACCAAATAAAAATTCTAGAACTTAAAAATACAACACATGAAGTCAATTCACTAGATAGGATTAACAGCACATTGGCAGATTAAAGAATCATTAAACTGGCAATAGAGCTGGGATTAGTAAACCTGTGAGGGGTCAGGTAATATTTTTAGCTTTGTGGGTCAAAAATCCCCTTTATAACTACTCATTTCTGCCATCATAGTGTGGAAGCAAGCAGCCACTGTAAATGAGAATAAACATTCCACCTGTGGCCAGTTTCCCAAACCCTGAAATATCCAATCTAAAAAACAGAAAAGATACAGAAAAAATGATCAGAGCCTCAGTTATCTGTGAACAGTGTCAAGCAGTCTTAACATATATATAGTTGGAGTCACAGAATGAGGGAAGAGAGAATGAGGCAGAAAGGTTTAAAAAAAAAAATGGCCAAATATGGGGAAAGAGTCAAGAAACATGGCAAATCTCAAGCAAAATAAATAAAGGAACATCACACCCAGGGACTTCATAGTCTGAAAACTAAACATAGAAAGTCTTGAAAGCAACAAGAAAAAAAATGACACACTGCATAGGGGAACAACAATAGATTTACATGAATTTCAGCAAAATTCTCATCAGAAATAGTGAAGACTAGAGGACAATGGAATGACACCTTTAGAAAAAGTAAAATGTGTCAACCCAGAATTCTATATCCAGTGACAATATCTTTCAAGAATGAAAGTGAGGGCCAGGTGCAGTGGCTCATGGCTGTAATCCCAACACTTTGGGAGGCCAAGGCAGGAGGACTGCTTGAGCTCAGGAGTTTAAGACCAGCCTGGGCAACATAGAACCAATCTCTACAAAAACTACAAAAAAAAATTAGCCAAGTATGGTGGCATGCACCTGTAGTCCTAGCTACTTGAGAGGCTGAGGTGGGAGGATGGCTTGAGCCCAGGGGTTTGAGAGTGCAGTGAACTAACTATAGGCACCACTGCAGTCCAGGCTAGGTGACAGAGCAAGACTGTCTCAAAAAAAAAAGAAAAAAAAAAAAAGGACAACTCAAAAATTGGGAGGAAGTATTTGTAAATCATATATCTGATAAGGATTTAGTATTCCAAATATATAAAGAATTCTTGGGCCGGGCGCAGTGGCTTACGCCTGTAATCCCAGCACTTTGGGAGGCCGAGACGGGCGGATCACAAGGTCAGGAGATCGAGACCATCCTGGCTAACACGTGAAACCCCGTCTCTACTAAAAATACAAAAAATTAGCCGGGAGCGGTGGCGGGCGCCTGTAGTCCCAGCTACTCGGGAGGCTGAGGCAGGAGAATGGCGTGAACCCGGGAGGCGGAGCTTGCAGTGAGCTAAGATCGTGCCACTGCACTCCAGCCTGGGCGATAGAGCGAGACTCCGTCCCAAAAAAAAAAAAAAAAGAATTCTTACAACTCAACAATAAAAAAGACAATCCAGTTATTTAAATGGGCAAAAGATACAAATAGAAATTTCTCCAAAAAATATATACAAATGGGCTGGGCGCGGTGGCTCACATCTGTAATCCCAGCACTTTGGGAAGCTGAGGTGGGCAGATCACGAGGTCAGGAGATCGAGACCATCCTGGCCAACCTGGTGAAACCCCGTCTCCACTGAAAATACAAAAATTAGCTAGGCGTGGTGGTGCGTGCCTGTAATCCCAGCTACTCGGGAGGCTGAGGCAGGAGAATCACTTGAACCAGGGAGGCAGAGGTTGCAGTGAGCCAAGATCGTGCCACTGCACTCCAGCCTGGCAACAGAGCCAGATTCCATCTCAAAAAAAAAAAAAATATACACACACACACACACACACACACACACACACACACACACACACACACAAATGACCAATAAGCACATGAAAGGGATGTTCAGCACCATTAGAGAAATGCAAATCAAAACCACAGTGAGACATCACTTCACACCCACTAGGATGACAATAACTTTTTAAAGACAATAACAAGAGTTAGCAAAGATGTACAGAAAATGGAGCCCTCATAACATTGTTGGGGTCGGGCAGGGTGGCTCACACCTGTAATCCCAGCACTTTGGGAGGCCAGGTGGGCAGATCACTTGAGGCCAGGGGTTCGAGAGCAGCCTGGCCAACACAGCGAAAGCCCGTCTCTACTAAAAAATACAAACATTAGCCAGGAGTGGTGGTGGGCACCTGTAATCCCAGCTACTAGGGAGGCTGAGGCACGAGACTCACTTGAACCCGGGAGGTGGAAGTTGCAGTGAGCCAAGATCGCGCCACCACACTCCAGGGTGACAGAATGAGACTTCATCTCAAAAAATAAATAGAAATTTAAAAAAAAATTAAAAAAAAAACCACCATTGCTGGTGGGATTATAAAATGGTGCAGCTGCTTTGGAAAATGGCTTCACAGTTCCACCAAAGGTACCATAGTTACCATATGATCTAGCAGTTTCATTCATAGTTACAGTTTACAAGAATTAAAAATCTGTATCTACCAAAAACTTATACATACATGTGCATAGCAGTATTAATAACCAAAAAGAAGAAACAACCAAAATTGTCATTAACTGAACAAAATGTGTATGTGTACAGATTATTATTCAGGAATGAAATGAATAAAGATGAGGACCATAACCTATACTGTATATTTTCTTATGCATCCTAAGCTAGAAACCAGGGTTACCTTTGGAGAGGGAATTGGGAGTCATAGAGGCTGCCTACAATTTTGAACACATACCAATATTTTTATTCAAAAATTAAAAATTAAAATCTTCAAAATGTAACACTGCTGTAAACTCTTACCATCAAACTACATAAGCAAAACTGCAACACGAGAAATCGATAGAAATAAAAATGTAATTGAAGAATAACACAATTTCTTTCAGTCTCTGACAATGCAAGTAGAAAAAGAATGTGTATAGAGAGAAAAAGCTCATAGTGCCTAAGACAGATCGATCATCTGTTCTCCCCAGCACCACTAATGAAGTTCTCCCTTTTCTTCCGGAGTGATACCACCATTCATCCAGCTGGACAGGACAGAGCCCTTCTCCCTCCATCCCCATGACCAGGAAATGCATCACTGACTCTTGTTTGTTTAACCTGCCTGCCATTCCAGGGATCCATCCATTTCTTTCCATCTCCTGTCTCCACCCAGATCCAAGATACCATCATCTCC
Source organism: Homo sapiens (assembly GCF_000001405.40). Classification (NCBI taxonomy): domain Eukaryota; kingdom Metazoa; phylum Chordata; class Mammalia; order Primates; family Hominidae; genus Homo; species Homo sapiens. Next base: position 120,752,481 of record NC_000012.12, on the reverse strand, counting down.
CTCTTGGATCATTACAGGAGCCTCCTAACTCTCCACTCTGACCAACCTCCTCTTTCCACACCTCCTCACTGCGCTGCACACCACAGCCAGAGGGGATCTTTTCAAAACAATTTTTTTTTTTTTTGAGACAGAGTTTCACTCTTGTCGCCCAGGCTGGAGCACCGTGGTGCAATCTCGGCTCACCGCAACCTCCGCCTCCGGGTTCAAGCGATTCTCCTGCCTCAACCTCCCAAGTAGCTGGGACTACAGGCATGCGCCACCACACCTGGCTAATTTTTTGTATTTTAGTAGAGGCCGGGTTTCACCACGTTGGCCAGGCTGGTCTCAAACTCCTGACCTCAGATGACCCACCGGCCTTGGCCTCCCAAAAGTGCTGGGATTACAGGCATGAGCCACCGCACCTGGCCTCAAAACAAATATTTTCAGACCAGGTGTGGTGGCTCATGCCTGTAATCCCAGTGCTTTGGGAGGCTGAGATGGGAGGATCACTGGAGGCCAGAAGTTTGAGGTTGCAGAGAGCTATGATTGTGCCACTGCATTCTAGCTTGGGTGACAGAGAAAGACTCTGTAAAAACAAACAAACAAAAACATTTGTACACCATCTCTCTGAGTCAAATGCGCCAAAGGCTTCCTTGTCACTTCCAGGACAAGGCAGAAATCTATGTGACCCATAGGACTGTACCCGAGATGGCTGTCCGCCTCTCCAGCTCATCTCACGCCGTGTTCCCGCTCCGTCCTCCAGCCATTCTTCCATTCCTTGAAGACCATGCTCTCTCCCACCACAGGGCATCTGCACAAGCCATTTCCCAGGCCTGGGCTGTCCATCTCTAGGCTCTTTGTCTCATTCACGCCAACTCATCCCTCAGATCTCAGTTCAGCTGTCACCTGGTCAGGGAAGCCTTTTGTGACTCAGCATTCCAGCTCAGGTTCCTCTATTTTAGTCTCTCCTAGAACTCTGCTCCTCTCCTGCGTTGCACGCATCCCATTGAGGCTGCGATGTGATTAGTGTCTGCCACTAGCACCACCAGCACTAGCTTGCCTGCAAGGACTGTGAAAAAAGGAATTGTTTCTGCTCACCCACTGTTTCTCCCAATGGTTTGCACAGTATCTTAGATATAGTAGCTGCTGCAATATGAATGAATGAATCAGAATAAAATTATCAACATTCGTTCAATTTTATTAATCTCTACCATCATACAAAACATAACCTTTTCAGTTCTCATGGACTCTTGATGGAAACGGACCATGTATTCGATTCTCACAAGGCCTCATATTCAGAAAAGTGAAAACAACTGACCACCTTCTCTCACTACCACACAGTGTGACTGGGAAGAATTAAGAAAAGAAACTGCCAGGCGCAGTGGCCCATGCCTATCATCTCAGTATCTGGGAGGCCAAGGAGGGAGGATCTCTTGAGGCTAGGAGTTTGAGACCAGCTTGGGCAACATAGCAAGACCCCGTCTCTACAAAATAAATAAGTGTGTCACGGTGGCGCCACCTGTAGTCTCAGCTACAGAGAGGCTGAGGCAGGAGGATCTCTTGAGCCTAGGAATTGGAGGCTACAGTGAGCAGTGATCACGTCACTACAATCCAGCCTGAATGATAGAGTGAGACCCTGTTGCTTAAAGAAAAAAAAAAAAAAACTGGAATCCAAAATCAACAAGGGTTCAGGCATAGTGGCTTATCCCTATAACCCCAGCACTTTGGGGTTACAGGAGGATCACTTGAGCTCAGGAGTTTGAGATCATCCTGGGCAACATAGTGAGACCTCCATCTCTACTAAAAATTTTAAAAAGGCCAGGCGCAGTGACTCACGCCTGTAATCCCAGCACTTTGGGAGGCTGAGGCAGGTGGATTGTCTGAGGTCAGGGGTTCGAGACCAGCCTGGCCAACATAGTGAAACTCCATCTCTACTAAAAATACAAAAAATTAGCTGGGCATGGTAGCGGGTGCCTGTAATCCCAGCTACTAGGGAGGCTAAGGCAGGAGAATCGCTTGAACCCAGGAGGCAGAGGTTGCAGTGAGCCGATGTTGTGCCATTACACTCCAGCCTGGGGGACAAGAGCAAAACTCCATCTTAAAAAAAAATAAAATTAAAGAAAATTAGCTTAGTGTGGTGGTGTGCACCTGTAGTCCCAGCTATGTGAGAGGCTGAGGCAGAGGATCACTTGAGTCCAGCACTTTGAGGCTGCAGTGAGCTATGATCATGCCACTGCACTCCAGCCTGGGTGACAGAGCAAGACCTCATCTCAAAAAAGAAAAAAAAACAAAAAACAAGGGCTTTGTCTTTTTCTCTGCTGTATCTCCAGCACCTAGAATAAGTGCTCAATATACATTTTTGAACAAACAAATAAGAATAGAAAAATAAAATCGATGATCTGCTCAAACATAGGAGTGTCAAAGTAGGAAAATAGGAGAGAAAAGAAAATTAGAGGTTCGACCAAGAAAGTACAACATCAGACTTCTAGGAATTTAGAAAGCAAACCAAAAAAAAAGAGTGAATCAAGCTGGGTACAGTGGCTCACACCCATAATCCCAGCACTTTGGGAGGCCAAGATGGGAGGATCACTTGAGCCCAGGAGTTTGCGACCAGCCTGGCAACATAGCAATACTCTGTTTCTACTAAAAATAAAAAAAAATTAGCCAGGTCTGGTGGCAAATGCCTGTAATCCCAGCTACTCGGGAGGCTGAGGTGGGAGGATTGCTTGGGCCCAGGAGCCTGAGGCTACAGTGAGCCATAATTGTACCACTGCACTCCAGTGCGGACAACAGAGCAAGACCCTGTCTCAAAAAAAAAAAAAAGTGAATAAAATTATCAAAGAAATAATGTAATAGTTCCAAGAATTAAAGAACATGGAGGAAAAAAACATGGATCTCTAGATGGAAAGACCCACCACGTGCCCAGCTAAATGAATGAAAAATGACCCACATCAAGGTGTTCTGGTGTTCTGGTCAGTAGGTGGCATAAATAGATCCCAGCCCAGCGTGGTGGCTCCATTGCTAAAGATCTGATCAGTGGTGACCTGGGAATGTCCTGGAGGAGGGAATGCTGTGGCAGCTGTGATGATGCAGAATTTGAAGGCTATCCAGGGTGGAGGTGGGACAATGCCAGGGAAAGTGCCGAGGTGGCTGCTCACTGCTCAATCGTCCTGATGCTCTATCTGCAGCAAGTGAGAAACTGAGAACTGTGAACAAGCAGTTCACGGCTAAGTGTGAGCACCAGAGAGCCTTGGTATCGAGGAGTGTAAAAAAAGGCTTTTTTTTTTTTTTTTTTGAGACAGAGTCTTGCTCTGTCGCCCAGGCTGGAGTGCAGCGGCACCATACCATTCCACTGCACCCTCCGCCTCCGCCTTCCGGGTTCAAGCGATTCTCCAGCCTCAGCCTCCCAAGTAGCTGGGATTACAGGCGTGCACCACCACGCCCGGATAATTTTTGTATTTTTAGTAGAGTCAGGGTTTCACCATGTTGGCCAGGCTGGTCTCGAACTCCTGACCTCAGGTAATCTACCCACCTGGGCCTCCCAAAGTGCTGGGATTACAGGTGTGAGTCACCATGCCCGGCCTGAGTGGATAATCTATTGAAAGAACTAACGAAGTTCTTCAACATAACCAGATAAACAGAAATAAAAACGAAATATGTCAGCAATAAACAATTTTTTTTAATAGTGGGTGACTTCTGGTTTGCCCCAAGGTGGTGAACTAGCATATAGGTTGTTGGCTTCCTGCCTTAGCCAAAGCCTGAGTGCTATAGAGATTAAAGGAAAGCATATTGATTCAGGGAACTAAAGATCAGAAGAAAATTCTAGGGAGAGAAGGCGGTTGTGAGCAAATGTAGAGGGGAGCACAGCAGACCTGAGTGAGGCAGAGCTGGGGGCTATGGCGGATGAATCGGGACCCCTTCCTACTTCAGTTATTAACTAGAAGGATTCACATGACCTGATGAGGTTATATCACAGCTAAGGTTGACTAAGCGAAGGATACACCACGGGACCAGAGAGAAAGATACACATAGACAAAGTCCAGGGAGGCCGAGAGCAGGCTGCACGGTGTGTTTCTTTCCAGGTGTGAACCACAGAGATGTGAGATGTCTCTGCCCAGGGAAACACCCAGGTCTCAAAACCTGTTGTTCTAAGAAGATGGTCACATAGGCACTTTCCTGCCACATGACCAGCCATGGTAACCAAAACACAGCACTCCAAAACAGAGGCCAGACGCACATCCTAAGTTTTTTTTTTTTTTTTTTTTTTTTGAGACAGAGTCTGTCTCTGTCCCCCAGGCTGGAGTGCAGTGGCACGATCTTGGCTCACTGCAAGCTCCGCCTCCTGGGTTCACGCCATTCTCCTGCCTCAGCCTCCCACCCCCGGCCCCGAGTAGCTGGGACTACAGGCGCCCGCCACCACACCCACCTAATTTTTTGTTTTTGTTTTTAGTAGAGACGGGGGTTTCACCGTGTTAGCCAGGATGGTCTCGATCTCCTGATCTTGTGATCCGCCCGCCTCGGCCTCCGAAAGTGCTGGGATTACAGGCGTGAGCCACCGCGCCCGGCCGCACATCCTAAATCTTGATGTTAAACATTCTGACATCTGACAGGCTGCTCATCCTGCCCCAGTGCACCAGGCCTACAGATTAACATTCATCAGTAACTACATGCACCTTCCAAGAGTTTCCTTCTCAGCTTGTCCCAGGTCAGTGCCATAGCTCCAGGCACTCCCAGAGAGCAGCAAAGACTGAGTAAGCCAGGCCTGCTCACAACAGAAACGCAGACTGTGGAAACCCTTGGCCTTTCCTCTTGCCTCTTTTAGAACTCTCAATAGAGCCATCTGGGCCAGATACCGTGTTTTTTTTTTTTTATTAAAAAAAAAAATACTGAGCTGGAAGCATTAATGTCCACCTATTTTAAGTGTACAGCCTTCGTGACTCTTTCCACATGACTATACCTGAACCACCACCACTCGGATCAGAATATAAAACCTTTCCAGCACCCAGCAAGCTTCTCTTGTGCCTCTTGTCAGTGGCCCCCAAGGTAACCACTGTTCTAATTTCAGTCACCACAGATTAGTTTTGCTTGCATTTGAAATTCATGTAATACAGTGAATACATTATGAAGTCTTGACTATAAACTTTTTTGAGACAGAGTCTCGCTCTGTCCCCCAGGCTGGAGTACAGTGGTGCAATCTCGGCTCACTGCAACCTCCGCCTCCCGGGTTCAAGCGATTCTCCTGACTCAGCCTCCTGAGTAGCTGGGATTACAGACATACGCCACCACGCCCAGCTAATTTTTGTTATTTTTAGTAGAGACAGGGTTTCACTCTGTTAGCCAGGATGGTCTTGATCTCCTAACCTCATGACCCGCCTGCCTCGGACTCCCAAAGTGCTGGGATTACAGGCGTGAGCCACCATGTCTGGCCTACCTTTTTTTAAATTTAACTTTGTTTGCTTGTTTTGAGATGGGGGTCTCCTTATGTTTCCCAGGTTGGTCTCCAACTGCTGGAGCATCCTCAAGCAATCCTCCTACCTCAGCCTCCAAGTAGCCAGGGTTATAGGTGCACGCCACTGTGCCCAGCTTTGAGCCTAACCTTTTTTGCTTAATGTTACATTTGTAAGATTCAGCCATGTTAGCAATTTATGGTCAGTAGTTCATTCTTTTTTATAGTTGTATGTATGCTCATTGTTGGAATACAGCATTTCTCCTCAATAATTGTACCAATTTACCCTTCCGCCTGCTCTGAGAGGCAATTCCAGTTGAGTTACATTTCCACTGACTCTGTTAGGAGATGCCTTTTGTGGGGACAAATGTTTAACTCCTTTTCAATTTGTTCTAGTCTTACTGGTCTGTTTTTTGTGTTTGTTTGTTTTTTCTGCCTTCTCTAGAATCAATTCTGTGTATTTGTTTTCCTGGAAGATAAATCATTTATGTAGATTTTAAATTTCATCAGCATGAGTATGATAGTTTTTTTTTTTGTTTGTTTTGTTTTTTGAGACGGAGTCTTGCTCTGTCGCCCAGGCTGGAGTACAGTGGCACTATCTCGGCTCACTGCAACCTCTGCCTCCCTGGTGCAAGCGACTCTCCTGCCTCAGCCTCCTGAGTAGCTGGGACTACAGGTGCATGCCACCATGCCCAGCTAATTTTTGTATTTTTAGTAGAGATGAGGTTTCACCATGTTGGCCAGGCTGGTCTCAATCTCTTGACCTCGTGATCCTCCCACCTCAGCCTCTCAAAGTGCTGGAATTACAGGCGTGAGCCACCGCGCCCGGCTGAGTATGATAGGTTTTGGTATGCCATGTTTTCATTTTGTGTATTAAATATAAAATACACAAAAATCAAATTGTATTAAAATCTCGTACCAAAAACATGAGTCCCCTGACTCGCCCGTCTCACTTCCTCGGACTCTTTTAGTATTTATATGTTTATCTTTTTTTTTTTAAGATGGGGCCTTGCTATGTTGCTAATGCTCACGTGAGCGTGGAAGGGAACGGAGTTTCAGATGAGACTGCAGTCCCTTGCTTTCAGTTTGTGAGACCCTGGACAGAGCATCCAGCTAAGCCACGCCCAGACTCCTGAACCATGAAAACTATGAGATGGGTTTGTTTTTTTGGTTTTTTTTTTTTTTTGGTTTTTTGACAGGGCCTTGCTCTGCTGCCCAGGCTGGAGTGCAGTGGTGTAATCTCAGCTCGCTGTAGCCTCGAACTCCTGGGTTCATGTGATCCTCCTAATTTAACCTCCCAAGTAGCTGGGAGTACAGGCATGCATCACTGAGCCTGGCTAATTTTTTTTTTTTTGTAGAGACAGGGTCTCACTATGTTGCCTAGGCTGGTCTTGCATCCCTGGCCTCAGGTGATCTTCCCTCCTTGGCCTCCTGTGTAGCTAGGACTCTAGATATGCGGCACTGCGTCCAGCTAATTTATTTTTTATTTTTTGTAGAGATGGGCTCTCCCTGTGTTGCCCAGGCTGCTCTTGAACTCCTGGGCTCAAGCCATCCTCCCACCTCGGCCTCCCGAAGAGCTGAGATTACAGGGCTGAGCTGCTGTGCCTGGCCCTTTAAGATGGGTATTTCTTCAAGCCACTAAGCGTGTAGTGATGTGTTGCTAGAGTAGAAAACCAATACCAGTGTAGCGTCGCTTTCTCATCAGCTCCAGCCTGTCCCCAGCTGGGTGACACTGGGCTTCGACCGCAGTCATGGGCCCGGCAGCCAGGAGAGGAGGTGAGGGCCGCTGCAGAGGGGCACCTGTGGCCTTGTTGGGAGCGGCTTCCGCAGACTCTTCCAGTAGCAGAAGCCCTCACCTTCCTATGGAGAGGCAGCCACCCTCTGCACCCTGGAGAGTTTGGGCTGGAGAGCAGCATCAGGGGCATCCGTTCAGATGGCTCCGTTTTCCGGATGCCAGGTTTTCCTTCCCACGCCCCTGCCCTTGGCCTAAGCAATCTGCCGGGGCTGAGTCTTCAGGCTCTGGAGCTCTGCAAATTCCTGTTAGGTCTCTGGCCTGCCTGCACCATGTCTGCCCTTCTGCTACACATAAGAGCCTTTTTTTTTTTTAACCTGATACACAATAATTGTACATATTTATGGGGTACGTGTGATATTTTGATCCATGCATAAAATGTTTAATGATCAAATCAGGGTAACTGGGTATCCATCACCTCAAACATCTATCGCTTCTTTGTGTTGAGAACATACTAAATCTTCTAGTTGTTTTGAAATATACAAAAAATACTGATAACAATAATCACCATATTGTGTGAACACTAGAACGTATTCCTTCTACTAAACTGTATTTTTTAAAATTTTCTTTTCCTAAGATGAGTCTTGCTCTGTTGCCCAGGCTGGAGTGCAGTGGCACAATCTCCACTCACTGCAACCTCCACCTCCCAGGTTCAAGCGATTCTCCTGCCTCAGTCTCCCGAGTAGCTGGGATTACAGGCGCACACCACCATGCCTGGCTAATTTTGTATTTTTAGTAGAGATGGGGTTTTGCCATGTTGGCCAGGCTGTTCTCGAACTCCTGACCTCAGGTGATCCACCCGCCTCCGCCTCCCAAAGTGCTGGGATTACAGGCGTGAGCCACCGCACCTGGCTGAACCCATTTTTTAAAAGGGAAGGCTGGGTGCGGTGCGTTACGCCTGTAATCCCAACACTTTGGGAGGCCAAGGCGGGCCGATCATGAGTTCAGGAGATCGAGACCATCCTGGCTAACACGGTGAAACTCCGTCTCTACTAAAAATACAAAAAATTAGCCGGGTGTGGTGGTGGGTGCCTGTAGTCCCAGCTACTCCGGAGGCTGAGGCAGGAGAATGGCGTGAACCCAGGAGGTGGAGCTTGCAGTGAGCCAAGATCACACCACTGCACTCCAGCCTGGGCTACAGAGCGAGACTCTGTCTCAAAAAAAAATAATAAATAAAGGGAAAACCACACACTGTATGAGTCCTTTTGCAACCAGATATCTGACAAATGATTAGTATCAAGAGTAAACACGTGGGACAATTACAAATCAATTACAACCCAAAGAAGAAACAGACAATAGCAATTCACAGCAGAAACCAGAATGACCAATCACCACGTGAAAAGACGTGCAGTTTCTCAAGAAACCAGGGAGATGCAAGTTAAAATCACAACCATATTGAAGAACGTTTGTAAAATCTGTGGGTGCCAAGGAACGGGGAGAATGCGCGTCATCAACCCTCGCATATGCATAGAGGGTGATCCGACCACTGATCCAACCTCTGGAGGGCCATTTGGCAATATCTGGCGAAGCTGAAGAAATAAACAGCCTTAAGGCCCAGCAAGCCCACTTCGATTTAAATGCTCACAAGTTCTCACATTAGAAAAACACACATGCCAGAATGTCCACTGCATCATGGTTTATAGAGTAAAAAGCAGGAAACTACCTCAATATAGTTTATCCCATGGGACACCATGCAGCCATCCACATAAATGAACTAGAACTTCACGTATCAACATGGAAAAACCAAATTGCTAATATTCAATCTTCATAAAAAGTAACTTAGTGCCGTGAAGCACATCTCAACAGATTTCAAAAAATTCAAATAGTGCAGAAAATGTGCTGAGACCACAATGCAATTAAGGTAAAAACCAGCAACAGTAGGTATGGAGTTTCCTGCTGGGGTGATGAGAATGTTCTGGAACTAGATGGTGGCAATGGTTGCATAACATGATGAATGTCCTAATGCCACTGAGTGTACACTTGAAAATGGTTAAAACTGTAAACTCCGTCACAGTTTTTAAAAATCATTAACAAAAAATACCTCAGAAAACCCCATATTAATAAAATAATACTCTTTGGCCAGGCATGGTGACTCACACCTGTAATCCCAGAACTCTGGGAGGCCAAGGCGGGCAGATCACTTGAGCCCAAGAGTTTGAGACTAGCCTGGGCTGGTCACATGTTTAGTAGAGATGGTGAAACCCCATCTCTACTAAAAATACAAAAAATAGCCAGGTGTGGTGGCGCCTGTAGTCCCATCCACTTGGGAGGCTGAGGTAAGAGGCCCACCTGAGCCTGGGAGGTCAAGGCTGTGGTGAGCTGCGATTATACCACTACACTCCAGCCCAAGCGAGAAGAGACCCTGTCTCAAAACATAATAATACTCTCCTAAATAACTGATAAATCAAAATAGAAAGCACAATGGGCCTCAGAAAACTGAGTAATAAGGAAAATATGACACTAAAATGTATGAGATGAAGCAAAAGCCACACTTAGAAATGTATGAATTCAGGCCAGGCATGGTGGCCCACGCCTGTAATCCCAGAACTTTGGGAGGCCGAGGCGGGCGGATCACCTGAGGTCAGGAGTTCAAGACCAGCCTGGCCAACATGATGAAAGCCCGTCTCTACTAAAAATACAAAAATTAGCCAGGCGTGGTGGCGCATGCCTGTAACCCCAGCTACTCGGGAGGCTGAGGCAGGAGAATCGCTTTATCGCTTGAAACCGGGATGTGGAGGCTGCGGTGAGCCGAGATTGCGCCACTGTACTCCAGCCTGGCAACAGAGCGAGACTCCATCTCCAAAAAAAAAAAAAAAAAGAACCAAAGCATGGAGAACTTGTCCCAGAGGGCTAGAGGGAAGGAAACAGGTGGCCTCTCAGCTACATGCAATGCAGGCCCCTGGACCTTGAGAAGAGCTGACTTCGCAGACACCGTGCCAGCTGGCACAATCCGAGTGGAGTGTGCAGATGTGAAAGTTGACCAGGGTGGGAAACGGTCCTGTTGTTCTGTAAGTGAACGTCCTTGTCCTTAGGAAATCTACACTGAGGAAACTGTATCCAGAGGGGCATGGGCTCTAGGACAGTTCGGGCTCCAGTGGCCCGGGGGCAGAGTCCACATTCAGTTCTAAGTTAGGAGGAGCTTCCACTAACGGGCAGCACCCCGTCAAAGCCAAGGGTTTGTGCCGACTCTCCCTCACCGAAGGACAGACCCCGGACCCACGACGGCACCTCAAAGCCCCCGAGTGCACAGACTGGCTCTTGGGTCGGAGCCTGGGTTGCTTCATCTGAAATGGAGGACCCCAGGCCTCCGAGGCTGCACTTCCTGGAAAGGCTCTTCGTGGCCACCTGAACGAGCCCTGGGCAGGTCTGAGAAGCAGAAACCCCTCCAGGGCTGCCACTCGGCCTGTGCTGACTCCAGCCCTCTGCCCTGCTGGGAGCGGTGTGGCTCAAGTCGGCTACCTTTGACCCTCCAGGGCCCAGACCCTTCTCAGCGGGTAGGGCAGGGGAGCTGAGGGGCCTGAACTCCAGCCAAGACAGCCAGGTCCCCAGCCTGGGATGAATGCTGTTTGGGTTCCTCTCCCCCATCACCTGGAGGAAGGGCCCAAAGACAACCTCAACCCCACGCCGCATCTGCGTCAGGAGCAGCGCTGCCTCGCCGGGCGGGGGCACAGCGCCTCCAAACACCCCCTCCCCACTGTCCCCGGGCTCATGGGGACAGGGAATGACAGGCCTTCATCTGCCCCCAGGTGGAAGGGCTCAAATGCGCTGCTTCTGGAAGCATCCTGGGTCCCCCTCTGCTCTGCTACCTTTGGCTTGCACCTGAGCCCAGGGCAGGGACAGGAGCAGATCAGGAGACCCCGAGAGAGTGTGAGCCAGGAGCCAAGACCCTGCGGCACTTACCTGGAGCCAGGAGGAAAGCCCAGGGACCCAAACTTCTGCAGGCGGCACTTACCTGGAGCCAGGAGGAAAGCCCAGGGACCCAAACTTCTGCAGACTGCGCAGGACGCCACTGACCTCGGGAGCCCAGGAGGACGCGCTTCCCAGAAGCCACAGGTGTGCCTCGTTAGCAGGGAACACACTACCCGTGGGCTCTGCGCACACCCTGCCTGTGGGGTAAATCAGGACCTAAATTCGCTCAAAGAAGCGCACTCCTATTCCCCGGGGCCCTGGACCAGGCCCAGGTCAGGGCGGGGTCAAGGGCAGAGCTGCCCTGCAGAGCAGCAGCTCCAGGCTGGATCCTTCGGCTGCGGGGCACCAGCACCTGGCACAGAAATCCCACTTGGGAGGCCGAGGTGGGAGGATCACTTGAGCCCAGGAGTTCAAGACCAGCCTGGGCAACAAAGCAAGACCCCATCTCTACAAAAAATTTAAAAATTAGCTGGCCATGGTAGTGTGCACCTGTAGTCCCAGTTACCTGGGAGGCCGAGACGGGAGGATCACTTGAGCCTGGGAGGTTGAGGTTCTGATAAGCTGTGGTTGTGCCACTGCACTCCTGCCTGGGTGACAGTGAGATTCTGTCTCTAAAAAAAAATCCATCCCCAACAGGGGCTCAGGGTCCCTGGGCGCCCCTTTGATGACAGCTCCTAAAGTCACCGTCTCCCTCCCGCTTCCCTCCAGAGACCTCCCAGCAATGCCAGTTTGACTCTCTGCCCTGCCTGCCCGGCGGAGGGCTGTCCCCACCTCCTTTGAAATCTTTCTTTGCTCACTGTTTTCTCTTCCAGCTGCTGAGATCGACACTGGCCCAGAGGGTTAAGAGCTTGGACCTTGGCTTCAGGGGCACCTTTGCCCAGAGAAAGCCCTGCAGGCACCAGGACCAGGGCAAGCCCCCGCACTGGCTGGCCAGGGCCGCCCCCGAGCGCGCTAGTGAGCACAATGGCTGCTTCTCGAGGTTCTGTGTTCTCCCACCTGGGGCTCGAGGCCTCCACAGCTTTGCTCCCCGACTCTGGCAATCTGGGGCCTTCCTTCCTCCTGCCTGGAGGCTGGTCCTGCGTAGAGAACCCCTTCTAGCCCACTGGCCCTGCCTGGCCCACCCTCCCTCCCCAGGGGCCACTCCCTGAGGCCTGCAGGACCCAGTTCCTATTCCTGAACTGCCTCCTTGGCCAATCTGGCCTCTGCCGGAACTCAGGAACCTCCCAGGTGGCCAGGCCCCTCCCCAAGACCCCCAACACTCACAGGGTGAGACTGTCAGAGAGCAGGACTCTGTGCAGAGACCACCATCCCTCCCCGGAGCACCCAGGAGAGGGCGAGGACACAGACTGGGGGACAGGTGTGTTTATTACCCACAGTCAGTCACACAGCATGAATCACCACCCCTGCCTTCATCAGACTTTACAAAGGGCTGAGGGGCCTCTGGGCCAGCTCCATGGCCCAGCCCCACCACCTGCCCAACACCAGGACCCCAGGCCTCGTCATCCTGACCCCAGCCCTGCTCCTGACCTCTGACCTCAAGGAAAAGACAGACCCCACCAAGGGCCTGTCGCACTGGGCCTTCATGCCAGGGCACCAGGGCCCGCGGGAGGACAACTGAGGTGTCCCTGAGTGTCGCTCAGCCCCCCCACAACCCCGCCCCCAGGAGGCCAGGGCCACTTAGATGAGGAACTTGAGGCACAGTGGTGAGGAGGCGGAAAGGCCCAGAGGCGGAGCTGCCAATGGTCGGAGGGCCTCATTCCCATGTGATCTGATCTGGGTGGCAGCACTGAGCCCATCTGGGGTCCCCAGGGAGCCCCCGCCGGGCCGCCCAGTCTCTGAGCCGGGGTTGGGGTGGAGGCCCCTGGCTCCCGCGCCTTCCCGCAGTCCTGGGGCAGTCCGCCGCGGGCTCAGCTCCGGTAGCTCCTGAGCAGATGCCCGGCGATCACCAGCCGCTGGATTTCGCTGGTGCCCTCGTAGATCTCAGTGATGCGGGCGTCGCGGTAGTGCCGCTCTGCCGGCATCTCTGTCACGTAGCCCATGCCGCCCAGGATCTGGATGGCCTGAGATGAGAACAGTGGCTCAGGAGGGAGAAGACCCCGGCGTGGGGAAAGCTGGAGAAGGGGCAGCTGGCCCCCTCAGAGCTCACTGTGGACACTCACCTGGTGGCTGATGGCGGTCGCGGCCTCCGAGGCGGCCAGCTTGGCCATGGCTGCCTCCTAAACATGGGGGTACAGTCAGAGCCTTCCCTTGAGGGGACCCCTCCATCCCCTGCTCCCCCACTCCCTCAGCAGGGGAGGCCTGTGGAGCCTCCCCATGGGGCTGTAAACCCCAGGCCCACACCTCTGACCCACGGGGCCAAGGAGCAGAGACCCGCCCCAACCTCTCCCCGTCCCTGGGCCCACCACATTCTGGGCCATGGCTCGGGGACCCCTGTGGGCACCTTGATGAAAGGCTTCTTGTTATCCTTCAGCATGGCAGCGCGCCAGGTCAGCAGCCGGGCACTCTCCAGGGCCAGGGCCATGTCTGCCAACTTGAACTGCAATAGCCCCACCCCACACCACAGGTCAGCAGCTGCCCCTCCAGGGGACAGAAGGGAGGGGGAGGAGGACGGAGAGCAGTCAGGAGGCCACACTCTCCGCCCGCTGTCCAGCCTCTAGGCCCAGCTCCTAAAGCTGCCACCATTACCTGGATGACCTGGAGCTTGGTGAGGGGCGCCCCGAAGGCCATGCGATTCTCAGCGTAGTTCACAGCACAATCGAGGGCGGTCTGGGCAATGCCCAGGGCCTGGGAGGCGATGCCGATGCGGCCCATGTCCAGGGTTTGCTGTGGGGACCGCCCTGGTCAGTGGCCCGCCAGCCGGGGCGCGGGCCTGGCCTCAAGGTGCCACCCCCACTGCCGGGCTCACCATGGCTATCTTGAAGCCCATCCCTGGCTCCCCCAGGATGCTGTCCTTGGGGATGCGACAGTCCTCAAAGATGAGGTTGGCCGTGGATGAGCCCCGGATGCCCAGCTTGTCTTCTTTCTTCCCCAACGTGAGCCCAGGCGTTGGCATGGGGACCAGGAAGGCACTGATGCCCTGAAAGGAGAGGCGGGTGGTTTTCTCAGAGCTGCCCCTCAGCCACACCCTCACACCAGCACACCCAACACCAACCCGGTCCCCTCCCCACCTCCCTCAGAAGCTCAGGCCTTGACACCCTCTGCCGGCTTCTGGGGAAGGTGCAGGCTTCAGTGGCAGCTGAGGAGGGACAGGGACAGCCCACTTGCCCCAGAGCAAAAATAGGTCCAGTCGGGCCAAGGAGAGAAGGCCCTAGAAACAGAAATGACAGCAGCCCAGGATCCGGCTGAACCCCTCTCTGGGTGGGCCCACCTTGTTTTGCAGGGCTCTGTCCGTGCTGGCAAAGACCACGGCAGCCGAAGCCTCCCAGGCATTGGTGATCCAGGCTTTGGTTCCATTCAGAACCCATGAGTCGCCCTCGGCCCGGGCGGTGGTGGACGCAGCTCCTGCATCACTGCCGTTCCCTGCCCACACAGACCCAGGGCTCAGCGCACGCCCCACCCCACACAACCTAAGGGCACCAGCCTCACTCCCTCCACACCCCTGCTGGCAGACACGAAACCCTATGACTCGGGCTCCAAAGATGAGGGTCCCAAAGCTCTCAGTGATGGGACCAGAGGGCGAGGGGGGTGTGCAGGAGCTGGCGTCTTAAACCAGGGGACCCCGAAGGCAATCTTCCTCCCAGCGCCGCGGTGGCAAGAGCGCTCACCCTACCAACCACACGGGGAGCCTCCCCTCTGGCCTCCGAAGCAGTGGGCAGTTGGCCTAGCACCTTCCTCTCCTCCCCTCTGGGCCTGTCACCCTAAGGACAGGTGAGGGGACAGGGCAGGTACCTGGTTCGCTGAGGGCAAAGCAGCCAATTTTGTCACCACTGGTGAAAGGCGTGACCCACGCCTGCTTCTGCTCCTTGGAGCCAAACTTCAAGATGGGCCCCAGGTAGAGAGACTAGGAGGACAGCGGGGAGCGGTCGGAGGCCCCAGGCCCAGGCGCATCCTGCCCACCTGCGGGCTGCACCTCAGGGCCTGTTCTGTCCAGGGCCTACCCAGTAGGACCAAGGCCTGTGACGTCTCCAGAGAGATCAGGGCTGGGAGCCGAGGCCAGAGCCTGCCCGCTCACGGGAGCCTCCCTCCACCCGTGTGTCCCAGGGGCCTGGGAGGGGGCTCACGTTGTTGACACTCATGATGACTCCGGTGGAGGCGCAGCCACGGCTGATCTCCTCCATGGCGATGGCGTAGGCCAGGTAATCGAGGCCAGCACCGCCAAGCTCCTCGGGCACGTCCATGGCCAGAAGCCCAAGCCCGCCCATCTTCTTCACCTGGGCACAGGGAAGGACGGCACGCCATGGGCAGCTGCCGGGGGCGAGCCCACCCTCCCCAAGCCCAAACCCTCCTGCCCCCGAGGCAGTGCCCTGCAGAAACTCAGGCCATGTGACCCCAGCCACGCACAAGGGATCCCCAAGTCCAGAAGCTGAAGACCCAGTCCCACTGAGGTCTATATGATGGCACTTCTCATTCAAGCTGTCCTGCCCCCGCCTCCACGCCTGCTCCCCGCTCCGTCCACAGCCACGGCAGCGAGCAAGCAGAAGGCACAGGATGCTTTCAGGGAACTCAGAGGTAAGGAGCAGGACAGCGTGAGCCACACTGACCTTCGTCCAGCCCCCTCTGCACATCCACACACACGCACCCTCCCCACCACAGGGCCTCTGCACATGCCACCTCCTATCCCTCAGCTGGTTATTGCCCCTCCTCTCCTTCTGATCGCAGCTCAGGCCTCGCTGCTTTGGGCTGCCATCCCCAGCCTCGCTGAGTCAAATCCTTCAGTCCCTCTCCTGCAGCACTTCTGCGGCTGGAATTTCTCAGGGATGAACGTGCTTCTCTGGATTAAGGTCTTTTGCCTTCACCACGAGGGCACAGACTGTGTGTGCTCTTGCTCACTGCTACATGCCCAAGGCCAGTGAGAGAATGAATGAAGGATAAGAGCTTGGGACTCTTAATTCTGGGTAATAATCATATTAAGAGTGGGCCAGGAGCAGTGATCACACCTGTAATCCCAGCACTTTGGGAGACCAAGGTGAGGGGATTGCTTGAGGCCAGGAGTTCGAGACCAGTCTGGGCAACATAGCAAGACCCCATCTCTACCAAAAACAAAATAATAATAATAGTATTATTACTTTCAGGTGAGTAATATGGGAAATGTGGACCACAGAATCTACCTAACTTCAAAAAGGAACAAGTAAAACCACTTATCTCTGGGAGAGCAGGGACAGGGACAGGGACGGGGACAGGGACAGGGACGGGGACAGGGATGGGGACGGGAGGGAACCGTTGCTTTTCACGAGCCCTTTTATACAATCTCATTCCTGCAAACATGTTATTTTATTTTATTTTATTTTATTTTATTTTGTGACAGAGTATTGTTCTGTTGCCCAGGCTGGAGTGCAGTAGTGCAGATCTCGGCTCACTGCAACCTCTTCCTCCCAGGTTCAAGCAATTCTCTGCCTCAGCCTACCGAGTAGCTGAGATTACAGGTGCCCATAATCACGCCCAGCTAATTTTTGTATTTTTAGTAGAGACGGGTTTTCACCATCTTGGCCAGGCTGGTCTTGAACTCCCGACCTCGTGATCCACCCACCTCGGCCTCCCAAAGTGCTGGGATTACAGGTGTGAGCCACCACACCTAGTCTCAACCATGTTCTTATACTACCATGACTTACATAAACTAATAAGAATGTTTGCTAATATATTCTTGTTTTTCTATACTCCTGTGAATATAAAAGTTTTACCTTCCCCGTCCCCAAAACAGTACTCACCTCAAAGGACTGTTCTGAGGCCTGACTGAGATAATACACATGAAAGGCAGAGCCCAGCACCTGGCCCAGGCTGAGGTACTGTTGAACAGCATCTATCATCAAGTGGCTGCCAAGTTGTTTTTTTTTTTTTTTTTTTTTTTTTTAAGGACTGCGCACAGTGACTCACACCTGTAATCCCAGCACTTTGTTTGTTTCTTTTTTCTTTTTTTTTTTTTTTTTTGAAACAGAGTCTCACTTTGTTGCCCAGGCTGGAGTGCAGTGGCACAGTCTCGGCTCACTGCAACCTCCACCTCCTGGGTTCAAGTGATTCTCCTGCCTCAGCCTCCCGAGTAGCTGGGATTACAGGTGCCTGCCACCACACCTGGCTAATTTTTATATTTTTGGTAGAGACCAGGTTTCACCACATTAGCCAGGCTGTTCTCGAACTTCTGACCTGAAGTGATGCGCCTGCCTCAGCCTCCCAAAGAATCTCAGCACTTTGGAAGGCCAAAATGGGTGGATCATTTGAAGCCAGGAGTTCGAGACCAGCCTGGCCAACGTGGTGAAACCATATCTCTACCAAAAATATAAAAACTAGCCAGGCAT
The DNA here is from genome assembly GCF_000001405.40 of Homo sapiens. Lineage (NCBI taxonomy): Eukaryota > Metazoa > Chordata > Mammalia > Primates > Hominidae > Homo > Homo sapiens. Next base: position 120,734,906 of record NC_000012.12, on the reverse strand, counting down.
GGTGGCGGGTGCCTGTAATCCCAGCTACTCGGGAGGCTGAGGCAGGAGAATTGCTTGAACCTGGAAGGAAGAGGTTGCAGTGAACCGAGAGCACGCCACTGCACTCCAGTCTGGGCGACAGAGCGAGAATCTGTCTCAAAAAAAAAAAAAAAATTATTGTTTTTTTAGAGACAGGGTGTCACTGTGTTGCCCAAGCTGGTGTCGAACTCCTGGCTCGAGTGATCCTCTTGCCTCAGCCTCCCTCATGCTGATTAGAGGCACGAGCCACCACACCAAGCCTAGTTCTTACTTTGGCAATAACGTATGGAAAAGAGGGGGCACCTAGGAGCCTGCAGCACTTCTGTGACAACCTGTGTGTCCCTCTGTGAAATTGCTTATTTGATTCTTCCTTGAACTGTTCCCATGGGAAACTCACTTGTAAGACTCTAAGTGCGGGGCGGAGCGTCATCTCCGAGTCTCCCACACGTACCACATGTGGGGCATAAACGTGTGTGCTGAGAGGCTTGAGCTATGACCCCCACAAGTGCACATCAAGCTCTGCGGCCCCCAGGCAGATGCTGTGCTGCAGTCAGAGGGCAGAGAAGCTGGGAAGGAGATGGCCAGTGTGTGGAAGGCAGCATGACAGCAACCGCCCAAGATGTCCCCATCCTAATCCCAGGTCCCAGGAGTATGTTCCCTTCCGTGGCAATAGGGACTTTGCACACGTAAGTGAAGCGTCTGGAGATGTGAGGGTTATTCTGGATGATCAGAGTCACCCAGTGTCATCACAGAGTCTTTGTAAGGCAAAGACAGACACAGACTCAGAGAAGGAGAGGTGACGACGGAAGCAGAGGCAGGAACTCTGGCGGGAAGAATGCAGGCGGCCTCTAGAACTGGGAAAGACAGGAGTGGATTTCCCCAGAGCCTGCAGAGGGAACTCAGTCCTGCCGATGCCTTGATTTAGCCCTGTGGGACCCACACTGGATGCCTGACTCGGGTTGAGTAACTCGTGAACAGCATTTCTCAAGTGGCTGCCATGGTTTGGTTTTGTTTTTTCTATTTTTTTTTTTTTTTTTTGGTAGAGATGGGGTCTTGCTATGTTGCCCAGGCTGGTCTTGAATGGTCAGAGAATATATCTGTATTGCTTTAAGCCACAGGGTTTGTGGTCATTTGTTACAGCAGCAATAGGAAACTCATCCACAGTGACAAATGGGAACTCAGAGCTACCAGGGAGGTGTCATTTTGAGAATTACTAAAAAGAAGATTGTTCTGTGGCCGCCACACACCTGGGGAGGGGGGTCCTGCTCAGAATAGGCACCATTTCAGCAGGCACCATTTCAGCAGGCACCATTTCAGCAGGCACCATTTCAGCAGGCACCATTTCAGCAGGCAGGAACCAACTAGGGAAGGGGAAGTCCAAGTGAGAGAGTGCTTTTCACTAGGAAGAGGACCTGGAGACACAGACCTGCGGCAGCACACACATGGCCTCTGAACAGAACACTTTTCTAGCCCACACTTCAGAGTACTTTGCCAGGCGCAGTGGCTCATGCTTGTATTCCCAGCACTTTGGTAGCTGAGGCAGGTGGATCACCTGAGGTCAGGAGTTCGAGACCAGCCTGGCCAACATGGTAAAACCCCGTCTCTACTAAAAATACAAGGATTCTCCCTCTCCCTCTCCCTCTCCCTCTCCCCCCGGTCTCCCTCTCCCTCTCTTTCCACGGTCTCCCTCTGATGCCGAGCCGAAGCTGGACTGTACTGCCGCCATCTCTGCTCACTGCAACCTCCCTGCCTGATTCTCCTGCCTCAGCCTGCCGAGTGCCTGCGATTGCAGGCGCGCGCCGCCACGCCTGACTGGTTTTCGTATTTTTTTGGTGGAGACGGGGTTTCGCTGTGTTGGCCAGGCTGGTCTCCAGCTCCTAACCAGGAGTGATCTGCCAGCCTTGGCCTCCCGAGGTGCCGGGATTGCAGACGGAGTCTCGTTCACTCAGTGCTCAATGTTGCCCAGGCTGGAGTGCAGTGGCTTGATCTCAGCTCGCTACAACCTCCACCTCCCAGCCGCCTGCCTTGGCCTCCCAAAGTGCCGAGATTGCAGTCTCTGCCCGGCCGCCACCCCGTCTGGGAAATGAGGAGCGTCTCTGCCTGGCCGCCCATCGTCTGGGATGTGAGGAGCCCCTCTGCCCGGCTGCCCAGTCTGGGAAGTGAGGAGCGCCTCTTCCCGGCCGCCATCCCATCTAGGAAGTGAGGAGCGTCTCTGCCCGGCCGCCCATCGTCTGAGATGTGGGGAGCGCCTCTGCCCCACTGCCCCGTCTGGGATGTGAGGAGCGCCTCTGCCCGGCCGCGACCCCGTCTGGGAACTGAGGAGTGTCTCTGCCCGACCGCCACCCCGTCTGGGAGGTGAGGAGTGTCTCTGCCTGCCCGCCCCGAGAAGTGAGGAGCCCCTCCGCCCGGCAGCCACCCCATCTGAGAAGTGAGGAGCCCCTCTGCCTGGCAGCCACCCCGTCTGAGAAGTGAGGAGCCCCTCCGCCCAGCAGACACCCCGTCTGGGAAGTGAGGAGCGTCTCCGCCCGGCAGCCACCCCGTCCGGCAGCCACCCCGTCCGGGAGGGAGGTTGGGGGCAGCCCCCGCCCGGCCAGCCGCCCCGTCCGGGAGGGAGGTGGGGGTCAGCCCCCGCCCGGCCAGCCGCCCCGTCCGGGAGGTGAGGGGCGCCTCTGCCCGGCCGCCCGTACTGGGAAGTGAGGAGCCCCTCTGCCCGGCCACCACCCCGTCTGGGAGGTGTACCCAACAGCTCATTGAGAACAGGCCATGATGACGATGGCAGTTTTGTGGAATAGAAAAGGGGGAAAGGTGGGGAAAAGATTGAGAAATCGGATGGTTGCTGTGTCTGTGTAGAAAGAAGTAGACATGGGAGACTTCATTTCGTTCTGTACTAAGAAAAATTCTTCTGCCTTGGGATGCTGTTGATCTATGACCTTACCCCCAACCCTGTGCTCTCTGAAACATGTGCTGTATCCACTCAGGGTTAAATGGATTAAGGGCGGTGCAAGATGTGCTTTGTTAAACAGATGCTTGAAGGCAGCATGCTCCTTAAGAGTCATCACCACTCCCTAATCTCAAGTACCCAGGGACACAAACACTGCGGAAGGCCGCAGGGTCCTCTGCCTAGGAAAACCAGAGACCTTTGTTCACTTGTTTATCTGCTGACCTTCCCTCCACTATTGTCCTATGACCCTGCCAAATCCCCCTCTGCGAGAAACACCCAAGAATGATCAATAAAAAAAATAAAATAAAATAAAATAAATACAAGAATTAGCCAGGCGTGATGGTGGGCGCCTATAATCCCAGCTACTTGGGAGGCTGAGACAGGAGAATCATTTGTACCCAGGAGGTGGAGGTTGCAGTGAGCCAAGATCGTGCCACTATACTCCAGCCTGGGCAACAGAGTGAGACTCCGCCTCAAAAAAAAAAAAAAAAACTATTTTATTAAGGAACACCTCTGCTGCTGGACAATACTCTACCAAGTGCTAGAAATACGCAGGTCTCCAGCTACTCAGGAGGAGGTTGAGGCAGGAGAATCACTTGAGCCCAGGCGTTCAAATCCAGCCTGGCCAACATGATGATACCCCTGTTTCTAAAAGAAAATTTTTTAATTAAAAAAATTTTAAAAAGAGGGTGTGGTAGCTCAGGCCTGTAATCCCAGCACTTTGGGAGACGGAGGTAGGAGGATCATCTGAGTCCAGGCGTTTGAGACCAGCTTCATCAACATGGCGAGACCCCCATCTCCACAAAAAGTTATAAAAATAAAAATAAATGAGCCAGGCATGGCGGTGCACACCTGTGGTCCCAGCTACTGCAGGAGGTGAGGCATGAGGATCACTTGAGCCCTGAGCCCGGGAGGTCAAGGCTGCAGTGAGCTGTGTTTGTGTCACTGCACTCCAGCCTGGGCGACAGTGAGGCCCTGTCTCAAAAAAACAAAAACAAAAATAAATATGCAGTTGTCCAAGACTCACGGTCAGGCCTAGGCATGAACCTCACCAAAAGCCTTTTTCTCTAGCTTACCAGCAAAACAGAATAAGGCTAAACTAGCTCAAGCCGCCTCACCCTCCAAGCACCTTCAGATCTCCCTGGACAGAGACACACCCTCCTTTTCACCCCGGAACTTGTTGGTATAAAACCCTGGAATAAATGGCACATGAGCCAATCGCTCCATAACTCCATCTCATCCCCAGAAACACAGTGGGAACCCAAATTCCCAGAAAGAGAGTAAAAGGATGAAACTCTCCTAGGTGCGTTCAGTTCCTCATACTCACCTAAAATGCTTGGTCACACGTCCCGACAGGTAGCAGAATGAGGGTGACCCCATATTCCTCTTACAGATGAGGGAATTCACACAGAAAGGGTATGTGGTGTCAGTGGCCAGGTCTAGGCCACCAGGAGGCAAGACAGAACCCCAGCCTCCTCCTCCCTACACAGCGCCGCCTCCCTCTGACTAATGCGACACTTCTCAATGAGCTAGAATCAAAAGTTGTAGGAATTCACAATTCCCACACCCAAAGGACCTCACTAGCATATACCATCGCCCTCAATTTTCCCCCAGCTCCTGTCTTCCCTCCTTTCTCACCATCAGCATTTTCTTTTACAGCATCTACCAGCTGGGCGCGGTGGCTCATGCCTGTAATCCCAGAACTTTGGGAGGCCCAGGCGGGCGGATAACAAAGTCAAGAGTTCGAGACCAGCCTGGCCAACATGGTGAAACCCCGTCTCTACTAAAAAGACAAAAATTAGCCGGGTGTGGTGGTGCGCACCTGTAGTTCCAGCTACTTGGGAGGCTGAGGCAGGAAAATTGCTTGAACCCAGGAGGCAAAGGCTACAGTGAGCCGAGATCGCACCACTGTACTCCAGCCTGGGGACAGAGCGAGACTCCATCACACACACACAAAAATAATTTAAAAAATAAAGCATCTACCTGTGGCTGTGAAAGACATGGCAGTTCCACTCACTCCCACTCTGGTGTTGAGACAGCAAATTTCAAAAGAGAGGAGCACCGCTCTGGGGCAGCACCTAAGAGCACAGCCTTCTCCATCCCATCCCAGAGCCTGGACACAGTCACCTCACCCCATTTTATCAGTGGTGACAGGGGCTGTTTCCCAGGCCTTCTCACTCTGAAATTTATCTCTAGATTTCAGGCAACAAACTGTGGCCAGCTACAGGAACATTCTAGAAAAAAAGTGGGGACAAAAGCAATAACCATGGTAATGTGCACTCGTTAAAGGGCCTCCTGAAAAAGAGACAGGGAGACCAGCACCGAGGGAAGGAAAAAGGGGTGGCAGGAGAGGGAAGAGACGAGACAGTCAAAAAGGAGAAACCCAAAATATAATTAAGCAGTGGCTCACACCTGTAATCCCAGCAGTTTGGGAGGCTGAGGCAGCCAGGTCACCTGAGGTCAGGAGTTCAAGACCAGCCTGGCCAACATGGTGAAACCCCATCTCTACTAAAAATACAAAAATTAGCCAGGCATGGTGGCGGGCACCTGTAGTACCAGCTACCTGGGAGGCTGAGGCAGGATAATCACTTGAACCTGGGAGACAGAGGCTGCAGTGAGCCAAGATCGCACCACTGCACTCCAGCCTGGGGGACAGAGTGAGACTCCATCTCAAAAAAAAAAAAAAAAAGAAAAAAGAAAAAGAGAAGCAGTCAAGGGAAAAAAATGGGTTCGGGTTTGTCCATCGTTTCTGACCTATGTAAATTGATGGTAATTAACTAACAGCAGCCAGGCGCCCGTCCCAGCCCCAATATTTTAGTATTTTCTACAGAGAGGCCTGACCTTCAGAGCTATCTCAAGGGGTGGCCTCCTAGAGCCCCCTGCAATGGTCACTCTTGGTTCCTAGTGTCTGTGACCCAGCAACCCTGACCTGCACCCTGAGAAGAGGCAACAGCACTGATGAGGCTGAGCCTGGTGGTCTCCAGACTCCCAAGAGAAACCGTAAGAAACTGTAAGACCCCTTTCCCAGCAGTGACAGACAAGGCAAGCCTGCAGCACCTGCTGCCTTCATATCTGGGAAACGGTTAGTGGGTCCCTCATATAAAAACAATGTTTTACGTCCCTTTTAAAACTCATTTTTAAGGCCGGGTGTGGTGGCTCACGCCTGTAATCCCAGCACTTTGCGAGGCCGAGGCGGGTGGATTGCCTGAGCTCAGGAGTTTGAGACCAGCCTGGGCAACACGGTGAAACCCCGTCTCTACTAAAATACATAAAATTAGCCGGGTATGGTGGTGTGCGCCTGTAATCCCAGCTACTCGGGAGGCTGAGGCAGGAAACAATTGTTTGAACTCAGAAGGCGGAGGTTGCAGTGAGCCGAGATCGCGCCACTGCACTCCAACCTGGTGACAGAGCAAGACTGTCTCAAAAAATTTTTAAAAATAAAAAATAAATTAAAATTAAAATTAAAAAAAAAAACAGGCAAGGAGAAGAGGCCGGAGAGGTTTGACTTTTCACAAATCATTAATTAAACAACTATCTACTACTGAGTGTTTACACCAGGTGCTGGACATCTTTAGGTCAGCGTGTACGGCAGTAACATCTTCAACGCGTAGCTGCAGACAGACTGAATGCAAATGGAAGAACACAGTGGCACGGGAGGGAGCGCGCTGATGGGAAACTCAGGGGAGAAAACAGTTCAAGCAGGCCGGGCACGGTGGCTCACGCCTGTAATCCCAGCACTTTGGGACGCCAAGGCGGGCAGATCGCCTAAGGTCAGGAGTTTGAGACCAGCCTGCCCAACATGGAGAAACCCCATCTCTACTGAAAGTACAAAAACTAGCTGGGCGTGGTGGTGCCCGCCTGTAATCCCAGCTACTGGGGGCCGAGGCAGGAGAATTGCTTGAACCCAGGAGGCAGAGGGGTGCAGTGCGTTGAGATTGCGCCACTGCCCTCCAGCCTGGGCAACAGAGCGAGAGTCCATTTCAAAAAAAAATAAGTAAATAAAAAAGAAAATAGGTCGAGCAGGCTGCCGCTGATGAGCTCCATGACCTTGGGTATGTTATTTAACTTGTTCACAAGTCTGAGTCCATGGGGTATATAATAATACTACCTTTGGCCGGGCGTGGTGTCTCACACCTGTAATCCCAGCACTTTGGGAGGCCGAGGTGGGCAGATCACCTGAATTCAGGAGTTTGAGACCAGCCTGGCCAACATGGTGAAACGCCGTCTTTACTAAAAATACAAAAGTAGCGGGGCAGAGCAGTGCACGCCTATAATCCCAGCTACTTGGGAGGCTGAGGCAGGAGAATCACTTGAACTCAGGAGGCAGAGGCTGCAGTGAGGCGAGGTCGCACCATTGCACTCCAGCCTGAGCCACAAGAGTGAAACTCCGTCTCAAAAAAATAAATAAGAATAGTACCTTCACCTCACAGGACCGTTGTGAGGAACAGATGAGATAACCCATCTCAAGAACAGTGCCTAGTGCATGCCAAACACCCTAAAGGCACTATTTAGAATGAGCACAGTGGCTGGCACAGTAAGCAACTGACCATCCACCACATATTACTGTTGTCCCAGAAGTTAAGTCCTGGCTACTGGCCACAGGCTGGACAAGGGAAACTTCCAGAGCATTTTCTGGGTTCCAGGCCCTGCTTTGGGGTTCCTCTACCAGAGTCCGAGTGCCGCTGACTGTCACTGCCACCATTCATCCAGTAGCAGAGGGCAGACCACTATCGTGGGCTGCTGAGGTTGCACTCTCACCTGAGCCGCTGGGAAGAGATGTTCCTTATCCACCTGGGCTGCAATGGGAAACAACTCCTTCTCGGCAAAGTCCCGGCATGTCTGGAGCAACATCTGGTGTGTCTCGGGCAGTTCCACAGACTGGTAGATGGTGTGTAACTGCCGCCAGGCCCTAGGACAGAGAGCTGCCGGCAAGGGCAGAAGTGAGTGGAAGGAGGAGGCAGGAGGTCTCCAAGAATCCTAGTGACCCACTAACTCACCAGGGAGGATTTTGCCCTCCAAGGGACATCTGGCAATGTCTGGAGCCAGTTCTAGTTGTCACAACTAGAGCAGGGGAATACTATTGGTACCCAGTGGATAGGGGTCCGGGATCCCTGCTGAACATCCAACAAGGCAGAGGACAGCCCCCACAACAAAGAACTGTCAGCCCAAAATGTCCATGGCGGCCACTGAAAACCCCATACTAACTGAATGCTTAGTACACTCACTAGACATTTCCATACACTACATCCTTCAGTCCTCAGTATAATACCAACAGTAATAAGACCTCAGCTCTGTGACCTTAGGCAAGGGTTTTAAACGTCAGTGAGCCTCCGTTTCTATAACAAGTGGAGGCGAATAGTATTCCGCTCCTCGGAGTGCGAAAGAAAGACTAACTAGCGCTTAACACAGTTCTCAGTAGCGTTCCCCTTGTAATTCAGGCCAGGCAAAGGAAGCCGTGGCTATATGTGTCACGGCTGCTACAACTGGAGACACGTAAGATGGGAAAGGTACTGTATTAACCAGCAAGAACGAGCATTTGTGGAACACCTGTTACACGCCAGGCACGAAGTGCTTTACATACCCTATGATTTAATCCTCCCAACAACTCTGATTTTCTCTGTGGACATTTTACACATGGGCCAACCGAGGCTGAGGAGGGGCTGTCTTGCCCAAGGTCACAGATGCGGGTCTGGTTCAATCCCAGGCCTGGCTCCGGAAGAAGGACGCACCCTGAACCTCTAGTGGGGGTGAAATGAAGGGAGGGAGATATGGGAACTGGGAACTGGGCTGGTGGCTGGGGTCAATCGGGGGGTAGGGGTCTGTGCAGGAACCAGGGACGCCTGAAGGGCCGGGCTGGGTCGGCGCAAGGAGCAGCAGAACTGGGGCAAAGGCCGTGAGCGCTCCCGGAGTGGGGCTCCGCCTGCCAGCGGCTCTGACAGAGCCGGCCGCCAGGACCTCCGCCCGCTGGGCCAGACGCGGGCTGAAGCCCCGCCGTACGGATCCCCAGCGCACTCACCTCTGCGGGCAGGGCCCGAGGCCCGGGCGAGCAGCGCGGCGGCCATGGGCGACAGACACAGTCCCAGGCTTCGCGACCTCCCGCTGCGAGCGCGCTGTTCCGGAGTGCTGGGGGGCGGGACCCGGGACAGAGGCCACGCCCGTAGGGCCTCGGGAGCGGGGCCGAGGTGCGCTCGCGGCCAGGGGGCGGGGCCTCCAGTGGTCCCTCCCAAGGCGAGGAACCGACGCTCGACTGCGCGCGCGGTCGGTCAGCTGGCTGTTCGTGCCCACATTCGTTAATCAAAATGCTAACAAGAGAAAGCTAAGGATAGAGCTTCGCAGAAAGGCCAGAGAGGTCTTTTTAAAGCATAAATAAGATAGCGATCTTCGGGTTAAAACTTTGTTGGCTTTGTCGGCGGGCCCATCCCTCCTAAAATCCAATTCTATGGCTTAAAAAGCCAAGACCTGCCTTGTCTATCAGGGCCCATGCCCACCGTTCCCTGGTTATTGTTGCTTAGCTTTACGAGGCAGCTCTTCTCTAAGACCCTTAGCTGGTTCCTGACTCGGGGCCTCTGTGATCACTGTTCCTTTTGTCTGGAATGCCCCCTCTTCGTTTAGGTCTCATGGATGCCTGCCCTGACCACACCAAGCCGTTTCTCCCCCTCTGGCTCTCTATCTTTCGTTCTGTTTATTCAAGGCACTTTGCATCTGAAATTATCTGCTTCCCCGACTCGCTCCGAGAAGCTCAAGGACCTGTCTTGTGTTGGTGCTCAATATTTAGGCCCCTGGAGTTGGGCTGCAAGGAAAGCTTTCTTTTCCCCAGAGGCTGTGAAGGTGGGTGGAGATGCTACCCCCGTTCCACTTCAGTACTGTGTCTCATTCCCGATTGGGGCAGAACCCAGACACATATTTGACCCCTAGCATCCTCATCAGGACACCTTTGCCCCGCCCAAGAAACTATGCTGATTTTACTTGTCCCATAAGGGTCTTCTCTTGTGCAAGTGTGATTCTGATTCCCATAGCCTCCTGGGCACCACCCACGCCCTCCCAGGCACCCACACATCCCTCCAACTGCCTTTCTTTCCCAGCACTCAGCCAGGCAGGCATCTGTTCCCAGCATTGACCTATTTGCCAAAACTTCTGTCTCTTCCTCTTGGAGGAAAGTGGAAACCTCGGTCACTACTTCCTAGAAGAAAGCCAATCAAAAGATGCAGCAAAGTCCTTAATGTGTTACCTTTCTTTTTAAATAATGCATTTAAAAGAACGCCTCTAAATTCTCAGTACTTTAAAGTCAAATGAATGGCTCCCATTGGCAAATGCTCTAAGGGCTTCCTCACCTTTCCGTCATCCCACCTGGGAACCAGCCCTGGGTGGAAGAAACGATGAAGAAGCAGGAGAAAAGGGAGAAATAAGTGAGTTGTGTTTGTGAGCAAAGGCCAATAATTGCTTCAGGTGCCACAGAGCATCTAAACCAGACTCTTGAGAATTTGTGACTGTAAATATGAACGTTCAAATTTCATTTTAAAAGTATCCAAGTTTTCCAATAGAGACAGAATCAGATAGTGGTTGCAAGAGGCGAAGTGGGGGAAGTCACCTGGCTGCAAACACAAGGAACTCAGGAACTTTCTGAGTGGGTACGATGGAAATGTCCTATATCATGATTGTGATGGGTAATAAAAGTATTCATTTGTCAAAATGCATCAATACTCTTAATTGAGGTAAATTTTACTGTAGTTAAAGTATTTCTTAATAAGCCTACCTTTATGGCCAGCCACAGTGGCTCACACCTGTAATCCCAGAACTTTGGGAGGCCAAGGCGGGTTGATCACCTGAGGTCAGGAGTTCAAGACCAGCCTGGCCAACATGGGGAAACCCTGTCTCTACCAAAAATACAGAATTAGCCGGGCGTGGTGGCATGCACTTGTAATCCCAGCTACTTGGGAGGCTGAGGCAGGACAATCACTTGAACCCGGGAGGCGAAGGGTGCAGTGAGCCACCATCATGCCATCACATCCCAGCCTGGGAAAAAAGAGCGAAACTCCATCTCAAAAAAAAAAACCCTACCTTTAAAACATGCATGTAAACTTTCAATTTACAAAGCCACTCACCCTGGGAAAATATAAAGCAAAAATATTAAGCCTAAAGTCCAGTACAATTCCTCAATCACCCTAGAAGCCAGCTATACTCTAGTTCAACTACTTACAGAAGGGCCACATAATAGCCAAAGTAAGAGAAACCTGGAGCCCCCATTCGCCCCTGCTCCCCTCAGCAACACAACGGGCCCAACAATCAGGAGACAGGACGAGGGAGACGTACTGTGAAAATCTTTCTTTTATTACTGTCTCATGTGGCAAAATAACATTTTATACAAATAAGTCACCTAGTTTACTTTGGACACAAAGACAATAAAAACTGGAATGTGATTTTGGGGGAAGCGGGAAGGAGGAGGAAGGACAGATCAGGTCATTGATGTTTCTTATATTCTGTAAAAAATAGATTTACAGGAAAAAAAATAGACTTTCACAACTTCAATGACTTTACACGGTCCTTTGTAAAACCAGTGGTAAATCCACCTCCACCAAATCCTTCTTGAGGCTGATATGTTCTGTGACATGGAATGTGAGTAACACAATGGTTCAATGATTAGGCTCCTACACCAGGTACAGCAGCACCTGATGCCACAGGAATCCTCGTGCACTGGGGTGAGGAGTCAGTCCTGTGAATTTCAGGACACACTGTCCTCATCCCCAGACCTCACTGACATCATAGTGACACTGGCCATCAGAAGAAAGTGACTTTACAGAGGGGAAAAGAGTATCCTGGAAGCGTACCGGTGGGGCAGGACACACTAAGGCAGGACTCACCCAGTTTGTACATTAGACACAGCCTATTAAATCCATTCCAGAAATGAGTTCCACTTCAACTGAAAAAATAAACTGAAGATTGCCCAATCACTGCCATTTCACAAATTTCCAGTTTATGGTCAGCCCCAAAATCACATTCTTCCACCCTATGTATTGGAAATCAAATGGCCCAAAGACTGAGGTGTCTTCAGGAAGCACATGCTTGAAAAATGTTTTCTCTGCAAAACAGTATTGAGTAATACATAAGGAGACATAGCCTACTTTAGCCCAAAACTTCTTTCACTTGTTATGTCCTTTTACCTCTTAAAACATAGAATGAAATAAACTCGGATCTTCTTTGGAGAAGCTAGAAGGGCATTTTGGCCCAAAGGCTGTACAGGAAAAGAGAGGCTCTCTCCAGGAGACTGCAAGGCAAAGGAACAGAAGCAGGAGGGGCAGGCCCTCTGGCACCAGGTGGGCCTGCTACTCTGATGAAATGTGCTCCCAGCTCTTGACAAAGGGCAGGGTCTCCTATGCAGGTAGTTTTTTTGCCGCCTCCCATTGTATCACCCACAAGGTAACTGCTATCAACAGTTCAGATTCCTTAATAACATGGCAGCCTGAATGGTTCTGTTACTTTCAGAGAAAGTATGCCTTGCAATTCTCTCCCCAACTCAGGTACAAACGCTTGAATTTCAAACTCATACTGGTTTACACCCCAGAGTGGAATGCTTCTCAAGATTTCCTGAGCAGCTAGACACAGGAACCCACAGCCCCAGATACAGAACACCAGACTTTCAGAAGCAGCAAAGCCCTGTCCTGCTGGGCATGGACCAAGCACTATCCGCAAATGGTCTCCAGTGAGACTAAGGCAAGCTAACAAGGAAGAGGATACAGCACAACTCAAGCCAGATTGCCCACCTCCTCCTTCCTCCACATCCTCTTTCTAGCAAAAGCGAACACTGCAGATAAGAGATAGCCCACTAATGTAGCAGATACAGTGTGCCCAGGGGCATGTTTCCAAGACACACTCTACTAAGCACAGCTCTGGGCAGCTCCAGAACCACATCCCAGATAATACTCAAATATCAAATAGTAGAAACTGTCCCACCTGGGCCTCTGTCAAAGAGAGAAGGGATTGTTGTTACGCTTGACAGGAACATGCAAATCCCATTTGAGGAGCCACAATGAGAAACAGAAGGTGAGGAGACAGTGCTAACAGCCCTGGCATCTTTCTGCCAGTGAGGAGGTGGGAACAATGGCAATGCAGCTTTCCCCTGCAGCATAAGGGACAGAGCCACACGTAAGGCACCTGGATTTACAGTGGACGCCAGTTCTGAGAGTGGCCGGTCTGGTGATAAGGAACCCACTCCACAGGAGGAATGGTCTCTCCCCTCTCTCGGGGCTGAATCCAAGGCCAGCACACAGGGGTAAGCTAGGACCTTCTCAGTGAGAAAGCTGCCAGCATGTGGCATTGCCAAGACTCTGGCCTGGGACAAAGCACTGGGCCAAGGTTCGGGGCCACTCGCCCTAAAGCCCACACAGGGAGCAGCACTGGTGGTGGATGGACAGGAATTTCTGTGGCCACACACTGTCTCTTCCATCCCTGGCCCCCATACGGCCTTTCTCCCAAGCACATCAGGACACTCTCCTGTCACAGGTACTGTGACACCTCACAGTCACTTACCAGATACCTGGGCCTTTCCTAGTGACATCCTTCTACTGATGCTAACTGGACCCTGGCCACATCAATCGTCTCATCAGAGGGTTTGTGGAGTCTGTCCACTAAGGGTCTGAGGACAAAAGCAGCCCACAGATGTGCAAGTGAACTTTTTTGAGAACACATCACTCTGACAGGCCACATCAGCCTATTTTGCCCTTTCTGAACACCTAAAACAATTCTAACTAGCAGTCTGAAGGCTCAGACTGCATTACGTAACTCTGATCCACCAGGAAAGTTCCAGAAACTACTTCAGTAGAAAGGTAGATAGGAAAACCCTCCTAAACAAGAAATGTACAAAGAGCTTCGGAGGCAAATCCCCATCAAAAGCCAATCCTCCAGGCTGTGCAGTGCAGAGAAAAGTCAAATCTCTCCTTTAGAAAGCTGCTGCTGATTCGTAAGCATATCCTCCCAACATAAGCCAGATTAGCCCCTGGAAGCTGATACTATCAGAAGTCTAACCACATATCACATATGCTGGGAACACCACTGTCATTTTATAAAACCTCCCCGAAAGAAGTCTGGAAATAAAAAAACAAAATACAAGACCTGCTCTGGCCTCAAGAGATACTACTGTTCCATGAGCAGAGCTGACTCATTCTATTTCATGAGACTCAGAAGGGAGGAGCCAGGAGATGTGGAGCAAGCTTGTCTGTCCTCCAAAATGGGAACAGAAGGCACTGCCAGGCTGAAAACTTGGTCTATTCCCAGGAGGGCTGGCTGAGACCCTGGAAGTCAGACAGAGCAGCAGCCTCTCCACAAAGCAGACCCTTCAGCTTGGCAGCATCACCCATTCCTTGGTGCCTCCACTCTTGGCACCTCCCTCCCTCCCCACCCTTTCAAGTGTCTTCCAGTTGGTTTAAGACTTCACACAGACCGAGGGCAGACTGCGCTGATGGCAATGCCGGAGGTGAGAGGAGGAGCTACCTGGAAGAGGCCTACCTTTCAGCTTCCCACAGCACCCAGGAACCTTAAGAGCTGCTGACCTGCTGGTGGGCCTGGCCAGAGCCTTCTCACCAGGCACAGCTATGCCTGGTCGTCAAGACAACCAACAGGCAGCCAGAACTACGGAAAATAAACTTTTTTATCTGGATTCCAGGACCCTTATCCTAACCTTTTACTTTACTATAGTACCTCTGCAACCTACGGGGCAGGAAAAAAAGGGAAGAAAAAATACTGGGGAAGAAAACACAGCACTGTTTGGCAGCTCCTTTGGCGCGCAGGAAACTGCCACCCCAGCCTTGGCTTCCTGGGGCCAGGTTCCAGATGTGTGTTGACAAACTGCAGCTTCGATCATCTCCGTGTGCCAGGATCTTGTGGCCGCGGCAAAGCACCTCCCCTATCTACTCTTGCAGCACTTACTGGCCTCCATTATAGGCATAATCAGCCTTGTTGTGCATTATCAGCTTGTTGTCAACAAAGTAGAAGCTGTCAGAGCGGGTCTCGTAAGGATTTTCAATCATTAGACGAACTGCAAGTCAGGCAAAGGGGGAAGAAAAAAGCAAAGAATTATGTTTGAGTCTGCCCCACAGGGTAGGTGGGAGAAAACTTTGCATCCCCTCCAAAATAAGCCAGCGCTTCAGAGTATACTCTGCCAGAATAACGATGAGGTCAGAACAGAGGGAGGCAGCCCTTGACAGCTGGGGAGACCACAGAGGCCCCCCAGCTGAACATGATCTCCATTTCAACATAAGGATGCAATCAACTCTCCACCATGGCCTCCTCTGTCATCTCCAGCCTGGATTCTTCAGCCAAGATACCAGGGAAATGTGCTCACCCCTCTTCCCAACATGGACCCCACCAACCTATTTACTCAGTGCTCTCAGCTGACCAAAGCCAGCCCTGGCCTCTGGTCAGTGGCCCACCTCTAGACATTCCACTCCAAATTCAGAAATCTGAGCCTCACTGTGCCCACCTCCACACACAACCCTGACAACCCAAGGAAACCTAGATTGGAATGAGTGCAAGGAACACAGGGCAGGGAGCCTTCTCCGGAGACCTTCTGGGTATTAACTCGCAAATGATTCAGCAATAGGTCTGCCTGTCTTGGGATCTAAAGTAAAGTCTTGTTTGTTCAGGCAATTGCCCAGACCTCTTTAACCATACTGGAGAGTAAAGATAATTAACAGTCACTACCTCTGATCAGTTTTGAGTTAATGATTACATGCCATTTTGAGTCTTTAACCATACTGGAGAATAAAGATAATACTACCTCTGATCAGTTTTGAGTTAATGATTACATGCCATTTGGAGTCCCCTGGAGGAAATGCTGTTGCTCACCACAGTTCTCAAAAAGTGAAACTGATTTTTTAAAGTTCTTTGAACCCACCAATGCCAAAACTACTCGGTTTATATGCATAATATTGCCCTCCAGGCTGATTTGGCTTCATGGGTAAAACTTATAACACTATACATCATCTTTTCTTGCAAGTATCTACATATTCTAGCCAGCTTGGGAAGAGGGGTTCAAGTCAGAACCAGATGCTGTCGTCAACACCCTGCCCCACATCTCAGCAATCCTCATTTTACCTGGGAACTGTACTGCCACACGATTAAAGGTTATCTGGTTTTCAGAATATGACAATTCTTAAGGACCTGGGATTCTGAGAGGACCAATCAGTGATGCCAGCAAGGCAACTACAGGCATCACTAGTCACAGGATTCTATTCACACCCTCATAAATGACTTGAATTTTCCCTAACTATTCACAAAGGATGCGAACCTGAGGTGGCTAGGCCAAAGTTGCAGAAACTGACAAGGGCTGTTCTTTCTCTCTCGTTTGGTCCCCATCTTCCCTTGCCGAGGCTACACGGCAGCAGCCTTCTCCCTCTGGTGCCCTCCCCAGGTCTAGGCCACTCTTCCTCAAACAGTATTTCCACCTTCTCACTCCTGCCCCAAAATCTACAACAGCCCCATTCCTTCCTGCTGGATCTATCTCAACACTTTATCCAATCAACTCTCTATCCTGCAGGGAATGGAAAAGAAGTCCTCTGGCCTTGATTCTATTTAGCCTGCAGTTTCACATCTAGCTCTGATTAAGAAAAAAGTGAAGGGCCAATGACTAAAACACAATGGAAAACCATGACTAACAGTGCACAGGAGAGGTGCTTTATCTGATCAGCGTCCCAGGGATGGTCACAGGCCTCCTTTTATCTCCCTTAGGCACTGTCTTCCCACAGGAGGCATCTAAAAGGATGGCCTGTATTATTAAAACCTTCAGACCGGCCGGGCGCAGTGGCTCAAGCCTGTAATTCCAGCACTTTGGGAGGCCGAAGCAGGCGGATCACGAGGTCAGGAGATTGGGACTATCCTGGCTAACACGGTGAAACCCCGTCTCTACTAAAAATACAAAAAATTAGCCGGGCATGGTGGTGGGCACCTGTAGTCTCAGCTACTCAGGAGGCTGAGGCAGAATGGCATGAACCCAGGAGGCAGAGCTTGCAGTGAGCCGAGATTGCGCCACTGCACTCCAGCCTGGGTGACAAGATCAAGACTCCGTCTCAAAAAGAAAAAAAAAAAAAACCTTCAGACTGAGCACAGTGGCTCACGCCTGTAATCCCCAGTACTTTGGGAGGATGAGGCAGGTGGATCACAGGGTCAGGAGTTCGAGACCAGCCTGACCAACATGGTGAAACTCTGTCTCTACAAAAAATACAAAAAATTAGCCGGGCATGGTGGCAGGTGCCTATAATCCCAGCTACTCGAGAGGCTGAGGCAGGAGAATCACTTGAACCCAGGAGACGGAGGATGCACTGAGCCAAGACTGCGCCACTGCACTCCAGCCTGGGCAATAGGGCAAGACTCCGTCTCAAAAAAAAAAGAAAAAAACAAAAGGGCCGGGGGCAGTGGCTCACACCTGTAATCCCAGCATTGTGGGAGGCCGAGGAGAGTGGATCATGAGGTCAAGTGTTCGAGACCAGCCTGACCAACATGGTGAAATCCCGTCTCTACTGAAAATACAAAAACTAGCCAAGTGTGGTGTAATCCCAGCTACTCAGGAGGCTGAGGCAGGAGAATCGCTTGAACCTGGGAGGCAGAGGTTACAGTGAGCCGAGATCGCGCTGCTGCACTCCAGCCTGGGCAACAGACAGAGCAAGACTCTGTCTCAGGGGAAAAAAACAAAAACAAAAACAAACAAACCCTTCATTGCTCCCATACGGGCCGAGTCAGAGTTTAGAACAGGAGCCAGGAGCAATAGGAAATGAGAAGCCTGAGGTCAAATGACTAGATACGCATCATGTCAGCACTGCCACGAGACAATGCCAGGGCGCTGGACCAGATGGGTTTCAAGGTTTGTTCCTTGTAGCCCTCAGAATCTAGAGTGCTGTAAGGGTCAGGGGATACATACTGACATCCTCCGAAAGCTGGGGAAACTCATAGATATGTTCACAAGTGTTCCTACTGCTGGGGATGCAGAAGCCAAAATCAAAGTCAAAGTTTTTCAGCAAGTGTTCCCGGAAATAGTGCCGTTCGATCATCCGGAAGTTTGAAACAGGTTTGTCTCCCACTGTGAACTCCACCCTGGAAAATAAATCTCTGTAAGCCCGACTTTGCCTCCTCCCTCCTCTAAAGCCAACCCAAAACCCAACCGAAAACACTCTTCTCTGTGAACAAACAGAATGTTCTCCCCTCAGGTAGTAATGGTACTCACGTAGCCCCGACTGTCCGGAGGCGGAGAAATGCCGGTGTGAACTGATAGCGGACAAAACGTCCTGCGCTGATGTCCACGTCTCCACCTCCCTCCTCCTCATCCTCCTCCTGGTCTGAAAGAGCACACAGAATCTTCAGTGCACCATCTCGACATTCTCAATCCAAGAGTTCTATCACCAGTCCCAACAGCACAATGGCAACCAATCCCAGTAACCACACCAACAAGAAGAATGGCCAGTGTTTACTGCGCACTTGCTATATAGCAGGACACTTGCCATAGTCCAGACTCCTTACAACAACCCTTCGAGGTGTTACTGTCTCTATTTTACAGATCAGGAAGCTCAAGTTCAGAGAAGTCAGGTAACATGTCCAAAGTCCCTCAAACAGTAAGAGGAGGGAACAGGGATTTGAATCCAGGTCCATCTGACTCAAGGCCTGTTCTTCAACACTAAGCTATTAGCCTTTTTTAATAGTTTGAGAGCTTATGCCATATCCTAAGGGTGAAACCTGAAACACAAGCTGGGAACTGGGCCTCTGACATGGTCTATTCTATTCAGACTAGGTCTGCAGTTAACCAAGTTGAAGCGCTAGCACCAACCTAAAAGAATGAGGCTACAAAAGTTGACACTTATCAGAAAGTTATTTCAATGAATATAAAAATTTCTGACAGGCTGCAAAGATAAACCACTAAAAATAATTTTGTTATTTAAATAGAAGACATTGACCTACAGCCTTGGGATACTATAGTTCCTTGACTGATGTTTACTTCTAGGCCATACCAGGCCTAACCCTTTGACCACCTGGGAAAGGGTGAAGCAGATGTGGTGGCCTCTACAAGGTTAATGCTGGTCTCCGGTCTAGTCCATTCCTGAACCCAGGAGATGAAAGATTTGTAAAATGAATCAGAGGGCTGGGCACGGTGGCTCATGCCTGTAATCCCAGCACTTTTGGAGGCCGAGGTAGGCGGATCCCCTGAGGTCAGGAGTTCAAGACCAGCCTGACCAACATGGAGAAACCCTGTCTCTACTAAAAATACAAAATTAGCCCAGCGTGGTGGCGCATGCCTGTAATCCCAGCTACTCGGAAGGCTGAGGCAGGAGAATTGCTTGAACCCGGGAGGCGGAGGTTGTAGTGAGCCGAGATTGTGCCATTGCACTCCAGCCTGGGCAACAAGAGTGAAACTCCGTCTCAAAAAAAAAAAAAAAAAAAAAAAAAAAAAGAATCAGAGAACAAGCATTCTAATGTGAATAGGAGTTAGTACCCTCCAGTGTCCAGTGAGGATATTTTCTCCAGGTCTAAGCTGTACATGAGTACAACATAAGAGAAGACTTTTTCAGCATCAAACATCTCTGCTTTTGACAAGCCCAAGAGCGACTGGGCAACCAGGCTGAGTAGGGGTTCACCCCCAGAGACTCTAAAACCCTGGCTCCAACAATGTGACTCAGAGAGACAGCAAATCTTGGGGATTCAAATTCATCAGAACAAGTGCTGCAGAAAGGTAGTGATTCAGTGTGAGGATAATCTGTTGTTTATATTTATTGATTTATTTTGAGATAGGGTCTCACTCTGTCACCTTTGCTGGAGTGCAATGCAGTGATCACGGCTCACTGCAGCCTTGATCTCCCAGGCTCAAGCCATCCTTCCACCTCAGCCTCCTGAGTAGCTGGGACCACAGGCATGTGCCACCACGCCTGGCTAATTTTTTTGTATTTTTTGTACAGATGGGGTTTTGCCATGTTGCCCAGGCTGGTCTCAAACTCCTGGGGCTCAAGTGATCTGCCTGCCTCAGCCTCCCGAAGTGCTAGAATTACAGGTGTGATCCACCGCACCCAGCCTCAATGTGGGGAATATTACAAGTGAATCAAGATCCTTAAATGTAAAAACTAGAGAGACTGAAAACCAAGATACTTTACAGTATCTTCAGCTGACCTTCTTGAAACAGTTCCGTCTTATATTGAAATGACAACTCTTGAGTCTAATCCAAATCCACATACCTGTAGTAGGCCTGGAGTCCTTGCAATGTCCCAGGTACTGTGATATGTGGCTTAGAGATGAGAACACCACAGACCCAGGAAGCTAGCTGGTCTTGATCTGACCATCCCAATAAAAAACTACCCATAAGCAACCAGGCGCGGTGGCTCACGCTTGTAATCCCAGCACTTTGGGAGACCAAGGCAGGCGAATCAAAGGTCAGGCGTCTGACACCAGCCTGACCAACATGGTGAAATCCCGTCTCTATTAAAAATACAGAAATTAGCTAGGCATGGTGGTGGGCACCTGTAATCTCAGCTACTTGGGAGGCTGAGGCAGGAGAAGCTCTTGAACCCAGGAGGCAGAGGTTGCAGTGAGCCAAGATTGTGCCACTGCACGCCAGCCTGGGTGACAGACCAAGACTGTGTCTCAAAACAAACAACACAAAAAAAAAACCCACAAAACAACAACAACAAAATTACCCATGAACTTGAGCCTTTAGGTGCCTTGGTCAGTATGAGATTATGATAGCATAAATACCACCAGGTAGGGGTGAAATCGGGGCCTTATCAAATTTGCAGGCTCTAAGTAGCAAATCAGATGAGAAACACTGCAAAGTAAGTTTACAAACCACACTGATACTATGGGTATCTGTACCAGTGTTCTAACAAATGACTAACTCCAGGGGGCGCTAAACCTCCAGTGAGGTGCTCCAAAGGCTTCTGTGGTCCAGATCAGCCTGGCACTTTATCACAAGCACAGGAAGCGGCTATGGGAGGCTAATTTAAGGAACCCCAAGTAGTTGAGTTCCTGGGTCTGTTCTTCCAGAAAATGGTTGAGATTAAAATCCAAACTAGGTCTGGGAACTCCAAGGCAATATGTAAAAGAGAGCAAGAAGATGGCTCAAACTGCCTCATGTCTGGACCAGGATCCTCCCTATCACCCTCCAAGAGGGCACCAGGCTCAGGTGAGTTTTCCTCATTATAGTTTAATTTCAAGGATTCCTTTCCCAACTGGAGGCAACATGGTAAGATGAACCAGCACAGGGCCTTAGGAAAGAGCCGCCTGGGAATTGTAGGCCTCAGATCCTTCGCTGTAAAACAGAGATAACAGTAATTCCTCAAAGAGGTGTGAGGATTACATACACTGATGTGCACAAAGACGTGGAACACAGTGACCAGCACAGAATAGACATCCAACAAACATCAGCCTCTGAACGCAGCTTCAAACCACCATGCCTGGCAGACCAGGCCACGGGAAGAGGTCACAGAAGTGGGACACACTGGAGTCCAAGAAACAGGATGCAGTGGCACACAAAGATTTGAGTTTCAAAGACCTTTGGCTCAAAACTGTCTAGTGGTCACCACAACGTAGAGGCCTACCTGAAACGCAAGGTTTGGCAATCTCAAAAAGTACTGTCCCTGTCTCCAAATCTCGAATTTTGAAGCGGGTGAAATCAATACTGTAGATGTTGTCTTCGGGTTTACATAAATAATCTGAAAACAAGAGAGAGAAACCAACACTGTTAAATAATCCTCCAAAACTACCATTTATTTAATTCTCAAGTTTTGAAGCAAACTCAGATTTTTTCTTACACAACACACTTAAAATACTCCCAAAAACTTTCTCATGTGTTATCACCAGCAGAAGTTGTATGGACAGAATTAGGGGATCCAACAAAGAAAAAAAATAACAAGGACTTGCTTTGGATGAAAAATTGCAAAACTTTTAGAAACTAGGATAGAAAAGGTGGATTTCTTTGGAAACACATAAAAATCTTTCATCATCTATCAAGTTGGATGTCAGAACAGGGCGAACTTTTTATAGAATTCCAATCTAAGACATTTAAACTGACTTAGCAGATAATACAGTGCTAGTTTGCCAACGTTAGTTTGCCAACTGTCAGTGTAAGAAAGCCGAGATCAGCAAACTTTTCTGTAGAGCCAGATTCTAAATAATTTAGGCTTTGCCGCCACATGGTCTCTGTCACAACTACTCAACTCTATCATTGTAGCCACAAAAGCATCCACAGACAATACGCAAATGAATGAATGTGGCTATATTCCAGTAAAACTGTATTTATGGACACTGAAATATGAATTTTACATAACCACGTGTCTCAAGATTTTAAAGTTTTTTTCAACCATTTAAAAATGTACAAACCTAATCTTAGTTTGTGGGCTACACAAAATCATACAGTAGACAATACATATCATACATATCCAGGCAAGAGGATAAATCTGCCGGTGAAGACATTAGGCCCAAGTGACTAGAACATGAGCCGCAAATTGAAATAATTCTAATCACAGCAAATTTCACTGATTTCTTTCTAGGATGATTCCGGATAGCATCTTCTCCACAGCTCATTTTGATACTTGATCTTTTATTGCCTGAGTTAGTTGTTTTCGTGTTTTACAAGTTGTCTCTTTATTAAGACGACAAACTTGACAACTACTGATTATTCTGTAACTGCTAAAAAGGCTAACATTGGCTTTGGACTCTTAGAGGGTACTCAAATAATCTGCTGGATAGAATGAACGAGACGTTAAGAAGAGTAACAAAGAGGTTGCCAGACTCTAAGAAGCTGCAGAGGTGGGTTTGGACAATGAGCAACAATCCCAAGCCCCCAGATAGGATCTGAGTGCCCACTGAGAATCCTGCTTAGGGCCAGGCACAGAATACCCTAACTCACTTGGATGGCAGGAGAGGGCATGAGGTTACCAAGACCAGGTGCTGAGCATCTGTACTTTCAGAGCCCCAAATGAAAACTGGTTCAGAAGAAAAGAAGCTTTTTCACACTGTTTCAATAAAACTAACAAGAATGTCTAAAGATACGTTCAGGTCTGGTAAGGACAGTCTCAACCCAAACAGTATTGGGAAACGGGGGCATCCAAATATCTAGAATCAAATTAAAACTCTTTTAGGAAATGGGAATTCCCTTTCGCACAGGGTGGACCAAGGCCTACTCCCCCCAAATTTCCATCCCCAAATTACTAGAGCTGCAATCGGCAACCTGAGGTGCACCTGAACAGCCCTGGGCTGCCTGCTATAGCAGCTCAGCAGACACCATGGCAGCCTTCGATCCATCCAGGGAATGTTGCTGCTGCCACAGGGTTAGGAGACTGCACGCCAGGAGTGATGGGCAGGCCAAGATAGGCCTAACTAGGTGAGTGCACACTCCTGCAGGGAAAACAGCAGCAAGAGAAAAGACGTCAAGTCAGGGACTGGCTTGGCAGAGAACAGAAAAAGGGAGATCACCCAGGGCAGGGACTGGGCAACATTTTTCTTCCCACCCATCCTCCTATCAACGAAAAAGCTTAGGATGGTTGCCTTTTGTGCAGGAAACGCATTTCTGAAACTCTGAAATCATTCTTAATTCACGAGAATGTCAAAAGCAGGATTCACATGTCGGAGTCTGTACACAAACTGAAACTTTATTTTTGTTTTAATGTGGCACAGTTTTAAATGAGCAGGAAATGCCACGGCTATGTGTTTTGAGGAAGAACCCATCTGCACACTAAGGGGCAACGCTCCCGACCCAAAGAGGGAGGGAGGCCGGGCAGGCTGCAATGGGGGAGGGCTGCCATGGGGCCAGGGCGGAGGAAGCAGGTAAGGCTTCTGGCCTGCCAGAGGGCTGGGGGAGCCTGGCTGAGCGGGAACTTCACTGATGGCCGGGGGTTCCAGGCTGAGGGCCCAGGGGCCCATTTATTAGGGGACCTCGGCCCCCGGCCGGCTCAGGAGGATCCAGTTCAGCTGAACGGGGCCCTCTACCCAAACAGGTCCGGCAGAGCTGGGGAGCCGACCGGCCGAAGGGCATCCTAGCGTGGCCGGACTCACAGGAATGCGGTCCAGCCCAGGAGAGTCCTTCCCCACCAGAGCTACGTGAGCGTGGCGGGAGCAAAGCCCGGCCGGCGGGGCAGCGGGAAGCGCGGCCCGGCCGGCCGAGGGGGTCTGGCGGGGACCCCCGCGCTGGTCAAGTGGCCGGGTCCGCTGAAGGCTCCGGGAGCCGGGGCACGGCGCGAGGGGAGGGCGCGGCCCGCGCGGCACTCACTCTCGGTGACCCGGCTGAGGCGCAGGACGTGCTCGGGCCGGATGGTGTCCAGCGCCAGCAGCTCCTGCTCCGTGACCGCTGCCCCGACGCCGTCGTCGGCCGCGTGGTGGGGCGCCTGCCGCCGCGCCTTCAGGCGGTTCAGGACGCCGCCGCCCGCCTTCTTCTTCTCCTCCTTGCCAGCCACCAGCCCCCCGGGCCCAGCCGCCGACGCCGCGGCCGCAGCCTTCGGGTTAGACCCGCTCATCGCTCCGCCGCCAAGATGGCCGCCGCCTCCACAGCGCGGTAACTATGGAGAGCGGGGGCGGGGCCCGGGGCCCGGCGGGGAAGGGGCGGGGAGGGGGCGGGGCGGGGGCGGGGGCGGGCGCCCGGGGGGCTGTGGAATTCCCTTTCGCACAGGGTGGACCAAGGCCCACTCTCCCCAAACTTCCATCCCCAAATAACTAGAGCTGCCATCAGCAACCTGAGGTGCACATGAGCAGCCCTGGGCTGACTCCTATAGCAATTCAGCGGACGACACCATGGCAGCCTTCGATCCATTCAGGGAATGCTGCTGCTGCCACAGGGTTAGGAGACCGCAGGCCAGGAGTGATGGGCAGGCCAAGATAGGCCTAACTGGGTGACTGCACACTCCTGCGGGGCCCGGGGGGCGGTGCTTCGGCTACTGCCCCAACTTTGGTCCTGCCAGGTGGAGGGCCTAGGGGTGGCTGGAGCTTCAGCAACCCCACTCCCCATCAGACCCCCAAGATCCTCCACGATGTTTAAATACATATCTTACGGTCAAATGAATTTACGTCATATAAACTTTCCTCCTCCTCATCCTCCTCCTGGTCTGAAAGAGCACACAGAATCTTCCGTGCACCATCTCGGCATTCTCAATCCAAGAGTTCTGTCACCAGTCCCAACAGCACAATGGCAACTAATTCCCAGTAATCACACCAAGAAGAAGAATGGCCAGTGTTTACTGCGCACTTGCTATATGGCAGGACACTTGCTATAGGGCAGGCTCCTCACCTCACAACAACCCTGTGAGGTATTACTGTCTCCATTTTACAGATCAGGAAGCTCAAGTTCAGAGAAGTCAGGTAACATGTCCAAAGTCCCTCAAGCAGTAAGAGGAGGGAACAGGGATTTTAATCCAGGTCCATCTGACCCAAGGCCTGTTCTTCAACACTAAGCTATTAGTGGACAATGCATCTTGAGAAAATGTTTATTAATATATTTAGCATAGAAGGTAAGTTAAAGCAGTGTTTGTTTTGCAAAGGCAGTTTCAAGACAAACTTTCCAATGAGATTGCCATCCGTAAGCCCTACTGTGCCAGGCCCTGGGCTAGACATTGGGCTAGGCTACAGGAGATGTAAGAGTGAGGGCAGGGATTGGGTCTGCCTCACCCCTGAATTCCCAGCAGTTCAGCTAATGCCTGACACGTGGTAGGTGCTCAGTAATGATTGAATGAGAGCCTGAACAGTATCCCACTATGGAAGAGCTCCCACTTTTGTTAGAGAAGACTGTAAAGTACACAATTCATTATGTGACCCTTCCTTTTCACAAGGTAGGTTAGTATGAACTGGAAGACAAACTAGATTCACTGACTGCACTAAGAGATGCAGCAAAGGTGCTAGGAGAACACACAGGAGTGGTTTATTCTGACCTGGCTGTAAAAGCTTGAGGGCTTCGGAAGTTTTCAGAGGCAATATCTGCACTGAGCTTTGGAAGTTAGCCATGACCTCACCAATTAGCCAGAAGTGGGTCAACAGGGGGATGTGGTCTACCGTCTTCCACCCTGAGGGGCTCCTTCTCTAGGGATTCTAGATCTGCACTGTTCTGTGTTGGAGGCCTGGGCCTGATTGATGCAGTGTGTCTGCTAGGTCTGACATCACCTCTCAGCCAGGCTAGAGTAAAATTGCAACCGTCCCCCAGAGCCTCTTGACGTTCTTGCCAGGCCTTGCTTGCTGAGTCCCTCTCACCAAAGCCACCAAGACAGGCATCTCTTGGTTCCTGGACAAAGTCCAAACCTGACCCCACCCCAGCTGCCCAATTGGGTGGCATAGTGTGTGGCCAAATTCCTACCCAAATGCTGTACTGTCTTTGAGAGATTAGTATATGGTGGCATTTAACTAACTGTTCAGGGAGATTTTAATAAATGTGTACAAAGAATTAAAGTCTTTCCTTTTACAAACAACTCTTTTTAAACCACTCAACAGAGTGGTTACTGAAGAATTTCCAGAACTTTTAATATGCTACTTGATTGTGAATGGCCAAGAGGGTGGTTTAGCATGTGGTCATTTCCCATATACTTATTTACGGAAGGTTTGTTCTCATAGCACCAAGACTAGTTACCTGGACCATGGCTTTTCTCTTTCTAGGGATGATGGCAAATGTAACCTCTTCACCTGCAATTCCACATCTAGGAATTTACCCTACCTGCATGCACAGAGATTTGTAATATTGACAAATTACAATAAATTACATTTGTATCCATTCACGTTACATAGAGCTGTTTTAAAAAATGAGACATATATATTAGTATGGAAAGATCTCAAACATATATTAAGTAGGGCAAAAAGCAAGGCACAGAGTCATATTTGTGTATTTATTTATTTAAGACAGGGTCTCACTCTTGTCACCCAGGCTGCAGTGCAGTGGCACAATCACAGCTCACTGCATCCAGCCGCGAATCCCATTTATTTAAAATAAAAAGTATATAAATATTTAGATGTGGGCCGAGTGTGGTGGTTCATGCCTGTAATCCCAGCACTTTGGGAGGCCAAGGTGAGCAAATTGCTTGAGCCCAGGAGTTCGAGACCAGCCTGGGAAACATGGCAAAACCCCGTCTCTACTAAAAATACGAAAATTAGCTGGGCGTGGTGGTGCATGCCAGTAGTCCCAGCTACTCAGGAGGCTGAGGTGGGAGAATCACCGGAGCCCAGGAAGCCGAGGCTGTGTGAGCTGAGATCGCACCACTGCACTTTAGCCTGGGCCATGGGCGTGAGACCCTGTCTCAAAAAAAAAAAAAAAAAAAACACAGATAGACATAGACATAAATATAAATATGCATTTGTAACTGTAAAGGAAGAGGTCTGGATATACATTAAAACATTAACTTTGATTACGTCTGGGGAGGAGAGTATCAGAAGAGACTAAAGGAAATATATTCACTTTTGACATTATTTAGAACTACTACTTCTGTACTATTTTATCTCAAGCATATAATCATGGGCTGCTTGTATACTTTTTTAAAAAGAAAATACCGGCCAGGTGCAGTGGCTCACGGCTATAATTCCAGCACTTTGGGAAGCCGAGGCAGGCAGATCACAACGTCAGGAGTTCGAGACCAGCCTGACCAATATGGTGAAACCCCGTCTCTACTAAAACTACAAAAATTAGCCGGGCATGGTGGCACACTCCTTTAGTCCCAGCTACTTGGGAGGCTGAGGCAGGAGAATCGCTTGAACCTGGGAGGTGGAGGTTGCAGTGAGCTGAGATCGCGCCACTGCACTCCAGCCTGGCAACAGAGCAAGACTCTGTCTCAAAAAAAAAAAAAAGAAAAGAAAATACTTTTGGATCTGTGTCTGGAAGGCAAACTCTATGCCAAAGTTGCCTTACAAATCTTTTAAAATTTAAAAGCAACCTCAAACTTAATTTTTTTTTTTTTTTTTCTGACGGGTCTCGCTCTGTCACCCAGGCTGGAGTGCAGTGGCACAATCTCGGCTCACTGCAACCTCTGCCTCCTGGGTTCAAGCGATTCTCCTGCCTCCGCCTCCCAAGTAGCTGAGAACACAGGCACGCGCCACCATGCCCAGCTAATTTTTGTATTTTTAGTAGAGACGGGGTTTCACCACGTTGGACAGGCTGGTCTCGATCTTCTGAACTTGTGATCCACCTGCCTCAGCCTCCCAAAGTGTTGGGATTACATGCGTAAGCCACTGTGCCTGGCCTGTTTTTTTATTTTACTTTATTTTTTATTTTTATTATTCTTTTTTTTGAGACAGAGTCTCATTCTGTCGCCCAGGCTGGAGTACAGTGGCACAATCTTGGCTCACTGCAACCTCCGCCTCCCAGGTTCAAGCGATTCTCCTGCCTCAGCCTCCCAAGTAGCTGGGATTACAGGTGCCCACCACCATACCTAGCTAATTTTTGTATTTTTAGTAGAGATGGGGTTTCACCATGTTGGTCAGGCTGGCCTTGAACTGACCTCAGGCGATCCGCCTGCCTCAGCCTCCCAAAGTGCTGGGATTACAGGCGTGAGCCACCATGCCTGGCATTTTTTTTTTTTTTTAAGTAAATACTGCCATATGAGTCAGAGCTTGTACTCTCTCTGGGCACTACCTATGAATTTTGGTTAAAAGGAATAGACTGGCTGGGCACAGTGGCTCATGCGTGTAATACCAACACTTTGGGAGGCCAAAGCCAGAGGATTGCTTGAGGCCAGAAGTTCGAGGGGTGAGAGTGAGACTGTAAGAAAGGACGGGGGGAAAGGAAGGAAACGAGAAAAGAAAGAAGGAAATGAAGGAAAGGGAAAGGGAAGGAAATATATATAATTTCATTTTTTAAAGGGGTAGGAAAAATTAGGGGTGTAACCGCCAATCTGCCTTTCCACATCAAATTTTTTGAGGTGTGGGGAAAGGCTCTTTTAAAATGTCTTTTGAAAATTACATATACTAACACTTTATTTGGGGGAAGAAGGAAAATAGAGGACTACTGCATTAAATAGTAATCCTGACACCAAAAGCAGAGGGCCAGCCTTCCTTTCCCCCCAGCTCAGGGCTGACTCTCTCCCGCTGGCTGTTTTCCTCCCTGTAAGAGGTGTGAGAGTGGCTGTTTTCCAGGGCAGTCCCAGAGTAGCCAGGCAGTCTGCCTTCAAATCAGGCCAGGCAGGTGGGGCCCAGAGCTGGTGTAACCAAGGTAAGCAAGACATCATCAGCTGGCATTTTTCTGCCAAGACTGAAAGTTCAGTCCTGCTTTCTGCTGCCTCCCCAGATGGCATGCACTGAATTAGCAAATCATGGCTGGGATTGCAGGCATGGCTTGTGGTCTGGGACTAAGAGCTAGTAATTTCCTTAGTACCAAGTCACTCTACTATCTGGCTGAGGGCTGTTTGTTTGTTTGTTTGTTTGTTTGTTTTTAAGAAGGAGTCTTGCTCTGTTGCCAGGGTGGAGTGCAACGGCATGATCTTGGCTCACTGCAACCTCTGCCTCCCATGTTCAAGTGATTCTCCAGCCTCAGCCTCCCAAGTAGCTGGGATTACAGGTGCCCACCACCACGCCTGGCTAATTTTATATTCTTAGTAGAGACGAGGTTTCACTTTGTTGGCCAGGCTGATCTCGAACTCCTGACCTCAGGTGATCCACTTGCCTCAGCCTTCCAAAGTGCTGGGATTACAGGTGTGAGCTACTGCGCTTAGCCAGAGGGCTGTTTTTAAAAAGCATTATTTATTATTTATATCCTACCTGTTTCCAAAAGAGATTTCTGGCATATTCCAAAGTCACAGCACAAGATTGGTGAGTAAAAATTCATATAGCCTCATGGAGGACAGTACTTTCAAATTTTTAAATGCATATATTGTTTGATCCAGTAATTCCTTAAAGGAATTCCCTAAAGAAACACCTGCACATACGCACAAAGATATATGCATAAGCATGTTCACTGCAGCAGTTTGTACTGGCAAAAAATGAGCAGTATCTTAATGTTCATCTACAGGGGATTGGTAAAATCAATTACAATCTAACCATAAGATACTGTACAGCCCTTGAGTGAGGAAAATCTCTATGTACTGACCCATCTATATGAACTACCTCTCTAAGACATATTAAGTAAAAATGGCACAGAATGATATGTATGGTATATTCCCACTTGTTTAAAAAGACTCTGTGTGTGTGTGTGTGTGTATATATATATATATGTAAATACATATATATGTAAATACATTTACACACATATATGTAAATACATTTACATATATATTACATATATATAAATACATATATACACATATATATATGTAAATACATTTAAAATGAAAGATACACACCAGAATGTCCTCTGTATTATCCTTTAGGGATTAGAGGGATAGGGAAGAAAATGATTTTTCAGGCCAGGTATGGTGGCTCACACCTCTGATCCCAGCACTTTGGGAGGCCGAGGTGGGCGGATCACTTGAGTCCAAGAGTTTGAGACCAGCCTGGGCAACATGGCAAAATCCTGTCTTTACAAAAAGTATAAAAATTAGCTGGGTGTGGTGGCTGCACACTGTAGTAGTCCCAGCTACTCAGGAGGCTGAGGTGGGAGGATCGCTTGAGCCTGGGAGGTCAAGGCTGCAGTGAGCCAAGATCTTGCCACTGCACACCAGCCTGGGTGACAGAGCAAAACCCGGCCTCAAAAAGAGGAAAAAAAAAAAGAAAAAGAAAAGAAAATGATTTTTCACATTTTGCACTCCTAACACTTTTTTAAGAATTTATTTCTGTATATATTTATAGATCTTTATATCACCAAGTCTTAAAAGTTACTTTTTCAGAGAAATAATAAAACCTCCATGTAATCATAGATTCATCAGTTATCAATACTCAAAGGTTCCTCTTTAAAACTAGTATATCATGGCACTAAAAGCACAGATTTTGGGGTCAAACAGCATTGGGTTCCAGTCTTTGCTCTGCCAATTACCAGCTATGTGACTCTGGCCAGGTCGTTTCTCTCCTGAGGCCTTTGTGCCTTCATTTATAAGTCAGGCTAGTCACAGGTCTTTCCTAGGATTGTTATGAAGAGACACAAAACGGCAAGAAAAAGCACTGTACTGGTGCCAGGAAGAGTGTCCCATGAATGGTCACTATGACAATATACACAAGTGGCCTCTTTCTCCACGCCCCCTCTGTTGAGGGCAGGCACACAGGGCAGGCGCATGGGGCAGGGAGAAGCCATGGATCCAGGTGAGAGAGTGCAGTGACAAAGCAAGTGGAGTTATTTCGTACTAATGTTAAGTGGTTAGGAACAAACAAAACTGAGACTCTTGGGCCAGGGTGCTGCAGCGAGGTGCTTGTGGCCTTAGGTTGTTGGAGAGCAGAGGCAAGCCCGCTCCAGGACCTCCATGCTCCGCCTCCTTTCTGCCTTGACCCCTCACCACTGCGATAGCAATGAGCTTTCCAGTAAGTACTAGAAAAACTCATCTCTCTTCCTTTATGGGGGATGGGGGGTACTAAGTATGGAGAAAGGTCTCACCGGCTCCAGCCAACCGGGAGCCTGATTTCCTTAGTAAGATTAAGATCTGGACCCACAGAGTGGTCCAACCCAACCCCGGTACTTGGCCCAAGATCTTCTGTCAGACAATTTCCCTCCCTGTAACTCCCTAGAGCAGGAGTTCTTCAGGTCTCTTCCCCATTTGGCAGCTCATGCAAAGCTACTTGAAATAGTAACAACGAAATCTGAATTAGGAAAGAACTCCAGTTATGGGTGGGCTCAGCCTAAGAAAGAGGCTCTGTGGGCCTCCTGGCTTGTTTGGGCCCTGAGAACAGACTCCATCAACAATGGCCTCACTCTTGGGGCTGCACACTGAATTCTGCCCTTCAAGGGATAACTGAGGGAGGTAGGCCAAACTCCTGTTCCTCCACCTCCACCCCTCCCTACCCCTGCAAGCCAGCAGTCTCCATTCCCACTCGGAGAAATCCCGCAGGTAGGCTCTGGAGCCATGCCACCCAGCACCATGAAGAAATGGATGGCAGCAGAGGGTAATGATGGAGAGCAGGAGTCCTGGTTTAAAACCCCAGCTCCGCCTTTTGTTGGTTGTGCTACCTTGTGCAAGTCACTTCATCTCTTAAAGGGGAATAGCAACTGGTTTGTTGAAGATAAAAGAGAGATAACATGTGGAAAATGCTGGGCATTGTGCCCAGCCCATTTCAAGGACTCAGTAATGGACAGCTGTAATTATCTTTACAGCTTTAAAGAGCTTGGGGCTTTGATGGCAAACAGACTGAATTTGAACCCTGGCTTGACCAGACCATTTACTACATTAGTCTGGGGTATGTTACTGAACTTTTTTGAGCTTCAGTGTTTGTGTGTGTGTGTGTATGTGTGTGTCTGTGTGTGTGTGTCTGTGTCTGGGTCACCCAGGCTGGAGTGCAATGGCGAAATCTCAGCTCACTGCAGCACTGACCTCCTGGGCTCAAGTAATCCTCCCACCTCAGCCTCCTAAGTAGCTGCGACTACAGGCATGCACCACCATGCCTGGCTAATTTTTGTATTTTTAGTAGAGACAGGGTTTCGCCATGTTGCCCAGGCTGGTCTTGAACTCCTGGGCTCAAGCAATCTGCTGGCCTCAGCCTCCCAAAGTGCTAGGATAACAGGCGTTAAGCCACCATGCCTGGCTCAACGATCCTCACCTGTAAAACGTGGCTTATAAATTATAGGAAAAAAAATCCCTCCTGCATTCTGCTCTTCCTAATGTGTAATCAACAATGACAAAACACCAGAAAAGGAGCAAGCAGAGAAAAATCTCCTATGGCTTAGGTTAGCTTAGCTTGTCCGTGGGCTATCACAGAGGCTAAGGGAATGGTGAGGAGAGGCAGCAATAGGCCCAGTGTGCCTTAAGAGTGGGACAGTCTGTGCCTAGTTGTTCCAGTGAAAGTGAAAACAAATTTTTTGTCCTTAAATGCGCTGCTAGTTGAAATGACCAGGAAGGGTTTTACAGAATGATTCCCCTAAGCAAACATCCCAGAGAGAAGAAAAGCAAAAGACACACAGCTAAATGGACAACAGTTCCCAGCCTCGTCACAGGAGAACTCTTTGGAGCCAAGTGAACCCCTGGGTCTCCTTTTTCCCACCCCATCACTTCAGCGCTTTGAGATCAAGTTCGAACTCAGTCCCAACACAGAGTGTCACTGCAAATTGTTTATTAAAACACAAAGCAATGGACAGTGAAAAACATCCTGATTTTGTACTTTTTGGTGGGAGTGGGGTGGGACATGGAAGGGGTAGGGTCAGATGGAGACAGCCCAGAAGGAAAGCCAGCTCTATCCACCCCTACAGCTTCCCCGGCCAACCAGGTTCAAAGCCCATCAGTTATATCTCACTGTGCCGCTGTCAATGCATGTTGTGGCTGCTGGCAAAGAGTTGGTTTGGCCTCCACAGAGAGAGGATGGGAAACTAGGGTAGAAGCTACAAGGGCTAAGAACTTGATGCTTTTTCTCCAGTACTTGGTACAGAATAGAGCAGCCAGGCCCAATGTGGAAGGGTGGGCTTGGTTTCCTGACAAGCCAGGTTAGACCAATAATGGTTGAAGAGGCTGCCCTGGGCTCAGAATGGGCAGCTGGTCCTTGCCTGGGAGAACTTTGTGGAAGGAAAAGGTAAGATTCCTTAAGTCCAAGGAGAGAACCAATCCAGGGTCAAATTTCTTTTCATTCCCTGGATCACAACACACCAGGGAAGAGAGGAGTCAAGAATGTCTCTCCCTGCCAGTGCTCCCCTCCTACCTCGCAACTCGGCTCTCCCTTCCCGACAGTTGTCCTTTGAAAGGACGGAAAGCGCACTTCAGTTTGTTGTTGTTTTTCCTCATACTGAAATAAAGCACTGAAGCTCAAAATAGAGGTGAGAATGGAGTTCTGCTTTCCCCAGTGCTATGTGCCCCCATCTCACAAGACTGCCTGGATGCAAGAGGTGCCAAGGCCCTCTCTGCCAACTCAAACAGGCACTACTGTTTCCTTGGCTGCCAGCACAATCCTGGCTCCTTGTGTTTATACTCCTGGGGGAACCTGTCCCAAGAGATCCATCCTGCTCTTTTCCTGCCAACCCAGCTAGTCCCCAAATCACCTGCTCTTATCAAGATAATCTGGCCCCCCATAGCAGGCTAGACAAAAGGCAGCTGGAAAGGACAGGCCAGACTGGAAGCAAGCCACACAGATGCAAAGAAGAAACCTGCCCTCGCTAGGCAGCTGATCTACTGGTACCAATCTAGTCTCATAACAAAATGAGGAAATCTAGCCCTCTTGCCCCAGAGAGATTTAAATACAGAGAGTCTTAGTTTGGACTGAAAGAGAAAAATTGCTCTGATCTTTCTAAAGCTTGAACATTAAGGCTTCTTTGCAATTTTCTTAGAGCTCTTTGATCGTTAATTATATCTTTCCATCGAAGAGAAGCAGATTTCTTCTGAGATTTCTGAACAGTTCCTGGGTGTTTCCGGTTCTGCTTCCGTGTACTATCACTTTGCCTTGCCTCAGTCTCTCCTTCCTCCGGGGCCACAGAAGGAGAAAGCCCAAAGCATACCCATCCTGCCCTTTAAAAAAAAAAAGAAAGAAAGATTCGTCTCTCACTTTGGAAAGCTCACCTACTCTCCTAGGTCCTTCTGGAGGGGCATGGAGGACAATATTCCATGTTGCCATTTGATGCCACTAAGGATCCCCAAGGCAAGAAGACACTTGAATTATGCCAGAGTAGGCCAGCAAAGGGGAGGGAAGGGACAGGGAAGCAGCCCCATGGCAGGGACTATAGGACCCCTGCCCAAACCTGAATCTAGAGGGAATGCCCCACCCTGGCTCAGAGCAGGAGAGGAAAAGGCACTGTGCTGACCGGGGTGGGTCCTTCCCCAACCCCTAGGGAGGGCAGAGAACCTGCTGATTCTTTCCCTGGGTTTCCCAAGGTGAGCCAATTTCTAGGGAAAGGGATTTTAGCACTAGGAAAAGGAAAATACTGCTGCTGTTTTCTGAAGTTCTCAGCTGAGATTTTAGAAACCATATCCAGGCCTTTCCAGGAGAGGCTAGAGGCAGGAGAAGAAGGAAGAGAAATTCCTTAAAACAGAAGCTTCTCCCAAGAGATAAGGAAGTCAAAACCACAGTTCTAAAGCTGGACCAAACAGTTCCCAGGCACAGAAAGGGGGAGGTAAACCTAACTCAAACTGTGCCCTCTCATCAAAGCCTAAATGCCCGCTAACGTGATCCCAGTAGCTCTTAGGCAGGGAGGGCAAGAGAACACGAACACGCTCTCAAACCAACAGGTGGCCCTGTGGGCAGGGCTAGTCTTCCTGGGAGTCTAACGCCATTGACACCTGAAGAAAACTATCTTCCCAGTCATGAGAACTCGGGGTGTCGATTGAGCAGCCTCTCCTCAACAATGGAGATTTTTCAGAAAAGTGAGTCTGGTTTAAGGGACACAAATCCCACAGAGTTTCTTGGCACAATGTTTCAGTAAGCATGAGTGAGACCCAAAAACGTCCAATGAGAGACCAACAGGCCCCTGACCTAAGTCAGAGCTAGACTGCAGAACTCTCAGCCCAGCTCTGCAGCAGACATCTGCGTCATCCTCCCAGAAATTCAACTCAGGCCACACTTCTGGCAAAAGAAGTTTCACCCTGACTGTCCTTGTTTTCAGTCAGCTGGGCTCAGTGGGATCTAAAAACCTGGGACAGAGTGTAGATCCAGTAGAGGAGCCCAGGCCTCTCCTCCACGCACCCCTCACTGGCACCCCTCACCATCTCCCATACATTCCCTATGGTGCAGCCTCTCAGTCCTAGCACTAAGCTCAAAATACAGATAAGAGAACAAACAGTGCAAAAAGCAAAAGGTGAACAACAGAGTAATTCTTGACACATACAATACAAAAATAAAAATAAAGAATCCCACCCCTTTAACCTAAACTTCATGTACCTATATCTTGGAGGAGCCACAAAACAAAAACAAAAACAAAAAAACTTTCAAGTTCAGCATCATGAGCCAGCTGTGACCAGCCCCAGGGAGCTCTTGTTAGCTGGATAGGCTTGGCTCCAGGGGAGTCTACCCCAGCCCCCACCATACTTCTTCCTGTTTCCTCACTTCCCCTTTAGTTTTTGTTAGCCATAGAAAGATGTTCCTTCCTTTCGTTCACAACCAGAGAGGAAAGCGCCCATCCCTAACCCTGAGCTCAGGGGAAAAGGGTGGGCTTGGAAACAGAGGCAGAAGCAAAGCTGCTTGGCTTACAGTACCATTAGGAAATGGCCCCAGGAGTCAGGGTTTCCTTCTGAGACTCTGAGTCACTGAAGGGATGTGTTGAGGTGGAAGGCGGGACCCCCTCCTTCCTCAGACAGACCCAGGCAAACTAACAAACAAGGCAAAATGGAGGCAGCCAGTCCTCCTCCTTCATCTTGACTAACCCAATGGCAGTGGCCCAGGGCTTTGGGGAATTTCGATGGGATAGGAACCAAAGCTACTGCCAGAAGCCTGTTTAGTTAGGATGTCCACTGCCCCAGGCAGGTGGTCCCCAGGACCAAGGCTACAGTACCTTATCCTTTAGAAGCAGGGGAGCTGTGTGAAGCACTATGGGAAGTATACCTCTGACTGCAGCCTCGGGCCACAACCCTCCAGCTGCCTGACTCAATACCCTAGCACTGAGACCCAAGTCACAGCGAAAACAACAGGCTACAATTCTCAAACGACTAAATGCTGGCCTGGAGTAATCATTAAAGAGCCAAAACCCAGGACATGAGCCCAAGAGCTACCTATTTTGTCACATAAGGAGCAGTTCAAATATACAGAGCTCTTAAAAAACATATCTAATAAAGCAAACTCAAAATTAAACACATTCTAGAAAAGCGGGCCTGGCCTGAGATCCTATATTGACTGCTCCAGCCCAAGCTGAAGCTAATCCTGCTGTCTCCCATCCACAAAATTCCTTCTAGCTTGGCTGGGTCCTCCTTCATTGTTGCCCTAACTGGGAAATGGATGACAATGGCCAGAAAGGAGGGGACCAGGGAAGCTTCATTTCCTATAGAAATTTTTTCAGGGAATTCAAGATCGACACTTAGATGCTAAGGTTAGCTTCAGAGCTGCCAAGGCTCTGGCTGACTGGAATTCTTTCAGTCCCATCACACCAAGAACCTGACTGCTACTTGGATAGAGAAATGAAAGGACAGGGGAAGGAGGGGCATACTATTAAGATCAATAAGAAGCATCGCTGGGCCTATATAGCTAATTAGTCTAGTTCCTTGAAGTAGCTCTAGGCATAAACCAAAACTGGCTGAACTGTGACACACAAGAACATGGGAATAAATGAACATCAGATACCAGACACTCTAAACAGTGGTCAGTCACTTAGTAGGGCTCAAATCTCTGAGGTTGCTCTTAAGCTATGCTAACATAAGCCTTTTCTAATCCAAAGACCAGAAGAGACTTTTAAGGTCAAGTGTTCTGTTGCTGCAGGCTGGAAAGCATCCCTGCCCCCTGGCAGCAAGGCCCTACAAAGGGGCCAGTAAAGAACTGCTGGGTCAGGTCCTCCTGGCTGCTGGCTCAGAGATCCAGGGAGGGAGGTACCAACAAGGTGAGGTGGTAAAGGAGAAGACATTCAAGCAGAGAACCCCAAATCCCCGTGTCTCCTTCCCTTCTTGGCTATAACTTAGTGGGATGGTTGAGAGGGAGAAGAAATTTCAAATGAGCCAGATTAAGGAAACAAACAAACAAACAAAACTGAGAAGAAATCAAGTCCCCAACAGGCACTGAAATCAAAATGATTTGTTGTGGTAACAAGTCAGAGGCGATCTGAGGACCCGACATAACCGAAACGTCTTGGATGCTGGACAGTCTATAACTGGCACATGCCAGGGAGACAAGCAATGACAAAGCTCAAACACTAAAGGTGGGACCATCACTGGATTAATCCAGAAAGGCTTCCAGATAAGGAAGCATTTTCTTTCTTTTTTTTTAATCTCCCTACTTTTTTTTTTAAGTCTTTACCGCACAAATTCTACCCCTTCACACACATTCTTTCAATCCCAGGACGTCTGAAGTCTTATCTAGACATAACTTCAGACCGTACCTAACTCCCAGTGCTGGTCGTCTCAGGTAATAAGATGGCATTTCCCTGCTGTTAATTTCTAACCTAAAAAAAGGAACAGTGACTCCTCTGAGTTCAGAGTCCTTTCCACTAGGTATACAAATGAGGATCCTTGAGCAGGAAGGATCCAGTTTACCCTAAGTATCCTCAAGAGGAAAGAGAAGGCTGGGAGCCAGCCACAAAGAGAGGACGAGGACTGAAGCACGTCTGGGACCAGGTGGTGAATGAGGGCTGCTCTCTACTCGCTCTGCCTCTTTTTGTCTCCTTTAATTGATGTGTGTTTTTTTCTCTTTGTTTTTGTTCATTAATCATTGTGAAAAATACAGAAACCAAAACCAATATGGCTGGTTTCTTTCCCACACCCCTCCACCCTGTTCAGGATAGTCATTTGTTCTCACAACCGGCAGAGGCAGAAGAGGGTTGGAATGAAGACTCCGAAGGCCACCAGGATGGGAAACATGAGGCTGCTGTTGTCCGAGGCATAGGGGTTGGGTGTGCGGGGGCCTGACTGCACCCGGTTCTTATTGGTCTGTTTTTTGAGATTAGACCCTTCATCATATTCTTCTTCTTCTTCTTCCTCTTCTTTCTTCTCCAATCCCGGATGAGGCTGAAGCTTTGGTACATCTAACACAAGGAAGAAAACACTGTTAAGACCCACAGCATTTAAGTAAGAGAGACCCTTAAAAGCAGCAAATAAGCCACAATAAAGAGATTGCTGTGATTGAACCCGGGTCCAGAGAAAAGACCAGAAGTAGCAGAAATAGCCTCTGGTCTACAGAACAGCAGAGTGCTGCAAAAGCTTTAGATTTAACTAGAAAGTAGAAAAAGCCGTGCTCATAGGGAGGTTCACTATCTTACCTTCCTGTTCTACTTTTACAGAGCCCCAAGATAACCAGACTGGACAGGGACAATGATCCAATGCCTAAACTTTAGCCTTTTCAAATCCCTCCTCCTCCCACAAGCCCACATTCCCTTTTGATTCACACAACAACTGAAGAAACGTTGACCCAGAGAGTTCTGGGTTCCCAGCACACACTATCCCTCTGTCCTGCCTCCTCCTCAGGGACTTGAACACAGGTCTGTTTGGTGGTAAGACATTCATCCTCCTAGATGTCATAATATCAGCATTTGGGGGACATCAAGACAACAGGATGAAATCCTCAGTGCATTCAAGATTGAGTTGGGGAAAGGTACAGAGGTGGAATGGGGGAGAAATGTCACAAAGACGCAGCTTTCTCTGCAAAAATCAGCCTGAGATGCTGGCAGCCAGGAGAATCTAAACCCTGAGAAAGAAATATACTCTAAGACTTGATCCCAAGGATAAGGAGACATAAATAAGTGAAGTTTTGTCCCAGTGCAGTCCAGCAATGCTGGAATCTTTCAGAGCATACCAAAAGCCTACAGGACTCCTCCTTTTACCTTTTTTTCCCCTAGGAAAGAGATGTCAAACAAACAGAATAAGGACAAGTTTTAGGTGATCCCAAATGACTACAAAGGTCAGGGTACACCAATAGGTACCATTATTAATCCCAATTTATAGGGAAATTAAAAGCATCCATCCAAGACAAACATCTGATTAAATGGCAGCAACAAGATATACATAGACCTGACTCCAAAGCTTGTGGCTAGTACCATGTTATGCTTCATCCTTATCCAACTGATTCTGAATCCCCTACAATTTAGCTTTAAGTGTTTCCAAAATAGTCATCAGCTCAATTACCTCCCAAGGGCTTCCTCAACCATATCCCTCCACTCAAGTCAAAAAAGCAGGTCAGAACACAACCTACCATCCACTGTCCCAGCCATGATGTAGAGTGCACAGACCTTGGGATTGTCATAGTACCCCTAGGAAAAGGGAAACAGTGGTCAACCCCACACAGCAGCAAACAACT
Source organism: Homo sapiens (assembly GCF_000001405.40). Classification (NCBI taxonomy): domain Eukaryota; kingdom Metazoa; phylum Chordata; class Mammalia; order Primates; family Hominidae; genus Homo; species Homo sapiens. Next base: position 120,695,047 of record NC_000012.12, on the reverse strand, counting down.
TCCCCTGTACCCACTCTCTTCAGCAATGGGCAGAATAGGGGAATTACCTTGACAAACTCAATGTAGAGTTTCCCTGTGAAGGTGGACACCTCCCCCTGGACACTCAGCTTCCCCTTTCTGATGCTCATAGGTATAATTTCATCGTGAGCTGTGCTATGCCCAACACGATCAAAGATATCCAAGTCCTTCACCACGACGTGGCCATTCAATCGTACATCAAATACCTTCCAGGATAAGAAAAGAAAACAATGTCAAAACCATCAGCTTTACATCCTTTCAAGCAGTTGGACATCATGCACGTGTTTGGGCTTGAAGTTCAAAAATAATTTAAGAAATGATGGGTCTGGATATCCAGGGTGGTTAGCATCCTTAACCCGGGTCAAATCAAAGCCGTGTTCCTTCACTGCCCAGGAGTTCTTATATTGGCTTTAAGGAACAAAGAATACAAACAAAAAGCTTAGCATAGGAAGAAGGAAATTCACAGGAAGGGACAGAGGAAAAATAAGGCTAAAAACAAGAAGGTGCGGCAAACCATGGAGGGAAGTAGCCAGGAGGGCCTTAACAGGATCAGTTAGTTGGCAAAACAAGGATTCTGGCATTGCTTTCTGTCACTCACCCCCAAGGCAAGTGCAGCCTTGTGCACTATGGAACATGCTTCTCTAGAGCTCATCTGTTCTGCCTTTCTGGAGAGACTCTCACACTCTCTAGCCCCATAATCGTGGATTGTCCAAGAGCAGCAATGTCCTACTGGTCAAGCAGCAGCCTGACTAGGCCTCACCTTTTGCTGGGACTGTGCAAAGTAGACCTCTGCAAATTTCAAGACCAGCACGTAGTCCCCCTCCTCTTTGATGGGCACTTCGTAGCCAAAGGTCTCCTCATTGTACCGCTCAGTTTGATACAGGATCTGGTCCTCAGGGTTGGAACGCAGGATTGGCAGTTTCATGCCATAGTCTGAGGCTGAGGACAAAAGACAAAGAGAAAGCACATCAGAGGCAAGACACAAAAGAAAAGCAAAGACCCCAGAACAGCCAGAGGCATTTCCAGGGCAATGCTAATAACCCTCTCCATAAAAGGGGCCACCCACTCTGCACCTGGCTCCAAACAGAGCTCCAACAAAGGCAGGAATCATACAGCCATTACTATGGAAGAGTAAAATGAAAGAAACTAAACACTAATCAGGCCAACAGCCCCTGTAAACCTCAGAGCGGAACTTTCTAAAAGCACATTAAAATGACTTTTTCCCCCTGACTGTACGGAGAACAAGTCTAACTCATTACCAGAAGAAAGTGCTGTGTTGCAGCTGCCTGGTTCCCCAAGAGGGAGGGCTTCAGAGAAACCTCCTAAAACAAGGGGGATGGCCAGGAACTCCATACAAGATGAAGTTCAAAGAATGTTTTCTCTCATTCAGAAAAGCCCAGAGTCTAAAACAAACAGGATATCTGCTTTGGAAAGTCATTCTTCATTGTCCTTACGAATAAAATTCCAGCTTTAGTTGTTGTGTGTTTTTTTTATAATTTTCATTCAAAAAGTTCCAAAGCTGTAAACAAAAACAGGCTCATAAAAGAAAGGTGTGATGCTAATTTCCTTCCTTCCCACAGACTCACAAAACTCCACCTCACCTACTTACTTGAACATTCACTCAGATAAACCAACAGCAGAAAAAAAAAGTCACCACTGCACCTCCAGTGCCTAGCACGGGACCTGGCACATAGTCGCCACTCATACAGTTTGCTGAATGAATAAATGACAATGAAGGAGGTGCCTGCAAAGCAGTGAAGCCATGCCACTCTGTCCACAAGGCTGGAGCATCCTGCAGGGCAAGGCAATCTGCCTAAGATGTCCAAGTCCTAGGGGAATCACCTTTCACATTTCACAAACTGACAAGGAATGAGAGAGGATAAAAGTAAAAAGTTACTTACCTCGGGTCAGTATCAGAAGAGCAGAAAACCTCTCTTGGCCCTGGCCCTCTCCCAACCTTGGTGTAAGACAGTTGTATATATGTTTTTTTCTTCCTCTCGCACAACACACTAAACTCCTGACCGCAGGTGATCCACCCGCATCGGCCTCCCAAAGTGCTAGGATTACAGGCGTGAGCCACCGCGCCAGGCCGAATCTTTTTTGTGCAAATATAAGATATCACATTTCAGTCTCAGAGGTAAATAGTTCTGCTTCCTCCAGAGAGTAGCCTGACTCCTTTATCCTATAAACACAGTAAGGCTTTCCAGTGCTCCATAAATATACTGTTCCAACTACAGATGTAGCCGTCATGTAGTCTCTCCTCCCGCATGAAATTAAGATTTCAAGACTGCCTTCCAATCTCACGTGGTGACCCTGAAGACATCTGGCAACTAGATCCTTTGGGAGAAGGCCAGGGGCTGTCATCCCCAGAGCTTTATCTTCTGAATCATCAACAAGGGAGAAGACATGGCAAAAGGTAAAAGATTAACAAAAAGACCCAGTGGTTGAGGTCAAGACCTCAAAAAAATAAACATAACTGTTAACAGTTCCTGTAAGTGACATTAGCCACGAGATCAGAGGGACTGATGAGACAATGGAAGAGGAAACTCATTGCACTTTTGTCTTCAGACTTTTTTCTTTCTATTTCTCCTCAAGAAATCAAAGAGTAGCTGAGCAATGCATACAAAGGATGTACTGCTAACATGCTCCCCCTCCTTTCCAGCCTCAAAAAACCATTGCCCCGGGATACAAACCTATGAAGACTGAAAGACTGCTGTTTCTCTTCCAACTGAGCTCTAAGAATTTCCTTCTTCCATGAGGACTGTGATCATTACAAATCTGGAACATCGACTACATTTGATTTACGGATACACAGAAAATTTTGTGCATGGGTGGGGAATTGTTTTTTTGTTTTTGTTTTTGTTTTTTGGAGACGGAGTTTCGCTCTTGTTGCCCAAGCTGGAGTGCAATGGCGCAATCTCAGCTCACTGCAACCTCCACCTCCCAGGGTCAAGCGATTCTCCTGCCTCAGCCTCCCAAGTAGCTGGGATTACAGGCACGCATCACCACGCCCGGCTAATTTTTTGTATTTTTAGTAGAAACGGGCTTTCACTATGTTAGCCAAGCTGGTCTCCAACTCCAACCTCAGGTGATCTGCCCGCATCGGCCTCCCAAAGTGCTAGGATTATAGGCGTGAGCCACCACACCAGGCCGAATCTTTTTTTTTTTCTTGCCAAGTGGAAAAAGTGAGGAACTGACAGTAACGTAATCTGCGGCAGTCTCAGTCCCACAGTGAAGAAAACTCAACCATGTGAACAAAAATTACTTAACAACCTTGGAATTACCTTTAAAATATTTCCCTTTAAAACCCAAGTGGCTTTCCCAAGAGATCTGCCACGTGCAAAGTTGAATTTGCCCAAGTCCCAAGAGATGCAGCAGCAAACAAGGGTTGTTCCTCCCTCCTTAGCCTTTATGCATTCACAGCGAAACAGATTTCTCTAAAATACAATGAAGTGTACAGTCAGCATACTGCTGAAATTGGCATAACTCAGTTAACCAAAAAGGAAGGGGGCCGAAGGGCCTACATTATGTCTGCTCTTTCTTAGTTTTAGACAATGTAGTAACTAGGCTCCTTGGAAAATTCAGCACAGGGTTCAGGAAAAGACATACACGAAGTGTCACTGAACAAGTTGTTTTCTCTAGGTCTGTTTTCTCACCTATAAAATGGGGACACCACCTATCCCACAGCATTGTGGTAAGGATAAAACAATCTGTATAAATAGCTCAATACAATGCCTCACACGGAGAGAGACACAGAAACATGGGTATGCTAGCCAGGCAAGGATATGCACACGATAAGCACTAAACAAATGCCTCCACTCAAGGCAGTTTAGGGAATGGATCAAAAGAAAAGGAAGTAATAAAACTAACTGGAAAACTGCAACTGGGAACCACAAGAGTGGGAAAGCCAGAATGAGCAGAAGCCTGTCCTCCATGAGAACACAGCTGTAAAGCCCCCCTTGGTGCTCTAGCGTCACTCCCACCCTACCCTCAGATCTCCTGGTCACTAGACTGTTCTTCTGGATCACTTCTTTCTCCAGTGAGGCCAGTACCTAAAGAATTGTTCTGAATGGGCTGAGACAGCGAACCCACGGATTCAGGGACCTAAATTTTCTACCTGTGAACTTCCACTATTTGGAAGGCCTGCAGATGAAGCCTGCCTGTTAGGTGACAGTAGAGGTAGAGAATTCTAAACAACTGCCATGGCTTTGAGCAAATCAGAGGTAGCAGTGACTCCTCTCTCATCCCATGTTTCAAGCTCTTACCTCCCCAAAGCCAAATCCTTCCCCAGGTGAAAGGAAGGCAGCCCAGGAAAGGGTATTCCTTAAGGTTACAGCATTAGCAACCTGATAGGCTCTGGTCCCCAACCAACTTTTTTCCCCTCTGGAGCTATGTTCTGCCCTATTTTTAATTCCATGTAAAAGGTCATCAAGGAAAAAAAAAGTGACAGAGACACTTCAAGCTACTCTGGACAGGAGAGTTTACAGTCTTATCAGAAATTTCTAAAGCATGAGAGATTTTTTGAAAAGGAAAACAAGGCTCAGAGACGTAAAGCAAGTTTCTCGAGGACCTGCGACTTTAGCAGGTATCTTTCTCTGAAGAGGAAATAGCCTTCCCTAAACTCAAGCAAAATTCTGTGCCCTCAGGTCAAATAACCAGGTCTTTTCCTAGTCAGAGTGAAGAGGAACTCAAAATGACCAAGTTACAAATCTGGAACATGGTCAGGCGTGATGGTTCATGCCTGTAATCCCAGCAGTTTGGGAGGCCAAGGTGGGAAGATCACTTGAGGACAGAAGTTCAAGACCAGCCTGGGCAACATAGTGAGACCCCTGTGTCTACAATAAAAAAAAAATTAAAAATTTTCAATAAATAAATAAAAACCCTGGAATGTGCCTCATACCAAAACCCCAAGGTGAACGCTTCTAAACCACTTTCTGTAGTGGTGCTCCCATCTGTGGAAGCACACAGGCTGAAAAAGCCTTTCCCAGGCTGTAAGCACTAGCTATCCTCAAGGCAGAAATGAAATTCAATAAATATTCTGAACTGCTTTTGAAAGCATAAACCACTAGGTGCCCTGGGCCACTCACAATTACAAGAATGTTGAACTACAAAGAAACTACACAGAAACAGCAAGTTCAAAAGAAGGCCAAACCCTTATCTGGACTAACTTGGTAACAAATACCTGAATTCATTCAACATAAAATCAACTTTTCTCAGCATGCTGGAAACAATATCACAGGCAGGCGGGAAAAGAAATAAGGCATACAGTTCCTACTGCAATCAGTGTAAATAGCTGCACGAGGCAAGGGTCTTCAAATACCTGGCACACCCTTATCCAAACAGGCCCAGAAGAAAGGCAGTGTGAACAGCTGGACTTCCCTTGGTAGGACTGACTCCTTAGTAGAGAGCTGCCTCCTGAGAGTGCAAGCTTATGCGCATCTCAGCCCGACCTAAAGCCAGCAAAATGCCTTTCTCAGGAACCTGGTAAGCGCAATGTTGCAACAAGCTGGTCCAAACTGCAGCTGACAAGCGCCACCTCCCACTCCCCATCCATGCCTTAATACTGCTCCAATTCTTACCCAGATTGGTAGAATGGAGAGGGGAACCTTAGCAGGGAACCTTCATTTATACAATGCCCCAAGGGCCAGTGTCCGAAATAGGACTCCAGTACACACAAGCTTTGGTAGGTCTCATGTAATTTTACCTGCTACAATAAACTCCTTCCAAGGAACTGCAACCATGAGCCAATAACCCAAGGACACAGATCTTGGCTGACTGCTGACCAAGCCAAAGAAACACACACACACACACACACACACACACACCACCTGCATCAGCAAATTAAAACCAGAATTTCTGAATAAGGGCAGTATCTGGGAACTAAACCTGTGTGGTCTTACTCGGCTTTATTCTCTGCACAACAGACTGAATAGGACGATGTAACCAATGTAAGGCCTGGTATCTGCTAAGTGAAAGAAACCATCCGCTCAGCACCCTCACCACCGCTATCTCAAGAGGCAAAGTCCACAAACTGTCTAGTTTCCTCAAGGGCTCTTTCCTCCCTGCCCACACTCGTGAAGAAAGAGGAAGGGTCCAGGATAGAGATAGTAATGACCTCCTGCTATAAAGTCTGGCTTTGGCTGCTGTTACCGCTGCTAAAGACTGGAGCCCTGAGTCAGCTGAACCCAGGCTACTGTGATCTACATGCCAGGGCTCAACAAACTCCAAGACAAACATAGAACTTCACAAAACAGCCCTGTGTCCCAAGACCCTCACATGTGTGAAAGGCAATAAACTCCTTAATATAACAAACTCCAGGACACTGCAATCGACTTGGGAAGAACTAACTATTTTAGTAAAAGCAAGAGCCAAATCTGGGCATCGCAGAAAAAGAATGAGAGAAAGTGAAGAGTGAGTCTGTCTCCTGGTTGTCTGGAGGTGGCATACTGCCAATTTGGTAGCCTCTGAACCCAGCATACAGTATCAATCTCCTAGCAAAGAACTTCCTTCTGAAACCTGTTTTCCAATCCCTCCAACAGAAGAAACAAAGATTATAAAGCTGATCTTCCAAAACGGTGGTCTCGGGGCAACCTACATCACAAGCCCCTGGTGCAGAAACCTGGATCCCAGCAAAAAAGCTCAATCTACTATAATCAATTTCGAGTGGGGACTAGGAATCTGCATTTTTAACCAGCTGCCCTGGCAATTCTGACACACACTAACTTTGGGAAGGGAGCAGCTCCGTTAAAAACCACTGTTGCCCAGCAAGTTAAGTCACAATCATTTTCCCCCTAAGCTGGAATTAGAACTCTCAGGATCACCTAGGGGAGGTTGTAAGCATTCTCTGATAGACCATTCGGATTCTTACACTGGTTGACCCAGTTCACACACAGCCACCAGCCTCACGTGCAGGATGGCTTCGATAGAACCACCCTCTGGGGGCGGCCTGCCGATTCTACTTTTAAGCACACATATTCTTCGCTCGAAAAGAGGGCGGGGGAGGAGGCTACAATCAAACTTTCCTGGCCCATTCTCTTCGAAGATTCCTTCCTATTCTGGCTAAGAATCAAGCCCCGCTCCTGCAGAAGGGGCAAGGAAAGCGGCCGATTCCTGGGTCGACGAGAATCTCCCAAGAACTGTCTCGACAGGAGAAGCAGGGGCACCCATGACCTACAACCCGCGAGGCCTGGAGGTAGCAAAAGGCCGCCTTCGTCATTTCTCTCCCAGCTTGGATGGGAGTGAGGGGTTGAGAAAATGCAGGATGAGAAATCCAAATATAACTAACTTCTGGCCAACTCTCTGCCTGTATGACTCTAGGTACCTTGGAGCCAGTGCCAGGCCCTGAGCTCAGAGCGGGCCCCCGAAGAAGCTGCAGAGAGAAACTTCGCTCCAGAGACGCGGCCCCAGGGTCGAAAGGGGCTCGGGGCCCGCAGCCCCCGGCCGGCTGCGCCCAGCACAGCAGGCCCTGGATCCCGCGGCTCGGCAGGGGGACTCTCACCTCGGCCCACCCGGCCTTCCAAAGGGTCCTTGCGGAAGTGGATCCCGTGCACGTCCACATGCGCCTCTCCACCCGCGTTGACCGCCCAAATGACGCTCTCGGGCAGCCCGGCCCCCGCCGCGCCGGCCACGCCGGCCACGCCGAGCCCGGGTCCCCGGATCGCCGGCGGCAGCAGCAGCAGCAGCAGTCGCAGGAGCGCCACAGCGGTTCCCTCAACCGCCCAGGCTCCCAGCATGGCGGCCACCACCACGGGGGCAGCCCCCGCCGACCCTCGTCCTCGGCCGGCTGCCAGGCCACCCCGGACTCAGAAAAACAGCGCCACGGGCCGCTCCGCCTGAGCCGCCGGGGACATGTCGCTCTCAGGCCTCCTTCTTCTCAGCCACGGGTACCGCCTCCCACCTCAGGAACAACCTACCCCGCCGCCCTGCCCCCGGCCACGACGCTGCAGCCAATCAGCGCCCGGCCCTCATTAATTACCCACCACCCCGCCGGGAGGCGCCCGCTCATTGGCTGTCAGGCGCGGGAAAGGGCGTGGCTTCTCCCAGGCGCCGGCCCAGCAGTCGGGCACCAGATGGAGCGCGCGCAGAGGGAGTGAGTTCGGTTGAAGCGGCGGTTCGATGCGGAAGTGGCGGGTGCAGCGCCCAGGCGGCCCCGGAATCCCACAGCTGAATGGGAAAGGTGGCCTGGGGGGGGAAGGTTTAGGGTAGGGCGCACTGACATGTCGCCAGCACTTCCGGTGCTCTAGCTCCTGAGACCAAATAGGCTCTGGAGGGGGCGTGGCCGACTTTCCCGCCCCCTCTTCTTTTCTCAGGGAGCAGCATGAGCATAAATTCTAGTAGGAGAAGCAATGGACACTCTCCAGACCTAAGAGACGCAGTCCTTTTCCCCGCGTGAGGGAGAGGACCCATGCTTTCCCAGAGAGGCCGCGGACACAGGTCTCCAGGGAACGAATCCCATGAGAATAAGGCCCCGCCCCCTCCCCTTAGCGGGCTCGGGGCGGGTGGTAGCGTCCAGACGGCCGTCCAATGAGAAGGCTCCAACGCAGCGGAAACGCGTGGCTTTGAGAGCGAGTGGGTGCCAGGCTGCTCGCGTCTCCATGGCGACGGCCTCTGGCCGGCCTCCGCTGCGTAGGGGCGGGACCGAGGCACCCTAGGCGCTGGCGGGAGTCGCCGCCGGCGGTGCCCAGAGTGGATACCGGGGTTGTCCCGCACGGGCACGGCCCGAACTCCCTCCCTGCTCCTTCACAGTTCACCTGGCGCTCTCCCACACTGGCGATCCCTGCGCTTCGGTCGCTGTTCAAACTCCCATTTTTCCGATGGGGAAACTGAGGCATAGAAAGGGACTGAATTTTGCCAAAGGGTCGCACCGCAAGTGTAGGGCAGAGTCAAGGCAAAAACAAAAAAAACAAAAAAACGCTTATGCATTTTCCATAAATACTGGTCGATTTAGAAATTCTCCCTAAAAGGAAAAAAATGTATCAAGTCCCTGCTACCAGGGTTGTCAGATTTGGCAGATAAAATAGGAGAAGCCCAGTTATATTTGAATTTCAGATAAGCAAATGGGACCCACTTATACTAAAAAAAAAAATGCATTGTTTATTAAAATTTAAACAACTGGACTTCTTGTATTTTATCTACCAATCCTACCTACTACTTAGGCAATGAGCTTTGTGCTACATGAACAAAAAACACACCTGGGGTCCCGCATGAGAATCATAGACTTTGCACAACCCATAATGAAATTAATTGTTTAGTTAGAACAGTGGTAAGTGCTATACGGGAACAAAACAGGGTGCCAAAATAGAGACTATCAGTGGTGGATCTAAATGCACCCAAATTCCTTCCCAGGCCCCAAATTCAGACCCCATGGGGGTAACTTTTGGAAGTGTTCCCTCCCGGTCTCACTTTCCCCCCTATTTTGCAAGCATCTGGCCTTACTTCCTCCCATAGACATGTTTCCTGTCCAAGGTGTTTCTTTTTTTTTTTTTTTCTGTCTTTTTTGGAGACAGAGTCTTGCTCTGTCGCCAGGCTGGAGTGCAGTGGTGCAATCTCGGCTCATGGCAACCTCCACCTCCCGGGTTTAGGCGATTCTGCTGCCTCAGCCTCCTGAGTAGCTGGGACTACAGGCGCGCGCCACCACACCCAACTAGTTTTTTTTATTTTTATTAGAGACCGAGTTTCACCATGTTGGCCAGGATGATCTCGATCTCCTGACCTCGGGGTCCGCGGCCTCCCAAAGTGCTGGGATTACAGGTGTGAGCCACCACACCTGGCCTCTTGGGGTTTCTAATTCTACTATTCTCTCTCTCAAACTGTCATCTTTTAAGGATCTTGACAACTCAGAGGCTTCAGTTACCCTCAAAGGAGGGGTGTGGTGCAAATGGGGAACAGAAACACAAGTAGTGGTGATGGGGCTTCCTCCCTCCAGGCAGTTGGCCTGCAGAGCCCACGTACCACTCAGGTATTGCACTGCCACCAGGCGCTCATGTTTATTTTATCCTCAAGGCAGTCTAGTCCAGGAGAAACAATCACAAAAACGGATTAAATTTTGGGGGAGGCCTCTAAAGGCTTTCTCTCAGTCCTTCGTGTCTTTGGTCACCCCAGAGGGTGAAGAAGATACCCGGCTGGCTCCTGTTATTGAGCCCTTCAGATACCATTCGTGGTTGGGCCATCTGTGTACCAAGGAGCTTGGCTCCCTTTCTGAGATCCAGCTGCTCATGAATTAGGCTGTCTTTTCAGTAAAACGTAAAGTCTGAGACCCTGGAGGCAGGGTATGGGATCCGAGCGTGGGATCTAAGACAGGCTGCCTGCATCCCATGCCTAGTCCCATTTACCCACTGTGTGGCCTTGGGCAAGTGATGTACTTCGCTGAGTTTCAGTTTCCTCAGTTGTGAAATAGAGATACAGTCATGAGTCACTTAATGACAGGGATGCGTTCTGAAAAATGCATCATTAAGCGATTTTGTCATTGTGCAGAGATCACAGAGTGTACTTACACAAACCTAGATGGGGATAGCCTGCTATACACCTAGGCTATATGGTATAGCTGATAGCTCCTACACTACAAACCTCTACAGCATGTTACCTTACTGAATACTGTAGACAGTTGAACACAATGGTAAGTATTTGCGTATCTAAACACAGATACAGTATAAACACAGTATTGGCCAGCCTAGTGGCCCATGCCTGTAATTCCAGCACTTTGGGAGGCTGAGGTGGGTGGATCACTTGAGGCCAGGAGTTCGAGACCAGCCTGACCAACATGGAAAAACCCTGTCTCTACTAAAAATACAAAAATTAGCTGGGCATGGTGGGGCGCACCTGTAATCCCAGCTATTCGGAAGGCCGAGGCAGGAGACTCGCTTGAACCCGGGAGGCAGAGGTTACAGTGAGCCGAGATCGCACCACTGCACTCTAGCCTGGGTGACAGAGTGAGATCCAGTCTCAAAAAAAAAATATATATATATATACACACACACACACACACACACACACACACAAAATTTTATTTATTTATTTATTTATTTATTTATTGTGGAGACAGATTCTCACTATGTTGTCCAGGCTGGCCTCTAACTTGTGGCCTCAAGCGGTCCTCCCGCCTTGACCTTCCAAAGTCCTGGGATTACAGGCCTAAGCCCCTGCACCCAGCCAATATTATAATCTCACGGGACCATCATCGTGTATGTGGTTCGTCATTGGCTGAAATGTTATGTAGCACATGACTGGAATACTTTATTTTACTTATTTATTTTTTGAGACAGAGTCTCACTCTTGCCCAGGCTGGAGTGCAGTGGCATGATCTCGGCTCACTTCAGCCTCTGCCTCCTGGGTTCAAGCAATTCTCGTGTCTCAGCCTCCCAGATAGCTGGGATTATAGGCATGCACCACCATGCCTGGCTAATTTTTGTATTTTTAGTAGAGACAGGGTTTCTCCATGTTGGCCAGCCTGGTCTTGAACTTCTGGCCTCAAGTGATCCACCTGCCTTGGCCTCCCAAAGTGCTGGGATTACAGGTGTGAACAACCGCACCTGGCCTGGAATAGTTTCTATTTCAGAGGGCAGACGTGAGGATTAAAGAAGGTAATAAAACCGCATGAAGAAGAGGAGGAGAAGGTGGTAATGCATATAATAAAGTCATTAGAATTGATAAAGAGCTGAAACAATTGTTTAGATACTCCGAGACCAACCACCATAGCCACATAACCAAAATTTTAGCACCTGATTTTCCAAAATGCTAACTCTAAACATAAACAAAGCACAAGAATAAGTTTTCTTCCCTTATTAGCATGATTCCACAGAATTAAACCAATCAGCCATAGACAAACCAGCTTAAGCAGCTCTATTTGCCTTTGAAAAAATATATATCAGCCAATCATGTAAAGGGTCAAAATACTTCCTCTTGTGCTACAACTGCTGTCAATTCAGACTTCTTGCCAATCTTGTAATCTCCCGATTCACAGACTCTTCCTTTGTATGCACAATCAACTCCTGAAATTTTAACTTGATCTGATTTTATTTTTGACAGATTCATGCCTGGCACAAGCCAAGGCACTCAACCGATTGCTACTCTGAAATGAAAGTCTCGGCCGGGCACGGTGGCTCACGCCTGTAATCCTAGCACTTTGGAAGGCCGAGGTGAGTGGATCACCTGAGGTTGGGAGTTCAAGACCAGCCTGACCAACATGGAGAAACCGCATCTCTACTAAAAATACAAAATTAGCCGGGCATGGTGGTGCATGCCTGTAATCCCAGCTATTCAGGAAGGTGAGGCAGGAGAATCGCTTGAACCCGGGAGGCGTAAGTTGTGGTGAGCCGATATTGTGCCATTGCACTCCAGCCTGGGCAACAAAAGCGAAACTCCGTCTCAAAAAAAAAAAAAAAAAAGAAAGAAAGAAAGTCTCTTGAGTTCTTGCCTTCTGAACTTGTACCCCCCACCTTGTACTGTAAGAAGCTGCTAGATCTATGTTTTTTTTTTGGTTTTTTTTTTTTTTTATGAGACAGGGTCTCGTTCCATTGCCCAGTCTGGAGTACAGTGGCACAATCATGGGTCACTGCAGCCTCGATCTCCCAGGCTCAAGGGATACTCCTACCTCAGCCACCCAAGTAACTGGAACTAGAGGCATGTGCCACCATGCCCCACTAATTTTTTTATTTTTTTGTAGAGATGGGGTCTTTTGCGATGTTGCCCAAGCTGGTTCGAACTCCTGGGCTCAAGCAGTCCTCACACCTCGGCCTCCCAGAGTGCTGGTATTACAGGCATAAGCCACTGCACCTGGTCCCAGATATACGCTTTTAGGAACTCTTGATAAAATTGTTTGTAGCCACAAATCTGTACGAGTCTACAGCACCTCAATTCTTGGCTGGGCGTGGTGGCTCACGCCTGTAATCCCAGCACTTTGGGGGGCCAAGGCAGGTGAATCACCTGAGGTCAGGAGTTCAAGACTAGCCTGGCCAACATGTCGAGACCCCACCTCTACAAAAATATAAAAATTAGCCAGGCGTGGTAGCATGCGTTTGTAGTCCCAGCTACTTGGGAGGCTGAGGCAGGAGAATCGCTTGAACCCAGGAGGTGGAGGTTGCAGTGAGCCAAGATCATGCCACTGCACTCCAGCCTGGGTGACAGAGTGAGACTCTGTCTCAAAAATATATATATATATATATTGACTCCTCAGAAGAATTCAACTAAGGGGCAAAAGGCAGAGAGAGAGAGACAGAGACAAGTTTTAGAGCAGGAATAAAAGGAAGTAAAAGGCCAGGCACAGTGGCTCATGCCTGTAATCCCAGCACTTTGGGAGGCCAAAGCAGACGGATCACCCTGAGGTCAGGAGTTTGAGACCAGCCTGGCCAACATGGAGAAACCCCGTCTCTACTAAAAATACAAAAATTAGCCAGGCGTGGTGGTGTGCGCCTGTAGTCTCAGCTACTAGGGAGGCTGAGGCAGGAGAAGCGCTTGAACTCGGGAGGCAGAGGTTGCAGTGAGCTGAGATTGCACCACTGTACTCCAGCCTGGGTGACAGAGCAAGAACCCGTCTCAAAAAAAAAAAAAATTGCGCACCTGAGGTGGTATCAGGAGTAGGACCCCCATCTTGTACTATAGAAGGCTACTAGATCTATGCCTTTTTTTTTTTTTTGAGGCAAAGTCTGTCTCTGTTGCCCAGGCTGGAGTGCAGTGGCGCAAACTCGGCTCACTGCAACCTCTCCCTCCTGGGTTCAAGCAATTCTCCAGCCTCAGCATCCCGAGTAGCTGGGACTACAGGCATGCTACCACATCCAGCTAATTTTGGAATTTTTAGTAGAGACAGGGTTTCACCATGTTGGCCAGGCTGGTCTCAAACTCTTGCCCTCAGGTGATCCACCCACTTTGGCCTCCCAAAGTGCTGGGATTACAGGCGTGAGCCACTGCGCCCGGTCCTTTTTTTTTTTTTTTTTTTTTTTTTTTTGAGACAGGGTTTCCTTCTGTTGCCCAGGCTGGAGTACAGTGACATAATCCTGGGTCACTGCAGCCTCTACCTCCCGGGCTCAAGGGATCCTCCCACCTTAGTCTCCCTAGTAACTGGGACTAGATGCATGTGCCACCATGCCCCACTGAATTTTTTTTTCTTTTTTTTTGTAGAGATGAGGTCTTTTGCTATATTGCCCAGGCTGGTCTCAAACTCCTGGGTTCTCCTCCTGCCTCGGCCTCCCAAAGTGCTGGGATTACAGGCATGAGCCTTGATAGGGTTGGGGGCAGAAGACAAAAAGGCCAGAGTCAGGCTAGAGGGCCTGAACCCAGGGCAGGATTATATCCAAAAGCACTGACCCAGAGGGGTCCCCAGATAACCCCAGGTTTGCTCTCAGGATAGACCATGCAGAAGGCATGGAGTCTGAGCCCTGGGAAAGCTGAGAAGAGTGTCAGTCCCCAGGTGGCCCTGGACCCAGGCCATTTCTCTGTAGACAATGAGGAATTTGGGCTCCAGTCTCCCATTTCCCCTCCCTGCTGTGGAAGGTCATCCCCATCTGAGAGCCCAGAAACACTTGGGGCGGCTGCATTCCCACCTCTTTCAGCTGGGGCTGGTTTGCTGCAAACATTTCTGCAAATCCTCCAGCACTCTCTCAGGATGGAGGACTTGCCCTCGTTAGAGTAACAGGAACCAAGATTTGGGGGTCAGACAGAGCTGGGTTCAGTTCCTTCCTCAGCGGCTTCCCAGTCACATCACTTCCTTTCTTGCTGAGTCTCCTTTCTCCTGAAACGCACACCACATTGATGTAAGGACTAAATAGGTAGTTCTTAAATGGGCAGCAGTTATTTTTCTCTGTGGAAGAAAGATACACTTTTTGTAGAAAATGCAGACGACATGGAAGAGAATTTTTCTTTTTCCCATACAGAGTCTTACTCTGTTGCCCAGGTTGGAGTGCAGTGGTGTGATTTCTGCTCACTGCAGCCTCTGCCTCCCGGATTCAAGCAATTCTCCTGCCCCAGCCTCCTTGAGTAGCTGGGATTACAGGTATGTGCCACCACATCTGGCTAATTTTTGTACTTCTAGTAGAGATGGGGTTTCACCATGTTGGCCAGGCTGGTCTCAAACTCCAGACCTCAAGTGATCCGCCCACCTCAGTCTCCCCAAGTATTGGGATTTCAGGCATGAGCTACCATGCTGGCCAGAAGAGACTTTTTTAAAGATAAAATTTGCCATAATTTCTTTTTTCTTTTTTTTTCTTGCTTTGAGACAGAGTTTCGCTCTTGTTGCCCAGGCTGGAGTGCAATGGCGCGATCTCAACTCACCGCAACCTCCACCTCCCGGGTTCAAGTGATTCTCCTGCCTCAGCGTCCCTAGTAGCTGGGATTACAGGCATGCGCCACCATGCCCAGGTAATTTTGTATTTTTAGTAGAGACGGGGTTTCTCCATGTTGGTCTTACTGGTCTTGAACTCCCGACCTCAGGTGATCCGCCCACCTCGGCTTCTCAAAGTGCTGAGATTACAGGCATGAGCCACTGCGCCCAGCCCAAAATTCACCAAAATTTCATCCAAAACTGATATAAGGCATATAAACCCAGGTCCTGACAGAGCAGCTTCTCAATAATCATTGGTTCCTACTTATCCGATGCTCTTAATGACCTCAAAACGTTGGAAAACTAGGTCATGTTCCCTTTTTTGCAGATGAGAAGCTA
Source organism: Homo sapiens (assembly GCF_000001405.40). Classification (NCBI taxonomy): domain Eukaryota; kingdom Metazoa; phylum Chordata; class Mammalia; order Primates; family Hominidae; genus Homo; species Homo sapiens. The sequence continues at coordinate 120,679,380 of NC_000012.12, read as the reverse complement.
AAGCTCAGAGAGTTGAGGGATTTGTCCAAAGTCACACAATGAACAGCCAGAATCCAATGTTTTGGCATCTAATATACTTCTTTTCCTTTGAGCCTGGCTATGTAGCAAACATAGTTTGGTGCAAATCACAGCTCTGCCATTAGTCACTGTGTGACTTTGGGTAAATGAATTCACCTCTTTGATCCTTAGTTTCTTCATTTGTGGGATGGAGAGAATAATTGTGCCCACCTTGTAGGACTGTTAAAAATAAGAAAACATATTTTAAATAAACAAAAAATTAAAGTTGGTTTTTTTTTTTTTTTTTTTTGGAGATGGTGTCTCACTCTGTCACCCAGGCTGGAGTGCAGTGGCGTGATCTCATCTCACTGCAACCTTGGCCTCCTCAGTTCAAGTGATTCTCCTGTCTCAGCCTCCCAAGTAGCTGCGACTACAGGCATACACCACCACGCCTGGCTACTTTTTGTATTTTAGTAGAGACAAGGTTTCACCATGTTGGCCAGGCTGGTCTCGAACCCCTGACCTCAAGTGATCTGCCCCCCCCTCAGCATCCCAAAGTACTGGGATTACAGGCATGTGTCACCACGCCCGTCCAGGATGTGGTTTTTAAAATTAGCATTGTGGGACCATTGAGCACGTAGCTAAGTGATCAGTAAATCATAGTCGTGGGTGTTTGGGGCATAGAGACCTGGATTTAAAGCCTAGCTCCACTTCTTAGAGCTGTGTGGCCCTTGGAAAGTCGTTTCTCCTCTCTGGGCCTCAGTTGTCTCACTTGTACAATGGATATAATTAGAAGACCTACCATGTGGGGCTGTTAGGAGCCATTCACAGCGTGCCTGGCCCATAGAAGTCCTCAGTGCACAGAAGCTATTAATTATGTATGAAGAAATAATTATAACAGGTACCGCTGGCAATCTGATAAATAGAAAAGACCTTGATGAAGTGCTGAGGCTAAGGAGTGGGAAATACCCTTCTCCCCAAGGGAGAAAAAACCAAAGGGAACCAGAGTTCAAAAGGGGAAGGTGCAGCAGCTGTGTTTGAGCCCCGAGAGGCAATTTCACCTTGACCCATAAAACTGAAAAGGGTTGTGTCTTCCTGTCCAGATAAGGATCAGAAGAACAAAGCGTACTATTAATTAAGTCCTGCCTATTTTTAAGTTTATGGGATATTTTTCCCCCTTAAAGATAAACTCACAACAAAAGTTCAAAAGGCAAACACAAGGCAGGGGTGGGAGCCAGTCCTGCCAGCCCTGAAACTCTGAGGTGGGTGGTTTGGTCCCAAGACCAAGTTTGCTCACCTTGGGCCTCTGGGAGTTAGACCACAGAGGGACCAGAGCCATCCAGAGAGGTGGGGAGCCAGCCCACCGTGTCTGCTGGTCCTGGCCCCCAGGGTGCAACTCGAACTGAGAAACCTGGCCGGGTCCCCAACTTCGCAGGAGGGAGAATGGACTTGGTGTGTCTTCATGTCCCCCAAGAGGATATGAGTCACAGCGAAGAAGCCAGCCAGGCCCAGTGTGCTCATTGTCTAGGCAGAGAACAGAAAAAACAAGTGCCTTCCCTTCTGGGTGGCCTTGGACAAATCATTTCCCTTCTGCACCTTGGTTTCCTCATCTGTGAATGAGATGGTGATAACTTTCAGCCTCCTAGAGTTGCAATGAGTACGATAGAAAGCAACTTCAGCTGGGCGCTGTGGCTCACGCCTATAATTCCAACACTTCAGGAGGCTGAGGCAGGTGGATCGCTTGAGCCCAGGAGTTCAATACTAGCCTGGGCAACATCGTGAGACACCCCCCACTCCCATCTCTACAAAAAATAAAAACAATAGCTGAGCATTGTGGCGCATGCCAGTAGTCCCAACTACTTGGGAGGCTGAGGTGGGAGGATCACTTGAGCCCAGGAGGCAGAGGCTTCAGTGAGCCAAGATCGTACCACTGTACTCCAGCCTGGGCAACAGAGTGAGACTCTGTCTCAAAAAAAAAAAAAAAAAAAAAAAAGAAGGCTGGGCATAGTGGCTCATGCCTGTAATCCCAGCACTTTAGGAGGCCAAGGCAGGCAGATCACTTGAGGTCAGGAGTTCAAGACCAGCCTGGTCAACATGGTGAAACTTTGTCTCTACCAAAAATACGAAAATTAGCCAGGCATGGTGGCAGGCGCCTGTGGTCCCAGCTACTTGGGAGGCTGAGGCAGGAGAGTCGCTTGAGCCCGGGAGGCGGAGGTTGCAGTGAGCTGAGATCATGCCACTGCACTCCAGCCTGGGCAACAGAGTGAGACTCTATCTCAGGAAAAAAAAAAAAAAAAAACCACAAACTTCAAGAGAATGCCTTACAGACTTACAGAGTCTCACTATGTTGCCCAGGCTGCACTCAAACTCCTGGCCTTAACTGATCCCAAGTAGCTAGGATTACAGACGTGTACCACTGCACTCGGCTTGTTAGCTGCCTATATCATCATCTCCCAGACTTTTTACATTGTGTTAAGGACACAATTGTTGAGTCAGGAATGCCAGGAGGGTCTTTACTATCCACTGTCAGTGTAAGCTTGGCAAGTCACATTCCTTCTCTGAACCTAAGTTTCCTCACCTGGAAATGAGGTGTAAAGACAGAGTGAGATGGTGAATAAAAAGGACTAAAGTACACATACTCAGAAATAAATAAAGCTGACCGGGTGCGGTGGCTGATGCCTGTAATCCCAACACTTTGGGAGGCTGAGGCAGGCGGATCACCTGAAGTCGGGAGTTCAAGGCCAGCCTGACCAACATGGAGAGACCCCATCTTTACTAAAAATACAAAATTAGCCGGGTGTGGTGGCGCATGCCTGTAATCCCAGCTACTCAGGAGGCTGAGGCAAGAGAATCGCTTCAACCCGGGAGGCGGAGGTTGTGATGAGCCGAGATCACATCATCATGCTCCAGCCTGGGCAACAAGAGCAAAACTCTGTCTCAAAAAAAAAAAGAAGAAGAAGAAAGAAAGCAGCTGTTTTATTCTTTTCAGTTTCTTTCCTAGATCCAGACACATTGGGGAGGTAACGAGTCCTATAGCCACACCTGCACGTTGGATTATAAATGGCCAGGTTACTTGTCAGCTGCCCCTCCAGACAAGAGCATTCTGCCATGATGGGAAGGTAGTCTATCCACACCACATGTGCCTATTGAACAGGTGATATGTGACTGGTATGTCTGGGGAACTAATTCTTTGTTTAATTTTAATTCATTTAAATAGTCACATATGGCTAGTGGCTACCATATTGGACAGCAGAGTCTAGACTATTATCTCCATGAGACTAGGAATCAAGGCTGTTTTTTATTTTTTGAGATGGAGTCTCCCTCTCATCATGCAGGCTGGAGTGCAGTGGTTCGATCTCAGTTCACTGCAACCTCCACCTCCCAGGTTCAAGCGATTCCCCTGCCTCAGCCTCCCAAGTAGCTGGAATTACAGGTGCCCACCACCACGCCCAGCTAAATTTTGTATTTTTAGTAGAGATGGGGTTTCGTCATTTTGGCCAGGCTGGTCTCGAACTCCTGACCTCAGGTGATCAGCCTGCCTTGGTCTCCCAAAGTGCCGGGATTACAGGTGTGAGCCACTGTGCCTGCCTGATACAATAAATCATTGCTAAGTGCCTACTAGACACTGAAGACACTATGCTGGACAAGGTAGAAATGGTCTCTACCAACATGGAGCTTACATTCTAGTGAGGGGGAGGGAGCCTCAAACAATAAGCAGATACAAACATATTGTCGTACAATAAATATGTCAGGCCAGAGATTTCATGTGTGCTCTGAAGAATACAAATGAGCTGTGGTGGTGACTTCTGTCCTTCCTTCAAAAGATAAGTCAAGAAAAAGACATTTAAGTTCAACTCCAGAAATGAGAAGGATCTAGCTATTCAAAGAGTACAAGGAAAAGCACTCCAGGCAGAGGGAACAGCATGTGTGAGGGCCCTGAGCCAGGCCCTCCACTAAGCATTATGCAAGGGTTAATTTCTTCACATCCACCCCACAGGGTAGATAATTTATTATCATTAATAACAGATAATGGCCGGGGGCAGTGGCATACGCCTGTAATCCCACCACTTTGGGAGGTCGAGGCGGGTGGATCAATTGAGGTCAGGAGTTTGAGTCCAGCCTGGCTAATAGGGTAAAACCTCATCTCTACTAAAAATACAGAATTTAGCTGGGCGTGGCGGTGCACACCTGTAATCCCAGCTACTTGGGAGGCTGAGGTGGGAGAATCACTTGAACCCAGGAAGCAGAGGCTGCAGTGAGCCGAGATCACACCACTGCACTCCAGCAGGAGTGACAGAGTGAGATTTTGCCTCAAAAAACAAAAAACTAATGTTTAAAAAAACTAAAAATAAAAATAAACAGTGAGGGACTCCCTTCACACATACATCCTATACATGTACATCCCTTAACTCCCTTAAGTGGCAGAGCTGGGGTCAGAAACCAGATGCTTGGTATTTTTGGTGTTTTTTTTTTTTGGCGGAGGTGGGTGTTGGCAGAGAGAGTCTCTCTCTGTTGTCCAGGCTGGAGCACAGTGGCGGGATCTTGGCTCACTGCAACCTCTGCCTCCCGGGTTCAAGCGATTCTCCTGCCTCAGCCTCCCCAGTAGCTGGGACTGCAGGTGCGCACCACCATGCCCAGCTAATTTTTGTTGTATTTTTAGTAGAGACGGGGTTTCACCATGTTGGCCAGGCTGGTCTGAACTCCTGACCTCAGGTGATCCACCCGCCTTGGCCTCCCAAAGTGCTGAGATTACAGGCATGGCTACCCCGCCCTGCCAAAAAACATGTGCTTGTTAACACCAGAGCTCATCCCTCAATCATGATACTCAGACCCCTGTCCCCTCTGTAGGAAAGACAACCATTAGCTGGAGTGCAGAAGCAAGCAGCAGGCACCTCCAGGGAGATGAAAGGATACTCCAGCCCTGCAGTTCCTGCTACAGGCACAGCAGGATCAGGGCTGCCTTGCAGACAGCCCCTCCCTGGTCTAGGGCCAGATCCCAGATTTAAGCTGTGATTATCTTGTCACTGTCAATAAGAGGTTCTGCCATAGCCATTCAAGAATGCCATGCCCAACTTTCTCTTCTCCTTTTCTTGAGAAGGAATCGCTGAGGCGTGATGACACATGGGAGAGAGTGGTAGGCAACTGGAGAATAACAACCGACAAGAATGATAGTGAATACTTCTATTTAATTTTTTGTTTTGAGATATGGCCTCGTTCCATCATCCAGGTTGGAGTGCAGTGGCACGAACATGGTTCACTGCAGCCTCAACTTCTTGGGCTCAAGTGATCCCTGTGCCTCAGCCTCCTGAGTAGCTGGGACCACAGATTCCCACCACCATCCCTGGCTAATTTTTAATTTTTTAAAATAGAGATGGGGTCTTGCTGTGTTGCCCAGGCTGGTCTCAAACTCCTGGGCTCAAACGATCCTCTCACTTTGGCCTTCCAAAGTGCTGGAATTACAGGCATGAGCCACCACACCAGGCAGCAAAAACATTTACGATGCTTACTGCGTGCCAGGCACTATTCCAAAGGCTTCACATAGAATAATTTGTTTCATCTTCAGAACAACCCTATCACATCATCCCCCTGGTCAGGAAGCACTGGTGGTTTAGTAGTAGAATTCCTGCCTCCCTATAACATCATCTCCATTTTACAGATGAGGAAGCTGAGACCTCAAGAGTCTTATAACCTACCCAAGATGACGCGGCTGATAAGTAGTAGAGCTCAGATTGGAAACCAGATAGCTGGCTCCTGAACCTGCACTTGGTTTTTTTTAGACTTTTTTTTCTTTTTTTTGAGATGGAGTCTCGCCCTGTCACCCAGGCTGGAGTGCAGTGAGTGGCACGATCTCGGCTCACTGTAAACTCCGCCTCCCGGGTTCAAGCGATTCTCCTGCCTCAGCCTCCCACGTAGCTAGGACTGCAGGTGCCTGCCACCATGCCCGGCTAATTTTTTGTATTTTTAGTAGAGACGGGGTTTCACCATGTTAGCCAGGATGGTCTCGATCTCCTGACCTCGTGATCTTCCCACCTCAGCCTCCCAAAGCGCTGGGATTACAGGTGTGAGCCACCACGCCAGGCCTTTTTAGATATTTTTTTTATTGTAAAATAAGACACAGAAAACCACACAGAACAATTGTACAACTTGGTGAATTATCATGAAGCAAGCACTCTTGTAATCACCTTACTTGTTAAGAAATAGAACTTTGTCAGACACCCCAGAAGCTCCTCTCTGTGCCCCTTTGCAATCATAGCTTTTTCCCTCCTTCTCTCTAAAAGCAACCACTTTCCTGACTTTTATAGTAATAATTCCCTTGGGTTTCTTTTTAAAAATCTTTTTCTTTTTTTCTTTTTTGCAATGGAATCTTGCTGTATCGCCCAGGCTGGAGTGCAGTGGCACGATCTCGGATCACTGTAACTTCTGCCTCCGAGGTTCAAGCTATTCTCGTTCCTCAGCCTCCTGAGTAGCTGAGATTGCAGGCGCACACCACCATGCCTGGCTAGTTTTTGTGTTTTTAGTAGAGACGGGTTTTCGCCATGTTGGCCAGGCTGGTCTTGAACTCATGACCTCAAGTGATCCACCCACCTCAGCCTCCCAAAGTACTGGGATGACAGACGTGAGCCACTGCGCCCAGCCTCCCTTGGGTTTCTTTGTGGTTTTTTTTTTTTTTTTCACCCAAGTGCACATCCCTACATACTATCATTTAGTCAGGCCCACTTTTTAAAACACGATACTTTTTAGTCTCTTTTGATCTATAAGTTCACTTTTTTTTTTTTTTTTTTGGAGTGCAATGGCGCTATCTTGACTCACTGCAGCCTCCGCCTCCTGGGTTCAAGCAATTCTCCTGCCTCAGCCTTCCAAGTAGCTGGGATTACAGGCCTGTGCTACCACGCCTGGCTAATTTTGTATTTTTAGTAGAGACAGGGTTTCTCCATGTTGGTCAGGCTGGTCCCGAACTCCCGACCTCAGGTGATCCGCCCACTTCGGCCTCCCAAAGTGCTAGGATTACAGGCGTGAGCCACCATGCCCGGCCCATCTCTTTCTTTTTCTTGTAATTTGCTTTGAAGAATATGAGCCATTTGACCTGTATTGTTTTTCCCAGTTTGGAGTTTGTGGATGTCAAAAACTGATGTCCTCCTCATGGTACAGCTCAACATGTTTCTCTGCCCCTGGATTTTTTGCAAATTGCTGGCTGGATCTCAAGGCATGATCAGATTCAGATTTGATCCCTTCAGCAACCCCAGGGGCTGGTGTTGTGTTCTCTCATCAGTGGTATCTAATGTCTGGCTTTCTGGTATTTTTGTTTGTCTGTCTTTGAGATGGGGTCTCGCTCGGTTGTCCAGGCTGGAATACAATGGCGTGATCATAGCTCACTGCAGACTCGAACTCCTGGGCTCAAGCAATTCTCCCACCTCAGCATCCCAAGTAGCTGGGACTACAGGTACATGCAACCACATCTGGCTAATTTTTAAAATTTTTTGTGGAGATGAGGTCTCACTATGTTGCCCAACCTGGTCTTGAACCCCTGGCTTCAAGTGATCCTCCCACCTCAGCCTCCCAAAGCACTGGGATTACAGGTGCAATCCACTGCACCCAGCCTAGCTCTCTGCTTTTTGATCAGAACTCATGCTTTTAACCACACTGCTATGGGGACGCCTCCTGGCTACCCTCAGCTGCCTGGGTTTTCTTCTATCTTCTGGACAGATTTGTCCCCAAAGGTGAGCCCTTCATAGCACCAGCGTTTCTGTGGCCGTGGGCCTGGCTAATGCCAGAAGGCAGCCCCTCAGAGTTCCCATCTGAGCCTCTCCACACTCCAAGGTCTGCGGAGGGATGGGGTCCTGCCTCCCTGTTGAGCGTCACCTCTCTCTGCTCCTCTCTCCAGCCCAGTACATCAGTTAGACAAAATTCCACTTAGTTTCCCAAAAGGGCCACACTCTCCCTTACCTCGGGGCCTTTGCATATGCTATTCCCAGACCAGAAATAGTGGTTGCTATTTCTTGCTCTGTTGCCCAGGCTGGAGTGCAGTGGCGCAATCTCGGCTCACTGCAGCCTCTGCCTCCCAAGTGATTCTCCTGCTCAGCCTCCCGAGTAGCTGGGATTGCAGGCGCGCACCACCATGCCTGGCTAATTTTTGTATTTTTAGTAGAGACGGTGTTTCACCATTTGGCCAGGCTGGTCTCGAACTCCTGACCTCAAGTGATCCGCCAGCCTTGGCCTCCCGAAGTGCTGGGATTGCAGGCATGAGCCACCATGCCCACCTCTCCTAACTAAGCACTGCTGATCCTTGAGGTCCTAGTAGATCTGTCCATTCCTCCCCACACCCACCCACCAGATTGAATCGGGTGCCTTTTATGTACCTCCAGGGCTCTAGGCTAACCTAGTGGGTACTACTAATATGTAGCACTTAGGCCACTAGATTACATTTCTCTGGTTTCTGATCTGTTTGCCCTGCTAGAGTCTGAACTCCTTGAGGACAGGAAGTCTTGCATGGGGCCTGGCACATAGTAGGAGCTCAATAAACATCAAGTGCATGTGTGCATGAATGAGCAGACAAATTGGCCTTTATGAGTCAGCAGGAGGCAAATCCAGGTGCAATAAAAGAGCTTTCAGACAAAGAGCTTTTCTTTTTGGTTTTCGAGACAAAAGTCTCACTCTGTCACCCAGGCTGAGTGCAGCGGTGCAATCTCCGCTCACTGCAACCTCTGCCTCCCGGGTTCAAGTGATTCTCGTCCTTCAGCCTCCCGTATAGCTGGGATTACAGGCATGAACTGCCACATCTGGCTAATTTTTGTATTTTTAGTAGAGACGGAGTTTCACCATGTTGGTCAGGCTGGTCTCAGACTCCTGACCTCAAGCGATCCACCCATCTCGGCCTCCCAAAGTGCTGGGATTACAGGTATGAGCCACCTCGCTCGGCCTTAGACAAAGAGCTTTTCTAAGATGACACACCCAGAGCTCCCCAGCAGGGAAGGTAGTGGTGCAGGTTGCAGAAAGAACTCTTGGCTAGGAAAGTGCATCTCAGTCCTTGAAAAGTCTCAGACCCCTTTCTTCAAACAGTCATACTAGGAACCCCAAAATATAAGACAAGTTGCTGGGCACTGTGGCTCACGCCTGTAATCCCAGCACTTTGGGAAGCTGAGGTGGAAGGATCCCTTGAGGCCAGGAGTTCAAGACAGCCTGGACAACAGATTGAGACCCTGTCTCTACAAAAAAAATTTAAAAATCAGCTGGTGTGCATCTGTAGTCCTAGTTATGCAGGAGGCTGAGGCAGGAGGATCGCTTGAGCCCAAGAGTTCAAGACTGCAGTGAGCTATGATCCCACCACTGCACTCCAGCCTGGGTGCCAGAGTGAGACCCTGTCTCTAAAACAAAGAAAGAAAGAAAAAAAAACGTTTCCTGGCGGGAGCCAAAACAAAAAACAAAAGCAAATAAAAATAATTTTAAAATGAACAAACCAACAAAAAGACAAATTACTGGGGAGGAGTCCTAGCTTCAGCAGGGGAGGAGGCAGGAGGACTGCCCTGGGCCTCCCCTTACCCTGAGCATTAAGGGGCCTCTGAACAGTAGCCTGACTACATTCTCCATTTCCTTTATCACAACTGGCATATCTATGATTCTTTTTTTTTTTTTCAGACAGAGTCTCACTGTGTCACCCAGGCTGGGGTGAAGTGGCGTGATCTCGGCTCACTGCAACCTCCGCCTCTCGTGTTCAAGCAATTCTCTTGCCTCAGACTCCCTAATAGCTGAGATTACAGTCATGCCCCACTACGCCTGGCTAATTTTTGTATTTTTAGTACAGACGGGGTTTCACCATGTTGGCCAGGCTTGCCACTTCTTTGATTTTAGGCAGCCACACACTGGGGACAAAGAAGTCCTAGTTTATCCCTAAGTCTATCCTGAGTGGTGTTCCTGGGGGCTCACCCTGCCAGCCGATAGAGATGTCTACAGAAGCCCTCTTCCCGCAGGTTGCCCTCCAAGGCCACTGTGTTTCTGAAACAGTGAAACTCTGGAGTCTCTGGGCGGAGCCAAGCTAGTACAGAGGCAGGCAGGGCTGCAGGCTTGCCTAGCAGGGCACAGAGCCAAGGGCTTAGTCTCAGAATTGGATTATTAGAGTGAATTTGGAGCTCCCAGCCCCACTGACCTCGGGAACGTGAGGATTACCCGGGCCTCTGGCTGGGGCCCACGATCCTGCACATTCCCTGCCAGGTCTGAGAATAAGGATCCTCCCTCTGCGGCAGCACAGCGGGCAGCGGATGCTCTGCCCACCTCCCACCCCCAGCCATCAACCCCGCAGCCTCCCCTGGCTGCCTGGAGGCACACCAGCCTCCCTTGTGTCTGGGGTTTACAGCAGTGCTATTCAGGTTGTTGTCCATGGACTGGCAGCATCAGCATCCTCTGGGAACTTGTAAGAGATGCAAATTCATGGACTGCGCCCCAGACATGGGATCAGAATCACTGCGGGGGTGGCCCAGATCTGGGCTTCACAAATGCTCCAGGCAATTCTGCTGTATGCTAAGATTTGGGAACCAATGGCTTGAGGTACACCGGCCACCCCACACACCTGCCCAAGTACGCTCCAAGCCTGTCTAAGACTCGACAACTTCTACCCACAGATTTCTCCTTTGGGCTGCTTTAAGACTTCACTTATAGAAACGAATTACAATGGGTCTTTTCAATTGCATGATTCCACTGCAGTCTGAATAGCAGTCCCTGGGGTGTGCCGTGTGGTGCAATGCCCTGAGGGCACTTGCTATGCACTGACCCCATCCTTTATCATCCCCACATTACACAGGAAGAAACTGAGCTTCAGAAAGGGGACGCGACTGGCCCTAAGTCACACAGCAAGCAAACCCTGGGCCTATTGGCTACACATCTTCCTCCCACTCAGCAGAGAGGATGGCAGCTATTTCTTTCTTTTTTTAGACGGAGTCTCGCTCCGTCACCCAGTGGCATGATCTCGGCCCACTGCAGCCTCCACCTCCTGGGTTCAAGCGATTCTCCTGAAGCTGGGACTCTAGGTGCATGCCACCACGCCCGGCTAATTTTTCTATTTTTGTAGAGACAGGCCACGTTGGTCAGGTTAGTCTTGAACTCCTGAACTCAGGTGATCCTCCCGCCTCAGCCTCCCCAGAGTGCTGGGATTACAGGCATGAGCCACGGCGCGCAGCCAGTGGCAGCTGTGTCTATATCTGTCTGTCCGCACACACTGGGACTTCCTCCAGAGCAAAACCCTTGACATCACTTCACTGGGCAAGCCTTTTCTGACCTCCCTACAGGAGGCCAGGCCTCCTTAGTATATCCTGCCGAAGGTCCCTATATTTTTCCTCAATAGCAGTATCACAATTTGTAATCCTATATGATGTGTTTCTCTCATGCCTGTCTCTCCAACCAGTATAAAAGTTCCAGAAAGTCAGAAGTGATACAGACTCTGCTGGATGCTTCTCTTCTTATAGAACCTGATTTTGTTTGGGGAAGCTGAGTACCCAGCTAAATAACTAACTACATTCTTCAGTCTCCCTTAGCAGTCCCAGGTTCTGGCCCACGGATGAGAATGGAAGTCACTGAGTACATAATAGGTACTCAATAAATGCATGTTGGCCAGGCATGGAGACTCACGCCTGGAATCCCAGCCCTTTGGGAGGCCAAGGCAGGCAGATCCCTTGAGATCAGGAGTTTGAGACCAGCCTGCCCAACATGTGAAACCCCATCTCTACTAAAAATACAAAAATTAGCCAGGCGTGGTGGCGGGCGCCTGTAATCCCAGCTACTCGGGAGGCTGAGGCAGGAGAATCGCTTGAACCTGGGAAGCAGAGGTTACAGTGAGCTGAGATCACGCCACTGCACTCCAGCCTGGGTGACGGAGCTAGACCCTGTCTCAAAACAGAAAACACAGGAAGGTCAAAAGAACCCTCATTTGACTTCTTCTCGAAATAAATAAATAAACAAACAAAAAATGCTGAATGCAAAAATGATCAGCAGGTTCTGGGCATGCAGTTGGTACTCAGGAAATGTGAGGGTCATCTAACCAGGCCCAAGGAGGAAAGACCATCACGGCTGTCTTGCTCTTGGAAATATTTTTATTGGTTCTGAGATAACAGGGCTGAGGCGAGCTGGGACGGGCGCAGAGCGAAGGTGGGAGGCTTTGCCCTGGGGCGGACATGCTGTGTGGGGTCTGCTGGCGGGCTCCCTGGCCCACCCAGCCAGCAGCAGCTGGGCACATGGCCCTTGGCGCCTGGCATGACCTCTGCCGGCTTGGCACGGTGGCCTCCTCGTCGGCGGGCGCCCCCGCTTTCCAGTTGCAGGAGTTAGTCTTTCACAGTGCGGAGGGGTGGGGGTCCGGGGTGGGCGCCTCCCCGGGGTGCAGGCAGGCCCCATCCGCCAGTACATCCTGGGCTCTCGGCGGCTACAGCGGGTGAGGCAAGCTCTAGCTCCTCTTAGCCCCGCCTTTGGGAGCTTGGCAGTCCTGGAGGGGCCCTCGCGGCCTCAGCGGGACATCATCCGGACAAACTCTAGAAGGGTAGAGGAGCAGCTGGGGAGCAAGCAGCAGCCAGAGGCCTCCCCAGGTTGCTGCCTTCAGACCCCACCCTGTTGCCACTGCCCCAACTCTGTGCTGGTCCCCCATCCATTCCGCCCTCTCCAATCCATGGACACAGCAGCCAGCGAGAGTGTTCTAATCTGCGGATCTGACCGCTGCGTAAACCTCCCACAGCTCTCCACTGGAAAAATCTCCAATATCCTGACACAGCCTCATGGCCCTCCCTGATCTGGCGCCAGCTGACATCTCCAGCCATATCTCTCAGGCTAACTCCCAACCTCTGTGCTCCAACTACACAGATCTTTTCAGCCCCTCAAGTGCAGCTGGCGCACTCTCTCTCTCACCTCTCAGCATTTTTTTTTTTTTTTTTTTTTTGAGATGGAGTCTTGCTCTGTCACCCAGGCTGGAGTGCGGTGATGCGATCTCAGCTCACTGAAGCCTCCACCTCCTGGGTTCAAGCGATTCTCCTGCCTCAGCCTCCCTAGTAGCTGGGATTACAGGTGTGCACTACCACGCTTGGCTAATTTTTGTACTTTTAGTAGAGATGGGGTTTCACCATGTTGGCCAGGCTGGTCTCCTCTCAGCTTTTCTGAAAGCAACCTGTACCCCCTCCCTTCTTCTTCTTCCTTTTTTTTTTTTTTTTTTAATGTAGAGACAGAGTCTCCCTCTGTCGCCCACGCTGAAGTGCAGTGGCATGATTATAGCTCACTGTAAGGTCAAACTCCTGGGCTCTAGCAATCCTCCTGCCTTGGCCTCCCAAAGTGCTGGGATTACAGGTGTGGCCACCGTGCCCAGCCCCTTCTCTCTCTCTCTTTTCTTTTTTTTTTTTTTGAGACAGAGTCTCGCTCTGTCACCTAGGCTGGAGTGCAGTGGCGTGATCTTGGCTCACTGCAAGCTCTGCCTCCCGGGTTCACGCCATTCTCCTGCCTCAGCCTCCCAAGTAGCTGGGACCAGGAGCCCGCCACGACGTCCAGCTAATTTTTTGTATTTTTATAGAGATGGGGTTTCACCATGTTAGCCAGGATGGTCTCGATCTCCTGACCTCGTGATCCGCCCACCTCGGCTTCCCAAAGTGCTGGGATTACAGGCGTGAGCCACCGCGCCGGGCCTCTCTCTCTCTTTTTTTAAGGGCAATTTTAGGTTTATGGCAAAACGGATTAGAAAGTACGGAGATTTTTTTCTGCAACCCCTGTCCCCGCATACGCATAGCCTCCCACACCAACCACATCCCACACAGAGTGGTGCATTTGTTGTAAGTGAGAAACCGACACCGACACATCGTTATCACCTGGAGACCACAGTTTACATCAGGGTTCATTGTTGGCGATGTACATTCTATGGGTTCAGACAAATGTATAATGACATGCATCCTCTGCTGTTGTATCATACAGAATCGTTTATTTTTATTTATTTATTTATTTTTGAGACAGGGTCTCACTTTGTCACCCAGGCTGGAGTACAGTGGCACAATCTCGGCTCACTGCAGCCTTGACCTCCCGGGCTCAAGCGATCCTCCCACCTCAGCTCTCCAGGTAGCTGGGACTACAGGCATGCGCCACCAAGCCTGGCTAATTTTTTTTGTATTTTTAGTAGAGACGGGGTTTCACCATGTTGCCCAGGCTGGTCTCGAACTCCTGACCTCAAGTGATCCTCCTGCCTCAGCCTCCCAAAATACTAGGATTACAGGCATGTGCCACTGTACCTGGCCTCATACAGAATAGTTTCACTGCCCTAAAAATCTTCTCTTCTCTGCCTATTCATCCCTCCCTCCCCCCAACCCCTTGCACCCACTGATCTTTTTACTGTCTCCATAGTTTTGCCTTTTCCAGAATGTCATATAGATGAAATCATAGGGTATGCAGTGTTTTCAGATTGGCTTTTCACTTAGTAATATGCATGTGTGTCCCCTCTTCACCATGTCTTTTCATGACTAGATAGCTCATCTCTCTCTCTCTCTTTTTTTTTTTTCTTTTTGAGACAGAGTCTTGCTCTGTTGCCCAGGCTGGAGTGCAGCAGTACCATCTCAGCTCACTACAACCTCCGCCTCCCGGGTTCAAGCGATTCTGTGTCTCAGCCTCCCAAGTGCTGGGATTACAGGTGTGCGCCACCACACCCAGCTAATTTTTTTTGTATTTTTAATAGAGACAGGGTTTCACCATGTTGATCAGGCTGGTCTCAAACTCCTGACATCAAGTGATCTGCCCACCTCGGCCTACCATAGTGCTGGGATTACAGGCATGAGCCACAGCGCCTGGCCTAGCTCATCTCTTTTTAGCACTGAGCAATATCCCATTGTCTGGATGTGCCCCCGTTTATTTATCCATCACTTACTGAAAGGACACCTTGGTTGTTTCCAAGTTTGGACAATTATGAATAAAGCTGCTATAAGCATCTATGTACAGATTTGTGTGGACATAGGTTTTCAACTCATTTGGGTAAATACCTGCCCTTCCCTCTCACCTGGTGGCTCTTCCCATTTTGGGGGGCTCTAATTATTTATAACCTCCTCCAGGAAGTCTTCCCTAATCCCTCCCTGCAACTTGGCACAGGCGCCCCCTCTATAGCAGCCCCCTGTGCTTCCCCCA
Source organism: Homo sapiens (assembly GCF_000001405.40). NCBI lineage: Eukaryota > Metazoa > Chordata > Mammalia > Primates > Hominidae > Homo > Homo sapiens. The sequence goes on along the minus strand of NC_000012.12, from coordinate 120,664,263 downwards.
GCACACATGGATTATGCTATTGTTTTCTCTGGTTTTCTTGCTGGTTTTGAGCTCTTCGAGGCAGAGACCAGATCTTAGCACACAGCAGATGTACAATGCATCCTCGTAGGATGAATGGGGGATGCCAGGCTTTCAAGAGCAAGGCTGTCATCTGTGGTGGGCGCTACCTGGATACAGGGAGACCTGAGATTTCCAGATCTGGTGATAACAAAGCCTTCTCTCCAACTATCCACGCTCCCTGGCCTTGAAGGCCAACTGCTCCTGAGAGAAAACCTCCCAGCCTTTGTGTTCTGGACACTCACGGTCTCTGGCACATGCTTATCTTGTCTTTCTGCTCAGAATGCAAGTTCCTGGTGTGCAGAGTCAACATTTTACCCTTTCCCTGTATCCCGTAGTGCCTCACATGGCGTCATGCACAAGACTGCATTCTGCTGTGATTTCAGGCCTGGGGCTGTGCCCCAGCTCTGCCTCTTAGTAGGCAGGCAATCTTGAGCTAGTTATATTACTTCTCTGAGCCTCAGTTTCCTCATCTGTAACATGAGGTTATAATAATGCAATCCATAGAGTCATTCTGAGAATTAAATGTAAGAATATGTGTAAAGCTACTTAGTACAATGACTGCACATAAGTGTACAGTAAATTATAACTATTATGATTACTATTGATTCTTTAAAAAGAAAGTCTTTGAGGCTGGGCGCGGTGGCTCACGACTGTAATCCCAGCACTTTGGGAGGCTAAGGCGGGTGGATCACTTGAGGCCAGGAGTTCGAGACCAGCCTGGCCAACATGGTGAAACCCTGTCTCTACTAAAAATACAAAAAATTAGCCAGGCATGGTGGTGCACCCCTATAGTCCCAGCTACTCGGGAGGCTGAGCCACAAGAATCACTTGAACCCGGGAGGCGGAGGTTGCAGTGAGCCGAGATTACGCCACTGCACTCCAGCCTGGGCGACAGAGCAAGACCCTGTCTTAAAATAAATAAATAAATAAATAAATAAATAACCTTTCACTGAGCACTAGCTGTGTTATGCAAGAAATGCAGTGATTAAGAAAATAGGGTTCTTCTTTCAAAGTTCAGAGTCAACTGGGAAGACAACTCTAACCAGCAGTTAGGGGACAGTGTGAAGAACAGGTGAGCCTGACGTGCTGTGAAAACCCAGAAAAGAGGAAGTTCAGTTTGAGGAACCAGGGAAGGGTGCTAGAAGAAGGAGTCCCACTGTCGAGTCATGAAGAATGTCCCTTGGGCTAACAGAACTTAGCCCAAGTAAAAAACAGGATAGGCCAGATGCAGTGGCTCACACCTATAATCCCAGCACTTTGGGAGGCCAAGGCGGGTGGATCACCTGAGTTCAGGAGTTCCAGACCAGCCTGGCCAACATAGTGAAACCCCATCTCTACTGAAAATACAAAAACTAGCTGGACGTGGTGGTAGGCGCCTGTAATCCCAGCTATTCGGGAGGCTGAGGCAGGAGAATCGCTTGAATCCAGGAGGCAGAGGTTGCAGTGAGCTGAGATCGTGCCATTGCACTCCAGCCTGGAGTACAAGAGCGAGACTTTGTCTCAAAAAAAAAAAAAAAAAGAACAGGATAAAAGCCCTCCTGGTGGCCAGGCACAGTGGCTCACGCCTGTAATCCCAGCACTTTGGGAGGCCGAGGCGGGTGGATCACTTGAGGTCAGGAGTTCAAGACTAGCCTGGTCAACATGGTGAAACCCCGTCTCAACTGAAAATACAAAAATTAGCCGGGCATGGTGGTGGGCGCCTGTAATCCCAGCTACTTGGGAAGCTGAGGCAGGAGAATCACTTGAATCTGGGAGGCGCAGTTTGCAGTGAGCCAAGATCCTGCCACCACACTCCAGCCTGGGCAACAGAGTGAGACTCTGTCTCAAACAAACAAACAAACAAACAACAACAAAAAAGCCCTCCTGGCAAAAAGATCAGTGTATTCAAGAGGGACCCTAGCAGCTTCACTGATCACAAGTATTTTGGTGGAGTGTGAATGAAGGACTGTTGAGTTGTGGCTGGGGAGGTGAGCTGTGGTCAGATCTTAGGGAGCCTGAGTGTCCAGTTGAGGAATGTAATGTTCAGAAAACACCTACCGTGGATGGATGCATGCGTGGGTAGACAGATAAATGGATAGAGAAGGATGGGTGCAGATGGACACAGGGATGGGTGAATGGATGAGTAGATGGATATAGATGAGGAAATGACTGAACAGATAGATGGATAGATCAATGCAAGTATGGGTAGAAGTATATGCAGACGAAGAGACATGAATGTGTGAATGGAAGTATAGAAGTGTGAACACATAGAGAGATCTATATGAGTAGATGAATACATAGATAGATTCATGGGTGAATGTAGAGAAGAATGAATAGATGCACGAATGGACAGATAAATGCATGGATAAATTGCTATAGGAATGATTGCTTAGAGATGGAGGAATGGATAAATAGGCATCTGGACAGATAAGGAGATAAACAGATGAAAAATGGAGAGATAGATATGGAAAGATGGACAGATAGATGAATAGGTAGATGAATGGATGGACAGATGGATGGATAGGTGGATGGATGGATGGATGGATGGATAGATATGTAGACGAATGGATGGACGGATGGATGGATGGATAAATGGATGGATGGATGATGGACAGATAGATAGATAGGTAGATGAATGGATGAATGGATAAATGGACAGATGGATGGATAGGTAGAGGATGGATGGATGGATAGATGGGTAGATAAATGGATGGATGGATGGATGGTGGACAGATGGATAGATAGGTAGATGAATGGATGGATAAATGGACAGATGAATGGAAAGGTAGAGGATGGATAGATGGATGGACAGATGCATGAATAGATGCATGGGGAAGGGATGGGAGATGGATTAGACGGGGGCATGGACGGAGGGATAAGAGGATGAAAGGGCTGGGGGTTGGAAAATTAGGGCGGATTGATGGTTGCATGATGGATACACAATTGGAGGGCTCCATGGATGGCCACTGCTGGCTTGCTTCTCTCCCACTTTCAAGCCCCACCTACCTTCAAAGTCCACTCGTCCATCCCCATTGAGGTCCACATCTCGGATAATTTCCTCTATGTCTCGGTGTCCCACCTGATGACCCAGGAGCTTCCTCATAGCCTCTCGCAGCTCACTGGTGCTTATTTCCCCATCACCATTGGTGTCAAACTAGAGAAGGCAGGAAGGAAGGAGAGGTCGCCCCAGCATGGCGATTGGCAGCAGCAGATCCCAAAGTTGAGCTCCTTCTCCAGTGTCATTGCCCCCCTTTACCAGAGACCTTTCTCTGTCCAAGCTCCCTCCCCTGATCTGGGACTTGAGGCTCAGGCTTCTTTTGAAGTATTTATACTGCAGATAGGATTCCAATAGCCGCCCCATGCCTGCCTGCCTCTGTCCGTTACCTCTCGGAAAGCATCTCGCAGTTCCTTTACACCAATCATATCTGCTGTCTCTGCCAGGAGTTTAGGCCCCATTAGCTCCACGAAGTCATCAAAATCTACATGGCCACCCACTGGAAAAGGAGGAAAGGGCTAGGTCATCCCCGACATACCCATTCCCTGTCTCCAACTAGACAACTGACAGAATGGACAACCCCTCCTTGACCTGCTCATCAGATAGAGACAAACTTAATAATAACAAGAGCCCTCTGTTCAGTTCTTCCTGTGAGCCAGTTATTGGGCTGTTTTACAGATATTCCCTAATCTACTTTCTGGGCTCCACTCCTCCAATTCGGCCCTCATTTTACAGGTGAGGAAACTGAGGCTCAGAGAGGGTAAGTGGTTGGCCCCAGATCACAGAGCTGGTAAGAGGTGGATGCAGAATTTGAAGCCAGTCCTGTCTGACTGCAGAGGACGGCAAGGGTGAGGACCGAAGGGACGCAGATGCCTGGTAGAGGGACTCACGGTTCATGTTGATCTGCTGGGACAGTTCGATGAGCTCCATCTCGGTGGGCATGTAGCCCATGGTGCGCATGCAGTTGCCCAGATCCCGGCAGTTGATGTAGCCATCCTTGTCCTTGTCGAATTCTCTGAAGGCCTCTCGGAGCTCTGGGGAAGTGAGCAAAGGTGGATGTGGTCAGGGGTAGGACCCGCAGAGCCTCTGTGGGCAAAGGCAGCCCAAAGGCCCACCGGCATGGAAAGAGAGGCCCAGGAGCTTCCCAGGATGCTGGGGCATTTCTCTTGCCTCCTGTGCACACCTTCAGCAGCTGGTTTCACAGAAGATACCCCGCGTTGCACCAGGCCCCATTTCCAGGGGCCTCTCTTCCCATCAACCTCCCTTCCCACACCTTCCTAGAGGGCTAGGCAGTCCTTTCCCCCAAGGGGCCAAGTTTTACCTTCAATTTCCTCTGGTCGCAGTGATCTATCCTGAAACAAAAGAACATGTCCTATTAGCCGCGACAAGGGACCTGGAAGTCACAAAATACCTAACCTGGGGGCCATCCACGTGGCAGCAGGCACTGGGTAGGAGGTGACGAGGATGCAGCACAGGTGTGCCTGGATCAGGTCCTTGAGGGGAGAAGAAAGCCCCACATCTCCCTTAGACATAGAAGCTCCTGGGCCCCTAACAGGAGATGCCCAAGAAGCCACCAGCCCCACCAGCCTGGGCACAGAACCTCTGTGCCTCCAGCCCCTTGTTCCAGATACAAGAATGGGTCAGCAGGAGTTTGAGGCTGTAGTGAGCTATGATGGTGCCATTGCACTCTGTCACCCTGGACAACAGAGTGAGACCCTGTCTCAAAAAAAAAAAACAAAAAAAGAATGAGTCAGAGAACAGAGCTTGCCTGGTGGCAAAAACCTGCAAATAAAACAGAGTCCAGGGAGGTCACAACAGGGAAAAGAGAGCACCACCCAATGAAACAGGAAGAGCAGGGCGACAGAGGCTGCAAGACAACAGAAGAGGCGCAGGAGGGGAGGGAAGGCAGGGCCATCCTGAAGCGAGGGTAGGAGGACAGGGAGGAGTCAGGAGGAGACGTGGCAACAGAATGGGGCTGTGACTGCTTCGCGGGCACTGCCCCACCTTCTCCAATTTGACCCCCATCCCTGTACGTTCCCCTGTCATGGGATCACAGGACACCACATAGGACCCCGGGGGCCACCAGTGCTTCTGGCTGGAGCCAGGGTCCAAAAAGCACATGTCTCCAGCCTCAAGCAGTGCCCAGGTCTCCTGGGCAATCAAGGCAACCCTGAATCTAGGCGTCAGAACAGATGGCAGAGACATCTCCAAGGAGCAGGCCTGGAGGAAGCTCAGGTTGGTGAGCTGCCAGTTGCCCTGGGCCTGCCCAGGAGGGAGATAGACTGGCATGAAATGGATACAGGTGCCCAGCTGGACCTGGTTAGTAGACTCCAAAAGTGGCCTTCAGCGTCCAGCCTCCCGCATGTTGCAGCTCTTTGCCTTTGGGCAGGGAGGACACCAGGCAGGTGTGCCCGTCCTGAAGAGGCTCACACAGGTATGGCCATACCTCCCACGAACACAGACACGCAGGCATGCCACAGTGAGCGTGTGGCACCTCCACTGTGCATGCAGGCCGTTCCAGCCAACGGGGCCAGGATGAGTAGAGACAGCCACTCCAAACTGGCCCCAGGACAAAAGACGACAACACCAGAAAATCTGCAGATCATCTAGAAAGGGAAGGGCTGCTGAGTCACATCTCATGGGACAACCAGGTGCATAGGACCAAGAGCTCAGAGGTAGCTCTGTGTGGCAGGACAGCGTTGAGAGTGTGTGTGAGCTTGGAGGGAGCAGGCTGCAAGCTCCCAGCTCCGCCAGGCTGGGGGTAGGAGTCACCCATAGGGAGGCGTGTCTCTGAGATGACTGCATGGACGTTCACCTAAAAAGCTCGCTATGGGCCAGGCACGGTGGTCCACGCCTGTAATCCTAGCACTTTACGAGGCCAAGGCGAGGGGATCACTTGAAGCCAGGAGTTCGAGACCAGCCTGGGCGATATAGTGAGACCTCGTCTCTACCAAAAAACCTTGTTTTAGTTAGCCAAGCATGGTGGTTCACGCCTGTAGTCCCAGCTACTCGGGAGGCTGAGGCAGGAGAATCACTTGAGCCTGGGAGGCAGAGATTGCAGTGATCCAAGATTGCACCACTGCACTTCCACCTGGACAAGAGAGTGAGACTCTGTCTCAAAAAAAAAAAAAAAAAAAAAAAGCTGGTGATGGTGCCTGGCTTAAGGGTAGGTCACAGCCATTCCAACACAAACCCATATGTTCGTAGATGTTTTTGGGTGACCAAAAAGGATGTTTTGTGCAATGGGTCATACCAGCAGTCTGTGAAAGCGAGTGAGTAAGCACACGTGTGTACACATACATGCAGAGCACACGCCCTAGGACCAGCTACTGAGACCCAATAAATCCTTTCCCACGCATCAGGCCTTAAGCAGCCTCCCACTTCTCCAAGGCCCAGTTCTGCAGGACTCGGGAGGAACAGGCATTGCTGACCCCATGGCAGCCCCTTCCGTTCCTCCTGTACACCCAAAGCCCCGGGGGCAGCAAAGCCAGGTGCCCCTTCACGGAGTGTGCCCGCCACCAGAGCTGGTCTGCTGAGCACTGATGGCTGGTCCTTGGATCACACACCCCATGCACAGCAGTAGCTATGTGTGTTCTCTGCCCTGGAGTAGAGCCAGGGATGCCCACTAATGTGCCAGGAAGATCACGTGCAGCAACTCAGGGTCAGGTGGAATGGGGTGCAGGAACACGCCTTTCTCCCCAGTACATGTGGCTGGGGAGACGCACTTGGACTCTAGAGGCAGACAGACCTGAGTATGAAGCTCAGATCTACTTCCTCAGGCAGGTCACTCTGCTGTTTGAGCCACAGTCTCCTCATCTGTAAAATGGGTTAATACCAGTACCCACCTCACAGGGCCTTAGTGTGCATTCAGTGAGACAAGATATTAAAGTGTTTAGCATGTGGCATTCAATAAATGCAACCTACAAATGTTTACCTCTATAACATCCTCATTAGTCCTCTCCTCTCTTTGAACTATTTAGCTACTTGTAGAAAGCTGGCCAATTCACTAGCCGCTAGCCACATGTGGCTATGTAAATTTGAGTAAGAATAACATAAAATCCATAATTCAGTTCCTTAGTTGCACTAGCCACATTTCAAGTGGTCAATAGCCACATGTGGCTAGTGGCTACTGTATCGGACAGCACGGAATTTAGAATATTTCCATCACTGTAGAAAGTTCTACCGGACAGTGCCACGTATACAGAGTTGTCATTAGGAGCACAAGAGGCTCTTGAGTCAGGCTATCCAAGTGTGAATCCTACCTCTACCACCAACAAGCTGTTACCTCGAGCATGTGACCTCTGCACTCCAGTTTTCTTTCTTTCTTTCTTTTTTGAGTTGGAGTCTTACTCTGTCACCCAGGCTGGAGTGCCATGGCGCGACCTTGGCTCACTGCAACCTCTGCCTCCTGGGTTCAAGCGATTCTCCTGCCTCAGCCTCTTGAGTAGCTGGGATTACAGGCACCCGCCACCATGCCTAGCTAATTTTTGTATTTTAGTAGAGATGGGGTTTCACCATGTTGGCCAGGGTGGTCTCAAACTCCTGACCTCAAGTGATCCACCTACCTCGGCCTCCCAAAGTGCTGGGATTACAGGCGTGAGCCGCTGCGCCCAGCCCAAGTCAGTTTTCTCATCTGTAAAATGGGGATGATAAAAGCACCTACCTCTTAGAGCTGCTCTGAGGCTTAAATGAGGCAATCCGCCAACACACTAGGCACAGTGCTCACCTAGTAAGTGCTCAAAACAATGTATCTGATATTATTATTATTATTATCATCATCATTATTTTGCTCGTGGATATGGACTCACCAGCACTTTGTAGCCATGAGTGGAAAACTTTGGGGATCAGATTCATAAGTTGGGGGTGTGAGCTCTGTATAGACCCCTTCTTCATCCCAGCACCTCCTCACGCCCTGTGAAGCCAAGTTCAGCGGGCTCCACTGGGCCAACTTACGTACAGGCTGCCTGTTCTCAGCGAAGCCCTTGCGCAGGAAAATGCAGGCAGGGCCCAGCAGGTTGTGCATGACTGCGCAGTTCTGGGCCAGCATCAGGAGCGGTCCCGGGAGCTCGGCGTCAGCCGCCAGCCCCTCCTCGCTCGTCTGCACCACCATGTAGCTGGTCTGTTCCTCCTGGCACATCTTCAGCCAGCACCAAGCAAATGCAAAAGAGAGGCAGGGTGTCACCTCCCTGCCCAGCCTGGCTCCTGGTCCCGGGAGGGGCTTTCCGCAAGAGGGGACCCTGAGAGTCAAGGAGCGGGGTTCAGAGAGCCCTGAGCGTGCACAGGCATCAAATTGGTCCAACAGACAGAGTCTCCAATCCTTGACGGAAATGGTGGTTCCGGGGAGAGCTGAATGTGATGCCCTCTGTGTGGCACATGCGCACACACACACACACACACACGCACGCACGCACTGGCACATACATATGCACAGAATCACACACCCAAGTGCATGAAGAGACAGGGGCAGCGGGGGGCTTCTATTCTCACCAATGGGAAGTGTTCACTCAGAGCCTAATGAGACAACATCCTTTCCCAAAATGCTCCCAACCTCCCAATTCAGTCAATCTCCAGGGCTAAGTCATTCCTCCCAGCTCCCAAACAGACTTGTCCTACTCCAGCCAGATCCCCGCTGGAAGGCAGTGAGGGCAATCGGAGCTGGCAGCATGGAGACCAGGCTTGGCTGGTCTGCCAGACCAGAGGTTGCACATGCAGGTGCCATTGCTGACATAAATGAAGCAGGCAGGGTGTGAGAGGTGGGGACTGGGGCAAAGTGGAAACATGCCCCCTCCTTTTTCGTGTGTGGCTAGTGCACTCTGTCGCCCAGGCTGGAGTGCAGTGGCGTGATCTTGGCTCACTGCAACCTCTGACTCCCGGATTCAAGTGATTCTCCTGCCTCAGCCTCCTGAGTAGCTTGGTTTACAGGCACCCACCACCACACTGGCTAATTTTTTTTTCCGTATTTTCAGCAGAGATGGGGTTTCACCATGTTGGCCAGGGTGGTCTCGAACTCCTGATCTCAGGTGATCCTCCTGCCTCAGCCTCCCAAAGTGCTGGGATTACAGGCGTGAGCCACCGCACCTAGCCTGAGATGGTGACCCCTCTGAAGAGGTAGCACTACTTAACTCCAGCCCAGTGTAACCAGATCTGATTTAAAGCACCGGGTGGGCCACACAAGGCACATCTGTAGGTAGGATTCCACCCAGTTTGTGATTTCAAGACTAGACACTCTCTGCCATCCACCAGTTCTCCTTTTCCTCCCTCCCGCCTTCCCTGGCTCCCTGCCTGGCCCAGAGTGCCGGACCTCTAGAGGCTAAGGCAGGGCCCTTCTCTGCTTACCTAATATAGCTGTGCTCCCAGGCCCTGACCAGCCGATCCTCCGCCCTGAAGGTTCCCATGCGGCTATAAAAAGTCCGCACTGCCCACAGACCTTCCCCTTAGGACAACAGCAGCTTCCAGACACAACATTCAGTTCTCCCCAGCCTCCCGGGATGCCCAGTGCCTCTACAGAATCCAGCTCCTGCACTCTGCCTTCGGCCTGCACTCTGCCTTCGGCCTGCACTCTGCCTTCGGCCTGCACTCTGCCTTCGGCCTGGAGCTTACATACCTTCCTTCAATGTGGGGGGATTTAGCTAGAGTAGGACCTTCCCAAGGAGCGACAGGAGCTGAAACCCTGAGGGCTCTTTGTCTGAGAAGTGCAGGTCTGCGCACCCTATCCTTCCATCCTACTGCATTCTACTTGCAGTCAGATTCCTCCAGGGCAAAGAAGGCCCTGCTTAGGAGAACATCCCAAGACCCAGGGGCAGCCTGTCCTTCCAGGTTGAGACTCAGAACAACCCCCTGCCCACCGTGTCCTCTCCTGCTTCCTCTCCCCAAAGCCCTGTGGGACTACAGACCGAGACTCCCTTCCAACTTCCTAAGCCCCTTCCAGGCCTAGAGAGGGTGGTGCAGTATTCCGGTTCCTCAAAGAGGAAGCAGCTACTCAGGCTGGAGGTGAAGGAACTCAGTCCCAGGGTCAAGTTTGATGAGTGCAATAAATGTCTGTTTTAGGTGATCCCAAAACTTGAGGGATGTCAGACAGGCCAAGAGCCCCTCCTGGTTTGATATCCCAAAGAGTTGTGATTCAGAGCCTCGGCTTCACTCACTCAGACTTCTGGGACCTAGACTAGAGCGAGGCAAGACTAGAGCGAGGCAGAACAAGAGAGACCTTCCCATCTGGGAGAGTGGATCAAAGCATGCCTGAGATAACAGTGACTGGCCGAACCCCAGGAACCAGTCTCAGGAGATGTCTGCAGAGAGTCAGCATTTTTGTTTCTGGCTGAATCTTCTGCACTTGGCTCAGAGATAGCATAACCCAGGAAGGCAGGGAGGTAGCAGGTGGCACAGAACTCCAAGAGGCGGGCCGGGCGTGGTGGCTCATGCCTGTCATCCCAGCACTTTGGGAGGCCGAGGCGGGTGGATGACCTGAAGTTGGGAGTTCAAGACCAGCCTGCCAACATGGCGAAACCCCGTCTGTACTAAAAATACAAAAATTAGCCGCGTGTGGTGGCGGGCACCCATAATCCCAGCTACTTGGGAAGCTGAGGCAGGAAAATCACTGAACCCAGGAGGCAGAGGCTTCAGTGAGCCGAGATGCGCCACTGCACTCCAGCTTGGGTAACAGAGCGAGACTCCATCTCAAAACCACAAAAAAACAAAAAACAAAACAAAACAAAACAAAACTTTAAAAGGCAGTTTAGCCTGCTGGCTTTGGGCTCAAACAGTCTTAGGGACAAATTCTGGCTCTGCCACTTGCTTGCTGTGTGACCTTGGGCAGGTCATTTCACCTCTCTGTGCTCCAGCTTCCTTCTCCATACTGTGGGAGATGCTCATGACTAGTCACAGGATTCCTGCGACAAGTAATGAGTTATACACATAAAGTGCTCTGCATGGTGGCTAGGGCATGGCAAGAGGAGGTGAATAAATAGAGTTGCCATAGTGATGGCAATGATGGCGATGATGATGGTGGTGGCAGTGATGTAATTTAAGAGATGCTGGGTGCCAGAAGGCATTTACTTCTGGCTGCAGAGGAAGTGGGGGAGCATCTGCCAATCAGGAAAGAAATGAGAAGGATGGAGAGGAATTTGCTCCCATGAAGAATGGAGAGTGGTAGCTGGGGAATTTCCACTGCATCTCTTGATCATAATACTGCCTAACACCAAGTTGCCCCAGAGGCTGCAATTCTTTTCTGGCCAATGATGGCACCTGACAGCCTGGTCCTGCCCAGCTCTGAGCCTGGTGCAGGCTGCCTCTCACCATTTCCAGTTCCCCAGATACCGCTCAGGAAGCCAAGTGGGCAGCAACCCATGGACCGACAATTTCTCCTGGCACCAAGGCAACGTCTCCTAAGTGTGGCATGGCAACAGGAGGGGCAAGTGTGCCTCATGACCTAACAGCTTTCTAATAATACAAGCTGGCCAAGAGTATGCACATCAAAGCTCCCTCTTGCCGAATGAATGTCTTCAAGGAGAAGCCGAATGAGGGAGTGCCTGGTGAGCGGGGAGGGGACTGATGCGCTGAGCGGGAATTTGGACTAGACGACTTCTAAGGTCAGATCCAGAAATCTATGAATAACATTTCTGACAGCAGGGGAAAGAGAGAGGCAGCCTCTCGTAGAGGAAAAAATAAAAATAAAATGCCAGCTCTGATTTTACACAGACCAGGGTTTAAATCCCAGCTCTGCTTCCTATCGACTGTGTAACCTTAGGAAGGCTCTATCTCTGAGTCCAGCTTCTTTCTCTATAAAACAGCCAAAAGAACTATGTAGCGGAAAAGAGAAAATGAGATAACAGACATTAGGTATGTTGCAGATATTTAGAAAAAAAAAAAAGCAATTATTAATACTATGATAGAAACACGAAATTGACTGCAGTAAGTTTTTTTATCTTTTACTCTGTGGACTGAAAATCTCTCCTATTTCCTGTTTCTCCTCCATCCCGCTTCTCTAAAACCCAGAGTGGAACAATTATGGTTATGATGACAAGAATACTAACATTTATTGACTACTATAGGCCAGGCACTGTGCACAGCACTTTATTTCATTCCCAGAATCACCTTAAGAGGTGGATATTAGTATGCCCAATTGATGGATGGACAAGGGAATCGAGGAACAGAGAGGTTAAGTAATCTGTCTAAGGTCACATGGCCAGAAAGAGGAGGCCTGTGTAATCTGACTCTTAAGCATGCTGTTGTGTAAGGGAAGATGGGTGGGACAGAAGGATAATCCTTGTTCTTAAGTTCACTTCCTCAAGCTCTGGATGGAACCTATTACAAGGGCTAATTCAGATCACTTTCTGCTTCTCTGGGACAGCGCGGAGGGCACTTCCGATGCAGAAGACTCCCCTAAGAAGATACCAGATTATGGGGGAGGCGTGCATGGAAGAAACAACAAGCCCTTGGAAGGATCTAAGGAACAGCAAAGATTAGAAGGAATTTGATGTGAGCAGCTTAGCCAAATGAGGAAGACGACAGGCAGAAAAGCCCAAAGTGTCCTAAATTGAGAGGCTGGTAAACTGACCAAGATAGGATGGGGTTGGGGATACAGACGCCAATAGCTCACCCGAGGCCATAGGTAAGTCACTTAACCCCTCCCTCTGAATGTCAATCAAGTTCCTTGTCTGGAAAATGGAAGAATTGGAGGAAAACAACGCCATCATTCCCTCTTCCTTTAAATAATACCTGAGTCTCTTCTATGGCCTGGCAACAGAGGGCTAGAAAAATACGCAGAGCCCACCTAACCCAAAACCCTATAGGTGCAAACCCAGCCTTGCATGAAAGATGCTTTAGAGATGATCATGTTCTTTCTAAAAGGAATTTTTGCAAAAACAAAAACAAATCCAAGTGTATGGCGATAAAGCCACCACAGAAAGTGACTTACATGCAACCCCTGCTCAACACATCACCCGGGCAGCCTACTTCTTAATGGAAAAACTCCTGGGCCCTAAAACCACTCGGGTCCTATTTGAGATACTCTGACTTAACTCAAGAATTATTGGGGAAGAATTATTGTTGTTTGGTTCCTTTCAGTAGCAATGGGATCTACTTCAAAATCCACAATTCTGAAGGCTTAGAGGCCATCAGAGAGGCTCACAGACCCTCAAAGGATATGAACGAGTCCCTGCCCTTGCTGCTGGGAAGGGTCTTCAGATTCTGCCGGTTTTAAGGGACTTGGCCAGTCCCTTGAATGACTGAGGTGCCAGTCAAGTTCACTGACATCTTAAGGATCCACCCTTTTCATTTTACATCCTAGAAACCCCAAAGCTACACAGTTTCTTTCCTAAGCCTTGTGCAAATTCCCAAACACAGTTTCACCCCGACCGCCATGCCCAAAGCCTGGGACACAGAAAACGGCAATAGGAGGGTGTTTGGGGTAGAAGCAGGGAGGCAGCCCTGGACAGAACCCCTGGGAAGGATAGCAAGCTCCAGCCACCCTTTCTGTGCCCAACCTCTGAGACAGATGGTGAGATACCCCCAATCCCCAGCCCCAGATCTTGGAAACTCCAAAAACATACCTTCCTTGAGAGATTTCTCAGTGGATACTTGACACAGTTGCCCATCCTAAGTTGAGGCAGCCCCTCTTGGGATCCCCGGGTCCATGAAGGAGGCTCCTGGGGGACTGAGGGACTTCCGTCCCAGTCTCTGCCAACCCCAGCCTCCCTCCGTCTGTGCCGTTCTTCCTCCAGGACGGATGTGAGCCCTCTCTTGCGCGCGTGCTCTCTTACTCGTCTGCCTGCTCCTGCTCTCCGATTTTTTTTTTTTTTGGGTGGATTGTGTGTGTGTTTGTGTGTGGGTTTAACTTTCTGGGCACTTTCTTAAGGAGATGAAAGCAGAAGGGGAGAGTGCAGGGCACAGGGAAAGTCACCTGGAGAGCTGATGGCAGAGGGGAACCAAGCTGGAGAAGGCTGCCGGATCATCTACATCAGATTAGCGCTCAGTCCTGTCTCTGGTTCTCTCCCCTTCTCTCGGCCCCTCCTTTCCCCGCTGCCAAATCTGCAGGGAGATGGCCTCAGGGAGGGGGGCCCAGAATGGCAGCTGCGGCTGGGAATTAGGCCAGCAGGCCCAGAAAGGGAAGCTGGCTAGTTTGGGTTCCCGAAGCCAGGGTGCCTGCCGCACAGCTCCCAGCCTTGTGTGTGTGCGCGCGCGCACACACACACACACAAACGTGCATGCACACACACACGCGCGCACAAACACACACACACATGCATGCACACACAAGCGCTCAGGGAGATGAATGCCCCTTCCAAAGAGCAGTGAGCTGGACAAGCACTCACTGCCCCTGGCAATTCCAGCTGCATTGAGAGCTGCGGCTCCAGTCGAGAGCCTGGGAGGTCTGGTGACGCCTCCATCATGCTCCATTTTTCACACTTGCCTTGTCACTGAAATGGGACGAGGCTCGGGGGCCGGCAGTGCAGATGAGCCAACAGTCAGATCAGATCCTTCTGCTCTGTGTGCAATTTCTCTGACCCGAAGGAAACCAGGAGATGGCCCCGAGGGGAGCATGACGGAGGCAGCGCAGGCAGAGAGGGCATGAGCAAAAGGTCTCTGAACCTCCTCCTCCTCGCCCCCTGCCTCATCCACAGCAAAGACCTCTCCCCAGCTTCCTTGGGGTGCCGGGCAGAGAAGAAGCCCTTTACGAAGCGCTCTTCGAGGTCCCACAGCTGGAGCTTTTTAGATGACTGGCTCTTCCTCGTCCCTCCAGGGTCGGCTTTGATATGAATTCATCTCACGCCTCAGATGTCCGGTTTGAGACCTACAGCCCCAGCCAGATTCCCCGCGTGCAAGTGTCCCTGTTTCCTGCACCCAGCTTTTTCCAGCAGGGGGCACCAGAGATAGACTGGAAGCAGAACTCCTCCCAAGCCCATTCTTGCACGCTAGCTCAGTTTTCAGCCCGGAGAGCCTCCTTTCCCAGGAACTTTTCTCCCGTGTGGGGGGGCTGCTCAGAACTCCTGTTAGGAAGATGGGTGGGGGCGCTGCCCAGAGGGTGCTCACTCCTAGGGAGCTGGGAAGGAGGTCCCTGGATAACTCCTGGACCTCCCCGGTGCTGCTGCTGACAACCACGCAATGGTTTAATCAGGGGAGTTACTCAGCAGCCTTGTTTGGGCCAAACCTCTGGAGGGGGAGATGGAGGAGGAGGAGCCTGGGGGGCGGGTATTGATGACTAAAGAACAGAAAAGAGGGTGATGATGCGTGTCTCCTGGAAACAGCATGAAGGAAGCAGGCCCAGGCAGGGGTCAGTGGACTCCAATGAATGGGAAGGACGGGGAGGTCTGGGGTTGAGTCTAGCTCTGCCAGCTTCTTTTTTTTTTTTTTTTAGACAGTGTCTTGCTCTGTTGCCCAGGCTGGAGTGCAGTGCCGCAATCTCAGCTCACTGCAACCTCTGCCTCCTGGGTTGAAGCGATTCTCCTGGCTCAGCCTCCCGAGTAGCTAGGATTACAGACGCACAACTTCATGCCTGGCTAATTTTTGTATTTTTAGTAGAGATGGGGTTTCACCATGTTGAACAGGCTACTCTTGAACTCCTGACCTCAGGTGATCCACCTGCCTTGGCCTCCCGAAGTGCTGGGATTACAGACATGAGACACCATGCCCAGCGCTGCCAGCTTCTGACTGGGTGGCTGCCTCCCATTCCTGAACTTCAGTTTCCGCCACTGGAAAAATGGGGCTTTTCCTAGCTTGCTTATATAGCATACATGAGAAAGTGTAAGACACCGAATAGCTACTGGATCAGTAATTATTTAAATGGAAGAAAGAAGTATCACTTGTCCAGTGGAGAAATGTCAGGCACCGTGCTTGGCTCTGGGAACGTTGTTGGGGGATAAGAGAAACACAGTTCCTGATTTCAGGACGCTTACATTCTAGCAGGTGGGCAGGAGATATTAGAGCTGGGACACAGTTATCTGATTACATTTCAGATAAATGCTATGAAGGGAAAACACAAAAACTCTGGGAATGTGAGTGAGGGGAATCTGTCTGAGTCTAGGGGATCAGGAAAGACTTGCAGGCAAAATCTAGAAAATAGACCATATGTAGGTTCCTTTGAAACAATAGTGCTCACTAGGGACCCCAGAGGGAAGCTCAGGTTAAGGTCCAGGTATGAATGGGTGGATATATGTAAAGGCCAAAACAGCACAGCATAAAGCAGAGATTCTCAATGCTGGCTGTAGACTGGCATAACTGGGGAGCTTCCCCAGAAATTCTAACTTAATTCTGTCTCCAATGGGCACTGGGCATTGGTGTTGCTTAGTACTCCCAGGTAATTCTAACCTGCAGCCAGTGTTGGGAAGCACTGATGTAGAGGCTAAGAGCTTGGGGCGGGGCGTGGTGGCTCACACCTGTAATCCCAGCACTTTGGGAGGCATAGGCAGGTGGATCACCTGAGGTCAGGAGTTCGAGGCCAGCCTGGCCAACGTGGTGAAACGCTGTCTCTACTAAAAAAAAAAAAAAAAAAATACAAAAGTTAGCTGGGCGTGGTGGCAGGTGCCTGCAGTCGCCGCTACTCGAGAGGCTGAGGCAAGAGAATCCCTTGAACCCGGGAGGCGGAGATTGCAGTGAGTCGAGATCGCGTCATTGCACTCCAGGCTGAGCGACAGAGTGAGACTTCATCTCAAAAAAAAAAAAAAAAAAAAAAAAAGGCTTGGACTGAGGAGTCACGCTGACTTGGATTCAAATCATATCCTGGGCCGGGCATGGTGGCTCACACCTGTAATCCTTGGAGGCCAAGGCAGGAGGATCATTGAGCCCAGGAGTTCGAGACCAGCCTGGACAACATAGTGAGACCTCATCTCTATTTAAAAAAAAAAAAAAAATCTTGTCTGCTGCTCAGTAACCATGTGGCCTAGAGGACATGTTGATCTTTCTCGGCTTCAGTTTCTTCATTTATAAAATAGGGATTCTAATAGCACCTCCCACAGGGCTCTTGTGAGGAGCTAATGAGATAATACATGCAAAGGGCTTGGCACTGTGCCAAGCATCTAGAAAGCGCCGTCTTCCCCTGCCCAGCATTGGTATTAAAGGGCCAAGCGTGGCATCCATTTATTCAGCAGGGCATCAACTCAGTCAAATCTGGTGGTTCCTGCCCCCTGCAGGCCAGTCCGGGCATAGCACCCACTTGTCGACCTTGGGATATGCCTCTGTCGTTGGAAACAGGAGACAGGAGCCGGCAAAACCTGGTCCCTATGGAAAAATCACACACTTTGAAGAAATCCCATCCTGCTTTGGGGGCAGGTGCAGGAGCTGATACTACCTTGAGGTTTGAGGATAGCAAGGGATCCAGGGATTTCGACGTGCTTTAAAGCTTACTTAAGCTAACTTGAGCCGGGCAGATAGGCAGGAGGGACAGAGGGCTCAGCCTTCAGTAGGAAATTTTAAAAGGGCTGAACAGCTGGGTATGGCGGCTTATGCCTGTAATCCCAGCACTTCAAGAGGCTGAGGTGGGAGGATCAGTTGAGGCCAGGAGTTCAAGACCAGCCTGGGCAACATAGCAAGACCCCATCTCTATTAAAAATTTTAAAATTAGCCAGGCATGGCAGCTGTGCCCCTGGTCATAGATACTCAGGAGGCTAGGGCAGGAGGATCACTTGAGCCCAGGAGTTTGAGGCTGCAGTGAGCTATGATTGTACCCTGCACTCCAGCCTGGGTGACAGAGCAAGACCTTGTCTCTTCAAAACAAAACAAAAAACAAAAAAGGCTGAACGGTGGGGGCTTCCTGTAAGGAGTGAAGCATGTTGTATGCCCTCACCTCCCATCTCTATCCACTGTGGCAGCAGCCCTTGGGCCTCCGGAAGCCCTACTTTGAGTGCTGGAATGGAATGATAGGATCAGAGGGATGAGAAGGATAAACTCATTGCTGATTATTCCTGATTAGAAGGGAGGCTGGCCTTTGGCGCTGGTCAGTTCTATCACCAGCATTTGAACTATCACCAGCCTTTGAACTTGGATGACAGCCCGGTACTAAGACACTCAGGGAAAGCTGGACTGTAACGTGAGAGGTGCTTTGCAGATGCTTCTGACGAACAGGGAACACACTTATGTGACCTCCCACCAAAGCAGCATGGCACACACAGAACAGGCAGGTATTTTCGGAGGCAGGCAGACCACAATTCTCAGCACAGTCCTGCCACCTACTTATTTACTTATTTTTAGAGACAGGGTCTCACTCTGTCACTGTGGCTAGAGTACAGTGGTGCAATCATAGTTCACTGCAGCCTCAAACTCTTGGGCTCAAGCAATCCTCCTGACTTGGCCTCCCAAAGTGCTGCAATTACAGATGTGAACCACTACACCTGGCCCTGCCATGTACTTACTATATGACCTTTGGACAAGTCATTTCCTCTCTCTTGAGCCTTCCTCATTTCTTTTTTTTCCAGACAGAGTCTTCCTCCGTCACCCAGGCTGGAGTGCAGAGGCACAATCTCAGCTCACTGCAACCTCCACCTCCTGGGTTCAAGCAATTCTCATGCCTCAGCCTCCCGAGTAGCTGGGGTTACAGGCGCCCACCACCACACCCAGCTAATTTTTGTATTTTTAGTAGAGATGGGTCTCACTGTGTTGGCCTGGCTGGTCTCAAACTCCTGACCTCAAGTGATCCACCCACCTTGGCTTCCCAAAGTGCTGGGATTACATGTGTGAGCCACTGTGCCTGGCCAAGCCTTCCTCATTTCTAAAATTGTTGTGGTGGGGTTGGGGGGAGTTGATGATGCTAACCTTCACAGGTAGCTGTGAAGATAAGAAGACACTTTGTCCACTGTGCAGTGGGCTCTAGACTGAGGCCTCAAGTGCTATTGTTGCCTCTCAAAAACAGCTGGAGGTAAAGGCTGACCTCCTGGAGGCTCTCACTGAACTGACTCCAAGCCACTCCTATCACCTGTGGCTGATGTTAACCACAAGCTGACCCTCACTTTCCCTCTCCCCAGGCCCCAGAGAAAGCCTATAGGGGCTCCAAGCCCTCTCAGAGAGAAGGAGGGAGACACATGACTGGAGTAGGAGTGAGGAATAGACACAGCCCTATCTTAGGAACCTAGGCTTAGTGCAATTAAATCCATGACCCAAACCACCATGGCCTCTCTCCCCATCTCAACCACAGGAACTGGCCGGGCGTGGTAGCTCACTCCTGTAATCCCAGCACTTTGGGAGGTTGAGGCGGATGGATCACTTGAGGTCAGGAGTTCGAGACCAGCCTGGCCAACGTGGTGAAACTCCATCTCTACTAACAATACAAAAATTAGCCAGGTGCGGTGGCAGGCACCTGTAATTCCAGCTATTCAGGAGGCTGAAGCACGTGAATGGCTTGAATCTTGGAGGCAGAGGTTGCAGTGAGCCAAGATCATACCACTGCACTCTAGTCTGGGTGACAGAGTGACACTGTGTCTCAAAATAAACAAACAAACCACAGGAGCTAAGGAAGCCTCTGAAGTCCGGAGGCTGGTGATACCATTCATTCACTCATTCATTCATTCATTAAATACTGTGATCCTGCTATGTGCAAAGCAGTATGGGAACAGGGATAGCCTATCTGTATTAGGAGACGTGTTTCTACAGCTGGAAAAATGGGAAGGATGGGACAGAGCTGTGGGTTTTATCCACATTTGCCTCCTCCACAAGGCATGTTTCTTCTCAAGCTCAGGGTAAGGAGCAGAAAGCCTGTTTCTTAAAATAGTCTTCCAAGACCTAAAGCCCCATGTCATCATGCCTCTGCCGAGTTAATTTCTGACATCACATCTTCTCTAGACAGCTGGGTGGCATGTCCTTAGCTGGCCACAAAGAGGGAGTACGGAAGATCCTTTGACATTCAGCTCCTTCCCTTAATAGCCATCCTCACCTGGCTCAGAATCAGCTTTCAAAGTACCTTACCCAGGCCCTCATTCAATTACCCTATTAATAATAGCAATAACATTAATGAAGGCTGCCCTTTATCCAGCACTCACTATGAGCCAGGCATTTGATATCCTTAATCTTGTGTAAGCCTCCTAATAACTGCAAAGCAGTTTTTGTCAATCTCATTCCTGGATGAAGAAACCAAGACCAGAGAGAGAAAATAACATGCCCAAGGACACAGAGATCGAAAGTGACAGAGCCAGGATTAGAACTTGCATCTCTGCTGTCTCCCAAGCCACCATTCCACACCTTAGCCTCAAAACCACGCTGTCTCCATGCATATGCAATAAGGATGCTCTATGAGGTCACTGGGAGAGTTTTCATCCCTGTTTCCTTTAAGGTAGGAATTCATCTTTGTGCCTTCAGTGTGATTCTGAACACTGGCTCTCTGAGACTATTACAAATGAAAAGGAAGAAGGCCTTGGTAGTTAATCAACAATAACAACAAAGAAGAAGAATAACTAACACTGATAGAGTTAGCAAGGGCTCCGTGCCAGGCCTGGGCCAAGCTCTCTCTATCTCTCCGTATCTCATTTAATCTCCCAAGCACCCTGATGATCCCTACATTGCAGGTAAAGAAATAGACTTGGCCAAGCACGGTGGCTCATGCCTGTCATCCCAGCACTTTGGGAGGCTGAAACAGGTGGATCACTTGAGCCCAGGATTTCCAGACTGCCCGGGCAACATAGTGAGACCCTGTCTCTATTATAAAATATATTTTTTAAAAAAGAAATAGACTTAATGAGGTTAAGCAATTCACTTAAGTTAAAAACAAATGAAACTTGGGGAGTCATGAAAAATATACTTCCCCAGGGCTGTATTTTTCTCTAAGCAGATCTTAACTAAAAGTTTCTGTATTCAGAACCCCATCTGCCTTCTCTTGGTTCTGACCCTGCCTCTAAGGACAGAAATCTCAATACGGAGAAAAGGGAAGAAAAGATTAATTCCTCTCTGTCACAGGAGACTGGAGGCTCTGACACGAAAGTCCCAGCCTGGGTTTGCTGTTGTTGCTCACGTAGATGACTTCGAGGTGTCAGATGGAAGCCCAAACTGAATGTGCTGGGCTTTAAAGTAAAAGCCCGCAGCTGAGAGGCAAGAGCTTCCACAGGGAGGTAGTAAATATTTGATGGGAACTTCCAGCTCCTCCTGACTCAGGTGACCCTGGTGACATTTCAGAACATTGGGCCGGAGAATTCACTTAATGACTGAGAAATTAGAAGGAGAAACAAAAGCACGTCGCTACAATGCTCGGAGCTCAGAAAGGGCTCATGTAGGCAAATTCTGCAAGACAGGAAAGAAAGGACTCTTTTTTTTTTTTTTTTTCAGGAGCTGAGTCAGATCAGCTGCAAACTGAGTAACCAGAAAGTGTATGATTCTAGGCCAATGACCTACCCTTCCAAACTGCTAGGTACAGCCAGGGCCCTGGCTATCTGGTTCACTGTTGTCTTCCTGGTGTCTAGCAAATGTCTGAACAAACAAACCACAGGAACTAAGGAAACCCCTGAAGGTTTCCTTAATAAATGCTCAAGAAATAATTGATAAATGAATGAATTGGTATCACCCATTCAACAACCCAGCATTCCTGCTGCAACCCAGCCCCAATCCAAAGACCACTCGTGCCCTGGCAGCCTACACCTCCTCATTAACACAAAGCACTGCAGTGAACTCCCCTGACACATCGCCTCACTAACTCTCACGGCTCTGCATCCACATCTCTACTCCAGAGAACTGTTTCCAGCTAACTCGGCTAACGAGGGCTCCCTGCAGGAACAAAGCCACACACCACTGCCCTATGGCCCCACCACAGCAGCACCACGCAACCCAAATCCATGTGCGGCTGCCTTCATGTCAGACCTCCACCAGCATCAGCCACTGCCGAGTAGTATTTTGAAAAGAAATGTGCAGATCTGAAGCAAAACACACAGGGCCTCCTTGGAATTCTGATCCGGCGTGGCAAGCCAGGAGCTTGAAACAGCTTCTTTATGCTAGATCTCAGCACAGAAAGGCACAGCCCCCCCTGTTTCCCTACAAACCACGCAAACGCTCTAATCAGACCTCTGCATGACACCTCTCGGAGGCTGCCACAGAACTGTCTCAAAGCTGTGCCAATGAGTTTGACTTGATTACAGACTCCGAACTAGGGGAAACCCTGGCTTTTTTGCTCAGGAGTTCAGAGGTTTCCTTCTACTGAGCCTGTTTCCCCAGCAGCACAGCCTCAAACTGTAGACCTATATTGTGACTACGGAGCTGCTTTTAAAGGGCAGGCTCCCAGGTGCCTGGGACTCTTGAGGGAAAGGCCTGAGGGAACCACTGATGACCTCTTTGTGGCCTTTCTCACCCTTCCAATGGCATCCCTAGAGTGACAGCCTCCTTAAACCACCCCAAAGTTCCAGTTTGAGCCACAGCTCTGCATGCCCCTCCATGCCTACCCAGACACCTCTTCTCTTTCCTCATATTTTTGGATCTCCTAACTTTTCTCAGGCCTTCAGGGACATGATAGGCAGTGGCCAGTGTCCCTCGCCCTCAAGTAATTCTGTGTTCTCTGAGGTCCCCTCTCTTGACCCCCAGACTCCAAACCGCTTGCTCTCCTGAGTCCCTCCCTGGCGGTACTGGCCAGAGGCCAGAGGAGTGGGTTTGGCGCCACCTGCTCGGAGCGCCCCTCCTTGACCCCCGCAAATCTCCAGGACGGTCGTAGAGGTCGCTCTCTTCCAGGACTGGCGGGTTCTGGCGGGTATGAGGGAGGCTAGCGGGGAGGGCCTTGCCCCAAGAGGCCCGGAGCGTGGACAGCGCACGGGGTGCTGAATCAGGCACGGGGAGGAGGAGTGCCGGCAAGGGCGCCGGCCCGGGGAGGACGAGGTGAGCCGAGGCGTGATCCGTGGGGGACCACGGGCCGCGGGAGGAGGCTGTGGACGCGCAACCGCGGCCGGCAGGGTCCCGAGCGCCTTTCCCGGGAGCGCTGACGGGAGGCGCGGCCCTTACCTGGCCAAAGGCGGAGCTGAGCATGGGGCGCAGCCGGTGGAGGAACGGGTCCGCCTCGGACGCGGCGGCTGGAACGGAGTCCCCGCGGCCCCGGGCTCGCAGAGAGCCCCGGAGGCCGAGCGCCGGGGACAGTCCCCGTTCCTCCCCATCCCGCCCGCGGGCCGGCGGCAGCGGCGACGACGGCGAAGGTCGGGACGCCGCGGCCGGCAGCGCCTCCCGGGGCCTGCAGTGCGCCTGGGGGAGCACACGCTGGCTCCCCCGCGCGCCCTCCTCTCGCGGCGCCGGCCGGCACAGGGGCCTCCGCGAACTGGGGTCCCCGGACGACTGCGGCGTCGCCGGGCAGGAGCCGGGTAGCCGGCGGCTAGGCAGCCCCGGGTCCCGGGCAGGGCCGTGGCGGGGAGCCCGGCTGCCCCCGCTCGCCGCCGCCGCCGCCGCCTTCAGCAGCGACGTCTTGGACTCGCTTTTGGCGATGTGCGAGCTCATCGCGGCGGGGCCCGCGCTCGCATGGCCCGGCGGGGGCGGCGCGGTGCGGCGCGGCGCGGGGCCCCCGGCGGGCAGAGAACGGGGCTCCCGGCGGGAGCCAAGCCCGAGGACGCGCTGGAGGCGGGCGCCGTCCCCCGGCCGCTTAAATGCGGCCCCGTCGCCGCCGCCCATGTGACAGCGCAGCCTCTACGCCCGGAGCCCGGAGCTCCCGGCGGCTGGCGGTGCAGATCTGGGGGCGCTGCCGGCTGTCCCCGGAGAGCCCACCCCCGGCTCCCTGGCGGCCCAGGTACCGCCGCGCCCCGCCCCTTGCCCCGCCCCGCCCTGGGGGAGCCCCGCTTCCGGGCGGCCCCTGGCGGCGAAGGGGACGCTGCAACGCGGAGCGGGAGCACGAGGAGGGAAGGGGCTTGGCAATGGGCCCCAAAGAGGCCGAGACCCCGGGAGTGCCGGCAGCGCTCTTTATCACGCCTGGAGGCTCCTGCAGAGCCCCGGAACCGCCCGAACCTCCAGAAATGCAGGCAGGGTGCACTCCCCAGGGGGTACAACTTTGGCAATGAGGACTACAGAGGTCCGGGGAGAACCGGAGACCCGAGGAGCATGAAGGCACTCTGTGACATCACTGCCTACAAACGCAGGGGCCGGAATGCAGTGACAGGACACTGCTGGGAGGAAAGTCTCCCAGCGCCTCCGTGTGGGGCTGCCTCCACTCCCAATACCGTGCGGGGGGACTAGGACGACCCTGGTAAGTCAGCCACAGGATATCAGTTCTCAGAATAGAAGAGAAGCCAGGTCTGGCAGCACCTGATGATGGTAAGTCTCAGGTAGGACCCATTTGCTCCCCCTCCAGCTCTTGTCCCCTCTTTCACCTTCCTGCCTTTCTAGATGCTACAGAAATTCCTGCTCTCGGTGGGCAGCCAGGGAGCGTCCCAGGCCTTATCTGAATCTCAAATCCCAGCTCTGCCACCTACCATCTGGGTAACTTGGGCAGGTGTCATCAACCTCTCTGAGCCTTGTTCTCCTCTTCTGTAAAATGCAGATGATAAGCATAACTAATTTCTTGGTAACAGCAGACGATACTATGCACACAAAAGGCCTAGCCCAGTGCTCGGACAGGGGACCATCCAGTTAAGCCAGTTCCCTTCCCCCTGCACATCGTGAGGCCCCATCTACCATTCTTCTTTAGTATCCGGTGCTTGAGCTTTGCGGGGGGCTGGAGGGGTTCCTCCCAGGCTCTCCCTGTTCTGGTCCCTGGCCCCAATGCCATCCACAGTCTTGTCACCGCTCGGCCTCATTAAAAGGATACACGAGGCCGGGCACAGTGGCTCGCACCTGTAATCCCAGCACTTTGGGAGGCCAAGACCGGCGGATCACTTGAGGTCAGGAGTTCGAGACCAGCCTGGCCAACATGGTGAAACCCTGTCTCTACTAAAAATACAAAAATTAGCCAGGCGTGGTGGTGGGCGCCTGTAATCCCAGCCACTTGTAGGCATGAGAATAACTTGAACCCGGGAAGTGAAAGTTGCAGTGAGCCGAGATTGGGTCACTACACTCCAGCCTGGGCAACAGAGTGAGACCCTGTCTCAAAAAAAAAAAAAAAAAAAAAAAAAAAGAAGGGTACACAAACAGATTGCCGATATTACACTTCACTCATGCCAAGAGTTCATCCTTCTCTGCACTGTCTGCTTCTTTACAGAGTGTTGCTCTGTCACCAGGCTGGAGTGCAGTGGCACGATCTCGGCTCACTGCAACCTCTGCCCCCCAGGTTCAAGCGATTCTCCTGCCTCAGCCTCCCGAGTAGCTGGGATTACAGGCACCCGCCACCACACCCAGCTAATTTTTTGTATTTTTAGTAGAGATGGGGTCTCACCATGTTAGCCAGGATGGTCTCGATCTCCTGACCTCATGATCTGCCCGCCTTGGCCTCCCAAAATGCTGGGATTACAGGCGTGAGCCACCGCGCTGGGCCCTGTGTGCCTCTTTTACTTATCCATAGGCAAGGAATTAAGGAAAATGGATGGGCTGGGAAAGCAACTGCCCAGAGGCTAAAGTAAACTAGGAAAGTGTGGCAAATTGTTCCCCAGATCAGCTACCCTTAAGGGACTGAATTGCCATATCAAAGCCACTCAGGTTCCTAAAGCCCAAATCCTGAAGCAGCCTGGGGCGTTGCAGCCCTGAAGGCTCATTGCAGGGTCCTCTGGGATATGCAGGGTGTAATGAGTCCACCCTTTGAGTTCGAGGTCAGTCAATGTCTTACCTGCTCCAGCCCTCAGAATAATCAGTGTTTGGCAGGATTAAAAACAAAGGCACATTCAATATAAATCACAGGAGATAAAGAACCTTATCAGAAACCCTCAGGAGCCAATGAGAGGCAGAGGACTGCTGGGTATTCTAAATCCCTGCTGTGCCACTGTTGGTAACCTTTCTGAAATGCCCTAAATATTTTTGGGCAAGACCTCGGTCACCAACTAGTTTTTGAAAAACTGAAGAATCTGATTATGTTACCTATGATTACTAGAGTAAATAAATAAAAATTATGTCCATGAAGCAAATGGATGAAACACCTTCACTCATATCCCAGATAATCCTGGATGTATGCCAGGATTCCATTTCATTTGTAAAGTGTATTAATTTGGTCACTTATTTGACAAATATGTATCCAACCAGGCACTGCAGTAGTCATCTTGGATACAAAGATTGATCCATTCATTCAACAAATAATTGAGTGCCTGTTATCTGCCAGGCAGTGTTCTAGGTACCAGGGATATGATAGCAAACAAAATGGTCTCTATCCTCAGCAACAAATAAACAAATACATAAACGCATGGAAAAGTAATGGTGACAAACTGGTGGTGTTTCTGCCATGGGGAGAAATAAAGCAGGTAAGAGACTAGGGTTTAACGGGCGGTGCTATTTTATTTATTTATTTAATATTTTTACATAGAGACAGGGTCTTGCTATGTTGGCCAGGTTGGTCTTAAACTCCTGACATCAAGCAATCTTCCCACCTCGGCCTCCTAAAATGCTGGGATTACAGGCATGAACCACTGTGCCCAACTTAGGGTGCTCTTTTAGAGAGCGATTAGGGAAGGCCTCTCTGCAGAGGGAATATCTGAGTAGAAACTCAAATGAAGTAAAGGAGGAAGTCATGTATATATCTGGGAGAAGAGCTTCCCTGGCAGAGGGAGGCTGTTCAAAAGCCCTGAGGAGGGAATAGCTTGGCATGTTCCAGGAGAAGCGGAGATAAAGGAGGCTGGAGTGAGCGAGGGGGAAAGTAGGAGAGATGAAACTGGAGAGGAGGCCGGGCATGGTGGCTCAAGCCTGTAATCCCAGCACTTTGGGAGGCCTAGGCGGGTGGATCACGAGGTCAGGAGATCGAGACCATCCCGGCTAACACGGTGAAACCCCGTCTCCACTAAATATACAAAAAAAAAAAAAAATTAGCCGGGCGTTGTGGCGGGCACCTGTAGTCCCAGATACTCGGGAGGCTGAGGCAGGAGAATGGCGTGAACCCAGGGGGCAGAGCTTGCAGTGAGCCGAGATCGCGCCACTGCACTCCAGCAGCCTGGGTGACAGAGCGAAACTCCGTCTCAAAAAAAAAAAAAAAAAAAAAAACAGAAACTGGAGAGGAAAGCAGGAAAGCAGGGGCCAAAAATGTCAAGGCTTTGGGTTTCCTCTAAGTGTGAAGGGAAGCCACTGGTGGGTTTGCAGCAGTGGGTGGCATATGATAGTTGACATTATTAAAGCACCACTGGGGCCAGGTACAATGGCTCATGCCTGTAACCCCAGCACTTTGGGAGGCCAAGGCAGGAGGAATCGCCTGATGTTAAGAGTTCAAGACTAGCCTAGGCAACATGGTGCAACCTCATCTCTACCAAAGAAATATATACAAAAATTAGCCGGGCTTGCTGGCATGAACCTGTAGTCCCAGCTAC
Source organism: Homo sapiens (assembly GCF_000001405.40). Taxonomy (NCBI): domain Eukaryota; kingdom Metazoa; phylum Chordata; class Mammalia; order Primates; family Hominidae; genus Homo; species Homo sapiens. The sequence goes on along the minus strand of NC_000012.12, from coordinate 120,636,927 downwards.
TTGGGAGTCTCAGGTGGGAAGATGGCTTGGGCCCTGGAGCCAGAGACTGCAGTGAGCTAAGATCCCACCACTGCACTCCAGCCTGGGCAAAAGAGCCAAACCCTGTCTCAAAAAAAAAAAAAGGCAGAGGGTCAGGGGAGAAAACCAACTAAACTATAATGGGAAACGTGTAATAAGGGGATTATGAGCTAAGTTATATGGGAGAACCCTAAGGGGAGCTAGAGAAAGCATTAGAGGATGTCACATTTGAGCTGCTTTTTGAAGAATAAGTGAAATTCCATCAGATGAATAAGGAGGGCCAAAGGAAGGTCATGCCAGGCAGGGGACATAGATTAAGTCAGGGTTGGGAGTGTGAACCTGCATGGCGTGCTTGGGAATCATTTGGCGATTGAAGGGGGAGGGAAAATGAGGGCTGGGAAATGGGCCTAGAAGGGTGGTTTGGAACTAGACCATGAAAGATCTTGAGTGTGACATTCAGCAGTTTGTACTTTATTTTATTGGCAATGGAGAATGCTTGAAGGTTTTGTGAGCTTGTGTAGGATGCAAGCAGAACTGTGTTTTTGAAATGATGCTTCAAAATGCAATGCAAAATGCAAGCAGAACTGTGGTTTTTTTTGGTTTTTGCTTTTTGTTTTTGAGATGGAGTCTCACTCTGTCACCTAGGCTGGAGTGAAGTGGTCCAACCTCCGCCTCCCAGGTTCAAGCAATTCTCCTGCCTCAGCCTCCCGAGTAGCTGGGATTATAGGTGCCCGCCACCATGCCCAGCTAATTTTTCTTTTGTATTTTTAGTAGAGACAGTTTTTCACCAGGTTGGCCAGGCTGGTCTCAAAACTCCTGACCTCAAGTGATCCACCCACCTTGGCCTCCCAAAGTGCTGGGATGACAGGCGTGAGCCACCGCGCCCGGCCCAGAACTGTGTTTTTGAAATGATGCTTCAAAAATGCAATGCAAAAAATACATTGTCAGGTGGGCTGGAAGGAGACTGAAGGCAAGACCAATGAGGTTCATTCGCTTAACAGACATTACTGAATGCCCACCAAGGACTAGGCCTCAGGAATAGAATAGTTAACAAGTGAATATTATACCTTTCTTCATGGACTTTAAGTCTGGTGGGGAGAACATGAGGACTAATTTCAGAGGCTGGGTCAGATCCAGGAATATTCCAGAAATGCCATCACTAAGACATGGAAAATCCTGAATGTGGAAAATGAGAATGGCTTGCCTCACTGATTGTGAGATACAGCGGAAATCCAGTTGCTTCAAAGTATCCTGCCATGTAAAAACGATTTTAAAAGAATCTTTTTGGATTGTATATACCTTTACAGCTTTAAAAGCACTTTCACGGCCAGGCACGGTGGCTCGAGCCTGTAATCCCAGCACTTTAGGATGCCAAGGCGGGAGGATCACCTGAGGTCAGGAGTTCGGGACCAGCCTGGCAAACATGGTGAAATCCTGTCTCTACTAAAACTACAAAAATTAGCCGGGTGTGGTGGCGGGTGCCTGTAATCCCAGCTACTCCGGAGGCTGAGGCAGGAAAATCGCTTGAACCTGGGAGGCGGAGGTTGCAGTGAGCCAAAATCGTGCCATTGCACTCCAGCCAGGGCGACAGTGTGAAACTCCAGCTCAAAAAAAAAAAAAAAAAAGCTCTTTCACATAAAGCCTCTCATTTGCCTTTAGGTGTTACACAAATTGTAATTATTAAATAATTACCTGTTGTTATATTATTTGACTGTATAATCATTGGTGAAAACTAGGCAGAAAAAGAGCTGTTTTGCAGCACTGGAAAGGCATCTCAGCATACAAGGGCAGTGAAACAGAAAAGGTGGGTTTGGGAGGACTGCATCAGTGCAGAGAGAACAGTGTGTTTAGCTGTCTTTATGCCTCATTTCTAAGAGAATCCATCCAGAAAGAGTAAGAGCAAAACTCCTAAAGTGTACCTGGATCTCTCATTTAACAGATCGCAGTTTGATGATGCCATGTCCCTGTAGCAAACTCCTTTAAACATTGTTGTTTCCTCACCAAGACTGTATGTCATGTTTAGAGTCTTGAAAAAGGTTGTGGAGCATTTACACGGTGGTGCTTGAATTCATTCTCTGTGACGTTCTTTGTCTAACTTGTTCCTTTCTGCTATTGTCAGAATCAAATTTTGCACTTAATCTCCCCTTGTTTTCAGATGACAATATCTCTGTTATGTTTCAGAAAGCTGGGATTACAAAATGTTCTTAGAGTTTTAAGTCCTCTGTGTGATTGGGAAACTCAGGAAAGGATTGGATGAGATTTTAGAGGGTGGGGGTAATGGGTCAGTGGACTACATAGAGGATTCTTTTCCAGTAATCTGCCCTTGGACCCAAATGTTCATCACTTGAGAGGATGTCAAGATTTTTATTTTTCAAGACAAAGTCTCACTCAGTTGCCCAGGCTGGAGTTCAGTGGTGCCATCATAGCTCACTGGAGACTTGACCTCCCAGGCTCAAGCATTCCTCCCACCTCAGCCTCCCAAGCAGCTGGGACTATAGGTACATGCCAGCATGCCCACCTAATTTTTTTATTTGTAGTAGAGATGAAGTCTCACTCAGTTGCCCAGGTTGGTCTCAAACTCCTCAGCTCAAGCAGTCCTCCCACCTCAGCCTCCCAAAGTGCTGGGATAACAGGTGTGAGCCACCACGTCCAGCCTCCAAGATTTTTAAAATAAAAATGAAAAGGGTTTTTATGGGTTACAAGAATTTATGCCTGGGACTAGGCGCAGCAGCCCATGCCTGTAATCCCAGCACTTTGGGAGGCCAAGGCGGGTGGATCACTTGAGTCAGGAGTTCGAGACCAGCCTGGCCAACATGGTGAAATCCTGGCTCTACTAAAAATACAAAAATTAGCTGGGTGTGGTGGCACATGCCTATAGTCCCAGCTACTTGGGAGGCTGAGTCAGGAGAATCACTTGAACCCAGGAGGCAGAGGTTGCAGTGAGTGGAGATTGTGTCATTGCACTCCAGTCTGGGTGACACAGCAAGACTCAGTCTCAAAAAAAAAAAAAAAAAGCCTGGATCAAAACTGAACTGTACACTTAAGACTGTACATCTTACTGTGTATAAATAATAATTCAATAAAAAGAAAAATCAAACCATCAGGACAGATAGAGCAAAAATAATTAATACTGACAAGTACAACGGTTGACTGGACCTAATTTTTTTTTTTTTTTTTTTTTTTGAGACAGAGTCTCACTCTGTTGCCAGGCTGGAATGTGGTGGCTCGATCTCGGCTCACTGCAACCTCTGCCTCCTGGGTTCAAGCGATTCTCCTGCCTCAGCCTCCCAAGTAGCTGGGACTACAGGCACATGCCACCATGCCCAACTAATTTTTGTATTTTTAGTAGAGACAGGGTTTCACCATGTTGGCCAGGATGGTCTGGATCTCTTGACCTCATTATCTGCCTGTCTTGGCCTCCCAAAGTGCTGGGATTACAGGCATGAGCCACCGCGCCTGGCCTAATTTTTTTTTTTATTTGTGGTAGAGATGAGGTCTCGCTCAGTTGCCCAGGCTGGTCTCAAATTCCTTAGCTTAAAAGATCCTCCTACCTCGGCCTCCCAAAGTGCAGGGATTACAGTCATGAGCTACTGTACCCGGCCTCCATTTTTAACATAAAAATGAAAAGGTGTATGGGTTGCAAGAATACATGTATGGGTCAAAACTGAACTATACACTCAAGACTGTACATCTCACTGCATATAAATAATAACTCAATAAAAAGAAAAATCAAACCATCGGGACAGATAGAGCAAAAATAATTAATACTGACAAGTACAATGGTCGACTGGACCTTCTTAGGGGCATGAATTATGATTTTGGTGACTGAACTCACTTGGTTACTGAGGCAAAGGAGGGAATAAGCATTGATGAAGGAAATCCTGTCCCTTACAGATGACTGATGGGTCAGAAGTTACCGTCTTTTAAAAACAGTACACTTGGGGCCGGGCATGGAGGCTCACGCCTGTAATCCCAGCACTTTGGGATGCTGAGGCGGGCGGATCACCTGAGATCGGGAGTTCGGGACCAGCCTGACCAACATGGAGAAACCCCATCTCTGCTAAAAATACAAAATTAGCCGGGCATGGTGGCGCATGCCTGTAATCCCAGCTACTCAGGAAGCTGAGGGAGGAGAATTGTTTGAACCCAGGAGGTGGAGGTTGCTAAGAGCCAAGATCACGCCATTGCACTCCAGCAGCACACTTGGCCAGGCACAGTGGCTCATGCCTGTAATCCCAGCACTTTGGGAGGCCAAGGTGGGTGGATCACTTGAGGTCAGGAGTTTGAGACCAGCCTGACCAACATGGTGAAACCTATGTCTACTAAAAATACAAAAATTTGCCACACGTGGTGGCAGGAGCCTCTAATCCCAGCTACTCGGGAGGCTGAGGCACAAGAACCGCTTGAACCCGGGAGGCAGAGGTTGCAGTGAGCTGATATCCTGTCACGGCATTCCAGCCTCGGCGATAGAGCGTGACTCTGTCATAAATAAATAAATAAATACATAAATACATAAATAAATAGCACGCCTGACCTCCAAATGTTAGAACCTATCATCTCCATCATTCCTCATTCAGAATATTCCCCCCTATCTTTGCCTAATCCAGAGCAGTTCCCAACCTCTCGGAGATCCTCAATGGATGCAGGAAGTGGTCACCCCCTATGCTTTGCACCTTTAATACTGGTGCCATGCACCCCAGTGCTCTAACAGGGTAGATACATTCGATAAGTTGACCACACACCAGAAGCCACCCATGACATCTATGCAGTTTCCATGAGGCGAAATGCAACCCATGTTCAGGTGACCCCACCACATTCCAGCCACCGTGGCCTCCTTTATGGTCTGTCTTCCCACATCCCATTAAACTATATGTTCCATGAACGCAGAGACAAGCTCGATTTATACACATCCTGCACTTAGCACAGTGACCAAAACATAATAGCATGATAGGTGCTCACATGATATTATTTAGTGAATGAATAACAAATTTTTAAAAAGAAAACCATTATTGCTTTTTGTTTGTTTGTTTGTTTTGTGATGGAGTCTTGCTCTGTCACCCAGGCTGGAGTGCAGTGGTACAATCTCGGCTGACTGCAACCTCTGCCTCCCAGGTTCAAGCAATTCTCCTGCCTCAGCCTCCCAAGTAGCTGGGATCACAGGCGTGCACCACCACAGCTGGCTAATTTTTATATTTATAGTAGAGACGGGGTTTTGCCATGTTGACCAGGCTGGTCTCGAACTCCTGACCTCAGGTGATCCACCCACCTAGGCCTCCCAAAGTGCTGGGATTACAGGTGTGAGCCACCACACCTGCCCATTATTGCTTTTATAGAAATGAGTCCTCTATGCCTGGACCTAGTGCATGGGGGAGGGTGGCCATAAAAGAAGATGCTGCAGGGGCTCTGGTTCTCCTTCAGACAGCTCATTTCTGCTGCGTGCAAATACAACCTGGATCCTGAGTGACAGCAAGCATAAAGGTGTATGTGACCTTTAAGGACCAGGCATGTTTTTGCCACATGCAGGAGGGTTCTATGTTTTAATTGCCTGGAGGTTCCATCCAAAAGCAGTCAGCCAACAGTGCAGTCCGTGAGCAGTGCGGTTACATCTGTGGCACTGGGAGTGGTGCCTGGCCCTGCACCAAGAAGACCTACTGGTACTGCACGGTGAAAGCAAACTGGGTTCAGCAAAGGAAGCTCCCATTGCTGCATGGACAGGTAGAGCTCCTCATGAAATTGAATAAAATAAGACCCTCTCAACAGACTTTAAGTATTAGCAGAGGGACGGGAGCATGGGGAATTCAAAGATCCAACTCTTTACCCAGTAGTATGGAAGTATTTCAATATTTTAACAATTGAAAAGCAATACCAGAGCACATCAGCCACTTTCCAGTCCTAAATATTAGAACTCTGCCCACCACTCCTTTCCTTTGGATGCTGCCACTTCCAGATTTTTAAACAAGATGTATAGGCAGTACCTTTACTAGGACATCTCAGCATTGTGGTTCTGGCTGACAGGGCCTCCTTGCCAGGAGGCTCCTCACCTTACAGAGTTCTGAGATAATTTTCCCTTCGTAAGTGACATCACCGACCTGAAGGTGGACTCCAGGTAACTGCCCTATCTGGGGAACAATCATTTCTGAAGATATGTGACTCGCTGTTGGAGAAATTCAGAGACCTTATCAAGCAGATCTCTACTCTCCCAGCTCTGACACAGCCAGCCCTGTCCCTATGCTGTGTGTAACCCAGCAACAAAGATGTACACAGGGACCAGGCTGAAGGAGGGAGTCACCATTCTGAAGCTAAAAATCTCCAAAGATGCTCGGCCTTTAACGGAGGAGGGCTTTTAGAAAAAAATCCAGAAAATTCTCTGCCCTTTCAACTTCACTTTCTGTTCTCTTTTTATCTGCTTTCAGCATTTCCAATTAATCTTGGAATGAGAGCCGAGGGCAAGAAGCCAGCGGTGCCTGAGGGATGCTAAAGAGCCAACCGATCCAGGGAAACAAATGCCAGCGAGGGACCCCACAGCAAAGAGACAGACACTGTGAGCAACTCTCCTGTTACCATGAGGCTTGCGAGGCGTGTGTGCGGGTCTCCGCATTGGCACCATCTGCCAATTCCTCAGGAGGACAGAACAAACCAGTGAGGCATGAAGATTAGATTATGTAACGCTCGAGGATTGCTGTTTTCAAAGAGGAAACAAATGGAATGAATTGATTTGCTTGTCAAAGTCATGTCACTAAAGGAGATCTATTCCCTCCCCTTCTAAGAGGACCTCATTAAAGAGTGGAATGATTTCACAGATTCAGAAAATGTGAGACCACAATCCACTCCATTCATAAGAGCAAGTCCACTTTCCAGAGTCACACTCACACATTCTATTCTGGTCCCCGGGCCTGAAAAAATGTCCATCCAGCTACAACCTAAAGGGTACTGACCTGGTGAGGAACATAATTGTCAGCTGCTAGCCATAAGATTCAGAGCCGGAGGCCAGGCGTCATGGCTTATGCTGGTAATCCCAGCACTTTGGGAGGCCGAGGTGGGTGGATCATGTGAGGTCGGAAGTTCAAGACAGCCTGGCCAACACGGTGAAACCTCGTCTCTACTAAAAATACAAAAATTACCTGGGCGTGGTGGCACACACCTGTAACCCCAGCTACTTGGGAGGCCAACGCCTGAGAATCACTTGAGCCCAAGAGGCAGAGGTTGCAGTGAGCCAAGATCACACCACCGCACTCCAGCCTGGGGGACAGAGTGAGACGCTGTCTCAAAAAAATAAAAATAAAAAATCAGAACCTGTGAGTTTTGCCTGAACTTTCTTGCTTCTGGGGAAGCAGTGTCTCGTTCTGAGACCAGTGGGATTGTATTCACTATTCAGAGCTCTAAACAAGTGCTCTTGATAGAGGAGGGGTGTGTTCTTAAAAATATAGCATCAGAAAAAAAAAATATATATATATATGCATCAGGAAGGAAAATGCATTGATTTCTCAGAGTGCTTTGCCATTGCTGGGCTTCTCTCAAATGCCCAGCACAATACTTTTTCTAGTATCCTCAGGAGATCTGAGGAATGAACAAATGAGAACCCTGAACCTGCTGCCATAGTTCCATCCCTTAAGGTTTCACAGCCTCCCTAAGATACCAGGATTTAAATATCAAGTCTTTATCCAGGATGCAAATGAAGTCTCCTGTACCAGATAGTTTCCATTTGCCCTCCAGATCCACTCTTCCACCCTTCTCCGTGCTGCCCTTGGCCCTGGCGGGCTGACCTACATGGACTGCAGCAGCTCACTCTCCTGCCCTCTAGCTTCCAGGCGGGTACAGCCAATGGGAGCGGCAGCAGGAGATGGGAGGGCAGGAGGACAGCATGGGTGAAGTGTTTCTTTCCCCACTTCCCTCCTGCCAGATGGCCTTAGGTTGGTTGTGCCTTTTGATAAAAGGTCACCCCTCTTTCTCAAGGCAGCCTGCTCTACACAACTCTCTCTGGGTTCTGTCATTTCTCCCTCCCCTCAACCTTCAGATCTAAGAGTGGTAAAGGCCCCATGGCTACTGCACTATCCCTTATAGCTTCCCCACTTTCTGCTTCAACCTTGTAAATAGCCCATTTATTAAATATTCTTCTAATGATCTAATTTGAATGCGCCATCTGTTTCTTATACAGACCCTGCCTGACATACCTTTCACACGTGACAGTCTATTCTAGGCCCTACACCACGTTAAAAAGAAAAAGTAGGGCTGGGTGCAGTGGCTCATGTCTGTAATCCCAGCACTTTGGGAAGCCGAGGCAGGCGGATCACGAGGTCAGGAACTCGAGACCAGCCTGGCCAACATGGCGAAACCCCGTCTCTACTAAAAATACAAACATTAGCTGGGCATGGTAGCGGGTGTCTGTAATCCCAGCTACTCGGGAGGCTGAGGCAAGAGAACTGTTTGAACCCAGGAGGCGGAGGTTGCAGTGAGCCAAGATTGCGCCATTGTACTCCAGCTTGGGCAACAGGGGAGTCTCTGTCTCAAAAAAAAAAAAAGAAAAAGAAAAGTAGCAAAATTAACAATACAATATGCTACCACTTCATGTAGTTATTCTCAATGTTCACCTTTTCCCAAGGCTATAATAACAACTTAAAGATAAAACTTAATTCCCCTTTACAACATAATTGTGCAGTAGAGTTTGTATGAGCTACATATAATTCAGAGAACAAGCATTCTCATGCCATCAAAATTCATGTTAACAACTATAAAGAGAAAACCCTAGAATTGAGGCCCCTGACTTTCAATGTAGCAGAAAATATATTTCAGTATTTAAATCTATCTAACAGATATTTGAAAGTCTACTATATGTCCAGCAAGGTGGTGATCTTACAGTGGGGGAAAAACATGGACGTGGCCCCTGCCTTTTTGAAACTTAGTCTTGTTTTCTAAAATAAATATGCTTCTAGGCCGAGCTCAGTGGCTCACACCTATAATCCTAGCACTTTGGGGGTGCTGAGGTGGGAGGATTGCTCAGGCCCGGAGTTTGAGATCAGCTCAGGCAACATAATGAGACCTCATCTCTACTAAAAATAAAAAATCATCCAGGCACGGTAGCGCATGCCTATGGTCCCAGCTACTAGGGAGGCCGAGGTGGGAGGATTGCTTGAGCCTGGGAGATCAAAGCTGCGTGAGCTATGATCATGTCACTACACTCCAGCCTGAATGAAAGAGCAAGACTCTGTCGCAAAACGATTTTTTTTAAGTAAATAAATAAATGTGCTCCTAAAAAGTTGAATGTAAATTGCAATTCCATAAATCAAATAATATGTTGTATGCTCATGGGGAGCATACTATTTGAATAATAATTTGTAAAATAATTACCCTTTAATCTTTTGAACTAATCAAATTTTTCATCCACCCAGGTACTTCAAATGAAATTTATCTTTAGTCTGTAGGGAGGATTGATCTCCTCCAATGCTCCTGGAATGGTGCAAATTGTGGAATGGAATTTAGAGGAGAGATAGGGAATTACCATTTATAGACCACATATAGAATGCTAGGCAATTTGCGTCTTTTAGCATATTTAACCCTGAGAAGAAACACATAGTCCATTGTTCTCTTCTTTTCTATTTCTGAAAATAAAGTTTTAAAAATTAGTATGGCAGGTGTGGAATTCAAAATCCATTTTTCTGAATGAGAAAGAAAAGCAAAATGATTCAGTGCAGGACTCTAAAAATTACATTATCCCCCAATTTCAGTGGCTTCCTGCTGCTCTTAGGATCAAGTCCAAAATTCTTCCCAAGGCCACTGTTCCCACGCCCATCAGTTCTCGAGACCATCCAGGCTCATTCCCCCTTGAAAGCTTTTACCCTCCTCAATGTCCCTGGTCCGTCTGCAACCTCTTTCTCTCCCAGCTCCCCCAGATTAACTCGGATGCATCCCTTCAGTTTCCACTCAGTTTCCACTTCCCAGGGAAAGTCTATCTCCCCAGCTGGGTCCTTGTCACTGTATCTTTAGTGCTGAACACCAGGGAAGGGCTCATTTGTTACCTGGGTGAACGGATGAGGAAGGGCTGCCCAGAAGGGCTGACCTGCCTCAGGCCAGCCATTTCCCTGGTTGGTTTCCTTTGGTCCCAGGGGCCTGGGAAAGCCTCCCTCAAACATGGAAAGGGTGACTGGGAGCACCTCCTGTAATCCCAACACTTTGGGTGACCAAAGCGGGCAGGTCGCTTGAAGCCAGGATTCCAGACCAGCTTGGGCAACAAAGTGAGACCCCCTCTCTACAAAAAAATTTTAAAAATAACTTGGGTGGGCCGGGCGCGTTGGCTCATGCCTGTAATCCCAGCACTTTGGGAGGCCGAGGCAGGCGCATTGCCCGAGCTCAGGAGTTCCCGAGACCAGCCTGGGCAACACGGTGAAACCCCGTCTCTACCAAAATACAAAAATTAGCCAGGCGTGGTGGCAGCCGCCTGTAATCCCAGCTACTAGGGAGGCTGAGGCAAGAGAATCGCTTGAACCCGGAGGGTGGAGGTTGCAGTGAGACAGGATCGCGTCACTGCACTCCAGTCTGGGAGACAAAATGAGACTAGGTCTCAAAAAAAAAAAAAAAAAAAAAAAAAATAGCTTGGGTGATTGTGCGAACCTGTGGTCCCAGCTACTCAGGAGGCTGAAGCAAGAGGATCCCTTGACCTGGGAGGCAGAGGTTGCAGTGAGCTGTGATTGCACCACTGCACTCCAGCCTGGGCAACAGAGCTAGACCCTGACTCAAAACAGAAAACATACGAAGGTCAAAAGAACCCTCATTTGAGGTTCTGGAAGGTCTTTGCCTTCTCTCTCAGCCCTTCAAGTGCACACTCGGGTGTTCCAAGGACCCCAAGCTCCAGCCGAGGTGAGAAGAAAGCTGTCCCAAGGGTCCCCACTGACGACAGAAAGTTCCTGAGGCCTCGCCCTTGAGGACTTGGGTGGCGTCAGGCCACGTGACTCATGGCGGCTGCGCATGCGCAGGGCGATTATTCAGCAGGCTCTCTCCAGTCCCGCCCCAAAATTGCGAGGGCAGGCAACGGTGCAGCAGTGGGGCTGGTCGGCGGTGAGAGGGGGTGGGGGGTTCCAGATATCACCTGAAAGGTCAATGTGGGGTGGGAGTGTATTGAGCACCACCCGGTGGCAGGCATTGAACTGCATTTTCTCACTGTAACTCCCACAGGCTCTGTGTAAGAGGGACGCACACATTGGTGTGTCCATTTTACAGATAGAAAAACTGAGGCCCCATTTTTTTTTGTTTGTTTGTTTGAGACAGAGTTGTGCTCTTATCGCCCAGGCTGGAGTGCAATGGCGCGATGTCGGGTCACTGCAACCTCCGCCTCCCAGTTTCAAGCTATTCTCCTGCCTCAGCCTCCCAAGTAGATGGAATTACAGGCACGTGCCACCACGCCCAGCTAATTTTTGTGTATTTTTAGTACAGATGATGTTTCACCATTTTGGCCAGGCTGGTCTCGAACTCCTGACCTCAGGTGATCCACCCGCCTTGGCCTCCCAAAGTGTTGGGATTGCAGGCATGAGCCACCGCGCCTGGCCCCTGTTGTCTTTAGAACTTGTCCAAGTGCACAAGTGCAGTACTGGGATTCCAAAGGCGCAAGCTCTCTTAAGTCCTCCCATATTCATAAGTAAAGTTTGTTTTCCCAAATTGTAGCCACCACTGGGACGGAGTTCCTTCTCTTCTTTTCTGGTAACCCCAAGCCAGCTGCCTGCATAGATTTATGTCCTGGCTGTGTGACCTTGGGCCAAGTCATATCATTACTGAGCCTGAGTTTCATCATCTGTAAAATGATCATGTAAGCCCGACCCGGTGGCTCACGCCTGTAAACCCAGCACTCTGGGAGGCCGAGGCGGGCGGATCACGAGGTTAGGAGATCGAGACCATCCTGGCTAACACGGTGAAACCCTGTCTCTACTAAAAAATACAAAAATTTAGCGAGGCGTGGTGGCCTGGGCCTGTAGTCCCAGCTACTCAGGAGGCTGAGGCAGGAGAATCGCTTGAACCAGGGAGGCGGAGGTTGCAGTGAGCCAAGATCACGCCACTGCACTCCAGCCTGGGCAACAGAGCGAGACTCCGTCCCAAAAAAAAAATTGATGACATAGTCAAACACTGTGGCACACGCCTGTAGTCCCAGCTACTTGGAAGGCTGAGGTGGGAGATCTCTTGACCCCAGGAATTCAAGGCTGCAGTGAGCTATGATCACACCACAGCACTCCAGCCTGGGCGACAGAGTGAGGCCCCACCTCTTAAAAAAAAAATGGGCTGGGCACGGTGGCTCATGCCTGTAATCCCAGCACTTTGGGAGGCCAAGGCGGGTGGATCACAAGGTCAGGAGATCAAAACCATCCTGGCTAACATGGTGAAACCCCGTCTCTACTAAAAATACAAAAATTAGCTGGGCGTGGTTGCGTGCACCTGTGGCTCCAGCTACTCGGGAGGCTGAGGCAGGAGAATTGCTTGAACCCAGGAGGCGGAGCTTGCAGTGAGCTAAGATCGCGCTACTGCACTGCAGCCTGGCGACAGAGCGAGACTCTGTCTCAAAAGAAAAAAAAATGATGACAATATTGCCTGTCTTTCATGACTTATGAAAACTAACTCTTCCAACAAAAATCTAGTGATCCCTACCAGATGCTAGGTATTATGCTAGTCCCAGGGAGTGCACCATAAAAAGAAGAGAAAACAAGAGATCATCTGGCAATTAAGCCAGATAGCGTGTGAACATGCTAATAAACTCCAAAGCCCTGTCAGGGATTGTTCTAGAAACCTGGGCAAGGTTGGACCCATTTCTCATTAAGAACAGATGAGATCTAAAAATGGGCTTGGCATCCCCATTGAAGCCTGCAGTTCTCCTGCAGGCTTCCCTTGTTGGAAGGTGGGCAGTTCTGCTGTGGGTTTCTCACAGCTGGCTCCTGAGGAAGTGGAAACAGCCTGTTACAGGTGTGGGGAATCACAGCCAGCAGGCTCGTCCCTTACATCTCCAGATCAGTGGGCGTTTCCATTGATTCATTAGAGAAGGGTCCGCGGTGCCCTTGGAGATTTCTACTTTTTGCTCCACTGCAAACAAAAAGAAACAGAAAGACAGAATTTGGGCCTATGCTGACATTTTGCTGGAATGTCCCGTCTCACCCAGGTTCTCAAACACATTTAGAAGCTCGGTCACACAAATGCATCTTGTCAAAGCCCCTTATTCAGATACAAGAGTGCTGGCATGTGCCTGGCTCAAAGTCTAGCCTAGGAGAAAAATATCAAGCCAGGCCTTGGCCAGTTCTCCTTTTAGCAGATATTGTGGGGAGAAACAAAACAAAACAAAACAAAACAAAAGAAATAAACAAAAACCCTTAAGTGCCAGGATGAAGGGACAGAGCCCCAGGATGTCTAAACTGGAAGGCCAGTGAGTTCAACAGACTGAGGCCCAGAGAGGTGAGATTCACTACCCAGGGCCACACAGCAAGGCCGTGAAAATCCCAGCGAATTCATGGAGCCAACACCTATTTTTTTGAGTGCCAGCTATGCACCAGGCACTATTCTAGACCTTATGGAGAGAGCAGAGTCAAAACAGACAAAAACTCCTATCGTCTTGGAGCTCACGTTCTGGTAGAAGGAACCAGACAATAAAAAGATGAGTTAGTAAGATACATAGTATGCTGGATGACAATAAATGCGACGGAGAAAAATGAAGCTGGGAAAGGGAATAAGGAGTGTATATTGCATGGATGTGATTTTAAGTAGGGTGGTCAGGGAAGGCCTCCCTGAGAAGTTAGCATTTGAGCAAAGACCTGAAGGGGGTGAGGGACGAAAACATGCCAGTATTTGGGGGAAGAGTGTCCCAGGAGAAGAAAGCAGAGCAGAGCCACAAGGCAGGAATGGACCCAGTGCGTTCCCAGGGGCAGCAAGGAGACTGCGGGAGTGAAGTGGGTGAGCAGGAAGATAGGACGAAGAAAGGGGCAGGGACCAGGCACAGTGGCTCACGCCTGTTATCCCAAGCACTTTAGGAGGCCGAGGTGGGCGGATCACCTGAGGTCAGGAGTTCAAGACCAGCCTGGCCAACATGGTGAAACCCTGTCTCTACTAAAAATACAAAAAGTAGCCGGTGTGGTGGCGCACACATATAATGCCAACTTCTTGGGATTCTGAGGCAGGAGAATCGCTTGAACCTGGGAAGTGAGGATTGCAGTGAGCCGAGATCGTGCCACTGCACTCCAGCCTGGGTGATAGAGTGAGACTGTCTCACACACACAAAAAAGGATCAACAGGAACCAGGTCATATAGGAGCCTCGTAGGTCACTGTAAGAGCTTTGACTTTTACTCCAAATGAGATGGGGAGATGGGGAAGCATTGAAGAGCTTGGGGCAGAGACATGACGTGATCTGACCAGATAAAGCTACTTCTATTCATTCATTCATTCATTCATTCCTCTTAGGTGCCAGACACTCTGCTGATGACAAGCTAGACAGCCCCAGAATGACCCACAGGGCCCTTGATGTGCATTTTGTGCTCACTGGAGAGTCCACAGCAAAGAGAAAGGAGGGTCAGCCACGGCCTTCTCCTTGGCCGCCAGACACCCTCCACCCCGACATCCTGCTCCTTACTCCCCTCGCCCTACAGTCCAGGAAGAAGGGCCCCAGGTAGCTGCAGGGCTGTGTGCTCAACAGGATGCTAGAACCTGCAGGTTATAAATAGCCTCTCCTGCCGCAGGGAATCAAGCTGCTCTGTCCGAATGAGTCAGAGGCGCAGAGCCACAGCCCCCCGAATTGCAGCATCCGTCCCCCACCCCACCTGGGGCTCCCTCTTTGTCCTCTTCACCAAGGCCAGGCCTCCACTTCTCTTCTCACCATGACCCTTTCTGACCTCTTTACTCCCCGCTTATGCCAGGCTCTAACTCCTGAAGCACCAGACAGCTCCACTACTTCCTTAGTTCTGAGACACAGGATTGGATTATATATATATATTCTGAGATGGAGTCTCACTCTGTCGCCTAGGCTGGAGTGCAGTGGCGTGATCTCAGCTCACTGCAGCCTCTGTCTCCTGAGTTCAAGCGATTCTCCTGCCTCAGTCTCCCAAGTAGCTGGAACTACAGGCGTGTGCCACCATGCCTGGCTTTTTTGTATTTTTGGTAGAGACGGGGTTTCACCATGTTGGCCAGGCTGGTCTGGAACTCCTGACCTCAAGTGATCCGTCCACCTAGGCCTCCCAAAGTGCTGGGATTACAGGCATGAGCCACTGCACCCAGCCAGGATTGGATAATATTTGAAAGCCCAGGATCTGCAGTTGGGTTTGCATGGATTTCAGGCCCAGTTCTGTTGCATCTTGGCTGTGTGACCTTGGGCCAGACACTTCACCCCTGAGAGCTCAATTTTCCTCATTCATAAAATGGGGATAACAATAATAATAGTACCTACTTCATGGAATTAGTATGAGGATTCAATGAGATAACTCACATAAAATGCATAGCCTAGAGCTTGGCGTACAGTAGCTGCTCAGTTAATGGAGTGATGGTCCCTGTGCTCAATTAATTATAATCCAAAGAGAGGTGATAATAAGTAAGAGAAGAACAGTTTCCATCTGTTCTGCTGAGCATCTACCATGTCATGTGCTTGGAAGTTTTTTTGAGTTCCCAATTTTTTTTTTTTTTTGAGACTAAGTCTCACTCCATCACCCAGGCTGGAATGCAATAGTGTAATCGTAACTCACTGCCGCCTCAAACCCCTGGGCTCAAGCGATCCTCCTGCCTCAGCCTCCCAAGTAGATGGAACTACAGGCACGCACTACCATGCATGGCTAATTTTTAAAAAATTTTTGTAGAGACAGGGTCTCACTGTGATACCCAGACTGGGTCTCAAACCCCTGGCCTTGAGCAGTCCTCCCAAAGTGCTGGGATTACAGGTGTGAGCCACTGTGCCTGGCCTAATACAGCATTTCTAATCTTCATAGCCAAGCAAGCTTCAACAGCCCTGTCTTACACAGGAAGACAATGAGACACCGAGGGAGCCACATGACTTGTCCAAGGTTATGCCTTGGATATCCCTGGTGAGGCAGCACCTGGTGTCAGCAGGAAGACATACTCACATCACTGGGTGCCCCAGAGACCTGTGCAGCCACTTAGCCCAACACACTCCTGACTCACCACTATGTGCAGAGGTAAAAGAGTAAAGATTCAAGGAGTGGCAAGGCGGGGCAGGTAGAGGTGTACAATATGTGCTTCCTCCAGCCATCTCTTCCAGTTCCTAAGGTGAGAAGCCCTCTGCCACCTCCCCAAAACCTAGACTAGCTCTCCCTTGGGTAGCACTGGGTAAAACTCTCACTATGGAATAGCCCCCACAAAGGAGATCTGTCTGTGGAACCATTTTTATATGATACACACATTGCTTAAGGATGAGGGTGATGGTAACATTTGGCTTCACTGACCCACTACCGGGGTTGTGCCTGATCATCCCCCAAAATTCCAAGATTCAATAGTGATCCCCTTCAATCCTCTCCTCCATCATGCTGGAAGCCTTACAAAACAGAAAAAAAAAAAAAAGCATGCATTTGGAGATCAGACAAATTTGGGCTTCCTCCTGAATTCTGTCATTTCCTAGTTATGTGACCTTAGGCAAGTCCCTTCACCTCTCTGAGCTTCATTCACTTATCCATTCGTCTAGCAAATACATACTAAGCAGTATCTACCATGTGCCAGGTACTGGTCTAGGTCCTGGCCTTACCGCAGTGAAGGAGAGAGACAAAGTCTCTGGGTTTGTTTGTTTGTTTTTTGAGACAACGTCTTGCTCTGTCACCCAGGCTGGAGTACAGTGGTGTGATCACAGCTCACTGCAGCCTCAACCTCCTGGGCTCAAGCGATCCTAAGGAGCTGGGACCACAGGCATGAGCCGCCACATCCAGCCGAAGTCTCTGCTTTCATAGGGCTTTCATTTTGGCAGGGGAAGCGGGGAGACATAACAAAGCAAGCGAATAGTTTTGGAAATGATATCTTAATGAAGAAAATGAAACAAGGGAATGTAATCCTGACTGGCCTGGGTGTGGGCTCTCTTTTCCATAAGGTGGTCAGGAAGGAAGTGACATTTATTCTGAGACCTGAATGATGACAAAGAGCTGACTGTGAGACCTAGGAGGTACACAGACCTTGAGGAAGGGATGAGTTTGGTGTGTGGAGCCTCAGTAGTGGGAGTAGAGTGAGCTAGGGAGAGAGAGGGAGGAGATGAGGTCAGAGAGGTAGGCAGGTGCTAGATCACAGAGCTCCAAGTGACGAGAATCCTGACCGCATTTGGTGAGATGATGCAGTAATCTGGCATAAAACTTGGCATACAGTAAGTGCTCAATATGCAGGAACTATTCTATAATGCGCAGTAACTATTATGATGACAAGCCTTCCCTGTCCTCCTCCTCTTCCTCCCAGGGACACTCATGCCCCTCCCCGTTCTCCTCCAACCCTCTCTGCACCACCTTCTCTCCCTGGTCCAAGGAAAAGAATCCCTGCAGAAAGAAGGAAGCATCCCCCACTCTCCCTCCTCCCCCTCCCCTTCCTCCTGCAAACCCTCCCACCGCAGCCCAGTGATTTTCCTGCCTCTCCCAAGGCGATTTTATTAAACATCTAGAAAAAATATTCTCTCACTCCCTCTCTCTTTATTTATAAAAATCAACTTAACACCCTGCTCCTTTGTTCTATTTGGAAACTGGAACAGCCTGGTTTATATTTAGCTGAAATCCTGCTCCTTTCCCCACAGATTCCGGCACAGCCCGATGAACTAGAGGGGCTAAGGAAGGAGGAGGGGGAAGAGAGGGCTGAAGGAGGAAAGGAGGATTCGAAGCACAGGGAGAAAGGCACTGTCCCCCAGAGTCTGAAGCACCTGGCAGGGGAGGCAGTGAAAAGTCTTTCCCAAGACATCAAGGTGTCCCAAGTCCGGGCTTTGCTACATTGACCATCATTTTGTCACTCTCTAGTCCCATCCAAATGTCCCTAGCAAAAGAGAAACAGGGGATTAAGAATACAGAGTAGCAAGACCCAACCCCTAATTTGGAACCAGGCTTGGAGGGGTAGTATAAGGTAGTCATTAGGGCTGTGGATCTGGGTTCAAATTCAGGTTGTCCTCTGCCCCTCACTGGCTGGACGCCCCTGGGAGGTTAACATGCTCATCGTACCGTGTGGCACAGGAAGGTGCTTGATATACGGTGGCTGTTGTTAGTAATCACTGTGGGCTGAAGGAAACTGCTCAACTCCTCTAGCTCTGAGCAAAGCTGCTTCCTCCATGAAGCCTTCTCAGATTAAACTCATCTATTCAGCTAACAGCACTGGGCTAGACACTGGAGCTATGGAGATGAATGAGCAGGACCTCACAAGACCCCGTGTGATCTGAGGTGGACATACGTAATCACCACAGAGAGTACTAAGTTCCAGAAGAGACTTGGGTTCAGTTTGAGCAAAACCAGTTCTCTGTTCTTCTCCACTGTATGTGCAGAACTAAACACAGCACCTGGCATATAGGGAGACAGCACAGAATAGTGGTTAAGAATATACCTAGGGCCGAGCGAGGGGGCTCACGCCTGTAATCCCAATACTTTGAGAGGCTGAGGCAAGAGGATCATTTGAGCCCAGAAGTTCAAGACCAACCTAGGCAACATAGTGAAACACCATCTGTACAAAAAAATTAAAACAAATTAGCTGGGCATGGTGGCATTTGCTTGTAGTCCCAGCTACTCAGGAGGCTGAGGCAGGAGGATCGCTTGAGCCCAGGAGGTCAAGGCTGCAGTGAACTGTGTCTATGCCACTGCACTCTAGCCTGGTGTATTAATCTGTTCTTGCACTGCTATAAAGATACTACCTGGGACTGGGTAATTTATAAAGAAAAGAGGTTTCATTGACTCACAGTTCCACTATGGCTGGGGAGGCCTCAGGAAACTTGCAATCATGGCGGGAGGTGAAGTGGAAGCAAGGCATGTCTTACATGGCGGCAGGCTAGAGACGGCAAGAAGAGGGAAGCACCAGACACTTATCAAACAACCAGATCTCCGCCAGGCATGGTGGCTTGTGCCTGTAATCCCAGCACTTTGGGAGGCTGAGGGCAGGGTGAGAGGATTGCTTGAGCCCATGAGTTTGAGACCAGCCTGGGCAACATGGCAAGACCCTGTCTCTTCAAAAAATACAAAAAAATTACCGGGCGTGGTGGTGTGTGCCTGTAGTCCCAGCTACTTGTGAGGCTGAAGCAGGAGGATTGCTTGAGCCCAGCAGGTTGAGGCTGCAGTGAGCTGAGATCACACCACTGTCCTCCAACCTGGATGACAAAGCGAGACCTTGCCTCAAAAATTAAAAAAAATAAAATAAAATAAAACAGATCGCATGAGAATTCACCCACTATCACAAGAACAGCATGAGGGGAACCATCCCCGTGATCCAATCACCTCCTGCCAGGACCCTCCCTCTACATGTGGGGATTACACTTCGAGATGAGATTTGGGTGGGGACACAGCCAAACCATATCACCTGGTATACCCCTACAGTGATGGAATAGTATTCAGCCATGAAAATGAACTAAGTAGCCCAGGCACAGTGGCTCACACCCATAATCCCAGCACTTTGGGAGGCCAAGGTGGGTAGATCACTTGAGGTCAGGAGTTCAAGACCAGCCTAGCCAACATGGTGAAACCCTGTCTTTACTAAAAACACAAAAATTAGCCAGACATGGTGACACACACCTGTAATCCCAGCTACTCAGGAGGCTGAGGCAGGAGAATCTCTTGAACCCAGGAGGCAGAGGTTGCAGTGAGCTGAGATCGCACCACTGCACTCCAGCATGGGTGCCAGAGTAAGACTCCATCTCAAAAAAAAAAAAAGAAGAAAGAAAGAAAATGAACTAAGTGTTGACACATGCTACAACACAGATGAACCTCAAAAACATGATGCTAAATGAAAGAAGCCAGACATGAAAGGCCACATATGAAATTATCCCATTTATATGAGGAGTCCAGAATAGGCAAATCCATAGAGACAGAATGCAGATTAGAGGTTGCCAGAGGCTGGGAGGAGAGAGAAATTGGGATTGACTGTTTAATGTGTGTGCGGTTTCCTTTGGGGTGATAAAGGTGTTTTCGAACTAGGTAGAGGTGGTGTTTGCTGAATCATTCACTTTTATTTTATTTATATACTTATTTATTTAGAGACGGAGTCTTGCCCCATTGCCCAGACTGGAGTGCAGTGGTACAATCTCAGCTCACTGCAACCCCCACCTCCCAGGTTCAAACGATCTTCCTGCCTCAGCCTCCCGAGTAGCTGAGACTACAGGTGAACACCACCACTCTTGGCTAATTTTTGTATTTTTAGTGGAGATGGGGTTTCACCATGTTGGTCAGGCTGGTCTCGAACTCCTGACCTCAAGTGATCCCCCTGCCTCAGCCTCCCAAAGTGCTGGGATTAGATTACAGGCGTGAGCCACCACGCCTGGCTGTTCATTTTTAAATAATTGTATGTTATGTGAATCTTGTCTCAGGTTTCTTTTTTTAAAAAAGAATACATCTGGGTTAACTGAGTAAACATAGGCACAGAAAAAAAAAAAGAATATATATCTGGGTTCACTCCATGGTCATGTCAATCAATGAGAAAAAACACTTGTAAAATTAACACCTTCTCTCGAGGCGCGGTGGCTCACACCTGTAATCCCAGCACTTTGGGAGGCCAAGGCGGGTGGATCACGAGGTCAGGAGTTCGAGACCAGCCTGGCCGATATGGTGAAACCCTATCCCACTAAAAATACAAAATTAGATATGGTGGTGTGCATCTGTAATCTCAGCTACTCAGGAGGCTGAGGCAGGAGAATCGCTTGAACCCGAGAGGCGGAGGTTGCAGTAAGCTGAGATTGCGCCATTGCACTCCAGCCTGGGCGACAGAGCGAGAGTCCATCTCAAAACAAAAAATTAAAATTAACACCTATTCGTGGGTTAAAAACAAAAACAAACTCTAACAAGAGTTTAGAATAGAAGGAAACTTCCTCAACTTGTTAAAGGCTGCTTCAAAATATTAATAGTTTGTTTGCATTTTCATATACAATTTAGAATCTATTTGATAATTTCTACAAAAAAAAAGCCTATTGGTATTTTTTTTTATTTTAGAGATGGGGTCTCACTATGCTGCCCAAGCTGGTCTTGAACCCCTGGGCTCAAGCGATCCTCCCACCTCAACCTCCCAAAGTGTTGGGATTACAGGCGTGAGCCACTGTACCTGGTCATATCCCTAAGAATTTCACATTTTTTGAGGCTATCATAAACGTTTCTATACATTTAATTTCCCAATTGTTCATTGCTAGTGTAGAGAAATACATTTTTATATATTGACCTTGTATCCTTTGACCTTGCTAAATAAAATTATTGGTTTTAATAGTTTTGCTGTATTGTAAATGCCTTAGGATTTTCTACATGT
This sequence comes from Homo sapiens, assembly GCF_000001405.40. Classification (NCBI taxonomy): domain Eukaryota; kingdom Metazoa; phylum Chordata; class Mammalia; order Primates; family Hominidae; genus Homo; species Homo sapiens. The sequence continues at coordinate 120,615,506 of NC_000012.12, read as the reverse complement.
ATAATCATGTCATTTGCAAATAAAGACAATTTAACTTTGCCTTTTCCCACTCTTTTTCTTGCCTTATTGTCCTGGCTAGGACCTCCAGTACAATGTTATTAATGTATAGAAGTAGTGAGAGCATATATTCTTGCCTTGTTCCCAACCTTAGGGAGAAAAGTGTTTAAGTGTTTAGACTTTCAGCATTAAATATATTAGCTGTAGGTATTATAGAGTAGCCAAAACAATTTTGAAAAACAGAACAAAGTTGGAGCAACTTGATTTCAAGAAGAATTGTAAATCTGCATTCATCAGGACAGTGTGGGAAGTAGCATAATGATGCTGTATATCATTAAACAGAATAGAGAGCTCAAAAATAGATCCACATACATACCATCAATTAATTTTTGACAAAGGTGCCAGGGTGATTCAATGAGGAAAGGAAGCTGGGACTGAAACATATCTGTATGGAAGGAACAAATGAATCATGACCCCTACCTCACATCATAAGCAAAAATTTAACTTAAAATGAATCAGAGACCTAAATGGAAAAACTAAACCTACAAAACTTCTAGAAGACCAGGCTCAGTGGCTCATGCCTGTAATTCCATTGCTTTGGGAGGCTGAGGCAGGAGGATCACTTGAACCCAGGAGTTCAAGACCAGCCTGAGCAACATAGTGAAACCTTGTCTCTACCAAAAAAAAAAAAAAAAAGAATTTAATTAGCCAGATATGGTGGTGTGCACCTATAGTCCCAGTTACTTAGGAGACTAAAGCAGGAAGATTGCTTGAGCCCAGGAGTTCAAGACTGCAGTGAGTTATGGTTGCACCACTGTACTCCAGCCTAGGTGACAAAGTGAGACTCTATCTCTAAAACAAACAAACTTCTAGAAGAAAGCGAGAAAAAACCTTGGTAGTCTAGGAGTAGGCAGAGATTTCTTAGGACACAAAAAAAGCACAAGTAATAAAAAGAATTGCCAGATAGTGCTTCATTAAAATCTTAATTTCTTCTCCCAAAGACATTGTTTTAAAAATGAAACTGTAAGCCACAGATCAAAAGAAAATATGCATTATATAAATATGACAAAAGACTGAATATATAAATACTCAGTATCCAGAATATATAAATAATTCTTACAACTAAATAAGGAGAAGGCAGATAATCCAGTGTATTAGTCAGGGTTCTCTAGAGGGAGAGGACTAATAGGATAGATGTATATATGAAGGGGAGTTTATTAAGGAGTATTGATTCACACGATCACAAAGTGAAGTCCCACAATAGGCCGTCTGCAAGCCGAGGAGCAAGGAAGCCAGTCCGAGTCCCAAATCTTCAAAAGTAGGGAAGCCCACAGTGCAGCCTTCAGTCTGTGGCCAAAGGCCCAAGAGCCCCCGGCAAATCACTGGTGTAAGTCCAAGAGTCCAAAAGCTGAAGAACTTGGAGTCTGATGTTCGAGGGCAGGAAGCATCCAGCATGGGAGAAAGATGAAGGCTGGAAGACTCAGCAAGTGGGCTCCTTCCACCTTCTTCTGCCTGCTTTATTCTAGCCAGACTGGCAGCTGATTAGATGGCACCCACCCGGATTGAGGGTGGGTCTGCCTCTGGCAGTCCACTGACTCAAATGTTAATCTCCTTTGGCAACAAACTCTCAGACACACCCAGGAACAAAACTTTGCATACTTCAATCCAATCAAGTTGACACTCAATATTAACCAACACAAGTCCACTCCTTGTCAACTTGAACCCATACACATCTCCTGAAATCATACATAACCTTCAAATAAAGACAATAATAAGGTCATAATTACACCCAACATAATATGGCTATCCTTTGTACAACCGGAAGCACGCTAATCCTTACCCTAAATGCTATCACATAAAGTTAACAACACTTAAATGCTGATATGAAGTCAGTAAATCTTACGTCACATGATAAAGGAAAAAGAAAGGAAATAAAATGAAGACATTTTCTTAGTACAAGTGTATACAGGCACAAACATATTCTTAACAAAATAAGGAGGATATTCAATATTCAATGCAATTACAGTTCTTGTTTCTGCCACCAGTCACGTGGTGGTAGTTGTATTATGACTACCTTCTTCTACTACCCAAACTGTATTCCCTTTGCCTTCAGCAAGCACCTCAGTGGGTTGTGGTTTTTTTTACCTGGTGGAGTGACCCAAACCTTCATTCCTGTAGGGTCTGGGCCATTTGCAGTCCTGCCTGGATTGGGTTGTTGTAGTTTCCCATTGACCTTAATCACAGGGCACGGGAATACTAAGAGATGCCCTCTGGGATCTCCTGTATTTCACGCATACTCTTCCTTACCTCCATTGTGGAGCAGTAGACTGATTTCATCTTGATAGTCTGAGTCAGTCGCCCCAGCCAATACTGTAACTTTCTTCTTAGCCCGTTGACTTAGAGGCAGGAGGAGCCCAAAGTATCCAGGTGACAATCTTAACTTCCACTTTAATGGAATCATTGTTGTGTCTCCTGGTGGCAGTGTTCCTCCCTCTGGAACTAAGACCTCTAGGCTAGCAGAACATAATGTTGCGGGAACAAGAAGCAAAAATTTTGCTAGTGGGTCACTAGGGGTGTCGGTGATTGGTGCCACTTCCACTTCCACCCCTGGACCCATTAATCCTGGCTATGAGGGAAACAGTACCATATATTGGACACTGATTCAGAGCATACGTGGTCTTCTGGAGAACTTTGCCCCAGGCCTGCAAACTATTGTCACCTAGTTGGCACTGTAATTGTGACTTCAAAAGGCCATTCCACTGTTCTATCAATCCAGCTGCTTCGGGATAATGAGGAACATGGTAAGACCAGTGAATTCCATGAGCATGAGCCCACTACCACACTTCTTTAGCTGCAAAGTGAGTGCCGTGGTCAGAGGTAATGCTGTGTGGAATACCATGACGGTGGATAAGGCACTCTGTGAGTCCATGGATGGTAGTCTTGGCGGAAGCATTGCATGCAGGATAGGCAAAACCGTATCCAGAGTGTCTATTCCGGTGAGGACAAACCACTGCCCTTTCCATGATAGAAGAGGTTCAATATAGTCAACCTGCCTCCAGGTAGCTGGCTGATCACCCTGAGGAATGCTGCCATATCGAGGGCTCAGTATTGGTCTCTGCTGCTGGCAAATTGGGCACTCAGCAGTAGCTGTAGCCAGGTCAGCTTGGTAAGTGGAAGTCCATGTTGCTGAGCCCATGCATAACCTCCATTCCTGCCACCATGGCCAATTTTTTCATGGGCCCATTAGGTGATGAAAGGGGTGGCTGGGGAAAGAAGCTGAGTGGTGTCCACAAAATGAGTCATCCTATCTACTTGATTATTAAAGTCCTACTCTGCTGAGGTCACCCTTTGGTGAGCATTCACCTGGGATACAAATATCTTCACAGTTTTTGACCACTCAGAGAGGTCCATCTACATACTTCTTCCCCAAATTTCTTTGTCACCAATTTTTGAATCATGCTTTTTCCAAGTCCCTGACCATCCAGCCAAACCATTGGCCACAGCCCATGAATCAGTATATAATCACACATCTGGCCATTTCTCCTTCCAGGCAAAGTGCACTACCAGGTACACCACTTGAAGTTCTGCCCACTGGGAAGATTTCCCTTCACCACTGTCCTTCAGGGATGTCCTAGAAAGGGGCTATAGTGCTGCAGCTGTCCACTTTGGGGTGGTGCCCGCATATCATGCAGAACCATCTGTAAACCAGGCCCTAGTGTTCTCTTCCTCTGTCAACAGATCATAGGGAACTCCCCATGAGGCCATCAGTGCAGGCTGGGGAAGAGAAGGCAGGGTGGCAGGAGTGGAGATCATGGGCATTTGAGCCACTTCCTCATGTAACTTACTTGTGCCTTCAGGACCTGCTCAAGCCCCATCATGTACATACTACTTCCATTTGATGATGGAATGCTGCTGTGCATGCCCAACTTTATGGCTAGATGGGTCAGAGAGCACCCAGTTCTTGACAGGCAGTTCAGGTCACTTGGTGACTTGATAACCCATCGTCAAATGTTCAGTTTCTACCACAGCCCAGTAACAGGTCAAGAGCTGTCTCTCAAAAGGAAAGTAGTTACCTGCAGAACATGTCAGGACCTTGCTCCAAAATCCTAGAGGCCTCCACTGTGATTCTTCTATGGGAGCCTGCCAAAGGCTCCAAACAGCATCCGTGTCTGCCACTGACACCTCAAGTGCCACGGGATCTGCTGGGTCATATGGCCCAAGTGGCAGAGCAGCTTGCACAGAAGCCTGGACCTGTTGCAGAGCCTTCTCCTGTACTGAACCCCACTCAAAACTGGCAGCCTTTCGGCTCACTCAATAAATGGGCCAGAATAACAAACCCGAGTGAAGAATGTATTGTCTCCAAAATCCAAATAGCCACGGGGCGTTGTGCCTCTTTCTTGGTTGTAAGAGGGTCCAAATGCAGCAACTTATCCTTCACCTTAGAAGAGATATCTCAATGGGCCCCACACCACTGGACCCCTAGAAATTTTACTGAGGTAGAAGGTCCCTGAATTTTAGTTGGATTTATTTCCCATCCCTTGGCATGCAAATGTCTCATCAAGTTGTGTGTGTTTGCTATTTCTCGCTCACTGGATCCAATCAGCATAATGTCATCAATGTAATGGACCAGTATGATATCTTGTGGAAGGGAAAAACGATCAAGATCTCTGCCAACCAAATAATGACACAAAGCCAGAGAGTTGATATACCCCTGAGGCAGGACAGTGAAGGTATATTGCTGGCCTTGCCAGCTGAAGGCAAATTGCTTCTCGTGGGCCTTATGGACAGGAATGGAGACAAAGGCACTTGCCAAATCAATGGCTGCATACCAGGTACCAAGAGACGTGTTAATTTGTTCAAGCAATGGAACCACATCTGGTACAGGTACAGCAGCTGTAACTGGAGTCATCACTTAGTTAAGCTTACAGTAATCCACTGTCATTCTCCAAGATCCATCTGTCTTCTGCATAGGCCAAATAGGAGAGTTAAATGGGGATGTGGTGGGAATCACCACCCCCGCATCTTTCAAGTCCTTGTTGGTGGCACTAATCTCTGCAGTCCCTCCAGGGATGCAATGTTGTATTTGATTTACCATTTTTCTAGGTAGAGGCAGCTCTAACGACTTCCATTTGGCCTTTCCCACTATAATAGTCCTCATCCTACCAGTCAGGAAGCCAACGTGGGGGTTCTGCCTGCTGCTAAGTATGTCTATGCCAATCATGCATTCTGGTTGGGGAAATGACCACAGGATGAGTCCGGGGACCCACTGGACCCACTGTAAGTTGGACCTGAGCTAAAACTCCGTGAATTACCTGACCTCCATAAGCCTCTACTTTAACTGGAAGACCACAGTGTTTTGAGTTCCCTGGAATCAGTCAGCTCAGAGCCAGTGTCCCATAGTCCCCCAAAAATCTGATCATTCCCCTTTCCCCAGTGCACAGTTACCGTGGGGAGGTCTGCCTGGGGAAGGATGGAAGAAAGATTAATGGTATAGATTGTCAGAAAGGTAGTGGGGTTCTTCCTCAAAGGGACTTGGCCTCCCCTATATTCAAGGGGTTCTGGGTCTGTAAACTGGTTCAAGTCTGGAAATTGATTGAGGGGCCATGATTCTCTGTTTTTATAATTCAAATTAGTCTTTTGTCCACTTGACCTGGAAGTTTTCTGCTTATACAAATTGAGTAAGAATGCAGTAGGCTTCCTCTCAATTTCATTTCTAGGAATACCGTGATTAATTAGCCAATGCCAGAGCTCTACATAAGTCAGACTATTCTGATTGCTGCTTTGCCTCTGCTGTCCATTATGGTAACTATACCCACCTTGCCTCTGACAGTTGAGTGCCGCCACTTGGCCCCTGACACCTCAGGATCCAATTATTCCTGTTGCATTTAAATTTTCTAATTGAGTGACTGCAGTTCCCACTGTAAGATCTGGCATACAGAGAAGAGCAATCACAGGGCTCCTCAGGGATGCAGGTGCTCCCCTCTCAAATCTATTTCACAAAGTATTGGTAGAGGGTATGTCTTCTGGACACTCCCAGCTGGAATGAGTAGGTCTAAAGTGACTAATCCACTCCAGCATCCCAATCTCCCTAAGCCTTTGGATCCCTTCCTCTATATTAAACCAAGGGAGATCAGGCATTTCCAACTCGCTCACAGTGGGCCATCTTTTGATTCCTATTTCAGCTAACCAAGCAAATAAACAGAACACTTTTTTAACTCCCCAAGCTGCAACATTAAATGCAGGACCCCTGCTTAGTGGGCCCATATCAATAAATTCAGCCGGATCCAACTCTGTGTTCCTTCCACCATTATCCCACACCCTTAAAATCCATTCCCATGCCTGTTCTCCAGATTTTTGCTTATATAAGTTAGAAAACTCAACCAGTTCTTTTGCAGTGCAGCACACCTCCTTGAGGGTCACACTCTGAACCTCACTTCTACAGGCCTGCCGGGAGTTGAGTCTAGTTACAGGTCTAGAAGCAAACAGGGGTGTTGGTGGTGGGTCCTGAGGAGAATCAGCATTGTCTTGCCTGGCAACTGCCTCAGGGGAGGCCACCACTGTTGCCTCAGACAGTGCATGGTTAATCTCCTTAGACGAAGGTGGAAAGGCTGATGATAGCATAGGTGGGGAGGGGATGTTGTCACCACTAAGGGTGGGGAGACTGTTTCCTCTGGCAAAAAAGGCTCATCAGCGTTTACATGCTCAGTGTCCCTGGCTTCATCAGGTTCCTCCCAAACGTCCCCATTCCAAGTTGCAGACCCCATTCCTTTCCGATCAATGCCCTAACTTTAACAGTAGATACCTGGCGAGACTGAGCGTGCACCTTTCCTTGCAGGTCAGCCACTCTCATGATAAGGGTGTGTGTCTGATTTTCCACAATTTCAGCCCTTTGTCTACAGGAGATAAGACTCTCACTCAGGGCAATCTTAGAAGACTTGAGGCTCAGTATGTGCTTCTGGAGCTGGGAGCTAGAACCCCTGAGCTCATCCTTTTCTTTCGTCACTTTGTCCAGCAAACTTAGGAGCAATCAACCAACTTCATTATATTCCCTGGTTCTCCACAAATGGCCAAAGGTATTATGTATAGAGTCACTAAACTCCTTGCCTCTCGCCTCTCATGAGTGGTGGATCAGGCGTATCAAAAGCATTTATCTTGCATAACTTTTTTTTTTTGAGACAGAGTCTCGCTCTATCACCAGGCTGGAGTGCAATGACGGGATCTCTGCTCACTGCACCTCTGTCTCCCGGGTTCAAGCGATTCTCCTGCCTCAGCCTCCCATGTAGCTGGGACTACAGGCAAGCGCCACCACACCCAGCTAATTTCTGTATTTTTATTAGAGACGGGGTTTCACCATGTTGGCCAGGATGGTCTCGATCTCTTGACCTCATAATCCGCCCGCCTCGGCCTCCCAAAGTACTGGGATTACAGGCCACCGCGCCTGGCCCTATTTTGCATAACTTTCTAAACAGTTCACGCCAAGGACTATCAGTCTTCTCCATACTATTAGAAGTAGAGTCCTTAGCATTTTGGGGTCTAATCAAATTAAGCAGCCAACTCCAGAGACCCCAAAACCAACTAAAAAAATCCATCCTTAAAATTCTGTTCCTCGGCTGGGCGCAGTGGCTCATGTGTGTAATCCCAGCACTTTGGGAGGCAGAGGCGCGTGGATCACCTGGGGTCAGGAGTTCGAGATCAGCCTGGCCAACATGGTGAAACCCCATCTCTACTAAAAATACCAAAAAAAAAAAAATAGCTGGGCATGGTGACAGGAGCCTGTAATTCCAGCTACTCAGGAGGCTGAGGCAGGAGAATCACTTGAACCCGGGAGGCGGAGGCTGCAGTGAGCCAAGATTGTGCCATTGCACTCCAGCCTGGGCAACACGAGCAAAACTCTGTCTCAAAAAAAAAAAAAAAAAAAGAAATTCTGTTCCTCTAGAACCACCCCATTTTCAGTACCAAAATCTGTATTAGTCAGGGTTCTCTAGAGGGACAGAACTAACAGGATAGATGTATATATGAAGGGGAGTTTATTAAGGAGTTTTGACTCACACGATCACAAAGTGAAGTCCCACAATAGGCCATCTGCAAGTTGAGGACCAAGGAAGCCAGTCTGAGTCCCAAAACCTCAAAAGTAGGGAAGCTCCCAGTGGCAGCCTTCAGTCTGTGGCCAAAGGCCCAAGAGCCCCCGGCAAATCACTGGTGTAAGTCCAAGAGTCCAAAAGCTGAAGAACTTGGAGTCTGATGTTCGAGGGCAGGAAGCATCCAGCATGGGAGAAAGATGAAAGCCGGAAGACTCAGGGAGTCTGCTCATTCTACTTTCTTCTGCCTGCTTTATCCTAGCCGCTCTGGCATCTGATTAGATAATGCCCACCCAGATTGAGGGTGAGTCTGTCTCTCTCAGTCCACTGACTCAAATGTTAATCTCCTTCAGCAACACCCTCACAGAAACACCCAGGAACAATAATTTGCATCCTTCAATCCAATGAAGTCGACACTCAGTATTAACCGTCACACCCAGTAAAAAAAAATAGGCTAAATAATTGAACAAATACTTTACAGAAGAAGACATACAAATGGCAAATAAGCATGATGAAAAGATGCTCAATATCTTCAGTTGGCAGGGGAGTACAAATTAAAACCATAATAAGTCACCACTACACACAGACTAGAATGGCTAAAATTAACAAGACTGATGATACAAAGTGTTGGTGAGGACATGGAGCAACTGGAGCTCTCATAAGCTGCTGGTGGGAGTGTAAAATGGCACAATTACATTGGAAAAGTTTGGCAGTTTCTTATAAAGTTAAATATACACTTCCCATATGATCTAGTAATTCTCCTAGCTATTTGCCTGAGACAAATGAAACTATCTGTCCACACAAAAGGCATACATGAACTTCATAGCAGCTTTAGTCAGAAGAGCCCCAAACCAGAGACAACCCAAATGTTGCTCAACAAGAGAACTGAATAAATGACTTGTGTTATATTGATATGGTGGAATAGTATTGAGCAATAAAAAATAAGTAATTATCAGGCCAGGCACAGTGGCTCACACCTGTAATCCCAGCACTTTGGGAGGCCAAGACAGGAGAATTGCTTGAGGCCAGGAGTTTGAGGCCAGCCTGGGCAACATAGTGAGACCCCCATCTCTACAAAAAAAAAAAAGGAAAAGGAAATTAGCTGGGCATGGTGGCACGCACCTGTAGTCCCAGCTACTCAGGAGGCTAAGGCAAGAGGATCGTTTGAACCAGGCTGGTCTCAAACTTCTGACCTCAGGTTATCTGCCCGTCTCAGCCTCCCAAAGTGCTGAGATTACAGGTGTGAGCCACCGTGCTGGCAGTAACTGTTCTTATCAGTTGAATGTAATGACAGATAGCAGATGGGTGATTACCTAGAACAGGGCCAGGAGGATGGACTGCAAAGACGCCTGTAATCCCAGCACTTTGGGAGGCTGAGGTAGGTGGATCACCTGAGGTCAGGAGTTCGAGACCAGCCTGGCCAACATGGTGAAAACCCCGTCTCTACTAAAAATACAAAAATTAGCTGGGGGTGGTGGCGCGTGCCTGTAATCCCAGCTATTTGGGAGGATGAGGCCAAAGAATCGCCTGAACCTGGGAGTTGGAGGTTGCAGAGAGCTGAGATCGCGCCACTGTGCTCCAGCCTGGGCAATGGAATGAGACTCCATCTCAAAAAAAAAAAACTTCACGGCCAGGCACGGTGGCTCACGCCTGTAATCTCAGCAGTTTGGGAGGCCAAGGCAGGCAGATCACGAGATCGAGATCAAGACCATCCTGACCAACATGGCGAAACCCCATCTCTACTAAAAATACAAAAATTGCTGGGTGTGGTGGCGCATGCCTATAATCCCAGCTACTCGGAAGGCTGAGGCAGGAGAATCACTTGAACCAGGGAGGTGGAGGTTGCAGTGAGCCGAGATCTCACCACTGCACTCCAGCCTGGCGACAGAGTGAGACTCTGTCTCAAAAAAAAAAGAAAGAAAGAAAGAAAGGAAGATCTTCACCTGGGTTCAATTCTTGGCTCTGCCACTTCCTAGTTTACAATCTTGGGCAAGCTATTTCACTTTTCTGTGACTCTATTTTCTCATCTGAAAAGAGAATAATACTTTCTTTCATGGTAAAGTAATAATAATAATCATTCTCTTATAGGATCTTTGTTTTTGTTTTTTTAGATAGCCCCATAGGGTTTTGAGACTTAAATGGAATTTTTTTGTTTTGTTTTGTTTCGTTTTGTTTTGAGATGGAGTCTCACTCTGTCGCCCAGGCTGGAGTGCAGTGGTGCAATCTCGGTTTGTTGCAACCTCTGCCTCCCTGGTTCAAGTGATTCTCCTGCCTCAGCCTCCTGAGTAGCTGGGATTACAGGTACCTGCCACCACACCCAGCTAATTTTTGTATTTTTAGTAGAGATGGGGTTTCATCACGTTGGCCAGACTGGTCTTGAACTCCTGACCTCAAGTGATCCTCCCACCTCAGCCTCCCAAAGTGCTGGTATTACAGGCATGAGCCACCGCACCCAGCTTAAATGGAATTTAAATTAGCTAATTTATTGAGAACCATGGCAGCCAACCTCCACGAAGGCCTCCAGTGGTTCTGCTTCTCGGGATTCAAGCACCTCCACATTAAATAGGGCTGACCACTATCACCAATAGGAGATAGTGGAAATGACAGCCTGTGGTTTTTGAGATGAGGGAGGCCATAAAACACATTGACCACTCTTTTTTTTTTCTTTTTGTTTTTGTTTTTTTTTCTTTTTGAGACAGAGTCTCACTCTGTCACCAGTCTGGAGTGCAGTGAGCCAAGATTGGGCCACTCTGCCTTCCGGGTTCAAGTAATTCTCCTTCCTCAGCCTCCCGAGTAGCTGGGATTACAGGCACGTGCCACCACGCCCAGCTAATTTTTGTATTTTTAGTAGAGACGGGGTTTCATCATGTTGGCCAGGATGGTCTCAATCTGTTGACCTCGTGATCTGCCCGCCTCGACCTCCCAAAGTGCTGGGATTACAAGTGTGAGCCACCATGCCTGGCCTTTTTTTTGTTTGTTTTTTTTTTAAGACAGAGTCTTGCTCTGTCGCCCAGCCTGGAGTGCAGTGGCATGATCTTGACTCTCTGCAACCTCTTCCTCCCAGGTTCAAGAGATGCTCTCCAGCCTCAACCTCCCAAGTAGCTGGGATTACAGGCACCCGCCACCACACCTGGCTAATTTTTGTATTTTTAGTAGAGACGGGGTCTCACCATGTTGGCCAGGCTGTTCTCAAACTCCTGACCTCAAGTGATCCGCCCGCCTCAGCCTCCCAAAGTGTTGGGATGACAGGCACGAGCCACCGCGCCTGGCCTGATCACTCTTTCATGGGGAAGCCAACCACCATGTCATGAGGACATTCAAGCAGCCCTGTGGAAGGGTCTGGATGGCAAGTAACTAAATCCTCCTGCCAGAAGCCAGCACCAGCCTGCCAGCCATGTGGGTGAGCCAAGTAGGTCCTTCAATCCCAGGCAAGCCTTTGGGTGACTGGCTGACATTTTTTTTAACCTAAGTATTTTATTTAATTTTTTAATTTTTATGGATACATCATAGGTACATATACTTATGGGGTACGTGAGATGTCTGGATGCAGGCTTGCAATGTGAAATAATCACATCATGGAAAATGGGGTACCCATCCCTTCAAGCATTTATCCTTGGTGTTGCAAACAATCCAATTACACTCTCGAGTTATTTTAAAATGTACAATTAAATTATTAGGCCGGGCACGGTGGCTCACGCCTGTAATCTCAGCACTTTGGGAGCCTGAGGCGGGCCAATCATCTGAGGTCAGGAGTTTGAGACCAGCCTAGACAACATGGTAAAACCCCATCTCTACTAAAAATACAAAAAATTAGCCAGGCTTGGTGGTAGGCACCTGTAGTGCCAGCTACTTGGGAGGCTGAGGCAGGAGAATCACTTGAACCCGGGAGGTGGAGGTTGCAGGTGAGATCGCACCACTGCACTCCAGCCTGGGTGACATAGCAAGACTCCAACTCAAAAAAAAAACAAAATTTAATTTAATTTAATTTAATTTAAAAAATAAATTAAAAAGCTAAAATGCAACAACAATTTTTTATATATATACATATAATTGACCATAGCCGCACCCTGCTGTGCCATCAAATACTAGGGCTCATTCATTTATTCATTCACTTTTTTTTTTTTTTTTTTGAGACAGGGTCTCACTCTGTCACCCGGGCTGGAATGCAGTGGCACGATCTCAGCTCACTGCAGCCTTGATCTCCAGGCTCAAGCCATCCTCCCACCTCAACCTCCCAAGTAGCTGGGACTACAGACATGCACCACCATACCTGGCTAATTTTTGTGCGTGGTTGCGGGGGTAGAGACGGGATTTTGCCATGTTGCCCAGGCTGTTATTCTTTCTTTCTAGCTTTTTTTTTTTTTTTTTTGTACCCACGACCACAACTTCATGAGCCAGAACCGCTCAGTTAAGCTGTTCCCAATTCCTGGCCCACAGAAACCATGTAGGGTAATAAATATTATTGTTTAAAGCCATTAAGTTTTGGGGTAATTTGTTACACAGGAGTCAATAAACTAATATGAACACTACCAGTATAATAGCTAATATTTATTAAGTATATATTCTATCACTTACTATTCCTACCCCCATTACTACTAGCAGGGAAGAGGTCCGATATCCTCCATTTGCCCATCTGGGGCACTTCCCCAGCCTGCCGTGTGCCCAAGGAGACTCAGCTGTTCAGACTCAACAGCCTTCCATATCCCCTGGCTTCTAATCTGGTTTGGGCAAGGAGGAGCCCCCGGGAGGAGACTGAAGGGAGAAGGTGGAGTGACTCAGGGTATTTATGCAACTGCTTCCTCCTGAAGGGCACCTCAGGCTGGTTAACAGAAGGTCACAGCTTCTCTTTTTTTTTTCTTTCTTTTTTTTTTTTTTTTTTAGACAGAGTCTTGCTCTGTCACCCAGGCTGGAGGGCAGTGGCGCAACCTTGGCTCATTGCAACCTCCACCTCCTAGGTTCAAGCGATTCTCCTGCCTCAGCCTCCTGAATAGCTGGGACTACAGGCACGTGCCACCACGCCTGGCTAATTTTGTATTTTCAGTAGAGACAGGGTTTCACCATGTTGGCCAGGCTGGTCTCGAACTCCTGATGTCGAGTGATCCACCTACCTCGGCCTCCCAGATTACAGGCATGAGCCACCTCATCTGGCCAACAGCTTCTCTTAAAGTGACCCTCTCCACATAACTTTCTGGCTAGTGGGAACTGCTCCTGCCATGCCTAAGGAGGTAACAGCCCTCCCATTGTAACCAGTCTCGGCACTGCACTGTCTCCTGCGATTTCTGTACACCCTGTCCACATCTAAATGATCCCTTTAGTCAGCCTTCCTTAAGTCACCCAGTTTGAGCTTGCCATCTGTTTCCCACTGGGACTGATGGCCACCCCAATTTAGGAGCCCCTATTTGGCCAGGCGTGGTGGCTCATGCCTGTAATCCCAGCACTTTTGAGAGGCTGAAGCAGGAGGATCCCTTGAGCCCAGGGGTTTGAGACCAGCCTGGGCAATAGAGCGAGACCTCATCTCTTTTTTTTTTTTTTTTTTTTTTTGAGACGGAGTTTCGTTCTTGTTGCCCAGGCTGGAGTGCAATGGCGCGATCTCAGCTCACTGCAACCTCCGCCTCCTGGGTTCAAGCAATTCTCCTGCCTCAGCCTCCCAAGTAGCTGGGATTACAGGCATGCGCCACCACGCCCAGCTAATTTTGTATTTTTTAGTAGCAACGGGGTTTCTCCATGTTGGTCAGGCTGGTCTCAAACTCCCGACCTCAAGTGATCCGCCCGCCTCGGCCTCCCAAAGTGCTGGGATTACAGGCGTGAGCCACCGCGCCCGGCCTTGAGACCTCATCTCTACAAAACATAAACAAAATTAGTTGGGCGTGGTGGCAACTGCCTGTAGTCTCATCTACTCTGGAGGCTGAAGTAAGAGGATCGATGGAGCCCAGGAGGTAGAGGCTGCAGTGAGCTAACAAAAAAAAAAAAAGGAGAACCCCTACTTTAGAGAAGGAAATGGAAATTCAAAGAGGAGCAAATGGGAAACCAACAGGGGCCACCTGGGGGTGTGCTCAGCAGCCAATAGGCACTAGTGGATGCTTGATAAATATCTGAATTAATGAGTGAATGAATGACTTGCTGTCACTGGGAAGGACCCACCTGCCCTTACCATAGGTGCTGGAACAGCAGGTCAGTATCTGAGCTACTTCAGCCCGACACTGGTGACCAGTTCCCTCGCCCAGCCCAGAGTCTTAAGCTTCAGGAAGTTTTGCATTGGAAGGATTAACACACAGCCCGGGACACCCAGGAAGCAGCCCCCAAGCTCAGTGAGAGACTCAAGAGTTATTTTTGAAAAGCAAGCAAGGCCTGCAGGCGGCCCTGGCAGAGGCAGAACGCAGAGCTGGAAAGAAGAGCCAGGAGCAGAGAGAGAACAGACAGCTACCACAGAACCCACGCCCCACGCCTGTGACGTGGGCCCCACGCACGGCGACATAACATGGTGGCAGAGGCGGGGAGGCGTCCTGTGACCCCTTGGGAATTTTATTTTAATTGTGGTAAAATATACATCACATAAAATGCATCCTTGGGAGTTTTTACTGCTCCCGCCCCAGGCTGAATGACATTGAGGACTGGGTTCCCACAGGAACAGGGAGTGGGAACACCAGCCAAACCCATTTGCATCCAAATGGTGTGTGAGCTTTTGCTCAAGTCTGGGAAAATCCTGGAACTGGAGGGAGGGTCATTGCTCTGAGGCAAAGTTGGGGTCTGAGGATTAGGACACAGGTGACAAAATTAACATTAGCGGTGCATGGTGGCACATGCCTATAGTCCCAGCTACTCGGGAGGCTGAGGCAGGAGAATCGCTTGAACCTGGGGGGTGGCAGTTGCAGTGAGCAGAGATCGCGCCACTGCACTCCAGCCTGAGCAACAGAGCGAGACTCCGTCTCAAAAAATAAAAAATTAAAATGGTAATTAAAAAAAGAAACAGTTAACAGCCTCTATCCCTGCAAAATAGTGGGGTGGCAGGAGTGGCTGTGGGGTCCGGGAGGAGGGGAGCAGGTGCTGGCCCTCGAGGTAGGGCGGGGAACTGCGGGCACGGAAAGCAGCAGCCGAGCAGCAGAATGCGGCTAATGAGCCGTGCAGGTGAAGGGAGAGGTGTCTGCAACGGGGTGGAGGTCACAGGCAGCCAGAGGGAGCCATCAAGGCCCCAAAATAACTCCTGCTTCTGCAGGAGAAACTGGAACTAATCAAGGTGGGAATAATCCGAAAATCCCTCAGAGAGGGACTGCTAAGAGGCCTTGTGTTTCCAAGCAGGGATTAGAGGGGAAGAAAATAAACAAAAGATGGAGTTTGTCCTGGAAAACGGTGCCAACATGAAAGCAAGTTCTTCCTAGGGCCTTGGTCAGAGGGCCACCAGTAGCTAATATCCATTGAGCGCCTACTATTGTATGCCTGATGCATTCATATGGCTAAGCATGTGAGCTCTGAAGTCGGCCTGCCTGGATTGGAATTCCTGCTCTACTTCCTGCTAGCTGTGTGACCTCCGAAGAGTTATTTCCCCATTCTGAGCCTCAGTTTCCTTATCTGGAAAATGGGGATAAAATTCATACCTGCCCCGCAGGGTAGTTGAGGATAAGTGCTCGATACATGTGAACTTTTATTATAATAGAAATATTTCCAGGGGCTCATTTCCTGGGATTGCCGGTGGCTCATACCTGTAATCCCGGCACTTTGGGAGGCCGAGGTGAGTGGATCACCTGAGATCAGGAGTTGGAGACCAGCCTGGCCAACATGGCAAAACCCCATCTCTACTAAAAATACAAAAATCAGCCAGGTGTGGTCTCAGGTGCCGGTAGTCCCAGCTACTTGGGAGGCTGAGACATAAGAATTGCTTGTACCCGGGAGACGGAGGTTGCAGTGAGCTGAGATTCACTGTGACTCCAGCCTGGGTGACAGAGACTGTCTCAAGAAACAAAACAAAACAAAACAAAACAAATCTTTCCAGCAATGCTGGAGGAAGAGGGTTAGGTTTTGTCTCCTCTTTCTGCAGGGTAGTGAACCAAGGCTCAGAGAGCCCAAGGTCACATGGCTAATAAGTGAAAGTGTCAGGATGGTGACTCATGTGAGTCTAAGTCAGGAGCATGTGAATTCACTAGCCCGGGCCACCCTGCTCGCTCCTCAGTGGGCAGGGAGGAGGGCAGTGGCCCACAGGCAGGGCGCAGCCCCTCACCCACCGCCTCTCTCTGGGCCCCATGCTGGGAGCAGATACAGCATGCACGTGGGAAACAGTCTCCGGGTGAGACATGTACAGTGGAGAGGGACGAGCACTGCCCTTGAGCATGGAAACTTGGCTGAGTTCTTTCCTCTCTCTGGGCCTCAGTTTCCCCAGTTGCAGAACAAGTGGTGGTAACAGGTGACTCGAGTCCTGGAGAGTCTAGATTCTTGCTCCCTGGTTCTCTGGTGAGTATCCGGTGCAGGCAGCAGTGAAACGAGGACAAGAGAGGAACCTGGGCCACTGCCAGGTGATCTCCCCTTTGTCACTTCCCTCCCTTCTCCTGGTGAATAGTTCCAGGCAGAGGGAACAGCAAAAGCAAAGGTCGGGAAATGAGAGTGAGCATGGCACGTTTGGGGAGCTACAAGTAGAAGAATCCAGTCACCCGGTTTATTCATTTATTCAATTAGTTAATCAACATTTAGTAACCTGGTTTACTCATTTGATTATTCAACCAGCATTTATCACTGTGTGCCAGGCAGTGTTGGAGTACTGGGGATACAGCGGTGAACAAAACAGAAAAAACCACCATCTTCACGAGGCTCATTCTTTTTTCTTTCTTTTTCTTTTTTTTTTTTTTTTTGAGATGGGATCTCGCTGTCGCCCAGGCTGGAATGCAATGGTGCGATCTCGGCTCACTGCAGCCTCCACCTCCTGGGTTCAAGTGATTCTCCTGCATCAGCCTCCTGAGTAGCTGGATTCAGGTGTCTGCCACCATGCCCGGATAATTTTTTGTATTTTTAGTAGAGACAGCGTTTCACCGTGTTGACCAGGCTGGTCTCAAACTTCTGACCTCAAGTGATCCAACCACCTTGGCCTCCCAAAGTACTGGGATTACAAGCGTGAGCCACCCCACTCAGCCTCATGGGGCTCATTTTAATTGGGGGAGATGGAAAAACGAAGTAAACAAATCAATACCCAGAATCATTTCAGCATGGGATAAGCATTTACATGAATAAAAGCTAATACGTGTAAAGCATCTGCTATGGGTCAGGCATTGCCAACAGATGTTAAATAATTTGATCCTTGCTACCACACGATGAGGCTGTAATCACCACTCCCACCTTACAGCTGAGGAAATTGTGGCTTAACAGAGAAGTTAAGTAACCTGCCCAGTGCCACACAGCATTGGAGCAGGTGGAGCTGTGATTCAAATCCAGGCCATCTGGCACCACTGTGCTGGCTGGTGAGGAGAGCACTAAATAGGGCAACTTGTCCAGGGAATAGCCCTCTAAAGAGGTGACATTTGAGCCAGGACGCATGAGAAGGCTGAGGCTGCCATGCAAAATCCAGGAAGCAGAAGGTTCCAGATGGAGGGAACATTGAGTGCAAAGGCCCTGAGGCAAGTAGGGGCTTCACAGGTTGGGAGAAGAGCGAGGAGGTCAGTTTTAACTTGAGGAGAGGATAGAAGAGGTCAGAGCGTTGCGCGGGGCAGACACGTGGGGTTGGGGGGGAGCCTCCTCTGTCCTCCTGAAGGAGGCCCAGGAGACGTTCCCAGGAGCCTCCCGGCAGGTCTGAGGGATGCTTGGGAAGCAGGGCCTGAAGTCGTTCTGACAGGTGTGGCTCCCCTCCTCTCCCCTATCAAGTCGATGAGGCGTGGTCAAAGCTGATCTTCCCCGGGGCCCATTGCTGGGAAATGAGTGCAGCTGCAACCTGCCGTGTAGCCTCGGCCAGCACCACCCACAGGTGGCCCCCTCCCTGACTGATGGGGACATGGAAGGGCCCGTCTCATTCTTCCCTCTTCACCCTAAATCCACATCCTCCCTGGCCCTGTACCTCCCACAGAGCCACAAATGAGGGGCTCCCATTCTCCAGTGGAGGCTGGACCACCTAGCTCCTGCCCTCAGGGTGCCCCCCAGAGGTCTGAGTCCAGTCCCAGCTCAGTGAGGGAATGGGGTGTTCCCCAGCTTGGTCTCAGAGGGTCTGAGAGTCAAGAGTCTGGCCTTAGGGAGAAATCTTGGTGGGCTGGAAAGGGATCCACGTTCCTAGTCATATAGACCTAAATTAGAGTCCAGACTCTATCCCCATGTGGTTTTGGGAAAGTCGCTTCACCTAAGTCTCAGTTTCATCATCTGAAAAATGGGAATAATCACACTACCTACCTCATAGGGTCAATGTGAAAATTAAATATAACATGGCTGAGAGGGGGCTTTCTGGGGCTGGAAATGTTCTATATCTTTACCTGCAAGGTGATATATAAAATTCAATGAAATGTACATTGTAGGGTGGCTCATGCCTATAATCCCAGCACTTTGGGAGGCTGAGGCGGGTGGATGACTTGAGCACAGGAGTTCGAGACCAGCCTGGGCAACATGGCAAAACCCCATCTCTACTAAAAATACAAAAATTAGCCAGGCGTGGTGGCAGGTGCCTGTAATCCCAGCTACTCGGGAGGCTGAGGCAGGAGAATCGCTTGAGCCTGGGAGGCAGAGATTGCGGTGAGCCGAGATCATGCCACTGCCCTCCAGCCTGGGCAACTCTGTTGGAATCTCATTCTTGAGATTCCATCTCAAAAATAACACCACCACCACGGTAGATTTATGCATTTTACTGTATGTATGTTACAACTCAATTTTTTTTTTTTTTTGAGAACAGAGTCTTGCTCTTTCGCCCAGGCCAGACTGCAGTGGCACTATCTCGGCTCACTGCAAGCTCCGCCTCCCGGGTTCACACCATTCTTCTGCCTCAGCCTCCGGAGTAGCTGGGACTACAGGCACCCGCCACCGCACCCAGCTAATTTTTTGTATTTTTAGTAGAGACGGGGTTTCACTGTGTTAGCCAAGATGGTCTCGATCTCCTGACCTCGTGATCCGCCCGCCTCGGCCTCCCCAAATGCTGGGATTACAGGTGTGAGCCACTGCACCCGGCCATAACTCAATTTTTTTTTAAATGCAAAGTACCTGACCCATGGCTAGCATCACATAAATGTTAGGTAGTATTAGCATAAAGTGTTCCATAAATATTTATTGAATATATTTGTTAAATAAGCCCTTGTAAGTACCCTTCCATGTTTTGTTTATCATTTATTTGATTCCCAGGGCTCCTGGGGCCTGGATGCCTACAGGAGCTCAAACTCAATATGTCCGTGACTGATTTCCTTCACCTCATTCTTGCTTCTCCCCAGGCTTCTCTAACTGCCCAATGGCTCAACCCAGAAATGTGGATGATACCCTGCCTGCCTTTTTCTGTTCTTCTTCTCTCCAACCTCTTACAGCCAACTGATTACTAAAACTTCCTGTAGTAGACTCTCTCCAAAGACGGCCCCCAACCATTCCCCCGCCACCCTATAAGGGCATGCTGACCTCCCATCAAGAGGTAGAGATTGAGGCTGGGCACAGTGGTTCACGCCTGTAATCCCAGCACTTTGGGAGGCCAAGACGGGCAGATCACCTGAGGTTAGGAATTTGAGACCAGCCTGGCCAACATGGTGAAACCCCGTCTCTAGTAAAAGTACAAAAACTGCCCAGGCATGGTGGCACACACCTGTGGTCCCAGCTACTTGGGGGACTGAGGCACAAGAGTCACTTGTACCGGGAGGTGGAGACTGCAGTGAGTCAAGATTGTACCACTGCACTCCAGCCTGGGCGACAGAGTGAGACCCTGTCTCAAAAACAAACACACAACAACAAAAAATAGATCAATGACATAAAGGTAGGAGCTAATACCATAGAACAATTAAAAGAAACCATAAGGCCAGGTGTGGTGGCTCACGCCTGTAGTCCCAGCTACTCGGGAGGCTGAGGCAGGAGAATCACTTGAACCTGGGAAGTGGAGGTTGCCGTGAGCCGAGATCGTGTTATTGCACTTCAGCTTGGGCAATAAGAGTGAACTCCATCTCAGAAAAAATAAAATAAATAAAATAAAATAAACCACAGGGATAAATCTTCATGATCTAGGATTTAGCAACAGATTCTTCAATTTGACACTGAAATCACAAGAAACAAAAGAAAAAAGAGACAAACTGGATTTCATGAAAAGTAAAAACTTTTCTGCATCAAAGAACATTATCAAGAAAGTAAACAGGCAACCTGCAGAATGGGAGGCAATATTTGCACATCGTATATCTGATAAGAATTTAGTATCCAGAATATATAAAGAACTCAACAACAAAAAGACAAACAACCCTTCTAAAAAATGGGCCAAGTGAGCCAGATGCGGTGGCTCACGCCTGTAACCCCAGCACTTTGGGAGGCCGAGGTGGGCAGATCACGAGGTCAGGCGTTTGAGACCAGCCTGGCCAACATGGCGAAACCCTGTCTCTACTAAAAATACAAAAATTAGCCAGGCGTAGTGGTGGGTGCCTGTAATCCAAGCTACTCAGGAGACTGAGGCAGGAGAATCGCTTGAACCTGGGAGGCAGAGGATGCAATGAGCTGAGATCGTGCCACTGCACTCCAGCCTGGACAACAAGGACAAGACTCTGTCTCAACAACAACAAAAAAAAAATGAGCCAAGTAAGCGAACAGACATTTCTCCAAAGAAGATAAACAAATGGCCAGAAAGCATATGAAAAAGATGTTCAACATCATTGGCCATTAAGTAAATGTAAATCAAAACCACAATAAGATATCACCCACTAGGATGGCCTTAATTTTTAAAAAGGGGGCAGAGCTCTTCCTGTTCTCCATCATGGCACAGGATGAAGGTGAAAAGGAGAACCCCACGTGGGAACTTTGCATTCACAAGCTCTGCCTCGACATCTGTGTTGGGGAGAGTAGAGACTGATCCCTGCAGCCAAAGCATTGGAGCAGCTTGCAGCCCGGACCCTGTGTTTTCCAAAGCCAGATACACTGTCATATTGTTTGACATCCGGAAAAATGAAAAGCCGAAAATGCTGTCCGCTGCATAGTTCAAGAGGCCAAAGCAGAAGAAATCCTGGAGAAGGGTCTAGAGGTATGGGAGTATGAGTTGAGAAAAAATAACTTCTCAGATACTGGAAACTTTGATTTTGGGATCCAGGAACACATCAATCTGGGTATCAAATATGACCCAAGTGTGGGTGTCTATGGCCTGGACTTCTCTGCGGTGCTGAGTAGGCCGGGTTTCGGCATCACAGACAAGAAGCACAGGACAGGCTGCACTGGGGCCAAACACAGAATCAGCAAAGAGGAGACCATGCACTGGCTCCAACAGAAGTGTGATGGGATCATGCTTCCTTGCAAATAAATTCCCGTTTCTATCCAAAAAGCCAATAAACAGTTTTCAGGGAAATGTAAAACAAAATAAAATAAGAAGTGGGGAGAGAAATAACAAGTGCTGGCTGGGTGCGGTGGCTCGTGCCTGTAATCCCAGCACTTTGGGAGGCCGAGGCCGGCTAATCGCCTAAGGTCAGGAGTTCGAGACCATCCTGGCCAACATGGTGAAACCCCGTCTCTACTAAAAATATAAAAATTAGCCAGGCGTAGTGGCGCACGCCTGTAGTCTCAGCTACTGGGGAGGCTGAGGCTGGAGAATCGCTTGAACCTGGGAGGTGAAGGTTGCAGTGAACCAAGATCGTGCCACTGCACTCCAGCCTGGGCAACAGAGCAAGACTCCATCTCAAACAAACAGAAATAACGAGTGTTGGTAAGGATGTGGAAAAATAGACACTTCTGTTGTGTTAGTCCATCCAGGCAGCTATAACAAAGTACTGTAGACCGGATGGCTCATAAACAACAGAAATTCAGCCAGGCGCGGGGGCTAATGCCTGTAATCCCAGCACTTTGGGAGGCTGAGGAGGGTGGATCTTTTGAGGACAGGAGTTTGATACCAGCCTAGCCAACATGGGAAAACCCCATCTCTACTAAAAATACAAAAAGTAGCCGGGCATGGTGGCAGGGGCCTGTAATCCCAGCTCCTCAGAAGACTGAGGAAGGAGAATCGCTTGAACCCAGGAGACAGAGGTTGCAGTGAGCCGAGACTCTGCCACTGCACTCCAGCCTGGGCAACAGAGTGAGACCCCGTTTCAAAAAGAAACAACAACAACAAAAACCAGAAATGTATTTCTCGTAGTTTTGGACCCTGGAAGTGTGAGGTCACGGTGGCCAGCATGGCCGGGTTCTGGTGAGGGCCTTCCTCTGGGTTGAAGACTGTGGACTTCTCATTGTCCCCTCACATGGTGGAGAGAAGGCAACAGTGTTCTCCGGGGTCCCTTTTCTAAGCACATTCATCCCACTGATGAGGGCTCCACTCTCATGGCCTGTTTACTTCCCGAAGGCCCCACCTCCTAATGCCATCACTTCATGGGTGAGGATCTCAATATATGATTTTGGGGAGGACATGAACATTCAGTCCATTGCACTCATCCATTGCGGCTGGGAGTGGAAAATGGTGCAGCTGCTGTGGGAAACAGTTTGGCAGTTCCTCAAAAAGTTAAACATAGAGTTACCATATGACAGAAATTCCATTCCTAAAGAACTGAAAGCAGAGACTCAAACAGATCCTTGTTCACCAATGCTCATAGCAGCATTATTCCCAAGAGCCAAAAGGTGGAAACAAGCCAAATATCCATCAACAGATTAATGGATAAACAAATTGTGGTCTAGCCATACAATGGAATATTATTCAGCCATAAAAAGGAATGAAGTGCTGGCGCATGCTACAACATGGGTGAACCCTGACAACATCATGCTAACTGAAAGCAGCCAGACACCAGAGGTCACATATTGTATGATTCCATGGATCTGAAATGTCTGGAATAGGTACACCCATAGAGACAGAAAGCAGATTCATGGTTGTCAGCGGCTGGGGGGAGGGAGGATGGGGAGAGATTGCCATATGGGTATGGAGTGATAGGAAAGTGTGAAACTAGGAAGAGGTGGTGGTTGCTCAACATTGTGAATGCACTAAGCTGAGGCTCCCCCCAACCAACAGCCCTAACTGAGCACCCAGCCGGCAGCCAACAATGACTGCCAGCCACGTGGGTGAGGCCACTTGGGACCTTCCTGCCATCCCAGCAACCCCACGTGATGCAGAACTGCCCTCTCACCCTACAGAATCATGAGAAAAAAACAGTGTTGTTGTTTTAAGGCACACAGTTTTGGGGTGATTTATCGTGCAGCAAGAGGTAACCAGTTCTACCTGTAAACACTTTACAAAGCCACCCGTTTCTCTCTATCCCCACCACCCTCATCCAAGTCTCTCGTCTCCCTCCAGGCAGCAGCTTCCTCCCCAGGGTCCCTACCTCCAGTCCAGCCGCCTGAGGTCTATTCTTCCCTGCAGCCAAAGGGAAGCTTCCAGCTCCCGATCTCATTCTCTCAGCCGTCCACTCAGTATCCAAGCATTCAGTGTGCCCAACAAGGCCCTGAGGGACCTGTCCCTGCCCATCTCTGCAGTCCCAGTCCCCCTCACCCACACCTCTATCCCCTACAACTCACAGTTCCCGGAACTCAGCACGTCGCTTCCTTAGCACAAGCAGTTCCCTCTTCCTACAGCACTCTTTCCTACCTCCTCTCTCTTCCCCTAGCTCTTTTTCTCCTTCAGGCCTCAGCTCAGACACCACCGGCTCCAGGAAGCCTTCCCTGACCACCTGGGCTGAGTTAAGTGCCTCCTCCAGGCACCTGTTTACCCCCATTCTTACAAGAGCAGTAGCTGCTCTTGCCTTTTGTTGTTGTTGTTGTTGTTGTTGAGACGGAGTTTCACTCTTGTTGCCCAGGCTGGAGTGCAGTGGCGCGATCTCAGCTCACTGCAACCTCTGCCTCCCGGGTTCCAGTGATTCTCCTGCCTCGGCCTCCTGAGTAGCTGGGATTACAGGTGCCCGCCACCACGCCTGACTGATTTTTTGTATTTAGTAGAGACAGGGTTTCACCATGTTGGTAGGTCTGGTCTTGAACTCCTGACCTCAGGTGATCCACCCACTTCTGCCTCCCAAAGTGTTGGGATTACAGGCGTGAGCCACCGCGCCCAGCCTACCTTTTTAACAACCTGTCTCACCACCTAGTGAGCAATATCAGGGCAGGGACAAAGTCCTCTTTTGTTCTCAGAGCCTAGTGCAGGCCTGGCACAGTAAGTACTCAGGGAAACCCAGTGGAAGGGAGGTAGGAATTCTGTAATGCAGGCTGGGGACCTCACATCTCACATGAGACTGGTACATGAGTGAGGTTGGGCTGTGGGCTTCCCCGAGCCTCCCTTCTCCCAAGAAGGCCCTGGCCACTTGGAGAGGCCTGGAGCAGAGGTCAGGGAGGGACCACTGGGGGCTGAGGTCATAAATGTCCAGGCCGAGGGAGTGGAGTCCTCCTCCAAGTGCCAAACACCTGGGCAGTAACAAGTGAACGACATGTCTGTCTCCCCTATAAAGAATGTCCCAGGCCAGGCACAGTGGCTCATGCCTGTAATTCCAGCACTTTGGGAGGCTGAGGAGGCAGATCACCCAAGCTCAGAAGTTTGAAATCAGCCTGGGAAACATGGAAAAACCCCATCTCTACACAAAATACAAAAAAAAAAAAAAATTAGCCAGGCATGGTGGTGCATGCCTGTAGTCCCAGCTACTTGGGAGGCTGAGGTGGGAGGATCACCTGAGCCCAGGGAAGTGAAGGCTGCAGTGAGCCATGATTGCACCACCGCACTCCATCCTGGGTGACAGAGTGAGATTCTGACTCACAAAAAAAAAAAAAAGTATCCCGGCCAGGCGCGGTGGCTGACACCTGTAATCCCAACACTTTGGGAGGCCGAGGTGGGCAGATCATGAGGTCAGGAGTTCAAGACCAGCCTGACCAACATGGTGAAACGCCATCTCTACTAAAAATACAAAAAAATTAGCCGGGTATGGTGGCATGTGCCTGTAATCCCAGCTACTTGAGAGGCAGAGGCAGGAGAATCGCTTGAACACGGGAGGCGGAGGTTGCAGTGAGCAGGGATCGCCTCACTCCACTCCAGCCTGGGCGACAGTGTGAGACTCCGTCTAAAAAAGTGTCCCGATAAAGAATGTCATGCAGTGGTTACTTCCATGGGCTATGCAGGCAGGCAGACTGGGTTTCAAATCCTAGCTCTGTTACCTCCCAGTTATGTGACCCTGGAGGAGTGACTTCACCTCTCTGATGTTCGCTCTGCTCATCTATAAAACTGAGCATAATACGGCCGGGCACCGTGGCTCACGCCTGTAATCCCAACACTTTGGGAGGCTGAGGCAGGAAGATCACTTGAGGACAGGAGTTCAAGACCAGCCTGGGCAACATAGTGAGACCTCATCTCTACTAAAAGTAGAAATAAAAATTAGCCAGTCATGGTGGCATGCACCTATAGTCCCAGCTACATGGGAGGCCAAGATGGGAGGATCGCTTGAGCCCCAGGAGTTCAAGGTTGCAGTGAGCTATGATCATGCCACTGCACCAAAGCCTGCAAGACAGAGCAAGACCCTGTCTCAACAAAAAAAGGAATCTGGGGAAAACACAATAACAACAGTACAAAGAATAATTCACTCAGTCTTTACAACCATTAAAGGAGGTGGGTACTCTCCTTGTGCCCATTTTATAGATGATGAAATTGAGGCCTGAGGGCATGCAGGACATAGGTAGCTGAGGCTGGATTTAAACCAGGCAGTCTGAGTCCTCCAACCCTTTAACCACCGCCCTACGCTGCTCTCAAAGCCCCAAGGCCTACCTTTCCTGTCAGTCTGGCTGCTGCTCACCAAACAGATCAGCTGCATGATCTCAGGCATGTGAACCTTTCTCTGGGCCTTAGTTTTCCCACCTTCCCAGAGAGGATCACAGGAGCCAGTGCTGAAGGACACTCCCTTTTGGTTTAACAATCCAGCCCATGGCCAGTGTCTGGTTACAGCTGGTGACCCACTGACCAGCTAGCCCCAGCTGGGGCAACACACTCCATGGGCTGGACTGTCACAGGCGGGTCACCGCACATAGACAGCTGTACCATCCCCTCCACATTGGTGGGGTTCTGGCCTCTGCCTATTTCCAGCCCCCCAGGGTCCTTGAGGGAGGCTGCAGCGGCCACCCCCAGATGTCTATTCCTGTCCCTGGCCTAGCGCCGTGCTGGGGAAGCAGCAGCTATTTTGAGGTCCTTCTCCCTCCAAGTGTGAGCGGTGGGAACGCGCTGGGAACATCCCGAACTGGGAGGCCGCCCGCCCGCCACAGCCTTGCCTTGGCTCCGGGCCACACCAGTCCTGTGGCTCTGCCTCTTCTCCTAAGATCAGCTCTGGCAATGTGATCAGCTCTGATCACAGCCACCGCCCTGGGATAACCCAGGAGAACTGATTGCAAGGGGCTTCTGCTGGAGATGGGAGCACAGGGTGGCTGGGCTTTGCCCCTGGGGGGAGGACTGGACCCACTAGCTGGGAGAAGGAACCACTCTGAGCTTGAAATTGGGGACAATATTGAAAACAGTACTATAAAAATACCTGGCCAGCCGCAGTGGCTCATGCCTGTAATCCCAGCACTTTGGGAAGCCAAGGTGGCAGGATTGCTTGAGCCCAGGCCTTTGAGACCAGCCTGGGCAACATAGCGAGACCCTGTCTCTATTACATTTTAATGTATATTTTTAAAAAATACCTGACATTTCTTGAGTGCTCATGATTAAACAGGCCTTGTTCTAAGCATGTGACATGAATGTAAACTGTTTAATCCTCACAGAAAGGAAACAGGTTCAGAGAGGGAAAGTGACTTGCCCAAGGTCACACAGCCAGTAATGGCTGAATGAAGACTTGAACCCAGGTCAGCTGGCTCCAGTTCATGCTTTTAATCACTTTTCTCCCCTCTGAACCCTCCAAGCCCAGGGGCTAATATGAATTAGGAGAAAAACCACTAGCTTGAAGAGTCCATCCCTCTTTGTAATTGGGCCAGGCAGACTACCTCTGTGAGCTCAGCTCTCTCATCTCTGAGATGGGAATAATGATAGTACCCACTTCCACAGCTAAGGTAAGGACTGGTGTTAACATACCTTGGGGACTGGGGCTCAGTAACTTTTTTTACTTTTTTTTTTTTTTTTGAGACAAAGCCTCGCTCTGTCACCCAGGCTGGAGTGCAGTGGTGCACTCATGGCTCACTGCAGCCTCAACCTCCTGGGCTCAAGCAATCCTCCCACCTCACACTCCCAAGTAGCTGGGACTACAGCCAAGTGCCACCATGCCTGGCTAATTTGTACTTTTTTGTAGAGACGGGGTCTCACTTTGTTGCCCAGGCTGGTCTTGAACTCCTGGGCTCAAGCAATCCTCCTGCCTCAGCCTCTCAAAGTGCTGGGATTATAGGCATGAGCCACCATGCGTGGCCAGTAACTTCTTTAAATTATGAAACTAACATATGCACATCTCCATTTGTCTTTTCAGGATGCTACAGTAAAAATACCACAGACTGGTTGGCTTAAACAACAAATATTTATTGCTTTTATTGCTCACAGTTCTGGAGGCTGGGAAGTCCAAGATTAAGGTGCCAGGAGATTCTGTGTCCTCATGTGGTAGGAGAGGGAGAGAGCACTCTCTGGGGTCCCTCTTTTTTTTTTTTTTTGGAGACAGGACCTTGTTCTGTCACCCAGGCTGGAGTGCAGCGGTGTGATCTCAGCTCACTGCAACCTCTGCCTCCCAGGCTCAAGCTCAAGTGATTCTCCTGCCTCAGCCTCCTGAGTAGCTGGGATTACAGGCATGCACCACCATACCCAGCTAATTTTTGTATTTTTAGGAGAGGCGGGGTTTCACCATGTTGCCCAGGCTGGTCTTAAACTCCTAGAATCAAGTGATCCACCCACCTCAGCCTCCTGAAGTACTGGGATTACAGGCATGGGCCACAGTCCCCAGCCTGGGGTCCCTTTTATAAGGGCACTAATACTATTCATGAGGGTTCAACTCTTATGACCTAATCACCTCCCAAAGGCCCCACCTCCTAATACCATCATCTTAAAGGTTAGGATTTCCGTATATTAATTTGAGGGAACATAAACATTCAGCACACAAACATATGGCAAAATAAAATGGAAAAACAGAGGACATGGTAGAAACTAAGGCCTTCCTACTTCACACCTGAATTCCTCTCCCCAGAGGTAACCACCATCAACAGCTTCTTGGGTCACCCTTTGGAAATTTTCGATGCAAATAAAGGCAGAGAAGCCATATAGAACAGTGGTTAAGAACATGGACTGCCTGATCCAAATTCTGGCCCTGCTGTGGACAAGCTACGTGAAGCTTAGGCCAACAGTTTGTTCTCCCTGAGCCTCAGTTTCCTCATCTGTAAAATGGGGTTAATAAAACCAAGTACCTACTTTATAGGGTAGTTGTCAGGATTAAATGAGTCAGTCTAGGCAGTGTTTATTTGTTTATTTATTTATTTATTTTTTGAGACAGAGTTTTGCTCTGTTGCCCAGGCTGGAGTGCAGTGGCACAGTCTCAGCTCACTGCAACCTCTGCCTCCTGGGTTCAAGCGATCCTCCTGCCTCAGCCTCCCGAGTAGCTGGGATTTACAGGCAACTACCACCATGCCCAGCTAGTTTTTTGTATTTTTAGTAGAGATGGGGTTTCACCATATTGGCCAGGCTGGTCTCGAACTCCTGACCTCAAGTGATCCGCCCACCTCGGCCTCCCAAAGTGCTGGGATTGCAGACGTGAGCCACCGCGCCCAGCCTAGGCAGTGTTTAGAATGAACATTCCCTGGCCCATAGTTGTCCGATAAATACACACATACAGTGGACCCCTTCTGGTAAACACTGAGGTGGCCTTTTGCTATAACCAACGATGCTGCAAGCAAGACACATCCTCATTCACCTGTCATTTGGCACAAATGCGACAATCTCTGTGGGAGAAATTGCTGGTGGAGAAATTGCTGGGTCAAACAGTAGAGCCCTTGTAATTTCAATTAATTTTTGGATGAGCGAATTCTCACAGCAGGCGGGGACAGGGAAAGAGGTTCACAGGGCAGCGAGGACAAAGGAGGAGCAAGATGCAATGTTTTGACTGAAGTCCAGGGAGGGCTGCATCTGTCCCAGCAACCTGGAGGATGTGGCGGCTCCCCAAGCCCCTGGCTAAGCAGATGGAGGGTTTAATTTCATCTAGATTGTCCCCATAAGGGTTTTACAGAAAATTGGTTAAGATTCGAGGAGTAGGAGCCTCTTACGAGCAGTGGCTGCTTAATAAAATGCTGGAGCAGATACAGTTTCCCTTTGCCACCATCCACAACAGCAGCATCTGGGCTCTGACAGAAACCCCTCGGATGCCAAAGTCACCTCAGAATGGTACCCCAGTTGCGCTCTCCTTCCTCAGCATCTTTCTAGGTCCCCGAATACAGAGTAGAGAGCAAGGGGTTAAGAGCACAGGTTTTAGGGTAAGACAGATGTCCACCCAAATTTACTGTGTCAACTTGGGCAAGCCATTTTCCTCCCTGTGTCTCAGAGGATAATGGGTCCTAACTTCATGAGGCTGATGTGAGGACTCAATCAATCAAACCCAGAAAAGACAGTGGCCAGCACACTGGGAGAGCCCAATTAATGATCACCCAGGAGACACGGATGAAGAATAAAGACAGTGATCCCGGCTGGACACGGTGGCTCACACCTGTAATCCCAGCACTTTGGGAGGCCCAGACAGGCAGATCACATGAGGCCAGGAGTTCGAGACCAGCCCGGCCAACATGGCAAAACCCCATCTCTGCTAAAAATACAAAAAATAGCCAGGTATAGTGGTGGGCACCTGTAGTCCCAGCTACTCAGGAGGCTGAGGCAGGAGAATCGCTTGAACCTAGGAGGCAGAGGTTGCGGTGAGCCAAGATGGAGCTACTGCCCTCAAGCCTGTGGGACAGAGTGAGATCCTGTCTCAGAAAAAAAAAAAAAAAAGGCCGGTCGCGGTGGCTCACGCCTGTAATCCTAGCACTTTGGGAGGCCAAGGTGGGTGGATCACGAGGTCAGGAGATGGAGAGCATCCTGGCTAACACGGTAAAACCCTGTCTCTACTAAAAATATAAAAAATTAGCCAGGCGAGGTGGCACGTGCCCGTAGTCCCAGCTACTGGGGAGGCTGAGCCAGAAGAATCGCTTGAACCCGGGAGGCAGAGGTTGCAGTGAGCTGAGATCGCGCCACTGCACTCCAGCCTAGGCGGCAGAGGGAGACTCCATCTCAAAAAAAAAAAAAAAAAAAAAAAAAGGAATCTGAGAAGTCCCAGGACGACTGTAATAATGCTAACAGTAATGACAACAGTGACCACCCCATTGATCCAGGGGATACCTGACTCGGCTAAGGGCACAGGCTGGGGTCAGACAGACGTGGATTGGGCTCTATTGTGCACCTGGGTGAGTTGTGATGTCGCACCTGGGTGAGCTCACCTCTCAGAGCCTCATCGGCTTCCTCACCTGGGGAGGATAATGGCTCTGCGGCCCGGCTGGGGAGAGAACCGAGGAGGGGTTGGGGTGTGAGCCCCCGCCGCTGCCCCTTCGCGGCCGGCATTCCGGCGGCGGGCACGGCCGGGGCACACCCCGTCGCCGTCCAGCGGATCTCCGGGCCCCGGGGAAGACGGCCGCTCCTCCTCCATGCCTCCGCGGGCGGATTCCCCCGCAGCCTCCCGCGCCGCGCAGCGGGGACCCGGGTGATTGCAAACAGCCGCCGGCCTCATTAGGAGACTTATAATTAGCGGCTGGCGCAGCCCGAGCCGGCGCGCGCTAATTACCGCGGGGAGCCCGCCCGCCCGGCCACCGCCGGCGTCTGCACCCTCCTGGGCCAGAAGGGGCCGGGCCTGGTCCAAGACTGGGAGGCCGCGGGCCGTGCCAATGTGCTTCCTCCCGGGGCTGTGCCTGTGGGGGAAAAGTAAATCATTTGTTCAGAACAGCGTTTACTTGCCGAGGGCGGTGGCACACGCCTGTAATCCCAACACTTTGGGAGGCCGAGGCGGGCGGATCACTTGAAGTCAGGAGTTTGAGACCAGCCTGTCCAACATGGTGAAATCTCTACTAAAAATACAAAATTAGCCGGGCGTCGTGGCAGGCGCCTTAATCCCAGCTACTCTGGAGGCTGAGGCAGGAGAATTGCTTGAACCCGGGAGGCAGAGGCTGCAGTGAGCCGACATGGCGTCACTGCACTCCAGCCTGGGCGACAGAGCAAAAAACTGTCTCAAAAAATTCCTGTTGTTTGGCTATATTTTCTTTTTTCTTTTCTTGTTTTTAAGACAGTCTTAAAAATCAGTCTCAAAAAACAAACAAAACAAAAAAAACAAAAACAAAAAAAGGGCTTACTATGCACTCGCTGTGCCAGGCATTTTGTCCACATGACCCCGCTTAAACTTCATATCCACCCACGAGGGAGGAACCATTGTTATCCCATTGCACAGATGAGGAAACTAAGATCTGAGACATGAATTAACCCTCCTGACAGCACCTGGCCGGGCCAGTAAATGACGGAGTAGCGAATCGAACCTCCATCTGTCGTCTCTCCATCTTATTACACTAAATGGACGAGTGAAATCCTGCACGGGAGAGCACCAACCGTGTTGACCAGAACAAGGAGTCAGCTGGCTTTGGGTTCGAATTCTGATCCTGCTCCTAACTGGATACGAGGCTTTGGTCTGAGCCCCAACTGCATCTATAAAATGGGCGAAGCATTGCTGTTGAAATGAAGGCTGGGAGGAGTGAAATTTCTATGAGGGGTGGAGCGCTCAGGAGTTGGGGGTGTCTTGCTCTCTCCGCGCACTGCGGACCTCTGGCGCCCCCTGTTGGCCAAAGGAGGATGTCGCAGACACTTTCTGGTGAAAAGTTGTTCTTGGGTGGGGAGTGCCGTCACTGTCACTGGTCCCTTGGCAGGGCCACGGCGTTCCCTCTTCCTATTCTTTTCTTCCCTACCTTCCCCCACATCCCTCCTTTAAGGTGGCCAAGAAGAGTGGGAGATGGGAAAATTCAGAACTCATTCCAGATCTTGCAAAAATAGGTTGTGAAAGCTGCCCCCATTACGGACCTCACAGGACCAGCCAAGGCCAAGACACTTCTACAAATAATCAGGGATGGGCATAAAGACTAAGCTACAAAGCCATGCATCAAAGTATTGGGTATAACAAGAAAATCTAGAAATAATGTAAACGTCTACCAAAGGGATACTGACCAACTTCACAATGGTACGTCCAAACAATGCAATACTGCACAGCTAAAAAACAGTATTGTCGCTGAAGAGCTGACATGAAAATATAGCCAAATGGCCAGGCGTGGTAGCTCACGCCTGTAATCCCAGCACTTTGGGAGGCCGAGGTGGGTGGATCACCTGAGGTCAGGAGTTCAAGACCAGCCTGGCCAACATGGGGAAACCCTGTCCCTACTAAAAATACAAAAATTAGCCAGTTGTGGTGGCACACACCTGTAGTCCCAGCTACTTGGGAGGCTGAGGCAGGAGAATCGCCTGAATCCAGGAGGCAGAGGTTGCAGTGAGCTGAGATCGTGCTCCAGCTTGGGCAACAGAGTGAGACTCCGTCTCAAAAAACTAAATAAATAAATACAAAAATTAGCTGGTCGTGGTGGCAGGTGCCTGTAATCCCAGCTACTCGGGAGGCTGAGGCAGGAGAATCGCTTGAACTCAGGAGGCAGAGGTTGCAGCCAGCCTCCTGGCTGCATTTATATAAAGTTTAAGAACAGGCAAAATTAATCTAGCAGGGTAGAAGTGGTAATAGTGGCTGATAGCAGTAAGCAATTTGACTGGAAGAGGGCTCAGGGAACCTTCTGGGATACTGGAAATGCTCTTTATTTTAATCTTGGAGGTGGTTATAGAAGTCTATCCATATGTAAAAATTCATTGAGATGAATACACTTAAGAATATGTACTTTATGTAATACCCCATAAGACATTTTTTTTAAAATACTTAAAAATAAAAGAAAAAACATAATTTAACAGAGGGCATAGTTCTCAAGCTGTTTTCTCTGTCTCAGGACCCCTTTACACACGTTACTGAGGGTGCCCAAGAGCTTTTAGTTTTGTGGGTTATATTTACTATGGACATTAAAGTTGAGAAACGTTTAAAAAACAATACACAATTCCTAGAGCAGTGACGTCATCACGTCAAGCAGCCTCTGGAAAACTTGACTGTTCACTCAGAGAGAATGAAAAAGACAAGTAACATCTTAGCATTATTATGAAAGTAATTTTGACTTCGGGGACTCCCAAATCGAGTGAATTTAGGAAATCTCAGTGGTCCCCAGACGGCACTTTGAGAACCACTGGCGCAGGGAGAAAATGACAGAAGAAAACACACTACACGACAACAGTTATTCTCTCTCAGTGCTGGGATTATAATTTATTTGCTTCTTTGTGCTTTTCTGTCAAAAAAAAAAGGTAAACGGAAATGGAAAATACAATGACCACGTATTGTTTCTGCGAGCAAAAAACGAGACGGCACACTCGCCTCCCTAAGATTGCTGAAAGGCCCAAACAGCAATAGCATATTTAGCTGTATGGAAGAATTAAACT
Organism: Homo sapiens; assembly: GCF_000001405.40. Lineage (NCBI taxonomy): Eukaryota > Metazoa > Chordata > Mammalia > Primates > Hominidae > Homo > Homo sapiens. The sequence continues at coordinate 120,581,834 of NC_000012.12, read as the reverse complement.
GAGCTCAAACCTGAAAATAAAAGTCCGATTTCCCGTTTGTCAATGCCTGGGCTGTGAGGTGCAGGGTCTTGCCCTCAAAAGCTCCACCGTTCACCTTGGGGAGAGAATATACTCGCATACATAACTGTGGTGCAAGGTTCCCAGGGCCCCAAGGGTAGCGGCTACATCCTACACACTATTGTAAACTTCAGTGTGCAACAGAACCATCCATTACAGCTGCAAGGCGCTCCATCCCGGGGTTCAGCCCTCAAACTAGTCAGTGACCCTCCGCAGGACGCATGCGCGCTTACAAACGCAGTTGGGCGGGGCTTGAGAGAGCTGACAGACTTCGGCCTCTCAACTTTCTAGCTCCGCCCTAATATCCTGTCTCCTTCTCTGAATGGCTGAAAGGCTGCGGAAGCAAGCTTCCCATTGGCAGCGGACAGAATTCACATCCGGTTTGCACGCCGGACCGGAGAGCGCGGAGGCAGCCATGGTGCGGTTCAAGCACAGGTAAGCATTCCCTTCCAGACCCTCCCAGTGCCTTGCTGGGTCCTCGCGGCCCCGCTAGTGTCCACCTTCCTCTCGCCTGCCGCAGGTACCTGCTCTGCGAACTGGTGTCTGACGACCCCCGCTGCCGCCTAAGCCTCGATGACCGAGTTCTGAGCAGCCTCGTACGGGACACGATCGCCAGGGTGCACGGAACTTTCGGCGCAGCCGCCTGCTCCATCGGCTTCGCGGGTGCAAGGGCGCTGGGGGAAGAGGGGAACCCGGGAGGATGGCGGGATGTGGAGGGGGCAGGCGCCGGAGGAAGAAAGAAGGGGCACGAGTGGCCAAGCCCGTGCACCGTTTTTTGTAAGGTATCTCTTTAAGCGCCTGGGACCCCAAGCGAGAGTCCGAAATTAGCAGAGCGCTAAAAGGAGGGGCCCGAAGGCAGTGGGGCTTTGAGCTAGAAGCCTCTTTTTACCTGCTTGACAGGTAATTTCTGTAATTGGTTGTGATTGAATTTGATAGGGTAGAGAATTAAATGAGGGAAGCTGTGTATACTTCCTAGTAAGAGCTATTATATGACCGATTACATTAACATCATATGGAAAAAAATTGTCAAAAGTACTCCGGGAAAGCCCTTAAATAGTTGGTAAAGTACAGAACACATGATTGTCAATATATGTAAATACAGGATGAGCTAGGACAGAGGGGCCCTTCTTTCACACCACTTAAATTAGTTCCCACTTTAACCTTGTTTGAGATTGACTTCTGGAGAGTTAAATGCAGATAGACTTAACTCTCCTAAGTCAGGTGAGACTGAGAGCTGACTGCTACAATAATTACGGAGCCCAAATGCAGTAAAACAGCCTGTTTTTCAGGCAAGGGTTTTGTGGGGGTTTTTCCTAAATTAAAACGGATCGCCTCCTACCTGCTCCTATTTATTGAATTAACTAGTGAATTAGAAAGCATTTTCAATTCTAAATTCATTCACCAGTTCTGAGTGGTGTGCAACACAGTGGGTGTTTTGGCTTTTCTCTTTTACTCGCTGATAGATCTACGTGCCACTTGCCTACAACATACTTTTGGCACATAGTAGGCTCTGTTACTCCAAAGTTTTCCTTTTTTCGAGACAGTCTGGCTGTTGCCCAGGCTGCTGGAGTGCAGCAGCGAGATCGGGGGTCATTGCTGCCTCTGCCTCCTGGGTTCAGGCGATTCTCATGCCTCAGCCTCCTGAGTGGCTGGAATTACAGGTGCGCACCACCACACCCAGCTAATTTTTGTATTTTTAGTAGAGACGGGGTTTCATCATGTTGGCCAGGCTGGCCTCGAACTCCTGACTTAAAGTGATCTGCCCGCCTCAGCCTCCCAAAGTGCTGGGATTACAGGCGTGAGCCACCACACAGAGCAAAAGTTTTCCAAAATGATTTTTCTTTCCTGTTGTAGTTCGATATCTCAATGCCTATACTGGAATAGTGCTACTTCGATGCAGAAAAGAATTCTATCAGCTTGTGTGGTCAGCTCTTCCCTTCATCACATACTTGGAGAACAAAGGACACCGTTACCCATGCTTTTTCAACACATTACATGTGGGAGGTAGGAGTGAGGTGGTATGGCTACTGATTTTCAATTGGTGACACGTTCACAGTTCAGTCTAAACTGGTGGGTGGGTCTTGCTGCTGTCCCGCTAACAAGACACTTCCCCCTACCTCTGAAAGTCTGTAAGGTCGAGATCTTTCACAAGCTGTTGACCACAGTAACTCATATGCCAGGTACAATAAGAACATGTCAGAAGTTCCTAATTCAGTACAACAGGAGACAGCTGTTGATCTTGTTGCAGAACTGCACTGATGAAGGTAAGCAACACTAGCCCAGTGCCCACTGAGCAGTGACTGACCTTAAGCTGAAGAAATCACTCCCAAAGATATCTTTCATCCCTGTTATCTGCCTTCTCCAGGAGAGCGGGAAGCTATCCAGAAGTCTGTGACAAGAAGCTGCTTATTAGAGGAGGAGGAGGAGTCAGGTGAGGAGGCTGCAGAAGCAATGGAGTGAACCTCTGCTCCCCACACAGCTGGCTACACTGCTCAGGCTTCAGGCCCACTTGTTGAACAGAACAATCTGGGTAGCAACAGCATCTTCCACAGTTTTCCAAACTGGATAGCTGCCAACCAGCAGACATTACCCACTTGAAATGGAGTACTCAGTTAAACTGAAGTTGCCTTTACCTAGCATTCCCTGGTGAAGTGTTGCAGGTTGTGAACTCTGTAGACATCTTTATTGCTTGGCTAAGAGTAGATTTAATAAATGTATCTGGTTTCCGTGGCATTTAGCATACTTATATTACAGAAAGGGCTTATGGAGTCCATGCTTGGCCAAGTCTCTGTTCTCTCTCTATCCCTAGCCTTGGTGGGAAGACTGACTCCCTATGTGGTACTAGTTAAACTTTTTTTTTTGAGACAGTCTCAGTCTATCACCCAGGCTGGAGTGTAGTGGCCCAGTATCGGCTCACTGCAACCTCCGCCTCCTGGGTTCAAGCAATTCTCCCACCTCAGCCTTCCAAGTAACTGGGATTACAGACGTGCACCACCACGTCTGGCTAATTTTTGTATTTTTAGTAGAGACGGGGTTTTGCCATGTTGGCCAGGCTGCTGTTGAACTCCTGGCCTCAAGTGATCGGCCTACCTTGGCCTCCAAAAGTGCTGGGATTAAAGGGTGAGCCACTGTGCCTGGCCTAAATTTTCAATACTTAGCCTTCTACCTGAAGCTTTGTACCCCCGGCCCCATGATGGGCCCTAAGCAAGCCAAGTCATTTGGAATAGAAATATTAGTTGAGACACAGCAACTGAACTGGCAGAGATCTACAGCCCATCTCAGTACTGAACCACAGGGTCTTACAGATACCAGATTCCTTGCCAATAGTTAATCAGGTAACTTAAAAAATACAACTTTGGGCCGGGCGCAGTGGCTCACACCTGTAATCCCAGCACTTTGGGAGGCTGAGGCGGCCAGATCACAAGGTCAGGAGATCAAGACCATCCCGTCTAACGCAGTGAAACCCTGTCTCCACTAAAAATACAAAAAATTAGCTGGGCATGGTGGTGGGTGCCTGTAATCTCAGGTACTCAGGAGGCTGAGGCAGGAGAATGGCGTGAACCCGGGAGGCAGAGCTTGCAGTGAGCTGAGATCCCACTACTGTACTGCAGCCTGGGCTAGAGCGAGACTCTGTCTCAAACAAAAAATGCAACCTTTGCAGTTGGGGGGGGCGCGGGTGCTGGCCTCATCTGACATCATTACTGCATGGTCATGTAGCAGCTGTCCACTTAAGGAACTTAAGGTAGTTTTTGTAGTTCCGCTCTTATTGCGCCTGAATACAAGGCGCCCTGAAGACAAGTCAGACTGCCATACTCACAGGAAGTAGGAATGGCGGGAGACTTGTGATCCAGGTTTGATCTGCTACCTACTGACATTTCTGGGATCTGTTTTCTCCATAATACAATGGATGAGACTGAAAGTACCATACACATTTAACAGAAACACTGGTGATTCTGGCTTCAACATGCCCCCTCATCTGGAGGCCAGAACACCCTCATCCATCCAGGAAATTTCCTGATAGGATTTCTTTTAAAATGGCAGGTTAAAGCTAAGCCCAGCTCTAGAACCATTTAAACCTGACACCAGAAAAGACAGCCTACAATATCATAGTAGCTGTCACGTTAACCTATTCAAGAAATAACTTGTCTAGCTTACCTGTAATGAACTTAAAAAAACAAAAAGCTCACAATGCTTGTGCAGGTGATTTATTGCAACTATTTGCCTTCGCATTCTAATGCACCTAGAGGTCACTTTATTAAGCAGCAAAAGAATTCACATCAAATTCAGCTCAAACCAAGGCATAAGAAAACTGCTCTAGATGAGAGGGAGATGGTGGCAATGCTACCGCTTCAGATGGCCCTGCTCTCCTGCAGCTGTACCAGACTCCTCCTCCTATGACTCAAGCCAGTCACTGAAAACAAGCTCGATCTTAGGGGTAGCAGGTCTCAGGGCTTCGTGAGTTACAGCTTTCCTTACCAACTCAAGCCATGCTCAAGAAGAGGCAAAACCCTCCTTTCACACATGCAAGTGCCAAGGACAGCCTACTCCATTAAGCTGGCACCACAGCCTGGCCATGTGTCAGAAAAAAAAAAACTGCAATTCAAACTGGGTGTCCTAAATCCATTTTATTCCCACCCCTGTTTCTTTAACAAGGAGAACTAAATAGGTAGTAAAGATTCAGCTGTTTTTTAAAAGACAAACTGAGAGGTGTACTGAGTCCAGGAAGCCCTGACATGATGCTACAGCAGAGCAGTGTGTGCCATTCTGGGTTGGACTGCTCTAATGCATCTCAAAGGGGACTCAATCTTACTTTGGGTTGAGAAAAATTAATTACACATGGGTCAAAAAGACTAAACTGGCAATGAACTAAAAACCTTGGCAGGAAGAGATCTCTTGTGTCAATACTTTATTTTGGTGTAAAGACAGGAAGCTGGAAAATACACTGTATTTAAAATTTTCTTGGTTCCCCCTCACATTGTGGAAACCCCCTCCCCCCAGAGCTAATCTGTTCAAACTCAAATACTTAAAAATTACAGCAGCCAAACAAAAGCATGGGGGAAAAAAAAACAAAAACAAAAACCAGATGGAGAAGGTAGCCTGGGCCAGTAGTGTCACTTGGTGTGGACGACTGAGGTGCTGAACAGGAGCTTCTGTTTCTGTTTTTTTCTTTTCTTTCCTCCTTTCTCTTCTAAAGGGAGACACAGAAAGACAGCTTAACTTAAAATGCCATCCCTTGTCCCCTGGCCAGTTTTCATTACTGAGAGTCACAGAGTGGGAGCTAAGAGTGGAGGCTCTGGAATTAGACTGCCTAGATGCCAATACCAGTCTTGGTATACACCAAGTGGGTGTCTTTGGGCAAATCACTTTTACCTCCCTGGACCTCAGTTTCCCCATCTGTAACGTGAGGTACACCCATTTAACGTGGTTGTTGGGAGAATTAGCACAGTGCTAGGCACATAGCACGCCATACATATGTGATTCTTGTCTAGTCATGAACAGAGTGCAACAGGCTTCGAGACTGACTTCTCCATCTAATTAGCCACCCTGTACCAACTCAAGATTCTAAAGGATACAGGTTGTACACCCCACTGTATCTTGGAAGAGTTCCTCAGAATTTCACTTTCAGGCGTCATCAATTTCTCTGGGGTGGCAAATAGGTCCTATCTGACATACCAAATGGAGTATTATTTAAATGACACTAGAGTGTGCTGAAGGGTTCAGAAGGGAAAGAGCCTAATTAGTGATGTCTGCCACTGAATCCAGGCGGGAATGGCAGTACATGTGTAGTATGTTTGACAACCCTGGGCACTCCAGCCTCTGCCCTTACCAGAGAGGGGATCTGAAGTAGCTGGTGTGTCCAGTTTCATGAAGGCTGCTTCAATAGCTTGGCTGAAGGAATTTTGAAAACTGGGCACAGGAACACGGTCTGAATTATCACTCTCCCCGTCGCTGTCCACAGGGGCAGGAGGAACTAAGCTGTTCTCATCTAAAAAATACCAGTGTTAAAACTATAGAAACAACTCTTTTTCTAGAAACAGCCTTTTATGGAAAGAAGCCAAACTCCCCCTTCACCAGTGGACCATCCTCACCTTTCTTTGGAGCAGTTTTGGGCCACACATCTGCTTTTGCTTTTCCAACCCTCAGCATCTGCCAAAGTGGGAAAGAAGTGGGGGAGAGAATTTAAGTAGCTGGTCCAACTTCTTTTTCAGACCTACCTTGACTAACTGGAGAGGCACAGAACCAACTATCACCTTTGAAAAGATTTTCCAGGTACTTCTCTCCTTAACACACTGTTCTAGTCATGTCCTCTATATCCTGGCTAATGGAAATGGCAATGAAACCCACAAGGTAGTAAACCATAAGCTGTTTGTTCCTTAGGAAATGGGTAAAGAACACTGCACAGAAGGCACAAGAGATTCTTACTGAGACCCTCAAATTGGGAATTCCGACTTTCTGGTTAAGTTTTTCTGCCCTTCCTGGGACCCCTAAAAACATCGAGCTGTCGGAGGAAGCAGTGAGTAGTACCCTCCAGTTTTTGTTTTTTAGACAGTTTAGCTCTTGTTGCCCAGGCTGGCGTGCAATGGCACAATATTGGCTCACTGTGACCTGTGCCTCCCAGGTTCAAGCAATTCTGTCTCAGCCTCCCAAGTAGCTGGGATTACAGGCACCCGCCTGGCTAATTTTTGGATTTTTTTTTTTTTAGTAGAGACGGGGTTTCACCATGTTGGCCAGGCTGGTCCTGAACTCTTGACCTCAGTTAATCCCTCACCTTGGCCTCCCAAAGTGCTGGGATTATAGGCGTGAGCCACTGTGCCCGGCCTAGTACCCTCCAGTTTTTTTTGTTTTGTTCGAGATGGAGTTTCGCTCTTGTTGCCCAGGCTGGAGTGCAATGGCGCAAATCTTGGCTTACCGCAACCTCTGCCTCCCAGCTTCAAGTGATTCTCCTGCCTCATCCTCCTGAGTAGCTGGGATTATAGGCATGCACCACCACGCCCGGCTAATTTTTGTATTTTTAGTAAAGACGGGGTTTCTCCATGTTGGTCAGGCTGGTCTCGAACTCCTGACCTCAGGTGATCTGCCCGCCTTGGCCTCCCAAAGTGCTGGGATTACAGGCATGAGACACCGTGCCCAGCCAAGTACCCTCCAGTTTTAAACCACATGGCTACTAAACTTCAGTTACCTAAAGCCATGAAAACTAACTAAACTCTCTCCTGACACCGCTTCAACAGCCCCTCACTACCTTTTAGTCTGCTTTTCCAATAGCTCCTTCATCATTAACTTTCAGATCCAACCACAGGCCAGTAAAATTCCTGCAAGGACAATAAAATCAGAACAATCCTCATGCCCCTGAGGAATTTTCATTCCACTTGGCCAAGGCCAGCTTTGTAACTGCTGAAGGCCACTATGAGCCCCAACTGCAAATATGCCACTTAAAAGGCAGAGAACATTTTATTCCTGGAAAAATATCAAGAGACAAACCCCATGGGGTTCAAGCAGGGATGCCTTGTCCTTAAATCATATATTCCAAAGTGAGGAATGCCTATTACTCAAGATGAGTTTGTGTTGGCAGATGCCGATTTCATTAAATAACCTTTCTTCATTATGTTCCACTTTGGTGAACTTCTCCCTTTGTCTCTAGGAGTTTGGGTCTCCTACGGTTTAGACATTTGACCCTCCCAAGCCTCATGTTAAAATCTGATCCCCAATGCTGGAAGTGGGGACCTAATGGGAGATGTATGGGTCATGGGGGTGGACCCCTCATGAACAGATTAATGCCCTCCCTGGGGGATGGGAGACCTATTCTCGCATTCATTCCTGAAAGAGCTGATGAGTGATGTCTGCCACTGGATCCCAGTGGGAATGGCAGTACATGTGTGTTTGACAACCCTGGGCACTCCAGCCTCTGCCCTTACCACAGAAGGGATCTGAAGTAGCTGGTGTGTCCAGTTTCACAAAGGCTGCTTCAATAGCTTGGCTGAAGGCTATTTTGAAACTGGGCACAGGAACACGGTTGTTTAAAACGGCCTGGCACCTCCTCCCCTCCTTGCTTCCTCTTTAGCCATGTGATCTCTTCACAAGCAGGGACCCCTTCACTTCGTGTACCATGAGTGGAAGCAGCCTGAGGCACTCACCAGATGCCCAGTCCTCCAGCCAGCAGAGTCATGAGCCAAATAAACTTTTTTTTTTTTTTTGATAAATGACTCGGCGTCGGGTAATCTTTTATACCCACACAAATGGACTGAGACAGTATCCAAATAGTTTGACATGTGAATTGTTTTACTCTTAAAAGGTAATCAAAATGTCACCTATGTCTTATTCTTACCAAAATGTTTAAATGTAACCTGAATCCATTCATGAGAAATCAAACAAGTCCAAACTGTAGGATATTCTATAAAACAACTGGCCATGGAAGGGAAAAAAAAGGGGATATGGGCAAAGGAACGGTTATAGATCAAAGGAGACTAAAGAGACTTGACAACTAAATGCAGGGAGTAACAGGATTCTGCCCTGAGTTGAAAATGAAGGACGCTGAGACAAATGTGGAGATATAAATATGCACCATATTAGATATTACTGTGGCAGTGGAATTTCTCTAATGTGATCACTGTGGTTCTATAGGCGAATATCCCACTTTCTTTGGCATGTATCTCCTAAGTACTTAGCGGTAAAGTATCATTCAGGATATCTGCAACTTCTTTTCAACACAGAAAAAAGAGAAAGCAAATATATAACAGCAAAATAGTAACAATTAGTGAATCTAGGTCAAAAGTTTAAGTGTTCATAATACTATTCTTTCAACTCTGTATTTCAAAATAAAGTTCAAAGGAAAAAAGCAATAGCAATAAAGCCTAGTTTAAAAAAAAAAAAAAAAAAAAAGGCCAGGCGCAGTGGTTCATGTCTGTAATCCCAGCACTTTGGGAGGCTGAGGCAGGTGGATCGCCTGAGGTCAAGAGTTCTAGACCAGCCTGGCCAACATGGTAAAACCCTGTCTCTACTAAAAATACAAAAATTAGCCGGGCATGGTGGTAGGCGCCTGTAACCCAACCCCAGCTACCCGGGAGGCTGAGGCAGGAGAATTGCTTGAACCCGGGAGGCGGTGGTTGCAGTGAGCCGAGATCACGCCATTGCACTCCAGCCTTGGGGACAGGAGCAAGACTTCAACTCAAAACAAAACAAAACAAAACAAAACAAGTATTTGGCATAACTCCTGGGAGCCACTTGTTAATCATCTCTAAGTCCAGCAGTTAATTTTCAGGATCCCCCTCTCTTCTCACCTCACCTCCACAATTATTTCATGTTCCTTGACTTCGGAACCCTCCTTACCAAAGCTCAATTCTTGCTTATTTCTCAGTACAAACTGCTGTAATTACATAAGAAAGATCCGTATCAACTGCTCTAAAGAACTGTCAATGGCCGGGCATGGTGGCTCATGCCTGTAATCCCAGCTCTTTGGGAGGCTGAGGCAGGCGGATCACGAGGTCAGGAGATTGAGACCCTACTGGCTAATACGGTGAAACCCTGTCTCTACTAAAAATACAAAAAATTAGCCGGGCGTGGTGGCAGGCGCCTATAGTCCCAGCTACTCGGGAGGCTGAGGCAGGAGAATGGCGTGAACCCGGGAGGCGGAGCTTACAGCAAGCCAAGATCGCGCCACGGAACTCCAGCCTGGGGGACAGGGAGACTCCGTCTTGGAGAAGAGGAAAAAAAAAAAAAAACTGTCAAGATAATGATTCTGCACTAGCCTCAAAGAAGTTTATACGGACTTCTTACAAGGGCACATGTCAAGCTGTCCATCCATCTTCCTCACTTATCTGAATGCAGGAATGCTGAGTATTAGCTTGTTATCTTAGAGATTAACAAAGTGGTTTCACAGCAAGCCTCACTAGCCTATCGTTCCCCCACCCAGCTCCAAGGAAGCTGCTTTGGCTAGGTGCAGTATAACCAAGACAATCTTCCCCTCTCAAAGTGAAGAGAAATGGCTCATTTTATGTAACAGATAAATACCACCTGAATCAGAGGTCCTAGAACCAGAGACCAGTTAAAACTGATGCTGTATCCCCAGCCCCTACAATAGTATCCAGTACACAAGTTATCAAATGATTTTTAAAATATTCTAAACTCTGATTCTGCCTCAGCTATTCTTGGCCTCTTTCCTGGGTACGTCTACAGTAACATCTGAGGACTAAATCCATGAGCTTTCCTCTTAAGAATGCCTCCCATGATTATTAGAGTCAGTGCAACATTAGCCTGTTAAGTCTCTCCTTTTCCAACAGAGCGGACGTCCATGACATAATCTGCCCTCAACCAACTCCATGCTGCATAAAGCTCCGACAGGCAGTTAACTTCCCTCCTACCCATCAGATGACTCAATTTGTCCAGCCGTATTAGAATGAGAGGTAACAATCCCTGGAGGAGGTTCCCATAATAATGAGCAGCAGAGTTCATGTTAAATACCCCTGGGCTGCTTCACAAGCAAAGGATTTACCTGGGCAAAGGAAGGGAAGGGAGAGTCTTCTTCCAGACTCCCAACGCAGAATGAGGGACTGCCCTGACTGGCAGTGGGTGACAGAGGGGTCAGCAGAAAGTCTGAAAGGGAACCAGAGACCTGATTATATTCGTCACGTTCCAAGGGGTGTCCTTAACAAGAGAGATGAGTGAGCCCTGAGTCAGGTCTGGAAAATTACAAATCATCCCCTCAAAAAAAAAAAAGCAAACATTGATCCAACTTTCAACTCTTCCATGTTCTTAAAAAGCCAACAATATCACCAGTGAAATCAGCGACCGGTACAGGAAGAGGGAAGAGCTTCATCGTTACAGTAACTCTAGAAGTCATGGTAGAATCTACTCCAACTGTAAGAAAAGTCTTTGCTTTTGAAATGCTATACTTTCCACAAAGGCTGGCTCTCAAGGATAGGTACTGTCAGGGACTGGTTTTACAAGGATGAAATAGCTCCAAGAAAAAGATAAAATTTAATCAGCTCAGCTTTTACATTCCCGATAGTAGACACTATGACCTGGGAGTATCCAATTAGAATCCAAGACACATCAACAAGATCCAGCACAAGGATGCAAACTTTTCCCCAATACTCCCTAGGTAATACACTTCTCTATCCATTCTGACTAGAGCTGAACACTTCCCACAGATGAGTCTATCCACTGCCCTGAACAGTGTTGGACGAGAGGGGCCCTATTCTCTCCCCCAGCAGCAGGCCCTCACATGGTCAGTACTCTTATTACTAGGACCAACCAATTGCTCTTGCTTAAATACATTAAAAGCTTAAACTTTCAGAAAAGCCGGGTGCGGTGGCTCCCGCTGTAATCCCAGCACTTTGGGAGGCTGAGGTGGGTGGATCACCTGAGGTCAGGAGTTCAAGACCAGGCTGGCCAACATGGCAAAACCCCATCCCTACTAAAAATACAAAATTAGCTGGGCATGGTGGCGGGCACCTGTAATCCCAGCTACTTGGGAGGCTGAGGCAGGACAATCACTTGAACCTGGGAAGTGGAGGCTGCAGTGAACCGAGATCGTGCCATTGTGCTCCAGCCTGGGTGATAGAGCAAAACTCCATCTTAAAAAAAAAAAAAAAAAAAAGGCTGGGTGTGGTGGCTCACGCCTGTAATCCCAGCACTTTGGGAGGCTGAGGCAGGCAGATCACAAGCTCAGGAGATCGAGACCATCCTGGCTAACACGGTGAAACCCCATCTCTACTAAAAATACAAAAAATTAGCCAGGCATGGTGGCACGCTACACAGCTACTCAGGAGGCTGGGGCAGGAGAATCGCTTGAACCCGCGAGGGGGAAGTTGCAGTGAGCCAAAATCGCACCACTGCACTCCAGCCCGGGCGACAGAGAGACAGACTCCATCCAAAACAAAACAAAACAAAAAGCAGCTTTCAGAAAAGACAGTATGTGAAAACACAATCTCGGTATCACAGATAGGCTGGGCACAGTGGCTCAGGCCTATAATCCCAGCACACTGGGAGGCCGAGGCAGGCGGATCACTTGAAGCCATGAGTTTGAGACCAACCTGGCCAACATGGCGAAACCCCATCTCTACTAAAAATACAAAAATTAGCAGGGTATGGTGGTGCTGCCTGTAATCCCAGCTACTCGGGAGGCTGAGGCACAAGAATTGCTTCAACCTGGGACGCAGAGGTTGCAGTGAGCCGAGATTGTGCCTTGTGCCACTGCACTCCAGTTTGGGCGACAGAGCGAGACCCTGTCTCAAAAAAAAAAAGATGCATATCACAAATAATGTATTTAATGATCTGCCACAGTCCTTCGTATGCTCCTTTTTCAGTTAAGCAGAAGAGCGTCACAGTAGTGCAGTCCTCAAGAACCAGGTTCTAATCCCAGTTCTTGCCACTAAGTACCTGCCTCAGCCACAGGTTCCTAATCTGCAAAATGATATGCATATGAACAAAATGGTCACCACAAGTTTTAAATATTCCAATGATGGACACTTTGTTAAGAATGCCCGACAGAGGCCAGGCACAGTGGCTCATGCCTGTAATCCCAGGACTTTGGGAGGCCAAGGCAGGTGGATTACCTGAGGTCAGCTGGCGGATCACCTGAGGTCAGGAGTTTGAGACTAGCCTGACCAACATGGAGAAACCCTGTCTCTACTAAAAATACAAAATTAGCCAGGCATGGTGGCATATGCCTGTAATCCAAACTACTTGGAGGCTGAGGCAGGAGAATCGCTTGAACCCAGGAGGCAGAGGTTGCAGTAAGCTGAGATTGCACTATTGCACTCCAGCCTGGGCAACAAGAGCGAAACTCCATCTAAAACAAAACAAAACAAAACAAGAATGCCTGAGAAATCAGACGTAAGCATCAAAAAGTATCTTTCTTGGCCAGGTACAGTGGCTCACACCTGGAATCCCAGCACTCTGGGAGGCTCAGGCAGGAGGATCACTTGAGCCCAGGAGTTCAAGACTGCAGTGAGCTAATGAATGCATCACAGCACTGAGCAAGACCCTATCTCTTAAAAACAAACAGGCTGGGCACAGTAGCTCCCACCTGCAATCCCAGCACTTTGGGAGGTTGAGGCAGACAGAACACTTGAGGCCAGGAGTTCGAGACCAGCCTGGCCAACATGGAGAGACCCTGTCTCTATTAAAAATACAAAAATTAGCCAGGCATGGTGACGCACACCTGTAATCCCAGCTACTCATGAGGCTGAGGCAGAAGAATCGCTTGAACCCGGGAGGCAGAGGTTGCAGTTAGCTGAGATTGCACCAGTGCACTCCAGCCTGGGTGACAGAGCTAGACTCCATCTCAAAAAAAAAAAAAAGAAATTAATAAACCATGTGCCAGGCAGATGAAGATCACAAAAGATAGTTCTCTGAAATTATAGTAACTCTTTAATAAATGTTTAATTTCATAACACTTTAAACATTCTTTATATATAAGACAAACTTTTTGAAGGCTAAAGGCCCATTTGAACATTTCAATCCAGTCTCATTCCTTAGAATGTAACACTACTACCAATTTGGAACACATCTGTCTCAGTATTTTTCTTTTTTTTTTTGAGAGGGTCTGGCTGTGTTGCCCAGGCTAGAGTGCAGTGGCCCAATCTGGGCTCACTGCAACCTTTGCCTCCTAGGCTCAAGCCATCTCCCCACCTCAGCCTCCCAAGTAGCTGGGACTACAGGTACACACTACCACACCTGGCTAAATTTCGTATTTTTTGTAGAGACAAAATTTGGTTGGTCTTGAACTCCTGAGCTCAAGGGAATCTGCCCACCTTGGCCTCCCAAAGTGCTGAGATTACAGGTGTGAGCCACCGTGCCTGGCCTTCAATTCTTTTCTATACATTTAATATTTTTTTATTTCCTCCCCTGCCTTCTAACAGAAGTTTTTCTATACATTTACATATATATATATACATACACACACACACACACACACACCCATAATGAAATGCTTTAGTTTTGTGGTGGTGGTGGTGTTTTTTTAAAACCCACGAACATTTATTCTTGTTCTACAAATTACTTTTATCTTCCCATTAGTACGTGAATAGAAGAATTACATTCCCTTCTTTAACAGGTGTGATTTTTTTTTTTTTTTTTTGAGACAAAGTCTCGCTCTGTCGCCCAGGCTGGAATGCAGTGACGCAACCTTGTCTCACTGAGACCTCCGCCTCCCAGGTTCAAGCAATTCTGTTGCCTCAGCCTCCCAAGTAGCTGGGACTACAGGCGCCTGCCACCATGCCCTGCTAATTTTTGTATTTTCAGTAGAGATAGGGTTTCACTGTGTTGGTCAGGCTGGTCTTGAATTCCTGACCTCGTGATCCACCCGCCTTGGCCTCCCAAAGTGCTGGGATTACAGGCATAAGCCACCACGCCCGGCCTTCTGGTGTGAAACATTTTACAGTATAAATACTATAATTTAGTCATTTTCTTATTGGTAGGCTTTCTAAACTGTTTTTTTTTTTTGAGCTATTAAAACGATGCTACAATAAAGAGACATGTACAAAGATGTTTAGGCATACAGGGGAGTATCTCAAACAAAAACTAGAAACAAAAATAGGTGGGTCAAAGGGAAGACTCCATTTTCAACTATCCTGCCTAAAGAGCTCCTTGAGGTGCTTAGAAGCTGGCAGGGTAAAGCAGTCAGTATAGCAAGTGGGAAAGATGAATAAAAGAATTTGATGTACCTCAGGACTACCAAAGTAAGGTTATGCCCCTGAAGTCCACACCATGCTGAGTGGGCCGGGGTTGTAAACTCAGACACCAAAGCTTTGCATAAGGTCTAACTGATGGGTGAATTCATTAAATTTCACCTGTTTACCTGCATGGGAACCTGGACTTCTGCTGAGAGGAGAAATGGAGAGGGCCCCATGGCCCTCGGTGCTGGTGGGACCCAAAGCAGAATCAGAGGAGCAGGTATAAGAATTGAAGGCAGGAAACTGCTGTAGATTCTCGAGGGGAATGTGGACTTCTGGGTCTGCAAAGGAAAGATAACCCTTGTAAACCCATTTACAGAATTCAATTTTTTTTTTTTTTTTTTGAGATGGGGTCTCACTCTGTCACCCAGGCTGGAGTGTAGTGGTACGATCTCTGTTCACTGCATCCTCTGCCTCCCAGGCTCAAGCGATCCTCCCACCTCAGCCTCCCGAGTAGCCGGGACCACAGGCACGTGCCACCACACCTAGCTAATTTTTTGAATTTTTAAAGAGATGAGGTTTCACCATGTTGTCCAGCCTGGTCTTGAACTCCTGAGCTCAAGTGATCTGCCCACCTTGGCCTCCCAAAGTGTTGGGATTATAGACGTGAGCCACCACACCTGGCCTGAATTTTTCAAATAGTTTCCAACAGTTGAGGACATCACACATGCGTACCCCCAAAGGTCTAGAGGATGCAGACAAAAGCTAAAACCCAAATTTACAATAACTGTCCTTCTATAATGTCTTTAATATAGTTAACCTTGTTCTAACTATTCATAATTGAGGCTGGGTAACAAACATGCAGGTTAATTACATTGTTCTACTTGTCTTGATATTTCCATAATAAAAAGGTGAAAACAAAAAATCCTATTCCTGAAATATCAGTTTTCTCAAAGTTCAGGACATGTGCCAAACACCTACACGGTGTTGGGACCCCAAGTATACACTTGTCCCACTTGAGATATAAAATGTATGTTTCCATGCCATATGGAGTCAAAACACCGAAGTCCTTTTCTGGGCCAAGGACTCAGTTCCTTGTGTTCTAGTGGATAATGGGACCTCAGGTCACACTAATCCCCTGGATTCAATGAAACTTATTTTGGAGAACCAGATCAAAAGGCTGTGCTTACTGCTACGAAAGATCTCTTAAATCCAACTTCCTGCATTTCCTAGTCTATCAAAATTTCCATCTTATCAGACCCACCTGGCAGACTTGCTGTGTATAGCTGGTCCCTTTAATAAAGAGTCAGAGGTAAGGTCAGTGATCCAGAGAGCATGGGGAACGATGGCCCCCAGCATTCTTAGCGAAGCCCCAATTCCCATCTCTGGAACAGGTGTATATCACCCACTATTACCAAGGCTGAATTTCCTCTTAATCCTTACTATGTGCTAGGCACTTTGACCCATATTAACTCATTATATTTGCAAGCAAGCCTATTAAGGAGGTGCTCTCATGATTCACATTTAAAAGTTGAAGAAAACAAGTGGCTAAGGTCTGGCTCCCAGGTCCCAGACACAGAGTTCTATACAACGACGTACAGCAGTGCTAGTCAAAGATGAAAGTTCCTGAACTTACACTTGCCCTGTTTCTTGTTCTCCTCTATCTCAATCCTGCGCTCTCGGCGGCGTTCCTCCCGAGCCTTCTTTTGGCGCTGACGTTTCCTCTTCTCAATGTCATCTGCAGATTGGTCAGGTTGTAAAGAGGTAGACCCAGGACAACATGGTCATTACCTCCTCCCAGTATTAGCAGCTAAACCCACAACAGTAGGCCCAGCTGGACTAGATGAACAGATGAAGTGTTTAGGAGGTACTAAGACTCATGATACAGTTCCATAAGTTTCCTCCCCCACTGGGTGTCTAGCCACAAGAATCCCTGAACCCTACTATAAAGAGAAGCAGAGCAGGGGCATTCTCACCTGAGAACATCTCTAGGGTTTCCTTAGAGACCACAGGAGGTTGCAAAGCCAGTTCACAGATGCTGAACTCACAGGTGAGTGGCAAGTGAGAGAGATATCTGTGACGCTGTCGAACATCCTACATTGGAAAAAGGACCAATACTCAACAAAAGCAAGCCTAACTCTGAAAGCAGGGGGTCCTAACCCCGATATCCAACAATATATACATAACACAGCCAGCACTGGGGCTGGAAACAGTAGTGCTCAATTATCCTCATTTTGAAAAGCCAAAGAGAAACTGTCAACCTACAGCAAGGTGGAATAAGCAACCAAATCCAGTTATTTTTGGTTTGTACTGCAAAGGAGTGAACTGAGTCCAGCAACAAATAATCTAAAGCCCATCAGCTGTTTCTGATTTTTTCAAGGCCCCACAGCTGAGGGGGACGAACAGAGAAGATAAAGTTATTTGTTGGCAGAAAAACAGAACAGAAAAAAACCTGGGAACCACTGACAGAATAAATAACTGGGAAGGAAGATAAAGCAGATCTCCCTATTGAAAGACACTTGGCCTGAAATAGTAGAAAATGAAGCCCAATTTTTTTTTTCTGAGACATGGTCTTGCTCTGCCGCCCAGGCCAGCTCACTGCAGACTTGATCTCCCCAGCTCAGGTGATCCTTCTGCCTCAGCCTCCTGAGGAGCTGGGACAACAGGTGCACATCATCATACCCAGCTAATTTTTTTTTGTATTTTTTGTAGAAATGCCCTGGCTGGTCTGAAACTCCTAGCCTCAAGCAATCTGCCTGAGTAGGCCTCCCAAAAGTGCTGGGATTACAGGTGTGAGCTACCACATCCAGCCCATTTATTTTCATTTCTATTCTTTTTCTGCATATGTTTGATGAAAAATTTATAGTACTCAAAGAGTCTAATTTTAAATCTTACAACAAATTTGTGACATTTCTCCCAAGCAATAAGGAGGATAAGAAACAAAAATAAACTCCATCTTAAATAAAAGAAATATCTATATCCCCAAACTACAATCAATGAACCAGAGAAGCAGGGAACAGCATTAACTGATTTAACAGAACCCTGGCATGCTGAGGGGACACTTCACTTACAAAGAATTCACAGCACCATCACTGACAGAAAGACTAAAAATACAAAAACTAAAGGCCTTGAAGGTTTGTGAACTTAGGATGGCTAGGCCTACCTCAAAGAGATTAGGTTAATACTGCTGCCTGACCCTCCATTTCTACAGGAAGGCCTCACCTCAGACATGGAGTAGCCAGCAATCTCCACCACAGTTGCTGAGATCTTCTCGGGGCTCCTCTCCAGGCTGCCGTACTCCCGCACGAGGCAGCGCACATTCACAGGGTGCAGGAACATATGCTGTCCATCTTCCGCTGAGGACAAGGGGCTCTATCACACACCAGTCTTGGCCAGTCCCCAGGAGGCTCCCCACCCCTCCCCATGCCCAAGGGCTCAAGCCACCCAAGCCACAGGATCTAGTGGCGCTCCTCTGCTTAGAGCACCGGGTCACCTCTGAAACACCTCTGCGGCAACCCAGCCCTCTCTTCCGGCACCCTCACCTTGGTAAAAGTAGTAACAAGGAGAGCTGCTGAGGCGTGTGAAGCCTGACTTGGTGATGGGTTCCTGCTGGCTGGACTCAGTGCAAATGGTCCCCTCTTTAAGATTGTCATCTGCTAACTCCAAGTCATCACAGGCCTCTGGCAACCCCTCAGGCTCTGGTTCAGACACTGCTTCCTCCTCTTCTACCAGAGGGAGAGCAAGAGGTCTAGAAGGAGTGTCCAGAGAACAAACTTCCGTGGTTTCTTCATCGAAGGCAGACAGATACTCCAGCACACCCTGTTGCAGCAAACTCTAAGTCAACAGAAAGGATATCTCCTGCTTTCCGAAAGCAATGTGGCAAATGCAGACCTAAGAGCCAAGCTCCCTAGATGTTTATCTTAGCTGTCGTGTTCACTGATTTAACACCCCTGGGGAAAGAACTAATAACAAGCATACAGAAAATACTCATTGTCCCCTCTTCTCTTGAGAAGGTTTAGATCTCACAGTAATGCCTACCAGCTCAATGACAGCATTTGAGGAACGGCAGCCACTTAGTAACAGGAACACACTAACCTTCCTGGGTTGAAAAACAGACTCCTTCGCCAAGGGAGCCATCAGCACCAGTTGTTCCAGAGCAGCCACAACACCAGTGACCTCCCTTCTGCTTCCGGCCAATCCCGACAGAGCCTCTTCCCGAGTCTAACGTGGCCAGAGAGAACACCAGAGAAGGTTAAGTTTCCAGACACACACTTAGCTTGAAGGGCAAGGGCTTAGAATGGCCTCTCAACAGGACCAAAAGTTAAAAGGCAATGAGACCCAATGGGAAGGAATTAGGTGCTTAAATATCTCAACTTTGAGGGAAACAGGAAGCAAAAAGCATGCAATACCCACTAAGGATTGGAATCTGCTTAGAATCTGACACTGGGGAGTGTAAATTAGTTCAATCATTGTGGAAGACAGTGTGGTGATTCCTCAAAGACCTAAAGACAGAAATAAAATTTCACCCAGCAATCCCATTACTGGGTATATAGCCAAAGGAATATAAATCATTCTACTGTAAAGACACATACGGCCAGGTGTGGTGGCTCATGCCTGTAATCCCAGCACTTTGGGAGACTGAGGTGGGCGGATCACCTGAGGTTGGAAGTTCAAGACCACCCTGACCAACATGGAGAAACCCCATCTCTACTAAAAATACAAAATAACCCAGGCATGGTGGGGCATGCCTGTAATTCCTGCTACTCAGGAGGCTGAGGCAGGAGAATCACTTGAACCTTGGAGGCAGAGGTTGTGATGAGCCGAGATCACGCCACTGCACTCCAGCCTGGGCAACGAGAGCAAAACTCTGTCTCAAAAAAAAAAAAAAAAAAAAGAAAGAAAGAAAAAGAAAAACCAAATATCGCACACATGTTCTCACTTCTAAGTGGGAGCTAAATGATGAAACATGGACACATAGAGGGGAACACACACTGAGGCCTATCAGAGGGTGGAGAGTGGGAGGAGGGAGGGGATCAGGAAAAATAACCAATGGGTACTAAGCTTAATACCTGGGTGAAAATCTGTATAACAAACCCCCATGACACAGGTTTACCATGTAACAACCTGCATTTGTACCCCTGAACTTAAAAGTTAAAAAAAATAAAAGAGAATCTGACACAAACAACACTATACAAAAAACTTCCAGAACAGAAATCTAAGAACATGAAACTAACCTAGTTTTTACAAACTATGCTCAGACAGAGGTCCAGAGTAGTAGGAAGGATTTAGCTAACTCCACCTCAGCCTGGACAGCTCTAATTCTATGTAGCCTTTCTTATGCCTGTAATGGCATTTGAACAAATACGGCTGCAACGTATTATAGAAAGAAAGCAAAAGTTAAATACACAGGACTCTACCCAAGGAGCCCTTGGGAGTCAGGGAGAAGGGAATTCAAATACCAGCTGCATCCCTTACTAGCAAATTACCCAACCCAGGATTCAGTTTCCTCATCCATGAAAGGGGATAGTTCTATCTACCACACTAGAAGCTTAAGTGAGATAAATGTGTATAGCACAAGTCCTATCAAATGCTGATCACTCAATAAATATGGGCTTCTATTGCTCTAAGCTAGATCAGTGGTTCCAGGAGTGTGGTCTGGGGATGAGCAGCCATCAGAATCACCCTAGAACTTGTTATATGCAAATTACTGAGCCTACTGAGCTTAACCTATGCAATCAATATCTCAAAGTGGGACCTAACAACCAGTGGTTGTGATGCTTCAAGAATCTCTGTTGTGGAAGATAAAAGACCCAGGGAATTCTGTTCTTGTGTAATTCTTGCCGTTTCAGGTACTCCTAAGGCATACTGGGCAGGCCATAATACTTTCTCCACAATGTCTTTCAAAACACCTCTAGAATAGAATCTTAAGTATTTTCCCAGAAAACAAAGAACTCTAACTTGCTTTAAGAACATAGCTAATCTAAAAAACTCCACTGTCACAATTAGTTATAAAATCATTTTGACTTGCTCCTTTCAGCTCTAGAAAGAGCTTTAAAAGCCCTAGGTTAAACCTTCTCTACTGTCATCAAACAAAGCCCAAAACAAATTGGCTTTTTTAGCCATTCTCTGCTTATTGTCTTAAATGTGGAATGGAACTAACTTAATCCCCAGCGTCCATCATCTCACCCCCGACAGAGTGAAAAGGTTTAGCATTTCTGGTTTTCACCACAGAACGCCGAGAAAGTGAAAAGGTTTAGCATCTCCAATGCATCCTCTCACCTTGAGCTCCTGGATAGCTGCCTCAATAAAGCAGGACTCGGGAGTGTGCTTCTCCTCTGCCAGCTGCTGCTCTAGTGCTACTTTCTCCTCCAGAACTACCCGGTGCAGCACCTGCTCCTTAGAGGCCAGCAGCAACTTGGAGTACTGGCTGTGCTGTTCATCTATAAGAATGCCAGCAAGATCAAAGAAATGCAACATTCAAAGCTCACGATGGTGTAGCTAAATAGGAATTTTCAAATACAGCCTTTTCTCTGGGGTGAAAATGGGGTAATTTAGCATGATTTCCTAGAAAATAATTTAACAATGGTCTTAAAATAAGGTCTGTAGCTCTGCTCTTGATATAAGAAATCTAAGAAACCCAGAGATGTAGTCAAAACTTTAGTCACGCGTTTATTGTTACAGCATTGTATGTAATATCAGAAAAGCTCAAACCAGCCAGGCACCATGGCTCACACCTGTAATCCCAGCACTTTGGGAGGTCAAGGCGGGTGGATCACTTGAGATCAAGAGTTCGAGACCAGCCTGACCAACATGGTGAAACCCCGTCTCTACTAAAGATACAAAAAAGTTAGTCGGGCCTGGTAGGGCATGCCTGTAATCCCAGCTACTTGGGAGGCTGAGGCAGGAGAATCGCTTGAACCCAGGAGGCAGAGGTCGCAGTGAGCCAAGATCATGCCACTGCATTCCAGCTTGGGCAACAAAAGCGAAACTCTGTCTCAAAAAAAAAAAAAACAAAAAAAACCACACACAGAAAAAGAAAAGCTCAAACCAACCAGTAAAACCAACAATAAAGAATAAAGAAATGGTGGACCAGCGCAGTGGCTCACACCTATAATCCCAGTACTTTGAGAGGCCAAGACAGGAAGATTGCTTGAGTTTAGAAGTTTAAGACCAAGCCAGCTGGGTGTGGTGGCTCACGTTCAGCACTTTGGGAGGCTGAGGCAGGTGGATCACCTGAAGTTAGGAGTTCGAAACCAGCCTGGCCAACATAGAGATACCCTGTTTCTATTAAAAATACAAAAAATTAGCTGGGCGTGGTGACGGGCGCCTATAATCCCAGCTACTAGGGAGGCTGGAGTAAGAAAATCGCTTGAACCCAGGAGGCAGAGGTTTCAGTGAGCCAAGATCGCACCATTGCACTCCAGCCTGGGCAACAAGTGCAAAACTCTGCCTCAAAAAATAAAATTAAAAAAAAATAACACCAGGCGGAGTACGGTGGCTCACACCTGTAATCCCAGCACTTTGGGAGGCTGAGGTAGGCGGATCACAAGATCAAGAGATTGAGACCATGCTGGCCAACATGGTGAAACCCCGTCTCTACTAAAAATACAAAAACTAGCCAGGTGTGGTGGTGCGTGCCTGTAATCTCAGCTACTCAGGACGCTGAGGCAGGAGAATCTCTTGAACCTGGGAGGCGGAGATTGCAGTGAGCCGGGATTGCACCACTGCATTCCAGCCTGGCAACAGAGTGAGACTCCATCTCAAAACAAAAACAAAAACAAAAAAAGCACAACACACACACACAAAAAAAACAAAAATTAGCCGGGCGTGGTGGCAGGTGCCTGAAATGCCAGCTACTCAGGAAGCTGAGGAAGGAAAATCGTTTGAACCGAGGAGGTGGAGGTTGCAGTGAGCCGAGATCACACCATTGCACTCCAGCCTGGGAAACACAGCAAGACTCCGTCTCAAAAAAAAAAAAAAAAAAAAAAAGAGTAGTTCAAGACCAGCCTATCAACATAGCAAGACCTCATCTCTGCTAAAAATAAAAATAAAAAATTAACTATACCTGCATGCCCAGTTAATTTTTTAAAATAAAAAAAATAATTTAAAATTAAAAGTTAATTTAATTAATTAAATTAATTTTAATTATTTTAATGAATTTAATTAATTAAAAGTAATTATTGCCACTGCACTCCAGCCCAGGCGACAAAGTGAGATTCCATCTCAAATAAAGGGTTAATGACATGATGGTATGTTCATTAACGAAAATTCTGTGGACACTAAAAGTGGTTTTCTTGGCCGGTCACAGTGGCTCACGCCTGTAATCCCAGCACTTTGGGAGGTAAGGCGGGCAGATCACTTGAGCTCGGGAGTTCGAGACTAGCCTGCCAACATGGTGAAACCCCGTCTCTACTAAAAATACAAAAAAAATCAGCCAGGCATGGTGGCGGGCGCCTGTAGTCCCAGCTACTCGGGAGGCTGAGGCACGAGAATCGCTCAAACCCGGGAGGCAGAGGTTGCAGTGAGCCAAGATCATGCCACTGCACTCCAGCCTGGGTGACAGAGCCAGACTCTGTCTCAAAAAAAAATATATATATACATATTATATTATATATCTATAAATAAAATAAAAATAAAATTTATCAGTCTTTTACAGCATCTATCATTTCAGCCTGGTTCAAAAATCCACCCATATCTGAGGATTTTTTTTTAATTAATACACATTTTTAATGTTTTAAGTTGCTAAACATTTAAACAGTCAAAATCACTAGGAAAAAAATATTACACACACACATTTACCACCCAAATGAGAACACACAATCCTTCAGACAGATGCACATCTGAGGATTTATAAAGAAATTGTCCTATATTTTCTTTTAAATAAAAAGGTTAAAACTTTTGGATTTTTTACATTTACTTCTTCAATCTATCTGGAATTAATTTCATGAATGGTATGAAATAGGAATCTAATTTTATTTTTTCCTTAGGGAGAATCAATTGTTTCAATACCATTTATTGAGAAATCTATCTTTTCCCCAGAGACTGAAATGCTATTTTAATCAAATGCTCATTTCTGCATGAAACACAGGGAATACATCTCTGGCATTCATTGTGAGCACTTATCACACTCTTTATCCTAATGGCCAGTCTACCAGTCTGTCTCTTCTATCGGACTACTGAGTTTCTTGACGACAGGCACCAAGACTGGCTGACCACAGAACCTCTAAGATTGGGCACAGTGAAAGACACTATGTAATAAAACCTTGTAAAATGAAAAATTAGGATGTATAGATTAAACAAACTTGAAACCAATAATTAATCTACTCTCTACAAACCCCACCCTAACCTACTGGAATCCTATGACTAATATGAACATGCCAGATGTGCCCTGCCCAAAGGCTTCACTTTCTGATGCTTAGATATATTCAATCACCTTAAAGAATGTACCCAGGATTATTTGTCCCCAAAATTTAAAGAACTCACCTCCTAGATGAATGGGATGGTCTACATTCATCCATTTGGATTTGGGCAAAGCCACCAACACCCCTTTCTCCCTCTTCATCAGCTGCATCGTAATGGTATCACCAACAACATACTGATGTGACTCTGTGGCAACAACACTGAAACATGGACACTCATATGTAGCAGGGCAAGGAGTGAAGAGATTGGGATCTAACTGAGTAAATGTCTCAATCTCACCTCTTGAGATCCTTCTTATGCACAGAACTGTAACAGATGGGACATTTACTCCACGTCTTCTCACTCAGTGAAAGATAGTGCAGGATGCATGCCCAGCAGAAGATGTGTCCACAACGGGTTATCTTGGCTGCAGTAGGTGGATAGAGGCATATTGGGCAAGATGGCACTTCATGGCTACAAATGCGCTGAAACAAAATGCCACCAGAAGGTTCACTGCTTGAAGAACTGATTAGGGACTGTCAAAGTTTTAGGCCTCTCTACTCTCTCATCCGCATCTCTCTCATCTCTATCCCCGTACATCCTTATACTCAACATATCTTTCTAAAATTGTTTACAACGTAGGTACATGTATGATCATTTTTTTCTTTTTTTTTTTTTTTTGAGACGGTCCATCTCCTTGGTTCACGCCATTCTCCTGCCTCAGCCTCTGGAGTAGCTGGGACTACAGGCGCCTGCCACCACGCTCAGCTAATTTTTTAGTAGAGACGGGGTTTCACTGTGTTAGCCAGGATGGTCTTGATCTCCTGACCTTGTGATCCGCCCGCCTCGGCCTCCCAAAGTCCTGGAATTACCGGCGTGAGCCACCGCGCCTGGCTTTGTATGATAGCTCTTTAAGCAAAGCATCAAGGAAACCATAATAACCGTTAAATATAATAAAACTAATACACAACAGGTATGTTGGGGGTTCTACATTAAATAGAAAAAAGTGACAAATCACTATATTCCCATTTATAAAAAAACTTAATATGTATGCATAAAGGCCTAAAAAGGGTCTAGAAGTAATCTACCAGTAACTTCCAACAAAGAACGCATTAAAAAGACTTCATTTTTTTTTAATAAAACTTAAGTTTTTATGCTATGTCATTCTCAGATGATTTTATACATTTTCACAGTAGTGAGAGTTCAAGCTTTTTTTTTTTTTTTTTTTTTTTTTTTGAGACGGAGTCTCACTCTGTCACCCAGGCTGGAGTGCAGTGGCGCCATCTCGGCTCACTGCAAGCTCCATCTCCCGGGTTCACGCCATTCTCCTGCCTCAGCCTCCCAAGTAGCTGTGACTACAGGTACCCGCCACTGCGCCGGGCTAATTTTTTTTTTTAGTAGAGACGGGGTTTCACCGTGTTAGCCAGGATGGTCTCGATCTCCTGACCCCGTGATCCGCCCGCCTCAGCCTCCCAAAGTGCTGGGATTATAGGCGTGAGCCACCGCGCCCGGCGAGAGTTCAAGCTTTAAGGTCAAAAGCCCCTGCTCATAAAGAAAAAGTGCCCATCATTTTGAAATTATTATTCTTCAACAGATACCCTACTAGGACCAACAAGGGGATACCTAGAGTTTATAACTTCAGTAGAAAACACATCAGTGGCTTTGAAAGTGCAACTGAAGCTGGGCGTGGTGGCTCACGCCTGTAATCCCAACACTTTGGGAGGCCGAGACAGGTTGATCACTTGAAGCTGGGAGTTTGAGACAAGCCTGGACAACACGGTGGAACCCCGTCTCTAATGAAAATACAAAAATTAGCCAGGCATAGTGGTGCACGCCTGTAATCCCAGCTACTCAGGAGGCTGAGGCATGAGAATTGCTTGAACCCAAGAGGTGGAGGTTACAGTGAGCCAACATCGCGCCACTGCACTCCAGCTGGGGCGACAGAGCAAGACTGTCTCAAAAAAAAAAAGAGGCCAGGTACGATGGCTCATGCCTGTAATCCCACCACTTTGGGAGGCCAAGTCGGGAGGATCACCTGAGGTCAGGAATTCAAGACCAGCCTGACCAACATGGAGAAACCCCATCTCTACTAAAAAAAAATACAAAAAAAAATTAGCTGGGAGTGGTGGTGCGTGCCTGTAGTCCCAGTTACTCGGGAGGCTGAGGCAGGAGAATCGCTTGAACCTGGCAGGCAGAGGTTGCAGTGAGCCAAGATTGCACCACTGTACTCCAGCCTGGGCAACAAGAGCGAAACTCCGTCTCAAAAAAAAAAAAAAGTACAACTGGGCCAGATAGAGTGGCTCACGCCTGTAACCCCAACACTTTGGGAGGCCAAGGTGGGTGGATCACTTGCAGTCAGGAGTTCAAAAACAGCCTGGCCAACAAGGTGAAACCCCGTCTCTACTAAAAATACAAAAATTAGCCAGGCGTGGTGGCGGGTGCCTGTAATCCCAGCTACTCAGGAGGCTGAGGCATGAGAATTGCTTGAACCCTGGAGGCAGAGGTTGCAGTGAGCCAAGATCACACCACTGTACTCCAGCCTGGGCAACAGAGTGAGACTCTTTCTCAAAAAAGAAAAGTACAACTGTGTGGCTCATTCATGTGCCTCCCTGCCACAAGGCTGAGGCCTACTTTGATAGTGATTGCTACGAATGGCTGCCAATGAAGCAATGGCCCTGTAATGAGCCCAACCCAGATCAGGAGGGTAAGGGGTTACTACTTCCCAGCTTACACATCTTCAGATCAGAGCCTTTCATACACCATCCCTACAGGCCAGAGCCAATTAGTCACAAAATGGACTCCAGGAAGAACCAGGAACTGACCTCTGGGAAACATCTATAGAAAGGCCAGGCAGAAAAGGGTATCAAGCAGTGCACACAGCCAACAGCTGCTGCGTCACCACAGTGCCTTTATTTAGTGCTCCCATTCATAGCTTATGGGCTTGGCTGAGCTACTCACCACTTGTTCCACAAAGTCCCAGTTAACTAATGTATCAGGATCAGCAAAATGAGCTGTGTAGTCTTGGTCTTCAGACACCACAAATTGGCAGCTAGAAATAGGAAAGACAGGAAAAAGCTAGACTGTCAGGATCTACCAATAAACCCTCAGCAGAAATTGTCATCTATTCACTTAGAAATCAAATGCAGGCCATTAGCAGCCCTGGTTCATGAGGCACTGCACTAGGACCTCAGCCTCAGTTCTGAGCTCCAGCTCTGGAAAGAACCCAAAGACTCAGCAGGCAGAAGTCTAAATCCATGAACTGTTTTCTTCTGCTTCAAGTCCAGCCAAATTCCCCAAAGGCATCCCTTGAACTAAAATTAACCTAGACCGTGACTCCATCAAACAGCAGTAAGCCAGATTTCCTCTCTCACCCCTTAGAACCCCAGAAAATGGCTAGTCTTCAAGGCAGTTGAAAAGACTGTTCTCGGCCAGGCACAGTGGCTCACACTTGTAATCCCAGCACTTGGGGAGGCCAAGGTGGGTGGATCACTTGAGGTCAGGAGTTAGAGACCAGCCTGGCCAACAGGGTGAAACCCCATCTCTACTAAAAATAGAAAAATTAGGCCAGGCATGGTGGCTCACACCTGTAATCCCAGCACTTTGGGAGGCCGAGGCAGGTGAATCACGAGGTCAGGAGATCAAGACCATCCTGGCTAACACGGTGAAACCCCGTTCTACTAAAAATACAAAAAAAATTAGCCGGGCATGGTGACACGCGCCTGTAGTCCCAGCTACTTAGGAGGCTAAGGCAGGAGAATCACTTGAACCTGAGAGGCAGAAGCTGCAGGGAGCCGAGATCACGCCACTACACTCCAGCCTGGGCGACAGAGGGAGACTCTGTCACCAAAAAAAAAAAAAAAACAGAAGACTGTCATTAGTATTTGAAACCAGTTCATCAGTTCATATAAAGTACAAAACGGTTACTTCAGTCTAGATCCAAAGTCAAATCTTCAATTATGACTAGGGCCACACAAAAGGAAACAAAAGGGGATCATATTTGAGCAAATGTATGCCAAGCACTTCAACTTGTCATTCAATTGTCTCTTAAGAAATTTTCTCTTCCTGGTTGGGTGCCGTGGCTCACGCCTGTAATCCCAGCACTTTGGGAGGCCGAGGCGGGTGGATCATGAAGTCAGGAGATCAAGACCATCCTGGCTAATACGGTGCAACACCATCTCTACTAAAAATACAAAAACAAAATTAGCCAGGGGGTGGGCGCCTGTAGTCCCAGCTACTCGGGAGGCTGAGGCAGGAGAATGGCATGAAGCTCCGGGAGGTGGAGCTTGCAGCGAGCTGAGATCGTGCCACTGCACTCCAGCCTGGGTGACAGAGCAAGACTTTGTCTCAAAAAAAAAAAAAAAAAAAGAATTCCTCTTCCTGGCTGGGCATGGTGGCTCATGCTTGTAATCCCAGCACTTTGGGAGGCCGAGGCAGGTGGATCACGAGGTCAGGAGTTTGAGACCAGCCTGGCCAATATGGTGAAACCCCGTCTCTATCAAAAATAAAAATAAAAAAATTAGACGGGGGTGGTGGTATGCACCTGTAGTCCCAGCTATTCGGGAGGCTGAGGCAAAAAAATCACTTAAACCCGGGAGGCAGAGGTTGCAGTGAGCCGAGATCACGCCACCGCACTCTAGCCTGGGTGGCAGAGCGAGACTACATCTCAAAAAAAAAAAAAAAAAAAAAAAAAAAAAAAAAAAAAAAAAAAAAAAAAAAAAAAAAAAAAAACCTTTCCTCTTCCTTATAAAGGAGAGGCTAAATCTCAAAGCTGTTAAGTTACTTAAGGTCAAAGGCCGAAACAAGATTCAAATCTAGGTCCAATTCCAAACATGTTTTCTACCTTATCATGATACTAAGTTATTTAAGCATTATATTAAGTACCAAAAACATCCACCTGGAAAGTGGGTAAAAGAAAGGAAGGGCGGGGCAGTGGTGAACAGAAAAAGAACGAGACCAATTCCCTTTCTGCTTCTTTCCCACAATAGCTTAAAAAAAGCCTCTCACAGAGGCACCACAGCTATCCGGAGAGTCCTACTTTCCCTTTCCTCTGAGGGGTAGCAATACTCACTTGGCCTGTAAAAAGAGTTCCTTGTTAAAAGGCTTATGTCCCCACTTGTTCCTCTTTCCCCAGCTACCATGTCCACTGCCTTCAAAGTGACCCGTCTGGCCACGGGGTTCAAAAGTGAAATTCAACAAGTGGTTCAGGTTGATCTTCTTAGGACCAGAGAACTGGGCAGGGCTAAACTCTGCCCGTTGAGCCTCTGCTACCTAGAGAGAATGAGAATGAATCAGTATTTCAGATTAGGATGACACTGATTTATAGCAGAAACCCAAAAAAAACCCTCCTTTTACACAGCTTTTTTTTTTGAGACGGAGTCTTACTCTGTCATCCAGGCTGGAGTGCAATGGCACGATCTTGGCTCACTGCAACCTCTGCCTCCCAGGTTCAAGTGACTCTCCTGCCTCAGCCTCCTGAGTAGCTGGGATTACAGGCGTGTGGGATTAAACCACACCCAGCTGATTTTTGTATTTTTAGTAGAGACAGGGTTTCGCCATGTTGACCATGCTGGTCTCCAACTCTTGACCTCAGGTGATCCACTCACCTCAGCCTCCCAAAGTGCTGGGATTACAGGCATGAGCCACCTCGCCCGGCCAGGAAGAGGAATTTTTTTTTTTTTTTTTTGAGACAGAGTCTCACTCTGTCACCCAGGCTGGAGTGCAGTGGCGCGACCTCAGCTCAAAAAAAAAAAAAAGTATGTAGCATTTCCTCTTATGCAGTCTTCCTCCTAAGATGTGCCTGCTTCCCGTTCTCCCGCTGTAAGTTCCCTGAGGGCTCCCCAGCCATGTTTCCTGTACAGCCTGCAGAACTGTGAGTCAATTAAGCCACTCTTTTTCATAAATTACCCAGTCTCAGGTAGTTCTTAATAGCAATGAGAGAATGGAGTAATACAGTCTTTAAAAATAAATACAAAGCTAGGCAACGGTAATGCACACCTGCACTCTCAGCCACTCAGGAGGCTGAAGAGGGGCACTTGAGCCCAGGAATTCAAGGTTGCAGTGCACTATGATACACCTGCAAATAGCCACTGCACTCCAGCCTGGGCAACAGGGTGAGATTCTGTGTCTAAAAAATAAAATCTAAAATTTAAAAATAAAATCAGGATGGGTGACCAGGAATAGTAGCTCATGCCTGTAATCCCAGCTCTTTGGGAGGCTGAGGTAGGCGGATCACCTGAGGTCAGGAGTTCAAGACCAGCCTGGGCAATATGGTGAAACCCCATCTCTACTGAAAATAAAAAAAAAAACTAGCCGGGTGCAGTGGCAGGTGCCTGAAATACCAGCTACTCGGGAGGCTGAGGCAGGAGAATCGCTTGAACCCGAGAGGCAGAGGTTGCAGTGAGCCAAGATCACACCATTGCACTCCAGCCTGGCATCAAGAGCAAAACTCCATTTCAAAAAAAAAAAAAAAAAAAAAACACTAGGATGGGCGCAGTGGCTCACATCTATAATCCCAGTGCTTTAGGAGGCCAAGGAGGGAGGATCATTTGAGGCCAGGAGTTTGAGACCAGTCTAGACAACACAGGGATCCCATGTCTCTACAAAAAATTTAAAAATTAGCCAGGCTTAGTGATGCATGCCTGTGGTCCCATCTACTTGGAAGGCTGAGGTGGGAGGATAATTTGAGCCCAGTAGGTCAAGGCTGCAGTGGGCCACAATCATGCCACTGCACTCCAGCCTGGGCGACACCACAAGACCCTGTCTCAAAAATAATAAATTAAAAATAATTAAATACAACTGGTGGTATACCATCCAGTCAGATAACTTCCTTTTTTATATTAACAACCAAGCTTAAAAATAACGCCGCATTCTGGGCCGGGTGTGGTGGCTCATGCCTGTAATCCCAGCACTTTGGGAGGCTGAGGCGGGCGGATCACGAGGTCAGGAGATCGAGACCACCCTGGCTAACACAGTGAAACCCTGTCTCTACTAAAAATACAAAAAATTAGCTGGGCATGGTGGCGGGCACCTATAGTCCCAGCTACTCGGGAGGCTGAGGCAGGAGAATGCCGTGAATCCAGGAGGCAGAGCTGGCAGTGAGCCGAGATCACGCCACTGCACTCTAGCCTGGACGACAGAGCGAGACTTCGTCCAAAAAAAAAAAAGCAAACAAAAAACAAAAAAACGCCACATTCTCCACATTCTGTTTGCTTGTGCAACACAGGAAGCCCAAGACTTCCAGGTCATCCCTTATTTTTCATCTCCACATGGCTCTGATCTCTTTAATCAAACGGTCTTCCACCCTTAATGCCCCAAACTTAGATCTAAGAGCTTGTGCTCAGTCAACAAAATCCTCCACATTCTCAACCTTTTATCATCTTCAGCTTGTCCTAGCTGGCCCACTGTCACTTTCTCTGACGCCACTCATACTTCCTGATTATCCTCGCAATACCCTGAACTCCAGGTCCTTGACCTCCTCTCTTCCAATTAGCTTGCCCCTCCCATCTCAGCCAACCACACCTACAGGTTTCCGTTCTACAGCTGTAATGTCCAACACAGCAGCCAGTAGCTACATGTAGCTACTAAGCACTTGAAATGTGGCTGTACCACGTGGTAAACTTTTAGATTTTAGATATATTGAATTTAATATATTAAACATATTAAAATGGACTTTTTACTTCTCTAGCGCAGGCAGCTAGAAAATGTATGATTACACACATGGCTTGATCTATTAGACAGGAGTGTTCTATAGTCTAGACCAACAACCACAACCTCTTCCACTATCTTAACTTTGAGCATTCTGTTGTCCAGACCGGAATACACTCCTTCCCCAGGTTTAGTCCTGACTCCAACAATTCTTTACCCCCACTAGGACCTCCAAATCAATGATCCAACCCCTCAGATTTGGCTTAGATCCTGTGGTCCACTGCCCACTTCCTTTTTTAAATTTTTATTTATTATTTATTTATTCACTTATTTATTTGGAGATGGAGTCTTGCTCTGTCGCCCAAGCTGGAGTGCAGTGGTGCGATCTCAGGTCACTGCACCTTTCACCTTCTGGGTTCAAGCAATTCTCCTGCCTCAGCCTCCCAAGTAACTGGAATTACAGGCACCTGCCATCACGCCCGGTTAATTTTTGTATTTTTAGTAGAGACAGAGTTTTGCCACATTAGCCAGGCCCGTCTCAAACTCCTGGCCTCAGGAGATCCACCCTCCTTGGCCTCCCAAAGTGCTGGGATTACAGCTGTGAGCCACTGCGCCCGGCCCCATCACCCACTTCTTCATATATCTGCTGTATTCACCTGGCAAAACCTTCCCCTGATTAATTCAACTCTTTTCCTATTCCACATCAGCCCTGCAGCAGACAAACAGGGCTAACAAATACAACCACAGCAACCAGCCTCACCACAGTAGACCCTCATGTGCCTGGAAGTACTACAATCCTAGTACGCTTCTGCAGTCCATTCATTCCCTCACTTTCCCAGACAACTCCTTCACTCCTCAGGCTTCCAAATCTCCTCTTGGCTCACCTTAGATATTCCACTGAGAAAATTAGAACAATCAGAAAAGAATTCCAACTACCTCCGAACCCACCTCCATCACCAGGCCTTCCTTTTGTTACTGGGGATGAACTGGTAGAGTTCCTATCTAAGACAACTGCTCCACTTCTCACTAGATCTCAAGGACTCAAGGACATTGCTCAGCAATTCTCTCCCTTTTCCCCACATCACTTTGCCTCTCACCAGGACCATCCCATGAGCACAGACATGTTATCATTTCCCTAATCTTAAAATCCCTCAGCCGGGCGCGGTGGCTCATGCCTGTAATCCCAGCACTTTGGGAGGCCGAAGCGGGCGGATCACAAGGTCAGAAGATCGAGACCACCGTGGCTAACACGGTGAAACCCCGTCTCTACTAAAAATACAAAAAAAATTAGCCGGGCGTGGTGGTGGGCTAATAGTCCCAGCTGTAGTCCCAGCTACTCGGGAGACTGAGGCAGGAGAATGGCGTGAACCCAAGAGCGGAGGTTGCAGTGAGCCGAGATTGCGCCACTGCTCTCCAGCCTGGGGGGACAGAGCGAGACTCCATCTCAAAAAAAAAAAAAAAAGAAAGAAAAAAAATCCCTCAAGCTCATATTCCCTTCAAGCACCGCCTCACATCTCTGCTCCCCTTTAGAGCAAAGCCACTGAAAAGTACTGTGTAAATTTGCTGTTTCTTCTTCCCATCCTCCTATTCTCTCCAATCTACATGCCATTTTCAAATCGAATGGTCAACTTTCAGTCCTATTCTTAACCTATCAGCAACACTTGACAAAACTGATCACCTTCTGCAACACCTTTCAGCAATTTTCCTCCCGCCCTGACTGTGCTCTCTTCTGCTGGTTTCTTATCCAGACTCAGAGGTTCAGTTCTTGAACCTAATCCGTTTTTGGAACACTCACTCCTTAATCTATCTCACTTAGTTCCACAGCTTTAAGCACCAACTGTATGCTGACAGCTCTCTAACCTGGGTCTCTTCCTTGACTGCTGATTCACAGTTAACTACCTACCTCTACTTATATTCTGCTTATATTTATCAAATAGGAATTTCAATGTACATATAACATTTCCAAACTGAAGTTCTTTATCTCAACCCTATTCCCCTCTCCCAAAAAAACTTTGTGCTCTTCTTGAAAGAATGTTCTCCATTCCAGCAAAAGGTACCTGAATTGGGCTTATGCCAAAAACATTACTCATCCTTTTCTCTGCTCAGACCCCACATCTAACAAAAAGTCTTGGCTCTATATGGAAGTAATATCTCAAATCTTAACGTCTCTCACCACCTCCATCACTCACCCTCTTTCAAAGCTTCCATCACTCTCACCAAGAATATCTTTGTAGTCTCTTAGTCTTCCTGCTTCCACTCTTCCCCTTTAAAACTCCGCATCAGGTTACCTTACTTTTCTCCTTAAACCTTTCAATGGCTTCTCATCTCTCTGAACAAAAGCCAAAGTCCTTCAAAGCCCCACATGATCTGATCCCTTTCCTAGTCTTTGGGTACATTTCCTACCTCTCCTCCTCCACTTACGGTAGCCTACTTGCTTTACCTCAAACCAATAAACGCACTACCACCTCCCGTCCCTTGCATGTGCTATTCCTTCAGGCTAAGACACTCTTCCTCAAAACCATGTAACATGGCCAGGTGTGGTGGCTCATGCCTGTAATCCCAGCACTTTGGGAGGCCAAGATGAGAGGATTGCTTAAGGCCAGGAGTTCAAGAGCAGCCTAGACAACATAGTAAGATCCACTCTCTAAAAAAGAAAAAGAAAAAAATTAGCCAGGCATGGTGGCATGCACCTGTATTTCCAGCTACTCAAAGCTGAGGTGGGAGGATCACTTGAGCCCAGGAGGTCAAGGCTGCAGTGAGCCATGATCATGCCAATGTACTACAGAGCAAGACCATCTTAAAACAGAGCAAGACCATCTTAAAACAACCATATAGTGTGCTCCCTTGCTTCTTTTAGGTCTCTCTCAAAATCCACCTCCTCAGAGAAGGTGTCTTTAAAGCACCTTCTAAAACTGTTTTCCTTGTTACTCTCTATCCCTTTACTTCCCTCAGTCTATATTTTTTTTATCTGTCTTATTCTATCATAATTGCATGGTATGAAACGTAATTTACTCTATCAGTCTCTTGTAGATAGGCATTTAGGTTATTTCCCAATTTCGCAACTACAAACAAAGCAGTGAATACCCTTGTACATAAATGTCTTTATGCACTTACAGAAGCATAGCTAAGAAACTCCTAAAAAAAATTTGAGACTATAGATATATGCATTTTACATTTTGCTAGATTACAAAGGCAAATGTCATTAATGTCATTTTATTACCTAAATATTCCAAAAAGTACCTCTAATTCAAGAGTGATAACAGAAAGACCATACAAATTAAGGAACCCCAAATTTGTCATAAAGGAAATTTTCCTTCCTCCAAAGAAATTTTCATAACCTTCAGGGGAAAAAAGGAGGCAAGGTTTCAAACCTGGTTAACCCTCTCGCCTACTCAAGACTGCTTTGATTATCTATTCCTCTACCTCTTGTTCCCCTTCTCAACTACTGATAAACTGGGGGACGGGGGATGGGATCAGATCTCATGCTTATGCTCTAGAAAGGACATTCTCAAATTCCATACCTCATCTCGTCTTCCACCATTAAAAGAAGAGCTAAAGAGTTTGCTGCTGCCGCCGCCCCTTTGAGGAGGCATCTTGTTAAAAGTCTTGCTTTTCTGTGAACTGGAGCGACGGGACTGGTTGTTAAAACTTTCATTTTTGGGGTAGGAAAGTTCACGTTTGCGATTATAACGCTTGGATCCACTGGAGTTCTTTCCATCTGAAAGCAAGAAACACAAAAGAACGTCTTAAGAAGCTGATACATTCACTTAGCCAACTGCCCTCCACCTCCCAGCAAAAAATAAGGGTGAATAGGCCCTTTGACCACCTTCAGGAATCTGGGTTTGGGCCAGAGCATGAGTGCTTTGAGCAAGACAACACATAGTAGAGTGTTTTTTTCTTGCAATAATGAAGCCTAACGGGTCCCCTCCCTCAAAACAAACACAGCGTAGATCAAACCACATGGATTCTCAATCCATAATGTCTTTACTTTACACAGCTTAACCACTGTCCTTGTAAAAGTTCAGTCAGATAAAGTTACAGGAAATGAAACAGGCATTCTGTATTAAGGAAAAGTATTTTACCTGGTAACAGGACAGAAGAGATTCCTTTTTAAATTACTATAACATAACCAGATTCTATACTACAAGGGGTTGTCCTAGGCCTTAGCAAATATATTCAAAAGGCATTAACAGCAAAACTGTGTTTACAGAAGCTCTAGAGGTCAAATTCAGAAGCTGTTAAATTGACAGAACAAAAGAAGTTGAGCTCTAAAAGCATACTGGGGGCTGGGCGCAATGGCTCACGCCTGTAATCCCAGCACTTTGGAAGGCCGAGGCAGGTGGATCACCTGAGGTCAGGAGTTTGAGACCAGCCTGGCCAACATGGTGAAACCCCATGTCTATTAAAAATACAAAAAATTAGCCGCGCATGGTGGCGGGCACCTATAATCCCAGATACTTGGGAGGCTGAGGCAGGAGAACTGCTTGAACCTGGGAGGCAGAGGTTGCAGTGAGCCGAGATCGTGCCACAGCACTCTAGCCTGGGCAAAGAGCAAGATTATCTCAAAAAAAAATTTAATTAAATAAATAAAAGCATATTGGATCAGATTGAGTCATATCCTTTTTAAAAATGGCCAGGCGCGGTGGCTCATGCCTGTAATCCTAGCACTTTGGGAGGCCGAGGTGGGCGGATCACGAGGTCAGGAGATTGAGACCATCCTGGCTAACACAGTGAAATCCTGTCTCTACTAAAAATCCAAAAAAAAAAAAAAAAATTAGCCGGGCATGGTGGCGGGCACCTGTAGTCCCAGCTACTCGGGAGGCTGAGGCAGGAGAACGGCGTGAACCCCAGGAGGCAGAGCTTGCAGTGAGCTGAGATCGTGCCACTGCACTCCAGCCTGGGTGACAGGGCGAGACTCCGTCTCAAAAAATAAAAAATAAAAATGTTTCTTGTTTTTCTCTTCAATTATAATATGTGTTCAATTCTGAAAATAGTGTAGAATAATTTAAAGTTGCCAGTACCCACAGAGCACTAACTCATTAACAGTGTTTTCCTTTTAATCTCCATTTTACATACGTGTCACAAATCTTATATAAAATGACAAGCATAGAAGATATATTGTTTTCTGCTTACTACTCTGTGAGCATTTTTATGCATCCCTAGTCTTCAGAAGCATGATTAATTGCTGTACCCTTCTTGGCCACATACTTACAGAATAATGTAACCAATCCCCCATTGTTGTATATTTAGGTGGCTTCTAATTTTTTGTTAGTTTAATATAATACCATTGGGAGTCTCTTTACACAGAGGCTTAGGTGATTATGTCAAATTCTCAAAAAGTGGAACTGACAGATAAAATATGGTCATTAAAGCCATTTACACATCCCTAGGTTGCTTTCTAGAACCGTTACACCGATTTATTTATACTCTAACAACATAATAATTACTTATGCACTTTATTTATTTAGAGACAAGGTTTTGCTCTGTCACCCAGGCTAGAGTGCAGTGGCACAATCTCGTTCACTACAACCTCCACCTCTCAGGCTCAAGCCACCCTCCCACTTCAGCCTCCTGAGCAGCTGAGACTACAGGCACTCACCACCATGTCCAGCTGATTTTTGTGTTTTTTGTAGAGACGAGGTTTGCCTTTGTTGCCCAGGCTGGTCTTAAACTCCAGAGCTCAAGTGATCCATCTGCTCGGCCTCCCAAAGTGCTGGTATTATAGGCATGAGCCAACACTCCCAGCCAATTTTTTTTTTTTTTTTTGTAGAGTTGGGGTCTCACTTTGTTACCCTGATTGGTTTCCAACTCCTGGACTCAAGCAATCCTGCCTCGGCCTTCCAAACTGTTAGGATTAAAGGCATGAACCACCATGCCTGGTTTATCTTTTTTTTGTTTTTAACAGTCTCACTCTATTGCCCAGGCTGGAGTGCAGTGGCGCAATCTCGGCTCACTGCAACCTCTACCTCCCGGGTTCCAGCAATTCTCCTGCCTTGGCCTCCCAAGTAGCTAGGATTACAGGCATGAGCCACCACGCCTGGCTAATTCTGTATTTTTAGTAGAGATGGAGTTTCGCCACATTGGCCAGGCTGGTCTCGACCTCCTGACCTCAAGTGATCCACTCACCTCGGCCTCCCAAAGTACTGGGATTACAGGCATGAGCCACCATGCCCAGCATGTTTTATTCCCCCAGGGTGGAAAGCAGTGGTGCCATCATAGCACACTGCAGCCTCAACCTCAGCTTAGCATCTTTCCAACTCAGCCTCCCAGCTAGGACTGCAGGTGTGCACCACCACACCCAGCTAATTTTTAAATTTATTTTGAGACAGGATCTTACTTTTGTCACCCAGGCTGGAGTGCAGTGGCATGATCTCGGCTTACTGCAGCCTCCAACTCCTGGGTTCAAGCAATCCTCCTGCCTCAGCCCCCCAAGTAGCTGGGACTCCAGGCATATACACCATTCTTGGCTTAATTTATATTTTTGATATAGACGGGGTTTTGCCATGTTGCCCAGATGGGTCTCAAACTCCTGAGCTCAAGCGATCCACCAGCCTCAGCCTCCCAAAGTGCTGGGATTACAGGCGTGAGCCATCAGGCCCGACCTAATTTTTAAATTTTTTTGTGCAGACGGGGGTCTCACTATGTTGCCCAGGCTGGTCTCAAACTCCTGGGCTCAGGCGATCCTCCAGGCTCAGGTGATCTTCCCACCTCAGCCTCCCAAAGTGCTGGGATTATAAGCATGAGCCATGGGGTCTGGCCCCACTTTTATCTTATTACAATGATTCTCAATCTTGCCAGTTCATAGGAATCACACAGATGAGCTTTTACGGAATTCCTATGCTCAGGCCTCACCCTCTAAGATTCTGATATAACTATACTAAAGTACCTGTCTGCAGACCTGTAATATTATCTGAGTAATTTTTTTTAAACTTAGAAAAAATTATTTCTTGGTAAGTACAATCACCAGCTTTTTATAGCAGGCTAAATAAATTCAAGGTTAAACAATGCCTCAGAAAGAAGAAAATGTAAGTTAATAAATCAGAGACCAAATTTTGAAAGCAACCACTTCACGCCCATAGTCTGTCAACCTCAC
Source organism: Homo sapiens (assembly GCF_000001405.40). Taxonomy (NCBI): domain Eukaryota; kingdom Metazoa; phylum Chordata; class Mammalia; order Primates; family Hominidae; genus Homo; species Homo sapiens. The sequence continues at coordinate 120,543,029 of NC_000012.12, read as the reverse complement.
TGTATAAATGAGATGTCATTCTCTCCAAACCTGACCACCTAAAACCTGGGAGTCAATCTAAACCATGTGAAATGGCAGCAATGTAAACAGAACAGTCACAGAAACAGGCTAGGTTCACTCCTACCAGTTACCCTTAAATCCTGCTTACGGACAGTGACCCTTACCTTAGTTACAATTTAAGGCCAGGCATGGTGGCTCCCTGTAATCCCAGCACTTTGGGAGGCCAAGGCAGGCAGATCACATGAGGCCAGAAGTTCGAGACCAGCCTGGCCAACATGGTGAAGCCCCATCTTTACTAGAAATACAAACATTAGCCAGGTGTGGTGCCACACGCCTGTAATCCCAGCTACTTGGGAGGCTAAGGCATGAGAATCATTTGAACCCGGGAGGCAGAGGTTGCAGTGAGCTGAAATCACGCCACTGCACTCCAGCCTGGGCAGCAGAGTGAGACTCTGTCTCAAAAAACAAATAAATAAAGTTAGAACTTAAAAACTAAACTTTTACCTATTACTTCAGTTAGCAACAGTTAGTGTCAAACATGGCACTAGTAGTAACAATTAGAAAGCAAAGTTTCAGCGCTGGACTTGGTGGCTCATGCCGGTTGTCTCAACACTTTGGGAAGCCAAAGCAAGAGGATCACTTGAGTCCACGAGTTTGCGACCAGCCTGGGCAACATAGCAAGACCCCATCTCTACAAAAAATTTAAAAATTAGCCCAATGTGGTGGCACACACCTGCAGTCCTAGCTGAGAGGCTGAGTTGGAAGGATTGCTTAAGCCAAGGTTGAGGCTGCGGTGTGCTATGATGGCACCACTGCTCTCCACCCTGGGCTACAGAGTGAGCCTCTGTCTCAAAAAAAGAAAAAGGCCAGGCACGGTGGCTCACGCCTGTAATCCCAGCACTTTGGGATGCTGAGGCGGGTGGATCACGAGGTCAGGAGATCAAGACCATCCTGGCTAACATGGTGAAACCCTGTCTCTACTAAAAATACAAAAAATTAACCAGGCGTGGTGGCGGGAGCCTGTAGTCCCAGCTACTCAGGAGGCTGAGGCAGGAGAACGGTGTGAACCTGGGAGGCGGGGCTTGCAGTGAGCCAAGATTGCACCACTGCACTCCAGCCTGGGAGACACAGTGAGACTCCATCTCAAAAAAAAAAAGAAAAAGATAAACCAGGCACAGTGGTTCAAGAGTTCAAGGATCTCTTAAGCCAAGGAGTTCAAGGTTTCAGTCAGTTATGTTTGCACCACTGCATGCCAGCCTAAGTGACAGAGCGAGAGCTTGTCTCTAAAAAAAAAAAAGCCAGGCACGATGGCTCATGCTTGTAATCCCAGCACTTTGGGAGGCCAAGGCAGGTGGATCACGAAGTCAGGAGATAGAGACCATCCTGGCTAACATGGTGAAACCCCATCTCTACTAAAAATACAAAAAATTAGCCAGGCTTGGTGGCGGGCGCCTGTAGTCCCAGCTGCTCGGGAGGCTGAGGCAGGAGAATGGCGTGAACCCGGGAGGCGGGGCTAGCAGTGAGCGGAGATCGTGCCACTGCATTCCAGTCTGGGCGACAGAGTGAGACTCCGTCTCAAAAAAAAAAAAAAAGGAAAACTCAGGGGATGCAGAACCCCAGCTAACTCAGCCACATTCTCTTGCTTTGCTTTCCTTAACTCCATTTCACATCACCTCAAGCAAAGGAGATTCTACGAGGATAGGTATATAAAGAAAACACATATCCTCCAACCTCATTATCCAAGACTGTTTCAGATGATCCTGGACCCTACCTGTTTGACCCTAACTGCTGCTTTCAAGATGCACCTCACGGTTTGCATAGATTTAGGTAAAGCCAGATTCTACATGGCAAGGGCTTATTAAGAAAGTAAAATGGCCAGACACGGTGGCTCATGCCTATAATCCCAATGCTTTGGGAGGCCGAGGCGGGCGGATCACCTGAGGTCGGGAGTTCGAGACCAGCCTGACCAACATGGAGAAACCCCGTCTCTACTAAAAATACAAAAAATTAGCTGGGCATGGTGGCGCATGCCTGTAATCCCAGCTACTCCGGGGGCTGAGGCAGGAGAATAGCTTGAACCCGGGAGGTGGAGGTTGCGGCAAGGCCGAGACTGCACCACTACACTCCAGCCTGGGCAACAAGAGCAAAACTCTGTCTCAAAAAAAAAAAAAAAAAGAAAGTAAACTGGCACTCAGCAAGAAGGCTGTCTTCATTTCTTCACTTATTACCACACTGGCAAGGAAACAGTTTCATAATGCTTACAGAAATGCTCACTGATAAGACAGTAAACTGCTCATTTCCAAAACACATAACAACTGACCACATCATGATTAGTGATTTTAGTTGCCAAAATCAACTCGTTTCTCGTCTTCCAGTTACCTAAGGGTATGAAGACAGATATGTCAAGTGAGAGACTGGCTCTTATCTCTAGACCCAGGCAAAAGGCAGCTAAAGGTTGAAGGTACCATCAGGCCTGGGACCCAGAGATAAAATTCAGAGTATTATTTTTGAAATGTTTTGTGGACAACTTGCCAGGATATACATGGGAAAAACTCGAGGGTAGAACAGGAGTGATAAGATGATCCACTTTAGATTTTGGAAAACAAAAAATATCAAGTTCCTGGGAGAAGGAACTATGGGTGAAGTTTTAAATCTCAGAGTGGTGGTTCTCAATCCTGGCTGCACACCAGAATCACTTGCACAGACTTTTTAAATTATGAATGCCCAGGACCCACGGGTTCAATCTAGGCTTAAAGAATCAGAAAAAGGCCAGGCACAGTGGCTTATGCCTGTAACCCCAGCACTTTGGGAGGCTAAGGTGGGAGGATCATTTGAAGCCAGGAATTTGAGACCAGCCTGGGCAACATGGTGAGACCCCCATCTCTACAAAAAAAAAAAAGATAATAAATTCCTAGGAAGGGGCCCCACACACCCCTATTTTTTTTTTTTTTAAGTTCCTCATGAGGTCAGGAGTTTGAGACCAGCCTGGCCAACATGGCGAAACCCATCTCTACTAAAAATACAAAAATTAGGCCGGTGTGGTGGTGGACACCTGCAATCCAGCTACTCAGGAGGCTGAGGCAGAAGAATTGCTTAAACCGGGAAGGCAGAGGTTAAAGTGAGCTGAGATCGCGCCACTGAACTCCAGCCTGGGTGACAGAGCAAGACTGTCTTGAGGGAAAAAAAAAAGTTCCTGAGGAGATTCTGATGCACAGCCACCACTGAGAACAACTGCCAAGAACTACTGTCAAGACACATTCCAAAATGGACAAGACCACTAAACTCAGGCTCCAGAGTCGACAAATAAATGACTTAAAAACTTAACCCAGCTTCTCAGTTGTTCCACATTTCCCTAATGGAAAGGTCTCCACCAAGTAGCAGTAGGTATATCTCAGCCTCCCCCCATTACCAAATTAAGGGCCACAAGTTTTTCACAGTTAAATTACTTGGCATCTTCATTTCTAGCTCTAGTTCTAACAGGTGGCTCGGCCTAGAGGTCAGAATACCAGTCAGCAAGTTTCTGCTGCTGATTCATGCTGTAATCACAAGCAAGTTGCTTACCCATCATCCAGAGTAGTTGACAAGCACCTCCAGAGGGGCAACATATGGCCTTACTACAGAATCAACTGACAACAAATTGAATCCAGCTGAAATTAGTAATTCTGAATGAAAGGAAGAGAGAGGTGGTATCAGGAATGATGCACATGCCAGTAAGTTATCTGCTTGCTAAGTGTGATTATACAAAGCTTATTGAAAAATACCGCCTAGGACTTCATAAAAATTTACTTGGACAAATCACTCTTAACACTGCTAAGCCTCTATTTTCTTTTCTGTGAAACAGGACTAATATTCTACCATACTTCCTCATAGAATCATGAGGATTAAGAAAGAAAACTTCTGTAAAATGCCTACCATAGTGGCTGACACACAGTTTTACTATGATTTGAAAGCCTATCATTAATAAATCCAAAGCGTTCCTGTCAAGAGCACCCACTAGACTTCCAATGAAGCCATATAAACCAAGGAATCCAGCCAACGGGCCCTGAAATTCTTTTAATTTCTCTAAGTGGTTTTACTGAAGGCTTCAAATCACCTCAATTTTCAAAGCCATTAAAATCTCCAGGTCCATTTACAGCTCAGAGGCATTCTTCAAGGCAGATTACCACTAGTAACCTGGTTTCTGGTACCAGAATAACAGGAAGAATGCCAGGGCAGTGCTTCATACCACCAACCTCAAAATAACTGCCTCATAATACCTGACCTTCCCTTAACCTCCCTGGCAGTTCTATCGGCCCAGGGGGATGGGACAAGAGCCTGGTTCCTGGCCAGAGTCCACTGCCTGCCCATAAACGGCCTACCTTCTCTCTTGCCTCTCTTTCTTTGCTCCCTCTAAATGACTTTCCCCACTTTCTAACCCACCTTCTCTCCTCTGAGCTATATTCACAGGATATTTACTGCTGCATGTTCTCAGAAATACCTATTAACACTACTGGAATGAAGCTGTAGGAATATAATCAAGAAAAGGAATGTTATATAAATGTTCAGGCAATTAGCCCAGGCAAAGAAACTGTGGTATGCGACTCTAGCCGGAAAGATCAAGAAAATCCTGGTAGCCAAATTTACATATTTCCTGTGTACAAATGAAGGGCAAATTTAAGCCAGCCACTGGAACAAAATCTCAAAGAAATTAATCATGTAGCTAGGAAGCAAATGGCCATTAATGACAGTTTACAGAATAGAAACCAAAGGGCTTTCTTCCACGAGGTAGAAAAGGGGGAGAAAAAAAGTGACTTAAATATTTGAATACTGAAAACTCTTGCTCTTTTCACCTTGACAAAAGATAAACTATCTTTTCACCTTACGCTTGTTTTCCCCTCAACTCAGTACTCTGTAATTCAAGAGGTCCTTTCAATGATTCCCAGCAGAATCAAGTATATGAAGTGTTCAGCTTATGAGATACTGCAGAAATCTTTTTATGGGATTATGCGGAGCTTGAGTGTACCCTTTTGTTAGAGCAACCATCTCATCGTGAAGTCACTGCATCAGAGCTCCTGAGTATCTGCTGTAGTAGCACTGGTCTTAGCTGTTACGTTCCTAAGGCAGCTTAGTTTCAACTTTAAAAATCAGCCAATATCCAGTTTCCTAACCTTTTAATCTCCACATATCCTGCCTTTTAATTTGTTCCTAAATGCAAGCAGTGGATTATGGCTAGTGAAGAAGCATGGATTTGGCTACAAAGCCCATCCTTCCTTGCTAAACGAACACGCACAGCAGAAGCCAGAAAAGCAGACACTGGCGGTGGCAAACATGGTCAAGCTTTCTAACACACACATTAAACAAAAAAAAAAGAATGCTGCCTCAAGGCACATATGTGTTATTTGTAAAATCTAACAAAGGGCCTTTACATGAGTTTTTGTTTTTTTAGACGGGCTGGAGTGCAATGGTGCAATCTTGGCTTACTGCAACCTCCGCCTCCCGGTTTCAAGGGATTCTCCTGCCTCAGCCCCCCGAGTAGCTGGGATTACAGGTGCGCACCACCACGCCGGACTAATTTTTTGTACTTTTAGTAGAGACGGGGCTTCACCATGTTGGCCAGGCTGGTCTCAAACTCCTGAACTCAGATGATCCACCTGCCTCGGCCTCCCAAAGTGCTGGGATTACAGGCGTGAGCCACCGCACCCGGCCTACATGAGTTTTTACAGAAGTTTTCTTGTTTTGAGACGGGGTCTCACTCTGCCACCCAGGCTAGAGTGCAGTGGAGTGATCGTGGCTCACTGCAACCTCGAACTTCTGGGTTTAAGTGCTCTTCCTCCTCCCCTGCCTCAGCCTCTTCACAGCTGGGACTACAGGTGCGTGCCACCACGCCCGGCTCATTTATTTTTTTGTAGGACAGGGTCTCGAACTCCTGGGCTCAAGTAATCGGCCTGCCTCAGCCTCCCAAAGTGCTGGGATTATAGCCACCCAGCCCATTTGAAATGTTAACAATGACAAATACTTGCTTTGGTCAAACTACTATAGAATTCTGTATCATCTTGTTGGGTAATCAGAGTTAATTCCACTAACCAACATATTCAAAGTGAAGGACATAGCAGTAAAATTCCTTAAATACCTGTTTGTTTGTTTTATTTTAAGTTGTCACAAGCTTTCACCTACTGCTAAGAAATAAACTTAAGGCATTTATTGCAACTGACTAATGAATGTATGTTAGTGGCTTAAAGAGGAGCCCCAGAAAAATTAGTTGAGAATTCACAGTTGGAGAACCAAATCCTTAACATACATCTGGGAATAGAGTACAAAAATAAACTTACTTATCAATTGCTTTGAACAGACCACTCTAAACCAGTTCCAACACTGACCAAAAGGACTGGTTACCTTCTATCTTTTGAGGGATCTATGGCAAAGCTACGCATGTGCAGAACTGCAAAATCAGTCTGCATACATGCCATTTCCTGACACGGCCCGAGAACCCATACTCCAATGGTCTCACACCAGGTAAACAAGTTTGCCATATCCAGCAGGTGAACTCTGAGCGAGTTAGCAGACCTTACAATTTTCTGTTTTTTTTGTTTGTTTTAAGTCAGCCTTAGTTTTCTTTTTACTGTTTAGAGATGGGGGTCTCTGTTACCCAGGCTGGATGGTATGCAGTATCGTGATATAGCTCACCGCAGCCTCAACTTCCTTGAGCTTAAGCGATCCTCCCACCTTACCCTTCCAAGTAGGTAGGGTTACAGGTGTGTGCCACCACACTCGGCTAATTTTTTTTTTTTCTTATGGAGACGAGGGTCTTACTATCTTGCCCAAGCTGGTGTGAAACTCCTGGGCTCAAGCTATCCTCCCACCTCAGCCTCCCAAAGTGTTCGGATTACAGGCATGAGCCACCGCGCCCGGTCTCACTCTAAACAGTTTTTTTAATCTTGACAAGTTTTAAACTGGACCTCCACATTTAGGGACTTCAAATATTTCCCTCTCTGCCACAACATCCCCACTGTCGCTGAAAACACCTTCCTATTACTGCTAATGTGACTGAAATACAAAAGAGAGCAGAGATTAGTACAAACTTCGAAATAAAATGAAGAACACCGGGACTCTAGCCTCTGCCAACTCCTAACATCCTACCTGCTCAGTTTATTCCTTCTTTAAATATGAACAATTTCACCCTGGTAGACAAGTCAGTGACTGGCACAGTGAAAACAGAGGTAAAAACTTCACCTAGTACTTGGCACATGGTAAGCCCTCAATTAAAGGTAGCTATTATCAACATGGTCATAATATTGACAGACTTGATTACAGAAATAAAACCTTCCCTGTTAAAGGACAATCCTATAGTCCAACACACAACAATAGACATTATGTGTATTTGGCGCAAAATAGACGCCAGATATCCTAAGACCTTAGTTCATTTGTTTTGTTTTTAATTAGTTTTTTAAGTTTATTTAATTATATTACCTCCACCTACCTTTACAAGTAAGTAAACTCGGGGCACTCACTCAAGGTCTGGCAAACTGGGACCCAAAAAGACTGAATTCATAGTCTGCGCTCTTAACCCCACAATGAATAGCCACTGAAGGATGACTTCCTCTTCGACAGAGGAATGGATCTGGGACCAGGTTATTAAATAAGAGATCTGAGTTTGAAAGGTCCTTGGGCCCTCACCCACCCATCTAAACTTGAACACTATCCAATGTTAATTCAACATTAAAGGGTAGAACAACTTAGTGGTTTTAGGAGCGTGGACTGATGAGTCACACAAACCAAGTCTTAAGGCCTGCTGTGAGCCAAATACTAGCTGGGTGACCTTACCCTTTCTCATCATATGCAAAATGGCGATAAGAACAGCACCTGCTTAATCGAGCAGTTTTGAGTATTAATGTAAATGATCCACGTAAACCACGCAGCACAGCGCTCATTAATGTAACTGCAAATGAGAGCCATGGAAAAGGGCAGGTAGGAGCTATAAAAGAAAGTGGAGCCTGTCCCCGAGTAACCCAGCCGATGAGAGCAACGACTCTCCCCAGCAGCAGGGGCAGTCGCCCCCGCCCACTGCCGCAGGCCCGTCCTTACCGCTCTTGGGTTTAGACTCGCCGGCTGGCCCCGCCGAGGCGGAGCGGGGCGGCTGTTGCCCTTTGCTGCTGCCCGAAGAGGCGGAGGAGCTGTTGGAGCCGCTGTTCTTGTCCATGTCGGAGGCGGTGGCGGCGGCGTTGGGGGAGCTCAGCGGCATCAACGGGGGCCTCGGCGGCGACGGCAGTCGGAGCGGAGCGGGCGCGGCGGGGACCCAGGCTCATGGCGTTCAGGGCCGGCGGGGGTCGGCGGCGGCAGCGGTTCTCGGCCTTCATGGCGACATTTTTCCCTGTTTCCTTCCTTGGCTTCTCAAACTAGGAAGAGAAGCGGCGGACGGGGCTGTTAAGCCCGGCGGCAGCGGCGACCGAGGACGAGGAGGCCGGGGCTCGGGAGTCCGGGCCGGGCCTGGCGGGGCGGAGGCTGCGGGGGAAGGGGAGGCGAGGGAGGTTGCGCGAGCCCCGCCGGCCGGCCGGCCGGACACGCTCTCCCGCCGCGAGGCAGGGGAGAGGGCTGGCTGTCTCGGTGTCGGGGACTAGTGTCTCCGACACAGCAACGGATACTCGCCCCTGGGCCGAGGCCGACCTGCTCCGGGAATGGCGACGAGTCGCCAAACAGCATCTCAAAGAACCCGGATGGACTGTATATATAGTGGAGAGGGGGTGAGGTATTCTGGGAAATGTAGTTTTTGCCTACATCCGGGTCTCGTGGTTTGTTTTTTGGTTTTTGTTTGTTTGTTTGTTTTGGTTTTGTTTTTTTTATTTCCTCCCCCACCTCCGCCCCAACCCCACTGTGAGGGCATTCAAAATAATGGGACTTGCAGTTGCTCCAAGTCCAGGTTTTTCACTTAGTACACTAAAAATACAGTAACAATAATAATATACACTGATAATAATGTAGCCAAACATTGGAATACCTGTGGAACTCCTTTATAGACTCGTTTGATTTATGGTTCTTTTTTTTTTTTTTTGAGGCGGAGTCGCTCTGTCGCCCAGGCTAGAGTGCAGTGGCGCGATCTGGGCTGACTGCAAGCTCCGCCTCCCGGGTTCACGCCATTCTCCTGCCTCAGCCTCCCGAGTAGCTGGGACCACAGGCGCCCGCCACCACGCCCGGCTAATTTTCTGTATTTTTAGTAGAGACACGGTTTCACCGTGTTAGCCAGGATGGTCTTGATCTCCTGACCTCGTGATCTGCCCACCTCGGCCTCCCAAAGTGCTGGGATTACAGACGTGAGCCACCGCGCCCGGCCAATTTATGGTTCTTATTCTAGCGTTAATACCAATTGATTTATGGCCTTTAGTCTATCTCATATTAGGAATAATAATAATAACGTTAATAATGACAATACCTTACATTTAATATCACTTTACGGCACTTCTTCATACAGTACATCACTTTATTTCTTTAGCCTGGCGTGGCGGTGCGCACCTGTGGTCCCCATTACCCAGGAGACAGAGGCGGAAACAGGCCATAAGCAGTGTTTCATGCGTGTAATCCCAACACTTTGGGAGGCAGAGGTGGAAGGATCCTTGGAGGCCAGGAGTTCCAGACCAGCCTGGGGAATATAGCGAGACCCCTGTCTCTAAAGAATAAAAATATTTTTTAAAAAATTAGTTGGGCAGCCGGGCGTGGTGGCTCACACCTGTAATTCCAGCCCTTTGGGAGTCTGAGGAGGGGGCAGATCACTTGAGGCCAGGAGTTCAAGACCAGCCTGGCCAACATAGCAAAATCCCGACCCTATTAAAAATACAAAAATTAGCTGGGCTCTGAATAAAATAGTTTGAATAAAACTAACTTTAATTTAAAAGAGAGAAAGAAAAAAAAATTAGCCAAGCATAGTGGCTGTGGCTGCACACCTGTAGTTCTAGCTACTCAGGAAACTGAGGTGGGAGGATCACCTGAGCCCAGCAGTTGGAGGTTGCAGTGAGATACGATCGTGCCAGTGCACTCCAGTATGAGTGACAGAGAGGGAGACCCTGTCTAAACTTTTTTTTAAAAAGTAGAAACAGAGAACAAAAAGCAGATTAGTCATTTCAAAATTACTTTTCTTGTAAAGGTTTAAGCAGAATGGACTTCCTTATGTGGGGTAAAACTGACCAGTTTGGGGATTTGATGATTTCTCAGAAGGTCAGATAAACAATTTCGTTTAGGCGTGGTTGGGTAGAAATTCACCTTGAGTAACTCTGTTTTGGTTTGGTCTACTGTGCTGAAGCTCAGTGCAAAACAATGGGCTCCTATAAATTGTATTTAACAGCTGTTAACATTATCACATTTAATCTTCTCAATAACTAAATTTTAGACTAAGTGTGCCTGTAGTCCCAGCTACTCAGGAGGCTGAGGAGGGATGATCACTTGAGCCCAAGAGTATGAATCCAGCCTGGGTAACACAACAAGACTCTGTCCCTAAATAAATAAAATTTAAAGATGAGTAAATGGACTCCAAAAGTCCAGATAATTTGCCTATTATCACATAGCTAACAAGTGATGTTCTTACCTATGAGACAAGCAGTTCCTCATTTTACAGATACAGACTGAGATTTAGAAAATCATGCATATGGGGCCGGGCACGGTGGCTCACACCTGTAACCCCAGCACTTTGGGAGGCCAAGCCGGGTGGATCAACAGGTCAGGAGATCGAGACCAGCCTGACCAACATAGTGAAACCCCGTCTCTACTAAAAATACAAAAAAATTAGCCAGGCGTGGTGGTGCGCACCTGTAATCTCAGCTACTGAGGAGGCTGAGGCAGGAGAATCACTTGAACCCAGAAGGCACAGGTTGCAGTGAGCCAAGACTGCACCACTGTATTCCAGCCTGGGCAACAGAGCGAGACTCCATCTCAAAAAAAAAAAGAAGAAAGAAAATAATGTATGTGGGTCAGGTGCAATGTAATCCCAGCACTTTTTGGGAGGCCTGTAATCCCAGCACTTTTTGGGAGGCCTGTAATCCCAGCACTTTTTGGGAGTTCGAGGCGGGCAGATCACGAGGTCAGGATTTCGAGACCAGCCTGACCAATACAGTGAAACCCCGTCTCTCCTAAAAATACAACAATTAGCCGGGCGTGGTGGCGCACACCTGTAGTCCCAGCTACTTGGGAGGTTGAGGGAGGACAATCGCTTGAACCTGGGAGGCGGAGGTTGCAGTGAGCTGAGATTGGGCCACTGCACTCCAGCCTGGGTGACAGAGCGAGACTCTGTCTCAAAAAAAAAAAAAAAGAAAAAAAAAGGAAAATCATGTATGTGGCCAGGCAAGGTAGCTCAATCCCAACATTCTGGGAGGCTGAGGCAGGAAGATCACTTGATGTTAGGAGTTTGAGACCAGCCTGAACATAGTGAAACCAATTCTCTACTAAAAATTAAAAAACAAAAAACAAAAACATATGGTTTACAGATATAGACGCTAAGACTTTGGGAATCATACCACACCTATTTGTACTTTGGAAAATTACAAATGATTCCCTTCCAACCATAGTAGTTTGAGATTCAAAAGATCACATAGACATGCTATTAAGGAAATGACCAGGGCCAGGTGCGGTTGCTCACGCCTATAATCCCAGCACTTTGGGAGATTGAGGTAGGCAGATTGCCCAAGCCCAGGAGTTCAAGACCATTCAGGGCAACATGGCAAAACCCTGTCTCAACAAAAAATGCAAAAATCAGCCCAGTGTGGTGGTGCACACCTGTAGTCCCAGCTACTCAGGAGGTTGAGGTGGGAGGATGGCTTGAGCCTGGGAGGGTGAGAAGTGAGCTATGATTGTGCCACTGCACTCCACCCTGGGTGACAAAGTGAGATCCTATTTCAAAATAAAGAATGAATCAATAAATAAGTAAATAAGACCAGCCTAGCCAAAATGGTGAAACCCCATCTCTACTAAAAATACAAAAATTAGCGCCGGGAGTGGTGGCTCAGCACTTTGGGAGGCTGAGGCAGGTGGATTACCTGAAGTCAGGAGTTCAAGACCAGCCTGGCCAATATAGCGAAACCCCATCTCTACTAAAAATACAAAAATTAGCCTGGCATGGTGGCGCATGCCTGTAATCCCAGCTACTAGGGAAGCTGAGGCAGGAGGATCACTTGAACCCAGAAGACAGAGGTTGCAGTGAGCCGAAGTCATGCCACTGCACTCCAGTCTGGGCAACAGAGCAAGACGCTACCTCAAAAAAAAAATACCTTCCAACAGTCCTTGTCCTACTTCACTTTTTACAGGTTTTCCTCCACATATCATATGAAATAAGAGAACAGTGAAATACTGTTGGTCTGGATACTTAATCTGATGTGCAGAAGGAACAGCCCTAAATCCTGAGATCCATTCTTTTATATAACTAGATATGGAAGATATAAGATTCTTTGATGAGACTTTATTTATTTATTTATTTATTTATTTATTTATTTTTGAGATGGAGTCTGGCTCTGTCACCCAGGCTTGAGTGCAGTGGTGCAATCTCAGCTCACTGCAACCAGTGACTCCTGGGTTGAAGGGATTCTCCTGCTTCAACCTCCTGAATAGCTGGGACTACAGGTGTGCACCACCATGCCTGGCTGATTTTTGTATTTTAGTAGAGACGGGGTTTCACCATGTTAGCCATGCTGGTCTCGAACTCCTGACCTCATGCAATCCGCCCACCTCGGGCTCCCAAAGTGTTGGGATTACAGGCGTGAGCCACCGCACCCAGCCACTTAATTTCTTTTAACAAAGACATGAGAATTATGAATACATGGATGAATCATTTCGCCCTTGTATCCTTCCTTTTTTTTTTCTCATCACTATACCAACGAGGACCTTCTATCATTCTTAAAATAAAAGAGAAAGAAACAGAAATCCCAGCGCAGTACTTCCCAAACGAAAGCGGTTAGGTGTCCATCTGTCAGGCTATATTAAACCAGGAAGAGAATTTTCATTTCAAAACAGTTTCTTCTATTGGCGCTTTCTCCTCGTGAAATATTTACAGGAAACATACATTTAAAATGGAATGAAAGCAGAAACATACAGTAATCCAAGCAAAACTCAACAACGTCCGTTCTTTATTTTGCACAAGACGGTCTGCATTACCCTTGCCATTAAAAAAAGACTGAAAATCTGGGGCTGAAGTAAAACACCCATGACATGCCACCTGGAGCTAGGAATGTAGCTTTGTGTCAGCAGGAGACCAAGTGTGAGTGGTGGTTCTGGCTTGCTAAGTGGATACCAGAGCTTTCGTTCCCATTTATGAGCTTCCTAGGTTCATAAAACGGACAGAACAAAGAAGTCTGTCCTATGTTTATTTTTCAGAGTAGTGTAACATATGTTTCTCAAGAATGGTCTGCATCTTTAGCATCAGAATCGCCAGAGAAATTTGTTTAAATAGAGATTAAAGGGATATAGGTCAGATCAAAATCTCTGGTAGTTGGGGACCCAGGAATCTTCATTTTAAAACGTAAACCAAGTGATTCTTACGCTCAACAAAGTGTGCAGGAATTGGCCCGTGATCTTGGCTTTTTAACCACACCATGCCTCAATTTCCCCCTTCTGCACAAGACAACAAGAGTTCCTGGATATCTTGCGAGTTAGTACTTTTCTGCCTAGCCGGATTCAGAGACATGGCCGCTAAGAGGTGACCCGGGGCTCCCCTGAGATCCCCTGATTCCTGGTGAATTGTAAATTCAATTTGAGAAGAGAGAGAGGAAGGGATTTCCGATACTTAGAGACCACCCTTTGGATCCTAGAGATAATGCCGGCACAACTGTGTATCAGATTTCAGGGCGCGTTCGGCTAATAATGTTGCCGGCCAGCCGCCGTCGTTCGTGGAGTGACGCAACAAGGCGTACTCTCTGGCCGTTGTCACTCGACTACCAAGATGGCGGCCCCCGGGAGCTGTGCTCTATGGAGCTATTGCGGCCGTGGGTGGTCGCGGGCGATGCGGGGCTGCCAGCTCCTCGGGCTTCGTAGCTCTTGGCCCGGGGACCTACTAAGTGCTCGGCTCTTGTCCCAAGAGAAGCGGGCAGCGGAAACGCACTTTGGGTTTGAGACTGTGTCGGAAGAGGAGAAGGGGGGCAAAGGTGAAAGGGGCGAGAGGGCGGATGGGAGGGATCTGACCGTCCATGGTCTGGTTTCTTCTGGCCAGTTAGGGTTGATTTAACATCCAATTAGTTCCAGTGTTGTTGTCTGTGCAGTTATGATTTTTTTTTTTTTTGGAGACAGAATTTCGCTCTTGTTGCCCACACTGGAGTGCAATGGTCCGATCTTGGCTCACTGCAACCTCCGCCTCCCGGGTTCAAGCGATTCTCCTGCCTCAGCTTCCCGAGTAGCTGGGATTACAGGCGCCCGCCAGCACGCCCGGCTAACTTTTTTGTATTCTTACTAGAGATGGGGTTTCACCAGGCTGGTCTCGAACTCCTGACCTCAGGTGATTCGCCTGCCTCGGCCTCCCAAAGTGCTGGGATTACAGGCGTGAGCCACCGCGCCCAGCCAGACGCCCCCTTTTTAAAAGCAGAATACTGATGACTAAATCCCATCAACTGAGCGTTTGTGATGTGCCAGGCAACGTACAGACATTATTTTCAATTCTCATTTTCAACATTCCAGTAGTGGGTATTGTTATTACCATATTACACGTGAGGAAATTGAGACTTAAAGGTTAAGCAAGAAGTTGCCCAGTTGAACATATCAGTAAGTGGCGGAACCAGTATTCAAACCCAGTTTAATCTGAGTCTGAAGCCCCCGTTCTTTACCTCTAGAGAAAAATAGGGGTTTTTTTGGTTGTTTTTATTTATTTATTTATTTATTTATTTATTTTGAGACGGAGTTTCGCTCTTGTTGCCCAGGCTGGAGTGCAATGGCGCAATATGGGCTCACTGCAACCTCAGCCTCCTAGGTTCAAGCGATCCTCCTGCCTCAGCCTCCTGAGTAGCTGGGATTACAGGCATCTGCCACTGTGCCCTGCTAATTTTTGTATTTTCAGTAGAGACGGGGTTTCTTTTTTTTTTTTTTTTTTTTTTTTTTTTTTTTTTGAGACTGAGTCTCTCTCTGTCACCCCCAGGCTGGAAGGCAGTGGCGCGATCTCGGCTCACTGCAAGCTCCGCCTCCTGGCTTCACGCCATTCTCCTGCCTCAGCCTCCCGAGTAGCTGGGACTACAGGGGCCCGCCACCATGCCCGGCTAATTTTTTGTATTTTTTTTTTAGTACAGACAGGGTTTCACCATGTTAGCCAGGATGGTCTGGATCTCCTGACCTCGTGATCCACCTGCCTCGGCCTCCCAAAGTGCTGGGATTACAGGCATGAGCCACCACACCGGCCAATGTATAATCAACATTTTACAATGTATAATCAATGTATAATCAACATTTCACACAGTGGCAAGCAAGGAAGAAGTTAACTACTGAACTAAATATGAATTCCAGATTGGGGACTGAGATTGCAGTACAGACAGTCCTCGCTGTGCACAGTAATGCAAGACTGTGAAAATGTGCAAGCTGAAGTCATACACAATGACCTTAATCAATGGGAAAAATTAGAATTGTTTTATGACCTTTAAAAATTATCAACCATCAAAAACCCTGTCAGTTATAAATGTATAGTGAAATGAAAAAATATATACTGAAGTTGATATTTATTTACAGCCAGGTGCGATGGTTCACACCTGTAATCCCAGCACTTTGGGAGGCCGAGGTAGGCACTTGAAGTCAGGAGTTCGAGACCAGCCTGGCCAACGTGGTGAAACCTCATCTCTACTAAAAATACAAAAAAAATTAGCCAAGCATGGTGACGCACGCCTGTAATCACAGCTAATTAGGAGGCTGAGGCAGGCAAATTTCTTGAACCTGGGAGGTGGACGTTGCAGTGATCTGAGATTGTGCCACTGCACTCTAGCCTGGGCGACACAGTGAGACTGTCTCAAAAACAAAGAAAAAAAATTCTAATAAAAAATTAGAAACCTTGAGAATTAAATTCTTTTATTTCCTTGTAAAAAAATTGCCAAGAGTAGGCTGGGCGCAGTGGCTCACGCCTGTAATCCCAGCACTTTGAGAGGCCGAGGCGGGTGGATCATGAGGTCAGGAGATTGAGACCATCCTGGCTAACACGGTGAAACTCCGTCTCTACTAAAAATACAAAAAAATTAGCCGGGCATGGTGGCGGGCGCCTGTAGTCCCAGCTACTCCGGAGGCTGAGGCAGGAGAATGGCATGAACCCGGGAGGAGGAGCTTGCAGTGAGCCGAGATCCTGCCACTACACTCCAGCCTGGGCGACAGAGCAAGACTCTGTCTCAAAAAAAAAAAAAAAAAAAAAAAAAAAAAAAAAATTGCCAAGAGTAGTTTGAGCACTATTTGCCACCTTCTTGTCGTATGAAATATCTTTTCTATGCCTTGGCAAATTGCCATATTTCTTTCTAAGTTTTTATCTACTTCTGATATTTTATCCTTTGTGCTTTCAATGTTATGAAATACCTCCAAGAACTCCTTTAATGTGAAAGTTTTTGCTGGCATCACTTCTTCTGGGACATCTTCAACCTTTTTGTCACAGCTCCATTTCTTGTTCATGTTGGTAAGTTCATCTTCCTGCAGTTCCTCTGGCTGTATGTCTAGAGTCTCTCCAGTGGCAGCAGTGTCAATATTCCCACAGTCATCTATTTCTCCTATAACTCCACTGACACTCAATTTGAATTTCACTTCCAGCATTATCAGCATTTTCATTTTTGTTGCTCAATTCCCTCTTTCATTTATCCAGTTATGCCACGTGTGCTTTATCACTGAAAGATAAAGAGGCAATACAAGTACATGCTTTACTGTCTGTGAACTGAGTAACTGATGCAGTGACCAGTCACCTAAAGTCTGGGAAAGAAGTGCGTGATTGGTTGCTGAACATGTTGTGTATCTGTTATTTACATAGTGATTTGTAGGCTAAAGAATGTATTTTATGTAATTACTCATATTTAATATACCATTGTACTTGAATTGTGGTATTGGGTGACTGGTGTTGTTTAGCTAAACCACAGTAACTGAAATTCATGCATATTGGAACATGCAAAGCCAGGACTATTTGCTTATTTATTTATTTATTTATATTTATTTTTTTGGAGATGGAGTCTCGCTCTGTCGCCCAGGCTGGAGTGCGGTGGCACGATCTCAGCTCACTGTAAGCTCCGCCTCCCAGGTTCATGCCATTCTCCTGCCTCAGCCTCCCGAGTAGCTGGGACTACAGGCGCCCACCACCACGCCCAGCTAGTTTTTTTGTATTTTTAGTAGAGATGGAGTTTCACTGTGTTAGCTAGGATGGTCTCGATCTCTGGACCTCGTGATCCCCCCGCCTCAGCCTCCCAAAGTTCTGGGATTATAGGCATGAGCCACTGCGCCCAGCCTTGTTTATTTATTTTTGAGACAAGTTCTCACTATGCTGCCCAGGCTGGGGTACAATGTCTATTCACAGGCACAATCATAGCACACTGCAGCCTTGAACTCCTGGGTTCAAGCAGTCCTCTCCCATTAGCCCCCCGAGTAGCTGGCACTCCAGGTGTGTGCCACCATGCCAGCAAGGAGGACTATTTATACCGAGTGGGGTTAGCCTTAGTGTCCCCCAGACACCCCAAAAGATGCTCAAAAGAGCAGGCTGGGCGTGGTGGCTCACGCCTGTAATCCCAGTACTTTGGGAGGCTGAGGTGGGCAGATCATGAGGTCAGGAGTTTGAGACCAGCTGGCCAACATGGTGAAACCCCATCTCTACTAAAAATACAAAAATTAGCCAGGCATGGTGGCAAGTGCCTGTAATCGTAGCTATTCGGGAGGCTGAGGCAGGAGAATCACTTGAACCTAGAAGGAGGAGGTTGCAGTGAGCCGAGATTGCGCCACTGTACCCCAGCCTGGGCGACAGAGCTAGACGCCGTCTCAAAAACAAAAGTCCGGGCACGGTGGCTCACACCTGTGATCCTAACACTTTGGGAAGCCAAGGCGGGCAGATCTGAGGTTAGGAGATCGAGACTATCCTGGCTAGCAGTGAAACCCCATCTCTACTAAAAATACAACAGATTAGCTGGGCATGGTGGCACGTGCCTGTAGTCCCAGCTACTTGGGAGGCTGAGCCAGGAGAATTGCCGGGAGGCGGAGGTTACAGTGAGCCAAGATCACGCCACTGCACTCCAGCCTGGGTGACAGAGCAAGACTCCGTCCCAAAAAAAATTTAAAAAAAAAAAAGGAAAGAGCGCACTTGGAAATCCGAAGGTTGAGAATAGGCGTTGAAGTTTGAGTTAAAGGCGGGCTCTGTAGTCTGATTCAGCAGAAGAGAGTCATGTTTTCAATCTGTGTAGCACATTTCATCTGAGGAACTCAAAGCATCTCCTCTTCATTATCCAATTCAGCCTTCTGGCAGGGAGATAGGGAGCTGGCACTGATATAGCCGTCTTACGGGCAGAGAAACTGAGGTGAAAAACAGTTAAATGTAACTTTAAGGCCGGGCGTGGTGGCTCACGCCTATAATCCTAGCACTTTGGGAGGCCGAGGCGGGCGGATCACGAGGTCAGGAGATCGAGACCATCCTGGCTAGCATGGTGAAACCCCGTCTCTACTAAAAATACAAAAAATTAGCTGGGCGTGGTGGCGAGTGCCTGTAGTCCCAGCTACTTGGGAGGCTGAGGCAGGAGAATGGCGTGAACCCGGGAGGCAGAGCTTGCAGTGAGCCGAGATCGCGCCACTGCACTGCAGCCTGGGCGACAGAGCGAGACTCCGTCTCAAAAAAAAAAAAATGTAACTTTAAAGGGAAACACTTCTGAGAGTCTTGGATAGTAGACTCTTTCTCTCTTTAGCTATCCCAGATTCCACAGTCTGTGTTGATCCTATGGAGAAGACTCATGAGAGCCCTCTAAATTGTGACTTAGCCCTGATTCACAGCTTGGCATCTAGGTGCCCACCAAATTGTACCTGAGGTTCTTCTCAGTGATACAGGCAGACATGAGCCGAGGTCTTTCCTTCCATTAATCATGCATCTTTCATCTTTATTTTGAAACAGAGTCTCTCTCTGTCGCCCAGGCTGGAATGCAGTGGTCCAATTTCAGCTCACTGCAACCTCTACCTTCCAGGTTCCAGTGATTCTCCTGCCCCAACCACCCGAGTAGCTGGGATTACAGGTGTGCACAACCATGCCCAGCTAATTTTTGTGTTTTTACTAGAGACAGGGTTTTGCCATGTTGGCCAGGCTAGCCTTGAACTCCTGGCCTCGAGTGAACCACCCCCCTTGGACTCCCAAAGTGCTAGGATTACAGGCAAGAGCCACCGTGCCCTGTATGCATACTTCTAATGGATCTTGTCTTTTATTATAATAACCATGAGAAAAATTCCAATTTCCCCCACCCTATCCTTTAAGAAACAGAAACATCTATTTAGTACCAGGTATATGGATGGCATTTTTACAAAGTAGTAGTCCTAAGTAATAATAATTAAGACAGCAGAAAAGAGGTTGATTTCTTCCATGAAGTACATTTAAGCCTCTTATTAAAGAGGTAATGTGATGCCATCCACGACTTAGGAGCAGCAGCGGGGAGCAGGCTGTGGAGAGGACCAGTGCAGACATGGCCAAGTCTAAGAACCACACCACACACAGCCAGTCCCGAAATGGCACAGAAATGGTATCAAGAAACCCCGATCACAAAGATATGAATCCTATTTTTTTTTCTTTGAGACGGAGTCTCGCTCTGTGGCCCAGGCGGGAGTGCAGTGGCGCCATCTCGGCTCACTGCAAGCTCCACCTCCCAGGTTCACGCCATTCTCCTGCCTCAGCCTCCCGAGTAGCTGGGACCACAGGCGCCCACCACCATGCCGGCTAATTTTTTGTATTTTTAGTAGAGACGGGGTTTCACCATGTTAGCCAGGATGGTCTCGATCTCCTGACCTCGTGATCCGCCCGCCTCAGCCTCCCAAAGTGCTGGGATTACAGGCATGAGCCACCGCGCCTGGCCGATAAGAATCTCTTTTTTTTTTATAAGAATCTCTTAAGGGAGTGGACCCCAAGTTCCTGAGGAACATGCGCTTTGCCAAGAAGCACAACAAGAAAGGCCTAAAAAAGATGCAGGCCAACAGTGCCAGGGCCACGAGTGCACGTGCTGACGCTATCAAGGCCCTTGTAAAGCCCAAGGAGGTTAAGCCCGAGATCCCAAAGGGTGTCAGCCGCAAGCTCGATCCACTTGCCTACATTGCCCACCCCCAGGCTTGGGAAATGTGCTCATTCCTGCATTGCCAAGGGGCTCAAGCTATGTCGGTCAAAGGCCAAGGCCAAAGATCAAACCAAGGCCCAGGCTGCAGCTCCAGCTTAGGCTCCCAAAGGTGCCCGGACACCTACGAAGGCTTCAGAGTAGATATCTCTGTCTGCCAATGTGAGGACAGAAGGACTGGTGTGACCCCCCTGGACTGCCATCTGCATGGGGCTGGGGTCCTCCTGTGCTATTTGTACAAATAAATCTGAGGCAGGAAAAAAAAATAAATCAATAAAGAGGTAATGTTAAGGTGTAGATTTGGGCATCAAGCATTACGACTTAGTTTCACCTTGCAAAGCCAGGTCATTTCAGGGGAAAAAAGCTTCCTCCTTTTTTGTTTAGGATTTTTCTAAGGGAATTCTGTTAATAGCACTATTGTGTGTGTTTCTCCCATGTCAGTCTATCAGGTGTTTGAAAGTGTGGCTAAGAAGTATGATGTGATGAATGATATGATGAGTCTTGGTATCCATCGTGTTTGGAAGGATTTGCTGCTCTGGAAGATGCACCCGCTTCCTGGGACCCAGCTGCTTGATGTTGCTGGAGGCACAGGTAATGTCGAGTTTGGTATCCTTCACTACCATTGAGCATGTTTTACAGAAATTAGTCTCTCTTGTAATGAGCTAGCTCACCTAACACGAGGCGGAAGATGGTGATTGAAAATCTGCATACTTATAACTTCTGAGAAAGGCACGCACTTATCTTTTTGACTGAATATCAATCAAAAGCATAGAATAACAGTTTTGTGCCTGTCACTTTTTTTTTTTTGAGATAGGAGTCTCACTCTGTCGCCCAGGCTGGCATGCAGTGTCTCAATCTCAGCTCATTGCAACCTCTGCCTCCCAGGTTCAAGCAATTCTCCTGCCTCAGCCTCCTGAGTAGCTGGGACTACGGGCGTACTCCACCATGCCCAGCTAATATTTTGTATTTTAGTAGAGACGGGGTTTCACTGTGTTTCCCAGGCTGGTCTCGAACTCCTGAGTTCAGGCAGTCTGCCTGCCTCGGCCTCCCAAAGTGCTGGGATTACAGGCATGAACCTGGCCGGTGCCTGTCTGCCTGTCACATTTCCTTTTTTTTTTTTTTTTTGGAGATGGAGTCTTGCTCTGTCTCCCAGACTGCAGTGCAGCAGCGGTGCAATCTCGGCTCCACTGCAACCTCCACCTCCGGGGTTCAAGCAATTCTCTGCCTCAGCCTCCTGAGTAGCTGGGATTATAGGCATGCACCACCACGCCTGGCTAATTTTTGTATTGTTAGTAGAGACAGGGTTCCACCATCTTGGCCTGGCTGGTCTTGAACTCCTGACCTCATGATACACCCGCCTCGGCCTCCCAAGGTGCTGGGATTACAGGAGTGAGCCACTGTGCCCAGCTGCCTGTCACATTTCTAAAATACACAGATTGGCTGGCCGCAGCGGCTCACACCTGTACTCCCAGCACTTTGGGTGGCCACGGTGGGTGGATTGCCTAAGGTCAGGAGTTCAAGACCAGACTGGCCAACATGGTGAAAACCCATCTCTACTAAAAATACAAAAAAAAAGCCAGTGTGGTAGCTGGTGCCTGTAATCCCAGCTACTTGGGAGGCTGAGGCAGGAGAATTGCTTGAACTGGGGAGGTGGAGGGTTGCAGTGAGCTGAGATCGTACCATTACACTCCAGCCTGGGCAACAGAGCAAGATTCCGTCTCAAAAAAAAAAAAAAAAAAACGCAGGATTACAAAGGAAAAAGTCAAATTTTTGACCAGTGACATTTCACCATCTAAATGACTGTTTTATCTTCTGCTTAACCTTTAACCCCCTTTTCTTCTTTTTTAGGGGATGAGAGAAGCCTTTTATCACTTTATATAAGTTTTTGAGGCTGCCTTTTCTGCTTGATTTGCTATCACATCAAATATCAAAAGTTTGTGCACAGTCCTTTGTTACTTCTTGTACACTGAGCATTTGGAGAGAAAAATGTCATGATTTTACACAATGCGTCTTGGTGATGTCATCGTACATGTTAAATTACATTAGAGGCTGGGCGTGGTGGCTCACGCCTATAATCGTAGCACTTTGGGAGGATCACCTGAGGTTAGGAGTTCAAGACCAGTCTGGCCAACATGGTGAAACCCCGTCTCTACTAAAAATACAAAAATTCAGCTGGGCGATGGCGGGGTGTGGTGGCTCATGCCTGTAATCCCAGCACTTTGGGAGCCCGAGGCGGTCGGATCATGAGGTCAAGAGATCGAAACCATCCTGGCCAACATGGTGAAACCCTGTCTCTACTAAAAATACAAAAATTGGTCGGTTGTGGTGGCATGCGCCTGTAATCACAGCTACTCAGGAGGCTGAGGCAAGAGAATTGCTTGAACCCAGGAGGCCGAGGTTGCAGTGAGCCGAGATCAAGCCACCACACTCCAGCCTGGGCAACAGAGCGAGACTCTGTCTCAAAAAAAAAAAATTAAAAATAAAATAAAATAAAAATAGCCGGCAAGGTGGCGGGCGTCTGTAATTCCAGCTACTCAGGAGGCTGAGGCAGGAGAATCACTGGAACCCAGGAGGCAGAGGTTGCAGTGAGCCGAGATTGTGCCATTGCTCTCCAGCCTGGGCTGCAGAGCAAGACTCTGTCTCAAAAAATAATAATAATAATAAATAAATACATAAAATTACATTAGAATAATATATAATGTAATAATTTGATAATTAGTAACGATAGAGTAATGTATAATGATAAATTACAATAGAATAATCTCTATACTTGAAACATATTTATCTGTAGCTATGTTGGTGTGATCCTCTCCCCAAATGGAAGCTCAGAGGGCAAGAAGACACCTTGCTCTGTAGAGGGTAATTTAGCAGAATCTACCAAAATCTAAAATGCATATAAGCCTAGGATCCCACTTTTTTTTTTTTTTTTTTTTTGAGTCCAAGTCTCGTTCTTGTTGCCCAGGCTGAAGTGCAATGGCACAATTTCGGCTCACCGCAACCTCTGCCTCCTAGGTTCAAGCGATTTTCCTGCCTCGGCCTCCTAAGTAGCTGGGACTACAGGCATGTGCCACCACACCCAGCTAATTTTGTATTTTTAGTAGAGACGGAGTTTCTCCATGTTGGTCAGGCTGGTCTTGAACTCCCAGCCTCAGGTGATACACCCACCTCAGCCTCCCAAAGTGCTGGGATTATAGGCATGAGCCATCACGCCTGGCGGATCCCACATTTTCAATTCTTTTTTTTTTGAGATGGAGTCTTGCTCTGTTGCCCCGGCTGGAGTGCAATGGCATGATCTCGGCACACTGCAACCTCCGCCTCCTGGGTTAAAGTGATTCTCATGCCTTGGCCTCCCAAGTAGCTGGGATTACAGGCGCCCATCATCATGCCTGGCTGATTTTGTGTATTTTTAGTATAGGCAAGGTTTTACTATATTGGCCAGGCTGGCCTCAAATTCCTGACCTAAGGTGATCCGCCCACCTTGGCCTCCCAAAGTGTTGAGATTACAGGCCTGACCCACTCCGCCTGGCCTCACATTTTCAATTCTATGTCGCCTAAAGAAAAACTTCCACAAAGATTTAGTCACATATACGCTCATTGCATCACATTTAATAGTAATTAAAAATTGGAAATAACCTATTTCTTCCCAATAAGGACATGGCTTTAAATTAAGGCATATCCAGTCTATGAAATATTGTTTATCTATTTAAAACAATAAGGAAAACTTACAAGTAATGATGGAAAGGTTGCAAGGACATATTAAGTGGGAAGAATAAGAAAACACGTGGTATAACAATGTATACAATATCCCTGTTTATGTTTTTAAATGTTGTTATATGCATACCTATAAATATATTGAAATATCGTGCTCACTTCAGTAGCGCATATACTAAATTTGGAATGATACAGAGAAGATGCACAAAATAATTAATATATTGAAATATATGGCCGAGCACGTTGGCTCACGCCTGTAATCCCAGCATTTGGGAGGCTGAGGCGTGTGGATCACGAGGTCAGGAGTCTGAGACCAGCCTGACCAATGTGGTGAAACCCTGTCTCTACTAAAAATACAAAAATTAGCTGGGCGTGGTAGCACACGCCTGTAATCCCAGCTACTCAGGAGGCTGAGGCAGGAGAATTGCTTTAACCTGGGAAGCGGAGGTTGCAGTGAGCTGAGATCGTGCTACTGCACTCTAGCCTGGGAATAGAGCGAGCCTCCGTCTCAGGGAAAAAAAAAAAAAGATATAAAATAAAAAATGACTGGAGAATGACTGGAGAATACCTAATTGGTTGGACATATGGGAGAAACAAGGATATATTTCTTGGAAATAGTGTAGGAAAAACAAAGACAAGGAAACAGCTTTTTTTTTTTTTTTTTTTTGGAAACGGTCTTGCACTTTCGCCAGGCTGGAGTGTAGTGGCGTCATCTCGGCTTACTGCAACCTCCACCCCCCAGGCCTCAAGTAATCTTCCCATCTCAGCCTCCCAAATAGCTAGGAATACAGGCATGTGCCCCACACCTGGCTAATTTTTGTAATTTTTTTCGTAGAGACTGAGTTTCACCATGTTACCCAGGCTGGTCTCAAACCTCTGGGCTCAAGCAATCTGCCTACCTCAGCCTCCTGAAGCCTGAAGTGCTGGGATCACAGGCGTGAGCCACCGAGCCCAGCCGGAAACAGCATTATAAGAAAGGAAATATAGGGCCAGGCGCAATGGCTCATGCCTGTAATCCCAGCACTTTGGGAGGCCGAGGCGAGTGGATCACCTGAGGTCAAGAGTTCGAGACCAGCCTGACCAACATGATGAAACCCTATCTCTACTAAAAATACAAAATTAGCCAGGTTTGGTGGCACATGCCTGTGATCCCAGCCACTTGGGAGGCTGAGGCAGGAGAATCACTTGAACCTGGGAGGCAGAGGTTGCAGTGAGCTCAGATCGCGCCATTGCACTCCAGCCTGGGCAACAAGAGCAGAAACTCCATCTCAAAAAAAAAGAAAGAAAGAAAAGGAAATATAGAAAAGAGAGGAAAAAAGAAAGGAAATAGGATTCTACAAAGCACTGGATTTGTCCTGAACAATATTTACCAGGTCACAGTATTATAAACACTTGATTTGGTTTTTTTTTTTGAGATGTAGTCTTGCTCTGTCGCCCAGGCTGGAGTGCAGTGGCGCGATCTTGGCTCACTGCAAGCTCTGCCTCCTGGGTTCATGCCATTCTCCTGCCTCAGCCTCCTGAGTAGCTGGGACTACAGGCACCCACCACCACGCCTGGCTAATTTTTTTTTTTTTTTTGTATTTTTTTAGTAGAGACGGGGTTTCATCATGTTAGCCAAGATGGTCTCGATCTCCTGACCTCGTGATCCAACCGCCTCGGCCTCCCGAAGTGCTGGGATTACAGGCATGAGCCACCGCGCCCGGCCTCAGTTTTTATTTTATTTATTTATTTATTTATTTTTGAGACGGAGTTTCGCTTTTGTCACTCAGGCTGGAGTGCAATGGCGCTATCTCGGCCCACTGCAACATCTGTTTCCCAGGTTTAAGCTATTCTCCTGCCGCAGGCTCCCAAGTAGCTGGGATAACAGGCGCCTGCCACCACACCTGGCTAATTTTTGTATTTTTAAAAATGTAGAGACGGGGTTTCACCATGTTGGCCAGGCTGGTCTCAGACTCCTGACCTCAGGTGATCCCCCAGTCTCAGCCTCCCAAAGTGCTGAGATTGCAGGCATGAGCCCAGCCCAATTTCTTTAATTAAAAAAAAAAGTTAGTGTTGAAATGAGTAGAAACTTCCACGTTCACACACTCAGCTATGATTGTGCCTCTGCACTCCAGCTAGGGTGATGGAGTGAGTCCCTGTCTCTAACAAAAAGAAGAAAGGACTTGGCTTTCAGCCACACTGCATCCAGTTAGCTAACACAGGTACTCCTGTGCCTCTGTTACCCCTTTGGGTTTTAGGAAATGCTGTTTCTTCCTTTTTTATTTTTGTTTTAGTCTGCATCTTTCCTCATGTTGGCTTCCCACAGGTGACATTGCATTCCGGTTCCTTAATTATGTTCAGTCCCAGCATCAGAGAAAACAGAAGAGGCAGTTAAGGGCCCAACAAAATTTATCCTGGGAAGAAATTGCCAAAGAGTACCAGAATGAAGAAGATTCCTTGGGCGGGTCTCGTGTCGTGGTGTGTGACATCAACAAGGAGATGCTAAAGGTTGGAAAGCAGAAAGCCTTGGCTCAAGGATACAGAGCTGGTGAGTCCTGCAGAAGGCAGACACAGGGGAAGTATTTGTATCTTTATAGAATAAGGTGGAATATGTAAAATATTGAAATGCTTTATCTTTTGGCTTTCAGAAACTTATAGATGGGCAGGTTGAAGATGATTTGCATGGCTGAATCTAGTTTGTGTGCTGTTATATGCATTATGTATGCATAGCAGCCCATTGAGTGAGCTTACCCAGCCCTATGTGACTGGGATCACTAGATCCCAAGTAAGTCAAGAATCTTACCCAAGTCACACAACTTCTCAGTGGCAGATCCCAAATTGGAGTTGAATCTTCAGATCTCAGCTCTGAGACCCTGAGACAGAAGTTTTGCTGTCATTTCCCAGCAGCTTCAGGGTGACTTCGGTGTATCATTCCCATTCTTGAACCATTCCATTCTCCTGTCCATACTAGGATAGTTTGATTGCTGTGCAACTGGACCTCTCATCTCCTGTAAAGAAAGAACTTCTGGCTGAGCCCATGGCTCACACCTATAATCTCAGAACTTTGGGAGGCCACAATAGGAGGATTACTTGAGCCCAAGAGTTCCAGGCTGCAGTGAGCTATGATTGCACCTCTGCACTCCAGCCTGAGTGACAGAGTGAGACCCTGTCTCTAAAGAAACTTAAACAATAAAAAAAGAAATAACTTGCCCTTCAGCCACAAGGAGTGCAGTTAGCTAGCAGCCTCCACCTATTAGCACATCAGCCTCTGCCTCAGTTTCCAAGGGAGGCCAGGCTCTTTTGTGGCAGCTCGTAGCCAATGGCTGAACACTGTGGGACTACTAGGGCCTGGATATTTTCCAAGCAAGACTCTTTAACAGCCAGCCTTTGTTCTGGAGGTCCCTATTGGGTAGGCTGAGCCTTTGTCAGATCTGCATTAAGGTCTAAAGGCTTTTCTTGCTCAGTCTTTCTTCCTCTCCCTTTGTCTACTCTGTGTTTCCCCTGCCACACACACAAAAAATTATTATACTCCTTGGTCCATCTCAGCATGTTTCTCAGAGGACCCATCTGATACACTCAAAGAAACACTCGTGAACAGTACTCCTCACACTTCCCCACTGTGGTAAATACGAACAGCAGATAGGCAGATGACTGCATGCCTATCTCTGTGAGATTACTGCAAGCTCAAAATGGATGATTTGTGTGCTAGCTTAAAAATGTAAATTGTGGCAGCGAGGTGGCTCATGCCTGTAATCCCAGCACTTTGGAACGCTGAGGGTGAAGGATCGCTTGAAGCCAGGAGTTCAAGACCAGCCTAGGCAACATAGTGAGACTCTGTCTCTACAAAAAATTTAAGTTAGCCAAGTGTGGTGGTACACACCTGTAGTAACAGCTACTTGGGAGGCTGAAGCAGGAGGATCACTTGAATCCAGGAGGTCGAGACTGCAGTGAGCCATGATCATGCCACTGCACTCCAGCCTGGGCAACAGAGTAAGACCCTGTCTCAAAAAAAAAGCAAATTTGGCCAGGCGTGGTGGCTCACGCCTGTAATCTCAGCACTTTGGGAGGCCGAGGGGGGGTGGATCCCCTGAGGTCTGGAGTTCGAGACCAGCCTGACCAATATGGAGAAACCCTGTCTCTACTAAAAATACAAAATTAGCTGGGTGTGGTGACACATGCCTGTAATCCCAGCTATTTGAAGGCTGAGGCAGGAGAATTGCTTGAACCTGGAAGGTGGAGGTTGTGGTGAACCAAGATGGTGCCATTGCACTCCAGCCTAGGCAACAAGAGAGAAACTCCGTCCTGGCAACTGCACCCTGTTGGCCCAGTTTTTGTTGTTGTTGTTGTTGTTGTTGTTGTTGTTGTTGTTTCTGAGACAGAGTCTTGCCCTGTTGCCCAGGATGGAGTACAGTGGAGCGATCTCGGGTCACTACAACCTCTGCCTCCCGGGTTCAAGCAATTCTTGTGCCTCAGCCTCCCGAGTAGCTGGGATTACAGCTGCGCAGCACCATACCCGGCTAATTTTTTTGTATTTTTAGTAGAGACGGGGTTTCACTATGTTGGCCAGGCTGGTCTCGAACTCCTGGTCTCATGTGATCTGTCCACCCATTCCTCCCAAAGTGTTGGGATTATAGGTGTGAGCCACTGCGCCCAGCCCAGCTTTTCAGAGCCGCTATTCTGCCCTCTTCCATGCTGGCCAGGGACCACAGATGGCCACTGTGAGGGGCAGTGGTATATAACAAAGAACGTCCCTCAGGTCAACATCAGCATTTCTCTCCTTCTCCTCCCCCACCATGAGTGTCTATGGTTATTTTAGCTCAAATCTTCCTCCTCTTCCTCCTCCCACCCCCAGAAGGAGCTGCCTAGACGAGCTGCAGCCCACTTGGCCCCCAAGCTGAAGGGCTCCTTTGTTAACCATCAATACTGGTCAGAAGGCGGACAGTCGCTAGTGTTTTTAGACAAAGGCACTATGTTTCCTTACTCCTACTGACAAACATGTTTCCCTTCTCTCTGGTACTCAGCCATAAAGAACGGAAAACAAAGATATTGAAATGATAAGCAGTGTTCCATTTCTGGAATCATCTCTTCCATTGCATAGCCTGCCCGTCGAGCTCTCCTAAGCACCAAGACAAATGCATCTGTGTAGGAATTATTAAGTGCCCCATAGTACAGATTTATCTTTCCTCCTTGTTTTATCAATCTCCAATAATCATACCTTTGCAAAAACATCATGAAAAGTAGAAACTAAGTAGGAGGACCCTAGAAATTATTTAATAAATATAAAAGTTAATGTGTGGTCGGGCGCAGTAGCTTATACCTGTAATCCCAGCACTTTGGGAGGCTGAGGCAGGCAGATCACCTGAGGTCAAAAGTTTGAGACCAGCCTGGTCAACATGGTGAAACCCTGTCTCTACTAAAAATACAAAAATTAGCCAGGCGTGGTGGTGCGCGCCTGTAATCCCAGCTACTCAGGAGGCTGAGGCACGAGAATCTCTTGAACCCAGGAGGTGGACGTCGCACCACTACACTACAGACTGGGTGACAGAGCAAGGCTCTGTCTCAAAAAAAAAAAAAAAGTTAATGTGTAACTTAACTACTTTTTTTTTTTTTTTTGAGACGGAGTCTCGCTCTGTCGCCCAGGCTGGAGTGCAGTGGCGCAATCTCGGCTCACTGCAAGCTCCGCCTCCCGGGTTCACGCCATTCTCTTGCCTCAGCCTCCGCAGCAGCTGGGACTACAGGCACATGCCGCCACGCCCGGCTAATTTTTGTATTTTTAGTAGAGATGGGGTTTCTCTGTGTTAGCCAGGATGGTCTCGATCTCCTGACCTTGTGATCCGCCCGCCTCGGCCTCCCAAAGTGCTGGGATTACAGGTGTGAGCCACTGCACCTGGCCCTTAACTACTTTTTTTTTTAATGTATAGCATGGTTATGTGTTTTATTT
Source organism: Homo sapiens (assembly GCF_000001405.40). Classification (NCBI taxonomy): domain Eukaryota; kingdom Metazoa; phylum Chordata; class Mammalia; order Primates; family Hominidae; genus Homo; species Homo sapiens. The sequence goes on along the minus strand of NC_000012.12, from coordinate 120,513,173 downwards.
ATATTTTTTATGTAGCACTTTCCTTCCCAAATGGAAGATCTTAGGGGCAGGAGCTTTAAAATATATACATATTTGGCTGGGTGCTGTGGCTCACACCTGTAATCCCAGCACTTTGGGAGGCCGAGGCAGGTGGATCACCTCAGGTCAGGAGTTCGAGAATAGCCTGGCCAACATGGCGAAACCCTGTCTCTACTAAAAATACAAAAAAAAAAATCAGGCAGGTGAGTAGCTAGGATTATAGGTGTATGCCACCATGCCTGGCTAATTTTTGTATTTTTATTAGAGATAGGGTTTTGCCATGTTGGCCAGGCTACTCTCAAACTCTTGGCCTCAAGTGGTCTGCCCTCTTCAGCCTCCCAAAGTGCTGGGATTGCAGGTGTGGGCTATCGCACCTGGCCTGGAAAAGTATTAAGAAGAAAGTAAATGTTAACCATAATTCCAACATTCAGAGTTGCCCCTCAATATGGTAATGTTTCCTTCCTTTTTCCTAATTATTCCCTTTTTATAAAGTTGAGAACATCCTATATATACAATTTATTTATTTATTTGTTTGTTTATTTATGTATTTATTTTTGAGACAGAGTCCTGCTTTGTCACCCAGGCTGGAGTGCAGTGGTACGATCTCAGCTCACTGCAACCTCCGCCTCCCGGTTCAAGCGATTCCCCTGCCTCAGCCTCCCAAGTAGCTGGGATTACAGGCACCCTCCACCAAGCCCAGCTAATTTTTATATTTTTAGTAGAGAGGGGGTTTCACCATCTTGGCCAGGCTGGTCTCGAACTCTTGACCTCGTGATCCACCTGCCTCAGCCTTCCAAAGTGCTGGGGTTACAGGCATGAGCCACCGCGCCCGTCCTACAATTTAGTAATCCTGCTTTAATTTACTATGGTATCAAAAGATTTCTCCAAGTCATTAGAAATTCCTTGAAATCATTATTTTTATTTTATTTTATTTTATTTTATTTTTGAGACGGAGTCTCGTTCTGTCACCCAGGCTGGAGTGCGGTGGCATGATCTCGGCTCACTGCAAGCTCCACCTCCCAGGTTCACACCATTCTCCTGCCTCAGCCTCCTGATTAGCTGGAACTACAGGCACCCACCACCACGTCTGGCTAATTTTTGTATTTTTAGTAGAGATGGGGTTTCACCGTGTTAGCCCGGATGGTCTTGAACTCCTGACCTCATGATCTGCCCGCCTCGGCCTCCCAAAGTGCTGGGATTACAGGCGTGAGCCACCACACCCGGCCAAAATCATTATTTTTTATGCTATTCTTCCATATGGATGTTTCATGATTCATATAACCAATAACCAATTGAGAATTCTTTTTTTCCCCAATGTTTTGCATGTAGCACAACTTTGTGACATTCTTATTTGTAATTTTTGCATGGATTCATTCGTTTACTGACTGTATAACCTTAGTCAAGTGTTTAAACTCTAATAACTACTTCGTACTAGGAGGTGATATGCCATAGCTGTTGAAAACATAGGCTCTGGGTTCCAGTCCATCTGTGTGACCTTGGGCAAGCAACCTTTCTCTTTTTGCTTTTTATTTTTTCGAGATATGGTCTTGCTGTGTTACCCAGGCTGGTCTTGAACTCCTGGGCTCAAGCTCTCCTCCCACCTCAGCCTCCTGAGTCTCTGGGATTACAGGTGCATGCCACCGTGCTCAGCTCAGACTTTAAACCTTTCTGATGTTCACTTTGCTGACCTGAAACATGAGGATAATGGTAGTAACTCTCTCACAGAGTTGGTATGAGGATATACTAAGATAATCTATCTAAAGATGTACATAAAATAACACAGACCCTGCCACTTGATAAGGGCCCTCTAAGCAGTAGCTGTGATGATGATGTCAATGTCCTTTCCCTAAAAATCAAATCACTGGGTCAAAAGGCATACTTTCTTTTTTTTTTTTTTTTGAGACAGAGTCTCGCTCTGTCACCCAGGCTGGAGTGCAGTGGCGCGATCTCAGCTCACTGCAACCTCCACCTCCCGAATTCAAGCAATTCTCCTGCCTCAGCCTCCCCAGTAGCTGGGACTACAGGTGCATGCCACCACGCCCGGCTAATTTTTTGTATTTTTAGTAGAGACGGGGTTTCACCATGTTTCGATCTCCTGACCTCGTGATCTGCCTCCCTCAGCTTCCCAAAATGCTGGGATTTCAGGCGTGAGCCACCGCACCTGGCCAGGTGTACTTATTTTTAAGGCCCTTGTTAGATACTGTTAATTTGCTTTCCAGAAAGGTTATTTTCATTTACCTTCCTCTATACAGTCTTCTTTTTGTATTTTACATCTAATTCGCTGTAGGTTGTATAATGTTAAAGTCTAATCAAGATCCTTGGAGGACACAGCCACCCTGATAGGGGCCTCTGGTGATCTCTGAATCTCAGACCTAGACACGCTGATGCTCTATGATTCCAATAAAACCAGTAAAACTCTGCTAAATTCTGTACTTAGAGTAACTCAGTTAATACTTTTAGTAACCCTATAGAGTAGGCACTAGTTTTTAACTCCATTTTACAGATGAGGAAACAGACAAAGTAGTTTATTCAAGAATACACAGGCCAGGCACAGTGGCTCACATCTGTAATTCCAGCACTTTGGGAGGCCGAGGCGGGAGGATTGCTTGAGCCCAGGAGTTTGAGACCAGCCTGGGCAAGATGACGAGACCTCGTCTCTACAGAAGAAATTTTTAAAAACTAGCTGGGCAGGGTGGTGTGTGCCTATAGTCCCAACTACTGGGGATACTAAGGCAGGAGGATCCTTTGAGTCCAGGAGTTTGAGGATGCAGTGAGCTGTGTGCCACTGTACTCCAGCCTGGGTGAGAAAGCAAGACCTCCCCATGTCTAAAAAAAATAATAATGATTGATTAAAAATATAAAAGGAAAAATATGTATATATAAGGAATATGGTGAAGCTGGGATTAGAATCCAGGCAGCCTAACCACCCAGGACTTGGGCTCTCCAGCTCAATGCTCTACATGAAATGAATTCACTGGGGGCAGGAAAAACAGCTACCCACACTGAGACCCGGAACTCACTTTCTCTTTCAGGACTTGCATGGGTATTAGGAGATGCTGAAGAACTGCCCTTTGATGATGACAAGTTTGATATTTACACCATTGCCTTTGGGATCCGGAATGTCACACACATTGATCAGGTATGAATGGCTGCATCCTCAGCTTGTATGACTCTCAGGAAATTACCTCTGTTGTAGAGCTACAGTGAGTGAGGAAAGAAGGAGAGTTTTGTTTTTTGAGATGGGGTCTTGGTATGTTGCCCAGGCTAGTCTCAAACTCCTGGGCTCAAGCAGTCCTTCCACATCTGCCTCCCAAGTAGCTGGGATTACAGGAACCTTACAGGAACCCACCACCACACCCAGGGAGAGAGAGAGAGAGAGAGATAGATAGATTTTTTTTTTAATCTTAAAAAAGATAATGTTTAAGGGCTTGGCGCTTGAGTGGAATGCCTGTTTGAAGTTTAGGGTCCTCCATCCTTTAAGTTGACAAATTTTCTAGTCACAAAATTGAAAAAGACTGAAACCACAGAGCTGATCTCCATAGAAGTCTGTCTTACTTGGATTGGTATTCACATCTTTGGGATTTGTCTTGCTCTGGCCTTTTGTGTATTTCCTCATACTTGTGAAGCTGCCTGACCCTGTGAATTTGCAGAAAATCAGAGACATGTCAGAGGCTGACAAAGACAAGGGCCCTCAAACACTGTTTTGACAAAAGATAGCTGGATTCATGGCTTTTCTACAGGAAAAGGGGAACGTTCAGCTCTTAATCTGATGGAGCTCTTCTTTGTTCCTACTTTATTTTTTGTAGAGATGGGGTTTTGCCATGTTGCCCAGGTTGATCTCGAACCCCTGAGCTCAAGTGATCCTCCCACCTCAGCCTCCCAAAATGCTGGGATTACAGGCCTGAGCCACCATGCCTGGCCTTTATTCCTACTTTAATATTCTGTTCAAAACACTTGAAGACCATGTGCAAGGCAAAGAGTTTCATTTCAGTAACATGGTCTCTGGTTGCCTGGGTCCTCTGGTTAAGTGGTAAGTTCTTTATGGTGTTCATCAGCTTGGTTTGCATCACCTTTCCTATGTCAGTAGCCAGTTTATTATTTTGTTGAATGAAAACTTTTTTTTTTTTTTTTTGAGACAGAGTCTCGCTCTGTTGCCAGGCTGGAGTGCAGTGGCGCGATCTTGGCTCACTACAACCTCTGTCTCCTGGGTTCAAGCAATTCTCCTGCGTCAGCCTCCGGAGTAGCTGGGACTACAGGCGTGTGCCACCACGCCCAGCTAATTTTTGTATTTATCAGTAGAGACGGCATTTCACTATGTTGGCCAGGATGGTCTCTGTCTCTTGACCTCATGATCCTCCCGCCTTGGCCTCCCAAAGTGCTGGGATTACAGTCGTGAGCCACCACGCCTGGGGAAAAAAATTTTTTAATAGGTTCAAAGTTCAAAAGGCACAAAAGGTTATATGTGACAATCTCCCTCCCATCCTTGCCTCCTCTCCCATTCAGTGCTTCTCCCTTCAGACAGTCACCAGCTTCTTGTGTATCTTTGTCAAGATGTTTTGTGAATTGGTTATGATTCACATAACTAATAACCAATTGATATTTCTTTTTTTTCCTATGTTTTGCATGTAGCACAACTTTGTGACATCCTTATTTGTAATTTTTGCATGGATTCGATCATTTGTTTACTGACTAACCTTAGACAAGTGTTTGTGATGTTTTGTGCCAAGGTGTATATACTATTTTCTTTCTTTTTCCTTTTTTTTTGTTTGGAGACGGACTCTCACTCTGTCACCCAGGCTGGAGTACAGTAACGTGATCTCAGCTCACTGCAGCCAGTTGAGAGTTCAACCTCAGCTGGTCTTGAACTCTTTGGAGGCCTCCAGGCTGGCCTCCCAACTCTTTAGGAGGCCGAGGTGGGCAGATCACGAGGTCAGGAGATCAAGACCATCCTGGCCAACATGGTGAAACCCCGTCTCTACTAAAAATACAAAAATTAGCTGGGCGTGGCGGCACGAACCTGTAGTCCCAGCTACTTGGGAGGCTGAGTTGGGAAAATCCCTTGAACCCAGGAGGCGGAGGCTGCAGTGAGCCGAGATCACACCACTGCACTCCGCCTGGGCGACAGAGTGAGACTCCACCTCAAAAATAAATAAATAGATAGATGGATAGAATAAAAGTAAACAAATATTTCTTGGAGATTTTTCCTTGTAAGTACATAAAGAGCACTGGCTCTTTTTATTTTTTTATTTTATTATTATTATTATTTTTTGAGACAGAGTCTCACTCTGTCACCCAGGCTAGAGTGCAGTGGAGAGATCTGGGCTCACTGAAACCTCCGCCTCCTGGGTTCAAGTGATTCTTCTGCCTCAGCCTCCCAAGTAGCTGGGGTTATAGGCATGCACCACCATGCCCGACTAATTTTGTATTTTTAGTAGAGACGGAGTTTCTCCATGTTGGTCAGGCTGGTCTCAAACTCCCAACCTCAGGTGATCCACCCACCTCGGCCTCCCAAAGTGCTGGGATTACAGGCGTGAGCCACTGCACCTGGCACTTTTTAAAATAGTTGAATAGAGGCCGGGCGTGGTGGCTCACACCTGTAATCCCAGCACTTTGGGAGGCCGAGGCGGGTGGATCATGAGGTCAGGAGTTCGAGACCAGCCTGACCAACATGGTGAAAACCCCGTCTCTACTAAAAATACAAAAATTAGCTGGGCGTGGTGGCGCGTGCCTATAGTCCCAGATACTTGGGAGGCTGAGGGAGAAGAATCGCTTGAACCCGGGAGGCAGAGGTTGTGGTGAGTTGAGATCACACCACTGCACTCCAGCCTGGGCGACAGAACGAGACTCCGTCTCAAAAAAAAAAAAAATAAGTTGAATAGATTCCATTTATATTTATATTTCATAATTTAGTCTCTTATTAATCGTTAAAGATGCTTCTAATCTTGTGCTATTCAAACACTTGTCTTTTGACAACTGTTTGAACAGCAAATTTTAAAATGACTTCATTTCATAAAATAGAATGTGCTGGGCACAGTAGCTCACGCCTGTAATCCCAGCACTTCGGGAGGCCGAGGCGGGCAGATCACTTGAGGTCAGGAGTTTGAGACCAGCCTGGCCAACATGGTGAAACCCTGTCTATACTAAAAATACAAAAATTAGCCAGGCATGGTGGCGGGCATCTGTAATCCCAGCTACTTGGGAGGCTGAGACAGGAGAATTGCTTGAACCCGGGAGGTGGAAGTTGCAGTGAGCCGAGATTGTGCCACTGCCCTCCAGCCTGGGCGACAGAGCAAGACTCCATCTCAAAAAAATAAAAAAATAAATAAAAATAGAATGCATCCCAATGAGTTGAGCAGAAGACATTGGCTTTATAGACACAGAAAGACTGAAGAAAGCAGAGAAGCAAAGAACAAAGAGTGTATTATTCATCCTTTCAAAACTACTTTTCTTGAAAGGCTGTGATAGGGAGGCAGAATAATAAAAAAAATAGGCTGGGCGTGGTGGCCCAAGTCTGTAATCCTAGCACTTTGGGAGGCCAAGGTGGAAGGATCACCTGAAGTCTCTAGTTCAAGACCAGCCTGGCCAACATGGCGAAACTCCATCTCTACTAAAAATGCAAAAATTAGCCGGGTGTGGTGGCATGTACCTGTAGTCCCAGCAACATGGGAGGCTGAGGCAGGAGAATCACTTGAACCTAGGAGGCAGAGGTTGCAGTGAGCTGAGATCGTGCCACTGCACTCCAGACTGGGTGACAGAGCGAGACTCTGTCTAAAAAAAAAAAAAAAATTTTAAACAGGAGTGTTGGAGAAATTGACTGTATCTCTTTCTCCTGATCTCTCTAGAAGGTCAGCTGACAACTTAGTTTCAGTTTGGTGATGTGGAACTATGGAGTCAAAAGTTGGGTGACTCCATCTTGATTCTTAGTCTGGTCTGTTGGAACCTAGTGCAGAAACAATCCAAAACAATGGCTTCCTATACTTTTTATTTAAAAGTGAATAACCGGCCAGGCATGGTGGCTCACACCTGTAATCCTAGCACCTTGTGAGGCCGAGACGAGTGGATCACTTCAGGCCAGGAGTTCAAGACTGGCCTGGCCAACATGGTGAAACCCTTTTTCTACTAAAAACACAAAATTAGTTGGGTGTGGTGGTGCATTCCTGTAATCCCAGCTACCTGGGAGTCTGAGGCAAGAGAATCACTTGAACCCGGGAGGTGGAGGTTGCAGTGAGCTGAGATCATGCCATTGCACTCTAGCCTGGGCAACAAGAGCGAAACTCTGTCTCAAAAAAACAAACAAATAGGCTGGGTGCGGTGGCTCACACCTGTAATCCCAGCACTTTGGGAGGCCGAGGCTGGCAGACCACCTGATATTGGGAGTTCGAGACAAGCCTGACCAATGTGGAGAAACCCCGTCTCTACTAAAAATACAAAATTAGCCGGGTGTGGTGGTACGTGCCTGTAATCCTAGCTACTCGGGAGGCTGAGGCAGGAAAATCGCTTCAACCTGAGAGGTGGAGGTTGTGGTGAGCCGAGATCATGCCATTGCACTCCAGCCTGGGCAACAAGAGCAAAATTCCACCTCAAAAACAAACAAACAAAAAATTAGCGGGGCGTGGTGGCAGGCACCTGTAGTTCAGCTACTCAGGAAGCTGAGGCAGGAGAATCGCTTGAACCTGGGAGGCAGCGGTTGCAGTGAGCTGAGATCACACCACTGCACTCCAGTCTGGGCGACAGAGCAAGGCTCCATTGCAAAAAATAAAAATAAAAAATAAAAAATAAAAAAAAAAGTGAATAACCCACGTACATGTCATTCCCACAGTAGAAGCATTTCTGTAAGCTAGATTCCTTGAAGTAAAATTGCTTTATCAGAGAGGATATCCATTGTGATTTTGAAAGGTAACTCTAAACTTACCCTTCATGCAATTGTACCAATCTGTAGTCAGTTTAGATTACCCCAGCTAACTTTGTCTAGTCACCGGCAGCAGAATGCCTATAGCATTTGGGATACGTAGGGTTATTGCTGCTGTTACAGCTTCCCAAGTGAGAACAAACAAGAGGTTTGTGGGCCATGATAACTTTTTTAATGCCTGCAGAAGCTAAAGCTGTCTTGGCCTCATGGAATTGAGTGAGGTCTACTGAGGAGTGTGTCCTGTTGTTCCTTGTCTTGCTCAGGCACTCCAGGAAGCTCATCGGGTGCTGAAACCAGGAGGACGGTTTCTCTGTCTGGAATTTAGCCAAGTGAACAATCCCCTCATATCCAGGTTGGCATTGTTAATAGGGCTTTATCTTCATTGTATAGCCAAGGTTTCCCACCCCGAAATGGATTGAAAATAGCCAGTAAGCTATAAGCATGAACTTTGTAGTTCAGAGTACCAGAGGTCAGCCAGTTCTGAATGACAATACCTAGGCCACAAGAGTCTCAAACCAGACCCAAGTTGGCTTACATATGTATATTAAGAAATTGACTTAGAAGCCCCTATTTAAAAATCAGGAAATGCCTGGTCCAATGGTAGTGGGTTATCAGAACTTATTAGTGGCAATAACGTTGCTACTCAACCCCCCTCTGATAAATTTGACTGGCTTAAAAAAAAAAAAATCAGGAAATTTGGGCCAAGTGCAGTGGCTCATGCTTGTAATCCCAGCACTTTGGGAGGCTGAGGCGGGAGGATCACTTGAGGCCAGGAGTTCAAGACCAGCCTGGGCAACCGTGAGACCCTATCTCTAAAAAAAAAAAAAAAAAAAAAAAATTTAAATCAGGAAATTTTCCATAAAAATCTGAATTTCCAGCTTCACTTGAGAAATCAGATACATGGCAGCCCTGGGTAGGCCTATCTCCCCACATGCCACAGGGAGGTCTGAGTAGTAACTGTCCCTTCTCCACTTCATAATACTTCCTAACTGTACCTGTCAGCACTTCTACTGGTCTTGTACCTGACCCACTTAATTCAGGTTCTTGCTTGATCCCTATAGGCATTTGAGTTTGTGACCCCAGGTTTAGTCCTTCTTTCTTCTTATCTAGGGAAGAAGTGAGGGGCATGTTCTAATCTTCATCTTTTACCTTTTTGTTTGCCTAGGCTTTATGATCTATATAGCTTCCAGGTCATCCCTGTCCTGGGAGAGGTCATCGCTGGAGACTGGAAGTCCTATCAGTACCTTGTAGAGAGTATCCGAAGGTTTCCGTCTCAGGTATGAAACTTCTATAGCTTTAAACAAAGGCCCTACAGTGATATCCAGGCTACCCTGGCTTTATCATCTTTCCTTGTGTTTCAGGAAGAGTTCAAGGACATGATAGAAGATGCAGGCTTTCACAAGGTGACTTACGAAAGTCTAACATCAGGCATTGTGGCCATTCATTCTGGCTTCAAACTTTAATTCCTTTCCTATCATGGAGCATGAACCAGTCATATCCTGTTGAAAGCCTGGAACTGAAGGATAATCTGGCAAATGAGACAGCAGCAGAGCATCTCCTCTTAAGGATACGTGCCTTGGACTCATGTTTGAATCGAACAGTCTCAAAGTGGAAGAACAAATTCTTGTCACTTTTTTACAGCTTTCTTTGGAGCTGCTTCAGTCCATCTCCCAGAGGCATTTGGTCTGTATCTTTGCTCAACTGCTAATTTCTCTTGGCTGTAGGGTGTGTGGTTAAGGTACAACCACCCCTAAAGCTCAGTTTTGAAGTGAGTGTATTTATAGCTTCTCTGCTGGTGCTGCCTTCTAGAGGGATGATAGATCATTTGAACCCAATGACAATTTTTAACCAGAAAATTTAATTGTACCTGAATCAACCTTTCAGCCTAGGACGAAGTCTAGGCCCAAGTCAGAGTATTAATGATCATGAGAATTGTGTGCTGAACCAGTAAACGAGTTTACCTTTTGATGGTACTTGTCATTTTTTCTTGAAGGGGGTAAGGAAAATATATTTTTCTTTTACTTTTTTTTTTTTTTCGAGATGGAGTTTTCCTCTGTCACCCAGGCTGGAGTGCAGTGGTGCAATCTCTGCTCACCGTAACCTCCACCTTGTGGGTTCAAGCAGTTCTCCTGCCTCAGCCTCCCAAGTAGCTGGGATTACAGGTGCGCGCCACCACGCCCGGCTAATTTTTTTGTATTTTTAGTAGATAAGGGATTTTACCATGTTGGCCGCGCCTGGCCAGAAAATATATTTTTCATCATTCTTTCAGTCCTCTTCCATAAAAAGCTACTATGTAGGTTGGGTGCAGTGGCTCACGCCTGTAATCCCAGCACTTACGTAGGCCGAGGCAGGTGGATCACGAGGTCAGGAGTTTGAGACCAGCCTGGCCAGCATGGTGAAATCCTGTCTCCACTAAAAATACAAAAAATTAGCTGGGCATGATGGTGTGCTCCTGTAATCCCAGCTACTCAGGAGGCTGAGGCAGGTGAATCACTTGAACCCAGGAGGTAGAGATTGCAGTGAGCCGAGATCGTGCCACTGCACTCCATCCTGGGTGATAGAGAGAGACTCTGTCTCAAAAAAAAAAAAAAAGAAAGAAACCTTTTCACTAAGTCCTTGTTGGAAAATAAATGTACCAGCAAAATCCTGCTTTCATGTCTTATATAGGGAGCTTTTTTGTAAGAGTACACTTGTTTTATAGCAAAAAAAAAAAAGTTTGAAAATGATGTAAGCTAACCTTCAGTACTCAGAGATGGAGCTGAGCAGACTTCTTGTCTCCTTGTTATAGTCTACTGTTGTCTTTCTTTTTCATTTTTTGTCATTTTCTTTTCTTTTTTTTTTTTTTTGAGACAGAGTCTCGCTCTGTCACCCAGGCTGGAATTCAGTGGCGCGATTTCAGCTCACTGCAAGCTCCGCCTCCCGGGTTCACGCCATTCTCCTGCCTCAGCCTCCCAAGTAGCTGGGACTACAGGCGCCCGCCACTGCGCCCAGCTAATTTTTTTGTATTTTTAGTAGAGACGGGGTTTCACCATGGTCTCGATCTCCTGACCTCGTGATCCGCCCGCCTCGGCCTCCCAAAGTGCTGGGATTACAGGCGTGAGCCACCGCGCCTGGCCTTGTCATTTTCTAAACTTCTCCCTGAATACAGTCCACTGTTTGATGTTAAAATGAGGCCATAAATTTTTTTAAGAGACAGGGTCTCGCTCTGTCACTCAAGCTGGAGTGCAGTGACCTGATCATAGCCCACTACAGCCTAAACTCCTGGGCTCAAGCAGCCCTCCCACCTCAGCCTCTTAAATAGCTGGGTCTACAGGCATACGCCATAGTGCCTGGTTAATTTTTTAATTTGTAATTTTTTTTTTTTTTGGAGACCGAGTCTCCCTCTGTCACCTAGGCTGGAGTGCAGTGGTGTGGTCTTGGCTCACTGCAACCTCCGCCTCCCAGGTTCAAGCAATTCTCCTGCCTCAGCCTTCCAAGTAGCTGGGATTACAGGTACCTACCACCATGCCCAGCTAATTTTTGTATTTGTAGTAGAAACAAGGTTTCACCATGTTGGCCAGGCTGGTCTCGATATCCTGACATCAGGTGATCTGCCCACCTCAAGCCTCCCAATGTGTTGGGATTACAGGTGTGAGCCACCATACCTGGCTGCCATAATTTTTTTTTTCTTACTAGAGACAGGGTCTCCCTGTGTTGCCCAGGCTGCTCTCGTACTCGTGGGCTCCCACCTTGGCCTCCCAAAGTGCTGGGACATGAGGCACTGCACCCAGCCATAAATATTTTGAGTGTGGATGAATCATAAGGTTTTAAAGAGGCCTTGCTAAGAAACTGCAGAAATTGGTCCGGCACAGTGGCCTATGCCTGTAATCCGAGCACTTTGGGAGGCCAAAGAGGGCAGATTGCTTGAATCCAGGAGTTCGAGACCAGCCTGGGCAACATGGCAAAATCCCATCTCTACAAAAAATAAAAAATTAGCCAGATGTGGTGGTACACACCTGTGGTCCCAGATATTTGGAAGGCTGAGGTGGGAGGATCATCTGAGCCCGGGAGGCGGAGGTTGCAGTGAGTCGAGATCACACCACTGCACTCTAGCTTTGGTGACAGAGTGAGACCCTGTCTCAAAAATGAATTGCAGAAATCAGTCTGTGACTTGGCTAACAGTTTGTGGATAACATAGTTCAAAGGTATGTGAAAGGGCTTCAGATACGCTGCTTCCTGACCCAGCACAGTAAGGATCATTTACGTGCCTTCACTTACAAGATCTTGCCCTGTCACTAAAAAGCTTCTAGATAGAGCTAGCTATATACAACTCTCTCAAAGAACAGCAGCTAAGAGCATTTGATAAATGCTTAGAAAAACTTAGCTTACATTTTCTTTTCAGCCAGCTGGAGCCTATTGGCTTTTGAAATTAACAGGAAGGAACAGGCACTGGAAGGAGCTTCATAAACCATCAACCCAGTCTTATCTCCATAGCAACATGGTTTTCTCACATCTGAATAAAAAAACAAAAAAGCTGCCAACTTGACAGTAAATATGGGACAGATCATATTCAACTAAAACTCCCAGTGTCTAGCTATCAGTCTTGAATCAGCTTTTGGGTCTGTAGCTAGAGACAGATCATCCGTTCTGAGTAGGGCTTAACTGGACAAACTAAAGCTTTGGAGGCCAAATTCCCTGTGGGCTTCAAATAGAAATATAGCCAGGTCACTAAAGAGGGAAAAGGGATAGAAAAAATATGAGTTAGGCCAGGTTCGGTGGCTCACACCTGTAATCCCAGCACTTTGGGAGGCCGAGGTGGGCAGATCACGAGGTCAGGAGATCGAGACCATCCTGGCTAACATGGTGAAACCGTCTCTACTAAAAGTACAAAAAAAATTAGCCTTGCGTGGTGGTGGGTGCCTGTAGTCCCAGCTACTCGGGAGGCTGAGGAAGGAGAATGGTGTGAACCTGGGAGGCGGAGCTTTCAGTGAGCCGAGATCGCGCCACTGTACTCCAGCCTGGGCGACAGTGAGACTCCGTCTCAAAAAAAAAAAAAAAAGAAAAAATATGAATTAAACCGGGTGTGGTGGCTCGTACCTGTAATCCCAACACCTTGGGAGGATTGCTTGAGCCCAGGAATTCAAGACCAGCCTGGGCAACACAGGGAGACTCCAGCTCTACAAAAAATTCAAAAGTTAGCTAGGCATGGTGGCATGTACTTATGGTCCCAGTTACTTTGGAGGCTGAGGTGGCAGGATCACTTGGGCCCAGGAGGTTGAAGTTGCAGTGGGCTATGATCACACCACTGCACTCCAGCCTGGGCAATAGGAGTCTCAAAAAAAATGAAAGTTAGAAAAAAGGAACATTTTCGGTCTGTTTATATAAATACAAACATAAAATTACCCCAGTTGCAGTCTCCTGTTTATTCCACAGTACCTCATCCTTTTTTGCAGACAGCAGGGAAAAAACTGGCACAATAGTCAAAATTGCCAGGTTTGGTGGCTCACGCCTGTAATCCCAGCACTTTGGGAGGCAGAAGTGGGCAGATTACCTGAGGTCAGGAGTTCGAGACTAGCCTGACCAATATGGTGAAACCCCATCTCTACTAAGAATACAAAATTAGCCGGGCATGGTGGCACATGCCTGTAATCCCAGCTACTTGGGAAGCTGAGGCAGGAGACTTGCTTGAACCCAGGAGGCAGAGGTTGCAGTGAGCTGAGATCACGCCATTGCACTCCAGCTTGGGCAACAAGAGCGAAACTCTGTCTTAAAAAAGTCAAAATCTTGCACCTCTACCCTGAAACCCTTCCAATCCTAAAGTAGCACAACTTTGCTAGGATTCTTAAAACCACACATTCTGAAGAAAAATAAACTTCCAAATATGTTACTGACCTAATTCTACTCTTACAATGGGAGTTATCACCCATCAATTCCAATCTATCGCCCTCTTCTGTGTAGCAGTCACCTAGCTGCTTAGAAATCCCAATGGCATCTTAGAGATCCATGGGAAAACATAGGCTAACTACAAGTCAGGACCCTTCTTGCAGTTTCCCAAGATGGGTGTGGGTTGTTCCAGCCTGTCTTATTTCCTTTCCACCTACAAGTCTGCCATATTTGCTTTTCTACGACTGCAGTCCTCTTAAAATTGATAGCAGGAAACCTCTGATAGCTACTTGTCCCCAGCTTTAATTGGGTCTTTTCAGGAAAAGGTATCAATTCACACTTGTTCCTGACCACAGCAAAGCACAGCACAGCAGGCTGATAAAGTCTTTGCAGGAATTTACATTATTAGAAGAGCATGAAAACTGCTGCTCAGAAACATTTACTTTCCCCTAAGGCCACCTTCTTTCTAGGCAGGGGAGGGGGCTAGACAAGGGTCCTGGAATCCATTTCATTATCCCAACTTTGTTTTGAGCTTATTTCCATTTTATAGCCATAGAAAGCTTCAAGTACTACTACATACACATCCATCACCACAACCTGAGGCCAAAGGCCCAGAACATTCTATAGCAATGTCTTAACAAATATCCTTAAACATTGATTTTTTTCAGATTAGGACTAAAGATTTAATTTAAATGTTTCTTTATCATGCACTGCATTTCTCAACATGCACAACAGTTGCAGGATGGGTGAGAGAATGTGACTAAAGAGTACTGAAATACCCCACAGAAACTTAACTTCTGTAAGGATGGACTCATCCCCACCAACCTGGGCATCTGATCAAGTGACCGTCTTCAACGCTGTTATTTGAACAAATTGTAATTCACACACATACACATCTGCATCAGATTTATTTTTTAAAGGAATGGATTTTGAGAGAAAACAACGTGGGCAGAAGTATGGAATAGAAAATAAATACAAATGTAGGCTATTCTGCTAATTGTTTTATAACCACGACAAACTAGTACAGAGAATGCCCTGTACAAAACACAACAAAGGTTCAAACATCGAGATGTTCCCTTAGCAAGGCTGAAAATTTCAGTCTCTGGTATTTGGAATTTAGGCTGCAGTCCTTGTTTTTGGATGGATCACTGGGTGTGTGGCACAGTCCATGCTTTTAACCAGATTTGAACAGAAGAATGGCCACTTGGCCCAGGTAGAAGTAGATGAAGTGTTTGGTTTCATGTGTCACATAACTACCGAAGTTCCTCCCCACGATGCAATGCCAGGTGGGATTGTACTTCTTGTCAAATTCCTGGAAAAGACAAAAGAAAAGAACTAGGATTTTAATTACCAGAGGTCAGTGTTTGCCTCTTGGATAAGCCAGAGCCTGTAGGGGCAGAAAGGAGGAACGTCAGCATCTGCAAATTCTTAGAATGAAAGAATGTTCCCCAGCTCCAAGCCGCCTACATAGTACATTAATACAAACATACTTGCAGTCTGAGCGAAGATGGGAATGGAGGCTGAGGAGGTCAAAGGACGAAAGGTCAGCCCTAAAGACAGGGTGTTTTGTTATTATGGTAATTACACCTTCATACCTTCTATAATATTCATTGACAGACGGTGACATCAACAGGTGTAGTTTATCATGTTCTGTGTAGAGAACTAAACTACCCTACTGTATTTGCCATGCCCCCAATTCCAAGAAAACGGCAAAAAATTAGCCCATCCCATTCCTCATCACAAAGATCTTAACTGCACCCCTGCAACACAAGACTTTTCCAATAGGACAAAACTTCAAACAGCATTGTATACCAAATGATTGCGGATCAAAATTAAATTTACAGGAACACAATACTGAAGCACTCCACTGTTGCTGTAAAAACTGCTGGAAACAGAATCTGTCAACTGGCCAAATTTTATCCTTAATTATTATCCAAACAGCCGTCCTCTTCACATCTATCCGGATGATGCTAATCTACTACCCTGTCCACTAGGTTAGCAAGTTGTAGGAACAACTCTTCACCATTTCTCCCACCCTAAGAGGTACTGGGGAGTAGAATGCCTGTGGGGGGCATTGGGTGGCAACGGTTATCTTTCTCTGCAAAATTCTTACAAGTGTTTGTGGAGCGTCACACAAGATTTAGCTACTCTAACTGCACGCAGTGCGAAAACCTTTTAAAGCTATGAAGGGGAGTAACGCTCTTGCAAGCTAGAGGCACGCACTGCTGCGTTTGTCAAAAAAGGCATTTATTTCTGTTCCATCTGAAGTCTTTCATCTTCCCATTCTCGACTGGAACCCTCCCACGGCTTAGGCTGCCAGCTTTCTTCCCTTCCAGCAAACACTGCTCGAGAAGTTGGCAGTCCTGCCGGCTTTCTAGACTGCCATTTACCAAGCCCCTACCCCAGCCCCCAGCCCCGCCACCACCCACCACCTTCCCTCAACTCCCCACTGGAAGGCTGGCAAGATCTCCTCCCGGCCCGGCTGGAAACACCCACGCAGCTCCCCCCTCCGGAACACCCAGATGGATCCTCGGCGCAGGAACCACACAGAAGGGGGAACCGCTGCTCCCTGATCTTAGATACCGTTGCTAGGTGGCGCTTTCCCCCCGCGGAGCTGGGTAATTAAAAAAAAAAAAAAAAAAACTTCGGACGCCGGGGGTCTGGTCTTCTCCACAGGAGCGCAAAATGCATCTGCGTCCTTTCTGGAAGCTTCTACGCCCCAAGCCGCCAGCAGTATTCCCGGGACCTGTCAGGCGCCCTTAGGAAAGCAGGATCGGGGGGAAGGAACCCCCTGCTCCCGGCTGCGTATCGGCCCCCGCGCCCATCCTCACCTTCTTGATATGAGCCGCAATGTCCTTCTCTATGTTGTATTTCTCCAGCGCCTGAGTAGCGCACTCCACCGAGTCCTGTTGCATCTCTTCCGACATGTCCGCATTTTTGATCACGGCCTTTCGGTCGCACATGGTTACCTAGTGGGCAAGGCCTGGGGTAAGGGGTTGAGTTGGGCCGCGCCCCCCAGGCACTAACTGCCCCCACCCCGGCCGGCGCCACCACGGGACGACGCCCCCCACCCCACTTCTCAGGAAGCGCGGGCTACGCGGAGGGCTAAGTCCGGAGTGGGGCGAAATAAGGCAGCGAGGACACCCCCTGGCCCCCCGAGTTTCTCACCGTGGAGAAGGGGGCTGGCCGACTGCAACGGTCTCCTGGGGGAGGTGCTAGCACAGCTCAGGCCCGGCTAGAGATACCGTCGCTACCGAAACCGTGGCGCATCTAAGCAGCCCCACGCCAGCCGCCGCCGCCTAGTGCTCAGGCCCCGCCCTGCTCCCGCCGGCCCCGCCCCTCGCCGCGCGACCCTATTGGCTTGACGCAGCCCACGGCATTCTTCCATTGGTCCATTGACTCCATGGTTCCCTCAGGATCTTTCTCCTGCATTTTGTTGCAGACCACAATGCACCGCTCACGGCGTCGGTTGCCCGGGCAATGGGCCGCACGCTACGAGGCCCACACACCCAGAAGGTGGAGCCCCGGCCGGGTTACGAGGACCACCCAGCTGTCTGGAGAGGTAGGAAGGGAGCTTCTGCCGGGGCCAAGGGAAGTGATTCCAAATTCACGGAGGTTGTCCCAGGGTGTGTTCTCGAACAACAGTCTCTAGAAGTTGGTGGCCATTCCTGCCCCCACCCCCCCGCCCCCCCACCACGACAGGTCGCATGATCTCGCACCCCAGGTTAGCAGGATTACGACAGAGGTGGCCTCTCCCTTTACTGAAAGGGTATCTCTGAAGCAGGGCCGGCTTCGTGGGTAAACCAGCAGTGCAGTCTCACAGGAGGGACCCTTACGTTTTCATTTTGCACTGGGCCCCATTTGTAGTCGGTTCTGCTCTGAAATATTTAGGGGAGGGCATCCTCAGGATTGAGGGAGGGCTTCAAGGAGGGAGGGTGTTTCCTTACGAATTAAGGGATTATCCCCAAGAGTGGGGTCTCTGCCAAGCAATGCGGACATCCTTTAAGGGGTTGGGGATGGGGATCCGGGTGGATTTGGGAGTGTTGAGCCCCGGGGTTTTTGTCCAGGGTGAAGCTTCTTGCTCAGGTGAGGCAGTCTTTCCTGTGTGGGAGAGATTCTTGGTTGGGATTTATCTCTGAGGAGGAGGTATTCTAATGGACGAAAAAGCGGCCGTTAGAGAGATGACGTCCCCTCTGGCTTAGGGAGGAGACACGAAGTGGTTAAAAAAGCAAGATCTTGGGGGAGTTGAGGGACAAGTCAGATCTGGATTTAAATCCCAGCACTGTCATTTACTAGCTATTTGAATGTCTTCTTTAAGTAAAGGAGGACTAAATGTAAAAGGAAACCAGTTCATACGCTTGTTAGCAGTATTAAACATTTGAAGTTCTCTCAGCACAATGTGAGGCACATAGTAAATGATCAATGAATCTTATCAATAATTGTCAGTTTATACAACTATCCCAAAGGCCACAGCAAGGTTTTGAACAACCAGCTCTGAAATGCCTATAATGTATTTTTCGAACCTCCATAAATAAGTTATCAGGTTAATCATGTATCTGGAAGCTTCCTATTTACATTTCTACATTTTCCTCTGACCATCTACTCTCATTACTCCTTAAAACAATTTGTGGCTGGGCATGATGGCTCACACCTGTAATCCCAGCACTTTGAGAAGCCGAGTCAAGGGGATCGCTTGAGCTCAGTAGTTGGAGACCAGCCTGGGCAATATGGCCAAACCCCATCTCAAAAAATAAAAATAAAACAATTTGAGCAGAGGCACACAACTCCAGAAAGAAAAAGATGGGAATAGGCCGGGTGCGGTGGCTCATGCCTATAATCCCAGCACTTTGGGAGGCCGAGGCGGGTGGATGACCTGAGGTAAGGAGTTTGAGACCAGCCTGATCAACATGGAGAAACCCCATCTCTACTAAAAATACAAAATTAGCTGGGCATGGTGGCACGTGCCTGTAATCCCACCTACTCAGGAGGCTGAGGCAGGAGAATCACTTGAACCCGGGACACAGAGTCTGTAGTGAGCCGAGATCGCGCCATTGCACTCCAGCCTGGGCAACTCCGTCTCAAAAAAAAAAAAAAGGAAAAAAATGGCAATAATTAGAACCTTTTCAGGTTCAACATATGCATATCAATTAAATCAACAGCTTTTTCCAGTTCCATGTTTCTAATGATGAGATTCAGGGTTTGAGGAGTTATAATATTACTATAGTACCTCTCTTGAGGAAGAAATAGGTTGACAACAAGTGAGGACCCTGGAAATGCAAATGACACTAAAGTAAAGCCACGGTGACTCCACTAAGTAGAAACCCCAGGGAAATTTCCTAAATCATCCTCATGATTTTTTTCCATATCTACACTACACTACCCCTGTTATTATTTATTTAATTTTTACTATAATAATACTATCATCATAATATAGTAATGTAATTGTTCATTAATAATACCTTATATGGCCGGGTGTGGTGGCTCACGCCTGTAATCCCAGCACTTTGGGAGGCCGAGGCAGGCGGATCACGAGGTCAGGAGATCAAGACCATCCTGGCTAACATGGTGAAACCCCATCTTTACTAAAAATACAAAAAAAAAAAAAATTAGCCGGGCGTGGTGGTGAGCGCCTGTAGTCCCAGCTAGTTGGGAGGCTGAGGCAGGAGAACGGCGTGAACCCCAGAGGCTGAGCTTGCAGTGAGCCGAGATCGCACCACTGCACTCCAGCCTGGGAGACAGAGCGAGACTCTCTCAAAAAAAATAAATAAATAAAAAATAAAAAATAATACTGTATATAATATTCTATATAATAATTTTATTTGAACTCCCTTTATTTTTTAAATAAGTATACTTTTTATTTTATTTTATTTTTTTGAGATGGAGTCTCACTCTGTCGCCCAGACTGGAGTGCAGTGGCGCGATCTGGGTTCAAGTGATTCTTCTGCCTTGGCCTCCTGAGTAGCTGGGATACAGGTGCACACCACCATGCCCGGCTAATTTTTCTATTTTTGTAGAGACAGGGTCTTGCCATGTTGGCCAGGCTGGTCTTGAACTCCTGAGCTCAAGTGATCCGCCTGCCTTGGCCTCCCTAAGTTTTGGGATTACAGGCGTGAGCCATCGCACCCGGCCTAATAAGTATGCTTTTAAAAGACAAATTTATATCATTACCATAAATGGAAAGCCAGTCTCATTGGCCATAAATAGAAGGTAACTATAAAATATAAATATTAGAATATAAAACATTTGTTTTTGCATTGTTAAACTGATCTCAGACACTATGAGTGATATGTGTCCTGCACTTGGAAAATGCTACCCTCGAGGAGGGTTCTTAAATGGGGTCCACGACCGGATTGCAAAGGTTTTCCAAGCCCTCTGGAATTATGCACAAAAATGTATGTAGTGCTTACAGGCATTTTTCCAAAGAGAGGATCCTTAGCTTCCATCAGATTCATAAAGGGATTCAGAACCTAAGGAGGATTAAAAAAAAAAACTCTTCTACAATAACCCAGACTCCTAGAATAAATGTGAGATTCCTTCACCAGGTCCCCCTGAAGTGGCCCATATGGGGTTCTGTAGCATCACACATTTTGGCAACTTACTATATCTACTCCTGCCTGATAAACTTGCTTAAAAATCCTTCTAAGCCTGAAAACCTGCATTTTTCATTCTTGCCACAGGAAATTATAACTAGGGGTTAATGTTTCTGAGAGCACGGGCTTTGGAATCAACCTAAGCTATGAGCTCCTTCAAGTTAGTTAACCTCTCCAAGGCACAGGTTCCTGATTGTTATTTTTTATTTTTATTTATTTATTTTTTTTGAGACGGACTCTTGCTCTGTCACCCAGGCTGGAGTGCAGTAGTGCGATCTCAGCTCACTGCAACTTCACCCTCCTGGGTTCAAGCGATTCTCCTGCCTCAGCCTCCCGAGTAGCTGGGATTACAGGCGTTTGCCACTACACCTGGCTAATCTTTGTATTTTAGTAGAGACAGGGTTTCACCATGTTGGCCAGGCTGGTCTCGAACTCCAGACTTCAGGTGATCCACCCACCTCGTAGGTTCCTGATTTTTAAATGGAGATCACATCTTCGTTATAGGTTGGTGGCAGGGATTATATTAAATAATGCATCTAGAGACCTAGCCACGGTATAATAAATAGTAGCTATTGCCACTGTATATTGAGACCTTACCATGTACCAGACATTTAGACACATTATCTCATTGGCTTCTCATAACAATTCTACAAGGTAAGAACTGTTCGTCTCTTTATTATACAGATGAAGAAAATGAGGTTCAAAGAGATGAAGTCTCTTGCCTAAAGTCAGTGACAGAAAGTGACAGAGCTGGGATGTGAATCCTGGTCTGACTCTACAGTCCCACATGGTAGATGGAACCTCCGAGCAACACCTAAACAAAAGGAGTTGATGCCTCCGAACAGAGTAATGTCGCTGGAGACACTAAGCATCGTCGGCCCCTGGCAGGAGCTCCCTAAATATGTGTTGGATGGATGGAAGAAAGGATGGATAGTTCAGAGTACTTCAGCCTTGATTCCTCCGCAACAGACACCTGAAACTTGACCCTACATTGGTTCTTGGCCATCGTGATCTTCCTTGGACAGAATCACCTTTCAGCTCCGGTCATCAGACTTTCCCAGGGCCCTCAGAAAGCCCTTCAGAGTTGTTACTCACAGGCAGGCTGAGGGATTCCTTACGGGGTCTGCAGCTCTCCTCACCTCATCCACAAGTAGGACCGTGGCCTGTTCCTCACTACTGCCCCAGGATCACTCTGTTCCCAGCCCAGTCCAGCAATCACTTGTCTAGCTTTCTGGAACCTTGAGTACTTTCTTGAACCATGAGTCCTGTGACCACCCTAGCAGCTCTAACCCTCCCTTATCTGAAAGGAAGTGTGAGGTGACCTTGCAGGTCCCAGAGTTGATTGAAGACCCCATCCAGAAAGAAGGCACCCTGTGGGAGAGATTGCAAGGCCTAGGTCTGAATCCGGAAGCTTCCACCCCATGGAGAAGGGCTGGCACCAGCCTGGGGCTGGCAGTGGAGCTGAGCTTTGGAGCCAAGGACTGTACTGCAGTGCAGGGAGAGTGAGGCCAGAAAGGCTGAGACAACTCAGGGAAAGAAAACCTCCCTTCTGGCTAATAGTCAAGCACCGCCTGAGTAGACCAACACTCTCCTGTCCACAGGGGCAGCAGATGAAGACACAACCAGAGAGGACTAACAGGCCCCCTCAGCTCTCAGTCAGAGGGCAGAGCAACACAGAATAGACATTAAAGGAACAGACTTTGAGGCCAGGCAGCCTTGGGTGTGCATCTGTCCCTACTAAGCCATGTGACATTAAACAAGTGAGTCCACCTCTCTGAGCCTCAGGTTCCTCATCTGTAAAATGGGGATTATAAGAGTTCTTGTTTCTCAGGGACAATGTGAGGATTAAGTGAGATGATACACATAGAGAATGTGGTGCAGTACTGGGCACATGGCAAAGATCAGTGATGCTAGCTACCACTTATCATTAGTGTTCCTGTAGACCAGGACTTC
Source organism: Homo sapiens (assembly GCF_000001405.40). Classification (NCBI taxonomy): domain Eukaryota; kingdom Metazoa; phylum Chordata; class Mammalia; order Primates; family Hominidae; genus Homo; species Homo sapiens. The sequence continues at coordinate 120,490,841 of NC_000012.12, read as the reverse complement.
TCAACCTTGGCACTATTCACCTTTTGGGCCAGAAAGTTTTTTTTGTTGTTGTTGTGGGGAGCTGTCCTATGCATTTGAGGATGTTTAACAGCACCCCTGGCCTCTACCCACTAGATGCCAATCACACCACACCCCCAGTTTCAACAACCAAAAATGTCTGCAGATGGTGCCGAATGTCTTCTGGAGGGTGAAATCACTCCCCAGCAGTTGAAAAGCACCACCCTAAACAATCTGGACTGAATTTGAATGTCACAGATCCCAAGCTCACAGCTCCATGTAAAGGCCACAAGGCAGGCAGGCCTACTTGCAGATGAAGGAACGGAAAGAGCAACAATTACAGATCAAGCGGCTAGCTCCGGTGTAGACTAAGAGGCGGGATCTGTAGTCTGCTCTAGGAGCTAACAAGGCCTCTGTGACTCAGTAGGTGACCTCAGTGTCACTCTTTAATTATATGCAAAGTGGTCTTGTGTTAACTCTTAATTATTCTAGGGCTCCAAACAAGAAAATAGGTAGTTGGTATCTGATTTCTGGCATCAAGATCCTGATTCATTGACTGGGAGAAAATCTGACTCTCCAAAACTCTTTCAGAGTTCATTTAGCCCTTCATTTATGACTCTGGGGAGATTTCTGAGCGAGAGCTAGGTGTCAGGCCCTGTTCCAGGTGCTGGAGATGCACAAGAGAACAAAATAGGCAAAGTTTCCTTTTTATGGAACTTATAGCAGGAGAATAAAGATAAAAACAAGCAAAAATATTTATCTCTGATAAGGGCAATGGATAAAAATAAAGTAGAATAGGCCAGGCACGGTGGCTTACGCCTGTAATCCTAGCACTTTGGGAGGCCAAGGCGGGCAGATTGCCTGAGCTCAGGAGTTCGGGACCAGCCTGGGCAACACGGTGAAACCCCGTCTCTACTAAAATACAAAAAATTAGCTGGGCGTGGCAGCGTGCACCTGTAGTCCCAGCTACTTGGGAGGCTGAGGCAGGAGAATTGCTTGAACCTGGGAGGCAGAGGTTGCAGTGAGCTGAGATCGCGCCACTGCACTCCAGTCTGGGTGACAGAGAGAGACTCCACCTCAAAAAAATTTAAAAAAGTAGACTAAGAGAACCAAGCATCGCTGGGTGAGGGGTCTTGTTTTAAAGAGTTTTCTAGGAAGACCTCTCTGAGAAGGCACCATTTGAGCCAAGACTTGATGACCTGGCTACTGCATGAGGATGGAAGGTGGGGAAGCTGATGGGAGCAGCGAGAGAGGTGGGAGCAGTTAGAGGCTATTGCAGCAGTCCAGGTAAGAAGGAATGGTGGCTTGGACAAGGAGGTGGTAGCAGAGATAGGGCAGAGATGGCCAGATTCCAGATGTATTCTGAAGGTAGAGCTGACAGATTTGCTGAGCAATTGGATGCAGAATAGGAGGGAACCAGAGGCAGTCAAGGATGACTCCAGACTTGTGAGCTGAACAATGAGAAGAATAGATTGAGATGGGGAAGTCTGGCAGAGGAAACAAGAAGTTCTGCTTTGGCCATGTTAAGTTTGAGATGCCTATTAGATATTCCAAGTGGAGATGTCAAATATGCAGTTGGATATATGAGTTCTGGGAAGAGGGCCAGCCTTGAGCTATAATTTGGAGAGTCATCAGCTTATAGGTGACATTTAAAGCAATGGGACTGGATGAGATCACCACTGAGGGCGGAGTACGTGTAGATGGAAGTAATGCTTATTCAGCTAGCAATATTCTCTGAGCGTTTACTATGGGCCAGGCCCGGAGCTAGGTGCTAGGTACAGAGATGGACTTCCTTTGGCACCTGCCCCAGAGAAGCTCTATTACTTACTTAATTTTCCTGCCTAAGTGCTTTGGCCATGTAGAGGATGAGCCTTGAGTTCCTACCCTGTCTTTTAGTCACTTAGTCCTTTTTTTCTCTTTTTTCTTTTTTTGAGACAGAGTTTCGTTCTTGTTGCCCAGGCTGGAGTGCAATGGCATGATCTTGGCTCACCACAACCTCCGCCTCCTGGGTTCAAGCAATCCTCCTGTCTCAGCCTCCTCAGTAGGTGGGATTACCGGCATGCACCACCACATCGGGCTAATTTTTTGTATTTTTAGTTGACATGGGGTTTCTCCATGTTGGTCAGGCTGGCCTTGAACTCCCGACCTCAGGTGATCCACCCGCCTCGGCCTCCCAAAGTGCTGGGATTACCTGCGTGAACCACCGCACCCTGCATCATTTTTTCAGCAGACATTTGTTGAGCACCTGCTTGATACAAGGCACCCATCTAGGCACAAGGGACATGAAAGGAAGCGAGTCAGACACAGTTCCTATCCTTTTGGAGTTTAGATTTTATGTGTGGAGACAGACATTGAACAGGATGCACACAGGATCACAGGATGTGACAAATGCAGTGGAGGAGAAAGATAGGCTGGTGTGAGAGCTGTTAATGGGGGCTCTGCTCTAGCCGGAGAGGCAAGGAAGGCTTTTCCAGGAGTCACATTAGAGGAACAATCTATACAAGCAGGGAACTAGGCTGGGGGAAGTGCAGGGAGCTTTTTAGGTGGAAAGAACAGCATGTTCAAAGGCCTGAAGCTGGAAGGAGGCTGGCTGACTTGGCTCCAGAGAAGCTGTTGGGGGAGTGTGGGAGAGACAAGACAGGGAGTAGGGGTGGGGAGAAGCCAGACCTTTGGAGTCTTGTAAGTCTGGTTAAGACACGTGGACTGTCTTCTGCGGCCACCAGTGGCTCTGTTGAGGTGGGAAATTAAAGAAAAGCAAAATTAAAAAGAAAGAGAAATAAGTTTTTCTGTATGAGGGTGACTTGTCCCAGAGGCAGCAATAGGCACAGGCCAGACCCAGGAAAATTCTTCATAATATTATCTAATGTGCTCTGGAGATTCTCCCAGTACTCCCTCAACATAGGGAGAAGAAAAACAAATTTTCCTTTGTTTTATGGAATGAGTTTATAGATTCCTATTCTCTGTAACCAGTGACTTCAAGTATTGTTTTATCTAAGCAGTGGAGTGAAGGTCATGAGCCTCTGAGCTGGCCTGAGTTACGGCCACCTGGGCGCCATAGTGAAGGTTATGGGATAAGTCTGTGCCTGGGCAAACCTAGATAACGGACATCTGGGTTGCTTGGCAACGGTCACGTGCAATCCTGAGTTTGTCCTGCCTCTATATCCCTGCTTTCATGCCACTGTAAGCTTGCTTCAAGCTAGCCCACCCCCTTTTGTGAAGTGTGTATAGAAGTCAAGTGCTGTCTTTCTTCCGGGCCCAGTCTTTTGGACGTTGAGTCAGCTGGGCCTGAGTGCACTCAATAAATGATTCTCCTGTTTTAGATTGAGACCATCCTGACTAACACGGTGAAACCCCGTCTCTACTAAAAATACAAAAACAAAATTAGCCGGGTGTGGTGGTGGGCGCCTGTAGTCCCAGCTACTCGGGAGGCTGAGGCAGGAGAATGGTGTGAACCCAGTAAATACTGCACATGTGTAATGAGCCGAGATCGCGCCACTGCACTCCAGCCTGGGCAACAGAGCAAGAGTCCGTCTCAAAAAAAAAAAAAAAAAAAAAAAAAAAAAAAAAAAAAAGGCCGGGCACGGTGGCTTACGCCTGTAATCCCAGCACTTTCAGAGGCTGAGGCGGGTGGATCACGAGGTCAGAGATCGAGACCATCCTGGCTAACACAGTGAAACCCTGTCTCTACTAAAAATACAAAAAATTAGCCGGGTGTGGTGGCGGGCGCCTGTAGTCCCAGCTACTAGGGAGGCTGAAGCAGGACAATGGTGTGAACCTGGGAGGCAGAGCTTGCAGTGAGCCGAGATGGCGCCATTGCACTCCAGCCTGGGCGACAGAGCGAGACTGCATCTCAAAAAAAAAAAAAAAAAAGATTCTCCTGTTTTAACCCGAGGTCTCTCTCTCATCCTCCTGAATCCCACAACACTGAAAGGTAGTGGGTAGGGATTCATATGATCAGAGGGCCACTGAAGTGGGCAGGTTAGTAGGGCAGCCAGGACACCAGTGAGGAGGTTATTGATTGTTGCCTCTTTGCTTCAGGCTCTTGGTTTCTCCATTTTAAACATCTGTTTGCACTCCAGGTGCAGTGTCTCATGCCTATAATCCTAGCGCTTTGGGAGGCTAAGGCAGGAGGATGCCTTACCCAGGAGATGGAGACCAGCCTGGGCAATATAGCAAGACCCCATCTCTACCAAAAATAAAAATAAAAAATTAGCTAGTATAGTGGGGTGTGCCGGTAGTTCCAGCTACTCAGGAGGCTACAGCGGGGAGGATTGCTTGAGCCCAAGAGTTCAAGGCTGCAGTGAGCTATGATTGCACCACTGCACTCCAGCCTGGGCAACAGAGCGAGACCCTGACTCAAAAACAAAAACAGAAACATCTGTTTGCAAAGCCCTGGTTCTCTCAGGGGACAGAGAGGGGAATGCAAAGAAGTTGTTTTTCTCTCTCGGTAAGAGCAGAACCCTTGGTACCCCCAAACTTATCATCTTAGGATCACAAAGCCAGAGCTTAAGGCTGTACATAATAATCTGTTTCTTCCAGGAGCCACTTCCCCCAAGAAACTCCAAAGGTATTATTTCATTAGCAGGGTGCCAGGTGGTTTTGGCCAGGGCCTCTGCAACTCTTTTCTCTGTGACCATTTTCCATTTCGGCTCATATAAATCAACCTTTACTACAAAGCTATAAAGTAAAATAATGTAATGAGTGCAGCCAACTGCAGCTGTTCTCAAACTCAATGTCACAGCCATTACACATGTGAAATATTTACAGGGGTTTTAATCAATTTTCTTTCCTGACACCCGTTTTTTATTAAAAATTACAAAAATAATAAATGCACATGGTAGTAGATACAGAAGAACACAAGGAATGAATTATAAATGTTAACTGTACAGAGATAACCATTGTCAATATTTTGTCTTAAATACATCCAGTCTACAGATAAGAACATATTCATATCATATAATACCTATCACACTGTATGTATCTTTTTTTTTTTTTTTTTTTTTTTAGACAGGGACTTACTCTGTCAAATAGGCTAGGGTGTAGTGGTGCGATCGTACCTCACTACAGCCTCAAACTCCCAGGCTCAAGGGATCCGACTGCCCCTCCCTCCCAAGTAGCTGGGATCACAGGTGCACACCACCACACCTGGCTAATTTTTTTGATTTTTAATAAAAATGAGGTATCACTATGTTGCCCAGGCTGGTCTCAAACTCCTGGGCTCAAGCAATCCTCCCACCTTGGCCTCCAAAAGTGCTGGTATTATAGGCATGAGCCACTGAACCTGGCCAATGTATCATTTTTGTTACCTGCTTTTCGTAATCCCAGCACTTTGGGAGGCCGAGGCAGGTGGATCACGAGGTCGGGAGTTCAAGACCAGCCTGGCCAAGATGTTAAAACCCTGTCTCTACTAAAAATACAAAAATTGGCTGGGTGTGGTGGTGGGCGCCTGTAATCTCAGCTACTTGGGAGGGTGAGGCAGAGAATTGCTTGAACCTAGGAGGTGGAGGTTGCAGTGAGCCGAGATCGTGCCACTGCACTCCAGCCTGGGCGACAGAGCAAGACTCCATCTCAAAAAAAAAAAAAAAAAAAAAAAGCCTTCTACAACATAACTATTTACTTATGTATTTTTAAAGATGGGGTCCCACTCTCACCCAGGCTGGAGTACAGTGGTGCAATCCTAGCTCACTGCAGCCTCAAACTCCTGGGCTCAAGCAGGCATCCTGCCTTCACCTCCCAAAGTGCTGGGATTACAAGCATGAGCTACTGCACCCAGCCCAATTTTAATAGCTTCTTTATAGCCCATGCGGCCAGGGGCGGTGGCTCACGCCTGTAATCCCAGCACTTTGGGAGGCCCAGGTGGTTGGATCACTTGCGGTCAGAAGTTCGAGACCAGCCTGGCCAATATGGTGAAACCCCATCTCTACTAAAAATATAAAAAATTAGCCAGGTGTAGTGTTGCGTGCCTGTAGGCTACTTAGGAGGCTGAGGCAGGAGAATCGCTTGAACCCAGGAAGCAAAGCGGAGGTTGCAGTGATCCGAGATTGCGCTATTGCACTCCAGCCTGGGTGTCACAGTGAGACTCCGTCTCAAAAAAAAAAAAAAAAGTCCATGCATAACTTCTTGAAACAATCACTTATCAGTGGACACTTAAGTTGCTTCCAGTTTTTCAGTATTGTAACAGTGCTTTGTTCTGATGAATATCTTTCAAAGATAAAAATAATCTTTTTAATTCTACTTTCAGAAGTAATAGGTACTCATTGTATAAAAGTGAAACACTGTAGAAATTTAGAATCTGAAAAAGAAAGTTCCTTTGTAAGATCTGTAATCTTACAACTCAAAGATAATGTTAAAATTTGATTTTTTCCCGGCATATAACAGGCTTTTTTCCTTTTTACCAAAATGGGATGATTCTGAGTTCCCTGTCACGATATATAAATCTACTTTATTCCTTTCATAAACTTCCATGCATTTCCACCACCTGTCCCCACCCACCCACCCACATCTGTATACACACATTCTGCCTCCCTTGCCGTTACCCTGTATGAACTGTTCATGCTCCTATCTAAGGCCATCTCCCTGGCACTGGGTCCATCTCCTCTCATTCCTGTGATTGTCTCTTCTCCCTCTCCTGCATCATCAGTTTCCCCTGTCTACTGGATTATTCCCACCAGCGTGCAAACATGCTGTCATATTCTTTTAAAAATGCTTCCCTTGCCTACACATTCTCCTGTAGCTACCATCCCATCTCGGCTTTCCTCCAAGAGTTGTCTGTACTCCCTGTCCCCGATTCCTCACCTCCCATTCTCTCTTTAATCCACTGCACCCACACAGCTCAAATGTGGTGGTCACCGGTGACCACCATGCTGCTAAACACAGTGGCCAATTCTCAGTGCCCTTCATGGCCATACATGTCACAGTTGCTCTCTTCCTCTGGGTCCTCCCTTGGCTTCCAGGACCACACACTCTCTTAGCTGTCCTCCCATCTCACTGGCTGCTCCACCTCAGGCTCCTCTGTTTGTTTCCCCTTTTCTCCATGACATCTGAAGGAAGAAGTGAACCAGGCCTTCTCTATTGGGCTACTTCTCTATTTAAACTCTCTCTTGGGAGTCTCCATTTTCATGGCTTTAAATTTCATGGCTCACAACTCTCAAATTTGTATTTTCACCCCAAACTTTGCCCCTGAATGCCCATCCCATATCTCTAAGTCCTATTTGAAATAGCTCTAGGATGTCTAACAGGCATCTGTCTCAAACCTAACACATCCACAACAGACCTATTCTACTCCCAAACCTGCCTGCTTATCCTGCAGGCTTCCTTATCACTGTAAATAGCCACTGCATTCTTCCAGGTGCTCAGGAGAGAGATCTAGAAGTTTTCCTTGACTTGTGTATATTCCTCACACCTCACATCTAATTTAAGCACATTAATGAGCTTAAATTCTTTAAGCTCAATCTTGAAAATATATCTCACCACCTTCGCTCTTCTTCTGACCTTTTTTTTTTTTTTTGATACAGAGCTTCTCTCTGTCATCCAGGCTAGAGTACAGTAGCACAATCTCAGCTCACTGCAGCCTCCACCTCCCAAGTTCAAGCAATTCTCCTGCCTCAGCCTCCCTTGTAGCTGGGGTTACAGGTGTGCACCACCACACCCAGATAATTTTTGTATTTTTAGTAGAGACGGGGTTTCACCACATTGGTCAGGCTGGTCTCAAACTCCTGACCTTGTGATCCACCCGCCTCAGACTCCCAAAGTGCTGGGATTACAGGTGTAAGCCACCGTGCCTGGCCTTTTTTTTTCTTTAAGAGATGAGGTCTTGCTCTGTTTTCCAGGCTGGATCCTGGGCTTGAGGGATCCTCCTGCGTCAGCCTCTCGAGTAGCTGGGACCACAGGCACGAGCCACCGATGCCTGGCTAAATTTTTACTTTTTTGTAGAGATGGAGGTCTCGCCATCTTGCCCAGGCTGGTCTCGAACTCATGGACTCAAGCAATCCTCCTGCCTCAGCCTCCCAAAGCCCATGTCTGGCCTGGGCTGTCTATTCTGTCTCACTGCTCTATGTGTTTATCTTTTTGCTGATACCACCCTACTTTGAATACTGTAACTTTATAGTGAGTCTTGAAGTTGGGTAATGTGAGTATGTGAGTCCTCTGACTATTTTTTTTTTCAGAATTGTTTTGGCTAATCTAGTACCTTTGCCTTTCTCTGTAAAAAAATTGTTTTGGCTAGGCCGGGCATGGTGGCTCACGCCTGTAATCCCAGCACTTTGGGAGGCCGAGGCAGGCGGATCACAAGGTCAGGAGATTGAAACCATCTTGGCTAACACTGTGAAACCCCATCTCCACTAAAAATACAAAAAATTAGCCGGGCACGGTGGCAGGCGCCTGTAGTCCCAGCTACCTGAGAGGCTGAGGCAGGAGAATGGCGTGAACCCGGGAGGTGGAGCTTGCAGCGAGCCGAGATGGCGCCACTGCACTACAGCCTGGGCGATAGAGCGCGACTCCATCTCAAAAAAAAAAAAAATTGTTTTGGCAAATCTAGTACCTTTGCCTTTCTATGTTGCCCGGGCTGGAGTGCATTGGCTACTCACAGGCATGATCATGGTGTATTATAGCCTCAAACTCCTGGCCTCCAGCGATCTTCCTGTCTCAGCTCCCAAGTAGCTCCCAAGTGTGCAACTGAGACTACAGGTGCAAAACACAGTGCCCTGGCTTCTCTGTAAATTTTAGAATCAGTTTGTAGACAGTGTCTGGGAGGAAAAACTTTTTATCTACCCTCAGGTTTAGTCTTTGGGGACCTGTGAATTAAACAGACGAAAGATATATTAACAAGAGAAGGCCAAGCGTGGTGGCTTACACCCATAATCCCAACACTCTGGGAGGCTGAGGCGGGAGGATCACTTGAGTCCAGGAGGTCGAGGCTGCCGTGGGCTAGCATCATGCCACTGCACTGCCCCATGGGCAACAGAGCGAGACCCCTGTCTCTAAAACAAACAAAAAGAAGACAAAATTTAATCATTTATTTTATTAACATACATATGGGAGTTCACCAGAAAGACTATCCACATTACTAGAGATGGAAACTTTCAGCTCCTTCCCCCAACCTCCAGGGAGGGGAGTGGGGCTAGAGACTGGGCTCCAAACACTCTTGAACAGGAGGTTCCGAAAGTCTGGAATGATGAACGCATTGATGTGCTGGGAGGGTGGTGCACCTGGAGAGGACATGGAAGCTCTGTTCCCACCTCCTCCTGCTGTGCCCCGCCCCATGCCTTGCCCTATGCATCGCTTCCATTTGGTTGATCCTAGTTGTATCCTTTATAATAAACTGGAAAATGTAAATAAGGTGCTGTCCTGAGTTCTGTGAGTCACTCTAGTAAATTATTGAACCTGAAGGGGGTGAGTGGGAACCTCTGAATTTGTAGTAGGCCCAACAAAAATGTGGGTAGCTGGGGCACCTCATTTGTGCAGGCATCTAAAGTGGGGGCGGTCTTGTGGGACTCAGTCCTTAACTTTTGTTCAGGGTCTGTGCTAACTCTGGGTAGTTAGTGTCAGAACTGAATAGAATTTTCAGAGGTCCAGTTGATCTCAGATAATTGAACAATTGATGTGGAAAAATGACACGTATCTGGTGCCAGAGATAAAGACCGCACCACACATTTGGTGTCAGAAATAGTGTCAAAGATAAGACATCACAGGAAGTCACTGGTATTAGCACAGTGTTATACATACAGACTTCAATAAATATAAGAATCATAAACTACAAATAGGAAAAAAGAAATTAAGAAATATGTGAGCCGGGCATGGTGGCTCACGCCTGTAATCCCAGCACTTTGGGAGGCCAAGGTGGGCAGATCACGAGGTCAGGAGATCGAGACCATCCTGGCGAACATGGTGAAACCCCATGTCTACTAAAAATGCAAAAAATTAGCTGGGCATGGTGGCGGGCGCCTGTAGTCCCAGCTACTCGGGAGGCTGAGGCAGGAGAATGACGTGAACCCGGGAGGCGGAGCTTGCAGTGAGCCAAGATGGAGCCACGACTCCAGCCTGGGCAACAGAGCGAGACTCCGTCTCAAAAAAAAAAAAAAAGAAAAATGCTTTGAGGTGGAACAAAAGGCATAATGGGAGACAACAAGGCCTTTCAGAGGTATAAACTCAAAGGAAAGTTCTAGATTGGGTCACACAGGCCTGGGCCCCTTACTAAGTCAAGGACCTGAAGGCTGAGGAGGCCTTGGCCAGGCAAAGACTCGGGAGGCAGAGGTAGAGGGAGCAAAACAGTGTCCAGGGAGAGGAGCCAGCCCATGCAAAGACCTGGAGGAAGGAAAGGGACACAGGCTTCCAGACAGCAGATCCCAGAGAAGCTGCCAGGAGTAGCAGGAGTGGAGGAGAAGCTGCTTCAGGCACATCCTGAAGGCCAAGGTGAGGGTGTGGAGATGGTGTTGTCTCTAGGGAGGCAGACACTTTGTCCCCTCTGCTGTGTCCCTAGCATCTAGCACAGTACACACTGTAGATGTCAGTATCTTGGAGATCTTTTCATATCCACACATATGAATGTGGTATTTTTAATGTTTGCATAGTATTCAGAACTAGAACTGTACATTTCCTGCTTAACCAGCCCCCTCTGGATGCAGATTGAGGTCCCCTCTAATTTTGGGGGAACCATAGGTTTTAATAAACATCCTCACATTTTGAATTCCGCTCCCCCTGAGCCCCATCTTCCTCACACAAGGAGGGATGATTGGATTTTTGCTTTGTCCCCTTCTGCTGTCCTTCTGTCTTCCAAACAAGCATCCTTTTGCTATTCACAGCTCTCCTTTGGACACTGTGAGACCATACTCCCCTCAAGGCCCCTTCCCCCAGACTGATCATGCCACCCCTTTACAATCATCCTATTCAGGGATATACAATAAACATTTGTATGGTAAAGGCAACTCATACTGATTGCCAGTGAACATCTGAAATACTTAGGACTGACATGTGTAATCTAACCCAGCCAGGCTCTGATTTACATTAGGGCATCTCACTGTAAGTAGCTTGTGGCACTAGTGCAAGGAAGAACAGCCCTCACCTCCACCCCATGCTCTAACTGTGCTGAACTATTTAGCTTCCCGAAAGCCCCAAGCTTGCCTCTGTCCTCCCAGCTTTCTTTGCAGTGCTTTCTTTCTGTCTGGAATGCTTTTCTTCTCCTCTCATTTACCTGCCTAGCACCATCTGGTTCTTCAGGTCTCAGTTTAGAAGAGCCACTCCCTCCAGGAAGTCTTCCCTGAACACTCCCCTCCAGCCTGGGTTAAGAGCTGCAGGAGTGCCCTGAATTTCTTGTAGCACATATCTCATTTTGTTATAATTGCCTTTTTAAATTTTATTATTATTATTATTATTATTATTTTTTTTTTTTTTTTTTTTTGGAGACGGAGTTTCACTCTTGATGCCCAGGCTGGATGGTGTGATCTCAGCTGACCACAACCTCCGCCTCCCGGGTTCAAGTGATTCCTCTGCCTCAGCCTCCTGAGTAGCTGGGATTACAGGCATGTGCCACCATGCCCGTCTAATTTTTTGTATTTTTAGTAGAGACGGGGTTTCTCCATGTTGGTCTCGAACTCCTGACCTCAGATGATCTGCCCGCCTCAGCCTCCCAAAGTGCTGGGATTACAGGCGTGAGCCACCGCGCCTGGCCTATTACTATTATTTTTTACACGGAGACTTGCTCTGTCACCCAGGTTGCTGTGCAGTGGTGTGTTCTCGACTCGCTGCAACCTCTGCTTCCCGGGTTCAAGCGATTCTCCTGCCTCAGCCTCCCGAGTAGCTGGGATTACAGGCACCTGCCACCATGCCCAGCTAATTTTTGTATTTTTAATAGAGACAGTTTCACAGCCTGGTGCGGTGGCTCACGCCTGTAATCCCAGCACTTTGGGAGGCCGAGGCAGGTGGATCACCTGAGGTCAGGAGTTCAAGACCAGCCTGGCCAACATGGCAAAACCCTGTCTTTACTAAAAATACAAAAATTAGCTGGGCGTGGTGGCGGGCGCCTGTAATCCCATCTACTCGGGAGGCTGGGACAGGAGAATTGCTTGAACCCAGGAGGTGGAGGTTGCAGTGAGCAAGATTGTGCCATTGCACTCCAGCCTGGGTGACAGATTGAGACTCCATCTCATAAAAAAGAAAAGAAAACAGACGTGGTTTCACCATGTTGGCCAGGCTGGTCTCGAACTCCTGACCTCAAGTGATCTGCCCGCCTCAGCCTCCCTAAGTGCTAGGATTACAGGCATGAGCCACTGTGCCCAGCCTGTAATTGCCTTTTTATTTTTTAGGCCAGGCATGGTGGCTTAATGTCTGTAATACTAGCACTTTGGGAGGCTGAGGCAGGAGGATCACTTGAGCTCAGGAGTTTGAGACCAGCCTAGGTAATATAGTGAGACCCTGTCTCTATTTAAAAAAAAAAAAAATTGGGGCCAGGCATGGTGGCTCATGCCTGTAATCCCAGCACTTTGGGAGGTCGAGGCGGGCGGATCACCTGCGGTAGGGAGTTCAAGACCAGCCTGACCAACATGGAGAAACCTCGTCTCTACTAAAAATACAAAATTAGCTGGGCGTGGTGGCGCATGCCTGTAATCCCAGCTACTCAGGAAGCCGAGGCAGGAGAATCACTTGAACCTGGGGGTGGAGGTTGCAGTGAGCAAAGATTGTGCCATTGCACTCTAGCCTGGGCAACAAGAGTGAAACTCCTTCTCAAAAAAAAAAACAACAACAAAAAAAAAAACTTTTGGCCGGGTGCAGTGGCTCAAGCCTGTAATCCCAGCACTTTGGGAGGCCGACATGGGTGGATCACCTGAGGCTAAGAGTTTGAAACCAGCCTGGCCAACATGGCTTAACCCTGTCCCTACTAAAAATACAAAAAAAAATTAGCCAGGCATGGTGGCGTATGCCTGTAATCTCAGCTACTGAGGCAGGAGAATCACTTGAACCCAGGAGGCGGAGGCTGCAGTGAGCTGACATCGCACCATTGCACTCCAGCCTGGGCAACAAGAGCGAAACTCTGTCTCAGAAAAAAAAATATATATATATTTTTACTTTATTTTTCAGAGACGGGGTCTTGCTCTGTCACCCAGGCTGGAGTACAGTGGCGAGACCCTAGTTCAAAGCAGCCTCCAACTCCTGGCCTCAAGCCATCCTCCCGCTTCTACCTCCAGAGTAGCTGGGACTACAGGTGCACACCATCACACCCAGCTTTTTTTATTTATTTATTTATTTTTATTTATTTATTTTTTTTGTAGAGACGGGATCTACTAGGTTTCCTAGGCTGGTCTGGAACTCCTGGGCTCAAGCGAGTTCCCAGAGTGCTGGGATTACAGGCATGAGCCACCACGCCTGACTGTAATTGCCTTTTTAGTTGTCTGTGAATGGTGTGAGGGCAGGGTTGAGTCTTACTGTTGTATCCCGAGCACCAGTGCCCAGCACAGAGCCAGGCTCAATGTTCTATGGCTCGATAAATGTGGGTTGAATACATGAACAAATGTTGAGCAGACAAGGAGTGAAGCCACCACCAAAGTCCCAGATGCCATGTACATAACCCTGGGCTCTTAAAGCTGGGGTCCAAGCATAGCACTAGATAAAAAAAACCTGCTCTTGGCTGGGCGTGGTAACTCACACCTGTAATCCCAGGATTTTGGGAAGCCAAGACAGGTGGATCACTTGAGGTCAGGAGTTCGAGACCAGCCTGGCCAACATGGTGAAACCCAATCTCTACTAAAAATACAAAATTATCCAAGTGTGGTGGCAGGTGCCTGTAATCCCAGTTACTTGGGAAGTTGAGGCAGGAGAATCGCTTGAACCTAGGAGGCAGAGGTTGCAGTGAGCCAAGATCGTGCCACTGCACTCCAGCCTGGGCAACAGAGCGAGACTCCGTCTCAAAAAAAAAAACAAAAAAAACAAAACAAAAAACAAAGTCCGGGCGCGGTGGCTCATGCCTGTAATCCCAGCACTTTGGGAGGCCAAGGCGGGCGGACCACCTGAGGTTGGGAGTTCGAGACCAGCCTGACCAACATGGAGAAATCCCATCTCTACTAAAAAATACAGAATTAGCCAGGTGTGGTGGTGCATGCCTGTAATCCCAGCTACTCAGGAGGCTGAGGCAGGAAAATCGCTTGAACCTGGGAGGCGGAGGTTGCAGTGAGCCGAGATCGCACCACTGCACTCCAGCCTGGGTGACAAGAGCGAAACTCTGTCTCAAAAAACAAACAAAAAAACCCCCCAAACATCCGCTGTCCTTCTAGCACCTTCAAGGAGTGTGTCACAACAAGACAGACTGGCAGCCCATGAGAAGGATGGAATTACAAAAGAAACTGGTCCCCAGCTGCCTAGCAAGGAATGTCTGTCAATGTGACATTCACAGAAGCCCTGCACATGTGCTGGCTGAGGGGGAGAGCCAGCCTCAGGCAGACAGAAGGAAGTTCAGCCACTGGGCATGTGTTAGCATGGGGGATGTGTAGCCTAGAAGCTTCCTGGCTTTCAGTTATTATTATTTTTTTTTAACTTAAAAAAAAAAAACTCCAGATAATTCCCATACTTGTTTTTTACCTTTAAGGAATGTATTTGCCTTGGAGGTGCCATTACTGAATTATATTGACGCAGTTCATTAAAAATCTGCTTAGTATAAAACTGACTTGGGTCTAAAAAAATTAGGATTCTACTAAATAAATGCATCCTTTTTTGTTGCATTGAAAAACATTCTTAGTACTGTTATTAATCTTTTCACACCCCCCTACCCTTTGCTTGTGTTTCTGATTTACTCTGCTGTGAAGAAAGTTTTCAAGGTTTGTTACAGTGGAAAATGTTTTGGAAAAAGTTCTGGGTTGAGGGTAAGGAATTTAGAGCTTAGGAAATGAAATTTGGTGAACCTGATGAGCTCATTTGCCATTTTGTACCTCAGTTCCACTTTTCTGGAGCTAGAATAACTGTTCTTTATATACTAGTTAATAAAATCAACAGGTGTTTACTAAGCACTTACTATGTGCCAGTACCATAGGGCTGTAAAGGGAAGTGATTGGTCTCAGTGTTTCTTGGCCTTTTTTGGGGGAATGGGGGAGTACAGCTTATAGACCTTTGAGAATGATAAATTCCTACGCTGTCCTGTATGGTAGCCACTAGCCACATTTGGCTATTACAATTAAAGTTAATTATTGTTAAATATAATTTAAGAAGTTGGTTTCTCAGTTGCAGTAGCCACATTTTAAGTGCTCAATAGCTACATGTAACCAATGGCTACCACATAGAACTCAAATATAGAATGTTTTCATCATCCTAGAAAGTTCTGTGGGACAGTGCTACATGGAGATTCTCCCCAGAATAAAAACACTTTTCTGCCCACATACAATATTTTGCATACAACTGTTACAACTTTGCAGGATCAGGGTCAGGAGGTGGAGGTTGAGGGGGCAGGGAGGCAGGAGTTCACTGATCCCAGAAGCCCATTAATCCAAGAAAAGGAAGCCCTGATATAAAAAGCTGTTTGAAGACTCCATCACAGAATTTAACAAGTTAGTAAAAATAAAGCAACCGAGCTGCTACAAATACAGTATGTTCACTTGAAGTAACTTCATATAAAATCAAGCCCTTGTGTTCCCACCTGTTTGGGCATATTCAAAGAAAACACCAGTTCATTATCTAAAAGTTATTGAAAAATAATGTTAAAGATTTTTTGCAGTCTCTGAAAAAAACACCAGAGGGGAATTATATTCACAATATACTGCAAATCTTGAATTATCTTTCCCATTTTTCTCTTCTCATCCTCCCACACTTGACACTTGCTTTCCTAAAGCTCACCCCCAATTCCAAACTCTCTTCCAAACCTCCTAGTTCTGCTGCTGTTTCTCTTCTTCCTCCCCTGCATGGCTCAGTTCTTTATTATGTAGCTTTCCAGAATATGTTTTATTTTACTCCATCACACAAGTACAGTGGTAGAGAATGACAGAGAAAGCTCCCAGGGTGCTGTGACCAGGAACACGTTTCCCAGTGACTCATTCCATAGCTCTCCTGCCAGGCGGGACCAGTTCCTCATCTTCTCAGATGGTCTACTCCCCCATCACTTCCTCTCTGCCCACTGATACCTAGGGCCAAGGTCTGGGAGGAGCTCATGACTGAGCCTGACAGAGAGGAAAATATTTTGCTGGGATGCCAGAGGGGACTGATGTCACAGAGAAAAGGAGAAAACCAGATGGGCAGGTTTGCAGCATGTTTTATGCCTGGCGTTGTTGGTTTTTTGTTTGTTTTAAATTTTTATTTCAATAGGTTTTTGGGGAACAGGTGGTGTTTGGTTATATGGATAAGTTCTTTAAGTTATTTAGTGGTGATTTCTGAGATTTTCATGCACTCATCACCCGAGCTGTTGTTGGTTTTGGGATTTTTTTTTTTTTTTATGTTGTTTTTTTCAGTTGGGCACTGCCCTACACTCTGGTGGAGAATAAATGGCTTGCTGTGGGAACTGCATTAATTCTTAATAGTCTGCCAACATCAAAGGCTTCTTTTCAGTTTGGTGAAAAGAAGGACAAGCCCATTTCTGTAACAGGATCTCACTCTGTCGCCCAGGCTGGAGTGCAGCGGTGCAATATTGGCTCACTGCAACCTCTGCCTCCTGGGCTTAAGTGATTCTCCCCCCTCAGCCTCCCAAGTAGCTGGGACTATGGGTGTGTGCCACCATGCCCAGCTAATTTTTGTATTTTTTGTAGAGACGGGGTTTTAACATGTTGCCCAGGCTGGTGGTGCCTCAGCTCCTTCTCTCTTCTTCCCTGCTTGAACTCCTTGCCCCAGTCACACCAGTAGGGATTTTCCCTGGTCTGCTACTCTCTCTCCTATTTGGGTGATTTCTCATGGTGTCCTTTTTTATGTTTTGAGACAGAGTCTCACTCTGTTGCCCAGGCTGGAGTGCAGTGGTGCAATCATGGCTAACTACAGCTTCAACCTCCCAGGCTCAAGCAGTCCTCCCACCTCAGCCTCTTAAGTAGCTGGGACTGTCAGGTGCCGTGGCTAATGCCTGTAATCCCAGCACTTTGGGAGGCCGAGATGGGCGGATCACTTGAGCTCAAGAGTTCGAGATCAAGTAGCTGAGACCACAGGTGCACGTTACCATGCCTAGATAATTTTTTAATTTTTTTTTTTTTTTTTTTTTGAGACAGAGTCTCGGTGTTGACCAGGCTGGAGTTCAGTGGCGCAATCTCGGCTCACTGCAACCTCTGCCTCCCGGGTTCAAGCAATTCTCCTGCCTCAGCCTCCAAAGTAGCTGGGATTACAGGTGTGCGCCACCACCTCCGACTAATTTTTGTGTTTTTAGTAAAGATGAGGTTTTGCCATGTTGACCAGGCTGGTCTCGAACTCCTGACTTCAAGTGATCCACCCACCTTGACCTCCCCAAAGTGCTGGGATTACAGGCATGAGCCACTGGGCCTGGCAATTTTTAAGTTTTTTGTAGAGATAGGGGTCTCACTACATTGCCTAGCCTGGTCTCAAACTCCTGGACTCAAGCCATCCTCCTGCCTCAGCCTCCCAAAGTGCTGGGATTACTGCCACTGCACTCAGCAGTCATGCCCTCATTTTTGTCTGAAATGCCCTTCCCTCTTCCCCCTGGTTAACTCCTACTGGTTCTTCAAGACTCTAAACATCTCCTCCCAGAAGCCTTCCTTAGAATCTCTAAGACTGTGGTAGGTGACCCTCCGATGTAGTCTCAAGCAGCTTATCCTTATCACAACTGTACTCTACATGACCGAATAGCAACCTATATACACAACTCAAGGACAGAGCTGTATTATTGCATGCCCTGGGCCTCATACAGGACCTAAATCATAAATAATGTTGAATATCTAGATGAACAAAAAGTTTAAAAGGTGTCCCTGCCTAGAGTCTCTGGCCTTAGCAGAGAATGGAACCTATGAACCCTTTGAACATGAAGTCATAATTGTGGTCTCATTTGTGTTCTAACTGCAAAGGTCAGTACAGGAATAAAGGGGGTTTCATGGATGATCATAAATGCCTCCTAAGGATTTAGCTGTGCTCTATCTAATCCAAGAAGCCTGTACTAACCACATCCCTACATTTTCTGCTGGGTAACTGAACTCCTTTGGAGATTGTATGCTGCAGGACATTGCACAATTAAAGCTGAATTATTATTATTTGCAAGCAGTTTTCCACCTACAGTCCTATTGAGTCACTTAGCTGACTCTATTTCTCTCTCCCTAGGAGACTGCCCAATTGTCTCCAACAGCACTTTTTTTTCCTTTTTTGTCTTTCCAGGCAACAATCACATAGGAGTGGTAGGACTCAGAGAATGGTATTAATACACCTAAGCACACCACCCAAAATGAGAAGGCATCTGGACTTTCGGATGCCTATAGGATATGTAAGCTCCTATAAGGCTGCACACTTAGACTCGAGATCATATTTGGCCAGGGCTCTTTCCTGCTTGTCTAGAGAACAGCTAGATGCTTTACATAATCCAGAATACAACAGATAGTTATAATGGTTTTATTTTAGGAATCATTTATTATGTTTTATTCCAATTATAAAAGTAGTGCATGCTAATTACAATTTGAGAAATACAGAAAAGCATAAATAAAAACATAGAAATCACTGCCATCAAGAGATATCTCCACAACCACAACATTTGGAAAGCTTTTTCTATTTTTTTTTTGTTACAAGCAGCAAATACACTATATATGTGTATACATTAAACACCACTTTCAATTCACTTTAACTGTAAATTACTGTGACTTTAATATCTCTGTCATATTAAAAACATGACTTAATAATTGTGTAACATTCAAAGTTAATGTGTTGAGCCACTCCCTTATTATCAAGTTTAATTTTTTTAATTGCACAGAATGCAATGATAAATATACACATGTAATTTATTATGAGAATCTCTTGCTTATTTCCGTCTGATAAAAATCCTACAAGCAGCTGGGCGCGGTGGCTCACGCCTGTATTCCCAGCACTTTGGGAGGCTGAGGCAGGCGGATCACGAGGTCAGGAGATTGAGATCATCCTGGCTAACACGGTGAAACCCTGTCTCTACTAAAAATATAAAAAAATCAGCCGGGCGTGGTGGCAGGCACCTGTAGTCCCAGCTACTCAGGAGGCTGAGGCGGGAGAATGGCATGAACCTGGGAGGCGGAGCTTGCAGTGAGCCGAGATCACGCCACTGCACTGCAGCCTGGGTGACAGTGTAAGACTCCGTCTCAAAACAAACAAACAAAAAATCCTACAAGCAGAATTACAAGATCGAAGGGTATATGTATATTATGAAAGCCTGATGTATACTATCAACTTGTATTCCAAAAAAGATATACACTCAGTAGTATATGTGGGTGTCTAGTCTTTGGTTTGTTTTGATTTTAAAATGCTCAGATGGTATAATGAGAAATCAACTACCTTCTGATTAAATGTGTGGTTTTAGTCCCTTTTTTTGTTTGTTTTTGTTT
The DNA here is from genome assembly GCF_000001405.40 of Homo sapiens. Taxonomy (NCBI): domain Eukaryota; kingdom Metazoa; phylum Chordata; class Mammalia; order Primates; family Hominidae; genus Homo; species Homo sapiens. The sequence continues at coordinate 120,471,387 of NC_000012.12, read as the reverse complement.
TGTCTTGTTTTTGAGACAGAGTCTCCCTCTGTCACCCAGGCTGGAGGAGTGCAGTGGCACAATCTCGGCTCACTGCAACCTCTGCCTCCCAGATTCAAGCGATTCTCGTGCCTCATCCTCCCAAGCAGCTGGGACTACAGGCGTGCCACCAAGCTTGGCTAATTTTTTTTTTTTTTTGTATTTTTAGTAGGGGGGCGGGTCTTGCCATGTTGGCCAGGCTGGTCTTGAACTCCTGGCCTCAAGTGATCCACCCACCTCAGCCTCCTAAAGTGCTGGGATTACAGGCATGAGCCACCACGCCCAGCCAGGTTTCATTTTTAATATGAAAAATCTTTATTTATTTTTGAGACAGTCTCACTCTGTCACCCAGGCTGAAGTGCAGTGGCATGATCTCGGCTCACTGCAACCTTCGCCTCCCGGGCTCAAGCAATTCTCCTGCCTCAGCCTCCCGCGTAACTGGGATTATAGGAACACGCCACCACGCCCAGCTAATTTTTGTATTTTTAGTAGAAACGGGGTTTCCCCATGTTGCCCAGGCTAGTCTCGAACTACTGACCTCAAGTGATCCTCCCGCCTTGGCCTCTCAAAGTGTTGGGATTACAGGCGTGAGCCACCGCACCCAGCCTGAACAATCTTTAGGTTAGGAGTATTCCAGCCGGGCGCCGGGCTCAAGCCGGTAATCCAACACTTTGGGAGGCCAAGGCTGGAGGATCGGTTGAGCCCAGGAGTTCGAGACCAGCCTCTCTACAAAAAAAATAGAAAATAAACTAGCTGGACGCAGCGCAGACCCCTCACGGCGCCCCGAGGTGGGAGGATCACCTGAGTCCAGCGAGATCGAGACTGCAGTGAGCCGTGTTCGCGCCATTGCACTCCAGCCTGAGCAACAGAATAAGACCCTGTATCAAAAACAAACAAAAAGTCTTCTGGTGCAAGGCCTCACTGTAAGGTCCCTGGGTTCAATGCTCCGCGTTCTGGGATGTGAATGTGGAAAAGTAAGTGCCAAGGTGGGTGTCTACCTGAGCTCCATAAGGACTCAGTACTTAGGATGGGAGCATGGCTCTGGGTTCCATTCCTGACCCCTCTGTGGCCTCAGACTCTGCCCGGGAGAGGATGAAAAGCACAAGTCGGATGCACTCTATAGTGATCGCTGTGATACTCATTAAGAGTCTTACTCCCTCGACTCCGACAAACTCAAGGCCAAGCTATGGAGTCCATCTCATGCTGACACCGTCAGTTCTGAGCAACTGTAAAATGGGGACAGGGTGGCCCGGGGGCCTACTGACCTGAGGTGGGGGCCGCGACAGCCCGGCCGCTGCGGGGTCAGCCTGCGGTCTCCGCCTGACTCCAGCTCTCCTGCGCCCCGCAGGCCCTGGGCGCTACCCACGTCAGTGAGTGCTCACAAGTCTGTGAGGTAGGCGGCGCCACAGAGAGAAACTGAGGCGCGGGAGCCCAAGCCACTTGTCCAGCGCCTCAGCCGAGCGCGAACCGCGCTCGGGGATGGCATCCACACGGCCCGGCCCCAGGCTCTCCCTGTCAGCGCCCGAAGGCCCTTCGCACCTCCAGGGGGCGCCGGCCTGCGCGCACGCGCAATGGTCGCAGCCGCGTTCTCTTTAAGAGGACTCCTTTTGCCTCCGCCGACCCCTTCGCTTCCGCTCCGCGTTCCCACAATGCAGTGCGGCTGAGCGCCTCGGAGCCCGCGGGGACGCTGCGGGGGGACCCGTGCTGAGGCGGCGGCGGCGACGTGGGCTGCGGCGGGCCCGCGGCGTCGGGCGGTGCGGATGTCGGGCTGGGCGGACGAGCGCGGCGGCGAGGGCGACGGGCGCATCTACGTGGGGAACCTTCCGACCGACGTGCGCGAGAAGGACTTGGAGGACCTGTTCTACAAGTACGGCCGCATCCGCGAGATCGAGCTCAAGAACCGGCACGGCCTCGTGCCCTTCGCCTTCGTGCGCTTCGAGGACCCCCGGTGAGGCCCCCGCGCCCCTGCCCTCTCCTCCTCGGTGCCTGAGGCCCCCGCCTTCCCTGCTGTCCCCTCCCCCAGGGCTCCCCTCCCCCCGGCCTCCCCTCCCCCCGCCTCCGCGCAGACCCCTCACGGCGCCCCCTCACGGGTGGAGGATGAGGCAGCCTCTCCTCGCAGGCCCGGGCCGTCCTTCGCGCCGTCGTCACTTCCTTTATTTTTATTATTCCAATATTTTACTTAGAAACCCAAAAGCTGAGCCTTTGGAGGGCCCAAGCCCGCCTGCACCGGCCTCGGGGGGTCCAAATGAGCCTTGTCCGCCTCCTGCCTGGGGCAGCACCGTAGGGGGAAGCGGCCGCGGGGCAGCGCGGGGGTCGCCGTTCGCCCTTCCCGCTCGCCTCTCCCCCGGCCCGTGCTCGCCGTGGCTGGAGAGCAAGCTGCAGGGTCGCGGATGCCGCTGGAGGTCGTGGAGGGATCTCTGGTGGAATAGCTCGCCGTTCGCGCGCCCCGCCCCGCAGGCCAGGGCCCGGGCTTTGTAAAGGGATCACGGATTCGGGAAAACTTCTAAAACAGCCGGAGTGGGGCTCTGATTTCACTTCCCTCCTTTGATGAGGGAGGCTTGGCGAGATGCTAAAGGTTCCAGGGATTTGGAAACTCTAGATTCCTAACCCCGCTCTAAGGAGTGCTTGTGATTTTGCAAACAGCGTCGGCCCTCAGGCCGGAAAAAGCCCAGGAACTTTCAAAACTGTGGTTGGTGGTGGTTAGCAGCTGCGGCGCTGACCTGGTCACTCCACTCCGGCCAAATAAGAGCCCGCACCCTGTTTTCCTAGCATCATTTGCTCCCGGGGAACGCGGAATGTTCGTAGGGTGTCCGACCTACCTGGGGTGGACGTATTGATAGGGCAAGGGGAGCATCTGAGGAAGGGCAGGCAGGAAGCACCGCGAGGCGTTGATGGCTGAAGAGTCGACTCTGACAGCTCATCCCTAGTATCTCCTCATTTGCCTCAAAACCGGAACTGGGCATTTTTACCCCTAAGCCGGAGAAGGCTATGCCTCGCTTATTTAGTAACCGTGCCATTGTGGTTTTTCAACAGTTGCTATGGGTCAAGTGCCATGGTGTGTATTTAGCTTTTTTTCTTTCCTTCTTATTTTTTTAGATTGATAAATTAGGGGTTTCACCATGTTGCTCAGGCTGGTCTGGAACTCCTGAGCTCAGGTGATTCTCCCGTCTCAGCGGATCAAATTGTTAGGATTACAGGCGTGAGCAACCCGCCCAGCCTGTATTTAGTATTTTTAACAATTTATGAGGTGTAGGTACTATTTTTTTTTTTTTTTTGAGACAGGTCTTCACTCTTGTTGCCCAGGCTGGAGTGCTGTGGTGCGATCCCGGCCCACCGCAACCTCCGCCACCTGAGTTCAAGCGATTCTCCCGCTTCAGCTTCCCAGTAGCTGGGATTACAGGCGCCCGCCATCATGCCTGGCTGATTTTTCTATGTTCAGCAGATACGGGGTTTCTCCATGTTGGCCAGGTTTGTCTTGAACTCCTAACCTCAAGTGATCCACCCACCTCAGCCTCCCAAAATGCTGAGGTTACAGGCCTGAGCCACCACGCCAGGCCGGGATCAATGGATTTGAACTCCCTCTTCTGTTTTTCGAATGCAAACTTACTATATGATACGCTACATTGTCATCTTCCCTCATTCCTTTCATAATAGAAAAACTATCTTTTGGTGTCACTAGATGTGAAGATTCAAGCAAAGCATTTCATGTAGTATCTTATTTAACCATTACAATAACCCTGTGAGATAGGCATACTGTTCACATTAGAGATGTAAAAACTTGATTAAACACTTACCCAGAGATGACTACTAGTAATTTGCAGAATAGTGATTTGAATGCAGGCTAATTTTATTTATTTATTGTATTTATTGAGATGGAGTCTGGCTCTGTCGTGCAGGCTGGAGTGTAGCGGCACAGTCTCAGCTCACTGCAACCTTCGCCTCCTGGGTTCAAGAGATTCTCGTGCCTCAGCCTCCTGAGTAGCTGGGATTACAGCTGCGCGATGCCATGCCCAGCTAATTTTTATCTTTTTAGTAGAGACGAGGGGTTTCACCAGGTTGCCCAGACTGGTCTCAAGCTGCTAACCTCAAGTGATCCACCTCCCAAAGTGCTGGGATTACAGGCATGTGCCACAGCGCCTGGCCTGAATGCTGGCCAGTTTTTATTCAGAGTTGTTCTGACCTCCTAGCAGTTCTGCCTCTCCCAGTCTGCATTTTACGTAGTCAAGGTTGCACTGGATATGGTCATTGTTGCTTTTAGTTCTAAAATCTTACAAGTGATTATGTGCCTGTGACACTGAACAATGCCTTCATTAGCACATTCAGCTCCTCTTGTCCACCCAAGCTCCAAGGTCACACTTTCTACCATCCAATACTGGAGAATCAACGTGGCATTCCTGACTCTCCTAGAGTCCTAGGAAAGACTTAAAGTAATTTTATTGAATATTTATCTCTTTTGGCAAAATTGTATCCAAAGAATGTTTTTTGACAAAAATAGTTCTCCAAACCATGCTGAAAAGGTACACTTAGAGTTCCAAGGCCAGGCGCAGTGGCTTATGCCTGTAATCCTAGCACTTTGGGAGACTGAGGGGAAGGATCGCCTGAGCCCAGGAGTTCAAGACCAGGCTGGCCAGCAGAGGGAGACCTGTCTCTACAAAAAATCCAAAAATTAGCTGGGTGCAGTGGTACACGCCTGTGGCCCTAGCTATTCAGGAGGCTGAGGTGGGAGGATTGCTTGCGCCCAAGAGTTAGAAGCTGCTGTGAGTTATGCTCCAGCCACTGCACTCAGCCTTGGTGACAGAGCAAGACCCCGTTTCAAAAAAAAAAAAAGTTCCACATTCATCACAAAACACTCATTTGCATTTTTCTTTTGTCCTTTGAGCCTTATTTATTTATTTTTTTAAAAGACCGGGTCTCACTATATTACCCAGGCTGGCCTGACCTGGGCTCAAACATCATGCCCAGCTACTTTATTTACCCTCAAATACTCTCCTATCTAACTGGCTACTTTTTTTTTCCTGTTTTTTGGGACAGGGTCTCTGTCACCCAGGCTGGAGTACAGTAGTGTGATCTTGGCTCTGCACTCCCATCTCAGCCTCTCAAGTAGCTGGGACTACAGGCGTGCAACACCATGCCTGGCTAACCGCCTACTTTTTATTTCCATAGACTTTATGGCACTAGGCTTTGTAGAAAAATATTAAGGGGTTAGTGTGTGGTGTGCTTTTCGAGAAAATGCTCACGAAGATTAGAAAAACACTGATGGTTTATTGGCAAAATCAATAATCTGTCAGCAGTTGATTCTTTTTTTTCTCTGAATTAGCCCTCTTATGAGTAATCTGTTTGCTCATTCATTATAATTTCATACCTCTAAAACTGCGTGTGACAGCTGTAAAGGTTAATTCCAGTATCATGAAACGTCTCCAAACCAAAGCAGAAGTGCTTCAGGATCCTGATTTGTGTGTTTTTTTCTTCACTCTAGGTTTCCCTTTTATGCTTACTACTCATGCCCCTCACTTGGAAAGTCACTTGGCCTCCTGAACAGCACTAACTCCAAACGTTTTTTTTGTTGTTGTTGTTTTTTTTAGAGATGCAGAGGATGCTATTTATGGAAGAAATGGTTATGATTATGGCCAGTGTCGGCTTCGTGTGGAGTTCCCCAGGACTTATGGAGGTCGGGGTGGGTGGCCCCGTGGTGGGAGGAATGGGCCTCCTACAAGAAGATCTGATTTCCGAGTTCTTGTTTCAGGTATGTTCCTTTCAAACAGAATGAGATGATACATGTAAAATACTTAACACAGAGTCTGTCTTCCAAGAAATGATAGCTGTTATTCTTCAGTGCATGGGACACGGGGGCTTTCTTTTCAATAGCCTGTGTGAAGCCTTGCCCTGGATTGCCAATGAGGAAAGTATCCTGCAAATGAAATTGCGCTGGGAGTGCAGCCTTGGAAGAACATAACCATATTTCTTGTAAAGGAGTTTTCTAGTGGTGAGAAGGAAAGATGATGGGAAAACTTGAGCTACAATTCTAAAGATGCTTCTTTTGGAATATACTTGGCATCAGACATGGTAGAAAGGCATTCAAGGAGCCAGATTTGAACAACTTACCCAGCCTTGGATCCTGAAGAAGATCAGATTTTGTGGTGGTTTTAGAATTAAATATTTTTTAAAACCCCGTAACTTAAGAGTCTTAGAGATTTTATTGGAAAGTATAGACTATTTCTGTCTAGTGTTTATAAGTGATGAAATGCTAAACTGGGAGGTTTATCTATCTTCAAAATATTAACACACTGGAAAGACCTGGGGCCTTCTGCATATTGCATGGGAGTTTTAGGGCCCTGGTGGAATGAAATAAATCGAGGAGCCTGGCACCTTTTTAAGATGTGAATGTCACACAATCACAGCATACTCCCATGTGCTTAAGAGTGATACTCTCAGTATCTGCCTATCTTGTGTCCCTTTGTAATTTTTTAACCCCAGAACTCTATTCCCTCCTTCAGGATGTCATACATTATCTTTTTTTCTCTCCATGCTGCTCTGAAATCCTGCTTAGAAAACTATTAGGAAATGGCTGCAGTCCTGAGCTGTGAGCGGTAAACACAGCCTTTGAGAGCAGGAGCACATTTCCCTTTCATGACATCAGGTAGGGTTGTATGACTCCCGACTAGTTTTAGCATCTGAGTCTTACCTTCCCCCCCACTGTATTGAAGAATGTTGGTGATCTTTTAAGAGGTACTCTGTATAGTTTGTCATTCATACCTACAAGAAAACAAACTTTAGATTTTTTGTTGTTGTGTTGTTACCTTCAGCTACTCTTTGGTTATTTCATGTCTGGTTTCAAAATTCCCATGTCCTGTGAAACCCTGTCAAGCAATAAATAATTGGTACTGTTAAATTTCATAATGGAAAAAATTGGAACTCAAAGTATTAGGAGTTTGGCATTGATTTTAAAGGACAAAGAAAGAGGCTATGAATTCTCAAAGATACTAAACCTGTAATGGGATGGACTTCTTGCTCTGTTGAAAAGGCCTGGTCTCTGGAAGATGAACTTAAAACCAGCTTCTCAAGGTGGTTCATTTACCACACATACTTCAGTGCTCTTTTCTGATTTCATGTCCCTTATCAAGGTTTATGATTTGGGGACCCTCAGGATTTAAGTGATCATGGAGAAAGGACCATAGGTATTGCTGGCTCTTAACAGGGCAGTTAACATAGCTGAAGGATGTGGGCTTTCTTATGTTCTCCATGCCTAGGACTTCCTCCGTCAGGCAGCTGGCAGGACCTGAAGGATCACATGCGAGAAGCTGGGGATGTCTGTTATGCTGATGTGCAGAAGGATGGAGTGGGGATGGTCGAGTATCTCAGAAAAGAAGACATGGAATATGCCCTGCGTAAACTGGATGACACCAAATTCCGCTCTCATGAGGTGGGTCCTTGCCTTCTGTTGAGGAGCTTGTACTCAAATCACTCCACTTGAACCTGACCTAGCAGAGGTAGCAAGAGGCCATGCCATTTGGTAACCTCACAGTACCATAAGAGATCTATCTTAGGTGGACAAAGCCATGGAATTTGCTATGCCTAAGTCCTTCAGGGTCATAGCTGAAAGAAGTATGCATTCATGGTACGTTTGTTTTTTAATATGCTTTATTCTGCATATTAGTATCACATTACACAGTTTGGTCATGGTATTTGTAACCTGGAGAGAATACTAGTGCAGTCGGTCTTCATACCACCCCATTCACAACCAGCTTAAATGGCAGTATCCCTCTGTGAACTCAACTACCCCTCCTGTGGGTCCAGGCTGAGCTCTACAGGTCAGCCTCTTCATCTCAGCCCTTCTAGGTCCTGCTGTCAGGGCTGAGCTGTCACTTCACTTTTTTCCCAGAGTAGTGCAGCATCCTCTCTGAAACCTGAGCTATCATGACATTTTCTTTTTTAATTTTATAATTTTTATATTTCTCTAATTTTTGATTTTAGAGACAGTCTCATTATATTGCCGAGGCTGACCTTGAACTCCTGGGCCCAAGCAGTCCTCCCACCTCAGCCTCTCCAGTAGTTGGGACTGCAGGCATGCACCACTGTGCCAGGCTAAACCGTAACATTTTCTTGTGGTTGATTATGTCACCCTTCAGACTCAGTAGTTCTTGATGTCTTTCCTTGTAGGAAAGCAGCTGCTGTTTTGGATCTCAGTTTGATTGAGGTGGTGACTATCCCTTTGGTACCATTGAGACCAGAAACCAGACCAGTTGGACATTGTTTTTTTCTGGTTATCCTGTCCTGCCTTACTATGAGATTTACGGATGTTTGGGGACACAGGTCTCTGGGCTCATTTCTTTTTCTGAGGATTCATATAATTGCCTAGTTTTTGGCTTAGAGGTTGGTCCTTCCCTGGTTTAATGATGCTTTTGTTCAGACTGTCCTCTAGGACTTGAATTTGAAGCAGAAACAGAACAGCACCTGATCCTCAGTTATACTGCAAAGCAGGGCCTCAGAAAGGGTAACTCCAATTACTGACTTTCACCTAAGGTGAAAAAGCATCCGGCTTCTTTCCCCTTGGCATCTTTGGATCTTCTGAGAATGGTGGCTGAAGGCAGAGGGCCTGGGGACAAGCCAGCCTGGACATGACTCCTCTGCTGCTTATTAATTCCTTACCTGAACTACTCTTGGGACCTCGATTCCTTCATGGGCAAAATGGTCACATAATAGCACCATCACAAGACTTGCCAGGAATCTAGAGCAAGAGGATAACGTCTAAAGCATCTAGCTCAGGTCCTCACATCTGGAAGGTATTAAATACAGGCTAGCTCCTTCCATAGATGCCCATCCAAAGATGCATACATGAGGTGGCAGGGGATTAAACTATATGACCCCTGAGATCCTTTCCAGTTCTTAGCTTTGAGGGGGGTCAATGGCAGTAATTCAGATATATTGTTTATCATAGTTAATTGAGTATCAACATGTCAAATTGGCATTTATTGTGTTACCTTGGGCAAATGATATAACTTAAGTCTTAATTTTCTTCATTCTTGAAATGGGATAGTAAGAGTACCTACCTCATAATGTTATGAAGGTTTAATGAGATAGCCTCATGCCAGGCACAGAGTACACAGTAAGTGCTCAATACTTAACTATTATTGTTAGATGTTGGTTTGCTTATTCTTCTGGCTCTGATTTTTTTCCCCTTTACTCTTTTTGTTTTTGTTTGCATTTCAGGGTGAAACTTCCTACATCCGAGTTTATCCTGAGAGAAGCACCAGCTATGGCTACTCACGGTCTCGGTCTGGGTCAAGGGGCCGTGACTCTCCATACCAAAGCAGGGGTTCCCCACACTACTTCTCTCCTTTCAGGCCCTACTGAGACAGGTGATGGGAATTTTTTCTTTATTTTTTAGGTTAACTGAGCTGCTTTGTGCTCAGAATCTACATTCCAGATTGAGGATTTAGTGTCTTAGGAAATTTTTTTAATTTTTTTTTTTTAAAGAAGAAAAAAAACTACATAATTTCTACCAGGGCCATATTAGCAGTGAAACATTTTAAACTGCAGAAATTGTGGTTTTGGTTCAGAAACAAGTTGTATATTTTTCACCCCTGATTATGGGAAAAAAATCAGTTCTGTCTTTGTGGGTTGCTCTACTATGGAGATCAACAGTTACTGTGACTGAGTCGGCCCATTCTGTTTAGAAATATATTTTAAATGTTTAGTAATTGACATGTGTGGTTGTCCTTGATTAAGTTCACAGATTTCACCAAATAGGCACACTAATTTAAAAAATCACTGAGTTGTAGTCATAACTTGTACCCAGTTAGGAGCAGGGGTAGATAACTTTATTTATATGGGGATAGACAGTTGCTCTGATGTTGGTTTGAGAACGTAAACTCCAAGAGCGGGTTCTGGGTTCTCTTTTAATTCAAGGCCAAGCTTGTAAATTAGGCTGCCTTAAAGAAAAAAGCATTGCAGATAAAGGAAGGGAATGGGAAAAATAAACACACGGTGGCTTTTGCCTGTGATCCTAGCCCTTTGGGAGGCCAAGGCATGCCAGAGGATCCCTTGAGGCCAGGAGTTCACGACCAGATAGGCAACATAGCAAAACCCCCACCTCTACTTAAAAAAAAATTAACTGGACGTGGTGATGCACATATGTAGTCCCAGTTACTTAGGAGGCTGAGGTGGGAGGATCACTTGAGCCCAGGAGTTGGAGGCTGCAGTGATCTGTCACCACTGCACTCCAGCCTGGGTGACAGAGGGAGACCCCTGTCTCAGAAAACTAAAAAAATGAGCAGCAGCATAAATATTATTGGGAAATTCTTAGCCAAAACCAACTTTGGCAGTTTGGTTAGAGGAAAAACTCTCTGATTCTATCACTTTTTTTTTTTTTTTGAGACTTGCTCTGTCGCCCAGGCTGGAGTGCAGTGGTGCGATCTCGGCTTACTGCAAGCTCCGTCTCCCGGGTTCACGCCATTCTCCTGCCTCAGCCTCCCGAGTAGCTGGGACTACAGGCACCTGTCATCACACCCAGCTAATTTTTTGTATTTTTAGTAGAGATGAGGTTTCACCGCATTAGCCAGGATGGTCTTGATCTCCTGACCTTGTGATCCGCCCGTCTCAGCCTCCCAAAGTGCTGGGATTACAGGAGTGAGCCACTGCGCCCAGCCCACTTTTATCCCTAAATAAGTTTCATTTATCCTTGGTATCTGAGTTTTATCCTGGACTCATCTCAATTTAATAATCATTTTGGGGGCGGAGAGGGCTCCTTTGTCCCAGGCCCAGGGCTAATTTTAGGATAAGTTCTCTTTTCAGAAAGAGAAACACTAGGTATGACTAGTATCCCTTTGGCATATAATCACTTTGTGGGATGGCAGATAGTTCTAGGTTAGGAGTTCCCAAGCTCTAGTCTACTTTCAACACTCTTCAGACCTTAGTAGGAAGTTAGCCCTCTTCTGGGAAGAAAGTGGGAGCCCAGGAACAAATTCAGGTATGTTCGGTAAAGATAGGGCTGCTCAAATCAATGCAAATGGCAACTAAAAATGACAGCCAAGGTTGTCACATAGTGATCAAGATGCTCCGTCTACCAGTTACGTAGATAGAAAAGTTCACTTTCATGCAGTTGGTATGGTCCTTTGGGGGGAGTTAAAGGCAGATAAATAATGTCTTCCATACTGAACAGGCCTGTTAAGTGAATTCCTTGGAAGCTGACTTTTGCTTTTCTTTCACCTCAGTTAGCATCAGGAACTCACTGCCTTGTTGGGGCCAGATCTTTCCCAATTCTGTCTTCAGAAGAATCTGTTATTAAGAAATGCTTGAGCATCCATTTTTTCAGGGGACTGAAAAAAGCAGGAACATTAGTATTCACAGTAAAAAAATACTGTCATTATGCTTCCACATGTTCACAGAGTACCCCCTTTCCAGAATGAGCTACTCAGCTGTGTGGGAATGGCTCTTGTTCATCCAGCTTTGGCAAAGAGATATTACCTGTTTGAAAATAACAAAAGAGAATTTTTGTTTGTTTGTTTGTTTTTGTTTTGAGACAGAGTCTCGCTGTTGCCCAGGCTGGAGTGCAGTGGCGCAATCTCAGCTCACTGCAGGCTCCGCCCCCTGGGGTTCACGCCATTCTCCTGCCTCGGCCTCCAGAGTAGCTGGGACTACAGGCGCCCGCCACCTCTCCCGGCTAATTTTTTGTATTTTTAATAGAGACGGGGTTTCACCGTGTTAGCCAGGATGGTCTCGATCTCCTGACCTCGTGATCCGCCCTCCTCGGCCTCCCAAAGTGCTAGGATTACAGGCATGAGCCACCGCGCCCGGCCACAACAGAGAATGTTATAGCTGAGCCTGCCGCCCAGCTGGCTCTACTGAGCTAACTGATCACTACTTTCTCATGGAAAATATGGAAGTAATGTAGCTACTGTCCTGTTTTCCTAACTGGGAGTATCTGAAAGAATCAGTTCTAAGTGTAGCCAAATTCACCTTTTTCAGTAAGGAGTATACAGGTTGATTAGCCACTAATATGCAGATAGGACTAGAAGGAAACACTGACCATGAACTCAGGTGGTCCCAAAAAGCAAAGTCTGAAGTAAGGTTCTGTGTGGGAGATAGCATGTCTGATCAAAAGATATTTCTGCTGGAGCCACAACTATCAGGCTCTGAGATGGAGAGTCTCCTTTCTCTCCACAGTTAACAGGTGGTTTAGTGGATTGGAGGCATGATTAAGAGTTTAGCTCACGGCCGGGTGCGGTGGCTCACACCTGTAATCCCAGCACTCTGGGAGGCCGAAGCGGACGATCACGAGGTCAGGAGAGAGAGACCATCCTGGCTAACACGGTGAAACCCCGTCTCTACTAAAAATACAAAAAATTAGCCAGGCGTTGTGGTGGGCGCCTGTAGTCCTAGCTACTTGGGAGGCTAAGGCAGGAGAATGGCATGAACGTGGAAGGTGGAGCTTGCAGTGAGCCGAGATCGCGCCACTGCACTCCAGCTTGGGCAACAGAGCAAGACTCCGTCTCAAAACAAACAAAAAGTTTAGCTCACAAAATTTCTAGCTTTCTTTCCCATCCTTGCATCAACCAGAGCCTGCCTTTAACTGGCACCTTAAGCTGACCAGGGCCAATGTCTTCTGTGGAGTCTGCTCAGAATGATTCTCCCTCAGGATATCCTGAACTGGAAGTTGGCACTTAGCAGGCTACCTGATTGCTTTTGGCTAGTCCCACTCCCAGATGCCCAGAGGGGTAGTACAACAGCTCCAAGTATTCACCTACCTGCAGAGGAGATAAAAACAGTCAACCTATCCAAGGTTCTGGATTTTACTGTCAGCCCAGAGTAATTTTAAAGCTTCTATTTAAAATATTTACAGTAGGTAGATGATGCAAATCTCTATACCAGCTGTTGTAAACTGATGGCTCACAGACTGCACCTGGCTTGCAGATGTGTTTTATTTGGCTTGGATGGTATTTTGTTTTTTAAATTTTGAATTGGTTGCTAGCACTTAAAATTTAAGAAATATCGGCGGGGTGCAGTGGCTCACCCCTGTAATCCCAGCACTTTGGGAGGCTGAGGCGGGTAGATCACCAGTTCAAGACTAGCCTGGCCAAGATGGTGAAATCCTGCCTCTACTAAAAATACAAAAATATTAGCCAGGCATGGTGGCAGGCACCTGTAATCCCAGCTACTCGGCAGGCTGAGGCAGAGAATTGCTTGAACCCGGGAGGCAGAGGTTGCAGTGAGTCAAGATTGCACTCCAGCCTGGGTGACCGAGCGAGACTCCATCTCAAAAAAAAAAAAAAAAATTTAAGAAATATCACACAAAATGTCAGGTATCCAGGTTCTCTGGAGAAATGGGTTTACATTCCTGCCTGGCAACACTGATAGGGTAGCAGCCATGCTCCTCCTGCTTTGAATGGGCACAGACTGAGGGCAGACCCTAATGGCGTTTGAATCATGTCATAGGCAAAGATGTGACAGAAACATCTGGGCTAAGGCCACACATGATAACTAAGTTGTCACAATAAGATTCGTTTTGGGAGGCCGAGGTGGGTGGATCACCTGAGGTCGGGAGATCGAGACCATCCTGGCTAACACAGTGAAACCCTGTCTCTACTAAAAATACAAAAAATTAGCCAGGCGTGCTGGTGCATGCCTGTAATCCCAGCTACTGGGGAGCCTGAGCAGGAGAATCGCTTGAACCCGGGAGGTGGAGGTTGCGGTGAGCCGAGATTGCACCATTGCACTCCAGCCTGGGCAACAAGAGCGAAACTCCGTCTCAAAAAAAAAAAAAAAAAAAAAGGATTCTTTTAGGAAAGGACTGGTTTTTTTGTGGTACCCAGCCCAAAGCTAGACCTAACAAATATTTATTCATGGTATGAATACTAGAAAGTTGGAGTCGATTACAGGATCTGGCAGGGTCTTAACTGTGGCTTTGAGAAACACTGAATGCCAGCTGCCCCTTTAGGGAGATCTTGAGCTCCAGATTTCCACCTACTTTAAACCTCCCGCATGCCCCCAATCCTGTTTTGCTTGTTCCTGTTACTAACTGCCCCCTAGAGGTGAGTATGACCCTGGACCCTACTGCCACCTTAATGCCACCATCTGTATGCACTTCATCCTTTTCAAAGTGCCTTCACATAGCATCTTTGGTCCTCATGCTTCCTGCTTCATTCCTAAGGTTACTGTGAGACTATCTGTTAAACCATTCTGGGCAGCACGTACCTGGGGGGGCCACAAAGTACTCCTCCACGACGCGATGGGAGTTTTGTAGTAATTCATCAGCACAGTTGCCTTCTACCACATTGTCGGATCTCAGGTATAGACATCTACAAAACCCAGAAGCTCAAGGTTACCCTCTCAGAGAAGGGGGCTTTTAGGGGATGATGGAGAGGGGCAAGAAGGAGAGAACAAGGAAGCAGTATATTCTTGAGTTAATGGGCACTGTTCAAAGATAGAGAAGCTGGGATCAACAGTAGACCAAATAACAGCCTACAGTTTATAGATTGACCGAACAACCCTGAGAAGTAAGTGCTAATTACTTCTCTGGATTGATTTAACAAATAGTTTTTGATGATTATATGGGCAACTGTCTTTTGGTGGGGACAGGTAAAAGCAATTACAAAAACAATATTTTAAATCTAACAGAGGTTAGTACAGCCTGCCAAAGGATAGAAAGGGTACCTAGTCCAGCCTGCGTGAGTAGCACATCCTCAGAATAGCTGATGTCACTGTTCAAGGATGGGCAAGAAATAGCTGGATTGGGGGATGAAGGTATGAGAAATGGACTTCCTGGCACGTATAGCAGCATGAATCCCAAAGCAATAGAGCCGAGAGCTCAGAGATTCAGAGAAGGACAGGGAGTTTAGCAGGCTGGGGTGTGGTCTGCCGGGGTGGAAGATGAAGCTGGAAAGCTAAGCAGAGATGGGGAAGCAAACTTGCCACAAGAGTAACTTAAGGATGTTGGCTGCTAAGTAACAACTGGGATCTCAGCCCAATCTGATACACCTAAAATGAATGCTTTTTCCACCACAGCCACTTTGGTGGATGTGCCTGCCCTTGAGCAAGATGTGCCACCAACAGCTCAAGAATCTCCCAGTGTTCTGTGGGACCTAGTGACTTTACTAAAGCCTTCAGATGGCAAACCGGTAAAAAACACACAAGAGCTTGAACATTTGCATGAGGCTTCACTATTGTTTCAAGGTGTAAAAGTGTGTAAGCCTGCTTCCAGATACTTAGATTAAAAAAATAAGCAGTCTGTTAAATCACTGATATGGTATTCGGTAGTAGCCACGCTCCTCCTGCTTTGAGTGGGCACAGACTGAGGGCAGACCCTAATGGCGTTTGAGTCATGTCAGAGAGGGACAAAGATGTGACAGGTACATCTGGGCTAAGGCTGCACATAAGAACTAAGTTGTCAGCCGGGCGCGGTGGCTCACGCCTGTAATCCCAGCACTTTGGGAGGCCGAGGTGGGCGGATCACGAGGTCAGGAGATCGAGACCATCCTGGCTAACACGGTGAAACCCCATCTCTACTAAAAATACAAAAAAATTAGCCGGGCGTGGTGGTGGGCGCCTGTAGACCCAGCTACTTGGGAGGCTGAGGCAGGAGAATGGCGTGAACCCGGGAGGCGGAGCTTGCAGTGAGCCGAGATCGCGCCACTGCACTCCAGCCTGGGCGACAGAGCGATACTCTGCCTCAAAAAAAAAGAGAACTAAGTTGTCACAATAAGATTATTTTAGGAAAGGACTAGTTCTTTTTTTGTGGCACCCAGCCCAAAGCTAGACACAACAAATATTTACTCATGGTATGAATATTAGAAAGTTGAAGTCTGTTACAGGACCTGGCACATTCTTAACTGTGTGGCCTTGAACAAGTATGATCTTTTCAGACATTAAATTTCTTGGAGGGGGGCGGCGGGGTGTGGGGGAGAAAGGCCAGGTGTGGTGGCTCTTGCATGTAATCCCAGCACTTTGGAAGGCTAAGGCGGGTGGATCACCTGAATTCAGGAGTTCAAGACCAGCCTGGGCAACGTGGGGAAACCACATCTCTACTAAAAATACAAAAACTAGCCAAGCGTGGTGGCACGCACGTGTGATCCCAACTACTCGGGAGGCTGAGGCGGGAGAATCGCCTGAACCCAGGAGGCGGAGGTTGCAGTGAGCTGAGATGGCACCACTGCACTCAAGCCTGGGCGACAGAGCAAGAAGAAAAAAAAAAAGGCCAGGCACAGTGGCTCAAGCCTGTAATCCCAGCACTTTGGGAGGCCAAAGCAGGTGGATCACCTGAGGTCAGGAGTTCGAGACCATCCAATATGGTGAAACCCTGTCTCTACTAAAAATATAAAAGTTAGCCGGGCATGGTGGTACATACCTGTAATCCCAGCTACCTGGGAGGCTGAGGCACAAGAATCACTTGAATGTAGGAAGCAGAGTTTGTAGTGAGCGGAGATCACACCACTGCACTCCAACCTGGGTGACAGAGTGAGACAGTGTCTCACACACACACACACAAAAGAGAGTTGTACTAGATTTTTTTTTTTTTTTGAATAACACAAGGACTGTATTCATTTAAGAAAACTTGGGAGAACAAAAGTAAAATAAAAATCATAATTATACTATTCAAAGGTAACCCTTGGACTTTCTGGAGTTTATAGTTTCTGTTGGACAGTATTAAAAAATGGCTAAGAGGCCGGGCGCGGTGCCTCATGCCTGTGATCCCAGCACTTTGGGAGACTGAGGCGGGCAGATCACGAGGTCAGGAGATCAAGACCATCCTGGCTGACAGGGTGAAACCCCGTCTCTACTAAAAATACAAAAAAAAAAAAATTAGCCAGGCGTGGTGGCGGGGGCCTGTAGCGAGAGGCTGAGGAGGGGAACGGCGTGAACCCTGGAGGTGGAGCTTGCAGTGAGCGGATATCATGCTACTGCACTCCAGCCTGGGCGACAGAGCAAGACTCCGTCTCAAAAAGGCTAAGAGCTTAGGCTCTCAAGTCACAGCTGAATTCAGATCCCATTGCTACACATTACTTATCCTCTCTATATTTCAGTTTCCTTGTTTGTTGAATGCTTCATAGGATTTCTGGGAAGATTAAATGAAATGTTAAAAAAACAAGATCTGATAATGCTGAGCCAGCATTCACGGCAGTAAGAGGGCTCTGAGTAGCACCTGCTCCTTTCAGAAAGCCTTAGTGCACCCCAGTACATCTCAGTCCCTACCACTCATTCAAAGTCTGTGCACTCCTGATGAGGCACAACCTGCCTAGCATCTGAAGGTTTGGGAAGACTCTCTACTACCGCCAATAGGCGGTTAAATGCTACTGCTTCCCCAAGAGTAGATCTAATAGCAACTAATCTATTTACTCATCAAGTAATCAAGTTTCATAATTAAGTTTCCTGCGTAAGTGAAATTTCCAGGAAAACAAAATTCACCCCTTTACATACCTTTCTATTTATGTATGTATGTACATACATACATACATTTCTATTTAGTTATTGGTTATGATGGAGTTGTTCCTAAAATAGACACATTTTCTGGGGTTGGTTTTTTGTTGTTGTTGTTGTTGTTGTTGTTTTACTTTTTTTTTTTGAGACAGGGTCTTGCTGTGTTGCCTAGGCTGGTCTCAAACTTCTGGGCTCAAGTGATCCTCCCACCTTAGCTTCCCAAGCAGCTGGGATTACAGGTGTGCACCACCATACCTAGCTTTATTAATTACAGGCTCCTGAACCCACGGTCTCTGTGACAGTGGTACAGCAAGCATACCTCTCACTTGGTGAGTTGCTTCACTTTCTTGGACCTCAGAATTATATAAAACACTGAACAGGACCAGATGAGCTTTTCAGATCAATTAATGATTGACTAAACTTCTACCTCACCACCTGTCTTTCCCAATCAGGGTTCTGTAAGATAAGTTAGCCTACATACCCCAAGACACCCATTCTGATGATAAGTTAACTTATCTCCTGTGTGTTTAAGCTAACATTTGTCATATACTGTCCTTGGGAGAACTGAAAAAAAGTCACTTGAATCTTTCTGTGTTCTGGTTTGGCTGAGGAACCCTGGTTGAGAAAGACTTCAGTTGTAAACTAGAAGTCCCTGCTGGTTAAAACTCAGGAACAATAACTTAAGTAACTGTGAGAAATGCTGCTACGGTGGCATTGGAAAGTGCTGTGGCAACAGGGAGGACAAAGTGGCTCCATTTGTGATTCTGTCAGCCCTTGGACTCACTGATGGGACCGTTCTCCCACTGCTTTTCTTTCTTTGAGCTTCTTTTCTGCTATCTGGCTGGAAGGAATAGCTTCTTGTGGACCCCTCTACTTCCATCTAAAAGCCTTCTCCCTTCCTCCTACTTTATTTCTAGTTTGATGCAGACTGGAATGGGGGCTAATTAACTTGGTTAAAAGTTCTGAGCCAGGCAAGGTGGCTCACATCTATATTCCCAACACTTCAGGAGGCCGAAGGGGGTGAATTGTTTGAGCCCAGGAGTTCAAGACCAGCCTGGGAAACATGGTGAGACCCCATCTCCCCTAAAAAATACAAAAGTTAGCCAGGGGTGGTGGCGTGTGCCTATAGTCTCAGCTACTCGGGAGGCTGAGGTGGGAGGATCACTTGAGTTCAGGAGGTGGAGTCTGCAGTGAGCCAAGATTGCGCCACTGCACTGCAGCCTGGGCAACAGAATGAGAAAAAAAAAGTTCTGGATTCAGGCCAGGCATGATGGCTCATGCCTATAATGCCAGCACTTTGGGAGGCCGAGGCAGGAGGATCACTTGAGCCCAGGAGTTCGAGACCAGCTTGGGCAACACAGCAAGATCCTGTCTCCACCAAAAAAAAAGTAACAAAGAAAAAAATTAGCTGGCCATAGGGGTACACACCTGTAGTCCCAGCTACTTGAGAGGCTGAGACAGGAGGATGGCTTGAGCCTAAGAGTTTGAAGTTTTTGGTTCATAAGACTATGAGGGACATTTAAGTATTTGGCTGCAGAGTTGCTGTCAACTCATTCTCTGGATTTCAGATGAAAGAGAGTAAAGTTCCTAGGAATCGACTTTAGCTGGCATATCTTAGAACAGTATTTGGCAGCAGAAGCTCTGAGTTCCAAATTCTCTGCTTATTACCTGTGAAACTTTGGGCACATTATATAACCTTTCTGAACCTCAGTTTTTTCCATCTATATAAAATAGATAACTTGTATTGACCTTCCAGGACTGCATGTGAAAATTGAAATAATTTAGGCCGGGCACGGTGGCTCATGCCTGCAATCCCAGCACTTTGGGAGGCCAGGGCAGGCGGATGACCTGAGGTCAGGAGTTCAAGAGCAGCCTGACCAATATGGTGAAACCCCGTCTCTACTAAAAATACAAAAATTAGCTGGGCATGGTGCCGGGCACCTGTAGTCCCAGCTACTTGGGAGGCTGAGACAGGAGAATTGCTTCAACCTGGGAGGCAGAGGTTGCAGTGAGCTGAGATCGTGCCACTGCATCCAGCCTGGACGACAGAGTGAGACTCCAGCTCAAAAAAAAAAAAAAAAAAAAGAATTTATATAATTTATTAGCCCCTGGCATGTAAGCATACTGTTT